>NC_000007.14:5240242-7740242 GCF_000001405.40 Homo sapiens | reverse complement strand
AATTCTTTACTCTTATTAAACTTTGTGATTGATAAGTTAGATTTTGGTTAAAAGAGAAAGGGGGAAAGGAAGAAACAAAGAAAGAGAAGCCAGTTTTCAAATGAAAGTGATAGCTTGCTGCCCAGAATTTCAAATCTGTCTCATGCCTTGAAAGCAGTAGCAATCCAGGGTTTCAAGAACTTTTAACAATCATGCTTCTATCTGAAGGGGAAAAAGGGTTCACTGTATAGTAATTAGATGCTTAACAGTCTTGACTTATTTAAGCTGCCTTCCTATTTTCCCCATTGACACAGGTAGCAAGGATGCTGACTCAGATTTCTCTTCAGGCCTGCCTGGTTAATCTTCCTGTGCTCTCCTTTGTATAGACAAATAAGCAGAATCTGAATGTCTTCTTCACAAGTTTCTCTAACTACTAAATAGCCAGCTGAGCCATTTCTTCTACTCTTCATGAATCTGTCATCATTACAAAGTGAAAAATCAAAGATCTCATAATTTCTCTGCAAAAAATAACTCGATTAGTATAAACTTACAGTTTCCATTTTTAACATAATATCAGGAAATATTAAGTGCTTTTTGACCCTAATATAAATATCCAGATTTTCTAAAGCTTTTGCTTGATTGATTTGTTACGTCACTAGGAACATCAAACAGTTTCCTTGAGAAAAATAGATCTTGAAAAATCTATTTTAAGTTTGGAAAATACTTCTGACCATTTTTAGACAGCAAAGGTGCTGAGGTCAAACCACACTGCACAAGAGCAAATAATCAGTTACTTCAAAAAACCACTTGTTAAGCTTGCTACCAAAACAAAACAAAACTATTTTATTTTGTTGAGAGTACCATGAAAAGAGCAGGTGTTAGTAACGAAGAAAAATACCAAATCTCACCTAAGGCTACAGTAACTTACTAAAAATATGATAAATTTCACAGGGACCAGGCAAGGTAATGACAGTGAGCTATATTATTGACTGCATGATTAAACCTCAAATGCCTGCTGATGCAGCAGTTCATTACTAAGTATTTACGTGTACTCATCTGTGGTCTGTCGAATTAAAATCTTTTAACAAACTATGCTAATTTCCTACATTAAAATACATTAATCTAAGCTACTTAAAGTATACTTAGGTAACAATTAAGTGACACTTGAAATGCTTTAAGTTTATAATTTGTTGTCCAGATTTTGTGCCTGAATAATGGTGCTGAAAAGTAAAAATAATTTCTCATCCTTTTTCCTGAAATTTCTCCCTGTTCTTTCAAGAATCCAAACAACAGGATTTCATTCCCTGTGCTGAGCCTCCTTTCAGTTTCCTCTTCCTACCTATGTCTCAGCTGAAAACTTAAGACCACTCACCCTACAGCCAATGGTTCCACCTTCTGCAGCTGTCGTCTAAATTCCAAATGCAGCCATGTCAAGGCACCTGCACATGGCAGCTGTAAAAGAAACACTGGCACTTTACTGCTGAGAGGAAAGGTAGTGCCATTTTTTGAGCATCGGTTCCCTCCCAGAGAGGATGACAGCTGGCAACTCTGTCCTACAGAAAATAGGAAAGCAAGAGAAACATATACAGAAATGCCTACATATGATGTCACTCGGTAGCCACAGCCCTAAAAGTATCCCAGAAAGAGGGCAAATTAGCTGTAAAGCTAAAGCAAAAAATTTTCCTGAACAGTATTTGGTTACAAGGACAAATAAAGTTCATTTATATTCATTGCTTAGTGGAAGATTTCTTTTACAACCATGTTATTTTGCAAAACTTTTATATTAATGCAACAACTTAGTCCAACAACTTTGAACAATAGTCCATTAAACATCACCAGGTCCTGCTTGAACCAGTGGTTAGTATCAAATACCGCAGCAAGTTATCCAACTCAAATAGAGATGATTTAAATTTTATGACTTGATGAATACAGCAATGATTTATGTTTTGGCACTAAGGGCATAGGCAGAACAAGCCTCTGTTTTGTTTGCTTCATTTTCAGGTTCAGAGAGTCAGATCCCATGCTGGAAAAAATTTTACAAAATATACTAAATTCTTCCAATGCCTACACTAGTGGTTGGTCACACTAAACTTCTTTAAGAAATGGAATTAATTCTTTTAATAACTACTGTTTAATATTCTACAGACCCTTTTATCAATTCAAAAAAAATATACCCGTTTATGTATTAAAGTGACATTCTTCAGTTAGCTTGACTTTAGAATCCATTTTCTCAATTGATAACATGAAAAACTAGGTTATGCTGTCTGTTTTAAGGTGACTAGCAGGACAAAGTTTTAGTGACACTAAATTTTCCACTGCAGAATAATGACTAATATTTATTGACTTAGTGTATGCAAGTGCTGGGCTAGGCCTCTGGCATGTACTATCTCATTTAATCTTCACAACAATCTAATAAAAGTTTAACTACCATAGATTATGCTGTCTGCCCACATTCCACATTCTTAAGTTACTATACACAAAAAGACAATATACCCAGCTTCAAGGAGACCAAATTTAGCAAAAACTTAGGTAGGTAAATCAAGCAAAAACAATCATTTTTTGATGGGTGAAAATATAAGCACAATTAACACTTTATAAATCTCAATGTACACTTTAAAATAATAGTACAACCACTGCTGTCCCCCAAAATACATAAACTGTCATAGGTGAAATGAATCAAATAATACTGAGTTTTTCCCAGTGGTTAAGTTCTTCATTCATGCTGTGGCAGTAGTTTGTTTTCTCCAGGCTTTTAATCCTACAACATGACTAAATGTTATGTGTTCTTGTGATTGAATAATGCACAAGATAAAAACAAAATCCAAAGGTAAGAACTGGTGGTAGGTAGAAACCTGAGGTTTCTGCTGGAGAGAAGGGGAAACTTCTATTGACTGAGCACCCACTGGGCTGGTATTTTAGTTTACATAAGTTATTAGATCTAAACGTCACAACAGCCCTACTGAGTCCATGTCATCATCCTTGTTTCACGGCTGAGAAAACTGAAGCCCAGAGAGGTTAATTAACTCACCAAAGTTTCAGCTGGCAAGTGGCAGAGCTGAGATTCAGCTCCAAGGGACTGACTTAGTAGACAATGGGGTTTTCCCCTCAATTAATATACAGAAATTATATATAATTTGTAAGCTTAACTCCTTTCTCTCCAAAAGACGACAGATTCGCAAAATGTAGCTTTAGAGAACCTACTGGACAGGGGCATGGCCCACGCCAAAGAAGGAAAACCCCTCTCAGAGCAAGGTGGCCATGGCAGCTTCTGGAGAAGCAGTGGGGTCTTCAGGAAAACCAGAGGCCTGGTGACCTCTGGTGACCCAGGTTGTTTTCAGATTGTTTCCCACCACTGGAGAATGAAAAGCAGCCAGCTCAGCAGGAGGCCGCTGGAAGCCAGGCTACAGCTGTCAGAGATGCATTGGTAAAGGATGTGACATCTGTCTTCTGAATTGTGGAAAAGCTCAGAGGAGAGATACAGTGACTCCCATCTCAACATGGACCAATGAGTCTGTTGCTTCTTATTTTCTCAGTCACTGGATATGAAGACATCAAGAAAGGGCTTTAGGATTCAGAGAGAGAATTCTTTCTTAAAGAAAAGAATCAGACTTTGGAAGAAACATTTTTAGTAAATAAGATGAAGAAAAACATGTTCTGTGAAATGAAAACCAGTAAATAAGGGCTATCATGCACATCAGGAGGCCTGCATTGATGGAGATCATTTGAAGAGCACACTGGAATCAAATAAATAAAGACGACTGAATCTCTGAAAGTAGTGCGTGAATAAATGTAATCTAAATAAGAAGAATTCCTCCTCCTATGCACAGAAGTAGAAACTCGGCAGGTGAAGAGTCATTTAAACCCACCTTCATCAAATTGGGAGGTGGAAAATTGAACTGTGATCTGAAGATCCATGTTTTAGAATGACAGCTGGTACTTATAAGGAAGAAACGTGCAATTTCAAAATAGAGCTGCAAAAATCCAAAGGGATCCATCTCAGGAAGAAGGCCTGACCAGCAGACACTTTCAAAAACTAAGTTTTTCAAGTCATAATATGCAACATTTATATTGGGAACTGAAGAGAGAAATGACTACTAAGAACACTGAAAATTCTTACTACAACCAGGAAGGCCTTTGTCCCAAGAGAATGTGTTGAAGACATTGGGGAGGACAACATGAAACTGCATTTCATGCATTTCACTGCAACATTCAAAAGACATCTCTCTTTCTCACCAAATGGTAAAGCTCTTTCTAAGAAATACCACAGCTTCTCCTTTACCAGGGGATCTAAATATTTCATCAGGGAAAGCAATTCTCTAATCATGGACAAACAATGTAGATCCATTCCTATGGATGTGCCTAATGATGGCACAAACTTTTAGAAACACAATTCCTATAGCAAAAAACCTGTGGAAGATACTTTCTGGGTGTTTCCAAGTCCTCCTAAATTCAGTGAGGCTGACTTCGGGGAAACTAAAACTATTGGGTCAAAATAATCAAAACTGCCTTGATAGAAATTAACTCTGAAGAAATTCATATTTAACATAACAATGTGGCCGGGCGTGGTGGCTGACGCCTGTAATCCCACCACTTTGGGAGGCCAAGGTGGGTGGATCACCTGAGGTCAGGAGTTCGAGACCAGCCTGGCCAACATGGCGAAACCCCATCTCCACTAAAAATACAAACATTAGCTGGGTATGGTGGTGGGCCCCTGTAATTCCAGCTACTCGGGAGGCTGAGGCAGGAGAATCACTTGAACCCGGGAGGCGGAGGTTGCAGTGAGCGGAGATCACGTCATTGCACTCCAGCCTGGGCAACAAGTGTGAAACTCTGTCTCAAAAAAAAAAAAAGGTGAGGATGTGGGATTTACCCCAGTGGTTTTCCAAGAAATGTCTACAACACATTAAAATTAAGCTTGGATTAAAAGTCTGCAGAAGTCTTTAGAGTATGTGTGTATCTGCACATATTGTACCTTTAGAATTACCTTTAAATTATTACTAACTTTCCTTCTAATTTGATCCCGTAATGGGTTATTTTTTTGCCAAAATGTCTGTATCCTCAAGAGTGGTGTGTTACCAATGTCAACTTTTTGACCTTGCAACAATATTAATTTAAGGCATAATCACTCTTCATGGACAAATCATTGTTTATTAAACTGTAACTTATTTGATGTGTTCTTGAAATTTTTTTTACACTATTGGTTTTGTGAGGCATAAGTATTTCATGACAGAAACTACTAAAATAATACCCTGTTCACACTATATTTATTAAATATAATTTTAGGACTATAAAATACAATTTTATATTTACTATGTAAAAATAGAATTCAAATTCAATCTGCTTTTTGGTATAGTAGTCTTAGATATTTCCTGAGCATTGCAGGAAATTGCAAAGCATTGTTAATACACTTGGGGTTAAACACATTGTTTTATGTATGAAAAAAATAAAGTTAGCTAGCATATCATTTTCCTTTAAAGACCACAAGATATGATAAGGTGGTTAATGCAAATTAATGGAAATGATAGGTAACTATTTTAAGGGAAGAATGGAAAACAAGAGAGATCAAAAAAGCCTTTGAGGATAGGCATTTAGTTTCAGCATGATATGGCGAAGGGCTTTATTTTAACAAAATTCCTTGTGATCTTGAGTATTTATGATGAAACTTCAAATGTACAGTAAAATTTATATACTTTTGAATATAATGAAGAATAACATCTTTCAAATTTACTTGGGTGAACACTGAATAGGGAGAGAGGTTTAGCTCTGAAAGTAAAAGCACCAAAATACAGCTTAATTAAATAGAAAAGATAATTTCAAAAGTATTAAGCTTCTTATTATCATGAAATTCTTAAGGTTTCAAACCTAAAGACCTTAATTAAAATTTAAAAATCTTAATAATAAATAAAGGTTAGCTACAACACCAAGGCACAGGAACCAAAGAATTTCTGGGAACTAAGAGAAGATTCACGTCCACACTAGGGTAAATATAACAGTCTAATTTGACCTGGCACACCCAAAATCATACCACAGGGGGCTCAAAGCTCTGAGATGTCATGAGCTAACAAAGTCTCCTACGATTACAAAACTAGGAACAATATCTCAAAAAGAACTTAAGCCTATAGCCCTGCAGTAACTCTGAAAGAACTTTGATAATAATGACATTGATCAAAAACATCAAAAGTTTAAAAAAAGGGTTGGTTGCGGGGGGGAGAATAACCTTATACATACCTTGTAATTAAAGCACACACTGTTAATCCTTAACTATTTATAACAAAAAAATGAAAAGAGATTACATTCCTTTGAAAATCCAAGGAAATTAAAATCTCATGATTATCTGAAAGAACCTGAAATTACACTCATATTTTCTTCTCTAAAGAGAGATGTTCATATTATGTGTGACAGAAGTCTATAATCAATTTTAAAAATATGTGGGAAATCTGTCTTGGTGTATGCTATCTAGATTCAAGATAGCTCAAAGCTACTAATACAAATGGACTATTTTAGACCCATACAACGCACAACTATAAAAAGTCATATATTATTATAAATAAAGAAAAGTTTAGTGACAGAGCTGAAAATAATATTTTGGGAGAATATCTAACTTCAATTGACATGACTGGCTAGTATTAAAAACTGGCCTGGGATAATTCTGTACAATGTCTGGTGACATACTAGATGGCAAAGTCATAACTACCATATATTGCTAATGTTTTCTGTGTATCACTCATTTCATGTCATCATATTAATTCAAAACATGAGCAACATCTATTCTAACAAGGGACCACAATTATAATGTACGGAATTGCAGGAGGAATTCCTTCAATCAGGAATATGAAGTTTAGATTGTTTGGCCTTGCTTTCTAAGATAGCAACTGTCATGTCATTGAAGATATTCTCACTAAACCAATAAATAAGATCAGCAAAGGAAATGCATCAGTGAAGCACCCAAAATGTCAGGCTTCAGGGCATACTTAAAGCCTAGTGGTATCTTTGAAACTATACACCAAGACCACTGATGTCTTTCTGAGGTTTAAATTGGCATTCAGCTGACTACCCAGAGATTCTGGAGTTTCCATCCAAATAAAGGACAAACATACCAACTGGGTATCGTGTGCTACTTGCTGCTGTTTGAAAAAACAATACGAGATTACAACACTCTTTGTCCACAAAAATGCCTGACATTTCTGGCTTAAGACTTTTTGGGCCTAATAAATAACTCCATTACTTATGACAGAGGTTTCTTTCATTGACGGGTTTATTAAATAAATAAGTAGTTCATCAGTTTCCAGAATGTGTTGTTTCACACAATTTAATATGAAACAACTAGCAGGTGGTACTATTAAGAACCATCAGTAGTAGGAATTGTTTCATAGATGACCAACTTAATCTACCTTTGGAACACTGCCACCCTTTATAAGGTTTTTCCATATAACACATTCAAAGTTTTAGTGCCCATCTACTCAGGGTGTTTATGAAATCCTTGTGCAACTTTAAACTTGACCTATCCCACTGAACTATATTTTATGGGACTGTGTTAAAACTGTTGTGTATTCATCCAGACCACATTCTTTAAGAGAACTTCCAGCCAGGATCATGAATGCAATTTATGAAATCACTCGGCAGCAGCTGTAGAATGTTTTCAATGAGGTGGAAAATCAGACTGAATGTTGGATCACCAAAAACTGGTGGTTATGTTGAAGTCTATAAATTTAAACTGCAATGTTAAAGTCTTAGGCACACTGATTTAAGTCATTTTTAATTTTTTTCTGTCATAAATACAACAAAGATTAAGGTTTAAAGTTAACATGGAAATTTTTAAAACACCCCAAATGGCTATGATGTTATACACATCTATTAGAAACTTTATTATTTATCCCAGGTTAGAAGACTAATAGCAACTCATTAGAAAATGTTTGCCTTTTCACCTTACTGTTCTCCCTACTTCTTTCACTTCACAGAATTTATTGATTATAGAAGTTAAGGACAATTAGTAAATTTCAAGAAAAAACACTCAACTGGAACTTCATGGGAGGATCTACTCTTTTACGTTTAACAAAAACATATCAGTTGGCTAATATTCAGCCAATGAATATTTTCTTAAAAGGAACAGGAATTACTCATTGCATTTGCTTACTAAATAACAAGAATAATTTAGTGAATCTCAATGGCTAGAGCAAGTAATCCAAGCAGAAGATGTAAGAATATCTATCTAAAATTGACTATATAAAACAAAATAATGGTCATTAATATTTATCTCAGATATTTTTCACAATCCTCTAAGGTGGACCCTCTTACTGTCTCCATTGTACAGATAAGGAAAATGAATCATAGCACTGTTAAACAATTTGCTCAAGGTCATCAGGTCAGTTAAGGCAGGAAATAAACTTCAAAGCCAGTCTGTGTCCACAGTCCAAGCCCTTAGCTACTACACTTCTCCTGATTATGGTATTTTTATACTTAAGGCTTCTTTTACACATTTTAATGGATCATTATAAAGATTCTGAGTCACTGATCAAACAGCTTATTTCAAATTTGCTCTAGCGTTACACTCCATAGAAGAGATTTCTATTCTTTAAAAAAAATTTTTCTGAAAACTCTCTTTTATTGCGGCAGCTTATAAACAAATAGGCAATTTAGCAGTCTTTTGGGTTAATTACCATAAGCGAATTAACTTAAATGCCTATGAGTCTTTGGCATAATTCTCCAGAATGCAAAATGAGCCAATCTTATTGATTCTAGTTTTAACAATACCTCTAGAAGTGTTTTTTTTTTGGGGGGGGGTTGTTTGTTTGCTTTTCCTTTTCCTTTTCCTTTTTCTTCCTCACTGCTATCACTTTAGTCCAGGACATCATCATTTCTTGCTTAAACCGCTGAACACTGCTTCCAAATGTCCTCTAACCTGTTTCCTTTACAGACCATGCCCTGCACTACTACAATAGTTCCATCCTTAAAACACATATTTGAGGCCGGGTGCAGTGGCTGACGGCTGTAATCCCAGCACTTTGGGAGGCCTAGGCAGGTGGATCACGAGGTCAAGAGATCAAAACCATCCTGGCCAACATGGTGGAACCCCCCCCTCTCTACTGAAAATACAAAAATTAGCTGGGCGTGGTGGCACGCACTTGTAGTCCTAGCTACTCAGGAGGCTGAGGCAGGAGAATTGCTGGAACCCGGGAGGCGGAGGTTGCAATGAGCCGAGATTGGTGCCACTGCACTCCAGCCTGGTGACAGAGCAAGACACCATGTCAAACAAACAAACAAACAAAAAACATACTTGATCATTTTACTCCTTTCCCCCAGGAGGAACTTTCAACACATTTAAAACTCAAAGTTCAACAACTTTAGTGTAATATACAAAGCCCCACCACCATTCCCGCCACTGCTTCCACTCCGACTACTGCCCCTATCCAGCCCCAACCATCTATTAAATACCACATATCTCAGTATATTTCATCAAATATTATTTGCTTTGAAAATTGTCATCTTTCTGCTTAATATTGCTTAGATTTAGGTTTGGCAGATTTTGAGGGTTTTTTTTCCCCCAGGTTTTTGTTTTGTTTTGTTTTTAAGAGAAATGCATGCTTATTAGTACATGCCTATTATTTAAACCTAGCCACTAAGCTCATCTGGCTCAGATCAGGAGCAGAGAGGGTGAGACAGACACCTAGTGTACCTTTTGAAGGGCTTATACGTGAGGATGTAGGCAATTGTTTTTCTCTAGATTAAGAATGAACTAGGCAAGTATGAATGCAATCAGAGGTAAGTTTAAAGGTAGAAAAAGGACGAGAACTGGATGAGACAAGATCAATTGCTTAAAATGAGGACTAGCAGAGAGTGCAAGAAGCAGCAAACATGTCCATCAGTCTCTGTGGGCACATTAGCACGTGGTTCTCCATCTTAGCTGCATGTTAGAATCACCTGGGGAGTGTCTAAAACGTCCCTGCCAGGTGTTCTTCAGGCCAATTACATCAAAATCTCTAGGAGTAAATCGCAGACATTGGTATTTTTTAGAGCACCCCACGTGATTCCAAAGTACAGCCAAGGTTGAAATTCACCCAGTTAAGACAAAAGTGATGAGAAAAGACCACAGAAGAGAGCTGACAGCTCACATAACTGGAAAGCAAAGATACATTATCGTGCCCATATGACAGTTGTGATTTTTTCCAGGAATGCTTAATAGTGTAGGAGCAAGGGCAGAAAAAGGGAAAAGTCGAGTTTATCCAGAGTTGAAAAGTGGCAGGGTCCTAAATAATAGAGACCTGATCTTAGAACACTGCAACTATTGACCATAGGCTCCAGACTGGGTGAGAGAAGTCAGACAGTGATGAGAGACTGAGCAAACAGCTGTCAATGAATTCAGTGAACGAGTGGGAATAGTGGCAGGAAAGAGGGACAACTTGACACGAGAGGGTAGGATTTCTGGGTTTAAAATTTACGTTTTTCAAGGTAGCACTGCTCTGTGTGATTATATAATCTGGAGCAAGACCACAGCAGAGAATGACTGGGGTAGAAAAGAGAATGGCTGGCTCCACTGACAAAGTCTTTGGAGACTGAGGTTAGCGTGTTCACCAGGGCATCCTGAATTTTAGAGTTGTCCAGGCTAACTATAGGATCTAGGAAGGGAAAGAAATCAAGTCAAAGGGCTCTATGAAGTCTGGGGAACAATCCAGAGTGAGTAGAGGATAACAATGGGCAAATGCAAGCTCAGAAGATGGCAGCCTTATCAATGAGGTAGCAAAGAAATAGCCTGAAGTGGCAGAATGACTGCAAGAGACTGGCACCCTAATCACAGAAGCCAAGTACCACGTGTGTGACAGAATGGAGAGCATCTGTCTGAGAGAACAAAGTCCTCTCAAAGGATGAAAACGAAACATCATTTCAAACCCATAATTGTCCAGCTCATTCCCATCTTCAGCTTAATGTTCAACATTGGCTTCCATGGCTCTTAAGATGAAGACACAGCCAGTGCCTACAAGGTCTAGCATGACCAGGGTCTGCCTAACTCCCGAGCCTCATCATGTTCCATGCTCCATCCTGGCTCTCTGCACATCAGTGGAAGGGCCTTTTCCCACTCACCAAATGTGCTATGTTCCCTCCCACCAAACAGCCATTAAACATTGCTGTTCCCTCAGTCTCAAACTCACCTCTCCCTTCTCCATCCAGTTAACTCATTCACGTTTCCATTTCCGACACAAATACATTATGTACTTATGGAAGCCTTACTCAATCTTCCACATTTGGTCAGCTGCTCTCATACCACTTATGAACATTGTAGTTTTACACTTATTTAGGTTGTCGTATATGTAATGTCTGTCTCTACAACTGGACTGTCAGTTCTATGAGGGCACAGGCTGTATCCATCATATTCACCATACATTCCTAATGCCCAGCAAAGTCACTGACATACGGTAGGCCCACTATAAATATTGTTGAATAAATGAATGAAAACATGGATACACCACAAATGAGAAGGAACATAGTGAAAAGACTACTGGAATCTTAATACTATTCATATAGCAGCAAGAGATACCACTTCTTGAGTGCTTCCTGTGTAGCAGATATGGCTACTTATTTAATCCATGGATCAACCTCTGAGATAGGTGTTTTTTTTTTTTTTCTTAAGATGGAGTCTCACTCTGTCACCCAGTCTGGAGTGCACTGGTGTGATCTCATCTCACTGCAACCTCCGCCTCCCGGGTTCAAGTGATTCTCCTGCCTTAGCCTCCTGAGTAGCTCGGACTACAGGTGCACGCCACCACGCCTGGCTGATTTTTGTATTTTTAGCAGAGACGGGGTTTCACCATGTTGGTCAGGCTGGTCTCAACCTCCTGACCTCATGATCCGCCCACCTTGGCCTCCCAAAGTGCTGGGATTACAGGTGTGAGCCACTGTGCCCGGCCTGAGATAGGTTTTATCATCTCAATTTTGTAAATGAGAAAACTGAACACTCAAAGAGATTAAATCACTTGCCTGCTGGCCGCCAGCTGTGAACAGCGAGAACCAGGATTTTCCCAGGTAGAGGTACCCTAGATCTTTATGTCAAGTTGACTATAAAGATTCCTACAGTTAAAGCCAAATTATCCTCAAAAAAGCAACTCTAGATGTGCACACATGTACACACATATCTGAACATGTACCAGTTTGGCTTCAAGCTGGTACTCTGAATGGGGCATTTTACCACAGAATGGAGGTCCCAAGAGTTAAAAATAGGGCCAACAGAAGAAAATAGGTTTGGATGGTGTATTAGTCAGGGTTCTCTAGAGGGACAAAACTAATGGAATAGATATATATATATAAAGAGTTTATTAAGGAGTATTAAATCACACAATCGTATATAAAAAAAGTTTATTAAGGAGCATTAAATCACACAATCATATATAAAGAGAGTTTATTAAGGAGTATTAAACTCACACAAAGGTCCCACAATAAGCCATCTACAAACTGAGGAGCAAGGAAGCCAGTTCAAGTCCCAAAGCTGAAGAACTTGAAGTCTGATGTTTGAGGACAGGAAGCATCCAGCACGGGAGAAAGATGTAGGCTGGGAGGCTAAGCCTGTCTAGCCTTTTCACGTTTTCCTGCCTGCTTTATATCCTGGCCAAGCAAACAGTTGATTAGAGGGTGTTCACCCAGATTAAGGGTGGGTCTGCCTTTCCCAGCCCACTGACTCAAATGTTATTCTCCTTTGGAAACATGCTCACAGACACACCCAGGATTATTACTCTGCATGCTTCAATCCAATCAAGTTGACACTCAGTATCAACCATCCCAAATCCACTCCTTGTCAACTTGAACTCATACACATTTCCTGAGATCATATATAATTTTCAAATAAAGACAATAATAAGGTCATAATTATGCCTAACATAATTCAACTATGCTATGTACAACCGAAAACACACCAATCCCCAACCCAAATGCTATTACATAAAGTTAACAATACTTAAGGGTTGATATGAAGCCAATAAATCTTATGTCTCATGATAAAGTAAAAAGGAAAATGAAGGCATTTTCTTAACACAGTGTATACATG
Organism: Homo sapiens; assembly: GCF_000001405.40. Taxonomy (NCBI): domain Eukaryota; kingdom Metazoa; phylum Chordata; class Mammalia; order Primates; family Hominidae; genus Homo; species Homo sapiens. The sequence goes on along the minus strand of NC_000007.14, from coordinate 7,727,233 downwards.
AACAAGCATGTTTTTAACAAAAAGAGGAAGAAATACTCATTGAGAATTACAGTCCTCATTTCTGCAACTGGTCATGTGGTTGTAGCTGGTATTGATGACTACCTTTTTATCCTACCCATTCTGTATTCCCTTTGCCTTCAGCACACACCTCAACAGGTCATGGGTTTTTTTCCAGATGGAGTGACCCAAACTTTCATTATTGAAGGGTCTTGGCCATTTGTAGTCCTGCCTGGAGTGGGCTGTTGTAGTTTCCCGCTGACCTGAACCACAGGGCAGGGTAATACTAACAGACACCCTATGGATCTCCTCTATTCCATGCATACTCTTCCTTATCTCTGTTGTGAAGTATTAGGCTGATTTCATCTTGATAGTCCAGGTCAATCACCCCAGCCAACACTGTATCTCCCTCCTTAGACTGTTGACTTAAAGGTGGGAGGTGCCCAAAGGGTACAGCTGGCAATCTTAACTTCCAGTTTAATGGAATCGTTGTTGTGTCTCCTGGCAGCATTTCTCCCTCTGGAACTAACATCTCTATCTGGAACTAACAGCTCTAGGCCAGCAGAACGTAATGTCACAGGAAAAGGAAGCAAAATTTTGCTAGTGGGTCACTAGGGGTGAGGGTGAATGGTGCCATTTCCACTTCCACCCCTTGATTCCTGGACCTGTGAATCCTGGCTATGGGAGAAACAGTACCATATATTGGACACTGATTCAGAGCATACACGGCCTTCTGGAGAACTTTGCGTCAGCCCTGTAAAGTGTTGTCACCTAATTGGCGTTGTAATTATGCCTTCAAAAGGCCATTCCATTATTCTATCAATCCAGCTACTTCAGGATGATGGGGAACATGGTAAGACCAGTGAATTCCATGAGCATGAGCTCACTGCTGCACTTCTTTAGCTGTAAAGTGAGTGCCTTGGTCAGAGGCAATGCTGTGTGGAATACCATGATGGTGGATAAGGTATTCCATGAGTCCATGGATGATAGTCTTGGCAGAAGCATTGCTGAGGTCACCCGTTAGTGAGCACTCACATGGGATACAAATATCTTCACAGTTTTTGACCAGACAGGTCCATCCACATATCTCTTCCCCAATTTTCTTTGTCACCAATTTTCCAATCATGCTTCTTCCAAGTCCCTGACCATCCAGCCAAACCACTGGCTACAGCCCATGAATCAGTACATAATCATACATTTGGCCATCTCTCCTTCCATGCAAAGTGCACAACCAGGTGCAATGCTCAAAGTTCTGCCCATTGGGAAGATTTCCCTTCACCACTGTCCTTCAGGGATGTCCTAAGAAGAGGCTGTAGTACTGCAGCTGTCCACTTTCAGGTGGTGCCTGCATATCATGCAGAACCATCTGTGAACCAGACCCTAGTCTTCTCTTCCTACGTCAACTGATCATAGGGAACTCCCCAAAAGGCCATTGGTGCAGTCTGGGGAAGAGAAGGCAGGGTGGCAGGAGTGGAGACCATGGGCATTTGAGCCACTTCCTCATGTAACTTGTGCCTTCACCTGCTCAAGCCCGATCACATATATACCACTTCCATTTGATGATGGAATGCTGCTGTGCATGACCCACTTTATGGCTAGATGGGTCAGAAAGCACCCAGTTCATGATAGGCAGTTCAGGTCATATGGTGACTTGATGATCCATAGTCAAACGTTCAGTTTCCACCAAAGCCCAGTAACAGGCCAAGAGCTGTCTCTCAAAAGGAGAGTAGTTATCTGCAAAAGATGGCATGGCCTTGCTCCAAAATCTTAGAGGCCTCCACTGTGATTCACTTATGGGGGCCTGCCAAAGGCTCCAAATAGCATCCCTATCTGCCACCGATACATTAAGCACAATTGGATCTGCTGGGTCATATGGCCCAAGTGGCAAAGCAGCTTACACAGCAGCCTGGACCTGTTGCAGAGCCTTCTCCTGTTCTGGACCCCACTCAAACTGGCAGCCTTTCGGATCACTCGATAAATGGGCTGGTGTAAAACACCCAAATGAGGAATGTGCTGCCTCCAAAATCCAAACAGGCCCACCATGTGTTGTACCTCTTCCTTGGTTGTAGGAGGAGCCAAATGCAGCAATTTATCCTTCACCTTAGAAGGAATATCTCAACAGGCCCCACACCACTGGACGCCTAGAAATTTTACTGAGGTGGAAGGTTCCTGAATTTTAGTCAGATTTTTTTCCATTCTCTGGCATGCAAATGTCTCACCAGTAAGTCCAGTTTGTTTTCTACTTCTTGCACACTGGATCCAATCAGCATAATGTCATCAATGTAATGGACCAGTGTGGTATCTCGTGGAAGTGAAAAGCAATCAAGTTCTCTCCAAATAACATTATGACACAAAGCCAGAGAGTTGATATACCCCTGAGGTAGAACAGGAAGCTGAAAGCAAATTGCTTCTGGTGGACCTTATGGACAGGAATGGAGAAAAGGGCATTTGCCAAGTCAATGGCTGCATACCAGGTATCAGGAGATGTATTAATTTGCTCAAGCAATGAAACCACATCTGGTATAGCAGCTGCAATTGCAGTCACCACTTGGTTAAGCTTACAATAATCCACTGTCATTCTCCAAGATCCATCTGCCTTCTGCATAGGCCAAACAGGAGAGCTGAGTGGGGATGTGGTGGGAATCACCACCCCTGCATCTTTCAAGTCCTTAATGGTGGCACTACTCCCTGCAATCCTTCCAGGGATGTGATACTGTTTTTGATTTACTATTTTTCTAGGTAGAGGCATCTCTAATAGCTTCCATTTCCCACCATAATAGCCCTCACCCTACTGTCAGGGAGCCAATGTGGGGGTTCTGCCAGCTACTAAGTGTGTCTATGCCAATTATGCATTCTGGCCCTGGGGAAATGACCACAGGATGAGTCTGGGGACCCACTGGACACACTGTAAGTCAGACTTGAGCTAAAACTCCATTAATTACCTGACCTCCATAAGGCCCTATTTTAACTGGAAGACCACATTGGGTCCCCCGGAATCAACATCACCTCAGATCAACCGTGCATTGGAGAAAGGGAAATGATGAGGCATTTCAGGGACTATCTGAAATGACATTATCAGTTACCCTGATAAAAGGCTGGAGGTCTCCTTGGGGGAGGATGGGAGAAAGATTAACAGCATAAATTGTCGGTAGTATAATGGGATCCTTCCTCAAGGGGACCCGGCCTCCCCTTCATTCAAGGGGTTCTGGGTCTGTAAACTGGCTCAATTCTGGAAATTGATTGAGGAGCCATGATTCTGTTTTTATAATTCAAATTAGTCTTTTGTCCATTCGATCTGAAAATTTTCTTCTCATATAAATTAAGTAGGTATGCAGTAGGCTTCCTATCAATTTCACTTCTAGGAACACCGTGATTAATTAGCCAATGGCAGAGCTCTACACGAGTCAGACTATTCTGATTGTTGCTTTGCCTCTGCTGTCCATTACAGTAGCTATGCCTACCTTGCCTTTGACGGCTGAGTGCCACCACTTGGCCCCTGCCACCTCAGGATCCAGTTATTCCCATCATATTTAAATTTTGTAGTTGAGTGACTATGGTTGCCACTGTTAGTTCTGACATACAGAGAAGAGCAATTATCGGGCTCTTGAAAGATACAGGTGCTGCCCTCACAAATCTATTTTGCAAAGCACTGGTCAAAAGTATATCTTCTGGACCCTCCCAGCTGGGAAGAGTAGGTCTAAAGTGACTAATCCACTCCACCATCCCAATCTCCCTAAGCCTTTGGATCCCTTCCTCTACATTAAACCAAGGGAGATTAGGCATTTCCAGCTCGCTCATAGTGGGCCATATTTTAATCCACATTTCAGCTAATCAAGCAAATAAACTACATTAGAACATTTTTTAACTCCCTGAGCTGTAACATTAAATGCAGAATCCCTACTTAGTGGGCCCAAATCAATAAATTCAGCTTGATCTAACTCTATGTTCCTTCCACCATTATCCCACACCCTTAATATCAATTCCCACGCCTGTTCTCCAGATTTCTGCTTATGTAAACTGAAAAATTTAAGCAGTTCTTCTCAAGTGTAGCACACCTCCTCATGGGTCACACTCTGAACCTTGCCTCTAGGGGCCCACCAGGACTTTAGTCTAGTTATAGCTCTAGAAGCAAACAGGGATGTTGGCAGTGGCTCCTGAGGAGAATCAACATTATCTTGCCTGGCAACTGCTCAGGGGAGGCCATCACTGTTGCCTCAGGCAGTGCAGGGTTTATCTCCTCAGACAAAGGTGGAAAGGCTGATGGCAGCATCGGTTGGAGAGGGAATGTTGCCAATACTGGGGATGGAGAAGCTGTTTCTTCTGGCAAAAAAGATTGATCAGGGTTTACAAGCTCAGTGTCCCCAGCTTCATCAGGGTCCTCCCACACGTCCCCATTCCAAGTTGCAGGGTCCCATTCTTTTCCAATCAATGCCTTCACTTTAACAGTAGACACCTGGTGAGGCTGTGCATGCACCTTCCATTACAGGTCAGCCACCCACATGATAAGAGCTTGTGTCTGTTTTGCCACAATTTCAGCTCTTTCTCTACAGGAGGTAAGACTCTCACTGAGGGCAGTCTTAGGAGATTTAAGGCTCAGTATATGCTTCTGTAGCCAGGAGTCAGAATCCCTGAATTCATCATTTTCCTTCATCACTTTGTCCAGTGAACTTAGGAGCAACCAACCAACTTCATTACATTCCTTAGTTCTCCACATACAGCCTAAGGTATTATGTACAGAGTCACTAAACCCCTTGTCTCACATGGGCGGTAAATCAGGAGTGTCAAATGCATTTATTTTGCATAACTGTCTAAACAGTTCATGCCAAGGACTATCAGTGTTCTCTATACCATTAGAAGTAGAGTCCTTCGCATTATTGGGTCTAATCATATTAAGCAGCCAACTCCAGAATCCCCAAAACCAACGAAGGAACTCCATCCTTAATATTCTGTTCCTCTAGAACCACTCCTCGTACCAAAATCTATATTAGTCAGGGTTCACTGGAGGGACAGAACTAATAGTATATATCTATATATCTATATAGATATATAGATATACATATATATACATATATATATATAGAGAGAGAGAGAGAGTTTATTAAGGAGTATTAAACTCACATGATCACAAGACCCACAATAGGCCGTCTGCAGGCTGAGGAGCAAGGAAGCCAGTCCAAGTCCCAAAGCCGAAGAACTTACAGTCCAATGTTCAAGGACAGGAAGCATCCAGCATGGGAAAAGATGTAGGCTAGGAGGCTAAGCCAGTCTAGCCTTTTCACGTTTTCCTGCCTGCTTTATATCCCAGCCAAGCGGGCAGCTGATTAGATAGTGCCCATCCAGATTAAGGGTGGGTCTGCCTTTCCCAACCCACTGACTCAAATATTAATCTCCTTTGAAAACACCCACACAGACACACCCAGGATCAATACTTTGCATCCTTCAATCCAATCAAGTTGACACTCAGTATTAACCATCACAGATGGGGAGTTCAGTAAAATCCCTGAGAGGGCAGGTAGCAAAATCCTCATGGACAATCACAAAAAAGATCAAGGAGGAGGAAGAGGCAGCACAGAGATTGATTCACTGCCTCTGCAGAGATCTTTCCTGGGGTGGAAGTGAGTTTTCATTCCAGTAGAAGATCATAAAAGTGACAGTTCCTGCTGATGACAAAAGTCTCCTCCATATTTTATGAAACATAACTCTGCCATCACCATTTACTACTTATTCAAATGCATGAGCTTCCTTTTAAGGAAAAATGGCTCCTAATGGCAGTATCCCCTACGGCTCACAATTATGCAGCAGTAGTGTGGTTTTCACGCAGGTGCCTTAACATTTAAAGTAGAATTCAAATTTGACCACAATGACAGGTCCAGAGCTCATGAACCTCTGCACACATATGGAATATGTGAGAAAAGAAACTTGTCAAAAATCCAAATGACAGAAAAAGAGATTCACATACTGTATTAGTTTCCTAAAGCTGCCATAGCAAAATGGTACAAACGTGGTGGCTTAACACAACAGAAATTTATTCTGTCACATTTCTGGAGACTAGAAATCGTCAATCAAGTTGTCAGTAGGGCTAAGCTCTCTCTGAAGTCTCTAGGGCAGAATCCTTCCTTGCCTCTTCCTAGCTCTGGTGGTTTCTTGCAATCCTTGGTGTCCCTTGGCTTGTGGTGGCATCATTTCGATCTCTGCCTCTCTCACATGGCCATTTCTCCTCTGTGTCTCCCTGTGTCCAAATTTCCCTCTTCTTATAAGGACATCAGTCAGTGAAGGAGGAGGGCCCACTCCAATGAGTATGACCTCATCTTAACTTGATTCCATCTGCAAACAGATTATATTTCAAAATAAGGTCACATTCATAGGTACTGGGGGTGAAGTCTTAAATATACCTTTTTGGGGGGACAGAATTCAACCCATAACTCATACTAACCACCTAGTCTGGATTACTAGAAGGCAGCACACCTGCACTTAGCCTTCACTGAAGGCTCTTAATTCTTCAGTAAAATGCCCCTTGTTTTAATAAAAATGTTTAAATAAAAATACACAAAAAAACAAATTGGCTTCTTCTACAAAATCACTATTGAAGATGCTTTTTTTTCTCAAAAAGTCTTTTTATAATTACCATGAAGAAAGTTTATTTCTTTTGATGACAGTGAAAATTTTTCTTTTGTTTGGCAATTAGGAAGCTTACTAGTCAGCACTATAGTACTGTACTAATACTCAGTAGTCTATAGTACCATAATACTACAGTAGTCTGGGTGTTTCTCAAGTTTAGATGGGGAGAGTAAGTTAGGGGGGGAAATGATTAAAAACACAGATGCCTGGGACACACTCCAAACCTATAAAATCAGAAGTGATGGGGAAGAGGCCCAGGGTTATTCGCTTCTGACAAGCAGCCAAAGTCATTCTGCTGTATACCAACTGTGAGTGCCACCAGCCTAGGGTTTTTACATCCCATTTCCCCCTTTATTCTCAGAGATGTATAGTTTGTGACTTTTATATTTTAATGCTCTTGTGTCCTTTATTGCAAGCTATATTTTTTTTAGCTATTTACAATTAAGATTAACAAGCAATTTCTAAGTATTCTACTTCTGAACTATACATTTGAAATAATACTTGTGACTGTATTTTAGGTTCTGTAGCACTTTTCCAAAAATGACATACATTTTCAAACAGATGGCTTTATTCATGCTTACCAAGTCCCTCTGAGGTACACTGGAAGAAGAAACTTTATTCCCTTCAAAAATAAAGGCTCAAGTCCAAGTCAAACTGAGTACTTATTAAACACCTTTAATGTTCAAGACCCAGGGAGGTACTTCTCTGAATATGGAAAGGTTAGTGTACCACTTAAACACAGTACACTGATTTACCATCTCTTGTTTGTACAGAATTAAATAGTCTAGACAATTTAATTATTTTAATTGATCAGTGTAAGTTGTTGTGAACAATTCAGAATAAAAGCTCCAAGTACAAGTACTTTCTTTCCACATTATTCTTCTCATCTTCAGTTCACATATGAAAACTAAAGCCTCCTAAACTTAAGATTATAAAGTACTGCAAAGTACAGTAGTCACTAACGTGAAAAAAAAAACTACTACTTTCCATGGCTGTCTATAGCTCAACTCTCTGAAAAATATACAGTCGGTTTGAAGTCTTTTGTGAAATCCCTTGTGAGACTCTACTGTTGACTGTGGTTAGAATACATTCAAAAGTATAATCAGATTGCATCATCACCATCACCTGCTCAGAGGCAAGTTGAAGAAACATGTGCTCATGAGGCTGAAGCTGGCTTATTGTACTACACTCTCATGTGGGCTTGCCAGAGAGATTAGTCACCATTTTGCAGCTGGTTTCAAATTCAGTTGCTGCGATACAAGTGCAGATGCAATGGCTTACCCTAATTATATTGCTCCAGTTTAATCTTTCCATTTGTAGCATACTATATACTGGATCAAATTCAAGACTCTGGATTGGTTTCAAATAGAAGAGATTTCAAAATCACACATTTGTTATCCTCTCCTAAAGCTTGCTGATCATATTTCATCATTGTATCTGCTAGATCTTCTGAATTCACCCTAAAGGTGTTTTTAGCTCTCTAAACCATCACTAAATCTTGATAATTAATAAAAATGCAGAAAAAAACAGTTCTTAAAGCTTTTTTTAACACAATAAAAGGAAAGTTATGTCATCTCCAAAAATACTCATATGTTTTTTAAAATTTCAATTTTCTTCCTCTTTGGAATTAAATATATGAGCAAATTCTAAGGAAATTAATTGTAATCAGTGGTTTCTAAACTTAACTGATGGTCAAAATCACTTGGGAAGCTTTAAAACACACATACATTTCCCCCACTTCACCCTGTACCTGTTGAGTCATAATTTAAAGAGGTTTCTTTTTAAATTAATCTAGAAGTTAAATAAAGCTAATGCTGGTATTGCTTCTGAGAGTCAGAAAGAAAAAAGAAAGGTTCCTGCCTATCTCATGCAGGTCTTTTTAACTGCCTGCTACTGTCCATATTTAATAAATGCCATCTGTCAAGAATGATGTCTATACAAAGAGATGATGTAATCAGAAGAACTTTAAAATAAAAGAAAAAATAAAATCCTAGCATCATCAGATCCACAGAAGCTACTCAGATAAGAGGCTCCAAGAGGACATTTTTGGATGTGAAAAACAATGAGAAGGAGGACAACACACATTTACAATCGTCTTAATTTTGTAAGTATCTGTTTGAATTTGTTGGATACATAGTTTTTTCCTTCAAAATAACTTAAAGGTATTATTTTGAAGACACACATAGTCAAGTTTAGATTATGCATTTTTACTCCGTTCTTATTCATTTGTTCCATGCTAGTGCTGGGAATATGGTGGTAAGAACAGACAACCCATGCCCTCACTATGCATACAGTATCATCGATGGCATTATAAAAATATCAAAATAGTTTTATGGTTAAAATAAACTATAAGAAATTCACATAAGTATATTTCAAAATACCCTTGGGGATAAAAATAACACATTCAAGTTACAGCTGACACATTATTTGGAAAAATCACTCAAGTTCTGCAATTTCTTCTTCCCAAATTAATACCAGTTTTACTTTCTTATCTGATCTAAAATTTATAACTTATTATACAACAATGTGAAGTTAATAAGTGAATGGTATATCACAGGTTATTCAACACACTGCTAAAATTAAAAATCATTGTGTCAATTCTAAAAACTAGATTTCCCTAAACTCTAAAAGCTACACAACTATGACAAACAGAATCTACAGCACTCTGTGACTCTTAATATTACAATTAAACATCAAGTTTATTAATAGAAAAGTTTGGTAAACAGATTTTCACATGACATAATGTGTCAATTTGATAATTATGGCCAATCATAAACTTAAGCATAAAAGGTGATGGTAAGATAAAAACAAAATCTTGAGGACAAAATTTCAAACTCATGCTCTCATCCAGGCCAGAGTTCCTGAACTATACAATGACAAACTAACTTCTTTGTTAAACTGCATTTTACTCTTTACAAATACAAGTAGTTTTCCAAATACTCCATGCTGTTGATGCCCCAAAGTGGGAAAAACAGATGAATTAAATAAATAGAGGCCATGTTAGCCAATGTGATTGAGACCATTTCTTCATTTAATAAAAAAATCAGTTAAAGTGGGAAATCATAAAAAATACATGCATACCTTAAACATTTTACTTCAAAACAATAAATCATATTCATTTAATAAAGTAAATACTTCTGAAGTAGCAGAGTTGTCTGAGGTAAATACCTGAGGTTATCGTCTCACGCCAAAGAAACTGAAGGACGAGGACACACAAGGAGTGAGTTTAAGAGTGGAGTTTTAATAGATGAAAGAAACAGGAGGCTGGGCGAGGTGGCTTATGCCTGTAATTCCAGCACTTTGGGATGCTGAGGCAGGCGGATCACTTGGGGTCAGGAGTTCGAGACCAGCCAGGCCAACGTGGTGAAACCCAGTCTCTACCAAAAATACGAAAATTAGCTGGGCGTGGTGGCGCATACCGGTAGTCCCAGCTACGCGGGAGGCAGAGGTGAGAGAATCGCTTGAACCCGGGAGACGGAGGTTGCAGTGAGCCAAGATCATGCCATTGCACTCCAGCCTGGGCAACAGACCAAGACTCCGTCTCAAAAAAAAAAAAAAGAAAAAAAGAAAGAAAGAAAAAGGAAAAAGAAAGAGGAAAGCTCCCTCGTGCAGAGGAAGGGGTCCCGAACGGGTTTCCGGGTTCAGGGCAAGAAGAGGTTGGTTTTATAGGAGGCGGTGTCTGATTTACATAGGGCACGAGAGATTGATCAGACCAGGTGTGCCATTTACATAGCATGCTCCGCCTCCCAGGTTCACGCCATTCTCCTGCCTCAGGCTCCCGAGTAGCTGGGATTATGGGCGCCCGCCACCATGCCCGCCTAATTTTTTTGTGCTTTTAGTAGAGACGGGGTTTCACCGTGTTAGCCAGGATGGTCTCGATCTCCTGACCTCGTGATCCGCCTGCCTCGGCCTCCCAAAGTGCTGGGATGACAGGCGTGAGCCACCGCGCCGGCCGCGCCGGCCTCCACCCTAATCTTTTACTAGGCAGATGGGTTTGCTACCTGGCCAGCACCATGTTGCCTGCCTCTTTACTGTGCACGTGGTGACAAAGAAAAGGGAAGGTGGAGCCTCCATGTTGAACATACCTGGCTTCCAAGTGGCCCTTTACTATTGGCACAGCTACCAGCATTCACCTGTGCAAGCTTCCAGCTTGCTTATCTATGTCTGCAGCTCGATCTTTCAGGCTGCTCTTTTGTTAGAAAAGAAATGATTTGGGGGCTGCTTTTTATTTAAAAGGAAACCTTGCCAAGGACTCTCTTAGCCTCACTAACTGCCTAAATTTCTTTCGAGCTCCTGTATCACTTTGAAGTTATAAGAATAAATACAATTTTTCTTGGCATTGTTCCTTCCCATGTTGTAATAATATCGAATCCTGATTCAAGCTGTTATTCAATACAACATAGAACTATTTCTAGGGCATCTAAAACTACCTATGGCATGAGTAATTTTTGCAGCTGGATTGCTCTTATCTCCTCCTCCTCTTCATATTTAGATCCATCCTTTTCTGCCACAGCTTGTTTGCTTTCTGCATCCATAATTTCATTTTCAAAAAAAATTTTAACTGTAGCCATATGCCTGACATATATTAGTTTCTAATTTAAAAAATTATTCGATTTGTCTGAGATACTTAAAAACAAATATACAACAGCAACAAACTATGTTTTATACTATCTCCTTGTAATTAAGGATTTTTTAAGTGATAGTTTTCACCAAAGTTTAGTAAATGGTTAAAATGTAAATTTTGCTCTATGCTATCACGATACTATTTTTTAAATGTTTGATGCTATTCTATTTTATATGACTGCTACTACTGTCTTATACTTCTTTTCCCAAATTAAAACTCAAAACTCTTTCTTACATCTTTTACATCTCTTTACATACTCTGATTCATGGATTACAGGAAGGATATTACATTCAATGGTAAAACTATGACTTTTAGGTCATTTTTTTCTGGAAATTTGTGGATCTTTATTTTCATTTTTAAAAATAATTGCTATTGAAAAACTTTATCCTCATTTGAATGAAAACAGAGCTCTTCTTTGTATTGTTCATAATGGCATACCCAACACCCAGCACAGCACCTAGCACACAGAAATATTCAGATATTGTCGGAATGCATGAATGTTTATATAATTTCATGGAAGCATTAATTATTGAAATAAGAGTGCACTTCCCTAAGTTACTTATCAGGGAACTAGCTTTGGTTATCAGTAGCTTTGAGTTTCAGATTTGGGAAAAAATTCATTAAATTAGCTATTCTAACAGCTAGCTATAAGGTCTATGGTCAACTCTTCTGCTACTACTATTCACCAAGATCATTGATGAAACTGTATTCATAAATCTGGTGAAAACTTTTCAGTTCTTATCCTACTTGTAGTTCACTTTGTCTCAGGTACTCAGAAAAAGGATGTGAAGACAATGCACAGGGAATACAATAGTTTCAGGTAAGTTTATTTTCTTTAACTGTTTCTATGCTGAAGGTGCATATTAATGGTGAGATATTCTATAATTCAGAGTTCATCTCGTAAAACACTAAAAAAAAGTATTTTTTTTAAGTTCTAAGATTTGTGGATTTGCCTACAACAAAAAACTGCAGTTGGTTAGTTCTAGTTTCATTGCTGCCTATGGCAACTGTAATTCCTCTGTAGTTTTTTGTTGTTGTTGTTGTTGTTGTTTAATTCTAGTGCCCCTGTTCTGCTTAGTTCAACCACATGGTACAACAGGTCTGCAAGTGTTACTATCAACTAAAAAAAAAAAAAAAAAAAGAAAAATTTTTGAACAACCAGTTCATGAGGAAATAAAAAAATTACTCTACACAAGTGCCCAACACCCTAAATCCTGACTTTCTCCCAGCTTCCAACCTGTTACTTGCTTTAACCTTCCCCCAGGAAGGTTTTCAGCTGAGGCCTTTATTTGCAGTTAGGGACACCTGATGGAGTTCTAAGTCTTTCTTATGTAAGTCCAACATATAATACATTGTACACAACCTCCAACTGTTTTAAAGCAAATGAGAATTTAAAGATATTTACAAATCAATCTACCACTGATTCCTAGATCCTAAGTCATCTCACCCACACCTAAATTGACAGCTCCTTTTTTATTTTAGCAATTAAACTATATAGATTATTTCTAAAGCATTTAACAAAGTTTCGTAGCTATAAGTACTCCCTCTTTATTCATGTTTAAGTACAACCTCTTAATTCATATTTTAATTAAATCATGCAATTATAATAAACAAGTACATACATTTAGGAGCAAACAGCTTGACACTTCAGCAGCACTCTGCTGGAGCAGCCAAAGAAAGTCTGCTCATCAGAGAATAAACTAGATGCTGTCAACATCCAAGGATTTATAGAAAAGTTGGAAATGCTGGTCAATATGCAAAGTCATATAAGTGGAGGTCAGTTAAGACTGATATGCTTTTCTTTGAGAAAAGGCCATGAATCAAGTCTCAACACATTTCAGGAATTTCTATCATTTGTACCACCCTCTCTGACCACAGGACATTAAATTAAAAATCTTCATCAAAAAGATAACACACAAAAAAACTCAATTTTTGGAAATCTTAAAACATTTAAAAATAACTCAACAAAGAAGTATTGACGATGAAAAACGTGTGGGGCAGGTGTGGTGGCACATGCCTGTAGTCCCAGCTACTCAGGAGGCCAAGGCAGGAAGATCACTTGAGACTAGGAGGTCGAGGCTGCAGTGAGCTGTCTGTGGTCACACCACTGCACTCCAGCCTGGGTGACAGAGTGAGACCCTGCCTCTAGAAAAAATTTTTTTAATTTTTTGAAAAGAGAAAAATGTGCAAAATGACAAACGAATGGAAATAATACAAATTAAAATTTGGAAGCTGCTCAATAGCATTTAAAGGGAAATACAGGGCATTATTAATGAACATATTAGAATTTTTAAAAGCTTAAAAATGATGATCCAAGGACAAACAACCAACTTAAAAAGTCAAAATGAAACTAACAAAATAAACTCCAAAGAAAATGAAAAAGGAAATAATTAAGGTAAGAGCAAGAAATGATGAAACAGAAAATAAAATGCAAAAGAGGAACAATACATCCTAAAACTGGTCTTTTGAAAACACTAAGAAAATAAATAGTAAAGCAATAAATAAACAATATTGCCATGGGGGGGAGGAGCAGAACATAATGAAAATCCCAGAGATTAAAAAATGGTAAGAAGATATCATTTAAAAAAAAAAAAAACTCTGTCTATAAACTTAGATTTGTTTGTTTGTTTGTTTTTGTTTTGTTTTGTTTTGAGATGGAGTCTCACTCTGTCACCCAGGCTGGAGTGCAGTGGCGCAATCTCAGCTCACCACAACCTCCGCCTCCTGGGTTCAAGTGATTCTCCTGCCTCAGCCTCCTGAGTAGCTGGGACTACAGGTGCACGCCACCATGCCCAGCTAATTTTTTTTTTTTGTATTTTTAGTAGAAACAGGGTTTCACCATGTTGGTCAGGCTGGTCTCAATCTCCTGACCTTGTGATCTGCCTGCCTTAGCCTCCCAATGTGCTGGGATTATAGGTGTGAGCCACCGCGCGCGGCCCTAGAATATTTTTTGAATGAGCAATCACCTAGAAAAATATCTTACCAAATTGACACAATAGGCTAGTCTGCAATTATCAACAAATTCATTCGGTACATAAAAGCTACCCACTAAAGAAACACGAGGCCAAGATAATTTTTACAGGTGAATTCTATTAAAATCAAATCTTATACCAATTCTAACAACACTCTATGCCTATTATGTTTCTACAATAAGCCTTTAGCCAACCAGGAGCAACCCAAAAAAACAAAATGTATTGTATGTAGTAGTTCACAATTGCAAACATTATAAGCATTCTTTTTACAATCAAAAGTGGGGAAAAGATGTTTTCTTTGACACTTCTCTTCAACATACTAGAGGTCCTAGACCATGCAGTAAGACCAAAAGATAAAATGAAACCACAAGGATTTGAATGAAACAAAACTCACTATTCACAGAGGTTATAATTACGTACTTAGAAAATTCAAAAGAATCTAAAGATGAATTATGGGAAGTAAATATTTTATCAAGATGGTTGCTACAAGTATCAGCTACATGTTTCTATGCTGGCAACAAACAGAAAATACAACTTTAAAAATATTTACTATAATAATAAAACAAAAAAGCACTCTAAGAATAAATCTGACAAAAGCAGAAATGTGATTTTTATGAAAAATGCATGGCAATTTTACAAAAATGTATTAAGGAAACCTAAGCAAATGGACAGAAATATATTTCTGAAGAAGACTAAATATTGTAAATATAGCAATTCTCCCCTAAATTAATCTATATGTTCAATAAAATTTCAACAAAAATCACATCAGAGTGGGTAGGTTTGAGTGATTATCCATCTGTTATTCATTTTTTATTTATTTGGCATAAGATCAACTGATGCTTCATTATATAGAAAAGCAGAGAACAAAGGAAGGTTGAGATGGTTTTAAAGGATGGTAATATAATGAGCTTTATGACATTGGCTAAGAGAGAGAAAAATAGCCTCATAAAGTAGGAGAACCAAAGATACTATATATGTAAGAGTAAGCTTGGAAGATACGTGAAGAAAAGAAGATGAATTAATCCAAAATAGTACTAAGAAAATAGGTTATCCCTACAAAAAAAAATTAAAATCGGATCGCTATACCACACTATAACCAAAGTTAACCATAGAGCTATAAGAAGATGCTATAGGAAGATGACTTTCTGATCTCCAAGAAGGGACTTTTTAAATCAGACTGAAATATGAAAGTTAAGGAAAAGTTTTATATATTTTAAAACTGTCACATCAAAATGTCTCTTCATTAACAGATAAAAAGAAAAACATAAGTCATTAAAATGCAACAAAATTTGTAACTAGATCCCCTTAGAATCAACTTTTTAAATGACAGACAATACAGCAGGGAAAAGAGATCAATAGTGATTTTACTGAGCAAAAAAACCACATATGACTATTAAACATAAATAAAAATGTCCAATTCCATTATAAACAAGAAAATGTAAATTAAAAACACAAGATACCATTTTCTAACCAACAGACTGATAAAAATTTAAGTCTCACAGTATTACATGTTAAAAAGGATAGAGTATAATATCCTTGAAGTACAATATCCTTAAAAAGGATAGAGTATAATATGAAAAGGATAGAATTTTCATATACCACTTGGGAAAAAAATTTGCCATGATTTACTAAAGTTAACATGTGCATAGCCTGTAATTCCTCCCGGAAATAAAATCTAGAGGAAAGCTCACATATGTGCACCAGGAGACATGTACAAGGATGTTTGTAACAGCATCATGTTGTCTTTTAATTGAACTTTTTCAGATAATTCTAGATTCACAGGCAGATTGGAGAAATTATATGGAAATATCCCATGTAGCTTCTACCTGGTTTACCACAATGGCAACATCTTGCAAAACTATAGTTCAATACCACAACCAGGATATTTCATTCACACAGACCAGATACAGAACATCTCCATAACCACCAGAATCCCCAGTGTTATCCTTCTATAGCCACACACACTTGCCTCTAACTTTCACCCCATCCTTACCCACCGGCGACCAATGATTTCTCTATTTTTTGTGTACAGTTTGGTCATTTCAAGAATGCTACATAAATGAAGTCATACAGTACGTTACCTTTAGGGATTGGCTCTTTTCACTCAGCATAATTCTCTGGAGATTCATCCAGGTTGTTGTATATATCAACAGTTTGTTACTTCTTCTTGCTGAGTATTATTCCATGATATAGATATACCATAGATTTAACCATTCACCTGTTGAAGGATATTTGGTGTGTATCCAGTTTGGGTCTATTATGAATAAAATTGCTATAAATACTCAGTTTTATGCACATATACGTCTTCAATTTCTCTGGGATAAATGCCCAAAGTGTAATTGCTGAGTCGTATAGTAACTGCATATTCAGCTTTTCAGAAACTGTCTATTTTCCAGAGTAATTGTACCATTTTACATTCCTATCATCAATAAGTGATCCAGATTCTCTTCATCCTTACCAGCATTTGGTGTTATTACTATTTATTTTAGCTATTCTGATACAGGTTTGTAGAGACCTATCATTATGGTTTTAATTTGCATTATGGCTAATGACACTTATTCATGTGCTTATTTGCCATATGTATATCCTCTTCAGTGAAATGTCTCTTCATGTCTTTTGCCCATTTTCTAATTTGGTTTTATGTTTTTTTGTTTTTTGTTTTTTACTGCTGAGTTTTGCAAGTACTTATTCTAGGGACTAGTCCTTTCATTTTGGGCAATTTTTGCATAAAGTGTGAGACACAGATCAAGGTGTTTTGTTTTTTCTTCTGCCTACTAATGTTCAGTAACAGCACTGTTTTTAGGAAAACAAAACAAAACCCCAAATGTTCATCATCAGAACAGATATATAAATTGTGGTATATTCATCAATGGAATGTCAAATAAAAATGAAAGAACTAAAGATACATAGAGCAATATAGATGAGACCAGATACATGATACTGAGTGAGAGAGGCAAATTGCTGAAGAACATATTGTACATACATTGTGAGTGACTCGATTTATATATGGTTGTAAAACATACAAAACTACACATATGAAAAATATGTTAACACTATTTAAAAAGAGACCCCAAAAAAGCAGAATTTAAAGAGTGGAATTTACCTCTGAGGTGGGAGTAAGGAGAAGACTTAGAGAACTTCAAGGTTAACAAGAAATTATATTTCTTAAACCAATTGGTGGGTACACAGGTGTTCATCACATTGTCATTCTGAATATGTTCTCATTATTTAAAAAAAAAAACTTTAAAAGGTTATTTTTCAAATTGAGATTTGCATAAGCAAGAGCTAAGAATAATAGCTGGTAAGATGTCACTTTAAAGATCTTACCCTCAGCAGGTAAAAAAACAGTTATTATAAATTGTAATACAGGAACATACCAAACAGACCCTTGTTAGGGAAAGATGACTTCTGAGCAAACAGGTGACTTCTGACAAACCATTCTTATCCCACAAGCCTCATTTTGCCCTTGCAGGCTCAGCGCCTGACTTTTCTTTCAACTTCAAGTCCCCCAGTCATTCACCTTCTCTCCACACAGTTCCTTCTGCTTTGTTTTACAGCATTCTGCCCTCCTCGGGTGGCAATGCTTTAAGTCAACACCAACATCTGACCTCTCCAGCTTATCCACAGGACTTATCTTCTTAAGAGATGGTGTGAGGACAAAGGGTGAGCCTTCCTGACTTGAATTAATGACGACCCACAATTGAACAAGTTTCTAATGTTCATATTTACAAAGAATATAGTCTAGAATCTCAGTTAAATCCATATTAAAAGTAACCCCATGCATAACATTATTCACACATATAATTGAGATAAATCTCAGCACACAGATAGGAAAACAAAGACAGTCAATTTCAAACAACTAATAAAATTATTTAACCATTACAAAATCCCTTAACCATGCCGAATTTTGCAAAATATCTAAGAAATTATTATGCAAGACACTGAAAGATGTGTTATTAAGTAGTTAATTGGTATTTTTAATAGTTAGGACTGTTTTCCTCTTCTGTCTTCTCCTCCTCTCCTCTTTTCCTCCCACACTTTCTCCCTTCCTCTCCCTTTCTCTCTCTCTCCCTCTCTCTCTCTCACACACACACAGACACACAAACACAAACACACACCCCTTGCTGGTTAAAAACTTCTTAAAAACATACAACTGCCTGTATTTGTATATATACATATGCATTTGGTGTCTTGTTATAACTTCCCTTTAAACCACATATTAATGGGCAAAAAAAGTCCTAACATTCTATCTGTTGAAAAGCTGGGTCTGTCTCCAATAAACATAGTTGCTCGTTTCAGTCAAATCAGCTTATTTACTAATTATAAAATATAATTTTAAGATGGCCAAAACGAAGTAGTAGGAAAAGTATATTACTACTTTAATGGAATTTGCTTCTATTTTTGAGGTCTGTCCCAAAAGGACAAATATGTTGACTTATTTTTAAAGGTTTCCTTTCAATGTTTCAAGTTATAAAGCACTGCTGCTTTTGTAAAAGATCCTATTAATTTCTTAACAGAGTGTTAGACCTGATCCCCTTATATCCAAAATGGTAAATGCTGTCTAATAAATACATGGGTGATTGAATAAGGGTCACTGACACTTGGGTAACTGTTTAATACAGAAACAATTTATAATATATATCTCTCTACAAAACTAAAGCTGAGCAATCAATAATTTTGTCTTCCTTCGTCTACAAGTAGCTTATTCAACATTAACTAGTAAACCAAGGGTGAAAGGGAGGGTTGTAAATCACGAAGAAAAGATTCATTTTATTCTTAATTCCCACTTGAATCTATGTAAAATGTTAAGTTACAGACAGTTAAGGAGAAGCTGTTGTGTTTGAATATGTAATTGCTATTTAGATGATAATGGCGTGGATGTCGCAGCAGAACCATGATCCAAATTTGAATAAGGTCTTAATGAAGGAGGCTAAGAGAAGAATGACGACTGAAATACAACAGTGTCAGCAACAGACCTTAATGAAGCAAATTACTTTCAGTACCTTTGTGATTCAGGAGGAGCCGCATTAAAAAAGTGACAACTAAAGGATCAAAAGCAGGACCTTTGCAAACTAAACATGCTTAAAACATGACATCACTGTCTGGGCAACAAGGCATTGTGGAAAGCAGCCTCAATGTTTGGGTTTTACAGCTCACATAGCAAAATAACTACATTAAAAGATCTGGCTAGGCAAACCAGTTTCCTTAGAAAGCATCTTTATATTTCAAGTTAATGACATTTCTGAACAGAAAAGGACTACAAATGCCCAAAGATACCTTGGCCGATTTTTAAAAAGCATTATATATTAACACTAAGAATAGCTTTAAGGCAAAATTAAGCCAGATTTTGGATCACAGAAAACTAAAGAGGTCTTTTTTAAATTCCAAAATATCATTTAGTCTTTTATTATTTGTTAGCTTTATGAAGTATACAATGCATTCTACTTAATAAGTAGTGAAATCACTTTATATATTCATATTTTAAAATCAATTTCACTTTTACAAAATCACACTGAAGCAATTTGAGAGCATATGGCATTCCCACTGCCAAATGGAACATACGTTCAACATGTTTAAATGATTTACCCAAGGTAACATTGCTGATGGTGCTAGAAACTGAACACAAGGCTTCTGGCTTCCAGGGAAAGTCATTCAAGGCAAGCAAAAAGTACCGTAGTTACAAATTTAATTTGATACCTAGAGGATATTTTCTGAAGTCTTCTGAGTTACAGTAACTTGGTGATAACATTCATTCCATATTAATATTGTAGGCAGACAAGGAGTTTATAACCATAATGAATATAATCTTTGCTGTACAGACCAGTATTCACACAGGGTTGTAAAAACTGATTTTGCCTGTTTATTCCATCTCCTCAAATAATGTGCACAAACAGCAATCCTACCAACCAGGGAATGGTAGTACAATAGTTATATATTTATAATCAGAAAACAACTCCTCAATGCTAATTAATTAGTGTCCTGACACAGTCATGTTTCTGTTTCTAGAGACTGACTAAAAATGTTTTGACTTCAAAGACAAGAATGAGACAAGAATATAAGCCTGGCATTAGGAAAGATTTGCTGTCATCTCCCTGGGCCTCTGTTAGGATCTTAGCCACCCCTGCAAATGTTTGTGCTGCAATGGATTTTATTTTAAATCTAAGTAAGTCAAGATGCTCTATCCAAAAAATAACAAAACCAACAGATAGGATGTAGAACATACGGATTAAGAGCACAGACTCAGACAATCTAGTTTAAAATCCCAGCTGTCACTTACTAACCACGCACTCTTACGCAAGTTAGTCAACCTCATCGACACTTTGTTTTCCCATCTGTGAGTTAGAAATAATAGTACTAAGTTCTTAGAGTTCTTATGTAAATGAGTTATTATTAGTTATCTTCATTATTACCTACTAGTATGTGCCTTTGGATGGGTTACTTAAGTTTTGTATTCCTCATTTTTTCCAATTTTAAAAAATGATATCTAACATTTTCAGGCACAATTTAAATGAGGCTTTGGAAACTCTGGAAATATTACATATATTGTTAGCATTGTTATATAGGTTTCATTTTTGGTTTTGGAATCACTGAACCTAGTACAGTTCCCATGCTCTGTTGGTATTTCCTGAACTTCTCTCTCTCTCTTCCAATCATACATGCTCTAACCAGCAAACCCAGACTAGGGTGATAACATGAGCAGCCTCACTACTTCCACCTCTTCTAGATTTTCCCAAAATCTGTACCAACAGATAATTTTTAGACTCTTTTTGATGATTTTTTTCATCTCAGAAGGTGATTATCCGTTTTGTTCTGACTCAACATGGACTTCACATATTTTCACTAATTACTCTCTCTTCCCCAAATCAGTCAACATACACAACACTATTGAGATAATCTACTTTCTTTGTAGCATCCTGACTCCATCATAACTTTGAATGGTGACTTCCATAATTTATTCTAGGGAATAATGACTTCATCCTGTATTTTTCCATGTAAAAATAGCAACAAAGATTTCTAATAAAAGATTATAGAGTACACATACCTTTTTAAAGCAGAGGTTATTTTTTAGAGCAGTTTTAGGTTCATAGCAAAATTGAACAGAAGGTACAGAGAATTCCCATATAACTCCTGCCCCTACACATGCACACCCTCCCCCATTTACAACCTCCCCACCAGAAAGGAATGTTTATTACAATTGATGAACATACACTGACACATCGCTATCACCAAAGTCCATATTTTACATTAGGGTTCAGTCTTTTTATTTTATATTCTATGAGTTTGGACAAATTTATAATGACATGTACCCACCAATATATTAACATAAGAGTAGTTTCACTACCCTAAAAATCCTAAAAACATTCAGTTCTCTGTTTATAAATAAGTTCGACTGTTTCATCTTGAACTCTAATTCATTATCCCTATAATAGAAATACTAATATGATTATGAAAACAATGGATTACACAAGCATAGTACTTAGAGCCAGATGATTACATACAATATGTATTAAGCATTTTGTAATAACACACTGAATATAAACACTGGGTGCAGGCTGTACAGAGCAGTGACCCAAACCAATTACATTAACTTAAACCTACATAGTTATTTTATCGTGCTTACATTTTTAGAACATGTAAAATTACTTTTTAAACTCCAAAGCACTCTAATAATGTAGGTGGTTATTATGATTAAACATTTTTAAGATTCTATTTTTTTATAAGTCAGATATTTTTCCAAAACAGAATCTTAATGACAAAACTAAATCACAGTGCATCAACTATACGAACTTCGTTACAATCATCTTGGAAGTTTATATGCCACTTCCTATTCCATGCATGTCAACAAGATTCCTAAGTTGAGATCTCTTCTCATCATTGCATAAAAAGTTCAAAAACAAAGACTGGTTTACAACATGTCAGAACAGGAGCTCCCTTCAATTCAGAATAATAACAATGCCAGAAAGAATGTCAGTAGTCCTGTGTTACAGATGCCAAGAAGCACCATGGTTCACAATCAGCGCCCTTCCTCTTCTGTATCTGTAAAGGCATGCTGAGTTTATCCAGAATCTTCTTTTCATTCAGATGATGAATACTGTTTAGAATCTGCCCATCTTCTAGGCCTATTTTACTTTACCCAAATAAAACACATCGTTTTTTTTCAATTGATGACCCTTTTGTGATTAAAGACAATCTATAAGTTAAACTGGCATTTAAGTACAGAAGCAAGTCTTTTTTTTTTTTTTTTTTTTTTTTTTTGAGATGGAGTCTCGCTCTGTCACCCAGGCTGGAGTACAGTGGTGCGATCTCAGCTCACTGCAACCTCCACCCCCTGGGTTCAAGTGATTCTCACCCTCAGCTTTCTGAATGGCTGGGACTACAGACGTGCATGACCATGCCCAGCTAATTTTTTTTTTTTTTTTTTTTCTATTTTAGTAGAGACAGGGTTTCACCATATTGGCCAGGCTAGTCTTGAACTCCTGACTTTGTGATCCGCCCACCTCGGCTTCCCAAAGTGCTGGGATTACAGGCATGAGCCACCGCGCCCGGCCCAGAAGCAATTCTTTATGGCAGCAGTTGTTAAACTCTGTGATCTCCAAGACCTCTTTATGCTCTCAAAAATTACTGAGGACCCAAAGGACTCTTACGTCAGTTATATCTGTTAATATTTTTCATATTAGAAATCAAAACTTCAAAACAAATTTTAAATATATTTATTAAGTTAACTGTTTTACATATTTACATGAATGTTTCTATGAAAAATGACTATATTTTCCAAAACAAAAAGAAAGGTAGTAAAAAGAGTAGCCTTATAATTTTACAAATATCCTTAATTTCTAGCTCAACAGAAAACAGTTGGCCTTTCTCTTCTGCATTCAGACTATCATGATGTGTTGTTTAGTTGAAATACAATAAAGAAAACACAGCCTCACACACAGATACTTAGTTGGAAAAGGAAGATGTCTGGGATTCCATCAAAGTATCTCCTTGAGAACTGTTGCTCTAAGGTATGTCTATGTTTCTTTTCTTTTCTTTCCTTCCTTCCCTTCCCTCCTTCCCTTCCTTCCTTCTTTCTTTCCTTTGTTAAGAGACAGGTTATCTGTCGCCCAGGCTTCACTGCAGTGACACAGTCATGGCTCACTGCAACCTCAACCTCCCAGGCTCAAGCAATCCTCCTACCTCAGCCTCCCAAATAGCTGGGACTACAGGGGCACGCCACCACATTACCTGGCTAATTTTGCATTATTTGTAGAAACGGGGTTTCGCCACGTTGCCCAGGCTGATCTCAAACTCCTGGGCTCAAGCGATCTGCCAGTCTCGGCTTCCCAAAGTGCTGAGATGTCTGCGTTTCATAATTAAAACATCCTATTGGCCAGAGAAGAAGGAACTGAACTTTGGCCCTGAACTGATTAGGACAAATTGTTGTTAGCACCTGTGTTGTAAGTGCCTGTATTTTGAGCTTGTCTGAAACCTGAGTCAGGACCTCTGGGATTCAATATAGGTTACAAAAAGATGTTTATAAAATTATGTGTATGTGCTATATCCACACAATGAATAAAATTTAGTTTTCTTTTTATTTAATAAATAAGAAATTAGAGCACTCACAAAATGGTACTTCATACTAAAAAGTTAAAAATTCTATAGGTAAATAAATTAGATGGAAAATCTCTTCTTCAGTCTAAATTTTGATAAAAGATCAATTTAAACTGCAACCTTAAATGAGAACACACGAATTCCATAATTCAGGAAACTACATTATTTTTATTATAGAAGCCTCACTGTAAGCACATTTTTAAAATCTCAGCAAAAAAGAGTACAAACATCAAGTGGATTTTAATCACCATTTTAGTGGGCACCAGTAATTATTTTCGGCAAATAAAATAAACTACAGCTGTATTCAATTATATGAAGAGTCATTCAGTGAAGGTTTGGCAAGGAAGTTCTAAAAAGCAGGCAGTAAACTCAGTGTAGTACTAACTAGAAGACTAGCTGAAGGCATTCTCCTGAAATTCTGCTCTGCCTGCTCGCATGGCTTCAAGGAGCACATGATAAGTTTACACGACAACAGGACTGGAGAATGACGCAAGTGAAAAATAAATGATTTTCCCCTGTAGCTAGGACAATGAAGTTGTACAGGTGGGTGAAGCAATAACTGTTCATCAGCAAACAAACTGGTTGACTTGTCTCTAAGCATTTTTTACAAAAGGCAAACCAAAAACAACAACAACAACAACAACAAAAACCCAGGCCACTGGCAGATGGAGTGGCTTGTCAAATTTTACTCACCGGAGCACATTTCAGAAATCATCATAGATGTCAGTGGAAAAGTAAGATTCAATTTAAAGAAAGTCACTTAATATACACAAAAGCATTTAAGACATTAAGAAACTTTTGCTTTTTATTTTCATCTTTGAGGGCTGTTCATTTGAAAATAAAACAATGTTTAAAAGTATCAGGAAAAGTACAGAAAATGACATGAAAATGAAAATAGCTATTTCAAGTATTAGAGAAAAAGAACACCTGAATTTTATATAAAAGCTATTGGAGTGTACTTGAAAGCCAGGTTTCCTGCCTCCCCAACCAGAATTTTCGTATTATAGTCCATAGACTCCTTCATAAAATATCAATTTAAAAAATAAGAGATAATAAAATATGTCATATTAAAACTGCACTGAATATAGTCTCATCTTTCCTTAAAAGTCAGTTTAGGAAGCATAGGAACTCTAGTCCCTGAAGAAGAATATCAATAATTACTAACTTGTGAAATAATTATTTAATAAAGATTTAGTTTTAAAATGTGAAATAGCCTTTTACTGTTCTGATATTATCACATACCAAACTTTTAAAGACAAGCTATGACTATCATATAAAATCCTCCTTGCAATCACAAACACAATAGAAAACATCTACATAGTAATCACTTCCCTACCTTGACATCCCTTACATTAAATTCAACTATATGTGAATATATTTCTGTATACCTTCTCTATCTGAATTTCAATATGAATTTCAGTTCTACTTTTTACAAATCATGAGCCACTCTTATTTGGAAAATTCGTTAAGAAGAGAAAAGAGGTCAGAAACAGAAAAGGGAGGTATAGCTGATGGCAGAGAGATGGCAGAAATGGTTGCAGTGAATTATTAGGAAAGATAAATGGAGACTGAAGAAAGCAAATACACCCAGGCATCCTCAGAGGGCAGACAGTCATCCGAGACATGGGTAAATGGCTTGTCATGAAATAACCATGGGAGGACCCACAGCTGCAGAAACCTGAATAGAATGAAGGGGAACTGATAAACAGATAGGAGGCAAACATAAGTAAATACCCTGTCATTCTCTTAATCATCCTAATCAGCCTCCTAATCATATTTCACTATGAAATATAGGACCTTATAAGCAAGACCCATAAGGTCAACTCTGAATCAGAAAAGCACAGACACAGAGCATTTAAATAGAGGGGAAGGTTCAGAAAAATACTACTTCATACATCTCTCATCTTCACAAAGCAGCACAGATTTACAAGCATGTAAGAGTGAGCACTGAGAAAGTCTCTAGCAAACAACGGATGGCAAATGAAGTTGAGCAGGACAGTTCCAGTATTACTAATTTAAGATATATAAAATGTCACATAGATTGTCTGTAGTGTGCTTTGTTTTCTTCTAGCAAATGCAAAAACTGTCACATACCTTCAATTTAAGGTCCCCTAACCTAGTTTCCCCTTAAAATTTTAACTTTCTCAGCCACAAATTTATCTTTACATGAGGTTTTAGGGCTCTAAGCCCCACAGTTAGAGAGGAAATGATACAGTTCATTCCTTAAATAGGTATGATAGATTCCATTCCTCCTCACACATCTTCCTCTACAAGAATACAGAACATGTTTATTAAATGTCTAATACACAACTGGAATATTAACCAAATGGCGATAGAGATCCAAGTGTGAATTATACTTGTATGACTTTTTCTTTTTCTTAAGAGACAAGGTCTCCCTCTGTTGCCCATGCTGGAGTGTAGTACCGTGATCATAGCTCACTGTAGCCTCAAACTCCTGGGCTCAAGCAATTCTCTTGCCTCAGT
This sequence comes from Homo sapiens, assembly GCF_000001405.40. Classification (NCBI taxonomy): domain Eukaryota; kingdom Metazoa; phylum Chordata; class Mammalia; order Primates; family Hominidae; genus Homo; species Homo sapiens. The sequence goes on along the minus strand of NC_000007.14, from coordinate 7,700,947 downwards.
CTTCCATGTAGGTGGGACTACAGGTATGCACCACCATGCCTGGCATTTTGTTTTTTTTTAAGATGGAGTCTCGCTCTTGTTACCCAGGCCAGAGTTCAGTGGCACATTCTCAGCTCACTGCAACCTCCACTTCCTGGGCTCAAGTGATTCTACTGCCTCAGCCTCCCGAGTAGCTTTGATTACAGGCACCCACCACCATGCCTGGCTAATTTTTATATTTTTAGTAGAGACAGGGTTTTGCCATGTTGGCCAGGCTGGTCTTGAACTCCTGACCTTGGGTGATCTGCTCACCTAGGCCTCCCAAAGTACTAGGATTACAGGCGTGAGCCACCGCGCCCGGCCCTTTGGTGTTTTTGTTTGTTTGTTTGTTTGTTGTTTTTATTTTGTAGAGATGGGGGTCTCACTATGTTACCCAGTATGGTCTAGAACTTATGGCCTCAAGCGATCTTCCCACATTGGCCTCCCACAAACTGGGATTACAGGCATGAGCCACTGCACCCAGCCTGACTTTTTCTTAATATAAATTTTTGGACTTCAGGTGTTTTCTCTACACTGAATATTTGTGTTCCCTCAAAATTCATGAAATGAAATCCTACCCCTCATAGTGATGGTATTAGGAGACCTTTGGGAGGTACTTTGGTATTGAGGGTGAAGTACACATGAATGGAATAAAATAATCCTCAGAAAGCCACCCTGACCCTTCCAACATGTGGGGAGCAGGGAGAAAGTGCCATCTATGAACAGAAAGAAGGCCCTCACCAGACTGCCTATTTGCCAATGCCTTGATCTTGGACTTCCCAGTCTCCAGAACTCTGAGAAATACATTTCTATTGTTTACAAGCCACCAATCTATGACACTTTGTTAAAGGAGCCCAGACTGACTAAGACACCCTCCACAGAAGTAGTTATTTACTGAGCATCTCTAAATATTTGAATAACTTGTAAGTATCACCACACTTACTTCATGAGAAGAAAACATTAATTTTTACTTTCACTTCAGGAATTTATTTTTAAGTGTAGTTTTCTGGCTATAATCTATGAATAAACAAAACACGTATTTCCACTTATATAAACAGTATTACTTATAACCCAGAGCTCAGTTTAGAGTTCTTACCATGCCAATTCATCTACTCATTCTCCCCCAACAAATATTTACTAAAAACTTAATATGTGTAAGGCATTATATGAGCACTAAGATTACAGAACCTTACAAGTTGTGGTGCACCAGCAGTTGTGGAATTGAAAAATATATCTGCCCTCACTCAATATAGCTTTAGGGATAAATGTGAAAAGCCTGGAGGAAGGAAGTAGTCTTTTCTGGTCCTAAACTTAGAACTAAATCTATTTCCAAGATGACCTTACAGATTGGACCATCACATCCAGGGACCACCCTAGGGATTCAGTTCTCTAGCAGTTTCTAAAGTGAAACTTTCCACTGCTCCTGTTTAGTTCAGTCTGGTGCCACTATTTTTAAACAGCTTAATGATTTTCCTATTTTAGTGTAAGTAAAAACTAAACAAAATTGTACTTCTAATTCAAAAATTCTTACAAAATTCTAAGGAACTAAGGATATTAAATTTTTAACTTGAGGTCCAAGTTTATGAGTGATTAAAGCATAAATATATTTAAATTTTAAATCAGTTGGATAAAGAGTCAATGAAAACTAAAAATTAAATCTGTTATATTATTAAAATGAGTCTGATAAGAAGGAAAAACACAAATGCATTCTCAGAATTCTGTTCTGGCATTCCCATAATCAGTCAACTCAGCACCCCTTGAGAGTTGGGGGAACCCAGCCAGGCACGGTGGCTCACACCTATAATGCTAGCACTTTGGAAGCCAAGGCAGGCAAAGATCAGCCTGGGCAACATAGCAAACCTGGTATCTACCCCCCCCCCACACACACACACACAAACTATATAAAAATTAACTGGGCATGATGGTGCACTCCTGTAGTCCCAGATACTTGGGGGGCTGAAGTGGGAGAATCACTGAGCCCAGGGAAGTCGAGACTTCAGTGAGCTGTTATCAGACCTGGGCAACAGGGTGAGACTGTCTCAAAAAAAAAAAAAAAAAAGACAAGAGGGTGAGTTGGTGGAAACGAAATCCACAGCCAGAAATGTCATGGTCTGGTTTTTGGCTCCAAATCACTTTGAGATGAATTCATCTTAAGACAAGATTCCTATTTACCTTACCACTAAATAGTCATTAAAGAAGTGGAGCAGGTAATTATTAAGAGCTGGAGAAAGAAGGTTGAAAGGATGCTCCAAACCAAATTTAAGAAGCTGAGGCTGTAGCACCCACATTACAACTGGGTTACTTGATAGTCAAAACTGTGGAATCAACTGCCTAAACAGGATCTCCAGTTCTACGAAATACTACAAAAAAAAAGAAAAGAAAAAAACATTTAGACAGAATAAAGCCTGCAATGATTCAACCTCAAACACATTTTGTTAAATCAGGTGGATCTGGTTCTAGAAGTGACTTCTAAGGAAAAGGCTAAGCTGTAAAAACACTGAAAGTCAACTTACAGCTACTTCTCAATCAAAACTTCTACCAGTTTGGTTGAAATTGATGGCAGAGATGCAGCAGGAAACGCACCATTATATAAACCTTATTTTAAAAAGCACTAAAAAAATTTTCTCTAGTTACTTCAAGAATGGGAACTGTTATATTTTGCAATCTTCTCACAGAAATAAATCTGCCCTGTCTATATCTTACTAAATTTCATCCAAAAACACTAATGAAGCATATAGCAATTCAAAATAAATAATATCACATCAGATATAGAACTACCTGTTTATTCTTAGTGCCTGTCAGCACAGTGTCTAACTCATGGGCATTTAGTAAGTATTTGATTCAGATAACATATTGTCTAGCCAGAACGTGAAGTGCAGAAATTCTCTATTTCTAATTAAAAGAAATGCACATTCTAACAATCAAATGAGTAGTGGGGTCAGCTTGCTAAGGAATCCAATCCAGGCAACTCCCCAAAGTTTTTATTTCACAGCCCTCATGAAGGTGAGCTGAGGGAATATCAAAATTTTCCTCTGAAAACACTTCTGGTCTCAAACAGAGAGTCATTTAAGCAACTGAAAAACTCTGATTTATACGTCTCAAATTGGAAGATGGATACCCAAGAGTACATGCACCATGTGAAAAGAGGCATAATGACAAGGAAAAAATACAGTAAATCTCATATCCTCCAGTTTACTACCTGATGATCCATAATTTAAAGCATTTTATGTTAAAATAACCACAGCTCTATTACACACTGGGTGCCAATGTCACATGAATGTGATAATATCAGCTTAAAAAAATAAAAATATCTTTAAAGTTAGGTGCCCACCCCAAGGGCTTTAGCAGGTACATATTCGTGCTTCTTCCTTCCTGAGATACTTGGAAAATTTTGAGCAGGACTGCCACAAAAGGAAGCCACAATCATATTTCAAAATGAATTTTACATTAGCCATTTTTTAAAGTTTCCAGTATGTACCCATAAGATACCTGTTTTAAGAAAATAACTTACAGGAAATGAAATAAAATGGATAATTTATCTGTTTCATAGGTGTTTTAGAAGAAAACAAATTAAATGCTGCAACTTGTCTGGCAGAATAGAGGATTCTGATATTAAAGCAATAAACACTAAGCAGTTATTTGGGAAAATAATTAGATAGAAGATATCATTCCTAGATAATAAGGAATCTGTTCAGAAAGCCAATCAGGACTGTTGCAAAGTGTATCAAAGTGTCAGGTACACATTCCATCAAGAAGTGGATTATGATCATCAAGACTTTAAAGGGTGAAAAAATAATTTTTTAAATAAAAAGAAAAGCAAAACAATCTGACTTATCCTGACTGAAAATCATCTCATCTACCACAAGACCGTTCCTGCTGACTGCTTGGCATGTGTACTAAGACAGAAGTTATACAGACCTTGGAGCAAAGAGAGGGTGTTTACTGAGCTTGCTAAGCTTAGGTCATAGCTGGTTCCACTTCACATAGTCAAATGCCCAGGAAAAATCAATAAATCTGTGACTAGTCTTATGTTATTCTTAACAGATTTCAGAAGGAATGTCTGAAAAGGGCAGCCTTTAAAAAAAAAAAGAAGAAGAAAGAAAAAGAGAGAACATCTACATGTTAGTGTGGTTTCACAGGGCCCTACCTATAGAGTTAATAAGGGTAAACCAGTTGGCAAGAATCAGTGCCCACTATTGAGAGCTGACTTTGAGCAGTTCTAGAGGCAGAAAAATCTTTACGGAGTGCTTTATTTAGCTTGAGCATGTGAGTCATTTGTTCTGTATGAGGGAGAGCTACTGGCAACAAATGAGGAAGAGCCTTCGGATCAATAAATTTCAGACAGTTGACACTGGTTAATAGCTGGGGAGAAATACACTTCCCTGGGATCAAATGACATCTGAATTTCTACAATTTTACTAACTAAATTCATATAACAGGTTACCTCTTCCCAAATCAGGTCTTGTGGCCAGTTCCAGTGGCTAAGCTCAGGACTTCTAAGAAGTATTTTTTTATAGAAAATTAGAATTTTATACTAAGATCTAATATGATTTCACAGTTTTTACAAATTGTCTTTATCGTGATACTTCACCATCAGACCACATTTGTTTTGGGGTGTTTTTTTTTTTAATCTACCTAATAATTCTTACCAACTTTGGCTAAAAGAGTGAGTCTTGTATGAGTTCAAGGAGAAAACAAATTACACTGGTAGCCTGGGCAACATGGCAAAACCCCCATCTCTACAAAAAATAAAAAAATTAGCTGGGCATGGTGGTGCATGCCTGTAGTCCCAGCTACTCAGGAGGCTGCAATGGGAGGATCGCTTGAACCCAGGAGGTAGAGGCTGCAGTGAGCTGTGATCACACCACTGTAATCCAGCCTGGGCAACAGAGACTCCATCTCAAAAAAAAATTACACTGGTAAGTTTATCAGAAAAAAAAAAAAAAAACGGAGATATACACAGTAGGGTTTAAAAGAGCCTCCTATAGACAAAGGTCAATGATCCATCTCACTGTTTCACACTCCTGCCATGGTTGGATACTAAATCCAACCATTAGTGCATAAGATGTAGTGTGCACACTGCTGCTTAACTTATAATCAGCATTTATGACCACAGAAGACAGATGTAGAAAAATAAAGAACCTAAAGGTGACACATTGACAGATAATTCCCAACATACATAGATATTAAAGATGCTAGGTCTACATAGGACACAAGTTGTTGAGGATCCTTGCTGAGTTGCATATGCTCAGAAGCAATGTCTTTTTTAATTCAGGGCCATGGTGTGAGGGGTCAGATCCTGTGAGTAGAAATTCCACTGCCAGAAATTCAATGTGTTACGGCTGCTAGTGCCAAAGAACATGAAAAGCTTGAGTGTTCTTGCTCTGAGACTAAACATTTAGGAAGTTCTATGCCTGAAAGTAACAAGGAAAGACCATGGTTGAGAAACATGTAATAAAAATTAAATGGACAGAATCAGAGTAAAAAAAATCAACGTATTATGTCTAGAAAAGACAGAAAGACAAGGTTAGGAGATTTTTCTCTCTCTACAGCCTTTCTTATCTAATATAACATAATCATTCTGTGTTACAAATGAAATCTTAAAGTTGGCTGGGCTTGAGAATTCTCTATGAGATAAACTGTGGTGGGGAAAATGTTGACAGCAAGTAAACAAATTATTGCACGGCTACTTGGTTGGCAGCAACAGTGATTTTCTCTACTTGGAAACAGCGAGCTTCTCAAAAGAAGACGTACAAATGGCAAACAGGTATATGAAAAGGTGCTCAACATTACTGATCATCAGAGAAAGCAAATCATAATTACAACAAGATATCATCTCACCCCAGTTAAAATGGCTTTTATCCAAAAGAAAGGTAATGACAAACACTGGCAAGGATATGGCAAAAGGGGAACTCTCAAACACTGTTGGTGGGAATGTAAATTAGTACAACCACTATGGAGAACAGTAGGGAGGTTCCTCAAAAAACTAAAAATAGAACTACCGTATGATCCAACAATCCCACTGCTAGGTGTATCCCCAAAAGGAAGGAAATCAGGATAACAAAGATATAGCTGTACTCACATGTTTATTGCAGCACTATTCACAATAGCTAAGATTTGGAATCAACCTAAGTATCTATCAAAAGATGAATGGATGAAGAAAACGTGGTACGTATGCACAATGGAGTACTATTCAGCCATAAAGAAGAATGAGATCCTGTCATTTACAACAACATAGATGGAAAAAAGATATTATGTTAAGTGAAATAAGTCAGGCAGAGAGAGATAAACTTCACATATTCTCACTCATTTGTGGGAACTAAAAATTAAAATAATTGAACTCAGAGAGATAGAGAGTAGAATGATGGTTACCAGAGTCTGGGAAGGACAGTGGTGGGGGTGGGGTGGGGAATGGAGATGGTTAATGGGTACAAAAATACATAGTTTGATACAATAAGTAAGATCTGGCATTTGATAGCACAACAGGGTGACTACAGTCTGCAATAATTTGTTATACATTTTAGAATAACTGAGGGGGTACAATTGGAGTGCCTGTATCACAAAAAAATGATAAATGCTTGACGTGATGGATATCCCATTTACCCTGATGTGATTATTATATGTGTATGCCTGTATCAAAATCTCATATAACCCATAAATATATATACCTACTATATACTCATAAAAATTAAAAATAAAAAGTTACCAATAAGTACAAGAAAAGATACTCAATTATCACTAGTCATGAGGAGAAAAAGAAAACATGCTTCATTCCTTCTTTGGAATGCTCAAATATGACTCACACAGACAAATTTCCAACTACTTCATAGTGCCCCTCTATAGGTATGGAGAAAAATCTAAAGCTTTGCTCTTGTTCAAGTGTCTAATGACTCAGTTGAAAAAAACTCAGTTGCCTTATATCAACAAAGCATTAGTATTCCAGAACAACTGACAATAATGGCAACAAAAAGAGAGATCTCAGTCCTCAGAGGGAAAGCTCTTCTTTTTAATAATTGCCATTTTAAGATAATATGAAATATAACTTTATTAACAATATAAAAACCCACCACAGAGGAAAAATTATTACATACACTCATGGTAAGTAGTGTTAATATGATTAGAGTTTATAAGTTTAAACTTAAAATATCACATAAACATCTTACAAAATATTTAAAGAAGGATATAAAACTTCACGTTCATATAATATTGCTAAATTATTAAAATTGTAATAAAGTCATTATAAAATAAACAAGGCATAAATTTGTGCAATCCACTAAAAGTTATAGAATTTAAATAAACAATTTTTAAAATATAGTAGAATTTCACCTTAAAATAGACCTTAATGTTTAAAGGATGCCTCCTGATACACTGGAAGTTCTAGTTTCATGAAGCTCTTTTGAGAATAAAAGAACTATCGACATCCAGGAAAACATGAGAGAGAAACCCAAATAAAAATTTGGTTAACTTCTTCCCCCAAAACATCTTTTCCCCTTGGAAAGTCTATACATTACTAAGCTATTGCAGAATGAAGGGAAAGTTTCAGATGAGATTTTCCTATATTATACATTGGCCTTAAGTCTACCGAAATAATGTAGATAGATAGATAGATAGATAGATAGATAGATAGATAGATAAAGATATTTTAAGAGTAACTATTCATATTTACTTAGTAAATGTTTGGTGAATTGTATACTGGAAACAAGAAGCACAGTACAATTTCAGTAGTAATAGTAAAATGTACTTCTGCTTTTAGAAGAACTACAGCTCCCTGAGAGATTCAAGAATTCAGGGACATATATATACCTTTGGGGTTCCTTTTGACTTTGGAGTTATACAAGTAATACTTGTTCATTACAGAATAATGAAGTAGATATAAGTAATCAACAGGAAGAAAAAAGATTAAATTACCTGTAATCATATGGTCCTTAGGTAAATGTTTTTCCTCCTACAGCTATTTTAGACACATAAAATATACATAACAAAAAGGTTCACATGAAATATACCATTTTAAAAGCCACATTTTGGCCAGGCACGGTGGCTCATGCCTGTAATCCCAGCCCTGTGGGAAGCCGAGGCAGGCAGATCACGAGGTCAAGAGATCAAGACCATCCTGACCAACATGGTGAACCCCGTCTCTACTAAAAATACGAAAATTAGCTGGGCATGGTGGCGCAGGCCTGTAGTCCCAACTACTCGGGAGGCTGAGGCAGGAGAATCACTTGAACCCAGGAGGTGGAGGTTGCAGTGAGCTGAGATCACGCTACTGCACTCCAGCCTGGCAACACAGCAAGACTCCATCTCAAACAAACAAACAAACAAAAAATGCATTTGCTTGTGTTTTGATGATAAATTACTAAAAGTGGAATTTCTAAGGCAAAGGGAATCGATCTACCTTGTTAAAGCTTCTGATACATATTGACAATTTGTCTTCCACAAAGACTGTATGAATATAAATTTCCACCAGCTTAGAGGCAGGTGGGTGCCCATAGCATTCAATCCATTTGCCTATTTTCTCTGGGCTTTCATTCAGTGTCATTCTTCTCTCTTGGAATGTCTTTCTCCTCCTATTTCTACCACGTGGTCTGCAGGAGTACAAGAAAAAAGTTATAATTCTCCTCATGACTACTAGCAGCACCAATTTTTGTCTCTATTCCTGCCCACATTATTTTCCTGGTGAGGACTAGACTATACCTCCCCATCACCCTCCACCACCACCACCACCAGTCCCTTCTCTACCTGCTGACTAGCTGCTTTCCAGAGTAAGGGAAGATGGTGATATGTGTGCGAGAGTGCAGAAAAAGGGGGCGAAGTACTCTGTTTCATTTACAGAATGGAACCCCAGGGGTAAAGAGGAATAGCTGTTAATAACTGCAGTTATCAACATACTGTACTATGTGTAGAAGCTTAGTTTTTTCTCAATCTAACTTCACCTCAGTTTCTAGCATTAAACTGTCATTCCTAAGTTTTGGAACAGTTATAAAATTTTTCCTTCCACATTTGCATGAGTATTTTAATACAAGATTAGTCAAGGCTAAACTGAGCTACTAGCCAGATAAAATTTTAACTAAAAAATCTTCATGACTTTTGTTTGGCAGCTGGTGAACCACCTTTTTCCCTCCTGAGAAAGAACTCCATGTATCAGAAAACACTTCAATACCATCAAATTTTAATTCGATAAAGATTAGAATAAATTAGGGATTTGTCAGTCTCTTTAAATACATAGAACAAAAAAGGGTCACTAAAATGTAAAGCTCTTTCTAAGAAAACTTTAGAGATAAAAATCCAATTTACTTCCTCAGTCACTGGATAGAGAATCTATGCCCCAGCAAAATGATCTGAAATGCGTAAGATGAGAAAGAAAATAAGCAGCAGAGTTCCCATCTTCTCCTTCGAAATGTAATCTCTTCATATAGTGAATGTCATGCAAGGCTTGAAGTCAAAATGCTCTTTGCAGGACAGTAGTAAATACTGATATTTTAAATTCTATCATACAAACTATCATTTTAGATGAAATTATGTATTTAGTAATTCTAAGTTTAAATTGCTATTAATGTTTGGTTTATTTTAATTGAATATAAAATAATGATGACGACTACAAATATCTAAAGAACAGTTATAAAAGTAGATATTATCAGTTGTTTACAAGTTTTTTTCCTTGAATAACCATTTTTTCCTCATACATACATTTTACCTGCCTAATACTTGCTTGAAAATTAATGGTGGCTCTTTCTAGAATTTAAGGAAAATTTTGGAATGAAAAACCTAAAATTCCATCAGCTTTTTTCCCCTACAAACTGTGAAAAGACCACCATTATTCAATGTTGGCAGCATAACACTTCTGCTCAGTTCCAGGAAGGGTCACATGGAGCACAAATTGAAAAATACAGGTTTGTACCATGCTGAGCTCTACATGCTTCAAGGTCCTGTAACTTTGGAGACCTAGAAGGAGCAGAAAGAAACTGCACTCCTTTAGGGGATAAAAAACATTTAAATATATCTGGACCTAAAACATTAAAATATATTTGATGTATTTACATATTTTCATAACAGGTATAAGTCATAATTGAATTTCTGTGGTGAAAATTTAACCCAACTTTAGCAATGAAAAGATGCCTACAGGCTAGAAAAGCATTTATATGTGAAGGGAATGCTTTCACTATAATTGGTTCATACCATAATTTGGCAACTCATATAAGGTAGCTCAATACTATATTTACCTTCCTTTCTCTCCTTAGCAAAAACAAAAGAATTTAGATATATTAAAGTATTCTCAATATATAACTATCAAACAGAAATATTTACATATGTGGCTGTTTAGAATTATCCCTAAGATGTCCTTTTAGCTCTAAAACTTAGGTGCGGCATCACCCCCACCTTATAATTGCAAAATATTAAAAAACTGCAGCTCAATTTATAATAAAAAAGTAAACATTTAAAAATAAGATTAATACAATATTTTTCATTACCTTTAAAACTCTTCTTTCACATCTGACATACTGGGCATGATTAATGTTCAACTCCAGTAAAAACATAATATATACTTGGTTTTAAACTTTATAAAGTGATTTTGTAACTAGAAATTTGGGATGGTAAAAGGAAACATATACACTTCAATTTTTCTCCTGAACTTCCATGCTTAAAAAAAAAATTATGGTTTCATTTATTGCCTTCAGCGTTTTGGAAATACATTTCCAAATATGTAACATTTAAAATATGTGAGGGATACAGGTGAGTTGCTAGTTAAAGACTACATTATCATCAGCAGAATTGCTGACTTAATAACATAGCTGGTCCAGATTAGTAAAGGAATCCCTGCCTAATATCAGTAATACGTTCCTGAAAATCAAATGGGTGGGAAAATATAATGGCAAGCTTATTTCCCATCACTTTAGATGGGAAAAATTACAATGTGGAATATATCATCTAAAACCCTCAACCAATTTCTTAAGACATAACTAAAACACAGTAAAAACACCTATATATAAGTAGCAAACTATTATGTGAGCATGTTTAACTTGTTTCCTGATCACCAATTACTATGGTTGTTAATCACTAGCTGCTTTGTAGCAGTAATATGGTCTCCCTTGGTACCAGCAATATCCAAAATGCACAACATTTCTGATGGCAGTGAGTATACCATTCAAAATGTTTACTTATGACTCTGACAATCTATTAATTTCATTTAAAATTGAACTCCAGACTATTTCCAATTGTTTTGAGTTTAGAAAGACATAAATATAAATGTCTTCTATATAGACACAGACTGAAGAGCTTTACTGAGATATACATATAAATACATTTCCATGAAGTCTGGGCATGAAAAACAGGGGCTCTACCAAGAAAAGATTATCCAGGGAGATAGCATTATAAGCACATCTGTCAAACATCGGTGCAGACATTTTCAGCTGCAAGTAACATAAACCTAGCTAAAAGTGGCTTAAACTTTAATGCGGGAATTTATTATCTCACCTAAAAAGTCCAGAGGTAAACAGCTCCCAAATTAGTGAATATGTCAGTTCAACAATGTCATCATGGTTGCTTCCTCCTTTTACTCTGCCATCTTCGACATGTGACCTCTGTCTCAAGCTAGCTCTCCTAAGCAAAGTTGGCAATGATAGATAAAACATCATCAGCCATTTCATCCAGATCAAATAACTGCCACGAGAAGAGGTGGCAGTCTCTTCTGTCTGTATCTGCCCATGAGTCTCTCAGTTGATCTTCCTTCATGTCGCAGTCAGAAATGTGATGGGTGCCCATTCCTAAGCCAATCACTGGCAAGGTGAATTAGACTACCGTGACTGGCTTAGGCAAATGAGCACTGACTTTCTGGGGCTGGGAATAAGGTTGGCTCTCCTAAAACGCATGGTCAAGCAGAGGTAGGGAAGTAAAGGAAGCCCCTCCTCCCCAGAGTAAGGCAGGCTTAGTCTGAATGCTTACTAATTTGCATTTATATAACTAAATAAAGTAAGTATAATTTAAATCCAAGTAATAGATAAGTTAACAAAGACTTATTTTCATTGGAGAAAATACCTTAATAGAAGATATTACCAAGTTTTCTAACCAAATATTAAATGGTTTACAAGTCATTACAAAAGCTATTAACAATATACAGACTGAGGATCAGCTTTTTGATAGTCATGTGCTTACAATTTTATAAAATACGCAGCGGGTTAGATGTCCTTTAGGAGGTTACAACATAATTGGCAAGACATACAAAAATAAAGGCGTAAATAACATTACAAAACAATAATATAGGAGCTGCTACAAAATACCATGTGATTAAGAAGCAAATAAATGATAGAAGATTTACAACATGAGATCAAAAAGAGAGCTATCTAGAAACTGAGGAAGCCTCGAGACAGATTTCATCTGAGATCTTGACACTGAACACGACACAGACAAAATGAAACAAGCTGGGCACTCTGCATGAGGAAACACGGGGCTGAGGGCAAGGCAGCAGAAAAACACCTTGGATTCGGATAATCAGTGAAAAGGCAAACCATGAGCAAATAATCACTACTAATTATAAGTAAGTTTTCCTTTTTAAGATAACAAGTAAAAAGGTTCTCACATTCTACTTTCTGACGCCAAACTAGTAAAGGTACCCAATGAGATATGCCCCACCTGACAACAACTCTCCCACCTTTACCATTAAGATAAAAATATCCTAAGAAATCACAGCCCAAGGAGCTAGTAAACCAAAGCAACATCTAAAAAAGTAATTCTTAATATTTTGGGGGTTACAGATCTTTGAGAATCTGATGTAATGCAGGGAATGTTCTCCCCCCAAAAATACAAACCTAAAATTTTACATGTAGTGTCAGAAGTTTCCAGACCACTGCATGCAGCCCTCCAAACTCAACATGGGTTAAGAACCCCTAACATAGCAACAGCAACAGGGACAATGGCTGCTTATCTCAGTTATCAACTTCTTCAAGCCATCCATCAACAAGCTATTTCAGGGGTTACAGTTTTCCTTTGGTGCTGCCAAGCATATTTTCAGCTGGTGCATCAGGAAATGATGGATGCCAGAAATAAAAATAAGTCGTTCCATAAATTTACAGCTTAGTTATTTGACTTAGAATACTTAAAATTTTCAGAGCAATTACTCCTTTAAATCAGTAACACTATAGTGTAAACCTTGAATATCATGTATTTAATACTTATCATTAAAAATATGTGTGTGTATGTATAGTCATAAAAGTACATATCATTTTTGATGGAAATACCGGTTGTAGGAAGTGAATCCTTTTCAAATTTAACTGACAACCAGAGTTTGGCAGCAATTCTCTTTAATAATGTTCTGCTAGTTAATGCACACTTTAAACACTTCAGCTTTTAGTGGGTGTGAATAGACTTTCTGGTGGACTGATCATATAAGCATAGATCGGCCTTCCAGTCTGAGTTGAGGGAAGGCCTATATGTGGCCCTGGCAGGGTGCACACCATTCCTTTGCCTACAACATACATCATTAGTGATCCCCAAATTCTCTCCAGCTAAACTAAGTGCTACCTCAGAATCATTCTCCCAAGCATTTCACTGAACTGCCCAGGGTCAGCAAAAGAATTACAAGTTCTTTGTACTCCCTTTTGTCAGTGCAGATCTGTGTACAGTTTCCTTTTGCTTCATCTCCTGCAACAATGTAATGAAGACACCATGATATCATTAACATTTCACACAAAAGGAAAATGAGGCTGAAATGGTAAGTAGCCTGCTCAAAATCACACAGCAAGTAAATGACAGAACTTAAATAGAATCCAAATACTATTATTTCCAGTTCAGTACCTGTATTACTTAGGGCTTGGTTCATCCGCAAATCACATAATAAAATAGTTGCTCAAACAGAACAGAACTTTGTGTCTCACATAAAGGAAGTTCAAAGGAAAGTTCAAAGGACTGGTATGGCAACTTCACAACTCTTTGACTTCACTCTTCAGCTATCCTTACAACGTACCCTAGTTCTCATGGTCTTAGATGCTGGCTAGAATTCTACATAATCATCATATCCACATTCCAGGATAAGGGAAGTGGGGGCAGGGGAGAGGAGTAAGGAAGGTACACAGCAGTGTGTTTTTAAAAGATTTCCTAGAATCTGCAACACAACATTTCTTCTTATATCCCATTGGCCAGAAACTTCATCATAATCTTCACACCTAACTGGAAAACGGCCACATGGAAAGATAAAGGGGGAAACAGATATTGAGGGACTAGTAGTGTCTGCCCCATATCACAGTGAAGCTAAAGAAGATTTAAAAGGTTAAATTATCAGGTGTTCAGAAAAATAACTTTGCAGCATGATGGTTCTGGAAAGTTTATTAATTTGTTGTTGTGGTTTCTCTGACTTACTCTGTCAACCTCGTATGAGTATACGTGCATGCCTTCTCAGTAATGCATTCAGGACATGATGCTGCAATTAGTTTTTTCATTAAAAGATAATTCTCAATCTTGCTGAAACTATAAAAATTATCTACATTTTTAAAAAATTGTCAATAAATTTCTGATAAAAAATACAAAAAAACAAAACCCATAACTTTACTGCTTTAAAATGGTCTGATAGTTCCTTACTGCCAATGGGATAACATTCTAACATTTGAGAAGGCCACACAAGGCCCACAAACCATGTTTCTGGACACACTTCCCAATAGTGGCCCTGATACACCCTCTCTATTCAGCCAAGAATACTGGCCCTGCCTATGTATCAGATTCTTCTGAAGCTATATAACTTTACACAATCTGCCCCACCACCTAGAATAGTTTTGCTCCTCTACCATACCTTATAAAAATAATTATTCCAGCAATTCTCAGACATCAGTATGCATAAAAATACTGTAGAGTAAAACAGTCAACTCTTCCCAAGTAGCTATACTAAATGCATTGCTTGCTTAAAATGCTGATTCTCTGGCTATAGCTCCCAAAATTCTGTTTCACTAGGTGTGGGCAAGGCCCAGGAATCTGGAGCATCCCTAACCAAGCAGGAGAGCACCTGGGATAGAGAAAGTGCTCAAGAATGTTCACTTACTGATTACTACAATCAAAAAAAGATACGACACTAATTTACCACATTCTTCTTACTTATTTTATGAGATACTATTCTTCCAAGGTAAGACCATAATTCTATCATGATATAATGAAGGAAGAAAACACTTAAATTTTTTTCTTTTTCAGATCAGGAGTGAAAGTTTATTAAAAAGCTTTAGAATAGTACGGAAAGGAAAGAAAAGAAGAAAAGTACAACTTCGAAGAGGGTCAGGCAGGCAACTTGAGAAACCAAGTGGGCCAACACTTAAATTTTTTAGAAATTCACATTTATAAAGATTAATGTGGCCGGGCACGGTGGCTCACGCCTATAATCCCAGCACTTTGGGATTACAGGGGCGGGCGGATCACGAGGTCAGGATATGGAGACCATCCTGGCCAAAGTGGTGAAACTCCTTCTCTACTAAAAATACAAAACTTGGTGGGCGTGGTGGCGCACACCTGTAGTCCCAGCTACTCGGAAGGCTGAGGCAGGAGAATCGCTTGAACCCATGAGGCAGAGGTTGCAGTGAGCTGAGATGGCACCACTGCACTCCAGCCTGGAGACAGAGCAAGACTCCGTCTCAAAAAAAAAAAAAAGATCAATGTGTAAACCCAATAATAATTCTTCCCTTCATAATATGCATTGGTTGCATGCAATGAATAAAAAAAACAGATGCTCAATATGATAATTACTTAAGTATAAAAGAATATTGTAGTACTAAGATTACCAGAAAGACATTCAGGTCTTCCAACCCTATATGAATTACTCATACAAGGTAGAATATTCATACTGTACATTTTACTTAGAGTCTCATCCTCATTATCTATATCTTTAATATAATGAAATAATAAAGTTTAAATAAATATGAAAGCCACTCATCATAATTTTTGAGTTAAATCTGACAAAATGTGAAGTTACAGCATTAGTAAAGCCTGTAAGGAAACAGTAGGAGAAATTCCATGTACATAACATGGTATGCATACTTACAATGTTTTCCCTACAGATGTTGTATGGAATAAGCACCCTTCAAGGAAATAGTACCATAGTGAAACAGTCAACTACCCCCAAATAGTTGTATTAAAACATGGCTGCTTGAATGCGTTAGTCTGATTTTTAAAAGGTACCTCAGATGTTGGTTTGAAAAGTTTACGGGTGTTAATCTGTCAAATAATTTCACATAAATTCATAGTTGTACTATGGCTAAAGCCAGAAAGAGTCATAGATCAGTTGGAATTCACATTGTATAATTAATTTAATAAAATGCTTCCCAGTTGTTCCACTGATTTTTCAAAAAACATCTAAGGTTTCAAAAACTGTCAGCCCTCCGTATCCATGAGTTCCTCATGGGTGGATTCAACCAACAGTGGATCAAAATTATTCAGAAAAAAAAATTGCTTGTGGTTGCCAAGCGTGGTGGCTCAGGCCAGTAATCCCAACACTTTGGGAGGCCGAAAGGGGTGGATCACTCAAGGCCAGAAGTTCAAGACCAGCCTGGCCAACATGGTGAAACCCCATTTCTACTAAAAATACAAAAAAAAAAAATTAGCCGGGAATGGTGGCACACGCCTGTAATCCCAATTACTTGGGACTCTGAGGCATGAGAATTGCTTGAACGCGGGAGGCAGAGGTTGGAGTGAGTCAAGATTGTGCCACTGCCACCAGCCTGGGTGATGGAGTGAGACACTGTCTCAAAAAAAAAAAAAATTGCATCTGTGCTAAACATGTACAGGCTTCTTTTCTTGTCATTATTCCTCAAACAATACAGTAAAACAACTGTTTACATAGCATTTACATTGCATTAGGTATTTTAGTAATCTAGGGATGATTTAAAGTATATGGGAGGATGTATGTAGGTCACATGCAAAAACTATGCTCTTTTATATCAGAGCGTTGAGCGTCAATGGATTTTGGTATGAGCGGGGGTCTTGGAACCAATTTCCCACAGATACCAAGGGAAAACTGTATATTACTCATAGAAAATGAATTTTGGCTGGAAGCAGTGGCTCACGCCTATAATCCCAGCTGTTTGGGAGGCCAAGGCAGGCGGATCACCTGAGGTCAGGAGTTTGAGACCGGCCTGGCCAACATGGTGAAACCCTGTCTCTATCCAAAATACAAAAATTAGGCAGGTGTGGTGGTGCATGCCTGTAATCCCAGCTACTTGGGAGGCTGAGGCAGGAGAATCACTTGAACCCAGGAGGCGGAGATTGCAGTGAACAGAGACCATGCCACTGCACTCCAGCCTGGGCAACAAGAGCAAAAACTCCGTCTAAAAAAAAGAAAAGGAAAAGAAAACAAATTTCATTTCATAGGATCATGTATGAAGCTTTCTGCTCTTTTTCTATTTAATGATTTAATATATTGAAGGAAATGTAATTACCCAGAAATTCTGTGGTTTTATTTGCTTTTTGTTTATGGCTCAACTAAAAAAGAAACTGTAACTTTATATTTTATGAAGTCTTTTTCAAAGTGTCTCAACACATTATTTGATGACATACAATTATTAGAGAGTGAACTGTAGTGCTTCTCAGCCTTGCATGAACTCTAGAATCATCTGGAGAACTCTGGGGGGAAAAAATCAATTCCTGGGCCTAATCCCAGGACCTTTTAATCAGAATCTAGGAATGGGTCCCAGCACCAGTATTTTTTTCTAAGTATCCCCTAATGCACAGAAGGGTTAGAATCACAGAGAGATAGATCCCTAATTTACGTTTGAGTCAACTAAATCCACTGAGTCCCCGAAAAAAATGAATGACTTTCCCACAATTAACTGTGCCAAACAGAAGGCTCAGTTCTGCCTCTGAGTACAGTTGGCACCTCTCCTCTTCCTTCATGCAATTGCCTTTCACTGTACATTCAAGGAGTTAAGGAAGGGTGGTGTACCCCACACGGGGATGGCCTAACCTAACTTTTTCACCTCCGAAAAACTGAAACTGAAACGCTGCTAGATTAACAGGTAAACCAGAATCAGGTAACAGTGACTGAAAATACTGTTAATTCTATCCATTAGACACACAACTCCACATTTCTTAATAGAAAAACAAGCATCTACATCATGAAGTTAGTTGAAAAATCCTGGCATACTTGCTTTGCAATTTAAAGGTCAAAAGTAAAAACACAAAAACTGCTAAGTAAATTAAATGTAAATCGAGTTTTTCTGGATATCCCGATACGTGGGTAAGGAGACAGCGATAGGGTAAGTTACTTTTTAATCCATAAACACTCTAATTTTTTAAAGATCTGGTATACATTTTTTGTAAGAACAGGCAATAAAAATAGGAAGCACATGTTGAAAACCTGTTTAGTTTTTGTCACTGTTTTAATTAAAGCCTTCAACCCTAGACAGAATCAAAGTGACTTACTGTCCCTCATTCCTTAGAATGTAAATTTTTATGTATACAGCTAAATTTCCACTTTTAAATAAAGGAAACAACACAGCGATGAAGAGACTACCTTTAAAAGTTCCATATAAAAATATGATAGTTTAAATGAAGTATGTATATGTGGTTTGGTTCCCAGAATGAGGAATTCCATAGGAGATAATCTTAAAAATAACTCACTTATTTTCAATATCTGACTGATCATTGAGACTGGAAAACAGAAGGTGAGACTAAATTACATATTTCAATGTGTTTTAAGTATTTTAAAAGGTGAAATCCAAGCTGCTGTGAATTATTAAATTCTGGTTCTAAATTCAGCAAGTGTTACAAAATAATTAGCTTAATGGAAACTAGAAGTTCTTATGCCCTACTTGAAGAAGCACCTGCATATTCTGAAAACCATGATGCATTTCCCTTGTACTGTAACCCAATTCCTTTAATCTCTACAATAGTGTTTGCCCAATTTCATTCTGCCTGCTTCAAAGTTATATTCAATATTTGGTCAACAATATTAGTGAACCAACAACAATATCTAAATTGTTCCTTTTCATTTATATCCTATTACTTTTTGTTGTTATTTTTCCTTCTTTTTGCTATAACATAATAAGCTAATTCATGCTTTTGTCTTAGTTTTGGAAGGAATTATATCCTAACATTTACGCAATATCCCTTTTCCTAACTTAAAATAACTATGAGCTTGCCACTACACTAGTAAATTTGTAATCAACTTAAAGATAATGTCTTAAAAGTACAATTAAACATGTCATAACAGGAGAAAACCCTGGTAATTACGAATAGTGCCATGCTTGCTGGATTTTTAAATAGTAGTATAAGGCTATGAAAAATCGCCACCCAGTGATGCAAATGAAAACTGCAATTTGTTTTTGTGTAAAATGAGTACCCTGGAGGATTACTTCAACTTCATTACTGAATGAAGGAATAGCTATTACCTTCTTACGTGAATAGGAACTGGTTACAAGGGAAAGGATGTTTTTCTACAAGAACTTTTTTCCCTTATTCTTATTCGGCACCACTAGACATTTTACAGAGGCTAAAAGCTTTCGAAATCTTAATGCGGAGAAAGGTTTTCTGTCCAAATGTGAGCTAACTGTATATGAACAGCCCAGATATTCCTATTACCAAAACAAGTGTCTAGACTCTGCCCAGACCTGAATTTCAAGTCATGATGTGTTGATTCCATCAACTCTGCAATGCCATCTAATAATTGTGACCTAAAACCTATTTGTGTTAAGCAGAAATGCTTGCCTAGGGGAAAAGGTATTCTCAAGTGGAAAAAAATAGATAATTTATAGCTTAAACAACATAATTTACTCTGACCTTTCTAGAAATGGGTTATAAAGGCCACATAAGGAGATAATCTAACAAATTCTGTGGTGTCCATATTGATAAAAAGTTGTTGCTACAAATATAATCATGTTTATAAGTTTTTACTTAGCTTTATCATTTAGACATCAACAAACACACAAACCAACAAAATATATTTATTTTTCTGTAATGTACGTATTGCACACGATGCCACAAAAAAAGTTATGTGGATATATGCTAACCATGATACATGTGTATGCAACTAAAAAAACTATCAGAACTAATAAATAAATTCAGTAAGGTTACGGCATACAAAATCAACATACAAAAATCAATAGCATTTTTATATGCCAACAGCAAACAATTTGAAAAAGAAACCAAGAAAGTAATCCCATTTATAAAGCTACCAGTAAAATAAAATACTTAGGAATAAATATAACCAAAGTGAAAGATCTCTAAAATAAAAATTATAAAATACTGATGAAAGCAACCAAAGAGAACACACATAAAAAAAAATGGAAAGATATTCCAAATTTATGGATTGGAAGAATCAGTATTGTTAAAATGTCCATACTACCCAAAACAATCTACAGATTCAATGCAATCACTATCAAAATACCAAAGACATTCTTCACAGAAATGGAAAAAATAATCCTAACATTTATATAGAATCACAAAAGACCCAGAGAAGCCAAAACTGTTCTAAGCAAAAACAACAAAATTAGACGAATCACACTACCTGACTTCAAATTATACTAAAAAGCTATAGTAACTAAAATAGCACAGTACCGGCATAAAAACAGACACATGGACGAATGGAACCAAATACAGAACCCAGGAATAAATTCACACATTTACAATGAACTCATTTTCAACAAGGGTGCCAAGGATATACATTGGGAAAAGGAAGTCTTGAATCAGTGGTGCTGGGAAAACTGGATATCTATATGCAGAAGAATAAAACTAGACCCCTATCTCTCGCCACATACAAAAATCAAATCAAAATGGATAAAATACGTAAATCTAAGACCTGAAACTACGAAACTACTAGAAGAAAGCATTGGGCAAATGCTACAGGACAGTAATCTGAACAAAGATTTCTTGAGTAATACCCCACAAGCACAGGCAACCAAAGCAAAAATGGACAAATGGGATTACATCAAGTTAAAAGGCTTCTGCACAACAAAAGAAATGATTAATCAACAGTAAAGAGACAACCCACAGAATGGGAGAAAATATTTGCAAACTACTCATCTGACAATGGATGAACAATCAGTATATATAAGGAACTCAAACAACTCAACAGGAAAAAATAAAATAATCCAATTTTAAAATGGGCAGGCCAGGCATAGCAGCTCACGCCTGTAATCCCAGCACTTTGGGAGGCAGAGGCAGGAAGATGGCTTGAGCCTAAGAGTTCGAAAGTGGCCTGAGTAACATAGTGAGTTATTGCCTCTTAATATGTGTGTGTGTATATATATATATATATATATTTATCTATAAATTAAATATATAAATATATATTTATCTATAAATTAAATATATAAATATATATTTATCTATAAATTAAATATATAAATATATATTTATCTATAAATTAAATATATAAATATATATTTATCTATAAATTAAATATATAAATATATATTTATCTATAAATTAAATATATAAATATATATTTATCTATAAATTAAATATATAAATATATATTTATCTATAAATTAAATATAAATATATATTTATCTATAAATTAAATATATAAATATATATTTATCTATAAATTAAATATATAAATATATATTATCTATAAATTAAATATATAAATATATATTATCTATAAACTAAATATATAAATATATATTATCTATAAACTAAATATATAAATATATATTTATCTATAAACTAAATATATAAATATATATTTATCTATAAACTAAATATATAAATATATATTTATCTATAAACTAAATATATAAATATATATTTATCTATAAACTAAATATATAAATATATATTTATCTATAAACTAAATATATAAATATATATTTATCTATAAACTAAATATATAAATATATATTTATCTATAAACTAAATATATAAATATATGTTTATAAACTAAATATATAAATATATGTTTATAAACTAAATATATAAATATATGTTTATAAACTAAATATATAAATATATGTTTATAAACTAAATATATAAATATATGTTTATAAACTAAATATATAAATATATGTTTATAAACTAAATATATAAATATATGTTTATAAACTAAATATATAAATATATGTTTATAAACTAAATATATAAATATATGTTTATAAACTAAATATATAAATATATGTTTATAAACTAAATATATAAATATATGTTTATAAACTAAATATATAAATATATTTATAAACTAAATATATAAATATATTTATAAACTAAATATATAAATATATATTTATAAACTAAATATATAAATATATATTTATAAACTAAATATATAAATATATATTTATAAACTAAATATATAAATATATATTTATAAACTAAATATATAAATATATATTTATCTATAAATTAAGTATATAAATATATATTTATCTATAAATTAAGTATATAAATATATATTTATCTATAAATTAAGTATATAAATATATATTTATCTATAAATTAAGTATATAAATATATTTATCTATATTAAATATATAAATATATATTATCTATAAATTAAATATATAAATATATATTTATTATATAAAATTAAATATATATTAAATAATATATAAATATATTTTTTTATATATCTGAATAGCTATTTCTCAAGACATACAAAATGACCAATAGGCATATTAAAAAAACGTTCAATATTGTTGATCATCAGAGAAATGCAAATCAAAATCAAAATGAGATATCATCTCAACCCAGTTAAAATGGCTTTAATCCAAAAGATAAGCAATAACAAATGCTGGCAAGGATGTGTAGAAAAGGGACCTCATACCCTGGTGGCAGGAATGTAAATTAGTACAGCCAGTATGAAGACCAGTATGGAGATTCCTCAAAAAAACTAAAAACAGAACTACTATATGATACAGCAATTCTATTGCTGGGTACATACCCAAAAGAAGAAATCAGCATATCAAAGAGACGTCCACATTCCCATGTTTATTGCAGTACTATTCACAATAGCCAACATATAGAATCAACCTAAGTGTCTCCATCAACAGATGAATAGATAGGCCGGGCGCGGTGGCTCACGCCTGTAATCCCAGCACTTTGGGAGGCCGAGGCGGGCGGATCACGAGGTCAGGAGATCGAGACCATCCCGGCTAAAACGGTGAAACCCCGTCTCTACTAAAAATACAAAAAATTAGCCGGGCGTAGTGGCGGGCGCCTGTAGTCCCAGCTACTTGGGAGGCTGAGGCAGGAGAATGGCGTGAACCTGGGAGGCAGAGCTTGCAGTGAGCCGAGATCCCGCCACTGCACTCCAGCCTGGGCGACAGAGCGAGACTCCGTCTCAAAAAAAAAAAAAAAAAAAAAAAAAAACAAAAAAACAGATGAATAGATAAAGAAAATGTGGTACATATACACAATGGAATACTATTTAGCCATAAAAAAAGAATGAAATCCTGTCCTTTGCAACAACATAGATGGTACTAGAGGAGATCATGTAAAGTGAAATAAAGCAGGCACAAAAAGACAAATTTCACATTTTCTCACTCATATGAGGGAGCTCAGTTTTTTTCAAATTGAACTCATGGAGATAGAGAATAGAATGATGGTTACCAAAGGCAAGGAAGGGTAGCAGAAAGAGGGAAATAAAATGGGGATGGATGATGGGTACAAAAATACAGTTAGATAGAAGGAATAAGATCTAGTATTTGGTAGCACAATAGGGTGACTATAGTTAACAATAATTTATTGTATATTTTTAAATAACTAAAAGAGTGGAAATTGAATGTTGCTAACACAAAGAAATAATTGCTTGAAGTGATAGATATCCTAATTACCCTGATTTGATCACTACACATTATATGCCTGTGTCAAAACATCACATGTACCCTGTAAATATATACAACTATTACGGACCCATAATGATTAAAAATAAAAAATTTAAAACAAAACAGATGTGTGCAAGTATGTGTCCATGTTAATAAAAGCATTAAAAGCATTTTCTATTTACCATTTGATCTACTTGACTTTTTCCAGAATATTTTATACAGTATGCTCTGAGACTAAAGTAGATATTATATATGTCAGTATAGAATGATATAATAAAAAGAGAAACCTAGCAGAGCAAATCAATTTTTTAAAAAAGAGTTTACCTGATAATTAACTATAACTTTAAAGACAATTAACTATATTCCTAATAATCTGTCAAGATCTTTATCTGTCAATTCAGTTAAGTTCTTCACCACTGAAGGATGTTTTCACTAATTAAACCATATATACCAACTTCCAATTTCAACTTCATCAAGGAGTTTTCTGAAATATTTTAAAATATTTTAAAAACATTTAAACTATTAAATAGTAAAAAGTTTGGGTTAGCCAAAATAAAAGCCAAACTTTATGAACAGTATTACAACCACCAACCTTCTTTTATTAAAACAAATAAAAAACAGCACTTTCTCTTTTCAATTGTAGAGAATACAACTTTTTTTAAAAAACAAAGAGGTTAGGATGTCAATAATGTCTTAGAATTAAAACTGATGATATAACTTTTTTTACAAAAAGATGGATAGTTCAGTGGTTTAGAGGATAGGTTCTGAAGTCAGATTGCCTGGGCTAATTCCAGATCTGCTACATACTAACTGGAGAAACTTGGAAACATTAAATCCTAGCCTGTGTATGGTGATATAATAGTACTACCTCACTCACAGGGTTTTTCTAAACATTTTACACACATTAACTCATTTATTCCCCTCAATAACTTCATGGGGTAGGTACCGATATCGTGCTCATTTCCTAGATATGCTAAGTGGTACTGGGAAGGGTAACTAACCTGCCAAGGGTAGAGAGTAAGTCGTGGAGCCACGAAGCCAACCCAAAGGGTCTGACCCAGGGTCAGCACTTTTAACAGCACGTCACTGGAGAGCCTCTGAGATGCTTCTGCGGAAGAAGGAAGAGGGGATGAATGATGAAAAGAGAACGAAGACAGAGGAAGTAAGAGCTGAGACATGATGCTGACTGATACCATCAAAACTTCAGGAGAGTAATGGTACCCACAGAAGACTATGTACAGAGGATTTTATGAAAATGGTGAAGGGGTGGAGCTTTGCACCTGGGGGGAAATGAGGCTAAACAGAGACAAGCATCAGCAGACAGAGGAGCTGAAGGGCAACGAGGCCTCAGCCAACATCTGGCGGACCTGATTTGTTTGGGTCATTTGAACCAGGTACAGCACCAGCTGCACTGCAAATTAAACTGCTATCCTGGAACTACGACGGAAGTGATTCCTCACCATGACTGTTCAACTGCTAGACATATGGTGCTGGGTACGACACCAATTATGCTAGTCCAAGATGGTCCTGGGAAAATTCCCTCAGATGGAGCAGCTGGTACTGAGAGCATATTAGAGTAATTAGGTCCCGGAAATTCCTTCTTAAAATACGAAATTTGGAAGTTTGTGTGCCTTCTGAGGCTCAGTTAAAGAAAGACTACTTCTTAAACTAGTCTTTCCTGGAAAGGGAAAGGAGATCCATAGTAGATAATACTCGGAGGCAGAAGGCCCTGGAAACTGGGCTTCTACTGAGATAGCTACAAGACATGCAATGGAATGTCTCATCAGGACTACATGCTACCAGAAATTGGAGGAGATCTTAGCAGCACCAGGAGCCACTGCAGTGGTGGTTAAAATTTGTCTCAGAAATCCTACAAAGTGGCAGAGAAGTAGGGATAAAGTAGATGAATAAAAAGTTTAAGGTCCAGCATTAGGAATTCTATGTGCTTTCAAAGATGCCAGTACACCCAACTTACAGCCTCTAAATGGCTATTTGATAACAAAAAGAATAATGTCAATTTCTAATCATAAAGACAACAGAAAAGAGGCTGGACGTGGTGGCTCATGCCTGTAATCCCAACACTTTGGGGGGCCGAGGCAGGAAGATTGCTTGAGGCCAGGAGTTCAAGACCAACCTGGGCAACATGGCAAGACCCCATCTCTATTTTCTTTAAAAATAATTTTAAAAAAAATTTTAAATACATATATAATAAAAACAACAGAAAAAAGCAGAGTTCCCTGTATATGTGTTAAGACTTCAGAGGTATTTTAAAATCAGGAATATATAACAGAGTGGAAAACAAGAGTTTTTTGGAAAAAATTCTGAGAGAAGAATTTATTGTGAAACTCCTGAAAAAGAGAAACTTCACAGGAGGCCTGATGTACCCCTGAAGTTTTCTGTTAGCGAGGCTAATTCAAGAAGTGTGAAAAAAGTAACACTGGCAGCTTTCAAGGAACTAAAATCGGAGTTAACAGAGTCAGTTCTGACTTGGAAGCCAAGGCATAAATTCCTGACACACTATGAAGGAAGGGTCATATTAGCAATTAAGTCCACTGCACCCTACCTTATCCCAGTCAGAAGGCTACCCAGAAAAATCATCAGCCCTGGTCAAAGACTAAGCCCCACTATTTTTACCTCAGGTATAAGGGATCTGGTCTGAAGAAAACAATTCTGAGCAACCTCCCAGCTACTGCTCCTGTCCCTGGACATACAAGACAGGTTCTCAAAAACAACAGGCCTGCCAGAACATGGCTGTAGAAATGATGGAAAATTCTATAGTAAAGTTTATCCACGAGAAAAACTCTATTCTGGTCTCACAGAGATTACCCTTAAATCTAAGGGAAACATCCCTTATTTCTCAAAGCCTACAGAGCATTGGCTGATGCTAGCAGATGCCAGTCTGATGGGGCCAAGATAAAGGAAGTAAGAGGTAGGAAACCAGTATCTGGAAAAGGAGACCCAGAGAAACATTCCAGGGAGTGAAGACCATATGAGTTAATGCAAATCTTCTCAGAGAAGGAGTAGGAATTTGGTGGGAGGAGGTCCAGCATGGAAAAGGATGAGAACCACAAGGAAACACTGGGTTTGACTACCCCACACCATACTTTGGAAAGAGAATTTCTGGGAAGAGCATACAAAGATGTTGTGCAAAACTTTTCCTCAGGGGAAGAAATGTGACATGACATGGAGGAAATTTTACTTTTCAGAACTCCCCTGGTGAAGAACACTGTATTTGATTGTAAGAAATATTTTTTAAAGACACTAAAACCTTTAAAATTTGCAGGTATTAATTTTATAATAGAAAATAGTCTTAAACAGGAAACACTATTTAACATATTTAGATTTTAAAGTCTACTTCATTCAGCAAATATTTATTGGATGCCTAATTTAATTTCAGATGCTAATTTATGAAACAAGGTTAGTACTATTTATAAGACAGAACTTGAATTCATCAAGGATTCTTGAAGACTTTAGATTTTCCACAGTTAAAAAAAAAAAGGGGGGGAAAAAGAAGTGATTTTACACATTTAACTTGGAGAACACAGCCAAATCAACACGGAAGAAAAGTCTCACTTGATGACACTATTCCAAGTAATTGATGACTTTCATCTTTACAGATTTTACGCTTTAAAAATTAAACACATAAATTAATTCTGAAATTATAAGAAATAATTTAAAATCAATCATATAATTTTCAAGTAATTTTTTAAAGAGAACATAATTCATCTAATTATTTTGTTTCTTAAAAAGACTCACCTAAAAGGACGAATCCATCTGCTTCTGTCTCTGGTACTGAGGGCTTTTTAGATTCCGGAGGCTTTCTGAAGAAGTGAAACATTGCTGCTGCTGCTGCTGCTGCTGCTGCTGCTGCTGCTGCTGCTGCTGCTGCTGCTGCTGCTACCTGAAATAGAAACATTACACAATGTCAAATTCAGATGCAACTGTAAAACTCTTACCCTTTTTAGCAAAAAGTTCAGCATAACGATATAACAATAGTTACTCTTAGGAATTCTATGGCCACATGTAAAACCATGAGCCTTCTCTAGATGTCAGCCGACAAAGCTAGAAAATGATCTTCCAATTTAAACTCCTGTATCCTTTGAAGTTCACAGTGCAACCTCTCTCAAGTTCTGAAGATTCAGAAAATAACCCAGGAAATCCCTACATACAAAACTCAAATCAACAGATAACACGAGAATCTGGAAGGATCTTGCTAACCATAAAACAGACACTGGTTTGGGTGATAGGAAAAAATAAAATAAACAGACCTGTCCAGGTTTCTTGTCATGTTGTGACTACCTTAAGCCTCATAAGACTAAGGCCACTGGAGAAAAGAAAACACATCAAACATCCCCTACTGATGGTTACCTAATTGAGACACTCAAGCACTGTACCTGTATTAGTCCATTCTCACACTGCTATGAAGAAATATCCTCGACTGAGTGATTTATAAAGAAAGGAGATTTAATTGACTCACAGTTTCACATGGCTGGGGAGGCCTCAGGAAACTTAAAAGCATAGGGGAAGTCACCTCCTCACAGGACGACAGGGAGAGAATGAGTGCCAAGCCCCTTATAAAACCATCAGATCTCATGAGAACTCACTCACTATCACGAGAACAACATGAAATGGCTCCCATGATTTAATTATCTACACCTGGTCCTGCCCTCGACACATGGGCATTAATACAATTCAAAGTGAGATTTGGGTGGGGACAAAGAACCAAACCATATCAGTACCCATTATAAAATTGCAGCCAACTTTAAATTCCCATCAGTGCAAATCCTTGCGTTGGTGAGATTATTGTGACCATCCCTCATACACACATGCTCACACGCACACAAATACAAGCACACATACACAACCCTCTTTTCCTACTATTCCCATTGTTATACATTCAAGTAGGCCAACAATTTCTAGAAAACAACTGGGGAGAAAGTTGAAGGGTACTTGCAAGGACACATAGGATTCTGAGGACAGTTCCTTACAAGCCAAAAAAATAAAAGAGAAAGCAAAGAATAATCCTGGTGGCAGCAAGTGCTCCAAGTTTTAGTTTTCATATATTTCACCCATAGCAGAAAACCAAGAAGGGAGGGTGAGGATTTAATGTGAGTGAAAGCCTTCTAGCAACTGAAAATTATACTGGGATTTGTGCTGGTTGGCCTGACCTGAGTTGTAGATCAGAGAAGGATATGAACCCCAACATAAGTGAATGGTAAAAGGAATCTATTGGTTGCTAGAAAACATATCTGGCAGATTTCACTTTTAAAAAAGGAATTCAAAATGGAGAAGAAAAACACAAGTCATGTGAAGAAGAAAACATTCTAATTAGAAAAAAGGAACAGCTTCTGAAATCCTTAAAGAAAGTGCTTACTGGATATAGTAATAGATACAAAAGAAAAGTTTGAAAACAGTTTGGCACTCTCTATAGAGAGCAAGGAGAGATGGCCTCTAATGAAACTGGTGAAAAACAAGATTAGATGAAAAAGCAAAAGAAAAGGATGAAAAGACAAGGAATCAAATGAAAAAAAGTAACTGAATAAGATAAAGGGAAACCCCCACAAGGAAAAAATGAGGTCAGAAAAGAATTGGTTTGCAAGCAGAAATGTAAGACAATAGATTTCAAATTAAACGACTTACACAATTGGAAAAGGCAACTACTTTTCAACCTCGAACAGTTAAAAACAAAACTGAGAAGGCCTTTAAGGAACAACAGCTAATTAAAACTCAGCCTCAGCTAAGGATCAAATAAAGGGTATATAGCTGATATTAAAACCTCAGTGTAGACTAATGTGGCACTCAGTAAATTCTTTCTCTTGGGATAAAACGGTTCAGAAAAAAGAGACTAAGGGTGTGGGTCTCCAACTGAAGCCTTGTGGAGCCAAGATATCCTCAAATAAATAAAGAGAAGAGGGGGGCATGCACAGAGGTGAAAAAGATAAGAAATACAGGAAATCTAAGAATTACATCTAGCAAAAATTTTAGGTCTGGCTATTGACACACGAAGCTGACTAAAGTTAAGTAGATAAGAAACCAACAAAATTTTTGAGAGTTGTACTGCAAAAATAATCTGGTCTCAATTCAAAGAGTAATATGATTATTGAATGCTTAAAACAACCCTTAGACACCAATTTTCTACAGATAAGAAGCTGCCAGAGAAAACTGTTCAGCCCCCAAGGAGGCCCAGTGCCCATTTCCGTTGTAGCCAAGGAAGTTACCGAAAAGGAAAAAATTCCAACAGGGTGAAGCCAATGGCATGGAAGACAATGGATGGAGGAGCCTCTCCCAGGAAGCAGAATCTGGACATAATTAAGGAACATTCTTGGGCCCAAGATAGGGGTCCCCCAAAATTCTACTGTGGAATTGCAGAATTGCTACAACTTTTGACTGTTCTCTCTCTCCCTTTGTTCGCCTTTGTAAATGGGAGTGGTTTTGGCAATTATGCTTACCAGTTCCACCAGGGTGTAAGGGTAAAGGAGGGGCAGATTACTTGTCTTTTTAGTTCATGAAGTCTCCAGACCAAGAGTACCACATCTGAACATGATGAACAGACTCTTGTGTATCAGCCAGAGGCACTGAACTTTGAGCATGATGCTATATCTGAATGGGGCAATGAGACAGACTGCCTTGGGGAGGGGTGAGTTACTTTGCCTATAGTAGTAGAGAGACAGATCTGAATATATGGTGAACACAAATGAGAACCACCGAATCGTTAGGGCTGTTTACCAGCTCTGTTTTATGGAGACATAATAGGACAGTTTTCTCTTCCCTCCCTGGAGTTAGATGTGGCCATGTGACTTGCCTTGTTCACTGTGCCACATGCCATTAGAGTGCTACAAGAACTTTTGTATATATAGAGAGACCCTTTACGAAGTGGCTCCTCTTCTAACATATGAATAACAGTCTTTTAACAGAAGGACTCAAATTTCCAATGCCTTTTGATGTCTGGCCACAAGTCAGAAATGGAACAAACACGGATATCACAAAAGTAGTTTTAATAAGTCATTCTCCAACCCCAAAAGTTTAAGTTGTTATAAAAGCCAGACTAAACTCAAGTGTAGTATAAGAAAACAAACAACCTGTTTTTAACCCAAGTATTGTGTATGGAATTTATAACAAGTAATTAAGTGAAACGTTAAAATTTTTAATGACCTAAAACATCAAATTTAAACACACTGGCTGCAGCAGTCTGTTACATAGCATGACTTACTGGCAAAGCATAACATTATAATCTGTCACTTCCAAACATCAGAACATTATAATATCCCAAATATATTATAGAAGGAGGGATAATTTAGGCTCCAAAAGTCAAGAAACGTGTAGGCATGGAAAAAAACAGGTCAGGAATAAGGCAAAGGAGGCAGAGACTATAGAAAAGAACTGAGAATGGCAACAAAGATTTGCTTTGGATAATTTCAGACAGTTCCGAAATTATTACAAAGGCATCAGTCACCCTCGTGTCTATCACTCCACCAATCTGACCACCAACTTAACTCCTTCCCCTACTACAGTCCACCTCAAGATGTTGTTCTGTGGGAACATGCTTCCTAGTTTACAATAAGAGTCTTGGGATTCCCTTGTATGATCAATACTGCTGCTGATGCTAAAGACTCATGCCACTAGGTACCTAAGGTCAGTCTAACCATGTATCTTGAGTAATCCCCTCCATGCCTGAAAAGAACATATGCTAAAGCACTAAAATCTGCCATCAGCTTATCTTAATCCCATGATATTCTTTTCATATCACTCAAAAACACACAGTGGTATAAAAACGTAACCTACAGTGGAGAAAAGGACTGGCAAATACCATTCTTAGATCTCCCCTCTATGAGGGGTACAGCAAGATTTAGTTACCCTGCCTAAGACTAGTAACTGGAAAGGCGAAGGGGAATAACTACAAATGCCACTAACATTTACTGAGTTCCTACAGTGTGTCAGACCCTATATCAAAATACCGTATACAATCGTTTCCTCCTTATCCATGGGGGACATGTTCCAAGATCCCAAGTAGACACCTGAAACCAACAATAGTACTAAACCCTATATACAGTATGTTTTTTCCTATACAAAAGGTTCCCCCAAGTAATGTTGCTTCATTTTAATACTGATGAGAAAAAAAAAAAAACTTGATTCCCAGCTGGGGCCACTGTCTATATATGTGTAGAGTTGGCCCATTCTCCCTACGTCTGTGTGGGTTTTCTCCCCAGTACTCCAGTTTCTTCCCACATCCCAAAGCTATGTCCATTAGGTGGACTGGCATGTCTACATGGTTCCTTTCTGAGTGAGTGTGGGTGGGTGTGTGAGTGCCCTGCAATAGAGTGGTTTCCTGTCCAGAGCTGGTTCCTCCTGAGGCCTTGAGGGCTTAAGCTGCCAGAAGAGCCTCTGGCCAGCTGTAGCACTTAACTAGAATAATTGGGTAAATAATTATCTTACTTGTTTTATTAATATTTCTTAAATGTATGTATCACTAACATTCATTTCAATGTTTAACATTAGAAAAGTTTTTATCTTTATTTAGAAGTTGGTGATGTTTTTAGGACCAGAAATATGCCATAAGAAATGAACTCTTGCTTATATCAATTAGCCTATGGTAAAACTGGTTTCATTACATGTTGTTTCACTTAAAGTCAGTTTCTAAGAACCCATCCATGATGCTAAGTGAGAACTTACTGTATGTACACATCTATGATAAAGTTTAATTTATAAATTAGGCACACTAAGAGATTAGCAATAACTAATAATAAAATAGAACTATAACAATATATAGTAATAAAAGTTATGTGAATATGGTCCCCCTCTCTCTCCCTCTCTTAAAACCTTATAGTACTGTACTCATAAATTTTTTTACTTAGTTGCCATAAGTAACTGAAACAGTAAAAAAATCAAAACCATAGATAAGAAGGGGGACTACTGTATGCTCTATCTCCTATAATCCTTACAGTAGCCCCACAGGTATACACAATTATTCACATTGTGTAAGTAAAAGAAGTAAAGTAGGACCAGGCATGGTGGCTTACACCTGTAATCCCAGCACTTTGGGAGACCGAGGCAGGCAAATTGCTTGAGCCCAAGAGTTGAGACCAGCCTGGGCAACATGACGAAATCGTGTCTCTACAAAAAAAAAAATTAGCCAGCTGTGGTGGTGTGTGCCTGTGGTCCCAGCTAATCGGGAGGCTGAGGTTGGAGGACTGCTTGAGCCCAGAAGGCGGGGGTGAAAGTGAGCCACTGCACTGCAGCCTGGGTGACAGAGCAAGACCCTGTGTTAAATGAACAAAAAAGAACTGAAGTGAAAAACTAGGTTAAGTATTGGTCCAAGTTTACATAGCTAGTAGAGTAGAGCACAATCTTAAACCAAATTCTATTGGCACCAAAACTGAATGCTTTTCATCAGTAAAGCAGCAGAGACCAGAAACACTTAACACTTAGGACGTCTGTGTTGGACTTTCTTTAATATAATATTTCTCAATGTTAGTCAAATACATTTGATTAATTCCATTTCTGTCTTTGTCAGTCCCTACTTTCCCAAGCCTTGCTCAGCTCTATGCTGTGAAGACATTTACTACCTGCACAACATCTATGAAGACCTTCACTTACTTCATACTTTTATAATATAAACATTCATTAAGTGGATAGGCCAGACAATGATCCAAAACTGTAGGTGTAGCAGTGAACTTACATTTAGGGAAAAAAAACTGCAACCTCTGCCCATCATATTTCTGAGGCAATCCTTAGCAGAATTAAGAGTAATTTAAGTGGAAGGGACCTGTATAATCCTGCTGCCCCAAGCCTAGTATGCGGTAAGCTCTAAGCACTCTTGCTTCTGATATGCATGGCCTTGACAGCTGGACTTCCGCCTGGAGTTCCCAAGAATACTCCAGTCTCATTTCCTTCTCTGTAGTTTTCAGTATTTTTTTCAATTGTCTACAATGAGCAAATTTTACATTTATAAACAGGAAACATACCAAATTTTATTCTCAAAAACCCATTATTAGCTAGTGGCAACTTACCTATCTGAGCTAGAACCCAACCTATAATGCATCTTAATACTCAGGGATCCTGGAGCTACCTCTATACAGGTGGGGGATAAAGAATTCACCTGTCAGCCGGGCGCAGTGGCTGACGCCTGTAATCCCAGCACTTTGCGGGGCCAAGGCGGGTGGATCACCTGAGGTTAGGAGTTAGAGACCTGGCCTAGCCAACAAGGTGAAACCCCATCTCTACTAATAATATAAAAATTAGCTGGATGTGGTGGCGCACGCCTGCAATCCCAGCTACTCAGGAGGCTGAGAGGCAGGAGAATTACTTGAACTTGGGAGGCGGAGGTTGCAGTGAGCTGAGACCCCACCATTGCACTCCAGCCTGGGCAACAAGAGTGAAACTTCGTCTCAAACAATAAATAAATAAATAAATTCATCTGTCCAAACCACAAAAATGGGAGAAAATTCCTGGAAATCACATATTTGATAAATAATGTATATAAAGGATATATAAAGAACTCTTAAAACTCAATAATGAAAAAACAGCTCAATAAAAACCGGGCAAAAAATATGAACAGCCACTTCACCTAGCAAGATACATGAACAGCAAACCACCACAAGGAAAATGACCCATATCATCAGTCAACAAGGAAAAGTAAATTAGAATCTCAATGAGATACCATTATATACCTATTAAAATATTTAAAATTAAAAAGATTTGCCCCGGTCAGGTACAGGGGCTCACATCTGTAATTCCAGTACTTTGGGAGGCTGAGGTAGGCAGATCACTTGAGGCCAGGAGCTCATGACCAGCCTGGGCAACGTGGCAAAACCCCATCTCTACTACAAAAAAATACAAAAATCAGCCAGGTGTGGTGGCGTGTGCCTGAGGTCCCAGCTATTCGGCAGGCTGAAATGGGAGGATTGCTTGAGACCAGGATGTCGAGCATGCAATGAGGCAAGATCATGCCACTGCACTCCAGCCTGGGTGACAGGGCTATGAGACCCTATCTACAAAAACAAACAAACAAACAAACAAACAAACAAAAAACACTTTCCCAAGTGTTGGCAAAGGGCAAAGATATGGAGCAACTGGAACTCTTGTACACTTGTGGTAGAAGGGTAATATGGTACAGCCACTGTGGACAACAGTTTGGCAGTTTCTTAAAAACATAAACATATATCCACCATATAACTTAGCCCTTAGGAAATGAAAACGTAGGTCCACACTTGTATACAAATGTTGTAACAACTTTTTTTTTAATAACCAAAAAATGGAAACAACCCAAATGTCCAATAACAGGTAAATGGATTTTTAAAAACTGCCATATGCATCCCATTCGGTAGTAAAAGGGAAACAAAATAGTGATACATGCTACAACATGCAACGATCTCAAAAAAAAAAAAAGCTGATGGAAAGAAGCCAGACAAT
Organism: Homo sapiens; assembly: GCF_000001405.40. Lineage (NCBI taxonomy): Eukaryota > Metazoa > Chordata > Mammalia > Primates > Hominidae > Homo > Homo sapiens. The sequence goes on along the minus strand of NC_000007.14, from coordinate 7,665,800 downwards.
ATAAAAGTTCATACTATATGATTCCATTTATATAAGCTTCTCAAAAATACAAACTAGTGTACAGTGAAAGAAAGTATATCAGAGGTTGCCTGGGGAGGGGAGGAACACAGAGGGAACAAAGGAAGGAGGGATGACAAGGGAGTAGCAGGAAACTCTTGGAAGTGATGGGTATGTTCATTATCTTGACAGCAGTGACTGTTTCAGCAGTATAAGCACACATCAAAACTCATCAAATTGTATATTTTCAATGTGTTACTGATCCAATCTCAATAAAGTTCTTTAAAAATTTATTGACACAATTAGATGTCACATGTAAGTTTTAGTTCACAATTATTGGGAAAATTGTCTCAAATCTCTTAACCCACTTTGTGTTACAGGGACAGTCTTTATATAAAAAGCAAAATGTTTCTTTTCTGCATGCATCACACAAAACTAGAAAATAAAAGGACACTGTATTGACTTTTAATGGTATACACAGACTGCGTATAAAAGGGCCTGCCTAATTGCTTAGCAGGGCAGATCCTATTGTTCAGAATAGAGGTAGGAGAGCACTAGAATATATTTCTTTTTTCCTATTACTCCAAGGCTTCCCTTTTAAGTAATATTATCCATGACAAAAGGATTAGGCAACATGGTTTTCTCAATTTGATTATCTCCTTTGAATTTCAACAGACTACTAGTTAATGTAAATATATCAAATAGACTAAAATTCCTGTGTGATTGATGCAGCTACTGTCTATAGACAGAATAATGTAAATACATGTGTATGAATGTGTGTGTGTGTGTATATATATATATCTATATATCACCCACACACATTTTATTCCAAATACAATAAATATGTAAATTTCACAGTGCTGAAAAATTAAAATCCTGAACGATGTTTAACCTTCCTCCTTTTGTACAGTGAAATGCATGATTATGCAAATATAAAAATTTAGACAACAAGTTTACTAATTTCTCCTCAGAGATACCAATACAGTACAGAGGAAGGTAGGCCATGCTTTTGGTAGCTTTAATCTTGAGTGATAAGAATACACAACCTAAAACAACGCTAGAAAGCATAAAACATTCCAGAAAGATCAATGTGAATTAGAACTCTGGTAGGCTGCGCAGACTAGGTAGCCTTGAGTTTAACTTCATCTGATGTGTATAAACAAAGAAGAGAAGGAAGGCCTTTCCTGTAGGAAGGATCAACATGAACAAAAAGCATAGTGGGTATAGAGGAAAGCAAAGAGATTAACCTCACTAGAGGAAGGAACCATGTAGATAAGCAACAGAAATCAAGACTGCAAAAGAAGGGAAGAAATAAATTACTGAAGAGTTGTAAGCGTCAGGAAAGTGTCAGCATATTCAGAGTGGCAAAACAGGATTTGTTGGACATTACTGGGCAGTCTGGAGTCTTGAGCAAAGTATTTAAGAGAGATTAAATGTAAAATAGCATGCTAGAGAGACTGAGAAGAGCCTGGAGCCAAGAAGTTAAGACAGTTGTACTGAAACGGGACTGGATTAAGATGGGTGAAGTTTGAATGAGAAAAGAAGGGATGTACAGAAATGATATGGAAAAGTGGTATTATGAATAAGAAAAGGAAAAGTAGGGGACTTTATCTTAAGAGAAGAAAATAATAGTAAATTCCATTTCAATCTGATTTTCCAAGACAAACTGGAAATCCAGCTATTATGTAAAAATCTAGGTTTTAAATAATAGCAAGAAATTCACGATGTTTACAAATACTGTGCAGATGGTAGAAATCCTCTAAAACTGGACTTGGCCTTCAGGTGGCAAAGTGTTTTAGACCTAGGTTAGGAATTAATAGCCTAAATCTAATCAGTAGAAGGAAAAATTGTTTAATACTTTAGAATTCAGTAGATTTCCTGGCTAGCTCACCCATTCAGGTTATTCCCACCTTTGCTTGTTTTGACTAGGCTATTTTATAAATCTGTAGGAATAGGAGATCAGTTGTATAAAACTGATAGTCATGCATGTAATTCCTATCCATAAAAATGCTTCTGGTAAAATGCATTCGTTATTGCCCCGGGGATACTAACCAATTTTGCATCCATTTATAAATTTTACATTCCTTATTTGCCTATCAGTGTGTGATGAGGCTTTGAGTTCTCTTTTGAACCAGTTGCAGTATCTCACTAGTTCTCTCCTTAATTAACAAGTTCAGTATTTAACAGATTTTAGATTCATAGTAGAGACCTGATTTAATCCTCTTTTAAAATTTATCCTTTAGTATCAGTTAGACTACTAATTAGTATTACATAAAGACTCTCCCCCTGTTTTTCCGTCCCACCTAGGTTTTTTATTTTGTAGTTTTTGATATTGGTGTAATGGGGAAGAGGTACAGATGCCTGAGAGGATAAGCAAGAGAAGACATTTAAACTGATGTCACTTTTCAGCTCCACAGAACAGCTTGGAAACTAATTAATTAAATTGATTAACATAAATTTTACTTCCACCTCTCTTATTTATGCTCAGACTTTTAAAAAATGAAAGAAAAACAAAGAAAGAAAAAACTATCTTAGATTTAGGTGTTTGCTTCAAACTGCAAGTTCCAACCCTTGAGTGGAAGTAAACAATTTAGCAGGTCAAGACCAGACTTTTTTTTTTTAATGGAATGAAATAGGAAGAAAAAAAAAGTAGGGGAAGAGGGAAAGAAGGCAAAAAGATTGAGAGCATTATACATGGTAACTAATGCTTTATAAACTTTCGCATTTGGGTGCCTGTGCTGGGTTATAATAAGAAATCTATTTTCTAGTTTGGGCTACAGGCAAAAAAGGCTTTTTCAAAGCACTCACACACTTCTTTAAATTTTTTTGAGAAAATTATGTACTTTTTAATTTCACATCTAAAACTTTCCATTGAAAATTATAAAGGACATAGTTTCTAGCATACTATAAATATTTACATGTTGAAACAAAATCATTATATCTTTCTTTTAAATTTATTCAACAAAATCTAAACACCACAACATTTTAACACTCACCATTAACCATTTTAAAAATACATGAAGAGGGGTTGCTGGCAAGATGGCCGAATAGCAACAGCTCCATCTGCAGTTCCCAGTGAGATCAACACAGAAGGCGGGAGATTTCTGAATTTCCAACTGAGGTACCCGGCTCATCTCATTGGGACTGGTTAGACAGTGGGTGCAGCCCAAGGAGGGCGAACAGAAACAGGGTGGGGTGTCGCCTCACCCAGGAGGCATAAGGGGTTGGGAAACTCCCTCCCCTAGCCAAGGGAAGCCTTGAGGGACTGTGCGGTGAGGAACAGTGCACTCCGGTCCGGATACTACGCTTTTCCCACGGTCTTCGCAACCCACAGACCAGGAGATTCCCGCCGGTGCCTATGCCACCACGGACCTGGGTTTTAAGCACAAAACTGGGCGGCCATTTAGGCAGACATCGAGCTAGCTGCAGGAGTGTTTTCTTTTTTCATACCCCACTGGCCCCTAGAACGCCAGCAAAACAGAACCATTCACTGCCCTGGAAAGGGGGCTGAAGCCAGGGAGCCAAGTGGTCTAGCTCAGTGGATCCCAACCCCATGGAGCTCAGCAAGCTAAGATCCACTGGCTTGAAATTATCGCTGCCAGCACAGCAACCTGAAGCTGACCTGGGACACTCGAGCTTGGTGGGGGGAAGGGCATCTGCCATTACTGAGGCTTGAGTGGGCCGTTTTCCCCTCACAGTGTAAACAAAGATGCCGGGAAAGATCCAACTGGGCACAGCCCTCCACAGCTCAGCAAAGCCGCTGTAGCCAGACTGCCTCTCTAGATTCCTCCTCTCTGTGTAGGGCATCTCTGAAAGAAAGGCAGCAGCCCCAGTCAGGGGCTTATAAACAAAACTCCCATCTCCCAGGGACAGAGCACCTCGGGGGAAGGGGCAGCTGTGGGTGCAGCTTCAGCAGAATTAAACGTCCCTGCCTGCCAGCTCTGAAGAAAGCAGTACATCTCCCAGCACAGCATTCAAACTCTGCTAAGGGTCAGACTGCCTCCTCAAGTGGGTCCCTGACACCCATGTCTCCTGACTGGGAGACACCTCCCAGCAGGGGCCGACAGACACCTCATAGAGGAGAGCTCTGGCTGGCATCTGGTGGGTGCCCCTCTGGGACAAAGCTTCCAGAGGAAGGAACGGGCAACAATCTTTGCTGTTCTGCAGCCTCTGCTGATGATCCCTAGGCAAACAGGGTCTCGACTGGACCTCCAGCAAACTTCAGCAGACCTGCAGCACACGGGCCTGTCAGAAGGAAAACTAACAAACAGAAAGGAGGAGCATCAACATCAACAAAATGATGTCCACTCAGAAACCCCACTGAAAGGTCACCAGCATCAAAGGCCAAAGGTAGATGAATCCACAAAGATAGGGACAAACCAGCGCAAAAAGGCGGAAAATTCCAAAAACCAGAATGCCCCTTCTCCTCCAAAGGATCATAACTCCTCAGCAGCAAGGGAACAAAAATGGTGAGTTTGACAAATTGAAAGAAGGAGGCTTCAGAGATGGGTAATAACAAACTCCTCTGAGCTAAAGGAGCATGTTCTAACCCAACGCAAGGAAGCTAAGAACCTTGGAAAAAAAGGTTAGATGAATTGCTAACTAGAATTACCAGTTTAGAGAAGAACATAAATGACCTGCTGGAGCTGAAAAACACAGCACAAGAACTTCCTGAAGCATACACAAGTATCAATAGCCGAATCAATCAAGTGGAAGAAAGGATATCAGAGATTAAAGATCAACTTAATGAAATAAAGCATGAAGACAAGATTAGAAAACAAAACAAAAAAAAAACAATCAAAAGGAATGAACAAAGCCTCCAAGAAATATGGGACTATGTGAAAAGACCAAATCTACATTTGATTGGCGTACCCGAAAGTGACAGGGAGAATAGAACCAAGTTGGAAAACACTCTTCAGGATATTATCCAGGAGAACTTCTCCAACCTAGCAAGACAGGCCAACATTCAAATTCAGGAAATACAGAGAACACCACAAAGATAATCCTCGATAAGAGCAACCTCAAGACACATAATTGCCAGATTCACCAAGGTTGAAATGAAGGAAAAAATGTTAAGGGCAGCCAGAGAGAAAGGCTGGGTTACCCACAAAGGGAAGTCCATCAGACTAACAGTGGATCTCTCTGCAGAAACCCTACAGGCCAGAAGAGAGTGGGGCCAATAGTCAACATTCTTAAAGAAAAGAAGTTTCAACACAGAATTTCATATCCAGCCAAACTAAGCTTCATAAGCAAATGAGAAATAAAATCCTTTACAAACAAGCAAATGCTGAGAGATTTTGTCACCATGAGGCCTGCCTTACAAGAACTCCTGAAGGAAACACTAAACATGGAAAGGAACAACAGGTACCAGCCACTGCAAAAACATACCAAATTGTAAAGACCATCAACACTATGAAGAAACTGCATCAACTAACTGGAAAAATAACCAGCTGGCATAATAATGGCAGGATCAAATTCACACATAACATTATTAACCTGAAATGTAAATGGGCTAAATGCCCCCAATTAAAAGACACAGACTGGCAAATTGGATAAAGAGTCAAGATCCATCAGTATGTTGTATTCAGGAGACCCATCTCATGTGCAAAGACACACATAGGCTCAAAATAAAGGGATGAAAGAATATTTACCAAGCAAATGGAAAGCAAAAAACAGCAGGGTTTGCAATCGTAGTCTCTGATAAAACAGACTTTAAACCAACAAAGATCAAAAGAGACAAAAAGAGCATTACATAATGGTAAAGGGATCAATGCAACAAGAAGAGCTAACTATCCTAAATATATATGCCTCCAATACAGGATCACCCAGATTCATACAGCAAGTTCTTAGAGACTTACAAAGAGACTTAGACTCCAACACAATAATAGTGGGAGACTTTGACAACTCACAGTCAATATTAGATACATCAACGAGACAGAAAATTAACAAGGATATTCAGGACTTGAACTTGGCTCTGGACCAAGCAGACCTAATAAACATCTACAGAACACTCCACCCCAAATTAACAGAATATGCATTCTTCTCAGCACCACATCATACTTATTCTAAAATTGACCACATAATTGGAAGTAAAACACTCCTCAGGAAATGCAAAAGAACGGAAATCATAACAGTCTCTCAGACCACAGTGCAATCAAATGAGAGCACAGGATTAAGAAACTCACTCAAAACTGCACAACTACATGGAAACTGAACAACCTGCTCCTGTATGACTACTGGGTAAATAACGAAATTAAGGCAGAAATAAAGATGTTCTTTGAAACCAATGAGAACAAAAATATAAGGTACCAGAATCCCTGGGACACATCTAAAGCAGTGTTTAGAGGAAAATTTATAGCACTAAATGCCAACAAGAGAAAGTGGGAAAGATCTAAAATCGACACCCTAACGTCATAATTAAAAGAACTAGAGAAGCAAGAGCAAACAAATTCAAAAGCTAGCAGAAGACAAGAAATAACTAAGATCAGAGCAAAAATGAAGGAGATAGAGACATGAAAAACCCTTCGAAAAATCAATGAATCCAGGAGCTGGCTTTTTTAAAAGATCAACAAAATAAAAAGACTGCTAGCAAGACCAATAAAGAAGAAAAGAGAGAAGAATCAAATAGATGCAATAAAAAATGATAAAGGGGATATCACCATTGATCCCACAGCAATACAAACTACCATCAGAGAATACTATAAACAAGCTACGCAAATAAACTAGAAAATCTAGAAGAAATGGATAAATTCCTGGACACATACACCTTCCCAAGTCTAAACCAGGAAGAAGTCGAATCCCTGAATAGACCAATAACAAGTTCTGAAATTGAGGCAGTAATTAATAGCCTACCAACCAAAAAAAGTCCAGGAACAGATGGATTCACAGCCAAATTCTACCAGAGGTACAAACAGGAGCTGGTACCATTCCTTCTGAAACTATTCCAAACAATAGAAAAAAAGGGGCTCCTCCCTAACTCATTTTATGAGGCCAGCATCATCCCGACACCAGGCAGAGATACAACAAAAAAAGAAAATTTCAGGCCAACATTCCTGATGAATATCGATGCAAAAATACTCAATAAGATACTGGCAAACTGAATCCAACAGCACATCAAATAGCTTATCCACCACAATCAAATCAGCTTCATCAATGGGATGCAAGGCTGGTTCAACATACACAAATCAATAAACGTAATCCAGCATATAAACAGAGTCAATGACAAAAACCACATGACTATCTCAATAGATGCAGAAAAGGCCTTCGATAAAATTCAACAGCCCTTCATACTAAAAACTCTCAAAAAACTAGGTATTGATGGAATGTATCTCAAAATAATAAGAGCTATTTATGACAAACCCACAGCCAATATCATACTGAATGGGCAAAAACTGGAAGCATTCCCTTTGAAAACTGGCACAAGGCAAGGATGCCCTCTCTCACCACTCCTATTCAACACAGTATTAGAAGTTCTGGCCAGGGCCATCAGGCAAGAGAAAGAAATAAGGGGTATTCGAATAGGAAAAGAGGAAGCCAAATTGTCTCTGTTTGCAGATGACATGATTGTATATTTAGAAAACCCCATCGTCTCAGCCCAAAATCTCCTTAAGCTGATAAGCAACTTCAGCAAATTCTCAGGATACAAAATCAATGTGCAAAAATCACAAGCATTCCTATACACCAATAATAGACAAACAGAGAGCCAAAGCATGAGTGAACTCCCATTCACAATTGCTACAGAGAATAAAATACCTAGGAATCCAACTTACAAGGGACATGAAGGACCTCTTCAAGAAGAATTATAAACCACTGCTCAAGGAAATAGGAGAGGACACAAACAAATGGAAAAACATTCCATGCTCATGGATAGGAAGAATCAATATCATGAAAATGGCCATACTGCCCAAAGTAATTTACAGATTCAATGCTATCCCCATCAAGCTACCATTGACTTTCTTCACAGAATTAGAAAAAACTACTTTAAATTTCACATAGAACCAAAATAGAGCCCACATAGCCAAGATAATCATAAGCAAAAAGAACAAAGCTGGAGGCATCACACTACCTGACTTCAAACTATACTACAAGACTACAGTAACCAAAACAGCATGGTATGGGTACCAAAACAGAGATATACACCAATGGAACAGAACAGAGCCCTCAGAAATAATACCACACATCTACAACCATCTGATCTTTGACATACCTGAAAAAAACAAGCATGGGGAAGGGACTCCCTATGTAATAAATGCTGTTGGGAAAACTGACTAGCCATATACAGAAAACTGAAACTGGACTGCTCCCTTACACCTTATACAAAAATTAACTCAAGATGGATTAAAGACCTAAACGTAAGACGTAAAATCATAAAAACCCTAGAAGAAAACCTAGGCAATACCATTCAGGACATAGGCATGGGCAAAGACTTCATGACTAAAACACCAAAAGCAACGGCAACAAAAGCCAAAATTGACAAATGGGATCTAATTAAGCTAAAGAGCTTCTGCACAGCAAAAGAAACTATCATCAGAGTGAACTGGCAACCTACAGAAAGGGAGAAAATTTTTGTGATCTATCCATCTGACAAAGGGCTAATACCCAGACTCTAGAAAGAATTTAAACAAATTTACAAGAAAAAAACAACCCCATCAAAAAGTGGGCAGAAGATATGAACTGACACTTCTCAAAAGAAGACATTTATGCAGACAACAAACATATGAAAAAAAGCTCATCATCACTGGTCATTAGAGAAATGCAAATCAAAACCACAATGAGATACATTCTCACGCCAGTTAGAATGGTGATCATTAAAAAGTCAGGAAACAACAGATGCTGGAGAGGATGTGTAGAAATAGGAAGGCTTTTAACACTGTTGGTGGAAGTGTAAATTAGTTCAACCATTGTGGAAGTCAGTGTGGTGATTCCTCAAGGATCTAGAAACAGAAATACCATTTGACCCAGCAATCCCATTACTGGGTATATACCCAAAGGATTATAAATCATTCTACCATAAAGACACATGCGCACGTATGTTTATTGCAGCACTGTTCACAACAGCAGACTTGGAACCAAACCAAATGCCGATCAATGATAGACTGGATAAAGAAAATGTGGCACATATACACCATGGAATAGTATACAGCCATAAAAAAGAATGAGTTCATATCCTTTGCAGGGACATGGATGAAGCTGGAAACCATCATTCTCAGCAAACAAACACAAGAACAGAAAACCAAACACCACATGTTTTCACTTATAAGTGGGAGTTGAGCAATGAGAACACATGGACACAGGGAGGGGAACATCACACACTGGGGCCTGTCATGGGGTGGAAGGCTAGGGGAGGAATAGCATTAGAAGAAATACCTAATGTAGATGACAGATTGATGGATGCAGCAAACCACCATGGCACGTGTATACCTATGAAACAAACCTGCACGTTCTGTACATGTACTCCAGAACTTTAAGTATAATAAAACAAAAAAAAAATTTTTTTAAATACATGAACAAGTTCTTTACTAACAGCAAGAGACTTTACATTGTTCTTTTTTCTCCTTCAACTCGTATTTCCACTCCACTTCCACCCTCAGAACCACGCAGCTTTTACAATGGTGTATACAGAAGAATAAAAGTAGTGGCGGTAACCTCACTTTTAAGAGAGCCTGTCCTGGCCAGGCGCAGTGGCTCATGCCTGTAATCTCAGTACTTTGGGAGGCAGAGGCAGGCGGATCACCTGAGGTTGAGAGTTTGAGACCAGCCTGACCAACATGGAGAAACCCCGTCTCTACTAAAAATACAAAATTAGCCAGGCATGATGGCGCATGCCTGTAATCCCAGCTACTCGGAAGGCTGAGGCAGGAGAATCGCTGGAACCCAGGAGGTGGAGGTTGCAGTGAGCCAAGATCACACCATGGCATTCCAGCCTGGGGAACAAGAGCGAAACTCTGTCTCAAAAACAAAAACAAAGAGAGAGAGAGAGAGAGACTGTCCTAAATATATACACTTACTATATACCTACAAAAATATTTTTTAAATTAAAATACATAAAAAAGAGCCTGTCCTCTAATTTAACACTCCTAATCTTTTCATTCGTCCCCTAAATGTAATGTCACATCATACACATATATAGCATCCATTAAAAAGGGAAGTTATATGAGTTAATAAAACTTCTCTAATATAACCTTATAGATGCTTTCAGCCAACTGAGAATTTAAATGTTATTACTTTTAGCCAAAACAGCACAGCTAAAATACTTAGGAAGTTGGAAGATGGTGAGCTACAAATCAATTATAGAGCATCAAGCCAGGGAGGACTCTGGAGGAATGCAGAGGGTTCCAGAGAACTTCACTGTATAGGGTTCAACAGGAGCCAAACTGAAACTTTTCATTTAATTTATTTTATTTTTTCTTGATCCTCATAATTTCAATCATTTTCTTATTTTACTTTATACTAAATTAAAGGCAGGAAAAGCTTTTTCCAAATGAGACACGTGGATTTCAAACATGAAATCCTTAAACGCAATACAGGAAATCCTAGGTGAAAAGAGTACTGGGGGAAGGGGCAGTCTAGTTTATTCCCACGACTGGATGACTTTTAATGGCTGGCTCTGTCTGCCATGGAGAGCAGGCCAGAGGCATCATTTGATAATCTCAACTGCCAGCTACTCATCATTAGCATGTAAGATATCTACTACCAGGAACTGTCTGGAATCATTGCTGTTACTATAACAGTAAATCCTGCTAGCATAGCAAGCATTACATAATCCAGAATTACTAATTTTCTAGAATAGAGTGGGCCCACCAGATCCATAGGTCCTGCAATCCTACTATGAAGCAAAAATAGTCAAAAAAATAAAAAACAGTACAACAATTAAAAATATCACAAATTTTTTTTTTTTTTTTGAGACAGAGTCTTACTCTGTCACTCAGGCTGGGTTACAGGGGCACAATCTTGGCTCACTGCAATCTCTGCCTCCAGGTTCAAGCGATTCTCCTGCCTCAGCCTCCAGAGTAGCTGGGATTACAGGCACCCGCCACCACACCTGGCTAATTTTTGTATTTTTTAGTAGAGATGGGGTTTCACCATATTGGCCAGGCTGGTCTCGAACTCCTAGCCTCAAGTGATCAGCCCACCTTGTGCTCCCAAAGTGCTGGGATTACAAGCATGAGCCACCGCACCCAGCCCAAATTTTAAAATATAACTATTTACACAGAGTTAGATATTCTAAGGAATTTAGGGATAAAGCATATGGGAGGATGTACAAAGGCTATATACAAATACTATACCATTTAATAAAAGGCACTTGAGCATCTGTGGATTTGGGTATCAGCAGGAAGTCCTGGAACCAATCCCCTAGGGATACCGAAGGATAACTGTACTGTCTCTACAGAATCACTTCCCATATCCATATGATAAAGTCATCTTGAAAACTAACAACTTCACCTAAGAAAATTTTAGAACAGAACCTCCCCTCTTGTCAGATCCTATTTCCATCACTGAATACAGATGGCCTCACTTGGGTAAAACAGACGTCAAACAATTTTACTCTCCTCCATTACTTTGTAAATAAATTTGAGCCTCAAAGTATCTACTAGAGAATAGTCAGGGAAGGTTTTGGTTTTGTTGTTGATGGATTTAAGGATCTGTGTTTGTTTTCTTTTTAATTGAATGCCCTATGGTCCTATGGTTTTCAGAATCAAGAAGGGTAGCCTAGCAGTGATAAGAAATGACTGCTTTTTTCTCTACTGCTTCTTATTCACAATATGAAAAACAGAACGGAATAATAAAGTCTCCCCTCAATCTACTAATTTAGGGGGGAAATCTCATATTACATTGGACCAAGGTTTCTCAATCTCTCCACTCTAAGCATTTGGGATCAGGTAATTCTTTGTTGTGGGAGGCTGTCCTTAGCACTGTATCATGTTTAGCACCATCTCTGGCTTTAACCCACTAAGTGCCTTCCTATCCCCCAGCTGTGACAACCAAAAATGCCTGCAGACATTGCAAAATGTCTCCTAGGGGACAAAACCGCCCCTGGTGGAGAACCAAGACATTACAAGAAAGGGACTTCTTTTTCAACATTAACCACTCAGCAGCACTCTCTAGGTAAAGACATTCCCCTAGGTCTGGGAGCGTCAGACTTCACCTGAGAACTCTCAGAATACTGCCCTTTTCTTCAGTGTGAACAATGACAGTGAATAATAAAAAATGTGTTGTAACTCCTCTGTGAATGGGTATGATCACCTAGTGCGTGATGCACTTCAGTCAGAAAACATCTTAATTTCAAGAGGTTTTTTTTGTAATGCTATACATGTGAAAACCACAGTTTTTTTCCTAAAGAAGGATGCTAACTAGCATCCTTAGAAGATAAGGTTTAGAAGATAAGATTACTGCCTTTTTGAGAGCTTATAAACAAACTGCACTAAGAATTTATCATTTGGATCTCAATCACTGACAAAGAAGGCAATTTACAGCCTTTAGTGTCATCTTGAGTCATCTAAATTAATGATACAGTGACACATTTATATGTTTTAGGAAAGTTACAAATATAACTGCATAACTGCCACAAACCATTTTGATTTGAGTGTAAATAACACTACTGTACAAGAAGAATTTCTGAAGCAACTTCATTTGGTGTTGCATTTTGAAAATGAAAAAACACCCTGCAAAAGAATTCAGACAACTCTAACAAAAAGCATCTCTCCACATAAAACAAATATCATAAAACACATCTAAATAATGTCCTAAGGGAGAATTAAGTCATGGGATGTGAGGTCACACCTCTTTACAACTCTCTAGAGCACTGGGGAGCAAGAATAAATGTAAAAATAAATAAAACATTATTCAGTATGGGTCTTTAAAATATTCTATTTGCTCGCTCATTTTAATGTTTACACAAAATAGAAGCCATCACATTCAACATCCAGAAAGAATCACTCCCTAAACTGCCAACTAAAAATTATTTGACTTTCAATATAGCCTGACTGCATCATCAGAAGGCTTACTACTTCCTCCCCATTGAAGAACAAACTTCTTTTAACACTCAGTCATTTGTTTGTTCACTATTTAATTCATTCAACCAACATCTTTTGAGGGCCCAAAATTGGCCAGGCACTGTGGTAGGCCCTAGACAAACAAAATTAGACAAGTCACTTTCTCCAAATTCACGGAATTAACCAATCTACTTCCTGCCTCTTTATCCTACTTCTCTACCACCTCTCACAATGTCAATGGGCACAAAGCAAGGTGCTAAGTCCTGTATAAAACCAGCATCAACCATGCATTAACCATGCAAAATGTTACTCACATTCTAGTCTAGTCAAAAATATTGCTAGCTGTCTAATGACTTGCTTCAGACTGCTGAGTAAACAAGACAGCCAGCTGTTTTACAACAAAATGTATGTAAAGAAACACACTAAAAAAATTGGTAATAACTATATCAACTGAAAATCAGAGACCATATCTCAAAGTCTGAGTCAAACTTCCACGAACTGCATGATCAATGGGTATTGACCAAGAAGTACAATCGACCAAGAGTATACTGCTTTACTCGGAAATCCTATCAAAGGAATGAATAAATGGCCAAGTGAGCAAACGAGCAATGTAAAACAGGAGCATGAACCACAAAGAAGATGTGGAAAATACTTTGTCCATCCCCACTGCCTGAGCTTAATTATAAAATACAAGAGCTATATCTACCAGAAAAAAAGACTGCCAGACATCCCACTGCATGGAGACCCCAAAGTCTTACAGGACTAGATTTCCTCCCTTCCTTCTACCCCTCCCTGACAAGATCTTCTCCCACTTCCATTCAGAAGTCACAGCTCTTGCAAGGGGAGAGAGGGAGGAGTCAGGAGGGCAGTGGTTTGAATGGTGTGTAACTGCCCAAGGAGGACTCTGTAAAACAGAGTACAAGACAGGAAAAACTCTGAGCAGAAGAAAGAAAGAAGGTTGAATTTCAAGTTCAAAGAACTGTAAACTGCTCCTAATTCTTCAACTCACTCACAGACCTTTTAAAATCTGAGTCTCGGAAGACCCAATTTCCACCCAGCAGAGTCACATATGATGAATGCCTGTTAGCCTTTGGGAATTGAGTGAACCAGGAAATGTGTACATCCCTCTGACTTTCAGGACCAGACTCAGAAACAAGAAGCTGCCAGCAATAAAAAGTTAAGTGAGGGAGACTAAAGTAATCTGACACAGTCTCTCCTTCAATTAGAGATCACCAGAATGAGATCAACATGAGGATGGAAAAATACGTACCCAAAGCAATGGCCATAGGGAAAATAATATGGACAGGAGGCAGGAAAATACGAGACAGAAGAGGACAGTTCCCTGGCAAAGGCCCCAGCCTCAAGCCTGAAAACCTACAGCCCTAAATGGGAACAGGCATTCCTGTTTCCATACCCAAATGTTGCCTTTTGGCCTGCCACACCCTCCATCCTGTACCCTTATAAACCCCAAACCCCAGCCAAAAGACAAGCCAAGCCCACCCTTGTCACAAGTCCTGCAAGGAGGTTCAGGGAACTCTCCAACATTAGCTCTAGTACTAACATATACTTTTGTGGATTTGTAGATCCTTGTCCTTTCTGGTTTCTATGTAATTTTTGAAATCTTTTATTGATTTAGCCATATATTTTTAAAAATATTTAATCCAACTTTTTTAGATGGACTGTACAGGGAGTGATTTCTCTGAATGTCTGATTTGCTATATTACCAGAAAAATGTGCTCTGGTATTGCTTTGGGCTTTCTCTTTGGCTACAGAGGGGTTGCTCAAAGGTCATGCACCTGGCTTTTTGTACCACAAATGCTCTTTTAAGAGAGCAAATATGGGGATTCTGCTGGTTCCTGAGTACAACAAATCTGACTATACATTAACCAAGATCTCAGTGAAGGTTATAATAAAGTGTTGGGGAGGGACAGCATTAAAGGTAAAGGTAAGCCATGGCCAGAACCTGGAATGTCTTTCTTATATGCCATGCCAAGGAGTTTGGACTTAACAGTGATGCCGGAGGAAATCACTGGATGGAGAGTGATCAGTCTGATATTTTAGGTGGACCATTCTGGGTTCAGGATGCAGAATGGCTGGATTAGTAAATCAAGGTGCGTTTGGCACAAGTAACATTGCCACTTTAACCAGCTTAAACTTTGTTTTACTTATTAACTGTGGTAATAAACATACTACATAAAATTTATCATTTAAACAATTTTTAAGTGTACGGTTTAGTGGCATTAGGTACATTCACACTGTCCTGCAGCCATCACTACCATCCTGTTACAACTGAGGATCAAGCAAATAATGAGACATGTAAGCCTACAGCAAAATCACAATTTAAAACAAAGCAGACATTACAAGAGTAAAATATTATCATTACATTAGTTTTGGAAGAAATTAACCATCCACTTAGAATTCTATACCACAGAAAGATAATAAAACTATGCTTTGAGAACTCGAATGAAATAAACACTCAGAAAAACAAACATGAACTGATGAAGCTGTAAAAATATTAAGTAAAGAAAATGATAAATATATGGGTAATTTCAAGCAAATATTAACTGCATAAAGCAATAATAATGTCTAGGCAGAGTTACAAGAACGTAAATTGTGGGATTACAAGAAATCAAAACAGAACTAAATCTCTAGACAACAGCATAAAAATTGGGAAAAGGTAAATGGAATTACAGGTTCTGTCTTGACCCAAAGTAACTTTCGACTTCAAGATTAATATGCATGCTTCTTAATCTGTCCATGCTGCTATAACAAAATACCATGAATTAGGTAACTTATAAACAGAAATTTACTTCTCACAGTCCTAGAGGCTGGAAAGTGTAAGATCAAAGCTCCAGTATATTCAGTGTCTGATGAATGCCCACTTTCTGGTTCACAGACAGCCATCTTTTCACTATAATTTCATATGGTTGAAGGAGCAAGGGATCTCTCTGACTCTTTTATAAGGGCATGAATCCAATTCATGTGCCCTCTCAAAGGCCTTACCTCCTAATACTATATGCCATCACCTTAGGGGTTAGGATTTCAGCATATGAATTGGGTGGGGGGAGAGAGACAAACATTCGGACCATGGCAGCAGGTTAAAATTTGTAGGGTGGGCCCCCCCACCAACAAGAATACAGAATGTATAACATTCAAATTAACACAGACTGATAACATTAAAGAAGAAAAAAGTAACAAAAAAATCAATGCAAAAGAAGGCAAGAAAGGAAAAAATAACAACAAAACAGAACACATAGGAAGCAAAAAACTGACGTGGAAATTAATCCTGCTGTGGTTTGAATATGTTCCCCAAAGTTCATGTGTTAGAAACTTAATTGCCAATGCAACAGTGTTGAGAGCTGGGACCTATAAAAGGTAACCAGGTTATGAGAGCTCTGACCTCATAAATGGATTAATGCCATTATTGCTAGAGTGGGTTAAGTTATTGGGGGAGTAGTTTCCTGAAAAAAAGCATTAGTTAGTCCCCTTCCCTTACATTTCTCTCATGGTCTCTTGCCTTTCTGTCTTCCTCATAACAAGCCCCTGCCAGATGTGGGTCCCTGGACCTTGGACATCCAAGCCTCTAGAACTATAAGACATCATTTCCTTTCCTTTTTTATTCTTTTCTTTTCTTTTTTTTTTTTTTTTTTTTTGAGATGGAGTCTCGCTCTTGTCGCACGGGCTGGAGTGCAGTGGCACAATCTTGGCTTACTGCAATCTCCACTTCCTGGGTTCAAGCGATTCTCCTGCCTCAGCCTCCTGAGTAGCTGGGATTACAGGCATCCGCCACCATGCCTGGCTAATTTTTGTACTTTTAGTAGAGACAGGGTTTTGCCATGTTGGCCAGGCTGGTCTCAACTCCTGACCTCAGGTGATCCACCCACCTCGGCCTCCCAAAGTGCTGGGATTACAAGTGTGAGCGACCGCGCCCGGCCTTTTTTTTTCTTTCTTTCTTTTTTGAGACAGGGTCTCACTCTGTCGCCCAGGCTGGAACACAGTGACACGATCTTAGCTCACTGCAACCTCCACCTCCTGAACTCAAGCCATCCTCCCACCTCAGCCTCCCAAGTAGCTAGGACCACAGGCACACACACCACCATGGCCAGCTAATTTTTGTATTTTTTGTAGAGATGGGCTTTCACCATGTTGCCCAGGCTTGTCTCGAACTCCTGAATTCAAGGGATCTACCTGCCTCGGCCTCCCAAAGTGCTGGGATTACAGGAGTGAGCCAATTCCCCTGCCAATTTTATTTTCTTTATAAATTACCCAGTCTGTGGTATTCTGTAATAGCAACACTACATAGACTAAGACAAATCATAATACATCAGTAGCCACAATCAATATAAATGGACAAAAGAGAGAAAAAATGAATCGCCAGCTATATGCACTATTTACAAGACAGACACACCTGGAACATAAGAATACAAAAAAAGTTAAAGCTGTCAGGCCAACACAAACACAAATAACAGAAGGGCCACACAGTATAAAGTCTATGGTTTACTGGAGAAAACTTAAGCGGAGAAAACTTAAGCAGAGAAACAGCAAATCACTCATGATCTGTCAAACGCTAGTGCTCTCTTAGAAAGGAATCCATCCCCCATACATCTAGGCAATTAAGTCCTAATGGAAATCTCCTGATTTAGAACGAAATGACTTCTTTAAGAAGAAGGAGGCCACTGGAGCCCACTGGCTGGTATCAGCCTGTTTTTACCTTCAGCTGAGACCTCCCAGGCCAGCTGTCAGCTAAGCTACAAAAGAAATGAGAAAATGAGCATTCAAGCCCATGGGTCTTGTCTCCCCTAGGTGAGATATAGGATGGAAAACGATAAGACAAATAAATTCTAACCAAAACACAGCTGGCACGTCTATAATAGTAGCAAACAACAACAACAAAAACTTTAAAGCCAAGCCAGGCACAGTGACTCACACCTGTAATCCTAGCACTCTGAGAGGCCAAGGAGGGAGGCTTGCTTGAGCCTAGCAGTTATGGACCAGCCTGGGCAACAAAGAAAGAACCCGTCTCTACAAAAGAAAGATTTTATTTTAAATTAGCTGGGTGTGATGGCACGTGCCTGCAGTCCCAGCTACTCAGAAAGCTGAGCCTTGAGCTCAGGAGTTCAAGGCTGCATTGCACCACAATCACGCCACTGCAGTCCAGCCTCAGCAACAGAGGAAGACCCTGTCTCTTAAAGAAATGTATATATATAGCAAAAGTCATCAGGGCTTCAAGGAGAAATTTGACAATGCTACCATCTATAGGCTATGTCACATATTTATCGATAATTGAGATATTAAGCAGACAAAAAGAAAACAGAATTATGTGAACAGTGCAATTTACACACTGGATCCAACAACTGGAAAATACATTTTTTTGCCAAGCACACATGAAAAATTGTCCATGTTCCTAATAAGCCTTAAAGCAAGCCTCACATAATTTCAAAGAATTAGTCTCATATAATTGCAAAGAATTAGACAAACCATACCCTCAGATTATAATGCAGTTTCACTGGGAATTATCAAAATAACTTTAATAAAACCTATACATTTTGAAACAAAAATAATGCATGGGTCAAAAAAGAAATATGCTGAAAACTAGAAAATACCTAGAACTTAATGTACACCTGCTTATAAAAACTTGTGGGAAATGTCTAAAGCTCTAGTCAAAGATAACTATAGTGATCTAAAAGGTTTTATAGGTGAACACTACCAAACACTCAATAGATAATTTCAGTTTTATGTACAATCTTGGAGAATAAATAAAAGAAACACTCCACACTAATTTCACAAAACTAGTGTAACTGATACGGACAAGCGGCAGAAGGGTGGGGTCCCTGGCGAGGGCTCCACCCTTAAGCCTGGACCCATAGCCCTAAATGTGAACAGGCTGTTTTTGCACCCAAATGTTGCCTTTTGGCCCAATATGTCACCCCTATTCTGTGCCCATATAAACCCCAAACCCCAGGCTCCATGAGCAGAAGAGTGGCAGAGCAGCAGAATGGTGCAGCAGAGGAGAGAAGAGAGGAAGCATCTGAGTGTCGAGGGGAGTTTGGCTGGGGACGGTCAGAGAGGAGATTGGCCATGGGACAGCCGAACTCCAAGGGAAGATCATCTTCCCACTCCATCCCCTCTCCAGCTCCCCATCTGTATTAGTTCATTTTCATACTGCTGATAAAGACACCCCTGAGACTGGGTAATTTATAAAGAAAAAGGGGTTTAATGGACTCACAGTTCCACGTGGCTGGGGAGACCTCACAATCATGGCGGAAAGCAAAAGGTACGTCTTACATGGTGTCAGACGAGAGAATTAAAAAAAAAAAAAAAAAAAAAAAAATCCAGCGAAAGGGGTTTCCCCTTATAAAGCCATCAGATCTCGTGAGACTTATTCACTACCACGAGAACAGTATGGGGGAAACTGTCCCCATGATTCAGTTATCTCTCATCGGGTCCCTCCCACAACACATGGGAATTATGGGAGCTACAATTCAAGATGAGATTTGAGTGGGGCACAGCCAAACCGTATCACCATCCCACTGAGAGCCACCTCCATCACTCAATAAAATGCCCACATTCACCATCTTTCAAGCCCATGTAACCTGATTCCTCCTCGATGCTAGACAAGAATTCAGGATGCACTGGGTGTGGGAACCCAAAAAGGCTGTCACACTGACTCTACTGAGCTATTTAACACTTAAGCCATTCCCAGACGGCAGGGCTAAAAGAGCACTGTAACGCCCCTAGACACTGCCATGGGGCTGGAGGCCCAAATCACTCACCCCAACTCCTGCACCTGCTCACCTGCATGCTCCCTCTCCCGTAAGGGGTTTGAGTACACGGCAGCCGAGCAAACGAGCCACACCCTGGTTCCAAGTCCCACAAAGGGGTCCAGGGAATTCTCCTGTCTTATAACCATAATGCCAAATTTTGACAAGGACTATACAAAAAAGGAAAATTACAGACCAATCTCACTCATGAACATAGATTAAAAAAAAAAAAATCCTAAACAAAAACAACAGCAAATCAAATCCAGGAATATATATAAAAGACAATATATCATAACCAAGCTTCCAAGAATGTGAGCTTGGTTCAAACACTGAAAAATACATACTCATTTCAATCATCTCAATTAAGGCAAAAAATGCATTTGATCAAATTCCGTAACAATTCAATTAAAATGCTTATCAAACTAGGAATAGAAGGAAAATTCCTTAATCTAATAAACAGAAATTCAAGTTGGGAAGGACTTCGGGGAATACTCCTTAAAGGAAGCTGAATGCGGGTCCACTTCTCTGCCACATAGAACGTGGATTTACTTGATAGCTGAAGCTCCATCACTTACCTGGCCTATGAGATAACCATAAATATGGAACTAGATATTGAATGTAGAACTACAGAAAGACAGAAAGAACCTGGGGCCCTGAGTCTTAGTGCACTACCACATAAGTACTAAGTTGCACAGCTGTGGACTTCTTTCACATGTGAGAATAAGCGTTTGTGCATTAAAGATACTTTTGTTTATGCAGCTAAACCCCATCTTGACTTAAACACTATTTCTATTCAAAATGGTACTGAAGGCTCTATCCTAGGCAAAAGGTAAGAAAGATAAATAAAATATGTAAGAATTCTTAAGAAACAAAACTATAATTATTCAAATATGAATAGAAAATTCCAAAAAAAACTGATAGAAAATTCTTAAAATGGCATTTCTATATACCAAAACAATCAGTTAAAATCTTTAATTTAAAAAATGATACCATTCATAATAGCAACAAAAACAAGGTATCTAGGAATAAATCTAAGCTAAAAGTCAAAACTTTTATGTAGAAAAGTATGAGACCTTTTGGAAAGATTTTAAGAGGACCAAAATGGCTCAAGGATAGTAAGAGTTGACATTCAGGTGTTACTTTTCCTGAAATACATCCAAGGATACAGTGCAATTTTGATCAAAATTCCAACACAGTTTTTCCTGGAAATTCATAAGCTACATTCTATACAGAAGAGCAAAGAGACAAAAATAACCAAGACATTCCCGAGAACACAGCCCCAGACATCAAAAGTTATGATAAGCTACACTATTAAAGAAAATAGGTAGTGGTTCAGGGATAGAAAAATAGATCCATAGAATAGAATTGACTCCACACATATCTGTAAACTTAAGGTGACAAGTGAAGGTGGCAAAAAGGTGATACAGTCAAATCACATTAGGACAACTGAAATTAAAACAAAACAGAGATTGGAGACTTATCTGACAACATACATGAAGAGTGAATTCTAGATGACGGACTATTAAATATGAAAGGCAAAACTCTAAACATTTTAGGAAAAATAGAATACCTTTAAGAGTACGATGTATCAAAGAATTCATAAATGAGATTTTAATGGACTTTTCTCCTACATTAAACTTAAGGGGGAAAATGTTTAACTATATTAAAAGAGGTCTTCCTAATAAAAAAAAAAAAAGGATGGAATGAAGGAAGGAAACGGAAAGATAGGCCAAAAACAGACAACACTTGTACCATTACAATATCTCACTAATAAAAAGCTCTTAAAAGTCAGTAAGAAAAAGAAAAATCAAGGAAAAAAAGATAAACATAAATAACCAATAAAAATCTGAAAAAATGTTCAAACTTTTCAGTAATCAGGGAGTGCAAATTAGGGTCACGACAAAAAAACACTTCATATCCATCAAATTGGGGGAAAAAACTCCAAGAGTTGCCAAGAATATACAATAACTGTAAACTGTCTTATACTCCAGGTAAGAGAGTAAACTGGTACCACCATTTGGGGAAATCATTTTTTTACTAGTGGCAGAGATCCAAGTTACCCCAAGTTACCGGTGGCCTATCCTCACGGGTCAGTAGCAACTTCAGTCCTTGCCTCCTCAGACGAAAAAATTTGACTGAGGGGCATAAAGCAGAAACAGAGACCCAGGCAAGTTCCAGAGCAGGAATGGAAGTTTACTTTAAAAGGCCTTAAAACAGGAAGAAAGGAAGGTGTGCTTGTTAGAGACCCAAGCGGGAATGTGAAGGTTAAAGAGAGTAGGTCAAGTGTCCGATTTAACCGTTGATCCTTTTTTTTTCGTTTGTTTGTTTTTTTTTTTTTTGAGAGGGAGTCTCGCTCTGTGGCCCAGGTTGGAGTGAAGTGGCGCGATCTCGGCTCACTGCAAGCTCCGCCTCTCGGGTTCACGCCATTCTCCTGCCTCAGCCTCCCGAGTAGCTGGGACTACAGGCCCCCGCCATCGCGCCTGGATACTTTTTTGTATATTTAGTAGAGACAGGGTTTCACCATGTTGACCAGGGTGGTCTTGAACTTCTGATCTGAGGTGATCCACCCGCTTCAGCCTCCCAAAGTGCTGGGATTACAGGCGTGAGCCACCGCGCCCGGCCCTGATCCTAGGACTTTTACAAGCTTGTCTATTTCCCATGATTCTTTCCTTAGGATAGGCTGCCGGCAGGCACAGAGCCCTCCTTAGCCTTGGGAAGTGTTTTTAGGGAGTTACATGCACGCCCATCTGAGGCTTCCTTCCTTTTTCCGGTGGAGTGTACCTGGAAGATCATACTTTACCATTTTTGTCTCTTAATATGCATGCCCAGGAAGCTGTTTCTCCCTCGGGTCTACATTCAATTAACATTTTGATAACAGGTGTGGACCATCAGGAAATGGCCTCTCCCTGGCGCTGCAGAATTATCATTTTTAGAGAAGCAAATTCGGTAATTGCCAAACCATCCCCCAACATTTCTAGTGGGTTGGGGGAGAGCCCACTACTGTCCCACTCATGCCTACCTGTAACAGAAAAAAAAATATGATCTACGTACATTCGTCAACATAGATGAATCTCAAAAACAAACAAAAGAAGTCAGAAGATACATACGTTTCTGTTTATATAAAGGTCAAAGACTGGCAATATTAAACAACATACCATTTAGCAACGCCTGCATGTGTGATAAAACCACCTAGAAAAGCTTAGGAAGCTTAACACAAATTTCAAGATAGTGTTTACTTATGGCTGTAGCAAGGAGGGCTTCATTGGGGAAGTGCAAACTGGTAAAATTTACTGGTAACTGGTAAAGTTCCATTTCTTCAGCTGAATGACAGGCCCCATGGATTCATTTCATTTCTCTCAAAACTATGCAAATCGGCTAGCTATACTTTTTTCTGTACATCATGTATTTTATAATATTTTAAGTGACTCAAAAATACACGAAAAAGCTGTTTTAAATTATCTTCCTGCTCATCTCCCTGTTTTAAAAGAAAGCCTTTGCTTAAAAGTGGTCTTTCTAACTGCAGGTAAACAACGACATTAACATCTGGTACTCACAGGAGTGCTCTTTAAAAAAAAAAAAAATCACTATTACAGGGTACGCACCAAGGCTCACACCTGTAATTCCAGTACTTTGGGAGGGAGACGGGGGAGGGAGGGATCGCCTGAGCCCAGGAGTTTGAGATAAGCCTGGTCAACATGGCGAGGCCCCATCTGAACAAAAAAAAACAAACAACAAAAAAAAAATCTTTATTAGCTGGGTGTGGTGGTATGTGCTTATAGTCCCAGCTACTTGGCAGGCTGAGGTGAGAGGATCGCTTAAGCCTACGAGTTAAAGGCTGCAGTGAGCTATGTGCATGCTACTGCACTCCAGTCTGGGTGACAGAGAGAGATCTTGCCTCAAAAAAAAATGCTATTAAAGACATTGATGTGTGTACTCTCCCCTATATAATGCACATCAACTTGCTTTGCAAAACAATGCTAAAGTACAAAAGACTTAAAGCTGTAATATAAAATAGACTTTACTGACTTGCACCAATACAACCACAACTTTTTTATACACCACTGACACACATTCTACATCTGTTTAATGAAATCCTTTAAAGTACCGTTAGTGAGTAAAACTAAGACAAACCTATTAAGTGCTAAGGAAACACTAAGGGAGACTATCATTTAATTATCGTACATGAGATTCCAATCTTAAATTGCCACGTGAAGTCTCAAATCGGATCTTTTTTGCTTAAGGGAATTTGAACGATGACAATTCTGTAGCTTTGGGCCAATTCACAGACTCAGTTTCCACAACGTTATAATACCCAATTAAAACTTCTGTCCAATTTCCACCGTACCGTTTGAAGGTATTTTTATGTGCACTCATTCTAGAATACTCCTGGCAAGGCCGCCGGCTTCGGGTCACAAGATGAGCCAGGGACAGATTGGAGACTACCCCCAAATCTCCCAGGAATCGGTTATCTTCCAGACCTCCAGATCGCCCTCCAGAGTCTCGCAGTGTGGAGGGCAACGACAGAAAGACTGCTGAGGGGGTTTAAACTGTTGAGTCAAACATATGGCCAAAAGTCAGAGTCAACTGGGACCTTGCAAATCATTCCGCCTAACCCTTCGTTTTGCAGATGGGGAAAACACGCCTCAGAAGGGAGAACCCTAGCTCGGGGAACCCTAGCTCGGGGTCTAACAACGATTTAAGCTTGTCTCCCCTAGTACTGGCCAGTGGTTCTTCCCCGTTACCCATCCTTAAGTGCTTCTATTGGCTGCCAACACGGAGGGGTTAGCGGGGTGAAAGAACCGGCGCCTCCGCAGTGTGGCCAGGTTGGGCTAAAAAACGTCTTAGAAGTAATCGGATCAATCTCTCTTCTTACAGGTGGAGAAAGTGGAGAAAGTAGAGTGACGCAGCTAAGGGAGTAAATCGACCCTCAGCCAACAAGTGGCAAAAGCCTGAAGAAAGTGATCAAGATCACTGATGACCCCGCTGCCCATCTCCAAGGGGGCGGGTATCACAACCCCGACGCCACACCACGTATCATTCCGCAAAACTCCCGCGCCTCCCACGCAGAACTGGCAAGAGGGAAGGCGAGACAGCAGTGAACAGCTGGTACGCAGCACCCACAGCACCGCGGCAGCAGCTAGTGCCGACTCCCGCCTAGCTCTTTTGACTCTGTTCGCGGGAAGAATGGGGAAACAGTAAGGTTGCGGCGCCTCCCGCGAGACGAGGTACCTGAGGCTGGCCCCGCAGTCCCCCGCCGCACCAGCACCGGAGCTTCACACCCCACTTCCGGGGTCAAGTCACCGCCGGGAATCCTGTGATCGCAGAAAGGTAGTCTCAGGTTCCGCCCCTATCCAAGTCCCGCCTCCACTGCCTCTCGCCCTGTATCTGTCAACTTCCGGGACGCCGCGCGTCACTAAGCAGCCAATCTCCACTTCCGGACTCATCCAGCCCCTTCTCCACCCCTTTCAGAGACAGCGCGATTGCGATTTAGGTTTCCGCGCATTTAATTGGCGAAGCTGGAGCGCTAGTCTTCGCTGATTGGTGCCGAGAAATCTGCCCCATAGACACCCGCGGGGCGCACAGTTTCAGTCGTCCGTGGGTTTCCCGCCAGCCGCAGTCTTGGACCATAATCATGGTGGACATGATGGACTTGCCCAGGTCGCGCATCAACGCCGGCATGCTAGCTCAATTCATCGACAAGCCTGTCTGCTTCGTAGGGAGGCTGGAAAAGGTGTGCGGGTTCGCAATCATGGGCTCCCAAGTCCGTAGCTGGAGGGAGGGACCCCGCCTGGATAACGGGGGATGAAAAAGGACGGAAAGCCTCCGATCACTGCGCCCCCGACTCCTTTATTTTGCACAAGGAACTTTTTGGAAATTCTTTAGCCGTTGTAGCCCCATTTTGGCGCTCTTTTATGGCACGGAAACAAAGTGTTTTCAAATGCTGAGTTCTAAATTCCAGTGCCCGTCGCCTCCGTTCTAGCCGTGCTTACGTAAGGGAAATTATAAACACCACTCCCACATCTACCTTCAGATTTCTTAGTTTACTCAGACGTGACGGACGCAGACAAAACTAATCTGCTGGTTTCCTTCTCTTCTGAAATTACTTATTTTTGCAAACCTCGTTTCCTCGTTGTGATCGCTTCTCTGTAAAACATGCCTTGGTTGTCCGCTTTGGGTCCCGTAGTAACGAGTTATTTAACCCCAGTATTAAAGTGAAGTTCCCTCATTCTACAGGCGAGAAACAGGCCCAAAGTCTTGGAATCAGTGACCTGAAAAGCTGAGGAAAAGAAAACTATTATATAAAGACTTATTTAGTAGCTCATTTCATCCACACATCCTCTTCCTTAAATGAGTGTTGCTCTGACTTCCCAAGTAGGGAAACTGAGTAGGAGTGGTAGGTGGTTGACTAAAATGCTCAGAAACTCGGCAAATGGCAAAGCTGGCATTCAAACGCAATCTGACAGCGCTCTTTACAGCTGCTTCCCAGGAGTAGGACCCAGATATTCTAGCAACCAGTTCTCCTTTTACTTCATCATGCCTGTTTTTTAAAACATACCCTCCGTGGGATATGTACTGTCTAAATCATGAGTGCCAGCAGATTTCACTTTTAGGGTGGGCATCCTTTAATTTGTTATCAGAATAGGGTTGCCATATTTAGCAAATACAGAACCTACTTAACACTACAAAAAAAATCCTTGTTTATCTGAAATTCAGAAATTAACTGTGTGTTCCATGAACAGATTTGATAACATAAGATTATAATTTGATCCAATAAGTTGAATAAACTGAATGAATAAACTGTTCAAGAAACAGTTGATTTGTGCTCAACTAAGGATCAATGTACTCATCTTTAGTCAAACTTTGTTGTTGTTTTAGTGAGATTTTAATTATATGTTTCGTTTTTAGATTCATCCCACCGGAAAAATGTTTATTCTTTCAGATGGAGAAGGAAAAAATGGAACCATCGAGTTGATGGAACCCGTATGTTTAAGTGTTAATAAGTCTCTTATATATTATAGTTAATTCTTCATCTTGATTTGGTTTGTTGCCGATGTTTCTAATTTTTGCAATGGATTTAAAAAGGATGAGCTGGTAAAACGTCCCTGGCTGTAAAATTTAATTCTTGTACTATTCTCTCATTATATTTCCTTTTACATTTTTAACCAATGATTTTTTGGGCGTCATGATTTTTGAACATATCCCATAAATGTTGGATAACAATTCTCATTCCTTATGAAAGACCATAAAATCACATAAGAAAAATTTACGTTGCTTTTTTCTTCCTCAAGAGGTTTTTTGTTTCGTTTTTGTTTTTTTGTTTTGAGACAGGGTCTCACTCTGTTACCCCGGGTGGAATGCAGTGGCACCATCATGGCGCACTGCAGCCTTAGCCTCCCAAGATCAAGTTGCTCCCATGTCAGCCTCCCCAGTAGCTGGGACTACAGGCATGCTTAACCATGCCTGGCTAATTTTTGTTTTGTTTTGTTTTGTTTTGTTTTGTTTTGTTTTT
Organism: Homo sapiens; assembly: GCF_000001405.40. NCBI lineage: Eukaryota > Metazoa > Chordata > Mammalia > Primates > Hominidae > Homo > Homo sapiens. Next base: position 7,638,540 of record NC_000007.14, on the reverse strand, counting down.
TGTAAAGATGGCATCTCCCTATGTTCCTCAGGCTGGTCTTGAACTCTCGGTCTCAAGCAATCCTCCTGCCTCGACCAGCCCCTCAAGAGTTTTCGATTTTATTTTATTTTCTATTTTTGTTCATATATTTCCAGTTTTTACTTATTTATGTTTGCATTTTATGTTTAACATACTTAAAACTTTTTTTGGTATTTTGTGAAGACAAATCCATATGCTGTTTGGTTAATGTATACAGAACACATTGTGAAATACAGATTATAGAAGATTCCTCTCATAGGATATTACTGCTTATAGAAATGCTGGACGTTTTCAATAGTGATTTTGTCTTTAACTTGAATTGTAGCTTTGGACTTGAAGCTACTGCTAAAGGTAGCAGGAATTTTAACATGCTGACAGTTAAGTACTCAAACATTTGTTAACAAGTTACATTTTAACTTTTACACTGGTAATTCTTAAAATTACTTTGTTACTTGAAGTGATAGATTAGTAACCTGTATAACAGTTTTCCAAAATAATTGTCAACTGAAAATGTGATATCACCAAATCGATGTCTTGTTCTGTGTCTTAGCTTGATGAAGAAATCTCTGGAATTGTGGAAGTGGTTGGAAGAGTAACCGCCAAGGCCACCATCTTGTGTACATCTTATGTCCAGTTTAAAGAAGATAGCCATCCTTTTGGTAAATAAAGCATTCTAGTATTGACTGGTTTTATGTAATTACATAACATACAGTTTTATATAACTGTATGTAATTACATAACATACAGTTTTATATAACTGTATGTAATTACATAACATACAGTTTTATATAACTGTATGTAATTACATAACATACAGTTTTATATAACTGTATGTAATTACATAACATACAGTTTTATATAACTATGTTTTAACATACATTTTGTATTACATACAAAATTGTATGTATTACATACAATTACATAACATAAACATACAGGAAAACAGTTTTATTTTTAGTTTGATATATATTGGTCTAGAGTTTTAGTACTGCCACATTTTCAATTTCTATAGAATTTTGTGATCGTAAAGGCAAATGGGGGTACATTTTGTTTTGGCCTGCTTTTAAGTAGTGCTTATATATGTAAGAAACTCAGTAAAGATTAATTAATGTTTGTTGAAAGATAATTTTTTTAAATATAACAAAAATAGTATTAGTTTTTTTGTTGTAATATCTGAATTGAAGGAATTGAATAATGCATAACACCCAAAACACTACCAGGCAGAAACTGCCTGTATAATGAACATCAAAATGGATGGTACTCCCATGTCTTTTTTTTGGTGCCACAGTTAAATACAAGAATCCATAATCCATATCTCCATTTTTAGAAACTCACTTCCAAAAGGGTGAGAAAAAGGAAATAGGTAAAAATATCTTAGATAATAATTGATGTTACAACTTTCCATTGTAGATTAAATGTTTGCTTAAATGTTTCTTTCAGATCTTGGACTTTACAATGAAGCTGTGAAAATTATCCATGACTTCCCTCAGTTTTATCCTTTAGGGATTGTGCAACATGATTGATCTTGATGGATTTTCATACGATTGTAAATGAGCTATATTAAAGTCTATTAAAGGAAGCCCTTCTTGTTTGAGGGAGAGATTTCTGTGCTTTCTCATATTTAATTTGCTGTTTTTAAGATATTCCAACCTAGAGTTTTTGATGGAACTGATATATTGACAGTTCTCACCGAAGTCCTTTTATAAAGAATTGCTACTCCAATATATGGTCAGATTAGATGCAAGAATAAAGCAGTTGTCCGAGTCTAAGTTTCTATTTTATTAATAAAAACTAAAATGGTACGTACTATCGGTCATTTCATTTTCATTCTTTTAATCATGTATTCAAGCACAAACTTGAAATTTCATAGCCATAAGGTCAAGATTTAGACCTACCAAATAAAACCTTGGGCCAGCTGTGTTAAGGATTTGCTCACCTTTTCCCAAACTATACCTTGATAATTATTTCCTTGATACCCTACTTACAAAATGAAGTAGATGACATTAAAAAGGCAAACAGAGACTGGCCACGCTGGCTTACTCCTGTAATCCCAGCACCTTGTGAGGCCGAGGCGGGTGGATCACCTAAGGTCAGGAGTTCGAGACCAGCCTCACCAATATGATGAAACCCTGTCTCTACTAAAAATACAAAAATTAGCCGGGCGTGGTGACATGCGCCTGTAATATCAGCTACTCAGGAGGCTGAGACAGGAGAATCACTTGAACCTGGGAGGCGGAGGTTGCGGTGAGCCAAGATTGCACCATTGCACTCCAGCCTAGGCAACAAGAGTGAAGCTCTGTCTCAAAAAAAGGCAAACAGAATCTTACATCTTCTGTAATCTGTGAAGTATCTCTTTTTCTGGCTTGGTTTGGTTTTGTTTTTGTAGAGACAGGATCTCACTCTATTGCCCAGGCTGGAATACGGTTGTGCAATCATAGCTCACTGCAGCCTTGAACCTCTGGGCTCAGTCTCCCAAGTAGCTCAGACTACAGGTGGGCACTACCACGCCCAGCTAGATTTTCCTAAATTTCCGTGTAGAGATGGGGTCTCACTGTGTTTCCCAGGCTGGACTCAAACACCTAGCCTCAAGCAATCCTACCGCCTTAGCCTCCCAAAGTGTTGGGATTACAGGTGTGTAACAACCATGCCCAGCCTTCCTGGGTTTTAAAATAGCATTTACTAAATTCCAAACAAGGAATATATGATCATTGAAAGAGTTGGTGGAATCATTTGACTTTCTTTTTATTCTTTTCACCTGTCTAATCTTTAGTATGGAATCTCTCTCTAGCACCATGTTGGGGGTGAGCAGGGAAGATGTGGCAGATTTGGAATAAGGTAGTATAGAATAACCGATGACCTACGTGGCCAGTTAAGTTTTATGGCTTGACCCATTCCCTTGAATAAGGAAATAATTCTAAATCCATATAGGTTATTGTAAATTATACCAAAAATACTTAGTTTTAATTAGTGTAATCTTAAATTTCAACTTCTGTCATCCAAAAATACTCTGCTCATTACTTGAGGGGCATTGCCATAGCCATTTACGGTAAAGCATTCTGTTACATGAAATGAAGACAACTGTACAGTTTATACGCTGTATAATGACTTTGGTCAATGACAGACTGCATATATGATGGTGGTCCCATAAGATCATAATGGAACTGAAAAATTCCTGTCTAAAGACAAAGGCATCGTAACATCTTAGCACAATGCATTACTCACATGTTTGTGGTGATGATGGTGTAAACAAGCCGCACAGTAGGCTGCATGTAGAAGTATGACACATAGAATTATGTATGGTACATGATACTTGATAATAAAATACCATGTTACTGGCTATGTGTTTACTATTTATCATTATTTTAAACTGTACCCCTACTTACAGGAAAAAAGGTAACTGTAAACAGCCTCAGGAGAGTCCTTCAGGAGGTCTTCCCAAAGAAGACCTTGTTATAGGAGATGACAGTTCCCTGCATGTTATGGCCCTTGAAGAACTTCCACTGGGACAAGATATGGAGGTAGAAGACAGTGATATTGATGATCCTGTATAGGCCTAGGCTAGTGTGTGTGCTTGTGTTTTAGTTTTTAACAAAAAAGTTAAAATGTAAAAAGAAAATTTAATTTTGGAAATAGAAAAAAGTTCATAAGAATACAAAGAAAAATATTTTTGTTCAGCTGTACAGCGTGTTTTAAGCTAAGTGTTATTCAAAAAGAGTGAAATGTTTTTAAAAAATTTACTGTACCTTTTTTATTTATTTACTTATTTTTTTGAGATGGAGGCTCGCTCTGTCACCTGGGCTGGAGTGCAGTGGCATGATCTCAGCTAACTGCAACCTCTGCCTCCCGGGTTCAAGGAATTCTCCTGCCTCAGCCTCCCGAGTAGCTGGGACTACAGGCGTGTGTCACTATGCCCCGCTAATTTTTGTATTTTTAGTAGAGACAGGGTTTCACCATGTTGGTTGGGCAGGATGGTCTCAATCTCTTGACCTCGTGATCTGCCTGTCTTGGCCTCCCAAAGTGCTGGGATTACAGGAATGAGCCACCGCACCTGCCCTACTGTACCTTTTTTGTGTTCTATGTGTGGTGGTGCATGCCTATAGCCCCAGCTACTTGGGAGGCTGAAGTGGCAGGATAGCTCAAGCCCAGGAGCTCGAAGCTGCAGTGAGCAACAATCATGCTGCTGTACTTCAGCCTGCGCAACACAGCAAGACCCCATCCAAAAAAGAAAAGTTAAAACAAATTTAAAAGTGCATAAATTAAAAAAGCTACAATAAGCAAGAGTTAATTTATTATTGAAGAAAGAAAAATATATTTTTATAAATTTAGTGTGGCCTAAGTATGTAAAGTCTACAGTAGGGTTCAATAATGTCCTAGGCCCTCACATTACTCACCACTCACTCACTGACACCTGGAAGCAACTTTCAGTCTGCAAGCACAAGTTATGGTAAGTGCCCTATACAGGTGTATCTTTTTTTTTTTTCTTTTAAAGACAGGGTCTTGCTCTGTTGCTCAGACAGGAGTGCGTCTCCCACCTCAGCCTCCTGAGAAGCTAGGACTACAGGTACACACCACTACATCCAGTGAATTTTTGTATTTTTTGGTAGAGATGGGGTCTCACTATGTTACCCGGTCTGGTCTTGAACTCATTTTTTAATCTTCTATACTGTAATTTTTTTTTTTTTTTTTTTTGAGATGGAGCCTTGCTCTGTCACCCAGACTGGAGTACAGTGGCATGATCTTGGCTCATTGCAACCTCTGCCTCCCAGGTTTAAGAGATTCTCTTGCCTTAGCCTCCTGAGTAGCAGGGATTACAGTCGACCACCATTGAGCCTGGCTAATTTTTGAATTTTTAGTAGAGATGGGGTTTCGTCATGTTGGCCAGGCTGGTATCAAATCCCTGACCTCAAGTAATGTGCCCACCTCGGCCTCCCAAAATGCTAGGATTACAGGCATGAGCCACTGTGCCTGGGCTATACCATATTTTTACTGTATCTTTTCTACGTTTAGATATACAAATACTGACCATTCTTTTAAAACTGCACAAAGTCTTCGGTACAACAACATGCTGTACAGGTTTGAGCCCAGGAGCAATAGCATATATCATCTAAGTTTGTGTAAGTATGTTCTGTGAGGTTCACACGATAATGAATTTGTCTAATGGTTCATTTCTCAGAATGTATTCTCATTCAGAGACTAGTTGAAAATGAGGAGAGACATCAGTCAGTCTCAATAACAGTGTTGTCTTGAATGCCAGAGGAGTCTACATTAATCCATTTTCACACTACTATAAAGATGATCCCCGAGAATGGGTAATTTGTAAACAAAGGAGGCTTAATTGACTCACAATTCCACATGGCTGGGGAGGCCTCAGGAAACTTACAGTCATGGTGGAAGGGGAAGCAGGCACCTTCACAAGGCAGCAGGAGAGAGAGAGAGAGCAAGAGCAGGGAAAACTGCCTTATAAAACCATCAGATCAGCTGAGCACAGTGGCTCACTCCTATAATCCTAGCACTTTGGGAGGCCGAGGTGGATGGATCATTTGTGGTCAGACGTTCAAGACCAGCCTTCCCAACATGGCAAAACCTCATCTCTACAAAAAAATACAAAAAGCTGGGCATGGTGGTGCGTGCAGCTACTCAGGAGGCTGAGGAAGGAAAATCGCTTTAACCCAGGAGGCAGAGGTTACAGTAAGCTGAGATCCCGCTTACTGACAGAGCAAGAATCCATCTCAAAACAAACAAAGAAAAAAACCCAGCAGATCTCATTGTGAACTCACTCACTATCATGAGAACAGCATGGGAGGACCGCTCTATGATATAGTTAGTTACCTCCACCTGGTCTCTCTCCCTTGACAAATGGGGATAATGGGTATTACAATTCAAGATGAGATTTGGTTGGGGATACAGAGCAAGCCGTATCATTCTGCCCCTGGCCTCTCTCAAATTTCATGTCTTTTCACATTTCAAAACCAATCATGCCTTCCCTCCCAACAGCCCCCCATGCCTTAACTCATTTCAGCATTAACTCAAAAGTCCACAGTCCAAAGTCTTATCTGAGGTAAGGCAAGTGCAATCCCTTCCACCTATGAGCCTGTACAATCAAAAGGAAGTTAGTTACTTTCTAAATACAATGGTGGTACAGGTATCAGATAAATGCTCCCATTCCAAATGGGACAAATTGACCAAAACCCCATAGCCCCATGCAAGTCCAAAATCCAGCAGGGCAGTCGTTAACTATTAAAGCTCCAAAATAATCTCCTTTGACTTCATGTCTCACATCGTGGGCATGCTGATGTAAGGGGGTGGGCTCCCATGGCCTTGGGCAGCTCCTTCACAGGCTGACACTGAGTGTCCTTGGCTTTTCCAGGCACAAGGTGCAAGCTATCAGTGGAGCTACCATTCTGGGGTCTGGAGGATGGTAGCCCTCATCTCACAGCTCCACTAGGCGTGCCCCAGTGGATACTCTTTGTGGGGGCTCCAATCCCACATTTTCCTAATGCAATACCCTAGCAGAGGTTCTCCATGAGGGCTCTGCCCCTGCAGCAGACTTCTGCATGGACATCCAGGTATTTCCATACATCCTGTGAAATCTAGGTGGCGGTTCCCAAACCTCAACTCTTGAATTCTGTGCACCTGCAGGCCCAACACCATGTGGAAGCTGCCAAGGCTTTGGGCTTGCACCCTTGGAAGCAACAGCCCAAGCTATACCTTGGCCCCTTTTAGCTGTGTCTGGGGCTGGAAAGTCTGGGATGCAGGGCACCAAGTTCTGAGGCTGCACATAGCAGCGGGCACCTGGCCCTGCACAGGAAACCATTTTTTTCCTCTTAGGTCTCCAGGCCTGTGATAGGAGGGGTTGCCACCAAGATTTCTGACATGCCCTGGAGATATTTTCCACATTGTCTTGGCAATTAACATTTGGCTCCTCATTACTTATGCAAATTTCTGCAGCTTGCTAGAATTTCATCCCAGAAAATGGGTTTTCTTTTCCATCTCTTAGTCACACTGCAAATTTTCCAAACCTTATGCTCTGCTTCCCTTTTAAACATAAGTTCCAATTTCAGATTATCTCTCTCAAGTTCAAAGTTCCACAGATTTCTAAAGCAGGGGCAAAATGCTGCCAGTCTCTTTGCTAAAGCATGGTAAGACTGACCTTTGCTCCAGTTCCCAATAAGTTTCTCATCTCCATCTGAGACCACCTCCGCCTGGACTTCATTGTCCATATCACTATCAGCATTTTGGTCAAAACCATTCAACAAGTCTCTAGGAAGTTCTAAACATTTCCACATCTTCCTTTCTTCTTCTGAGCCCTCCAACTATTTCAAACTCTGCCCATTACCCAGTTCCAAAGTCACTTCCATATTTTCTATATCTTTATAGCAGTACCCCACTTCTGGTACCAGTTAACTGTATGAGTCCATTTTCACACTGCTATAAAGATATTATACTACCCAAGAATGGGTAATTTATAAACAAGGGAGGTTTAACTGACTTACAGTACCACATGGCTGGATAGGTCTCAGGAAGCTTATAATCATGGCAGAAGGAGAAGCAGACACCTTCACAAGGCAGCAGGAGAGAGAGAGCAAGCAAGAGCAGGGAAAACTGCCTTATAAAACCATCAGATCTCTTGAGAACTCACTTGTTAGCATGAGAACAGCATGGGGGAAACCACCCCCATGATTCAATCACCTCTGTCCTCAACACATGGAGATTACAGTTTGAGATGAGATTTGAGTGGGGAGACAGAGCCAAACCATATCAGAGTCAGTCCTCAGTTCTGTGTTAACCCCTGAAAATTCAGTGCTATTAAATGTTGAAGTTGCCCTGCTTGAAACCTTCCCTTCAGCTACTATATTTAGTAAATTGGACTAAATGAATTACCTTGTTTTCTACTGAGTGAATCCTTTATGCTAATGATTTGTGGTGCCATATCTCTAGCCCCAACCTAAGTTTTCAGCTGCTCCACCTGGGTGTCCCACCAGCACTTTGATTTGAATGAGTGTAGTTTGAACAAGTATGGTTCCCCTGCCATGTGTTACAGATTTTTTTGGTAATAATTTCATTGAGATGTAATTTACATATCATACAATTTACGAAATTCAAGTGTACAATTCTATGGCTTTTAGTGTATTCAGGGTTGTATAACCATCACCATAATCAATTTGAAAACATTTTCATCACCCCAAAAGGAAACCTCATACCATTTGCCCTGTCATAGCCTGATCCCTCCACCATCCACCCACTCCCCCAGTGCTAAGCAACTATTAATCTACTTTCTGTCTCTAGATTTGTCTCCATTCTGGACATGTCATACAAATGGAATCATAATATGTGGTCTTTTGTGATTGGCTTCTTTCACTTAGCATAGCATTTTCAAAGTTCATCTGTGTTGTAACATAGCATGTTAGTGTTTCCACCCTTTTTATGGCTGAATAAGATATACCACATTTTGTTCATTCATCAATTGATGGACATTTGGGTAGTTTCTGCCATTTGGTTATAATGAGTAATGCCATTATGAAGATGCGCGTATACATTTTTATGTGTACCTGTGTTTCTATTTCTCAAGTATGTACCTAAAAGTGGAATTGCTGCATCAAATAGTAAAATGTTCAATTTTTTGAGTAACTGCCTGACTGTTTTCCAAAGTGGCCACACCATTTTACATTCCCATCAGCAGTGTATATGGATTCTAATTTTTCTGCATCCTCACCATCACTTCTTATTATCTGACTTTTTATTATAACTTTCCTAATGGGTATAAAGTGGTATCTCACTGTGGTTTTGACTTACCCTGTTTCTCTTAAAGCTACCGTAAGCCACCCAGTTGCCCAGAAACACTTGAATATCTCCAATCCATTTTACTATCTACTATAGCCACTAGAAGTCCAAGTGCTTGTCCTCTGTCACTTGAATTATTACGACAACCTTAGCTATGTAACTGACCTTCTTTTTTCCACCCTCTTCCCATCATCCAGCCAAAAAAATCGCATTAAACACTGCTTGTAATATAATGTAAAGCTTAAAAGCCTGAGAAGCATGGAAAGGAAAAGCTTTCTGGGAAGCTTACAGTGGAAAAACCTAGCAAACATCCTAAATGAAGTGATCAAGGTTAACATCAGCAGTGATGTGTCCTCTAAAATAATGTGATAAAAATACCTGTGTGATATTTTTTCTAAAACCCGTACCTCCAGTCTAATAATGAGAAAATGTCAGACAAACCCAAATTGAGGGATATTCGACAAACTTTCTGATCAGTACCCCTCAAAACTGTCAAGTTCATGAAAAACAAGGAAAGACTGAGAAGAGAAACTCAGAGTGAGGAGATTACAGAGACCAAGACAACTAAATGTTATGTGGGATCCTCTACTGGCTCCTGGAAAAGAAAAAGCACACTAATGGAAAAACCGGTGAAATCTGAATGAAGACTGGCATTCAGGTAATAATAATTTACCAATGTTGGTTTCTTAGTTTTGACAAATATACCGTGATAACGTAAGATAACATTAAGGGAGACAAACTGGTTGAGGGCTTATATGATAACTCTCTGTACTATCTTTGTAACTTTTCTGCAAATCTAAAATTACTCCAAAATAAAAAAAAAGTATTTTATTTAAAAATCAACAACCTCCAGAGGCTCTCCACTGACTAGAGCAGGTCCATATTACCAAAAGTTGAAACCCTTCACTGACTTATTTTTATTATAACTGCACTAATGGCTCTGAAGTAGCATCTCACTGTGGTTTTGATTAGCCCTGTTTCTTTTAAAGCTACCATAAGCCACCCAGTTGCCCAGAAACACTTGACTATCTCCAGTCCTTTTCACTATCTTCCATATCTAACATCAGTGTCAAATCTGGTTTCCCCTTGAAGCTACTCTCCAGCACCCAATCTGCTGTTCCCAGACACACTGTACCCTTTAAGAAATGAGTACCACCGAATCTGCTGTTTGCTCTGATTGGAATGTCTGTTGCTGTACTCAAAGGAAAGCATTTTCTAAGATTTTCATAACTTAGCCTGAGTTAGTTACTTTGTGCTATATTTCCACCTTTTTTTTCTTTTAAGACAAGAGCCTCACTCTGTTGCCCAGGCTGGAGTGCAGTGGCATGATCTCAGCTCACTGCAGTCTTGACCTCTTGGGGTCAGGCGATCCTCTCACTTCAGTCCCCCAAGTATCTGGGACCACAGGTGTGCTCCACCATGCCTGGCTAATATTTCGTATTTTTGGTAGAGACAGGGTTTTGTTATTTTTGCCCAGGCTGGTCTTGAACTCCTGAACTCAAGCAATCTGCCCGCCTTGCCCTACCAAAGTGCTGGGATTACAGGCGCGAGCCACTGTGCCCGGCCACTTCGTGTTATATTCCTTTCTTCATTATATTTATTTATTCATATCTCTCATCACATTTAATTTGATAATCCCTTTTCAGATTAAAATACATATTCTTTTAAAACTTACAACACTAAAAAAGGAAAAATCAGAAAATAAAGTCCACATTGTCTTTCCAGAGACAGTGCTGTCAGTGGTGAACTACAATATGGTTGTCTTTAGTTGTAATTTTACAGATGTTCTTCAAATGGTCACTTTTATTTTCATCTAGAAGTGACAAAATTAAACACAACTCTGAAAGCATCTCTTCATAAGGTGAGGTAAATACTCTGAGTGATCAACTAGTATTATTACAAAATTTATAGAAGTTTGAAGTTGTCTTTTGTTTTTTCTAGAGTGAAGTTGTCTTTTAAAGGTATTAATTTAATATGCATGTTTTTGTATATAGCTTTCCAGGACTTTCTCTATATAGGCAAACTATGTGTTCATAGGACCTCAATACACTATTCTGCAATGTGCAATTTTTTTTTTTTTTTTTTTTTTTGAGACAGAGTCTCGCTCTGTCGCCCAGGCTGGAGTGCAGTGGCACGATCTTGGCTCACTGCAAGCTCCGCCTCCCGGGTTCACGCCATTCTCCTGCCTCAGCCTCCTAAGTAGCTGGGACTACAGGTGCCCACCACCACACCCAGCTAATTTTTTTGTATTTTTAGTAGAGACGGGGTTTCACCGTGTTAGCCAGGATGGTCTCAATCTCCTGACCTCGTGAACCACCCGCCTCAGCCTCCCAAAGTGCTGGGATTACAGGCGTGAGCCACCACGCCCGGACGCGTTTTTTCTTAATATGTCTTGGCAACTGACATATAGAATAATCTCATTGTCTTTAATGGTTGCAAAATAGCCCATTGTACCAAACGTTCCCTAATTTATTTAATCCTTTAATTAGCCTTCCCCACTAAGAAGAGGTCCCTATAAATGGGGAACCTGAAGTTAAGCCTGCCTTATTGGTATTTGCCAATGTCTAACATAGTGCATGAATAAATTAGCCTATCTAGCCTAGTTTGAGAAGTCACAAAACTGAGAGGAGAGGTAATGAAGGCCTGCACCATTGTCAGAACTGTGACAATTGTTGCGGGAGGTCAGGGACCCCAAACGGAGGGACCGGCTGAAGCCATGGCAGAAGAACATGGATTGTGAAGATTTCATGGACATTTATTAGTTCCCCAAATTAATACTTTTATAATTTCTTATGCCTGTCTTTACTGCAATCTCTAAACGTAAATTGTGAAGATTTCATGGACACTTATCACTTCCCCAACCAATACCCTTGTGATTTCCTATGCCTGTCTTTACTTTAATCTCTTAATCCTGTCAGCTGAGGAAGATGTATGTTGCCTCAAGACCATGTGATAATTGCATTAACTGCACAAATTGTAGAGCATGTGTGTTTGAGCAATATGAAATCTGGGCACCTTGAAAAAAGAACAGGATAACAGCAATTGTTCAGGGAATAAGAGAGATAACCCTAAACTCTGACCACCTGTGAGCTGGGCTGAACAGAGCCATATTTCTCTTCTTTCAAAAGCAAATGGGAGAAGTATCGCTGAATTCTTTTTCTCAGCAAGGAACATGCCTGGGAAAGAGAATATGCGCCTGGGGGTATAGGCCTATAAACGGCCACCCTAGGTGTGCCCGTCTCTTATGGTCGAGGCTGTAGGGGTGAAATAGACCCCAGTCTCCCATAGTGCTCCCAGGCTTATTAGGAAGAGGAAATTCCTGCCTAATAAATTTTTGGTCAGACCAGTTGCTCTCAAAACCCTGTCTCCTGATAAGATGTTGTCAATGACAATGGTGCCTGAAACTTCATTAGCAATTTTAATTTCACCCCGGTCCTGTGGTCCTGTGATCTCACCCTGCCTCCACTTGCCTTGCGATATTCTGTTACCTTGTAAAGTACTTGATGTCTGTGACCCACACCTATTCACACACTCCCTCCCCTTTTGAAAATCCCTAATAAAAACTTGCTGGTTTTTGCGGCTTGGGGGGCATCATGGAACCTACCAACATGTGATGTCTCCCCTGGACGCCCGGCTTTAAAATTTCTCTTTTGTACTCGGTCCCTTTATTTCTCAAGCTGGCCGAAGCTTAGGGAAAATAGAAAAGAACCTACGTGAATATTGGGGCGGGTGATAGGAGGCAAGGAGTTCAAGAACTATTATGATGGATTCCATAGGATTCAGTGATGATGCTAAAGAGTTAAACAGAATGACAACCAAGAAAGAGATCAGTGGGTTAGAAGGCAATACATTTGCTTTGGTACAAATTAAAGTATTTGATAGGTCCTTTTGTAAAGATGTCTAGAAGGTATTTGGAAATGTAGGACCAGACAGATTCGAGACAAAATTTGCTTAATATATTTAAAGTAGGAAAAGTTTAAGAGGTAAATCATCCCTTATCTGCAATCTCAAAATCGAAAATGGTTTGAAAAGCAAAAGCATTTTCTAAGACAGAACTCATTTAGCCGCAACACCTGGTAAGAATTGTAGTGAGGCTGAGGCGGGCAGATGACCTGAGGTTAGGAGTTCGAGACCAGCCTGGCCAATATAGTGAAATCCCATCTCTACCAAAAATACAAAAATTAGCCGGGCATGGTGGTGGGCACCTGTAATCCCAGCTACTCAGGAGGCTGATGCAGGAGAATTGCTTGAACCCCATAGACGGAGATTGCAGTGAGCCGAGATTGTGCCGCTGTACTCCAGCCTGGGTGACAGAGTGAGATCCTGTATCAAAAAAAAAAAAAAAATGCAGTGAGGGTTATAGTCTATATATACTACTATAGTAGTCATAGTCCCTATCTCGGTTTGTGTAAACATTCATATATTTCATTGCAGAAATATTAATATATTTGATTAAAGAGTGCTGCCCCTCTCTGTGTAAAGTGTTACAAAATATATGGTTGTTACAATCTATGACTTTGCTAAAATCCAAAAATTCAGAATTTTGAAGCATATGTGGCTTCAAAAGTTTCAAGTAAGGGATTGTGTTCCTAAATCAAGGCACAGAGTGCAGAATTGAGAACATCATAAAATAAATGACAGAACCTTGGTGGACCTGCACCATATATGGGGCAGAACTGAGAGTAAGTGGGATGAGGAAGAGGATCATTGAATTGGGAGAGGAATCACAACAGTGCCTGACAACAATTAAGTATTCAATAAATATTTGTTGACTGAAAGAATATAGTGAAAGGCAAGGAAGAGAGAGTTTCAGCTGGTGTGGTGGGTCACACCTGTAATCCCAGCACTTTGAAAGGCTAAGGCAGTTGGATCACTTGAGTCCAGGAGTTTGAGATCAGCCTGGGCAACATGGAGAAACCCTGCCTCTACTAAAAATGCAAAAAATTAGGTGGGCATGGTGGTGCACACCTATAATCCCAGCTATTCGGGAGGCTGAGGCATGAGAATTCATTGAACTCGGGAGACGGAGGCTGCAGTGAGCCGAGATTGTGCCACTGCACACCAGCCTGGGCAACAGAGCAAAACTCTGTCTCAAAAAAAAAAAAAAAAAGTTTCAAGGAGTAGTGAACAATGTGTTTTGAAAGCTCAAAAACAAACAATTGAAAAATGAGGATTAAGAATAAAAAACTGACATTAATTCATAATATACAGCACACATTTCTAAAAAGGATTAAACTATAAAAATAAAAAGGGAAACATTGAAAAAAGGAAATGGTAACTACAAAAACACCCAAACTAATATAGAAAATATAATTAGGCATTGAATTTAGCCCCGAGTCTTCCTGGGAAGCTAAGAAAGGAAAAGAACAATAGGTTATAGAGTTTTAATATCATTAAATTCACTAGGACAATCAAACTTTTTACTAACATTGAATTTTTGAAGAAATATCAAGCACAATCTAATGTAGGGAATGAATGATGAACTACAATATGGTTGTCTTTAGCTGTAATTTTACAAATGTTCTTCCAGTGTTCACTTTTATTTTCATCTGAAAGTGACAAAATTGAACACAACTCCGAAAGCACCTCTTCATAAGGTGAGTTAAGTGCTCTGAATGATCACCTAGTATTATTACTAAATTTATAGAATTTTGAGGTTGTCTTTTGTTTTTCTAGAGTGAGGTTGTCTTTTTAAGGTATTAATTTAATATGCATTATATTATTTAACAAGCACTTTGAGTAAAAATCCTGGGCTAACTACTGGAGATACAAATAAGGTCTAAAATCTGCCCTATGAAATCTCAGTCGACAGCTGTCTAGTATAATCTCTAGAAATGTCTCCACTCTTACTAGCTATTTAATATTTAACTAGTCTAAGGTTTCAAAGAAATCCACCAGCATTAACAACAAGCAAATTCTGTAGGTTCTATTTAGTGAAACTCCAATTTGGTTTCTTATTTAATTTGCATAGAATTTGATTCTGATAGGTTGCTAAAAAAATTAATAATTCTGGAACCACAGGTTATCTTTCCTAAGAAGATGATGTTAAATCTAAAATACCAACAAAGCATGTGTTTTAAGTTACTTTCTAATAGTGATGTTGGTTTGAGGTAAGCCACTTATGTTCTTTATGACCCCATTTGACCTACAGCATGACATTTTGAGATGGCTAATGAAGGCCAGAAGTGTAGGCCATAAACAATTTGTAGTGTAATACATTCATATTGATTGCAAGGATAAAACTGTAGTTTGCATACTATTGTTTCCTTACATATTACAGAATGTAAATTTTAGACAAATACTGTGGCTTTTGCATATTAAAAAATGCAATTTCAACATGATTGTCTCTTCGGTGGGCAGATAAAGAACAACAGTGAGGTATTCAAGATGCAAAATTCAGAAAACTTCCAAACAGTTATCAGAAAATAGCGAGGCCTGTAAGTTGAAGGAAAATATGTGAGCAGAGTGACAGTTTTGGGCAATGCCGTAAATGACACTATGACTTAATTAGCCCCCTTTTCTAAGCAACTATTCATTTTTCACAGGAGTTTGAAATATTACCCAGGAAAACAAGCCAATGATTTTGACTGTGAGAATTTCATACCATAAAATGTTAAGGTAATATAGTCTGTTTAATAATGGGCTTAAATGAATGGTTTTGTTAAAAGATCTTAGTATCTTTTCATCTGAATCTTGAAAGATAATTAGCAGGGAGAAATCTTCTGTTGAATAATTACTAATTAAAAAACTAGATAATTTAGCATTATTTTTACCTTAGCTACTCAATTAGGAAATATTTATTATTTAGATGGTGACATTTATTTTCATTAATTTAATTCTGCTTAACACGACATGATCATTTAAAGTTAAATTGTGTCAAGTAAATTTATCATAACCTTACAGAAAATCAGAAACAGTGCCACATTTCACTCAAATGTTTTCATATTTTTATTTAGCATTTGAGAGCTTTAAATGTTATGAAAATATTGGAACTGATGAGAGAATACATTTTCTTTTTAAGAGACGCATCTATTCTTTTAAGTGATCAGGGTCCCATTTAGTCAATTATTTTTTCCATATGGCTCAGAAATGTATGTCTTTGTTGGTCATATATTTGATTGACCTGTTATGAAAGGCAGACAGTTGACCACGAGTTGCCTCATTTTAGAATCTCCTTGGAAATGACTAAATGTTTTCCAGATGAACATACGGTGGACCAAGTGGGGAGCTAGGAATTAGAAATCATTGCCTCTAAACCAGGGGAATTTGTGGACTATTTCTGTTGGGACTCGGTGACCTCAAGGAATTGACCCACTGAGCAATTTCCTTCACTCTCCACAGTGTAAGTAAGTCATGAAAACAACTCAAGGTAACACATATATATTTATGGCTGCGCACAGTGGCTGACGCCTGTAATCCCAGCACTTTGGGATGCCACGGCAGGTGAATCACCTGAGGTCAGGAGTTCAAGACCAGCCTGGCTAACATGGTGAAACCTCGTCTCTACTAAAACTACAAAAATTAGCTGGGCGTGGTGGCATGCACCTGTAATCCCAGCTACTTGGGAGGCTGAGGCAGGAGAATCTCTTGAAGCCAGAAGGTGGAGGTTGTAGTGAGCTGAGATCACGCCACTGTGCTCCAGCCTGGGTGACAGAGTGAGACTGTGACTCAAAAAAAAAAATTATATATATATGCAACACTTGTTTCCACAGCAGAATTTAAGGCAGCTGCAAAGGCTTCTATCTTCTTTGCCCAATGTAAACTTCAGTTAGCAGTGGAGATATAAGGGGACAATCAATTTATTACTGTGTTATTTGTCACCAGACCACTCACCTGCCAAAATTGGCACTAATATCCCACTTTATCCCTTTTCAAGGAAAATAAAAATAACATTTCAATAGCAATAAAATATGTTCTATGTTGCTTTTCCTACTTTCTCTTCATCTCATAACCTAAACCTATTTAACATAATTTTTTTTTTTTTTTGAGACGGAGTCTCACTCTGTCACCCAGGCTGGAGTGCAGTGGTGCGATCTCGATTCACTGCAACCTCCACCTCCTGAGTTCAAGCGATTCTCCTGCCTCAGCCTCCCAAGTAGCTGGGACTACAGGCAAGCGCCACCACACCCGGCTAATGTTTTGTATTTTTAGTAGAGACGGGGTTTCACATATTGGCCAGGCTGGTCTCGAACTCCTGACCTTGTGATCCATCTGCCTCGGCCTCCCAAAGTGCTGGGATTACAGGTGTGAGCCACCGCGCCTGACCCAACATACAAATTTAAGAATACATTTTAAGCAGTACAGGGAAAATAAATGATGAGTATATACAAACTCTAAAATTCTACCTAAGATAATTTATTTTTCAAAAAAATAATGCTCCACTGTATAATCTGTTATTCAAAGTTGAATGGTTGGTACTTTTTAAAAGGAAAAATAGGCCCCCGCAAAAGGGCCAAAATACATTTGCGACGTTCGCCTAAAATAATTGGAAAATATACCAGTTATATACACATTTATGTTTTCTTAATCAAAAGAGTAGAAAGAAGTATAAGGCACAAAATGCTTCTAGGTATGACTCCCTAAACAATCTGGAACACAACATTTAGCTTCCATAATTTTAAAACACAGGAACTAGAGATAAATTGTCTGATAGATTGTCTTATTGGAAATTAGGTTAGGGGATTGCAGGGATTTGGAGAAAGAAACTAATGCATAATGACACCCATTTGCAACAAAAGAACACTTCAAGGGATTTATCTAAAATACATTTCAGAAATGGATGATTTGGGTTGATGCATTTGAATCTTTAAAAATTTTATTAGTTAAAATCATTAAGTCAGTGACATTTAGAAACACTGCTGCTGCCTTCTGTGTTCTCAACAGATTCTAAATTCAGCTACATGTATCTTGTGATTACAAGATATGCTTACAAATAGCAATAATTGTTGCAAAACAAATTACAGAGTGGCACAGGAAAACATTCTCCCTCCAACAGAGAGGGAGAGTGGATTACCTCACTCATATAGCCTGCAGGTTATATAATGAAGATTGCAGACTTTAAAATGAAAAAGAAATGTATGCCAAAATAGAAAAGTGATTTCATGAAAAATAAAGACAGATTCTTTTGTTTAGGGGAAAACACCTAAAGAATTGATGAGAAAATTCAGGCGCAAATATTTAAGTGTTTATGACTCTGTAAACTGTTTCTAAAAAGCTTATTTATTCATTTCCATAACTATTCATAGGATACAGTCATGCAAATAACAGCTTTTTCATATAGGGCTTGAAAATATTACAATTATATTGCACAATATTTCACAACAAATGTACATTTGTACATATACACAATATATTACATTTTTACATTGTATACATATAATTGTATTATAACAATGTTACATTTATATACAATACATTACAACTTAGAAATGAGTAATTTCTACTTAGTTGGATTCAGTATCCAGACAAAAGTATTACTGTTAATTTTAACCCATACATTTTAGTAAGAAGTGGACAGGGCATTAGCATGACACATATGAATTACTTCAGGGTACATTTTTAATAAGTAACCTCCAGGAAGTTGCCACACACATAGCAATTATC
Source organism: Homo sapiens (assembly GCF_000001405.40). Lineage (NCBI taxonomy): Eukaryota > Metazoa > Chordata > Mammalia > Primates > Hominidae > Homo > Homo sapiens. The sequence continues at coordinate 7,620,138 of NC_000007.14, read as the reverse complement.
GCAATAGAGATTCCAAGATGTAGGACAAGGGACCACTTTATTTTTCTCTGTGGCAGTTAATTCCTTTAACTCATTCTCCATCTTTTTAAACCCTTCATTGATAAATATTAAAATCTCATGATTGAAGCTTCCCAGCTCAGCATTCTGTAACACCCTCCTCCCAGAACCCAGAAACGTAGTAAAAAATTACTGATAATGAGAAGACTGAATGTACCTTATTATAATTTCTTGGTGGTCTACCTGTTCAATATACTACAAACTCCATGAGGATAGGGTGGGGAAACTGGAAGATAATGGATGGGGATGAAAAAAAAACCTTTTCACTTTGTTTTCTTTATACTTCTTGACTTTTGAGCCACGTTGTGGTGGTTAATTGTATGTGTCAACCTGGCTGGGCTAACGGATGCCCAGATAGTTGGTAAGACATTATTTCTGGGTGTGTCTGTGAGGATGTTTCCAGAAGAGATTCACATTTGAATCAGTAGACTGAGTAAAGATAATCCAGCCTCACCTATGTGAGTGGACATCATCCAGTCTATTGAGTGCCAGGATAAAACAGAAAGGTGGATGAAGAATGAATTTTTCTATTCTTGAGCCTGAACATCCATCTTCTCCTGTTTTTGGACATCAAAGCTCTTGGTTCTTGGACCTTTGGACTCCAGGACTTGCACCCCCCAACGCACACACAGACACAGACACACGCACACACACATGTTCTCATGCCTTCAGCTGAGAGATATATCATTGGCTACCCTGGTTCTCAGGACCTCGGAATTGGACTGAATTGCACCACTGGCTGTCCTCATTCTTCAGCTTGCAGATGGCGCATCCTGGGACTTCTCAGCCTCTATAGTCATGAAGTCAGTTCCCATAATCCCCGTGTGTGTGTGTGTGTGTGTGTGTGTGTGTGTGTGTGTGTGTGTATGTGTGTATCCTACTGGTTCTGCTTCTCTGGAGAACCTAATACACACGTGAATACATTTCCTATTTGAAAATTAAACTAAAAAGTCTTCATGATAAACAGTTGTTCCTGAATGGTTAGCCCTCAGGTAAACCAGGTTCATTTTTCAATAGGATTCATTGTAACTGAATTGGCCAAGTCCAGTCACTTTGGTCTGTTAGTATATGAAGGTATCCTGAAAACAGGGTATCAGACATTTTGTTATTCTCGAAAATATGATTCTTTCTATAGTAGAAATGACTGAGAAACAAGATGAATACCAAGGACACACAGTTACTGACAAGAAGATTATAAAGCATAATGGGCTAAGCAATGTTGTAACAAAAATTATCTCTGAAACAAGACCATCAGGGGCCTTTGGCAGTACTATTAGTCCTCCTCACCCTAATTGCTGTCAAGGTGTGGAGAATCTGGTTAAACATTGAAAGAGAAATGATTATCATAAAAGAAACAAGGCACTGGGTGCAGTGGCATGCACCTGTACTCCCAGCGGCTAAGGAGGCTGAGACAGGAGTTCAAAGCTGTAGTGCACTAGGATCACACCTGTGAATAGCCACTGCACTCCAGCCTGGGCAATATAGCAAGACCCTGTCAAGGAAGGAAGGAAGAAAGGAAAGGAGGAAGGGAGGAAGGGAGGAGAGGGAGGAGAGGGAGGAAAGAAACAGTGACAGTGAAAAAACTGACCAAAGCTAACTTTCAAATTATAGCAGAAAAGGTGTAGAAAGAGGGAATTACATATAATTCAGGGCTTTTCCATATAGGTGTTTTTTTTTCCTCAAAGTAAACACCATTAAAATTGAGCATGGAAATGAACAAGCAGTGCATTGTAAATAAATACAAACAGTGAATAGTCATATAAAATCTATGTTTAACCTCATTCAGAATTGAATATATGTAAATTAAAATATTTTCAATATTTTCATCTACTACATGGCTATAAGTAGAAATTTTATAATGCTTAGCGTTGAAGGTGTTGGGAAAACAGGCACTTTCCTATGCTGTTTAGTTTATAGGGAGATAATTAGTTCAACTTTTGGAGGGCTATTTGTCAATATCTATCAAAATGTAAAATACACATAACTTTTGGCTCATAATTCCACCTAATTTATCTGAGAAATTAACTCACTCACAAGTACCCAAAGATTTATACTCAAAGATGCTCACTGCAGTATCATTTGTAAAAACGAATGGAAATACCCTACATTTCTATCAATGGGAGATATAGACATCTAATCACACACCATTCAGTCAGTTTTTAAAAATTAGATATATATAGGCTAATAAGGGAAACTCTTCAAAATACATATTTTAGATAGGAAAAAACCATTAGAGGAGAGTTTATGCAGTATGATCTTATCCAGGCAAAGAGAGAGAGGCAAAGATGAACGCAGACAAACACAGCCAGATGTGGTTTATGTAAAGAACATTTCCTTACATGTGTACAGACTTTAAAGCAGCTTTTCCTAGAAAGTGAGAGTTGGCGTTTAGGGAGGTGACACATAGAGCAGGAAGATAATGGGGCAAACTGCTAAGAAGATATTTACTTCCACTTTATACTTTATGTAATTTTTTTTTCTTGTGATAAGCCTGCATTTTTTCCCAATTTTTTATTGTGGCAAAATACGTATAATATAAAATTTACCAACTTAACCTTTTTTAAGCATACAATTCAATGATATTAAATACATTCATAATTATGTGCAACTATCACCACCATCCATCTCCAAAACTCATTTCATTGTGTAAAACTGAAACTCAGTATCCATTAAACAGTAACTCCCCATTCCCTCCCCTCTAGTCTCTGGCTACCACCTTTCTATTTTCTCTTTCTATGATTTTGACCAATCTAAGTACCTTATACAGGTGGAATCATAAAGTATTTGTCTTTTTGGTTAGATTATTTTGCTTAGCATAATATCCTCAAAATTTATTCATGTTTCAGCATATCAGAATTTCCTTTTTTTTTTTTGTCAGGGTCTTAATCTGTCACTCAGGCTGTATTGCAGTGGTGTGATCATAGCTCACTGCAGCTTTCACCTCTCAGGTTCAAGCAATCCTTCCACCTCAGCCTCCCGAGTAGCTAAGACTACAGGCATGTGCCACCATGTCTGGCCCAGTTTTGTATTTTGTGTAGACATGGGATCTCACCATGTTGCCCAGGCTCTTCTTGAACTCCCAGCCTCAAGCAATCCTCCTACCTCAGCCACCCAAAGTGTCGGGATTTCAGGCGTGAGCCACCATATCCAGCTCCTTTCTTTATAAGGCTGAATAATATTGCTTTGAATATGTATACCACATTTTCCTTATTCATCTGTCCAGGACACTTGAGTTGCTTTCACATTTTAACTATCGTGAATAATGCTGCTATAAATATTGGTACACAAATAACTCTTTGAGACCATTTCAAAAGATTGCTTTCAATTATTTTAAGTATATACCCAGAAGTGCAATTGCTGGATCATATGGTAATTCCTTTTTCTTTCTTTTTTTTTCTTTTTTTTTGAGACAGGGTCTCACTCTATCACGCAGGCTGGAGTGCATTGGCACAAGCATGGCTTGTTGAAGCCTTGAACTCCTGGGCTCAAGTGATCCTTCTGCTTCAGCCGAGACTACAGGTATGCTCCACCATGCCCAACTAATTTTTGGAATTTGTTTTTGTAGAGTTGGGACCTCGCTGTGTTGCCCAGGCTGGTCTTGAACTCCTAGGCTCAAGCAATCCTCCCACCATGGCCTCTCCAAGTGCTGGGATTACAGGTGTGAGCCACCACATCTGCCTGGTAATTTTATTTTTAATTTTTTGAAGAAACACCATACTGTTTCCCACAGTGACTTTACCATGAGCCTGTATCATTTTTATAATAAAAAGTTAGCTTTAAAATTATTGGAAGTTCATATGATATACATCATACTAACAGAAGAATTCATCTGGTCCAGTTCATTGTCTATGAAATATAAGAGTACTAGACTTCAGTGAAGAGACTTGAGATCTAATTTCAGCTTTACCATCCGGTTCGAATACCTCTCCAATTGTCCAAATTGGTAGTTAAGCTGAAAATGACAAACAGGTGAACACTGGCCAGTTGGCAGTTGGTGCCTAGAATACTACGCTGAAAAAGGATCTGAGGGAAAGTGGGAGATTGATGAACCACTTGTGCCAAAGGTAAAGAAGTGTGTGGTCATTCACCACTAGGTCAAGCACAACTTGGCCTAACCTGTCCATCTCATGGTGTCTGAAACGAGTTGCTGTATTTCTCATTGGAGAATTTTAACACATAGAGGAAGTTTGCTATTGGCTCACATGTAGAAATCTTGTTACTATGTGTTTTTCTTATCACCCAGTGCTTCTTACCATGACCATTTTCTTCCCATTTTTCAAAATACAAGTAAGTCTCAGCTATCTACATTAATCAATGTTAGGTAAAAATGTCCTCTACTTAGCAGTCCTCAAAGCAGCCTTTGTTAGCTTCTTCTTAAAATTTCACAAAGACAGAAATGAAAAGTCACAATACCACTACCAACAGATTGTGGAAAGAATATTAATCAAGTATAGGACAGAGCAGCTGGATTGAGGACCTATGATAGCTCCATTTTGTTGTATAATCAATGCGTCTCAGCTCTGAAGAAAATGCACATGCACTTCAATTGGGTGACCAATACAATGTAGTAAAGGTAGTGTCTTAATTCAGAGGCAGATAAAACCAAAACCAACTGTTTATATTTGAATTTGAAATTCAACAGGGGAAGAGAGAGGAAACAATGAGGAAATAGGAGAAAGCCATGCTGGAAGATGAACATAGATGAGGAAGGAGTTTAAGCTCAGTAATATTGAGAACTTGAGGAACTTGGTCCCAGGAGCAGAAAGAGATGCTAAAATACCTATTCCAAGTACCATTCATTTTCCTTGATGTATCATTTTACCAAAACTACAATCTGTCACTTTTTTGTAGGACTATGGAGACCCACATTATCTGCCATCTGTTTTAGAAATGCAGCCCACATCATCCCGACATCTAAATGATGATGTTCTTTTCACTTCATTCTCACATCTGCCTGCTGAAATATAAGAAAAACTTTATTTTGCTGTATCTCAGTATCATTTGTAAATCTCCTTCCTCTAACTTCCCCCTTTCTGGATAAATTCTGACCTTTCAAAAATGCCTAACTCTATCCTTTGACTTTTTGTCTGAAGGAAATAATTTGGCAACTTCATTGGTCACTATTGAATGCAAATTGTAGCATTTCATAAATCTGCATTTCAAGGAACATGACAGTGATTAATAAAAAGTTTGGAAATCTTAGAGGGTTGTTCTTGAAACAAAAACAATCCTTCCATGCTTCCTTCCTCAATCTAAGGTTTTGTGATGCTGTCTGATGAGCAAAAAAACAAAATCACCTTACCAGGTCTGACAGAGTGACTCAGAAGGGATTATTTTTTTGTTATTTTTAATGCCATAACTTTTTAATTTAAATGCTAATTGATGATCCTAGCACAACCCTCTAGTGGCAGAATCAATTTCAGTAATGATGTTGATGGCTGCAATATGATCAACTGAAGCCTCCACCACTTGGTACAAAAGGAGTGGAAATGATAGGCAGCTCATTAATCATTTATTCCAGAGATGAATGTGTTCAGTTGCTGATAGGGTGCTGTAGGTGAATGCTGCCAAAATGAGAAATGTCAATTGTCAGGCCTCATGCATAATAACTGTGGAGCTATTTTTAAGCTTCTTTGAAGATTAAAGTTATGCCCTTTTTCCCTACAGTTCCGTCACGTATGCTTGGCAATTTTGGTCTCTGAGAATTGATTTTCACTATGCGCAGATGTCTCTGCTTGAGAAAAAATATACAGCTCAAAATCTAGCATATTTGAAAAGTTATCTAGAATCTGCAGAGGTCCACACACTGGAAGAGGACTCTAAATGAATACATAAGAAGTAGAAGATGCAAACCTGGAGATATACTGAGTAACTAACTGTTTTGGCCAATTTTTCCCATGAGATATGTTTTATCAGGATGATACACGTTTTTAATTTCCCAGGTCCCCACAGGGAACATACATTTTCTGTATTCATATAACATTTTCTGAAGACAGAAGTAACAAAATTCAATAAAATATATTAAAAAACAATACAATGTTTCTAAAAGAGTAGTTGTTCCCAGATGACCTTGAAAATCTGTCCTCAGCTTACTTGTCTCTAAATTGTGTCTGGTTCTTCCAGTAGAAAAAGAGAAAAAATGTACCCTGTCTGGAGTATTCTCTTTTGGAAGCCAACAGTATCTTAGCATTCATTCAAAGAGTTACACTCAATTTTCCAAAAAGCATTTAATGTATTTCAGAAAGCCGTCTATGTTTAAAAATGCTAATCTGTACTAAGAGTGACAAGTGACCATACATTCCATTTTTGAAGAATGGAAGAAAAAGATCAGAAGATTTGAAATGATAAAACATATTAATTTTTAAAGAAGTATTACTTTATCAAGAGATACTTCTCTCACATTTGTCACATCGCTGAATATGTTTGCTTCATAAATACACATCTTCATCTATTTTGGGAACATTTATGTACCATAAAGATACACATCCATAGTTGTTCAAATATTAAGTATACCTACTTAATGCATAATAAAAGTTTTCAAATTGACGATGAAAATATTTTTTTGACATAACACCACAGGAATATTGTAACATTCCAATTTTTACTATGAAATAATACATGGTGCTAAAAAGGATACTTAGCTTTACATTTTACAGTAGCAACTTCTTATTTAACTATCATCAGCAAAATATGTGGCTGCAATGTGATATAAATCTGGATAAGCATGAATTTGGACAACTATTATTTCAAACTCCAGGCTTTCTTATGTGTAGATGGAGCTAAAATTCTTTAAATAAAAAGATGTAAGATAAATAGTTTGCATGAATTCTTACATATATGTTTCAAGCTGTGAGACATTAATCCCTTCAAATGCTCCTCCAGACTTGTCTTTGTGACTTTATATTTTAAGAGACTAATTTGATTCCTGCATCTAAATTTCCAGTTAAGAAATTATGTTAAGGCAATATGCTTTTCATAAATTGAATGATGAAAGTCTCTACTGAATTATTATTGCTGCTGTTTCTAACATTACATAAATTATCCTTTAATCCTAAAGCTGCCTTTTTAGCAAAGCATTTTAAAACACTGTGCCATTAGTAGATGAGTAAGAAAATTACATTTTTGAAAAACGTTATGGAAATCTCTATTTCCTCAAATTATTTTTAATTGGAAAATAATTTTTAAAGTCCAAAATGAGAAAATCAAATAGACATTTTCTGGCTTGCAGAGATGCTAAAATGATACTCATTTTATGCAAATGCTATAGCAGTTGTAAATATTAAGCTTAATAGATTTGAATCTGCTGAAAACTATGCCTGGATCTGCCTCTTCCATTAGACATACAACTCCTCCAAGGCAACTATGGTGCCATCAATCCTTTAACATCAGAACCTTTAACACTGTCCAGCACACGTAGGTATGGTTCTGTGTTTTGGTGAAGCAAAGACACACAGGCATGTTCAGAATTCATCACTTAAACCTAAATAACCTGCTATTATTGGAAATGAATTGAGCAAAGTGCATGCCAGATTAGACTGGACAATAATCACATAAATTCAGTACATAGAGGAGGACAGCTTTCCCACCACAGACCCAGAGCCAAAAAAGAGGAGTCAGGAAATCTCATGACGAAGATATAGGAGAAAAAATATTGAAATGAAGTTATTAATCATGTACCACTAAGCTCAGGGAAATCAGAATTATTTTACATATTCATTTCCCAATACGCTAAGTGGAGAACATAATGCACTACTTCCAAATGTAATGAAGAATTGAGAGGACTATATCTTGTTATTCTTGTATATTACTAGTGTAGAGTAAGAAATCTAGAAAATGCTTTCTGAACAATTAGATCTCAATCCAAATTTTCATAACATCTTGTAGCCTGTTTTTTCACCGCATAGAATAAATCCTAACATATGATTGTTTCACTGTGTTTAATAACAAGATACAAGGTCATGGATAACTTTTCTAAAAGCCAGTATATACATATATGGTGTGTATGTGTGTGTGTGCGCGAGAGACAGAGTGAGACAGAGAGATGCATGTACATTTATATATTCATTATTATTGGGAAAAATGAAAGATAGATATGAAGAAAATGTTACTCAAAATTCCACTCTTTAAAGATGGCCACTGTTAAAGTTTCTGTATTAACCATATCCCAAACAAATATATTTATATGCTAGATATACTATCCTAAAACTTCCCTTTCACTTACCAATATATTAAGAAACCTTTGTCAATGAAAATATCTATACTAATTGAATCATTTCTTAGTAACCCACTGTATGTATATACAATAATTTATTCTTTTCTATTATTGGACATTTAGGTTTCCAAGTTTTTATTATAAACAATACTGTGTAGAACCGTATCATAAAAATATACATCTTTGTGCACTTATGCAATCAATCCCTCAGAAAATATTCCCAGCATACTATGTCAAAGGGTATGAAACTCTTTACGGCTTCTGATTAATACAGTTTACCTGTCCTCAAGACTTAAACTCTCATAAGCTGTTATCTCAGAATGTTTCCTTCCCACATCCATGAAAATGCCTATTATTTTAAATCTATGCAGTCAGGCGAACAGTATTCTACTTTTTAATCAGCATGTTACTGATTTAGCATTTATTTGTCAGCAGTTCTATTTTGCTTGCACAAGTCTTTGATTGATATTATCTACTGATTGTTTTTTCCTCGGCTTTGAAAATGTCCTTTCTGAATTAAGGCAATTTGTCATAAATGTTGTAGTTTATCAATTTGTTTGCCTTGTAACTATGATTTTTGCCATATCAAATTTTGATGACTTGGAAAAGAAGCAAAGGTGTGCCTTTCGCTTTCTTCTTTTTCATTGCCATGTGCAGAACCAGTGACAACAGCATCCACTTCTTATTCCTGTCTATAGTGAGAAGGATTCTAGTATTTCTCTAATAGGCATCATGATGTATGAGACAGTAAAACAGGAGGGGAGAAAATGGAGAGAAAACATTTCCTTTGCATAAAAACTGACCTCAAAAACAAATTAAGAGATCAATTTTTGAATTTTATCAAGCTCTTTGTGGTTCTTCTCTTTTGGTATATTAATACTAAATATAATTAAAATATTACCCAGTACTTAATTCTTGGAATAAACCCTTCTTTGTCGTAGTGAATCATTCTCTTACGTATATAACCTACAAAGTAGTACACAGAAGCAGAAAACAGAAATTAAAAGGGCAGATTAGCAGGTCAAGACTACTGGAATCTAAGTCTTGGCTGTATTTGCTACTCATGTAACCTAGGACAAGTGACCTGATGTCCCTATGCCTGAGTTGCCTCCTTTACAGAACGGGGACAATAATGGCATAACTGCCTCATAGGTTTATGGCGAAAACAGGATAATGCGCTTGGCACCTGGCACATAAAAGGCATTAACAGTAATTTATATACTGCTGCATTTGATGCTAATTTTACTTGTGACTTTATCATGTTAAAGTTGTGTTAATTTGATATCTGGGTTGTTAGCTTTTAAAAACCTTGGGAAGCTTTCCTTCTGTCGCTGTACTCTGGGAAAAGTAGTATTTTATAAAAATTAATATATTTGTAAAGTGCTACTTGTTATAATCAACAAAGTAACCTACAACATTTTCAGGTAGGAGAGAAAACTGGCAGATGATGTAATGGAAGGAGTGAGTAGTGGACAGGGGAGCTGCTATCTAACAAGGCCTGTTTCTGTCATTGTGATGTGGGTCACTAGACTTGATACAAGATATTGACCCAAATATGTGCCTCCTACCTCTCTGATGCCTGTCTGAGCAGATGTCAGAAATTGTGCCCACTAGCTTTAATTACGGCTATTCCGGGACAGCAAGTCTCACAGTATACTTTTGAAATTATCACTACCACCCCAACATTATAATTTAAATGAACATCAAGTGTAATAGAATGGCAGAAAAAGAAAAAGTACACAGAATAATCCTGGATACTTTCTCCAAGTATCCAGATTAGGGAGTTCAATTTAAACGTAGTTAAATTAAGAGTTTAGACATAAAACTTAAAGTTTTCAATAGTCAGTTGTTAAATTTGCCATAATTTTTTCCTCTGGGTTCATTTTTATATCACATTTAACTCTTAGGAGGTCATTTGGAGGATTTTTGCATGCAGCAAAAACAGTAATACTATAAATTTATCCAAATTATGGCATTTTTCTTTTGAGACAGGACTTAGCTACTTTTGTTTACCCTATATTTGGAGTATAACTATTATTGGGAATTTTCACTCTTTTTAAGAAAATCTATTTCAGCTAACTCACACCAAGGAAATTTTCATTCTTGAGACAAATGTAGATTCGTTAAAATTATAAGTATTCATTATACTTATAATTTTAACTATAATTAAAATTATACTATAAGTATTCATTGAAAAAGTACTGATACATGAGCAATCTATGAAAATGAAGGTAACAATGACTGCTAATCACTACCATTTATAGAGCACCATGTGACAGGGATATGGCACTTCATGTTTATTGCATCACCTAATACTCCCACACTCTGAGGTAGGTATTTCTGTATCTTTCTTTTAACATATGAAGAAACTGAAGCTCAAAAAGGTCAAGTCACTTACCGAAGATCCCGAGGCTAGGATTATAATTTATGTTTCAAAGACCATGCTTTAACTACTTGCAGTCAAATGAATGACTGAAATTGAGTCATCTAATTAAATGAAGAACTACATTCTTTTAAATACTTACTATGTGAAGCATTGACAATGGGAAGCTACTTTTAAAATATACCATTTTAAAGGATAATAACTATTCTGGAAAGTGGGTTGAATTGAAAAACAGAGCCTAAAAGGAATGTTACTTCTAATATTAAGTATGAAGTCTGTCATCAAAAAAAGCACCAATATTACTTCACGTGGATTATTTGTAAAGGAATCATAATTTCTTGATTAGATACAATGACTTCAACCCAGATTTATTCAATCTTTTAAAAATAATAAAAACACTTTTAATAAACACATCTATTGATCATGTTTAGGTAAAGTATCTTGTTGAGTTTATAAACCCAAATACCAGTGACTTAGTGATAAAAATGAGAAAATAATTTGATTGTCCATGCACACTGAAATGCAAAACAGACACCAGAGACATAAACTGCATGTTTGGGCTTCACAGAAAACATTTAAGAGGTTGACACATACATACAATCTTAAAAATGTCACCCTCATATATTAGGATTACAAATAAGCATATTACATAATAGACTTTACATTCATGTTTTATACTGTATTTCCAAAACTTGTAACTATTTGAGATAATTTTACATTTTACTTTAGCTAATGAGAATGAAAATGCATATGAGTCTGACATTACTTAAAGCTGACTTTCATATTTAAGACAGTAAGTTTGAAAGGAACACTTCAAATGAAATATTAAAGGTAAAGGGTATATGTTAATAAAATGAAATCAATTAAGATTTACTCAAATGAAGGCTGGAAAAAGTACCCTTAATAGCAATCTTTAAAAAAAAATTGCAATTACCATGTCTTTCATTTGAAAAGACTGTCATGCAGGTGAGACATTTAGAGTAAATATGTACTACTTCCAATGTTTTCCTAGAAAAGGGTTTTATGTATCAGACACTCAAGGTAAAAAATAAATTTAATCTACTTTTAATATTTAGGTTACACCTCAAACTAATCTGACAAATCTTAGTTTTTATAAGGCAAAACTGCTAATACGAAAGCTCTTAAAATTCTTGTTTTATTTCTCCAAAATCTATAAAATAAGATTTACTCTTTATGAACACAGCTTCAACTACAAAATTCCTAGTTCAGTCCCTCTGCATATGGCAGATGACAGAGAAGCATCTTGTAAATTCTTTGTATTTCTCTTACAACTATCTAGCTATGAAATGAGAAAAAAAAATGTTTTAAATAAAGTACCTGACTTAGCCCCAGTAACACTTACATTTAAAAACTTACATCTAAAATGGTCTCTGAAGTGACCCCATTTCCCCAACACTTCCTAGTCTACCTTGGAAAGAACAAGGTATGGTATTCCAAATCAGGACGGAATTTGACAGCACAGAAACACTGACATAGATTATACTAAATGGCTAGTTACATATAATCTTGCATAGACTTTGTATGCAGTAAAATGTTCTCAGGTGATGAGGATAAGATGACAAATTAATATGGAGAAAAACCTTTGAAGACAAATCAGGACATTGGAAGGCAAAAGGTAGAAAGTGAAAATTTTGTATGTTCACCTGAAATGGTACATGTTTTTCTCTACTGAAGAGAAAAAGTTGTAAGATAGATTCTTCATCTTGGCTTTTCTAGGAAGACGATAATGTTATGCCAAAAGATTGCTTATCTTAAAATCAAAGGAGGGAAAAGGCTCCTTTAAAAAATACATATTTATACATACACACATAAATATACACACACACATAGACACATATATAACAGACAGTAATAAAAAATATTCTCCAGTGTGGGATAGGGGCTCTGCAATTCTAAAAGTAAAAATCTGTAATTTTAAATTAATCTGAAAGAAATCTAAGCACAGCTGAACTTAAAACTATTGTCTGAATCACAGAATTAGTCATTTTATTTTAAAAGTGCACATATTTTATTGAAAGATATCCAGTTTCAGCTTTGAAGATATAGGCTCAAAGTCTGTTCTTGGCTCTTCCAGAAATTCTGCTTCTAGAGTGTTCATAATTTCAACCAAAACTTAGAAAGTTTTTCTAAATCAGACTTTTCAACCTGCTGAACAGAACTCATGTCTATACTTCGATGTTTATTTTGGCAGCATTTGTCTCTGTGAAGCATATCAAAATCACTCAAACATCAAAACTGCTGATCTGATAGAATGATTTATTTTCCCATTACAGGTAAGTCATGAATGGCTTGTTCTGAGGTATGTTTCTGAGCTATGAAGGACACCTACTAGAAAGCTCCACACTTGAAGGGTTCTCTTAAGGTGGTAACATTTTATGGCTGGACAGTCTCTGCAGGTACCAGATTCCCTGTTGTATCCAACTGCATACATTTACACGTGCATGCCGACACAGGGCACTCTGCATGGTCCCTAAAAAAATAGGTCAAATAACAGTTAAAAATCCAAATTAGACAGACATACATTTATTTATTTATTTATTTTTTAAGAGACAGGGTCTCCCTATATTTCCCAGGCTGTACGCACACTTTTGGGCTCAAGTGATCCTCCTGCCTCAGCCTCCTGAGTAGCTGGGACTACAGGTGTGCACCACTGTGCCCACCTGTTTACTTATATCTATCTATAATGCAACTTTTCAAAATGGCATTTGGAAAAATATAGAAACTAAAACCCAGAGAAAAAAAGCATCAAAAGCATCAAATTATAAACTACTGCCAAGCTGAAGTTTAGGGAGAAGTTAAGAAACACATACCTTTTACTTTCTACATATATGGCAAGATATTTCATTTATAGTTGTGAAGGTGACAGGGATGTGCTCAGAGTTTAAATTAGCTAGTAAGACAAACTGGGTATAAATGCTGTATCAACCAGGAGCACAGGGCCACTGGCACCATTCAAAATGAAATTCAAATATGTCTTGACAGTCTTAATTGCGTGACTACATAAAAAGCTTACTTAGAAGAGAACTGAGGCAGAGGTATGATATGCTCTTTTAACATTTCATTAGTAATTCAATTGCATGGTAAATTACAGAATATTCAGTGTAAAAACTGTAAACATATCCTCTCCCCGAATAAAGTTAAATAATGTTATTCAAACATTTAACTCATACAAAACATTTAAATTAGTTCTTACATAAGTATTACCTTTATAGTTTAAGGTTACATAGGATATCTAATCACGACATGTTCACACCACCTTTGTTAACATGAGTGACAGTAAAAAATAAAATTCATACTTTGGCTAAATGCTAATAGATAAACCCAAACTATTTAGAAGCAATCTGTGTTATCCCCCATAACTCCAAGCCTATCAAAGAAGAAATGTGCTGATTACCTGAACCAACTAAGCATATGTCCAGCATGTCCACCGTGCCTGCAATTATGACACCATGTAAACCAGTTGTTAAATTGGGCTAATTTTTTGTCCTTGCTCAAGTCCACTTTTTCATCTGATTTGGTTCCTCCTATGACAAAATAAAATGATCTTCATTAACTATATCATAATATTTTATTTAAAGTTACTTTCAAAAAGCATTTCTAAAACTGTGTTCCAAATATGAATCACACATCATATTGAAATAGCAATTTTGATGGTAGGTTCTAGTTTAGATGAAGCGAAACTGAATGACAGAAGCTCCCCTACATTTTTAATAGCCAATATAAAAATGGAAAAAAAAATCCAAACCCACTAAGAAACAATCTAAATTTAAAACTTTGGAGAGACCAAATCAGTAGTTTAAAATCTTTCCACAAGGAAAATACCAGGCCCAGTTTACAAGTGAATTTTACTTAACATTCAAGGAACAGGTAGGGCTGGGTGTGATGGCTCATGCCTGTAATCCCAGCACTTTGGGAGGCTGAGGCGGGCAGACCACTTGAGGCTAGGAGTTCACGACCAGTCTGGCCAACATGGTGAAACTCCGTCTCTGTTAAAAATACAAAAATTGGCCGGGGGTGGTGACACATGCCTGTAGTCCCACCTACTTGGGAGGCTGAGGCACAAGAATTGCTTAAATCTGGGGATTGGAGGCTGCAGGGAGCCGAGATTGCACTGCTGCACTCCAGGCTGGGTGATGGAGCAAGACTTTGTCTCAAAAAAAAAAAAAAATCTATCAAGGGACAGGTAATTCTCATCTGTACAAGCCCTTTCAAAGAAGAGAAAAAGCAGAAAGTTTCCCAATGCACTTCATGAGACTTGTGTAACTTAAACAATTGCTTAATTAGACTTAATATTTTTACTTAATTGCTATCTATAAAGACATTATGCATCGATAACTATGTTAAAAATTTTGCTTGGACCATTGCAGGTCACGCTTTCATGACCAAAAGGATAATCTTGCAGTCGGGAATAGTTTTAAAAAATATCCGTTTTTGCTAATGATATGAGGTGAAAGGATGTGTAAGTAATTCAATGATTAAAGATGTAAACACACTAGAATTACTCCTGAAAGGGTCACCAACAATTAATAATGAGAGGGCAAAAAGGAAAGGGGGAAGAGATAAATAAAATATAGATCTGATATGTACACTACTTTACACCTTTGTGTAAAGCTCTCATTAGTGCTTGTCACTTTGTTTTTGTAACTTCTAACATAAACAGATAACAGACTGAATCAGAACAAGGCATATCCTTATATTTTTCTGACGAAACTGGAAGTATTAAGGTCTATCTCACTGCCAAGTATAAAGGCTTAAGATCAAATGACTTCAAATTTTAAAAGATTTATAGTGAATTATGAAGACAAGTGCCACAGAACACTTTAGGCGAAACTAGAGTTTCACTTATGCATTAACTCATAATGTAAGAAGAAAATGAAGGAAACCAGTAGATAATCTAACTTTTAAAAAATGTGTCATTGTCCAGAAGTTAAATTCTGTAAGGGCAGCGATTTTTGTCTTCTTTACTGTAACATTTCTAGCACTTGGAACAATAGGTACCAAATAAACATTTGTTGAATAAATAATATTTATAATGTTTATAATGATGTTAGAACTGTTTCAACAGATTTCTAATCTTCAAAGCACAATTGAGTATAAAAATATCAACTCTCAGTTAAATAAGCTTATAGAAATTCCAGCTATTTGAATCACAAAGCATGATGGATGGATGCAATCTCTGATTGCAGGCAAAGCACCAGGGAGGTTTAGATACTCGAGCCACTAGCCAGCACTTTATTTTTTTTTAAATTTTATTATTATTAAAGTTTTAGGGTACATGTGCACAACGTGCAGGTTTGTTATATATGTATACATGTGCCATGTTGGTGTGCTCCACCCATTAACTCGTCATTTAGCATTAGGTATATCTCCTAATGCTATCCCTCCCCCTTCCCCGCACCCCACAACAGTCCCCGATGTGTAATGTTCCCCTTACTGTGTCCATGTGTTCTCAAATTGTTCAATTCCCGCCTGTCAGTGAGAACATGCGGTGTTTGGATTTTTGTCCTTGCGATAGTTTGCTGAGAATGATGGTTTCCAGCTTCATCCATGTCCCTACAAAGGACATGAACTCATCATTTTTTATGGCTGCATAGTATTCCATGGTGTATATGTGCCACATTTTCTTAATCCAGTCTATCATTGTTGGATATCTGGCTTGGTTCCAAGTCTTTGCTATTGTGAATAGTGCTGCAATAAACATACGTGTGCATGTGTCTTTATAGCAGCATGATTTATAATCCTTTGGGTATATACCCAGTAATAGAATGGCTGGGTCAAATGGTATTTCTAGTTCTAGATCCCTGAGGAATCGCCACACTGACTTCCACAATGGTTGAACTAGTTTACAGTCCCACCAACAGTGTAAAAGTGTTCCTATTTCTTCACATCCTCTCCAACACCTGTTGTTTCCTGACTTTTTAATGATCGCCATTCTAACTGGTGTGAGATGGTATCTCATTGTGGTTTTGATTTGCATTTCTCTGATGGCCAGTGATGATGAACATTTTTTCACGTGTTTTTTGGCTGCATAAATGTCTTCTTTTGAGAAGTGTCTGTTCATATCCTTTGCCCAGTTTTTGATGGGGTTGTTTTTTTCTTGTAAATTTGTTTCAGTTCATTGTAGCTTCTGGATATTAGCCCTTTGTCAGATGAGTAGGTTGCAAAAATTTTCTCCCATTTTGTAGGTTGCCTGTTCACTCTGATGGTAGTTTCTTTTGCTGTGCAGAAGCTCTTTAGTTTAATTAGATCCCATTTGTCAATTTTGGCTTTTGTTGCCATTGCTTTTGGTGTTTTAGACATGAAGTCCTTGCCCATGCCTATGTCCTGAATGGTATTGCCTTTCTTCTAGGGTTTTTACGGTTTTAGGTCTAACGTTTAAGTCTTTAATCCATCTTGAATTAATTTTTGTATAAGGTGTAAGGAAGGGATCCAGTTTCAGCTTTCTACATATGGCTAGCCAGTTTTCCCAGCACCATTTATTAAATAGGGAATCCTTTCCCCATTGCTTGTTTTTCTCAGGTTTGTCAAAGATCAGATGGTTGTAGATAGGTGGCATTATTTCTGAGGGCTCTGTTCCGTTCCATTGGTCTATATCTCTGTTTTGGTACCAGTACCATGCTGTTTTGGTTACTGTAGCCTTGTAGTATAGTTTGAAGTCAGGTAGTGTGATGCCTCCGGCTTTGTTCTTTTGGCTTGGGATTGACTTGGCAATGCGGGCTCTTTTTTGGTTCCATATGAACTTTAGTTTTTTTCAATTCTGTGAAGAAAGTCATTGGTAGCTTGATGGGGATGGCACTGAATCTATAAATTACCTTGGGCAGTATGGCCATTTTCATGATATTGATTCTTCCCACCCATGAGCATGGAATGTTCTTCCATTTGTTTGTATCCTCTTTTATTTCCTTGAGCAGTAGTTTGTAGTTCTCCTTGAAGAGGTCCTTCACATCCCTTGTAAGTTGGATTCCTAGGTATTTTATTCTCTTTGAAGCAATTGTGAATGGGAGTTCACTCATGATTTGGCTCTCTGTTTGTCTGTTATTGGTGTATAAGAATGCTTGTGATTTCTGCACATTGATTTTGTATCCTGAGACTTTGCTGAAGTTGCTTATCAGCTTAAGGAGATTTTGGGCTGAGACAATGGGGATTTCTAGGTATACAATCATGTCATCTGCAAACAGGGACAATTTGACTTCCTCTTTTCCTAAATGAATGCCCTTTATTTCCTTCTCCTGTCTGATTGCCCTGGCCAGAACTTCCAACACTATGTTGAATAGGAGTGGTGAGAGAGGGCATCCCTGTCTTGTGCCAGTTTTCAAAGGGAATGCTTCCAGTTTTTTGTCCATTCAGTATGATATTGGCTGTGGGTGTGTCATAGATAGCTCTTATTATTTCGTGATACATCCCATCAATACCTAATTTATTGAGAGTTTTTAGCATGAAGGGTTGTTGAATTTTGTCAAAGGCCTTTTCTGCATCTATTGAGATAATCATGTGGTTTTTGTCTTTGGTTCTGTTTATGTGCTGGATTACATTTATTGATTTTCGTATGTTGAACCAGCCTTGCATCCCAGGGATGAAGCCCACTTGATCATGGTGGATAAGCTTTTTGATGTGTTGCTGGATTTGGTTTGCCAGTATTTTATTGAGGATTTTTGCATCAATGTTCATCAAGGATATTGGCCTAAAATTCTCTTTTTTTGTTGTGTCTCTGCCAGTCTTTGGTATCAGGATGATGCTGGCCTCATAAAATGAGTTGGGGAGGATTCCCTCTTTTTCTATTGATTGGAATAGTTTCAGAAGGAATGGTACCAGCTCCTCCTTGTACCTCTGGTAGAGTTCGGCTGTGAATCCATCTGGTCCTGGACTTTTTTTGGTTGGTAAGCTATTAAGGATTGCCTCAATTTCAGATCCTGTTATTGGTCTATTCAGAGATTCAACTTCTTCCTGGTTTAGTCTTGGGAGGGTGTATGTGTCCAGGAATTTATCCATTTCTTCTAGATTTTCTAGTTTATTTGCATAGAGGTGTTTATGGTATTCTCTGATGGTAGTTTGTATTTCTGTGGGATCGGTGGTGATATCCCCTTTGTCATTTTTTATTGCGTCTATTTGATTTTTCTCTCTTTTCTTCTTTATTAGTCTTGCTAGCAGTCTATCAATTTTGTTGATCTTTTCAAAAAAAAAACCAGCTCCTGGATTCATTGATTTTTTGAAGGGTCTTTTGTGTCTCTATTTCCTTCAGTTCTGCTCTGATCTTAGTTATTTCTTGCCTTTTGCTAGCTTTTCAATGTGTTTGCTCTTGCTTCTCTAGTTCTTTCAATTGTGATGTTAGGGTGTCAATTTTAGATCTTTCCTGCTTACTCTCGTGGGCATTTAGTGCTATAAATTTCCCTCTAAACACTGCTTTGAATGTGTCCCAGAGATTCTGGTATGTTGTGTCTTTGTTCTCGTTGGTTTCAAAGAACATCTTTATTTCTGCCTTCATTTCGTTATGTACCCAGTAGTCATTCAGGAGCACGTTGTTCAGTTTCCATGTAGTTGAGCGGTTTGGAGTGAATGTCTTAATCCTGAGTTCTAGTTTGATTGCACTGTGGTCTGAGAGACAGTTTGTTATAATTTCTGTTCTTTTACATTTGCTGAGGAGTGCTTTACTTCCAACTATGTGGTCAATTTTGGAAAAGGTGTGGTGTGGTGCTGAAAAGAATGTATATGCTGTTGATTTGGGGTGGAGAGTTCTGTAGATGTCTATTAGGTCCGCTTGGTGCAGAGCGGAGTTCAATTCCTGGATATCCTTGTTCACTTTCTGCCTCGTTGATCTGTCTAATGTTGACAGTGGGGTGTTAAAGTCTCCCATTATTATTGTGTGGGAGTCTAAGTCTCTTTGTAGGTCACTAAGGACTTGCTTTATGAATCTGGGTGCTCCTGTATTGGGTGCATATATATTTAGGATAGTTAGTTCTTCGTGTTGAACTGATCCCTTTACCATTATGTAATGGCCTTGTCTCTTTTGATCTTTGTTGGTTTAAACTCTGTTTTATCTGAGATCAGGATTGCAACGCCTGCCTTTTTTTGTTTTCCATTTGCTTGGTAGATCTTCCTCCATCCCTTTATTTTGAGCCTATGTGTGTCTCTGCACGTGAGACGGGTTTCCTGAATACAGCACACTGATGGGTCTTGACTCTTTATCCAATTATCCAGCACTTGATTTCTATTAGATCCTGTTTTACTTTGGAAATGGACTTTTCTGATTTCACATGCCAAAAAAAAATAATTTGCTTCTTTTTCTTTTTTTTAAACTTTTACTTTAGTTTCAGGGGTACATGTGCAGGTTTGTTATACAGGTAAATTGCGTGTCATGGGGGTTTTGGTGTACGGATTATTTCATCATCCAGGTAATAAACATAGTACCCGACAGGTAGTTTTTCGATCCTCCTCCCACCTAGCACCCTCCAGTAAGCCCTGGTGTCTGTTATTCCTTCTTTATGACCATATGTTCTCAATGTTTAGCTCCTACTTATAACATGTGGTATTTGGTTTTCTGTTCCTGTGTTAGTTTGCTTAGGATAATGGCCTCCAGCTCTATCCATGCTGCTGCAAAAGACATGGCTGCATAGTATTCTATGCTGTGTATGTACCACATTTCTTTATCCAGTCCACCACTGATGGGCATTGAAGTTGATTTTATGTCTTTGCTATTATAAAGAGTGATTATTCTCTAACTTAGCTCAGCAATGCCTTTAAAGATCATATTCAGGCTCTCCCTAATTTTCCTACTGTTTCTTATCAGTTCACTTCCTAGGTCCTTTCACAACAATACACTTGCTCTTCCCAAACACCCCCTGTACTTATCATAATACTTACCAATCTCTTCACCCTAGTTCATGTTTTTTACACTTGGTCTGCAACCTGGACGGCTTCCCTGCAATCTTCATATATTAAATCTACCAAACTTTAAAGGACTGGCTTAAATGGTAACTTCCTCCTAAAGCTTTCCAGATATCCTTCAGATAGAAGTAATATTTCCCACTTTCAAAATTCCTAATTCTTTCCTTATATAATAGTCCTAATTCATGTTGGGGGTTTAGATGTGTTTCAGAATCCAGGATGTTTGGGATTTTAGAAAAAAGTAGCAAATATGTACACCTTGAGGGAAGTCTAAAGCACCCTGTAATCAAACTCGTTAGTATTTCTGTAGTGAAAGATGAATATTCACTAATAAATAAGAGAAATAAATATCTTAATAGCCTCACATCAATTCTGAACAGGTTTTGTGGTCAAATGAGATTACCGTAATTTTATTTTTAAAAGGCATTGGATTTTCAGATCTTTTTAGAGACTTTGAAATGACAGATAAGGCATTGTAGACCAGTATTTATTTTCTAGAAAATATCACTTATTTTATATTCGTTAACTATGCTTATTGCACACCAAGAGCTCCAAGAGGTTCTTTGATTTATTCATCTCAGCACATCAGCATTATATTAATGTATCAAGTAAAATCAGTGTTCAAATATGTATTATATATATAAAGAAATTATTTCTGTAGCAAATATGGAAAAAAATTCTATAACAAATATGGAAAAATGTTAATATTTGATAAACCTGAGTGCTATTCGTTATATTAGTCATCATAACAAAGAATTTCAAATGTTTTAAGATTTTTCTTCAAATTCTAGAAAATTATTTTCTTTTCTTACCTATTTCAAAAATAGAAAAGATTGAAAAACTGGTATTCAGCAAAAAGGAAGAGTGCCCAGGTGTAAGAATGCAAATAATCCTTATAGCTTCCTGAGGCTTATGGTCCAAAAGATGTGTTACATTTAATTATTTCTATATATCTCAGTTCATACACATATATGTCTTATTTATGCTATATTTTACCTCGAGCTCTCATTGTTGTAGATATTCCAAATTGTTATTTTCTGTTTATTAGGACCAGAGTTAACATAAAACAGTGATCAGTATGTAATGTATAAAATAAAAATCCTTGATTAAAATTTAAATCAAAACTAAAATGTACATTTAAAACATTACATATTCTCTTCATTTCTTTAAAAAAAGCATCTAGATGGAAAAATAATCGCTAAGCCAATGATACCAGCAAGTCTTTCATAAATGTTAATGTAATGATAAAGCAGACTACTTAAATGAACACGATACAGAATAGAATTATAAAATGTCTGCACTAGAAAGGATCTCCAGTCCAGAGGAAGGTGCAAGTAACTCTCAGTGTCACAGACTGCATGTCACAGAGTTAGAATTAAAACAGACATTCTGACACTCTAACCAGTTCTTTATTCATTACACCTGTGTGCCAAATACCCAAAATGATTTTAATTGAAAATTGTGCCACAGTATCATTTTCAAGTTAGGTAAAGAGCTGGAATAATTCCAGCCACCAGGTATAAGATATTTAATTATCTACTATTCTCAAAATTTTTTCCCATATGTTTACTATAAAGAATAAAAAATAATCTTAATATTTCTAACCATTAAAAAATATAGGCTGGGCATGGTGGCTCATGCCTGTAATCCCAGCACTTTGGGAAGCTGAGGCAGGTGGATCGCTTGAGTTCAGGAGTTCAAGACCAGCCAGGGCAACAGGGTGAAACCCTATGGTCCCAGCTACTTGGGAGGCTGAGGTGGGAGGATCACCTGAGCCCAGGAGGCAGGAGGCAGTAGGCAGAGGTTGCCGTGAGCCGAGATCATGCCACTGCATTCTATCCTGGGTGACAGAGTGAGATCCTGTCTCAAAAAACAAAACAAACAAACAAACAAAAACGAACACTGTGTGTGTGTGTATATGTATATATTCCAAATTGTTATTTTCTGTTTATTAGGACCAGAGTAACATAAAAGAGTGGTCAGTATGCAATGTATAAAATAAAAATCCTTGATTAAAATTTAAATCAAAACTAAAATGTACATTTAAAACATTACGTATTGCCTTCATATATATATATATATATATATATATATATATATATATATATATATATAAATTTACTAGGTAACTGACAAACAGCAGAAGCAGCATCAAAATCTAGAAGTCAAGGGACCTGACTTCTAGGCTAATACTTTCTCTATGTATTTTCTTATTTATTATTATTTTTTAATTAAAAACATTTTTTTTTTTTAAATTTAGGACAGAGTCTTGCTCTGTCGCCCAGGCTGGAGTGCAGTGGCATGATCTTGGCTCACTGCAACCTCTGCCTCCCGGGTTCAAGCAATTCTCCTGCCTCAGCCTCCCAAGCAGCTGGGACTACAGGTGTGTGCCACCACGCCCGGCTAATTTTTTGTATTTTTAGTAGAGACGAGGTTTCACGATGTTTGCCAGGATGGTCTTGATCTTCTGACCTTGTGATCTGCCAGCCTCGGCCACCCAAAGTGTTGGGATTACAGGCGTGAGCCACCATGTCCGGCCAAAAAAATTTTTTATAGAGATGGGGTCTCACTATTTTGCTCAGGCTGGTCTCAAACTCCCAGGCTCAAGTAATCCTTCCACCCTGGCCTCTCAAAGAGCTGGGATTACAGGCATGAGCCACTGCAACTGACCCTTCTCTCATGTATTTTATAGGTAGGTTTTGAAGATGAAGGAAGAAATGTCAAAGTGCTTTAATGATGTCAAAAGATCCTTAGAAATACAAAGTATCTGTTAATAGGTGCGGGTATACTGACTTTTAAATAATCAAATTTGAACGAACTCCTCTTAGTGGAAACAGTGATAAGAAAATGGTAATATATTAAGATTATTTCATATTTAAGTTTTTCTCACAAACTTTAAATTGGTCAGAACTTGTGAAATTACCTGAAGTATCAATAGATATAGATTTTGCTTTTAGTTTTCATAGTTCATAAATTATAGGAACATAAAAGCCTTCAAGCTAGTAAACTGCCCTTTCTTAGAAATAATAACTCTAGCTAGTTTGTATTTTATTTGCAACATTAACTCAATTATGTAAGAATCATTTCAGTTCATAAAAGTATTTTGTAAAATTATGTCATACCAGGACAGCTAGAAACTGGTGTTCCCATATTAATGAGACAAAGCGCACATCGAGGAAGTGGTTTTCGACAGCCAGGACAACTTGTGACTTTAGATTTCGTTGGTGAGCCACTCACACCATACTGACTAAAACCTCTGCCCTGATGAGGCACAGCTGAACAGCTGTAGGAGATTGACTTGCCACAGAAATTGCAACTCACAAAAACCTACAAAACAAATGAAAGAAAAAATAAATGTAATGCAAACCATAATGGAATGCTAAATAACTTAGTGTGCGCCTAACAAATTATTTTTAAATACTTTTAAAAAACTTTATTTTATATTTCAAAATTGATCTGCTAAGGTTGACTAGCTTTCATTTAAAATTTATACCTAGCAATTACATTTTTGGGGTACTTCCTTTTTAATTATATTCTTACTAATACCACTGAAATTGGTGGAAGAACTCAAACTTTAGACTCCAACATTTTAGAAATAACAATGACTTCAGAATTCACACTGGGCCATTACAAAATATCCCAATATGACTTCTAAACCACAGTTCAGTGATATAATCTTCTGAACAAAATTTTCTTATAAAGAAAACGCTGTTCCTAAGACAAAGAGAGTTAACAAACTTATAATGGTAAATAGTTAAATTTTTAGAATAATAGCAATAGAAGCTGTTCATTTTGTTTTTACCGTAAATTGCTAGGCTCTTAATCACTTATCATATAGATTAGTAACATGTACTACCATGTAATGCTATTTTATCAACACTCTGGTTTTAACATAAGCACTTTCTCAAGTTCCTAAAATAAGAAAATAGCACCATCCAGTGCTCATATTGAGGATAACATAATATTTAATATCTGAACTAAGACACAGTGATTTAATGTGGTATACCTTATGTGACAACAATCTCATTTTTTAAACTAATGCTAAAAAAAAATTTCCATGTGTAATTAAACATATAGATATAGGTAATACTGCTAAAGTCTAAAAAACCCAAATCCTGCCTTACTGCACATAAATAATGCTAAAAAACTTAATACACAAGTGGAATTTATAAGATAATGTAATAGTTTAGAATCTGAAAGGGCTGGAAATACACTGGAAAACTTCAGGCCTGCTGTGGTTTGTTCTATCTGCGACTAAAGCTCAAGCCACTGAGATGATTGTTAGCAAGAAGCAGAACCAAAGGACAGGAAGATCAAGGACAAAGTTCAGTCTACAAAAGACAAAGACATCAATGGGAACTCAATATAAGCAAAATAATGAGCTAATAGTAACTTATTAAATTGAACATCAACATGTTACAATTTGATTTTCTCCAAAACAATGTACTTACTTGTGCTAAAGGCTTGGAACTGGGATCCAACTTACTCCTGTGAATATCAAATTCAGCTCGTTTATGCCAAAACCTCCAGGCATCTAATAAATTTCTATAATTCTCAATCCAGTACTGAACCCTTTCATCTTTAAGAACATCTAAAGGTGAACCCTAAAACGAAAACATGAATTATTTCAATTGTTTAAAATCTCCTGGCTAGGCCAGAGACTTCTGGGTAGCATGTAAGTATGAGTAACACAGAAGAAATAGGCCTTTTTTTTTTTTTTTGCCAAAAGCTGGCTCCTAATGAGAATAAAGAAAATTTATGGAAGCTCCATTAATTTATCTCAAGCTGGGTTCCACTAATGACATAAATATGTACTTTATATATCATACCTGCCCAGGGAAGTCTAATTCTCTACCTTTTAGTTAAGTTTAAGAAAATAGAACTTCGTGGTTGAATGTTGTAAACAGTGATACGAATACCCTTTGTCCCAGCAATTAAAAACCTCTGGGTTCACAAACTCTGTTTACTATCAAATCCAAATGTAATACAGGCTGGGCGTGATGGCTCATGCCTGTAATCTCAGCACTTTGGAAGGCCGAGGTAGGCGGATCACTTGACGTCAGGAGTTCGAGACCAGCCTGGCCAACATGGTGAAACCCTGTCTCTAGTAAAAATACAAAAATTAGCCAGGTGTGGTGGCAGGCGCCTATAATCCTAGTTACTTGGGAGGTTGATGCCTGAACCGGGAGGCGGAAGTTGCAGTGAGCTGAGATTGTGCCGTTGCACTGTAGTCTGGGTGACAGAATGAGACTCCATTTAAAAAAAAAAAAAAGTCCAAATGCACACCAAAATTGCTCAGTCACATCTGAACTAACAGTTAGCTTGGTCCTTCCTATCTAGCAATGCACGGTGAACTGAGATGCTGCTTTTATATATCTACTTATCTGTAAGTTAAACCTGTCTATTCTTACTCTTGCCTTCAATTAAAACATACATTTCTTGCCTTAAAAATAATAACAGAACAAGAAAAAGCAAAACCAAACCAAATACCTTCTTAGTTCTTTTGCCCGTAGCCACAGTTAAAAGCAACACCTTGTTTTAGTTAAATTTACTTTAGAGTTCTTCTCATTAAGATCTTCAAGTTCTTGCCAGTAATAATTTTCCTAAAGTTGTATTTTCCCTGGCAGCTGTGACATTCCACATTTCATCTATGCTTGCTTTAGGTTTTCTTTTTTTCTTTTCTTTTTCTTTTTTTTTTTTTTTTGGAGACAGAGTCTCACTCTGTCGGCCAGGCTGGAGCGCAGTGGCACGATCTCGGCTCACTGCAACCTCTGCCTCCCGGGCTCAAGCAATTCTCCTGCTTGAGTAGCTGGGATTACAGGGGTGTGCCACCACCTAATTTTTGTATTTTTAGTAGAGATGGGGTTTCACCATGTTGGCCAGGCTGGTCTTGAACTCCTGACCTCAGGTAATCTGCCCACCTCGGCCTCCCAAAGTGCTGGGATTACACGCATGAGTCACCGTGCCCGGCCGCTTTAGGTTTTCTTAGAAGACTTTCAGCCCTGTCCAGGATATCTTCCTTAACTTTACATAATGGAGAAAGGAGAGAAAGTCTCTACTTCCAATGATGCTTTGGCATCAATCTGAAGGTTAGTTTTCTCAGTCCTACTTGAGGGCCAATAGAAAAGTGAAATTTCAGAGAGAACCTGGCGTATATCTTACTTATAAAAAAAAAGAACAAAAATCTGTAAGAGCTAATATAATCTTTAGACATCCAATCAAAAACTGAAGCAACATATCTTTCATCTATTAAATTCAGTGTTAATTACCAGAGTTAAATTTAGCTAAAAGAACATGTGAAACACATAGCTTACAATTTCATTTCTTAAAAAAGTAGAGGTCTACTCTAGCCCTAATTATGACCAAGTAGGCAGAACTAAGTACCAAAGTAGCATATAATCCCTGGTTTAAAAAGAAAATTCACAGAAAAATAAGATGTTTTCACATCTCATTCTTTCCCCTTATATGGCAAGAAGGGGATAAACTAAGTAAGAATTTGGTCAATACATATACAGTAAGTCTTCTCTAGATCCTCTCCAATAAAGCCTAAAATCAAGCCACAACATGATCTGTAATGAAAATAGTTCAGAGATTGAGTCTGACCAAATCAGAAGGGCTTGGGAAAATAGTGTTTTGATTAGTGAAGAGATAAGGAATCTGAACCGAGAAATGTAAACCAGGGGGCTCCAACCCCCAATATACCCCCAGGTCCACAGCCTGGTACAAACTGGGTCACACAGCAGGAGGTGAGTGACAGGGCAATAAGCAAAGCTTCATCTGTATTTACGGCTGCTCCCCATCCCTCACATTAGTGCCTGAGCTCTGCCTCCTGTCAGATCAGTGGTGGCATTAGATTCTCATAGGACAGTGAACCCTACTGTGAACTGCACATGTGAGGGATCTAGGCTGCATACTCCTTATGAGAATCTAATGCCTGATGATCTGTCAATGTCTCCCATCATCCCCAGATGGGACCATCTAGTTGCAGGAAAATAACCTCAGAGCTCCCACTGATTCTACATTATGGTGAGTTGTAGAATTATTTCATTATGTATTACAGTGCAATAATAATAGAAATAAAGTGCACAATAAATACAATGTGCTGGAATCATCCCTAAACCAACCCCCTGGTGCTAAAAAGTCCCTGGGGCAAAAAGGTTGGGGACTGCTAAAGTAAACTGTAACAAAGTTAAGATTCTGTAACTGAAAAGCACAATAACTGAAATGAACAATTCCCTGGGAAGTTTAACAGCAGACAGAGGTGATGGAATAAGTCAACAGAATCAACAAATCTGGGCCAGGCACAGCGGCTTGCGCCTGTAATCCCAGCACTTTGGGAGGCCGAGGCGGGCAGATCACTTGAGGACAGGCATTTAAGATCAGCATGGCCAACATAGTGAAACCATGTCCTACTAAAAATACAAAAAATTAGCCAGGTGTGGTGGCACATGCCTGTAATCCCAGCTACTCGGGAGGCTGAGGCATGAGAATCACTCGAATGCTTGAACCTGGGAGGTGGAGGTTGCAGTGAGCCAATATTGTGCCACTGCACTCCAGCCTGCGTGACACAGCAAGACTCTGTCTTAAAAAAAAAAAAAATTAACCAATTTGAAGAATAGTGGGAAAAAAAACATGGAAGGAAGAAGAATAGAGCCTCAGGCACCTACGAACACTATGAAGTGGTTTAATACATATGTAATAAGAGTCCTAGAAGAAAAACCGAATAAGATTGAGGCAGAAAAAAATATTTAAAGAAATAATATCCCCGTACTTCCCAAATCTGCTGAAAAACAGACTTCCAGATCCAAGAAGCTCAGTGAACCACAAACAGGATAAAATGAACCACAACCAGGTACATTAAGGTCATACTACTGAAAAATCAAAGGTAAAGGAAAAATCTTGGAAGAAACCCAAAAAGATTATCCTACATATAAATAATAGAAAACATTTTATTGATGGTTGCAAGGAAAACAAATTTACTTAAACATTAAAAATCAGAATTTAGGCTGGGCGTGGTGGCTCATGCCTGTAATCCTAACACTTTCGGAGGCCGGGGCGGGCAGATCACTTGAGGTCAGGAGTTTGAGACCAGCCTGGGCAACATGGTGAAACCCCATTTCTGTCAAAAATACAAAAAATTAGCCAGGAGTGGTGGCGTGAACCTGTGGTCCAGTTCCTTGGGAGGCTGAGGTGGGAGGATTGCTTGAGCCTGGAGGCTGCAATGAGCTGAGATCCACCCCAGCCTGGGTGAGAGAGCGAGACCCTGTCTCAAAAAAAAAAAAAAAACCCAACAAAAAATGAAACATCACAGACAGGGAGACAAGCATAAGAACAGCTGATTCTCATCAGAAACAACAGAGGCCAGAAGACAGTGAAACTACATCTTTAAAGTGTTGAAAGAAAAAATAAGAGTGAAATAGACATTTTCAGTTAAAATTTGAGAGAATCTGTCACCTATATTACAAGGAATGCTATAGGATTTACAGAAGGGAAAAAGAATGCCAGGAATGGTAAATAAGTGAATAAATATAAAAGCCCATGTTTTCTTTTCATAATTTACATAAAAGACAAATGACTGTTAAAAAAACACTGTAAGTTGGAGTATATAATATCTGTAAAAGTAAAATATATGACAATAGGACAAAGGAATGGATGTGTAAATGAAATCACACTGTTGTGACATTTGTGAAGCATGAAGTAAAACCCAGAAAGTGTCAGAGTGACATAAGAAAGGGTAAAGTAGAAAGAAAGCATGATGTGTCAGGTGAGAAATGTGAAGTATGAGGGGGTAAAATGTTGACTTTGATGAGTTGAGGGATGCATATTGTTAGATCTACAGCAACATCTTTTAAAAAAGATAATGAAAAGAGATATAGCTAAAAAGCCAATAGAGGCAATAAAATGAAACATGGAAATATTAACCCAAAATAAGGTAGGAAAGGAACATAGGAACAAAAGGAAAAAGGACAAACAAAACGGAAAACAAACAGCAAGATGGTAGACTTAACCATGACCATATAAATGTAAATGAAGGAAACACTCCAATTAAAGGCAGCAATTATCAGACTGGATTTTAAAAAAGCAAGATCTGTATTGTCTGCATTTTAAATATATTTTATAAATCTTGGTAAGAAGTTACTAACTCATTTGCACTCTGTAGCCATCTACAGCCATATACATACACTTTAATTTAAAAGACATAATTTTATCTCAACAAGAAAAAATGTTATAGAAGGGTACTTTTTCTTCCATGGGCAGTGGCTTGATACATTAGGTAAGTTTACTTTGTGGTCTGTGGGCTAGTGTCTCTATATATGCACAAGAAGGTGCAGTGGGAGAGGGGGCATTTTCCTGTGTTCACCCAGTACACAGTATGCTACCATATTGTGATATGAGGATGAGGGCAGGAAAGAGGAGGGTACCAACATCATGTAAGGATAAGATCAACTGGAGGGCTACAGGAAATCTCAGGAGAATACTCTAAATTTTACCATTATTTCCAGCAAAAGTAAAGTAGACAGCAATCTATGCCTGGAATCTGTTTTTAATCACTGGACAGTAAAAATTGAGAAAATATGGATAAATTGGTTACCCCAAATACCCCCAATGATAATAAAAAGAGAAAATGAAAGCTGAGAGCTGTGGTATAACTAGACTTCAGCACTTCAAGTAAGACTATAGTTGAGATCAGGAAAAGCCAATCTTTCTTGTAGAAGATGCAGTTATGTCAACAATTGGAGAAACTGAAGAGAGTTTCTCTATTCAATTTGAGCTTTACATAAATTCAGATGCAGTCAAGACTGGCCCTTCTCAGACTGAAAGGAAAAACTGGATAACTCAATGAAGAGGCTTAGGGACAGTAAGATAAGGCACAAGTCTTCAGTAGATCAACTGATTAGGTTAAAACTAAATGCCTTCTAAAGATCCTAAGCAAGCAAAAGTGCATATTTACTTTCAACTGAGGAAAGAAAATATAGAATATTGTTACTTTTTTAAAAGCTGCTGTCAAACTGCACTGACCTGTAACATACAGTAACTTGCTGTTTGAACATCTCCAGTTCTATCAACATAACTCTCCATTAAGTCCACTCCATCTTTAGTAAGGCCTGTAAGCAAAATTCCTTCCAAATTTCCAGCCTCTTTCATTTCATTGGTCAACTTTTCGATGTATCTATTTAACTGGAAAATTTAAAGTGATTTTTCTAAAGCAATCTGTTTCACTATGTATTTTGTACTTCAAAACTACATTTTGAACAATTTCATTCCTAATGGAAAACATTTTAAAACAAAAGACTTTACTAAAATATAAATATTTAACTAAGAAGTCTGCATCTATTACAAATTTCAAAGCAATATCCATAATCATTTAAAATATTTTAAAAAGGCATTTATTATGTTGATAATTAATCCATAAAAGAACTATAGATGGTTTATTATTTTAAAGATAATTGTCCTCATTATTCTGCGAAATTTTTGCTGTCTATCATAGTAGTATGTAACAGAATCACAAAATCTGGAGTTGGAAGGGAACTTTAAGATCATCAAGAATAACTTCCTTTAGGTCTTCCCTGACTTCAACCCACCCCAAACTCTTGCCAAGATTCCTCCATCTTTCCCCAGCATTTTTCATTATTATAGTACTTAGCATATAGTATTACTGGTTGTTTACATGCATTTCCCCCTCACTATATACACAGCATAGGCATTTAGCATTGTTTAATGTAGTAAAAATGAGGAACCCTTTCATAGCATCACTAAGAGGTGAGTTTAACATCTTTACCTACTAACTAATCTTACCCTCCAAAGAAGAAATATACTAAAATATTGTCAGTATTCTAAACAAATAAATTTAGTTATGGTAGACATTTTCAAAATATTTTTATCTAATAAATTCTTACCATACTTTTTAGAAGAATTAGCTTATCAATCTCATACATATGTAATTATAAAGACTAGTTTCTTACATAATTGTGACAGTACATATTAATTACTTCAAATGTGGAATTAAATCAGTTTTCACCTGAGTATCACTAAGGAATTTACAAGCAAATGCCACTCTGTCACGTACTGCAACTTTGTTTTCATACTGGAAAGAAGAGAAAAAGCAAGGAGTTACTTCTAGGCGCACTGGTTTTAAATTTTTGCAGAGACTGAATGTTTTATATAAATAAAATGAATATGTTTATTTCCAAATTTATTAATAAGTTATATTTATCTTGCAGAGCCATTAATTGCCTGAGATGCCTTTCTTGATGTAACTCTTAGGAAATTCAGCAATAAGGTTTTGTCCTTGCAAAGTAAAAATTTACCTTTTAAACACTAGCCAAATTCAGTTTTTAAAAATCCAGGTCAGTCTTACATAACATAAAACATAAGCAATGATGCACAGTATATCAAATTTAAGATGCCACATAATCTTTCCATCATAGAAATTAATTTTAGAGAACTAAGGAAATCTTTCCTTGGCTACTAAGTTAATCAGTAAGTCTAAGAAATTTGTGAATTGGCTACACCAGTACACAACTTAGAAGAATACCAATATACGTTTCCAAGTACAAAGTGACAAGTTTTAAAACATAAACAGACACACTCTTGTGGCTAAAGTTGTTATATAGGTGGTTTGTGGCAAAGATTTCAGAGGCATTATAATAACTAAAATTTTTGTAAACTCGTCAATATCATGAAACACTTTTGAAATATATTTACTACAAATGTAGGAAGGTACAATTAATTTTGTAATTTGTAAAAATAATTTAAGGGTGGAAAAAAGATCCAATTTCCACTGAAGTCATCCTATGAAAATTTTACTTTTTTAACCGTAAGATCACTTCAGTTGATACCTATATCTTAGCATATTTTTTCTATGATAAAATATGGTTTTGCCCTAAAGAGAGAACATATTTCATATAACTAGATTTAACTCTTAGATTCAGTTGCATATGTTACAAAATTTTGATCTGGAAAGAGTTATAAACATTATTCTGTCCCATTTTACATCTCGAGAAAGTAATACTCAAAAAAATTAACTGAATGGCTATGGTAAATGGGGCAGAGCAAGGAGTCAGGCCTGTATTTTCCGACTTCCCAATTCAGTACTTTTCACATTACTATTAACATTTTTTAAATAGCAACATTAATTATAATTATTTATACATAAAGTATAACTAAATACATAAATGAAACAGCTTGGAAATATGAACTTCGTACTCAAGATGACTGTTATCTAATAACTCAAATTTATGTATAGCAAAACAAGGATACTGGGGCAGGGCATGGCGGCTCACATCTGTAATCCCAGCACTTTGGGAGGCCAAGTCAGGTGGATCATTCAAGATCAGGAGTTCGAGACCAGAATTGATATTTCTGGCCAACATGAGGAAACCCCGTCTCTACTAAAAATACAAAAATTAGCCGGCATGGTGGTGCATGCCTGCAGTCTCAGCTACTTGGGAGGCTGAGGCACAAGAATCACTTAAACCCAGGAGGTGGAGGTTGCAGTGAGCTGCCATTGCACCACTGCACTCCAGTATGGGTACAGAGCAAGACACTGTCTCAAAAACAACAACAACAACAACAAAAAAAAAAAAAAAAAAAAGGGAAAGAAAAGTACTTATTATGGGTCACTTAACTTAAAATGCAGAAATTTAATATTTAAACAATATACATCTTTTATCAATTCAGAAGTTAACAATCCACTTGTTTATCTAGTCTCTATCATTCTCTAACACTTCGTGAAAGCATTATTTTATCTCTCCAAGATACATTTAAAGTCTTCTGTTTAACAAAAAAGATTAATTACAGTTAAAAAATAAAGTCCTAACATTATACGTATTAATTTGAATTGGTCAGAAAAAGTTCAATAGTAATTTATTAAAAGTAATAAAGTACATAAAGTGCAAAATACACATTTATTAAACATTTCATTAAGCTGCTCCAATAAAATACATATTTTTACAAATTCTTAGGGACTAATCCTTAAATCACTTATTCAAGAAATGTATAATTGATAAGAAATGGTACAGTAGCAAACACAGAAATGAATTTCAGTGTAGAAAGTTCTTCCCACTGCTAGAAAGAAGCCAAGTAGTGCAAAGAAAGTTGTAGTACTATTGTTTAGCTTAAAACCCAATAGCTAAAACTGGTAAGCAAATCTCACTTCATTCTTTCTTTCCCCGTTTTGTGATAAAGAACCTATTTGATTGTGTTATGATCACAGGTGGTTAAAACAGAAGAGAAAAAGAATAACACAAAGACCAAATAAAAAGCTGAAATAGTCCACTGTAAGTACTGTTATCATTCCTAACAGGAACCACAAAGACTAACTGGGACAAGATGTATGGCCACCTCCACCATAACTGATCAATAATCGTGAGTTGTTTTATTTAACTACACACACACACACACACACACACACACACACACACACACGTGCATGTGTGCACAGTGTAAACAGCGAATATATTTTTATGTTTACACAGCTGTAGATTTCTACAGCTCAGTTCTTAAGCTAAAGGATAAAATCTTTATTCCTTCTATATCTGTAAATTATATTAAAACCATAAAAATCAAATCCAGTTTGGTATCAGTTAACTAACTCTAGGACGGGAATCACACTCAAGAAGAGCTGCTCAAAAAAAAAGCCCAAGATGCCTTATTTTAAATAACATATGCATAAAAATATAATATTTTATGCAACAGACATTTGAAAATTTTAATAAAGTTAGATAAAAACTCCTATCTTAATTCAAAGGAAGATCTTAAAAAACAAGTTAGCTTACCAAAACTCCATCGTAAGATCCTGTTTCACTTGTCAGAAATGCAAACATGACACACAAATACGGGTTATTTAGCTGTAATCGCAGTGTGCTACACATTTCTCTCCAAAGGGAGTTCTTCTCATCCGTATAACCCGATAAAGCCATTGCTACCACATTGAGATTCAGATCTCCTGCATATTAAAAACAGCCAGCTAATCAAAGTGATCAAAAGCTTAATATCTCTTCTACATTTCTTAAACCATAAATAGAAATCAGAGGGTGACTTTTACCCTCAGAAAAATGAGCTCAGAGAATAAGGGTTTTGGGCTGCTCTGCCTATGGAGTAGCCATTCTTTTATTCCTTTACTTTCTTAATAAAGTTGCACTTTACTCTTGAAAAAAAAAAAAAAGGGGGGGGTTTGGGTTTTGATTCAGACTGGAAAATTTGGCAAAGACAATAAGCAAAACATTTCTACCCTTATAAAACTCATGCCCATGTGTGCAAACTCTGTGCAGGGAAGCAGATCTTTTACTTTTCAAGTTCTCAATCCAGGCAGGGTCTTATATAAGTTATTCCTGTGTATGTTCCCATATATGTATGTTATTGCTTACTAAATGAAGAAAAGTGAAGTCATCCTACCAGAATCACTGTCAACTTTAACAAGTTTATTAATGTAAAGGTATTTCAAAAACACTTATAGTAAATATTGCATCTCAAGACTGCAATATTCAAAATCATTTTATTTTCCTATTCCTAAATATATAATGCAGACACTTATGTATATAAGTGTCAATGCAAAGTGCAGAAAGTAATATTTCAATACTTTAATTACAGTATTACACTTACAATTTTTCCAGGACAAAATGAACTACAAGAATTACCACAGAACTGCATTTAGACCCATTTGCAAGAAAGCATTTGTTACCAATAGTCTTTTAAACATTTGTTCTTAGCAGTTTAGATGCATGCTGATAAGCTGCTAACTTTGCCTTCAGCAGTATGGCTGCCTAGTCTTCTAACCGAAGTTCAGCTTCAAAAGAAAAAACTGAATTTTCCTTTAACTTTGACTTTTAAGTATTTTCTACACTTATTATATAAGTTTTCTTAATCTATTTCTTGATTCTAATCTTTTTCTTTCTTTTCCAAATAAAGCAGTGTTTCCCACTTTATGTTCTTAACAGCTTTATATTCCTCATTTCTATAAACACTTTCCCAAGTTACTTT
This sequence comes from Homo sapiens, assembly GCF_000001405.40. Lineage (NCBI taxonomy): Eukaryota > Metazoa > Chordata > Mammalia > Primates > Hominidae > Homo > Homo sapiens. The sequence goes on along the minus strand of NC_000007.14, from coordinate 7,584,601 downwards.
GTGCTTGCTTCCTTTGCCTAATACATTAGATTTAAGGTCTTTTAAAATAAAAATAAAAATAGCAAAGAAGTATCTTTGGATTTTGTATAGAACAATTTACTTCTAAATGGAAAAGAATGTTTGACTCAGAGAAGTCTTCTCTTCAGTCCTTAAAATCACTGGAAAGATACATTTTCCCTATTGTTAGTATGGGTGTTTAAATCGACCACCAAATTTCCCAGGTACACAAGATAGGAAAGTATCACCCTTTCAAGTTATAGCAAAATTATAATTAGAAATGGCTTTAAATATCAATTCTTTTTTCCATCATCACCTATTTTCTATTGCACTCTTAAATGAGGGAGACTTTTGTTAGAGCAAAGGTGAAGGAAAAGATGCCAATCTGAGCAAAACATTGACTTTTTTAACTTTTAGACTACAAAAAAAATTACAGTGAATTTCATGTTTTTCTCTATGCTACAGCTAAACTATAATGGTTTCAAAATGGACCAGCAAGTAAGGATTCAGTATTCTGAATATTCAAAAATTATTTTTTAGGTGTACTAAAGACCAATAGCTATATATATTTTAGTTATTTCCAAGCGAAATATTCCTGATAAGAAAAAAACCCCTGAGGTTTTGTATTAGGATTTGTTTTTCCGAGGATCCTCTGGCAAAATGCCAGAGTAAAAAAACCTTATCTCTTTCTTTTTAAAAAATACTAAATGAAAACTGTATTTTAATCACCAGATTCAAGAAGCAATTTGAAGATCAAAGTATGCTTTTTATAACAATTTGTATTAGCCTAAATAAAAGTGTCATTCAGAGTTTCTTAAAGGTCAAACAATAACCATCCCAAAGAAAGTATAAACTAAAACACTCAAATATGGATCGTAAAAATACTTGTAGGCTAAAGTAGCCCTAATCTTTAAGAAAATATATTTTAAAAAATGTTATGTGAACTATCTTTAAGAGAAAACATTGAAAATGGACACACTTGAGCACTCCTTATAATATTATACTAACATTTAAGACACATCTTTGTTTTTACAGCCCTAAACCAAGGCATAAGAGATGAGCTAAGTATTTACTGTTATAGATATACTGCTGTGTTTTCTCCTCCAACAAAAATTAAATTAAAATTTTAAGTGATTAGATATTTGAAAATTATTAGCCTCTTTTCTTTAAAAGATTCCATGAACTGCTAACATCTTAGATTATAACTAATATCTTAGTTTATAACCTAATACCTTTTTCAGAAGATGCCCCTTCATTCAGGATTTGGATTGCTCGGCGAATATCCAAGTTGAACAATGCCACAGCAGCAGCTCTTTCCCATTCCCCTTCTTGTACAAGGGAGTTCAAAAATGGCCCCACGTCTACATCCGTTCCTTTCTTTATCCACCCACAAAGCTGTAAAGCTAAGATTCTCTCTTCATTTAAATTTTGAATATCACTTTGCTTATCCAACCCACTCCAATTATGTCTGCTGCTTTCCACCATTCCTAAAAACAGAAAACATTTTTATATTGTTTTATTTCAAAATATATTTGGAAAGTAAGTCAGTTTTACAGAGAACTATGTTGACACATTTAGAATATTTAACTTCTCGGCCATAATTTTATGATAGTGTAAATATGAACTATGCCACAAATACAACATATTTTGCATGTTTTTAAGTACAGTAGCTCCTTGAGTTAGCAAAGAACTACTGAAATAAGAGCAAATGCTCAGATGGACTAAACTGAGTTACTGCCTGGCCACCTAATCTAAAATAGACATACTTGTTATTATCTAACTCACCACCCATTGTTTCCTCTATTTCCTTTAGCACTTAATATGTGCTCCCATTTATTAATTTATTTTTCAGTCTTATCTCTTCTCCCAGTAGCGCATAAGCTCCAAAAGGGCAGGTGTCTTGTCTGTTTTATTCACAAGGTATCCCTACTGTCTGAAATCCAGTAGAAGTGATCTTGCTTTCTTCCTTCTTTCTCTGTACATTAAAAAACAAGATTACAGACTTCAAAGTACTTTGAAAGTTTAAGGTAAGTAATAATTTTAAAATATAATGGGACTAACTTGAGGGCTATTTTTCCCCTTACTAAATCAGAAAACTTCATTTCTCATTCTTTTTTCAGAACAAACCCTTGCCTTCACATAGCATTATTTATACTGCAATCAAGGCAGTTGATCCTAATGACATGGTAATTTCACTTAGGATGATACTTAGTGCCAAATAAAGTCAAAACGAATAAAGATGACACTTAAGAACTATAATAACAAATTCTTAAATGTTCTAGAAAGTTTTACCACCAAAATTGTCATTATATAATTATGTTTTTTAACAAAAAGGATTTTCAGAATAAACTAAATTATGAATTAGGCAACATGAATGTCCAACATTACCAACTTTTTATTTTTTGTAGTAATTTACCTTTGTAATTTACAGTAATTATATATTTATATATTTACATACAATACTGCAATTATACATTTGTAAATAACTAGATCAACAGCAGACAGTTTCTAGAATTCCTCATTCAACCTGTTGGTTGTAGGCAGAACTGTTAAAAACGGCTGCATTCCTGTCCTGGCCCGCCCTCCCGCCCCGCCAACCACACTCTTGTGTAAACCCCTCCCCTTGCGTACAGGTAGAATCTGTAACTTGTCTCGAGATAACAGAATACAGCAGAGGTGAAAGCATTTTGCAGATATAATTAAGGCCCTTACTCAGTTCACCGAGCGAATCAAGGGAAGATTATCCTGTGTGGGCCTGACCTAATTAAGTAAGTCCTTTGAAAGACAGTCTCGAGGTAAGAGAGAAGCAGCAGGAGACAGATCTCCTGCTGATGATCTTGAAGATGTAAAAGCTGCTGTGCTCTGAGAGGGTCTGTGAGAAGGCCACGTGGCAAGGAACTGTGAATAGCCTCTAAGGAGCTGAGAGCAATTTCTGGCCATTAGCCCTCAAGAAAATGGCTACCTCAGTCCCACAGTTGCAAGGAACTGAATTCTGCCAACAACTCCATGAACTTGGAAGAGCACTCCAACCTCTAGAAATAAATACAATTTGGCTGATACCTTCTGGTTAGCCTTTTTGAGACTCTCAACAGAGGACCCAGCTAAGGTGTGCCCAGACTCCTGACCCATGGAAATGACGAGATAGTAAATGAATGAAAATACACTACCAAAGTTAATTTAGCTACAGTCATTCTGGTCAAGGAATTAAAGGCATAAACAAACACAAGCAAAAATAAGAAAATATTAAAAACTTGTCATTTGCAAGTTAAATTACATATATAAAATTTTTCTTTTCTTTTTTTGAGATGGAGTCTTGCTCTGTCACCCAGGCTGGAGTGCAATGGCACACGATCTCAGCTCACTGCAACCTCCGCCTCCCAGGTTCAAGCGATTCTCCTGCCTCAACAGGTGCACACCACCACACCCGGCTAATTTTTGTATTTTTAGTAGAGACCGGGTTTCGCCATGTTGGCCGGGCTGTTCTCGAAGTCCCGACCTCAGGTGATCCACCCACCTCAGCCTCCCAAAGTGCTGGGATTACAGGCATGAGCCACCGTGCCCGGCCTATTTTTACTCTTTTCAAGTATTCAGACTAAATGATTTTTAAGAAAAATTTTAGGCCAGGCACCGTGGCTCATGCCTGTAATCCCAGCACTTTGGGAGGACGAGGTGGGCGGATCACCTGAGGTCGGGAGTTCGAGAACAGCCCAGCCAACATGGCAAAACCCGGTCTCTACTAAAAATACAAAAATTAGCCGGGTGTGGTGGTGTGCACCTGTAGTCCCAGCTTCTCGGGAGGCTGAGGCAGGAGAATCGCTTAAACCTGGGAGGCGGAGGTTGCAGTGAGCCGAGATCGCACCAGCCTGGGTGACAGAGTGAGATTCTGTCTCTTTAAAAAAAAAAAAAAAAAGGTAAAATAGTACATAGTCAAAGGTCTAAACTCTCTTTTATACCTAATTCATACTTTTAAAAACCTTGTGTGATTATCTGATTTTAGGCTGTGGCAAGTCTAAAATATTATGCATGTTAGTACATATTTTAAATTATATCCGATTGCTTTATGAAAAAGTTTCAAGATGTGTTATTTGTAAAATTTTGGAAATACAAAAATTAGTTAAATAATTCCACTTGAAGTTACGTATTTTTAACCTGACTATTGGAAACTATTGCCAATTCAGGTCAAGGAGTTAAGAGGAAACTTCCAAAAAGTTTTCTTACTTTAACAGCACTTCCTACCCACTAAAAAGAAGGAGCATGCTACTTTATTTGCAACCATGAGGGGAGTCAGCCCAAAGACAAAATCACTTTTAGCTTATGAAAGTGGATTTTTAAGGACTATAATGTGAAAACTTTTAACGATTAATGATAAAAGTTAACAAAACACTTATTAAAAAAATTAAAACATTCATTCTGAATAACAAATTTAAATTGTCAGGGCAGAATGCAGTCATTTAATTTCAGGTAGAGGCTGAGATGTATTATAAGGTGTGTATTTTCATATCTCTCCTATAAATTTTGGATTTAAAGCTGGTATTTAGTGATAATACAATTTTAAAACAGGTGAGCAAAAATCAGCAATTTATTTTTCAAATGGTTCCTTACAGCTTAATAATAATATTCTAATTTCTCAAAGAGTTTTTATTTTATAGAAATCATGTCATGGAACAGAATAGAGAACAATCCAGTCATGAGTTGATTAACAGTAGGGATACATTCTGAGAAATGTGTCATTACGCAATTTCGTTGTTGTATGAACATCACAGTGTACTTACACAAACCTAGATGGCATAGCCCACTACACACCTGGGCTACATGGGCCTGTTGCTCCTAGGCTATAAAGCAAGCTTGTCTAACCCACAGCCCAGGACAGCTCTGAATGCGGCCCAACACAAATTTGTAAACTTTCTTAAAACATTATGAGATTTTGGGGGGATTTTTTAAGAACTTTTTTATTTTTTAGCTCATCAGCTATTCTTAGTGTATTTTATGTGTGGCCCAAGACAATTCTTCCATTGTGGCCCAGGGAAGACAAGATTGGACACCTCTGCTTTATAGCAAGTTACTGTACTGAATACTGCAGGCAACTCTAACACAATGGTAAGTATTTGAGTACCTAAACACAGAAAAGGTAAAGTTAAAATACAGTATTAAATCTTATGGGGCCACCATTATATATGCAGTCGATTGTTAACAGAAACGTCATTGTGCAGTAGATGACTGAAAATGAATTCAAAGAGGTCACTGCTAGGAGGTAGAAATATTAATATGTCCTGCATGTTAAGAACATGGTTATTGTATCACATATTTTTTCTGCTTAGAGATCTTTTTATTGATAACTATGCTACAGTTGATTATCAGAATTATCAAATAAGCAATATGATGTCAGCATGGGTTTTAACTTATGAGTTTTACATATAAATTTTTAATATATCTCTGAAAACGAAGTAAAATATATTTATGCATGTTATGTACCACTAAAGTAACAAAATTTTATCTCCTAAATTTGAGACTGTCCTATACATAAATAACAGAAAACGTTTTACTGATGGCTGCGAGGAAAACAAGTTTATTTAAACATTAAAAATCAGGGTTTAGGCCAGGCACGATGGCTCATGCCTGTAATCCCAGCACTTTGGGAGCCCGAGGCAGGCAGATCACTTGAGGTTAGGAGTTTGAGACCAGCCTGGCCAATGTGGCAAAACCCTGTCTCTACAAAAAATACAAAAATTAGCCAGGTGTAATGGCATGCGCCTGTAATCCCAGCTACTCAGGAGGCTGAGGCACGAAAATCACTTGAACCCAGGAGGTGGAAGTTGCAGTGAGCCAAGATTGTGTCACTGCACTCCAGCCTGGGTGACAGAGAGAGAGACTCTGTCTCCAAAAAAAAAAAAATTAGGATTTAAACATTTCTTTCAAATCAGCAATCAGATACTATGCTCTTTGTAGCTACTAATTTGTTTCATTTTAATATCTATGTAGTAACTAAGCAATACAATTATCCAGTTTATAAGAAATCCTAGCTATTTTGCCCCTTGAAGTCATTTTGCATAGACAAATTCTCAGTTCTCTAGATTAGATTTTACCTTTTTGTTTGTTTGTTTTAAAGAAAAAGAGAGACAGGGTCTCTATGTAACCCAGACTGGTTTCAAACTCCCGGGCCCAAGCGATCCTCCTATCTCAACCTCCTGAGTAGCCGGAACTGTAGAGTTTACTCTTTAAGCATGAAAAATATTATTTTCATGATGGATTAAAGCAGGCCAATATTTTTTATACAACTTTCTGCCATCTTAAAAGGAAGGAATTATACCTACTAATAACACTGTGAACTTGCTATACAGGTCTGTAGAAGAGATTCCCTCAGAGCATGCATTCTTCTCATCCTGGTTGATCTAAGCACTTAGCCCATTCAATAAACTAGCCTCTCAGTTCCTTTGCTTCCTTATCTCCAGTGGTCTACACCTCCAAGACTTTAGCTACTCCTTTCACAGCCACACTTGAAACTGTCCTCCTCCAAAAGACCTACTTTCTAACCACAACCACATAGCCTTCCAAAAATCTCACTTCCTTATATTTTTCACAACCTCGCAGTGTCTTCACCACTATTATTTTTACTTATCAGTCTTATCCTGTCTTCATTTTCATCTCTATCCAAATAAGATCCCAAGGGTCAAGTGAACCACTCTCTTGCCAATATATTTAATTATCTTGCCCTACTGTCCTTTATTCTGCCTTCTGGTAAAATAATGTTACCCAGTAATCCTCCCATATTTCTCAAGACAGCTCTCTCTCCTCTTCTCCATATCCTCTTCCTACGACCTCCCTGCTCCTTCTCAACAGCAGCCATAAAATGGGAAATCCCTCAGCCTCTGGTTATTGAAACTCAAACATCCTGCATACAGCATCCTTTCCCCCTTTCCTCTGGCAAATGTGGAGGTGTGCACCCTTGTATCTAAAGCTAAAGAAACCTGTGCTCTGGATCCCATTCCCTCCCATTTCTAGGAACTTCGCTTCACTCCCTTCTCTCTGCATCTTTAACCTCTATGGGCTTCCTTCAATTAGCATTTAAACATGCTTAAATTAATCCCATGTTGAAAACAGAAATAAAGCAACACAAAGCTCCCGGCTCCAGATTTGTCTCCTCCTACTGCGTATCTTTTTGTCCTCCTTTATATAGTCAAATTCCTTCAAAAAAAGTATTTATAATTGATTACTTCATTTCCTCAACCCACTCTGAATTTCTAATATAACTGCAATTTGCTATCCATACCGCCAGTGAAAGACCTTCTCCTAGTCCTAAATTCAGTGAGTCCTTTTTAGTTCTTATTTGGCTGGATCTGAAGCATGGAGCACCGGACAACTGACCTCTCTTCCACATGAATGTATACTAGGTTGGTACAAAAGTGATTGCGGTTTTTGTCATATAGATCTTTCTCCTACATCTCTCGACAATCTGCCTCAGTCTCCTTTAAGCCATCTCTTTCTTACTCCAAACAATTCCATTTACTCTATCAAATATCATTTATTTCTGACATACATTATATTCCTCCCCTGGGCTTTGAACTGATATCCTATTGCCCAATGGACGTCTCTACCTAAGCATCTTGATTTCAACTTGCTCCAAAATAAACCCAAATACTCTTCCTGTGTTATTCCTAATTAACATACTTAAAATTAACTAGTTTCCCAAACTAAATATATGTGTGCTACCTTTGACTTTTCCATCTTCTCCACCCCTTTATCTAATTAATCATTAAATTTTCTCCTATTCTCTAATGTATCCACATTTCTCTAGCTCCTCTGCTACTAACCTTGGTAAGGATAGCATCACGTCTTGCCTCCTTGCAGCAGGCTTCTATCTGATATCCCTACTATCAATCTTGATCCTTTTAAAACACAAATCTGTCACAAATCCATCTGTTTCCCCGTCTTACAAGATGAATCTCCCTAAATTCTTAACATGATTTCTAAGTCTTTCTTGAGTTAGCCCACTGCTTACCTTTCTAGCCTCCATTCTTTCCTCACTTCCTCTCTCATGCTCTGTTTCAGCCATAATAATGTGCTATGCTCTCTACCCTCTGGGTCCACTGCACATGCTGCTCCCTGTCTGGACCTTGTCTTTAACTGTACCTCCTCTGAGAAACCTCTAATCCCTGCAACCAGATTAGGAGTCCTTCCTGTAATTAACTGTCTGTTCTTCCCTATGTTATAACTGCCAGCTTACTTGTCTATATTCTAAACTAGAATATAAACTCCTCAAGAGCAGGGATGACATTGATCCTGCTCAATCTCCATGAGGGAAGAGATTTATGTATCTTCTTGAGAGTTATGTCTCTAGTTCCTAGGATAACTCCTGGCATATAGCATGCATGTAGGTAATAAATACTTGCTGAATGAATGAGCTTACTTCATATTGTAGTTGTAAAAATTAAAGTAACATGGGAAAAGCAACTAATTCATAGCAAGCACTTATATATATACTATTTGTTACCAAAATTAAAATTTAGCTGTATGCTCTAATAAACTTGTGTATTAGGTTACTGTGGACAAGATGGCTCAATGTGTTGACTTACCATGTGTTGATTATTAGAGATACAATTAGAGGAAAAGGTATGGCCAAATAAAACAGAAGACTGAAATCTAAGAGTGGCATATTTGACAGTATTTCTCTACTTTTCACCTTTGGGTAGTAGAAACAAAAATATCTATACCAAACAAAAAAAAAAAAGCTGAAAACCTAGCAATGAGAGAATGATGAATGAGGAAATCTTTCCAACAGTAGTGTTTCTTTAGTCTGGGTAGAGACTATTTTGACACAGGGGTGGGATACTCAGTTTGTCTCTAGTGCACCAGAAACATAAACATATTACATTTTCCCCTTTTGCTTTTCCTCAGATGCTGGCTTTTCCTTAAAATATATCAAAATACAAAAAACACAATAACCAACCTCTAAATAATTGAGTGCAGTGTGGCCTGATCTACTATATAGCTAAAACACTATAAATTCTATAAACTTGGTGTTTAATTCTTTGTAGCAATAGGCAATGGCTCTAAAATCTTGAACCATGGTACCAGGTTCATTTGTGGGAGTAAAACAGTATGTGTGCCCTTTTACCTATGTTAATAAAAACAGCAGCTTCTAACTAAACTTATTCATTTTACTATTTATAATAAAGGTTACTTTTTTTGGTGGAGGGCTAATACAAAAACAATAAAATCAAACTGATCAGTAAGTAGTCTACTGCATCTTTCAGTAAAGTGAACCAAAGTAATTTGAAAGACGTTAAAAAAACACTATAATGTAACAGTTTAATTAAAACACTTAACCTACTCTAAAATATTTTATTATTTTGTATTTTGTTTGTATGGTACTGATACAAGCTCCGTAAAAAATCAAATTGGATTTACTACTTCTATTACTGCTCTTTGACTAAATAATGTTAACTACTTTTCTAACAGCTTGACTTGGGCCCAAATTTGACTTACCAAAAGTTAGAGAACGAATCCTAGATCACAGAGATACAGGGTGAGCATCCCAAATCTGAAAACTGAAGTCCAAAAGGCTTCAAAATCTGAAACTTTCTAAGTGCTGAGATGATATTCAAAGGAAATGCTCATCGGAGCATTTTGGATTTCAGAATAGGGATGGTCAATCTCTAAGTATATAACGCAAATATTTCAAAATCTGAAAGTATCTGAAACATTTTTGGTCCCAAGCCATTTTGGATAAGGTATACTCAACCTGCAATTCTAATATAACCCATTATTCAATTCCAGTAAAAGAATAGGAACAACTGTTTAAAGCAGTCAGAAAAAAAAAAAAGTTTGGTTTTTGTCACTTTTATTCTTTAATAGTTTACCATACCAATTTTCAATCCTACATTAACTCACACGTTAATTAATTCATTCACTAATTAACCAAGGACTATATCAGGTATAATTCCTCCACGTTAGGCCATATTTCATATCATACTCCTTGCTGTTAGATGGCTCAATGAAAGTATTTGAGGAGCAAAATAAAAAGGGATCTCCTTCAATTAGAGATCTTTTTAGTTTTTAAGAAGCAAAATGTTGCGATAAAACCTGAACTAACAATCAGTAATCTGTAAATTGTCTAGTGTAAAACCTCTCAAAGTGGGTTTTCAAAAAAATAACATTGAATAAACGTGTGGATAGATTTAAGAAGATCAACATCACTTCAGAGAATTAAGACTCCCTGCAAAAAGGGTTTTGGATATAAATACAAGTATGCATTTAACTCAACAATACAATGAAATATCCAATCAGAAAACAAAAAAAATTATGTACATGATCCTGAAATAACTAGATAATTTCTGCCAAATGACAGGGGGCAAAATAAAAGTACAAAAGTTATAAACATATTGGAGAAAATGAAATAGAATTTTCTTACCCAACGATGACTTTACAATTGATTTAATTCCTGCATAAACCAATGATCCTTTGTTGCCTGGAGATTTCTGATCCATATCTTCTGTGTATTGCTTCATAAGTATTTAAATGCATAGGAAATACTAGTGATGCATGACAATATATTTCAAAGCTAAATTTATTTTGATTTGGAGCCAATTCATAATAAGTATCAGTGTAAATAAGGTGGTTCGACTCTATTGCAGAGATACACTTTTCTTCCTCCTACACAATCTACAAAGCAGTATTTCAAGTTCGAAAGTTTAGAACAATTTTACTTTATAATGTTAGTATTATGTAACTTGTATTTGTATATAAAACATTGAGCATATTTACAGACTGACCTTTTGGCAAACTTCAAGAACATTTCTACCTGATTCACCTCACAAAATTCACAATGAAAAGGATATAGTGCAGAGTATACCAGAGTGACTTGAGCTGTGGATCTTCATTTCCAGCTAAAATGTGGTTCCTCCACACCTGCTCTGTATCAAGTCCATACCTTGATAAAGCCCGAAGACGCATCTTCGTTGCTATATCTTTTTCTAAAGAATTATCATTTTCTTCTTCCGTACATTCATATAAATGACGACCACAAGCCCACATTAAAGATGTAATTGGGCTCCAGGCAAGAGATATCCTTTCAAAAACAGTGAAGTCTGACATTGTTCGGTTGGGAGTTACAACTATCATTCGATTTTGACTTGTTGGATGCCACGCAAAGGAAGCAATGTAATTGTCACAAGGTTGCACACTTCTTTCAATTATTGTGGGTTCAGTTTCATCCCCAATGGGAGTGGGTGTATGCTGCATATCATACAATCTAATAATATTACTATCCCTTGTTAAAGTGGCAAGTAGACCAGTCCTAGTGGGACACCATGCTACTTTTGTTAAGGGTTTTGGTTGCTCAGTCAATGTCAAAACTGGCTTCTCAAATTTTCTAAGATCCCATATTGCAACCTGACCTTCATAGAAGGAAGCAACACGATCGTGGAAATATGGGTCTACCGTCACACCCTGAACAGCTTTTGTATTTACGAACATCTTTTGGCTTGTATTCCGAAGATCAAATATAGCTAGGTTACGATGCATACCAGCAAGGAGAAGTTTCTGGTCTCGTGGAAGCCAACAAAGAGACAGACAAGCATCATTCTGTCCTAACTCATAAAGTGGTTTTGTTACTAATAATGTTGTTTCAGTTTCACCTGCTGAAAGTTTCACTTTTTCCATGGGAACTATATCAGGAGTATATTTGCTGCAGATATCCCATATTAGCACTGAAAAGTCAGCTCTGTGCTTATCTAAACCAGCAGCTAGCCAGTTACTATCCAGTGGATTCCAGGCAAGGGTATTACATTGTCGTGCATGTTTTGGAACAAACTCTTTTCCTATCAAATCTTTGAACTTTGAGTTATGATCTTGACCAAGGCTTGTAAGTACAACTCGACCATTTGCTTGTCCAACTGCCAGCAGACATTCAGGATCATAATTAAGATACCAGGCAACACATTTCATATAGGGTGTATCTGAATTTATTGACAGTAATGTAGCTGCAGAGTCTTCAGATAAACGTAAAGATCCAGCTTTGAGTTCTGAATTCACAGTAGATTCCACATGATAAAGACTTAGTTCTGAGTCACACACAACAAATCTATCAACATGGTGTGGTGCCCATAAAATATCAGGTTTGGTACCGCTCATGTTTACTGATGTGATCAAAGGGTCCACTCAGGTCCATTCACTGAAAATGTTTAAAAATAAAAAGTTTTAAAATATCAGCAAAATATAATTCTTACGTTGAATAAACTATTCAGAAAGTCAGAAAATTCTCTATTCAAGAACCCTCTTTTTCAATATATTTGTATTTCTTCTCTCTATCTGCTATGAATTCAAGAAAATATTTATTGAAAAAAAAGGAGAAAGAACAACCACTTCCAATAAAATGAGCTGGTAGGAATCTGAGAATCCCATCCTGGCTATATTTCCCATGATCAATTATCTTAATTGCACTGTTACTAGTACCTTCAGCTTAACTTCAGAGTTATAACAACTTCAGTGTGGTAAGCAAATTAATAAGTATTATCCCTTTGAAGGGGGGAAAACTTATGAATCATATTCCTAAGCAATAGTTTAAAGCAGCACTGCCCAATAAAACTTTCTGCAATGACAGAAATGTTTCATGTTCATGCTGTCCAATATGGTAGCCACTAGCCACATGTAGCTACTGAGCACTAGAAATGTGACTAATTCAAATTTTAAACCTTAATTTTAACAAATTTTAATATAAATAACCATATGTGGTCATCGTAATGAACAATGGAGATTTAAAGTACAATGTCATACTAAGACAGCGGTTTCTTCAACTTTAGTAATAAGCATCAGCCTTGTATGGCAGAATAAACACTGGAATGTACTGAACGAACCTGAGTTCTAGTCCTAGCTCTGCCGTATATTAGTTATATGCCTCAGAAAAGTCATTGTGTGTGGGGAACCCCTTTGTTTTCTCATCTACACAATGTAGGAGCTGGTTTAGATTAGTATTTCCCAAACTTCAGTCATGTAACACCTATGCCATTAATATTTTTCTTTAAACTGACTCATTTTTAAAATCTGAAAATTGACTTTAATCTCTTCATAAGGTCCATGAATCATGGTATGCTATGCTAAATATATTTTTAACCTACACTGAAATATATAACTATTAAAAAGGCTTGATTGTGTTTTATCTACAAAGCATCCTGTTTATGACCAGTGGTACACACATACCACACTCTGAGAAAGTGGATTAAGTGATCATTAGAGGCTCTTTCAGTTTTCGCTTCTACAAACTTTGAATAAGTGTTAAAGTAGAATTTTTGAAAAAAATAAATATTCTAGCAGTAGAAGCACACGAACTAAATATAGCTATAGTTAAAAATGGTGTTTCAATAATTAAGGTTGCCTACAAAAATTTAAATGCCTGTTTCTAACAGAGGCTGGCAAAAGGTAATAGATTCAAAAAGAATGAACATACTTAAAATCTTCATTGCAATTGGCATCTGTACAACTCTGTTGTCAGTTCTCATAAGGTAAAGCTATGGTTCACTTACCTCTCTATCCTTAGTGCCATATATAGAGCCTGGCATAGACTCCTAATAAGGATACACTAAATAGTTCAACTCAAACATAATTGCTTTTCTTTTTGATCTTGCAAAAGTTTCAGTTGGGAATTACCAGTCTAAAACTTCATAGACTCATATAATTTAGACCAGGGGTCCCCAACTCCCAGGGCCGCAGACCAGTTCTGCTCCCTGGCCTGTTAGGAACCAGGCCACACAGCAGGAGGTGAGCAGCAGGCAAGGGAGCTAAGCGTCATCTGTTATTTACAGCCACTCATCTCACACACTGCTGCCTGAGCTCCGCCTCCTGTCAGATCAATAGCAGCATTAGTTTCTCACAGGAGTGCAAACCCTATTGTGAACTGTGCAAGAGAGGGATCTAGGTTGTGCATTCCTTGTGAGAATCTAATGCCTGATGATCTGTCACTGTCTCCTATCACTCCCATATGGGACCATCTAGTTGCAGGAAAACAAGCTCAGGGCTCCCACTGATTCTACATTACGGTGAGTTGTATAATTATTTCATTGTATAGTACAATGTAAATAGAAATAAAGTGCACAATAAATGTAATGCGCTTGAATCATCCTGAAACCACACCCCCACCCCTCATCCGTGAGAAAATTGTCTTCCATGAAACTGGTCCCTGGTGCCAAAAAGGTTGGGGACCACTGATTTAGGAATTCTTATACTGGTTTTATTTCCTTCTTTAGCATTTCTCAAGCCCAAGATCAATCATTTCAATATTCTTACTAGCACCCTCAATGTCTTCATTTCCTTGCCACTTTGGGTTTGCCTTTCCCCAGTCCTAGATCAACCCAATTATTTATCATCTTGTCTCCTCACTCAGGCTTCCAAGTGCTACCACACAGAGGATAGTCTCAAGCCTCTGAAAACTGATTTCAGTAAATTAAGGTATACAACATATCTGGTGTGTGGTGCTGGAGGCTTTTCTTTTATTCATCTTTCCCCTGGTCCTTCAGAAATTTTGCTTTATAGAATACCAGAGTAAAAATCTTTCTACAACACAACCTTGACCAGGCTATCCTTCCTTGCTTAAAACCCTCTAATGGTCTTCAGCTGCTCTTAGTATAACCTACAAAACCCTAAATGCTTTTGGTCTCTGCCTACTGCACCGGCCTTGTGGCACAACATTCTTGCTGTCCTTTTACACTGTCCTTTCCACTTCCTAGAGTATATACCCTCCTCCCTCATCACCATACCTTTGCAAATGATGTTTCCTCTGGTTAGAGCACAGTTCCCTGTCTTCTGGGCCAAGTTAATACCTGCTCAACCTTGACGTCAACCACCCTCCATCCCCTCCCTAGTCGAGGTCTGGTTACTCAGACATACACTGTCATTAAACAGTATTCTTTCCCTTTAATCATCCATCTCTGTCTCTTCTACTGGATTATACACTCCATGAGAGCAGGTGAAGTATTTTTGGTGTTCCATTGTACCTCTAGTCCCCAGTACAGTGCTAGGCACTTAGTAGGAAGTTAATAAACATTTGTTAAATAAATGCATGTGCTGAATGATCCCTCTGACACTTCTCACAACTGCTATCTCCAAGTTTTACCTATTTCCTCATGCTTCCACTTCTACGCTCCCTAGGAGAGGCTGGCTCCGGCCAAGATTTAAATGTCTGCTATTATACTTTCATTTATTCTGTGACTATTGATTGGGCACCTTCTATGTTCTAGGCATGGTTATGAAGCTGGGAACACAGCAGCAAACATGAGCCGATGAAGTCTCTGGTCTAAAAAAAACCTGCACTGTAGTGATAAAATTAAGTCCAACCTTAAAAAGAGTTTCAAAATTTAAGAATGAGGAGGAAGAGGGGCACCTCACGTAACAGGAAGCAGCTACGACAGCAAAGAGGAACAGATACTGCCAAATAAGGGTTCATACTCATACCCCCACAAAGGAAATCTCTTAATTGGAGACATCATGAGATCTGGGCCATTTTCCCATCTCATTGAAAAATCAATGTTTAAATAAACACACTTTTTATCTAGGCTTTCATTCCACAACCCGACTCTTTATACCAATGGTCTATGGTAAGCAATCTTGATGCCACAAAGAAAAATCCATCTTACAAAACATAAAATACGAGTTTTAGCATAAAATTTAAAACTTTGATTTACATGACTCTCAACGGAGAATATCAGCATTTCTTCCCATGTTATGCACCTAAAATACTTCTATTGCCATCCACAAAATCTGATGACAGTAATTCATACAGAATCAAAACTTGAGAGAAAAAGACTAGCTAAATCTTCTAATTTCACAAAGGAGTAAAGTGAAGACCAGATGTTTGGGTGGTTATCCAAGGTCTCTCAACTTCCGTCCTAGATTACTGCAAAGAAAAGGATCAGCTACACGATATGCAGGACGTGGTGCAAAATAACAATGCAGGGCCCCTCATTTAAAAATTATTTACAATGTCCAGACAGTGACAGCAGACTGGCCATTAAACTAAGTGCTAGCCATTCTAAATGCTGGGCTCTGTGCTACTGCACAGGTTGCACATCATAAGAGTAGCCCTGTATAGAGAGGTGCATCTATGTCCACCCTTTTAAGAAGTGTATTTTTTTTCACCATGTAATATACAGGATAAACAGTTCCTTGCTCATGAACATACATCACCAAGAATCTGGTGTAAAGAAAACAATCTAGAGTCAGAAATCCTACAGCCACTCCCCAGCTCAGATCCTAACAAATCTTGTAATACTCCAAAACCATAAAACCGAGATAAAATCTATCCCATTTCCATCTCACAAAGCTGTGACAATCAACTGAAATGAGCTCTTCACATCACACAGATGTTAGTATTACTACCATTCCCTTAATCAGCCCTGAAAGTTAATGTTTTTTCCAAATTTTGGAGACATTAAAAAATTAGGTGTAGAAGGGGTGCGGTCTGCAATAATTACAGCTTGTATTTATATCCTCACCTTTCAAGTTTAACAAGTCTCACTTCCCATCAGTGATTTCTCAGCAAAGGAAAGCCATGCTGATTCTGTGTTCATTCACCAGAATATTTGCAACAGCACTGTCCAAAAGAAATACAGTGTGAGCCATATGATTTAAAAATTTCTAGTAGCCACATTTAAAAAGTAAAATTAGGTGGAATGAAATTTAAAAACACATTTTATTTAGCCAACATATCAACAGCATTATCCTTTCAATATGTAATCAATGCAAAAATTATTGAGGATTTTTACGTTTTTTTGGCACCAACTCTGGGAAATCCGATGTGTATTTTACACTTATAGCACATCTCAATCCCATGTGGCTACTGGACAGTGAAGTCCAACACATTAAAATACTACTCAGTGTACAAAGGATCCAACCACATGCTTTTTGATGTTGTCTTTTACTTTTCTTACCGTGGCAAATTACGAGAGCGGTTTCAAGAAATTTCCACCATCAGCATCTTCGAGGAGATGCACTGCACATATCCAAATTTCCCTTAAAATATACAAAAGGCCTGCAGTCATTTGCTAACCTATTCAGCAAAGTCCACAACATGTGTGAGGTTTCATTCATCCTCTTAATTTTCATTACTCATATGAGAAGAGAACAGAGCTCACCGGGAGACAGGCCGTTTAAGAAGTATAGTATTTAAGAGGGTACAACGGGAACAGGGCACGTTGCTATTCTAGGTAAAGCAGGAATCTGAGTCCGACTCTCCCGCTCCAGGCACCTGGCTGAGCCTCCCGGGAAAGGCTGGGACGCCGCTCCCCACAAGCCCGCCGCGGCGAAGGCTGTAGCGTGTTCCCTGCGCCCCGAGGAGGTCTCCGCAGGTCCCACGGCCGCCCGCAGCCCCCGGTGGCTCCCGCTGAGGCCCGGCCAGGCGGCCGGCCGCCCGGCGCGATTACCCTACAGCGCGGAACGCGCTCCCCGCCGAGACGCCCGGGCCTTTCAACTAGGCTATCTCCGGCCCCTCGCTGCGGCCGCGGCGCTCCCGAGAGTCGAGACGCGAACCGGGTCGCGCTCACTGACCTGAGGTGGCAGCGCGGCCGCCGCACAGCCGCTTCCGGCCGGGACACCGCCCCGCCCGCCGCAGGAGCCCGGACG
The DNA here is from genome assembly GCF_000001405.40 of Homo sapiens. Taxonomy (NCBI): domain Eukaryota; kingdom Metazoa; phylum Chordata; class Mammalia; order Primates; family Hominidae; genus Homo; species Homo sapiens. The sequence goes on along the minus strand of NC_000007.14, from coordinate 7,566,997 downwards.
CGGGCAAGATGGCGGCCGCGGCCGTGCGGCCCGTGACCTGGACCACTGGGCTGGGACCCACGACCCCACCACCACGCCTGGAGGACGCGCAGCGGCGCCTCGGCCTTGGAAGGGGAGTTTCCCAGCGCGAGCCCCGCCCTTCCCCGCCCGGGAGGCGCCTCGGGGCGGGGTCACTGGCCGGGAGGCCCCGCCTTCCGCCCGAAAGCGCCGGTGCACCCCGCAGGCCCTGCCCGTGGGTCCACAGGCCGGATCCCCGGGTTCCTAGGCTGGGACTGCTTCTCAGAACCACTCTGTCGTTTTTAAGCAGGGTCACACACTCTAGCTCACTGGGTCCATTTTAATTTCTATTAAACATTTTTTTTTTTTTGCAAATGATGTAGTAGGAGATCCAAGGTGTTTGGTTAATGATTTATTCACTCATTAGTCATTCCACAAACTTGTCTTGAGCACCTGTTATGTACCCAGCACTGTGCTGGAATGCTGAGGAGACAGGAGTGAAGTAAAAAGACATGGTTCCGGCAGGAAACAGGCAAGGAGAGCCTTGACTTGGTAGGGCTAACACAGTGCTACACAGGAGGGACGCCCGCTCGGTGTCGGGGGTCAGCAAAGCTTCCTTAAGGACCACTAGGTTGAGACAAGAAGGATGAGTATGGGATTAGCCAGGAAAGGGAAAAGGGCAGTGGGAACTGGAAGAGAAGAGCCTTCTAGGACTGGGAAAGAGCAAGTGCCGGGTCAGGAGAGAGGACATAGCAGTGAGGAGGCAGTAGGTATGGATGAATGAGCAGAGGAAGTGGGGAGAGATTAAGGTGCTTTCAGAAACGGGTTGGAAACCAGTTTAGTGAGTTTGGATGGCATTTACCTAAAGGCAATGTTAGAGTCATCGAAAGTTTTTAATCAGGCAAGTGGTATGATCAGTTTTTTGTTTTGTTTTGTTTTTTTTGAGACGGAGTCTGGCTATATCGCCAGGCTGGAATGCAATGGCGCGATCTCTCCTCACTGCAACCTCCGCCTCCCGGGTTCAAGCGATTCTCCTGCCTCAGCACCTCGAGTAGCTGGGACTACAGGCGCGCGCCACCACGCCCAGGTAATTTTTTGTATTTTTAGGAGAGATGGGGTTTCACCATGTTGGCGAGGGTGGTCTCATTTCTTGACCTCGTGATGCGCCCACCTCGGTCTCCCAAAGTGCTGGGATTACAGGCATGAGCCACTGTGCCCGGCCAGTATGATCAGTTTTTGCGCAGAGAGCTGGAGGGATAGAGTATCAGAATGAGGGATGATAGAAACGCAGGTTACCAGTGGCACGGAGAGTGGGCATGGAGAGAAGTGGGGGCCCTGGGGAATACTTAGAAGGCGGGATGAACAGAGCTTGGTGACTGACCAAGTGAATGACGGTGAAAGAGGATTCCAAGTTTTTTGTTCCCAAAACTGAGTGAATGGTGCTGCCTCAGGTGTCACGAGTCTGACCTCGAGGCAGTCTTCAGATGTCTGACAGTCTTTGCTTGTCTGTTCATGATTAAAAGTGGGTGGTCTTGGGCTTGTGGTGGTGATGGCTGTAAACAGCATAATGAGCTTAGTCCTGATGATCTTGGTGGCAGATGGTTTTGATAAGATGATGAGTTTGGGGAAAGTATTGCCTTTCCAATCCTGCCATTAGAAGAATGTAGGCTGAAGAAAGTGCTGTATTACTGAGAGGAGACATGACAGTATTCATCACTTCAAACACTATCTTGCCAATCTTCTCAGTGGTTTTGACCCTGGCCTCAAACCCCCACACAAAACCTCAGATCAATACAAATCTCTTCCTTATCCACTCCTACTATACATAGTTGAGGACAACTTTTCTGCTTGCACTCAGGAGATGACACTGCCTCCTACTTCAGAAAAGAAAATTAAAACTATTAGCTAGAATTTGCACAACCTCCCACTGCTTCCTCCTTCCCTCCTCCAACATCTTGATTCACTACCATTCTTACCTTCTTTTAGGTGACAAAGAGTAAGAGGAGGAACCCCATGTATATCTCCTCTTCTGGGACCTTGCACCATCAATTACTTCACTTCCATGTATCTTTGCCTCTCCATTTCTACTGGTTCTTTACTTTCAACACATACTCAAGTTATTCCCATTTTCTCTTCAAAGGAGAGGATCATATTTGCTCTCTGTAATTCCACTTCCCCCTCTCTCCCTTGAATTCACTCCATTCAGTCCTTCATGCCCACCATGCCACGAAACTGCCACTTGTCAAGGTCACCTGTGAGCTCCATGCTGCCAGTTTCAATGGCCAAAGCTTCACTCTTGCAACTTCTGTTGTTCTTGACTACTTCCTCTCTTGACATGTCTCATTCACTTTGTTGCATATCATCACTTTCTTCTGGTTTGTCTTTTATCCCTGTGACTTCACTGTTCCTTAAACATGACAAGCATGCTCTTGCCTCAGGGCTTCTTCACTAGCTATTCCCTCTGTCTGGAATGCAGAAATCTACATGACTCATACTCTCCCTTTACTCAAGACTGCTCACTTGTCACTGACTACCTATAAATTAGCTCCTTTGTTGTTGTCTTTATGACACCACAACTTCACATACGTCGCCATCTCTTTACTTTCCTATAGTTATCTTCTAGACTGTGTCTTCTCCTTATCTCCAGTTTTCATTCTGTATTTTTTTTCTTTTTAGTAAGAGGAAATAACTCTACATTCAAATTTGAGCAGGGCACTTGGTGACCTACTTAGACATGACATTCCTTGGCCTCCCTTTCAGCAAGGTAAGGCTATATCAAAAAGTTATGTCCTGTAAGATGTGAGTAGAACTGGATCATGTCCCTTAAAAGGAAAGCTGCTTGCTATACACTTTCTCTTCCCTCTTCTTGCTGTCTGGCAAATGGCAAAAAGAAATACAGACTGGAAATGGAAGCCATGTATTAAGGAAGGCAAAGCTGTTCTCACTAGCCTAAGTCCCAAACTAATCTCAGGGAGCTGGGGCACCTCCTCCCTTGGATCAACCACAGACTTCTGGACCATTATGCAAGAGAAAATAAACTTTGTTCTTTAAAAAATCATTGTTTGTTTGGACCTGGTAGAGCAGCTTAGCCAATTCCCTAATTAAAACAGAGGGGCTCTGTCTATTTTATTCTCTGCTTAATCACCAGGATGTAAAACAGTACCTAATAAATGTGGTAAATAAAAATGTATTGAATAAATCCTAAAACAACGTATTTATTCTACATCCTCCTCCAGCTAATGTCCCTTTTTCAACTTTCTTTTCCACTCAAGCTTTGTGAAAGTATATATTTTTTCATATTGCCACTAATTCTTCTAAAGCCCCTCACAGGAATAAGTGACACCTTTCTCAGTCTTTTTGGAAACTGATTCCCCTTCTCTACTAAACCAAGATCCTTGCAGGTAGCAATCTTTTAGCATGGAACTTTGGATTTCCCTTAGCACCTGTTGCATAGGTATCCAAAAAATATTTACTGAGTTGAGTGAGTGCTTTGTATCTTTGGAAACAGTAAACCGTAGCAGAGAACTTGACAGACTGGTCTGAGATTACACTAGTTGCCTTTACTAAACATGCGTTTTACAATAGATCCTAGGGCCACTGTAGTTCAGTCTCGGTATTTTGTTTGTTTTTAATTTAAGCTTTTGTATTCCTAATAGGATTTTTTTATTGTTGTTTTTTTGAGATGGAGCCTCGCTCTGTCGCCCAGGCTGGAGTGCTGTGGTGTAGTCTCAACTCACCACAATCACTGCCTCCCAGGTTCAAGTGATTCTCCTGCCTCAGCCTCCTGAGTAGCTGGGATTACAGGCATGCGCCACCATGCCTGGCTAATTTTTATATTTTCAGTAGAGATGGGATTTCACCATGTTGGCCAGGCTGGTCTCGAACTCCTGACCTCAAGTGATCTGCCTGCCTCATCCTCCCAAAGTGCTGGGATTACAGGCATGAGCCACTGCGCTTGGCCAGGATGTTCTTTTTAAGATTCTTCATTTATGTTGTGGTGATCCAGGAGAGGATTTTTGTTGTGGTTTTAAAACCAGAAGGATTGCAGTTGAAGGACAGCGAATTTCTTTCTTATTTACAGCTGCTCCTGGCAGCAATTCAGTTACTACAGTACTGGAACATTTTGTGAAGTCTGTGACTGGCTAATCCCAATTCTTTTTATTTCCACATGCACAAAATCAGTCTGTACCTGAGAGCAAGTTTTGCTTTTAGATGGAGGCTGGGCAGGTATCAAGCTGAAATGAAGCCCTGTAAACATGTGCCATGGCTTAGGTAATCTTTTCACATAGGTTGAAGATCAGAAGATCAGAGATATCTTAAAATAATGGCCTTCAAAAACTTTTCTAGAATATCCCCAAATAAATTTTTTAAATCAATGCATTTCTTCATGCATTTTGGGATTACACCTAACATTGTCAAAACAAATTTACATAGTTGTCAAGTATATGATTTGTAATATTTTTTAAATCTTTAAATTATAAGCAAAACAGGGCTGGGTGTGGTGGCTCATGCTTGTAATCCCAGCACTTTGAGAGGCCGAGGCAGGTGGATCACCTGAGGTCAGAAGTTCAGGACTAGTCTGGCCAACATGGTGAAAGCCCGTCTCTATTAAAAATACAAAAATTAGCAAGGCATGGTGGTGCGCACTTGTAGTCCCAGCTACTTGGGAGGCTGAGGCAGGAAAATCGCTTGAATGCGGGAGGCAGAGGTTGCAGTGAGTCAAGACTATGCCACTGCACTCCAGCCTGGGCAACAGAGTGAGACTCTGTCTCCAAAAAAAAAAAAAAAAAAAAAAGTTTTTGGAAAAATTTGACAAAGCATATCATGTGAATTCAGATTTACCTCAATACCAAGAATTATGTTTAAATAGGACAAGGAAGATTTTTTAAGTTTTTATTTTAAGTTTAGGGGTACATGTGCAGGTTTGCCATATAGGTAAACTCATGTTATGGGGGTTTGTTATATAGATTATTTAGTTACTCAGGGATTAAGCCTAGTACCTGTTATTTTCCCTGATTCTCTCCCTTGTCTCACCCTCCACCCCTGGTAGGCCCTAATGTCTGTTGTTTCCCTCTATGCGTCCATGTGTTCTCATCTTTTAGCTTCCGCTTATAAATGAGAACATGCGATATTTGGTTTTTTGTTCCTGCATTAGTTTGCTAAGGATAATGGCCTCCAGGTCCATCCATGTTCCTGCAGGGGACATGATCTCATTCTTTTTTACGGCTGCATAGTATTCCATGGTGTATATTTACCACATTTCTTTTAACCAGTCTACCATTGATGGCCACTTAGGTTGATTCCATGTCTTTGTTATTGTGAATAGTGCCACGACAAACAGACATGTGCATGTGTCTTTATAATAGAATGATTTATATTCTTTTGGGTATATACCCAGTAATGGGATTGCTGGGTCAAATGATAGTTCTGTTTTTAGGTCTTTGAGGAGTCGCCACACTGTTTTCCACCATGGGTGAACTAAATTATATTCTCACTAACAGTGTATAAGCATTCTTTTTTCTCTGCAACCTTGCCAGCATCTGTTATTTTTTGACTTTTCAGTAATAGTCATTCTGACTGGGGTGAGATGGTACCTCGTTGTGGTTTTGATTTGCATTTCTCTAATGATCAGTAATGTTGAGCTTTTTTTTTTCATATACTTGTTGGCCACATGTATGTCTTCTCTGGAAAAGTGTCTGTTTATGTCCTTTGCCCACTTTTTAATAGGGTTTTTGTTTTTTGCTTGTAAATTTGTTTAAGTTCCTTATAGACGCTGGATATTAGACTTCCGTCAGTTGCATAGTTTGCAAAATTTTCTCCCATTCTGCAGGTTGTCTGTTTATTATGTTGATAGTTTCTTTTGCTGCACAGAAGCTCTTTAGTTGAATTAGGTCTCATTTGTCAATGTTTGCTTTCATTGCAGTTGTGTTTGGTGTCTTTGTCATGAAATCTTTGTCTATTCCTATGTCCAGAATAGTATTGCCTAGGTTGTCTTCCAGGGGTTTTGGGTTTTACATTTAAGTCTTTAATCCACCTTGAGTTAATTTTTGTATATGATATAAGGAAGGGGTCCAGTTTCAATCTTCTGCATATAGCTAGCCAGTTATCTCAGCACCATTTATTGAATAGGGAGTCCCTTCCCCATTGCTTATTTTTGTCAGCTTTGTTGAAGATCAGATGGTTGTAAGTATGCAGCTATATTTTTGGGCTGTCTGTTCTGTTCCATTTGTCAATGTGTCTGTTTTTGTACCCATACCTTTCTGTTTTGGTTACTGTAGCCCTGTAGTATAGTTTGAAGTCAGGTAGCATGCTGCCTTCAGCTTTGCTCTTGTTGCTCAGGAGTGCTTTGGCTATTCAGGCTCTTTTTTGGTTCCATATGAATTTTAAAATAGTTTTTTTCTAGTTCTGGGAAGAATGTCATTGGTAGTTTGATAGTAATAACATTGAATCTCTAAATTGCTTTGGGCAGTATGGTCATTTTAACAATATTGATTCTTCCTATCCATGAGCAAGGAACATTTTTTTCATTTGTTTGTGTCATCTCTGATTTCTTTGAGCAGTGTTTTGTAGTTCTCCTAGGAAAGATATTTTATTCTTTTTTTTTTGGTAATTGTGAATGAGATTGTGTTTGTGATTTGGCTCTTGGCTTGACTGTTGTTGGTGTATAGAAATGCTATTGATTTTTGTACATTGATTCTGTATCCTGAGACTTTACTGAAGTCATTTATAAGCTGAAGGAACTTTTGTGTAAAGACTATGGGGTTTTCTACATATAGAATCAAGTCATCTGTAAACAGGGATAATTTGACTTCTCTTCCTATTTGGATGCCCTTTCTTTCTTTCTCTTGCCTGATTGCTGTAGCTAGGACTTGCAATACTATGTTGGATAGGAGTGGTGATGGAGGGCATCTTGTCTTGTGCTGATTTTCAAGGGGAGTGCTTCCAGCTTTTGCCCATTCGGTATCATGTTGGCTGTGGGTTTGTCATAGATGGCTCTTATTATTTTGAAGTATGTTCCTTCCATACCTAGTTTATTGAGAGTTTTTTAACATGAAGCAGTGTTGAATTTTAATGAAAGCCTTTTCTGCATCCATTGAGATAATCATGTGGTTTTTGTCTTTAGTTCCATTTATGAGACAAATCACATTTATTGATTTGCGTATGTTGAACCAACCTTGCATTGCAGAGATAAAACCTATTTTATCATGGTAGATAAGCTTTTCAATGTTCTTCTGGATTTGGTTTGCCAGTATTTTGTTGAGGATTTTTGCATCAAGGTTCATCAAGGATATTGACCTGAAGTTTTCTTTTTTTGTTGTGTCTCTATGAGGGTTTGATATCAGGATGATGCTAGCCTCATGGAATGAGTTAGAGAGGAGTTCCTCTGCCTCAGTGTTTTTTAATAGTTTCAAGTAGGAATTGTACCAGCTCTGGTAGAATTCATCTATGAGTCTGTCTGGTCCTGGGCTTTTATTTTTTTATTTTTTTAATTGGTAGTCAGCCACTGATTCCATTTCCGAGCTTGTTATTGGTCTATTCAGGGATTCAATTTCTTCCTGGCTCAGTCTTGGGAGGTTGTACGTGTCCAGGAATTTATGTTTCTTTTAGATTTTCTAGTTTATGTACATAGAGGTGTTCATAATATTCTCTGACGGTTATTTGTATTTCTGTGGAGTCAATGGTAATGCCCCTTTTATTGTTTCTGATTGTGTTTATTTGGATCTTCTCTCTTTTATTTTTATTAGTCTAGCTAGTAGTATATTCTGTTAATTTTTTTAAAAACCAAACTCCTGGATTCATTGATCTTTTGAATGTTTTTTTGTGTCTCAATCTCCTTTAGTTCATCTTTGATTTTGGTTATTTCTTGTCTTCTGTTAGCTTTGGGGTCAGTTTGGTCTTGGTTCTCTAGTTCTTTTAGTTGTAGATGTTAGGCTATTAAATTGAGATCTTTCTAACTTTTTTATGCAGGCATTTAGTGCTATAAATTTTCCTCTTAACACTGCCTTAGCTGTGTCCCAGAGATTCTGGTACATTGTATCTTTCTTCTCACTAGTTTCAAAGAACTTCTTGATTTCTGCCTTAATTTTATTATTTACCCAAAAGTCATTCAGGAGTAGGTTATTCAATTTCCATGTAACTGTATGGTTTTGAGCAAATATCTTAGTCTTTATTTCTAATTTGATTGCACTGTGGTCCAAGAGAGTGGTTGTTATGATTTCAGTTCTTTTGCATTTGCTGAGGAGAGTTTTGTGTCCAATTATGTGGTCAATTTTAGAGTATGCACCATGTGGTGATGAGAAGAATATATATTCTGTTGCTTTTGGATGCAGAGGTCTGTAGATGTCCATCAGGTCCATTTGATCTATTGGTGAGTTCAGGTCCTGAATATCTGTTAATTTTCTGCCTCAATGCTCTGTCTAATACAGTCAGTGGGATGTTGAAGTCTCCCATTATTATTGTGTGGGAGTATAAATCTCTTTGAAGGTCTCTATGGACTTGCTTTATGAATCTGGGTGCTTGTATATTGGGTGCATATATATTTAGCATAGTTAGGTCTTCTTGTTGAATTGAACCCTTTACCATTATGTAATCCCCTTCTTTATCTTTTTTGATCCTTGTTAGTTTAAAGTCTGTTTTGTCTGAAATTGAGATTGCAACCCCTGATTTTTTTCTGTTTTCCATTTGCTTGGTAGATTTTTCTCCATTTCTTAATTTTGAGCCTATGGGTATCATTGCATGTGAGATGGGTCTCTTGAAGACAGCATACCAATAGATCATGTTTCTTTACCCAACTTGCCACTTTGCCTTTTAATTGGGGAACTGAGGCCATTTACATTCAAGGCTAGTATTCGTTCCTATCCATATTCTGAATTCTGTTTCTGTCATTTCAGCCATCTCAGCCTTGTTCAGAACCCTTGCTGGAGAGGTGGTGTGGTCATTTGGAGGAAAGAAGGCACTGTGGTTTTTTGAGTTGTCAGAGTTCTTGGGTTGGTTCTTTCTCATCTCTGTGGGTTGATGTTTCTTCAATCTGTGAGGTTGCTGACCTTTGGGTGTTTTTTTCTTTCTTTCATCTAGTATGATGACCTTGAGGGTTTGGTTGTGGTATAAGATGGATTCAGTCAACTGGCTTTGTTTTTGGAAGATTTTAAGGGGCCAATGCTGAAGCTCTCAACTCTTGGACTGTGTGTTCTCTCTCTGGGGGACTTGTATCGGGCCCTGATCTTGTTGTCTGGATCCTTGAGGTTAGGAATCCACTGTATGGGGGGTTGGGGTGGGGAGCTGAGGTGGTTCGGATTGCTGTTCACTACACTAATGGGTGGTGTTAGCCAAAGCATTTTGTAGTGCAGTAACACTGGGATCCATCCTCGTTCACACATGACAGCAGCAGTGGCAGTGGAAGCATAGTGAGGTATATGCTTGTTTGCTGCAGCAGGGTACAGGTGCTGGGATGCCTGCCTCCATGTGGGCATTCATCACAGCGGCAGAGGCAGCACCGCTGGGTGGGGGTCGGGGGGTCGCTGCTGGCAACTGTGCAGTCAGGCTGGTGGTGGTGTTAGCATGGGGGTGGGGTGCTGGTGGGCACAGGTCTGTGTGTATTCTCTGTGTGCTGCAGGCTAGGGTGGTCCCTCAGGGCAGGGGAGGATCCACTGTTTTCTCTGCCTAGTTTCACTCCCAGGGCAGTGTTGGCACAAGGGCAGGGCACTGGTGGGAGTAGGGCTGGCTGGCTGGCTCTATGCCTGCCAAGGCTCCAACTGCAATGGTGGTGGTGGTGGTGGGGAGGTGGGGTGGAGTGCATTCTCACTGCAGCAGTAGCAGGGCAGGGAGCTTGCACACACTGCACTGGTGGGTAAGGAAGGCAAAACCTGCGCATGCACATGTGCTCTGGGAAAGCAATGTGGGGGCTTGCTGTGAGCCTGGGAGAAACTGCAGTGTAGAAAGGGAGCAGGCAGGCTGGTGCATGGCCATGGGGGCCACCCCTCTGGAGCTGTCTGCCAGCCAGGCATGATCTGCCAGTACAGGAGCTGTGAAGTGGGCCCCCAGGGCACCTGAGGCTGCTCTGCAACCAGGTGTGGGGAGGCTGGGGCCCTGGGAGAGGCCAGCAGACCAAGAGGTGCTCAGGTTGAACTGGCCCCATTTGAAGGGCAAGATCACCTTGCAGAGTTCAGATCTTACAGTTTCCCTAGGGCTAAAGTCTCTTATGGGAGCAAGTTGAGTCTAGGGAGATGGGCTTCCCTGGCTGTGCTCCACTAAAGATGCTCCTGCACCAAACCGTCTAGGCTCTGCCTCAGCTGATGTGCTGCCGCTACCACTTCTCTAAGCAGCCTTTCCTGCTAACTCAAGTGTCTGTGCTGGTCAAGGGGGTCTCCTCCTGCTGGGATTCCAGAGGCCCATGGCAAGAACGGGTTGCTCCTTGCCAGTTCAATTCACCTGTTCCCCTGGTGTCACTGGGGCCAGGAACGAGTCTCAGTGTGTGGTAGCCTCATGCAGGGTTCCCAGCTTCTTCCCCCTTCAGCCCAGGTTCTGTGTCTTCCCTCCATCCACTCTAGGTGACTTCCCTCTGAAGATCTGTTAGACATGCCCCAGTCATCTTGGTTCCTTGGTGGCAGCTGTTCCACCTGGCTGTGTCCAGTCAGCCATCTTGCCCTCCCTCCAGAAATTCAAAAAAAATTTCAGGTAGAAAAATAGTTTGATTGCTTTGAATTTTATGTAGCTTTAGACTTTTAAAATGTCAGAATTTATTCACTTACTAAAAGTGATTTGGAAAATTATGCCTTTGGTTTAATTATTGGTAATTACACTGTCATTCTCTTTCCCTTGTGTATTGAACTAGGTCCAGAATTCAGTTTATGTAGACTCTGAACATGTTATGAGAATCTGATTGATGTTTGTCCCCTGTATTTAAAGATTAGCATTGGATTATTTCATGTTGCATGCCTGTATCAAAAGATTTCATGTATCCCACAAATAGATACACATACTATTTAAAAGAAAAGTACACCTTTTTAAAAAAGATTTTTAAAAATAAATAAATATTAACACTGGAATATTTCAAAGTTGTCAATGTGGATTGTCTCAACCAATAACCACTGCTTGATCTATATAATTAATTTTTTTAACAAAAACTTTATGATTAAGTTATTCTTCAATTGTAGGAAATTTTACATTGTTCTATTTTTTTCTCCTTGAACTTGTATTTCCATTTCACTCTTTCCCACTGGATTATTTGTTTATTTAAGAAAAAATTATATAAATATATAGCATCTACTATGTGTCAGAGATTTTAAATATAGACTCATTTAACATACTATCTCAGGTTAGGTTTCCTGGGAACCAGATTCTAAAATGGAGACTAGGATGTAGCATATTCATTAGGGAGTATTGTTGGGATCAGCACCTAAGGATGGGAGGAGGAAGAAGGGAGATTAGGCAGAGGGGGAGATTGAGCAGCTATGCAATGCCAAAAAAGGCCTCTGCCAGCCCATGGGTAACTCTGGAGTTGGACTGGTCCTTCAGAGTTGTCCTGAGTTGGGGGCTGGGACACAGGCCTTTATACTATTCCATTTATGTGGATGTGTCATTGAATGTGAACTGTCCCTTGGAGGAGGCATGATTTTGAGTGAGGCAATTTCCTCGGGTAAGGCAGTCCCCAAAGAAAGCTGACAGCTGAGGGCTGTCTACTGGCAGCACTTCCCACAGCTGAAGGAAGAAGTCACTAATGACCAAAGGAAAATCTGGAGGCGCATCACAGGGCTCACAACATCTTCATCACAACTTTATGAGGATAACACTTTTATTTTTCCTATTTTGCAGATGAGAAAACTGAGGCACAGAGAGGTGAAATAAGGTAGGCAAGCTCATACATTTCTTAAATGGTTGCGCTAGGATACAAACCCAGACAATCTGGCGCCAGCATTGTGCTTCTAACCACTGGCTCGTGCACTCTCCAAGGGAACTGCCTTTTGATCTAATTATATGCTGTCATTAAAATAATCTTTTAAAGCAGGAGTTAGCAAACTGTTTGTAAAGAGCCAGATAGTAAATATTTCCAGCTCCTCAGGCTGTGCTGCCTTTGTCACAACTATTCGATTTTGCTCTTGTAGTGCAAAGGCAGCCATAGATAGTACATAAACAAATAGCCATGGCTCTGTGCCAACAAAACTTTATTTACAGAAACAGGTGGCAGGCTGGATTAGCTTGTTGACCCGTTTTAGGAAATTATTTAAAGATTGAGAAAGCACTACGGTTTACTGTTACAGGAATGAAATATTACTGGATGAAATAATTATACTGATCCTAGCCTTATTTTAAAAGGGTAAGTTTTAACAGATTTCTCTGTGTGGTAGGTTTAAAAGTGATCATTATTTTCTTCATTATACTTTTCTGTGTTTTCTAAATTTGAATGTAATTGTTATATGCGTTACAATATAAAAATGTTTTTAATAAGAAAAAAATGAATGTTATTTTAAGAGTATAATTGGAGGGATCAGGATGCTAAATTCCATAATAGACACATCATAATCCTATATCCACAAAGTTAAGGTACAAATAAGATTCAAGCAGCATATCAGATGCCTTATTAACTGGAGCAGTTTTAGCATGACAACTGCAACATGGGCAATCCAAACATTTCCTGCCTTGCTCATTGCTTTTTTTGTTAGTAATTTGGCGCGTTTCTTCTAACGGGCACTGAGTCACTAAAGTAGCAGCTATCAAAATTGTTCTCAAATTGGCATCGTTAGTACCAGTAAAACCACAGTCATTTTACTGCCTGATCTCTACCCCTCATTGAACAAGACTTGAGTAAATCACATTTGGGATTTTGAAACAGATGATGTGGCTACATTCTGCCAATGTCTCTGCTCCCACAGCTATTGCCCTGCTTTAGGTCTTAATTACTCCTCAGCCAGACGGTAGTCTCCCCAGTTGGCCTCTGGCTCCCTGGTTCCTGCTCATTTACTCTAATCCTTTTCCTCTGTGAGGCCAGATTGATTACTCTGAAGCATACCTGAAGCGACCCTTTACTTAGAGCCTTTCATTGGTTAACATTCCCTATAGACCAACATCCAGACTCCTCAGACTTGACTTAAATGTCCGTGTTGCAAGTCATAATGGTTGAGAGATGAGAAAAAAAGTTGTATTTTCAATGAATCAGATTAACTTTATAATTAGACCCAAAGCAGTTATATAAACAGTTTTCTGTTGGTAGTAAAATAAGAAAAAGATTTTCAGAACAAGAACTGGGAGGTAGATGTTTATTAGACTATGAAGACAACGCATTGAGGACCAGGGTCATTTTGAGAAAAAGATTAGGTCACAGAAAAATCAAAGCATATGTGATTGGCCTGAGTCAGTAATTTGGACTATTTCAGATGTACCTTACATCTGTAAGGTACACATTGTACCTTACAATGTGTAACTGGAAAACCTTCAGATGGATAACAGAGTTGACTCACATGCTCTAAATCCTGGAACATTAGCAGCTCATTTGAGAAGCTAAGCCTGACTTTCTTGGCTAAGTATAATCATAACCCAAGGAAGCAATGAAAGAGGGAAAAAACCCAGAAGCATAAAGAGAACCAGAATTAGAATCAGGACAGGCATGATGTGGACACAAATTTACTTCCAAAGTTTTAGCCTTTTAATGACTTTTATACTATTCAGTTTTATAATCATTGTTCTATTGGCATATTTTGTCCTCTCTTTGAAAAATATTTCCAAGAGTCTCCTACTTTAAACTTGAGAAGAGGGATTCAGTTTGCAACAGTGCTTAAGAGAAATCTCATTTACTAAATTAATAGATGTTAAATGTGTTGTATAAATGAGGTAAGTATATGATAATTATTTAAAGATTAGTAAATTACATGTAATGGTGAATATTTCTCTCCATGTAACATGGATAAAAACATCTGGAATTTTTTTAAAGGGTTATCAACATGAGGTTGTCCCTACCTACTGTGGCCCAACATATTTTTTCCCACTTGATTTCTTAATTCATACTAGAGCTGTCCCACTGAATTGTTCCCAATTACTTTTCCATAGCACTTTCCTTATAACGTGCTTTTGTTCCTTCCCCCCAGGCCCCCAGAATGCTCTTCTCCAAGACTTAGAAAAATCAAATGCTATCCATCCCTCAAGATACATCCCTCCAGCCCCTCCTTGAAGTCTCCTGCAGCTAGAAGTAGAAGTAGCATCTATCCCCATCTGGACTCCTTAGCACTTTGCTGTACCTGCCTTAGTCCCCATCTCTTTACACACACACACACACACACACACACACACACAGAGTATTATAATACTATTACCTATTATATTACATTATATTATTGTAGTTCTACAGGAACTACAAGGAATTCTACTGTGAATTCCTTAAGGGTGGGATACATTTTACAATCATCACTGTTTCTCTCATTAGTTGTGGAATCAAAAAAATGAGTGCACGATGAAAAATTATTCAAACACATACATGCTTTCATTCCAATTGAAAATGTAAAAATATTACTGTTAAAACAATATTAAAGGACATGTAATACAATTCAAATATTCCTACCATGCACGATTGTTTTCACTTCTTTGTGCCTCTTTCACCATTTATTTGTGTGCATACTCAGCATATTTGTTTGTGTAACAGGATGTTAAAAATAGAATTTGTTGCCTGTAGTTTTTGCTAAAGCTCTACTAGACTGGAACAGAACAATAGGTGGTAAATACTCCATTCCTCAGTGAGATGCTACCTACCTATGCAGAGCTGGAAAAGATTTTGCAACCTGAAAACCCAATCCTTTCTGAGATATAAAAGAACAGAAGAGTCTGGAAGTGATTTCTTCGGAGAAATTCATTTTCTGTGAGTCTCACTCCTAATCCCCTATGAGATATCTGGGGGTGAAGGGCAGGTGCTGTTCCACACAGAGAGCTTGATCCGTGCATCTTGGAAGAGGGAGGTAGGTAGGGAACAGGGTGGGCTGCTTTGGGACCCATGCCTTAAAACTCAGGTACTGGGGCTGGCTGGTTCTAATGGCCAAGAGGTGAGAGGTGCACCTGTGGGGAACAACCTTCACTCTCAGTTTGTCAGGATAGAGGATATGAGTCTTGCCCTGAGGATGGGATGTAGACTACAAGGGCAAGAGAGTCAGCTTAAAGAAATCTGTAGAACTATCTGCCAGGACTGAGGTGACCATAGCAGAGAGATGTTGGAGGTATTCTGTTGGGAACAAGATGGTGTGAGGTAAAGATTGTATTTGATACCTGCTGGAGAAGAGATCTTGCATTAAGGCCAGCATTAAGAGAACTTCAGATGAGAAATCCCTGGTGAAGCAGAGTCTCCAAAGAATGCATAAGAGCTCTGCAGTGAGAAAGAGATCACCTGAATACCTTCCAAAATCAAAGCGTGGCAGTGACCAGCTAAGCAGATCTTTCCTGTCTTCTACCTGGAAGGGCCTGAAACTGCAATTCATGAGTTTGGGGAAGGCAGAGAGGCACAAAGTGGGGAAATGGAAAAGTTGACTATGTCCGCTTTCCTACTGCAGTATTCCAGAGAAGAAACTTCAAGCTCAGAATATTGGCTACTACCTGTGATAAACATTTAAATTATTGGAACGAGAGAGTTTTTATAACTAAATTTGAAAGAAGCAATTTTTTTTATCAAAGACCAACCCGAAGATTCATGACCACTACCTGTGATTTCATCCATGTTGCAAGGAAAATCCTGCCCCACTTCCCCAATAGGAAGAGTGGTGGGGGAATAATAAAGTTGTTTTATGATGCATCCTGTGGACTTCTACTCGACAGAATGGTAACATTCAACTGTAATCAGGATGAGCAAGCCACTTTATTAAACTAAAATTTTAAACTTTAATAAATATAATACAAACTGAAAAATAAAAATAATTTTTCAACTCTACACAAGTATGTTAACTGCATAAACAGTGAGATGTTACACAGGGCTGAGGCCTATACTTCTTCAGTTTGTACATTAAACGTCTCCATGGAGGGTCAATTGCATCCTACCTATTCTGACAGTTATCAGGTAGCGAGAGATTTGAGGAAGAGGCGCTTTTCTAATCTGGGGTAGGAAAAGGAATGATACCATGTATCATGAGAAGTATTTGCACATAGTGTGTCAATTAAGCAAGTGCTCAGACTATTAACAACATTACTATGTGATGAATGTTTATACAGTGGATTCAAAAATAAGCTTCTTTCCAGAAAGCAGCTTAGTTTTCATTAATTATTACCAGCATCTTGGTAATTATTTATTTAATGGTTTAAAAGTTAAAGTTTCAATCTATATTTGTTTTTTTAACATCAGCCAAGGAAATACATGTCTGTTATACTGCATCTTTGGAAGTATGCAATAAGTGTAACTATTGAATCTATATTGAAGAGCCACAAGACACTGAATTTAATTGGACGAGACTATTTTATTTAGGAAGACAATCATCTCCTGTGATCAGCTTAAGGTTTTTGTTTTGTTTTATCTGGAACAAGCTAAGTTCATATTTAGAAAATAAAGTTAGTTTTTTGGGTGCATGAGTTTTAGAGTAAATTAGTAATTTAGTAAACTTTGACATTTCCACTTTGTCTCCAAACACATTTAAATTCTATCTGTCTGACTGAAGTTCTAAGGCATTCTGTGGTTACTTAGAAATGATTCCTTATATTAATGTTTACAAATGCTAAATTGTATTTGTTAAATACATGTCTTATTGCCTAAGAGTTTTCCTTTCTTATAAGTTTAATATAAATGTCTAGGAAATAAGACTCCCATTTAATAGCTTATAAAGAATGCTGATGTATCAGCAGTGGCCTTGACATTATTGGATACAAGTAAGATCTACACTGATGATTAAATCAAATTGGCTAAGATTATTCGTTCTAATAAAAGCACTGACTCCATGAAGTTTTCTTGTGGCTGAAATTAACATTCGTGTTCCTACAAGCTCTTTAAAATCTTAGTTACTGAAAATTATTCCTTTTGACCTAATTTTTTCTTTACTTTGGATGTATTTGACAAGGTAGAGGTTAGGGATTGGAGAGTATGTAAAGAATGAAATAAAATGTAGTCACTTTTAACTATATCCACATATATCCACAGGGAGATGGGGGTTAACACTGATAATTATTCTCAACATTCTTCTGGGTTTGGAGTTAATTGAGAAATACACATAGCGGTCAGAAACATAGGGATCAAAATATCAGCATAGTTTTCCATAAAGCTGAATGTGCCTTGGACCTGCAACTCAAACCAAGCTTCTAAGTACCTGTACCCATGTCTAGATTTGGAGTTTCTCATCGGGGTATTACAGTTGCAAAGGGTGTCACTCGCTGCCTTCCATCCTTGGATTCTGAATAGTAAAAGAGGAAAAGAGGAAATCACAATGCATAGGACTTTTAACATACTAACTCCACTAGTTCAAGAAAAATCAACGAATGGATGTTAGATCAATGCATGTTAGACTATCTCCCCCCATCATAACACTGAGATGGGTCAGTGTTAGGGTTGCTAGATTTAGCATACACAAAAATTATAGGCTGCCAAGTTAAATTAAGTTTCAGATAAGCAATTAGTTTTTTTCTCAGTGTAAGTATGTTCCACATGTTGCATGTGACATACTTATACTAAGTATGAGATACACCTAACTCCTCCTCCTATGGGTAGCAGTGAATTAAGGGATATAGAGATGCCTAAAATTACACACTAACAGAAGTATCATGAAAAAATGAAGGCAGAGGCATAGGGTTCCCATGACATACTTTGAGGAATTTTGCGAGTTTAAGTCATCAAAATCTTGGAAAGATAAAGTTATTTAGAAGACAATCACACAGTGCTACAATATTTAAAATAGTTGTTCATTTTACAACCATTGCTGATGAATGACTGCATACATTGCTACGGGTACTATAAAAGAAGTAGAATTTTTTAAAAAATTCCTGCCTTTAATAAAATATATATTATTTAAGTATTATTATATAACATAAAATATTCACTTCTCAGTACAAAACACAATAAGTATTGTTAGATGAATGGTACCATAAATAACGCTGGAAGAATTCAGAGCAAGGAATGATCTTTGTGGGCTGCATGCCAGTTAAGAAGCATTAAAAAGTAGAAATTTGCCCCATTTTCTATAAGTCTAGAGATAGAATGAGCTTCAAGTACAGGACAGAAAGAAATGGATGATGTCAAATGGTAACTGATGATTTGTTTATGAGTACATATACGATGTCTACTTGGGATTTCTAGGGCTATTTGGAGAGTGAGTATTTTGCAGGGGCTAAGGATTCTAGTTAGTGAAGCGGCGATCTGGTGGAAAATTAAAGTATCCATGAGAAATGCTGAAAATAAGAATTAATGAGATCTGGTGGCCTAAGGAGTAGAGTCCAAAATGGTAAATCTGTGTAACTGGCATGGTATCAACTCTGTTTTAGCTATTGCTTAATAGGTTGAAGAGTTGAAGGGTTTTCAAAGTACTTTTTATTGTGAAAATTTAAAAACATGTATATTAAGGGTAATATGACAAAAATCTGTATACCCACCACCCAGAATTTAAATGTTTCAGGGTTTTAAAAAAATTCTTCTCAGATCATTAGAAATAGAGTTGAAGTCCCCTTTGTATCCAGTCCCAGTCCTATTCCCCTTTCTCTCTCCAGTGACAACCACTGTCAGAAAACTGGTGAGTTTTCTACTATCAAAGTTTGTTATAGATTTACAACATATAGACGTATCTATTTTACAGATGTATCTGTAAAATAGCTAACATTTTGTATGTTTTAAAATGTTATAGAAAATATATCATATTTTTATATCATTACATAGCTTTCTTTTCTATTTAAAATTGTATTTTAAGGATATATAAAGATTACAAGATATATTTGTTGAATAAATAAATGTTGTTACGTCCCAAATTATTTATCCAACCTACTGATCAACATTTAGGTTGTTTCTAACATTTTATTAGAATAAACATTCTTGTCTATGTCTTTTGAACAAATGTGCTAGAATTTCTCCAGGGTATATTCCTGGAAGCGAAAAAAATACACTTTGTTATTTTTAACAAATATTGCCCAGTTGCTCTGTAATGCAGTTTTACCAAATCACCCTCCCACCACATGTCCCATTTCCCAGCATCCTTGCTAACCCTTTATTACACTCTTTAAACTTGTCAATCTAATGAGAAACATATGATATCTCAGTGCTTTTAGTTTGCATTTTCATGAATACTAATGAGAGTAAATATTTTTTCATATGATTGTTAGACATTCTTATTTCCCTTCTAAAAAACTGCCATTTCATATCCTATTTTTTTCTTTTTCTTATATATTCTGGATACTGATCCTATATATTATGAACCTGTTCTAGTGTAGTTTGTCTTTTTTTTTTTTTGACTTTGCTGCCCACCTTTTCTTTTTTTTTTTTTATTATACTTTAAGTTTTAGGGTACATGTGCACATTGTGCAGCTTAGTTACATATGTGTACATGTGCCATGCTGGTGCGCTGCACCCACTAACTCGTCATCTAGCATTAGGTATGTCTCCCAATGCTATCCCTCCCCCCTCCCCCCACCCCACCACAGTCCCCAGAGTGTGATATTCCCCTTCCTGTGTCCATGTGATCTCCTTGTTCAATTCCCACCTATGAGTGAGAATATGCGGTGTTTGGTTTTTTGTTCTTGCGATAGTTTACTGAGAATGTTGCTTTCCAATTTCATCCATGTCCCTACAAAGGACATGAACTCATCATTTTTTATGGCTGCATAGTATTCCATGGTGTATATGTGCCACATTTGCTTAATCCAGTCTATCATTGTTGGGCATTTGGGTTGGTTCCAAGTCTTTGCTATTGTGAATAATGCCGCAATAAACATACGTGTGCAGGTGTCTTTATAGCAGCATGATTTAGAGTTCTTTGGGTATATACCCAGTAATGGGATGGCTGGGTCAAATGGTATTTCTAGTTCTAGATCCCTGAGGAATCGCCACACTGACTTCCACAATGGTTGAACTAGTTTACAGTCCCACCAACAGTGTAAAAGTGTTCCTATTTCTCCACATCCTCTCCAACACCTGTTGTTTCCTGACTTTTTAATGATCGCCATTCTAACTGGTGTGAGATGGTATCTCATTGTGGTTTTGATTTGCATTTCTCTGATGGCCAGTGATGGTGAGCATTTTTTCATGTGTTTTTTGGCTGCATAAATGTCTTCTTTTGAGAAGTGTCTGTTCATGTCCTTTGCCCACTTTTTGATGGGGTTGTTTGTTTTTTTCTTGTAAATCTGTTTGAGTTCATTGTAGATTCTGGATATTAGCCCTTTGTCAGATGAGTAGGTTGTGAAAATTTTCTCCCATTTTGTAGGTTGCCTGTTCACTCTGATGGTAGTTTCTTTTGCTGTGCAGAAGCTCTTTAGTTTAATTAGATTCCATTTGTCAATTTTGGCTTTTGTTGCCATTGCTTTTGGTGTTTTAGACATGAAGTCCTTGCCCATGCCTATGTCCTGAATGGTAATGCCTAGGTTTTCTTCTAGGGTTTTTATGGTTTTAGGTCTAACATTTAAGTCTTTAATCCATCTTGAATTGATTTTTGTATAAGGTGTAAGGAAGGGATCCAGTTTCAGCTTTCTACATACGGCTAGCCAGTTTTCCCAGCACCATTTATTAAATAGGGAATCCTTTCCCCATTGCTTGTTTTTCTCAGGTTTGTTAAAGATCAGATAGTTGTAGATATGCGGCATTATTTCTGAGGGCTCTGTTCTGTTCCATTGATCTATATCTCTGTTTTGGTACCAGTACCATGCTGTTTTGGTTACTGTAGCCTTGTAGTATAGTTTGAAGTCAGGTAGTGTGATGCCTCCAGCTTTGTTCTTTTGGCTTAGGATTGACTTGGCGATGCAGGCTCTTTTTTGGTTCCATATGAACTTTAAAGTAGTTTTTTCCAGTTCTGTGAAGAAAGGCATTGGTAGCTTGATGGGGATGGCATTGAATCTGTAAATTACCTTGGGCAGTATGGCCATTTTCACGATATTGATTCTTCCTACCCATGAGCATGGAATGTTCTTCCATTTGTTTGTATCTTCTTTTATTTCCTTGAGCAGTGGTTTGTAGTTCTCCTTGAAGAGGTCCTTCACGTCCCTTGTAAGCTGGATTCCTAGGTATTTTATTCTCTTTGAAGCAATTGTGAATGGGAGTTCACTCATGATTTGGCTCTCTGTTTGTCTGTTGTTGGTGTATAAGAATGCTTGTGATTTTTGTACATTGATTTTGTATCCTGAGACTTTGCTGAAGTTGCTTATCAGCTTAAGGAGATTTTGGGCTGAGACAATGGGGTTTTCTAGATACACAATCATGTCGTCTGCAAACAGGGACAATTTGACTTCCTCCTTTCCTAATTGAATACCCTTTATTTCCTTCTCCTGCCTAATTGCCCTGGCCAGAACTTCCAACACTATGTTGAATAGGAGTGGTGAGAGAGGGCATCCCTGTCTTGTGCCAGTTTTCAAAGGGAATGCTTCCAGTTTTTGCCCATTCAGTATGATATTGGCTGTGGGTTTGTCATAGATAGCTCTTATTACTTTGAAATACGTCCCATCAATACCTAATTTATTGAGAGTTTTTAGCATGAAGTGTTGTTGAATTTTGTCAAAGGCTTTTTCTGCATCTATTGAGATAATCATGTGGTTTTTGTCTTTGGTTCTGTTTATATGCTGGATTACATTTATTGATTTGCGTATATTGAACCAGCCTTGCATCCCAGAGATGAAGCCCACTTGATCATGGTGGATAAGCTTTTTGATGTGCTGCTGGATTCGTTTTGCCAGTATTTTATTGAGGATTTTTGCATCAATGTTCATCAAGGATATTGGTCTAAAATTCTCTTTTTTGGTTGTGTCTCTGCCCGGCTTTGATATCAGAATGATGCTGGCCTCATAAAATGAGTTGGGGAGGATTCCCTCTTTTTCTATTGATTGGAATAGTTTCAGAAGGAATGGTACCAGTTCCTCCTTGTACCTCTGGTAGAATTTGGCTGTGAATCCATCTGGTCCTGGACTCTTCTTGGTTGGTAAACTATTGATCATTGCCACAATTTCAGCTCCTGTTATTGGTCTATTCAGAGATTCAACTTCTTCCTGGTTTAGTCTTGGGAGAGTGTATGTGTCGAGGAATTTATTCATTTCTGCTAGATTTTCTAGTTTATTTGCGTAGAGGTGTTTGTAGTATTCTCTGATGGTAGTTTGTATTTCTGTGGGATCGGTGGTGATATCCCCTTTATCATTTTTTATTGTGTCTATTTGATTCTTCTCTCTTTTTTTCTTTATTAGTCTTGCTAGCGGTCTATCAATTTTGTTGATCCTTTCAAAAAACCAGCTCCTGGATTCATTAATTTTTTGAAGGGTTTTTTGTGTCTCTATTTCCTTCAGTTCTGCTCTGATTTTAGTTATTTCTTGCCTTCTGCTAGCTTTTGAATGTGTTTGCTCTTGCTTTTCTAGTTCTTTTAATTGTGATGTTAGGGTGTCAATTTTGGATCTTTCCTGCTTTCTCTTGTGGGCATTTAGTGCTATAAATTTCCCTCTACACACTGCTTTGAATGCATCCCAGAGATTCTGGAATGTTGTGTCTTTGTTCTCGTTGGTTTCAAAGAACATCTTTATTTCAGCCTTCATTTCGTTATGTACCCAGTAGTCATTCAGGAGCAGGTTGTTCAGTTTCCATGTAGTTGAGCGGTTTTGAGTGAGATTCTTAATCCTGAGTTCTAGTTTGATTGCACTGTGGTCTGAGAGATAGTTTGTTATAATCTCTGTTCTTTTACTAGTTTGTCTTTTAAGTTGTTTTTGAAATTACAGAACATTTATGGATTTTTACTGTTTACAAAGCTCTTTTGATACTCACCACAACACTGTGAGAGAGGTGTTATTTTTGTTGTTGATTCGGATGCTGCTGTTGCTATCCTTATTTTTATTGGGCTCCTCCTCATAGTCTTCACTTGCGGATGTGGAAACTGTGTAAGGCTTTCAGAACTTACAGGTCCAGCGTCAAAAAGTGGCAGAACCAATTCTCAGACCTGTGTGCTGTACTCTTTTAAGAGGCAAGAGCGCACCGCACAGCCTGGAAGTTAGGTATAGTCTCTGGTGTGCTGAAGATGGCTCATGTCACCTTGTGAGGGTCAACTGCTAAATTTCCAGAAATTTTTTGAGCCAGTTGTTAACCGCAGATATTATTAAATGTTGTATTATATATTTAACTTACAAGTAAATAAATTACATTAAAAACAATAGTAATAAATACTCAAAACTCATTACTTCCTAATTATTTACTAAATCTTACTATTGTGTGTGTACTTGAAGTTGTTTGCATCCATGGCAACTATATGATGGAAATCCTGCATAGTGGTATGCTGCTATATATTTGTGTTTCTCTTTGCAACCCTGTGTTCAGTGATGTCACATTAGTAATTTGAAATCTGACATAGTAGGACTTTTTACACAATAGAAATCTGCTACAAATTAGGGCTTGAATTACTGTCTTATTTATTGTCTAGGCCAAAGAAAGTGATGGAGAAAACAATAATGCAGATTAAACTCAAAAGTGTATTTTATCTGTAACAGTTGAATAAGAAAAAAACTAAGAAAATGTTTCAGTATTTGAAAAGTATTATATTATTCAGCTACAAAGTTGCTTATATCATTGACAAACAAATGAAGTTTCAATGCACATGCACCTTTTTCTTTGTTTCATTTTTGTCTTACTTGTTCAAGAAGAGGAAAATGCCAACCAACATTCTTGTTGGAACTATACTCATTCATCAATTACAACCATAGATTGGCTAAAGATATAAGAATTTGGCCAAAAATCAATGAAAGCAATCTGTATGAATCAGTTTGCTATATAGAATTTATAATAGAGAATATTGTGTATTTTATTATTATTTGAAAATTTTATACCATACGTTCTTTATCAATAACATTTCTGATAAACTTACGTATGTATATGTGTACAATACACTTTTTTCCCCAGAGAGACAGTTATTAAATACTTTTTGGCAGACTGCTGGGTACCATCTTTCTCCTTCATTTCTTCCACTTTCCTAGGCCAATTAGGTACTAAGCTCTTTGATTCTGCTTCTTAATATTTCTTAGACTTCTTCACTTTGCATTCTCATTGCTGGTACTTGAGAGCCTTATCTCTCATTGGTGTCATAGTAAGTTTCCTAGTAGATCTCAGCCTCCAAGCTTGTTTTCCTGCCATTATTCACACAGCAATCAGAGTGATTTTCCTAGCATGAAAGTGTGATCATGTCACAACCCTGCTTAAAATTGTTCAGTGGCTCCCGTTGCTTTCAAGATAAAGTTTAAACCCTTTAACATGGCATAAAAGAAACCACTGTTTATCCTCTGCTCCTGCACTTCCAACTTCCATATCACAGTCTGACCTGGGTGCCCTCTGTGTAAGTCTCTTTTATAGATGTTATCACACTATATTGCTCTTGCTCTTTTTGGCCTAATATTTTGTTATGAAAATTGTCAAACATACAGAAAAGTTAACAGAATTATACAGCAAACCCATTACCTGCCACCCAGATTTCACAATTGTATTTACAATGAACATATTTGCTCTATTGCATAATCTACCCATCTACCCATTCTTCTACCCGTCTCTTTTCTTCTCTTTTTCTTTCTTTTTTTAGATGGGATCTCACTCTGTGGCCAGGCCGGAGTGCAGTGGTGCCATCTCAGCGCACTGGTTCAAGCAATTCTCCTGCCTCAGCCTCCTGAGTGGCTGGGATTACAGGCATGCACCACCACGCCCAGCTAATTTTTGTATTTTTAGTAGAGACGGGGTTTCACTATGTTGGCCAGGATGGCCTTGATCTCCTGACCTTGTGATCTGCCCGCCTCGGCCTCCCAAAGTGCTGGGATTACAGGCGTGAGCCACCGCACCCAGCCCCATCTTCTTTCTTTATGATGCATTTCAAAGTAAGTTGCAGACACTGGTAAATTTTGTTCCCAAACCCTGCAGCATGGTATTGTCAACTAGAGTTAGATATGTGATTACTTAATTTTTTTTTTTTTTGGGTAAAACTTGCCATTGCTCTTTACTTGCTTATTTTCTTCACTGGGTTGAAGTGACTGCATCTATCTGTTTTCTATCCAGTGCCTCACATATAGTAGAAACTAAGTTGATGTTAGTTAAGTGAATGAGTTATGGATTTCATCAGATGTTACTTAGAGAGCTTCTTGATCCTATATAAGAGTAGTTTTATCACTCTTTCGTTCGTCTCCTCATTCTTCTGCCCAAAAAAGCTGTAGAAAGCAACTTTTATTCCACCCGTTCAGCATCACAGACGATTAAAATTTTTCATCTGTTAACAATAGTTGACAAACTCTCACACTATGTCTTTCTACAAAGTCCCACAAGGTGGTGCCCAAATATCTTTTTTCAAACAACACTTCCTGAAGACCCATGCAGAGTCCTGACTAAATTGTGTTAGTATTTGGCATTTCTGAATTTGGTCAATTAGAATAACAGAAAATATATAATTAAGTAAAAGTTACTCAACATTAAATAACATTATATATGTGATTTCAAAATCTATAGTTCTGGATATAAACAATGAATAATGATAATAGGTACTTTATTTCTGTGTAGAATTTAGTATTATTAAAAGGTTGTTCATATCCCCAAATAGGAAAAAAAAAATTCACCTCAAGTCCCCTTTTCTATAAATTTTGTCCATGAATAATTTACCCTTAGTATAGAATTTCTAAGGGCAGAAGGAGAAACAAACTGTTGTGCAGGAGGAACTATATAATTTAGATGCAATGAAAAAAACAGATGACCCTATTACCTTAACTGGGAACAATGTTGTGTAAACCAGCATTGTAACGGCTTAATATAACATGGGATAATAAGTTACTTAATGCTCTTAAAACACTTTTATTCCAGAAATTTAGAAGAGTTATTTTAAAACTTTTTTTGGATATTCTTATTAAATCTCAATACACTGACCAGAAAACCCAAGTAGGTATTGTGTTTCTACAACTTAATATTCATGCAAATGATGATATCTACCTATATTACTGGCTATGTTTTGATTAGGGATCAGTTATTGAAGTAGCTGTAACAATCCCCAGCTACTCAGATAAACCTGTCCAAACCTGGAGGAGAAAGTTTTTCAACCCAGGGTTCGAAGAGGTGGTGTTCATTGCCTTTAATGGCCCAGGCACTAAGATTTACACAGTGAGAGGTGAGACTCTTTAATGTGCTGGGACTTAGCCCATGATGATTTGTTCTGAGCCATTTGCCACTAAAGTTAAATCCTTATAAATATAAATTATTAGCCATACAGCTTCCTTTTTCTCCTGCTCAAGCACAAGCCTGGATAGCGCAAAGGCCTAAAAATTTTCTAGGGCATTTAGAGATAATGAAAGATGGCCACTTTGATGCACAAAGACCTAAATTTTAGTCCCTCACTGATTAATGATTTGACCTTTGGGTGGGTCTTAATATCTGTCCTCTATTTTATCAACTGTGAAATGGCAGAATTAAATAAAAGTGGTTTCTAAGTTTCCTTCCAGTTCAGAGATTTAACACTATTGTTTGTCCCCAATACAAGAAAAGTTTAAATACCAATCAGTGGTTATCAAATAATTCACCAAGATCTAGAATAACACTGTCTAATATCTGAAAGTAAAATGAACTAAGTGAAAAATAGAAATATTTTGCCATTTAAAGCAGAGTTTAGTCAAGGTATAAATAGATCTGATCTTTCTCTATTTGTAGGCTCTGCATGAAAAAGTTAAAACTGCTCTATCCATTGACCAAAGAAAATAATTAAAGAAAAATATTGAACATTCAAACCTATGATAGGACTAGATCAATCTACTTTCAGATATTTCTTAGAAAAAAAATTGTAAAACTTTCCAGATGGCACCTTGATTTATTTTTGGTCTAAAATAATTGCATTTAGTCAGGAATAAACAACATGGAAAGAAGAAATATTAATATTGAAAAAATATTTTAGAGAAAGAGATTAATAGTCATAAGATTGGTATAACGGGAATTTAGCCTGTCACTGTAGCCTATGAGGCACTGTGTGTTGCAAATGTGACACAATTATTCAAGCTGGGGATTGAATGACAAATAATGAAGCAAGAGATCTTAGGGAGTAAACGATATAAAAGATAATTGAGTCCGTGTTGCTGTACCCCGAAACTGCTCTAAACCATAAAGTTTATTAAATAATAGTAACAATTGA
The DNA here is from genome assembly GCF_000001405.40 of Homo sapiens. NCBI lineage: Eukaryota > Metazoa > Chordata > Mammalia > Primates > Hominidae > Homo > Homo sapiens. The sequence goes on along the minus strand of NC_000007.14, from coordinate 7,539,755 downwards.
AAAATAGTAGAGGGAATGTGGAAGGATCAACTCAATCAGAATTTGGTGAGGGCATAGGAACTGAAGTCACGCTGTTCCACATTTAAGCAATGCCACATCCTGTATTTTATTACCAATGATAATTTTTATTTTCTTATTGTCTTTGAATGCTTTTAATCTTTCCCTTTGTTGACAAATAAGACCAATACAGTTTTGGTGTTTGCCATGGTTTGCATATTTGCCCCCTCCAAACCTCGTGTTGAAATTTCATCCCCACTGTTGGAAGTGGGGCCTGATGGGAAACGTTTGGGTCATGTGGGTGGATCCCTTATGAATGACTTAATGCCATCCTTGCGGTAATGAGTGTGTTCTCTCTGTATTAGTTCCTGGGGGAGCTGATTCTTTAAAAGAGTCTGACACCTCTCTCCCTGCTCTCTTGCTCCCTCTTACCATATGATCTGCACACGCTGGTCCCCTTTCACCTTCTGCCATGAGTAGAAGCAGTCAATGGCCCTCACCAGAAGCAGATGCTGGTGTCATGCTTCTTGCATAGACTGCAGAATTGTAAGCCAAATAAACCTCTTTTCTTTATAGATTACTCAGCCTTAGGTATTCCTTTATAGCAACACAAAATGGACTAAGACAGTGTTCCTCTAATTACTGATGAAGGAGTTGAGAGAATGCCTAGGTCATATTCTGGGTCCAAGGATAATGAATCCCAGAAATTTCAGAGCTTTGGGGCAGGTGTTAGAAATTCTACTATATCAAGCTTTTCTACTGACAAAAAGAAGAAAGAGAAAGAAAGAAAGAAAAAGAAAAAAAGAAAGAAAGAAAGGAAAGGATCTTCAAGAACAAATTTCTTCAAATCAGGTACGAAGGTCATTAATTTCTTCCTTGTTAGTTGGTAATGTTTTTTTTTTTCTACTCTAGATCAGCAGTGTGGGAGGTGGCTAAAATAGGGAGAAGCTTGTGAAACTATACTATGCCTTAATCTTGGTCAAAATATATAACTTTGATTTGTTACCAGCCTTTTTTTGTGTGTATTTCTATGACTTCATGCAGATACAATTCTCTGAAATATGTAAGTCCTAGCAGACTTGTCTCTTTTTAAATGATTCTAGGACCCCAAAATATCATCACCACTGAAATTAAGATGTTGGCACTGGTACTAGAATCAATAAACACAATGCAGATGCTACTATGGTAGCATATTAAAAGAATTTGAAAAAGTTGAAAAAAGATTTTCATCTAGCAGAGCTTTGGAGAAGAGCAATTTATTGTATCACAGACCTCAAGTGACTGATAAACACTAAAAATTACTTCTAATAATCATTTATTTCACAAATATGACTGCTTACTCTGGGCTATTTATAGTAGTAACAATGAAAATAGTGTGCTATATTTCTTCCATAAAGACTTTTACTACAAAATAACTGTCAGAAGGGCATGGGCTCCACGTTGCCTTTTTCTAGTCATTATGGTTATCCATGCTCTCTTATTTGTTCTGGTGTAAGTCCAATAGCATACTAATTCAAGACCATCTGTTGGGATTAAGATTGTGGTGCATTGTTTCTCTGGGTGCAAAACTAATTGTCTTTTATAGATTGATGAAACTGAAGATTTTATTTTGCATAATCTTCCCAATTAATTTAGTGCTGATTTTCACGCTTGAGAATGAGAGGTGGCAAATCTTTGGTTTGAGTTACCCTATTTAATGTTGGAGAATGAAAGGGAATGGATGACTAAGTTGGACTCCAACCTCCCACCAACTTTAATCAAAACAGCTCCAAGGCAGGAGGGCTTTAGTCCATTTCCCCCATCTAGGAATCACCTGTTTGCTTCTTAGTGGCATTATTATTCTGCATGTTTTTAACCTGCCTCAGCAAAAAGAGAGTTGACCTGAAAAGATGCTACTTCCTTGTCTCTTGATTCTCATCTTACAAAAGTAAAAAGTGTGACTAACACCCATAGGCTATCAGGTAAATACATGGTTGTTCCCTAGGAAATTCCGTTGTTATTTCTGCATTATACCCACCGTTTCTTCTTTCTGTTACCAAAGCCTCACAAAACTTCCTCAGTTCCTCGAAACCTGTTTTGTGAGGAGGAGACAGTGAAAACACAGACGTTCGCATAGATACTTAATGATGCAGTAGTTGTTATAAGTGAGGCTCACAGGTCTTACCAGCCTGAGTTAAAAGTTCATTTTGCCATTCTCTGGTTTTAGTATGACAGCGGACAAGTTACTGAACCTCTCTCTGCCTCCATCTTGGAAAAATTCGAATTCTTACAACATCTACTAAGTACAAGGGGTCCTGGAATAATATTTTGTTCAATGTCATTTTGTTATAACATTGATGAGAAAAAAAATTCAATTCCTGGGCCAGGCTCACTGTGTGGAGTTGACATGTTTTCCCCATGTCTGTGTGGGTTTTCTCCAGGTCCTGGAGTTTCCTCCCACATCCCAAAGCTTTGCCCATTAGATGCATTGGTGTGTCTACATGGTGCCTGTCTGAGAGAGTGGGTGGGTGTATGAGTGCCCTTTGACAGTACTGCATCCTGTCCAGGGCTGGTTCCTGCCTTGTATCCTCAGCTGCTGGGACAGGATCTGGTCAACCGTGACCCTGAACTGGAATATGCAGGTAAGCAGTTATCTTGTTTTTATCAATCTTTCATAAATGTATATATAGCTTAGATTTATTTCAATGTTTATTATTAGAGGTGTTTTGAGTATTTAGAGGTTTAGTGATGTTTTTGTGACTAGGAATATGCCATAAGAGCTTAACTCTTATTTATATCAATTAGCTCTTGGGAAAATTGTCTTCATTATCAATTGTTTCACTTTATGTCACAGTTTCCAGAACCTACAGAGGACATTAAGTGAGGACTTACTGTATATAGGTGGTTGTGCTTGTGAAGGATTAAATGAGGTAATGTGTGTGAAGCACTCAGGACAGTGCCTAGCACCTGGTAAGTGTCCATGAATTGGAGGCTATTATTGCTGTAATAAGGAAATTCATACACATTAAAATGGCTAAGAAAGTTCATTTTAAATAACCGTAACATGCACATTTGTATTGCTTTCTCGGATGATCTTGCTATTCTCTATTTCAGAGGAAGTCCGTGGAGAAGCCTGCCTGTTAGCTGTCTAGGGGTCAGGTGGCTTCTTGGCAGTATATATTACATGATAAACATTGACTTAATATGGACCATAACCACAAGGTAGAAAATAGGGAAACAGGGAGTGGAAAAACCACAGTGATCCTTTCCTAGAGAGAGACCAAAATATTAACCGCTGTAAACCTCTCATGTTACAGTTCGAACACATCTTAATAAATGATTAAATCTACTCTCTCATTTCATAAGTGGGGAACTGAAGCCCCCATAAAAGTTAGGGGCAGAACTATGACTATACTCAGACCACTCTTTCCCTGTATATTATATATACCTTTTATTATAAAAAATTTCAAAAATCACAGAAATACAAAGACTAGAACAATGCACACCTATGTACTCATCATCCAGCTTTAATAACAATCAAACTGTTACCTCTCTTAAAAAAACAGCTTTGATTCTGAGTCTGGTGTCATTTATACTCCTTCACAGAGATGTTCAGAACCAGTATCTTAGAGCACATCCCCCAGGCAAAGAAATGTAGCAATAAAAAGAGAAGGACATAGCATGAGAAAAAAAGGCAGGCTGTCAACCAATGCCTAAAATGTAGAAAGTTCTCTCAAGTTGTTTTTACAATAGTCTGGAAAACACAGTCTCATTCTGAAAGGACACTGTTCCTTTAAATTGCTTACTGATCCCACCCAGATCTTGCACCCTGGCCAAATGCCTGACCACTCTTGCTTTGACTTAGTCGAATAAACATGAACAAAAGACTGCAAAAGATCCTAAAGCAAAGACACTTTTATTTCCCACAGAACAGAACAATATCAAATAGCTAACTTCACCCCCAACCACAGTCCTTGCTGTTGGCATTTACTCAACTAGTCTTTAATTCCTGTTTGACAAACTTTATAAGGTAAGACATAACAGATTTATTTTAGTCACTTGAAATCAGATAGGACCATCAAGGAACTGTGGAAGACTAAATGACTTACTTACATAATTATTAGGTGAGAAAGCTTGTCAATAGTTTGTATTCTCTGCAATTACTTCAAATCAATTATTAGAAAAATATTAACATTGTTAAAATGTAGAAATTTAAAACTTAAAATTATTTTGAAATGGATTTTTAATTTACAGTCTTCTAAATTGTTTTACAACGATGTTAATATATTTTAGGACATCTTTTTCTTAATTTGGAACAGGGTTTACAATTCAGAATTAGTTATAGAATACTTTACAACTTGGCTAATTTGTCAATTTGAATAAAGTCTTTATTCAATCATTTTCTATTTGTGTAGAAACTGAGATGCAAACATTGTAACTAAAGTTGGTGAACTCTGATATAAGATCATTTTATTTTTGAAAAATTATAAAAAATAAAGTATCTTGGATTTATTTACTGATCCTGATATTTACCCCAAATAAATTTTAGGCCAAAAGTAAAACTACGGTATTTGATTAATAATTATGATTGTTTCTGCATTTATAAAATGTAACCTATAGTAAACACAGAGGTTCACATTTCTTTCACTTAACTAATGGCACTGTTTCCTCTGAAACCTATTTTGCTTGTACGTGACATCAGAAAGAGAGAAAGGTGAGAATTATTAAAAACAGAGGCAAAATAAAACATGGTAAAAAGTGATTAGAAATGAGTGGGCTCTCAAGATGCCAAATTAATAAACGAGAAAGATATTTCAGGGAAGCAGTAGAACTAACAAGCTAGAGAAACAAATCTAGAGAGGTATGAAAATGTCCTCTGGCTACAATAGGGAAACAGAAAGAAATAACAAGACTTTGGTTTGGGAGAGCTAGATTAACAATGTCAGAGCAAATAAGAACAAAATATGAGATACTGGGATTATTGTCAATGGAAAAGTTATGTTTGTGAATATCATATATACAGGGATCAGGTACAAATTCATGATTATATGCCAAGAAAACAGTAAGAGCAGGTGCTTAGTTTTGGGAAAAGATAAATCTTTATTTAAAGCCAGTATTTCTAAAACCTTACATGAAGGGTTTTGAAGAGTTGCTTGATTATGTTGCTTATAAAATCTTGCTCAGTTCTCAATGGAATTCAGTTCTCAGCCTCTTATTTCCAGAACTTCTGAGATGTTCCTTATGGTATGAACTCAACCAAAGAGAAAAGTCATATGTAATACCATGGCCATGGTGTTATTCCCTTTCCCCTTTGAAAATGCAATAACAACTGTGTTTTTCACATAGCCTTATCTTTACACTAACCTTCAGACTTAAAGTTGTACATCATTTATTTTTTTCCTTGGTTAGCAAAGGGACAACTTGAGGAGAGATGGCCTTTGTGTGTTCTGTTTCCTTAGCACATTTCTTGGTTTTGTTTTGTTTTTAATACCCAGCTGTCTTTACATTTTAGTATACCTTGTCTGAGGATCAGTTGGCATTTGGCCAATTGCTACACAAGATGTTTGGTCATACCTATCCAAAGTTCTTTTAATACACTTCCAGCTGGATGATGCTATGTGAGGAGCAGACTGTGGCATGAAGCCATCCATTGGTCCTCTCCTAACCCAACAGTTTTGTTTCCCTTTGGGGTTTATCCATCTGGCATGTATGAAAAAAGTCAGTCTCCATCTCACTCCTCACTGCCTTTGCATATATTTCCACTCTCTACTCAGAGTCTGGAAAAATCGTGCTCATGATTTCCCAGATTCTTATCCCCTAAAGGCAAGGTGCCAAAGAAGGAAAATGTGATTCCTTTTCCAGAACTCCTGAAGTCAATAAAGTTTCAGCAGGCAAGCATTTTTAAGCCATACTAAGTATTGATTCGAAATAAGCTTTCTCGTTCCCATTCTCTTGGGTATACTGAGGCAGCAACACATGAGTCTTCTCCTCCCAGGGAAATCTGTCAGTTTAAGAGTCAGTTGGTGTGTAGCTAGGCATATTGACTGATGAAGATTGAGGATTTTAATACAGAATTAGATTTTTCGTTGTTAATCCACCCAGAAAAATAGTTTCACGGGGCTATTCAGAGGGGGTGCTTCTTGGCTTTAAGTCCCGTTTCTGTCCATTAGTTCTTTTAGCCATCACTGGAAGAAGAGTGTTGCTTTTAAGCAAATCTATTATTTTTGCTCTCATACTCTTTTGATTCATTGCATATGCAGCTTTGAACCCCTGGTGGAGACAAAGTTTCCAAAGCTAGGGTAGAAAAGAGAGATGGGGTTCTATGGAAACAGAAGGGTCGTTTAATTTTTACCTTGACCTCTGAACTCACTGAAGTTATGTGTGTAGTATTAAGCCTGAAAGGGTGGTGGTTGTCTACAGTTCTACAAAATACTAGATTTGTCAGGAATCAGTTATAATGAAAGTGAATGAAATGACCATATAGCAATCTGAATTCCCCCTGAAGAATTTGGAAATGTCAAAGCAGACCCTGTGATTGAACCACAGTAATCATATAGAGCGGGATTGAAATGTTTTTAAATGGCTCTCCCAACTCTATGCTCCTCAAAATACAATGCGGAATTAAGAATACTTAAATATAGTTCTTTGAATATATAGAAATATTCACTAATAAATGTTTGGTCATGGTGCCATGATTTATTTGGATTGAAATCTTTCAAAATCTCAATGTGAATATTTTTCTAGAAATATGAATGAAAACCTCTTTTTTCCAGTCACATGCCAGTTTTCAACCCTGCTGGCTTGAAATTTAAAAATAACAAACACCATATTTTATTAAAGTATTTGTAACTGACTTTTCTATTAAAGGTGCTACAAGACAGATGATTTTTCACCATCTACCATAATGTGGAACAGATATTTTGTCTTCTATCTCCTGCTTTTGTCAGCGTTTACGAGTCAAACAGTATCCGGACAAAGAAAGAAAGGACCAAAATCAAATTTGCTTGCAAGGAAAAGTGATGTCCAGGGTAAAAAAAAAAAAATTGTTTGTTTTTAAGTTTAGCCTGTTAAAAATACTTATGTGAATTTTTCTAAATAGCATTTGATATAAATAGCAAGCCATATACATGTATACATGTGATAGTCTACTTTGATAAAATTATATGATGATAATATACCTTACATACTTATAGCACATCAGAGTCTTTAATAAGAGCACTTGTGCACTTATTATCTCATTTGAGCCTCACAGTAACCTTGTAAAATAGGCAGGACGGAGATTGCCACTCATAGTGTAGATTAAAAAAATTGAGGTCTTAACAGGTCGAGTGGCATACTCAAGGCCATAGGCAAATTAACCACTGAGACACAGAGCTGGGATTTAAACTTAAGTTGTGTTTAAGTTAGGTTTCTTCTCCACTTACTCTTGGTATAGGGGGTATAGTCATTTTCTCCCTTGATTTCAAGAAAGTTTAAAAAAAAATAGGGACTCACCAATATGACACAACCTGAGAATTAGAGTATCATTTACTTCTAGACAACTATGCTCAGTGTTAGTTGGATTTTTAAAATGTGATGCATCTTGACTTCCCATTTCCTCCCACTTTCAGCAGGTTTAACATTGAAAAGATGCTCAGAATAAAAGATATCTTATTTATTTTTAATTTGCATGATTTTACAAGGAGAAAATAATTCATAAACTTAGACATTTAGTTTTTTACAATTGAAGCCTTCTGTCCAACGTGTCTCTCTTTCTCTCCTCACGCTGCTCTCAACACCAAACAATATACAACACACCACTTCAGGGCTTTCCGTATGCAAATTTGTTTCATGATAGGAATAATTATTTTGCCTAACCTGTTTATTCTGTTTCAGGCTCCATTTGTTTCATAGATATTGTCTTCATCGTGGACAGCTCTGAAAGTTCTAAAATTGCCCTCTTTGATAAACAGAAAGATTTTGTGGATAGCTTGAGTGACAAGATTTTCCAATTGACTCCTGGTCGCTCCTTGGAATATGACATCAAACTGGCAGCCCTTCAGTTTAGCAGCTCTGTCCAAATTGATCCACCTTTTTCTTCCTGGAAGGACCTGCAGACATTTAAGCAGAAGGTCAAGTCTATGAATTTAATAGGGCAAGGTACCTTCTCTTATTATGCCATTTCCAATGCCACTAGGCTACTTAAGAGAGAAGGGCGTAAGGATGGTGTGAAAGTGGTTTTGCTGATGACTGATGGCATCGACCATCCAAAGAATCCAGATGTTCAAAGTATTTCTGAAGATGCCAGAATTTCAGGAATATCATTTATCACCATTGCACTTTCTACGGTAGTCAATGAAGCCAAACTTCGTTTGATTTCTGGGGATTCATCCAGTGAACCCACTTTACTGTTGAGTGATCCAACCCTTGTAGATAAAATTCAAGATCGTCTGGTAGGTACCTAATGGGTTGATTATACAGTTATCATCATAATATTGACATATTTGTTGTAAATCCCATAAGAAGAGATACTGGGTCAAAAAGATGGAGAAAATGAGAGTTAACACTGAAAACAGAAAGAAGAATCTTTCTGAAGTGTCACTCCACTTTCTTGGCAGTTTACTCCAGACAATCTGGAAAAGTTCCAGGCTAATTCCCTGGAATTGCATTTTTAACTTTATTGCTAGCTGATGCTGAGGATTTTGGAAGGGGTTATTTTCCAATCATATACCTTAAGCTCCTGTTTATACAGCCTACAATCATGAACATTGCTGACTTATATTCAGGTTGTGCTCAACTTGAGGTGTTAGGCTATATTTGTACCAAGTTGGTCTTTTCCCATTCCACATCTGTACAGGTATTTTTGACATAATCTTGACATATTCTCTCTTACTCTTCTAAAGGACTGAGTATTTTTGACTCTGTCTCACCTATTGTTACATTATGCTACTCAAAGTTCATAGACTTCCAATTTTTAAAATTACCTCCTTCTTTCTTAGATGTTCTCAAGCCCATCCAATTTAAAATCATCTGCAACCTGCAGTCAAGCAACAGTTTCTCCCATCAAATCAATGAGTCCCACTTGATAGGTCTGGTCAGCTTTTCTTTGTTTGTTGCTCAGCTGTGTATAAAAGCCTTTCCTTGCTGCTTTGTAAAACACACGGCACCACAATCAAAAGGAAATCCCTCTTCACAATATTTCTCAAGGAGAAAACGCCTAGAGATAAATTGGTTGATTGGCTGAGTGTTAAAAACTGATTTTCTTAAAAACTTGGATTTCTTTGATTTCCTGAGAAAGGAAGGCAAAGGTGTCCTTTATGTACTGAGCGTTTCATATGGCTGTTTTCTACAGCTTGCACAGAAAACTCAGGCTCTATTTCAGAGATTGTTTTGCTCCTTTTGTCTTATCCCTCGATCTTTTTCTCAACATTACTCTTATCTTTTTACTCTCTGTTGCTTTCAGCATAAGATCTGAGGTTTTCTTACCTAAATAATAGCTCTTAGGTATTGAGTACTCTCTCTGTATTAGGCATTTTCCTGAACACTTTATATATTTTATTTTATTCAATGTTTGCCACAATCTTATGATGTAGGTAATGTTATTATACCCATTTTGTAGTTGAAAATTTAAGGCCGGTGAAGACCTCACAGTTTGCATGCTTAACCCTATAAAGGCATATTGAGAGAGGAAATAGTAACTGCTTTTTAAAAAAATATTTTCTCAATCAGAACTGCTCTGAAACAGTTTGGTAGCAGCCCTCCTCCAAAGTTACTATTGTTTCTAGCCTTTTTTTCCTTGGGGATTCGGGGTAAATGGGAGAGTTATGCCTAGATCAGAGATAGAGCTGATGGGCCCAGTCCTGTGGTGCTCAAGGTAAGTACTCATTCTGAGCAGCTCTTTTGCATGAAAGGGAAATTTGTAGTGGTTCCTGGCTAACACTTAGCCCTGCCTGTGCCATGACTTAAGGGGTCCTCACCACTGAACATAAAACAGAGGGCTCCAGCCCGTGTGGGAGAGAATCCTGGTGATGTGGTCATGAGTGGGCTGTTGTTACTTATTCATCTTCACCTTAAGATGGATAAGAGCTGACCATAGAAGATGCGGGACAGGCAGCTCCTTGTTTGGCCACAGGTGTAGGCTCAGGTTGTTCATATTCCCACCAGATACACCCTCGCTGAGAGCACCTGCTTCACTGAGAACACAGGCTCTTGGCAGTAGACTGGAAGCAAAATTGTTTGTCTGTTCCTGGGCAAACAGAAAATGACTGAATACTGCTCTTCCTTAGCATCCGGCGACTTCAGCTTGTTTGTTTAGCATCTGTGATTTCAGCTTGTTTGTTCAGATGGAAGCTCCATGAATAAACCACTTTTTAGAAGGAGGTGCTGCTTTCCAAACACTTACAGGATCCAAAGTGCTTATTAGGCTCTTCAAAGAATGGTATACCAACTTTCAATGTTACAAATTGCCACCATCTAGAAGGCAGAACTTGACTCTTTTTTTTTTTTTTTTTGAGACAGAGTTTTGCTCCTGTCACCCAGGCTGGAGTGCAGTGGCACGATCTTGGTTCACTGCAAACTCTGCCTCCCGGGTTCAAGCGATTCTCCTGCCTTAGTTTCTCAAGTAGCTGGCATTACAGGCGCCTGCCACCATGCCCGGCTCATTTTTTTGTATTTTTGAGTAGAGATGGCCAGGCTGTTCTCAAACTCCTGACCTCAGGTGATCTGCCCGCCTCGGCCTCCCAAAGTGTTGGGATTACAGGTGTGAGCCATCGCGCCGGGCCCAGAACTTGACTCTTGATGAGACCATTGGAAAAATTCTTTATCTAATCCCTTTCTATTACATCTTTAGTTGAATTTTTAAACTTTTTATTTTAAAATAATTATGTAGTTGACTTTTTAAATAAGTTAATTAGGTATGATTTAAGTACACAACTGCATTAACTTAAAGGGCACAATTCCATGAGCTTTTGACATAGGTACACACCTATGAAACTACCAACACAATTAGGATAGAGAACATTTCCATCACCTCCCCAAATTGCCTCATATCTCTTTGTAAGACCCCATTTGCTCCTGAGCTACTGATCTTACTTTTGTGACTCTAGATTAGTGTATACTTTCTAGAATTTTATACAAACTCAAATAGTATGTATTATTTTTGTGTCAGGCTTCTTGTACCCAGTATAATGATTTTCAAACTCATCAGGGTTTTTTTCTGTATCAGAAGTTTACTCCCTTTTATTGTAGAATAGACTTTAGTTGAATTTAATGGACACGAGTATACAGAATGAATAGATTCTTCAGGAGCAAAGACAAAACAAATCATTGCAAATTCCTTGATGCCTCTAGTAGGAATTATCATGTAAGAACCCCATAGAAACATTTTAGTTCTGAATTACTCAAAAGAGACTTAATGACTCCAAATTGAAGAAGACATGTAATATATTTTTATTGCTATTTTTATTATAATTTACATAATAGTATTGAAACCAAACAAACAAATTCATTCCAAAGTCCTGGATATATTACTTGGTCCTGTAGAAGAGTAAGAGAGGATATGTGAAAATTAAAGACAATTTTTTCCCTCTATTGCCTTTGATGTTAAGTATTTAAAAAGCCTTTATGGAAATAAGGGTTGTGACAAATTTGTCTTTTTTTCTGAACGATTTTTAAAAAACATAAATTTAAGGTATTCCCTCCCTCACATACCAAGAAGAGATCAATGTGATGATGTCTATATCATCTTTAGAATCCTATGCTTTCTTAATCTATTAATTATGATCACTTTCCATTTTTTCAAGACTTCCTCTGTTTAGGGCCTTATTTTTCTGTTTTAGATTTTATAGTGGCCATTTTGCTACCATTTTAAGTTGAATTTTTTTGTCACAGGGTTTGTTCCCCTTGCCTACCGAGTGCTTTGCTGTCATTCCATGTGCTGTGATATTTGTCCATCCCTCACATGTTTTCTGTCCCCTTCTCACAGCATAAACCTTATACTCCTTGAAAAATTGGTGATTCCATTCTAGCATTCTGGTTTTGCATATATAGTATATGTGAATATATGCCATATATATGAATCCATTAATGAAATTCTGACTGCATCTTCTTTTGCTGTCATGAGACCCTTTCCCTATTTATCCTTTTCATTGAAACTCAAGCATGCCCCCAGTCTGTCATTGAACATGGCCTCCCGTCAGGCTTTGACACTGTTCTCCTTGCAGCCTGCTTCCCTGCCTGAGTGCAAGCCCTCGCCACCTCCCAAGGCCTCCGGCTCTGTCCATGTGGGCCCTTCCATCCACTCCCTTTAAATGTTCCTCATAACTACTTCCTTTGTCTTATTGCCCACACTAGTCCTTATGACTTTTTTCCTCATCAACTTTGACATATAGGACAGCATACCATCAATGGGTGGTCCTTTGCATTCCTCTCTTCAAAACCATCCAGAAAACCCACCTATTCCAAGAAGCCATCTTGTTAGCGGCTCCCCCGCCCCTGGCCTAGGACCTCCTTCCTACTCGGGTTGCTGTGTGTTGTCCTCTGTTCCTGGGGCTTATAGCCTATAAGAGCCCTCAGGGATGGGGCTTTGTTCTTTGTTTGAAACAGTCTTATCTATTGTGTAGTTTTGGGTTCATTTTTGTTTCCATAGAAATATAAATTCCAGCAAACACAAAATTAAATGAGTTCCAAAAATAGTTTTTTGCATTGCTATGGTTTTAAGCCTTATGCCACATATTTCTAAAGAGCAATATGGCAAAGAAGAAATTGAATTTTAAAAGAAAGAACTGAAAAAAGTATAAAATTACACATCAGGCACAGTAAGAGCTGAATTCGTGAATTTAAAAATTGATTAAGATATTGCTTATTGTGGCTAGGTGCGGTGGCTCACACCTGTAATCCCAGCACTTTGGGAGGCCAAGGTGGGTGGATCACTTGAGGTCAGGAGTTTGAGACCAGCCTGGCCGACATGATGAAACCCTGTCTCTACTAAAAATACAAAAATTACCCTGGCTTGTTGGCGTGCTCTGTAATTCCAGCTATTTCAGAGGCTGAGGCAGGAGAATTGCTTGAACCCAGGAGGTGGAGGTTGCAGTGAGCCAAGATCATGCCACTGCATGCCAGCCTAGGTGACAGGGCGAGACTCCATCTCAAAAAGAAGAAAAAAAAAAGATATTGCTCATTGTTAAAAGATTTTAAAGTGACAAATATTTAAATTTTTCTTTATTTCAGTAGTGGTTTTTAAATATTACAATTTGACTTGAATTATTAGTTGTTTTACTGCCTCTGTTGAACTTCTTTTGAATTTCTTTTCTCTCTCTTTCTCCCAGAGGAAACCACTCTCTGACGTGGTTTGAAATATCTTACGTATTTTAATAAATCAGATCATATTGTATGTATCTATCTACAACTTGCTTTTGCACTCAATGTTTTTTTGGAAATTTTGTTGAAATGTGTAGATCCAATGCATTCACTTTAACTGCCGAGTAGTATTTCATTTGCTGATCCATTCCACTATTGGCAATTATTTTATTTACAGTTTTTCATTACAAAAAACAATGAATGCTGAAATGTGCAAGTGCAAGAATTTCCCTGTGGTATGTCTAGAAAGGATGTCAGGATAACAGGCAAAAGCAAGAATTGTCCTGGCAGCCTCGTGATAAAGCAGGTCCATCTTCAGCCTTGTAGGCATAACCAAATGTTCTACAGAGGGTAATACCATTTTAACTAAAACTATCAGTGTATCTGAGTTCCTATTTCTCCATAGGACCTCCTAGCTCTTAAAGATACAAATATCTCATCTGCTTTCAGCCTGGATTTACATGGCTAGTAATTTAAAATCGTTTGGTTGGGAGGGGTGGTAGGTGAGACTCTAAATTTTGTAGCTAGTGTCTGTGGCTAGGGTTTTATAGCTCCTGAGATCATGTAGTCAAACTTTGTCCTTTTTTATATATGGAGAAAATTACCTGGAAGGATTGTATGACTTGTCCAAGGCCACATAGCTAGTTAATTGTTGAAACGGGATGGAAACCCAGAATGACACTTAATTCCCAGCCTAATTTTTTCCCTATTAAATCATTAAAGCATTTTGTTATCTCGTCCCTCTATAGTATTAGTTTGTACGGAAATAAAGTAAAAATAAAACTAAAGGGATGCAGCATCCTTCATAAAGCTACATACTCTTATTTAACTTCCTTGTTAGCTTCTGCATTTTTAATATCTTGCAACAAATATTCCAGTGCTTGCTCCTTCATCTTTCTATTTTATCGTATGTAAATTACCCCTTCAGATGAAATCACAAGGCACTGGTTTGACACATAATTTCTAGGTTAAGAAAGTACTAATTCTATATATAAACATAGATTAGTTTCTTTCCAGCGTTTGTCTTCCAACACAGCCTTCAGTGCACTTGTCAGGTAATATCCCACTGAATTCAAGTATGGTAGTGAGGCCTAGGTGTTAGACAAAAACAAGATCATGACATTTCTGCAAAATTATAAATTTAAAATAGTTTTGAAAAATATTCTGGCTAATTCATTCCTGTATGGTACATATGACATGCACTGAAGACGGTCAGGAGGTGCAGCCCAAGTGTGTTACCTCAGTTGAGTCACATTATGGTGGAACCATGTTTCCTTATTGCAAAGCAAGAGGTTGAGTCTGATTGACTAAGACTCATTAAATTTGTTTTTTTGTTTTTCATAATGATCATTTTTTATTATGAAATATGTATTACTTTTCTATCACTTAGTTTTTCCCCTAAGTTAGCCAGTTATAAATGTAAGTCCTCTTTTACATAAGTAATGCATATTGCTATGAACAGTTCAAAATTTTTACCAAAATATTATTCCTAATACTGTTTAAATTTAAAAGCTGAGTATCTTTTTTGGCTTCTGTTGAAATTCTGTAAATAAAGTATCATATTGGAGGCTTTTCAAATTTGAAATAGAAAACTCCTCCCCTAGTGATCATAATAATGGAAATCTTTGTCTTCTCATAATTCAGATCATCTCAAAAAATGTCACTGGACTTTGTAATTTTCTCTTTTTGAGTTTTAATATGATCTAACACCCATTAATATTTCATGAAGTTATGACTATATTGTTTTAATCTTGAAAAATAAATCATGAAAAATAGATGCATGTATATGTGCATAGGGATGGAAAAAATTGAAAATATACAATTATATATTCTGCCTCAGTCTTTGTATGTAAAAGTGAGAGCTTTGTCATTATGACTGATTAACTTTATAGTCAAATTATGGAGATTACAGAGCTGATAAAGGAAACAAAAGATAAAACATAGAATGCAGTAAGATGAAGTTCCTAGAAAATATAGGTTAATTTTTAATGGTAGTTATATCTCTTATTATTACATGGCTCGGACTGCTCCTTGGGTGGTTGGCTGGTTGGTTTTATTGCTTTTACAAGTTTAAAAAGGCTGAATTGCTATTCTTTGTGGAAACTTCATATCCCATAGGGAATAGTTATGACTAATAAGTAGCTGGAGGCAGAACTATCAATCGAGTTAATGCTTCATTCTTTTTTCCCTTGTAGGATATCTTATTTGAAAAGAAGGTAAGCACCACATGCTTTGATTACTACGAATTACTCCAAACACTTGCATTATCAAATCAGCATTATAATTCACATTAGAAGATTAAGTGTGACTAAATAAAAATGCTTAGTTCTTTTAAAATGAGCCACTCTATTCTGAGGCAGCCATCTGATTTCTTTTATACTACCATATTCAATGCAAGTTGGAAAATTTAGAAAAAGTAGGAAATATTGAATGTGACTCCAGGAGTGATTTTAGAAATCAGTCATGAGCAAACTACATAGTTTTTGCTTACTTTGATGTGCTTCCTTTATTCTAAGCATGTATCTGACATCAGCCACATCAGGTCCTCTATTTTGGGGGGTGTTCCTGGTGTTGGCTAGGTTAGGCAGAGGGTTCCCAGCTAAGAGACAGAGTCTAGAGTCATCCCCTGCTGCCTGCCAATTGACTTTGAGCTCATTCTCCTTATTGTGAAGAAAAGGCAGCCTGATGATGGCAACCAGACCACGTGGCAAAGGAAACTGGCCAATAAGATTGGACGAGCCTTAGCACAATAGATAATCATCAGCTTGCTGAGGAGTCCTGTCCTGGACATGCATTTCTTAAAAGAAAGAGTTTGGAACATCTGAGCTTTGTTCAATGAGCTGCTTATTTAACATCAGGAAATTTACAAGTATTGTTGCATAAAATAATAGGAGTCAACCAAACCTACGTCACACCATGTTTTATTGAATTGTACATGTTCGGATATACCATTATGTTATGTACCATTAAGAAAGGAAAAAAAAAACGGCCAGGCATGGTCGCTCACGCCTGTAATCCCAGCAGTTTGGGAGGCCGAGGCAGGTGGATCATGAGGTCAGGAGATCGAGACCATCCTGGCCAACATGCTGAAACCCCGTCTCTACTAAAAATACAAAAAAGTTAGCTGGGGGTGATGGTGCATGACTGTAGTCCCAGCTACTCAGGAGGCTGAGGCAGGAGAATCACTTGAACCCAGGAGGCAGAGGTTGCAGTGAGCCAAGATTGCTGCTGCATTCCAGCCTGGTGGCAGAGTGAGACTCCCGTTTAAAAAAAAAAAAAGAAAAGAAAGAAAGGAAAAAACCCTTGCTAGCTTATCTATGATACAGTGTCTTCTTATTAATTGCACTTTTTATTTTATACCTGTGGAAATAAGTTTTTAGACATTTTGGATGTAGATTTTAAAATCCTGTATCACTTTCATATATACATATAAGGGAATATGTAAGCAAAATAACTTGGTTATTTCTAAAACTTCTTCACATCAGACTCTAAATCAAGCTTGTCCAACTCGCGGCCCACAGGCTACATGCAGCCCAGGATGACTTTGAATGCGGACCAACACAAATTTATAAACTTTTTAAAAACGTTATAAAATGTATGCACGGCCCTTTTTTTTTTTTTTTTTTTTTTTTTTTTTTGCTCTTCAGCTATCGTTAGTGTTAGTGTATTTTATGCGTGGCCCAAGGCAATTCTTCTTCTTCCAATGTGGCCCAGGGAAGCCAAAAGATTAGACACCCCTGGTAAATCTGAATCATTTTTTGTCTGAGTTGTTGATGTCCTTGTTTTTCTGCGTAATACTGACCTCTATGCCAGCAAAACCATTGGTGATGAAGCATTTCTTAAGTATGTTCTGGAATTTTCTCCCATTTCATTCTGTAAGTTTTGAAGTGCATGTGCAAAAAGCAACTACTTTGTCATGACTGAACCTGGTCAACAGCTGTTATAAGACTCATTCTGATTTCAGAGTTGTTAAAATGAGGAAGAAGGTGCATCTTACAATTATCTTACAATTAGTAAAATATGCTATAAGTCAAATGTTTTCCTTTGCCTAGTAAAGGAGCATTTAATATTATTATATTATTGAGCTTTGATGTGTTATATAGAAGAGAAGGATCAGAAATTCTAAAAGTCCACTGAAAATATTTATTTTCTCCTTTTAACTGGCATCTATATATTATACATGTATTTTTGATGGGATGTCTTTTATTTAACTATGCTGAAATTTAATAATATTTTGTTAGCTAGCTCTTGGTAGGTATAAATTTGCCTGGAATAATTTAATAGAGAGAGCAAAACATCCATAAATGTGCAAGGTAAAATTTCTTTGAGAGTGCTCCAGTTGGTTATATACTGAATACAATTTGAAATGCTATTTGAAATTTATTTGAAATACACTTTGAAATGTATTTGAAATACAATTTGAAATGCTGCATACAATTTGAATTTCACTGTGTGTTAATATCATATTTCATTATTGATTCAGTGTGAACGCAAGATTTGTGAATGTGAGAAGGGAGATCCAGGTGATCCAGGGCCTCCTGTGAGTATACTTCCACTTTGAACTTAAGTCAGAAAGTCCTAGCAATGATAGCTCTACTCGCTCTTGAAAACATCGGGGCTATTTTGCACTGCTGAAAAGCAATTGTTTGGAAATGGGAGGAAAAATGGAAATGCTACTTCTTTCTTTTATTTCTAAAGGGACACATTCTATCCTTAGAAATAAGCCTGGGATTTTACTGACCTGAACTGAGGGCAGGTGTGTTTTGAAGTTGTTCCCACAAAGGACATTTATATTCCTCCTCATAAAATAATTGAAGCCAGAATTTCTCAATAGTGAAGTGAATACAGAAAAAGCTAATACAAATAATCAGTGCTTTAAGCAAAGCTTTATCCTACTAGAAACATGGAGTACAAGCCTCTCTGAAAGTTAAATGTTGGCTTCACACGAATGCAGCAGTGCAGCAGCAACACCGTGTGGCCTCATGGACAGGAAGCTGGTCACGATGCTTTGGGGGATTAGGGTGAGTTCTGTGAAATGGAAGTAAGCACATGGCAACCAAAAATAAATGGCAGGATTGACTATGATGATTCATTGTTTGATAAGATAATCCAGGAAGGAGTGCTTTCTTTATATTCTGGCCTAATAACTGGTAGGTGCCATGTCTGTACTGGGAAGGCATTTGAAATGACATCTAGATCACTGGAAATGCTGAGCATTTTTTTAACATTTATCTTCATAAAGCATTCACGTGCTCATTCAGTCTTCTATTTATTTGTATAATTCCAAATATCATCCTTAGAGTTCAGAAGAAGCCCTATGGAGAATCTCACAAAATGCATGGATAAAAATTTTCAACTAATGCTTGTATTTGGGGGTGGGAGGGGAATGTGTACTGTGAATGAATTAGAATGTGACAAATTTTACCTTGAGACTCGGGTCCAAAGCCTACAATTTTTCAAACCATCCTACCAATCAAGGGATGTTTTTCTCCCCAAATACAAAGTTAGATGCGTTATATGATAGTGGGGCAGCCAGTAGAAGCTGACTTTGGCTAAAGCAAAGGTTTAGCCATCCCTTCCTATAAAGTCTTCGTTTATCTCTATGACACCAAGAGATGGCCAGGGTAAGAAATATTTCTTTATATTTTAAAATGAGCAATAAGAAAGCTCACAATTGCTAAGCACCTGACAATTTTAGTCACATTCTTGTCACATTTTAGTAGGGATAAGCCACAGAATATGTTATTTAACATTATCGAGTACCCCCAACACCATTTCTCAGAAAAGCAAGCTTTCTGGTTGATTAGGAACAGGAAAACAAAATGCTTTTCTGGAACAGGATTACAGAGCTCCTTTCTCCCATCTTTTGAGATTGTCTCCTGGATATCAGAACCTCTTTGACCAAAGGCAAGCAAGCTAGCTTGGTCCTTTTAAAAGTGAGTGACAGAGGGAATCGTAGAAGTGACCCACAATGAAGAGAGATTGGGAACAACTCCTATCCTTCTGCCTGTTGCAGCTACTCTTTTAAATCTTTGCATGAGTTTGATTTTGTTTGCAAAACTGCTGAGAAGTGATTGTTTTGGGAAGAAGTAATTGGTGGGAAGAGAGAAACATTATTCTCTTTTGAGCAAATCTAGAAAATCTGCCAATTCAAGACAGTGGTTTTCCTGGTGTAGAAAAAGGGAGAAGAGAATTGAATTTCTGCTTGGCAGGTAAAGGTTTTACAATTCTCCCTCATTCTAGGAAACAAAACTGATCAGAAATTATTATAAAGTATAGAAAACAATAGAATTCCTACTTAAAATAATATTTTTTCCCTTTGCCTTCAGGGTACACATGGAAATCCAGGTATCAAAGGTGAGCGAGGACCAAAAGGAAACCCGGTAAATGAATAAACAGCTTTTCTTTAAACCAGCGTATCTCCTTCTAGACTTTTTTTTTAAAACAACAATTTTAAAAATAAAAAGCATTGTAGTATATGGCAAAAATGTGACAACTTTTGTGAAGAATACAGGATTTCCACTTCCTATATTATCTATCTTATTTCTATTAGCTTGAATTCACAAATTCTGAGTAACATATATGAACATTTTAGTCAGTAAGTTTAGGAAACCTAGGGACATTGAATAAACAGAAACTAGTACTTAAACGATAGCAGCCAATCTTATTTAGGATGATGATTCAGCAACTAGTAATATGTGTTCCATATCAGATTGACACTGGCACTTGTGTTTTTAATGGGTATACTTTTAATGATTAACTGACTGACAATAATCATAGAAAAACCACCAGATTGTTTCTCACTCCCAGAGCATCTTCAAGGACTTCTCGAATTCTTTTCTCTGTGTACCTATCAAAAAAAATCCCAGGCTTTTAAAGAAAACATTCATCTGTTCAGATCATTGTTAGGATTTTGGTTCCAAGTTCAAGAACAACAGCAGTAATCACAAAGAGAAAAGTAGATATAACTATGTGAAAATTTAAGGCAAAATTCTGTGTAATGAAAAAAATAATAATTAAAGAAAAGGGAGTGATATGCTTTGGTTATGTCCCCACTCAAATCTCATCTTGAATTGTACGTAGCTCCCATGATTCCCACATGTGGTGGGAGAGACTGGTGGGAGGTAATTAAATCATAGGGGGCGGGTCTTTCCCATGCTGTTCTTGTGATAGTGAGTAAGTCACATGAGATCTGATGGTTTTATAAGGGGAAGTTCCCCTACATAAGCTCTCTTGCCTGTCACCATGTAAGATGTGGCTTTGTTCCTGCTTCACCTTCCTCCATGATTATGAGGTCTCCCCAGCACTGTGGAACTGTGAGTCCATTAAACCTCTTTGCTTTATAAACTACCCAGTCTCAGGTGTGTCTTTGTTAGCAGCATGAGAATGTCCTAATATAAGGAAGGAATATTAAAGAAATAGAAATATCAGGAAATATTTGCATCAAATGTAATGGACATTGGGTTAATTTCTACAGTACACTGAGTTAATTTCTGAACACAATTTTCAAGAGAGGAAACAAAACTAGTAAAGAAAAAAGTAAAAGCACATTTAATTTCATTAGGTAATAAAATAAATTTAAATAGAGAGAATGAGATATCCTTTAGTAGTGATACTTACATTTTAGAAACTTTGGAATCCAGAGGATTATTTTTTTCTGGAAGTGGTTTTCTAGTTCACATCATTTGTTTTTGTGTGTGTTTTGACGTTTAAAAACATTTCTTTCATTATAGCAATTAACACAGCAATATTAAAACAATAATAACTAGTGATAGCAATGTGGCAGTGAAACTGGTTTGCTTTTCATTGCAGGTAACTTGACACAAATAGTTTGGGAAAAATTAGGCAATAAGTAAGAGGTACTCAAATACTAACAAAGTTAACTATTACATTAAAAATTAACTCAAAAATGAACTCTAAAACAGCCCTATTAGAAAGTTTTTAGAGAGGTAATGAAAAAAATCAAAAGTTAAATGCATAAAAGCATTTTTGGCAATTGTCTGCTTGTCAAGGAAAGGGAATATAGCAGCCTTGGATAGCTTTACAACATACACACACATGCTCAACCAAACAACCCTATACTCACTCATCTTATATACGTCCAAACTGATGCTATCATGTCTTCTTTTTTTTGTGTTAAATACCCATTATAAATGTAAGTTCACATTTTATTTCTTTGGTTTGTAATTTTGTGCCACATAATATATTTTCTTAAGTCTTGCTGAAATCAAGCAATCACTCTTGAGGACATTTTGGAAAACATTCCAAAGCCCCTTAGAGAAAAGCCAGAGTGACTGGCTCCAAGTGAGTATAATGATGTATTTGAGAACAATCGCTGTGTTGTTCAACTGGGATGTGGTGTAAGCTGTGAAAAGGTACCTGGATCCTGCACCCTACACATCTGGCTTCACTGCAAAGGGCAAAGTTTATCTGAGTTGCTATTTTTTTTTTTTTTTTGCCTAGATTGCATAGTGAAAATGTCAACGGGAAAGACTAAAGATGTTTCCTAATTGGGCTAAGCTATTAATCTTCTGTATAATGCATTTTATTGAGCAATCAGTCACTCTTCAGGGCTGTGGAATTTTTACTGTTTTTTGTTTGTCACAGGGCAACGCTCAAAAAGGAGAAGCTGGAGAAAGAGGTCCAGGGGTATGTACACAACTGGAATGCCTTCCTAAGAAAGTGATCCTAGGTTACTGATTTTGTGGTTGACCATTTTGACCCCCTTAGTGCAAGTGCAAAAGTGATTTCTATCTACCTTGTGCTCTTGATGGCTCAAGAAGGCAATCAGAAAGATATGATCTTAGAAGTGGAAATGTGGGGAGAAAATACTCAGCTAACAGAGTGAAAATGGGAGCAGGAGTGTTCAACCCTATCAAATTCTCTGATGCTTAATTTGACATTGGTGAAAGGCTCCAATGAGAAAACTGTTTGCTTTATTTCTTAAGTTTTTTAAGATAAAGAATAAGTTAGAATTTCAGGAGCATAAGAACTACATGGTCTAAACTATGCTTTTGTTAATCCAATTCTGCAGACATAATAAAATTTACCATTCTATTTGATTTCTTATACCCCAAATTAGAAGATAGTGGATATTGCCCAAGAACTAATTACAGTATATTTCTTATTTTGCACTTTTCTGGGCATTGCAGTAAGTGTATCAAATAGCAGAGATGTGTACGGTGCATAAAAAGAAGACCATATGACATTGCCCCTCTCTGCTTGTCCCCCTGGATGTGCCCTGGACTCAGACCCAGAGATGTTAAAAACTGTTCTCTTGGTATTTTGAATCAACTTCATTAAAAAATCTGATAGAAAGTTTAGTAATGTCAACAAAAAATCTGAAATTTGTGTTCAGGAAACATTTCTTAGGTATATTCTACATATAAAGCATACAAGTATGTAAAAATAAAACTAAGATAAAGTACTTGTATTTTTAAAAAGCTTATTATCTCATAGGAGAGAATTCTACGTTTATCTTCTATTCCTCATTGACCACACATTTGGAAGTTTTATTTCCTTCATGAAGTTTCCTTTTGTAAAAAAAGTCAGGCCAGGCACAGTGACTCATACCTGTAATACCAGCACTTTGGGAGGCCTAGGTGCAAAGATCACTTAAGGCCACTAGTTTGAGACCAGCCTGAGCAACATAGTGAGACCCTCTCTCTACACATAAATAAATAAATAGATAATAGTATTAATAAAAAAGTCATGCATAGAACAAAATTTTGTAGTCTGACTCACATGTAACTGTAATAATAGCTTATTTATTAAATAGGTTTCTTCAGCTCTCAATAAATCTGACAATTCTATTTCCATATTTGAAAAATATAGCTGTATGAAAGACAAAAAAATCCCATTTGAAGAGGACTTGCTGCTGCTTAGAGCTGGTGATTTCCCAGGCCATGTAATATTCACTATTGTATTTCTTAAAGGGCCATGGGCAGTGACACAATGGAAAAGGCTGTACAGGATTCCCAAGGGTGACACACAGAAGACAGTAGAAGTGCTGGCCTCTTATTTAGTGTGAGATAAAAGACAGTAGCTTAAAGGTCACTGTCGCATTAGGGCTGATAAAGGAACCTTTCATTTCCTTGATGTTATATATCTTAGACCGAATTTGTAAGGAGGACCATAATGGATACAAATATTTACACACATTTTAAAGGCCATTATCTCAGCTCATTTTCAAAGCCAATTTCTTTCAGAGTCTCTATGAAACATTCTTAGCTGCAATAGTTCATAGTTTAAAAGTCAATATAACAGTTTTGAAGGGACCATTATAGGCCATCACTTCTACAATGACTTTCAGTGTACATTATCTCCTCTAGTTTTGGGCCAAAGGGCAAGAAACTGGATATGGAAAAATACCTGAAACTGAGAATAAAATGTGATAAAGGGAAAACAGATTATTTTCTTCTCCTCAGTAAATGTATATTTCTCCAAGCACAAAGAGAAGTGGAACAGTTTACATTTCTATGATCTAATTTTCCAGACTGTATAGATGTGTTTTTGTTATACCTTGTAATTGAAAAATACCTAATCCTTATTCTAATTCTGCCTCAGAGTATCATATTTTACTTTTTATTTTCTTTTTAAATTAGGGAATTCCTGGGTACAAGGGTGACAAGGTAAGTTGGTAACAACAAATAGATTGACCAGAATTTCAAAAAGAAAAACAGAAACATAAGTGTACTTAGGAACTTAATAAAAGTTATTTTCTTTATTTTTGTAAGTCTGGATTCCCTCATTCCTGAGTTAACATAAAATAATAATAGAACTTAACATATGGATGTGTGTTGTAAGGGATGGAGGGTACCATGATTCCTGAGATTAGAATCCAGCCTCCTTCAGCTTTGCAAACATGAATTATTTTAATAGAGAACCCCAATTTATAAGCCATGCAGCACAGGTATGCAGGCTAAAAGTTTCTTTACACAAACAGATTCAGCAATACTGCAAATAGGTTGCACCCTTGGTGTTTAACTTCCTGTGAAAACCTAGACACCAAATCCTCTCCCAGGGAAAAGAGAGGATTTATCCTGGTTAAGCAGTGAAGAGCCACTGACTTCACTGAGTCAGCCAATTGGGTAGAGCTTGCAGGGGAGTAAATTTGGCAAACAAGCAAACAAAAGGTATGGGTTGGTAGATGATTTGATGATTATTTGCGAGTTACAAGTTAGGATACCAAACTGCTTTAAAAGGGATTAACAAGTCATACTGGGGCTCAGGAACCTCTGAGAGTGCTCACTGGTTCATTGATAAGTCTGTCCCACAGTTCTTGTTATTATCAGATTTTCTATCTGAATCAGAACATGCACCTATCATCCATTCCATCCTACAGGGCTACAACCTTCAGGCATGAGAAAGAGGCTAGAACTTTAGAGGGTCCAGCTCTGAGTCTCCTCTGGCCTCCCTGCTTCTCATGGAGCCAGGAGTCTGCAGGAGGTCTGTGCTTCCTTCTCCTGGATCATGCATTGGGTAGCCAAGACTTCAAAAGGCCTGCTGCTGGGAGGGCATACAAAAACCTCCTTTCCATATCCATCATTTTCCTAGGCTGGAGGGGGAGCCGAATGGTAGCTGTTTGTTGGGGCAGGAGAGGTCATGTAGCGGGCTTTGTTGTGCTACCCGGGGCATCTTCACGTGTGTGCTCATGCTCTTGCTGTGGAAGGAGTTGGAGGTGGGAAGGGAAGTTGGGGCCAGGCTGCAGGGGGCTATGTCTGGCAAGGACCTCTGAGGAATTCATAAGTCTTTTAATTCTTTATCCCTTTTGAAGACATATTTGTTAAGGAAGGAAGCCAGAACATTATTAGTTTAGTTATAACTTTCAACTATTTAGACACATGGTATGTGGGCTTCCACTTACACTCTTGCCCTGGGCCCTGCAAATATTAGGGGTGAGCCTACATGTAAGCCAATAAATATATCCTAATCGCTGGCAATGTTAGAACTCCAAGGGGAAGAGTGTAAGGAATCCCATGATTCTACACTTAGCAGCCTTAAGAACTTAGGTAACTCAATGTCTTGGAGTATCTGTTTCTTCAACTGGATGGAATACAATTTGTACAGGCCTGCCTAATTTACAGAGTGGTTGGAGAATCAAATAATGGGCGTGACAATGTATTCCAAAATGTTGGCTTGTCTACAAATGTAAGTGCCATTATGAAGAGGAAAGGAACAAATATTAATATGGGAAAACTAAAAAAGTTTCACAGTTGTAAAATTATCAACTGTGTGTATAGTTGAGGAAAATAGTGGGTGGCCCCCTCCTCCATTTTGATTTATATAGTGAGGTAGTTATCAACACAAGGAAGCTTTATACATATATTTTTTGAAAAGATTAATTTCACTTTCTGGAGAATTATTGATTCACTGGAAGAGTTCTCACTTGGAAAATACAAGCTGTCAGAGCAAAGTGACCCTGAACCATCGACATTCAAACCAGAATTTCACCAGGAGCAGCAGCATCAGAAAATAGAGGCTGAGAACAGAGCTGATCTGTTCATGGCTTTCTGAAGTACTCGCTTTCTGAAACCATGTAGTTGTGGCCATTCCACAGGGATTAATGAGCCCACCAAAAAGGAAAACGCCTTTGCAGAGGCAAATAACATGAATACAATATTTTCATTGATGGCAATCTGTGCCCCCCAAAAAACAAATGCTGTTCCTCAGGCCCCTATAGCTAACAAATCTGTCTGGACAAATGGAATGTGAATTGTAGCCAAAAGCATTTTGAGTGTATTTATGGTACTTTCTGTTTTATATTTTGGTGGTTGACTCATTTTATTCCCATCCAAAATTATTAAATTAATTGCTTTCTAATTGATTCTTCAAAAGTGATTTTCCATTTGCATTCAGAAATAAATGTTCAACTTGTTCTAAGTGAAAGCTCAGTTTTTCCTGGGTCAGTTTGACTCACGAAAGGATGTGAAGAGAGAACAGATTGCTTTTGATCAGAGGCATAGCTGGCTCTAAGAGTCACACCTCCCTCTTTCCTGCTCCTGATGCCTGCAAGAGCCCAGGCAGTACCCTAGGCAGAAATGTCAGGTTAATGGAAAGTGACTTGCAGCCTATGATAGTGTGCCTTGTTCAGCTACAGGTGACTGATAAGAACATGGACTTGAGAGCCTAACAGACTCAAATTTGTGGTCATGGACAAAGTATGTAATGTCTCTGAGCCTCATTTTGCTTATCTGTGAGTGGAGATATGTATATATACCTCGCAAGGCTGCTATGGGGATTAGCAATAATGTAAAGGCTATGGCACACACTTTGCATCCATAATTGGAGGTTACAGTTGTGATTTCCCTCCATAGAGCACTGCTGTTGAAACTGTGGTCTGCAGGCTGGCTGCCAGTCTGTGAATGGTTTGTTGCTATTCTGCAACAAGATAAAGCTTCCGCCAGCATATAAATCCACTATATTACAACGTATACTGTTTAAAGTTCAGCTGACATTTATTTTTCATAGCAAGACTTCCTTGATGAAAGAAGCAGTGCATTGATTTACATTTGAATGTAATTTCCTTGTCATTGTGTAGTGGCACTTCCAGTAACATGCCCTAGAGCAGTACAGAGGCAGAATAAAGAAGCAGCAGCAGAAGCTAGTGTTGAGAGCACTGGACTAGGAGTCATTGGGTAGCCTGTACATTTAAGTAAATCATTTGACATATCCAATTGTGTTTCCTTATCTTGAAAATGAGAATTGAATTGAGGATCAAAATAACGATATATATAAAAGCATTTTGAAAACTCTAAAGTGATTTATAAAGGAGATAATATTACTATGATTATGAAACTTTAGTCATTTTTCTGACTGTCACCTTTTAGTTCTAAGTAGTAGAAGTTTCAAAAGTCTGATATAATGGATTAGTATTCAGAGGTCCCAATTCTCCTTCTACTTGAGGAAACTAACCTTTTAAAAATATTTAGTTTTATTTAAAAAATTTAATGGACAAATCTAAAAAGTTCATATTTATTGTATTGTATAAAATATAATTTGATAAATGTATACATTATAAAATGGCTAAATTGAGCTAATTAACATATATATCACTTCACATAATGATCAGTTTTTGTGGTGAGAATGCTTAAAATCTACCCTTTTAGTGATTTTCAATACAAGACATTGTTATTAATGATAGTCATCGTGTTGAACAATAGATCTCTTGAACTTATTGCTCCTATCTAACTAGTTTTGTATCCTTTGGCCAACATTTCCCAAGTTTCCACCAATTACCCCTGGTAACCACCCTTCTACTCTGTGCTTCTGTGAGTTCAAATTTTTTAGATCTCACATATAAGTGAGATCATGCCATATTTGTCTTTCTGTTCCTGGCTTATTTCACTAAACATAATGTCTTCCAGGTTCAGGTTCATCTATGTTGTTACAAATGACAGGATTTCTTTCTCAAAGGCTGAATAATATTCCATTGTATACCACATTCTCTTTACTTAACCTTCTTAATTACAAAATTTTAATCTATAAAATTGGATTAATATTTATCTCAGACAGGTAATGTCAGATTAACTAAGATAAAATATTTATGATAAACTATCACTGATAAACTCTAAAGAATAACTCAAATGTTGTTTTTTCAGCAATATTCTAGGGAAGACAGGGAAGTAGAGCATAATAATGAAAAATATGTAGCATGCTTGCTGCCAAGCCCGGCTCTCCTACAGCAGTCCTCGCTAACTCATCATGGCACCTGTTCCCACTAACTCACGATGCAATCTCACTTCAGAACCTTTCTCTCACGGTTCTCCAGGTGAACACTACTAGGTGGTCAAGGTTGGTACTCAGGCTGAAGCATGGTGTTCTTGAAAAAATAGGAATTCCAAGTTAAAGTATCTGGGTTCAGACTCTGATTCTTTTACTTACTAGCTATTTGATAGAGGGAAATTATCTTGTTGAGTTTAAATGTTCTCAATTATAAAATAAGAATGATAAAGCTGATCTCCCTGGACCGTTATGTGGATTCAATTAAACCACATATGCAAAGGGCATCTAATATGTGATTAGATGCTAGGTTCCTTTTCTTCTAGTTTCATCCATTTCTTAAAAATGTCAAACCTTATTACATTGTTCCTGATTTATTCCTGTCAAGTTAAGGATGACTCTTGGGTAAAAATATTCAGATTTCAATGCCCATAAAACCCACAGTATTGAGGCTAATATTGTGTAGAAACCAAAAGAGTGCTTATGTTACAAGAGTCTGCTGGGAATTTAAAAAACAAACAAACAAACATTCTTAATAGTGAATGACTGCAAGTGTTCTCTTATTTATTTCACTTATTTATTTTTTAGGGTGAACGTGGGGAATGTGGTAAACCAGGGATAAAAGGTGACAAGGTAAGGAACATGTTTTTAAACTGCTTACAGCTGTGATCCCTTTTGGGTTGCGTTTCCTTAAGGGGAAATTCCTGGGCTGAATTATGGTGATCTCACTACTAGAGTTGGAATCAATGGCTCAATTTTTCACATCTGTAAAACATGTGGTAGAAAACAAAGTGATGCCTAACTCAATAATAGAACCCCCAAATGCCTTTTTTATGGACCATTAAGACTTCATTTTCTGACACCCTAACCTTGGAGGCCACGCCCACTGAATGTTATGGTAAAAAGAATTATTTAACCTGCAAAGTTAATTAAAGCTGCAGTTAGGTCAGGGTAGAAGTGCTTTCCAGATGCAAACACTGAAAACAGGCACTTTCCAAAATAGTGTGAAGAACTCTGAAATCAGTCAGTGAAATAGTTATAAACAGTGTGGTGCAACTAGACATAGAGATTTGGAATTTTGAAAATGTAGACACAAACAATTGGATAAATATTCACCTTTATTTTAAAAAATAAATATAGGCTGAACGCAGTGGCTAACACCTGTAATCCCAGCACTTTGGGAGGCCAAGGTGGGTGGATCACCTGAGGTCAGGAGTTTGAGACCAGCCTGACCAATACGGTGAAACACCATCTCTACTAAAAATACAAAAATTAGCCAGGCATGGTGGCGTGCACCTGTAGTCCCAGCTACTCAGGAGGCTGAGACAGGAAAATTGCTTGAACCCAGGAGGCAGACGTTGCAGTGAGCCAAGATCGTGCCACTGCACTCCAGCCTGGGTGACAGAGTGACTCCGTCTCAAAAATCAATCAATCAATCAATCAATCAATAATGAAAGCACTTAAATTTGGAAATAATATTATGTTAAAGAGTTCCTCAAAAGGCCAAATATATACAGAGAGTATATCTGAAACATGATGTTAAAGGGTCCAAAAAAGTACAGAGTAAAAATAAATAGTTTTCATTATATTAAGAACTATTAACATCATGCCACCAAGATACCAAACTTTTTCAGTTTCTATGTTATAATTCTGGAAGGGAGTCAAGGAGAGAAAATGAGGCAGAAGGTTAGGAGAAGAGGGTGAGATAATGACTTTGGCCCATGAAACTAAACACTTTAAATAGATTGAGACTTTCTGAATGCTTTTAAAGTACTGTAGAGTTAAAGTCAGGTGGATCTGCAAAAGGTAGGCTTGGTAATTATCTCTGGTCAAAATGGGAAATGTGAAAATGAATAGATTCTTCCTGGAGTATAACTGAACATGGAAGATGGACCTGGATATTGGCAATGCAGAAAAAGGGACACACATAGAATAGAATAGAAATGAAAGTCAAAGAATACCTGGGAAAACTAGATGAAATTAAAATGGTTGACAAAGGATATCATATTTCATTGACTAAGATGTCAGGGATTATTAAATGTCCCATTATTTTCCATACCAAAAAGGAATAACAACAACAAAAAAAACCCACTGCCAATTATAAATGTAAGGTGCAATTGACTGTAAAATATACCCCAATGTCAGAGATATAAAAATGTGAAAAAATGTGCCTTAGAACTGATGAGATATAGAGTCCTTGACACGAAGAGTTTACACAAGTTTGTTCAGAAAAACATATGAACAACATGAAGAGATAGAGAAGTGGAAATTAAAATGGCTAATAAATAAGAAAAATATCCGAATACAGTAGCAATCAGATAAGTGAAATTAATACATTAAAATTAGGCCGAAGTGGGAGGATCACTTGAGTCCAGGAGTTTGAGACCAGCCTGGGCAACATAGTGAGGCCCCGTCTCTACAAAAAATTTAAAAATTAGTTGGACATGTGCCTGTAATTCCAGATACTTGGGAAGCTGAGGTGGGAAGATTGCTTGAGTCCAGGGGGTTGAGGCTGCAGTGAGCTGTCATTGTGCCACTCTACTCCAGTTTGGGTAACAGAGCGAAACCCTGTCTCAAAAAAAACAAAATAGGCTGGGCGTGGTGGCTTATGCCTGTAATCCCAACACTTTTGGAGGCCAAGGTGGGCAGGTCATCAGAGGTCAGGAGTTTGAGACAAGCCTGGCTAACAAGGTGAAACCCTATCTCTACTAAAAATACAAAAATTAGCTGGGCATGGTGGTGCACACCTGTAATTTCAGCTACTCGGGAGGCTGGAGCAGGAGAATTGCTTGAACCTGGGAGGCAGAGGTTGCAGTGGACCGAGATTGTGCCATTGCACTCCAGCCTGGGGGACAGAGTAAGACTCCATCTCAAAAACAAAACAAAACCAACAATAAAACAATAAGGTATTATATCACCAGTGTGGGCAACTAGGGAGGCTGAGGTGGGAGGATTGCTTGAACCTGGGAGATAGAGGCTGCAGTGAGCTACTCCAGCCTGGGCAACAGAGCAAGACCCTGTCTCAAACAACAACAACAACAACACCAGCAACCAAAAGCAAACATACAAAAGTATTATATCACCTATCAAATTAGCAAACAGTGAAGTAATGTATAATACTAATTGTTGATGGGGAGCCCATAAGATGAAGATACACTCTCTCATACTCGGGTAGTGGAAATGATTAACAAACAAACTTTATGGAGGAAGTTTCTCTCTCTTTATTTCTATATATGGCATGAGAGACAAAGGACAGCCGGTGAACCTTAAATGTGCTTATGGTCTCTGCTTCCATCATCCTCTTCTAGTAGACTATTCTTAGGAGTGAATCAGAAGTTGGGCAGAGATTTATACATAAAGATGTTCATTATAATATTAGGTCAAAGCTAGGGAAATGAGTAAATAAATTATGGTAGTTCCCTATTCTTGACTATTATCTGTTTACTATGAGTTTTTAATGACATGGAAAAAGGAAATTTTTTTTTTTTTTTTGAGACAGAGTCTCGCTCTGTTGCCCAGGCTGGAGTGCAGTGGCGCGATCTCAGCTCACTGCAAGCTCCGCCTCCCGGGTTCACGCTATTCTCCTGCCTCAGCCTCCCCAGTAGCTGGGACTACAGGTGCCCGCCACCACGCCCGGCTAATTTTTTGTATTTTTAGTAGAGACAGGGTTTCACTGTGTTAGCCAGGATGGTCTCCATCTCCTGACCTCGTGATCCGCCCGCCTCGGCCTCCCAAAGTGCTGGGATTACAGGCGTGAGCCAGCACGCCTGGCCGGAAAAATATTTTTGATACAGTGTAAGGCCAAATGGGTAGGACACAAAATCAGACATACACTTTGATCACATTATTTGAAGAGGAATCTACTGGGAATAAAACTGGACGAAAATATGCCTAAAATGTTAACAGCATTTGCTTCTGTGTGATTTTTCAAATTGTTTATTTATATGTTTCTATAATTGTCAAAGTGTGTCAATTGTTAACAGGTTGTACTTTGATAAGCAAAAAAAAAAAGTGGAAATCTGGGGAAATAAAAACTAGACTATGTTCTCCCTCACAAAATAAATTTTAAAGGGTTTCCTGGTTATGGGACCGAATGAAATATTTTCTATTAGAAGAGTATTGAATATAAACAGTGTTTTGCCACGTTCAGTGTTTTGAAGATGAGCAAAAGAGTGATCTAGATAGCATGGAAATGCACTACATTGTTAATTTAACTGACATTACCCTGTCGGAAGGAAATAATATTCCAATAAGTTTATAGCCCTCTAAGGAATCTTATAAAGTAATTTCTTTACTGTAACCAAAATGACCAAAATGTCAATATGTAGGCAACGGACTTACATCTAAAATTGTATTTTCATGGAGATTGTTTACTGAAGGAAAGTTTGACACTCCTACCCCTTGGCTTGTTAATTAGGATTATTTCAGTTTATTGCCTTTGATGTTAAGATAACCAGGGAAGATGGCAATTACCGAGAACACATTTCCTTCCCTCCTACCTAAAATCACTGCACGTTGAAGATGTATATTTAGAGAGACTTATTTTCAATTTTATTCCACAGGGATCCCCAGGGCCATATGGACCAAAGGGACCCAGAGGAATTCAGGTAAGGGGGTTAAAACCAAATCTAAGTTTGAATTAGAATCACCTGGGGAGTTTTTAAACCATCCCCTTGCCCACTTGCACCCTCTGCCAGTTAAATCAGAATGTCTGGGGATTGAAGCCAGGCATTAATATTGTTTAAGATACCCAGAAGATTACAATGTGCAATAAATTTTGGAAACAACTTCCCTAATGTTTTCATTAACTTAACTAAGACTCCCTAAAGATAGGTACCAACAGGCAAGTATTAGTGAGCAGCTTAGGGGATGAAGTTAAAAAATTAAGAGTCTGGAAAGATGGAAAGTCAAGTGGTTAAAAGCAGGATGTAACTATTTTTGCACTGCTACTATAATGTAGTTGGAAAAGTTATGCATTTTATCTAAATCACAGTATATTTTTATTGTTCTATAACTAGATAATGTTCTATAATATGGACTGATTCTCTAAGGCATTTAAGTTAGACATCCATAGATTTCAGAAAATAATTTGAATCTTTTCCTAGCCTAGGAACTTATCTCTTCTAAAGTTATAATGGTGCTCTGTGTGAGGAGTTAATTTCAGTATTTCAAAAAGCCTACAGAAAATTATAATTTTACCCAGAATCTCCTAGACACCATCTAGTTAACCACTAACTTCTTTGCTTTAGCCTGGAAATGTCAGAGCCAGGCAGTCATTCTGGTTATCCCAGGTTCATTGGAAGCTCTAACGTCAGTTACATATGCCTTAGATATTTTAAAAAAGAAGATACTTAACTGGCAAAATATTTTTTAAAAGGAGTCAAGAACGTTGGAATAATGTTGGAAACACAGGTTTAGTAAACAAACATCTCGTTAATTAAATGTTTGCTCTTAGCATAAGTGCTATTTTGGAAGCTACGTATTTGACACAAGAAATTTTATCTCATCCCACTTCTCGATTGAATGTGATTTCAATTTAGCTCTGAGTTACACAGTCTAACTTCGATCGCCAGGATCTCTAGGGACCCTAAAGAATGATTCATTCCTGCTGGCCTTTTGTACACAGAACTAATTCTTGGTTTTCATCCTGGAGCAGGGAATTACTGGACCTCCAGGAGACCCAGGCCCAAAGGGGTTTCAAGGCAATAAGGTAATCTTACCCTTTGATTAAAGACAGGCAGAGTGCCTTTCCCCTAGTGCGCTATAGTAATGTATGTTTTATTAGGTAAAAGTCAATGGATTCTTTGAGGAAGTACCTTTGGAAATGCATAATAACCTGCAGATGTATACAGAGAATTAAGTCCTAATGCATTCAGGAAGTTAGCAGCATACCTTTATCATTTATTATTATGTTATTCAAAGAGGGATATTGTTAACTATAAGCCATTATCTAGAATCTTTGCTGTGTTTCCTTCTTACTCCTGACTTTTATTTATTTTATGGCTCATTAGAAACCAAAAAGCAATAACAAGTGACACAATTCAAACCACTCTATTTCTCAAATGTAATGCCACCTCAATATACACTTTATAGGGGAAGGAAATTTACAGTTGTTATACCAACAGAAATCAAGCTTTTTTTAATTACAGGGAAATCTCAACCATCAGCACCATGCTTGTAGTATCAGTCCACAGATAACCAGCCAAGACAAATAGGGAGGGGTTGAATACAAGCCACGCAGAACAAAAAGATGCAGATGGGAGGGATCTTTAAAGGCCTGGTTATAAGGCTCTCTTTTCCAATGAGAGTGACCATTAATTTGCTAAAACAAGCTGTTTAGTTCCTTTTTAACTCTTCTCAAAGCTTAGTAAATTTCACGGATATAGTAAATATCCAGTAAATGGTGTCGACTTAGTGATTTGAGTGGTATGGAATTTATGGCAGTAATAAAAGCAGAAGATGCCATCCTCAACTGACCCTAAAGAAAGCCAGCTTTTTAAGGGTGATATTAAACTGAAGTTGTAGGGAGCAGTTGGGCTACTTGAGAGAGAGGAAAGAGAGTGACAGTATAATATTTTTAATGAGATAATGACAGTGTGTGATTTACCAGGCCACTTTGAATTGGCAAATTAAAATAGAATGGGCTTCTCAGCAGGCATGTGCTTAGGCTTCAACTGGGGAAACTGTCTTTTTCACTTCTTGCCTATGATTAATTCTCTCTGGGGAAAGAAATGGCCTTGTTGAATACTGATGAGCAGAAGTTTTGATAAAATTGCATTGGCTACAGGTACAATCCTACAGTAAGAAAAAAATATATATTTTGACAGACCACACAATTTTTAGAATTCTTTGATTACCTAAGATGACAATTTTCATGTTTGTGAGAAAGAGGCTTACAGTCAGGGATCAGAGCTGGGGTTTGCAGTATGATGGAATTATAGAATGTTTGAGCCACTAGGGATGTTAGAGATCATACTGGCTTAGCATTTTCATTTTGGAAATGAGAAACAAAGCCTGGAGATCAAATGGCTTGCCTGAGGCAGAGTCCCAGTGAGGTCCCATCATCTGTGGAGGGCACTGAGGTGGTGCTGGCCTGGAAATAGTGCCTGCAGCTTTGGGTGATGCAGGTCGTGGCTGGCAGTTGTGGTGGTATGGTAGGGAATGGTCCATAAAAAGGTGTTCCTCCTCCTCCTTTTCTTCTTCTTCTTCTCTCTCTCTTTTTTAGAGATAGGATGTTGCTCTGTTCCCCCAGCTGGAGTACAGTGGCATGATCATAACCAACTGCAACTTGAATTCCTGGGCTCAAGTGATTCTCCTGCCTCAGCCTCCAAAATAGCTAGGACTAGAGGCACATACCACTGTGCCTGGCTAAATTATAATTTTTTTTTTTGTAGAGATGGGCTCTCGCTTTGTTGCCCAGTTGAGTCTGGAATGCCTGGCCTCAAGGAATCCTCCTGCCTTGGCCTCCCAAAGAGTTGAGACTACAAGTGTGAGCCACCATACCTGGCTCAACTCTTTATGTCTAATAGTGTTATCACTTAGGGTTAAAAACATATTTCAATAAAATTTGGCCTTTAATTTCAGCAGTGCATTAAGTTTTAATAATGCATCAAGTATGTTTTGGGGGGGTTGGTTATAATTTTTCTGACATAATAGCACTTTGTGGTTGACTTTTACAGCATAATCATAAAAGGAGTCATTTTTCCAAAAGCATTTGAGGACTTCATCAATTTCCCAAGGGCCTCTCTTTTGTAAAATATACATGACATGAAATTGCCACTTAAGTTTTAAGCACAAAGTTCACTGCCAAGTGAACAAAGTTCATTGCCAATCAAAAAGCTGTCAATTTCTAGATAATGTTGGGGATCGCTCGGAGTCTATGAAGTGGGCATGAGTTCCCCCTTTTCTTTCTAGTCATAGTTCTGGTTTAAGGTCTGTACTCTTACTTTGACACTATTACTAACTTCTATATAATTTCTACTGCTCTTTGGATCTGTTAGCTGGAGATTCATGTCATATTGGTCATTAGCTATTTTTTTCATTTTATACACTTATTAGTGTACTGTCATAAAAGTCAGTTTTCAGGGAATGATTTCATCTTGCCTCCCAGAATGTACTATACTTTGAAGACATAATAAGCTATTTTTGTTCCTCAATCTGGAAATAATATTTTATAGTGACATTTATTTTTATCCATTATCATTTTATTAGACAATTTTAAAAGAAGCTGCTTTTGCAATTTGTGCAAAGAAACCCTCTAAAATTCAGTAATTCTGTATTCTCTAATGGGCACAAGGAAGATTATTTATTTTGAAACTTGTACAGTACCTAACATTTATTTATTGTATATTTATTATGTATAAGTAAAGTTTTAAGTGCTCATTTAATACTAATACCACCTTTTGAGACATGATCTATTCTTATTTCCATTGTACAGATTAGTCTACTAAGGCACAAAGAGTTTAAGCAATGGGTCCAAGTCTACAGAGCTAGTAAGGGACAGACTGAGTATTGAAACCCACAAGTCTGCTCTTAGCTACCATATTATATTTATCCCTTTAGGAAAAATTGCTGAATTTCCTGAATATTTGGCCTGAAATAAATGCATTTCTTTTTGACAGTGTGGAAGTTCTATCTGTCTTCCCTTCTGGTGGACTCTGGCTAGGGACAACAGTTTGTTGAAAGGTGCATTTCTCCTGGGTTTTAATCTTCATCTGAAAGTGCAGGAAAAAGGAAGGGAATATCACGCCTGTAATCC
Source organism: Homo sapiens (assembly GCF_000001405.40). Taxonomy (NCBI): domain Eukaryota; kingdom Metazoa; phylum Chordata; class Mammalia; order Primates; family Hominidae; genus Homo; species Homo sapiens. The sequence continues at coordinate 7,502,965 of NC_000007.14, read as the reverse complement.
CAGCACTTTGGGAGGCCGAGGCGGGCGGATCACGAGGTCAGGAGATCGAGACCATCCTGGCTAACACGGTGAAACCCCGTCTCTACTAAAAATACAAAAAATTAGCCGGGCGTGGTAGCGGGCGCCTGTAGTCCCAGCTACTCGGGAGGCTGAGGCAGGAGAATGGCGTGAACCTGGGAGGCGGAGCTTGCAGTGAGCCGAGATCGCGCCACTGCACTCCAGCCTGGGCGACAGAGCAAGACTCCGTCTCAAAAAAAAAAAAAAAAAAAAAAAAGGAAGGGAATATCTTGGGAGAAAGAAAACGGTAATGCTAATTGTGCATTTTCAAATACTATATTTCATATAAGACCTTAAAATAGAAACCTTTAAACTTGCAACATTTGCAAAGATTCCACGAGAGGTTCTAGATAGGGCCTGCCTATGTCTATGAATTTACAAATGGTCTTTCTCTTGAATTACGCTCACTTTCTGTTGCTTTAGGGATTGGCTTTTCTTCATTAAAGGGTTTTCAGAAAAGGTGGCCAAAGAACAAAAGGAAAAAAATGCATGTGTTAAGTCAGGAAAAAATGTGCTCCTGGCCCATTTTCACAAATTATTTCTGTCAATAATACTTTCCACATGTAAAGTAGCTCCTAGTCTGCCCTGAATGACTTTGTTGCCTTAGCAACAAAACATAGATGTTTCTCAGAAAGAAGCCTTAGCTCAGAGTCCACCTCATCCTCTACCACACAGGAAGGTCATCTTGTGGCATTCATAAGAACATCTCAGCCAGGCGCAGTGGCTCACGCCTGTAATCCCAGCACTTTGGGAGGCCGAGGTAGGTGGATCACGAGGTCAGGAGTTCAAGACTCAAGACCAGCCTGGCCAAGATGGTGAAACCCCGTCTCTACTAACAGCACAAAAATTAGCCGGGCGTGGTGGCGGGCGCCTGTGATCCCAGCTACTCTGGAGGCTGAGGCAGAGCGTTGCCTGAACCCGGGAGGCAGAGGTTGCTGTGAGCCAAGATTGCACCACTGCACTCCAGCTGGGGTGACAGAGCGAGACTCTGTCTCAAAAGAAAAAAAACGGAACGTCTCAATAGTCTCGGAAATCAGTTAGAATTGTAATCACACAAGTGCCCAAGAAGCCTTATCCCTGAGACCAAACTGAAATTGTGACTCAGGAGACAGCGCTATGCTCTGAGGAAAGACTGAACCCCTAAAAACCCAACGCTGCTGCCTTCCATGGGGCTGTCATGGTGGCTCAGGTTGCAATCACATGTGACCCTTGAAAAAGGCCTTTAATTACTAGGAAGAATGGCTTATGATTGGTAGGCCTTTCAAGTCACAGAGGACAAGTTACCAAAACTAATTTTGAATAAATCAACACAGTGGAACACTGGGTTTGCCCAGCCTATATTAGGTAATTTTTGCCATTTTCTTGATGTCTTTCTGAGGTTATTTCTGAAGGGCATTTCCTTCTCAAATCTCATGCAAATCCACTCTTTCCAAGACTCTCTTTGTGCCTTGGGAGGAGGGACTGCACAGTGGCGTGTGCAGGAAGCAGCTGGTGACATTTCGAAGTACCCCAGCATTAGAGCTTCAAGGCCTAAAGGGCACAAGGAGATATCCCTCATGTTTTTTCCCAAGGGAAAGTACCATATGCTAATCCTCAAACAGTTAAAAAATACTGCAGTATTGTATATTTATCTTAAAAAATGAATTGCCTCCCTTCTCCTAACTCCTTCCATTGTTCTACTCTAGGACGTTCATAATATTCCTGCAGGATATTTGTCCTAAGTGTTTTCTTCTTGCTGTACAGTCAAGTGTAAGAAACTTAGCATTCTTTTACCTATGAGACTTGGTCTTACTTTATGTTCAATTTAAACTTCTGAGATATTAAGAAAATCCATAGAGAAATAGCACTAGACTGGCCCAGTTTAATAAATGGATATGGTCAGGGTAAATGACACAAACATTCATCCCAAATGGACAAAAGACCTACTGTTAGTGAATGAACTACAACCATGTTTGAAGAGGAGTTCGTTGCAGTGAGGGCGATGAGGGTAGTACATGATATATTTAGTTCACCCTGAAGCTTGCACCACACCACAGTTTTTGGATACCCTACTTTTCCGAACCCTACTTTTTCAAGCTTCCATCCCAGTTTCTGAGGTTCCCAAGCAAAGGATATATTTTTCAGGTTAATGATATACTAATGAGGAGATTCAGTAAACAAGAGCTAGATGTACAGACCCTGAACTTAAAACTGTAAGCATGCTAAACGTCCCTACACAACATCCTGTTTTCTTCAAAGTGTTCTATGAAAAAGGGTTTTGGTAAGAGGGCTGGCTGTCTTCCTTTCAGATATGATATTAGGAATGCATGTGTGGATATTTCTGGGAGCTGGAAGTGTGCTAATCAAGTTTCTCTCCTTTGAGCTTCCATGTATTATACCGTTAATCATTCCTAGTCTTCTTTCAGATAGGAACCATTGGCAGAAGAACTGGACAGATATGAGCAGGTCTATCACTATTTTTGAAAAGTCTAAATCAGAAGATTTGGGAACAATGGGTCAGGAACACCACTATCTGGGAGATTCAAAAATTCTGCTTTGCACACTAATTCACACACAGTTACATGAAGCAACAAGTATTTCTTGAATGAATGAGTGAATAAAAGGTTTTAAATGGCATGAGTGGTCAACAGTATCATACTGAAGACAGGTTATGTGGGCAGTTGCCTATGTGGTAACTTAATTTGGCAATATTGAGGTCATTGGGAAGATTCAAAAGAATAATTTCAGTAGAAGGGTCAAGGAGATGGCAATGAGTTGTGGAGCAAACCAGAGAGAAGGATGTAACAGTCGGGAACATTGACCATTCTTCTAACATAGTTGGGTAATAAAGACAAACAGGACAGTGTTGACATACCCCATCAAAAGCTTCCTGTGCATTAAACAATCCAATGTGTTACTTCTACTTTCTTCTAAAAGTGGCATGAAGACTTGGGGTTTAATTTGTATTTTTTACACTTTCTTGTGTACAACTTAGAGTCTTACATTTTCTATGCCAGTATTTTCGTTAGAATAGAAATCACTAATGAAGATTTAGTAGTTTTAAAAATACATTATTGTTTTGGTCATTATTTAAGTACTTGGTTTGGCTCAAAATTAGCTTAGTAGCTAGGTCAACCTACTAAACATAACTAATGTTTCCAGTTATGGGTTGGAAGTAGTTCAACATCACAAATATGAACAATTATAAAGAATTTTAAACTTTCTCCTCAAACAAGCATCTTGTGTAGATATATTTCAGTTCTTATATAAGTCAAAAACCTAACAATTTCCTAACATCATGATGTTGCTTTCAACCACTTAAAAAGTCATGATTTGTAACAGGATATAATTCCTTATAATTTATCACTTGAAGTGAAGTAAATCAAGTGAAAACATGTAGATTCCTACATTTCTTGGTAAAGAATAATTAATCAAACAAAAAACTGTTTTAAGTTCACAATTCTCTTAACAGAATGACTGTATTTTTGGCTTCATATAAACTATTTTAAGTGTAGGGTACTTGAACATGTCAGCTTTTCTAGTTGTCCAAAAACAGTAATTTGCTTTCTGGTTCTTCTGGCAGGACAACAATTTTGAACAAGGGTTGTGACTGCTCAGTGTATAGGAAGAATCCCTTTACAATTTTAATTATAAATAACTGTTAAATGAAGACTCATAGCCAAGCCGCCAAACGATGTGAACGTTTTTCCTTCAAAGACGTCAAAGTCTGAATGCTATTTCTGTTCTGGGCCTAATTAAAGGGAAAGAATCATTAGTAATCCAGCAATTCTTGCTGTAGAAAAGGCTTTGACCTACATGCACATCTGCCCACCAAGACTCTAAATGAGCTTATTAACTCGTTTGACATGAGACAACTGATAGTGACAACTTGAAGTGGCTGCCAGAACATGTGGGATGTCAGCCAATAGCTTCAAGGTAGATGATTTCTATTCCCAAATAGCTGATGCATGTGGTTCTCAGCAGATGGGGTATATATACTCTGTGTGTGTGTGTGTGTGCGTGTGTGTGTAGATTGTCAGGTAAAAGCTCTGATGGACCAAGGAACTGAAAATGCTGCCAACATTTCCCACAAAGTGGCTGAGTTTAAACTGCATGCATAGTCAAAGGGGGCACTAAAATGGAACAGAATCAGCCACTGCAGTGTCTTCAGAGGGATGTCAGAATGTTTTCTTTGTAATTACATCAATGTCCTTATTTATTTCAAGTAAGTTGCAATAGCAAGTTTGCAACAGAGAAAATTAATTGTATTCCAAGGGTGTTTTTATTGTGGTAAAATATATAATAACATAATATTTATTATTTGAACCATCTATAAGTATGTAATTCAGTGGTATTAAATACATTCACAGTGTTGTATAACCATCACCAGTATCTATACCCAAAAGTTTTTCATTGTCTCAACATAAACTCTGTACCCATTAACCAATAACTCCCCATGTTTCCCTCCTCCCAGCCTCCAAGGGTAAGTTTTGAAGAAACATTATCACGCTGTCATATACACCCATCTGCTCTCATAAATCAGTGGCCTTGTTTTTAGGTTAATGGAGCATGTCCACCCTGAATTTTTACCAGCAACTCATTTTGTGCTGGAGGATTCTAAACAGTGTCTTCTAGAGCTGCGATTCTCAAAAGCTCTCCTAATGGGCTGCTGACTGGTCCTTCCTTTCAGAGAAAATGACTTGCATTTTCTCAGATTTTGTTATATATAATGAAGTATGACTTTCCTATTAGTTGAAACACATGAATTGCCATGTTTGTAGGCCAAACATGATCAAATATTGTCAATTTTATGTGGTTAAACCTAATAGCATTCTAGAAGGTGAGTTAAGAGTTACTAAAATGTGGTTCAATATAATTTTTATTATATTCTTCACCAATTCATTGTTATTATGGAGTCTTTTTCTGCTTTAGAAAGCACAAGTACGTAGAGTATATGGACTGGACTTTCTCTCTTACCTAAATAGCTGGTATTCAAAAAAGATTTTAGTTGGAGATTTGACATAATAGTGGTTCCAAACTCAGTACAGTTCACTTACCAGTTTATATGTAGATTTACCTTGTGTGATCACAGTATTGCCAGTTATAATTTACATTACTTTTAACATTAAGTGACAACCAAGTAGACTTTATGTACCTGAAATAGCATGTGCATCAGCTTGGATAAATTATATTTCCCCTTGGCTTATATTTTATTTTAGAGATGCTTTGTCTTCATATGATGGATTTTCAGTTGTGAGTAGATTGTAATTATATGACTTTTGTATTTTTCATCCTGTAATAAAGATATGAATTTAGTCTGCAGTCATACAATTTTTGAAATACTTTAAAAGAAGAATTAAAAAGTTTCAAGAGGCAGTTTGGCATAGTGATTAAGATTTGGGTTTAACCTCAAACTGCTGGGTTTCAAACCCAGTCCTATATTTTATTGGCTCTATGATTTGGGCAAGTTACTTTACCTCCCTATGACTCAATCTTTTCATCCATGCAGTAAGTTAATAACAGTAACTACTTCTTAGAGCTGTGGTGAGGATTAAATGAGTTAATACACGTCAGTCACATAGAGCAGCACTTCTTGCATAGTAAGTGCCATATGTGTTGGTAATTTTAATTAAGTAGTTAAGCATTTTGACAACTTTATACTAATGTAGACCAAGTTTATTCTGGTAAATTTTCTAAAAACAAGCCTTTTATAACACAACACTTCCTCTGAAATGAGAAACTTGGTGCTAAAAATGGAGCTTGATTTAACAAGTACTTGATAAATATTGATCCTTCTTTCCTTCCTTCCTTCCTTCCTTCCTTCCTTCCTTCCTTTCTTCCTTCCTTTCTTCCTTCCTTTCTTCCTTCTTCCCTCCCTCCCTCCCTCCTTTCCTTCCTTCCTCTCTTTCCAAAAGGAGGCTTTCTTGACCTTTCTCCCAAGTCTCTGTATACAGTCATCACTTCACTGAGTTTCAGCTGAGAATGTATCCTGGCCATACTTGAACCATTCTGCACCTACAAAATGTTCATCCATCATTTTCTTCCATTTGAAAAGTATTAGAATATTTGCAATAAAACTTAAAATATTAAAGTTGGTCCCATGCATATCTGGGAAATGATTTTTAAAAGTTGCTAAAACATCTTTGTAATGTTAAGAAAATATGATAAAATTGTTCATAATTGTATTATCAAAAAAAGTGTAAAGTTCTGTCCACAAATAATTCAGTCTTGGATAACCATTTGTTATGTATTGTCTTAGAGAAATGAAGGATTTGCTTTTGGTTAGAATCAGTGCCAGGGATACGGAGTGTTAGTCGGTTTTCTCAGCTGAATTTTCCTCTTCATTGTGGTTTCATTACTCTTTCAGCTAAAAAAAAAGATTAATTGTGTCTGGGTGAATTGGTAGGAGAAATTGTGTAATAGGTACTTGATATCATTATGTAATTTATATACAGTTGCTCCTAGTTGAAAACCTAAGTGAACCACAGGGAACTGCAGAGGAGCATTTCTAGACCCACAGCTCCTCAGCCCAGAACAGCTTTCCAGTTTTGTTCACCTCCCACAGCTAGCAGAGCCCCTGCTCCCTAGTCAATGCTCAGTAAATGTCTGGTGCATGGATGATTGAGTGAATTATAGTAATGAGCTAAACACTGAGAATGCAAAGCTGAACAAAATCATATGCATCATCCCCACAGTCTAGTGGGGAGGAGATGGAGAACATTAAATGCAAAGTTGCAACTTGTAATGAATGCTCAGAAAAAAAAGGAAAACAGTGCTATCAATACTAAAATAGTGATTTCATCTTATCAGAAAAACCCTTCTTGAAGCCATGCTGCTTAAAATAAGATCTGAAGGGTAAGAATCACTATGAAAGAGAAAGGTAAGAGCATCCCAGACAGACAGAATAGACTGTGCAAAGATCCTGTGGCAGGAGGAGCAAGGCAAGTACAAGGAATTCAACAAAAGCCAATGTTGCTGGGGTGGGGAGTAAAGAGGTGACTGATGACAGATGGATTGGAGAGGCAGGGCCTTGTAAGGAGCTCTGTCTTTGGGAAAGGCCTCAGAAGGTTTTACTCAGATTAAAATTAAAATTAAAAAATTGCTCTGCAGCAATGGAGGGAATAAATTGGAGCATGCTAGAGTGGGTGCAAGTAGAGTACTAAGGGCTTTGTTGTACTCTGAACAAGAGGTATTATCAGTTTGCTGTAGACTGGAGACGCGTGGTAGAGGACTGAAGTGGATGGATTTGAGAGATATTTAGGAGGCATACTGATAGGTGTTGGGATGCGTTGCATATGGTGGCAGAGGGAGTGGGAGGTGTCATGAATGACCCCTAGGTTCCCATTTGACACAGGAGGGATTCTGGTGCCCTTCCCTGAGGTGGGAAGGGCTGGAAGATGACTATATTGGGGAGTGAAAGATGACAATTTATCTTTGGAAATGATGAGTCTCTTTTTGAAATTCTCTTTTTCCCCAACTCCCCACAAGACATCTTTGTATTCTTCCACTCCCACCTGACTTAAATGTTGGTACTGTTCATGGTACTGACCTGAGCCTTCAACCTCATTAATCACTCTAAACCGCAGTGCCCAATAAGGTAGCCACATGTGTCTACTGGGCATTTGAAATGTGGCTGGTCCAAATTGAGATGTGCTGTAAGTATAAGATACACATCAGATTTCAAAGACTTAGCATTAAAAGATGGTAAAAAAATAATTAATACTTTAAAAAGTGTTGATTACATGTCAAAATGATAATATTTTGTATTTATTAAGTAAAATTTATTAATTATAATTTACCTGTTTTTTTATTTCTTAATGTGGCTAGTAGAGAATTTAAAATTACAAATGTGGCTCGCTGTCTACTTGCATTGGACCATGCTGCTCCAGACAGTGGCCCTAGTGTCACCTTGTTTCCGGCCTGTTGGGCTCACGGGCTGCTGACCGTCTCTAGAATATTTAACACCATTTTAAGCCTCATGCTCTTTCTTCTTCTGTAACTTTTGTTTCTTTTCTTTTCCATCAGATTAGCTATGATTCCTACTTCTTTGTTTGGATCAAACATCTCCTCTACTATATGAAACTTTCCCAATTCCTTAAGGTAGAATTAAACATTTCTGCCTCAGAGTCTTATGTATTCTGTTAATATCTTTATTATGCTAATTCACATGCTTGTATTTTATTTTATATTGATTTGTCTCTCCAGCCAGATTGTAAGCTTCTGCAAAGTGCAGGTGCAATCTGATTTATGTCTGTGATTAGGTAACCTGATATTCAATTATAGACATAAATTGTTATTTACCTATTATTAGTTTGGTGCTCAAAAAAGGTCTGGTGAATAACAATTAAATCTATACATATTAAACAGGTGTTGTGTGACTGGTTATGACTTAGATGTTTTGCAGACAATATCTTGAATCCTCTCAACAATGCTACAAGGCAGATATAATTATCCTCATTTTGCATATGGAGATCTTGCAAAAGCTAAAATTGTTAGTAAATGATAGAACCAAGGTTCTACAAGACCAAATGATTCAAAGCCATGGTTTTTTCCCTGTGACTCCATGCATGAAGGGCTAGGTGTGGTGGCTTACACCTGTAATCCCAGCATTTTGGGAGGCCAAGACAGAACAATCATTTGAGGAAAGGAGTTCGAAAAAAAAACCCAAACCCCAAAATCTATTTCCTATGATTGTTAGAAGATTAAATGAGATAATGTATGTAACATGTCTGGGCAGTGCTGATAAATAGCAGGTTTTATTAAACATTGGCTTCCTGTCCTCTTGAAGCCCATAGTATGGGTGTTCTTAATTTCTGAAAAGGACAAAGGTGGTTTACCTAAACTTTTTGCTGCCTCCACACACGCTCACACTCACATTCACACACATTCACACTCACATGGAGGTAATGAGAAACATATTCTTTCTGGGGCTACTGATTTTAACCCAGACCTCTTTGTTATACTTGCCTGTTGGTAAATGGCTCTGATGGCAAATGAAAGTAAAGTAGAGAAATAATTACTGTGGGCATGCAATTTTTTGGGCATGCCATCTCTCTGTCTTTGTGTGTGTGTGTGTGTGTTGCTAAGGGCTGGGGTAGGAATATTAACAGGAAAGGAATCATGCCTGCCGTCTTACCAGGGCTATTCTGACTAGAGTGCTGACTCTTCCCTCCCTGTTTTGTTTTTACCCAGACAGCATATTTTAGAGTCAGGACCACTTTCTTTACTACCTCAGGAATCTCTGTAGGAAAGAAAAAGGGGAAATGGGAAGGGAATAAACATGAGCTATAGGCCAATACTGTTTTGTGGATCCTACCTTGAGATACCAGGCTCCCGAGAAATAAATTTAAGCAAGTGAAATGTGAAGCTACATTGCTAAGGGGCTGTGTTCAGGTAAAGGAGAGCAATCCCTCTGTAATCTTCAGATCCCTGCAACTGCCTTGTAAAGCAATATTAAGATATTGCTCAGCTGCTCTTGGTACTTGACTAAGGCTAAAGGGATTTCATGGGCTCAAGGTAAGAGAGCTGCTTCTACTCTTGATTCTCCTGATCCATACATTTCAAGGTAATGACCAAACCAATTTCTTGTCACCAACCTGGGCTCTTGGTTTGTTTCTGATCAAACATCAGATAAGTACCAAGTAGGGCAGAACTTCCACTACTCAAAAAATCCTCAAATTCTCTACCAAATATATAATTTAGATGCCTTCTGACCCATTACAGAACCAATGCTACATATAGAAGGGATAAAAAATGAATAGAATAAGTGAATTTAGGGCCTTGTATTGTTATTATTGTATTTTTTTTAGCCAGACAAATTCAGCAGTGGGTAGATATTATTATTGTATTTTTAATGGTATATATATATATATTATATATTAATGTTATATATATTATATAACATTATATATACCTGTTATATATGTATATATATTATATAACAGGTATATATAATGTTACATATATTATGTAACATATATATATAAATTCCATGGCTAAAAACATGTAAAATGAGAATGTCAGTCAACTGGCTGCTCAGAAAACTTAATCAATATAGAAAAACAAGTACAACCTTAGGAGTTTAAGGGAAAAAATATTTGCCAGACTGACTTGTACTCAACAGCATGCACAGTAAGTACTTTTGAATTCAATCCACTTAAATATCAAAGGATCATAAATGTGGATGACTCATTTTGAGGCAGGATTCCTTTGTTTTAAATCACCCTGAGCCTGGGCATATCTTCTGGGGAGCTGGTTTGACTCTGACCCTTCTTAGCCCTTCTGGTTCTCTTTCGCAATTGGTCAAAGTCAACAGACCTTTTTTTTTTTTTTTTTTTTTTTTTAACAGACGGAGTCTCACTCTGTTGCCAAAGCTGGAGTGTGGTGGCGTGACCTTGGCTCACTGCAACCTCTACCTCCCAGGTTCAAGCAATTCTCCTGCCTCAGCCTCCCGAGTAGCTGGGACTATAGGCACATGCCACCAGGCCCAGCTAATTTTTTTTTTTTTTTTTAGTATTTTTAGTAGACAGTGTTTCACCATGTTGGCCAGGCTGGTCTTGAACTCCTGACCTCAAGTGATTCACCTGCCTCGGCCTCCCAAAGTGCTGGGATTACAGGCATGAGCCACCACATCGGTTACAGACTTCTTATAGTAAAGCAATGTCTTTACTATATCCACAGAACATTGCTCTGGTCATTAGGTGTCCCTTCCAAAATCACAAGCTTCTGGGGTAAATTGAGACTTTAATATTTCTGAAAACTCCTTTATCTCCCTTCATCTCAGAGAAGGCTTGTTTCACTTTCCTGTTTCATTTTACTGTTGGTTAGTGAAAGCATGAAGAGAGAAACCTTTGGGTTGAATGAAATTTTTAATAGCAAATATTCATTAGCTGAAACATAAAGAGTGTTCAGCAATCTTCCTTAGCATAAATTAAAGGTACACGTGTGAATGTAAAAAACTGGAAGGAAATACACCGAAATTTTATAGTATTAATAGTTACAGATAGGTAATTTAAAATTTTCTTTGCATGCATGCTTTTTAATATATGACAATTTTCTACAATGAGACATATTATTTTGATAAACAGAAAAAAATAATATTATGAAATGGGTAATTGGGGTCAATAGCCACTCCCCTTCCCCTATCATCATGCCACAGGGCTTAAAGCCGGAGAGACCTAAAGAGCTGTAACTGTGTGAGTGGTATTCAGGTGTGAGTTTGGGCTGGCCAGGTAATCTCTCTGGGACTTGGGTTTCTCACCTGTGAAATGTAGGGGTTTGAGTGCAATGGTCACATCTAGTTCTAAAATGCCTGAATTCTATTATGGGCTTGCCACATCATAGGCTATTATTATTTCAAAATGCTCTGGCTTTGAGTAACAGAAATCTTGAATAATAGTGGCTTAAATCATGAGAACTCTTGCTGTTGAGTAAACAGAATATTTGAAGGCAGGTAGTCCAGGACTGGATCAGTTGCTCATTGAGGGTATCCAGGAGCCAGGCCTCTTCAGCAGCTGGCTTTTGTCCTAGAGATTGCTGCCTCATAGTTACAAGACAGTTATCACATCTCTATGTAGGAAAGAAGAGACAGAGGCAGTTTTCTCCTTTGCATCCAGTAAGGTCCTTCACATCTCGTTTGTCAGAATTGAGCCATGTGACCAACTGAGATGAATCAGTGACAAAGGGAAAGGAGATTCCCATCTTGCATTAGGCCAATGATCATTCATCCTACACCTCTGAGGGCAAAGAACAGCTGCCCACTGACTGACTCAATTGGGGGTTTATCAGCAGGGAAGGAAAGCTGAGAAAGGACAGCCGCAGGGGAGGAAACAAAATATGTCTTCCAGAGCACTTAAAGATTTGTGAATGAATGAGTGATGGCTGCGTTATGCCTTTTATGGATCCTGAAAACACTTGACTTTGTGGGCCCCTTCCTCCATAAACACATTAAAAAATTATATTTATGAATGCAAGCTGTATTCATTGTTATATAGTCATTATGTTTATTTTTATTTTGAATCAAAAAATTACAATTGGAACATATTTGCAGGCTCCTGAAAGTGTTGTGGACCCAGATATTGTGACTACTGTGCCTAGTGGATAATTTGATCTTGGGTCTGTGTTTTCTTTCCAAATGAGTTGTAAACAATTGAGGGCAGGCACGATGTACAGGTTTGTTGTTGCTCTGAAAGCCCCTATTGCAAAACCATACATCTAAAAGCTGCTTAGTCAATACTATTGAGTCGACCTAACATATAACTGATGTCACTATTTCTTCCTCCAGGGTGAGCCAGGTCCTCCTGGTCCTTATGGTTCTCCAGGAGCTCCTGGAATTGGACAGCAAGGTATTAAGGTAAAGATACTTGTCTTTTTGCCCACTGATGACTGTTGAATTTATTGTAGGGCCTGGGGGAGCCATGATTTGAACTCCATTTGGCCTAAATCCAATAGACACAAGGAGGCTTCCTGAAGTTACTTCATTTTATGTGCTTGGACACAGAAATGTGCTTGTCAGGGGCAGTTACCACAAGAATAATTAACGTATTTTTTAATTTTGTTGGAATGAAAAACTTACTTGTCTCCAAATACCCACCCTTTTGCCAAGGTACATGTAGTTCTGTTGTTTTCATGGACTTTAAACATTCACATGCAAATATGTTATTGGGAAGTGAAACAACTTAACACATCAACAATCATGGTTCACATTGAATAAGCATAAAGGGGCAGAAACCAGAAGGGCCATGGCAATGAATAGGTCAATGTTGGCAGAGAGATTTGTAGAGAACTAGAAAGGGAAGGAAGGAACGTCCATCCTGTGAGGCTGTACATTATGCAGGACATATTAATAAAGCAGAAGTGCCTATTTTGAATGGCTTTTCCAAGTGGTTGTGACAATAAGACTTTGATGCAGGATTAAAATAGCAAGCAGTACAAAACAGTGTACTTTGAATGTAATTGAATATCCCCATGTATAGCATTTCAACAATGAGCACATTGAGACTCCAGGAAAGGTGGAGTTTATGCTGGCAGAGTTATGGAGAAGTTTTCTGGAGGAGATGAAGTCTGAAAAGAGCTTAAAGGAGAGATGAATAGGATAGAGTGGGGACAAGGAAGGGGTGACATTCCTGGATGGTGGCAAGAGGGCAGGGCACAGCACACACATTGTCAGCTTAGTCAGCTCTGTAACCAACCTGCATTGCCACACAGTCTGTCCTGCCAATTCTTACACAATATTTTGTGAAAACTGAAAATACTGAATTACATTTGGACAAGAAGAGATAATAAACATTTTAGGGTAATTTGTTCACTTAAATTCGAGCTATTTCTCTTCCTCTAGAATTTTTTACCTTTATGAAAACCAACATTTTGTCTATTTCGCTATTTATCCTTGTTGAAATCTTGAGAGAACTTTGCGCTATGTTTATTCTTTATTTAAAATCTCAAGCTTTCATTCTATTATTTCTTTCTCTTAGGGAGAAAGAGGCCAAGAAGGAAGACCGGGAGCTCCAGGACCCATTGGAGTTGGTGAGCCTGGACAGCCAGTAAGTAGCAAAAATTCTAGATGGAATGAAAAGGACAAATATAGTTTTTACTTGTTCTTTCTGTTTAGGATAAATGGTCAGATTAATCCACCTTGTATCTATTTTATTTATTTATTTTTTTGAGACGGAATCTCACTGTCACCCAGGCTGGAATGCAGTGGCATGATCTCGGCTCACTGCAACCACCACCTCCTGGGTGCAAGTGATTCTCCTGCCTCAGCCTCTAATTAGCTGGGACTACAAGTGCACGTCACCAGGCCCAGCTAATGTTTTTTGTATTTTTAGTAGAGACGGTGTTTTGCCATGTTGGCCAGGCTCATCTCGAACTCCTGAGCTGAGGTGATTCACCCACCTCAGCCTCCCAACCACCTTGCATCTTTACGAGCAACAAATGAAAATAAATATGCGAGAACCAGATCCACGTGCTATTTTTCACAACACTTGAAATAGAACTATGTATATATGTATATGTGTAAATATATATGATGTTTACACCAACTCTCTTTTACTGTAACTTCTTACAAGATGAATCAACTTGAACAAGAAGAAAAGAGTTCTCATGTGTTAAAATTTTCTAGGAAGATCTGGACTCAAGCCTAATGTTTATACTTTATAATGGATTTCTTTGTAACCATGAGAAAAATCACTGAGAATAAGGACTTGGCTCATTATCTAATCCATGAGTATGCTCTAAAGCTAGGATTGATAATGGTAGACAGATAATACCTGCGTTATTCACAGCATCTCTTTTATGTAGTTTTGAAGTTTACTGTTGTTGGAGAAGAAAAAAATTTCTACTAAAAGACATTTGGAGAGGAAGTGAATAAAATATGATTATTCTGGTATATAAAGCTTGTTAACTTTTCAAGTAATCATTATTCTCCTAGGGAAAAATAGTAGCTGACTCACTTAGGTACAAATAAAAACAACTGATTGTGGATAGCTGGTCTTTGAAGTTGTCTTTGCACTGCATAGTTCCTCACATGTGTATATTCACAGAAACATACACTTCCTTACTGCACTCTGTGAGTGAAATGGCAACATATTATTTAGGTTTAGGCTTTTCACTAATGTCTGAACATACTAATTCAAAAAAGAGAGCATTATATGGAAGAAAAATACACTGGACTAATCATCTAGAGATCAGTGATCTAGTCTTAGTTTCCACTAAATAGATAGTACCATTAAAGATAAACCACTAACTTATTTTGGTCTCTATTTTGGTTTTGTGTTTCTGCTTAACAAACTTCCTCAGGACTAAGTGCCTTAAAACAATAATTTGTTATTCCTTATGATTTTGCGGGTTGACATGAGAGTTCTTTATAACTTGAAGTCAGATGGAGTGCTAAAATGGCTGCAATGTTAAAAATGGCCTCACATGGCTGGCAGTTTGGTGCAGGTTGTTGTCTGGGAGCTTAGCTAGGGTTGTTGCCCAGAGACCTCATTTCTCCTCCACATGGGCAGCTACAGTGGTTGCTTGGGCTTCCTCACAACATGGCAGCTTGAATCCAAGCAGGAGTGTTCCAATAGGCAGAAACCACTCATCATGTAAAGCTTAGCCTCAGAAATTATACAGCATCATTTCTGTGACATCTAAAGTAAGTATAGGACCAGCTCAGATTCGAGTGGAATAGAAAAAGATTTTGCCCGCTTATGAAGAATATCAAAGAACTTGTGGATGTATTTAATTTAGCGAAGTCTCAAATTTTAACTTCTATAAAATTAAAAGATTGGGTTCTCCTTAGGTCTATGATTTTCAGAGCTGGAAATATTCTGAAAATGTCAAAGAAATAAGTCATAATTAATTTTTTTTAAGAGAGTCTTGCTCTGTCGCCCAGGCTGGAGGGCAGAGGCATGATCTCGGCTCACTGCAGCCTCTGCCTCCCAGGTTCACATGATTCTCCTGCCTCAGCCTCCCGAGTAGCTGGGATTACAGGTGCCCGCCACCATGCCTGGCTAATTTTTGTAGTTTTTGTAGAGACAGGGTTTCACCATATTGGCCAGGCTGGTCTCGAACTCCTGACCTCAGGTGATGAACCCACCTCTGCCTCCCAAAGTAATGGGATTACAAGCGTGAGCCACTGTGCCCCGCGTAAAAAATTTTTAAATATAGATTGATGATTGTTTTTTCCAAAGAACTTTGTGCTTTGCTATTATTTATACCTTCCAAACTCAGCACTAAACTTAAGAATGAGTGTCACTTATTCATTGTCGTTCTTAAAATGTTTTTTTTTAAATAATGAAATATTTTAAGCATATTGGAAAATATAGAGAATGAGTTGGTAAACCTCCGCCAGGTAGACAATTATACTTAGTACATTTACTACTCTTGCTTTAGATTTTCTTTAAAAAACATAAAACATTATGGATACAGTAAAGTCTCCCTATCTTTTTCAGACAATAGAAGAGGAAGAAACGTTTATCAACTTAATTTATGAGGCCAGTTTTCCCCTGATACCAAAACAAAATACTAAACATACATAAGAAGAAAACTACAGACCAATATCCCTTGTGAATATAGACATAAAAATTCTTAACAACATGCTAGCTAATAGAATTCAGCAATATATAAAAAGAATTATACAGCATGACTAAGTGGGGTTTATCCTGTGGATGCAAGCCTGGCTTAATAATTGAAAATTAATCAATGGAATACACCATATTAATAGGCTAAAGAAGAAAGATCACATGATCACATCAAAAGACACAGGAAAGCATTTGGCAAAACTCAAAACCCTAATAAACGCTGATAAATCTCTCATAGAAACTCTCAGAAAGCTATAAATAGAGGAGGAACTTCCTCAATTTCTATGAGAAATCTAGAGCTAACATTATGCGTAATAGTGAAAGAGTGAATGCATCCCTCTAAGATCAGGAACAAGACAAAGATGTCTGCTCTCATCAGTCTTATTCAACATATTGGAAGTTCCAGCCAGCACGATAAGACAAGAAAAAGAAATATAAGGCATTGGTATAAAAACAATAAATAAAACTATCCTTATTTGCAGATGATATGATGGCCTCCATAGAAAACCCCAAGAAATCTATACAAAAACCTCCTAGAATTAACAAGTGAGTTCAGCAAGGTCACAGGGTACAATATCAACATACAAAATCTATTTAATTTCTGTATACTAGTAATGAACACATAGAAACTAAAATTAAAAGCACAACACCATTTTTAATTGCTAAAAAAGAAAATACTTGGGTAGAAATCTAATAAGACACATATAGGGCTTGTATAAAACTACAAAACACTGATGAAAGAAATCAGAGAATACTTAATACATTTAGAGGCATGTTTACAGATTAGAAGACTCAACAACATAAAGATGTAAATTCTTCCCAAATTGATGTAAAAGTTTAGTGCAAATGTTTTTGATACCCCAGCAAGATTTTGTTTAGACTTGGACAGGGCTATTTTAAAATTAATATGGAAAGGCAAAAGAGCTAGAATAGCTTTTAAAAAACTTGAAAAAGAATACACTTGGAGAAATTATACTAACTTTTCTGGTCTTAAGATTTATTATATAGGTACAGTAACAATGACTGTGTGGTATTGGCAAATTATAGAAATATGATCAGTGGAACAGAATAGAGACCCCAGATTCAGACCTACACAAGTATAGTCAACAGATTGTGAAAGCAATCCAATAGAGGAAACATAGTCTTTTTAACAAATGGTGCTGGCGCAATTGGTTATCTGTGCAAACACAAAAAATTAACCTCAATTTAAGTCTCACACCTTATACAAAAAGTAACTCAAAATGGATCATAGATTTAAATATAAAATGTAAAAACTATAAAACTTTTAGAATAAAACATATGAGAAAATCTTTAGGATCGTGGGCTTGATGAAGATTTCTTAGACATGTCACCAAAAACATGATCCCCCCCTAAAAAGTAATTAACTGGACTTCATCAAAGTGGTAAATGTGTGCTCTGTGAAAGACTCTGTTAAGGGTATAAAGAGACAAGCTGCTGATTGGGAGAAAATATTCACAAACTACACATTTACAAAGGATTTGTATTGGGAATACATTTTTAAAAAAAATTCTCAAAACTCAATAATAAAAATCGAATTAGAAATTGGGCAAAATATCAAATATATATACATATCTCAAGCATATATACACACACATGCACAACTTGGTATGTATATATCTATATATGTGTACATATACTTGTATATATTTTTACATATTTTGTTTCTTTTTTTGTGGTTACTAAACTTTAATATGTGTTCTTTTTATTAACTTTTATTTGAGGTTCAGGGGTACATTTGCAGGTTTGTTATATAGGTAAATTGCATGTCACAGGGGTTTGGTGTAGAGATTATTTCATCATCCAAATAAGAAGCATAGTACCTGATAGGCAATTTATCCATCCTCACCCTTTTCTCACCCTCCACCTTCAAGTGGGCCCCAGTGTCTGCTGTTCCCTTCTTTGTGTCCTTGTGTTCTCAGTATTTAGCTCCCACTTATAGGTAAGAACATGCAGTATTTGGATTTCTGAGTTAGTTTGCCAAGGATAAGCGCTTCTAGCTCCATCCATGTTGCTGCAAAGGACATGATCTCATTCTTTCTTATGGCTGTGCAATATTTCATGGTGTATATATACCATATTTTCTTTATCCAGTCTACTATTGATGGGCATTTAGGTTGATTCCTAACATGTTTTCTTGACTAACAAGTTTGAAATGTCATCAATATTGCCACCTACTCCTGAAAAATATACTGACCATATGACACTTTTACTTCAATCATTTCTTCCACCTTCAGAGTATCATTCCTATTGACTTAGTTCTACTTTATTTTCATCCTACCAAAATTATTTATTATTATTTTTGAACTTTTTTAAGTCAGTATTTGTATAGTTTTACCCATATATTTACCCATTTCTTAGTTGACATAGCTTCCTAAATTTCTCTTTTCTTCTTGGCTGATTTCTTTGTTTTTTTCAATAAATACTTCTTTCAGAAGATGTTTTCAGTAAAAATATGTTAGCAGTAAACCCTTTCAGCCTTTGGTTGAAATGCCATTGTTTAGTTTGCTTTGTAAGAATAGTTTAGCTGGTGCAGTCTGGATTGTGTACTAATTCCATTGTCTGCTGGCAACCATGGTTTCTGTTTCCATGTCTTTAGTCTGTTTATAATTTCTTGTAGTAATTCATTTTTGCTTTAGGCTGCTTTTGCAATTTTTTTTTATTCTTTAGATTTCCTGTAGAGGAATTATGATGCATATAAATGTGAGTATATTTTCACATATACTTTTTCAGATTTACCGTTTCATGAATCTGAGGACTCCATAGTTTAAAAAAGTTCTTAGCTATTATTTCTTCAAATATTTTCTTGCCCCATTCTATTTATCAAGAAATCCTACTAGATATTTGGTTGCAATTGGATAATTTTCTCAAATCTAACTTATAACCCACAAATTTATCTTCATCATGTTATAAAATGTTCTTAACTCATTCATTGTATTTTTAAGTTAATAAGTATTTTAAAAATTCTTAGTTATTTTTTAAAATCTGCCTTTTATTAACTATATTTATTATCTTTTTACTATACTGTTCTTGTATTTTCCATTATTTCCATAAGACCATTAAGTATTTAAAGTACTTCTTTTTTGTCTCTATTATTTTATTCTATTATTTGACATTCTTGAGGAAGTTTACGTTGTGTTAGTTTACTTTTATTCATTGTGAGTTATTTTCTTTTATGTTTTGTACTTTTCCATCTGAGTTATTTTCAGCTGGGCTTTAATTGTGAATCCTAAGCATTCTTAGGATTTGAGAGGAGTTTGTGTTTGTATCTCTTTTGTACTCCAGGGGTTTCCTTGATGCTAATGTCTTGACTAAGGTGTTCATGAACCACTTAGATAATGTCAATTGAAATCATAAACTCATACACAGCACAGGACCATGGTAGAAATTTTTAGTCATTATGAGCCCAAGCCAAGCAGACAAGATTCTTGTCATTCATACCACTGTGTTGATGGGATGGCTTTTTTCTACTTTGTTCTTTCATTGAATATATACAGATGCTCCTTGACATACAATGGAGTTACATCCTACTATACCCGTCATAAATAAAAAATACTGTAAGTTGAAAATGCATTTAGTGTTGGTAACACCGAAGATGGTTCCCAACTTACAATGGTTTGATTTATATATATATTTTTACTTTATGAGGATGCAAACGCAATGCATTCAGTAGAAACCATAAGCCCATTGTAAGTCATAAGGAGGTACTTGACTTACCATGGGGTTACATGCTGACCAACCCATTGTAAAATCCAAAAATCTTAAGTCGAACCATCCCATCTTAAGTTGGAGACTGTCTGTCTAAGTTTGTGGGAATCTCAGTCTCTCAGTTATAATTCTGTCTTCATTTTCCATTGCGTGAGCCAAAGTCTTTGCTGCTGTTCCTCCCTCTAAATTTCCTAGCCTTCTTCCCACCACACAAACACACTTTTCTATTCAGGACAGCTGTAGCACCAGCTTAGATGCTTACCTAAGATGCTTAACTTATATGCTAGAGTTCTCGAGTTTTGATTCTCTCTTTTTGAACCCTGCAATTTCTCTTATCTTCTTTGGACTCTTCCATGCCTTTAAAATTCATCTTAAAAAACGTATATTACCTGTCTTTCTAACTGTTTGTAGTTGAGAGTTTTTAACAATATTACCAGAACATGAAATTCTTGCTTGCTTGCTTGCTTTCCAAGTCATAATTACAGAGTTATACTTAATTGGGAACTAAAATCATAACAAAGGTAGGAAAGTTCCTAAATAATGTATCAAAATGTTGCACCAAAATGTCATTATAAAAAAATCAATGATGTGAATTTTTTTTTTTTTTTTCTGAGACAGAGTCTCACTCTTGTCCCCCAGGCTGGAGCACAATTGGGCGATCTTGGCTCATTGCAACCTCCACCTCCCGGCTTCAAGCGATTCTCCTGCCTCACCCTCCCAAGTAGTTGGGACTGTAGGCTCCAGCCACCAGACCTGGCTAATTTTTGTATTTTTAATAGAGATGGGTTTTCACCATGTTGGCCAGGCTGATCTCGAACTCCTGACCTCAGGTAATCCGCCCACCTCAGCGTCCTGAAGTGCTGGGATTACAGGCCTGAGCCACCATGCTCAGCCAACAATGTGAATTTTTGAATTATTTAGAAGTAAGGTAAAGACTTATCTTAGGGCTGACAAAGATTCTACTGAAAGTCCTTTGCTTTTGTTTCTTTGCCTGAATTATTTCAAGTGTTTCGTATTTAGTACTACTCTCTTTTCACTACCACACTAATATAAATCTGCTGATAGATTGAATTAATATTCTAGCTCCGAGACCTACTTTTGAACTGTCATCTGTCATCTTTATGTGATTACCACTAGTTTTGTGCTGGTCTGGTAGATGTAACTGATTCATAAAAATTAAATTGGTTAAGACTGTCAGGGTGATCTGTTTGTTTTTTATGCAAGGTTATTCAGAGCACTGTAAATTAAAAAAAAAACCCTGAAAGGGAACTATAATTATTTTGAGATTAAAAAATAAAGTAGATGGCACTGTTTGAAGATAATGGACAGTTACTATTATTATTAGCATATTTATCTCTAATGCTTGCAATGCATATTGAAAGCATTTGTATTGATTATTAACACTATTGAGATTACTACGGAAAGTAATAAGATGAACATAATGGACAATCGTATTTCATCTCATCGTTAATGTCTCAGATAAAGCATTTCACTGATCAGGCTGTGTTAACTGATAATTAGATTCCTTCATTATTTATTTTTTATTAGAGGTGTTCGTTAGAAGCCAAGTAAGTATGTCGTAGTTGTAATTGGTTCTCATGGCCTTAGAAAGGACACTGAGATTTTTTAATAGAAGGATTTCTGTCTTTTAAAAATAATCTTTTGGTACTATCTTAATAAATTAAACTATAACCATTTAACCCAAGTACCTTCTACTTCTCTTCTCTGGCTAATGATCATCGTCCATGCTGAGTGTTTAACTGGAAGACTTGAGAATATACTGATGGCGTGGAATACTACTCTGATGGTTTATAGTAATTACACTTTGGATCACTGCTTTTTTCTCCTAAAAGACTGTCCATGAGCATTAACTCTCCGTTCTCAGCAGCTTTGAATACTTGGCTCCTTAAAGATCCAATATTTTCACCTCCAGTTTAGCTAACGTACTCTAGAAGTGCAGAGAATGAAGGAAGATTCAGTGTTTATTCAGTGCAGCATGCTTTTTACACATTGTTTAATTTAAATCATTCACTCAGAGACTGCTTTTATTTGTAAAAACTTCCATGAAAGGACATTCTTAGCAATTACAGGACTCAAGTAAAATAATTTGGATAATGATGGCAGATATTTATTGAGTGCTTAATCTGTAAAAGATTTAAATCTCTCTGACTTAATCCTTACATGAACACTTGTGGTTGAGGTAGATACTATTATTATCAACCATTTTGAGGAGGATGTTGTGCTTTGCAGAGATTGACTTACTTGTTTAAGGTGAAACTGCTACTATGTAGCAGAGCTGGGGCTTGAACCTCAGTACAAATGACACCAAAATCTGCTTTTAACTATTATGCAATATTGTCAGCTCCATGAGACAGGGAGCAGTTTTGTCTGCTATCCCTAGAACCTAGCACAATGCCGTTTACCTGCTAGAAGTTTGGTATATCTTTGTTGGATGAATGAAAAAAGTTGAGTGAACTGGAAAAATACTTCCTTACATTTAATATAAATTGTGTTTTTTTTCATTTGTCATATTATTAGGGAAAAAATAATTTGTCAGTGTTTTCTTTGTTAAAGTATGTGTTTTCTTTGTTAAAGTATGTGATGTTGGCTTGGCACTTTTGGTTTAGTTTGCAATCTATTAATAATTTGGTTGAGTTTGCAATCTATTAATAATTTTCATGCTCCTATTTATTTTCCTACTAGCTAATTGCTCTGCCCGTACAATAAACTGTCATGGATATTAGTGCTTTCATTAAGGTCTTGGAAGTGTTAAAAGCTAGGTTTCTGTTAAGTGTTACAATTTAAATTGAAAAAGATGTTAGCTTTTTCTTTTAATTATTTACAAAATCAGTATGCATAAATACTAAAGAAGATTGTCTTGTAAAATATAAAACATTAGGGAAAGACAAAAAAATTAAACACTGAAAAACAGATCTTTTTCTTATGAATCTATAACTATGATCAGTCACTGATGAGTATAATGCTGCATCCTCGTTCTGCTACTGGGCTTGAGGAGAAAAGCGTCTTAAATCACCCTGGATTACTGTATCTCAAGCCCAAACATCATTCAGTGTCTGTAGTGTGCTGGTTTAGGAACTTGCAGGAAAGTTGGCAGACTTTGTTCCATCATAGGTTTATTTCTCTGGCAAGTGAAGCCTAATTATTTGTTTAGATTCATCAGAGGAAAAGCTTCATTTTCTTCTTCTAAGATTCTTGTTGTAAGTTCCTTTACTACTTTTTTACCTTCTGGCCAAGAAGAAAAGGAGAGAAAAATTATTGTCTTTAAAAATTCCTGATTTAAATGAAAACCTCACTATTACTCTTTTATTTTTCCATTAGTACATTTTCTGCAAGTCCATTTCAAAGCCCGAGACTGTGTTTTTCTTAACTCATGTGAGAAGTCATCTTTCCTAGTGGCTTTTTGAGCAATAGTTACATGAACTTCTTAATTTGAATCATTGCAATTGAAAATCATGTTTCCCCTTAATGATCCTATCAAGATTTCAATTTGCATATAAAACTGCCTGTGGGTTCAACCAGTTCCTGAAATAATTCAAGTTTTAATCCAAATTTATCAGTACAGAAATTGAAACACATGTAAACAGCACTTAATGCTTTAAAACAGCTGTGTGATGATTTCTTCACAGCACTCCCCTGATAATTAAATTATTAAATCACTCTGCATCCTTCTCTGGGCCACACAGTTCCAGATTTTTAGCATTTCCTCAGATAATTTATTTCTTAATTCTTATTTCAAAGCATCATTTAATTTCCATTTTCTTCTACTTTGAGAACAGTGGAATAGAACATTTTATGCCAATCAAATGGAACGAGTATTTAATACAATGGGAGTATTATTCTTCGTAGCTCTACAATTCTACTGATCAGTATTGAGTTGACTAGAAGGATTCTCACTAAAAATTTAAACAGAGCCACAGTCATTAGCCATTCCTTGGTATTCATGGGGGATTGGTTTAAGGACCTCTGTAGACACCAAAATCCACAGATGCTCAAGTCCCTTGTATAAAATGGTGAGAGGTGACAGCGTGCTGGCAGCCCTCGCAGCCCTCACTTGCTCTTGGCGCCTCCTCAGCCTCGGTGCCCACTCTGGCCATGCTTGAGGAGCCCTTCAGCCCACCGCTGCACTGTGGGAGCCCCTTCCTGGGATGGCCGAGGGCTGAGCCGGCTCCCTCAGCCTGCGGGGAGGTGTGGAGGGAGAGGCACGGGTGGAACCAGGGCTGCCTGGCGCTTGCAGGCCAGCTAGAATTCCGGGTGGGCATGGGCTTGGCGGGCCCCGCACTTGGAGCAGCCGACTGGCCCTGCCGCCCCGGGCAGTGAGAGGCTTAGCACCCGCGCCAGCAGCTGCGGAGGGTGCACTGGGTCCCCCAGCAGTGCTGGCCCACCGGCAGTGCGCTCGATTTCTCACTTGGCCTTAGCTGCCTCTCCGCGGGGCAGGGCTTGGGACCTGCAGACTGCCATGCCTGAGTCTCCCCAACCCGCCGTGGGCTCCTGTGTGGCCTGAGCCTCCCCAAGGAGCACGGCCCCTGCTCCACAGCGCCTGGTGCCATCAACTGCCCAAGGGCTGAGGAGTGTGGGCGCAGGGCCTGGGACTGGCAGGCAGCTCCACCTGCGAGCCCATGCGAGATCCACTGGGTGAAGCCAGCTAGGCTCCTGGGTCTAGTGGGGACTTGGAGAACCTTTATGTCCGGCTAAGGGATTGTAAATACACCAATCAGCACTCTGTATCTAGCTCAAGGTTTGTAAACACACCAATCAGCACCCTGTGTCTAGCTCAGGGTTTGTGAATGCACCAATCAGCACTCTGTATCTAGTTAATCTGGTGGGGACTTGGAGCATCTTTATGTCTAGCTAAGGGATTTTGAATACACCAATCAGCACTCTGTATCTAGCTCAAGGTTTGTAAACACACCAATCAGCACTCTGTGTCTAGCTCAGGGTTTGTGAATGCACCAGTCGGCACTCTGTATCTAGTTAATGTGGTGGAGACTTGGAGAATCTTTATGTCTAGCTAAGGGATTGTGAATGCACCAATCGGCACTCTGTGTCTAGCTCAGGGTTTGTAAATGCGCCAATCAGCACTCTGTCTAGCTCAGGGTTTGTAAATATACCAATCGACACTCTGTATCTAGCTAATCTAGCTGGGAGGTGAAGAACTTTGGTGTCTAGCTCAGGGATTGTAAACGCACCAATCAGCACCCTGTCAAAACGGACCAATCAGCTCTCTGCAAAACAGACCAATCGGCTCTCTGTAAAATGGACCAATCAGCAGGAAGTGGGTGGGGCCAGATAATAGAATAAAAGCAGGCTGCCCTAGCCAGCAGAGGCAACCTGCTGGGGTCCGTTTCCATACCGTGGAAGCTTTGTTCTTTTGCTGTTTGCTGTATATCTTACTGCTGTTAACTGTTTGGGTCCACACTGCCTATATGAGCTGTAACATTCACTGCGAAGGTCTGCAGCTTCACTCCTGAAGCCAGCGAGACCACTAACCCACCAGAAAGAAGAAACTGGGAACACAACTGAACATCAGAAGGAACAAACTCTGGACGCGCTGCCTTTTAGAACTGTGACACTCACCGCGAGGGTCCGCGGCTTCATTCTTGAAGTCAGTGAGACCAAGAACCCACCAATTCCAGACACAATGGCATAGTATTTGCGTATAACCTATGCACATCTGGTATACTTTGAATCATCTCTAGATTAGTTACAATACCTAATACAATGTAAATGCTGTGTAAATAGTTATTATGCTATAGTATTTAGGAACTAATAAAGTAGAAAAAGCCTGTACATGTTTAGTACAGATCCAACTATCCATTTTTTTTTGGCATGTAAACTGAAATATAACCATTCTCTTTCTTCCTCTTTCCTCTTTTTCATCACTCCTCTTTCCCTTTTCTCTCTCCTCCTGCTCCTCATTTTCTCCTATCCTAACCAGGGTCCCCGTGGTCCTGAGGGAGTACCAGGAGAGAGGGGCTTACCCGGAGAAGGATTTCCAGGACCAAAGGTAACAATACCTTCTGTACCAGGAAAAGGTGCTTTGTCTTACATGCTCGTGAATTACAAATTTTAAAAATGTGTCCTAGCCAATTTTTAGAAGTTAATTATTTTTCTGACCATCTTTATTCCATTTAATGAAGGAATATGTAAATTTCCCTGTAATGCGAAAATACAGTAAAATTTGGAACTACAAATAAGTAATTGAAAGACTTCTACTTCATGTAATTACTACATATGAAATTAGAAAAATCTCTTAAAGTAGTTTGTAGTCATTTAAAGCCACAGTGATAAATAACATCCTTATGCCCAGAAGTTAAATCATCGAGTGTAGCTATGGCAATTCTTTGCTCACAGCTTTTTTCGTGAAACACAGATAAGAAACCAATCTGTAATAGTACTGCCATCAATATAATAAGAAAGAAAATTTTACTACAGAAACAAAATGTTATGAAAGACTTCCTTTTTAACTAGCCATTGAGAATTTCCTGTCATTTCCCTTATGTAATTCTTGGAGCTCAAGTTGTTCTGCACCAAAGGTTGGCAAACTTTTTCTGTAAAGGGGCAGATAGCAAATATTTTAGGCTTTGTGAGCCATATGGTATCTGCTGTAACTACTTAACTGCTGATGTAGCTTGAAAGCAGCCATAAACAATGTATAAATGAAGGAATGTGGCTGTTCCAATAAAACTATATTTATAATATAAAAACAGGCAGTGGGCTGAATTTGGCTTATGGGCTGTAGTTTGCTGTCCCCTGATATAGGCAGTTTGTATATAATCTTTGGCACATTTGCTGAAGGGCATGTTAAAAAGTGTTTTCCAAAATGAGCAGCATCAACAACATTTCAGAGTACGTAAAGATACATTTTGGAGTCCTTCTTCCTTTATTTCCAAAGTCTCCCCAAAAAACACACACATGCATATACACACATACTGCCCGGAGAAGTACATGCTGCTTTCTAAGTGTCTGAGACCCTCCACATCAGTCATTCCATCAGGTGACTAAGATATGGCCTTCTCAGTATGGCCTCATGCTCTAAAAGTGCATTTCATTCTCAGCTTCTTCCACCATGATCGATATTCAATTATCTATGAGAATCCTAAATCTCTACTAGAGGGAAAACAATTAGATAAAAACAAATAATTCATCCTTAGTTTTGAGTGACTGCTGGGTTAAATTTTAAAAGACGCCCTTGTTAATGAACACATTTTAATTTGTCATGATAATGGAAATAATATGTTGGATAAAGGGATATTACTAACACCTTTGACTAATCACAGTATCACTATCAGAAGACAGGTCAGCAACTTGGCATGACATCACCGAAAGTTTTGTAATACACAGTTTGAGATTTTTTTGGCACTTAGTAAATTTCTACTTCTATTTATGTGTAGCCCAAATAATCTGAAAAATTCAAATAGAATTATTTCTCTTTAAAATCTGTGTTTTTTAAAGAGAAAGAAATAAATGAGAAATGAATATGTGAAACATTAAGAAGAATATTCCAGGGTATTTCATAGTGACAGGTTCAACATACTTTTATATTATATGAGGTATTATCATACTTTATTGATACTCTTGTATGTAATAGCTCATGGGCATTGACCTCTATCTCATCAAAGAAAGAACACATCGTGTTCCGTGCTGCTTTAGGATCAAGTATATGCAGTTATATTCTGTGGTAATGATCAGAAGAACCCAGAATCAGAATATTTCATTCCCCAACTAGTCAGACCAATGGGTGTTCTCTGTATGTACTATTTGGGGCTAATTTGTAAATGTTCTTTGATTTTACTCTTGGTTCTAATAAATTTATTAAATGAATGCTGCTTCTGATTTATTATATGGTTTATTTTTCATAAAAATGCATGAAGTATTATGACAATATACGTTATATTAAGGACAGAGCTGTTCACTTACGTCATGTAACTGTAGGAGCATATCTAAGAAGATTTTCCATGAATTCTTTTAAACATAAATTTTCAATGAATGTTTATAAACAAAAAAAAAGGTAATAATCTAATCCTAGCAAGTATTAGTTCACATATTAGTACGAGAAATAAATTTTCCTTGTGTGATGGACCCAGTTTCAGCAATATTAAGGAAAAGGAGACTTGATCCAGTTAGTTATACTATGTGATTGATTAGGTGATCCATTTCCAGAATATTTTTGTTTAAATTGGGAACTGAGCTCTTTTCTAACTTCAGGGATGCTACATATGTGTTTTGCTTGGATAGCTTCCTTCTTGTTTAAGTGTTATGACTAATGTATTTTTTGCAAGTTGCAAATCTCAGAGTCAATTAGAATTACCCATTTGTAGTAAACAGTGACTTTGGATGCTTTATTTAAAAAATAATTTTGAAGCACAATTCATAGTATTTGTAATGTAAACTCTTTTAAAATTCAGATTTTGGTTGGTGCATTGATATCCCTCCCTTGTACTTTCAGGGTGAAAAAGGTTCTGAAGGACCAACTGGCCCACAGGGATTACAAGGCCTGTCAATCAAAGGGGAGAAGGTACTGTATAATAGGGTGTACACTGGAAACAATGCCAATAAAATTGTCATTGTTCTTTATGTATGTACATTTCTGAACTGTATACATGACAACCATGCCACACAGGTATCTGGTTAATTATAAATCTAGTATATTCTTTTTTTAAAATAATTATTTTATTTCCACAGGTTATTTGGGAACAGGTGGTGATAGGTTACATGAGTAAGTTCTTTAGTGGTGATTTGTGAGATTTTGGTGCACCCATCACCCAAGCAGTATACACTGAACCCAATTTGTGGTCTTTTATCCCTCACCCTCTTCCCACCCTTTTGCCCCGAGTCCTCAAAGTCCTCTGTGTCTTTCTTATGCCTTTGCGTCCTCATAACTTAGCTCCCACATATGAGTGAGAACATACAATGTTTTGTTTTCTATTTCTGAGTTACTTCACTTAGAATGATAGTCTCCAATCTCATTCAGGTCACTGCAAATGCCATTAATTCATTCCTTTTTATGACTGAGTAGTATTCCATCACATATATATATATATATATTCCATATATATATAGAGTATATAGTATATATATAGTATTCCATCATATATATAAAAACACACTATAATATATGTTATACTATATATACACTATATACACACTATATATACTGTATATATAGTATACAGTATATATATTCCATCATATATATAAACAAACACACACACTATATATGTAAACAAACACACACTATATATAAACACACACTATATATATAAACAAACACACACACTGTAATATATATATCATAGTTTCTTTATCCACTCATTGATTGATGGGCATTTGGGTTGGTTCCATGTTTTTGCATTTGCAAATTGTGCTGCTATAAACAGGTATGTGCAAGTATCTTTTTCGTATAATGACGACTTTTCCTCTGGGTAGATACCCAGTAGTGGGATTGCTGGATCAAATGATAGTTATACTTTTAATTCTGTAAGGAATCTCCACACTGTTTTCCATACTGGTTGTACTAGTTTACATTCCCACCAGCAAGGCAGAAGTGTTCCCTGTTCACTGCATCCGTGCCAACATCTATTATTTTTTGATTTCTTGATTATGGCCATTCTTGCAGGAGTAAGGTGGTATCACATTGTGGTTTTGATTTGCATTTCTCTGATCGTTAGTGATGTTGAGCATTTTTTCATGTTTGTTGGCCATTTGTATATCTTCTCGAGAATTGTGTATTCATGTCCTTAGCCCACTTTTTGATGGGATTATTTGTTTTTTTCTTGATAATTTGTTTGAGTTCATTGAAGATTCTGGATATTAGTCCTTTGTCAGGTGTATAGATTGTGAAGATTTTCTCCCATTCTGTGGGTTGTCTGTTTACTCTGCTAACCGTTCCTTTTGCTGTGCCTTTTGCTGTGAAAAAGCTTTTTAGTTTAATTAAGTCCCAGCTATTTATCTTTGTTTTTATTGCATTTGCTTTTGGATGCTTCATCATGAAATCCTTGCCTAAACCAATGTCTAGAAGAGTTTTTTCAATGTTATCTTCTAGAATTTTTATAGTTTCAGGTTTTAGATTTAAGTTCTTGATCCATCTTGAGCTGATTTTGTATAAGGTGAGAGATGAGGATCCGGTTTTATTCTTCTACATATGGCTTGCCAATTATTCCAGCTGAATTATTCCAGTTGAATAGGGTGTCCTTTCCCCACTATATGTTCTTGTTTGCTTTGTCAAAGATCAGTTGGCTGTAAGTATGATGGTTTATTTCTGGGTTCTTTATTCTGTTCCACTGGTCTATGTGCCTATTTTATACCAGTACCATGCTGTTTTGGTAACTATGGCCTTATAGTGTAGTTTGAAATCAGGTAATTGATGCCTCCAGATTTGTTCTTTTTGCTTAGTCTTGCTTTGGCTATGTGGGCTCTTTTTTGGTTGCATATGAATTTCAGAATTGTTTTTGTCTAATTCTGTGAAGAATGATGATGGTATTCTGATGGGAATTTCAATGAATTTGTGTATGGCTTTTGGCAGTATGGTCATTGTCACAATATTGATTCTACCTATCCATGAGCATGGGATGTGTTTGCATTTGTTTGTGTCATCTATGATTTCTTTCAGCAGTGTTTTGTAGTTTTCCCTGTAGAGGTCCTTCGCCTCCTTGGTTAGGTATATTCCTAAGTATTTTATTTTTTTTTTTGCAGCTATTGTAAAAAGGGTTGAGTTCTTGATTTGATTCTCGGCTTGTTTGCTGTTGGTGTATAGAAGAGCTACTGATTTGTGTATATTAATTTTGTATCTGGAAACTTTGTTGAATTCTTTTATCAATTCTAGGAGCTTTCTGGAGGAGTCTTTAGGGTTTTCTAGGTAAACAATCATATCATCAGCAAACAGGCACTTTGACTTTCTATTTATTGATTTGGATGTTCTTTATTTCTTTCTCTTATCTGATTGCTCTGGCTAGGACTTCCAGTACTATGTGTCAGAGGGGTGGTGAGAGTGGGCATCCTTGTCTTGTTCCAGTTCTCAGAGGGAATGCTTTCAGCTTTTCTCCATTCAGTATTATGTTGGCTATGGGTTTGTCATAGATGGTTGTTATTACCTTGAGGTATGCTCCTTGTATGCCAATTTTGCTGAGAGCTTTAATCATAAAGGGATGCTGGATTTTGTCAAATGCTCTTTCTGCATCTATTGAGATCATCATGTGATTTTTGTTTCTTGTTTTGTTTTTTTGAGGCAGGGTCTCACTTTGTTGCCCAGGCCAGAGTGCAGTGGTGCCATCTCAGTTCACTGCAACCTCCACCTCCCAGGTTGAAGCAATTCTCCTGCCTCAGCCTCCTGAGTAGCTGGGATTGCAGGTGCCCGCCACCACATCCAGCTAATTTTTATGTTTTTAGTAGAGATGGGGTTTCATCATGTTGACCAGGCTGGTCTCAAACTTCTGACCTCAAGTGATCTGCCTGCCTTGACCTCCCAAAGTGCTGGGATTACAGGTGTGAGCCACCATGCCCAGCCTGTTTTATTCTGTTCATGTGGTGTATCACATTTATTGACTTGCGTATGTTAAACCCATCCCTGCATCCCTGTTATGAAACCCATTTGATCATGGTGGATTATCTTTTTGATACGTTGTTGGATTCAGTTAGCTAGTATTTTGTTAAGGATTTTAGCATATATGTTCATGAGGGATATTGGTCTGTAGTTTTCTCTTTTGGTTATGTCCTTTCCTGGTTTTGGTATTAGGATGATACTGGCTTCATAGAATGATTCAGGGAGGGTTCCCTTTTTCTCTATCTTGTGGAATAGTGTCAATAGGATTGATAATTCTTTGAATGTCTGGTAGAATTTTGTTGTGAATCCGTCTAGTCCTGGACATTTTTTGTTGGTAATTTTAAAATTACCATTTCAGTCTTACTGCTTGTTATTGGTCTGTTAAGAGTATCTAATTCTTCCTGATTTAAGCTAGGAAGGTTGTATCTTTTCTTTTTTTTTTTTTTTTTTTAATTATTTTTTTTTATTATACTCTAAGTTTTAGGGTACATGTGCACATTGTGCAGGTTAGTTACATATGTATACATGTGCCATGCTGGTGCGCTGCACCCACTAACTCGTCATCTAGCATTAGGTATATCTCCCAGTGCTATCCCTCCCCCCTCCCCCGACCCCACCACAGTCCCCAGAGTGTGATATTCCCCTTCCTGTGTCCACGTGATCTCATTGTTCAATTCCCACCTATGAGTGAGAATATGCGGTGTTTGGTTTTTTGTTCTTACGATAGTTTACTGAGAATGATGGTTTCCAATTTCATCCATGTCCCTACAAAGGATATGAACTCATCATTTTTTATGGCTGCATAGTATTCCATGGTGTATATGTGCCACATTTTCTTAATACAGTCTATCATTGTTGGACATTTGGGTTGGTTCCAAGTCTTTGCTATTGTGAATAGTGCCGCAATAAACATACGTGTGCATGTGTCTTTATAGCAGCATGATTTATAGTCCTTTGGGTATATACCCAGTAATGGGATGGCTGGGTCAAATGGTATTTCTAGTTCTAGATCCCTGAGGAATCGCCACACTGACTTCCACAATGGTTGAACTAGTTTACAGTCCCACCAACAGTGTAAAAGTGTTCCTATTTCTCCACATCCTCTCCAGCACCTGTTGTTTCCTGACTTTTTAATGATTGCCATTCTAACTGGTGTGAGATGATATCTCATAGTGGTTTTGATTTGCATTTCTCTGATGGCCAGTGATGATGAGCATTTCTTCATGTGTTTTTTGGCTGCATAAATGTCTTCTTTTGAGAAGTGTCTGTTCATGTCCTTTGCCCACTTTTTGATGGGGTTGTTTGTTTTTTTCTTGTAAATTTGTTTGAGTTCATTGTAGATTCTGGATATTAGCCCTTTGTCAGATGAGTAGGTTGTGAAAATTTTCTCCCATGTTGTAGGTTGCCTGTTCACTCTGATGGTAGTTTCTTTTGCTGTGCAGAAGCTCTTTAGTTTAATTAGATTCCATTTGTCAATTTTGGCTTTTGTTGCCATTGCTTTTGGTGTTTTGGACATGAAGTCCTTGCCCACGCCTATGTCCTGAATGGTAATGCCTAGGTTTTCTTCTAGGGTTTTTATGGTTTTAGGTCTAACGTTTAAATCTTTAATCCATCTTGAATTGATTTTTGTATAAGGTGTAAGGAAGGGATCCAGTTTCAGCTTTCTACATATGGCTAGCCAGTTTTCCCAGCACCATTTATTAAATAGGGAATCCTTTCCCCATTGCTTGTTTTTCTCAGGTTTGTCAAAGATCAGATAGTTGTAGATATGCGGCATTATTTCTGAGGGCTCTGTTCTGTTCCATTGATCTATATCTCTGTTTTGGTACCAGTACCATGCTGTTTTGGTTACTGTAGCCTTGTAGTATAGTTTGAAGTCAGGTAGTGTGATGCCTCCAGCTTTGTTCTTTTGGCTTGGGATTGACTTGGCAATGCGGGCTCTTTTTTGGTTCCATATGAACTTTAAAGTAGTTTTTTCCAATTCTGTGAAGAAAGTCATTGGTAGCTTGATGGGGATGGCATTGAATCTGTAAATTACCTTCGGCAGTATGGCCATTTTCACGATATTGATTCTTCCTACCCATGAGCATGGAATGTTCTTCCATTTGTTTGTGTCCTCTTTTATTTCCTTGAGCAGTGGTTTGTAGTTCTCCTTGAAGAGGTCCTTCACATCCCTTGTAAGTTGGATTCCTAGGTATTTTATTCTCTTTGAAGCAATTGTGAATGGGAGTTCACCCATGATTTGGCTCTCTGTTTGTCTGTTGTTGGTGTATAAGAATGCTTGTGATTTTTGTACATTGATTTTGTATCCTGAGACTTTGCTGAAGTTGCTT
Source organism: Homo sapiens (assembly GCF_000001405.40). Classification (NCBI taxonomy): domain Eukaryota; kingdom Metazoa; phylum Chordata; class Mammalia; order Primates; family Hominidae; genus Homo; species Homo sapiens. The sequence continues at coordinate 7,469,243 of NC_000007.14, read as the reverse complement.
ATCAGCTTAAGGAGATTTTGGGCTGAGACGATGGGGTTTTCTAGATAAACAATCATGTCGTCTGCAAACAGGGACAATTTGACTTCCTCTTTTCCTAATTGAATACCCTTTATTTCCTTCTCCTGCCTGATTGCCCTGGCCAGAACTTCCAACACTATGTTGAATAGGAGTGGTGAGAGAGGGCATCCCTGTCTTGTGCCAGTTTTCAAAGGGAATGCTTCCAGTTTTTGCCCATTCAGTATGATATTGGCTGTGGGTTTGTCATAGATAGCTCTTATTATTTTGAAATACGTCCCATCAATACCTAATTTATTGAGAGTTTTTAGCATGAAGGGTTGTTGAATTTTGTCAAAGGCTTTTTCTGCATCTATTGAGATAATCATGTGGTTTTTGTCTTTGGCTCTGTTTATATGCTGGATTACATTTATTGATTTGCGTATATTGAACCAGCCTTGCATCCCAGGGATGAAGTCCACTTGATCATGGTGGATAAGCTTTTTGATGTGCTGCTGGATTCGGTTTGCCAGTATTTTATTGAGGATTTTTGCATCAATGTTCATCAAGGATATTGGTCTAAAATTCTCTTTTTTGGTTGTGTCTCTGCCCGGCTTTGGTATCAGAATGATGCTGGCCTCATAAAATGAGTTAGGGAGGATTCCCTCTTTTTCTATTGATTGGAATAGTTTCAGAAGGAATGGTACCAGTTCCTCCTTGTACCTCTGGTAGAATTCAGCTGTGAATCCATCTGGTCCTGGACTCTTTTTGGTTGCTAAACTATTGATTATTGCCACAATTTCAGAGCCTGTTATTGGTCTATTCAGAGATTCAACTTCTTCCTGGTTTAGTCTTGGGAGAGTGTATGTGTCGAGGAATGTATCCATTTCTTCTAGATTTTCTAGTTTATTTGCGTAGAGGTGTTTGTAGTATTCTCTGATGGTAGTTTGTATTTCTGTGGGATCGGTGGTGATATCCCCTTTATCATTTTTTATTGTGTCTATTTGATTCTTCTCTCTTTTTTTCTTTATTAGTCTTGCTAGCGGTCTATCAATTTTGTTGATCCTTTCAAAAAACCAGCTCCTGGATTCATTGATTTTTTGAAGGGTTTTTTGTGTCTCTATTTCCTTCAGTTCTGCTCTGATTTTAGTTATTTCTTGCCTTCTGCTAGCTTTTGAATGTGTTTGCTCTTGCTTTTCTAGTTCTTTTAATTGTGATGTTAGGGTGTCAATTTTGGATCTTTCCTGCTTTCTCTTGTAGGCATTTAGTGCTATAAATTTCCCTCTACACACTGCTTTGAATGCGTCCCAGAGATTCTGGAATGTTGTGTCTTTGTTCTCGTTGGTTTCAAAGAACATCTTTATTTCTGCCTTCATTTCGTTATGTACCCAGTAGTCATTCCGGAGCAGGTTGTTCAGTTTCCATGTAGTTGAGCGGCTTTGAGTGAGATTTTTAATCCTGAGTTCTAGTTTGATTGCACTGTGGTCTGAGAGATAGTTTGTTATAATTTCTGTTCTTTTACATTTGCTGAGGAGAGCTTTACTTCCAAGTATGTGGTCAATTTTGGAATAGGTGTGGTGTGGTGCTGAAAAAAATGTATATTCTGTTGATTTGGGGTGGAGAGTTCTGTAGATGTCTATTAGGTCCGCTTGGTGCAGAGCTGAGTTCAATTCCTGGGTATCCTTGTTGACTTTCTGTCTCGTTGATCTGTCTAATGTTGACAGTGGGGTGTTAAAGTCTCCCATTATTAATGTGTGGGAGTCTAAGTCTCTTTGTAGGTCACTGAGGACTTGCTTTATGAATCTGGGTGCTCCTGTATTGGGTGCATAAATATTTAGGATAGTTAGCTCCTCTTGTTGAATTGATCCCTTTACCATTATGTAATGGCCTTCTTTGTCTCTTTTGATCTTTGTTGGTTTAAAGTCTGTTTTATCAGAGACTAGGATTGCAACCCCTGCCTTTTTTTGTTTTCCATTGGCTTGGTAGATCTTCCTCCATCCTTTTATTTTGAGCCTATGTGTGTCTCTGCACGTGAGATGGGTTTCCTGAATACAGCACACTGATGGGTCTTGACTCTTTATCCAACTTGCCAGTCTGTGTCTTTTAATTGCAGAATTTAGTCCATTTATATTTAAAGTTAATATTGTTATGTGTGAATTTGATCCTGTCATTATGATGTTAGCTGGTGATTTTGCTCATTAGTTGATGCAGTTTCTTCCTAGTCTCGATGGTCTTTACATTTTGGCATGATTTTGCAGCGGCTGGTACCGGTTGTTCCTTTCCATGTTTAGCGCTTCCTTCAGGAGCTCTTTTAGGGCAGGCCTGGTGGTGACAAAATCTCTCAGCATTTGCTTGTCTATAAAGTATTTTATTTCTCCTTCACTTATGAAGCTTAGTTTGGCTGGATATGAAATTCTGGGTTGAAAATTCTTTTCTTTAAGAATGTTGAATATTGGCCCCCACTCTCTTCTGGCTTGTAGGGTTTCTGCCGAGAGATCCGCTGTTAGTCTGATGGGCTTTCCTTTGAGGGTAACCCGACCTTTCTCTCTGGCTGCCCTTAACATTTTTTCCTTCATTTCAACTTTGGTGAATCTGACAATTATGTGTCTTGGAGTTGCTCTTCTCGAGGAGTATCTTTGTGGCGTTCTGTGTATTTCCTGAATCTGAACGTTGGCCTGCCTTGCTAGATTGGGGAAGTTCTCCTGGATAATATCCTGCAGAGTGTTTTCCAAGTTGGTTCCATTCTCCACATCACTTTCAGGTACACCAATCAGACGTAGATTTGGTCTTTTCACATAGTCCCATATTTCTTGGAGGCTTTGCTCATTTCTTTTTATTCTTTTTTCTCTAAACTTCCCTTCTCTCTTCATTTCATTCATTTCATCTTCCATTGCTGATAACCCTTTCTTCCAGTTGATCACATCGGCTCCTGAGGCTTCTGCATTCTTCACGTAGTTCTCGAGCCTTGGTTTTCAGCTCCATCAGCTCCTTTAAGCACTTCTCTGTATTGGTTATTCTAGTTATACATTCTTCTAAATTTTTTTCAAAGTTTTCAACTTCTTTGCCTTTGGTTTGAATGTCCTCCCGTAGCTCAGAGTAATTTGATCGTCTGAAGCCTTCTTCTCTCAGCTCTTCAAAGTCATTCTCCATCCAGCTTTGTTCTGTTGCTGGTGAGGAACTGCGTTCCTTTGGAGGAGGAGAGGCGCTCTGCGTTTTAGAGTTTCCAGTTTTTCTGTTCTGTTTTTTCCCCATCTTTGTGGTTTTATCTACTTTTGGTCTTTGATGATGGTGATGTACAGATGGGTTTTCGGTGTAGATGTCCTTTCTGGTTGTTAGTTTTCCTTCTAACAGACAGGACCCTCAGCTGCAGGTCTGTTGGAATACCCTGCCGTGTGAGGTGTCAGTGTGCCCCTGCTGGGGGGTGCCTCCCAGTTAGGCTGCTCGGGGGTCAGGGGTCAGGGACCCACTTGAGGAGGCAGTCTGCCCGTTCTCAGATCTCCAGCTGCGTGCTGGGAGAACCACTGCTCTCTTCAAAGCTGTCAGACAGGGACACTTAAGTCTGCAGAGGTTACTGCTGTCTTTTTGTTTGTCTGTGCCCTGCCCCCAGAGGTGGAGCCTACAGAGGCAGGCAGGCCTCCTTGAGCTGTAGTGGGCTCCACCCAGTTCGAGCTTCTCGGCTGCTTTGTTTACCTAAGCAAGCCTGGGCAATGGCGGGCGCCCCTCCCCCAGCCTCGTTGCCGCCTTGCAGTTTGATCTCAGACTGCTGTGCTAGCAATCAGCGAGATTCCGTGGGCGTAGGACCCTCTGAGCCAGGTGGGGGATATAGTCTCGTGGTGCGCCGTTTCTTAAGCCGGTCTGAAAAGCGCAATATTCGGGTGGGAGTGACCCGATTTTCCAGGTGCGTCCGTCACCCCTTTCTTTGACTCGGAAAGGGAACTCCCTGACCCCTTGCGCTTCCCAGGTGAGGCAATGCTCGCCCTGCTTCGGCTCGCGCACGGTGCGCACACACACTGGCCGGCGCCCACTGTCTGGCACTCCCTAGTGGGATGAACCCGGTACCTCAGATGGAAATGCAGAAATCACCCGTCTTCTGCGTCGCTCACGCTGGGAGCTGTAGACCGGAGCTGTTCCTATTCGGCCATCTTGGCTCCTCCCCCGGTTGTATCTTTTCAAGAATTTATTCATCTCCTCTAGGCTTTCTAGTTTATGCGCATAAAGGTGTTCATAGTAGCCTTGAATGATCTTTTGGATTTCTGCTTGGATTTCTTTTAGATTTTTGGTGCCAGTTGTAAATCTCCTGTTTCGTTTCTAATTGAACTTATTTGGATTTTCTCCCTTCTTTTCTTGGTTAATCTTGCTGATGGTCTATCAATTTATCTTTTCAAAGAACCAGTTTTTGTTTCATTTATCTAATTTTCAATTTCATTCAGTTCTGCTCTGATCTTGCTTATTTCCTTTCTGCTGAGTTTGGGTTTGGTTTGTTCTTGTTTCTCTAGTTCCTTGAGGTGTGACCTTAAATTGTTTGTTTGTGCTCTTTCAGACTTTTTGATATAGGTGTTTAGGGCTATGAACTTTCCTCTTAGCACTGCCTTTGCAGTATCCCAGAGGTTTTCATAGGTTGTGTCACTATTGTCATTCAGTTTGAAGAATTTTTAAATTTCCATCTTGATTTCATTTTTGACCCAGTGATCTTTCAGGAGCAGGTTATTTAATTTCCATGTATTTGCATGGCTTTGAAGGTTCATTTTGGAGTTGATTTCCAGTTTTATTCCACTGTGGTCTGAAAGACTGCTTGGTATAATTTCACTTTTCTTGAACTTATTGAGGCTTGTTTTGTTGCCTGTGATATGTTTTATCTTGGAGAAGGTACCATGCACTGTTGAATAGAATGTATATTTTGTGGTTGTTGGGTAGAATGTTCTGTAAGTATCTGTTAAGTCCGTTTGTTCCAGGGTATAGTTTAAATCCATTATTTCTTTGTTGACGTTCTGTCTCGATGACCTGTCTAGTGCTGTCAGTGCAGTATTGAAGTGCCCCACTATTATTGTGTTGCTGTCTGTCTCATTTCTTAGGTATATTAGTAATTGTTTTATAAATTAGGGAGCTCCAGTGTTGGGTGCATATATATTTAGGACTGTGATGTTTTCCTGTTGGACAAGGCCTTTTATCATTATATAATGACCTTCTTTATCTTTTTAAACTGTTGTTGCTTTAAAGTTTGTTTTGTCTGATATAAGAATGGCTACCCCTGGTTGCTTTTGGTGTCCATTTGCATGAAATGTCATTTTCCATCAGCTTACCTTAAGTTTAAGTGAGTCCTTATGTGTTAGGTGAGTCTCTTGAAGGCAGCAGATTGGTTGGTGAATTCTTATCCATTCTGCAATTCTATGTATTTTAAGTGAACCATTTAGGCCATTTACATTCAATGTTAGTATTGAGATGTGAGGTACCATTCACTGTGCTATTTTTTGCCTATATACCTTTTTTATTATATTTTTGTTTTATAGGTCCTGTGAAATTTATGATTTAAAGAGTTTCTGTTTTGATGTGTTTCCAGGATTTCTTTCAAGATTTAGAGCTCCTTTTGGCAGTTCTTGTAGTGCTGGGTTGGTAGTGGCAAATTCTCTCAGCATTTGTTTGTCTGAAAAAGACTGTATCTTTCCTTCATTTATGAAGCTTAGTTTCAGTGGAAACAAACTTCTTAGCTGATAATTGTTTTGTTTGAGGAGGCTGATGATAGGACCCCAATCCCTTCTAGCTTGTAGAGTTTCTGCTGAGAAATCTGCTGTTAATCTGATAGGTTTTCCTTTATAGGTTACCTATACAGGAAAGATTTCAACAGTTCATTATTATTACTTCTGCTCTAGGGTTTTTGTAGATACTCTTTATAAAACTTAAAAGTTCCATTTAGTGCTCGATATAATATGTTATTAAAGAATTACAATTAAACATTAGTGAGGTGTTTTTGCCTCACAGCTGTTAAGATTCTTTCCTTCTTCTTAACTTCAGATAACCTGATGACAGTGTTCCTGGGTGATGATCTTTTTTGCGATGAATCTCCCAGGTGTTCTTTGAGCTTCTTGTATTTTGATATCTAGTTCTCTAGCAGGGGTGGGGAAGTTTTCCTCGATTATTCCTCCAAATATATTTTTCAAACTTTTAGATTTCTCTTCTTCCTCAGGAACACCAATTATTCTTAGGTTTGGCCATTTAACATAATCCCAGATTTCTTGGAGGCTTTGTTCATATTTTCTTATTCTTTTTTGTTTGGATTAATTAAAAAACCTTGTCTTTGAGCTCTGAAGGTCTTCCTTTTGCTTGTTAAATTGTATTACTGAGAGCTTCCAGAGCATTTTGCATTTCTTTCTTTTTTCTTTTTTTTTTTTTTGAGATGGAGTTTTGCTCTTGTTGCCCAGGCTGGAGTGCAATGGCGTGATCTTAGCTCTCACCACAACTTCTGCCTCCCGGGTTCAAGTGATTATCCTGCCACAGCATCCCCAGTAGCTGGGATTACAGGCATGTGCCACCACGCCCGGCTAATTTTTGTATTTTTAGTAGAGACGGGGTTTCTCTATGTTGGTCAGGCTGGTCGTGAACTCCTGACCTCAGGTAGTCCATCTGCCTCGGCCTCCCAAAGTGTTGGGATTACAGGTGTGAGCCACCGTGCTCAGCCTGCATTTCTGTAAGTGTGTCCATGTTTCCTGAAGTTTTGATTGTTTTTATTTATGCTATCTATTTCATTGAATATTTCTCCCTTCACTTCTTGTATCATTTTTTAAATTTCCTTACATTGGGCTTCACCTTTCTCTGGTGCCTTCCTGATTAGCTTAATAACTCACCTTCTGAATTCTTTTTCAGGTAGATCAAGGATGTCTTCTTGTTTGGATCTATTGCTGGTGAGCTAGTGTAATTTTTTGGGGGTGTTAAACAACCTTGTTTCGTCATATTACCAGAGTTGGTTTTCTGTTTCCTTCTCATTTGGGTAGGCCCTGTCAGAGGGAAGTTCCAGGGCTCAAGGCTGTCATTAAATTCCTTTTGTCCCATGGGGTGTTTCCTTGATTTAGTAGTCTCATCCTTTTTCTAGGGATGTGGCTTCCTGACAGCTAAGCTGTAGTGATTGTTATCTCTCTTCTGGATCTAGCCATCCAGCAAGTCTACCGGGCTCCAGGCTGGTACTGGGGGCTGTTTGCACAGAGTCCTATGATGTGAACCGTCTGTGGGTCCCTCAGCCATGGATACCAGCGCCTGCTCCAGTGGGTGAAATGGACTCTGTGAGGGTCCTTAGCTTTGGTTGGTTAGTACAGTATTTTTGTGCCGGTTGGCCTCCTCCTGGGAGGTGGTGTTTTCAAGAGAGCATCAGTTGTGGTAGTATGGGAAGGAACAGGTGGTGGACAGGGCCTTATAACTCCCATGAGTATATGCCCTTTGTCTTCAGTTACCAGGGTGGATAGGGAAGGACCATTAGGCGGGAGCAAGGCTAGGTGTTTCTGAGCTCAGACTCTACTTCTACTTGGGTGGGTCTTGCTGTGGCTGCTGTGGGGGTAAGGGAGAGGTTCCCAGATCAATGGAATTGTATACCTAGGAGGATAATGGCTGCCTCTGCTGTGCCATACAGGTTGTCAGGGAAGTGGGGGAAAGCCAGCAGTCATAGTCCTAACCTAGCTCCAGTGCAAACTGAAGGGCTGGTCTGACTCCCACCGTGCCCTCCCAACAACACTGAGTCTGTTTCCAGGCAGTGGGTGAGTAGGGCTGAGAGGTTGCCCCAGGCTTCCCACCTCCCAGCTAGGAAAGTCAGTAGAGCTTTCCTTCTTCCCCTGTCTGTGGAGTCTGCACACTGGATTCACGCCCTTTCCTGAGTTCTGGCCAGGAGACTTCTCAATCTGTTGAAATTATTACAGAATTCAGTTGGAGGTTTCCTTCCCCCTGTGGGCTTTTCCCAGTGCCTCTGGCAGCCATCCTCAAGGACCCCAGTGATGTGAGGCAGAGATGGCTTGCTAGGGAACCCACTGAGCCCACAGGGATTTTCCTGCTGCTTTCTCTACTCCTGTATTTCGCTTGGCTCTCTAAATTGACTCAGCTCCCATAATCTAGACCTTCAGGTTCCCCAGTGGGGGTATGTGTTCAGGGGCGGACAATCTCCCTTTCCCATTTCTATAGTTTGGGCACTCACAATATTTGGGATGTCTCCCAGGTCCTGCAGGAGCAATCCATTCCCTTCAGCAAGTCCGTGGGTTTTCTTGGCTTTCCAAATGTATTCCTGCAGTCGTTCTAGAGCAAAGGTTCACAGTGCTAGCCTCCACATGCTGTTCTTTCCATCCGAGTGGGAGCTGCGATCTAGTCCTGCCTCCTGTCCACGATGATCTCCAAATCTAGTATATGCAAGGTGTGTTATTATGTAGGATGAGTTATGATCTGAGAAATTAGGTTATTTCTATTTATTGTAATGTCTCACTTATTTGGGTTCTGACATCCAGTGACTTCTACCATCAGCAAAGCAGCTTTGAATCCAGACATTATCGAAAGACATTTCTTCTTAGTAAAGAAAACAGTTGTTAAAAACATTGACTTGGCCGGGCGCAGTGGCTTACGCCTGTAATCCCAGCACTTTGGGAGGCTGAGGCGGGCGGATCACGAGGTCAGGAGATCGAGACCATCCTGGCTAACACGGTGAAACCTTGTCTCTACTAACAATACAAAAATTAGCCGGGCGTGGTGGCAGGCGCCTGTAGTCCCAGCTACTCGGGAGGCTGAGGCAGGAGAATGGTGGGTGAACCCAGGAGGCGGAGCTTGCAGTGAGCCAAGATTGCACCACTGCACTCCAGCCTGGGTGACAGAGCAAGACTCCATCTCTAAAAAAAAAAACAACAAAAAACATTGACTTGACCTTCTTATAGAAGTGTATATCCATCCCTAGGCTCCCACTCAAAAATATTATCTTAAAATCAGGTTAAAATCAGAAAACTCATTTAAGAAAACTAGTGTTGATGCCCTCCAGCAAGGACCAACAGGAATCCATCCAGAGTTTTAGCAAGGCTTGTTGACTCTGAAGGAAGGAAGACCACATACGATGAACCTACAGTGACTCAGGAAGAGGATGAAAGATATTTCATAGGATTTGCACTTGTGTTAGGTGATTTTGGGAAGCATTTAAGAAATCAGGGATGGGCTCTGGATTTAATGTTGTCAATAGTTGGGGATAAGTTTAGGATTGAGTATTTAATGAATCTCATCTAGAAGTTGGGACAAATGGAGTTAGGCTGAGTCATAACTGATAGAAGTAGCAGTCACTCATTTTAGCCAGTATTGGAGGATGTTTGATAATTTGAGGGTTTTATATAGTGTTTGCTGTTTTTGTCTGTGCTCAGATATAATTATGGAGTAGTCTGGCTTTCATCTTGGTCCATCACAGTCATGGGGTGGCCTTGTTTGATCTTGATGATTTGTCAAATTGTTCATGTTTGACACCACGGCCTACTTGCCAGGGTCAGGTCAGCTCCTCGTTGTTAGGGATTGCTTTTCTCTTTCTCACTGGCTATTTGTTTTCTTTAAAACAGCTGCAGATTATACCAGATTAGAAATGGGAATGGAGCTGGTGATAGGAGCTACTAGAGGCTGATACAGCCATAAAGAGCATTGGAAGTGAAGCTGCCAGAGGGGGAAGGATATAAGAAATGTATAAAAAAGCAGAGAACTCATATCAATTTGGAGTCATTTATATATCAGCCTTTAAGCAGATAATTATATTGTATATTATATTAGGATAACAATTGATATTCATGATTATCTCAAGTGCTGGGTTTCAATCTTGAATGACTTATTTTTATTTGCTGGTAGTTATCTCTTCTAGCTGTTTGTATTTAAATAGCAGAAATAAATAGTGAGTGATAGGAATTTTAGATGCAATACAATTCTTTGTTCAATCTCTTAGCTCTGGCTGTACAGCAACTCCAAAATACTCCAAAAAATACATGAGTTGCTCTTTCTTCCTTTGGAGCAGCGAGAACTGAATACAACAGAACCATTGTTTTATGAGTTCAGTAAATTAACTTTTTCAGGTGGTGTTGGGACATGGTGCATGTTATTTTTACATTTGGAGGTCATGCAAAGAAATCACTCTGAAGTATCAGGATATTATTACATAGCAAAGCTTTTATCTGCTGTTCCCTCAATACCATCTTCTTTTTCCTTTCTTCCTTTCCTGTTCTTTTACATATAACACTAGATTCAGAGGGCTTGATGTTTGTGATTCAAGTGATAATATAAACACGCCTCTGATAAGGCCTCTCAAATGTATGTAAATGGTACAAAACAAAGTTGTACTTATGGCACAGGTATTTAAATGTCAATAACACTGCACAAAAAGGGACCCTCTCTTATGTGTTTAACAAATATTTGCAAACTAGTGGCTATGAGTTGGGTTTTGGCTAGTGGCTATGAGTTGGACTTGACTGTCACCTCTGCCGTCTAACAGTTGCGTGACCTGGGGTGAGTTACTTACACTCATCTGAAAAATGGGGATGGCCACTTTACAGGGGTTGTTGTGAGGATAAATGAAAGGATGTAAAGCATTAAGCACAATATCTGATGCATAAGAAATCAAGTTCTGAATCAAAATAGTCCAGCTCTGAGCCAGAACTGGATTCCATTATGTTTTCCTTCCGTAATATTTATGTAGATCAAAGGTTGATAGAGCACTAAGTAGTGTATTCCAGGGCATCTCCTAGTGCAGGTTCTATATATTTAATGTTATATAAAGTTTGATCTAATGATACATTTTTCTTTTCTTTTTGTTTGTTTTTTTTGTTTGTTTGTTTTTTGTTTTGTTTTTTTTTGAGACAAGAGTTTCACTCTTGTTGTCCAGGCTGGAGTGCAATGGCACCATCTCAGCTCACTGCACCATTCACCTCCCCGGTTCAAATGATTCTCCTGCCTTAGCCTCCTGAGTAGCTGGGATTACAGGCATGTGCCACCATGCCCAGCTAATTTTGTATTTTTAGTAGAAATGGGGTTTCTCCATGTTGGTCAGGCTGGTCTCGAACTCCCGATCTCAGGGGATCCGCCCACCTCTGCCTCCCAAAGTGCTGGGATTATAGGCGTGAGCCACGGCGCCCAGCAAATGATACATTTTTCTTCATAAAAACATATTTATTTAGCTCAAACATTGGCCAACTGTTGAGCTGGCTGCCTGTTTTTACAAATAAAATGTTATGAGACCACAGGTATACTTGTTCACTATATATTATCTATGGCTACTTTTGTACTACCAAAGCAGCATTGATCAATTACGAGAGACATCATTATGACCCTCAAGCCCAAAGTATCTGCTATCCAACTGTTTAAAAGTTTTGCGGCCCTAATGTAGTCTAAATACAACTGCCATTAAAATGAGCATGTTAACCATGTTACTCAATCCAGCGGTCAATTCTCTGTCATCAACTAATTTGCCCTGTTGGTAGCATTTGACAGATGGATCCCTCACCTTCTTGAAACACTCTCTTCACTTGGTCTCTCTGGCTGCTTCCTTCTCAGTCTCCACTGCTGTGACTTCTTCATCTCTCTGACCTCTAATGATTGGAGTGCTTAAAGGGCTCAGTCCTGGGACCATCTCTTTTTTCTATTACTTGGCAAATTCACTCAATTATGGCCTTTAATATCATTTATATACTGAGGGCTCCCAAATTTATGTTCTCATCCCAGGCCTCTCCCACCTACTTGATATCTCCATTTGGATGTTCATTTTAGGGATCTCAAACTAAACATGTCCAAAACTGAACTCCTGATATCACCCTCCACCTCAAACCTTGCTTTTCTCTCAGGCTTTTTCTTCTCAGTCAATGACAACTCTATTCTGCCAAGAGTCCTTTCAGTCCTCAGCAAATCCCATCACTCTACCTTCAACATTATCCAGGTTTTGAGCACTCCCCACCACCTCCACTCTCAACATTCTGGTTTGTGCCCCATCATCTCTCATGCAGACCCCCTTCAGTCTGTTCTCCATACAGCTTCCAGATGGGGCCTTAAAAACCAAGTCAGATCTCTCACTTCCCTTCTCAAAACCCTCCAGTGGCTTCCTAACTTACTCAGAGGATAGCCAAGTCCTTACAGTGGCCTCAAAGGCCCCACTGATCCTTCTACCTGACTCCACTGCCATAATTCTCTGACTTCATTGTCTACCGCTCTCCCTCATGGAGATGGTTCCACCCGCACTGTCTCCTTGCTGTTTCTGGAACATGTCAGGCATCATCTTTGTTTTGGCTGTTTCTCTGCATGGAATGCTTTTCTTCTGGGTTTCTACCTGGCTCATTCCCTCTCGTCAGTGACTTCATCTCTGGACATCTTAACCAAAATCATCGCTGCCTCTTCTCTTCCCTGATTAATTTTTCTCCTTCACACTTATTATTCAACATACTAGTTATTTTATCTACCTGTCTTGTTTACCATCTTGTTTCCCCTACTAAAATCTAAGCTCAATGGAGGACAGAGATTTTGAGCTGTTTTGGTCACTGTTGTTTTCCTAGTGTTTGGAACACTTTCTGGCTTATAATGGGCACTCAACAAACACCTGTATAAAGACACAGAAAGAATGAATTATGTTCTTCTTGCTGGTAACTTTAATTTTGTTTTCTCAATTTCATGGAAGAAGAAAATAGGGCTGTTTAATTTTGCTGCATTCACTTGAGATCATTTCTTCATTTTCAAAATGCATTTTCAATAAGATTTGGAGGGAAAGGGTATTTAGAAAATTTAAAAATATTTTTCTTCAATTTATCTCTCATTCTATTTTTATTATATCCTATGAATTTTCTACTTTTAAATATTTCTGTTACAATCTTAGCAGGAAATGTTTGTGTCATAACAACTATTCAGGAAATTTTGTTTGTGAGAAAATGATTGATAAATATAAGCCTATACAAATGCTCACCAACTTAGACTGAATAGCAAAAATGTCATTTACTATTTTGGGGAATTTGAATTATAAACTTTTAAAGGAATAAAATAAAGTTTTATAATTTTCCATGTTGAATTTTTTTTATAGTATAAAGATAGATTTTAACACAGCCCAATTCCAGGTTAGCAAAGTATGAAATAATAAGATTTTATTTTATTGTTATATTTCCTGGCTTATTTTCTGTGCAGGGGGATATAGGACCTGTGGGACCCCAAGGACCAATGGGTATCCCTGGAATCGGGAGTCAAGGGGAACAGGTAATTAATGCATTCTTCCTTTCCCTTCAGTGCAGAACATTCCAGCCCAATCCTGGTCTTCATTGAAGGCCAGTCCTGCAAACATCTATGAGTATATTTGACAGTTAATTGCAGTGGAGTATAAGTCCAGAAGTGAATATAGGGAAGGATAAGATGGTTTCATGAGAAGATTTTATTTTTTAGAACTTCCAAAGGCTTAAAAAATAAGTAGTGTGTTTCTTGATGCTGTGACTTTTAACATTAAAACCTAATTAACAAGGTAAATGTTTTGGTGCAATATTTTTAGTTCCCCTTGGGAACAATAGTTTACTCACCTGCTGGTTTGTGTATTTTTTTCTCCTTGAAGCTTTGTGAAAATTAAATCCCACTCTCTCCCAATGGAGTAGAGTGGTATCCCCCTACCAACCACTCTAACTAGCCACATATCCATTTTTTAAAAAAGTATTATAGTTAAAACTTGGACCAGGATCAGAGATAACCACTTAGTTTAAGGGGCAAACTTCTGGAATAGAAGCAAAACACAGATATAATTTATAAATGACACCTGGCCCCTCTTGGTGAGAAGAAAAGAAAGATCTGTAAGAATGTCTACATTCGTGATTAGAACCATTTCCAAAATCTTCTGATAACTTTTGGAAAATCTGGGTATTGTGATAAATCTAAATAATGTGAAGATAGTATAACAGTACTCTCTACTGTTGTTTACCATGTAGTCTTTTGTTTACCATATACTTTGTTGTTTGCCATATACTTACGCAGCCTTATTAATCAAAGCAACCCACAAATTCAGTTTTATGCTAAATATCTCCTGGTTAGAAAGTGGCAGGTCAGGTTTGATTAAGATTTATGAGTAAGGTTTGAATTATTCTATTGCTTAAAGAATGAATAGTGCTTTCTGTATCTAGTTTCTGTATCTAGGGTAGTGGGAGAAGGGAAGAATTTAAAAAATGAGATAATTCCGGTGTCATTGTTGAGATTTACTTTGGGTTTATTTCTAATTGGCTGCTAATTTATTATTATTATTACTTTTCTTGCTAGTCCAAACAACAGCAAAGTTGGATATGACTCCTTTTTCCATTCCCTTGCCATTGGCAGAGGTCCTAGTCTAACACATTAGGAATCTTAAGGTACAGAAGAAGCCAAGATAAATGTATAAATAAATATTTAGATAATAATTAAGAGCTGGACATTTGGGCTACTCAAATATCATCATTTGATTATACCAGCCGACATTCTCAAGCCTTTTAGTTTATTTGTTGGTTTTAGCAGGGGCTTACTTATCCCAAAAGTGGCCGGACAGTGTTGTCACATCTTGGGTCTTGCAGTGCTCCTGGTGCTGAGTGACCACTATGGGGCTAAATATGAGGTTCGAAGACAAGTCTGTTCAGATGGCCTGTGAATTCTGGACCTCCTACCTACAGCTTCCTGTCGCCTTTAATGCTGTTCCTTGGTGGAGGTTGTTGTTCTTCAGCTTGGGAAAAAAAACAAAACAAAAGTCTCGGACTTCTTTCATTTTCTTACCCCCTTTTCTTCTTTTTGTAAAGAAAAAAAAATTTCGAGGTAGATGTGTCCTTACAGAGCTGATCTCTATTGGAAATGAGATCTCTATTTGTAAAATGATCTGAGCAAGAAAAGAATTTATTTACCTTTTAAGACAAATGATATAAATTCTACTTAAATTTAACCTCTGTCTATGCAGTTATTCAATGTTCTTTAATTTGATGTGTTTATCCATTGAATTCTTGTTATGTTAGATCTTCCTATTTCTCTCATAAAAATGAATGTTTTCCCTCATGTGTTTATGAGGGAACTTCTGTTTCCAGCAACATGTTTACAATCTCTCTTAAATGGCCCACAGATTTTTGTTAAATATTTGGAGGCTTGATCAACTCAGATCTTTTACAAATAGAGTGAAAAATAAACAACCACATATACAAATGTACACATATGTGCATATCCTTTTTTATACCCATGTATAAAAACCTCCTTTATATTGTGAAGGAGGGAGTCAAGTGTTTGAACCTTCTTCAGTTTGGTATCTACTGACTATTGCTTCTGTTAATCAACTGACTACTGCCTCTATTAATCGGTCTTGATAGTCTGCCATACTGAGGGTGCTTTCCTCATCTGCATGATCCTGGATGGCCACCCTCTCTTAATTCCAGCTACTGAAGAAGAGGAAAAGGGAAGGAGAAGGCATACCTCTTCTTTTAGCATGAACCAGGAGTTACACACATCACTTCATTCCTATCCCATTGGCTAGAATCTAGCCCACATGGCCACGCCTGGCTGCAACAGGGACTGAGAAACGTGGTCTTTATTCTAGGCAGATATACGGGCCAGCTAAAATTTCTATTAATATGGAAATAGGGAAGAATGCAAATTGTGGTTTAACTAGCAGCCCCTGGCACCCCACTCCACAAATGCTTATTGAGTGTAAGTAACTTATTATGGGGTATGAACTAAAGTTTCACTTTAGAGGATTTGAAACTACTTCATTTCACTAACACTATTTTATAAAATTTTATTTTAAAGGGAATCCAAGGTCCTATTGGTCCACCTGGTCCACAAGGGCCCGCAGGACAGGGCTTACCTGGTTCCAAGGTAACTTTGTAAATGAGAGCGGAGTTTAATATATCTATAGTATAATTGCTGTTTTCTGATCAGTGCCAGTGCAAGGGAAGACAGCAGGTAGAATGAACTTAAAAATCAGAGATCTCTACTTAATGCAAAATGTTACTGATATTCCTGACAATTTAGAAAATGTAATATGTATTCTTTATGCTTTAAGAAAGCTTTATTTACACAATTTTCATTTGTTGTTTTCTTTGTTACTTTTATTTATGAGATCCTATTCTACCAACTCAAACAGTAATATTAATAGAGGCAACCAGTGGTTATGTGTCTCTCTAGGTTGGCTAATTTTCATTCTCACCACCACTCTGACAGTAGGTGCAACTACTAAAACCTTAGCTAAAGAGATGGGGTCAGAAATGACCTAACAAATAAAAATGTTTTATTTACTTGGGAATCAAACTATCTCATAGATTGGAACTATTATTTTTTCCTTGAGGAGGAGCATGGCACTTATTTAACTAGTTATCCTTAATATTGCTTCTAAGAATCATGAATCATTGTTAAATAAATAAAATACTTCTCTGAGACTATTCACCTTAGAACACACTCCCTAGAGCTGTCCGTGTGAGAAGCTGCTCAATGGACCACTCTGACTATTCTTGAGAGTTTTGATTTGGGGCCTGCCTTGAAAGCTTGAGTTGCGTTCTCTGCTTATGACATTGCTCTTGATCAGCAGTTACCTTGGCTTTTCCTGTGCCAATTTTAGTTGTTCTAGAATGCAACTGCCTATCTTTTCCAGATACCCTCCACAAGGGGCTCCTTAAAATCAATTTTGAATATGCTATGTGGCCTATATTTTAAGTCAGACCATATATACATCAAACATTATGTACATTTTTCATTTACATATATATTCCAAATCTGGTGCAAATCCATCCCCCGAAGGGATTTCAGGCAATATATATGAATTGAGCACATGAAACTGTTTTACTTTGTTGATATAAGACAGGTTTTAGGAGATCAACAGCAGGAATATATTATTTTCACTTTGCTGCTGTATTAAACTCTTTTCTTACTAGGGAGAAGTAGGCCAAATGGGACCTACAGGCCCTCGAGGACCAGTGGGAATTGGAGTACAAGGTCCAAAGGTGAGTTGACTGCTGCTCAGAAGTGATATGATACTTTATGTAACATTATATAAGGTTTCCTTTATATCCAATTGCCTTACAGACTCTGTGTGTGTTATCTAACTCTACATAATGGGCTCCTTTTACTTTTTAAGTGCGGCTACTACTACTGCAAAAGCTATAATTACACGTATGGCTTGCTTTATTTTCCTCTTGGACAGTGCTGCTCTAAAATATATACTCCACTAGGGTGGCACTTTGTTTATCTTGGTTTATTATAGAATCCCCAGCTTTCGGGACATGATAGATTCTCAATAAATACTGCTGAATAAATGAACGAATACTTAGTTTACCCTTCACAGTTTCGATAAGTCATCCTGAAGTTATATAGGATCTAGAGAGCCAGTTGAGCGCTCAACTTCACCATTGTTCTGTTGTTGTCATATTCTTACGAGCATTTGAGTATTAGAAGAATATATAAGATGTAGGTCTAAGAAGAATATACATGTTACATACATAAACATGATTACAAAGGATAAAAAAGTATTAATATAGTAATAATAGCTGCCATTTTTACATGGTTTCCATGTGCTACACAGTATACTAAGTGCCAAGTTTGACATATGTTTATACATATGTGTAATATATGCCTCTGTGTATGTATGTATACAAACATATTATGTTATATATATGTCAATTGCAGAGAGGCAATATACGATATAGTAAGGCTCAGCCGTTAGAGTACCCAAGTTTAAATCTCAGTTTCACTACTTATGACGTGCAATCTTAAACTTACTTTAAAAAATGAAGTATTTCTGCTGGGCGTAGTGGCTCACACCTGTAATCCCAGCACTTTGGGAGGCCAAGGCGGGTGGATCACAAGGTCGAGAGATCGAGACCATCCTGGCCAACATGGTGAAACCCCGTCTCTACTAAAAATACAAAAATTAGCTGGGCGTATTGATGCGTGCTTGTAGTCCCAGCTACTAGGGTGGCTGAGGCGGGAGAACCACTTGAACTCAGGAGGCGGAGGTTGCAGTGAGCTGAGATCGCGCCACTGCACTCCAGCCTGGCGACGAAGTGAGACTCCATCTTAAAAAAAAAAAAAGAAGTATTTCAAATATACTCACCATACAGAGAATAATACAAAGAGCACCTATGTATTCCACGGCCCAGCTTTATCAAATGTTAATGTTTTACCACACTGACTCTAGACTTTTTAAAAGAAACATTGTAGGTGTGGCTGAAGGTCCCTGCTGGCACTCCCCAATCCCACTGCCCTCCCTTCTCTCCTCACACATAATCATTATTATGAATTTGGTGTTTATCATTCTTTTGAAGTTTTTATAATTTCCCACACATTTTTATCCATAAACCATATATCACTTTTTTTGTGTCCTTAAACTTTACATGATATATCATTCTGCAATATATTTATAGTCAGCCTTATGTTTTATTTGTGTTTTTGTATGCCTCTAATTCATTGATATTAATCGCGTTATAGTATTCCACTGTATGAAAATATCTCATTTTATATTTATTCATCTTCATGATGGTGGATATTTAAATTGCTTGTCATTCTTTTTGCTTTTGCCAACAATGCTGCCACAAACATTCTGTTTCCTTTTGCACACGTTGGAGGACAAGTTTCTTGACTTGTAGAAGATAGACAGTTAGAGGTAGAATGGGAAGATCATAGAGCGTGCGAGTCTTCAATTGTGATACTACCAAAATCTTGTCCAAAATGCTTGTGCCAGTTTACCTTCCTGCTAGCAGTAGGCGATGATGTTCCTTTCTCTAAATCTGTGCAAATATGAAGTGTGTACAAATATATCTTACTGTGTTATACAAACTGCAAATATCTTCTCCTAGGCTCTGACTTATTTTTTTCACTTAGAGTACTTCTTAGTATACAGAAGTTTTAAATTCTATATTTCTATCCCTTTGTGATTTGTGATTTTTGAATATTATTTTAAAACATTTCTTGACCTGAGATTGATAAAGATATTCTTATGCATTTTTCTGAAAATTTTAGTGTTTTGTTTTTAAAATTTAGGGATTTAACCCACATGGAATTTATTTTTGTGTATGGGTCAATGTAGGGATCTATTTTTTATTACTATAAATAAACAAGTACCCCAGAATCAGTTGTTGAATAGTCCATCTTTACCACACTGATTTGCAGTACCACCTCTTTCATATATGAAGCTTCCATATTTTGAGTATCAGTGCCTGAGCTGTGTATTCTACTCCATTTGTCTATTTATATCTCTCAGTGCTATTACCTCCTTGTCTTGATTATAATAGGTTTATAATATATTTTGTCATCTAAAAGGAAAAATACTCTCATCTTCTTTCTTGGTTATTATTGACTCTAAGATACATGTTTTAGGGTTGGCTTGTCATATTTAACAGGATACCCCATTTGGTTTGCACTAAATCTACAGATTAAATAGCAAGTCTTTCACACCACAGAGTAAAGCTGTAATTTTTCAAGAAAATATTTGTAATTTTCTCCATAAAGGTCTTGTATTTTTTTAGTTAAATTTATTTCCAGATACCTTGAAGAAATTTTTATAATTGTGAATTTTTTTTCTATATCTTTTAACTAACTAGTATAGGTCTATAGGAGAATTTTTTTGTTTTGTTTTGTTTTGTTTTTTGGCATGTTGATTTTGTATCCAGCCACCCTGTGAAATCTGTTTGTGGAATCTCTTGCTTTTTCAGTCCCTATGTACACAATCATACTGTCTGAATATAAAGTTTTGCCTATTATTTTTTAGCTCTTCTTTGATTTTTTTTTTATCATTTTGTACTGCTAGGATCACTTGTACAATGTTTAAAAGAAATGACTTCAAAAGAAGTGCTTCTAAAATTTCACTCTTAAGTGTGATGTTTGCTGAAAGTTTTTGATAGATACCCTTCATTAGGTTAAGGAAGCTTCCTTCTTTTTTGGTTGTACCAAAAGTTACTTATTAAATATAAATGATTACTGGATTTTATCAAATTATGCATCTACTAAGATAATTGTGTTGTTTTCCACTTTTAACTTGTTAATACGATACATTACATTTACAGAGTTTTCAGATGTCAAACCATCCTTGCATTCTTGAGATAAACTCAATTCATTATGTGTACTTTTTTATGATGATCATTCAACTGACTAATCTTTTATTCAGGATTTTTGCTTTTATTTTAATAACTGTATTATCTGATTGGCATATAATAAATGCACATGTTTAAAGTATACAATTTGATGTTTTGAGATATGTGTATACCCTTGGAATCATTACTGCAATCAAGATGATAAATATTTCTGTAACCCTCAGAAGTTACCATCTGTCCTTCTATCCCTCTGTAACTTCTTCTATGTTCACTAATAGGCTTCCCACAGATCTGCTTTCCAATTATCTGCTAACCATTGATCTGTTTTTTGTCATCATAGACTAGTTTGCATTTTCTAGATTTTTATGGAATTATATACTATATGATATTTTCTGGCTTCTTTTAATGCAGCAAAATCTAAGATCCATGTTGTAGCATATATATGAACAGTTCATTCCTTTGTATTGCTGAATAGTATTGTATTATATGGATATACCACAATTTATTTATCCATTCACCTGTGTATAAATTTTGTTTTTTTCCAGATTTGGAATATTATAAATAAAAATTTTAAATAAATTTTATAAATTTTTATAAATTTTATCATAAATAAAATGTTATAAATGAACATTTTTATATGTGTTTGTATGGACATTTGTTTTTATTTTTCTTGGGTAAACACCTAGAAGTCAAATGGCTAGGTCAGAAGGTAGGTATTCATTTAGCTTTCCAAGAAATTGCCAAATCAACTTCCAAAAAAAAAATCTTTGCTTATTATTTTTTCTGGTTATAGAATTATAGTGTGCAGTTGCTTTTTCTTCCTTTTAGTACTTTTAAGATGTTGTTCTATTGTCTTCTCACTTGCATTGTTTCTGATGAGAAATGTGTTGTTATCCTTATATTTGTTTCTCTACACAACATGTCTTTTTTTCTCTGGCTGCTTTTGAGATTTCCTGTACATCATGGGTTCTGAGTGGTGTGATTATAATGTGCCTTAGATATGTTTCTTGTGCTTGAAGTTCATTGGTATTCTTGGTTCACTGATATTCTTAGATCTATGAGTTATAGTTTTCATCAAATTTGGAAAATATTTGGCCAGTATTTCTTGAAATAGCAATTCCTCACCTCAGGAACTCCAGTGTTACTTATCTTTGGATTTTATTTTTGTTTTGAGATAGAGTCTCACTTTCACCAAGGCTGAAGTGCAGTGGCATGCTCTTGACTCACTGCAGCCTTGCCTCCTGGGTTCAAGAGATCCTAGTGCCTTAGCTTCCCATGTAGCTGGGATTACAGGCGGCACCACCACTCCTGGCTAATTTTTGTATTTTTTAGTAGAGATGGGCTTTAGTAATGTTGGCCTGGCTATTTGGATGTTTCAGGTTATTTCACAGTTCACTGGTGCTCTGCTCATTCTTTTTCAGTCTCTTTTCTCTCTGTGTTTAATTTAGGATAGCTTTTATTGCTATATGTGTTAGTTCACTAATCTTTTCTTCCATGACACTAATCAGCTTTTAATTCTGTCCAGTGTTTTTTATCTCATACATCATAATTTTCAAATCTAAAATTTTAATTTGTATCCTTCATATATCTTCCATTTGTCTATTTAACATGCTTTAAATTTCCTCTGGTTTCTTGACTGTATGGAGTATAGTCATAATAACTGTTTTAATGTTCTTACCTCCTAATTCTACTACTGGTGTTATTTCTGGATAAGTTTCAATCGATTGATTTTTCTCAACACAAAGTGCTATATTTTTCAGCCTTTTTGAACGCCTATTTTTTATTTTTAAATTAAATATTATTATTAATATTAATATTTTAAAAGATGGGGTCTTGCTATGTTGCCTAGGCTTGCTTTGAATTCTTGGGCTCAAGCTGTCTTCTTGCCTTAGCCTCCTGAGTAGTTGGGATTACAGGCATGTACAGGCTGAATACTTTTTTATTGAATGCCCCACATTGTGAATTTTACCTTTTATTGTGTTGGATATTTTTGTATTCCTCTATTTTGAGCTTTGTTCTTGGATGTTTTTTAGTTACTTGAAAACAGATTGACCCATTTGGGTCTTGCTTTTAAGTTTTATTAGGTAAGACTACAGCAACATTTAGTCTAGGGTTAATTTTTTCCCACTGTTGAGGTAAGACCCTTTTTAGAACTCCAATTTATGCCCTCAGAATTGTGAGGTTTTATTTCTTGCCAGTAGAAATAGGCACTATTCCTGGTTCAATGTCAGTTCTCTCTAATCCTTTAAGTTGGTTGTTTTCCTGGCCTTGGGTAGTTTCTTCACACACATGTACTGAGCAATATTCAGCTGAATACTCAAGATGGATGCTCAGCAGATACTTATAGTTTTCTCTGTGTAACTCTTTCTGGTAATCTACTCTGTGAACTTTTGATACCTTGGTTCACCCAGATGCATGTTTGTCTCCTTAGAGAGATGCCTGAACTTGCCCTGGTTTCTCAATCCCTGCATTATGACCTGGAAACTTTGTACAGGCACTGGAAGAAATTAAAGCATTTGATTGGAAGCTTAAATTGTGCTATGTCTCATAGGGAGAATGGTCTATAATTTTGTTTTCTTGTCTTGCCATTGTATAATTGTTTTTGAAAAGGCTTTATAAGCCTCATAAAATAAATTAGGTAGACGTCCCTCTTTTCTATTTTTTTTAGAAATGTTTGTATAAGATAGGGAATAACTGTTCTTCAAAAGTTTAGAAGTTTGGTAAGTCTTGACTGTAAAACCAACTAAGCTTGTGATCTTGGAGAGAGAGAAAGTAGAGACTTTTAATCACTGACTCAATTTATTTAATATTATTGGTTTATCTAGCTTGTTCATTTCTTTTTACAGCATTTATATAATTCATATTTTTCTCAAAGATTATTATTGTTTTCCAATACATTTGAAAAAATTATCACCAATTTTCTATGACTTAAAACATTTTTACTATATATATAGTTATGTCTTTCATTTTTGATATTGTTTATTGATATCTTTTAAAAAACCTATTATTCTAGGTTTTTTCTCATCATTCCTATTAGAAATTTATTTACTTTTATTAGTTTTTAAAAAGGCATTACTGGCCAGGCACGGTGGCTCACACCTGTAATCCCAGCACTTTGGGAGGCTGAGGCAGGCGGATCACCTGAGGTCAGGAGGTCAAGAACAGCCTGACCAACATGGAGAAAGCCCGTCTCTACTGAAAATACAAAATTAGCCAGGTGTGGTGGCACATGCCTGTAATCCCAGCTACTCAGGAGGCTGAGGCAGGAGAATCACTTGAACCCGGGAGGCGGAGGTAGCGGTGAGCTGAGATCATACCACTGAACAAGCCTGGTCAACAAGAACGAAACTCCATCTCAAAAAAAAAAAAAAGGCATTAAGTTTTATGAATCTTCTTACTTTTTGTTTTCAAGTTTATTATTTTCTTCTCTCATCTTTATCATTCCATCTACTTAGTGTTAGATTTACTGTGCTTTTTTTCACTGGCTTGTTTAGGTTAGTTGAAGTTGCTTTCAATTATTTTCCATTTTGTTGCTATTAATAAATGCCATAAAGATGCTTTAAACTGATTGAAAGTAGCATATTTTTTTCCTGAACATTTTAAAGGATTTATTACTAATCGTAAATTAACTCGAAAGCAAGTGGAATTACTGAATATTAGAGCTGGAAGTGTTGTTAGGGCACAAATTTGTTATTTCACTTTTATATTAGTTTTCTAGAGCTGATGTAAGAAAGTACTAGGAACTGAGTGCCTTAATACAACAGAAATTTATTGTCTCTCAGTTCTAGAGGCTAGAAGTCCAAAATCAGTCTGCAGGGTTATGCTTCTTCCAAAACCTGTAAGGGAGATTGCTTCCTGGTCTCATCTTAGCTTCTCAGGGTGTCTGTCAATCCTTGGCATGCCTTGCCTAGCAGACGCTCACTCCAGTCTTTGCCTCTCTTATCACATGGTGCTCTCCCTGTGTGTCTGTCTTCAAGAGGCATTTTCCTCTTCTTATAGTACCCGTTGTATTAGTCCATTCTCTCATTGCTTTAAATAACTACCTGAGACTGGGTAATTTATAAAGAAAATAGGTTTAATTGACTTACAGTTCTGCAGGCTGCACAGGAAGCATGATGCTGGCATCTGCTTGACTTTTGGGGAGGCCTCAGGAAACTTACAATCCTGGCAAAAGGTGAAGGGGAAGCAGGCACATCTTCACATGGAGGAGCAGGAGAGTGAGAGAGAGTGAAGTGGGGCATGCTACACACACATTTTTAAACAACCAGATATCATGAGAACTCTATTATAAGAACAGCAAGGGGGAGGTCCACCCCCATAACTCAATCACCTCCTACCAGGCCCCTCCTCCAACACTGGGAATTACAATTCAAATAAGATTTGGGTGGGGACACAGAGCCAAATTATATCACCTTTTATACTGAATTAGGGCCCCCCTGTAATGACTTCATTTTAACTTGATTAAATCTGCAAAGACCATGTTTCCAATTAAGGTTACATTCACAGGTACAAAGAGTTAGGATGTCAACATATCTTTTTGGGGTCACAATTCAGCCCATAAAAATAGAATCAAAAACTAAGGCCTAGGGATGTTAAGTAGCTTCCCAAGATCAAATAGTTTAGTATTAATTGCTAATGAGATTTCTCGGAGGCTTTTCTCAGACACTGTAAGATACATCCAATTGCAAGTACCTCAGAATGGAGGTATGAACTTTAGGGAAATAAAATATTTGTTCATTCACCAGGGAGAGCCAGGCTCAATAGGGCTCCCAGGACAACCAGGAGTACCAGGAGAAGATGGAGCTGCAGGGAAGAAGGTAACACCAAGTTTTTCGTATTACTGGAGTAGGAACTGTTGAACCAAACTGATATCTTGGTCCTGCAGGAGCTCGAATAAAACCATTCAGGACAAACTTAGTTTCTTTAAGAAAAAATATCTCACAATCCCAAATGTCCCTTTCCACTTCTCCCTGAGAGAAGGAGTGGCCTATTCAAAGGCTGAGATAGTGTCTCACATCCTCTGCCTTCTGTCTGGTGTTTTGGTTATGGCCTAGTTTCTTCAGGATTTCTAGAAAGCACATTAATTTAAACTTAAGAGAAAGCCACTCCCCCCGCCTCCCCCTAAGAGGCAAGTCTGTAAATGCATACAGGAAATAAGGCCTTTGTAAAGATTTCCTGAAGTATTTTGTGTTGACATTTGAAATACTCATTTTTCAGTAAAAGTAGCAAAAAAAAAAAAAAAAAAAAACAGCAGATGGAAAGGCTGAAGGTCTTCCCTGTTTTTTAAAAAATCTACCAAATGCGAATGAAGAGCCAAAAGAAAATGAGCTTATTGCTTTGGAAATTGGCTGATAAATTACTTTTTCATGATATTGCAGCTGCTCTGAGTTAAACTGGAGTTTGATGTTACTTTATTTCAAGTTTATAAACTTCCAAATTGATTTTGAGACTAGAGTGAAGGTATGGTGTGTTTTGGAGAGTCTCAGCTGAATCCACTAATGATAAAAGGAGACAAGGTGGGATGATACGTACAGTCTGTCTACTGGAGGGTCAGCTAACACATCAGTGTCATTTTCTCTAGGGAGAAGCGGGGCTTCCGGGAGCAAGAGGCCCAGAAGGACCACCTGGAAAAGGACAGCCTGGCCCCAAGGTATGGAAATGACAGTGTTGGTGGAAGCAGCCTGTGTTCTGGTCCTCATACTGAGGAGCCAACTTAGAAGAAATTTGATTGTTATTCTTACTATGTCAATGTGTTTATGTCTGGCTTAAAAGTATGAATACTGTCTTGGAAGCTTTTGGAAGACAGCAAGCGTATATGATTCACTTTTATTTTCCTAACGTCTATTGTAAGACCCAGCATAGAGAAGAGTTTGACACACGTTTTCTCAATAAATGGTCAGATTGACATTTAAAAAACACATAGGAAGGAAAAGAAGCCTTGAGATACATCGTTGAGATTTGACAGTCCATAAATTTTCTTTATAAAATCTCATGCAATAAGAAATATCACTTTATTGAATGGCCATTTCACTTCACAACTTGGCATAAATCTATTTTAACCACTGTAGAAATGCTAGTTGAATAACATTTTTATATGTTAAGATGAGACTATACAAATTCATCAATAGGATAAGACAACTAGTGACATAACCTATAGCCCCTAAGATTCCAGGTCTTCCTGCAATTTTTTTTTTTTTTTTGAGACGGAGTCTCACTCTGTCCCACAGGCTGGAGTGCAGTGGCACGATCTTGGCTCACTACAACCTCCGCCTCCCGGGTTCAAGCGATTTTCCTGCCTCAGCCTCCCAAGCAGCTGGGACTACAGGTGTGTGCCACCACACCCAGCTAATTTTTGTATTTTTAGTAGAGATGGGGTTTCACCATATTGGCCAGGCTGGTCTGGAACTCCTGACCTCATGATCCACCTGCCTCAGCCTCCCAAAGTGCTGGGATTATGGGTGTGAGCCACCGCGCCTGGGCTTCTTTCTATTTTTATGTGTAGTTATCAATTCCCATGTAAAGATTGTTATGGATTATATACAAGTCAAGTAAAAATAAAATTTGTATACATATTAGTGTTCTGTTCATAATTCTACTAAAATAGTAATTGATGTCTTGTGAACATACTCACTAAAATTGAATCCTTAATCTTAAATGTGAGGACATGAAATTTAAATATATTTGTAGGCTTTTAAACATTTTTGTTTATTGATTTACCAGTCTCGGGGATCCTTTTTGGGTGAGGTGGAGGGGATAACATCATCACGTGAAATATACTTTTAGAAATGCCGATCTGCTAACATTCAGGAGAATTGTTTTTAGGATGTGTTTTTGGAAAATAGGCGCTTGGAGTTAATAATTGAAGCCGTGAGAATGAACAATGTCTCTAAGGAAGAGAGTTGAGGTTTAAACCCCACATTGTGAGGTAGCTGGAGAACAACAACTCTACAGAATAGGCAGAATGGTAGCATGTTAGGGATACTGAGGAGAAAGGATTTCAAGATGAAAGCAATGGGTGGTATCAGATGCCACCAATAAGGCAAGAAGAATGTGCATTGGAAAGAGAGGCTACTGAATTTGTGGCTTGAGGTGACTTGTGGCTTATGAAAGCCTATTGGAGAAGAGTGGTAGGAACATGTTACATAGCCCAGGTATACCATGGTTCAGTGTTGGCGATTTATTACATGTAATTGGGTTCCTGCTGTTCATTTCTGGGGTGATTTAGGTCAATAACCTAAATTAGTGGTAGTGGAGGGAAGAAAATAAAGAGTTGTGGTTGAATTTTGTCTCTACTGGTAAGTGATAATGATATAAGATATTTGGACATTCAACTCTTTTTTTTTACACCGGTGCCACTGCTTTACATTAGTGTGGACCATGGAAACCTCTGTGGATTCTACAGGAGGTCATCTCTTCTTAATAAAGTGCCTGCTTTGCTGATGACCTTAGTATAGTCTAATGATTCTCAAAGTGTGGTCCCTGAACCAGCAGCATCAGCATCACCTGGGAATGTTAAAAATGCAAATGTTTGGACCTCAGTGCAGACCTACTAAATCAGAAACTCTGGGTGGAGGGCCCAGCAATCTGTGGTCTAACAAGCTCTCCAGGTGATTCTGTTGCTCAACTTTAAAAACCATGGTATAGTAATTTATAGTATAAATATTTAAATAGCCTCAGCTGCAGACCACGAGGAATTTTTTTTTTTTTTTTCGTTTGTTGAGCTGTGTACATCCCTGGATATGGCGCCTTGCAGTTGAACCCTAGTTGAAAGATAGTTTTGAAGGTAAAGGAATTCTTTTGGGAGAGCACTGTTTTACACAACCCTGCTGGGCAACATCTAGTAGTCAGTTCCTAGCTCTGCCCCAGGTTAATGCTCAAGCATCTTCCTGCCAATAAAACTATTGGTCTCTTTTGGGGGAAAGAATTAGACTCCCCAGTGAGGACGAAATAGGGCTGTGATTTTTAAAATGTCTCATTTCATCTTTTAAACCTGAAATAGAAAAATTGAAAAACAGCATGAAAAAGCATAGATAGTACTCATTTCTGAAACTGTGAATGTCTCAGAACCATCTGTTAATAGACCAAGGGTGAAAATGAACTATAAATTCAAACAAAAGTTCCAAAAGAAAGATACAAAACTTAGATTTTTGAAAAATAGCAAATCATATTGAATAAATAGTAAAGGCTGAACAATCTGAAGTCATCTGATCTCCTCAAGAACATTGACGAATCCTGCGCAATTGAGCTGTGCTCAGGGCACACCACTTTAAAATTGGTATTAGTCGAGAATCCGGCTCCGCTATGGTCCTTGCTAGATTAGGGGAGGTTGCTAATACCATACGAAAATCTATATTTTCATAATTATTTTGTTAGGGTGACGAAGGCAAGAAAGGGAGCAAAGGAAATCAAGGACAGAGGGGACTTCCAGGGCCCGAAGGACCAAAGGTATGTTTCTTGTATTCTGACTTACGCTTTGAGGAGTTTGTATTGTGTCTGGTTTTAATATAGTATTAAATTTCCACTGAAAATTGGATTCCTTGTTTCCTTCCCAACAAGTACAAAACAAATACCCCAAAATAAGAAACCTATAGAAAACATACTATTCCCAGACCACAATAGAATGGAATAGATTGCATAAAATATGTAATACTCATAGAAATACTTATGTTCCTAATTTGTCTGTCAGTCCTCTCTAGTAACAACCAAATATTCAGAAGTTGGGATAAAATTGGGACCATAGGAGCTATCAGTTCTTCATAATCTTGCTTTGCTAAACAACCCAAAAGCCTGAGAGTGAGAGGCAGCACAGTGATGATGAAGGCTCTTCTTTGGAAGGCTGATTGCATCCTCCTGTGCCATGAACCTCTTGGAGCAAGTCGCTTCAATTATAGAAAGAAGATAACGATATGCTCTATTTCACAGAGTTGTTGTGAAGACTAAAAGAGTTAATAAAGCACTTAGCACATTTCCTGGTATATAGTAAGTGTTGAATACATCGAATTATTCAGAGAAAAAAATCAATATGGTGAAATGGGAAGTAGGGGATCTATGTCCTGGTAAATTGTTGATAACACAGTGCTGAGGAAGAAGCGAAGGGGATTGTGAGGTGAGCAATTAAGTATGTGTCCTGACTTAGCCTCAGAGACCCACCATTAAGGTCATTTGAATGTGTCAGGAAACAGAAACTGCAAACGTAAGAGAGTTCATGTCTCTAGAAAGATACTAATTGTGAGAAAGAGACAAGGAGTATATTTTAGGACCAGATGATTAAAAAGCACATTTTTAAAAAATGGTGCTGACAACATCAGATACAAAACATCACCTGTACACCAGTGACTCTTAAACTTCAGTGTCCATTCAGTGTCCATCGGTATCACCTGGGGATGATTACAAATCCAGATTTCTTGTTACCATCCTCAGCTCTCTGGATTCAGTGGTGAGTGAGCCCAGGAATCTGTGCTTCTCAAGTAAATGCCCTGTGCTGCAGGGAGTTCAGGAAGCACATTATGAGAAGTGCCACTATGTAACAGATGTGTTGTATTAGTATTAATAACAGATTAGTCTTTATGTCCTAGTTACTCTATTTCAAAGTGAACATTTTTCTGTGTTTTGAAATAAAGCTGTTTTTAAAGATGAAGGTGAAGAATTGCCATATGTTAAAGCATAATCACCCCTTAATACAGGGTATTTGAGACCTGTATTTTAATACTCTCCATGATACTTTTCATGGTATAAAAGTAATTGACCTCTTTTTTTGAAAAAAGAAGTAAAATTAAATCTAGAGACATAATTTTGATTTTCCTTTGGTTTTAGTGAAGAATTTTAACAGGTTCATGTTCTGTTCCTTTGTCAAAGGCTTGGATGGGGTTTTTTTGTGTTTCCCGATTCTTGTCATGTCCTGTGCCATTGCCTTCCAGGTTTGGATTTAAGGACTGGCACATACATGCCTTGGCAAGAACTGGGTCTCAGTGGGCCAGTGTGCTCAGCTTGTTGGTTGTATTGGCTAATCAATACAGCGGGAGGCTTCAGCTCTGAAGATGAACACGGCCCTGGGCAGGAGTCATCACTGGTGAATCTGACTGATGGAGTCCCTGCTGGAGGAAGCAGGATGACTGAAAAGGAAGCTCATGCAATTGAATTTTCAGAGGACATGAGTCAGACGGAGGCAGGAGTAGTCAGCAGTCTGAAAACCTAGAGGGTCATGTTTAGACATAGCATAGATACAGCTCATTCTCCACGACTCATCTCCACAGTGTTTTTTGTTTGTTTGTTTTGGTAAAGGTCCAGATAGTAAATATTTTAGGTCCTGTGGCCCAAGAGGCAAAATGGAAGATATTTAGTTATTTGTATAATGACCACTTGAAAATGTGAAAGCCGTTCATAGCTCAAGGCTGTACAAAACAAGGGGGTGGGCTGGATTTGGCCCACCTACCGTAGAGAAGTAGTTTCCAAACTGTTTTGATTATAAACCCCTCCAGTAAAATTTTGATCACATGCCACAGATTTTTAATTTTTTAATTGTAATTTCTGTTTATAAGCTATCATACTAATATGTTATGAATTTATATAAATGAAATTTTAATTGATGAGATAAAAATATAGAGACAAGTTGTAATATTTTCTTTATATCCCAGTGGGTCATTTGGAACACCTTGCGGTGTGCGGTGACAATTGCTCTGGAATAGTGTTTTTCACCAGGGGTGCTTCATAAAATTTCGTAATCCTGGGCCCCAACCTCTAGAGCTATTGAATCAGAATCTCTGGAGTTTGAACCCAGAACTGTGCATTACCAAACTTTCCTGATAATTCCTCTGCTTCTAAAATCTGAGAATCACTTGTCTAGATCCAGATGGAACAGGAGAATTACCTGTTGCTCCAGATTGAGTCTTTGAGACTCTAAATATTAGACATCTCCCCCACTAAATGTTTAAAATTTTCTATTAAAAATGTCATTTTTTTAAAATCATAGGGGTTCTTTTTTTTGAGACAGCGTTTTGCTCTGTTGGTCAGGCTGGAGTGCAGTGATGCGATCTCAGCTCACTGCAACCTCTGCGTCCAGGGTTTGAGTGATTCTCCTGCCTCAGCCTCTTGAGTAGCTGGGATTACAGGCACATGCCACCATGTCTGGCTAATTTTGGCTATTTTTTTTTTTTTGTATTTTTAGTAGCGATGGGGTTTTGCCATGTTGGCCAGGCTGGCCTCAAAACTCCTGACCTCAAGTGATCCGCCAGCCTCGGCCTCCCAAAGGCTGGGATTACAGGTGTGAGCCACCACACCCAGCCCATAGGGGTTCTACTTCTTAAAAAGGATGTGAGATAACATGGAATGGAAGACTATTTTACCTTTGGTCATTAAAATAAAACAACAAAGAAAAAAGAGTTATAACCTAGAAGTACACCCTAAAACATTTGCTGAAGATAATTGCTATATTGAAAAAAAAATTCTCTTTGAGCTTCCCAACATACAACACAAAAAGGAAGCACCATGAATTGCATAATTTTTATTAGCTAATAAGAGGCTGCACAAGAGATAAAATGTTCCTAACATTCAGTGATTAATTGAACATAGTTATTTAAAAGCACTGAAATCTTACTAGTCAATAACTAGCAGTGGTTACAAAAGATGCTCAAATTATTTTCACATTGGTCTTTGAAACAGATAGAGGTCATAACATAATTTAAAAATCTGCAGACATTTCTGTACTTTTCTTAATATTGTCTCTATATGTGCTTTCTCTGCTTGAAATGTAGTGAGCATTTTGCTCTTTTTAAGGGTGAACCGGGCATTATGGGCCCTTTTGGAATGCCTGGAACATCAATTCCTGGACCACCTGGGCCAAAGGTATATATTCTTGGAGATTATTTTCTTTTTCTTGACCCTTTGGCAGTTGGAGAAAAAAAAATCATGATACCAGTGAACTAGAATTTTAGTTTTGGAAGAGCCTTAGAAATGATTCCGTTTAACTCTGAAACTTCACAGATAAGCAAACTACAGCCAGCAGCAGAGTTAAGACTAGAAACCAGATTTTGTGCTCTTGGTCCCAAGCTTGTCACTTTACCCTTCATTACGTCTTCCAAATCCTAAACCCTAATGCAGGTAAGAATTTAGAACATTTATTCAGAAGAATCTACCAGGATTTATAATTGAAGAGTTTAGCAGAAGAGATATCCACTCAGGTTGGTTGACTGGTTTATTTTTTGAGACAGTCTCACTCTTTCCCCTAGGCTGGAGTGCAGTGCTGCGATCTTGTCTCACTGCAACCTCCACTTCTTGGGGTCAAGTGATTCTCTTGCCTCAGCCACCCAAATAGCTGGGATTACAGATGTGCCACCATGCCTGGCTAATTTTTGTGCTTTTAGTAGAGACGGGGTTTTGCCATGTTGGCCGGGCTCATCTTGAACTCCTGGATTCAAGTGACCCGCCTGCCTTGGCCTCCCAAGGTGTTGGAATTATAGGTGTGAGCCACTGTGCCTGGCCTTCACTCAATTTTAAGAGCATTCTCAGCCATTCTTAAAGTCGAAATATTTGAGTCTGAATTGCCACATATTATTTCAATGGACTTTCTCCCAACAGCAGTAATAGTCTTTACTGACAGGTGTTATTTACTTAGGATTTGAAAGTCCCCTCAAATATGTTTGAAGAATATACTATCTCAAGGTCTGAGATGGACAGATTAAGCTCTTTACAGAGTGGCCAATGGTTTTTTTTGCTATGTGTGCTTGTGATTTCTCGCACAACTGTAGCCTGTGAAATGTTATTTGAAATGTACAGGGAGATAGAGGAGGACCTGGGATACCTGGATTTAAGGGAGAACCTGGACTTTCTATTCGAGGACCAAAGGTATGCTTTATTCATGTTCTTTTTGTTTTTCTGTATCTGAAATAAATGAAGGTAGATTTAATGCATAAGTTGATTTTTCTACTTGTGAGGTTTCTACATTGATTAACTAAAATGTAAGAATATAGCTATTCCCTTTTTTTAAAAAAACAAGCAATCACATAGTTTATTTTTCATACTTGTGGGGAAAAGTAGCTCTTATGGTTAAATTTTTGCTGATTAGACAATTGTTTGAAAAATGCTCTTTTGCACTGTCAGTGATACAAGGCATTAAATGGCCTCTGGCCTCTTCATTTACATATTAGTGGCTGAAGTATCTATTCTGCAAAACATTGTCCAAAAAAGCGTGTGTGCTTGGAAGCTTTGCTGAATAAAAATTTCCTGCTTTATTTATCCTTTTGAGTTATTTCAAAGGGAAAGACAAATAAGAAGAAACCAGGTTTCTGTAATCATATCTGGTTTTTCATGGCAACGAAGCACCATTTTTCCTCCTCACACTATACCCAGCACCACAGCAAAATTCAGCATGTATAGCATTCCTAGGTGTCAACCAGCATATCTCTGTTTATGAGGACAAGCTTCAGGGCCCCATCATTAGCACTTTTAAAATCAATAGCATGTTGTTACGTAGCTTTGAAACTTGCTTATATTCTCCCATACTAAGTTGTCTTATCTAGATAAAAGGGTTCAAGTACTAAACTGATGACCTTCAAAGTTAAAAGAAGAAAACATGGAGTCATTTTTTAAATAAAATATGATGCAAAACCTGTTGTATAAAAACTGACATAAATTGGAGTGGTTCTTTTTAAAGGTAAAGGGAGAATCTTGAGCCTCTCCTGTTTTTATTGCTTTAACAGTCCTCC
This sequence comes from Homo sapiens, assembly GCF_000001405.40. Lineage (NCBI taxonomy): Eukaryota > Metazoa > Chordata > Mammalia > Primates > Hominidae > Homo > Homo sapiens. Next base: position 7,435,534 of record NC_000007.14, on the reverse strand, counting down.
CTGCTAGAGTGACAGCTGCCCTAGTTTGCCCGGGATTGAAGGGGTTCCTGGAACGCATGACTTTCCGGGCTAAAACTGGGAAAATCTTGGGCAAACTTGGACGAATTGTTCGTCTACTTCCCACAGATCCCAAGGTAACCCAAACTATGTAGACCACTCTCTTTAGAAACACAAGCTATATAGACAGCTCATGGGGACAATAGCAAATTTTCTAATTTGAAAACTGCAGCTATGACCTTGATCAATTATATTTGCATGACAATTTTGATAGATTGAAGCTGTGTATTCACAATCCGATTTATACATCTCTCTCTACATATACTTCTGTTTGCAATAGGAATACAATCCAATTAAATGTGCTGCTAGAGTTTATAGGCCTCACCTGTTTTCTGTTGATGATTATTAGGCATTATAGGTGATGGTATTTAAAGATATTTGCCTCTTCACTCAATCATTTTGCTACTCCCCTGGACTCTAATGATACTCTTTCTGTTGTTCTTCCCTAGTTCATTAGTTTTTCAGTTTTGGGAGGGTCATACACACCTTTGAAGGTCTGACGGAAGATTTAGCACATTAATTTCATTTTATGTAATACTTCAGGGGTCTCCCAGATGCCCCCTAAAGCTGATTTCAAAATACTAGGTTTCCATTTTTACCCTAATTTCTATTGAATGAGAGAAACACTTTGAAGTAAATAACTTTGTAGGACATTTCCTTGAATCCAGTACAGAAAAGCCAAGTGGCAAAATTCCATCTATAAAAATATGGTAAGGAGTCCAAAATAAAAACCTGCTCCTCCTCTTGCTCCTTGATATTTCCTGTTAATAATAGAAGTAACAAGCTACCTGAGATTTTTGCAGGAGCAAGGACAAAGATCTCTATAAAAAGGATGTTTGTAAACTGTGAGTGTTTGCATGGTTTTCCCCTCCGCTGTGGTGTCAGACGTTAAACAAGAGCAGCTGCTGACAATTTGTTCTAAGTTTGGACTGTAGAAATAAAAACTGAAAAGTAAATTTTGATTCCAATTTTCTTTTCCTTTTAATTCAACCGGGGAGCTGTTACTGCTTTAGTTTGTTGTTGGCCCTCTCCTTGTGTAAACATGGAGATAAGTGGAAAACTTATTTTGGGACAAGTTTCATATGCAGATGTTTAGAGCTTCATCCTTAAATGTAACTGGAATAGCATAAAAAATTGGTTCTGAGAAGTGACCAGTTCCCCATAGTTGGAATACACCCAAATTTACCTGTCCTGAAGACCATGGGCTTCCTTTCTCTCATTCAACTTTAAAAAATCACCTTGAGTTTTTGTTGATGATGAATAGTAGGTTAAATTTTTATAAGTGGCCACATATTTCCTAAAGATGATCATTCTTAAGAAGGTTAACCACATAAAAACAGCCTTTTAGATTTAATAGGAAATAACAGCTGTTGCATTCTTGGTTTTTAAAATAAAGTTTCTGATTGCTTAAAGAGTATATAAAAAATTTTCCCCTGTTCCCAGTCAATTATTCATTTATTGGAGTATAGTTGAGAATAGTTTTTGAGAGTTGGACTTTGGGCAGTATTTTCACTTGGAATAATGGCAATTTGATCTCCGAGTTTGTTTGCATATGAGGAAAGTTCTTAAGAGTCCTGCTACTTTCTTTCTCCATTCTTGCAAAACAAAGGTCTGCCTGTTGTTAGAGTTTCCTCCCAATATAAAGAAAAACCATAAATATTTTAAAACATGAGCAGCTCTTTATCAAAACAAGGGCTGCATATTGACAAGGGCTGTTGTAAGAGTCATCAACAACAGATCGGTGTAACAGATCAGTGGAATATGTTGTAAAAAGAAGTATTACAAGTTTTAAATAAAAGTGTAATGGACTTGTAGGTAATCTTTTTTTTTTTTTTTTTTTAAATGAGACAGAGCCTTGCTCTGTCGCCCAGGCTGGAGCACAGTAGTGTGATCTCTTCTCACTGCAGCCTCAGCTTCCCAGGTTCAAGCAATTCTCCTGCCTCAGCCTCCTGAGTAGCTGGGATTACAGGCACCCGCCACCATGCCCAGCTAATTTTTGTATTTTTAGTAGAGACGGGGTTTCACCGTGTTGGCCAGGCTGGTCTTGAACTCCTGACCTGGTGATCCACCCACCTCAGCTTCCCAAAGTGCTGGGATTACAGGCGTGAGCCACCGCACCCGGCCACTTGTAGGTAATCTTCTAAAAGATCCTTCTTAATTTTTTTCTCTCCCCCCGTTTTACTTGAGTCAGAAATTTTCTGATTGCTGTTTGTGAGACAGTTACAAGTCTTAGAAAACTCTGTTGTCTAAAGGACAATAATCACCCCTCCCTGCTCTTTCTGTAGGAGACTAAGGGCTGTTACTAAAAGTTTTTGATGCCTAAGGTCATCACTGTAAAACAATATTTACAACTTTTCCCTAGGTCTCAAGATATGAGTCACAAACTCTATCCCTTCATAACTTGTTTTTGAAAAATTAATGTGTTTTTATTTTCATCTGGGTTTATTTATTCCCCGTATAATTCGGGCCCCATTAATGAAGAGAATAGATTTAACGCAACAATAGGAAACTAGTTATCCCACACTCAAAATTTTGCTATGTATTCTTTTCTACTCTTCTCACATTGTGCTTAATAAATTTTCTTTTTTATACTTCTTCTTGATTTACGATGCACTAAAAATTTATAATTTTAAGAATTAAAGTACTAGCAATAAGTCATTTTCTAACTCCCGGGTTAGAAATCGACCGTTGGCATATTGAGTTGGTGTTATGCTTAAGTTTGACCAGGTGTTTTCTAGTTGAGTCTCATGATATCACTGATGTTGGAATTTACCCAGGGTGTCCAAGGCCCTCGGGGACCAGTGGGTGCTCCAGGACTCAAAGGTGATGGCTATCCTGGTGTGCCTGTAAGTGGGACATTTTTTTCTTCCCTCCCTCCTTTTTGAGTGTTGCATACTACAAGGATGCTCACTCCCTCCCTTACTGTGTCATCTCAGGGACCTCGTGGATTACCAGGACCCCCTGGGCCGATGGGTTTACGTGGAGTGGGAGACACTGGAGCAAAGGTAAGACTTTAAAGTAGGCAACGTACTAGCTTCTAAGAGTGCACCTATAGGTAGGTGACTTTGGTAAAAATAAAATTTTTTATCAGCTAGAAGAGTAGAGGTGTCTGAAATAATTGATAAAGTTATTTGCCCTTATCTATAGACTTCCTGGGGAACTAATCTGAACATGTAGACTAACTTTATGGTTTGGGTCCTCCTTCTCTGATAGCAACTCGCATTCCTTTGCTGCTTCCTCTTCTTATACCAAGATCAGGGTACAAGTCGGAGATCTCCTCTCTCCTCTAGCCATACTCTTTCCCTAGATACTCTCGTCCAGCCCCATGGCTTTAACCACTGTCCACACACTGATGACTTCCAAATACCTATCTTTTCTCCCTTAAAATCTGGTCTCATGTATCTAATTTCCTACCATGTATCCCCTCTTGGGCTTCTCACAAACATCTCTAATTTAAAATAATCCAAAATAAGATCCTTGATTTTTGCCCCATAACCCTGCAAATGGCTCTTCCATGCTCAAGCCAGAAGGATTAAGCATCATCCTTTGTTCCTTCCTTTCCTTCTCCTTCCTCCACACCTAGTCCTTTGGTAAATCCTGTCAATGCTACCGCCAAAATATATCTCAACTCTGGCTCCTTTTTTTCTTTCTGCTTCTGCCAGGCAGACAATGTCATCTCTTACGTGGGCTGTAAAAATAGCCTCTTCATTGGTCTTCCCTCTGTTCCACCTCTGTCCTCCTATAACTTAGCAGGAAGAGTGGTCTTTTAAAACCGTAAATCAGAGCATATACCATTCCTTCCTAGAAACACCCTGGTGGCTTCTCTTTCAGACTTTGAACACTTCCCATGGCCTTGAAGATCCTTCATGCCCCGACTGCAGCTTCTGTCATTTCTCCCTGGCTGCCGACATTCAGCCAAAATGGCCTGCCCTACTTCAGCTCATTCCTGCATCAGGGACTCGCCAGGATGGCTGATTATTAAAAGCTTAGCTCAAATGTCACCTCCCCGACCACCCATACAGAAAGCATTACTACCCCAACCCCTCTGTATGTTTTCCATGTAGCGTGTATCACTTTCTGAGATCATCTTCCTCATTTATTTCTCTGCATATTCCATGAGAGTGAAGGTTTTCCTGGAGCAGGCTTCTTGCTTTGTTCCCTCCTAACTTCATGTCACCAGAACTAGGTGTACCATTCAGTAGGAGCTCTACAACTTGTTGAATGAATGGAAAATGAATAAATGATCAATATTACCCTAAAGGGAGAATTTTTCCTTTGAAATATATCTACTTACTTTTTTGAATGTTTCCAGGTCATTAGAGAGAAAAGATGTTGTACGTGCTTAATGCCAACTTCTCCCCTTGGTTTTTGCCCCTGCCACAAAATTTAGAAGTGCCTCTTTGCCCTCTCCCAGGTGGAATAAAAGATTGGAGACCCATGGCACTAAATTTCATCTTTAAAAGGGAATCTTGATAGCTGCCACATTCTGCTTCTGGGGGTAATGATGAGAGTCCAATGAGGATGTATCTGGAAGTGCTGTGTACACTGTACAGACAGGACAAACCCGAGGTGCTTCGATGAAGGATCTGGCTTGGTCTGACTCAGGACTACATCAGATCCTTGAATAAGCCTCAACTGTATCAATAAACTGCACCAAATTTGGGTACTGATGTATTCTTTTTTCTTTAAGGCATAGCACCTGTCAAAATCCTAAAATTAAAAAAAATAGAGAAATTCAATAGGTAAACCTCATTATCTTACGCTGTGAGTGAAACAATGGTAAAAACTTGTATATTGAATATTTAGGGAAGTAGAAGCTTATTTCTATGTAAAATAAAACATGAAATAAAATATGTTAAATATATACTAGAATATGTGTATTCCAATGGAAACAGATGATCATTTACATTTTCACAGAGTAGATTATTATGAATTTTTTATATAACTAGACATGATGTTATATTAAATTATACGATTATGTTACTGCTTTACATTGAGCAATAATAATAAATACAGGCACTTAGGCACAGATAAAGAACACTTAAAAAACTAGCCAGGTGTGGTGGCTCATGCCTGTAATTCCAGCACTTTGGGAGGCTGAGGTGGGCAGATCACCTGAGGTCAGGAGTTTGAGACCAGCCTGGCTAACATGGTGAAACCCCGTCTCTACTAAAAATACAAAAATTAGCTGGGCGTGGTGGTGGGCGCCTATAATCCCAGCTGCTCAGGAGGCCGAGGCAGGAGAATTGCTTGAACCCGGGAGGCGGAGGTTGCAGTGAGCTGAGATCGCACCACTGCACTCCAGCCTGGGCGACAGAGCGAAACTCCATTTCAAAAAAAAAGAACATAAAAAACCCAATTCTTATGAATATTTCACTGTGTCAGATTATCTAAGATACAGACTAAAACATTTACTAAATGATTGCATATGCCATTTTCCTCCAAAAGTCCCCTGTATTTGCCTTCGTCTACATTTTAGGGGGAAAAAGGTAAGAAACAAAGGGTTCAAAACTTCATCTTGCCTATTGTTTTTTTTGAAATGGCTAATATGCTGCCAGAAGATGTATCTTAAGTGAAACTCCCATTGTCTGAGTGAGCCCACGCGGAAGGCTGAGTGGAAGCGGCAGTCCATGGTTTGCTTCCAGCTGCAGGCAGAGCCCGGGGGAGAAGAGTACTAGGTAGGACCTACCTGTCTGCACGCCTCCCTCTCACCTGCTTTTCCTTCCTTCCATTGCTTCTTGTCTCTTCCCATGGAAATTGTGTTGTTCAGAATTTCTCTAGCCCTGGAAGGAGATGTTAGGAGGGTGAGCTGGTCTTAGAATCAAGGGAACTTGGATCATAAACTTGAAAATAAAGGAAAGTCTAAAAGAAAATACCAGCTTCTAAGTAACTTTAAAAATCATCTCTCCTTTTTTACAGGGGCTTCAAAATTTCTATGTGGCCTTTTTTTCTGAAGAAAACTTCTGGAAACACACACGCATACACACACACCATCCCCCCCCCCACACACACACACAGAGCACAGAGAGAAAGAGAGTGTGTGTGTATGTGAGAGAGAGAGAGAGAGAGAGGGAGATTCATAGACAGAAACTGGCAAAGAAAGGAAGATAATTCCAGTTAACTTTGCCCTTCTTGCTTGGTAAAGTACGGGAAATTCTGAAAATACCAAAAATTGTCCATGGCAGCGGAAGCACAGGACCCAAATGTGTGCAAAATTTCTCCCCTTTTGAGTTAAAATGACAGTGAAACTGTATATATGTGTGTGTGGTAGTAGAGCCATATGGATCCTGATATGTTTTTCATTTAAGCTTTGTGTAGTCGCCTTAAAATTGTGGCCTTAAGGCATTAACTTACAAAACAAATGTGTTTTGAAATGAGGAAACCATTAAGGTTGACGATGAATTTATGGTGGGTTTTGGTGCTGTTTAGTTAAGGTCACATGTGTTTAGCATATGACACAGACATTAAACTCAAAGCTTCTGTGTTTCAAAACATATAAAAAGCAGTTGCTGACATCTAGCACCCTTGTGGTTCTCCGTGGCTCTTTTCCAAGTGGAAAAATTCCCTGCAACATCAGTGGTTATTGTCCTTCTGGATACAATTACCTTGAATTTAATTCAAATTCGGCAAGACCTTCTGAGATATTTCTAAAATTCTTGTAAAAACTACAACTTTGAAGGAGAGAGGAGATATAGATTTTAAACTCACCTTTGAAACATGCTGGGAAGAGGAACTGATAATTTGGTTTCTTGCTAAGTGGGAAGTGCTCATCCAGTGTCCTCACTCCTGGATCCAATCTCCTGGCTCGTTGATGGGGAAGCCAAGCTCCAAGCCCCACTCATCACAGCCTGCTTTTCTTCTCTGGAGCCTTAGATATTAAGGGCACTTCTTGTGGTTTGAGGGCAAACATGCCATACGTCTCATTTCTCTTCGAGGAGCTGCAGATAACTCTGTTCCTGTGTTTTCACCCCCAAAGCTTTGTAAGGTACATGTAGCATAAGGTCTGATTTCCTGATGTCTCTGATATAAGAGTTTATTTCTGGCCTCATAGAAAAGGAATATAAGACGTGGCTCTCCTGAGTTCACTAAGGGCAGGTACAGCCTACCGTGCCCGTCTCTTAGCTTTTTTCAGGCCCTCTCAGGGAGCTGGATCATCACAGAAAAAGCTATGACCCGCTCCAAAGCCTTGGAGTGGTTGAACTTAGCCTAATCTTTGCACAGAGGAGATCTAACCTGGATTTGGGGTTAGGACCTCTTAACCATCAAGTTGTTGGCATAAGTCTGTTGGCAGAAAAGACTTGTTGGATTGTTGTTGTTATTACAGGTATAATTACTATTATCATTGTCATGATTATGTATTACCTAAATATTTCCAGAATATTATGACATTTTTAACAGTCCCCCTGTTTTATAGATGAAGAAATGAAGAACCAGAAGGTTGAGCAACTTGTCTCTTTACAATAGAAACATTTTTGATACTACATTTGTTTTGTATATGAGAGGGGCTATGGATATGGATGAATGAATGAAAAACTAAATGGATGAATAAATCAGAGCAGAAAGCATGACTTACCCTGATCCACAGATGCTCAATCTCCTATGCTGTCCGTCTTCTATCTAGGCACTCTTTTGTGTGTGCAGTTGGATTGTTTCCCCTTTCAGCCTAGCTTTTCTATTGTCAAAACTTAAATTATATAAACATTAAAGAGAAGCATAAACCCCAAACCCAAAAGAGTTAAATATTTTTCAGTAACTTTAAATGTTTGAGTATTGTAAATACATGCTTTATTTGACAAAAGTGACCCATAGCCATAAAATGCAAGTCTATGTGGAATTCCACTGAGTATCATTATTCTAAAAATGTTCCCAGCATCTGAATTGCCCCTCTGTTCTCTGCAATGGCTCACATATGTACACTCCACCAACAGGCATTGGTGGAACAGAGGACCGATTCACACAGAGATGCATTAGGAATGTGTGAATTCCATTGGCAGACATAGACTGGACAAGGAACTCCATTTTTGAACAGTGCCCAACAAGGAGGGCTGGCCTAGGATACAGACTTAATGAAGTTAAGGGCATGTAATTCCAAAGTGGACTTGAAGAAAGCCACCTCCCTATAATATGACTGCAAAATTGCTTCAGCCTGGACAATCAGCCCAAAACAGAACTAATTAAAGCCAGAGCCATACAAAGTTTAGACCCTAGGCAGTTTGACCCAGAGGTTTCAGAAAGGGTCATATCCAAGACCAGGAAAAGGTGACTATTCAAGGTTACTCCCCAATGCAGTTATATGCCTGATCTCTAAAATCTGAGCTGCACTCTAGTAGTCCACCTCATGACTTTGAATATTGCTTTCATCTCTCCTTGCTGTTTTCCTAGCTTTGTATTTCTCTTCTTATGAGTATGTACGTACTTTTCCTTCAGCCCTGGAGACACATGGTAAATCCCCTTAACATTCATTGCCCACATCACCATAAACATATTGTTATTTTTGATCATGCAGACTTGGAGGAACTTTCTCCCAGTGGAAAATTATATTCAGTTTTAGTACAAGACAGCCTGCTCTTCTCACTGTCGTAAGGGGCAGTATCAATATTTATGTTTTCAAGGTTTCTAACCAAGCTAAATAAGAAAGACTCTTGCTCTCCAGTGAAGTTCTTGGCAAAAGGCCATCATTTGCTCATCTTTGATGAGATGATTTTGAGAAAAGGAAAAAATAAGAAGTTTTAAAATTGTCAGGGACTATGAGATACAGCTGTTTTGGGGTGAATATTAAAGTTTTAGGAGATAAATTGATTCAAGTAATTGAAAATACTTTAAATAATTTGAAATTTAAAGGTGAGAAAATACTTGAGAGGAAATGTAGCAATTTGAGAAGTTTGTTTTCTAGCATTTGTATAATTATTTTCTCATCCCCATGATGATCATGCTGACAGTTGGTACTATCTTCCTATTCATATTAAAGGGTGTCATTGAGAAATGACTGAGTCATATGACAACGGTCATTCAATAATCAATACACATTGCCAATATGTGCATATACTTAGAAAAAAGCCTCTAAAACTTCCATTGACATTCTGGCTACCACGAGTGAGGTATTCTAGAGGTCCTAACACATGACATAGGTGGAATTATGTAATTCATTCCAGAGTTCTGCCTATGTTTGTGGTAGTTGGAGTAGTTATATCTTAATTTTATTTAAAAACCAGAAAGAAAGAAACATAAGGCAGCTGCTATCATCACTTTGACTTCTACCTTATTTTAAAACCCAGTCATTCCTCAGTTTCATCATTTAGCAGAATCTTTAGAGTACCATTCCTTGGAACATCCTTAAGAGGCTGATTCTTTCACAGTGAATTTAATTTGCTTTTATTGTCCCCAAAGTAGAAAAAGCATGAAATCACTTTTGGAACAAGTATATCTTGCTTCCACCTTCTTCTCAAAGAGTGGCAGCAACTTAGCTGGCACAAAGGGAGAGAGTATGATTAAAGCCTCATTAGTGTGTGGGGGAGTAAGGGGGAGGAAAATAATCTAATGGGCTGATTATTTCCTCAAATATTATATTGATATTTTTAGAAAACTCATAAGGTATAATGGGTTGTTTCCTTGTCACTGCTCCACCTTGAAACCTTGCCACTTATTAGCTGTGTGACCTCAGCAAGTCGTTTAGTCTCCCTGAGGCTTAGCATTCTTATCTGTGATTTGGGATAATAATGCCTACTTCACAGGTTTATTATGATAAATTAATAGACTAATGTATGTAAAACATCTTTATGAATCCTAACAAATTCAAATATAATTAGTGGTAGTAGCCATTTTATGCATCACGCTGCCAAATCACACACATTGTAGGATGGATAAGAAGAGAGATTAAGAACTGGTATAGGTAGGAGATCTGGAATGAAGTCAATTAACACATTGGAGTAAACCGCAAAACCAAGGATTAGCAACGGAGGGAAAATGGGACGGGAAGACTTAGAGGGCTGGATTCTTGTGCAGGTCGTGTGGGACCTGTGTAATACAGGATGAATCTTATAATCCAGGATGTTCTTCTCCTTGAGAGGGTGTGACTGGCGATGTAGGGAAAGGACTTTTACAGTTTCACAGCCAAACAGCCGAGGTCTTTGCATTAAATGACAGCTGGAAGAAAGTCTATGGAAAAGTTAGCGTCTTGCATCTAGTCCCAGTCCACATCAAAATGGGAGATGGGTTCTGGAGTCATACCTGGGTTTGAATTGCTTCAGACTGCCTGGTTTTTGGCAAGTCATGTATCCTGCTGTAGCTCAGTTTCCTTATCTGTAAAATGGAATAAGTTGATGTTGATAAGATCAGGTAAGATAATGAATGAAAACTTCCTGCTGCATAATAAACTTAATAAGTATTATTTTTATTTATTATTTATTATAATAGTTTTAATATTAACCAAAGTGAAGATTTACTAATGAGAAAATGAATGAATGTGTTTGCTCTCCTCTTTCTTCTTTCATTTAAAAAGGGAAAGCTTCAATGTGTGAGTTTTAGAACCATCATAAGATGATGTGTATTTTTAAAGGAGTTAAAATTATCCACTCTGCAAGGTTATGGTCTAGGTGGTCTTCACTGAATCATTTGTTAAGTTCATATGCACAAATACTGCAGACAGTCCTGAATTTGGCCGTTTCCTGTGAAAATGAAAGTAGTATCTCCCATCTAGAATCCCTTTGGCGGGCCAAGAGGAAGTGGTATGCCATCTAAACAGTCCGTTATTCTTCTTTTGAGAGAGTGGGTGCAGGGGTTAGGGGTAAGGCTAAGACTGTCATCTTAGGAAAGTGATAGATGTTGTTACCAATGGCGACTCTAGAATTTGCTCGCACGTCTGTTCATTATCTCCTAATACAAGGGCTCCCTCTGCAGGCTCCAACAACCCTCAGCTGTTGCGTGGGAAGCTATGTCCAGCTATGCGACAACCTGTTGTAATTCCTTTATTTGTGAATATTGCTGTATCCACTGACAATAAACTGTGTATCTGAAAATATCACAGGTCAACGCACTTCTTAGGTACCTACGGTGCTGCCTTATGACAAAACCAGTGCCGTCAAATGGCCAAGCAAGACCTGTCCGCAATTCTCTTGCTCACATTTACCAGGTGTGGTGGCCTAACATGGACACACGGCCCATGGAACCACAAAAGATCATTTTCAAAGACCCCACCATAGTGGAGAGACACTACTTCTGTGGATTCTCAGATCATTAAATGCCTAATGTTCCCATCTATCAAAGTATGGTACATATACACTGAGGAACAACTCTCATGCCGTGTTACAGACCAATTCTAATATCTGCAGAACGTTAAGACTTGATTTAAAGTCTATTAGATTCACAAAAGCATTGCTATAAGTCATTATTTTCCCGTAGTTTGAAAGATACAAAAGATTATTTAGATATGTGAAACATAGCTATATGTCAACAATTATATGGATAAGGATGGACAGTTTGTTTTAGGTGAACACTGAAGGACCACAGATGACATGGAACACATCTTAAATTCATTGGCTGAGGCTGCGGGACAGAGAGAACAGTAAGGTATCTACAGGGTCAGCTGTCCTACTGCAGTTGGCCTTCAGATACTCCCAAAGGTTGAGGGTTAGGGGGACGTGAATAAGGGAGACTGTGAAGGAGAGAATGAATAGCAACACTGAGCATTGACAAGGCTGGCCTGAGGTAAACTATGGACCTATTTTAACTGCTTTTCCCGCTTGCTTTCCCATGTGTGGGTATTAGTGTAATTAATACTAGTTGAGGGGAGGTTTTAGCTAACATTCTCACACAAAAAAAATCATGAATTAAATACTACAGTGTCAAATTTTTTCTTAAAACATACTACTTTGTTAAAAAAAAATCTTGCCTTCTCTCCGTATCCCTATGTTAAAAAAAAAATTATGTAACATTTGGTACATCCCAAGAATACACACGACAGATGTAAATTCTAATGATGTTGAATCTACCTGTGTGCTCCTCCCCTTTGCCCAGTTTTAATATCTTTAAAATCATGAATTATTATTAAGGGGGTCTATTACAGCAACACTATCTCAGGTTCACTGGAGAGACTTTTGCTGGATATTGTTTATGGATTTTTAAAAATTGTATTAAAACAATTATGAAAATTAAGCATGCACAAAAGTGGAAAGACTAGTGAAATGAACTCTCATTTACATATCACACTTCCTTAACAATTATCAACACATAGTTGATCTTGTTTTAGCTATATTCTTCACTCCTCCCCTCACCACATTATCCTGAAGCAATCCTCAGACATCATCCATATAAAGCTTTAGCATTTGTCATTCAAATGTAAGAACTCTTTTTAAAAACTTGACTACAATACTATTATCAAACCTAAAACAAATGAACAATTCCTTAATATAGCAAATATCCAGCATTCACATTTCCAAGCTTGTCTTACCCATTTGCTGCAATTGGTTTGTTTGGATTGGGATCCAAATCATGCCCACACATTGCATTTGATTGAAATAGCTCTTAAATCTCTCTTAATCAAAGTAGACTCCTCCCTTGTTTTTAGCTCGCAGTTAGTGTATGTGTTATTTGTACTTGCGGATTTGCTGATGATATCCTCATGGTGTTGTGTAACGTGTTTCTCCCTCTTCCGTCTATTACTGTAAGCTGGTAGTAATAGCCGGCAGGAACTTGGGGACACTCAAAGCTGGTAGGTCAAGAGACGTGTTTACATCCAGGTTCAGTTTTTTCTAGGCCAGAATATTGATAGGTAGGGTGGTGTATTCTCTAATGTATCACAGCAGGAGGCACATGGTGTCTGGCTATATCCTTCCTTTTTTTTTTTCTTTTTTGGAGACAGAGTCTCACTCTGTCACCCAGGCTGGCGTGCAATGGCGTGGTTTTGGTTCACTGCAACCTCTGCCTCCCGGGTTCAAGTGATTCTCCCGCCTCAGCCTCCCCAGTAGCTGGGAGTACAGGTGCCTGCCGCCACGCCTAGCTAATTTTTGTATTTTTAGTAGAGACACTGTTTCATTACATTGGCCAGGCTGATCTCAAACTCCTGACCATGTGATCCACCCACCTCGGCCTGCCAGAGTGGTGGGATTACAGGTGTAAGCCACTGCGCCCAACCTGGCCATATCCTTCCTAACCTTTTCACCTCATCTTGGAAGGGCACAGGTGAACGGAAATGAATGAGAGGAAGCCACCAAATCTGGGGTGGGTTGGGGTGACTGAGCAAAGAGGAGTATTATTTTTGATGAAACTTTCGATGATTTTGGGTAAGATTTACTTAACTATGCTTGACTTGTTTTGTTGGAGAGTGTCAAAATGTTTGGAAGAGAAAAGACATGTCCTTTTAAGATGTAGCAAAGTGTATGAATCAGTCAGGTGTAGTTGGAGAACTTCAGGCAGTGAACTTACACACTCTCCCTTTGAAAGTACTTCATAGGTACTCAAGAAAGGAGTGCTAATGGAAATGTATGTACTACAGGGTTTTCATGTTCTCTACTTGGAGCCCTTGATGTTGGAGTGATCCTTTCAGCTGGCAGGAACTTGGGGACCCTCAAAGATGGGAGTCAGTAGGAGAGAGGTGTTAAAGAGATAATTAGCACCCGTAGCCTTAGAAGCAGCTAAGTACTAAGTGGAACAGATGGAGACAGTATAATAAAAGTGGTCTGTAAGCAAAATAGAAATACATAATTATGAAAGTAGATATTAAAAGAATTAAGTCAGTAATAAAGTACAGTTTTAAAGTGGCCCCCGTCCTTTTAAGGGCTTGGGTTATCTGGAAGTATTTTAGAGTTTATAAGTAGAAAGTAAATTAAAAGATGGACTGTTTTTCTGAATGAACAACTTCAACATTTCTTGTAATTTATGGTTTTTGCAGTGTTGGAAGCTGGAAGCTGTTTAGCTGGTAACAGGATATGGGCAAAACAGGACCTAAGGCTAAAGGTCTTGGGTGGTAGTTCAAAGCCTGACCCTGGTTCTTTTTTTTCTTTATTACTTTATTCAGGCATATTTTACACATTCTAGAATTCATCCTTTTTAAGTATAAAATTCAATGGTTCTTTAAGTAAATTTGCTACTAAGCTATACAGCCATCACCATAAATCAGTTTTAGGTCATTTTTATCCCCCCAGTAAAATCCCTCACGACCATTTATAGTTAATCCATGTTGCTGTCCCTGGCCCCTGGCAGTGACTAATCTACTTTTTGTTTCTATAGAGTTACCTTTTCTGGGTATTATTTATAAATGTAATCATATATCTGGCTTCTTTCATCAGTAATAATGTTTTTGAGGTTCATTCATGTTATGGCATTTATTCATAGTTTATTCCTTTTTATTGCTGAATTTACAGCACTTTGTCCATTCACCAGTTGATGGGCATTTAGGCTGTTTCTAGTTTTGGATGATTATGTATAATGCTGCTAAGGGCATTCATATGCAAGTCTCTAAGTGGACATACATTTTTATTTTCTTTGGGTGTATATGTAGGAGTGAAATGACTGTATCATTTGGCAAATTTATGTTGAACCTTAAACCACCAAACTGTTTTCCAAAGTGGCTGCACCAGCAATTATGAGGGTTCCTGTTTTTCTACATCCTTCTAGCCCTGCACCTTAATAGCTGTGCAGACTTGGGCAAACCTTAGCTTCCACTTTAATAAAATAGGTGAGTGGAGCTGACATATACCAAGTGCCTATTCTGTGGTAAAAATCATGATAGAAACACTTACAAGCTTTGTCTCACTTAATTCTGAGCCCTTTGAAATGTAGATATTATTTTCTACATATGTGATGAATTTACCGAGGTTCAGAGAAGTTACATAAACTAGACATCATTATAATGCAAGATTATTGTGAGTACTAAATTATATCAAATAACATATATGAACATACATGGCATAGTCTTGGGAATACAGAAGGTGGCTAATGAAGCAATTTTTATTTCTCTCCTTCTTCCCATCATTAGCATCTCTAGTAGGTCTTGCCACAGGGCGTCACCTACCCTCATCAGGTACCACCAATTTTCTGGTAATAGTTGCCAGCTATGAAGCTGTCATGCCTTAGTGAAGCTGAAAATCCTTTTTAGAGTTTACCCTGCAGTTCCAGTTAATGAGGTGGCAGAAACATCATAACTCAAATAGCATAATCTTTGTTGCATACAATGATAAAAGCAACTAGTTCAGGATATGATTATATTTCTTAATGGTTGTTTTTTATTCTTGTCTCTTCTTCCATCCTCTATTCACAATACTCGTAATTACTTTTCCAAATTCTAGAGAAGAGGGTTCTGAAAAAAGTTAATGTTGCCAAGAAGTTAATTGACTTGATTAATTTGAAATGGACCTGGATCTGTTGGTTTGAAGATTGCCTAGGTGGTAATAGAAAAGTGATCTAGGAGAAGAGGGTTCAATTAATACCTTAGTCACATTCAAGAAGTTTTTGATATTAAAATATATATATTGAAAAAAACATAAAGTCTTTAAAAAATTAGTAACTTGTTATTTGTTGTGTCTTTTCAGGGAGAGCCTGGGGTCAGAGGCCCTCCAGGTCCTTCTGGGCCTCGGGGCGTAGGAACCCAAGGGCCAAAGGTGAGTCCTCAGCTCAGTGCTTTGTGTGAGGGTCAGATATCATCAGTGACAAACAAGTGAACAGTAACTTCATAATAAGTGTTCGTCTTGGTGTTGACTTATTTTTTTCTTGGTGACTGATGAAACGTCTTATTTTTCATATCAGGTGAACGTTCAGTAAAATAGAACATTCGAGTTTATAAAGCCATTCACTTCCCCCAAAAGAAATGAGCAAGTCAGCCTCTTTTTAACTGCAAAGTGCTCAGAACATTTCTGGGTTTCTTAGAGGCTGTGCCGTCATCAAGAAGCACATCTTTACTTTGGCAGAGGTGCCTCAGGTGGCTTTTTTAACAGGTCACCTGCTAATGTGTCATTGTGCCCTTTGTGCCACAGCTACTCTGGCAGGGTGTCAGTACAAGGGTCTAGACTGATTGTCCCTGGAGAAGATGAGAGCAACTTCTTTTGGCCCAGTTTCCCTCCTTTCTATGTCTCCTTCAGTTTGGTGGTTATTCATCCTTTTATTCTTTTAATCCAGTGTTTCTCAAAGAGGGAGACTTTGTTTCCCTTCCCTGGCTTCAGAGAACATGTGGCAATGTCTAGGGACATTTTTTGGTTGTAGTAGATCAAGTCCAGAGATGCTGCCAACCATTCTACAATGCCCAGGACAGCCTCCCATCAGAAAGAGTGACTCAGCTCAAAATGTTAATAGTGCTGAGTTTGAGAAACCTAGTTTTAATTGTTCATTCAGTTGCTCAACAACTTTCTTTGATTTGTTCGAAAGTAGGGTAAAGAAGTAGCAAGCATGTTCAATAGGGAAAATAGATGTCAATGAACCACCCACCACAAATTCAAATTTTGAATTGGTATATTCATGCCGAAAATGCACAGAAGTGAATTAGAGCCCATTCTCAGAGAGGAGAGGGAAAAGGCTGTATGAGTCAAAGATTTTACTGAGCATCCCAGAATTACCAAGATTCTCAGTTTATCTCTGTTTTGTCCCTCAACTCAATTTTGGCGGTATGCTATTTTTGAACCTTCTAGATCACTTTAAATGGATGAAGATCCCCCCAAGATGTTAGTAGTCATTATCACTGGGTGATGGGAAGATGGGTCTATTTTTCTTGTTCATGTCATCTTTATTTCTGTTTAATTTTTTTTTTTGCAATGGGCAGGTATTCCTCTTATAATCAGAAAAAGTCAAGCTTTTTTAATACTGGAAAGTAAAAGACTGACTTATACAATAACTTATATTAACCCAGCACTTCTGAAGGCTTCTTCCATCCAGTGTTAATTTAGGAACTTCTGGGATAAGCAACGTTACACTAATTTCTTTACTGTGGGACTTGTTAGAGCCATTAGTCTACTATATTAGTGTGCACTGGAGATCTCCAAGGGAAAGCGCATGCTATTTTCCAATCTTATTCCACCACGAAGTGTTTCCAAAGAAACATGGGCTCAGTTTATGAACAGATACTGGGAAATGCTACACTTGCTTATAGCTTCATCTACACATTTTCCTAAAAATTTGGACATTGATATCCACTGGATCTTTAAGTGCAACCCCAGTGAAATCACACCTTATATTGAAATGGAGCAACATCTTAAGGCTATGTGGAGCCACATGTCAGTGGTTTTCATATGTGGTGCAGGGCAGCCCTGGTGTTCTTGAGCTTGGTGGTAGGGCAGTGAAGGGGGCCCAAGCAGATGAGGCCCTGGGCCTCCATTTCTGCTTAGGCCCAGCGGCTCTGCTTACTGCTTAATTTTTATTTGGATTATATTTAAGGTTTTGTTTGCATAGAATTCTGTGGTTTAAAAATATTGGGGAAGCACTCTAAGTAAAATAGGAAGTAGCTTATAGGCAGCATGAAAGTCCTGGTCAGACTGAAGTAAGAATGCAGCTGAGAGTAGTAATACTTAACGTTGTTTCTTCTTCGATCTTCTTACATTTTGTCTTCAAATTCTCCCCATCTTCTAACAGGGTGATACTGGGCAGAAAGGCTTGCCTGGCCCTCCTGGCCCCCCTGGCTATGGATCACAGGGAATTAAAGTAAGTGAATAGGGTTGTGCTGGAGTCACCTCTGATTTCACCAGAGTGATTGGGAGAAGAGGTTGTAGATAACGCAAAAATGGCTATTATGAAATAGATTTATTGTGAGCCTCGCAGTTAAATGGCATCCAGTGTTTAGAGACATCATCTGGAAGTGTAAAAATGGTATGAGTACAATACTTCAGCAAATGCTAAACATTATATAAATTGCTTGGTGCAAAAGTGAACTGTTCTATGGTTTGTTGCTTTCCCCTCTTTGTGAATTGAATGGAGAATTTATACTCAGTTGCTCTCTCTCTCTCTCTCTCTCCCCCCCCCCTCCCTCCCTCCCTCCCCCCTCCCTCCTTCCCTCCCCCTCCCTCCTTCCCTTACCTTCCTCACCTGTATCCTCCATGGTAGCCCAGGGCTTCCCAATCTTAGCTCACAGTGGAATCACCTAGGGAGCTTTTGGATAGTACTAATGCCCTTTCCCAGAGGAACGAAATCCGAATCTCTGGGAGTAGAGTGTGAGTGCTGTGGTTTTCAAAGCTCTCCAAGGGATTCTCCTGAGCAGCCAAGGTGAGAACCTCTATTCTAGGCCCTGAGTCTGTGTTACTGGAATTCATAGCCATCTGCATGTCACTTTGCTTCTGCGTCAGCAGCAACAAGCTTGTCCAGCATGCTGGGACTCTCAGGGTCTCTCATGTCTCAGTAGACAAATTTGGCATCTAAACATTACTATGTAATTCTAAAAAATTCCCTCTTCTGCTTCTAATATGTTGATGATGTTGTTCTTATCGGTTCACTCTCTTTTTTTCCGATTCCACTGCTGCCCCCGTCATAAGCTGGTTTTTTATTTTACATACATTTATATATATATATATTTTTACCATGCTTAAGCTTTGAAACTGAGTTATTCACCTCTGGATGATTGAGATTGATTCTAAAACTGTGGGAACATTCAAAATAAACTCCTTTTCAAATAGCAGAACTTCTTAGTCAGTAGGAGACAGTAGGAGCTTAAGATAATGTGAAAATCCTGTGTTGAAATTAAACTGCCTACTTCTGTGTAGAGAGAGTAAGCTTAGTCAAGAGCAGAACTCATAGAATGTGTGTTAAATCTCCAGTTTTATCACACAATGTCTAGAGCTTCTACAGCAGGTCTTCTAAATAACTGTTGTTCATCTCTCGGGCTGAGTATCTAAGCAAAGGCCAAATAGGCATGTTGCCCATATTGTACAAGCCCTGGAAAGAAAATACAGCAACACTCTGCTTTCTCATAAACAACACCAATCTCATACTTAATCTTTAAATTCTGTGGTTAGAAGGTGGTAGTGCTGTATACCCAGTTTTGCATGAGTTTGCTTAGGGAATAAACCTATGCCAAACCACAGGTCCTGTCACCAACATGAGCTCAGTTCACACATGCTGTTAGGTTATTGCTGCCACGTCTTTAGGCCTGGGGCCGGTTTTCTCCACTTTGTTATCTGGGAACTACTTCCTCATTCTCACCTGGGTTGTGTTTAATTAATCCTTACCGACTATAACTTATCTGGCTTCCTGCCTCTCCTTATGCCCTCAGGGTTATGCTGTGTCTAAACTCCATCCTGGGTGAAACCAGGTCCTGAAGCCTCCCATCACAGGAAAGCACCAAAATCAAAACTGCCACGTATCCCATCTTATCAGAAATGAGATAAGCTTTTCCTTCACTTAGGGCTGTAGCCTGATGCTGCTTAGCAGTGAGCCCTGACTAAGGCTCACTCATAAAACTTCTCTAGGCCGGGTGCAGTGGCTCATGCCTGTAATCTCAGCACTGTGGGAGGCCAAGGCAGGCAGATCACTTGAGGTCAGGAGTTCAAGACCAGCCTGGGCAACATGGTGAAACCCCGTGTCTACTAAAAATACAAAACTTAGCTTGGTGTGGTGGTGCATGTCTGTAGTCCCAACTACTCAGGAGGCTGAGGCATGAGAATCGCTTGAACCCAGGAGGCAGAGGCTGCAGTAAGCTGAGATAGTGCCACTGTACTCCAGCCTGGATGACAGAGTGAGACCTTGTCTTCCCAAAAAAAGAAAACTACCCAGCACTTTGGGAGGCCGAGGTGGGTGGATCATGAGGTCAGGAGTTTGAGACCAGCCTCACCAATATGGTGAAACCCCATCTCTACTAAAAATACAAAAATTAGCCAGGCATGGTGGTGCGTACCTGTAATCTCAGCTACTCAGGAGGCTGAGGCAGGAGAATCGCTTGAATCCTGGAGGCGGAGGTTGCAGTGAGCCAAGATCGCACCACTGCACTCCTGCCTGGGCAACAGAGTTAGACTCTGTCTCAAAAAACAAACAAAACAACCAGAAAAACCTCTTTAGACATATTGGATTGCCTGGCATCCAGTTGGTAGCAGGGCAGAGGTTCGTCCCTCAGGACTTCCATCTCATTTTCCTGACTGTGGCAAAAACCGCAATTACTTTTGCACCGACGAAATACCATCACTGCAAAAGGGAGGGAACTGAAAAACCAAATTGGTGGCATTCTTCTGAGTCATTTCAAGGATATAGGAACAGTAAAATTTCATTTCTTACATTCATTTGTTGACTTATTTCCTACCCCTTTCCAAAGAGCATTTGAATCAGTGAAATCTGCTTGCAGGTGTGTGTGCTTAGTAGCCTTTGACGGAAAGCTTTGTTGCTGTTAACCTTTAACACAGAAGCCTGAACTGTACTCTGTCTCTCTATCCCCTTCCACTTATGGGAGAAATAAGGGTTGTAGCTGCAATCACAAGTGATTTGCTTCAACCTAACTTAGTTGCTAGAATATTGGCTCTTCAGCCAGTCATTCATTCATTCAGCTGACCAACCAATACGGATTGAGCATCACCTATGTCAGGCAAATAAGCCAAGTGCTAGTATAAAGTAGTGAGTAAAAATATGTGAACTTAGTCCTCATGGAATTTACAGGCTATAAAATAATTAAACTTTGAGTTCTGGAGAGTATAGAGGATGGCACAATGGAGTGAATTTAGATTACAGCAGTAGGCAGGGCCCTTGTGAGGTCCTATAGGCCAAGTAATGAGTTTGGCCTTAATCCTAGGAGCAACTGGAAGTCAGAGAAGAATGATCTGATCAGTTTGGAAGAGACTCACTCTGGCTACCATTTGTAGAATGAATGGACATGACTGGAAGGAATGTGGGAGTAGAAGGGCTTCTCTTTCCATGCCCCTTCCTATTCTCTTGATTCTCTATGTGGAAGAGTATGATCTTCTGGGAACTTCTTTCCCCGGCCTTTCCTGGGGCTCTGGGACCACCCAGGGCTGCTGCTGTGGTAGCTCTGGTCCTGGAAAACCCTGAGAGCACGATGGGCTCGCCCCTCTTTATTTAGTACCATGGCAGCCTCCTGCCATTCCTCTGCTGGCCCAACTGGCTCTGCCCTGAAGTGGAACTCCAGCTCCTTCAGGGCCTTGGGCTTTTTCCCAACCACAGATGTCTGTTGTTTGGATCAATGAATATGGGACTGTGGCTGTTTGATCCTAAAATGGCCTTGGACTTTCAGGTTCATGTCACAGGCCAGGAAGTTATATGATGCTGCCATCTTGTCCCACTGTAAGCCTCCAGCAGTAACCCAGATATAGACTCCAGATATATCAGAAGTCCCACAGATTAAGTCAGAAGGGAGAAGGAATGGGTCTGGACCTGGAGGAATTCCTTTATATGCCAAGTAGCCATTGTGAGGCCAGGAGGGATGTGATCAGAGGGTGCACCACCCAGGTTAAAAAGCACGGAGACAGATGTGGATGGCTTCTCCCCATTCTTCATTTCTAATTGGGAGTTATGCCAGTTTCCCCATCTCCATCCTTGTTTAAGTCCGTTCCAGTGTCCTGATCAGCCCTGACATTCCCTTAGTACTTATTTTCAGAGGACCCAGAAGTCCTTATATAAACACAATTCCTGGTAGCCCTCCTTGACTTTAAAGACTTTGTGAGGTAGATTTGTGGACTGGCTCTACTATAACTCTTCCTATGCATAAATGCTTTATTCATTGAGAGAATTAGCTTCTATGCCACTGCCTTTTGCTCTTCCTGTAGGCTTGAATATGACTGACCCACCCACCCATTTGAACCAAATGTATAATGGTTCAAACATAGTAGAGGGTTTTGCTCACATAACAGTACAATGTGTGTGTTCCTGGTTGGTGGGTGATTTTCTTCCACACAGAATTTTAAAAAACCTTGTCTTCCATTTATGGTTCTTCTGTTGGCTGGGCCTCTTTACCACTTAAACCCAGCAGGCAAAAAGGGAGTATGTAGAAGGGGTATACCTGCTTCATAAACTCTTGGCCAGGACTTGACACATATCCCCTCTGCTCAGGTTTTATTGGTGAGAACTAGTTGCGCGGCTGTACTTAATTGCAAAGTGGCTTGGAAAGGTACTCATGCTGTGTGCCCAGGAAGAAAAGGAACCAGAAGTTTGGTGAAGAGTCAACAATCATTGCCATTCATAATTTAGCCTGTTTCTAGGGAGGATGGAAATTTTAAGTCATTTGTTGCTCTGAAGTATATTGGTGCCTCCAGAAGAGAACAGAAAGTATGGTGGTCTACATGGCAACTTCCTGGCTGAGAATTCCTCTTATGGGGCTATAGCAAAGGAGGGACTGACTATTCCATGCCTAACAAGTTTGTTATCAGTTTTAAAAAATAGCCTCAATGACAGGCTGGGTAATTTGGTGACCTCTATCCAACAGAAACCCTGGGGTCCCCAAAACTGGCAAATAGTAATGACTGCAGTGGTCACACAGTCACAGGCCTAACAGATCAACCTCTGAGACATCTGAAGCCCATAAATAGAGTGAAATACATTCTGCATGATATCTCCCCCCATCTGTATTCTGACCTCTGTGGTGTAAGGGAAAGAGAATGAGGGACTCATTTCTCAGTGGCTTTAGAGCCAGTCAGATCTTGGCCTGAATCTGGGTTTCGATTTTTTCTAGTTGTAACCTTAGACAAATCATTTATCTTTGTTGAATCTCAGCTTACTAATCTTTAAAATGGGGCTAATAAGGCTTATTTTACACAGTGTTAAAAAGAAAAAATTGTATAAAATGTCTAGGACACAGAGTTGATATTCCACCAGAGTGTGGGCTATGGAGTCAACAGATTTGAATCATGGCTTCTCCACTTCCTGAGTATTTCATCTCTCCCTCAGTTTCCATATCTGAGTAATGGGATAATACAGTACTGTTTCCTAAAGTTGTTGTGAGGAATGATTGAAATTAGATAGTATGTGTAATGCATGTAATACATGGTTATATATATGGAAAATGTTTGCAGCTATTCACATTATTATTTCCACCTGCTTCCCTTCCCTTTCGCTAGTCCCTCTTGTATTTTCCAGGAACAAGGCCTAGAATTCTAATACTCAAGTGATTTAATGCTCTTAAGCATAATATATTGGTTACATTAGTTAGTGTAGACATTGCTCCAATACCAAACAGACACCCAAATGTATAATGGTTCAAACATAGTAGAGGGTTTTGCTCACATAACCGTCCAATGTGTGTGTTCCTGGTTGGTGGGTGATTTTCTTCCACACAGAATTTTAGAAAACCTTGTCTTCCATTTATGGTTCTTCTGTTGGCTGGGCCTCTTTATCACTTACACCCAGCAGGCAAAAAGGGAGCATGTAGAAGGGGTATACCTGCTTCATAAACTCGTGGCCAGGACTTGACATGTATCCCCTCTGCTCACATTTTATTGGTGAGAACTAGTTGCATGGCTGTACTTAATTGCAAAGTGGCTTGGAAAGGTAGTCATGCTGTGTGCCCAGGAGGAAAAGGAACCAGAGGTTTGGTGAAGAGTCAACAATCATTGCCATTCATAATTTAGCCTGTTTCTAGGAAGGATGGAAATTTTAAGTTATTTTTTGCTCTGAAGTATATTGGTGCCTCCAGAAGAGAACAGAAAGTATGGTGGTCTCCATGGCAACTTCCAGAATGCCCCGTCATTCTCCTGATACTGTGGGCACAGACACCTGGGCTTATAAGGACTGGGTTTAGCCCGTCATTTATTTTATCCTATCCTAAAAAGAGAAGCTTAGAGCATTGATAATCTTCTTTCTTATTTCAAACAGCATCAGTATTACTCATGGATGACTTAGAAATTGTCAGTAGACAGGCTGAGAACTCGCCAAAGAGCTGGAGGGGGCTTGGGGTTTTTGGTAGGACCAGGAAAGTTCATTCATGTCCATAGCAAAGCCAGGGCCAGAGAATGAGGGACACCTGGAATTTAGTAGGAGCACCATGATTCAAAGGCTGGGGAGAGATGAGCAGGAAAGGATCAGGGGAGGGGGACAAAGCTGGCACAAAGAGCCTGATTTCAGGAGAAAAAGAGGAGTAGCAGTTAGGCTCCTGAAGGAGAATAAGGGAAGGTTTGGAGTCCTGGGTGATTGCTTGGGATGCCAGCAGCATTTGAGACCAAACAGGGGTGTGAAGATGGGTGGGTCAGCTCACCTTGCAGAGTGTAGCATAAATGGGCACAGCCAGAAAATTGCTTCTTCCTCCAAAGCTCTCTGATTCAGGAATTTGGGGCATAATGTGGAACGTTATAAGATTCTTGACTCTGTGCTTAAGATTAATGTCATTTCTTAGGAAGATTTCTTTTGGTTTGTCTCAGTTGTGCCACAGTAACTGTGTTTCTGTAAACTCCAAGGGCTCTTTTAATAGAATCAGGTGTCTTTGCTACCTCTGGCTTCCCTTTACAAGAAAAGATAATGTTTGAAAGAATGTCAGGATTCTGTAGTGGAAATCTCACATGGAGCCTGCCAACCTTCTGCCTGGCTCCTACCTGTGACCTGATTGCTTTGAAAGTGTTTCCAGAATCCACTTGACTAGATTTGTGGTTAGAATGAACCTTTTACAGCACAGAAAATTGCCATGCTTGAAGGCCAAATAGAAACGATTTATTCGTTGAAATTTAACTAACTTAAGGGGGAAAAAGGAATCTCATTTATTAAAAAAGTCAGAGATGGGTTTGAAGTACACTAAGTTGTAAGTACCTGCAGAAGGGTTAAAAAGTATTGACATGAGGAATTTTTCCTTCATCTTCTAAACTCATAACCATGCTGTACAATGGTGTTAATTATGAAGAGAGCAACACACATATATTTTAATATTATGACTTTGGCATTTGAACTTAAAGGTTTTTTTCTCCTTCTTGACTGCAAATAAACAACAGCATTTAAAAAAAAAAAAGGAAGACAAAACCAATCTTGGTAGTAGTAAAATCACTGCATTCAAGTTGAACACACCTCAGAAAGTAATAGAAACAATAAGTTATCCACTTAACGGCATAGCATAGACGATGTGTTTGAGTGCACCAGAAACTCTCTTTGAATTAACCTCTGTGACTTATCTCTTATTGTAATTTTGAAATTCACACGATGACTCCACTTCATAAAAAGGAGGAGTCGAGACCACATGAGAGGCCTCAAGTTTTGAATAGTTTGGTGTTTTAGGATTATACCTGCCAAGTCAATTGTGGCAGGGGGTCGAGGGTGTGGCTTAAAATTATCTTGGTGATCAAAATCTACAAACCTGGTTATAGACATTGAAAGCGTCTCTATACCTTTATTATTTTTAAAACCAAATTGTAAACAATTACCTGGGTTATAAACCAAAATCAAAAGTCCACAGTATTCTCTGTAGGGTAGTACACATCAGGGCACATTTGCATTTATTAACTGAGGCTGGATCTGTGGCCATTTGTGTTTTTCACTTACTAGTTCACGCTTTCATTTTCCTCCTGGACCAAGTTGCTTTCATTCCTTCAAGCCAGTTAAGAAAAAGGATAATTTTTAAAAAATAATTCCTAAATCAGAATCTGAGGATATAGTAGGCTGTTTTCCTCTTTCAATCTCCTTATTAAATTTTCCTTTTTAATAGCCAATTCTCCAAATCAGATTTGGAATGAAAACTTTAGGCTCTCAATTGAGTGGGGCTTGAATCATCATTATTACCGGCTTATATTTCTTGCCTATTTGCTATGAACAAGGCCCTGTGTGATGACAGTGACAGTCACAGATTTGCTGAAATACCACACTCCCTACACTGCCATGAAACAAAAAGGAAAAGCAAATTTTGAAATCACGTTTTTGAATTAAATAGGGTGCCCTACCTCAAGGTTTACTATAGTTTCCAAATTCCAAAAGAAAAATAAAAATGGCTGCTGACTTGGTAATAAAGATAAGACATTGTTCAGTACCATGTGCTGATTCTGAATATTTAAAAAGGAGATTTGAAAATATCACCAAAAGTTAGAAAATCATGTGAAAGATTTCATTTGAACTGTCATATACTAAAACTACTCATCATGCTATAGTAGTCCATAATTTATAATTATGGTACACATGCTGCTGGTTTAAATTGGTTTTTTTTCTCTCCTTTTCCTTCATTTCTTTCTTTCTCTCTCCCTTCCTCCTACCCACCTACTCATATCTGTCTAATATATAAAGATGTAGACATCATATATTTATTTTTTCATTCTTGTAACAGATTCTGTCCATATAAAACCAAGTCAAGTGAAAGACATGAATAAGTTACTCTTAGCTGCTCCTACCACCTTTATAGCGCATGAATTTCATTGTTGAAAATTTATAAAAGGCATTTTATCCTTTTCCTACCCATCAGTGGTTGGTCAGAAGTAAGTTACTAGTATAAATTTTTCTCCATCTCCTTTTAGCAAGGTAAGAGGTATTTTTAGTACTTAGAGCTTTGGGCTCCTGATGAGAGGTAGGGAAATATTATACTCTCTAAATATGATGTATTATTTTATTCAAGCCTCACCATCCTGTGAGGTAGGCTATAGAAAAGTAAGGCACAGAGATGTTAAACAACATCTCCCAAATCACTCAGAGCTGCTCTTCACACGACCTACTTGAAGTAATCATGCGTTAGGGAGTAATCAAATCAGAATAAATGTTAGAGAGAGAAAACTAATCAATTTGAGTTCTTAAAAACAAAGTGTCACTCAAAATTTTAATTTGCATCTTGAAATTTAAAGTTGACACATGGAGATGTGAGGTATATAAAGTGAGGTCTTTTTTTCCTGATAATCTATTTTTTTTATAAGATAGAAGTATTACATAAAGAGCAATTCTTTTTCCCTAAGTACAGTTCTTCAGAATCCAGGAGTTGCATTTAGTGACCTTTTGAAATCAATGCTAGCTTTACAAGGAAAAACAACAGCAGGATCTGGGCTGGCATGTGTAGCTGCACTTGGGTGGGGCTGTAATAATCACTTCTCATACATTCAAAGACTTACCAAGTTCTTTCCTGTTTGACTGGTTGAAGGACATGTATTTTTGTACTGCAATCCTCTGTGACAAATTAGTGCATAGTATGTAATCTAAACAGGTTTTTATTGCTCTTACAAACACCTTAAGAACTTTACAATTGTTGGTTTTTTATCATCAGCACCTTTCCTTACCTAGTTGCAGATAAGTCTTTTTGTTTTAATTATAAGAAGTGAGGGGAAATGAAGTAAATTACCTGCTCAGGGTTACTTACAGAATCTCTAACAAAGGAAAGATAATGAAGGTTTGAGTATTTGTGGCTCAAATTGGCAGTCCATAAAGATATTTAGCCCCAGAGCAATTTGTCTTTGATCTTGCAAAAATTCTTCAGCGGCAGTTCTTCAGAACAACTTTCACATTGTCAGAGCGGGAATCATGAGCACGGCTGTAATGTAGGAACTAGTGCCTACCCTGCTCTAAGAAAGCCAAATGAGAAGAACAAACAGTATTAAAATGAAGAGAAATGGAGGCAGAGAGACACAGAAATGGAATTAAGAAGAAAATGGAAAAAGAAATAGAAGAAAAGAGAATAGGATATTGGTTGTGATGACTTCGTTAGGACCCTGTGTTTAGTAATGCTTTTGGCCTTAAAGTCTTTTATTATCTGAAATTAATGTAGTTACTGTCCTTTGGTTAAATTTTACTGGTGTTCTATTTTTAATCCTCTAACACTTAAATTCTGTTTACTTTACCCTGATATTGTTGTTTTACATTTTAATCAGTTTTTAAGCCCCCAAAATATTATTTTTGGATATAGTCACTGTTTATTTAGATTTATTCATGTATTTACTATTCTCTTTCTCTTTAATCCGTCTTGCATCCCAGATTGAAACCACTCTCTGCCTGCATTGTATTCTTTAGAATTTTTTTTGGTAAAAGTCTACTAGAGCAATTTTTTTCCATTTTACTTTGCCTGAAAGTATCTTTTTTTCCTCCTTAATATCTTCTTAAAAGATATTTTCCTAAGAATAGAATTTCAAGTACAGTTTTTCCTCTGAGGGCATGAAAGATTTTCCTCTGTCATTTAGTCTCCATTATCGCTCTCGAGAAGTTATCTGTCAGTCTATTCCTTTCACAGTAATTTATCCTTTCTTTGGTGGCTTTTGATACTTTCTCTTTTTATTTAGTGTTTTGCATTCTTACTATTATGTGTTTAGATGTAGATTGCTTTTTATTTATCTTGTTTAAGATTCATTAGAATTCCTGATTCTGTGGACTAGTATATTTTATGATTTCTGGAAAATTCTCTGTGTTATATTTTCAAAGATTGCTTCTGACCTAGTCTTCTTCCCCCTCTGCCCCACTAACCATCTTTCTGAAACTTCAATTAGTTAAACGTTTTAGTTCTTTCCTCTCTACAATCTATACATATCTTTTTTATATATATTTTTTCAATCTAATCATTCTGAGTTACATTATGGCCGTTATTTTTCTATTCTATTTTCCAGTTCATTAAATCTTTCTTCAGCTGTATCAAATCTGTCATTTAACCAGTCCATTGAGTTTTTAGTTTCAGTTACATTTTTCATTTCCAGAAGTTCTATTTGATTTTTTAAAACCCACATAGTCATTCTGTATAGGTAGAATATTATTTTAGAAAAAGAATTCAGTCCATATCACTTCCTTGCTTAAAAAGCTTCTAAGGTATTCCTATAATATTTTTTAAAGATTAAAAAAAAAGAAAGAAAACCACTAATCTGGTATGTTGTAATCTGGATGCTGTCCACCTTGTTGACTTTATCTTGCATCTCACTTTATCTCACTCAATACAATCAGAGCACATTGGCTTTCATCCTGTTCCTCAAAAACAATATTCACTCCTTTGAGCCTTTGCATTATTGTTTCTTCTATCTTGGCATTTGACATGGCTGGTTCCTTCTCTTTATGACAGTATTAGCTCCGATATTATGTCCTTAGAGAGACCACCCTTGACCACACTATCCTGCCCCTACCCCATTCTCCATCATTTTATCATGTTATCCTGTTTTATTGTTTTCATAGCACTATCATTATCTGAAAATATTTCTTTCTTTGTTGATTATCTGCCTTCTCAAAGTAAAAAGAAATTCTGTGAGCACAGAGGCTGTGTTTCTTTTATCCCCCTCTCCTTCCCAGCACCTAGCAGAGTATCTGGCAAATAGTAGGCACTTAATAAATATTTGTTGAATGAATAAGCAAAGTAAGGAACACTTGAATGAATGTATGGAGGCTACTTGGTGGGTGATGACCAAGCTCCACCTGCAGTAATACTGTTAGACCCACAAAATGATTCATTCATATATACTTTAATTCAACAAACAATTATTGGATTCCATTATTAAAGAGAACCCTAAACTTGTGAAGTGATTCTTTTCTAAATCCTAGTGTTCAGTAGTGGAAGTTCAGTAGTGTTCACTCACAGGTTGGTATACATGGTTGGCCTAGCAGGTAGGCACTTACTTGGTACAGCTGGATTTGATTTTTTTAAATTGATACCTTTGTGATCAAATTATCACTATAAAGCAGCAGGATCACAATGAATGCAATAAAAGTGAATGTACTTGTTTGACATGAATAAAGCTAAGGGTATTGTGTCTGTTGGTTCTTTTATATGCTTTGGTTTTGCCCCATGATAGGGTATATATTTAGTAAATTCTTGATTGATCTGATCTAGGTCCTACTTTTAAAGACTCATATTAATATATTAAAGAGCTAAGGTGGAGGAGCCTTACTCCATCATTGCCTGTCACTAGATCAGCCAATCATTATGCAATATTGTTACAGTTTCCATGGCCCTCTTAGATTAATAATTAAATTAGAAATAAATGAGACACTTGATGCTTTCTAGTTGTGGTTTCTACAAGGAAGCTTGTCTTGGAAATGGACAGCTTTTCCTGTGAATTCATATTTGAGGAGATGACATTTAGAGAGTAGTCCTAACACATTCATTACAATTCCTCTTTGTTGGCATAAAGACAGTGAGCTTTTATAAGACTTTATAAAAGGCATATGCAATTATGCCTTTAAATGGTACCTCTTAAATTTCAAAGCAGAAAATAGATTTTTAATCCATTAGAATACTAGTCTTCCAAAAGTTCCCCAACTGGCTTCTGTTGGTTTTGAAAAATGAAATTTGATGTATTAATAGTTCCCATTGTGATTATTATGCCAGTTTTAGAAAGAAATAAATCTTCCACAGACGTCAATCTATCTTAAATTACCATACTGTGGTGATTTTGTGAACAATCATATTTGCTATATTTTCCTGCTATGTATATACTTAAATAACGGTGTACACACACTCTTTGCCAGGGTTGTGAGATGAATAATGCTAATATGTCCTTCAAAATAGAATCTGCTTTTGTTTTACATATAAAGGAAATTAGTTCATATACAAGTTTTAAAATCAGATCTTCTTTCTGCTTAAAGTGAAGGATACTGGCTCCACTAGTCAATCCTTGCTAGTTGTACAAAGTTTTATTTCAGAAATTTATTCAATAAATGATTATTGAAATTAGCTGGGCATGGTAGCACATGCATGTAGTCCCAGCTACTCAGGAGGCTGAGGCCAGAGGATTGTTTGAGCCCAGGAGGTTGAGGCTGCAGTGAGTCGTGATCATGCCACTGCACTCATGCCTGGGCAACAGAGTGAGACTCTGTGTCAAAAAAATTAAAATAAAATAGTAAATGAATGTTCACTGAACATATGTAAGTATGCCAGTCTGTCTTCTAGGTGCTTGGGATGTATCATAAGCAAAAGAGACAAAAATGAGACTTTGTGGATATTGCTTCTATTAGCAATAAATATAATAAATACAAACATTATATAGTATGTTAGAAGGTGAAAACTGCTATGGCAAATCAAGGAGAGCACGGTAGGGGGTTAGAAGTGTGTGATGTAATTTTAGTGGATGGCCTTATGAGTAGATAATATCTGAGCAGAGACCGGAGGAGGTGAGGGAGACAGCCTTGTGGATTTCTTAGGGAAGAACATTTCAGGAAGAGGGAAGAGCTTGTGCAAAGGTCCTATAGAGGCAGGAGGGTGGCTGGCATGTTCAAAGAAGAGAAAAGAGACTAGTGTGGATGCAGATGAGGTCAGGGAGGTAACAGCAGTGAATTTGGGGTGGGCCTATAGCCACATAGGCCTTCTTAGGTCCTTGGCTTTCCCTCAGAGTGAAATGGGGAGCCATTTGCTGGGATTCGACCAACAGCATGATATGGTCTGACTTACTCTTTGAAAGAGTAACTGTCTCCTGGGGGCAGTCACTCTTTCAAAGAGTAAGTCAGACCACATATAAGCTCCTTGACCTCTGAGGGGTAGGAGTGTCTCCTGCTGTGTGTTTTAGAATCCCTCCCCCACCTTGTTTTGTGTCTTTCACTGACTGATTTCTGAACCATGTTCTATTTGCTTGGCCCTGCCACATGGGCCCAGTGTTCATTTGAGCGTAAGTTTACTAAATCCTTTTTCCTGATCGGTCTAATAAAAGATTGATGTGCAATTAAAAAAAAATGACTGTGACTCTTGGGCTGAGAATACACTGCAACAGGGCCAGGATTGCACCAAGAAAGCTATTGCAGGCAACCAGGCAATTACAAATGGCATTCAAAAGTCTAGTTCACATACATTTAACTTCTTAGGAAAAGGTTTTTATCTAGTGGCTTGTGTCTAAAAGCTGAGACCTGGAATGGAAAACATTTTATTATGACAAAATTGATGCCAGGTATATAAATCTAATTGCAAATCTACCCACTAAATTATAAGCTATTGAACCATACAAAACTGTATTTTATATCTGGACTGTAGCATATGTAGCAATCCTGTCCCTAGATGAATATTTTCATTATGCATTTAGCAAGAACAATGGTGGAATCCATCCTTTCTATCACCTTAGTCTATAAATATTACGTGCTGAGACATTATAAGTCACATTACCAGGTTTAGTACATACATTTAAGAAAAGTAGCACTCATCCTTACTGACTTCCTTACCAATGTCCAGTAAGGAAGTGTCTGTCTGTTATTGGCCATTAACAAACATTCTGGAATGTACTTTTTAATAAACTAAACCTTCATCCACAGTAAAATGTGAGTGTGAGTATAAAATAAAAAATCCATCTTATAATTTAAAAAGATTTTCTGTATTTATCAAGAAAACAAGTCAAAAGAGGCGTTGAGAAGCCTCTTTAAGTTTATGACATATACCCAAAGAGATCAGCTTCAAAAACTAGTATACACATATGATCTAGGTACCCATCCTCAAGTCTTCTCCTCCCCTCGGCTTTGATCTGATTGTACTGAAAGTCTTTCACTTCCCCGTGAAAGCTGTGTTTCCTGGGCCAGGTGCTTGTTCACGTGCTGTTCCCTCTTCTTGGAAAGATCCCTTTCACCCCAACTTCAACAGGTTGACTTACATATCAGGGCTCATATTAGATAGTCTGTCCTCCAGAAGCCTTCCCTGTCTCTTGAAGCCTGTGCTCCCATGGTACACTGACTAGTCCACATCATAGCACTTCTCACACCATGAGTGATCATTTCTTATCTAACCACCAGACTGTGAGATAGTAGATGTCTTGTTTATTGTGTATACTGAGCACCTAACATACACCTGGATACACAGTAGCTATCCAAGGAAAAAACATGAGTCCTGTCTGTAGTCTTCCTCAGTATTTATAATCTTGCCCATCTTCCAGAGCATTTATTCAACAAATATTAATGAGCATCTATGTGCTGGGTACTGTGGTAAGTGCTGAAGATAGAAGGGACTATCACAGCTAAAGCCCCTACGCATGGAGATTAGATTCTATGAAGTCTCCATCCACATTCCCTTAAATCCATTTGGCAAGAAAATATCAAAACATACAGTGGGGGAGAAAATAAGGACCTATGGATTGAGTCTGTTGTCCCTTTACTTTATAAAAGATAAGTTGGTCTTGTTTAGTGTTTTGCCTTGATATTTATTTAGTGCCTGATAGAACTGGTGTCAACGTTTTCATCTCATCTCATAGTGAGAACTGTATCTCCCTAGTTTGATTCTCTAAATACCTGTACAAAGCAATTTTCTTTAAATATGATACAATTACTACATGCAGTCTCTCATTTGCTAATTGAACAATGAATTGTATTTGAGATAAAAGTATTGAACAAAGAGTAATATATGAGGTGGGATTGGGAACTAGTAAGATTGAATCCATATACCACACACTAAAATGAATCCACTCCTTCTGAGCCATAGAATATAGGTATTTATAATTTATCTCTTCTTATTGCATAAGATAATGACATTGCAACAAGCCTTGACGGGAAGAAGCGAAATGTTCTGATGTTTAACCTTGATGTTCAAATGATGAAATTGTGAGCTGGAACTAATCTTAGTAATCTCAGTCAATGTGCAAAACAGTTTCCCAGAGTAGCCAGCTGTATTGATGGTAGATTTTAAAGTATGAATTAAAGGAAGACTTAGGGCAACTCCTCACCCATTGGGAGAATCCCGTCACTACACGCTTTTGCTTATTTTTTCAAAAAGCCTCCCTTATGAGCATTGTTATTTGTCCTTCTGTACTCTGCATTCCTGGCTCTTAACATTGAATCCTGCATGTTTAGAAGTGGAGTAGAAGCTCAGGCAATGGATAGAATAAATTTTGGGGGTTCTCAATTAGGGATTGGAATAAGAATCCATGCCTGCCATATTTGAGGAACGTCAGTGACAATTTGGAATGCAGTGAGCATTGTGATATAAGAAGTTCTTGAAGGGTTTTGCACAGAGGAGTGACCTGATATTAATCATGATTTAAAAGGATGGTTCTGTGGCAGTATGTGACAAATGGGCTATAAGGGGACAAAAACAAATAAGTAAGATAGAAATGTATTGCCAAAGTGCAGGCAGGAGATGGTGTGGGCAGGGTGGTGATGGTGGAAGTGATAAGGGGTGGTTGCATTCTGGACTGAATATGGGGTATAATATAGACAAAGAAGTCGAGGATAACTAAGGTTTTTGACCTGAATGACTGGAAAGGTGAAATTTCCATTTTCTGAAATGGGAGACTCTATATAATAGGAAGAATGGACTTTATATAATAGGTAGGTGTTGAGAAATCAGAAATTCAGACTTGGGCATGTACAGCTAAATCTTTAAATGGACCTGCCGAGTAGGTATTTGGGGATAGAAATCTGGAGTTCAGGGGAGAGGTCAGGACAAGAGATATAAATTTTATTTAACAATTTATAGATGGTATTTAAAGTCTTGAGACTGGATGAGGACGTGTGGAGAGTGAGAGTATACATAGAAGAGAAGAAATCCAAGGACTGGGCCCTGGGTCCTCCAGCATTTGGAAGTTTGTATGATGAAGAGGACCTGGCAAAGAAGGCTGAGATGGAGTGGCCAGTGGGGTAGACAGAATGAAAAGAAAGAGGTGTCCTGGAAGCCACGTGAGGAAATATTTCACAGAGAGCTAATTTTGGTGCTGCTGATTAGATGAGAACTGAAACATGATCATTAGATTTGACAACCTGGAAGTCATTGGTGACTTTCACAAGAGCTGTACACACACACACACACACACACACACACACACACACACACACACACACACCCAAATACCCACACGTCCTATGGGACGAGGGGAGAGGGAGGGAGAAATAAAAAAAATGGAAAGTCTTAATTGATGAATTAGGGTAAAGGGAATATGGGAAATATTTGTATTATTCTTGTAATTTTTTCCTGTAAGTTTGAAATGATTTTAAAATAAGAAATTTTAAAAAGAGAAAATGATAAGAAAGAAGTGAAGACAAAGTATACAGGCAACACTTGTGAAAAAGAAGTACAGAAATGGAGTTATAGAGGAAGTAATATGTGTGATTAAGGAAGGTTTTTTTTTTTTAAGCTGGGAGATATTATTATATGTTGTATGCTGCTGGAAACAATCCAGCAGACAAAAAATCTGTAATGCCAAAGAGGAAGGAGTTGCTAGGCATGTGCTTGATTTTTCAAATAAGAAAGGGATTCTTCAGATCCCCTCCCACCAAACATGAGAATGCGTTCTACAACATTCTGAAGGGCACCTGGCCATGCAGACTCTGCTAGGGGAGAATACATTTCCTAGTTTTTTCCAGCTTCTATAGACACATTCCTCATATTCCTTGGCTCGTGGCTCCTTCTTCCATCTTCAAAGCCAAGGGTTTCCATCTTTTCTGTCTGACTCTGCTTCACCCTATTTTCTATTGCTTGGCCTTCTTCTCTCCTGTCTGTCAAATCTCCCTCTGCCTTGCTCTTAGAATACTTGTGGTTACATTTAGGGCTCACATGGATAATCCAGGATAATCACCCATGCCACAATCCTTAACTTTTTCCATGGATAATAGGGTTCATAGGTTCCAGGGATGGGGACCTGGATATCTAGGGGCCACTGTTTAGCCTACTCAAGTATTAAATCAGCATGAAGGGGGCTTTGCCCTTTCACTGCTTCTGGGTCCATTCTTGTCTGTTAATGAACTGATAAATGGAAAAGAGAAGAGTAATCTGAAAAGCATACAACCTTTTATGGAATCCTTTCATTCAGAAAAATATACAGAGGGATTGAATGCTTTGCTTGGAGGCCCCATTCCTGCTGCTATTGTAGCAGCTGTGGCCACACAGGTCAGCAGTTCTGGCTGGCATTGCATACTGGCAGCTCTGCTGAAGTGGCCTATGCAGTCAGCAGAATGCTGCTTAAATGAAGTGTAGTATTTTTCTAACTTGCGGTTACTCCCTTATCTGCTTTATTTAACTGTCTCAGATGACAGTGCCGCAGAATTTTTTAATAAAGTGGCCCTAGACTCAGCTCCAGATTCCAGGCCCAGAGAATCTGGTTGTAAACACTTCTTTCAATTGACCCACATAACGAATTCTTGGATCGCATTTTTCCATGTATCCCTATTTTATTATTTCTTTTCCATATTGAACTCCAAAAATTTGTCATGAAATTTGCTTCCTATCAACCTGAGAGGAACCCAGGCTAAACAAGACAAAATTTAGGATGCACCATCTCTAGGCATCTTCTACCAAAAAGATGGCCAACCTCCACATCCATTACCTCTAGCTCAGAACAATATGCAGGGCCCTGAAATAGGCACTCTGAAGGTAGAAAGGCTAATAAGGAGAAATGCCTCCACTTTGGGAGTTTATAATAAGTAGGACAGATAGGATGTGAGCATCCAAGCCTGTTATGAGACACACGCTCTAAGAAAGTTGTGGGTTGATATGGAAGATGTCACTCTTGGCTGAGGTCAGGGAGGATCAGGGAAGACTTCTTGGATGTGTTTGGGAGGCTGGGACTTGCCCACAGACTGGATGAGGGTGTTCAGGAAGCACAGAGGTCAGAACACAAAAAGAATCCTGAGCCTGAGGGGTGAGTGGAGAAAGGAAAGCCAAGAGTGAAAAGCAGATGTGGCTAAGGTGTATTTTGATGGATTTGGTTCTGAAATGGCTAGCATATGGAAAACTGTAGAAAGTAGATATGAAGTTACACCTGGATCTAAGAGACAGGGCTGAGACTGTGGACTAGAGAATTGGAGATTCTATGACTAAGGTCTTAGAAGTGGACAAGATTGCTAAGGATAACATGAAGGTAAAAGTAAGGGACCCTGGCAGAAACCTACCTCGAGGATACAGGGAGCACCAACGGAGGCATCGGAGTAGTTAAAGGCAAACTGACATCTAAACACACAAACCACTAAACACTCAGGAGGACAAGGAGACTGCATCGTGCAGATGGCCAGCAAAGACAGCATTCGAGACATCCTTGTCTCTAGCAGAGTCAACTGTCATAAAGGCAACCCTGTCTCTCTGTATTTATCACTTGTAGTGTGAATATATTCAAATGCCATGTGAGGCATTCATGAAATTTGGCAGGTTTTACAGATAGCTGTTTAGATAGGAGGGCAGGACAAGTTAATGTATGCAACTGAGTCCAACTGGAAAAGCCCCTCAAAGCCATGGCACCCTTTGCACTATGACCTATCCATGTATTTAACTCTAGGACTTAAACTAAGAACAATTTCATTGTCAGAAAACAGGACTAAATTCTGTGAATTGGATAGAAAATCAAAATTGTGAGCATGTATCCATGAAGCAATCAACATAGTTAAGTGGCTTGACTGTTGCTGAGATTATTGGCAAATATTCATTTGCTACTTGTCCAATCACTTTATCATTTGCTAGTCGTTATAAACAGAAAAAATGGAAGCAAGGACTAAAAGTTTAAGAAAATGATTGCAGGAAACAATCTCCAAATGGAGAACATTTGACTGTAAGTATTGAGAGCTGAGCTAAGCCAATTTGGATATTTATTATTTGTTAGATTCTGTTTGATGACTATCAGAAGAATGGCCTCTGAAGAATAGAATTCAGTAGGAGTATCTGCTTCCTCCTAGACAGCTTTGCTATCAGATGGCATGTTTCAATTAAAACAAATTTCTACCCTGTGTTCAGCTATTTATTATAAGAACACAGAATTCTACCCTGTGTTCAGCTATTTATTATAAGCAGGCATAAACACTTTTACTAAAAGATTGGTCAAAGGTCCAATTCAATATATTTTAAAGCATTTTGCATGAAATGAACACTCTGAGGCAAATGCAAAAATATTCTCATGACAGGACCAATTAACCTTTTAGTTACGTCAGGTGAAGGGATTCTTCATTATGCGATGAGAGTAGGAGGCACTTGTTTTGAATGGAGCTCAAGAATTAGGTGCTCTGTTTGGCTGGTGGGTGGACCTCACTCTTATGCCCAATTTGTGTAGGGGGTAAGGTACCTGTACAACATTTCTAGCTACCACATGTCTTAAACATTCCTTATTTCATCAAAGATAAATTGTTTTACTTATCCCTATGGAGCAAATCCAGATAGCAATAGTTGAAGCTCACGCCTGAGAAGTGTGGACTACTGAATACGCTATTTCAAGTGTTAACTTAGCATCCCTAGAGTGCAAATTAAGTTAACTTGCACATACACATATTCATGATATGATCTAAATGGAAGTGTATTAAGGTAAATTACAGACAATATAA
Source organism: Homo sapiens (assembly GCF_000001405.40). Taxonomy (NCBI): domain Eukaryota; kingdom Metazoa; phylum Chordata; class Mammalia; order Primates; family Hominidae; genus Homo; species Homo sapiens. The sequence continues at coordinate 7,397,518 of NC_000007.14, read as the reverse complement.
TTATTATCTTACTTTTTGTATAAATAGAGCAAAAGCCACCGTGGTAAGCTAAATAATGGTTCTCAAAGACGTCCACATCTGAATCCCTGGAATTAGTACATATTACCTTAAATGGCAGAAGGAATCCTGAGTTGGGGAGATTATCCTGGATTATCTGGGTGGGCCTTGAATATAAGGCCCGAATGTCCTTTATAAGAGGGAGGCAAAAGGAGAAGAGACTATGGAAGATGCATCGTGATGATGGAAACAGACTGGAGTGCAGGAAGATGGAGGAAAACTGTTGAATACAGGTGGCCACCAGCAGCTGAAAAAATTAAGGAAATAGATTCTCTTCTTACAGCCTCTAGAGGAAACCAGCCCTGTTGACACCTTGACTGTAGCCCAGTGAAATTGATTTCAGACTTCTGACTTCCAGAACTGTAAGAGAATACCACTAAATTCATGGCAATTCATTACAACAGCAATAGAAAACAGATAGCCATCAGTATTAATGTCAGCAGCATCTTGGTCCAGCACAGGGACATTTCCATGGGAGCCGTTCTGAAAACCCTTGCTGTACATGGCTGACAGTGCTTAGGTTATTAACAAAAGCCCTGCATTGAGGGCCATGGAGACAGGGGAAGAGGTACAAATGGTGCAGGTTTTAAACTGTTTTTAGGAACAGACTCAAAATCAGTCCCTGCATCTATAAAAGGTCAACTATTTCTCTGCCTTTCACCAGACACAATGGAACTAGATCACCATTTGAATGAAAATCAAATATAATGAAGCCATGTTTTTGTTCCATTAAGCCCATCAGGATTGTATTCTGGCCAGGTACCAAATGAGCCAGGCCTACACTTCAACAAATGGCTTGCCTGATAACAAGTAACTTACTCATTGATTCTGTTCCCAACCAAATAGGGTGCTTTATTGAACAAGCATTAGGCCGTCTTAGTCCCCATTAGAGAATGTTAACATATCTATATGGGACATTAAGTTAGAGGGATTGAATTGCACAAAGGAAAAGGATTTTAAAACACTGGAAGCTGCTGATTATCAAGTCAGAGAAGGGGAAACTGCCTGGCTTCTGCTCTACACCAAGATAGTATTAGGGAATGAAAACCAGCAAAGCCTTTGTTCGGAGGGACTGCCAGCTTTGTATTTGAGTGAAAGTATTAGTGAAGCCTTGGTTTTATCATGTATATACTTGCTCCCAGGGTTATCACAAAAATTAAATGAGTATATGAGCTCAATTCTTTGCACATGGGCACACAATAAATGGCAGTTGCTGGTTACAGTAGGAGAATTAGGATCAGAACTTCAGGGGGAAGGAGATCAATACCCAAATGGCAGACCACTGGGTTGCTCTAGGGGGTCTCTGGATAAGGTCCTTCTATCAATATGTATAATTTTATGTACTAGAAAGGCTAATGAGAAATACCTTTACCTTCTCAAGTGAATTAGCTGTACTCACAAAGCAGAAAATGATCCCTTTCAAAACAAAGGTAGTTCGTGGATTCCAGGCCAAATACTTGTTGACTATTCAGGTAGGTCACTGCGTCTTGTTAACTGTTATTAACCCACTAAGTCAACATCTTAATCCTGGCTGTTTTATTTGACCTAGCAGAAGGCTTTCACACACCACTTTCAAAATGTACAGTTCCCCCGGTTCCTAATTAGCAATAACGTAATTAGAAAGGAGGACAGGCAAACTAGAAGAGAAGTAGAGGAAAGAATGGTAAAATTATTTATTCTGGGATGTTTTGGGGGCCATGAAAAAGTAGTGGGGATGGGTTTAAACTTTTGATATGGTTGCATGATTGCATCCCAGCAAAGAAAATTTTGTGCTAAAGTAAAATTCTTCCTCTTCTCAGAGCTTTTACAGCAAGTGCTCTCAACCAACCATGTTCCAATTGACTATAACTGATGGTTAGCCAGAAGTTTCATTTGTTTGTAATGTGTAACCAGGTCTCTCTGATTTATCACACAGGACTGCAAATCTTAATGGAGGAGAAACCCAAGCTTCTGTTTGAGCTAGAAATGCTGGCCATTATTATTGGCCTTAGTTAGCCATTTTTCGTTTTGCAAAAGTTGGAAAATGATAAGGAAGAAAGCAACTTAATAGTAAAATGAAAAGAGTACAAAGATGAAAGATTAAAAGGTGAAATGTTTTCACTGAATTAAGCCTGGGTTTGGGCCAAAATCCCATTCAGGTACCACAGCTGGTTTGTTTGTGTTTTTTTAAGACGGAGCCTCACTCTGTTGCCCAGGCTGGAGTGCAGTGATGTGATCTTGGCTCACTGCAGAACTCTGTCTCCTGAGTTCAAGTGATTCTCCTGCCTCAGCCTCCCAAGTAGCTGGGACTACAGGAGCATGCCACCACACCTGGCTAATTTTTGGTATTTTTAGTAGAAACAGGGTTTCGCCATGTTGGCCAGGCTGGTCTCGAGCTCCTGGCCTCAAGTGATTCTCCCACCTCAACCTCCCAAAGTGCTGGGATTACAGGCATAAGCCACCATGCCCAGCCCATAGCTGTTTTTTTCTCTCAACTTCCACATTTCAGTCTGAGGCAATGAGCAAGTGCCGAAATCCAAGAACAGCTCATTCCTTTTTCTCCTTAAGAGTGAACCTCCTAGTACAGTTTTGTAAATGTAAAATACCTATCTCTTCTTAGAAATAAGTAGTGTGTTATAAATAATTACCTCTATTATTACCTATGAGATGACAAAGGAACCTTGGGAAGGCATGAACTCAAACAGGAAGGGAAAAGATTCCTTTTCTTGCTGTCCAGCCCTGGTGTCCTACTTCTCCATTAGCATTTATATTATCCATGTGTAGATAGAATTCACAGTCTCGGGGTAGATAACCAGCATCAGACCTACAAACTGGCTGTGTCCAAGTGGACAATCCTGCTGGTTTAAAAGATTGAACTGACCCTCCATAGCTATAGCATCCTGAATTTCCTTATTGTCATGGCCAACCTCAGCAACTGCAGCAGAAAATACAGCTTTCAACACATCTTCAAATGAATTTAAGAATAAGTTAAATAAACCTTACGAAAAGTAAGAATATCAAAGTGCAGAATATTATTAGTTTCCCATACTATAAAATCAAATTTATAGAAAGCTTATATAGGATTGCAGGCTGGCAAGATGGCTGAATAGGAACAGCTCTGGTCTGCAGCTCCCAGTGAGATCAATGCAGAAGGCTGGTGATTTCTGCATTTCCAACTGAGGTACCTGGCTCATCTCACTGGGACTGGTTAGACAGTGGGGGCAGCACACAGAGGGTGAGTTGAAGTAGGGTGGGGCATTGCCTCACCTGGAAAGCACAAGGGGTCAGGGAACTCCCTCCCCTAGCCAAGGGAAGCCATGAGGGACTGTGCCATGAGGAACGGTGCACTCTGGTCCAGATACTATGCTTTTCCCACAGTATGCACAGCCCACAGACCGGGAGAGTCCCTTGGGTGCCTACGCCACCAGGGCCCTGGGTTTCAAGCACAATACTGGGAGGCTGTTTGGGCAGACACCGAGCTAGCTGCAGGAGTGTTTTTTTTTTTCATACCCCAGTGGCACATGGAACGCCAGCGAGACAGAACTGTTCACTCCCCTGGAAAGGGGGCTAAAGCCAGGGTGCCAAGTGGTCTACTTCAGCGGATCCCACCCCCGCGGAGCCTAGCAAGCTAAGATCCAATGGCTTGAAATTCTCACTGCCAGCACAGCAGTCTGAAGTTGACCTGGGATGCTCAAATTTGGTGTGGAGAAAGAGGTCCACTTTTCCCCTCACAATGTAAAGAAAGTTGCGGGGAAGTCCCAATTGGGTGGAATCCTCCACAGCTCAGCAATGCCGCTGTAGCCTGACTGCCTCTCTAGATTCGTCCTCTCTGGTCAGGGCATATCTGAAAAAAGGCAGCAGCCCAGCAAGGGGCTTATAGATAAAACCCCCGTCTCCCTCGGACAGAGCACCTGGGGGAAGGGGAGACTGTGGGTGCAGCTTCAGCAGACTTAAACATCCCTGCCTGCTGGCTTTGAAGAGAGCAGTGCATCTCCCAGCCCAGCGTTCAAGCTCTGCTAAGGGTCAGACTGCCTCCTCAAGTGGGTCCCTGAACCCTGTGTCTCCTGACTGGGAGACACCTCCCACCAGCAGACATCTCATACAGGAGAGCTCTGTCTGGCATCTGGTGGGTACCCGTCTGGGACGAAGCTTCCAGAGGATTGAACAGGTGGCAGTCTTTGCTGTTCTGCAGCCTCCACTGGTAATGCCCAGGCAAACAGGGTCTGGAGTGGACGTCCAGCAAACTCCAGCAGACCTGCAGCAGAGGGGCCAGACTGTTAGAAGGAAAACTAACAAACAGAAAGTAATAGCATCAACATCAACAAAAGGACATCCACTCAGAAACCCCATCTGAAGATCACCAACATCAAAGAACAAAGGTAGATAAATCCATGAAGATGAGGAAAAACAAGCACAAAAAGCCAGAACGCCTCTTCTCCTCCAAAGGATCACAACTCCTCGCCAGCAAGGGAACAAAACTGATCGAGAATGAATTTAACGAATTGACAGAAGTAGGCTTCAGAAGGTGAGTAATACCAAACTCCTCTGAGCTAAAGGAGCATGTTGTAACCCAATGCAAGGAAGCTAAGAACCTTGAAAAAAGGTTAGAGGAATTGCTAACTAGAATAACTAGCTTAGAGAAGAACATAAATGACCTGATGGAGCTGAAAAACACAGCACGAGAACTTCGTGAAGCATACACAAGTATCAATAGCCAAATCAATCAAGTGGAAGAAAGGATATCAGAGATTGAAGATCAACTTAATGAAATAAAGCATGAAGACAAGATTAGAGAAAAAAGAATGAAAAGGAACCAACAAAGCCTCCAAGAAATATGGGACTATGTGAAAAGACCAAACCTACGTTTGATTGGTGTACCTGAAAGTGACATTGAGAATGGAACCAAGTTGGAAAATACTCTTTAGGATATTATCCAGGAGAACTTCCCCAACCTAGCAAGACAGGACAACATTCAAATTCAGAAATTACAGAGACCACCACAAAGATACTCCTCGAGAAGAGCAACCCCAAGGCACATAATAGTCAGATTCACCAAGGTTGAAATGAAGGAAAAAATGTTAAGGGCAGCCAGAGAGAAAGGTCAGGTTACCCACAAAGGGAAGCACATCAGACTAACAGCAGATCTCTCTGCAGAAACCCTACAAGCCAGAAGAGAGTGGGAGCCAATATTCAACATTCTTAAAAGAATTTTCAACCCAGAATTTCATATCCAGCCAAACTAAGCTTCACAAGTGAAGGAGAAATAAAATCCTTTACAGACAAACAAATGCTGAGAGATTTTGTCACCACTGGGCCTGCCTTACAAGAGCTCCTGAAGGGAGCACTAAACATGGAAAGGAACAACCAGCACCAGCCAATGCCAGAAACATACCAAATTCTAAAGACCATTGACACTGAAGAAATTGCATCAACTAATGAGCAAAATAACCAGCTAACATCATAATGACCGGATCAAATTCATACATAACAATATTAACTGTAAACGGGCTAAATGCCCCAATTAAAAGACACAGACTGGCAAATTAAATAACAAGTCAAGACCCATCAGTGTGTTGTATTCAGGAGACCCATCTCATGTGCAAGGACACACATAGGCTCAAAATAAAGAGGTGGAGGGATATTTATCAAGCAAATGGAAAGCAAAAAAAAAAAAAAAAAAAGCAGGGGTTGCAATCCTAGTCTCTGATAAAACAGACTTTAAATCAACAAAGATCAAAAAAGACAAAGAAGGGCATTACATAATGGTAAAGGGATCAATGCAACATGAAGAGCTAACCTAAATATATAGGCACCCAATACAGGAGCACCCACATTTATAAAGCAACTTCTTAGAGACCTACAAAGAGACTTAGATTCCCACACAATAATAGTGGGAGACTTTTACACAGCACTGTCAATATTACACAGATTAACGAGACAGAAAATTAACAAGGATATTTTGGACATGAACTCAGCTCTGGACCAGCTGGACCTAATAGACATCTACAGAACCTTCCACCCCAAATCAGCAGAATATGCATTCTTCTCAGCACTACATCACCCTTATTCTAAAATTGAGCACATAATTGGAAGTAAAACACTCCTCAGCAAATGCAAAAGAATGGAAATCATAACAAACAATCTCTCAGACCACAGTGAAATCAAATTAGAACTCAGGATTAAGAAACTCACTCAAAACCGCACATCTACATGGAAACTGAACAACCTGCTGCTGAATGACTACTGGGTAAATAACGAAATTAAGGCAGAGATAAATAAGTTCTTTGAAACCAAGGAGAACAAAGATACAAGGTACCAGAATCTCTGAGCCACAGCTAAAGCAGTGTTTAGAGGGAAATTTATAGCACGAAATGCCCACAAGAGAAAGTGGGAAAGATTTAAAATCGACACCCTAACATCGCAACTAAAGAACTAGAGAAACAAGACCAAACAAATTCAAAAGCTAGAAGAAGACAAGAAATAACTAAGATCAGAGCAGAACTGAAGGAGATAAAGACACAAAAAGACTCTTCAAAAAATCAGTGAATCCAGGAGCTGGTTGAAAAGATCAACACAATAGACCACTAGCTGGACCAATAAAAGAGAGAAGAATCAAATAGATGCAATAAAAAATGATAAAGGGGATATCACTGCTGATCCCACAGAAATACCAACTACCATCAGAGAATACTATAAATACCTCTATGCAAATAAACTAGAAAATCTAGAAGAAATGGATAAGTTCCTGGACACATACACACTTCCAAGCCCAAACCAGGAAGAAGTTGAATCCTCGAACAGACCAAAACAAGTTCTGAAATTGAGGCAGTAATTAATAGCCTACCAAGCAAAAAAAGCCCAAGACCAGACAGATTCACAGCCGAATTCTAACAGAGGTACAAAGAGGAGCTGGTACCATGTCTTCTGAAACTATTCCAAACCATAGAAAAAGAGGGACTCCTCCCTAACTCATTTTATGAGGCCGGCATTATCCTGATATGAAAACCTGGCAGAGACCCAACAAAAAGAGAAAATTTCAGGCCAATATTCCTGATGAACATCAATGCAAAAATTCTCAATAAAATACTGGCAAACTGAATCCAGCAGCACATCAAAAAGCTTAACCACCACGATCAAGTTGGCTTCATCCCTGGGATGCAAGGCTGGTTCAACATACGCAAATCAAGTAACATAATCCACCACCTAAACAGAACCAATGACAAAAACCACATGATTGTCTCAATAGATGCAGAAAAGGCCTTTGACAAAATTCAACATCCCTTCATGCTAAAAACTCTCAATAAACTAGGTATTGATGGATCATATCTCAAAATAATAAGAGCTATTTATGACAAACCCAAAGCCAGTATCATGTGGAATGGGCAAAAACTGGAAGCATTCCCGTTGAAATTTGGCACAAGATAGGGATGCCCTCTCTCACCATTCCTATTCAACATAGTATTGGAAGTTCTGGCCAAGGCAATCAGTCAAGAGAAAGAAATAAAGGGTATTCAAATAGGAAGAGAGGAAATCAAATTGTCCCTACAGATGACGTGGTTGTATATTTAGAAAACACTATTGTCTCAGCCCAAAATCTCCTTAAGCTGATAAGCAACTTCAGCAAAGTCTCAGGATACGAAATCAATGTGCAAAAATCACAAGCATTCTTATACACCAATAACAAACAAACAGAGCCAAATCATGAGTGAACTCCCATTCACAATTGCTACAAAGAGAATAAAATACCTAGGAATACAACTTACAAGGGATGTAAAGGACCTCTTCAAGGAGAACTACAAACCACTGCTCAAGGAAATAAGAGAAGACACAAACAAATGGAAAAGCACTCCATGCTCATGGACAGGAAGAATCAATATTGTGAAAATGGTCATACTGCCCAAAGTAATTTATAGATTCAATGCAATCCCTATCAAGCTACTATTGACTTCCATCACAGATTTAGAAAAATCTACTTTAAATATCTTATGGAATCAAAAAAGAGCTCACATAACCAAGACAATCTTAAGCAAAAAGGACAAAGCTGGAGGGATTACGCTACCTGACTTCAAACTATACAATGAGGCTACAGTAACCCAAACAGCATGGTATTGGTACCAAAACAGATATGTTGACCAGTGGAACAGAACAGAAGCCTCAGAAATAACACTATACATCTACAACCATCTGGTCTTTGACAAACCTGACAAAAACAAGCAATGAGGAAAGGATTTCCTATTTAATAAATGGTGTTGGGAAAACTGGCTAGTCATATGCAGAAAATGAAACTGGACCCCTTCCTTACACTTTATACAAAAATTAACTCAAGATGGATTAAAGACTTAAGTAAGACCTAAAACCTTAAAAAAAAACCCTAGAAGAAAACCTAGGCAATACCATTCAGGACATAGGCATGGGCAAAGGCTTCATGACTAAAATACCAAAAGCAATGGCGACCAAAGCCAAAATTGACAAATGGGATCTAATAAACTAAAGAGCTTCTGCACAGCAAAAGAAACTATCATCAGAGTGAACAGGCAACCTACAGAATGGGAGAAAATTTTTGCTATCTATCCATCTGACAAAGGGCTAATATCCAGAATCTACAAAGAACTTAAATTTACAAGAAAAAAACAACCCCATCAAAAAGTGGGTGAAGGATATGAACAGACACTTCTCAAAAGAAGACATATATGTAGTCAGCAAACGTGAAAAAAAGCTCATCATCACTGTCATTAGAGAAATGCCAATCAAAACCACAATGAGATACCATCTCACACCAGTTAGAATGGCGATCATTAAAAAGTCAGAAAACTACAGATGCTGGAGAGGATGTGGAGAAATAGGAATGCTTTTACAGTGTTGGTGGGAGTGTAAATTAGTTCAACCATGTGGAAGACAGTGTGGCGATTCCTCAAGGATCTAGAACCAGAAATACCATTTGACCCAGCAATCCCATTACTGGGTATATACCCAAGGGATTATAAATCATTCTATAAAGACACATGCACCCACATGTTTATCGCGGCGCTGTTCACAATAGCAAAGGCATGGAACCAACCCAAATGCCCGTTAATGATGGACTGGATAAAGAAAAGTGGCAATATACACCATGGAATACTATGCAGCCATAAAAAAGGATGAGTTCATGTCCTTTGCAGAGACATGGATGAAGCTGGAAACCATCATTCTTAGCAAACTAACATAAGAACAGGAAACTGAACACTGCATGTTCTCACTCATAACTGGGAGTTGAAAAATGAGAACACATGGGTACAGGGAGGGGAACATCACACACCAAGGCCTGTCATGGGGTGGGGGGCTAGGGGAGGGATAGCATTAGGAGAAATGTCTAACGTAGATGATGGGTTGATGGGTTCAGCTAACCACCGTGACACATGCATACCTATGTAACAAACCATGTTCTGCACATGTACCCCAGAAATTATAATTTAAAAAAATTGAACTGAAATTGGTATGAATACAAATCCTAGGGAAGTATAGAGGCTTCTGGTAACAGTAGAAGCCTCCTGAATTCAAACAGCAGAAGCTGTTTCTGCGTAGGGAGAAATCCACACCTGCAGCTTTGTTTTAGGTCTTTTGATTTTCTTTTAGCCTTTGGGCTCCCAAACTTTGAGTAGGCAAAGTACCTGTATACTCATATGCTTTAGCCGCTGCAGCAGTGATAGCTGACATCTTTTTGCAACCACTTGGTACGTTTATTCATGCATTCATTTTATGTATTAATGTTTAACTTTTATTTTGAAATAATTTCAGACTTGCAAAAAAAGTTGCAAAGATAATACAAAGAATTTTTATATATCCTTTACCCAGATTCTATAAATGTTAATATTACCACATTTGCTATATCACTTTGCATATATATATATATGTCTGTGTCATATTATTTTTCTGCAACGCTTGAGAGTAAAATTCAGATTTGGTACCCATTTACTCCTAATACATCAGTATTTTTGCTACAAACAAGCACATTCTCTTATATAACACAGTACAATAATAAACATCAGAAAATTATTGATATAATACTATTTAATCTATAGAACTCATTTAAATTTTGCCAAGTGTTTATCTAATTCTTTTTAACTTTTTAAAGTATTGTTTTATTCTTTAGTAAAGGATTATTTATATGCAGTAAAATTTACTCTTTTTAGTATGCAGTTTTATGTGTTCCAGCAAACCCGTACGAGGAGGCATCTAATGGTCTGGGCGTGGTTTCCTGACCCTCCACAAATAGTAGGGCATCTCTAAAGATCTGGGCCCAGGATTCATTCTTGCAAGGTTTATTCTGTTTCCTTCAAAAGGAAACAGAATGTGGTCTGAAAATTCATATGGTCCCCACATTCATATGTTGAAATTTTAACCCCCAAGTCGATGGCGTTAGGAAGTGGGGCCTTGGGGTGGTGATTAGGTCACCTCTGTCCTCAGGAATGGGATTAGCACCCTTATAAAGGAGGCCCCAGGGAGCTGTCTTGTCCCTTCCACCATGTGAGGACACGGCAAGAAGGTGCCACCTATGAACCAGGAAATGGACCCTCACCAGACACTGAATTTGCCAATTCCTTGATCGTGGGCTTTCTAGCCTCCAGAACTGTGAGAGATAATCTGCTGTTGTTTATAAGCCACCCAGTCTATGGTATTTTGTTATAGCAGCACAAACAGACTGCGACCTGTGGGACCTGTGCTTCCCTTCCCAGGCTAGCACCACAAGGGAAGCCTACTCCTGACCCTAGTCCTGGCCCCAGTCTTTCTCTTGAGCACCAGCAAAGTCCCTGAGAAGAGTCTGTGAGTAGCTGTGATTTTCTCTTGTGCCTGCAGCTCCCAGGGGTCCTATCCCCTCCTGCTATCCCACACTCAGCCTTTAGCATCCTGTTAAAAATTTTAGCTAAATTCTCACCAGCTTGTATAACATGTGGCACCTCCACCAGGTAGGTGAATTTCCAAGCCTGTGTCTCCTTGAAGGATCTTGACTTTCCTTAGATGCTGAATTGGCGGGATGCCCTGCAACCACAGCTCTATGATGGATTCAAGAAAAGCTGTGACTTCACAGATTAGTTCTCATTTTTTGTTGTTGGGGCTTTAAGAATGAGAGTAGCATTTTTTTCCACTTTTCTACACACTGGCAGAAGCCAGATGTCCATTTTACATTTTATGATCATCTATAAATTTGATTTTTTTCTTACCACACCTTACTGAGAAAACATTTCGAAAGAAAAATCATTGTTTCCTGACGTATCAGTAATGCACAAATAAATCAATGGAAACATTCAGGTAGATGTGCATTATTCTTAGAAATTTCTCTCCCAGAGAACAAGCAGTCATCTGAAAAATGAAAATGATCACTTCTTTATCAGGACCCATCTAATGTGGTGATATAGTGATTAACCAGGGTTTGAAATTTAGATTTAATTATAGCTTCCAATAAAATAGGTTGTTTCCTGCAGTTGTTTCTGACCCACACTCAAATCATTGTTTATCATTTTCCTGAGACTTATACATTGAAAAGTCTGATTGGATAGCATTCACCTCTGCCAAGATCAGACATGGATTTACTTGCTAAAGGCTTTTAGCTAGATAGTCTACTCTGAAAGTTATAGGAAGCCTTTAAGTATTTTGAAGGGAAACTAGTGATTAAAAAGAAAATGAATTGCCTTTATTATAGGGAAATCTAGCTGCCTGGAATATCTATAGTGTTAACAGTTATATAGAAAATACTTACATTGTGAAGTAATGCAAAAGAAGTTCCTGAACATTACCCTAACAAGATAATTTGCTACTCTAATGTTTTTTCCCTCAGGCACGTGTCATGCTTCCCCTTACAACAGTAGGTTTTAGCTATATTAGGAAATTGTGTCATTTCTTAAAGGCAGCTAGTTAGTCATGAACATGTATTGGACATCTTCTGGAGGAATCTGAAATATTGCAAAAGAAATAATTATTCTGAGTAATTGTCAGAAAGGTATGGCATTCTTTCTGGATTCACTTTGTCTAAACATATAACTCCTAGCGATAATTCACCATCACACCACAGTCTCAGCTCCTCTGTTTATCACACTGTTCTGTCCTTTCAGGCTGAGACAAAGCCAACCATGGATTTCCTCTTAGTGTTCTCCCATGAGCCTTTAGTCTGTCTTATCCCTGGCCAACTGTACCCCCTAACTTAGGTACAGCGGTCTGACGCATCTCCCTTGCAACCCAAACCTTCTACCAGGTACCTCATTGAATGAAAATGTCCTCATTCACCTCCACAAAAAATCTGAGAAAACAAATTTATACCAAAGTGTGATTTACCAAGACATCTTTCTTAAGAGATATCGTTCCTATACTATTTGCGTTTGTTTTCCTTTTGATTTGAACAGAAGAAGATGGTATAACCTCAGGCAGGTAGCTGCCTGCAGTCCTGCATATCACTCTGGGGGCTGGCTGCTAGTCTGTATGTAGGCAGACCCCACTAACCTTCATGTTCAGAAGCAGGCTGCAGATCCACTCCTATTAGAGCATGTTTTGCAGGGAGCCTCATGAGGCTGTTCTGTGTTATCTACACTTTCCCACCTATTCATCTTCATGACACCTATGTTGGGAGTGCCATCTTTGGAAACAGGACAAATTTTTCTCCTCTCCTTTTTTTTGATTGAATTTTCATCTTGGAATGCCAGTGTCAGTTTAATGTTTAGGGTTTATTTAACTGGTACAAATTCCTATCCAGGGTTCTGGGGCTCCCAATGATATCAAGTTTCCTGGTGGGAAAAGATTACAGTAGTCCCTCCTTATCTGCAGGAGATATGTTCCGATATTCCCAGTGGATGCTTGAAACCTTGGATACTACCAAACCCTAAATATGCTATGTTTTTTCTATATACACATACCTATAATAAGGCCTAATTTAAAATTAGGCACAGTAGGAGATTAACAAACACATAATAAAATAGAACAACTATAAGCAATATACTGTCATCAAAGTTATGTGAATGTGGTCTCTCTCAAAATATCTTACTGTACTATACTCACTTATTTTCCAACCACAGTTGACTGTGGGTAAGTGTAACCATGGGAAATGAAAGTACAGATAAAGGGGGACTACTGTATTCTATTCTGACTTTAAACTGAATAAAGAAGACCAATCATCCCTACTTGTTCCCTCTAAGCAACTAACAGAGGAAGCACTCCTCTTCTGGGTGAGCCTCCTTAGGTGGGCCCAAGACATTGTAGTGCAACACTGCATACCCATTTCCAGTGGGCCCAGTATGTTACTGCACTGGGTTTGGCTCAAGAGATACCAAAGTGAAAAGACATTCAGTGAATTAAGTTCTCTGTAATCTCACCCCTGTAAAGAACTTATTTTAAGTCCTCTGGTGTTGAACTGGGGAGGCAATACCATAACACCATACCTACAAACAGTTTAGAAACACATGTAAGAGAATAAAAAGAACCTTAGAGTTCAGTCAAGCCAATGTGCCGTGAGAGGTTAGGGATGGGTGTGTGAAAAATGGAGCCCTTTAGTTCAGCTTCAGAGAATCTGTGCTGTGTTCATTTTATTTTGTACCATTTTATATAATATTTGTTTCGATGTAAGAGTTTCCTCCTAGGAATGTATACAAGTGTGCAAAGGCATATAAAAGGATATTCTTAAAATATTATTTTTAATACAGAAATATTGGAAATAACCTAAATGTGCATCAGAAGGCTAATGGATAAGTTGTATTCAGTTATTTAATGAAATACTTTATAGCAGAGAGACGATCAACAAATTAGAATCTCATATACATATATATATATATATATATACACACACACACACACAAATTTCAAATAGATAATATTGAGGTTTTTTTAAAAAATTGGATGCATAAATATATCATTTATTGGAAATTTAAAATATTAAAAATATCAGCCAGGTGTGGTGGCTCATGCCTGTAATCCCAGCACTTTAGGAGGCCGAGGCAGGTGAATCACCTAAGGTCAGGAGTTTGAGACCAGACTGGCCAACATGGTGAAACCCTGTCTCTACTAAAAATACAAAAATTAGCCAGGCATAGTGGCACACACCTGTAATCCCAGCTACTCAGGAGGCTGAGGCAGGAGAATCGCTTGAACTTGAGAGGTGGGGACTGCAGTGAACTGAGATCACACCACTGCACTCCAACCTGGTTGACAGAGTGAGACTCTGTCTCAAAAAAAACACACACACACACACACACACACACACACACACACACAACAAAAAAAAGATGTATTATTTTGAAATGTAGTTAAAGCATAAAAACATGGATATGAATGATAAATATGAATTTCAGATAGAGATTTTTTCTCTCAGAGAAATAGGATTGGGGATGAGTACCTAAGAGGTTTGAATTGTATCTGTTTTATTTTTTAACGTGGTAGATAGGTGTTTACTTTATTCTATATGATTTTTGTTTTGAAATATTTCATTATAACAATTTAAAAGAGAATAGGCCCTTTTGATTTGAAACAGCTTGACAGCCAATGAACAAGGTAAAGGAGGCTTAGGGATGTTGAGGTGCCCAAAGTTGTAATGGTCTCCAAGCAAACCTCTGTGGCCCCTTCCAGGAGTGCCTCGTAAATCCCATCATGCCTCCTGGAGTAGTGGCTCTCAAGCTTTAGCAGACTTATGGCAAAATGCATATTTTGCCTTTACCTTCACCTGTGATTCTCATTTAGTTGGTTTGAGGTTGGGCCTGGGAGATGCAATTTTTATCAAGCATGCCAATGATCTTGGTGGGGATGATCAGGATAGTTTTGAAAACCACAGATCAATCCCGAGGAGCCCGTGGTCCTTCAAGCCTTTGCCAGAGACTCATTACTAATAATTATCCAGAGTCAAATAAGGATTGAGTATAAGATCCAAGGAGCATTAGAACTATGACTTTGTATACTTGCTAGTGATTGTTTCTGTTTCATGCTCAACACCATGAAACCCCTTGGAAACTGTGTGGTTTGGGTGGGGCAAGAAATAATGTTAAAATGTGATGGAGAAATCTGGAAACAAGTCCTGAATGTTGCTACAAATTATGAGAGATGGAACTAACAGTATAAAGGGAATTACATAAACAATAACTTGGCATTAATTGTGGATGGATGCTGTTATATACTCTTTTCCCCGTTACTAAAATGACATTTTTTTTCTGTTTTTTTTTTTGAGATAGAGTTTCATTCTTGTTGCCCAGGCTGGAGTGCAGTGGTGCAATCTCAGCTTATTGCAACCTCTGCCTCCTGGGTTCAAGCAATTCTTCTGCCTCACCCGCCTGCATAGCTGGGACTACAGGTGCGCACCACCATGCCCAGCTAATTTTTGTGTTTTCAGTAGAGACAGGATTTCGCCATGTTGGCCAGGCTGGTCTCAAACTCATGACCTCAGGTGATCCACCTGCCTCAGCCTCCCAAAGTGCTGGGATTACAGGCATGAGCCACCGTGCCCAGCCAATAACATGTGTTTTTTAACATACCAGAAAACATGGAAAAATGTAAAGAAGATGGAACCCACCTTTACTACCATAGCTGAAATAGCAGCTATCTGTTATGTGTGAACTGGTTGATGTGTTCATAGCTTGAATTAGCCACAGTGAAAGTATTTACACCACAGAAATAGGCAAATGGCATAAATCAGAGCCCTCACTCCTATCCTAGTCTTAGTTGTTAAACACTTACTAGCAAACCATTGAGCCATACACATACACACATACACATATGTATTTATATACATATATATATATATTTCCCCTAATATTTAGATAATACTATAATGCAGTTTTAAACCGTAAGTGTGTTTCTGACCCAAAGAATAGCCAAGCTATCCTGGGAAATTAATAGAACATCTCTTTCTCATATCCTATGTAGGGGGAACAAGGACCACAAGGCTTCCCAGGCCCAAAGGGCACAATGGGCCATGGCCTCCCAGGCCAGAAGGTAAGTGTCTCAGGATCTTAGAGAAATGCTTAGGCTTAGGATCGCAATAGCTTAACTTTAACTTTGGAAGAACTCTCATATATGTGTCACTCTTCCCCTTACAACTCTCAGAAGAAAAACAATCCACTCAAAATAAAATCCTCGTGCATTGCTTTGTCTACCTATAAATAGGTTCACTTTATAAAATGTCCTTTTCTTTGAGAGCTTCAGGTAGGGGGATTGCTTGAGGCCAGGAGTTCAAGACCAGCTTGAGCAATATAGTGAGATCCCATCTCTATGTTTAAAAAAATCTCATTTTCTTTATTCTCAGAAGATAACTAATAAAGGATTTATTAGTTATCTTACAACATACTTACAACATACCATGTAGGAGATACCAGATAACTCAGGTACCCGGTAAATTGTGTAATAATTGTATGTCCTGAAAGGTGAGCCGATTAGATGGTATTATATCTCAAGGTCTCTTCACTCTGAGACCTCTGGTTCATCATGAATTAGATTATGGTATCTGATGGGATGTAAATAAGTTACCCCCAATTTTTTTTCAAATACTGCATTTGTATAAACAAGAACTGAAGGTCTTCAAGAGATGCCAGTTGCAGATAACCAAATTATAGAGCTTTTCTTATCTGGCTTTTAGATTCACATTCTGAACCTATCATTTTACCCTATTGTGTAAAGGGAGAGCACGGAGAACGGGGCGATGTGGGAAAGAAAGGTGATAAAGGAGAAATTGGAGAGCCTGGATCTCCAGGAAAACAGGCAAGTAGTTTTTAATGTCTCACTGTGATTTTATACTCTAACTGGTTCCAACCTATATTGACTTTTACTCTTCTTCCACTAAGTAGGGTTTACAAGGACCCAAAGGAGACCTAGGACTTACAGTGAGTATCCATTCTAGAGGGTAATTGAGGGTTTTGTGCTTGCAAAATTGTTGCATTCATGCTTTAGCTTTAGAATTATGAATTTTTTGGATGCAGAATCCCAGTTTCTATTTAAATGAGATCAACTACTACCAGCCCAGTGTTGGCTTAGATGCATGAGGTAATTGAATCTGACTATGAGGGGAGAGATAAAACCTTGTCCTGCCTTGTGGTGGGTGTGTGTGACTACTCCACTCGGATGCTTGGTAGAAATGATCACACTGCTGTTACTGGCCAACAAGGAGGTGAGCTGTTTCAAAAAAGCCAGATTACCAAATGACTTTAATTTATGTGGTTCGTCTCATTTTAGAATGAGGACTCTTTTTTCCTGAACTAGTTCCTTTAGAAGTGCTCTGAGAAGAGCAGCAATCACAAAATTGAGATTATAGTTATATATTGATTCAATTATTCAATAAGTATTTTCTGAGCATCTATAAACGTTTCCCTGTTCTTCTCCCCACACCATTAAGAACAGAAAACTGACTCTTTAAAGTCTCATGAGTGGAAGGCAAAGTCTCATTCTTCCTTTCTGCTTTGAAGGCAATCTGTCTTCTGGGGTTGAGGAAAATCACAGACCTTTTCCTTTTTTCCTGTTAGACTTTTCCAGGGTTGTGGTCTAGCGGGGCTGATTCGATGTACTAGGAACATCCAAGTGTGAGGGAGTGGCAGTTCAGGTGGTGAAGGCAAGAGCTGAGAGCTGGGCATGTGACCAACAGAACTGCACATGTGTTCTGCGGGCTGTCTGCCTTTTTCTCTTTGTTGTTCCCCACCACAAGTCAGACCCCGAAAGATGCCCATAGTAGATGAAGTAGCTACATATGCACAATTTCTCCCCAAAAGTAGCAGGGGAGAGTGTATGTAAATGAGCAGAGGAACGTTCCCTGTAGGTTTATACCTGCCCTACTGTCCCAACGTGGGGAGAGGGACTGGTTTCCTTTCTCCATTCATTTATTCATTCATTCATTTCACCAACCTTTATTGGATGTATCCAGTAAACCTTACTCTGGATCAGGCTCCAAAATAGGCACTGGGGAAATAGTGGAGAGTGAGGCTACTTCTTGGAACTGAGAGAGCTCACAGCCTGGTGGAGAGAAAGACAACAAAGATGTTCACCTACGGAGTGATAAATGCTATGATAGAAGATGTGGTCTCGGGGTCCAGAGCAGACAAAATGGTGTATGATGGTGTTTGAGGGCAGGATAGGCTTTATCTCTTGAGTGGAAGCTTTTCAACCAAGAGGCAGAGACCTTAGAAGTAGGGACATCATTCTGCTGACTTTGGTTTTCTAGATTCTGGAAGAAGAGACTAGCAAGACGAGAAGAGTGAAGGAAAAGAGAATTTGCATTAAGTGAGAATTTAGTGTGTGACAGGCTCTGTGTTAGGCTCCTGTACATCAGTACATGTTAGGCTCCTTACCTAGTACTGCAGGGTGTTTTAGAGGCCCCCGCTCTGGAACCCTCGTCCTTCTCCAGCTGCGCTCCTTCCTCCAGGTTAGAAGTCCTTGGGGCCAAAGGGCATGCACATATGTTCCTCTATGCCACACTCTGGATGCATGCAATTCCAGAATTCTCAGTTGAAATGGCCACAGGTTTGGAGAGCTGAAGCACTGGCCTGGATGCATGGGCCCAGCCAAGAAGTGGCCAAACAGCAGGTGGTTTCAGGGGATTTGGACAGAGCTTGGAAATGAGGACTGGTTCACAGCATGAATGCTGGCCAAACCCCCATGCAGTGTAGGACTAGTGGGTTGTGGTACAAGAAGACGGTGACAGGCTGATGGCCATAACCTTCTCTTACCTAAGATCCCACCTTTAATCTGCATGACAGCTCCATGAGGTAGACAGTATCTCCACATCAAATGGAGACACACAAGTCAGGTTGGACATTACGCCCAAAGTCATCTAGCTGGCACGTAGCAGAGCCCTTATAGCTAGAGGTGGCCTGTCTGATACCAAGTTCAGGCTGCTCCCCCATGAAAGCTGTTCTCAGAAGGCCTCTTTCCTCTCCCCCTCTTATCCTTTCTGTGATCGAATGTATCCCCCAATAGCTATCAATTGTGCAGATTCATTTCAGACTAACAAACTCCTCTTTTAAGAGGCAAATGCCATTGATGGCACTAAATGTTTTAATACATCTCATAAAATTATTTGAAAAGACTCTGTTTCTCCACATGTCACTTCGGTGTTAGCATTTCCCGGTGTCTGGCCCCAGTCTTCCCTGTCTTCAAACTCTCAGGGAATGTAGCCACTAAAGGCAGGGGGACATATAGTTTGAAAAGGCTAATTCTATAGTACAGTGAAAGCATATAGTGAATGAAAAAATAGTGTTTTTATTTTAAGCAGAAAGAATGTGTTTATCAAATGTGGGGAAGGAGAAACACACCGGTTTCAAAAAGGCTGAGCAGCCCTGTTCTAGGCAATCTTACTTTTAGTCCCTGTTTTAACAGCCAACTGTACATTGGCATTTCTTAAATCTGCCTCCTGCCCGGACAATTCTCCCAAGCGCCAGATCTTACATCCTTGGCTGCCCGTGGACATCTCTAGGTGGATGTCTTATAGACGTATGAGACTCAGCCAGACTCAAGCTGGGCTCAGTCATCTTCATGAGCTCCCAACCTGCCCCTATCCCACTCCTGCCTCTCTCAGAGTATGGCCCCACTGTCATTTGCCTCCTCTTAGACTCCTTCTTTCCCTCATCGTTTCTTCCAGTTATTCACCAAGCCCCTCATTCTTCTTCTGGAATGTCCCTCCAGGCCTGTCCTCCTCATCCATTACTACTACCACAGCCTTCTGATGTCTGGTTTTTTTTTTTTTTTTGCGTGAATTATTGAGGAACCTCAAACCCCTCCACTGGCTGCTATGATCATCTCTCTTAAATAAAAGTTCCACCAGAGCTCTTCTCTGCCTAGGGATCATGTGAGTCCCACTGCCCAGGAGAAAGTTCACACTCTTCAACATGACACAAAGGTCTTCAAGAGTCCATCTGTCTCCAACATTTCTTGTCATTGTTTCTGCTATGTGCCCTAATTCATAAGTTTACTCGAGTACTGTAATGCAGTATGCTCTGACAGAAGGCCGACCACCTTGCCTGAACGCTCCCCTTCCCTGTCCCAGCCTGGTCAGAGTCTGCCTCCTTGGACCACAGTCCCATCCTCAGTTTCCTGCCCCAGGAATTCCCAGCAGATCGAGATGGTTCCTTGGCTCTCCATAGCACTTATGAAAGTCTTCGTTTGTCTGCTTCTTCCTGGACTGTGAATCCTTTGAGGGGTATAAATATGATGCCTTCATCATTGGCACCAAGTAGCCAAGGTAGTTATTCAGTGATTTCAGTGGAAGGAATGAACTCTTCCAGTCACTTAAATGCAAAGAACATGAAGAAAAAATTTACATATATGGTAACTTCAAGCATTTTAAACCTGATTATGCCACAAAATATGTTGCAAAATTAAAATCTAACCTTGATACATGCATTGCTCTTATAAGTGAATAAAAAGCAAATATTCCCATAGAAAAAGATAAGACAAAGAACATACACAGATTGCACAAGAGAATACAACCTGGAAACATGCATATGAAATGAAATGTAGCCTCATGAATAATTTAATTCGTGTAATTTAAAACAATGAGAGATTTTGCTCTACCAATTGACAGTGATGATATAATAATAATAGCCAGTATTGTGTGGCTAAAATAAAACAGATTTTCTTATATACTGCTGTTGGAGGTGTCAGTTAGCACAACTTTTCTAAAGTACAGTGTGAGAGTGTGTATCGCAGAGCCTTTAAATGGCCGCACATTCAATTTCAGTAATCAAGTTTTTCAGAATCCTTAATAATGTGGAAAATGAATTATAATATAGTATTAGGTGACAAATTATAACCATAAAACTTGGTGTATTTTCTCCGTTTATAAAAAATTAAACATAAATATATAAATACATATATTTCCCCTTTCTAGATATACTTAATATAAATATATAAATACATACATTTTACCTTTCTGTACATGTTCTTGTTTCGGATTTTTTTAAATGCCTTTTTAAATGCGGAAAAGCATGACAAGGCCTAGAAAAAAAGAAGACTGTTGACTCTCATTTTGTAGAATTGTATTATATAACTCAGCACTGCAGTAGATGTTCTTTTTAAATAGCCACTTGGAATCGTTAGCTTTTACTTAGTTTACAGTTTAAAAAGTTAAATTAAAATACTATGAATATTCCCCACATATTCTACTTTTAAGCCATGTTACAGGCTACATCACCTCCACCTCGATTTGACATTATAGATTTGTTCTTAAAAATTTTACTTTTGCACCTGTTAAACTTTATTTTCTTAGATTGGGTCCACTGGTCCTTCCTGTTGAGATCTAGGCTTCTGTTAATCATCTCTTTTAGCTTTAAGTGTTTGGCAAATGTGGAATCCTGCCTTCTCTAGTCTCATTGTAGTTACTTATAAACACACTGCACAGGGAAGGGCATTGGCAGCTTTATTTCTAGTACCCAGCTCATTTCAGGCCCTTCTGATGGAGCTTGTGGGCAGCAGGACAAGAAAAGGGCGTTCAGGAACATGGGGAAATGTCACAGAAGAGCCAAAGTGAGGGTGTTAAGAAGCTGAAGAGAGGACTTGAAAAATCAGGAACTAGTACAGAAAAAGAAGAGAAAATACAGCATAGAATGAATTCTCTGTAGGCATTGCGGCTTGTCTTGGTTGCTCAGCACATGTGGTTTAAATTGTATAACTGAATGTATATATAGCACCACAGCACCGTAGGTATGTTAAAGTTGCCAGACCCTGTGCTAATGTGTGCATAACATTGATTAATCCATACCATAGCCCTGAGACACAGATACTGTTAGGGCACCAAATGCCCGAGGTCACACAGCTGATAAATGCTGCAGTTGCAATTTGAATTCCAAAAGTCTCAGCTGTTAAGTTTCACAGCTCAAACGCATTTTAGTTATGGTCTATTATAGTCAGCTTTTGACTTCTGTGTTGTTTATTTTATTTTCTGCAGTGGAAGGATTAAATCAAATGGTCCAGTGCTGATTGTAATGAGATATCTTTTATGGCTCTAGGAAAAATATTATAGTCATACATATAGTAATACATTTTTCTTTTTATCCCCTAGAAAGAAGAAATTATCAAACTTATTACAGAAATATGTGGTAAGATTTGATCAAGGAAAAAACATCACTTTAAAGCATCAGCCCCACTATGTACTGTGCTGGTGACAGAATGTGTTCGTCCAGATGTATATTATATAGCTAGCGGGAAAATGTGAAGCTCATTTGAAAAGTCGATGGAAACTGAAAGGAAGCAGTAAGAGAGACTGTGGGAATCCTGATGTAAGGAAATAAAATCATCTTCCCAGGCTGGTTAAGGCATGTGAAGGTGCCAGCCTAGGGTATGTAGGCAGCCGGGCCTTTTGTTAGCACAGTGCTCGTTTGTATTCAGTGACATTTACCTGAGCTGAGACGAAAAACTCAACAAAGGAAATATGACTACAAGAGCCAAACTGGTATTTGAGTCCAGCCTAGCTGGTGATTAGAATGTCTGTGTTTTTCCCGAAGCCATGAATTCTTTCTGAGTAGAGTTTTGAGTTGTACTCAGTCCCAAAGGTGGGAGGACAGAGTCAGGTATTCACCTTGCTTCACAACTACTAAATGCTTCCATGACTGAATGGTAGACTTAGAATTACCAGAAAGAGGAAGTAAAGAAATTAGCCAAAAGACAAGAGACTAATGGAATAATGATGGGAGAATCTTCTGGGTTTAAAGTGGTCAGAGGCAGGCATATTGTCCTTCTATACAGAGAATCCCAGAACCAGCTTATTCCCTAAAAGACTGCTGGGCCTAAGAAGCAGCCTGGGAGTCTCTCTAGTGAGAGACCAATCTAGACATGGCTTCTGGGTTCTAGAAGCCCTATAAAAATAGCACATGATTTCCTGATGGTTTTCTGTGGCAGGCTTGTTGAACAACAGGAAGATATGAATAAAGAAACAGAATCCTGATAATTTATATTTCCTGATGACTCTGGCAACTGCTTTAAGTGGTTGTTTATCAACCTAAATGGAAGGTTTTTTTAAATTGACTAGTGTTCTCGGGGATTACTCCCCTCAAAAGCTTTCATAGCATGGATGTACTGCTGGCCTCCTTGATAACGTGAAAGCTGCCATAGTTGTCATTGTGGGTGACTGGAGACATCAACTAGAGTAGTTAGGGATAGCTGTTCCTGTGTACATTTAAGGTCCCAATCCTTCTACCACAATGACAATTTTTCATCCCATTACTTCATCCATTGGCCAGCCTGGTGAGCAAATTTCAATTTTCACATAAGGCTATGGTTGAAGACTGAAATATCAGCTTTCAGATTCAGATTAAATACAATGGTGGGATGATAAAGAGCAAATGTCAGATGGTGGTTACCTCTCTGGGAGAGGAAGAGGAATGTTATTGGGACGGCATCCACAGGGCATCCTAACTCTTTTAAAAATATTTTATTTTATAATCCAAGAAACGAGCACATAAGTATTTATTATTTTATCAACTACGGTGTTTTTCCAAGTATATATATATATATATATATATTTTTTTTTTTTTTTAAGAGTCAAGTATAGAAACCAGAAGGGGCCGGGCGCGGTGGCTCACGCCTGTAATCCCAGCACTTTGGGAGGCCGAGGCGGGCATATCACGAGGTCAGGAGATCGAGACCATCTTGGCTAACACGGTGAAACCCTGTCTCTACTAAAAATACAAAAAATTAGCCAGGCGAGGTGGCGGGCGCCTGTAGTCCCAGCTACTCGGGAGGCTGAGGCTGGAGAATGGCGTGAATCCCAGGGGACGGAGCCTGCAGTGAGCCGAGATCGCGCCACTGCACTCCAACCTGGGCGACAGCGAGACTCTGTCTCACAAAAAAAAAAAGAAACCAGAATGGAGACAGCTGTCAGGTATTTTCACAATCACAGAAAAGGAAGAGAATAGTTTAGGTCTCAGGTTCATCATTGACTTTTTCTCCCCTCCCCTCAACAATCTGATGTCAATCATTCCCACAATTTTTCTCTCTCAACATTCATCTTTTAGGTTGTGGGCCCAAATGCAAAGAGACTCCACTAGAGCTGGTGTTTGTGATCGACAGCTCAGAAAGCGTGGGGCCAGAGAACTTTCAGATCATTAAAAATTTTGTGAAGACTATGGCTGACCGGGTTGCTCTGGACCTTGCCACGGCCCGCATAGGCATAATCAACTATAGCCATAAGGTGGAGAAGGTGGCTAATTTGAAGCAGTTCTCCAGCAAGGATGACTTCAAGTTGGCTGTGGACAACATGCAGTATCTGGGGGAAGGCACATACACAGCCACTGCTCTGCAAGCAGCCAACGACATGTTTGAAGATGCAAGGCCAGGTGTAAAAAAAGTGGCCTTGGTCATCACTGATGGACAGACAGATTCTCGTGATAAAGAGAAACTGACAGAGGTGGTGAAGAATGCCAGTGACACCAATGTGGAGATATTTGTGATAGGGGTGGTGAAGAAAAATGATCCCAACTTTGAAATATTCCACAAAGAAATGAATCTAATTGCTACTGACCCAGAGCATGTTTACCAGTTTGATGATTTCTTTACCCTGCAAGGTAAGGAAGGCTATCTGGCCCAGGGGAAAGGCATTTATGTTGTTCCTCTAAGTACCATATCACTGGTTTGTCCTGACCAAATAGAAAAATCTGGAGGCTAATAAGGCTTATGCCAACATTAAATGGTAACACGTAAACTCCAGAAGATTAAAAATGTTTAATATCATTCAGTTTGGAGGGTACAATCCCTTGTCTTTATTAAGGGTTAATAAATGCTGAGTTGGCCTTGGAGTTAACTAGAGTCCATGGTCAACAGACAGGAATGGAGAGAAAGAATAGGACTTGGGAGTATTGCTAACATTGGTTAATGTTCAGAAAGTTACCTAACTAAAATAAGGGATCGAGCAAGCCAACAGCAAGGCAGAAAACAGTCAGGAAATCAAAATGAATTAAGAAGTACCTGCTGAATGAAAAAAAAGTTATGGTCATCTAAAGAGATGAGAAATGCAAGTAACTGGGATTAATTAGAGGGGATGTTCTATTCTCTGTTTTTATGAAAGCAGATAATGATGAATAAACAGGTTGATATCGGGAATTTATCTCAAAAGAACAACCATTTATTTATTTATTTATTTATTTATTTATTTATTTATTTATTTTGAGACGGAGTCTCACTCTGTCACCATGCTGGAGTGCTGTGGTGTGATCTCAGCTCACTGCAACCTCTGCTTCCCGGGTTCAAGTGATTCTCCTGCCTCAGCCTCCCAAGTAGCTGGGACTACAGGCACGCGCCACCATGCCCGGCTAATTTTTTGTATTTTTAGTATAGATAGGGTTTCACTGTGTTAGCCAGGATGGTTTCGATCTCCTGACCTCATGATCCACCCGCCTCGGCCTCCCAAAGTGCTGGGATTACAGGCATGAGCCACCGTGCCCAGCCAAAGAACAACCTTTTAAAATTCATTGTACAATGCCAGGCACAGTGGATCACGAGGTCAGGAGTTAGAGACCAGCCTGGCCAGCATGGTGAAACCTCGTCTCTACTAAAAATACAAAAATTAGCTGGGCATGGTGGCGTGTGCCTGTAGTCCCAGCTACCCGGGAAGCTGAGGCGGAAGAATTGCTGGAACCTGGGAGGCGGAGGTTACAGTGAGCCGAGATTGTACCACTGCACTCCAGCCTGGGCGACAGAGCGAGACTCTGTCTCAAAAAATAAATAAAAAATAAATAGAATTTATTGTACAGCCAGTGCTAATCTGATGGGCTTCTCTATGCTAAGTTTATCCTTTCACATTAACTGATATTTACTAATGAGCCATCCTAGGACATTGATCTAATTTAAGCTATGATTAAATTATGGTCAGTATGACTTTATAATAAAATTTATCCCAATTCTTTGGAAACCGATTATTCATTCTGGCAGGCCTGTACCTGGCAAGTTTGTGAAGTAAGTGAAAGGCTTCAGTTTGGCTTCATCCTTCCTCCTTCACCCACCTGGGAGTGGAGTCTGATGTGGCTGGGCACAGCCCATCAGTGCCTCATGCCCTGCCTATGCCGTGTACCAGCACAC
The DNA here is from genome assembly GCF_000001405.40 of Homo sapiens. Lineage (NCBI taxonomy): Eukaryota > Metazoa > Chordata > Mammalia > Primates > Hominidae > Homo > Homo sapiens. The sequence goes on along the minus strand of NC_000007.14, from coordinate 7,371,487 downwards.
TGGCCCTAAGGAAAGCATACCATTCTCAGAAACTTTTTTGCTATTTCTCACCTTCTCCAGAGCTTTCTAACCTAGGGTTCTACTTCATCAGTACCCTGCTGGCTGACTGGTGGGTTTGTTTATCTGATATATTCAATCTCACCCAGCTGTGAATGTGTCAGAATAGCCAAAGACATTTCAGAGCCAACTTATATTTTAATCCTTGAAGAGCTTTATCATTATATCTGGAGTTAGTAATTTGTTACAGCCTGTAAAGAATATTTGCAACTGGCTGGCCATTTGCTCTCCTTAAAACCAGAGGTAGCTGCCAATTCAACTTATTATGGGTGAGGCTAGCTCTTGACAAGGAGTGATTCACGTTGAACAGAGACACTTTGGATGAACATACATTCAAGTCATTCTTTTGCCTCTTTGTGTCATATATATTATTTTAGATGACCTCTTACACAGGATGTAAAAATGCTTTTATAAGTTCGTTAACTTAGCAGTTGATTTCAAGTAATGGGAAATTACATATTTTAAGGAGAGTGCAGATCTTTTTAAATGAGTTTTAAGTATTGTTTCATTGCTTCTACTATCTCTCTTTTCTACTTCTTTTTTAAAAGACACCCTGAAGCAAAAATTGTTTCAAAAAATTTGTGAGGATTTTGATTCCTATCTCGTTCAAATTTTTGGTTCATCGTCACCTCAACCTGGATTTGGGATGTCAGGGGAAGAACTCAGTGAATCTACTCCAGAGCCTCAAAAAGAAATTTCTGAGTCAGTAAGTAACTGTCTCACTTACTTTGTGAGCTTAAAATGGTGTATTCTCTCTGTTTCATATCAAAGATCATTCTGCCCTGCATTGTCAAGAATCAGCTGAGGCACGTGTATTTTTAGGTCCTTGGCTCTAAATGTTAGTATCTTGACTCTAGATTTCCAGTTCTGAAATAGCATTAGGTTTTGTAGGATATTTTTAAAAACTTGCATATTTTATAAGTATTTATTAAATGTTGCTGATAATATTTTTATATTATACTCCTATTACCATCAAAGTAACCATGTATGCTGAAACAGATTAACACAACACTCTGAATTCACCTAGTTGCCATGCTGTGCAGTGCCTTTCATACCAGGCCACAACTCTCCCTCTTCGTCTGTGCATCTGCTTCCCACTTTGTACCCTCTCATGTCTTTTCTAAATACGCATATGCCCAACTGGCCACTCTCCCACACTCCAAGCCATGTGTTTGCTCATTTGGCTTCCACCTCCTGTGCTCTGAGTGAGGACTGTGAGGGAGGCTATATATGCATATGGTGCAAAGTAGATGCTCTGTTTCAGAGCTCCTCAATCACATAGTATGTGAAGAACCACCTCCTGAATCAATTGAAACAAATGTGACTGTCCTCATAGCAAGCTTCTGGGAACTGACTTCAGCCAATCAGATTATGGGCAAATATTAGTTTTTTTAAGGAGAAAATGGGGGAGCCTTTTTTAGTTACCGATGAGTGCTATAGTCTCTTCTCCACCAAGTTGCAACTTGGGCAAGTCTAGACCCATTTCTATTAACCCCATGGACATCCTCTGGCAAGCAGGCACATAACAGTCATGCCCCTGTTCTGTAAGCTCAGTAAAGTCCTTGCATTGCCCTTTTCTGAAGCCTTCATGTACATGAAAGAGTGATCATGAGCATGTGCAACAGTGTTCTAACATCAGGATTCAGCTAACAGTCTACTTAGACTAAGGCCCTAAGGAACATTCGGATCAGTAGTTGGACTCAGGGCCATTCAGGAATCAGGCCTAGGATACCATTCCTAAGGGCACAGGCTATAGAACTCACTAGATTCTCGTATCCTGTTCACAAAAGTGCAGAAAGGCCTCTAACATATTTCTATTTGATTAAATAGTAACCAACTGCAAAATGGGTAATTCCAGTCAGGGCAATAGATTCTACTAAATTGCAGATTGAAATTAACACAAACATTTATACTCCATGGTCTATACCAGGTGTCAGCAAACCCTGTAAAGGGCCATATACTGAATAGTTTTGGATTTTCAGGTAATTTGATTTCTGTTCCAATTACTCAGCTCTGCGTTTGAAGTAGAAACATAGCCATAGATAATACTTAAATGAATGAGTATGAATAAGTTCTGATGAAACTTACTCACAAGAACAGATAGTGACTCAGATTTGGCCCACAGTGGTTTGCCAACCCTGATCTATATTGTGCATTTTAAAGTAAATTCCAGACAATAATGGACACAGTCTATCTCCTCCTGAGCATGGACCGCTACTGGGGCCTCTCCTGTTTGTGTGACTTACCACTTTGTCCCTCTCCTAGTCAATCAACATCCCTTTCTAAAGCCTTCCTAAACAAGAGCAAGCTCAGGTTTCATCCAGGAATTGATGCTTAAACTGAGCCCTCCTTATAATCACTGAATCACATTTTTTGCTATATTAATACCAATGAATTCCAATAGCATGTATTGATTATTAACTGCTGTGATAGATGGTGTGGCTCTTAAGACATGGCTCCTGCCTGAGAGAAGCTCACATTTTTTCAGGGAGATAGGTAAGTACAAGATGCATTATGAATTTTAGCCAGAGCTATGAAGGAAGCACAGAGATGATGCAATTAATTTCAGGGAAGAGTAATGGGAAAGTGTCTTAGTCTGTTGGGGCTGCCATAACAAAAATACCATAGACTGAGTGGCTTAAACAACAAATATTTATTTTTCACAGTTCTGGAGGTTGGGAAGTCTAAAATCTGGTGTTTGGTGAGGGCTTGCTTTCTGGCTTGTGAACAGCCACCTTCTCGTTATGTCTTCACATGGCTGAGAGACAGCTCATCTCTCACATCACTTCTTATAAGGGTATTGATCCCATTCATAAAGGCTCCACCCTCATGACCTAATCACCTCCCAAAGTCCCCACCTTCAAATACCATCACACTGGGGATTCAGGTTTCAATGTATGATTTTTGGAGGGACATAAACATTTAGTTCATTACATAAGGCATCACAGAGGAGGTGACATTGAGTCAAGTTTTAAGAATAACTAGGAGTTTTTCAAGAGAAGAGCAGGGGGAAGGGTATTCCTAGCAAAAAACAAAAAAAACAGTAGGCAAAGGGAGTCTTTAAAGTGCCATGGCATTTCAAGAAAGTTGAACAAATTCAGTCTAATTGTAGCCTAGGGTGTGGGTGGCAGAGTGATGAGAGCTAAAGCTGGACAGGTAATTTAAGGACTAATTATAAATGTCTTAATGTATTAAGGCAAGGAGCTTGAACTTCATCTATAGGCCAGGCAGGCAGAGACAGCAGAGGAGTTTTAAAAGCAAGAATCATATAGTCATATTTGGTTCACAGAAAGAATAACCCTGATTGCTGTGTGAAACATACCTAGGAGGAGGAGGTGAGGAGACTGGAGGCTGAGATATGAGGCGTGATAGTCCAGGAAAATGATAATGAGGCCCTGAAAGAAGGCAGGGGCACTGGGAATAAAAAGGAGGCACAGATTGAAAAGCCATTTCTAGGGTAGAATTAACAGGATATAGTGATTGAAAGGATTGGAGGTGAGGGAGAGGGAGGGGTTTGGGTAGGACTGTCAGGTTTCTAGCATGGAGATGAGATGGATTGAAACACTATATACTGAGATGGAGAATATAAAAGGCAGGGTGGTTTTTTTTTTTTTTAAAGGAAAATAGTGAGTTTAGTTTGCACCATGTAAAGTGGAGGTGCCTGAGGGACATCCAAGGCAGTTATGACACGTAATGAGGAAAAGTAAGAACAGATCCCTCTGTATCACATCCCAGGAAGCCTGATGGCCTTGAGAGACAAATGACATTAACAGACTAGGACATATGAAGCTTTCTAGTAGCTGGGGAGGGGAGGACGTAAGAAAAATACAACCAAAATACTCTGGATTTATAACACCAAGAGCCACATGAAGGGAAACTGAACATCAGCTAGGTCTCTCTAGGGGAACTTTGACCCAGATAGTGGGACCTTGCAATGAACTTGACCTTCTCGGATAGTGCCTCTTGTCTCTAGGCTTTCTCATTCTGGCTCTTTTTAAAGAAGCACCAATGCAAAACTGAATTTTTAAACAATTATTTCCTTATTGATATTTAGTTTGAACAAACGTGCATTTCTATTCACATTTAAATCTTTGACATGCAGTCATGCATCGTTTAATGACAGGGACACTTTCTGAGAAATGTTTCGCTAGCCAATTTTGTTTTTGTGTGAACATCATAGAGTGTACTCACACAAATCTAGATAGTATAGCCTACTACACACCTGGGCTAGATAGTTTAGCCTATTGCTTCTAGGCTACAAACCTGCACAGCATATCACTGTACTACTGTAGGGAACTGTAACACAGTGGTAAGTATCTATATATATAAGCATATCTAACCATAGAAAAGGGTAAAAATACAGTATTATAATCGGATGGGACCACTGTCATGTATGTGTGTGGTTGACCAAAATGTCATTATGCAGCACTTGACTGCACAGACATGCACGCGCGCACACACACACACATAGTATATACATACACACATACAAGAACATATTTATGCCTCTGTGCATGCACACCCACCTTTAATAAGTATAATTACAGTATCCAAACATTTAAAATAAAATGAATCTGTTACAACCTTCCTATTCTCAGATCCTTCCTGAGCCTACCCTAGGCAATACTGCAAAGCTAGTAAACAATGATCTCAGAAGTACCATTTCCCTTTTGTTGTCTCTTCCTTTTCACTGTTGTCCCTTCTGTCACTCCCTTAAGACACCTAACTCTGTCCTTCCTTCCTCTTCTTCTTTCTACCAAAATATGTTCTTAGCGAAAAATAAAATTAGCATTCTCTCACCGTGATCGTGAAAAACATTCAAATTCTTCATAAAACCCTGCGTAACAACTAATTATTAGTATCACTACAAAAGGTTGCTGTACAAGTATTATTTATTGCTTCTAATAGACTTGTTACCCTCAGAATATAACATGCACCTGTGTTATGGAAGAGGAAAAAAACAAAAATAATAAACATATTCCTAACTGATCTAGAAGAAATATTCTAGACCTGGAAGTCAGGAAACCTGGCTTGTGGTCTCATTGCTGAAGCTAAGGACTATTCTCTTGACTCCAAAGTCTGTAGTTTTTCGATTTTATTATTTCTGAAATTGGGATGCATCTATTTAATGTGTGTGGTCTTTTTTCAAAACTATTTTAAAATTTATGGTATATCTCATGATGAATGACATCTTAGAAATGAAATCTCATAGCTGCCTGATGTTAGGGGAATCACCTATTTTCCTGAGGTCTCAGTTTTCTCATCTGTAAAATTAAAGAATGTTACTAGAATGTTCTTCCTGTTCTAAAAGTATATGATTACAGCTGTCAAAAATGTTTACTGGGTAAAGCCAGAATGCAGGCTATTTTACTGCACTAATGTATGAGAGGTTTAAACAGAACAAAATCCTGCATTACACCCTTTTTGAAAGCCACAGTGAATCCAGAGAGGTGCAGCCCAAACTCAAGGTGTTCCTAAAGGCCCCAGTAACTTTAAAATGCAAATAAGTAACCTTCAGTTTAAGTATTTGAGTGCAGAGAGACCTGACAAAGAAGTGTGTTTGATTCTTGGGGAGAATCAATCAAGAAGGACTCCTGAGAAGCCAGACAATTTGAAGATGCTGGCTGTGGAGCCCAGTGGCAGTAGAATCCCCAGAGCCAAATTGGAGAAATTTTGACCCACACTCCTGGGAATATGCTAAGTCTTAACACAAACACTAATGCAGATGATCATTAGCATTCATCCAGAGCAGACATGTGTTCAGATTTGAAGACTTTGTAATATATGCAAAATTCTGGGTAATAAATTCAAGGAAAATGTTTGGAAATCAGAAAGCAAAAGACCTTTTGGATGTGGCACCTGGTCAGCAATCCTTCTTAGCTCATGCATACATGTTCTTGGGATACTGCACTGAGTCTGTTTTCCTCCCCTTAAAGATCAGCTCAAAGGCTGAAAGAGAATGGTGATAACACGTCTGCTTGTCCAGCTACACGGAGCAGCCCTGGACTCCAGGTGTCGGCTCTCAGGTGTCCCTAGACAACTCATTTGTGCCTTTTACTATGGTGTCCCTGCTTAGAGCTGGAGCTAGCCTTCTTTTCCAAGGCAGGCCAGTGTGGCTGGAGTAGAAATGTGCAGAGTTGACAGGCAAGCTTGTGTTTTCAGATTTAAGATTTATTAACAAGAATAGAAACAAACATTTGACTGCGTACTCACCACCCAGAAGTAACCAATGTTTCCATTTGTTCATTCACTCTTGCTTCAGATAAAGTCCTAGCTTTTTCCCTCCAGAGCTCTTTTTCCTCCTCTCTCCAGAGGCAATCACTATCGTGAATTGGGTGTGTATTCTGCCAGTCGTTTGTGTTGGTTAAATCCAACTTTTAGAGTTGGAAGTCATGTTAGGGCCTAATTTTTTTTATTTGAAAAATGATGACGTTAAAGTCTAGAGGAATTAAATAATGCAAATTTATCTCTTTCTCTTTCGCTCTTTGCATATCCTTATTAAGTTCAACCTGAAGACGAGTGTAACAGAAAGATTAACCCATTGTGAATTTATTTAATGGATACTTTTTGCCTATTCTATGCTATGGAAAAAAAGAGGTAGAGAAAGAAGAAAAGAAAGAAAAAAGATAATTTCTTTTATCAGGGAAGTGGTATTTATATATAGGAAACAAGAAATTATACAAGATAGTGGAGGGGAGGAAATTTTTTTTTCCTCTACCCATCTTAGGGTTATTAGCTAGGTAAGGCCTTGTAAATTAGACTGACAAAAGACAGATTAACAATAGAAAAGCACACAGAAGTTATTAACATGTAGCATATACACATAGGAGCATGGAGATGAGTAGCTCAAAGGGGTGGTTAGAACTTGGTCTTATATAGCATCTTAACGAAAGAACAATAGAGCTTAGAGGAGTGACGACAATGGGAAAGGACTTTCTACAGCAGCAGATGGTGGGAAGGTAAACATATGGGTGAATTAATGGAAGATAAGGATTAGTGAATAGTTTTTTATGTAGAGTCCTCTGGTGTATCTCTGGGCTAAGTAAGGGTCTAGACTCCTCTCGAGTCATTACCCTGATTTTCTGAGGAGGGATTCCTTTACGAATGTATGTCCTGCATTTAGACAAATGAGCTTATATCTGATTCTCAATTGCCTTCAGTTCAAAATAATCAATGTGCCAAAGTGGCATATTTTGGGAGGCATATTCTGTTACTCTTCAATAGGATAGGACTAAAGGTTAAATTCTACACAATCAGCACTGAGTATAGAAGAGTCAGAAGGTACTGTGCATCATCTAGAAGGGGAGAATCAGTACTGACTGGGTTATTGGAGAAGGTTTTGCGGATGGAGACCAACTTTTCCTAGGCTGTGGTGGAAGGGTTGATATTGAGAGCCTGAGGCAGAATAGAGAGGAAGAAGGAATGAAAGGTCCTGACCAGATATTCTGGGAGTAGTGGAAGACAAGGTTATAAAAATGTGGAGGAGGCTGGGCGTGGTGGCTCACCTCTGTAATATCAGCTACTTGGGAGGCTGAGGCATGAGAACTGCTTGAATCTGGGAGGTGGAGGTTGCAGTGAGCCGAGATCGTGCTGGGCAACAGAGCGAGACTCTGTCTTCAAAATAATAATAATAAATGTTATAGAGTCATGGTGAAATATATAGAATGATCATAATATAGTATATTTTTTAAAATAGCATAGAGCATAGAAAACTGAACATACAGTATTTTTTTGTAACAACAACAACAACAAAAAAATGGATATGCACCTAGAAAAAAGACTAGGGAAAAATATACCTGAATGCCAACAATGACTATCTTTAGGAGGTAGAATTACTTCTGATTTCTGTTTTCTTTTTTTTGATATCCACATTTTCTAAAATTCCTTTCAGTTAACATGCTTGCTTTTGTGGTAAGGAAATTATAAAAATAGCAAGCCGTAATAATTATGCATTTGTTGAAATAATCTGACATCTCACTGAGCCAGAAAATTGATGAAATTATTTTCATTTATTAAAGTTAATTTTGCTTGTCTTGGAATCTGTGGAGTAATGTTAACAGATATCAAAATTTCCAAATGATTATGTGATTGAGAATGGAAACACACATTCCTAAGCTTAGAAGAGGTAAAATATAACTTTTGAGGACTCAGGACTTGAACAAGGTAAAGATTTAAAGGCTGAGTTAATTCTTTGAAGAAAACTGTGCTGCTTAGCCCGCCTCTTCAATGGAACAGTCTCACCTTCTAGACCGTATATCTGAAGTGTAGACTAATGTCAGTTGGCTTTTATGTTTGATAAACTTACTCCTCAAACTTTTATTTGTTGCTTAAAACCAAATACATGCAGGCAAAAAAAACCAGTACTTTTTTTCCTGAAGGTTTGTCACTAGCTTACCAATAACTTTTGGAAAGTTTCTTAATCATTTATAGCTTTGTATTCCCCCCAGTAGAAAATAAGGGACTCGGTGCTGAGCTCAGGAGGCCAATGTGGAGGATCACTTGAAGCCAGGAGTTTGAGACCAGCCTGGGCAACACAGCGAGACCCTATCTCTATAAAAAATAAAAAAGAAAATAAGGGACCAAGAAAGTTTTCCTCTAGCTTTAAATTCTCTAGTATAATGATTATTTTTAAAAGTTCACATTCAAATTGCTGTATCTGCATACAGGATCATTCTGAAAGAAAGAGGAACCTCAAGTAATCCACAGTTTTGTCTCCACTTGTACCAAAAGTTGTGTTTAGGGGACAGTGAAAATTTCCTATTGTATTTGAATTGTGTGCCCTTTATATAGGGCTAATGACCAATCCAAATGGAAAAATCTTTGCTCTAAGTCACCTGATAGTAATTTAATCACTGTAAAAAATACGCATACATGAGTAATAGTACTAATTACTTTTTCCCTCTTGTGTGTGTATGTATGCATGCACACACAAAAAAAATCAAAAGCAATAGAACAGCTTAGCTGGCAGACGGCAGTTAATGATGACAGCATACCAGGATCCCTGGGTAAAAAAGCATAAAAAACTATCTCAGTCACAGATTTGACTATTTAAATAAATAAAAATGCAAACAAACAAATAAGAGAAACTCTTGCAAGGATAAATAACCAAGTGTCAGGACTCAGGTGAATGACTGATTCAATTGCATACAGCTGGAATCCAAGGAAAAATTTGCAAAAGAATATAATTATTCCCATAAAAGATTTGTCTAGCTCCTGGTAATTGTCAAGAATGACTGACATGATTTTTTATTATTATACTTTAAGTTCTGGGATACATGTGCAGAATGTGCAGGTTTGTTACATAGGTATACACGTGCCATGGTGGTTTGCTGCACCCATCAACCTGTAATCTACTTTAGGTATTTCTCCTAATGCTTTCCTTGCCCTAGGCCCCCACCCACAGACAGGCCCCATTGTGTGATGTTCCCCTCCCTGTGTCCATGTGTTTTCATTGTTCAACTCCCACTTACGAATGAGAACATGTGGTGTTTGGTTTTCTGTTCCTGTGTTAGTTTGCTAAGAATGATGGTTTCTAGCTTCACCCATGTCCCTGCAAAGGACATGAACTCATGTTTTTATGGCTGCATAGTATTCCATGGTGTATATGTGCCACATTTTCTTTATCCAGTCTATCATTGATGAGCATTTGGGTTGGTTCAAGTCTTTGCTATTGTGAGTAGTGCTGCAATAAACATATGTGTGCGTGTGTCTTTATACTAGAACTTAAACAAATTTACAAGAAAAAACTCTATCAAAAAATGGGCGAAGGATATGAACAGATACTTCTCAAAAGAAGACATTTATGCAGCCAACAAACATGAAAAAACGCTTATCATCACTGGTCATTAGAGAAATGTAGATCAAAACCACAATGAGATACCATTTCATGCCAGTTAGAATGGCGATCATTAAAAAGTCAGGAAACAATAGATGCTGGAGAGGATGTGGAGAAATAGGAACACTTTTAAACAGTTGGTGGGAGTGTAAATTAGTTCAACCATTGTGGAAGACAGTGTGGCAATTCCTCAAGGATCTAGAACCAGAAATACCATTTGACCCAGCAGTCCCATTACTGGGTCTATACCCAAGGATTATAAATCATTCTACTATAAAGGCACTATTTTTAAAAAAAAAGTAAAATGCCTTTCTTGTTTCGTTATATATCATAAATTTGGATGAAACTTGGAAATTTTAGTCCAGAAAATTTGCTTTTGAAACAAAAATCCTTTGTTCTTTAGATATCAAACATTTCTTAGAGCATCTTATATGTTAAGCATCCTACAGCATTTGGTATTAGCTGGGGTCTGATAATAGAGCAGGCAAAGGTGTCTGCAGCTGAGATTTGGGTAAGCAATCAAAAAGTGGCCACTATTGTTTTTATTTCAGCTGTATTATTGTCTTCTGCTACCCTAATTCCCAATCTCAAAATTGACTGAGTTCATGGTAAATATTTTGGAATATATTGTTAAGACGTCTAGTGTTAGGAAATGGAGAAAGGCCATAAAAATGTTAAAGAAATGAGTGGTTATTTTCTCATAGCAGTGGCTAAGAATGAAAATAAACTCCTCTCAACTTTGCATCTTTCACATCTGCTTTGGATGTCCCAGCACCCAAAAATCTGTGCCTGGAGGTGGGCTGCGTGTGTGTGTGTATGTGTGTATATGTGTGTGTACACAGAAATACACCCACACCAAGTGGTGGGAAAATCCACAACTTGGGTATTGAGGGATGCATGACACAGAGGAGGGGCATTATTTCCTGAGTTTTATTTGAAATAGTTAGTATCAGAGAGCTAGGGAAACACAGCATGGCTGAACTAGTCTTTATATGTTCCCAAAAGCAAACTAGTATTTTTTTTACTTGATATTATCAGAAACACAAAATGTGAATATTTTTGTGTAGTTGAGTGTCACCAGAGACCAGGATGAAGATGATAAGGCTCCAGAGCCAACGTGGGCTGATGATCTGCCTGCCACTACCTCATCTGAGGCCACCACCACCCCCAGGCCACTGCTCAGCACCCCTGTGGATGGGGCAGAGGGTAGGTAAACCAGAACTCCAAGTCCCATTTTGATTCTACAGTCTTGTGCACAGATTTGGTGCACAAAGGAAAGAGAGATCTGCCAATCTGCTACTGTATCTACAATGTGAGGAAGGCACAGGGTTACCCAGAGAGAAAATGTTATGATTCTAAACAAGCAGGACAAAATATAGTTTTCACTGGACTATATGTAGAATTTGAAAACTGTGGAGTAAATTTGGTCTATGAAGAATTTCAAAGTTCTTATTTATTATTTTAATTTGAATGCCTTTAGAGGGGATTGCATTCTCCTGTTTACCGTAGTCCGTACTGCTCCCTATTGTCTTACATGTGCCCTTCACACATGTAGGCATTTGAATTTGTGATCCTTTTATTGCACAGGAAAGAGAAACAAGCGAAAATCTAGATTCTGATTCATTAACATATTTTCTATGGAGTTAATATCTATAGAAAATGTATTATTATGTACATATTTTCTGCAGAACATGAGAGACAATTTTTGTGCTCAAAAGTTTAGATTATCTTTAAAATGAATTACACAATATATATTATTTGGTTTTGTTTTTAAGGGCAGAGGTAGTAGAAATCTATGGCTCATTTCCATTTGGTCTAGGGAGTCTTCATAGTAGAGGTAGATTTAGAGGTAAGTTTGAGAAAATAAATGAACCGAGCCATACCCCAAATCTGGGAAAATGTTTAAGGAAGAGAAAGTGCTGGTTTAGCTATTGCAAAATAAAGTTTATCACATATAAGTCCCAGATAGCAATTATCTATTTGGGGATTTTTTGTGTGTTTTTTGGCTTCTCCCACCTTGGCATCACTTCCTGAAGTAGGAAATACTAATCAAGGCACTCCAGAGTACCAAACAATAAAAAGGGATTTAGCAAATGAGGAGTTCCATAATTAAAGGAACCTTATTAGGACAATGTGGCTTTATTGTTACAGCTGTCCTATGCTTTCTTATAGTAGGTGTATTTCTACGATAAGACAATATGACGTTAGAAAGTTGTATCACGTTTTTAGTGTCCTGCAAGAGCTGCTCTTTTAAAACTATAATTGTAATATAAAGACAGTCCTTCATTTTACTTTTTTTTTTTTTGTAACTTAAAGAGTTTTCCTTTGATAGTGGGCAATTGCATGTGATCATAGTGGTGCCTTCTGTGAACAGAATGGGAGGAAATGTGTACAGAAAGTGGAAATATTTTTTATTCCAAATATTAATTTGATTGTAAATCAAATCCAGTGTAAATGAAAGAAGTCCTGTCTTTCTAATCCCCACAAAAGTATTAGCCAATGAAGTCTCACTTAGGCTTTCAGGGAAATAAACATTTTTAATGTGGTTTCATGAGGATCAAAAACTTTCATGTTTTCAAAAGAATTAATATCTAGTAGCAGAGTTTCAGGTGGTGAGGGAAATATTTTGGGTTTTAGGGAATCCTTCTTTCACTTACTTAGAACCATATTTTCTTGGTTTGTTAGTGTGCATGAAGAATAAAGTTTATTTATATAACTTTATACAGTTTTTATTTTTCATGTCTTCAGTATAAGAAAAATCCGTGACACATTTTCCTTTTCTCACTCTAGATCCTAGATGTTTGGAAGCCTTGAAGCCTGGAAACTGTGGTGAATATGTGGTTCGATGGTATTATGACAAACAGGTCAACTCTTGTGCCCGATTTTGGTTCAGTGGCTGTAATGGCTCAGGAAATAGATTCAACAGTGAAAAGGAATGTCAAGAAACCTGCATTCAAGGATGAGCAAGTAAATTGGCCTGTCTCTATCAAAAGCATAGAACTCCCTAATTTCCACATATTCACCCAATACAAATACAGCACTATATTTGAGTGTATACTGAGTATTTACAACTTATACATGTAATTGAATTCTCACTACAGCCCTAGGATGTACATATTATTAACCACTTATATAGGTAAGAAAGCTGAGGCTCTGAGAAGTTTAGTAACTTGTCAACTGTCACCCAACTAAAAAGTTTCAGAGCTGAGGATTTAGACTTAGAGCTGTGTAACTTCAATACACAGACTCTATCTACTTCACAACCTGCAATGTGATTCTGATTCCTTTAATTCCTGTTGTATGTACTATGTCAGCTCAAACCCCTACCCCTGTCCCTGCCCATACCTCCACCCACTCACCTCCCTAACCTCCTTATGTCCCTCGCAGTAGCAAGATGTAGGTGATAGGAAGGACTTCGGTGTGAGAATTAGAAATGATGTAAATGTTTACGCAGGAGTGCTGGGATAGGAGTCGGGATGGTGAGGGTAGTTAGATTTTTGCCTCACTTGCCCTGAAAGTGGTAATAGGGAGAAACCAATCTGAATTACAATTACTTAAATGTATCACAGACTGTCACTTTGTATTCCTCCAACATGTTTGGTAACAAGTGTTTAATGTATGTTAAAACAAAGAAGGTTTTTATACCCTTCCATTAAAATATGTCAGTGGGCCCTTCCATTTTATGGAGTGGAATGGGAAGGCCCTTGACAGCCAGGAACCACTTGAAGTTGGCATCCACTCTTGAACAGTGTGTATTAAAGACAGGATTCACACTGAAAAGTGAGCCACCAAATTGAAATGCGAGTAATGGAGAGTAACGGAGAATTGACTCTGTCATTTTATAATACTTTTGCAAGATCCTGTCTGGGAAGAGCATTAGTTCTGAGCTGAGTTCAGACAGCACTTGCATATTTCTTTCTTTTTTTTTTTTTTCCCCCAGACAGAATCTTGCTCTGTCATCCAGGCTGGAGTGCAGTGGGAAAATCTCAGCTCACTGCAACCTCCCGCTCCTGGGTTCAAGCGATTCTCCTGCCTCAACCTCCTGCGTAGCTGGGATTACAAGCATGCGCCACCATGCCCAGCTAATTTTTGTATTCTTAGCAGAGACAAAGTTTCACCATGTTGGTCAGGCTGGTCACGAACTCTTGACCTCGTGATCCACCTGCCTTGGCCTCCCAAAGTGCTGAGATTACAGGCTTGAGCCACCCCGCCCGGCCACATATTTTATCTTACAAAACACTTTCTCAGCTGGGCGCCGTGGCTCACGCCTATAATCCCAGCACTTTGGAAGGCCGAGGTGGGTGGATCACCTGAGGTCAGGAGTTTGAGAACAGCCTGGCCAACATGGTAAAACCCCGTCTCTACTAAGAATACAAAAATTAGCCAGGCCTGGTGGTGTGCACCTGTAATCCCAGTTACCCAGGTGGCTGAGGCAGGAGAATCGCTTGACCCTGGGAAGCAGAGGTTGCAGAGAGCCAAGATTGCCCCACTGCACTCCAGCCTGGGTGACACAGCAAGACTCTGTCTCAAAACAAAAACAAAAACAAAAAACAAAATACTTTCTCCTTCTATCAGGTCTACCCTCATTCAATTCAACAGTGCAAAAAAGAGCACTCACGGAAGAAGGAGATGGAAGAATAGCCATCTTGGCAGAAATAATGATATGTATAATTTTTTTATTTAATTAAAATTGTATTATGTAATATTTGATACTACAAAAGATAATGCAACATGTTTGTCAATTTTTTTTATTATACTTTAAGTTTTAGGGTACATGTGCACAAAGTACAGGTTTGTTACATATGTATTCATGTGCCATGTTGGTGTGCTGCACCCATTAACTCGTCATTTAACATTAGGTATATTTCCTAATGCTATCCCTCCCCACTCCCCCGCCACCCCACAACAGGCCCTGGTGTGTGATGTTCCCCTTCCTGTGTCCATGTGTTCTCATTGTTCAACTCCCACCTATGAGTGAGAACATGCGGTGTTTGGTTTTTTGTCCTTGTGACAGTTTGCTGAGAATGATGGTTTCCAGCTTCATCCATGTCCCTACAAAGGACATGAACTCATCATTTTTTATGGCTGCATAGTATTCTGTGGTGTATATGTAACATGCTTGTCAATTTAAAAACATGATAAGATGAACACCAGTGAACACATCACCTAGAGAATGAAGCAAACATCAAAAATTCTATTGCAGCTTCCCGTGTGGCCCTCCGCCATCCCAGCTCTCTATTCCATGCCAGGGATATCCCATTTTGAACTTCGTATTTACCATGTCAATGTGCTGTTGACATTTATAGGTAATTTTACATGTAAAACTCTATATATCTCTATGTGTTGCCAAACAATAAATATTTAGCCTTGCTTATTTTACAGTTTTACAAAAATGGTGTCAATGGTGTCATACGCTAGTCTTCTGCAACTAACTATTTTCATTCAATGGTATAACTAATCCATATATTTTATGATATATAAATGTACTCTAGATAATTTATTATTTAGCTTTTTTGAGCTTTAAAAAACTTCCATCATAATTTGTAATTCTCTACAACTCACTAGATTATTGCATTATAATTCATACATGTTCATTTACTTCCACGGTTGTATATTTGTGTGAATATACCACAATATGCCTCATCTATGATCAGTTAAGTTCTCCTATTTCATTTTCCTCAGTATTCTGCCACTGTTGCTGTGAATGCTCTTATTCATGTCTCTTGGTACACACACATCAGTGTTTTTCTGGGGTATATTCCCCAAAAGTAGGATTTCTGGGTTGCAGAGTATGTAAACATTCAAAAGTAGTATATCATACCCATTTGTTTCCTGAAGTGTCTGAGCCAATTTATTATAAATTCCCACCAGTTGCATATAAAAGTTCCCATTGCTTGATATTCTTATCAACATTTAGTATTATCAGATTTCTTTATTTTGCTAGTATAGGTATAAAATGGTATCTTATTTTATTTTATATTTGTTTTTGAGATGGAGTGTTGCTCTGTTGCCCAGAGTGTTGCAGTGGTACAATCTCAGCTCACTGCAACCTCCACCTCCCGGACTCAAGTGATCCTCTCACCTCAGCCTCCTGAGTAGCTAGGACTACAGCCGCCTGCCACCATGCCAAGCTAACTTTTGTATTTTTAGTAGGAGTGGGGTTTTGCCATGTTGTCCGGGCTGGTCTTGAACTCCTGGCCTCAAGTGATCCATGAGCCTCAGCCTCCCAAAGTGTTTGGGGTGTGAGCCACTGTGTCTGGCCAGTATATTATTTTTATTTACGTTTCTCTGGTGACACCTTACCATGTTTATTTACCCTCTGTGCTGCTGCTTCTGTGAAATACCTGTTTATAATTAGGAAAGATTTTCTTTATTGGATTGTTTGTCTTTTCCTTATTGAGTTCTTGGAATTCCTATGTATCTGAAATATAATTCTTTGCTAATTATTTGTGTTGCTAATATCTTCATAGTTTGTCTTTTTACTTTTTTCTTATTTTAACAAACTCAATTTTAATGCAGTCCAATTTACCCATCTTTCCTTTTGTGGCTGGCACTTTTGTTCCTTCTTTATTCCGCTCAGCCTGTCAGCATCTCAGTCATCTTTCTTGGGTGAGAAATGTCCTTAGGACAAAAGTGACTCTGAGTGCTGGCTCCACCTCACTAGATAACCATCTTCGTGCCAGGTAACTTCTTAGGAGCCTATTAGCTCTTTGGTGTCAGAGGCATCCAAACCAGAGTGACTCCACCTTGAATAACGGCTGCATAAAGCCAAACCTGCTGGGTTACATTCCCAGGAAGTCAGGTACTCTTGGTCACAAGATATTTATGGTTAAGGGAACAAGTTAATGGTGCTAATTAATTAAGTAAGACTCAGAAGTTATGGAAGTGTCCCAATATTTTAAGAACAAAAAGCATTCTTAGTTTTAGAGTTTCACATTAGAAATAATAATATACTCATAGATTCTTGCTGAAATCAATAGTTGCAGAAGAGAATAACAATACTAATAGCCTGTCACAAGCTGATCACAAGCCTTTATAATAAAGCACATTATTTTTAGCTCTAATACCCTATATAAGCAAGTATTAAGTTTTAGGTAGGGGCGTTCCTCCTGTTGCTTTTTGAGGACACCCTACTCTGTAATAAGAGTAGCCTCTAATAAACTATCTTAATTTCACTATACTTTGATACTTGCCCTGAATTCTTTACTGCACACAATCTGTGAACCTGCTCCTGTGGTCTGGGTTGACACCCCTTTTCCAGTAACATTGGTAATTTCTAGGTGCTTAAAATAAATTTTTTTTGGCCAGGTGCGGTGGCTCATGCCTGTAATCGCAGCACTTTGGGAGGTTAAGGTGGGCAGATCGCTTGAGCCCAGAAGTTTCAGACCAGCCTGGGCAACATGGGAAAACTCCATCTCTACAAAAAATTTAAAAAATTAGCCATACATCATGATGGGTGCCTGTAGTCCCAGCTACTTGGGAGCCTGAGGTGGGAGGATCACTTGAGTCCAAGAGGTCAAGGTTGCAGTCAGAGTGACACCAAGACCCCATCTCAAAAAAAAAAAATTTTTTTTTCTCCTTTATCTTCTTTAGTTGTCCTCCGCATGAAAATGGGTATGAGTTATAGAAATAGCCTTTACCATATTTTTTGTTGTAGGATGGAGAGCTATGGGTATTTTCTCATTTCCTGGATGCCCACAGTGCATTAAAACATAGGTATCAGTCACTATATTGTTGTTGGAAAGTAGAAGGACCCTTTAGAGTATCTAGGCTGCTATTTTGACGGGAGAAAAAGTACTTACATTTCTTGTTCAAGCTTTTCACAATTTTGCCCACATAGAAAACTGATATGGAAGCATGTTGTAAATGTTGACTTGGGTGTTTGTCCCTTTGTCTGCAGTGTCCTTCTCCTTCTTCCCTGACTGACCACATCTTAATACTGCAAGGACAACCTGAAGGCCTCTTTCTTTGTGGTACCCTCTCATCTCTACCAATTGAGTGGCAACCAAAATGAGTGGCTGAGGCACAGGTCTCAATGATCGAGGTTTATTAAGCCAACTTTAGGGCAAATCCAGGGAAAACACCCATTTGAAGAGGCTTTCAGAAGGTTTAGTATTTATACATTTCTGTAAAGTGGGGAAGGCATGCAGGAAGAGGGGCAGCTAGGCAGAAAGGCAAATAGTTATATTCCTGTGTGTCTTTCATTAGTGCCCAGTAGATCTACATTTTACACAAGACAAGTTGAAGGTCTGAAGAGAAAAAGAGAGTGAAGCAAGAGCCAATTATGTAGATGTCTCTGGGTAGGTGGAGGAAAGATTGATCTCTTGTCTTTGTTCTGCACCTGGGAAGATAAACTTGTAATCAATGTTATCAGTGTGGAATTGAACAGACTTCAGTTTAGGAACTAGACTTGGATTGTAGACCTATAGTTACAACTGGCATGTCCTTGTTTGTGGGAGGCCAGGAAAGGATTTACCTATGAATGATCTGTTGGGGGCAGTGCTCTCCAGGTACCTAATGCCTTTTACTTTTCCATGGGGATCTGGCTGATGCACAATGTAACAGCTATTCATTTGGAAGAGAGTAATACAGTGACTCAGCCCCAGGCTTCACCTTTCCTTTTGCATAAGAATTTGGGGAGGTCCCGAGATTTTTTTCCTTTCCCTTACGTGGTCCACTCACTCCCAACACTAAGGACCCAAAGCCCTTGGCTTATGCCTCCATTCTGCACACTGACGTCAGGCTGAGCTACTTTGCTCTTAGTTGAGGCACATCTGCATTAATTTCCTTTTGCTGCTATAACAAATTACTACAGATTTGGTGGCTTAAACAACAACAATGTGTTATGTTATAATTTTGTAGGTCAGAAGTCTGATGAAGGTCTCACTGGGCTAAAATCAAAGTGTCCATAGGGCTGTGTTTCTTCTGGAGGATCTGAGGGATAATTCATTTCCTTGTCTTTTCCAACATCTAAAGGCCACCCACATTCCTTGGCGCATAGTTCCTCTATTTTTAAAGCCAGCAACAGCATGTTGGGTCCTTCACATTCTGCCATCCTTCTGGTTTTCTGAGCAGAGCTGGAAAAGATTTTCTCCTTTTAAGGACTCATGTGATTAGATTGGGCTCACCTGAATAATCCAGAATAATCTTGCTACCTCAAAGTCCTTCAGTTTAGTTACATCTACAAAGTCCCTTTTGCCATGTAAGGTAGCATATATACAGGAGAGATTGGGGAGCAGACATCTCTGGGGCCATTATTCAATCTGCCACAACAGCTGTGTCCTCTGCCTGCTCTTTGAGCTACTTAAGAGCGAAGACATGCCTTGTTTATCTTTGTATCCCTAGTTCCTTACATTTAAGAAGAACTCAATAAATTAAAAATTGAACTCATTGTATAAAAGTCATTACAGAAATAATGAGCTACTTGCAAGACGGGAATAGAAAAAGATCAGAAAACAAACAAACCAAAAAACAACCCACACTAGTTTAAAAGGAGACTAAGAGAGAAGGGATATATCAATGAGTGAGGGTTGTGGAGACCAAGGTTTTGTCATGCAGATGAAGTCTCCAGGTAGCAGGCTTCAGAGAGAATAGATTGTAAATATTTCCTTTCAGACTTAAAGAGTGTGTTCTATCAGTAATTCCAAAAGGAAAGAGAGTAGAATGAGACAAGTATGGCTCCCTCTTCCCATGATGGCCTGAACTAGTTTTTCAGGTTAACTTTGGAATGCCCTTGACTGAGAGGAGTGTCCATTCAGATGGTAGAGGGGGGCCTTGGAATTTTATTTTTGGTTTATAGCCCCAAGTCATATGTCACACTCACTCATACACACACATACACACACACATGACATTTTGTTTTTTTAATTTTTAAAATATTGGACTGATTTAATGTCTATATGTACTCATCATTTTACATAAATTAGTAATTTTTGAAAAAATCTTTCATTTAAATGAACTAATTCATTTAAAGTCACATCAGACTCCAAAAATTAGGAATCCCTAAAGCCTGTTTTAATCAAGTTAAGAAAATATGGGCTCTTAGAATTACCAAGAAATCTTGGAGTCTTCCAATCCTATGTCCCCTCTATTGCTATTGTAACCTTTAGACAAACACCCCAAGCAACTGGGCATTCTTGGGGTTTCAGGAAGGTTATTATCTCTGCCAAGGGCAGCTCATTCTTAGACAACACTGCCTTCTGTTGCTGTAATTGGAGCTGGATGTCTTCTGTGGCTTCTGGCCTCCTACTCTGACCTTGTAAAGCCAATCATAATAATTGTGTTATTATTGTAAGACAGTCAATATATCCTTTCTCATTCTGGCTGCTGCTGCAGCTTCTCCTGTTTCCATGGCTCTTTTACCATCCTATCCTCTAATTCTGAGCGTGCCCTCTGGCTTGTAAGGATGTTTTCGGTGACTAAAGTGGGGGAGAAGAACAAACCAGAATGTTCCTTCTTCTAATTCTTATACTCTTATGGATTCCACCTCAGATGGTTTCCACGTCAATAAAAGACAAAATATCCCTCTAGTTTGGCAGTAGAACAAAACTGAGAAATTACATAGTCAGAATTCTAAATCAATAAGTAAATTGAGACTTGTGGATTGCATAAACAGCAAAGACTTTCTCTATTTTTCTCTGAAATCGACTAGAAGCTTAAATTTTATTTTCACCACCCTTCAAATTTGCCCTTAAACTTCACACTCAGTTTCTTGACATTATTTGTAAATGCTAATGGAATGTTCCAGTTATTTCCTTCTTGGCATATCTGTTGGTATTATGCCAAAGTATCATTTGGATACTTTTTTTTTGTACGTCTTAATAAGGAGTGCTATGGTTTGCCAGTATCTGCAACTTGGGATTTTTCTCAAACTGATTCCGTTAAGAATAAATCACTGCTGAGACTTGCCTTCAGCGGTTTTAAAAAAAAAAAAAAAAAAAGGAAAGAAAACAAAAAACAGAACATCTCCCTGCTGGAAAATGAAACAAAACAAAAACAACTCTTGCCTTTAAGTAATTATCTCATCTTTAATCTTCTAAGAAATAAATATTGGAATTGGTATAGACTTTGCCTCTGAGGTATTATGTGTTTTACTATTAGAAAAGGTTGACAAACACAGTGAGATTGACTAAAATTGTGCTTCTTCAAATTTTGGAGCATTATCTTAGCTTTCCTTATACTAAAGATTAGAGGCCAAGTCTATTACATATGTCTTGTCTCACTCTCCACCTCCACTGTACACCAGGAGTCCCTGTATTCCATCTCTCTGTGAATGGCACAGTCACCCAGCCAATGACTGCAGCTGGCCTCTGAGAAACATCCCTGAACCTTTCATCTCCCTCACTCCTCATATCCAATTGCTCAGTGGGTCTGGTCTATCTTACTTCTTCCTGTTCCTCTCCACCCTGAGACTGTCATTGCACCTGGCTTCCAAATTGGCCTCCTCTTCTCCAATCTTTATCTGCCCAGTACTGTGGAGTTACAGTAATTCTGATCCAATTATTTTCCTCCTTCAAATGCGTTAAGGGCCCTCCATATTCTTTAAGATAAAGGGCAAACCTTTTAGCATCATATTCAAGGTTTTTCAGGACCTCTCTGTCACTTATATTTCCAGGTTATCTCTCTCCATGTCCTTAAATTTGTTCTTCAATTCAGCTACACTGAACTATTTGCTTCTTTTTGAGAGCACTATTCATTTCCCTTTGGAATTTTCCCTTCTTCACTCCCTCCCTTACTCTCTCCCTACCTCGCATTTTCTTTCTCTTCTTTACTTCCTTACTTACCAAGAAGTAACAGGGACCAAATTCTCTCTCATGCCTGAAACAACCAAAAACAGATAAAATATATGAAAAGATGCTTTGCAAAATCAGGCAAGGAAGAGCAGTGATCCCTGAGAGGCAGGAAAGAAAGTGAGGTGAGCCCTGTGATGGCCCCAGCTTACTGCTTTGAGAGAGTTTCCAGGCCATAGCACAGAAAGGGGACACCAAGTCAGAGCCTGGCAGTTTTCCAGGATGGACGGGAAAATACTGGAGTCCAGGAAGACTAAGGCAGCTAGAATTCTGAAGGAAGAGTACTGTAAAGAAAGGAATTTCACAGAAAGAAAACTTAGGAGATCTGCAGAGGGTTCACCTTGAGCATTCAGCTAAGTACTGAGGGGTGCATGCAAGTGAGGAAACTACCCAAAGCCAGTAACAGAACCAACTGAAAGGATTAGAGGGAGCAGGTGCTAATACTGGGATAGAAATAGTGCTTGTCACACCAGCCAGACTGGAAAACCTCAAGATTCATGAAGTATTGGATAGACTACGTATTCTGGGCCGTAAATAGGTGCTAATAAACTTAAAAGAATTCAAATCATACAAAGTATGTTCTCTTATCACAATGGATTTAAAATAGAAATCAATTATAAACAATATATTTGGAAAACTCTTAAATATTTCTAAACTATATAGACTACTTTAAGGTCCATATGTCAAAAAATAAACCATAGAGGAAATTTTAAAATGTTTTGAATTGATTGAAAAGAAGGACACAACATATCAAAATTAGTAGCTGGGTACAGTGGCTCATGCCTATAATCTCAGCTATTTAGGAGTCTGAGGAGGGAGGATTGCTTGAGACCAGGAGCTCAAGAGTAGCCTGGGCAACATAGTGGGATGCCATCTCTAAAAAAATAATTTAAAAAATTATCTGGGTGTGGCGGCAGGTGCTTGTAGTTCTAGCTACTGGAGAAGCTGAGACAGAAGGCTCACCTGAGCCCAGGAGTTCAAGTCTGCAGTGGACTATGATTGTGCCACTCTTAAAAAATATTGCGGGATACTGCTAAAGCAGTACTTAGAAGGAAATTTATAGCACCAAATGTCTACTAGAAAAGAAGAAAGGTCTCAAATCAATGACTTAAGCGTCCACCTTAAGAAATGAGAAAAGAAGAGCGAATAATAAAAAAAAAAGAGCAGAAACTAATGAAATAGGAAGCAGAAAATAAATAGATATATACATGTCAAAACTTCTTAAATTGTACGCTTTAAATATATGCAGTTTATTGTGTGTCATTTATAGCTCAATAAAGCTTTTAAATGTTTTTAAAAGTATCTTGTAGGAGGAGAGGGAGAGGGAGAGTGAGCGAGTGAGAGTGTGCTAGAACTCACCAGAGACTGGAGATCTCTTATGAGCTTGGCATTTTAATTGACACTGCCCCTACCTAGGGGTAAATGTGTCTCCTTTGGTGACCTGAATCTGATTATCATATTAGCATCTCCTAATCTTAAGGGGAGAAGCTGGAGTTTTGAGAGATGGATGGAGCTCTTCACCTCCCCCTTACACTACGTAACTCATAGAGCAGCTAGAATCGCTCCAATGATACTTGCAAGTCCTTCTGAACTCCAACTTTACTCTCATTGTCCTCGTCTTAGTTAACGGCATCAAAATGTATCCAATTTCCCAAGCTTACCTTCAGCTGTTATCATCCTCCCCCTTTCTATAACTCACTGAGTCCTGTCAATTAGACCTCAGAAATCTCTCAAATCTATTTCCTCCTCTATATGTTGACTTCTGCTATTTTTAAATGTTCTCCTTAGTTTTATTAGTTGCCATGCCAATTAATGCCTCATAGAATCATTAGAAATATTCTTCCTAAGATACATATCAGATTAAAATATTACCCCCCTCCCCCATTGCCTACATGAGGAGGCTCAACTTCCTTACCAGGGCTGATAATGCCTTTCACAATCCAGCCTTCATCCTGTTTCAGCATCCCCTCCACACCTTATGTTTCAGCTCCAGCCTTCGCTTAATAATCCCAAACATATTAGGTTGGGCTTGTTTTTGGTATTTTTGCCTTTGTGTCTTTGTACCTGCTGTTTCCTCTGTCTCTTCTCCACATGGCAGTCTCCTACAGACTATATAAGATTTAGTTAAAATATCTTTGATAAAGTCTTCCTCATCTTTGCCCCAGAAATGGCTCCCTTTTGTTTGACTCCCAAATGGTTTTGCTCCAGTGGTATTTACTAACAGCACAAATAAGATGTTAACTAACTGCAACCTGGGGCAGTGAAGTTGGGCTGAGAGAAATGACTGAAATGCTGGTGCAAAAAGGAGGTAGCCAGAAGAGAGAGGAACTGCTTAGGTTGGACACTGCAGTATTCCCCTTTCTTGGAGCCACTTAGAGACTGAGAACATTTTTAGAAATATAGCAATAAAATATGAACAGCCATTTTTCTTAGAATAGACATAAGAAGAAAGAGCTATGTTCTGGGTATTTAGAGGCTTGCAATTATATTAACCCACCCACTGGGAAAGAATTGATTTGCTTAATGACAAAGGGAGCTGTGTCATTCAAAGGAGGCTGTAACAGGTATTTTAAGTCAGGGCTCATGCACCAGGGACAAGAAGGAGATCAGTCATTTCCTTACACTGCCTGGTATGGCCAAATACTAATTGAAAGCTCATATACATTGTTTTTTTTGCTAGTGTGGACATTATAATTCATCTGAATCAAGATCCATCACTCCATGGAAAAAAGCCTTCTGGTATTAAGAAATGAAAGTCAGGTTTCTTAATTCATGTCTGCTAAAATAATGTTGCAATTGATTTATCTGGTTTGATAAAGAAAAATAATTTTAAATATCTTAAGATAATAAAGCTTTGAAACTTGACCCTATAGATAATACTTATCCTTCCAGTATCAAAAGGCTCTGGCAAATAATTTTTAAGTGGAATGTTGGCATAACAATTTGGAAAGTTTTTCTCGTGATATATTTGCTATCTTCCTTTTCCCAGAACTTAGTTCAAATTAATGAATATCTTTCTTAAGCCCTTTTCCTAGTACAAATACTGCCCCTCCTTCAGCTTATTTTTGTTTTACCTTGAGCTTAAATGAGTTTCCAAAATGAATGAATTTTTCATTATTTTATTTTGAAAAAGATCTCTCAGATCAATGACTATAGGAAATTCAATGGTATCATTTGATTTCCTGAACCATCAACTATAATATAAAATAGACATGAACATATTAAAGGGCTTGAGTCATTTTCTGGTATTTTCTGTATGTTTTCTTTAGTTGCTACTTCCACAATGGGAGAAATCTTTATTTTCATTCTAATTCAAACAACATTGTATTGCCTTTAAGAGGGAGGGCTTTTCTAATTCTCTAGATTATCTTCATTTTAGAGAGAATGTTTAGAATGAGTACTTTAGTAAATATAGATTCTTATTAATACACACATTTTGAATCTGTTTAAAATTAGAGACTTCTATTCCTAGCGATATGCAGGACTACTTTATTTGGGCAAATCCTTATGCTGAAAACAACTAATTTCTTGAAGAAAGTTGAATACATTTCTTAAAAGATCTCTGAAATCTTAAAAAAAAAATGATTAAAACTAGCTAATGAGATATTAAGGGGTTCCAAGGCTAAAATCTAAGGGAAAATGGGAAATTAGAGCAAATAGTAGAACACTAGAGCTGATTTTGCCACCAAATACTTGTTATTTCAGAATGTCTTAAACTTTAGTTTTAGTAGCTTCTGAATATAAAAAAGGCAAAATTTAAAGCTCAGGATCACATGAAATGAGGAGTTTAATAGGGTACCCTTCTACCAAAAAAATAATGACTGCAAAGGGACATCAAGGAGCTTGTGGATGATGAAAAATAGTCTATATGTGAAAACAGAGAGATAATCTCAAATTAGATGAAAAACATTAAGTCAACCAAGGAGCTAAGAATCTCAAGCAGGGTGAATATGCTAAATAAACAAAAACCAAAACACCAAAACATACATAGCCACATCATTGTCAAGCTGCTAAAAGCCAAGAATGAACAGAAAATCTGAGAAGCAACAAAAAGAAAAATGACACATTACATCCAGGGGACCAACAAATGTGATTATCAACTGACTTCTTGTAAAAAAACAATGGAGACTGGAAGACATTTTCACATTTTCAAAATGCTGAATGACAAATACCTGTCAAGATGGAATTTGATACCAGTGAAACTGTTCTTTTAAAATGAAGATTTTAAAAAAAGACACAAAAAAACAAAAACTGAAGGTAATTATTTTCCAGTAGATAGGTACTATAAAAAATGGTATAGGAAGTTTTTTACCTAAAGGAAAATTATACCAGATGGTAATTTGGATCTACTGGAAGGAACGAAGAACACCAGAAATGGTAACTATGTAGGTAAAAATAATATACAAGTAGTACAGGATCTTGGATTTTATAATTTGATTTCCTGAGCCACCAAACACAAGATAATAATGAACATATTAAAAGCCTTGAATAGGTTTCCATTATATTCTGTATGCTTTTTTTTTAAAGTTTCTGCTTCCATCATGAGAAACTTTTATTTTTCTCTCAATACAAACAACATCATGTAACTTTTAATAGGTAGAGCTTTTCCATTTTCTGATTTCTCACATTTTATTTTATTTTGCTGTTTCTAGTTACTTTATTAAGGGGTTGTTAATAAAATAACATAATATGGTGCTGCTTTTGCAAATTCAGCAAGTATATCACACAAAAGAGAACGCCCCCCACCCCCGCCAACACACAGACACCTCTTCAGGCGAAAGGGGTGTGTGTGTGTGTGTATGTGTATTTCTTGGCCAAACTCATTTCTCCTGTCCATTTTCTTTTGGTTGTGCACCTGCAATTTGATCTTGCGCTGTAATAACTCAATTTTGCCTAATCTGATTATATCTGACTAAAAATGAAAAGGAGCATCTAAATGATGTATTGACAGGTTTGTCAGAAAAAAGCGTTCAGCCTTCCAGCAGATTGCAGCAGTTTAATGCAGGGTTTCTTAGCCTTGTTGCTGTTGACATTTTGGTTGCGTAATTCTTTGTTGCTGGGGGGAATGTCTTGTGTATTATAGGATGTTTAGCCTCATCCCTAGCTTCTACCCACTAGATGCTAATTTCTCACATTTTAGAAAAAAATTCTCTTACTTTTCTTAATGCATTTAAAAGACAGATGATGTGAAACAATACAAAAATTATTTCTCTGTAATTTTGGAATTTAAATCTATATAGATATATGACAAAATAGCACAAAGAAAGTGGATGGAGGTAAATGAAACTATATTGTTGCAAATTTTCTGTTTTTTATCTGAAGTAATTCAATCTTAACTATAAGTAGGTTGAGATAAACTAAAAATGCATATTATAATCACTAGACCAACTATTAAAAAATAATACAAAGAAATATAACTAAAAAGCCATTAGAGGATTACCCTGGCACACTAAAAATTACTTCATTAATACAAAAGGAGGCAGGAAAAGAAGAAAAAAAATGAACAAAAACCAGACAAGACAAATAATGAGACAATAGGCCAGGTGCAGTGGCTCCCACTTACAATCCAGACCCTGTCTCTACAAAATGAGAATAATAAGAACATAAATAGTAAAAGGACAATCATACATTCAAACTTATAGATAACTACATTAAATACAAGTAGACTAAATAATCATAAGACAGAGAATGTCAGGCTGGATTTTAAAAGGCAAGACTAAACTATATGTAATGTAAGAAACATGAATGTAAGAAATTAAGAAATGCACCTGCACCTTTATTTTTTTTTTTATTTTTATTTTAAGATAGGGTCTCACTCTGTCACCCAGCTGGAGGCAGTAGTACAATATAGCACATTGCAGCCTCCAAACTCCAGGGCTCAAGCTATCCTCCCACCTCAGCCTCCCGAGTAACTGAGACTACAGGCATGTACCACCATGTCCAACTAATTTTTGATTTTTTTGTAGAGATCAAGTCTCACTATGTTGCTCAGGCTAGTCTCAAACTCCTGGCCTCAAACTATACTCTCTCCTTGGCTTCCCAAAATGCTGGGATTATAGGCATGAATCACAGCAGTTGGCCCATAAATGCACTTTAAATATAGAAAGAGAAATATGTTCAGAGTAAAAAGATGAGAAAAATATACAAGGCAAAGAATAAGCATAACAAAGCTGGAATGGACGTACTCACATATATTATAATATTCTGCATCTTTATTTGCCAAAACTTATATAAACTACGTACTTGAAGTGAGTGCATTTTTTTATGTGTACATTATACCCCATGAAATTGATTTTAAAATAAGTAACACATAAATTAACAGCCGATTATGTGCAGTGGAAGAGAGAAAACTGGAAAATCATTCAGAAGACCTTGTCTAGCACGCAGCAAGGAAAAAGATGAAGAGATTAAAAATATAAAGGAAAAGTTAAGAGACATGGAAGTTAGAGTGAGCAGTCTGAGATTAATTGGAATTTTAGATTGAGAAGGAAAAAAGGGGGCATGAGGCATAGACAATTTTAAAAAGGTGATACCATGTGAAATTTTTCAGAACTGATAAAAGATATCAATTTAAAAGTTCAAGAATCCCAGTGAATCTTAAGTAGGATAAATTTGAAAAATCTACACTTATATATATATATAATATGAAACTACAGAATACTAAAGACGAGACCAAATTTTAAAATCAGACAGAGATTACCTCTAAGAAGGAGCGGTTAGATGTACAACTGGCTTCTTAATAAAATCAGTGGAAACTAAAGGACAGTGAAGGAGTATCTTTCATGTTTTGGAAGAAAGTAATTGCCCACCTAGAATTGTATTTCCTGGTATGAGGGTGAAATAGGCATTTACTGATGAAAAAGAGTGAGGTCAACTCTAGAAAACTCTAAATAAGTTATATAAAAAAAAGGATTCTTTAGGCAGAAGGAAAATGATTCCCAGTGGAAAACCTGAAAAATTAAGGGACAAACAAATTGATAAATATGTATGTAAAAATAAATGAACATTGCCCAAATAATATTAATAATCATAATATGATGTTTTAAAAAGAATTAAAATGCAAAACAATGGTAATGTATAAATCCAAAGTGAGTAAAAGGAGGTAAGATATTCTAATGTTCTGGTCTGAAGATGAAGATGTTGGTTAACTTTAGACTTTGATATGTGAAATATGCATGTGGAATTTCTAGGAAAAGCAATACAAGAATAGAAACAGAGGACATAGCTTCAAATCTAGTAGATGGAAAAAGAAAGGAAAAAGATAAAAGTAATTAATCTAAAAAAAGAAAGTAAGCAAAACAAAATGTTAGTCCTATCAGATAAATAAAAAGCCCAACACAAAATGTTGGATTTAAACCAAAACGTATTCATAATTATATTAAATGTATTCAGACCAAGCATTGCAATTAAGAGGCAAAGAGTAATAGATTGGATAAAAATATCTAACTATACATTCTTTTACCAGAGACAAATCTAAAACAGGCAAACAGGAAGAGTAAAAATAAAAATATGGACAAAATACAACATGCTAATACGAACCAAATGAATGTTGGTGTAGTTATATTGAAGTCAGACAAAGTGATACGAAGGCAAAAGAGCATTATTGGAGATAGAGATTTCACTTCATAATGATAAAAGTCTTGATTCACCAAGAAGATATAATAATTTAAACTTGTATGTATCTAATAACATAACCTCAAAAGATATAAAGTGAAAGGGACTGAACTATAAGGAGAAATAGGCGGAGCCAAAATCACAGTGGGAGATTTCTGTCTTTGTAACTGAAAGAATAACACACACAAATCTTTAAGGCAATAGAATATTTGGATAACATGATTAAGTAATTTGATGAAATGGAAGTATATTGAACACTGTGCCTAACAGCTGCAGAATATATATTCTCTTCATGTATAAATGAAATATTTACAAAATGTAAATATTTATGGACCATATACTGGTCCATAAAAAGCAAGTTCAACAAATTTCAAAGGCAAAGCATTTTCTCTGACAACAATGTAGTTAAACTAGAAATCAACAAAAAGTTCACTAAAATATCCTCATATATAAATGAAGAAACACATTTCTAAAATATTCATGAGTCATTAAAAATTCAAATACAAATTAGAAAATCAATACTACATACCTAGAGAGAGATAATTGAAGGAGTGCTTAAAAGGATAGTTTAAGTGGTAAAACTGTATAATAGCAAAAAAGGCTGAAAATTAATAAGAAGTCAGGTGTGGTGGCACACACCTGTAGTCCTGGCTACTCCGGAGGCTAAGATGGGAGGATCACTTGAGCCTAGAAGTTCGAGGCTGAGGCTGCAGTGAGCCATGATCATGCCAACGCACTCCAGCCTGGGCAACAGAGCAAGACCTTGTCTCTAAAAAATTTAAAAAGGGAAATACATTTTAAAAAAGAAAATAATGAGATGATAAAAGCATCAGCAAAAATAATTCTAAAAAGTAAATTGAAAATAACATAATTCAATGAAATAGAAAACATGAATAGATATGATCAGTGAAGTTGACTCTTTGAAAAGACTAATAAAATTGACACATCTCTGGTGATGCTGAGCAGAGGAAAAAAAGAGATCGGGCACAAATAATTATATCCTCCTTCTACATCATACACTGGGTGTCTGGAGTCGTATAATTTCTGTTGAAATGGTCTGAAGCTTGTTTCCAGAGCCTGTTCTGGCCTTAAGTGGCCAAATGGCAGTGTTGCAAGGATTGTGGACAGCACACAGAGGTGATGACTGTCTACCTATGCATGCACATGGCTCTGTATGGGTAAGTACAGAATGTGGTAGAAAAGAGAAGGGCTTGGACCTTAGCCTGGAGCTGGGGTCATCTCTCCCCATGTGGCTGCATTTGGATGGAACTCTGAAGAGTCTAAGAATTCTAAATTCAAACCAGGTCTTCCTAGTCATTATAAAGGTATATTTACCAAGGTAAGAGGTTATGCCCAGTTGGTGTGCAAATGTACATTTTTTTCTTTTCCCCAGAGTTTGCAAATGATTATAGATGGCCTCAGAGAAAGGATATGTCGTCTGTATGTCAAGGTGAGCCCGAAAGTACCCCGGCAGTAATGCAGGTATAAGTATAAAAAACACAGATTAGAGATGAATCAAGATCTTGCTTAGGGGGAAAAAAAAAGATGGGAAATGGCAATTCCTAGTACAAAGTGCTTGGTCTAAGTGCAAATCATTAATAAGGCAGCCAGTGAGGAGTCATTGAGCTAATTGCCTACGGCCGCATCATTCCCTGCTAAGAGGTTACATTTTCAGGAAAGCCAAGGAGCTCACTGAAGAGGCTGTCATGTATGGGAAAGGATCAAGAAAATCTTGACACAGTGAGCTGGAAAGTTTAGACATCAATAATAACAATGTTAAGTAGTCCCAAGAATTTCATTCAGATGAGAGCACACTCCTGACCTGGGCCAGGTTAGCAGGTTTTCCTATGTACTCTAGCACAATTGACTTCACCAGGAACACTGGAAAGTTCAAACAGGAGTTTTCTTGATATGGTTTTCAAAAATATTGGGATGGATAATTTTTAAAACTTGTATTACCAAAAAATAATAATGGGCCGGGCATGGTAGCTCATGCTACCATGGTGAAACCTGTCTCTACTAAAAATACAAAAAATTAGCTGGGCGTGGTGGTGTGCACCTGTAATACCAGCTACTCCAGAGGCTGAGGCAGGAGAACCGCTTGAATCTGAGAGGCAGAGGTTGGAGTGAGCCGAGATCACACCATTGTACTCCAGCCTGGGAAATAGAGTGAGACCTTGTCTCAATGAAAACAAAAACAAAAACAATAATGTAAGGACTATCAAATCAACATTTGTGCAGGATTTTCAAGTTATTTCTCTTAACTACATTCAGACTTTCATGAAATAAACAAATGTTATTTCTAGTCCTGATCATCATGTAGAAACAATTTGTATGACCTAAAAGTCTACCTAATTTTATCAAGCCCAGAAGAATTTATTTAATTTTCTTACATGTTCTCGTCCAGTATGTACTATTTCTTAACCACCTATGAAGTAGTCAAATTTGGTGGACAACACAGCATGGTGATTCTCATGTGGTCATTAAATAATGTGCCTTTTTTCTTTTTTAATAGTAATCAGATTGTAAAAGAGAAGTTTTATGCAAGAAAATGAATGAATGAGATCTCCCAGGAAAGGTGTGTAAAGTGGAAAGAGAAGAACTCTAGGACACATTTCCCAATTAACAGTAAAGTAATGGCAGAGCATTGAAAATCAAAGAGAAGTCTGCCGAGGATCCCCAGAGGGAGTGACTTGAGAGTCAGAACAGTATTCTGCCTCAGCACGAAAGCCAAAACAGGAGAGTCAATTTTGATAATGCTACTAAAAGGTTTGGTAAGGTTTATATCAAAAGTGTCTACTTAATTGAACAACAGGACAGATACAGAGACCTTAGCAAAAACAGTCTTAGAGGAGTGTTAGGGCTGGTGCAAGACTAGGATACTTAAGGGAGTGAATAGGAAGTAAAGAAGTGAAGAGACCAAGAGTAGTATGTTATTTCAATTAATTTAGCTGGGAATTAAGAGGCAAAAGATTGGATTCGATGAAAGTAGACATGGGGTGTATCAGCTATTGCTGTATAACAAATGGCTTCAAAACTCAGTGGTTTAAAACAATCAGCATTTATTATCACTCAAATATCTACGAATGAGTTGGTTGTTTCTGTCAGTCTGAGCCTGGCTGTGCTCACTCGTGCATTTGGAGTCGGCTTAGAACTGGCTAATCTAGGATGAGCCTACTCAGAGTTTTGGAAGTTGATTTTTTTATTGGCTTGGGTGTTTCAGGTAACTGGGCCATGTTTCTCTCATAATCCAGCATGCTAGTTCACAAGGCAATGGCAGGGTTCTAAGAAAGAGCAGAAGTCTGCAATATCTCTTGAGGCCTCATCATGAATTGGCATATCACCCTGTCACAGCCTGCTGGCCAAAGCAAGTCACAAAGTCAGCCAAAATTCAGCTTAAAGAGAAGGGGATTGACCTCTTGGTAGGAGAAACTACACAGTCTCACTGTAAAGCACATAAGTAGATGTAAAGAATAAGGAAAGTCCTAGCTAGAGCAGTCAGGCAAGAGAAGGAAGTAAAAGGCATCCAAATAAGAAAAGAAGAGGTCAAATTATCTTTCTTCACTGAGATATGATACCTAGAAACCCCTAAAGACTCCACCAAAAGGCTCTTAGACCTGATAAACATCTTCAGTAAAGTTTCAGGATACAAAATAAATGTGTAAAAATCAGTAGCGGTTCTATACACCAATAATATTCAAGCTGAGAGCCAAATCAAGAACACAATCCTATTTACAATAGCTACAAAGAATAAAATACCTAGGAATACATCTAACAAAGGAGCAGAAAGATCTTTACAAGGAGAACGACAAAACAGTGCTGACAGAAAGCAGAGATGACACAAAGAAATGGAAAAATATTCCATGCTAATGGATTAAAAGAATTAATATTGCTAAAACGACCATACTGCCCAGAGCTATCTACAGATTGCCGCCAAACTACCAACATCATTTTTCACATAATTAGAAAAAACTAATTCATATGAAACAAACAAACAAAAAGAGAGCCTGAATAGCCATAGCAATCCTAAGCAAGAAGAGCAAAGCTGGAGGCATCACATTACCAGACTTGAAACTACTATAAGGCTACAGTAACCTAAATAGCATTGTACTCGTACAAAAACAGATACATAGACCAATGGAACAGAGTAGAGAATCTAGAAATAAAGCCACACACCTACAACCATCTGATCTTCAACAAAATCAACAAAAATAAGCCATGGGGAAAGGACTCCATATTCAATAAATGGTGCTTGAATAATGCCAGTTCTTCTGGTGCTAGCCAGAAGAATAAAACTGAAGAATATGCAGAAGAATAAAACTGGACCCTTACCTTTCACCATATATAAAAATTAACTCAAGATAGATTTAAATGTAAGACCTCAAACTATAAAAATCCTAGAAGAAAACTGAGGAAAGACCATTCTGGACATTGGCCTTGGCAAAGAATTTATGACTAAGTCCTCAAAAGCAATTGCAACAAAAATGAAAATTGACAATGGGACCTAATTAAAGAGCTTCTGCCCATCAAAATAAACCATTAACAGAGTAAACAGAAACCTACAGAATGGGAGAAAATACTTGCAAACTATGTATCTAACAAAGTTCTAATATCCAGAATCTATAAGGAACTTAAAAAGCAAAAAACAAGTTAAAAAATGGGCAAAGGAAATGAACAGACACTTCTCAAAAGAAGGCATACATGTGGTCAACAAACATTTGAAAAAATGCTCAACATCACTGATCATCAGAGAAATGCAAATCAAAACTTTAATGAGATACCATCTCACACAAGTCAGAATAGCTATTATTAAAATGACAAAAAACAACAGATGCTGGTGAAGCTATGAAGAAAAGGAATGCTTATACACTGCTGGTGGAAATGTAAATCAGTTCAACCACTGTGATTTCTCAAGGAACTAAAACAGAACTACCATTTGACTCAGCAATTCCATTCTCAAGGAATTAAAACAGAACTACCATTTGACTCAGCAGTTCCATTATTAGATATATATCCAAAGGTAAATAAATCACTGTATAAAAAAGACACATGCACTCGTATGTTCATTGCAGCACTATTCACAATAGCAAAGACATGGAATCGATTAGGTGTCCATCTACAGTGGACTGGATAAAGAAAATGTGATACATTATACCACAGAATACAATGAAGCCATAAAAAGAACAAAATCATGTCCTTGGCAGAAGCATGTCATGTCCTTGGCAGAAGCATGGATGTAGCTAGAGGCCATCACCCTAAGCAAATTAATATAGGAACAGAAAACCAAATACCGCATGTTCTTCCTTGGAAATGGGAGCTAAACATTGGGTACATATGGACATAAAGATGGGAACAATAGACACTGGGGACTCCTAGCATGGGTGGGGAGGGGCCGAGGGGTAAGATACTACCTATTGGGTACTATGCTCACTACCTGAGTGACAGAATCATTCATATGTGAAACCTCGGCATCACACAACATACCCATCTAACAAACCTGCACATATACCCCCTGAATCCAAAATAAAAGTTGAGGATAACTCATTTACCCTGGTGTAATTATTACACATTGTATGCCTGTATCAAAATATCTCATGTACCTCATAAATATATACACCTACTATGTCCCCACGAAAATTAAAAATAAAAAATAAAAGTTGAAATTATTTAAAAAAGAAAAAAATTGGGGCCATTTTTTGCAATCAATGTACTACATGGAATGAAGGTTAGATTTTATATTTGATTTTATTGAAATAGACTTGCTTATATTTAAATGATCCTCAGAAGGAGTTGCATAGAGGAAGAGGTTGAAGATATGGGACAGAGGGGATCATCAAAAGAAGGAAGTTCCTGAGGTAGAGGGAAAGCATATGATCTACAGCAAAAGTGGAAGATGGGTGTAGAGCAGAGCCGTGTGTTGATTTGATGGTAAGAGGTGGAGTAAGTTGTTGTCTGATGGCTCCTTTTTCATTGAGAAGGAGGCAAGATAATTTGTCAAGAGCAAGAGAAGAGGAGGAAAGGTAGGATGTCTATGGATATGGAAAGAAACCTAACCAGGGAAGTAGCATGCCTGGTTGAGATTTCACGTATGACTTTAACGTTTCATCAGCTAACATGCTGTTGTAATTTTCTCCAACCACATTCAGCTGCTTAAATGCAGGCCTAGACAAGATCAAATGTTATGTTCATGTGAGGTTGAGATTTTGCCAGGCCAGCAAACTGGAAGGATGATGGAACAAGAAAGCAGAAAGAGTGGTGCATGCATCATGGAACACAAATCAGACTGAAAGAGAAGGAACTATGGAAGGTGGTTGCATTAGTTTGCTAAGTCTGCTGTAACAAATACTACAGAATGGGTGGTTTAAACAACAGAAATTTATTTTCTGAAAATTCTGGATGCCAGAAATTCAAGACCAAGGGTCAACAGGTTTACCTTCTTCTAAGGTGCCTCTCTTTGGCTGGGAGGGCTGTCTTATCACTGTGTCCTCACACAGTCTCTCCGTACACACACGTCTATGTCCTAATCTCCTCTTCTTATAAGGACACCCATCATATTGGATTAGGACCTACCCGTGTGACCTTATTTTACCTTAATTTACTTCTTTAAAGGTCTTATCTCCAAATATAGTCATATTCTGAGGTACTAGGACTTAGGACTTTAATATATAAATTTGGGTTGGATGAGTAATAGACAATTGGAAGAACATGAGCCTGTGGTTTAAGAGTGGGATGCCTAAATTTATTACTTCAGAGGAACAGTTGCTCATCGGGTGATGACAATGTTTAAGGCAAGGCCATGAGAGTGGGTAGTTGAAGAGGAAAGAGTGATCATGAGCTCAACAAGGTAGCATTCTGGAGGAGTTTTCACATAGAAATGGAAGTCATTTGAGTTAAGGAAGTACTTGGGGCAGAGGGTGCTGATAATAGGAGATGGCTTATGGGGA
The DNA here is from genome assembly GCF_000001405.40 of Homo sapiens. Classification (NCBI taxonomy): domain Eukaryota; kingdom Metazoa; phylum Chordata; class Mammalia; order Primates; family Hominidae; genus Homo; species Homo sapiens. Next base: position 7,335,248 of record NC_000007.14, on the reverse strand, counting down.
CTGCAAGACTGTAAGAGAATCAGTCCTCGAAGACCTTTGGTGGATATGAGAACTTAAAGGTCCTCCTTCCAGAGATACTTAGGATATATCAAATATAAAGTGTATGGGGAGACTCTGGTGCCTCTGAAAGGAGTCAGCCTCAGACTGGCTTGAGAGTGAGGCCTCATGGAAGAGCCTCCTGGATGGCGGGTTCTGTGGGGCTTGGAGGTCCTATAGGGCCAAGAGAACTGGGAGATGTTGGTGATGCCAATGGAAAGGATGCAGGAGTAGGCATGAGGTCCTTACGCTTTGCTCTTTGAGCTGAATTCAGATTTTAACATAACTCCTTACTTTATGCCTTATCAGCACATAGAGGTTGGTAGCAATAATAAATTACTGAAATATTGGGAAAACATGTTATTTTTCTTGTTTTTAAATCAGGAAAACAAATCCTGTCGTTAAATCAATCCTGTATTTTGAATTCCAGGCTACAGATTTGCCTTCCTGGTGCCTCATTACTATAGGATTATGTTTTCCAAACCAAAAACCTGACACACAAAGGCTGGCAGTATAACAGAAATTCAAAACAGGAGGGTCCTAGACTTTTGTTCTGATTAGTAATAATAATAATAGCACATACCGAGTGAATGCATATTATGTGCCAAATCCTACTCTAAACTTGCCTTAATTTATTTAATTTTCATAACAGTATGCTTTTAAACAGTGCTATAGACTTTGGATTTGAAACAGTTATATATATATTGCAAAAATCCTCTTCTATTCTGTGGATTACCTGTTCAGTCTGTTAATAATGCCTTTCATGATCTTAATCTTATAGTCTTATTTATGTTATAGAGCGATTTGTCAGTTTTTTCCTGTATTATAGCACTTTCCTCTTCTGTTTAAGAATAAGAAATCTTTGCTTACAAGCAAAACCACAATGAGATACCATCTCACACCAGTAGCCAGTCAGAATGGCTATTATGAAAAAGTCAAAAAACAGCAGACATTGGTGAGGTTACAGAGAAAAGGGAATGCTTATACACTATTGATGGTAATGTAAATTAGTTCACCCACTATAGAAAGCAGTTTGGAGATTTCTCAAAGAACTTAAAACAGAACTCCCATTCAACCCAGCAACCCCATTACTGGGTATATATTTTAAAAAATCGTTCTACCAAAAAGACATGTGCACTTGCAAGTTCATCCCAGCACTATTCCCAATAGCAAAGAAGGAATCAACTTAGGTGCCCATCAGTGATGGACTGGATAAAGAAAATGTGATACATGTATACCATGAATACTATGCAGCCATAAAAAAGAATGAAATCTTATTGTTTATAGAAACATGGATGCAGATGGAGGCCATCCTCTTAGTGAATTGACACAGGAACAGAAAACCAAATACCACATGTTCTCACTTCTAAGTGGGAGCTGCAGATTGAGTACAGATTGAATACATACAGACACGAAGATGAAAACAACAGACCGGTGGACTACTAGAGCAGGGAGGTAGGGAGGGGGGCAAGGGTTGGAAAACTATTGGGTACTATGCTCACTACCTGCACGACAGGATCATTTGTCATTTTATGCAATTTTTCCATGTAACAAACCTGCACATGTACCCCAGAACCTGAAATAAAAGTTGGAAAAAAAAGAAATGTTTGCTTAAAAGAAGCCAACAAATATAAAAAAAGTTCAACATCACTAACCGTAAGAGAAATGCAAATGAAAACCACAATGAGATATCATCTTACGCCAGTCAGAATGGTTATTACTAAAAAGTCAAAAAACAACAGATGCTGACGTGGATGCAGAGAAAAGGAAATACTTATACATTGTTGGTGGGAATATAAAATAGTTCATCCCCATGGAAAAAATATGGAGATTTCTCAAAGAACTAAAAATCCACTACTGGGTATCTACCCAAAGGAAAAGAAATTATTATATCAAAAAGGCACCTGTACTCTTATGTTCATCATTACATTATTCACAATAGCAAAGTCACGGAATCAACTTACGTGTCCATCGATAGCTGACTGGATAAAGAATATGTGCTATATATACACCATGGAATACTCTGCAGCCATAAAAAGAATGAAGTTATGTCCTTTGCAGCAACATAGTTAGAGTTTAAGGCAATTATCCTAACTCAGAAACAGAAAACCAAATACCACAGGTTCTCACTTATAAGTGAGAGCTAAACAATGGGTACACATGGACATAAAGATGAAAACAATAGACCTAGTGACTCCAAAAGTGAGGAGCGTGGGAGGGAAATGAGGGTTGAAAAATTCCCTATTGGGTACAATGTTCACTACGTGGCTAATGGGTATATTAGAAGCCCAATCCCCACCAGTACACAACATTCTCATGTAACAAGCAAGCACATGTACCCCGAAATATAAAATAAATAAGAAATCAGAAATATTTGCTTATTCTAAGGTATTAAATATTTTTCTTGTTAAAAACTTTATTGCTTTGTATTTCATATTTAAATCTTCAATCCATTTGGAATTGACTTTGAGGTATGGTGTAAAGTAGAGATTAAGTGATTTTTTTTCCATATTGCTATCCAGTTAACTGAGTCCCATTTATTGAAGTGACTGTCCCAAAAGAGGTGAGCCGACATGGGTAGAATATTTCTGAATATTCTCTTCTGTTTTATTGCTTCATTTGTTGTTGTGAGGTTACCATTATTAACCTAAATTTACAGATGAGGAAACTTAGGTGCAGTTAAGAAATTTGCCCTAGATTGCATAACTAGACAGTCCAACCTGTTAATCATATAATACATGTGTCTGCAGAGCAAGTTTACTGGAAGTTATTACATTTTTCTAAGGAAGTTCCCAAATCGATTCTTCAAAGAATACTCCTCCCCATTGGGAAGTGGTATCAGGCATTAAGGGAAGAAGGTTTGACACAGGAAGGAGGTTCAAGTTAGACAGATGTGAGTTTGGATCACAATTCCACATTTACTAGCAATAAGAATGCAGGCCATTAAGCCCACCAAAATGCTTTCTTTATCTGTGAAATGAGATAAGTAACACCTATCTAGCAAGGTTGGACTAAATCCAAGCCAGGCTGTGGATATATAACCTAGGACATAGTACTTATTAATATAATTTACTTCCGAATTCTTTGACCAAAATGCTTGAGCCTGAAGAAATTCACAAGTGAATGTTATGACATATTCTGAACAATTTTGGTGTATTTAGTTGGTTATTGGTTGGCTTGCTTTAGGGGCTGACTCCAATTTGAAATTAAGTTTTTGGTGTTACTAAGAAAAATAAATGGGTAGTTTTCAATACCTAATGGGAAAGAAAAAAGGAGAAGAAAGAATGGAGCTGAGAAAATAACAACTAGTAATTTTGGCTGGATACCATCATGGTGAGCCACAAAGTTTGATCTTTATTTTCATTCTACGTTGCAAATATTTGTTATCTTGGGATTATGGATGAAAAATACACAGAAAGTAAGCAACTTGCCCAAGGGATTACTGTTCAGTTAATCTCAGATTAGGACGCATGGCTTGTTTCTCCACTCAGATGCTTGTGTTGCCTAACCGGTTGTCAGGAACCTGTGGTCACAGGCATAGTTTTGGGAGGCAATTTATACCTCCAGCAAAAACAGATCCTCTTAAAAGACGTATTTGCTTCCCTCCCCTGCCTCTCACCTCCTTCTAATTCTGTTTTTTCCCATATCAATTTTTCCTACTTCATCTTTCTCTAATTCTTATGATTTAAATCTACATATACATGATACCACCTGCAGCATTTCCTTCTGGCCTAATGAAATGCTGCCTCCTGCATCAACATCAAGCAGCATTTTGGACACAAGTTGATTCCGGACCACTGAGAAGCACTTGTGCAGCAACTCAATCCTATTAACTATGGCTTTGCAAAATTATGTTGATTCAAGAGATAATTCACAATTCTCAAATATCTGTAAAACTAACTGGTTTTCAGTTTACTTTAAAACTGCACATGGTGGCACCCATCCTGTTCTGGCAGAGGAGGATGGGGCATACCAGGTCACAGCCCCATCTGGTGTCCAGATTCATCCCTGCTGTGGACAGAGACATCAGGCTGTCACAGACTGACGCCAGTGGACACTTCCATCACCCCACCAGGACCCCTTGCTCAGATTAAAGACTCCGGAAGCATCCTTCTGATTATGATTCCCATGAGATGTGCCTATGGGGAGAGATGGATCTGATCCTATATTTCTTATTTGCCTACTGAAGAATAGGAGGGACTGCAATTCCTTAATTTGAGTGATTTTTCAAATACTTGAGCCAATGTAATTGCTCTCAGGAGCTGGGAGGATAAAACATAAGAAAAGAAACACAAAATTTGCCCCAGACTGATGGTTAATATGCAGAAGTCATTTAAGTGGAATGAAACATTTAATTTCAGAATATATTGAAAATGTGAGGATCATTTTAAAAAGCAGGAGAATAAGTCTTATGCCAAATGTTTTTCTTCTACTTTCAGAATCTCAGGATTTTTTGTAGCTTTATTAAATGGTATATGCCTGGGCTTTGCTGCTTAATTATTCCATTTTCTCTGGAACTCTCACTCTGAACCATTCTAGGATCTAATGGCGCACTGGAATTTTAAGCATGTGAAGTGGATAATCGAGAAACTTAGTTCTGTTTCCTTCCTCCAATATTTCAGAGAGGAATTACAGACATATCTGGCACAGAGATAGGTTAGATAAGATGGTCATAGAGTCACTTGAAGGGAAACAAACTTGCCAAACAGGTGGAGAAAACAAACCGCTTGAGAGTGCAGAAACGGCATCTGCAGCTTTGGTTAGGACATCCTGCAGCAGACAGGACGAAGAGCAGAAGGGAAAATCCCCAAATTATGCACAAGCACAGAAACCCATGATTAGTGTCCTTGACCATGATTAGTGTCCATGACCTGTGCTCATTATAATAGTAAAAAACACACTCCTGGGTAGAGAATTAAGATGCTAATAAGAAGACATGCCATATATGTGATAGCATTGCACATGCACGCCCAGGAGACCACCTGCAACATGCTTAAGCCAACAGCCAGGCTCATTCCCACCCTCTTATGAATAATCACATAAGCTTTCCATAAATGAGATTTCCTAATGTCAGAGGGGACTGTCTTATTCTCAAGGAACCCAGTTTGACCTGGCTTGCAGAGTGTCCTTTCGCTTTGCAATAAATGTCTTTGCCTGCTTTTACTTTGGACTCACTCTCAAATTCTTTCATGTGGGTCAAGAACATGAAGCAGCCCACTGACAGCAGCACCATCTACAACACAGAGCCCTTCACACTTTGGGCAGAATGCAGGATTTCTCCACCTTTGTATCTTGGCCTGAGACAATAAATGGGGCTCATACCTGGGAGCAAAGAAAAAAAGAGAAGTGGCAGGAGGCTTTTGGGTTGGAAGAGGACAGGACCCTCTTAAATCTGGAAGGGGCAAAACCAATAATAACTTTCCTTATTCCATTGATGGTATTGGCTCTCAGTTCTAAAAACAGAAGATGCTATCTGTGGTCTAGAACTGGACATCTTTGAAAATTTCCAGTCTCTATCCACAAGCCCCTCTGCCCCCTCCCTACTACTAATATCAATAAGAAGAAGGAGGGCTTGCCAGACCTCCGTCAAATGCTCAAAATTCCAGGAGGTGTGTTTCTTGGCATGCTGGTTCCTAGAATTCAATTCCTGTTGGCAGTGGTTTCTCAGCAGTGCCTGGGGGACAAAGGCTTAGTGAAAAGTCTGGGCTTGTTTAATACCTTGCTGGCTCTGAGGAGCTAGTGCCAGAGCTGTATAATCACATCCCCATGGTGCTGTGAGAAAAGAGGCTTTGCTTTGGTCTCAGTGACACAGGTCAGCACTCTTGTCCACTCCATCCTCAGACTCAGCTCCATCAACTACAGATGTACCTATAGAGTCTATTTTAAAATCTGGAGTTTAATGAACAAAATGCTAGAAGAGAAATGTAAAGTTTTAAGCAGACATAAAGAGAAGTTGCCATTGAGGTAAATTTCATCTCCTTGGGCAACACATGTTACTGAGAGACTAAACTAATTCAGCTGAGTGTATACGGGGGCGACGGGGTTGAGATGATGAGTTTGTTTATAAACCTTTATGGTCACATGCCCTTAGACTCAGCTCCTGGGGAAATCATACTTCTAACCATTGTACAATGAGGGTATGTGCAGCCCAAACAGGGCTTGTGTATGCAAGCACCACCTATATGCTAATAAGCTTATTAAATTTTACTTCCTCTACTGTTCTATCAAACACCTGAGCAGAAACCCCACACCACTGCAATCATTTGCACATTCTTCTCCCACTACAGGCTTTTTGAGGGTTGGAACCCATGTCTCTTCTTTGTCTCCTAAGCACCAATGTATAATACTTATGGAGAAAATGAACAAAATCTGAAGTAGGAGTTGGTGGAAGGAGGCAGTGAAAGACCATAGAAAGTTTTTTTCTTTCTGTAATTAGAAAATCATGGCCAGGTGCAGTGGCTCACGCCTATAATCCTAGCACTTTGGGAGGATTACTTGACCTCTGGAGTTTGAGACGAGCCGGGGCAAGATGGTGAGACCTTGTCTTTATAAAAAAAAAAATTCTTTTAAGTTAGCTGGGCATGAGGGCACACTCCTACAGTCCCAACTACTTGGGAGGCTGAGGTGGGAGGATCCTTTGCACTCGGGAGTTTAAGGCAGCAGTGAGCTATGATCACATCACTGCACTCTAGCCTGGGTGACCAAGTGAGACCCTGTCTTATGAAAGAGAGAAAAAAACAGAAAAAGGAAAAAAAAAAAAGAATTATCAGCATTGGCGAACTGTTTGTTATTTGGAGAATATTTTAAATAGTGAAAGAAATCAGAGAACTTTCAAAAGATAACTGGAATGATGAAAATGTCCCATTTTGATATGTGTGATGGTTAATTCCTTGTGTCAACTTGCCCAGATTTCAGTGCCCAGATGTTTGGTCAAACGTTGGTCTAGATGTTGCTATAAAGATGTTTTTTAGATCTAAGGATATTTCAATCAGCAGACTTTGAGTAAAGCCAATTACCTTTTGTGGTGTGGGTGGGCCTCATCCAAACAATTGAAGGCCTTAAGAGAAACAACTGAAGTCTCCTGAGGAAGACGGAATTCTGCCTCCTATCTTCCTTCCCACTTCAGCTGCAACATCAACTCTTCTCTGGGTCTCCAGCCTGCCAGGCTGCCCTACAAATTTTAGATTTACCAGCTTCCCTTTCCCCCTTCCCTTCCTTCTCTCTCTCCCCCATCTCCCTCCTCCTCTCGAGCCCCCTTTCTCTCCATCCTACTGGTTCTGTTTAGCTGGAGAACTCTAATACAATATGTAACAGTTACCTTTTGAGAACGTAATTGGGGATGGACAATGAATATGTTGCGTGTCAGTGCTGCTCTTGAGCCCTTGAAGTATGAAGACTAAGAACAAGTCCTAAAAGGAAACGTGGGAGGCACCTGGACATTTAATCTCCCTGATGGAGTACACATGAAAATCCTTCTAATGTAATCACTCTGGATCTCATTTTCAGCCACTGACCTTCTTTAAGGGGGAAGATCAAAAATGCACCACCCTTAGTCTACTGACTGATTAGCTGGTAAGGCAAAAGTGGCATTGAATCAGAGAGACATGTCCAAACAAGTAGCAAATCTTTTTTTCCCCTGACAGCCTAGATTCAGTCAATAATTAAATTTGTATTGAATGCTGACTATATTTAGAGTACTGAATTAGCTGTTGTTGAGACTGAAAAAGAAGTAAAAGACATTGAATCCCCAACGAACCTGCAAACTAAAGGAGTCAGTTTAGGATAGATCCACACATAGGTGGCAAATCAATTACAATGTTTCATAAAATCACTGTTGTTAGGGAACGTCAGGTGCTATTTAAATGAATTCTTCTTGTAATCTAAACTCTTCTGTCCAATACTTAAATTTTATTCTAATGTAAACAATATTGGGGATTTTCATGAAGTATGTGTATTCCCTATTATTAAGGAAATCCAAAAAAGTTGCTCTATCAGTTAGGCATCTTTATAACTCCAAGATTGACTTAGTAGAAACATTTAAGAAATAGGGAGTTTTAGATGAATAAGACCTAGACTTTTCCCCTAATGGTTAATATCCTAAATTGTTTAAAGTTTATGTTTCTTACCATAAATCTTAATAGAAGTTTATAGTTTATTAATTGTTACTGAGTCCAAGGCTTTTATTTTACAAATATCAGAACTTAGTTCCTGAAGTTAAAATGATTTGCTCATAGTGATTTTCAGCTAGTCACTTTAGTGAGTTAATCTAACTAGTCACACAGCTAATTATAAAGGAAAGTAACTACCCCAAAACAGTTCTAATTTCAATAAATAGGTTGCTATTGTTTTAACTGCCAAAGTTATTGGTCAGGGTGGCTGGGAATGGGGTAACTGACCAGGTAGGATCCTTCACAAAGAGCCCACTCCCAAGGGCTGGTCAGTTCTGGTTCAGCCTCAGGGTGCTGACCATTCTGTGGTTTGTTAAATCCTCAGAGTCTAATAGTGAAGAAACAATAACTTCCAGCCTTTTTGGTTCCAGTTCATTCCTGGGATACAGGTATCCAGAAAGGTAGATCAGCTATGAGTCAAACCTATGGGTTTGGTTGACTCCAGCCAGCCAAATTACCGAAACAGAAACTCAACTTCTTTTCATATAGGAAATATTTCAGAAATATGCATCAGATAGCAGTAGCTACTCGCAATACTGCGTTTACTTTTGGACTGTTTAACAGGGTGTCCTTTAAAGCAGAGTTGAGATTCAAGAGTTGTTCACGCAGTCTCTTGAATGTGTAACCTAGACCTTGGATATGACCTAGAACCAAGTGGCTTAGAATTTTAAATCTACACTTCATCAAAATCCTAGCTTTCTTTTCCACAATCTTAAGATCCAGATAAGCCCTCTTCAGTCCTGTGTTCTCAAGTTGCAAACCGTAACTGTAGAGGTATCCAAGATAAGATTCACTAGGATTTATACCCATTTCCATGCATAATGCTGTAAGAATTGTTTTGCAATTATCATTGACTGTTACTTGTAAAACACCATTTCTTCTTTATGTTAATACTGAATCTCATCTGTCATTTTCACAATGCAATTTCTTCTAATTCATCAGTAATTTCAGACCCCTTAAGAATTAGGTTTGAGAATGACAGCACATCAATATATTAGGAAAAAAAAGATGGAACTCAAGTGCCTTCGTAAGAATTAATGTAATTGGTGACGGTGGGCATGGGTGGCCCACCAAGTGTTTTGCCACTTCCACCTGGTTGCAGAGTGAGGGGCCAAAAGCCTTCTCTGTGTAGGAGTAGGTTGGATGTTCCTGAGAAGGAATGTCCTGTAAGAGACGAGGATTGCCATGGCGTAAGACCAGTTTTAGTCCCCTGAATATCACAAATGTATCAGTGTGTATCTCTGGAGTGGGGCACATCTTCAAGTGCTCACTGCTCAGAACGCTGCACAGTCTCTAGGTCTTTGTCTTCCTCCTACATAATATCTAACCTATATCATTGGTTAGAGACCTATGTGGCCTTTTGTCCTCACATGGTACACAATCCAGGTCTTCTTGCTGTGGGCCCAGCGCCCTTTCCACACTGCCTCTATGCACCACATTGCTATTCACGGTTACTTCAGTGACCCAATCAAGAAGAGAGTAAAATACCTCCTAACACATTAAAATGGCTTTACAACAACATCGTACATAGACAATACACTGAAACACTCATTACATTCATTTTCTCATGGCAATGGGACATTGTGTTTTTTTTTTTTTTTAAATGGATTTGGGATTTGTTTTAACCTTATCCATGTGGTTTTCTATTCTCAATTTCCTCATGTCCCCTTCCAATTACTAACTGAGTCTTCTTTAATTCTTCCAAAATCGAAACCAAAACACTATGTGCTTGGAATCTCAGCTTCTTCTGGCATCCTACAGAAAAGGTCTAACTTATTTGGGTCAGAATTTCCTTTCTCTCTCCCACATACAGGGAAGTCTATCAACCATTTGGCTTTGTAAAGAGCAAGATAGTCATGTTTGCTTCTACCGAGTCTGGTTCTTTTTACTCATGTTATTGGTTAGATTCTTTCAGGTAGCAAAGAAGAAAGTGCTGGAAATCTAGATGATAGGATACATGTAGAGGGCAGATAGGGAGGAAACGATCCCTGAGCCAGTGTCTACTCCAATCTTGTCACTTCCAAGGGTAGGATGTCAAGAGAGCAGAACAGAAACCTTGTCATTCAAGATGTGCTAGTGACCCAGGTGTGGTACTCTCTACTCATTCATTTCTGTGGCAGTTTGAGTAATACTCTGTGTTTGCGTTGAAAGCATAGGGCAATTAGTGGTATTTGGAAAACGACTGTGAAGAAATGAGGCTGCTTTCATTAGTCATAGGTCCTCACACATTCTTTTTATATGTGTGAAATGAAGGTCACAGCTTCAATCTAATTTTCATGTCTGCCTAGAAATTCTAGAATATCAGGGCCAGCTGTGAGTCCAGTTTGTATGAGGACATTCTCAGACTCCTGGGAGAAAGGGCAAAGGCAACTTTAGATTAGATGGTCAGATTCCAGGAGGGTGGGGTCACTCACCTGGGCAGAGGATGCATCCAAGGAAGTTGTCAAGCCTTTCTCACAGGGAATCAGGGGCCAATTAGAGGGATCGGCTGTAGGCTGTTTTAGTGGCAGAGATGGGAGGGACAGACCAAGTCAGGGGTCAGTGGGAAAAGCTGATGCTCAAATAGCAGAAACACCTTCCACAAATGTTCATTTCCAAGGATAAAAGTCAAGTCCACAGGGTCTCAGGTCAGCATCACACTGGATCAGGTTGACAGCAGGATGGGAATAAGTGAGTGGAATATAATACTTGCTGAGGTAACTCTAGGGTGTTGGTTTTTAGAAGGAAGTAGAAGATGGCTTGGGTTGGAGCCACTCAAAGAACTGGAGACAGGACAACCGAACAGCAGAACACTGAAAGAGGTATTCCATATGGCAACTAGTAATGACCTTAAAGCACCCTCTGGCCTGAGTCTGAGACAGTCTTGTCAAGGGAAATCTCTCCAATCATGAGGTAAGATCCATCCCAGCACTCCCATCCCTAGACAGTCTTGGCAGCAGTTGGACAGAAAGTAGCAGCAATGGGAGGAGGGGAGTTATGAGAGTCCAGACGGCAGCAGATGGTGGTCAACAGACAGTGAAAAGAATGTGGGCACATCCCCCCAGCAGAAAAGACACAATAACCACTGAGGAAAATAAATGCCTTCAAGATCTTTGGGAACTAGGAAGAGAATTCTGGATGGGGAAGAAAAGAATGTATGCTTCCCCAATCTTTGATTTTCTCCTCAGCTGTTGAAGCCCCACAGAGCAAGGCTGAGGGAGGAATTCCTCAATTTCCAACATTATGCTCCAGTATCCTCCCTCCAGGCCCAATACACAATACATTCTCCCACAGCTACCACTGTGGCCATTATTCATCTAAATTAGATTGAGCCCCTCTCCTACAACGAATCATTCCATGGCCTCTCATAAAACCTGCAAGACAAGGCTCAATGTGACTTGGCTCCTGCCGCCTACCTGAGTCTTTCATACGCCTCCCACTTCAGCTCCCGTGAACTCCAGCCACACTGGCAACCTTTCTCTGCCTCCACAGTCAAGGCTCTTTCCCACCTCAGAGTGTTTGTACTTGCTCTTCCCTCACCCTAGAAAGCCCTTTCACAGCTCTTTGCATGACTGGTTCACTCTTCACCTCTCAGATCTCAGCTCAAACGTGACGAGCTCCTGCAGTGACTCTTTACCACAATGTTTATTTATTTACTTTTTACTATCTCTTCTGAGAGCAAGTGCCTTATATGTCTTGCTCACTATATCCCAGAATTTAGTATGGTGTTTTGTGTATAACAGGTGCTCCAATGAATTTGTATCAGTTGAATGGGTGAATAAAAAATTCTCAGTTAACAGGGGGAGATAGGATGGGGGCAGGGATAGGATGGGAGAAGGGTAGGATCTTCAGGCCTATGTTTGATGGTGGTGATCTGAAACATTACTGCCTCATTCTTCTCCCAGTAGGGCCATCCTTTCCCTCTCTCCTATTGTCTCTAGTCCCTTTACCTATTTTTCTGAGCCCAAGGTAACATCAGCAGCTGGTACAAAGTTCAGGCATAGAAATGAAGCAGGTTCCAAGGTTCTATAGGAGAAGAAAAGTACCTTTTTCTCTGCTCACCCTAGGTTAATGGCTGAGACTCCTATACGAAGAAAAAAGCAACACATTTATTTAATATGAGTTTTACTAAAGCTGAGTATAAGTTTTATTAAATCTGAGTGTATTTTATGGTAGGTTTGAGGAAGAGTGAATAATGGGGAGGAAATGTGATAGGATGAAGGAATGGCATGATCGAATGGTAATAAACTGGCACAAGGTGTCATATTTTGGGGGGGGGGGTAGCATGTCCCAAACCCCGTCAGTTCTCTGATATAAAGGAATTGGCAAGTCCTCTGTGACCTTAAAATATCTATTCCATCTACTTGCCACTTATCTGAAGTCCTTCCATTAGGTTGACCAGTTATGCCTTTGAGCTAAGACACTGCCTCCTGGGGCCTCTTTTTCGAAGTGGAAAGAGCTCTGGGCAGGGTTTGACAAGAAAAGCTGTCACAAGCTCCCAACCATGAACCCACAGAGCATGCCTGCAAGCTGCTTTGTCCCGGGGACTCCATGATATTGCTTGGGACTGAACCATAACCACGTGGCTCTCCTTTACCAGATATAGAAAGACCCAAGAGCCCACCATTCCTCCCCTAATGATAAGAAAAAACCCAATAAGTTACAACATCGTTGTATAAAAAAACCAAAATGTTTGAACTGTAGGGTAAAAATAATAACCCTCAACAGGTTCTTATTGAAACTGACCCCTGTTACAAAAGACAAATTCAGAAGAGAAAAACAAACAGAAGTTTATTAACATGTATATTTCATATATACATGTCTTTGTAAATCTACATCCTGCTTTTAGGAAAAAAGAGGAAAGGCAGAGAGTGTGCCTGCGTCCATTTCCTGTTAATGGCCTTCAGCTCAACATTCCTTCATATTTTTGGGAGGCATATGCTGATATCCCACAGAAGTAAATGGTAAACAGAACCCAGCTGGGGCTATGACAGAGCCCAGAGCCAACTCAGCTACATTGATCAAACTGACTGGGCTCCTACACAAGTGGCCCCAGCTGAAGCTGTCAACCAACTTTAAGCGTTTCGCCCCAGTGAACTTGTTGTGGAAGTCTTCTCTTTCACAGTGTGAGAATGACAGGGCTGGATCAGACAATAGCCCCGAGCATGACTAACCTGCCCTGGGTGTGTTTTCGGTCATGCAAATATGAACATTGACATTGACATAAGCAGTTCTGCCCGGGCCAGGACTGTTCTTCCTCTGTGTCTCAAATTCCTTTGGAGGGTTTCCAGCAGGAAAATCACTGGACCCTGAATTGACACTACTCTTAACCAGCACATTCTGTGCTGGCATTTTAGATCTAACTATCAGTGTTTGTAGATGACACTTTGAAAGTCATTCTCTTTGAGAGGCAACACTTTCCCCCGTCTTTCCTCCTCTTAGACTTTTCATTTCTCCTTTGCCTTCCTTTAACCCTCTACAACACACACACATACCCTCTGCCTGGGTTCCAAAGCTAGCCTCACTGACCCGAGGCATGGGTCTTGAGCCAGGCAGTCAGTTCTCATCCACGTTGACCTGCACGATTCTGCCAGCCCACTCTCTAGGGGGCTGGGGGGTTCCACCAGTGTCTCCAGCAGTTATGGCTGAAGTCTTATGCGAACCCACACTTGTACAAGTTACCCACAATGTTGAAATACTTTTAGACTTTGTAATTCAAATTTAGGCCTTTAAATGTGTCAAGCCTACTTTTCACTTATGATCAAAAATTTTGCTTTTGTGTTTTCTTGCTTTACCAGGCAGTCACTAAAAGGAATGAAGCCTTCCATTTTTGGAGATCAAGTTTTGTAGGAGCTTATTTTTATTGTAGTTCATGGATTTTTTTTTTTTTTTTTTTTTTTCTTTTTACAGTCTTGATTTCATCCAGGCTCAAGCAGCATGACCGGAGCAATTCATTGATAACCAACAAGAGAATTAATTGTAAGGAAAAAATGTAAAGTCATAAAAGAAGGTCAAGGGTTGGTCCTTCTAACACAGCCATTTTACAGGCAAAGAAAGCCAAGTTTAAAGATTGTTCAAGCAACATGACCAAGGCATACCGCTGTATAGGACTAGCAGAGATGGCCCAGGAATCATGGCCTGCCATCTCCAACCCCACGTTATTTCTGTTTTGTGGGATGACAGGAGTGCTTTGGCCAGGAGAGCCATGGGTAAAGACCACACAACTAGCATTGTCACTTGGGATTATGTTCAGTTGTCACATAACAGAAAACAAATGCATCACAGTATCTTAAACAAATTGGGGATATGTATTTTTTTCCATGAAAAAAGAATCAAAAGGTAAATAGTTCAGGACTGTCCTGGAGGCTCCACACCATGATGGAATAATTCAGGTTCCTTCCAGCTTCCCTGCTCACCTTCATTAGGAAGTATCCATAGTCTTCCTGTTGTCAGGATGTATTTCCAGTTGTCACATCCATGTTCCAGGCGGAACAAAAAGGATGAGCTAAGGGAAGCAAGCTCTCATTGCCACTGAGTTACTCCCTTTTAAAGAACTTTCCAAATTCCGCGCTCTATGCCTTCTGTTTACTTCTCACTGGCTAGGCCTGTGCCATATGGTTATTTCTAGCTTCAGAGGAGGTGGATATGTGAGCACTCTGGATAAAAGTAGGGTCTATGAGTAGGGAAGAGGGAAAAAATATTCTATAGGCAATAGTAGTCTCCCCAAACTGGGGAAGACTGGCCCTAAGAGCCACTAGGAATAAATCTATTCTATCGAATGAGAGGAAACAGGGAGGAGAGGAGCCAAATGCAGTGGAAAATCCTTAGGTTTAATTCTACTTAATTGCTTGGCAGCCTTTGAAACAGTTGATCCCTCCCTCTTTCTTTTTTTTTTTTTTGAGATGGAGTCTCACTCTGCCATCCAGGCTGGAAAGCAGTGGTATGATCTCGGCTCACTGTAGCCTCCGCATTCTTGCCTCAGCTTACTGAGTAGCTGGGATTACAGGTGCATGCCACCACGCCCAGCTAATTTTTGTATTTTTAGTAGACGGCGTTTCACCATTTTGGCCAGGCTGGTCTCAAACTCCTGACCTCAGGTGATCCGCCCATCTCGGCCTTCTAAAGCTGAGGTTACAGGCATTAGCCACTGTGCCTGGCCCCTCCCTCCTTCTTAAGTGCCTATTTTTTTCCTTGGTTTCCAGGAAATCATCTGGTTTTCTCCTGCAGTACTGGCCATTTCTTCCCAGTCCTGGCTACATCGTCTTTCCCTTCCTGACCTCTAGCACCAGAGAAACCTAGGATGTAGGTCTCAGATGGCTTCTCAATCTATGTTTTCTTCCTGGAGCTCTCATCCAGCCCCACGGCTTTACATACTTTTTTTTTTTTTTTTTTTTTTTTTTTTGAGATGGAGTCTCACTCTGTCACCCAGGCTGGAGTGCAGTGGCGCAATCTTGGCTCACTGCAACCTCCGCCTCCTGGGTTCGAGCAATTCTCTGCCTTAGCCTCCCAAGTAGCTGGGATTACAGGTGCCCACCACCACACCCGGCTAATTTTTGTATTTTTAGTAGAGACAAAGTTTCACCATCTTGGCCAGGCTGGTCTTGAACTCCTGACCTTGTGATCCACCCGCCTCGGCCTCCCAAAGTGCTAGGATTATAGGTGTGAGCCACTGCGCCCAGCCTATATACTTCTTATATGCCCCAATTTTTATCTCTAGCCATGTCTTCAACCTTCTAGTCTCATTTTACTGTCTGCCTGAAATCTCTACTTAGCTGTTTAATCGGCCTCTCAATACTAATGTGTTAAAAGCCAAATTTTTAATTTAGCCCCAAACGGATTCCTCCGCCACTGTAATTCATCTCCATAATATGATTACTATTTACAGGTTCATGCCAAAAGCCTCAGTGTCATCCTTGACTTTTTTCGTTTTCTCTCATCCCAATGCAAGCCCTTCAAACTATCTCCAGAATCTGACCACCTCTCACCCCGTCCGGTACTGCATTCCTGGCCCAAGCCACTGTCATATCATCTCTTGCCGGGCCTGTGCCTCCTAACTGCTCTCCTTGTTTCCATTCCTGCCCTTCTGCATTCAATTCCTCACACTACAGCCAGAGTGAGCCTTCTAAAATGGAAGTCAATCAGAACAAGGATCTCTGAGGAATACAATTAAAAAGAAAAAAGAATGGAGTGCAATCCCATTCCCTGCAAGAATGTTATGTGTCACACCTTATCAGACCACATATGTGAGTTATTGGCCTTAACTACTGGACTCCAAAACACATACATACCCAAGGTTTTGACAGAAGTTTGACAGCTCAGGCTGTGGGAGGGCTCATCTCTGTCAACATCTGAGCCATCTCTGTCAACATCTGAGCCTTCCCCATCTACGCTGTCACTGCTCTCTAGCATTGAGGAACCTTGCATGTTCCATGGATCTCCCCTGTGTTGGTCAGGCTGTGTCTCCCAAGAACCTCTTAGAGAAAGGGATGTCTCAAAACTGATCAGACTTTACATCCACAAAGGCCTGTTTCCATCCTAACTGAGCAACTAGACTATGAGAATTCAACTCTAAATGAAATTGGAACTCACTGATTATAGGGTTAACATACCTCATCTATTTGAGAGTATTCCCTGTGAGATTTGTTCTAAAAAAAACTATTTGTGTAACAATAAATGTGATTTGTGAAGTCATACTTTAATCATCTCTTTATTTTAATCATACGAAATAGTCCTCTTGAAGACTGGCATCTGGCTTATAAGATCTTCCTTATCCTATCTGTGTCTCCATTCTTTCCCTTGTTCATACTTCTCCAGCGACACGGGCCCACGTGCTGTTTCTTAAATACACCAGGCATATTGCTGCAAAGAACTTTGCGTTGCTGTTTCCTGTTCCTGGAATGCTTTGCCCTATGATCTCCACATTGCTCTTTCCCTCGGTTGATTCAGGTCTTGCCTCCAATGTTGTCTCTTCAGAAAAGTCTTCCCTGATGACCATCTGTCAGGCCTACTGTTCTTCACCCCCTGACTCAGCATGATTTTATTTTCATAGCACCTATCACTGTCTAATATTATGGCACATATTGGTTAACTTATTTTTTTTGGCATGTCTTTTCCATGAGAATGTACACTCAATGAAAGCAGGGATTTAATTTTGTATAACACTTTATCCCCAGTGCCTGTTGTATAGTAGGTGCTCAGTAAAGATCTGTTGAATTAATGAGTGAATTCATAATAGAGGAAAAAAACCTTTAGGAGACAGTAATTATGACATAGTTTTTGAGTCTTTCTTAGAGAGGCCTATATAGTGCTTTGGAACATTATTCTTTAGCCCACAGAGAAATCCCAAGAGACAGGTGGATCAAGCTGGCAATACCCTAATAGAAATCCTCTGATGAAAGACATAACATGCCCTATTTATTTTAATGCTAATTCCTTACATCTTACAATAAGTACTGCTGACTTTCAGCAATATAATCCCTATCCAGCAGGAGATGAAAATTCTGGAAAGTGGAATGGAAAGGCATTGTTCATCTTCAAAATGGCATTGAAAATATAATGCAAGTCTAAGCCCAAGAAACATGAGGAAACATTATGTTCACTGAGGCTGCTGCTGATCTTGAATTTTAGGAACAGACTGGGTTCTTCACATCAAACCAACTCTTGCAGGTGGAATGAAGATACGATAGACTTTCTGACCAAGCCACTTCTTGAACAGAGATTTGGAGTGATTGTGAGAAGTGTTCATGCATATAGTAGGAACCAGTGTATTCAAATGGCAAAGTGAGAAATAGGCAATTAGCCAGATGACAGTAGTTGAAGAAGACCTTGAAATGTCAGTGATCCATAGCAAGTCAGAACATCAGTGACAGGGAGAAAAATACCCAAGTATGAGTGGAAAAATGCTGGAAGAAAAAGTTACAAAAGAGTCATTGCTGTCAAAGCAACAGAGGATGCTCTGTCTTAAAGGTTTGTTCGGATTTCTCAAAACGGCATTTACAAACATGGGAAGAAAGTATTACAATTAACAACTGTTTTTGCTATTATTTTAGGGTGAGGAAAGCTCTTAGCTGGATCAGATACAAACTCCAGAATCCACAGAATAATGACAAATTAATTACATAAAAAAATACTTCAGGAAAAAATTCATTAATGACAAATAGAGGACACACAATGACAAACTGGGAAAAATATTTTACCAATATATGACCAAATTCTAATTTCCTAAGTCTGTAAAGAACCCTTAATTAATCAATAGATACAGATAACATGCCAAGAAAAAAACAGACAAGGGCAGAAAAGAAATTATATTGCTTGTAAACATAATAATTTTGAATGAAGAAGCTCAACTTACGGGTATATATGCAAAATCTAATTTTTATTTTTCTAAAACTTGCTGCTAACTGTGCTCTCTCGACCCACCCTCACCCCCTCTGTTCCCCATCTATAGCTGTTAACAGTCAGATAACTTAGTATCTCAACCTAGCTCCACAAGTATTTAGTTAAGACAATCCTATTCACATTCTTATACTTCAGTCTTGTTCATTTATAAAATTTCAATCTCCTATTTGATGAAAACCTTAATTTATGAAACTTCATATTCCCCCCATCCCCCTCCAGCACAGGCTAGCTTGGTGACCAGGAATGGTCTACACCCCTTTTTCTGCCCTGTGACTGGTAAGGAGCAGGGAGGAACGCTTCTGCCGGGCAGATTCTCTTGGTTGTTATCACTTCTCTCTTTAACACTGATTGGTCTTGGTTTCCATAGGGAAGATGGCCAAAGCCAGCTTTCCAGGGCACTGGTCATTTGTTTTTTCTAAGGAGATTTCTGTCAGGGGCTTCTTCTACAGAGTCACTGCTCTGGGAGCTCTGGCTAAGGCCTGACTTCTTCCTTGTCACTCCACCTGGCATCCCCATGTCAGCCTCAGTGATGCTACGTCTACCCCACCTGTCCTTTCTGGTGAGGCTTTCCTCTGCTCCCTCCCCTCCCCATTCCAAGGGAACATTCTTGCGGTGGGATGGGAGGTTAGAAAGCACCACCCGCTGTGGTTAAGATCTTGTTAATGATTTATATTTTGAATCTTAGATCTTAAAAGCTTAAAATTGTACAGGATCTGGATTTATAAGTATCTTTTAAAAAAGCTTAAAAGCAAGAACCACATGTCTGAACTTCTTGTGAGCAGTTTTGAGGGACTAGGACAGGAGGTGGTGAACATATGTGACGGGGAGAAGGCTCTCCATGCATCCTGTCCATCACAGCAGCCCAACCACTACCTACTCCAAAGGTAGCAAAACCTTAAGATGGAACTGCTCTTTTAATTGACTGGCCAGTAGCCTTAAAAGTATACCCTGATTGTAGACTGCCTCCTTTCCTTGCCTGTATCAAAATTGTTTCCAGTGAGAAACCCACTGTACTCCCAAAGCCTCAAGCTTTGCAGTTTGTGTCCAGAGAAGAATGTACCTGCCCATTGAAATAAACCTTAGCCACAAAGTCAAGTAGACAAGAAACCTCATCTGCTTTTAAAATATATTCATTTGCCTTTCATTCTGAGTTCCCATGAAGCTAACCTGGCAGTAAATTCTACCTCAACCTTACTTGAGGCACCTCCCAGTCCTCCTGCCTGGATAATGTCAAGTTTCCAGTGCTGATTTAGTGTAGAGGGAGCTGCATAAACTTTGGTTTATCAATTTTATGTCCAAGAAAATGTTATCCATTGTCCCTGGGGGTATGGCAGCTTCACGCCTGGGCTTTTGGTTTACTTCCATTCTACTCTTAGACCATAGCAATCTTTCTGGTGCTGTGGCTCAAAATCCTAGGGACTGTGACTTCTTCCACCTAGACTTGGCAAAGAGCAGTAAGTCCCTGAGACCTCATCACCTTCTTAGGGCAATGTTCTGAAGCAGAAGCATGGCTCTGCTCATCCAAGACCATAGGTCTCTCTTCTCTTCAAGCCAAGGGGTATCTTTTTCTTACCTTGATCTTCTCAGTCTATCTCCCCACAATGCCTCTTTCCCTCATATCTTAATCTACTCAGTTGGCTTCAGTTTCTAGGAAGTGCATAAAGTCTCCAACCTTCCACATACCTTCTCTGAAACAATGACACACAGAGAATACTATGAGCAGGAATGGGGGATGGAGGAGTTAAGAAGAAACAAAAATATGGACAGAATAAGAATTATACAATTGGCCGGGCTCAGTGGCTCACACCTGTAATCCCAGCACTTTGGGAGGCAGAGGTAGGATCATGAGGTCAGGAGATCGAGACCATCCTGACTAACATGGTGAAACCCCGTCTCTACTAAAAACACAAAAAATTAGCCGGGCGTGGTGGCATGCACCTGTAGTCCCAGCTACTCAGGAGGCTGAGCCACGAGAATCACTTGAATCCGGAAAGCGGAGGTTGCAGTGGGCTGAGATTGCACCACTGCACTCCAGCCTGGGTGACAGAGCGAAATCCCTTCTCAAAAAAAAAGAATTATACAATTAATACGCCAAATTATTTCCAACCAAGTCTTGTTCTTGGGCTCAGTTTTTCCAGTGCTTATATCACTAGACATGTGGAAGACCCCTCACAATGTGACATCCAGGCAAGTTTCCTAGGACATATGGTCTGCTGGTGTGCAGTTTCATAAATGGTTCCCTTATATGTCAATCTCAGTGTGAATAAGACTCCAAACAGGATGGTGAGAAGTAAGAAAACCCCATTTCAAACAAGCTTCTTTACCCTTGAAGTCTGTGAATTAATCTATTTATCTACTTTGAAGCTTTCTCTTTGGTTGGATGCACAGTCATTTAATAGTAGAATAATTGGACATGAGCAGATTGTCTAAGTGCACAGGTAATGGGGTTTAAATGTTCCTTTTACATTCTCCCTCTGGCTTGCCTGACTAGCTGCCATTCTTGATTCAGGATGAGACTTATTTATAAATAGGCAGGTTACAGCATCATCTATTTGTGTGAGCTAAGGAGTTCAAAAGTTTTACCCCAAAGAACAAAATATCTTCTCTATCTGTGGTTGCGATCTGAAATTCTACTAGTTTACATTTATTTTCTTTGTAATATACAATGCTTCTGGGATAGCTAATGATGAACTCATCATTTTTTATGGCTGCATAGTATTCCATGGTGTATATGTGCCACATTTTCTTAATCCAGTCTATCATTGTTGGACATTTGGGTTGGTTCCAAGTCTTTGCTATTGTGAATAGTGCTGCAATAAACATACATGCGCATGTGTCTTTATAGCAGCATGATTTATAATCCTTTGGGTATATACCCAGTAATGGGATGGCTGGGTCAAACGGTAT
Organism: Homo sapiens; assembly: GCF_000001405.40. Lineage (NCBI taxonomy): Eukaryota > Metazoa > Chordata > Mammalia > Primates > Hominidae > Homo > Homo sapiens. Next base: position 7,313,760 of record NC_000007.14, on the reverse strand, counting down.
TTCTAGTTCTAGATCCCTGAGGAATTGCCACACTGACTTCCACAATGGTTGAACTAGTTTACAGTCCTACCAACAGTGTAAAAGTCTTCCTATTTCTCCACGTCCTCTCCAGCACCTGTTGTTTCCTGACTTTTTAATGATCGCCATTCTAACTGGTGTGAGATGGTATCTCATTGTGGTTTTGATTTGCATTTCTCTGATGGCCAGTGATGATGAGCATTTTTTCATGTGTCTTTTGGCTGCATAAATGTCTTCTTTTGAGAAGTGTATGTTCATATCCTTCTGTTTTCTTTTCTTATGATGTCTTTATCTGGCTTTGGGATCAGGCTAATACTAACCTCATAAAAATGAATACAGAAGCGTTCATGTCCTTTGTAGGGACATGGATGAAGCTGGAAACCATCATTCTCAGCAAACTATCTCAAGGACAAAAAACCAAACACCGCATGTTCTCACTCATAGGTGGGAATTGAACAATGAGAACACATGGACACAGGAAGGGGAACATCACACACGGGGGCCTGTTGTGGGTTGGGGGGAGGAGGGAGGGATAGCATTAGGAGATATACCTAATGTTAAATGACAAGTTAATGGGTGCAGCACACCAGCATGGTACATGTATACATATGTAACTAACCTGCACGTTGTGCACATGTACCCTAAAACTTAAAGTATGATAAAATAAAGAAAAGAAAACCAGGCTCATGAACATAGGTACAAATATCTTTGATTTAAAAAATTAGCAAAACATACCCAGCAAAATACAAAAAGAACTATACATTAGAAACGAACAGATGTATCCCAGAGTACAAGTTAAGCTAACATTCAAAAATCAATGAATACAATATATTAATAAAATAAAGATAAAAAATATGGTCATTCCAATAGTAGCAGAAAAAAGCATCGGACAATTAACATACTAGGAATACAGGAAACCGCCTCAATCTGACACAGGACATCTACAAAAAGCCTACAGCTAACATCATACTAAATGTGAAAGACTGCTTTTCCTGTAAGATCAGGAAAAAGGCAAAGATATCCAGTCTAACAACTTTTATTCAACACTGTACTGGAGATTCTAGCTAGTGCAAAAGGAGGGGAAAAGAATGTAAAGGCATGCTGATTGGAATGTAAAGCCATACAGATTGGAAAAGAAGAGGTAAACTTGTATGTATTCACAGATGACATAATCTCGTGTATAGAAAATCCTAAGGAATCTATAAAATCTATTGTAACTGCTGAGCTCAGCAACATTACAGAATGCAAGATCACTGTACAAAAATGAATTATATTTCTATAAACTAGCAATCAACAATCTGAAAATAAAATTAAGAAAATAAATATATTCACAATAGCGTCAAAAAGAATAAAATACTTAGGAATAAATTTAATGAAAAAACTGCAAGATCTGTACAAGAAAACAGTATAATATTGTGGAAGAAAAACACATACATAAACGAAAAGATATATTATGCTCATGGAATGGAAGACTCTGTCATGTTAAGGCTGCAATTCTCCCCAAATTGATCTATATATTTAAGACAATCCCAATCAAAATCTCAGTAGGCTTTTTCAAGAATAGAAATAACAAGTTGATCCAAAAATGTATATGGAAATGCAAAAGACATAGAATAGCCAAAATATTTTTTAATTTCAAACTTATCGTAAAGTCACAATAATCAAGACAATGTGGTACTGTCATAAGGATAAACATATAGATAAATTGAACAGAATAAAGAGCTTAGAAATAAATTTATGTTGAATGGATACTTGACAAAGTTACCAAGGTAATTCAATGTTGAAAAATATTTTCAACCTTTTATGCAGCACAATATGATATACATATGCAAACAAACAAAACTTAGACCCTTACCTCACACTATACAGTAAAAATCAACTCACTGTGCACTAAAGACCTAATGTAAGAGCTTGGGCTAGAGAGCTTCCAGAAGATAACATAGGAAAGATCTTTATGGTCTTGGGATAGACAAAGATTTCTTAGATAGGATACAAAAACTAAGATCTATTAAAGAAAAAAAATGATAAATTACATAAATAAATAACTAGTACTCAGCAATAAGAAAGAACAAACTACTGATACTTGTAGCAACATGGATGAACCTCAGAAACATTTTGCTAAGTGACAGAAGCCAGACACAACTACATATTGTGAGTGGTTCCGTTTGCCTAAAATTTCTAGAAAAAGCAAAATTATAAAGACAGAAAGCAGATGGGAAGGGGGGTTGACAGCAAATGAGCATGAGGGAAATTTTGGAGGTGATGGAAATATTCGAAAGCTCAATTGTGATGATTGCACAAGTGTATAAATTTACTACAACTTATGAATGTCATTATAATGTGGTATTGGGGCATAATCTGAGGCAGTGTGCCCATGGGCTCCAAATGGAAGATTCCCGGGAGATGCAGCCTGCATTCTCCCCCATGACCTCCCCACACCATACATCTGAGTCGCCTACCAGGCCTCTCATCCTGCAAGGTCACATTGGCTCAGAGTCTTTCATTAGCCATGCTGCCAGTGTTCTTCAAGGCATAGCAACAAGTCCTCTCCCAAACTCCAACAAGTTGTTGCAGAACTATTTGTGCCTGCTTGGCCATTATATAGCATTAAATTTAGAAGATTTAGTCTGAGATTTGTCTTCATTCTTTTACCATCTCATAGTGAGTTTTCTGACTTAGTGGTTGACTTAATGACTCTGAACTGCCTCTACTTGATTCTAGAGATAATCTCTAAAAAGAGACTGACATCTGCCAAGTGACTAAATTGATCCAGGTGGCACGTGAAGCGCAACAACACTCAGGGAGCTGTTGGTAATAGTCCCAAACCTGAGGTCACCTCCTAGCCTAGGAGGGTCTTGCATCTCCTCATTTAAGTATCCCTCCCTTTGTTTCCTCTGCGCTTTTCTCTTGTTAGAGATATCATGGACTCCTAGATTATTCTCTCACGTTCCTCACCTTTTTCATCCTATTTTTATTTCTTTATCTTTTCCTCCTATTTTCTGGGGATTTCCTTAATTTCCTCAACTTTCAATCCTGTGTTAATTTTGAACTACAGAGACATACATTAAAAGGTGCGGTTTTTTTGCTGTTTTTTTTAAATGAGTTTTCCTTAAGACATATCTCAGAATTCAATGGAAACTTTTCCTGTATCACCGTTATCTCTAATAGAGAAAGCAGAAATGATGATTAATGTACGATCAATATTATCAGCCAGCCATCTTGGTGAAGAACAGAGCAAAAGAAGAGTAGTAAATGAGTACTAAAACATATACAAAAAAAGCTCTCAAAAGGGAAGTAGAAAAAATGCTCCCAAGAAATCCATAACCTCCATCAAAATAAGAAAGCCAGAAGTAGCATTTTAGGTGAGGGTGGGAGATGGGAGTAATAAGAAATGGAGCTCAATGGTAGATTTAATTTTAAGTTTGTTTAGCTTAAATAAATCATGAGATCATAAGGGTGGAGCTGTCAGGTTGGCAGGTGGAAATGCATATCTTCAGAATGTGTTCAGAAAAGAGGTCAATGCTGAATTAAGTGTAAATAAAAGAACACACACGAACAGAGCCTAAAGAGAGAAAGGGAAAATGGGTCATTAATGGAGGTAGAACCTGTGATTACAGGAACTTAATACAGATGGGTGAAGAAGCTGTGAATTATTCTTTTAATAAGTGTGATAGTGAAAAGAAAGAGCGTTTTATGGTGGCTCACTGAAATCGGAAGGTCAAGAAAAAAAGGAGAATTTGCATAAATGTAAGAGGAAAAGAAGCAATAGAGAGGGAGAGACCAAGCATACACACACACACACACACACACACACACACACACACACACACACACACACACAAAATGAGTAAAGGGATGGTATGAGATCAAGGTCATAGCCCAAAGAATTACTCCTAGAAAGCAGATGTTGCACTTCTTTCTCTCAAGAAAAATGAATGAAGACAGGGTGTGTGAGGCCCTAGGCAAAAATTTTTTTGCAAGGTCCAGTCTATATAAGCAATTTGATTAAAAATATATTATAAAATTCATGGACCCATGTGAGGTAGTTATTTATCTATCAATGAAGATTTAAAGTAATAGGTAGAAAAGAGATACTATCAGATTTGTTTATTGTCCATTCAGCACACAAAAATATTTATTGTAATGTCTCTACCTGTTCAGGTCCAGGAACCATCTCTTTGTGTTCTTTACTGTCACCTGCACCACTACTGGCTAATTTCTTACAATGCTATGGCTCTTCAGAACTTGTTTGTATTGAAGCAAATACAGATTCATAGATATTCTTGCTCCTGCAGTTTCCTGATACCACTGATGTAATATTGGTTACATCATTACTCATGACATGGCATCATCCATCATGCTGCCCATGAATATTGGCTTTGAAAGTCTCTCTTAAAGGTTAACATGCTTTGTTGATAATGACCACAGGTACAAGTCTTACCCATATTATGCGGAAAAAAAGTGAATGAAAACTCATTTTCTGGTTATGTTAAATTTATCACTTGGAATTTTATACCATAAATGTAGAACAACATGTCTTCCAATCATGTCTTCTCTAGAACTCTTTGAGCTGTAATTGCTATGTTTCTAGAATATCATCTCATTCAATGTTAACTGCACCTTTTCTTTCCACATGCCACCACTAATAAGGAGGATAGGAGAAGAACCCATGGGCAAAGCTAGAGGACCAGTTTCATCCATGCAAGGAATGTCCTTTGCTCATTTAATCAATCCAAGAGAGTATGATGATGAAATCAAAGACAAGAGAGGACCTCCATCAGAAGGGCTTACTGGTATTGTGGGTCACTGGTCTCAAAAGCCCTTGGAAAAGATAGGTACAGCTATAGCTAGAGAACTGACTGACACGGGTGCAGAGCCTGTGGAGGGTGTGGAGTGTGGGTGCCAATGATGGAACACACCTGCTGTCATCTGCCACCCTCAGGTTCTGTAGACTGGAGGCAGAATTATAGTCAGTGCAGTGATGGGCCAGATCCTAGACATGGGCTTATACATGCAGCTCAAGCCTAACAATCAACAATGGATTTTCATAACCCCAAGTGCCACAGTTGTCCTCCACTCATAGTCAAATCTCTGTGGGCATAACCAAGTCTACATGGGAGGTGAGGGCAGAAAGAAAAATGCTGCAATCATTCTTATTACCTTCCCCAAAGGGCCATAATCATGCAAATCTATCGGGCAACATATAGCCAGTTTTCCCATATTTTAAAAGTTAAAACATTGAAAGGAAGCAAGGACTCTTTCTAAATAGTGGGACTTAACAGGAAATTTGCAGATCTACCATCTCCCATCTTTTGTAGATATGCGGCTATCTCTAGGAGGTGGTAGAGAGATCTTGTGGTACCTGCTTAAGAATCACAGACAATAATTAGAGGTAGGTTAATGCCACCTGCTTTCCAGATAAACAAATTGTCGCTGAAAGTGAGTGCCAAGGAGTCTTTGGCTCCAGGTAGGAATCTTTCCCAAGGTTTTCTCGTGAGTGTATGAGCAGGCAATGGAAGATATTCCTATAATTTGACAGATTTCACAGAGTGTTGTTTAAATAGAGGAACCAGGGTGAGGAAAAACAATGCTTTCCTGAAGAAGTGACAATTCTAAGTCTTAGCAAAGCTGGAGTTTCTGGGAAAGAAAAAAAAATGCACTAAGATGGACAGAACTTCAGCAGAGATTTGGTTGAAAAAAACCGAATTCTAAATCACTACTGGCATCAGACACTAAAAAATCTTTTTTTTTTTTTTTTTTTTTTTTGAGACGGAGTCTCGCTCTGTCGCCCAGGCTGGAGTGCAGTGGCGCAATCTCGGCTCACTGCAAGCTCGGCCTCCCGGGTTCACGCCATTCTCCTGCTTCAGCCTCCCGAGTAGCTGGGACTACAGGCGCCCGCCACCACGCCCGGCTAATTTTGTGTATTTTTAGTAGAGACGGGGTTTCACCGTTTTAGCCGGGATGGTCTCGATCTCCTGACCTCGTGATCCGCCCGCCTCGGCCTCCCAAAGTGCTGGGATTACAGGCGTGAAAAAATCTTTAAAATAAGATTTCATCCTGAATCGCTACACTACATAGGTTACTTGTACATTGATGAAAACAAAATATTTAAATTCACAAGAAAGCATATATCTAGAAAAGTGACAAAACGAAACCCTAGGAAACCTTGCCAATTCCTTATAGTCTATGATTCTGTTCCTAAATTAATAATTAGTTTCTTGAATATATATTCAGAACTACATGTTTATTGCAGCAGTATTCACAATAGCTAAGATATGGAATCAACTTGTGTCCATCAATAGATGAAAAGATAAAGGAAATATGTTATATATACACAATGGAATACTATTGAGCCACAAAAAAAGAATAAAATCCTTGCCGCTGTCATTTGCAGCAACAAGAATGGAACTGGAGGTCGTTACGTAAAATAAGCCAGGTACAGAAAGATAAATATTGCATGTTCTCACTCATATGTGAAATCTAAAAAAGCTGATCTCATAGAAGTAGAGAATACAGTAGTGTCTACCAGAGGCTGGGGAGGATGGGGGCAGGGAGGATGAGGAGAGGTTGGTCAACAGGTACAAAGTTATAGATAGGAGGAATAAGTTCAGGTGTTCTATTGCACAGTAGGATGACTATAGTTAACAATAATTTATTATTAATTATTATTATGGATTTGAAATATTCCCAACACAAAGAAATCACAAATGTTTGAGGGAATAGATATCCTAATTAGCCTGATTTGATCATTGTATATGGTTTCCATGTATCAAAATGTCACATGTACCCCATAAATAGGTACAATTATTATGTATCAATTAAAAAAAGATACAAATATTCAGGACTACCATCATAAATATAGAGTTCTAATATACCAAAATGATTAATTCATTAAGAAGAAGTTAAATCCCCCACAAAAAAAAAAAAAGCATCTATAGGAATAGAGTCTTAGGCTGTCTACTCTGTGCTGAGATACACAAGATCCACCCTGGAATCACACACCATTTAGGCAGAAAGAGAAAATAATGCATATGCTCATAATTTATAGTCTTGGTTTTAAACTGTTGTCTTCCTCATTCTTGGCACCTGGGTCCATCAAGCTCTCAAACCCTTAGGCCATGGACCTTCTTCTCTTCATTTCTTTACCTCACTTGGCATGAATGTTGGCTCTATTTAATTTTCTGTGTAAAATCATTATTTCTCCTTAAGATGTAGTTGTCTCTGGCTGTGCCAGGTGAATATGCCTCCAAGGCTGGCCCAGAACTATTCTTCCTCATGCAGCTGCCTGGTGTGGGTGGCACTGCCACTGGGCTCACCTGTGGACTAGAATAGGTCTGGACAGTAGCCAACAAGCCTTTTGTTCCAAGAAACTCTCTGAGGAATCACAGGTGAGAAAATAATTAATATTTAAAACAATGCATTGGCTAACAAAAATGTTCCTTGGGATGGGAAACAGCCAGAGATGGCATACAGTCCTGGGCAGAAATGAAAGGTAACTCAAAAGCCACCTTGTTGCTAATGGAGAGATGACACCAACAAACATCTACCCACACTCAGGCCTCCTTCTAAGGAAACTGCTCTGTTTACAGCGTTGCTGCCTAAGTGGCCCTGATTGGAAAATACTGCCCTAATGCTCTTGGCCATGTCTGAGTGGGTAAAGAGTGAGTGTCCAACCCTATGTGACCAAGTTCCCAGGCTGGCCTGACACCGAAAGATAAGCTGCATGTATTAATTTCCTAGGACTGATGTAACAAATGGCCACAAACTGGGGGGCTTAGAATGACAGAAATTTATTCTCTTAGAGTTCTGGAAGCCAGAAGTCTGAAATCGAGGTATTAGCAGGACCATCCTCTCTCAAAACATTCTAGGGAAGATTCTTTCCTTGCCTCTTTCAGTGTCTGGTGTTTGCCAACAATCATTCTTTTTCCTTGGCTTTTAAATGCGTCACTCCAATCTCTGTTTCTGCTGTCATGTGGCATTTTCCTTATGCATCTTTTTTTCTGTGTCAAAATTTGACCACTTCTTATAAGGACATCAGTTTTATTAGATTTAGGGCCCACTCTAATCTATCTAGTATGAACTGATCTTCATTATATCTGCAAATATTCTGTTTCCAAATAAGGTCACACATACAAGTACTGTGGGTTAGGACTTAAACATATCTTTTTGAAGGACGCAATTCAACCCCCAGCAGTGGGTCAATCAAAGTTTTTTCTTGGAAATGGGAACTAAGAAACACACAGAGAACTAATCAGTTGGTGAGTGGAGTTCAAAGTAAAACAAAGCAGCGTACTGGAATCAGGGCCAGGGCCACTGAAAGCCATGTTCAAGCAGGAGTTATCTGAGCACAGAAGAGATGCAGGGGGCAGCCTTGGAAGCTGGAGGAGAGAGAGAGAGAGGAGACCAACGCAGTGACAGAGAGGGAGATACAGCCATAGATGCTGAGGATGGTTCCTGAAGTTGCGCCACACTCTCTGACTTTCTACCTCCAGTTTCTGTCTAGCTATATATTAACCCCCCTCTTAAGATAAGTGCTTTAGAAATTTGTTCCTCGTGACTACATGAGCTAAGATAAAAGAGTCCAAGGAGACTCTTCTTTTTAGAAGTAAGGAAATGAAGGCCCTGAGAATGCAGTGACTCCAATTCAGTGTTCTACCTCCCGGTGTGGCCATCTTCCATGAGTGTCAGTTCCTCCTGACCACTGGATTCCAAGGAAAGCCTGACTGCCAGGCAATGAGAAGGGTTTACATTAGCACCTCCATGAAAGAGTAATAATTACCCACAGGCCACTAGGCACATGCCTAGGCCTGCTAGGAGGCACAGAGTGGTACAATAGCTACCTTTCTTCTGTGATTCCTGGATTCCAGGCCGAATCCTAAGTAGACATGCAGGTTAGGATATGATGATTGCTGTTTACCTACACCATCAATCTCACATACGTGTAGAAGGGAAGCTGGCACGGGACCTGGGATAGGCCAAATGACTTAGTCAAGAACTGCCCTTTTCACTTTTTAGACTAGGATTCCCCAGAGTCTGTCTCTCCCCAAGCTGGCATAGAACAGATCATTTAATAATTTTCCGCTACTAGTGGAAATCCAATGATCAGAGTCCCAGAAAAAAGGGGGCATGGGGATTTATTCTGGGATTATACTCTACCATCACCTGTTCCCCCCATTCTGCCATCTCTAAAAAAAAGTTTTGTGTAAGCATAAAATAATTTGTCCTTCTAGGGATAATACAATAGATGCTTACTAAGAACTTTCTTATAAAGTGCTCAACTGTGAATGAATGACTGAAAAATTAATTTTATTTTAAGCTTGAATACCAAGAAAGAGGAGAAATACAGTTTGGAAATCAGAGAAGTGGTTTCCAGTTCTGTTGCTCTGCTTAACTGTGGATCCCCAAGAAAAGTTTTGATCTGACAAGTGAGAATGTGGAAGTAGGAATTGCAGCTACCACTCGGACGGACAGAGCAGCATGTGGAGGCTCGCGTTGTTGAACTTCTGCTCCAGAATGACTGCAGGAATAAATCGGGAAAGCTGAGAGAACCCACAGACCCTCTGAAGGAAGCGAATTGCTCCTGCAGGACCCGGGAGACACCCCAAATACTGTGAGTGCCCAAACTGTGAAAGTAGGAAAGGGGAATCATCTGCTCCGAACACACACCCTCACTGGGAAACCTGAAAGTCTAGGTCACGGGAGAAGATTCTGACCTTACCCGGAGCTGAGTCAATTTAGAGAGCTGAGCAAAATACAGGCGTAGAAGAAGCAGCGGGAAAAGCCCTGTGGGCTCGCTTGGTGCCCTAGCAAGTCGTTTCTGCCTTGCCTCACAGGGGTCCTTGAGGCAGGCTGCCAGAGGCACTGGGAAAAGGGAACAGGAAGAAGGAAACCTCCAGCTGAACTTTGTAACAATTTGAAGCCATTGAGAAGTCTTCTGGCCAGAACCTGGGGGAGGGTATGAATCCGGTGTGCAGAATTCACAGGTAGGGGAAGCACAAAAGCCCTACTTGCTTTTGCAGCTGGGAGGCAGGTATCCTGGGGCAAGTTCTCAGCCCTGCTTGCCCATTGCTTGGAAACAGACTTGTTGCTATTGGGGGTGGGGGGCAGGCACATGGTGGGAGTGAGACTAGCCCTTTGGGTTGAGTGGGAGCTAGGTGAGGCCTGTGACTGCCAGCTTTCCCCCACTTTCCTGACAACCTGCATGACACAGTAGAGGCAGCCACGCCTAGCCCTGCGCCCACCTAATGGTCCTTCCCTACACACCCTGGTAGCTGAAGACAAAGGGCATATACTCTTGGGAGTTCTAGGACGGCACCCACCACCTGTTCCTCCCCATACTATCATGGCTGATGCTGTCTTGAAAGCACTACCTCCCAGCAGGAGGCCAACCAGAACAAAAATGGTGCATTAAGCAACCAAAGTTAAGGACCCTCACAGAGTCCATTTCACTCCCTTGCCACTTCCACCAGAGAAGGTGCTGGTATCCACGGCTGAGAGACCCACAGACGATTCACATCACAGGATTCTGTGCAGACAAACTTCAGTACCAGCCCAGAGCCTGGTGAACTTGCTGGGTGGCTAGGTCCAGAAGAGACATAACAATCAGTACAGCTCAGCTCTCAGGAAGCCACATCCTTAAGAAAAGGAGGAGAGTACTACATCATGGGAACACCCCATGGGACAAAAAAATCTGAACAACAGCCTTGAGCCCCAGATCTTCCCTCTGACAGAGGCTACCCAAATGAGAAAGAACCAGAAAACGAATTCTGGTAATGTGACAAAACAAGCATCTTTAACACCCCCAAAAAGTCACACTAGCTCACTGGCAATGGATTCAAACCAAGAAGAAATTCCTGATTTACCTGAAAAAGGAGGTTAGTTATTGAACTAATCAGGGAGGCACCAGGGAAAGGCAAAGCCCAATTTAAGGAAGTCAAAAAAATGATACAAGACATGAGGAGAGAAATTTTCAATTAAATAGATAGCATAAATAAAAAACAATCAAAACCTCAGGAAACAATGGATGGACTTATAGAAATGCAAAATGCCCTGGAAGGTCTTAGCACTAGAATCAAACAAGCAGAATAAAGAACTTCAGAGCTTGAAGACAAGGTCTCTAAATTAACCCAATCCAACAAAGAAAAAAAAATTAGAAAATATGAACAAAGCCTCCAAGAAGTCTGGGATTATGTTAAATGACCAAACCTAAGAATAATCAGCATTCTTGAGGAAGAAGAGAAATCTAAAATTTGGAAAACATATTTGGGGGAATAATCAAGAAAAACTTCCCAGGCCTTGCTAGAGACCTAGTTATCCAAATATAAGAAGCTCAAAGAACACCTGGGAAATTCATCACAAAAAAGTAATCACCTAGGCACAATGTCATCAGGTTACTTAACGTTGAGACGAAGGAAAGAATCTTAACAGCTATGAGGCAAAATCACCAGGTAACTTATAAAGGAAAATCGATCAGATTAACAGCAGAGTTCTCAGCGGAAACCCTACAAAAAGGGATTGGGGCCTTATCTTCAGCCTCTTTAAACAAAACAATTATCAGCAAAGAATTTTGTATTCAGTGAAACTAAGCTTTGTAAATGAAGGAAAGATACAGTCAAACAAATGCTGAGAGAATTGGCCAGTACCAATCCAGCACTATAAGAACTGCCAAAAGGAGCTCTAAATCTTGAAATAAATTCTGGAAACACATCAAAACAGAACCTCTTTAAAGCACAAATTTCACAGGACCTATAAAACAAGAATACAATTTTTAAAAAACCAAGTTATACAGGCAACAAACACCATGGTGAATAGAATGGTACCTCACATCTCAATACTAACATTGAATGTAAATGCCCTAAATGCTCCACTTAAAAGATACAGAATGGCAAAATGGATAAGAATTCACCAACCATCTGCTGCCTCCAAAAGACTCACCTAACACATAAGGACGCTCATAAACTTAAAGTAAAGGGACTGGACGTGGGCAAGATGGCCGAATAGGAACAGTTCTGGTCTGCAGCTCCCAGTGAGATCAATGCAGAAGGTGGGTAATTTGTGCATTTACAACTGAGGTACCTGATTCATCTCATTGGGACTGGTTAGACAGTGGGTGCAGCCCACAGATGGTAAGCAGCAGGGTGGGGTGTTGCCTCACCTGGGAAGTAGAAGGGGTCGAGGAACTCCTTCCCCTAGCTAAGGGAAGCTGTGAGGGACTATGCCATGAGGAACAGTGCACTCTGGCCCAGATACTACACTTTTCCCACGGTCTTCACAACCCGCAGACCAGGAGATTCCCTTGGGTGCCTATGCCACCAGGGCCCTGGGTTTCAAGCACAAAACTGTGTGGCCATTTGGGCAGACACCAAGCTAGCCGAAGGAGTTTTTTTTCATACCCCAGTGGCATCTGGAATGCCAGTGAGACAGAAGTGTACACTCTCATCGAAAGGGGGCTGTAGCCAGGGAGCCAAGTGGTCTTGCTCAGTGGATCCCACCCCCACAGAGCCCAGCAAGCTAAGATCCACTGGCCTGAAATTATCGCTGCCAGCACAGAAGTCTGAAGTCAACCTGGGATGCTTGAGCTTGGTGTGGGGAGGGGCATCCACCATTACTGAGGCTGGAGTAGGCGGTTTTCCCCTCAGTAAACAAAGCCACCAGGAAGTTCAAAGTGGGCAGAGCCCACTGCAGCTTGGCAAAGCTGCTGTAGCCAGACTGAGTCTCTAGATTCCTCCTCTCTTGGCAGGGCATCTCTGAAAGAAAGGCAGCAGCCCCAGTCAGGGGCTTATAGATAAAACTCCCATCTCACTGGGACAGAGCACCTGGGGGAAGGGGTGGCTGTGGACGCAGCTTCAGCAGACTCAAGTGTTCCTGGCTGTCAGCTCTGAAGAGAGCCGTGGACCTCCCAACACAGCGCTTGAGCACTGCTAAGGGACAGACAGCCTCCTCAAGTGGGTCCCTAACCCCCATGCCTTCTGGCTGGGAGACACCTCCCTGCAGGGGTCGACGGACACATCATACAGGAGAGCTCTGGCTGGCATCTGGCAGGTGCCCCTCTGGGACGAGGCTTCCAGAGGAAGGAATAGGCAGCAATCTTTGCTATTCTACAGCCTCTGTTGGTGATACCCAGGCAAACAGGGTCGGGAGTGGACCTCCAGCAAACTCCAGCAGACCTGCAGCAGAGGGGCCTGTTAGAAGGAAAACTAACTAACAAAGGAATAGCATCAACATCAACAAAAAGGACATCCACACAGAAACCCCATCTGAAAGTCACCAGCATCAAAAACCAAAGGTAGATAAATCCATGAAGATGAGGAAAAACCAGCATAAAAAGACTGACAATTCCAAAAAACCAGAACGTCTCTTCTCCTCCAAAGGATCACAGCTCCTCACCAGCAAGGGAACAAAACTGGACGGAGAATGAGTTTGATGAATTGACAGAAGTAGGCTTCAGAAGGTGGGAAATAAACTCCTCTGAGCTAAATGAGCATGTTCTAACCCAATGCAAGGAAGCTAAGAACATTGAAAAAAGGTTACAGGAATTGCTAACTAGAATAACCAGTTTAGAGAAGAACATAAATGACCTGATGGAGCTGAAAAACAGCACGAGAACTTTGCGAAGCATAAACAAGTATCAATAGCCGAGGCGATCAAGTGGAAAAAGGATATCAGAGATTGAAGATCAACTTAATGAAATAAAGTGTGAAGACGAAGTTAGAGAAAAAGAATGAAAAGGAATGAGCAAAGCCTCCAAGAAACATGGCACTGATCCTACAGAAATACAAACTACTGTCAGAGAATACTATAAACACCTCTATGCAAATAAACTGGAAAATCTAGAAGAAATGGATAAATTCCTGGACACATAAACCCTCCCAAGACTAAACCAAGAAGAAGTCGAATCCCTGAATAGATAAATAACAAGTTCTGAAATTGAGGTGGTAATTAATCACCTACCAACCAAAAAAAGGCCCAGGACCAGACAGATACACAGCTGAATTCTATCAGAAGTAGACAGAGGAGCTGGTACCATTCCTTCTGAAACTATTCCAAACAATAGAAAAAGAGGCACTCCTCCCTAACTCATTTTATGAGGCCAGCATCATCCTGATACCAAAACATGGTAGAGTCACAACAAAAAAAGAAAATTTCAGGCCAATATCCCTGATGAACATCTATGGGAAAATCCTCAATAAAATACTGGCAAACTGAATCCAGCAGCACATCAAAAAGCTTATCCACCACGATCAGTTGGCTTCATCCCTGCGATGCAAGGCTGGTTCAACATACACAAATCAATAAAGGTAATTTATCATGTAAACAGAACCAATGACAAAAAACACATGCTTATCTCAACAGATGCAGAAAAGGCCTTTGATAAAATTCAACACCCCTTCATGCTAAAAACTCTCGATAAACTAGGTATTGATGGAACATATCTCAAAATAATAAGAGCTATTTATAACAAACTTACAGCCAATATCATACTGAATGGGCAAAAGCTGGAAGCATTCCCTTTGAAAACCAGCACAAGACAAGGATGCCTTCTCTCACCACCCCTATTCAACATGGTATTGGAAGTTCTGGCTAGGGCAATCAGGCAAGAGAAAGAAATAAAGGGTATTCAAATAGGAAGAGAGGAAGTCAAATTGTCTCTGTTTGCAGATGACATGGTTGTATATTTAGAAAACACCATTGTCTCAGCCCAAAATCTTCTTAAGTTGATAAGCACCTTCAACAAAGTCTCAGGATACAAAATCGATGTGTAAAAATCACAAGCATTCCTATATGCCAATAATAGCCAAACAGAGAGCCAAATCATGAATGAACTCTCATTCACAATTGCTACAAAGTGAATAAAATACCTAGGAATACAATTTACAAGGCATGTCAAGGACCTCTTCAAGAAGAACTAAAAACCACTGCTCAAGGAAATAAGAGAGGATACAAACAAATGGAAAAACATTCCATGCTTATGGATAGGAAGAATCAATATTGTGAAAATGGCCATACTGCCCAAAGTAATTTATAGATTCAATGCTGTCCCCTTCAAGCTACCATTGACTTTCTTCATAGAATTAGAAAAAAACTACTTTAAATTTCATATGTGGAACCAAAAAAGAGCCCATATAGCAAAAAGAACAAAGCTGGAGGCATCACGCTACCTGACTTCAAACTGTGCTACAAAGCTACAATAACCCAAACAGCATGGTACTGGTACCAAAACAGATATAATTAGAAAAAACTACTTTAAATTTCATACGGAACCAAAAAAGAGCCCCTATAGCAAAAAGAACATAGCTGGAGGCATCACACTACCTGACTTCAAACTATACTACAAGACTACAGTAACCCAAACAGCATGGTACTGGTTCCAAAACAGATATATAGACCAATGGAACAGAACAGAAGCCTCAGAAATAATGCCACACATCTACAACCATCTGATTTTTGACAAACCTGACAAAAACAAGCAATGGGGAAAGGATTCCCTATTTAATCAATGGTGCTGGGAAAACTGACTAGCGATATGGGGAAAACTGAAACTGGACCCCTTCCTTACACATTACACAAAAATTAACTCAGGATGGATTAAAGACTTAAATGTAAGACCTAAAACCATAAAAACCCTAGAAGAAAACCTAGGCAATATTATTCAGGACATAGGCATGGGCAAAGTCTTCATGACTAAAACACCAAAAGCAATGGCAACAAAAGCCAAAAATGATGAATGGGATCTAATTAAACTAAAGAGCTTCTGCACAGCAAAAGAAACTATCATCAGAGTGAACAGGCAACCTACAGAATTTTTTTGCAATCTATCCATCTGACAAACAGAAAATTTTTGCAATCTATCCATCTGACAAAGAGCTAATATCCAGAATCTACAAGGAACTTAAACAAATTTACAAGAAAAAAACAAACAACAGCATCAAAAAGTGGGCGAAGGAAATCAACAGACACTTCTCAAAAGAAGACATTTATGTGGCCAACAAATATATGAAAAAAAGCTCATCATCACTGGTCATTAGAGAAATGCAAATCAAAACCACAATAAGATACCAACTCATGCCAGTTAGAATGGCAATCATTAAAAAGTCAGAAAACTACTGATGCTGGGGAGGATGTGGAGAAATAGGAATGCTTTTACACTGTAGGTGGGAGTGTAAATTAGTTCAACCATGTGGAAGACAGTGTGGCGATTCCTCAAGGGTCTAGAACCAGAAATATCATTTGACCCAGAAATCCCATTACTGGGTATATACCCAAAGGATTATAAATCATTCTACTATGAAGACACATGCACACATATGTTTATTGTGGCACTGTTCACAATAGCCAAGACTTGGAATGAATCCAAATGCCCATCAGTGATAGACTGGTAAAGAAAATGTGGCATATATACACCATGGAATACTATGTAGCCATAAAAAGGGATGAGTTCATGTCCTTTGCAGGGACATGGATGAAGCTGGAAACCATCATTCTTAGCAAACTAACACAGGAACAGAAAACCAAACACCGCATGTTCTCACTCATAAGTGGGAGTTGAACAATGAGAACACATGGACACAGGGAGGGGAACACCACACACTGGGGCCTGTCGGGGGGTGGGGGCCTAGGGGAGGGATAGCATTAGGAGAAATACCTCACATAGATGATGGGTTAATGGGTGCAGCAAACAACCATGGCACATGTATACCTATATAACAAACCTGCACGTGCTGCATAAGATTCCCAAAACTAAAAGTATATATGTATATATATAAAAGGGCATTCTGGGCTTGAAATACAAAAAAGTTAAACATCACCCAGTACATGTGTACAAAGACTTTGTATTAATGTAGGAAAATATTTACGTTAAAACATTATGTCAAAAAAGCCAGATGCAAAATTACAAATATATTACCCTCTCTGTTTCATTGTCCTCTTTAAAGTAGCAAACCTAAGCAAACAAAAGTAAAGCTGCTTTTTCAAATCTGGACAGAAATACACCAAAACATGAAACAATGGTGGCGATATGAGTTTTTTCTACTTTTCTATATTTTCCTAATTTTCTATAATAAACAATTAATGACTCTATAAGGAAAAAAAACATGCATTGTATTTATTTTAGGAGAAGCAATTACCTCAGAGTTGGGGCTTCAGAGAACGGTATCTTGAATTTTCGGGGAAATTGTAACAATAGCCTGTATGTCTAGGGCTTGGGAGAGTGATATTAAGGTGAGAGCTGATTTTTAGAAGACTACTGGGTGACAATGTGCAGAATGACTTGGAGGCCAGGAAATAAGGGAAGAGATGACTTTGTGGCATTTTTGATGGTGCCCTGTGTGTAGATTTCACCTTGGCCAAGAGGGCCAAGCTTCTCTTCATACCGCCATCACACCACAGGTATCTCAAAGTACCAAGGAGGCTCTTGCTTTCATCATACCCCAGGAATATCAACAAAGATTATAGCTACACCTTTCAAGAAAGTTAAATATTTTATGCCCATTCTCTCTAATTGCCAGTCTTCTGTTGCTGTACCCTTGTAGGGGCCCAAAGCAGTATCCAAATAGAAGGGAGGAGGTAGAACAATACTAAAAAAAGGATTCTAAAACTAAAGAATATTTTGCCACACATTTCTCAGCCTGAAGTAGGCCTGACGTAGGGAAGAGGAAAAGTTATAATGAGACTTTTGAATGAGACTTTTGAGTTTCACTGAAAACTTTAGTTTTTAAAACTGGACTGCACTTTAGTTTTTAAAATTTTTAAATCTTTAAAGCAAGTGCCTTTTAAAACTAGTTTTTAGTTGTGTCTTATTCACTTTAGTTCATTAAAAAGGCAATTGCTTTAACGATTCTATAAATAAAATGACTGCCCACTAATATGTGATATAGTTCATTAAAAAGTACTTGCTTTGGCCGGGCACGGTGGCTCACGCCTGTAATCCCAGCACTTTGGAAGGCCGAGGTGGGCAGATCACGAGGTCAGGAGATCGAAACCATCCTGGCTAACATGGTGAAGCCCCATCTCTACTAAAAAAAAAAAATACAAAAAATTAGCCAGGCGTGGTGGCGGGCGCCTGTAGTCCCAGCTACTCGGGAGGCTGAAGCAGGAGAATGGCTCGAACCCAGGAGGCGGAGCTTGCAGTGAGCCGAGATCGCGCCACTGCACTCCAGCCTGGGTGACAGAGCGAGACTCCGTCTCAAAAAAAAAGAAAGGAAAAAAGTACTTGCTTTAATAATTCTATAAATAAAGTGACCACCCACTAATGTGTGATTTTTGTAAAGCATGGCATTTTTTGTAAAGCATGGTGTTTTTTGTAAAGCAGTATTTCTTATAGGAATCTTATGGCTCACACAGGAGTGGTAAGAATGCCAAATATGATGATGTATACAATCTAAACTAGACAGGCTGAAAGAATTTACACAATATAAAAACATACACTTTAAAAATTAGCCCTGTGGACAGATGCATGCAGTGGGAAGAGTAGGTGACAGAGGCTAGAGATCCTTTTATAATCAGTTGAGGGTCCATATGCAGTGAAATTGACTTTTTCTCTCCATTAAATAACTTTTACTAACAGATACAGGTATTTCACACACATTCAAACACAGAAGGATGAACTTTGACCTGCTACCTCTACAGTCTACAATGACACAACTGTGGTCTATCTGATACTCCCAGGAAATCATAAAGAGTAAATCCCATGCAACTTCCATGTAAGTAGCGAGAAGCATCGTCATTTATTCTAGATTGAACTTTGAAGATGTTTAACTTCCAACCTCGTATTTGTAAAGAACATATGTCTCCTTAGGCTACATTTTCTTCACAATTGACGTGCACTTAGAGTGGGGAAATTGTGATGACTTGTTTCACCTAACAGTGATAACTGAAGTACTCTTAAAAATGTGAGAAATTTTTAATAACATCTTTTATTAAACTTAACACATAACATGAATCATGTATAGCTTTAAGCCAAAAGGTAGAAGGGAATACATTTGAATTGTCATGCTTTTAGTTTTTATATTCTGTAGTTTCTACCACTGTCCCAAAGAATGTAGCTGATCACAACTGCTTCTTTACTTACCAAATCAAGAACTAGTTTGAATTCCTAGATTGGAGGAAATCCAAAATAAAAGAAATGCCACTTTTTTTAAATCCCTCTGGGACCGTTTTAGAAGCCAGACCAAAACTATCAATTATTCAAGGTTCCTATTAAGCAGTGGTTTGATTTTGTTATTTCCCTGTGTGTAATGGTCTAGAAGCAAACCAGGTAAAAACTTGTTAACACTGCAAGAAAGTTGACCTTTGGTATACTTCCCATAAAAAATCAGAAATCTTGAACAGCAATTCAGAGTCAGGTTTTTTTTTGTTTTTGTTTTGTTTTTTATTAAATATACCCCCAAGTATCCTGCTTTGCAGTAACTGTTATGGCAATGAGTTTTGGGGGGGCTATTCTTGAAAACTTATACCTAAAGATCCTCTTATGGAGATTTCTCTGGTTTTAAAACAAGTTGGCAGATTCTGTGAAACTAAAGAGAAAAAGTCTCTCTGAATGATTTTAAGCTACTGCTTGAATTGCAAATTCATATTGGGGAAAAAAACATTAAAGTAACTTGAAAGTCTCTTTTATTGGCAACTTCAAATGCAAAGTATTTTGTTTTTAAATTTCTAAAGCGTAGGTTAAGTAATATAGCTTTCCAAAGCTGAATGTACTCATCTGGAGCTAAGTGTTTCTGCTTTTCTACAACTCCTAGGTGGAAACGCTACTGTTTTGATGACCTGTGATTGAATGAATGGATCCATCTCAGCTGGTAGCATCCCTTTGCTTCCATGTTAAGTATTTTAAAAATTCTAGAATAGATGTGTCTCGCCAGTCTTAAATAGAAATTTCATTCCAAATGTCTCCGGAGAGTCATATACCATTTACAGGAATCCATCTTCATTCTTGTCATTTTTATACACCTTGGAAACCAGTGTGGAAATGCTCACCATACTATTTCTGCTCACCAACAGGAAGAAGGCTTGATCAGTATTCAGCTGTAAGCACCTTCTAATTATTTTGATTAGTTACTCATGTTGACATGGTCGGGTATGAAAGGCTTGGTTTTATCCAATAAAGGAGGCTGCTTCTCACCCCTTGTATCTTTCTGTTCGCCTTGGGATTTTGGTAGGATGTTGCCCTCTGGTAAGTTGGACATCTACTCTTTGTTCCAAGATGTGGTGCTGCTGGAAGTTCCCCTATGCATGCCGCAGGAGGGTGGTTGGCAGAGGTGGCTCTGACTCTGGTGACATTGACTGCTCTTGTAATTCCTCATCCCCTCAGCCAGGTCAGCTAGAATGGACTGTTTATTATGTGACAGTGACCAGAAAGGTTATATTCCTTGCCTGAGAGTTCTTCCAGGGCTGGCTTAGAATGGATCTGCAGGGCAGGTTTAAGGGGGAGAGGTGAGAAACAAAAAATGCTGTACTTTGCCTTACCTACAAAGTCCATCATTGAGTAAACCAGCCGCTCCAGGATTAGGAGTATTTGGAGACTGACCGGTCATATGCTAGGCAAGATGGGTCTCTTTTTATCTCATTTATCTCATTTCAGGGGCAGGACAAGTTCCACAATGCCACACAGCATGTGTTTAGGAAGAGGCTTTATTGGAAAAAGGGACAAATTATTGGGAAACTGGAAGAATTATCGAGGGAAGAGACCGCAGGTCTTCTCCATTCTCCCATCATCCCACAGAGAAGTATGCTGGGGCAGGGTGCCCTGCTGGATGTGCAGTGTGGGTCTATATTCCAACAGTGGAAACTAACCCCTTGATATCTGTTGCAGGGAGAGACACGCTGCTGGAGGCTGCAGTTTACAGACTTTGTCTAGGAATGCTAGTCTGCTAGTCATGCAGCATGTGGCAACCTTGAGATTATGGGAGATTGTGTCGGGTAGGAGGGACGGGTTGGGAAGGGGGCTGGTCACTTGAGCAGCTGGTGTGAGTGCAGCCTCTCATACTGTGAGAAGGAGCCTCCCATCCCAGCTGGCCCATTGTCCTGGCAACCAAGAATGAGAATTTCGAGGTCACTTCTGGCTCTTCTGATGATTGCCCCTACAATCCGGGGGAGAGCAAAAAAGAGGAAACAGGTGAATTCCAGCTTTCAGGCCTAAATAATTGCATATTTACAGGAGGAGCAGGACGGAAGCAGGTAGGAATTCCAAGAAGAGAACATGGGGGAAGTTTGAGGAAAATACAAAGGTATTTATATTAAAAAGCAGCCACCATTTCCTTGGTTGCACAGACAAATGAGAATGTATTGAAAACTGAACTGATAAGCCTGCCAAATTCAAATCATTTCATCAGCTATTTTCTGATAAAGTGGGTTAGAAGATAAATGCCTATTCACTTGTTTAAGATAAGAAATACGAAAATGTGCTCTTTTGCCCTCACCCCATTCTCAGAATAGTAGAAAAGGAAACCAGTAGTTTCAGTACTGTCATAAATGTATTTAATGGAGTTGCTGCCTGGGCATCCATTTTAGACCTAACACAAGTTACTGGAACTCAGTAGTACCCCGTCGCATTCGACCAGGTGAAAACTTCCTCTCCCTGTGTGGTTGTTTACAATATAGCCCACTTGTTCCTCATCCCACAGCTGCTGGCCATGATAAAACCTAATGGCCCACACCAGAGTTAATAAGTTCCCCCTTCATCTGTGTTTTCTTTAAACCAGACAATTCACAACCCCCTCAGGAAGGCTAATGGGCCTTAATGAAAGCCTCGTGACCACATGTGCTCTCTCCTCTCTCGCTCCCCGCTTGGTGGTTGAGCTCCCTGTTGCCTCCAGACTTCTGTGGCCTGCCATCGGGACCCCTAACCTCTCTGGGATATGTAAGTCATACATTTCTTCTGTTTCATGCAATTTGGTTTCACCTTCTCATTTTGTCTCATGACCAACACACTTGAACCAGGGCTCTCCTAGCAAGCGGCTATCTTGGCTTATGGCCATTCTCCACAGAGATCTCAAGTCCAAATTAGAAACTATAACAATAAAAATCACAACACAGTACCTATAGTTTTAATGTTCAGCTAGTAAATAATTTAGTCCACAATGCCTTAGGACTGAACCTTCAGCAAGTCAGTGTAGGCTATGAGGCTGAGAACTTGCATTTAGAGATGATATATGGGCAAAGTTAGTCGTCACAGCATTTTGTTTTGAAATAACAGGATTGCAAATAACTAAAATCATTATTAAAAGGGTAGTCATTACATAAATTATGTTATACAATTCAATAGAATATAATGCAGCTGTAAAAAAAAAAAAAAAAAACAAAGTGAGGGCTGGGCGTGGTGGCTCACACCTGTAATCCCAGCACTTTGGGAGGTCGAGGCAGGCGGATCATGAGGTCAGGAGATCGAGACCACCCTGGCTAACACGGTGAAACCCTGTGTCTACTAAAAATACAAAAAATTACCCGGGCATGGTGGCGGGCGCCTGTAGTCCCAGCTA
This sequence comes from Homo sapiens, assembly GCF_000001405.40. Lineage (NCBI taxonomy): Eukaryota > Metazoa > Chordata > Mammalia > Primates > Hominidae > Homo > Homo sapiens. Next base: position 7,291,270 of record NC_000007.14, on the reverse strand, counting down.
CTCAGGAGGCTGAGGCAGGAGAATGGTGTGAACCCAGGAGGCTGAGCTTGCAGTGAGCTGATACTGCACCACTGCACTCCAGCCTGGGTGACAGAGCAAGACTCCATCTCAAAGAGGAAAAAAAAAAAAAAGTGAGGATACTTTGTTATTCACTGATTCTTAATGACATCCAAAATTCATTCTTAGGTTAAAAACAGGTGCCAAACAATGTACAGTCTATGCTATCACTGGCGTAAGAAACAATGGTAGTGGTGGGGAGTATATGTAGGCATGGTCTTCGATAACACATAGAATATATTTGGAAAGATATGCAAGAAACAGTATTCATTGCCTCCGGAAGGGGTCACCAGGTGGCTGGGGGCAAAGGTGAGTGCTATCTTGTCAAAATATCTTTTGTGTCTTTTGAACGATATGAATGTATTATTTGCTTTGAAAAAAATATGGTTTAACAACAGCATATAAAACGTTACATATTTTCTTTTTCAGACAAAGTTTCTCTGCATTTGTTCATTGTCTTTCACTAAAATTTCTGTTCTTTTTTTTTTTTTTTTTTTTGGATTCTTTGTTGAAAGACAGTAGTGTGTAGTTTTAAGTTTGGTGAAGAGTGTGAACTTTGGAGTCAGATAGACCTGGGTGGAGAGCTGGTTCCACCAATGAATGGCTGTGGGAACTTTTGGAGCCTGCCTTACCTGAATCTCAGATTTCTTGCTTACAAAATGAAGTTGGGAATACCTTTCATAGGGCTTATTGTGAGAAGTATATCAGGTAAATCTATACAAAATCCTAGCAAAGTTTCTAAGAAACTCTAAATGCCCAAAAAGTGATAGCTATTACTACTATTGGGTATAATTTAATGGTTAATTTTTGCTTTGCCATGCTGAAATATGAACATACTGAGAGGGTTTGGGGCTCAGCCAGACCTAGGGCAATTTGGTCATTTTCATTTGTCATAGTAAATGTCAATAAAGTCTAAAGATGAGAACTGTGTGAAAGCTATAGGTAGTTGTATTCTATTTTGCTGCATAATACTTCAGAACTTAGCAGTGCTGAGCAAATATTTACATTCTTTCAGTTTCTGAAAATTAGGAATCTGAGAATGGCTTAGTTAGGTGGTTCTAGCTCAGGGTCTCTCATGAAGCTGTAGTTAAGCTGTCATTTGGGGCTGTGGTCTCTGAAGGTTTGACTGGGGCGGGAGGATCCACATCCAAAATGGCCTGCTTGACTTGGCTGTTGGCAGGAGACCTCAGGTCCTTGCCATGTGGGCCTATCTTAGGCCTACTTGGGTGTTCTCACAACATGGCAGCTGGTCTCCCCCCAGTGAGTGGTCCCCCCTAAAAAAAGCAAGGGGATCTTAGGCCGGGCGTGGTGGCTCACGCCTGTAATCCCAGTGCTTTGGGAGGCTGAGGTGGGTGGATCACGAGGTCAGGAGATCGAGACCATCCTGGCTGACACGGTGAAACCCCATCTGTACTAAAAATACTAAAAAAGCAAGGGGATCTTTTAGGACAAGGGCCAAAGTCATACAGCATCACTTCTGCCTTATTTGATTCCTTAGAAGTCGGTCACTAAGTCCAGCCTATACTCAAGAGGTGAGGAATTAGGCTCCTTCTCTTGAGGGAGAAATAGCAAATAATTTGTGGACATATGTTTTAAAATACCACAAAAGAGTATCCTTATAATTTAACATTCAAACTTGGAAACTTTTAGAAGTGAAAAGTGGTGTTATTAAAAACCAAGACTGGACAGTAAGTGCAAACTGGGACCCTCCTGGGCAAAACAGGGTATATAGTTACTGAGGTGTACATCTTTCTACAACCTCTCATGAAAGTCTCAGATCAAGAGGTGTACAAATACCCATTACAAGCAGACTCCCAAACAGTCATACTTCTTGCTCTGTAAGCTCAGTGTAGTCCTGATACTCTGATCATCTAGGAACTCTAGTAGCCACTTTGCCTGGAAGGCTAATTCCCAGGAAAAATGAGAAAGTGTTCTGACTGAAAGATCAGCTAACTTTCTAATGGTGTCAGACAAGAAAACCCTTCATTAAGGGGAGGAATGCAAGATAGGGTTCTAAATTTTAGGAGTCTTTTCCCAAGGTGTTAAGCTCCCAGGCTCTTCATTTCTCACACTTCTGTTCATCCAAGAGTGGAGGCATATCATTCATTTCACTATTGAAAATGGTCTTATATTATCTCTTCTGAAACTCTTTAAGTGCAGATTCAGATAGCAAGTTTTGAAGCTCTGGCAGAATTATCCAGAGTACAGCATCTTTCATATGCAACCCACCTTTCAAGTGTGAGTTTAGAGTGTACTGAATGTTAAGCATCTTCTTGGATATAGATTAACACTAATTTAAACAGACACCTACATACCACATTATCTATGCTGAAGTACCTTAAATTTCAGGCAGCATAAAAAAACTCAGTAACTGGGTTTCCAAGTAACCAACCTTCAGTTTTTAACAATTCCATTATAAAGAACTATCATTTCAAAAGGAAAATGAAAGTTACAGGCTAGAGAAATTCAGATTCATAATAACAAATTTTTTTTCCTACAGAAATTTCTATGTAAAGTATTTTCTTTAATAGTGGATAGCTACAAAATTCTCTCCCCCGTCCTTATTGAGGTATAACTGACAAAAATTGTATATATTTAAGATATACAATGTGATGTTTTAATAAACATATACTTTATGAAATAATTCCCCCATCTAATTAACAACCTATTCCTTACTTCACATAGTTACCTTGTTTTTTGGTGGGGGAATGGGGGTGTGTGCAAGATCTACTTAAGATCTACTCTCTTAGCAAATTTCAAGTACGCGGTACGTTATTATTAACTGTAGCCACCATGTTGGACATTAGATCTCTAGAGCTTTTTGAGAGCTTGTACCCTTTGACCAACGTTTTGCCGTTGCTCACCTGCCTCCCTGGCGGCAACCACTATTCTACTCTGTCTCTGCAAGTTCAACATTTTTAGATTCCACATTCTATGAGTTTGACTTTTTCAGATTTTAGAATTTTAGATTCCCAGACCCTGACAACCTCAATTCTACTGTTTGTATGGATTCAACTTTTTTAGATTCCATCTTAGATTTTTTATTTAAGTGACATCATGCAGCATTTGGCTTTCTGTGTCTGGCTTATTTCACTTAGCTTAATGTCCTCTAGGTTTATCAGTGTGCTTACAAATGACAGGATTTCCTTCTTTTTAAAGGCAGAATAATAATTTATTGTATATATACCACATTTTCCTTACCCATTTATCCATTGACAAATACTTAGGTTATTTCCATATCCTATTCCATTGGCTATTGTGAATAACGGTGCAATGAACATGGGAGTGTAGGTATCTCTTTGAGATGCTGATTTTATTTCCTTTGGATATATCCTCAGAAGTGAAATTGTTGGATTATACAATTTTTATTTTAGGTTTTATTTTTAGGTTTCTTGAGGAACCGCATACTGTTTTCCATAATGGCTGTAATAATTTACACTCCCACCAATAGTGTACAGAATTCCCTTTTCTCTGCATCCTTGCCAATATTTGAGATTTTTTGACTTTTTGATAATGGCCACCCTAACGTGTGTGAGGTGATGTCTCCTTGTGGCTGTGACGATTAGTGGATGCTGACCAGTTTTTCATATAGCTGTTGACCATTTGCATGTTTTATTTGAAAAAATGTCTATTCAGATCCTCTGCCCGTTTTCAATTTTTTTTTTTTTTTTTTTTTGCTCTTGAGTTGTATGAGTTCCTTTTATATTTTGGATATTAGCCCCTTACCAGATATATAGTTTGCAAATATTTTCTCCCATTCCGTGTGTTGCCTTTGCATTTTGTTGATTGATTCTTTCACTGTGCAGAAACTTTTTACTTTGATGTAGGCCCACTTCTTTATTTTTGCTTTCATTGTCTGTGTCTTTGGTGTGATATTCAAAAAATCACTGCCAAGTCCAACATTAAGGAGGATTTCTCCTAGGTTTTCTTCTAGTAGCTTTACAGTTGAGGTCTTATGTTTGAGACTTTAATGCATTTTGAATTTATTTTTCACATATGTAAGATAAGGGAACAATTTCATTCTTTTGCATGTAGATATCCAGTTTTCTTGGCACCAAATTTTCTGAAGAGATTATTCTTACCCCATTGTGTATTGTTGATGCTTTTGTCAAAGATTAGTGACTATATATATGAGATTATTTCTGGGCTCCGTGTTCTATTTTTCTATGTGTCTGGTTTTATGCCAGTACCATGTTGTTTTGATTGCTATAGTTTTGTGATATAATTTGAAATTAGGTAATGTGATGCCTCTAGCTTATTTTCCCCCCCTTTGGTGTCTTTTGTAGCTACATACACATTTTAGGATTTTTTTGTTTCTATGGAAACATGTGATTGGAATTCTTTTATGGATTGCATTGATCACTTTGGGTAATATGGACATTTTAACATTAATTCTTCCAATCCATGAACATAGGATATCTTTCTACTTATTTGTGTCATCTTCAATTTCTTTTGTCAATGTTGTGTAGTGGTCAGTGTTCAAATCTTTCATCTCCTTGGTTAAATGTATTCCTAAGTGTTTAATGCTTTTTGATACTACTCTAAATGGGATTATTTTCTTGACTTTTTCCCCCTAGATCATTCATTGTTAGTGTATAGAAACCACTTACAAGGTGCAGTGGCTCACAGCTATAGTCCCAGTGCTTTGGGAGGCCAAGATGGGAGGATCACTTGAGGCCAAGGGTTCAAGACTAGCTTGGGCAATAAAGTGAGAGAGAATGAGAATGTTACCTAATTTCGTATGTTGATTTTGTATCCTGCTACTTTACTGAACTTGTTTATTAGTTCAAACAGTTTTTTTGGTTGAGCCTTTAGGACTTCTACATACAGGATTATATTATCTGCAAACATACAGTTTTACTTCTTCCTTTCTGATGTGGATGCCTTTATTTCTTTTCCTTGCCGAATTACTCTGGATAGGACTTTCATTACTATATTAAATAGAAATTCGGGAGAATTGGGTATTGTTGTCTTATTCCTGATCTTAGAGGAAAAGCTTTAATCATTTTGCCATTGAATACGATGTTCGCTGTAAGCTTGTGATATATAGCATTTATTATTTTGAGGTATATTTCTTCTATACCTAATTCATTGAGAGTTTTAATCATAAAATAATAATAAATTTTTTTAAATGTCTTTCCTGCATTTCTTGAGATGATCATTTGGTTTTCTTCATTCTGTTAATGTGATGTATCACATTTATAGATTTGCATGTATTACAACATCTTTGTATCCTCAGGATAAATCCATCTTGAACATGCTGTATGATTCTTTTAATGTTCTGTTGAATTTGGCTTGCTAATATTTCATTGAGGATTTTTGCATCTATATTCATTAGGGTTATTAGCCTGTAGTTTTCTTTTCTTGTAGTGTCATTGTCTGTCTTTGATATAAAGGTAATGCTGGCCTCATAAAATAAGTTTGAAAGTGTTCCCTCATCTTTAATATTTTTGAAGAGTTTAAGGCGGATTGGTTTTTTTGTTTTTTTTTTTTTTAATGTTTAGTAGAATTGACCAGTTGAAGCCATCCTGTCCTGAGCTTTTTTATTGGGAGATTTTTGATTGCTGATACAATCTCCTTACTCATTATTAGTCTGTTCAGATTTTCTATTTCTTCATGATTCAGGTAGGTTGTATGTTTCTAGGAACTTGTTCATTTTTTTCTAGGTTATCCAATTTGTTGGCACTTAATTGTTCATAGTAGTCTTTTATCCTTTTTATTTCTGTGACATCAATTGTAATGTGTCCTGTTTCATTTTTTATTTTGAGTCTTTTTTTCTTAACTATTGCCAATTTTGTTTATCTTCTCAAAAAATAAATTTTTAATTTTGATCTTTTCTATGGTTTATCTAGTCCCTATTTCATTTATTTTTGTTTTAATCTTTTCTTTCCTTCTGAAAACTTGGCATATAGTTTGTTCTTTTTTCTAGTTCTTTGGGGTGTAAAGTTAGTTTATTTAAGATCTTTTTTCTTTTCATGCAGGCATTTATTGCTATTAATTTCCCTTTTATAACTGCTTTTGCTGCATTTCATAAGTTTTGGTACATTGAGTTTCCATTTTCATTTGCCTCAGATATTTTAAATTTCCATTTTGACTTCTTTTTTGATCTAGTGATTATTCAGGAATGTGTTTAATTACCACATATTTTGGATCCTTCCAGATTTTCCTTCTGTTATAAATTTCTATTTTCATTCAACTGTGATTAAAAAAACCACTTTATATGATTTCAATCTTCTTAAATTTAGGATTTGTTTTGTGGCCTAACATCTGATCTGTCCTGGAGAATGTTCTATGTATGCCTGAGAAGAACGTGTACCCCGCTGCTTTGGGATAGAATGTTCTGTACATGTCTGTTAAGTCTGGCTGGTGTAAAATGAACTTTAAGTCCAATGCTCCAATGCTTTTATATTATTTTTTCTGCTAGGATGATCTGTCCATTGTTGAAAGTAGGGTGTTGAAGTCCCCTACTATTACTGAATTGTTATGTATATTTCCCTTGGGATCTGTTAATATTTGTTTTATATATTTAGGTGCTGTGATATTATGTGCATACATATTTACAGTTGTTATGTCCTTTTGATGAACTGACACCTTTATCATTATGCAATGACTATTTTTGTCTCTTATGACAGTTTTGGCTTAGTCTATTTTGTCTGATGTAAGTGTAACCACTTTGCTCTCTTTTGGTTAATATCAGCATGGAATATGTTTTTCTATACCTCCACTTTCAGCCTATATATGGCCTTAAAGCTAAAGTGAGTCTGTTGAGAGCAGCATATAATTGCTTTTTTCTTTAGTCCATTTAGCCACTCTATGTCTTTTGATTGGAGAATGTATTTACAGTTAAAGTAGTTATTTATAGGTAGAGACTTACTATTGCCATTAAGTTAAATGTTTCTGACTGTGCTGTAGTTCCTTTGTTTCTCTCTTACTCCCCTTCTTTGTGATTTCATGATTTTTTATATTGGTATGCTTTGGTTACTTTCTCTTTATCTCTTGTGTATCTACTACAGGATTCTGCCTTGTGGTCACCACGGATTTTACATGAAACATCTTATAGTGTAACCATCTATTTAAAGATAAAAAAACTTAAATAGCACACAAGAGGTCTCAACTTTTACTTCTTTACACTCCATATTTTGTTTTTGATATCTCAACTTACATTGTTTTATGTTATGTATTTGTTAACAAAATTTTGTAGCTACAATTATTTTTAAATCTTTTGTCTTTTAACTTATATGCTAGAGTTTAAAAGTGATTTGCACAAGATCGTTAGAGTATTAAAGAATTCTGAATTTGACTATACATTTACCTTACCAGTGAATTTTATATTTTTATGTTTTTATGTTACAAGCTAGCATTCTTTCATTTCATTTGTTGAAAAACTCTCCTTAGCATTTCTTATAAGGCAGGTCCAGGAATGATTAACTTGTTGAGCTTTTTTTTTTTTTTTTAATCTGAGAAATTATCTATCCTTTATTTCTGAACAGCTTTGCCAGTTAAAGTATTCTCCATTAGCAAATTTTTTTCTTTAATAATTTTGAATGTATCTTCCCATTCTCTCCTGATCTGCAAGATAAATCTGCTGATAACCTTTGAGGTTTCACCGTATGTGGAAAGACTTGTTTCTTGCTGTTTTCAAAATTCTGAGTTTTGACAATTTGATTATAATGTGTCATGGTGAAGTCTTCTTTGGGTAAAGACTATTTGGGAACTTCTGAGCTTCACGGACTTTGGTTGTTTATTTCTCTTCCAAGATTTGGGAAGTTTGCAATCATTAATTCTTTGAATAAGTATCTTTCTCTTTCTCTCTTTTCTCCTTCTAAAACTCCTATAAGGTGTATATTTGTTCACTTAATGGTGGCCCATGAGTCCTGCAGGGTTTGTTTACTTTTTTTCATTCTTTTATTCTTGTTCTCCTCAGAGTGAATAATTTCAAAAGCCTTGTCTTTGAGTTCACCAATTCTTTCTCCTGATTGATCTCATCTGCTGGTGAAGTTTTCTATTGTATTTTTTTTCATTTTATTAATTGTATTCTTCAGCTCCAGGATTTCTATTTGGCTTATCTATGATTTCTATCTCTTTGTTGAACTTCCTATTTTATGTCTTATTTTTCTGATTTTGCTGAGGTATCTGTGTTATCTTGTATCTCACTGAGCTACCTTAAAATAATTATTTTTAATCAATTTTCAGACAATTCTAGATCTCCATTTTGAGGTGATTAGTAACTGGACAATTATTTTGTTCCTTTGGTGGTGTCATGTTTCTTTGCTTTTTCATGTTTCTCATGGCCTTGCATAGATGTCTGCCATTGGAGGGAGCAGTAAACATTTCCAGATTTTATGGACTGGCTTCAGTGGGGAAAGCGTTTCACTTGCAGGTATGTGTTAGGGTGCTGGCTGGTGGGGTGCAGTGGCTGCAGTTATGGGGAGGGTGCAGTGGTGCAGTCTCCATGTAGCTCTGTCAACTGAGGTCACCATCTGTGGAGACTGTGGGAAACCTTGGTGGCCTAGGCTATGGGAGTCTGCAGTGGCAGCAAGGGTTATTGGGGAGCTTTGTCTGATACTCAAATTTTGGCATAATTTGGCCCAATGTTATCCTATAGAAAAATAATATGAGCAACATATGTAACTTAAAATTTTCTAGTGTGCACATTAAAAAAAGTAGGCACAGATGAAGTTAATTCTAGTAATCTGTATTATTGAAAATATCTTGTAATGCACAATCAATATAAAAACATGTGATATTTTACTTTTTAAAATTAAGTGTCCAAAATCTGGTATGTATTTTACATTTACAGAAAATTTCTCTTTAGACTAGCCATATTTCAAGTGCTGAGTAGCCACGTGTAGCTAATGGCTACTGTATTAGCATAAACTAGTCCTACTCTATTGTGATCCCTTAAATTTCTGTCAGCCACATCTCTCATTCTTCCCTGAAAACACTCTGCTATAGTCTGAATGTTTCTGTCCTCCCCAAATTTATATGGTAAAATCCTAATGTCCAAGGTGATGGTATTAGGAGGTGAGGCCTTTAGAAGGTATTAGATAATGAAGGCTCCACCCTCATGACAGGTATTAGTATGCTTATAAGAGATACACCAGAGAGCTAGCTAGCCCCTTTTACCATCTAAGGATACAGCAAGAAAGGTGTCAGTTAGGAGCGAGGAAATGGGCTCTTACCAGACACTGTATCTGCTGGTGCCTTGATCTTGGACCAGCATCTAGAACAGTGAGAAATAAATTGCTATTGTTTATAAGCCACGTGGTTTATATTTTGTTATAGAAACTTGAAAAAACTAAGACACTTCAAGATTATCTGCCTCATATTTTCATAGGCAGTGTTCCCTTTTCTTGGAAACTCCTTAGTCTCAGCCCTTTAAATCTTGCCTACCTTCTAGTATCATCACAAATGTAAGACCAAACTTTTCCACCCAGATGAAATGTTTATTCACTTACTTTTTCTGCCACAGATTATCATAATTTACACATACATTTTATTCCTTTTTGTTACCTTCTCAAGAGAAAGTATTGAGGCTTATTTTTGTTTTTCTTCTCAGGCCTAACATATTGCCTTGTATGTACTGATTACTCAATAAACATTTGTTGTTTTAAGTGGATTGTGTTGAATTCACTGCAAAGGAAGAGAAACTATCTATTGAAAAGCAATTGATAGTAAGTAAAACATCTGCCAAACCAATATGTTTTCTACATACAGGAAAACCAGAGAGCTGTCTTAGTTACTCTATAGCCTAAACAACAGTTAATTATATGGAAATTGTTCACAATATGTGGTAATTAGAGTTCTCATCTTTAAGTTGATGATTATATTTTATTTAGCTATTATTTAAGACTATGCAAAACTCTCCCTCTCCATTTTGTTTATTGTCTACTAAGCTAGAATATTGTCATTTATTAGAAAACTGTCATTTATATAAGGCACTGAGGATTGTTGAAAGGGATGGAAAGAAATGGGACCTGCTTTGAAAAAAAATTTATAAAGTGATCAAATCTCCCTGAGTCTCATTCTACATAAAAAGAGAATTTCAGCTGTTCTAGAAAAAAAAATAGTGAAGTAGCACTACAGCGCTAGCATAAGAGCCAAAGAGGAAAGAAACATGAAAAGCAGCTCAACCGTCAAAGACAGGTTTATTTTGGAGAATAAACCTGAGAGGGGCTTCTGGCTGATTTTTGGTTAGGAGCCTTCTGTCTTACAGAATAAGTATTTAAGGGTTCAGGGTGAGAGAACTTACCACAGGCTTGGAATGTTTCTGGTGGGGGAGAAATTTATTGCAGGGTTGGAATGTCTCTGGCTGGAGGGGAGGTTATCTTGGGGCTGACATCTCTCTGGCTGGAGGGGAGGTTATCTTGGGGCTGGCAAGTCTCTGGTTGGGGAGGGGTTTATCTTATGGTTGGAATGTTTCTGGTAAGAGATGTCATTTGTGGCTTATGGTCATTCTGACCTTAGTCATTAGGCTGATGCCCTTGGATTTACGAGGTTTTTGATGAAGGTGAACATTAAAATGGCAGTGCTTGTCCAAGATGGCGATGTTCCTGCTCTGTCAACTAGACTTTCTCCTTCTGAGTTCTATCTTTTGCCCTCTGCTTGTTTCTGTCTTCTGTGAGGCTGCAAAAAGCACCAATCTGCCTGCCGTGTAGGCATCCCAGAGCTGAGGATGACCTAAGTTCCTTCCCCAGTCAAATAATATGACAAATTACCTTATACCAAAGAACTATTTACTAATAGTCTCTAAATTATTACTTTTCGTAGGTATTTTCACTGTACTTATTTTGACAACAGAAATGAAACCCTTGTGGATCTCTGACCTACCCTGAGTCACATCCTTTGAACTCTCCTATTGTATTGCAGGGAAGAACACGGTTTCTTTTCTTTTACCCTTCAAGGTTCTGTTGCTGGGGCCCTGTAAACTAAATTGACAAAAGATCATGCCTCAGCCTCCTGAGTAGCTGGGATTATAGGCGTGTGCCACCATGCCTGGCAAATTTTTGTATTTTTAGTAGAGACAAGGTTTTACCATGTTGCCCAGGCTAGTCTCGAACTCCTGGACTCAAGTGTTCTGTTCCCCTTGGCCTCCCAAAGTGCTTGGATTAAAGGTGTGAGCCACTGTGGCTGGTCCAATTTGCTTGTCTTATAAGCAAAATGGTTACATCAAGCCTGCATGATATTCCCAAAGGCAAAAGTATGGACACCAAGGGTTAAAACATGAAAGAATTTTGTAAAGTCAAGGTATAACTATTGCAATAAAGATCATCATAAAATATAGAACTATAATACAATACCAGGAAAATTTTAGCTCATTTTCCTTTTAGCATTAAGCATATTTTTAACCTTTTCCAAACATATCTGTCATGTTCCTATTTTTGAAGAACTCAGAGGGGCAGATGTGTAATTACAGTGATATTCTGAGTAGTCCTTCATGCATAAATAACAGTTTCAACAACCAGAATCTTATAATCAAGGACAAGTCCTTAGCCACAACTTGTGGAAAAGTGGGATTGGGACCAAGTAAAACACCAAAGGATCAGATCTTCATTGAAAAAGTGAAAAAGCAACACCCACATGTATCTTTATTTCTATTGGTACATTCATTTATGAATTTTCCATTCACATATTGTCCTGAACACTCCCAACACAAAGTTGACATAGGTAGAGGAGAGAAAGTCACATGGGAGAGAGCCGTCTTACAAATTAAGACATATCTAGTCATTGGGAAGGAAGTCCCTCCTCCACTCCATTCCCACCACCATCCCAAGCCTCACCACGGAGTAACCTAGTATCTCTACTCTCTCTTTAAAAAACAACAACAACAGTAACAACAAAAAGGTTCTCACTATGTTGCCCAGGCTGGTCTTGAACTCCTGGCCTCAAATAATTCTGCTTCAGCCTCTCAAAGTGCTGGGATTACAGGCATGAGCTACCATGCCTGGCGTCTGCCACTTTCTTTACTGTTAATAGGATCCATGAATACTATAGTGAAAAGCACAAGAAAGACACCAAACTGGTTAAAAATAAGAGGCACAAAATTACCTAACTGAATAAAATTCAGTGCTCTATCATAATAGATTCTGTGTGTCTTAAAAATGAAATCATAGATTTCCAAATATTCAAAGGAACTTACAAATTCTATTAAACTTACAGATATGTTTATTGGACTATTTCCCCTTGTTAGACTGAGAGAAATAGGAATCATTTATCTAAATTCTTCACATCACATTGATTAATGAATGCTTTCATTTATCTAACCAGTATCTATCCAGTGAGGCTGTGAGCAAGTCACCATGTTAGGCTCAGGATGGGGGTTGGGGAGAGAATTGCTCAGAAACTTTATAATCTGATGGATGCTAGTGATTTCTTAGGATCTTGATTATGATGTTATCAAAATCGATCTACATTTTTAAAGAATTCCATATCATCTAAGGGACCTCAGGAACCAAAGGCGTGCATACTATGGATCCTCCATATTTTCTAATTCTTTTATTCCTTTGAAAAAAGCTGTCTATAGAGAAAGATCTTATTTATTACTGGTTAATTTCAAAAAGGTTTTGAGGTAGCAGAAAACGGTCTCCAGCTATAAGTTGAAAAAAGGAGAACAGCACAAGTGCAGTAAAAAAAAAAAAAAAAAAAAAAATCCTACATAACCAGACAATGTACCAAGGCTACATCTGTCCCTGGAAAAAACTCAGTATTCCTATAGGAAATCACTCTGCCATTCAAAAGCTTTGCTAAATATAGTCAGGCAGCAGAGCCTAGGCATTAAATCAGTAGGGCTGGTTTGTTGATTATGAATGGACTAAATTCAGGAAGACATAGTGTCCTCTAGGAAGGCCCCATCTACCCCTTGCCTATGTATCACCCTACTTTTTATCTAGGCTTTATCTGTATTGGGGAAAATTGTTCCCAGTTACCACTTCCCTGGTACCTTAGTGGTGCTGAGAAAAGCTCCCTGCATGGAGGAGCAAGGCAACACCCTACCATGTGATGCAGCATCAGTGGAGTGGGGTAGGTGGGGAGAACCACTTTGAGGGCTGTTTTTGGGACTCATCATGGACAAAACAGATCCTTTGTAGGTCAAGGAAAATAAATGTGTTGGGGATGGGAAAAGATAGACACATGAAGAAATATTAGAAGGATTCTCTGCTTTTATTTGAATGCATGTTTTCTTATTGCTTCTACATCCAGAATGAGTTTTTGTAGGCTAGCTGGCTCTTCAGTTCTCCAGTAATGAAAGTGAGATGGAATACTAGCCAGTTCAATTAATCATTGATTTTAATGAATGTTCATTGTGCACCTTTTATGTGCCAGGCTCTTCCAGGAGCTGGGAAACAGCGGTGAACAAGACGAGAAGCTCCTCTTCTGGGGTAGGGTGGGAGGATAAACATTCCAATAGGCAGCATCCTGATCATCTCGATATGCCCTTGACCGATATATTCAATATTTTATTTGTTGGTGTATTCTTGGCCTCCCATCCATATACTCTACTTATATAGGACATGACAATAGGCCACTTATTCTCAACTCCCTGGACACTTAGTCTCAGCCATGTTGTACTTGCTCTTCTTAGTCATCCTCATGGTCTTGCTTTCTGTCTCATTCACTCCTATGCATTGTCTGCAACAGAAGCACAATGAGTAGTTTTTAGGATTTAACCAAGATCTGAGGCCTGAGGTTCTACCCCTGGCCTTTTCATTCTCATAGACTTTCTGGCTCAACCATACCCCTTGCTTTGCCCAAGCCTTGCTATAAGCCCTCAGCTCTTACATGTGCCTCTCCCAGTGTTGACTTGTATATACACTGTCCTGCACCTGCTCTTACAACTGACCAATAGGTGACTTGCAGCACATGTACCAGTGCTGAGAAATGTCAATATCTGTCTTCCTCTTTGCCTGCAAGCCTCAGTAGGAGTGATGCCCATCTACCATGCTCCAAAACATCTCAGCCCTATTGAAATTATTATCATGTGAACAACTACCCTCTTTAAAAACCAGAATAAGTTATTAGAGACTTGGATTTAAATACCTTAGGAATGGTGAAGGTAGAAGACAAAGCCCCTAACCCCTATACATGGGCATGTACTTGCTGGAACAAGCTTGAGATTGTACCTTGAGCTGGAACATTTGTGAAGCACTGCCCTGTCACACCTCTAATTTATTACCACCTGCAGATATTGTTTAGGCATCATATATTACTCTAAGAATCACTACTACTTGCATATAAGGTCATTTTTACCCTAACGTAAAAGTAAATAGTTGACAATGATCGATGAGCAGTCCTGGGTAGTGTTCTCTAAGAGAAAAGACCAGAGTGGCAAAGATTTCCTGCCTAGCAACCCCTCCCTTTTATGAACAGGTACTGTGACTTGTCTTGGATTTCACTTCCTACTCCATTCCTTCTATTCCCCACTCCTAAATGGTAATTTAGGACATTTACCAGTCTGCAAGAGAGTTTGAGGGGGAAACACTGTCCTAAAGGGCTATAAATGAAATCAAAGGCATGGTCTCTGGGGAGTCTCTCTATGTCAAAGAGAGTCAGATCCTCCAGGTACTTAGATCTACTGGGAAGATCGGACAGATTCATGAAGTAGACAAAAAGTCATGTAAAGCCACGTAACAAACAAATGCAAATTGAAACTAAATGCCCAGTATGACTATAAATTCTAGAGAGACTTGAAATAGAGATGTAATACATAGATGACAGTAAAAGAAGGCTTGCTGGAAACAGAATCCTCTCAAGATTGTGGGTATGGTGCCTCTTGGCAATCTGCACCAGCACAGCTGCCAGAAAACAGGAAATCTGGCCAGAGATGCTAAGAAAAAAAATCCAATGTCTGTGACAAGCTGTCAGACAGTCATTAGCATTCCCCTGACCACAGAGGAGCTCAAATTTGAAGGTCTCGCCTGATCAAACACACTTTCTGAGTAATGAAGTATTGAGCCAATCCTTGGAATAAAAAGCCTGTAAGTCTCCTTGGAAATATACTGCCATTTGGAACACGTTCATCTCCTGCTTGTGGGCATATCCCCTCTGGGTCCGTTTGCTTTCTAAATTTCAACTATTAAAATGGAAATAAATGATTTGCTATATCTAAGGTGGGACTAACATCTGATCCATGTTCGGTCTTCCAAACAGGGTACTAAAGGTGTTGGTAGTTCTGATGTAATAAATAGTACTTAAGTTGACCTAATACATTTCTGAATAAGAAACTATTGCAATTGTAAAACAGGTAGTTTAAATAGGATTGATCACTTTTTCCTTTTGATAAATTTACCTACTTGTGTATTATGCGTGTTTTAAATGCATTTGCTTTTTATTCAAAGAACAGAAATACCACTTTTTTCTACTTGTCCAAATTTTAGAAAGCTTATTCTTATTGCACATTAATGAACAAATATATACTGAGATTTCCTAAAGGAAGTCACCGGAAACGGGTCTGAGCTCTATACTTGTTGCACTATCAAAAATAAACACTAAGTTTACCTAAGGTAAGTTGCATTTATGAAACAGCATGACTCCAGGATGAGAACACCTGGGCTGCTGCCCCATTTTTAGATTCTCAGGAGTCAGTAATTAATTCTCCATAACTCATCTTGGGTGTATATCCTTAGGATTTGCTCGGATAACAAGGAGTTTTTTAAGAAACATGCTGAGTGAACAGCATTGTTGGAGGTGTTACTTCCTTATTCAGCTAATAACTTGGCTTCTAAGGGGTAATACCCAAACCCCAAAAGCTATAAGAAGAATTGAATTAGTGGCTATAAGACTATGATTGCTGGGGTGTGTATATCCTTGGACTCAAAGTCCTAGAGGATTATAACATAGCAATTCCTCCCCAAACAGATGTAGGTTCCTGAAAACACCCAGTGAAGTACTATTTGAGGCTGAAGAACTTAAAACCATACACAAAGAAATAGAAAACACTTGGCAGACTCAGGTTATAAGTAAGCTTTAAATCTCTTATATTTTAAGGTTTACTAAAATACAATAACAAAAACAGAACCCCAAATAGAAATTATGTTCGTATTATTTTACATAAATAAGTGATTTATAGTTAATTTCCATTTTTCATTCTTTTGCTGGAAATTTAACTGGAAATCTCTGCATTTCAGTAAGAGGTATCTAGTTTCATTTAAAAAATGTCATGGCTCAAGGCTTTCATCAGAAATCACGTGTCATCCCCCTTTCAGCTCCTCCTGTCCTTAGTCATGCTGTTTTCTTCCTCGTGGCTGCAAGATACCTACTGCATCTGTCAGCATCAGGACCACTCACAAGGCAGGAATTAGGAGAAAGCAGAGGGAAATAGCAACATTCTTTTCTTTCTGAGGCTTTGTCCCCTGCTGTGGAAGGAAAGCCTCTAGAACCCCATTCACCTGCATCTCACTGGTGTCACATCTGCCCCTTAGCCAAAGGGGGGTCTAGGAAGTTAAATATTCTGAACTGATGACATTTCTGCCCTAAACAAATAAGTATTTTATTACAGAAGAAGAGGAAAATTGAATCCTATAGATAACTAGCCATATTTACTGCAAATCTTTTTCTGAATTTTTTACTCTGAGGTTAACACCCATCACCTACTTCCCAGCATCCCAGCTCTTCAGTACTTCTCTTTACTCATATATCCTCGCATGCTTTGGTTCTTAGGCCTTAGGTTACTTTCCATTATCTTCTTTTATCTTTTCAGTATTCCATTACACATATCTCTATTCCTTTCCTTCCAACTTTCTCTGCCTCCTTTTGTCTATGACTAATTTGTTGTTTTTTTCTAAGTACCCCTGATAGGAGCTGCTGTTAATCCAAAATTCTTTTGTTAGCCAAAAACATACCCAGAAATAAATTCATGTATATCCATTAGTCAGATATTTTTATATCTATTAAGTTTTATATCCATAAAATTTGTGTGAGTTTGCTAGGAGTTCCTCCCAAGGGGGTGGCACTCAGATAGGTCTTTGGTTATAGATGGAGGGCCATGAGCTCAGGTGACCCAGGTGACTGGGCCGAAGAGGCAGAGTCCTTGTGGAAAACACAAAGGTCTAAGAGTAGGGTATCTGAGACTGGCAGGAGCCAGGGCAGTATGGAGATTGGAAAAGGGTTGTATGAGGAACTTGTCTTTACAGTATTAGTAAACATGCTGCAGTACTTTGTTGATTTCTTGGTAAAATTGTGAAAAAAATTATATGCATCCAATACTGTTGGATGCACTTGTTGGAAGTAAGAAGGGGTGGGTGGCTGAGATACCAAAGTGAACAGCCAGACTGACCTAGACACAATGAGAAATGGAAGCATCAAGTCAGCAGAGGAGAGCCTCCCAGACATCCTGCACAGCATGGGCAGTGTGGGAGAACTCCAGATGTCTTTTTTCCCAAGAAGCAAGCTCACACACCCCCGTGGACCCCTTGGGACCTGGGGATGAAACTGTGAGACAGACTTTCTTCTTGGGAGAAGCAGACATCTGGTAGTAAAAACTACCTTTGAATCTAGACAATCTAATTGCTCAACTCTAACCAATGCACAGTTTAACAAAATGCTATACATGTAAGGATTTTCCACACTACCTACTTCCTTTAATGAAAATGAATCTGGTGCCCATTGGAATGTGAGAAGGTGTAATAACTGGACAAAAACAAGGACAGTAAGGAGGGAGGAAGGCTGAGATGTCGGGTGCAGGCCCCAACATTTTCGAGCAAGACTGACTGCCAATGAGGAAGGAAAAGGAGCTGCCATTGACAAATGGACGTACAGGACTGCCAGCTGGAAGAACACTGGAGGGAAGGAATGACACTGAGCTCATGTATTGAATGTTGACATGCTGAGCCTTCAAGATCAAATAGCTCATGAGAAAATGCCTGCTTGAAATGATTCTATGTTCAAAATGTGCTCTTACAATTTAGACATAGTTACTACATTTGTTTTATATCAACAGCAGTGATTATACAGTGCCCTAGCTTTTCCAGTTGCTTCTTAACACACATAGTCTATCAAAATCTACAAGACATGGTTTAAAATGAGAGGTAAATGAATGCTTGCATTAGGTTTTGGTTACATTTAGATCAGGGCAGTGGGCTTTGTGTGTTGAGTTGCTGCTATAGGAACGGAAGTTAAGTACCAGATCTTTGGAAAGTTGTGCTGAGTTTGAATTTTGAACTGTGGTCCTAATTGTATGGCAAATTGCATCATTTTTTTCTCAAACTATGTCCACGTAAGCATCATGGACATAATGATGAGAGAAGATACTTTTTAACTAATTATAATTATAGAGTGAAAACACAACTAGAGTTTATTACAACCCTGAATTCATAACACATTAAAGTTATTGCCATATAAAAATAATATATACTCCTTTAGCTTTTGTTCCAAGATATTCAAGAAATAAGGACATTTCCCTTGGAAATAACTATATTCATGTCAACATCAATTTCTAGTTCTTATTTTGATGTGTAAAAGTGAGAAAAATCTAAAATCACATAATCTTCACTGCTCTCTTTGCCATTTGTAGAAAATGCTAGTCAAGTTCTCAGAAATTCCCAAGGCTTTCTTGTTAAAATATATTCATTGAGTTGTAATTAAGTAAAAATAATTTATATAGAAGACAATCATCGATAGAAATGAAATTTTTAAAAAAGCTCCAGTATCCTTGGTTCTTGTTTTTGTTTTTTTCTACATGAAATGTCTAGTGGAAAAAAAATCCATAAAAATGAGTCACTCAATTGTTGCAAAGTATGTTGTCATATCAGTTGCAATGGTCAGTTTTTCATTTTGTTAAAACAGTTTCTCTAAGAAAAGGAAAGTTATTTCAATATGCTTTATCCCCCACTAAAATTTTCTTATAAAAGCAAATAATTTCTCTCTGGTCACACCATGTTCTTATTAGATTAATATTTAGATGACTTAATTGTGTTCATTTTCATGTTTGAATATAGCTACTGCATATGCTAGGTAAAAGATAAACTTTCTATTTTTTAAAATTGTCAACTATGGCATTATTTGGTTGTAAATAGGCAGACTTTTATGGCTTTCAAAAACAAATATAATAGTTACAAATTTAACTTATACTACAATTGAGATATGATTTTTATCTATAAATGTTGCGAACTTCTCTCTGATCTCCAGTAGCGGGGGGAAGAATCTCTAACATTTAGCACTGTCTGGGTGAAATCTTAGTTCCAATTAGTAAGCAATCCCTTCAGATAATAATCAGCTCTTGGAAAAAAGACAGAAAAAGAGCCTTCCACATTTTTTATCTTGAGTATCCCCACTGATTCTTCCCTAAGATGGCTTCTGTGGATCTGGGGGGACAGGTGTGGTTTTTTTATGCATCTTCTGGGTGGTGGACCTAATCCACCTGGTTGGTACTCACCCAGCTGGCACCTGTGGCTGAATTCTGTGGCTGCTGCACAATGTAGAGTGTCCATGAAGTCCCTGCCTGCAGGCTGTGGATTGTCTTCATGCTCCCCTCTATTCTCCACACAAGACTTAGCATTCTTCACATTCTTCCGGACCTCTTCTTCGATGCTGATGGTTGGGAATCATTAACACAGTCCCTGAGAATAAATAGTTGTTTCTTTGCTCTTCATGTGGTTACAGCATGGGCTCATCTGGGATAGGGTAGGGGTGGGAGGACTTTGTGGCCACTCCGTCATCATCATCTCGTCTCTTCTTGACTGATTCAGTCCTGTCCCGGTTCCTCGGGGGCTACAGACACTTCTAATCCTGGGCCTGGTGACCCACTCTGTAATGCTCTCTACAGGGCACCCCACTGCCACTATAACAACCCCCACTGGGCTGCTCCGCACCAGAGACTCAGCAGCTGCAGGATCCTATATAAATACCACAGAGCCACGTGGGGCCACCACAATCTTCTCCTGGCCTACTGTACTGCCAAGTGACACAGCTTCTCTCTGGGTGGTGCAGAACAGCCTATGAGCCTGTCCCCGACCAGTCCCAAGGGAACTAGGACAAAAGCAGCCCTACCCATGCCTAATTCTGCATTCTCTTCAGTCCTCTAAGCTGGGCGGGACAGGGGTGGGGTAAGGTGGGTGGTGCTTGGAACACACATCATCTCTGTACTTGGCTTTCCTAGTTCTTTTCCATTCTGCTTCCTTCTTCCCACCATCCTTTGGGGAAAAAAAGGGTGGGTTGTCTATTTTGTGATGTCGTATCTTCTGCCATGTAGCAGCAGGTCTTGAAGCTTTGCTGTCATAGGGAGTAAAGGTTTCTTCTCTAGCCCACAGGAAAATTCTGTAAGCTAGATCCTCCAGGCTGGGACTATGGTATGTTAAAGAGGAGACAGAGTATTTGGGAAATCTCTCAAGGAAATAACCTGACTTGAAAGTCTTTTTTTTTTCCTGCATAATCTTATTTTTTTAGTGCCAGAATTGGAAAAATATAATATTTTTGCATTCTTTCTTTCTTCAATTACATGGGCACCCAAGACAACTAAGGGAAGGCTACCCTCTCAGAAGGATGAAAGAGAGAAGTGCTTCACTTAATTTTCATCACTTTATCTAGTTGCAAAATAAACATGTTGCTGTGGGAAGCCACCTCATTTCTATATGGAAATGGATGTGTCAGCTTACCAATTCCTTTAAAAAAAATCATGGAAGAGGCAAAGTTTTGGATCTTTTTCTTGGTGGAGTTTTTGTTACCATATAAAGAAGACAGAACATTATTTGTTTTTGCAGGCAAACTTCTTGCAGCAAGTGCACAATAGTGCATTATACAAATAGCTACTCATTTTTCTTTATTTTGTATTCTAGGCAGCAAAGCTTGATGTTTTACCAAGCATAGCAGGAGGTACCATCAGTAAGAACTGATCCACACACATGAAGTGTTAGCTAATGGTTCAAAAAGAAATCTTGGATGAGATTGAACACATTGATTCCTTTCATAGTTAACTGAAGCAGTTCACAAGAGAAGAATTCATCTACACTCTCTTCCTTAGATACTGCAAAAATAACAACAGCTGACTACAGCCATTATTATCACTTGGCTCATCAAGCTGAATACCTAAAGGGGAATAGGTTTTGCATTCTCTATAACTTGCTTCTAGATATCCTGGTTTCTCACTTAAATTTTAAAACAGATCTCATAATTAAATAACATGCTGAGGCTTGTTTGATACATCTCCTTTCAATGCAGTTAAAGAAAAAATTTCAGTGCCACCAGATTCACCCATCACAGGGGCTACTTTTCCTAGGCATATGAATTTTCCACTTGATCAGATGTTGGTATCCAGGGTTTTTCAAGTCACGCAAAGTCACATGTCCGCAATGCTCGGCTGTGATCAAATCCCTCCCTTGTATGTTCATGATAATAAGTATATCTTCTCACATTAAAAAATATTTAATGGGCCGGGTGAGGTGGCTCATGCCTGTAATCCCAGCACTTTGGGAGGCCAAGGCAGGTGGATCACGAGGCCAGGAGTTCGAGACCAGCCTGACCAACATGGTGAAACCGCATCTCTACTAAAAATAGAAAAATTAGCTGGGTGTGGTGGTATGTGCCTGTAATCCCAGCTACTCAGGAGGCTGAGGCAGTAGAATCGCTTGCACCCGGGAGGCAGAGGTTGCAGTGAGCAAAGATCGCGCCACTGTACTCCAGCCTGGGTGACAGAGCGAGACTCCGTCTGAAAAAAAAAAAAAAAAAAAAAAAAAAAAAAAATTTAATATCAGAGTTTCAATGTTTGAAGTAACAAGGTACACAGTTCATTCACACGGCAGTCAGCGCGTTCCATCCCTACTTGCCAATGTAAGAGTGAAGCTGGAAACACCACAGGAGTTACTGGGGAATAAGAGGCTGTCAGTCCCCACAGTGTAAGGAGCCTTCTGGGATCTTGCAGTTGCCATTGGTTGAACACCCCCTCATATGTTCAAAGCCTTGTGCTGCAGGCTATGGACAGCCCTGCGTGAAGCACACAGCTGGGTTTCCCCATCAAGGAGCAAAGAAGCCCCCAGTTCTCTGAGACTCACCATCTATATAGTGTGAGGAATAAACAAAACTTGTGGTTGGGAAATAGAATAATGTTATATTTTCCCATAAATTCTTCCAAAAGTGAATTGCCACTTGCAACTCAGCAGGAAAAATGTCAGTATTAGTGTTGGGCAAGGGACTAATCCAGATTCAATAAAAAGTCTTCATTATAAGACATTTCCTCTCAGGTGAATAACTAGTCCTTTTCATGTTGGAACAGTTACAGAAACTGAATTTTTTTAGTTTATAAAAATTTTGCCTTAAGGTAAGCAACACCTGTTTAGTGAATCTTGAAAAAATAGTCTTTTATTTATTTATATATTTAATGAAATGCCAATTCTTTTTGCAAAGCAAACTGGGATATGAAGATAAAAGGGTAAAAAAAAAAGTTCTTTGATGCATTGTCATAGTGAATGCATATTGAATCTCTCTATATTAGTGACTGTGCAGTATATAATATGCAATATCAGTTACACATCTCCATCTGAAGGAAATTAAATCCTAATTATACAAGAGGAACCCACAAAGTTCACTTTTTCCTTTTAAATGGCAGAATGTTGTTCACTGAGAGGAAATAGTTACTTCTCTGTTCCATGTAATTTTCATAGAACAGATGTGTCTGAGGCTGGTTTTTAAAGAGTGTAGCAGGCATTGTTGGGAATAAATCTGGGGAAAAGTGCACAGGACTAAATTTGGAGAGAGCTGCTTAGCCCTGTGACCTTTACAAAACTATGTCACTGTTCTGTGTTTTGTCTGAGAAAATGAGCTAGCGATAATATCCCAGGTGCCTCACAAGACACACATTCCTAAAGGTAAGGGGTCTTCTGGGTCTTCTGGGATCTTGTAGTTGACATTGGTTGAATACTACCTATGTTCAAAGCATTGTGCTGCAGGCTATGGGTAAGCCAATGAACAAAAGGGACCCAGCTACTGTCCTTAGGGAGCCCACACACAACTTTCTATGCATGGAATCACTTCCAAAATGAGAACTATCAGAGATGACTCAGGGTTATGGTAAAGGTAAAAGACACACTAAATGGAAAATCTGGAAGCTTCTTTAGACAAACAGATTGTGTCTCTATATATATCTAGATTATTAAAGTGTGCTCTGATACAGAGTTAACATATTTCTGAAAAGTTGTGTAAACTGATTGTGGTGAGCATTTTCAGAAACCCCCGAGCTCCCATCCCATCCTTTGTCCTTTGGAATTAATGTGAAAAATGAGCACTATCTTGGCTTTCCTTTCTCTTCTCCCATTTCTCCCCATATACCTATTATTTCTGATTTATTTGTATAATAAATACGGGCTTTAAAGATTGGGTTTTTTTTTTTTTCTTAACAAAAAGCTTGTAGACATGTTTTCTTCAAGTTATTTTCTTAGTTATTATTTTCTGCTATGTCTAATACCAATATTGCCGCAGGGAGTGTGTAAAAAGGGAGGAATGCAGATGTTTTTCTATTTGTTTTTACTATCATAGAGTGGAAAAAACATGGACCAGTTAGAAGCAGCTTCATCACTATCTGTGTAGGTGACCCTAGAATGTGGGTGACTTAGACTTCAGTGCACAAAGAATTGGATGGTTGTTAATGCAAATAACCCAGTCCTCAACACCAGAAATTCTTTCTTGCGTTTAAAAGTAGTCCTGTACACAGTTAGAAATGCTTTCAGCTACAAGTAGTAAAACAGTAAATAATAATATTTCACATAATAAATCTCTTAATAATGGTTCTAGGGTTGATGCACCTCAACAATGTCATCAGTGTCCCTGGTTCTTTCTTTTTGTCCTACCTTCTCAACATGTTAGCATTTCATCCAGTCATCTCAACTTATGGCCACAGATAACTGCTGCTCCCGGTGACACAGTCTCTCACATGCTCAAGGAATGGCACCAGACAGCTCTCCTGTGTACTTTTATCTTTTTTCAGAAGCAAAAGCTTTCCCAAGAACTCCCCACTCCTGGTGGAGTCTCCTTATATGTTTCTGGCTGATTCTAGCTGCAGAGAGATGGGAAATGTATTAGGGTTCTCCAGAGAAACCAGTAGGATGGAGATATATATAAAGAAAATAAGATTTAATATGATAAATTAGTCATGCAGTTATGAAGGCTAAGAAGTAAGTCCCACAATCTGCCATCTGCAAGCTGGAGACCCAAGAAAGCAGGTGGTGGTGTTATAAGAAAGGGGTCCTGATCCAGACCCCAAGAGAGTGTTCTTGGATCTCCCACAAGAAAGAATTTGGGGCAAGTCCATAGAGTAAAGTGAAAGCAAGTAAGTTATTAAGAAAGTAAAGAAATAAAGAATGGCTACTCCATAAGCAGAGCAGCAGCATGGGCTGCTCTGCTGCTTATACTTATTGTGGCTTCTTGATTATATGCTAAACAAGGGATGGATTATTCATGAGTTTTCTGGGAAAGGGGTGGGCAATTCCCAGAACTGACGGTTTCTCCCCTTTTTAGACCATATAGGGTGAATTCCTGACATTGCCATGGCATCTATAAACTGTCACGTCCCTGGTAGGAGTGTCTTTAGCATGCTAATGCATTATAATTGGCATATAATGAGCAGTGAGGACGACCAGAGGTCACTCTTGTCGTCATCTTGGTTCTGGTCGGTTTTGCCCAGTTTCTTTACTGTGACCTATTTTATCAGCAAGATCTTTATGACCTGTATCTTGTGCTGACCTCTTATCTTATCCTGTGACTTAGAACACCTAACCTCCTGGGAATGCGGCCCAGCAGGTCTCAGCCTTATTTTACCTAGCCCCTATGCAAGATGGAGTCACTCTGGTTCAAATGCCTCTGACAGTGTAATTCAGTCCAAGTCCAAAGGCCTGAGAACCAGAGGAGTTGATGGTGTAAATCCCAGTCTAAGGACTAGAGATGATGAGATGACCCAGGTCAAGGGGTGAGGCAGGAAAAAGAGGGCAAATTCCTCCTTCCTCCACCTTTTGTTCTATTGAGACCCTCAGTAGATTAGATGATGCCTACCCATGTCGGGGAGGGCAACCTACTAAGTCTGTTGATTCAAATGCTAATGTTATTTGGGAACACTCTCACAGAGACGCTTGGAAATAATATTTAATCTGGGAACCCCATGGCCAGTCAAGTTGCTCCACGAAATTAACCTTCACAGGATGGTATTGGGAAAGAGAAATGTGATAACATGACTAGAGCTGAAAATTGAGAACCCCCTCTGGCCAGGCACGTAGCCATCTGAGCACACCTGAGGTCCTGCTGTAAGTGAAGTAGCAGAGGATGGCTGTTAGGGACACAACATCAGCGGTTACCACCACCCTGAGGGCAACTGATGCTGGTGTCCATTAACCACACTTTATACCACTGGTTGCCAAACATCTGGGTTAAATCAGAATCATCCAAGAGCTTTAATAAGTGCAAGAGGTCTGGGCCTCCCTGATTCAGTGGGTCAGGGTTGAGGCCTCAGCATCCTGACTCTCTAAAAGCTCATTAGCTTAAAAACAAAACAAAGCAAAATAAACAAAACTCAGGTGATGCGGTGATTCTGGTGCACAGCTGGGATTGAGAACTTACTGGTCCAATCATTTAATTTCTCCGAACAGCAGTTAGAAGCCCATGGAGATAACACTGGGATAATAATAGTGTTCGTCCCAGAGGGTAGGTGTGAGGTATAAATGGTTTGGTATACATAAAGTTGAAGCTCAAGCCGGCACATAATAGTTTTGGATCTCAGTCCGCCTTCCCCTTATGCCAGATGCCAGATGGTTTTAGAGGCAGATTCCAGTTTCTTCCAAAGAAAGTGTTTTTTCAAAAATAGTGACAAGTAGACTTGTTTGTCTTGGCTACTGTACTAGTTCCCTATTGCTGCAGCAACAAATTACCACAAACTTAGCAGCTTAAAATGACACCAGTTCATCATCTCACGCTTTTGTAGGTTACAACTCCAGGCAGGCTAGGTTGGGTTCTATACTCAAGAGTCTCACAGGCCAAAGTCAAAGTGTTGTCAGGGCTTTTCCCTGGAGGCTTGGGTAAGAATCCACTTCCAAGCTCATTGAGAATATTGGCAGAATTCCACCCTTGTGGTTTTAAGACTGAAGTCCCTGCTTTCTTGCTGGATGTCAGCTGGGGTCCTCTCTGCTCCTAGAGGCCATCCACATTCCTTCTCATATGGTCCCCTCGATGTTCAAAGCAGCAACTCTTTAACTTCCTCTTCTGCCCCTCTTTGGAAAAGCTAATTTTACAGGCTTATGCGATTACACTAGGCCCGTGCAGGCAATCTCCTTATTTTAAGGTTAATTGTACCTTATAACATAATCATAGAAGTGATATCTCAATCTTCACAGGTTCTGAGGATTAGGATGGGACGTCCCTCAGGGCATTTTCAGAAATTCTGCCTACCATAGCTGTCTGTCCACTTTGCTGTTCAGCAACCCTTTCCCCAGAGGCTCTCATCCAGCCTTCAATCTTATCAGCTGGTATTTAGCAATCTCCAGGTGAAGTGTTAGCATCTATCATGTCTTTCACTGCAGCTCCATGTAGGTATAATCATTTCCTATGTTGGGCGAAAACCAAGGCAGGAATGACGGCAATTTCACTTGCTGCATTTGTGGGTCCCATGGACATAGAGGAATAGTAGGCTGGCCTGACCTCGAGAGGTTCGGGGCCTCAGGTATTCAAGCCTAGGATTTCAGTTAAACACAAAATGACAAACAGCAATAGGAGACAGGTGAAGGACACTGACAGGTGAGCACTTCTGGAGTTCAGAAGCTGTCACGAATAAAGATGATTTCAGAGCAGATGGGCCTGGGAAATCTTTCCACGGCCACTCCAGTCATACTGCACTGGCAGCCACCCACTTCCCTCCTTCCTAAGCTCAATTCTACTTTTCACAGAAGCCCAAATTGGTTCTGGCAGATCTGAAATTACTGTTTTGGAGCAAGGCATACCTTGTAGTTGTCCAGATAATTTTTTGGGAGTTCTCAGGCCAATACTATTTTAGTCTGCTTTTCAATCTTCAAATTGGAATATTTTTTAAATATTGAAAATCAGGCCAGGCACACTGGCTTATGCCTGTAAGCCCAGCATTTTGGAAGCCTGAGGCAGGAGGATTGTTTGAGCTCAGGAGTTTGAGACTAGTCTGGGCAACATAGGAGACCTCGTCTCTACAAAAAATTTTAAAAAATGCTGGGCATGGTGGCACATGCTTGTGGTCCCAGCTGCTCAGAAGGCTGAGGTGGGAGAATCTCTTGAGCCCAGGAGTTTGAGACTGCAGTGAGCCATGACTACACCACTGCACTGCAGCCTGGGTGACACAGTGAGACCATGTCTCAAAATAGAAACAAACAAACAAACAAATGACCAAAAATCAAAGCACAAAGAAATCTGCTGGAAATGGGAGGGTCTGGGATAATCTTGAAAAACCTAAATGAAAAAAATTACAGGTTTGAAGACAGAAACTGTAGATGAGCTTCATGACCACTTTTTTTTACTGTCATTCTATACGGAACACTGTGGTATGTGGGCCAGTCCCCACTTCAAGTTTGAGGCACCCATTCTTCAGCTGCTGGGAGTGCTGGCAGCTGATGACCCTCAGCTGAGTTCTTCTCAGGGAATTAAGAGGAGCTGAAGAGAGCTGTCTTGTCCAAGGTCATGGCTCCTCCCTGGGCGGTCCTTATCCAATGACTCGTAAATATTAGGGTAGCAAGGACAGACTCCAGTAGAACAAGACCAAAGGGCTATCCTGGCTGCACAGTTTCCCTGAGGAATTGGCTTAGGCCTTTGCTAGGACTGCTTCATGGTCCAACTTCTCCCTCCACCCAATTCTGCTCCCTCCATTTCCCCATAGGCGTCAATCTCAAAGGCACTATTGGGTATCCAATTTTTTGGCTTCCCTGGGCCACACTGGAAGAAGAACTGTCTTGGGCCACACACAAAATACACTAACACTAACAATAGATGATGAGCTTTAAAAAAAATTTTTTTTAAAGAAAGTTTACAAATTTGTGTTGGGCCACATTCAAAGCCGTCCTGGGCCACATGCAGCCCACAGGCTGTGGGTTGGACACACTTGGGTCCTACGACCTTCCTGTATGCTCATCTGTGGCTAGCAATAGAGTTGAGCAAGTCTCATCAACCTTGCTAGAGGCCTTCAACACATGTGCCTGTGTGTATGTGTCCATGTGCACATGTGTCTGTTTTCATGTTAAATTGACAATAAATGGGCAAACGATCTAACAGTTTAAAATATGATTGGAAAGGAAATTTTTTAGATTTTAGAATCCCATCACAAGCTTCAATTTTTCTTTTTAAAGTGTCAATTTCATCCCCACAAAAAAGTTACAAAAGTGAACAATTGAAAGATGAAAATTTCAGAGAGGCTTAAGTGTGTGAAATTCCTTTCGTTCAATGATGCACTAGAGATATCTGCATTTGAGCACAGTCATGATGAGGGGTAGATTGTCAGCCATAGTTAGCTATCCAGGATATGGCATTTACAAAATAATGGCATTATGTCAAAGTTCAAATGAATACCATGTTCAAATGAATACCATTTAAGAATGCCCCACTATCTTTGGAAAAATGGCTCAAGGAAATCATTTCCCACAAATCCATCTTACTTCTTCTGAGGAGCAGTTGGTTGAGGTAGTGGGGAATGTGGCCTGAAGAGGTAGCTCTGATGAAGTGCTACTCCTTAGGTTGTAACTGGGCCCCTCTGTAGAGCAGCATGTGCCCTGACTCACTGACCTCCAGTGGGGATATTTTAACGTGTTAATTTCACTGAAACAGACATGCTGATGCTAAGCTAGTATTAGAAAACTTCCCAAGAGAAAAATAGATAGTATGTAAGAATAGGTCAAGGTGGAATTAGTCTGGATATTAAGACATGTGAGATTCACATATGTAAGTATCCACTTGTTTCATGTCCCAAGATACCCAATTCTATAAATATTTTCTAGGTCTTCTGCTGTCTTTGGTTTTCATGGAAATTGGGATAGTTTGAAAAGAGCACTCCTTAATTCAACCTTAAACAGTTTAGGGCATCAGGTGCTCTTGAATGTGGTGGGAAACTAACAAAGCCAGTTGTGTATGAGAGGTTGAGTGGAAGGTTCTGGTTTCCTGTGATATTACATCTTGGGTAAAATGTATCTTGGGGACCAGGCCACCTTTGTAAAATCAACAGATTGGCCATAAGATTAAAAATTATGACTCAGGAGTCATGCACCCAGAGGTTACAAGATTACTAACCTCCCCAATTGCTCCTATAGATAACATTACTACTATAAAACCTAAGATTGGTGCTTGAGATATCTTTTAGACCCTGCATTCTGATGGATCAGCTGGCACCACCCAGAATGGTAAACCAACTCATCTGGTCTTGTGGCCCCTACCCAGGAACTAACTCATGCCTGCCAAAGTGTCTTTAAAAAATCCTAGCCTCCAAATTTTTGGGGAGGCTGATTTAAATAATAGTAAAATTCTGGTCTCCTATTTAGCTGGCTCTATGCATATTAAAATCTCTCTCTATTGCACTTCCCTGTCTTTACAAATTGGCTGTATCTGGGCAGCAGGCAAGATGAACTGGTTACAATCTCATTTGATTCTTTAAGGATAATACTTTGCTAAACTCTGAGACTTCTTTACCTCACTACGATGTTGGTCAGCAGAAGGTCAGTGGGGTTCTTAGATTTTCATTTGTATATACACCATTGCCACCATGTGGGGCAGCATAGATTTTATGGCTTCCATAAGGTGTAACAGATTCATTCATCCTATTCAAAAGGTGACTGACATATTCTTGCCAAAGACAGAATTCAACCAAAAATAACTAGAAAATGTAACTGAATACCAAAAAAATAACAGACAATAGACCTAGACCAATAGGGGATCTTGATAATGTGACTATCCAACATGGATTCTATAATGATTTGCTTAAAATGTTTAAGGAAATAAAAATTAAGATTGAGGACATTGGCAGAGACCTGGAAATATAAAAAATAACCAAATGGAAATTCTAGAATTGAAAAACTTGATAAATGAAATCAAGAACTCAACAGATGGGCTTAACAGAGAACAAATACTACCAATAAAACTTCTTTATTTTTTTTGAGACAAGAGTCTCGCTCTGTTGCCCAGGCTGCGGTGCAGTGGCACGATCTTGGCTCACTGCGATCTCCACCTCCCAGGCTCAACTGATTCTCATGCCTCAGCCACTCAAGTAGCTGGGATTATAGCTGTGTGCCAACACGCCTGGCTAATTTTTGTATTTCTAGTAGAAATGAGGTTTCATCATATTGCCCAGGCTGGTCTCAAACCCCTGGGCTCAAGGGATCCACCCGCCTCGGCTTCCCAAAGTGCTGGGATTACAGGCGTGAGCCACTGCACTTGGCTGCCACAAAACTTTTCATTACAGAAGTTACTGAGTGACCTCCCCCAAACTCTACAAATTCCCACAAGAAGCTTAGCCTCCAAAAGGCGAGCTCGTTTGCCCTGGACAGTTCATGGCTTTATCTTTGGTGAATGGGCATTTGTTGTCTTTGAGTTATGTTCTTTACTTCCAAGTCCTTATCCTTAATTGGTCATTTTGGATCGACATGTCTGAAAAGTATTATCAGCCCTCTGTAATAGTTAAGTTGGAGAAGCCATCTCTATACACTGAGTTCCTGCGGGCAGGATTGTATCTTTTCCTCTCTGCGATCCCAGGACCAGCAAAATACCTGGGGGCAAATCAGTCATTCCTATGAATGTAATAGGACTTGAAGAGTAGAAGGAAAGT
The DNA here is from genome assembly GCF_000001405.40 of Homo sapiens. Taxonomy (NCBI): domain Eukaryota; kingdom Metazoa; phylum Chordata; class Mammalia; order Primates; family Hominidae; genus Homo; species Homo sapiens. The sequence goes on along the minus strand of NC_000007.14, from coordinate 7,260,483 downwards.
GAGGGAAGGGTTAATGACAGACTTCAAAAAAACCAAACCCTAGGTCAGGGCCTGGACTAAGCAACACTTCAAAGTTGCTTCTCCTCTCAAAGCAGTTTCTTCTGTCTGTGCTTCCCCTAGTTCCTCACCACACCCTCAGTCTGGCTAGTCCTCCCTTCACAATGACAGGTCAGAGATCCTTACTGAAAGATACGGTGTTTATTCTCTGTGAGAGTAATATGTTATAGTAAGCGGGAGATTTCACTCAACACCTGATTGGTGATGATGGAGAAGGGGGCCGGTCTTTTTCCACTTCTCTAATGGTAATATTTTCTCCCAACTTGCTTGCATGTTTACAGCAAGCTTCAGTGTATAGCTAAATTTTACCCAGTGGAAATTATGGGGATCGCAATATGCAATTTAAGTAAGTAACTCTTTAGTTACTTTGACCCAACTAAAATACTAAAGCAGAAAAAAAAAGGGGTGAACCAAGTTGCAGGCCTCTTCCTGCAAGCAATGTAGTGAGGTAGAAAATGGGATCAATGTACTTGTGTTCCCTCAAGATACATCTCCCTTCTCCATCCAAACTGTTGAACTAAATGAAGAGTGAGGTCCTTGAGGAATGAGCTTTTCCCCGTTTTGTTAATGGGGGAGGCTAATATTCCTGAAAGATAGCTCTAAAATGTTGTCAGAACAGTCAAGAGTTAACAGCAATTGTCCATGGCTCCAGAAGCCTGATTGTTACTTGTCAAATTGCTTCCGGTGTTCTTTCCCACATGAAAGAGGGGGGTGACTGACTGGCTATTAGGGCAATAGGGGATTTGATGTCTGTTTGACCACACCCCAGCCTCCTGGGTGTGATTTTGATTTATATTAAAGCTGACAAAATGAATCAAATGTTTGCTGACCTTGTGTATATAGAATAGCTTGGGTTGGATCTTGAGAGAAATTACCTGTTGGAGAGGGGAAAGAGAAAGTTACCATCAACACTCCTGATTTTATTTTATTTATTTTTTTTTTTGAGACGGAGTCTCGCTCTGTCGCCCAGGTTGGAGCACAGTCGCGCGATCTCGGCTCACTGCAAGCTCCGCCTCCCAGGTTCGCAGCATTCTCCTCCTTCAGCCTCCTGAGTAGCTGGGACTACAGGCGCCCGCCACCGCGCCCGGCTAATTTTTTTTTTTTTTTTTTGTATTCTTAGTAGAGACGGGGTTTCACCGTGTTAGCCAGGATGGTCGTGATATCCTGACCTCGTGAGCCGCCCACCTCGGCCTCCCAAAGTGCTGGGATTACACGCGTGAGCCACCACGCCGGGCCAAACACTCCTGATTTTAATACATCATGCCATAGGATGAAGTTAATTTTTAGCTCCGTTGAGAGGAAACAACTACCATCCTGCCGCATAGTAGAGAGTCTGGAGAAAAACAGTGTCAGCTGAAACCTCTACTTTCTTTAATTTCATTAAAAAATTGATCTCATTGATGCCATCAACTGTGCTTCTGGGTAAAGTCGCTGGTTCACATTTTCAGTTTCAATTTCCCTTGCTTCTCTTGCTTCAGTTTCAGTAGCAACAGGAAGTTTGGGTAATTCTATATCATTTAAATGTGAAGAGGAAGAAAGAAAACCCTTTATAAACACATCCTGATGAGTGAGTGTCAGAAAATTCTATGCAGAGACGTGGAGTAATCAAAGAGCAAATTCAGAAAATATTCTCTAAGTTTAGGATTTGTAGACTACTGAATTATAAATTTATACTGATTAATACATAGCAAAGGTTACATTAATATATTAAATCATGAATTTATATTATCTTGAGGTGATTGACCCTATGAGGTCACTTATAAATTGATTTTATGAGCACATAACACTTTATCTCTTTCCACCCTCTAAGTCTGTATATTATTAAAATACAGAAGACTAGACTTGATGTGTTTCAAAACTTCAGGCGCAGGTTAAGTTCCACCACTCAGTTCTGCTTCACTTGTTCTCACTCTGAGTCACTCAACCTCTGAACACGTTTTTCATTTGGTCAACTTATTTGAGCATTTGTCCAAGTAGCCTGAGTGGGTCTAAGTATAAGACATGAAATAAAGAGCTTGACATGGCAGAGACTGTCAGACTTTCAGAGAGAAAAAACAGTTTACTTAAGAATCTCAGAAATAGCTGGTCATGTCTAAGTTAGGGTCCCTAAGAAAATACAGGTGATTTCACTTTGTATTTCCCCCATTCCTTTCCCCCTTCCATTTCCGAAATTTGGTATTTTGAAAAGGATGAAGATCGATTTGGAAGTAGCTTACTTTAAAAAGGAACATAGTAACAGGAAATTGTAAAGTAACATTCTGTTAGGTTTCAAGGCTGATTTGTGTTAACAAGCTGACCACAGCCCTAAGACATGCTTGAAACCCTTAGTGCAGGGAGACAAAATAGGAACAGGGCTGAGCCTGATGCGGCCTCATTTGGGTTTGGTTGTTGCTGCCCCACTTGTAAAAACAATACAGACTGCGAAATAGACAGTCGTCCCTCAGTATCCTTGGGGTACTGGTTCCAGGACCCCCTCTGATACCAAAACCCATGGATGTTTAAATCTCTTATATAAAATGGTATAGTATTTGCATATAACCTATGCTTATCCTCTTGCATACTTTAAATCATCTCTATAATACCTAATACGAATGCTATGGAAATAACAGTTATACTGTATTGTTTATATTTTTGTCATATTATTTTTTATTGAATATTTTTGATCCACGATTGGCTGAATTCATGGATGTGGAACCCACAGATATGAAGGGCCTGATTGTACTAACTGATACCAGATCATTAGGCAATTCTCTTACTGGGGCTGCAGATCCAAAATCCAGACCACGTTTCTCTGAGTAAAGGTGTAATTTCCTCTGAAAAGACTAAATGTTTTCACTGCCAGTTTCCCAGGGGAGAGGTTGGTTCAGCAGGAATTTTGGGAGGAGGGTGTCCAGAGTGTTAGGTGAGTGGAAACCTTCCTCATTTCTTTTAGTGCAGATGTCAATTTGGCTCCAATTCTAAAGAAGTGCTGATAACTGAAGGTTTCTAGTGGGGTAGCTGAACTACCTTTGGTGACCTGGAAACAGGTAGCAAAGAGGGCAGAGCAGTAGCCTGGTAAGGGTGGAGAGGATTCCACTGGAGCTTGGCCGCTCTCATAAAGTACTATCTGGACCCTTTCTTTCATTATTCTGGAACGGTCAGGAAAGTCTGGTCTCTACTGTGGGCAACAAAGAGGAAAATAAGTCTTTTCCCCAGGGTCAAACAAGATGACAGAAGTCACCAGCAGAAGATGGTAGTGCCCACTGAAGCAGCAAGTTAACTGGAGTCACTGTCCCTAGGAGGCAGCCCAGGAATGGGCAAGAGGGCAACCCATTTCTGGGTACACATTACACTGTACCCTGGGAACCGCTGAGGATCACGAGGGGCATATTTTAAGGGTGGCTATTTCTGCCAGTAATGCTGGAAAGCATTCATGGCATAATGCCATGATATGTAGCAGAATCCACCACAGTGTCTGTACGAAATGTTTAAGTAGGTAATTCATTCTGTCAGTTATTAAGTGTTATGAATCTGAAATCATTAAAACAATGTACTGCACAAGAAATAGGCAGATAAGCAGACCAGAATACAGTTTATACACAAACCGATAATGAAATATCATGGGGTAATGGTGATTTAAAATAAATGTTGAAAGAAAGGATCGTCAAATAAAGTGTATTACAACAAACGGGTAGCCATTTTCCTACCTCACTCCATATAAGAAAATAAATTCTGGAGGGATCAAAAATATAAACACAAAAAATGAAACTATGAAAGTAAGAGGAAAACATAAGCATATTATAAATAAACCTTGGTGTGAGCAAGACACACAATTCAATAGCCCTAAGAAAAGATTAATTGGTTTGTGTGGGGAAAAAACAAGTACGAAATAATCATAACAGTTCTAATACATATAAATAAACCAATATTCAGAGAGTTTATAAAAATTTTTAAAAACCCTAGTAATTCAATATTAAAAACTGGCGAAGATGAAATGCAAATTACCAATGTATAAAAAAAACTCAAACCTTAAGTACAAATCAACAATTATCAGATATTAATGCAGTGATAAAACTAGTAAGTTCAATAATCAAAAACTTTGGTAAAAGGGGCAGGAAAATATACTCGCAAATGTTGAGTAGTAGTATAAGGTAGTACAGTACAGTTTAAGAAGGCAATTTGGCAGTATCTATGAATATTTAAATGCATACATTCTTTATCTCAGCAATTACTTGCTAGGAACTTATCCTATGGCTGTACCCACACAATCATTTCAAGGATGTTCAGTGCAGCAATAATTATAATAAAAGTATCCAACTCAATTATCAATAGAGGAATGGCTTAAAAATTGTGGCACATCCATACAGAGATCTAGTTAACTATTAAAAAGAATTATCTCTAAGTTATTAAACAGTAAGCAGAAAAGGCAAGGAGCAGAATGATGTGTTTAGTTTGGAAATGAGTACAGTTCTGTTATTTTCTGTTTATGGCTGGACAAAGGGACTGCTGGGTGGGGCTGTAGCAGATTATAGCTTTTCATTTTATATTCATTCTCTTTTACCAAGCACATACATTACCTTTGTATAAAAACTTAAAAATATTTTTAACAGGAAAGACATTATCCTCAAACCATGCAGTAATGCCCAACTTGAATATATTTATTCAAGATCTAAGGAAGGAAATTTCAGGGGTACTGGAGTTATTGAAAAATAAACCTAAAAACATGCCAATGAAAGAAAATGGCTGTGGGTCTCAGAAAAAAATGGTACACTGACTGCACCTGGGAAAAAACTGGAACTCTCGAAGAATTGAAGTTAACTGGGCTTTGGCAAATTTGTGAATATATCGACTCTTTCACATGAAGTTGTACCTGAGCCTTATTCTTTAAATCCAGTTCAAATGCCACAATTTCTTTGAAACTTCTCAGATCCCTAAACACTTAATATACAGTCCTCTTATAGTTCTTTGTAAATACCTCTATCATAGTCCTGAGGAGGCTATTTGTTCACTGGCATGTCAGCCCCCAACCCAAATGTGAGATCCTTCAGGCAAGCCTTAACCACAGGTTTCGCCCTCCTTTCTCTTCTATAGCTGACAAACCATGAGCCTGGTGAAAGTTTGTTGAATGGGTGATTTAATGACTGGAGGAAAAAAAAGAGCTGTTGCTTTTTTTGGATTTTAGGATAGAAAACTTGTAACTTGACATGTAAATTAATTATTAACTAACTCGACACAGTTTTCTCCTTACCAGTGTTAGGCACGACCCTACCTTTGTTTTGTCATCAGAGATCACTTGTTGCTTCAGTAACCAAGAGCACTGAGCTACACCAAGTGACAGTGCTTTGGAATGTCTAATGGTCACTGTAGAGAAAAGGAACCTGAGCTCTCCTCCCTAATAGCAAATACACACAATCTTCTGCCCACACTTGAGGTTTTGTTCTTTTTCTGGACTGTATTCTCCAACGTAAATGCGAGGTTTTTTGCCTGATGGTGTATGATACGTGGAGTTCAAATCAAGATTTTCTCAAGCAGAAAACCTGTTTAGGAGTCCCTCCATATCTATGAGAAAAGCATTTTGTTTAGAGGTCTCCATAAAAATGAAACAGAAGAAAGTAGGGGGCATATGGAGAACTTTTCTTCATAGTGAAAGGATGCTCACCATTTACTTCCTTTTAATTGATATATAATGTACATATTTATGGGGGAGAGAGTAATATTTTGATACATACAATGTATAGTAATCGTATAGTAACCTTTTTAAACTTTTTTGTTGTGGAGATGGAGTCTTGTTGCCCAGGGTGGACTTGAACTCCTGAGCTTCAGCCTTCTGGGTAGCTAGGACAACAGGCATGCAGCACTACACATGGCTTTGTTATTTAAAAAAAAAAATCCTATTATGTCCCAGGCACAATTGGAAACAAGACAGATTTGATCTCTGATAACAGTGCCTGGCAACTATTAGGATCGTTCCTAGAATCTATTTGCAAATGGTGGGAAAAGGCAGGGACCAAATATGTGAGTTCTATCTAGCAGTACAATGGGTCAAAGAAAAACAGAAAGAATGAATAAGATCTAGTATTTGATAGCACAATAGGGTGACTATAGTCAATAATTTAATTGTGTATTTAAAAATAACTAAAAGAGTATAATTGGATTGTTTGTAACACAAAGGATAAATATTTGAGGGGATGGATACTCCATTTTCTATGATGTGATTATTACTTGTTGCATGGCTGTATCAAAGTGTCTCATGAACCCTATAAATACGTACACCTACTATGTACCCACAAAAAATTTTGTTAAAGTACATAGCTCAGGTTGTTCAGGGAAGATAAGAAATTGCATTTAGTACAAAGACCACTAACCTGGGAGTCAGGAAAATTGAGTTCTGTTGCCACTTCTGGCATTATTTGTGTCATTTTTCTAAACTTTAACATCTCTAGATCTGTTTCTGAATCTTTCAAACGAGGCGTTAGAACATCTTTAAGCTCTAGAAATCAGTAGTCCTATATTTTTATGTGGGAAAGGGCTCAGTGTCTTCTATTTCCATGAATAAGAGAATAAGACTTAAGCCAGAACAGATCTAAGAAAGATATGAAAATAATCTGACACAAGGATTTGAGAATAAATAGTAACTTCCGAGTACTCTTCACCCTTGGAGTAGAAGGAGAGAAGGATGCTAAGACGGGTCCACATGAGGCTGCTGGTCCTTTGTATGGGTCAACTATTTACCACTCTTGAAGATGGATACCTCCTTCATCTACCCTCATTATGAACTAGTTCAGCAGTCTTTATACCCTTGATTGAAGAAAGTAATTTCTTATGGCAAGATAAAAGAATCCAAATCAGCTTTGAGATCTTTCCAGCTCATGTGTGTACCTGCTTACCTCTACTGCTGCTTAAGAATGTCTGTGGACATTCTTCACCACTGGTTGTAAAAACCCTAGGGAGCCAGGGCCAACAGCTTTTTTTTCCCACTTTACTTCTCTAAACTGTGACAGTATAAACATGATTTTTTAAAAGTTCAAAAAGGAAAACAGTGAATTATTGAATTTCTTTCCAATCCTAGTACCCTTCCCCAAAGGTACTGCCAACAGTTTTTGTATATTCATACATTTATAAGTTAAATCATATTTTTCCTTATTTGACATCATATCTATGTTTGGTCTTAATTCTGTCATCTATTGTAAATTCTCCCTTTAGCTCTCTTATATGGCCTGTGTTATCTTTAATTTTGTGTTTTCATTTTAATAGTTATCAGGCTTACAGTTTTGGTGATTACCTTCATAACTATTCAGAATATTACATCCCTATTTCTTGATATATTATCAATTTTACAAAATTTCTATTCTGAAAAGTAAAACCAATTAGGGCATGTATATATTACCTCGTCTTTGATATTCTATTTTCTAACTTGTTAATCATCTTTTCTATATCAAGATTTATAACATTTCAATATGCTTCCATAGCCTTATTTAAATAATTCTATAGCTACATAGTTAAATAATTAACCACCACCAGTCCTGTTCTCAATGTTTGTCCATTTATCTCTTTAGATGGGCTTCATCATCTAGATTTTTCAAGAAGTGTCCACCCTCACTCTTTCAATTTACCCTTCCATTTGAAATCACTTGGCTTCTTCCTCCCCCAAGAATCTGGTAGAGTTTGCTTCACTCTGCTTTAGCACTGAATGTTGCTACAGAGAAGCCTAAGTCCAGTCCGTTCTTCCTCTCTCCATCTCCCCCTCCCAAAGAAATCACTCAATTTTGTTGCTGCTAAGATGACATTCCCCTCTCCCTGCCCCCAGGACAATTTGCAGATTTTGGCCACATCAAGAGCAACTGTATTTTTTTGAAATTATAATGTTAAAATTAGCATTTGTTACACGATCTCACTTTAATAAAACCATTTCTATCTATTTAGCTTCCTATCCAATTTATATTTATGCATTAATTGGAATTACTTTGGGGGGTGGTGGGGTTTGGGGTCCTTTAAAAATTTTCATCTTTGAAATGGTCATCTGCAATGAATGTTTAAGTTTTTTTTAAAATAATGGAGCTTATCACTTTTTCAATGGAAAGATGACTTATCTAGTAAAAGCTGGTAGTAAATACACAAGATACAATGATGCGTACTTTTTTGTACGTTTTGAAGAAAAACTAACACAAAAGAAAAATGTTAAATGTTTAAAAAGAGGAAACAATTTCTCAAACACCTCCTCTTGATTCTGACAACTTGGGTGGGTTAATGGGCTTATGTCATAGAAATGGCATTTTCCCCCCTCCATATCAGGACACTTCATAAACTTTAACAAGAAGAATAAGCCAGAAGTTTTCTTAGCAATATGAATTAAGAGTATAAAAGCCATTGAATGATGTGGATGGAAGTTTTTACATGGTTATGGCTGCATATGGAAATGAAATGATTTAAATTGGCCCCTTTCGAGAAGAGTCTCTTGCTTCACACACTCCATTCTTTCTTCTATGTAGCATCTGGTACTTTCAGTTCCCCTTTTGTGTAAAGTGCTGGAGGTTAACAAAATACAGTAGTTCCCCCTTAACCACGGGGGGATACATACCAAGATCCCCAGTAGAAGCCTGAAACAGTGGATAGTATAATCCATCCACCAGGATTGTAGTAAGAATTACATGGGATAATGCAATGTAAAACAATTAGCACACTGCCTGAGAGTATAACTCTACTGCACACAACTACTTTTTTGGGTACTTTGCTTCTAATAGAAGGTGAGTTCCTTGACAGCAACAAATATAATTTGCCACTTTATCCCTATTATCTAGCTCAATACTTTTAGTAGGCACTCAAATGTTGGTTAAATGATTTGGAGCTAAATTGTCTGGCGTTTAGGTAAGGAATAGCAATTTTTTAAAAAGGGAATACATGCTAGGTCAGGCTGTGGAAGGTCACATAATCTGAGGTTATATTCATTTTATTCAACAGGTCATAGTGACCATTTTTAAGATGTGAGAGAGGACTGCCTTAATACTGAACACTGAAATCTTTTATCTATAAAGATTAAGTTTTTCTCCCCACTGGTTTTCAGGTATTTAAGCACCCATATTTTCACTGAGTAGGTTCTAGAAGGAAACATTTCCTTAAGAAAGAGGAAACTGCAGGATAATGTGGGCATCGATTCTTTGAGTGCTATCTCTTCTTTCTTTCAGCAACTTCTAGGCTGGTGAGAGGGAACTGAGGTTCACAAAAGATACACAATTTTTTAAAAAGTCTTAAACACATCCATTTTGATAGAAAATAGAGGCAGCCGGGCATGGTGGCTCATGCATATAATCCCAACACTCTGGGAGGCCAAACTGTTTAAAGACCAGCCTGGGCAACACAATATGACCCTGTCCCTACTTAAAAAAAAAAAAAAAGAATGGGGGCAATAAAAAGTCTTAAGAAACTAAAGACTTGCTGCTGCCAATCAGAAGAAAAAGAAAGGGTAAAAGAAAAAAACATGGAATGAGAGATGAGTAGGAGAAGGTTCCAAGAGCTATAAATTCAAAGGCCAAAAAAGAGAGAAATTCCGTCAGGCAAGTAGGTTTGTAAAAATTACTTTAAAAATCAGGAATTATATCTGTGGCCAATTATTCTAAACACATAGTTACCTTCACTTCATCAAATAAACCACTTATTATATAAACCTAATCAACATGAAAATGCAGTGGTTTTAATACTTCAATTACATTAAAAATCCAGTTATTAAAATATAATCATAACCATCCTTTTTCTTTGTCTCTGACATATACATACCCACACTCACCTACCCACACCCCACCAAAAAGTATAAAAACAAGGAAGAGAGTCATGTGTAGAACTAAAGGAAAAGTTGCATATTACTTCTCTTCCAAACCTATGTTCTGGATTTTATCACCACCTTTCCACAATCTAACAATTAGACAAGAAAATTAATAAGAATGAACTGTTAGAGGTATAGAAGGGGAGACAATGCAGTTTAGGTAGTTCTATGAAAAAAAATTGAAGCTTATGAAAGTCAAAAACTGATTAGTTGTAAAAATGAAGACACTGTACCCAAATTAGTTCTACGATAGCACATCATTCGGCAGTTCTAGAAATGAAGTACTGTTAATCTTTCACTAGGCATTCATTAGAAAAGCCAAAGAGCCTAAGTTCTAGGATTGAATCTCATTTTTTAAAATATGAGTATTTTGTTATTTCAAAGTAAGCTGTTGTATTAACCTGCACTATACAGGGGCAATATATAAGAAAGTATATAATGCCCTGGACAAATTTTCAGTCCTGGAGAAAAGCAATATTGATAATAATACAAGAAACACTAGCACATTTTGTAGAAGAAATGCAACACAGAGACAGTTTTAAGTTCTAGGCAGCAATACAAAATGCGTTAATTAGTAATAAACTCATGGCAAAACAAAGTTCACTTCTGTTTTACTAATACAGATGCATCTGGAGAATGCCAATGTTGCTGAACTCATTCAACTTTAGTAGTTAAATGTTAGTTCATTCTTAACCACTAAAAAAATTTCCCTTGAACAATCCATATTGTCAGCATTATTAGACTTTAAGACGACCACTATGTTGAGCTCTGTAGAGTACTTCCCTTTAACAAGGAGATAAATTCAGCAAGAATCTTCTTGTATGCTTTCCAGTACTATGAAGTCATACCTTTGGAAAACTTAAAATAGGTTTAATTGTATATATTTAGGTAAATATATCTACTTTCCAATGACTTAACAATTATCAGTACAGCTGGTTGGAAAATATTTAGCTGTCTGAATATGTTAAATTATACAACTCTACTACTAAAGTAGTATGAAGTGGTATTTATCTCCTCAGCTTTTCTAAAGCTGTCTAATCCAAATAACAGTGTGTATGCATGCTTGCGTGTGCACACACACATGCTAATAACATACTGGGTAGCAGATTACTGAAAAATCAAGACATATAGGCTAGACTCAAGGGCCTTATGGAATTTGTAACTGTTTGCCCAGAAAGAGATAAAATACTAGGTCTATTTTTATTCATATTCTGAAACTCCCAGACAAATCTATCAATACACCTGAGCTCTGGATGAAGTATGCCTAAAAACACAAAGTTTTTTAGCCTATAGTGTACATTTCAGTAAGCCTTCACTTACACCTACAGCATGATTAAGCAAGGGTGGAAAGTTTTTTTTTTTTTAACACATAGTTGGAGCAAATAATTTCATAGATAAAAGTAACTTCTGAAGTATATAAAATGTCTGTTATTCAACATTCAAGTCTCTGCTCAAATGTTACTTCCTAGTCTTCCTTAATACCCCATCCAGAAAATTGTTCTGATAATATTTTTATTTTCCTAATACCACTCTATGAAATACTTTGTTTATTCATCTACTAGCTTATTTTCTAACTCTAGAATTAAGACATCCTGTATGTCTTGCTCACCACTGTATTTCTAGCAGATGCCTGGCATAAGTATTTGTTGAATAAACTAATTTCTCAGTGTATGAGATAGATCAAAATATACCAAGGAGCACAGAAGCAATCTCTCTCTAAATATATGAGATTCTCTCCCCTCTTCCACCCCCACCCATCTAGACACACTTACCTAGACTACAGTGTTTCTAATTTTTTTACAGTATATTATTCTCAGTCAGAGGTGGAATATTTTGTTGCTTTAAAGTAAATAATACATATATTGCAGTAAAACTTATGAAAGCCAATTCAAACTAAATAGCTTTGATGGGAAAACAATTTTAAACTTTTGGAAAAATAACCCCAAACTACCCATAAAAGACAACATTTATCTCACAACTTTTATATTGGTTAAAAATAATCAGATGAAACAACTTTGAACATGGCAATTTATTTTATGCATTATTTAAATCCGCTGTTTAAAAATGTTCAAAAGGCACTTCAAGAAACATTTAAAAATACATTTTTCTGACTTAATGGTGATCACTTAAAAATAAGCAAGTCACCAGACATTTTTAAACCATTCGTAACACCATTACCTTAAATAATTTTTAAATTCCAAAACACGAACATTCACTATGTAGTACAACACACTGCTTAGCAGTAAGATTAGTTTCCCTCTAATAATATACTTCATGTAGATTATTAATTTGCAGGGCCCCGCAAAGTTATTAAAACTTAATATAAACTGAAAACTAGAGAGGTAAGGGAGTTGAAATAGAGCAAAATTCAACTCTAAAACTTTAATGTTGGTTGCTCTAAAGAGAATTTGTAAAATTCCTTATTCTAGCCTGTATTAAAGTTTTTATTTCAAATCTTATATATAAACACATTTTTAAAAAATCAACAGAGGTTACATTAACATTTAGCATAAAATCTACCACAGGTTGCCTCCCAGATTGCTTCACTATGTTTCTGTCAGGCCTACTATAAAGTAGAAAAATAAAATGAGTTTTGTTTTTTGTTGTTGTTTTTGAGAAAAGGGTGAGTGGAAGAACCCAAATAACTTTACTTCCTTTAATAATTGTAGACATAGAATTAATTTTAAATTATAGATTTTTAAGTAGGGCAAGTATCTCGAGAGCCAGCAGGCATTATTCTTAGACTTTTACTTTCAATTTCATAGGGAACCCTAGTTAGTAGGCTTAAAATTATCAATTAAGTGATAAAAATTCTAATCACTATTAACAGCCAAATTAACCTTGTGAAGGCAGCATTTAAGAGTAACTAGAAAATGGAAGTTAGTAATAAAGCAAACAAAGAAGGGCAATAAACACCAGGCAGAAACTGTCAAAGAATTATAGTCTAATGAACTGAAAATTGAAATGGCAAATAAAATGCTAGATGTAATTTAATCAAGGGATTCTTTCAAGTACAGTGCATCAACCTGGTAGTAACTATAGTTTGACAGTCTCAAAGAAGTGAAAAATTAATATTCAAGAAAATTGTGAAAATAACCAGTTAGCAAATTTACTGCTCAAATCCAATTCTGTATTCAAAAAATATTAAGAGCTGATCAATGATTTATTTTCATACCTCATTACAGTAAGAAAAAGCCCTCTGAAATTTATATTTGAAAGCAAACTGGGACAAAAATCTGCTTTATCTATGAACTTCCCACTAGAAAATACAAGCATACCATTATTAGAGAACATAAGACATCAAAAGCCTTATGTTTTAAAACCATACTGAAATCATTTACCAAATAACAAAGATCTTAATCTAAAAGATAGTGAATACATCATCATCATGAAATCTGGTTTTATGTGCTCTATGAAGTACTTGGAGAATTGCTTTTTTATTTTTCTTTTGCTTTATTAGGTCACACAAAACAGAATGAATTAGCAGAAAAATGTATGTTATAAAACAGCATTTACTACTTCAATTTAATTTTTTTTACTAACAATTGTGGACCTTTTTGATGACACTTATGTATGTTTTTAATAAATTATGTACTTATTAGTACTTAATGAGCCCTTCCTGCCTCAATATAAAATTACTAAACTTGGAGAATTACAGATTTTATTGTAGGCCCTGATGTTAGTCACTTTGGAGAAGCTAAAAATTTGGCCAAAATGAATGATCCAATGATCCTTTAAGTTATCTTTATATTTAATATAGTGTGATCCTGGACTACACTGATTTAAAACATGCTTTTTGAAAAATGTCTTAGTAATTGGGCAGTAATCTTCAGTGTGTTTCAAACACTACTTGCACCAAAATCACGTAGGTTGTTGGGTATTGGTTCTCAAACTAGGATAAGAAAGACACCTGCAGAGTTTGCTTAAACACAACTGCTAGCCCCTGCCCCTGCCCCTGCCCCTAGAGTATCTGATTTAGTAGATCTGATCTGAGATGAGGCCCCGAGAGAGGCTGCATTTCCAACAAGTTCCCAGGTGACGTTAATGCTGTTTGTTGGGACCAGACTTTTGACAGTCACTGCCCAAGGTATCTGGTAAGAATGCATACTCTTGGGCCCCATGCTTAAATTTGAATTTCTGAGATTGGGGTCTTCAGATCTGCATTTAACAACATCCTGGGCAAGTGTGAGAACCACAGTTTAAGAATCACTGTGACAATTTGGCTGGGTTAATTTGACTATTACTGGCCAATGCATCAGACGTCATATATCATATACATAAAAATGGAAATAATGCTACATGAATAGCCCCAAGCCTGATACGGTTCCAATGAACACACAGGGTTTTGAATATAAATCCTACCTCTGTTACTTACTAGCTTTGTGACAGTGACAAAGTTACTTTGTCTCTGAGCCTCAGTTTCCTTATCTATAATAGGGGTATAACACCCAAATTTTGAGGATTAACACTATTATACACAGATTATCTAAGCACAGTACCTAGCATACAGTTGGCATTGGATAAATACTAGCTATTACTTATTTCCTTCAGTATCTGGTCAAAGCAAATTTTTCATTCACTTAAATGCAGTACTTACACTCCAAGGTAACAGAATAATAATACAATCTTCTATTTATTGCTCCCTATCAATGTTCTAAAAACCTTACATTTATTTAATCCTCATAAAAATCCTGTGAGGTAGGTAGTATTATCATCCCTAATTAAAAGATGAGGAAATTGAGACACAGAGAGATTAAAATTGCTCAAGGTTACAAAAACAGTAAGTGTTAGAGCAAGAATTTAAACCCAAGCAAGTCTGACTCTAGAGCCCAGGATTCATCACAATATTCATTTCCTATGAGCAAATCTCAAGGTTTTTGGATATCTATAGTAAACCATTTATACTTCTAGTCAAGTAACACATATGAAAATTCATGTCCACACCATGGTGAAGAGTTGTTCAAAGAATAAAATGAATGCCTTGAAATTTTGGCAGATGATACTACCATGATAATAGGTAAAAACTGGTGCATGTTTTCACTACGTGGACAGAGTAGTCCATGGTTAACCAATGAAATGAACATCCTCTCAAATATACCATTCAAAGAGGTCATGATTTTGACATGTTTTGGCACAATAAATAGAAATTACTTAGCCGGGTGCTGTGACTCACGCTCGTAATCCCAGCACTTTGGGATGCCAAGGTGGGTGGATCACCTGAGGTCAGGAGTTCAAGACCAGCCTGGCCAACACGGCAAAACCCTGTCTCTACTAAAAATATGAAAACTGGCGGGGCGTGGCAGCGCGTGCCTGTAATCCCCGCTACTCGGGAGGCTGAGGCAGGAGAATCGCACCACTGCAGTCCAGCCTGGGAGACAGAGTGAGACAGTCTCCGAAAAAAGAAATTACTTAGCTAAATAGCAGAGTCAGTGGCATGACTGCCATGTAAAATTGGCATAATGATAAACATGAGGGAAATGTAAATACTTTGTACCATAAAAATAATCTCATAGAAAGTCTGTAAAATATTCTGCTATGACACTCAGTACTGCTAAAGATAATAAAAATAAAAAATTTCTTTCCTTTCAGAAACTCTTTAAACAGAGTCACTAAAAATAGAATGAAACATTTGTGAATGTTTTTGATGACAGTCTTGACTAGGTATTCTGCATTGTTAGAATTATCCATTAGCAAAACAATTATCCCAAAATAGCACCAACCTTCAGACTGTTATTTATAAATTAAGTATCTACTCTTTCAAAATATAACATTTTTGTTTAAGCACTCTACATTTTCTATTGTTTTTAATTCTCATCAAAATCTTGCTTTCTAAATAATCTTGCCACTGTAACTAATAGCCACCTCAGATCCTATAAACTAATTTTAAAACTCTGCTTTAAACAAGTTATGAAAGGCACAAACAAGTTCTCATCCCAACAGGATGAGAATGAAATAAACCATAACTATGTAGTTGGAAAGAGTTTAAAATATCAATTTAAAATGTCACTTAGTAATTCCTGAGAGTGGCACTGTTATAAGAAAAGCATCCTGAAACAGCATTAAATTTATTATTAGTTACCCATAATGAACAATGGGCAAATTTGGGAACAAATATGTAAAATACATGTTTACAGAATGCTATGAACGGTTTGAGTAAATTAATGTTAATAGTGGAGAATGGTATTCAAGAGTGGCTAAACACATTTAGAAAAGAGACAACAGAGATTGCGTAAAAGATGACTAATTAGAATCAAGTATATAATATAGTCAAGGCCCATGATAATTTTAAAGTGTGGTTTTATTAATGCACTTCAGGGTAAGTGCCAGTCTTATTTTAGCTTCTTCTGGAAGAAATACTACCAATTATAAATAATCACAGCAACATTTTCATTAGACAAAAACTGTGTGTGTGGGTGTGGTAGGGGGGTATCATTTATAGCATACTGCAAATATAAACTCAATTCTTGAGCTATATTAACAACACTGAGCAACAATATTTCTTTCTAAAATTTTCTTTTCTTTAAGGCAGATCTGTTTATTACTAACATGGTGCAGTGTAGTTTTAGTAAATTTACTATTTTAGTTTCTCAGTGACAATAACACAGATGGTCAGAAAACAGGCAACAAAATCTCTTTTCTAGTTCCTCTACCTGGCCACCATTTAAAAAACACAAGTTCCTCATATATATAGACATATTTATATATTACTGTATCAAAACACATTTTAACACACTTCACAGCTCATTTAAAGCTTCAGTTTATAGTCATTCATGTGAAAGGTTTCTATAAGGAATGTTCACTTAGAATTCCTCACTGGGATTCCAGTGTTCTATGTCAGAAATGCAGAAGTCCTTTTTCAGTGCAGTGCTAGACATATTACCTTTGTTCATTCATGATTTTCTTTCAAGGATTTCCTAACTTCACTTTTGTATCTTCATTTTTGTTTGCTTGACTAATTTCCTTTAGTATACGTTCAGGTAAGGTAGGTTGATATCTGTATAAATAACCATATGGACGAAGATGATAAACGAGGTATTCTAACTCATACATGGTTGTAGAATCAACATAGTGAAAAGAAACTGCAAGATCAGAGCAGCAACCAGGACCCTAAAAAAGTAGTGGAAACAGGTATTGTTAATAAACAGCACATTGCTAGCTACAATATTTACATACTTATAAAGGACCAGCTAATTTTAAAAGAATACAAACATTAAAGATGGCAAGGTAAAGCAGAGGAACCTAATGTACTAGACCTGTGGAAGAAATCAATAGTTTACTTAGACATCCTAATGATTTAAAACCAATTGAAATTGGTGAAACCAAGTGAAACTGTGGAAAGTATTTTTAAATGAAACAATATTCTCTCACACTCTTTAGCGGATAAAATTACTGAGATTTCTTCAAATCAAAGGAGCAGCTATACAAGGAGAAATCTCCTTCTCCAACATCTGCTTTCTCTTCCTCATTTTCTCACTGTAATTTTTTGTGTGGCTCATACTCGGAAACATACCTCTAGGGCATTCAATGACTACAAAGCCTTGCCCATTAGGTGTCTACAACCCAATACACTTCATCTATATATGTATCAACCCAAACAGTACAGTATTTGAGACAAAGCTCTCAACCTAGACTTGGGTTTGAACCCAAATTTTGTGGGCTAGTATACGACCTTGAGTAAGTTATTTAATCTCTATAAGCTTTAATTTCCACATTTGTAAAAGGTGGTTATTTAAAGGAGACAATGTGTGTAAATTACCCTTTGCTTAAAATAAATGCCCAATAAATGTTAGCTATTATTGACTGAAAAATCATATCAGGTGGCCCTAAGGTAGGTCAGATTTAAACCTTTGTCCAGTTATGTAATTCTCATAAATTCCTAATAGGGTTGGTATGAGAACAAAGTTTAAAATAAAACAACAACAATACAACGAACAAGAAAGCAAGAAAATTAAGAAGACAGAAAAAGAGATGAATTAAGCAGTCAACCTAGAGTCAGAATTGGTATCTGGAGAATGTTGGTGTCATCCAGGTGACTCCAACAAAACTTCAGGCTCCATCTGACATCTTTGTAAAGAATGAGGGAGATAGTCTGGCAAGTTCCAAGAGAAGATTCATATTGACTGAATATTTAATAAATCTAATAATTTATGTTTGGAAGTATGTAGCTTACAGTGTGTAAAAATTATCAAACTGTCCACTGCGTTTTCTCTGCTGTTATCTCTAAACTTTCCTTTGAAACACACACTGGATATGTAGATTCTTAGACAACCTACTCTTGCACCTTTAGGAAATATCAGAATAAAAGCAAATAGGAAAAATAACCAGATAAGTCAACTTGTGATTATCTAAACTAGCTCTGTCCAACAGATATGTAAGCCATATAGTAGCCACATAAAAAATGTAAAAAAAAAAAAAAAAAAGTGAAATTTCATTTTATTTAACTGAAAAAGTTCATCATACTGTTTTAACATGCAATAGTTTTGCGATGATTAATGAAACCTTTCTTGAAATTAGGTGTGTATTTTATTTACAGCATATCTCAATTTGGACTAGCCACATTTCAAGTGCTCAATAACCACACATACTTAGTGGCTACTATACTGTCCAGTGCATATTAAACTTAAGGACTAGACCAGTAATAGTTATAAATTGCTGACCTCTGGAAGCAATTTTTATATTCTGTAAAATAATATTTTTGATAAGATTTACTGCATTAATTATATTGCTCTTATTTATTTATATTTTACTGGATGGCCAGGATTCTGTTAAGCATTTATGCAATAAAAGACAATAAAAGTAAAAAGCTATAATTATTAGAAAACAAGAGCTAGCAGACAATTATGGTTACCCAAAAAAACTCAAGAATCTCAAGTGAAGAATCATCAGAAATAGAGAATTCAGTTACAAAGCCAGATTTTAAAGATGCTTAAAAAGAAAATCAAACAAATAAGTTTTCATATATATCAGTAAAAAGTTAAGTCTTTAAAAGCCCAAGTAGAACAGTAACAAAAATATTGCATACCTATGGAAATAGTTTATAAAACTTGACCAAAGGACCTAAAAGGTGACTTACAAAAAATCCTGGGCAAAGATGTTATTGTCCCTAAATTAATGAGTTTGTATGCAAAGATAAAGAAATGAGTTGCCAAAACACTTAGAAAAAAAGAAGAGTTAATTTGCCCTTAGAATAGTAACTTAAAACTGCTGTAAAGCTACAAGGTTCAAAACAATATGGTGCTGGGCCAAAATCAAATGAGAACAATGGCATAGAAATGAAATCCCAGATTTAGATCCTACTATAAGTAAGGTTACAGTGTATGATAAGGGGGACATTTTAAATCAGTAATGAGTTAAAAAATGGTAGTAGAATAATTAGTTAACAATTTAAAAAAATCAGGAGCTCTCTACCTCACTTATGTACTAATATGTTTCAGATAGAATAATGTAAATAAAACTGAATAAAGTAGATCATATTTGACCATTTCTGACCTACAGAAAAGTCAATTTTTCATGTAGAGAGATATATATGTAAACAATTACACATATATTTTAAATCTACCATATTAAGACTCACTGCAACTTCTCTGGTGAAAAGTCTATTACTAAGAAGGTGGAGTGGGAAGGGAACTGCTTAAGAGTCAGTTCTGAACAAGAAATTTAGGAATGTAACTCTTTCATGAATTAGAATATCTTTTACCCTGACTTGCTAGATAAAAATTTTCTGTATTTTCAGTAATTAGTATATAGAAAAAAAAAGTATGTATAAGATTTAAACTCATTTAGGGGGAAGAAAACTTACTAAATGATAGATGGATAATAATAGAATTTTAGTTTCACGTTGGGTTTATGTAAGAATCTCCTGAGGGAGAACAGGCAATGTCAGATTGATGGGTCAATTTTGGTACTCTGAATTCTAATTCTGTTTTATGGTCTTCAACATAATTTGATAAATTTCTAGAGAAAGAACAAATTTGCCAATTATGATGTCCCTTTGCTACTACTGTATGTGTATCCAACATCAGATACTCTTAGTAAGATCTTATATGCATTTGGATGTATTTGCTACATGTTTATATTCTTGAATTTGGGTAAATTTTTTATATGGGAAAAGGATACAGAATTAAGGAAAAAAGATCAAGTCATCTTGGAATGGTCAAAATATATTAAGAAAAGTTTACATCAAAAAAGCATCCAAAGTAGTACTCTCACTAAAATAGAAAAACAGACTATCAAAAGTTTCCTTTTAAAGCTGATTACCTAAAGCTTGGGTCAGATGTTCTAGGCCAGGGTCTCTGAACCATGGTACTACTGACATTTTGGGCTAGAGTAATTCTTTGTTGTAGGAGGCTGTCCTGTGCATTTTAGGATGTTTAGCATTTAGTAGGTTTATAATGTAGTGGGTTTCTACCCATTAGATGCCAGTAGCAGCCTCCTAGCTGTAACAACCAAAAATGTCTCCAGACCTTGCCAAATGTCCTCTGGGGGCAAAATTGCCCTGGGTTGAGAATCACTGTTCCAGATGATGATTTGAAAGCATTGCCTTATGAAGATGACAGTAGTAGCATGAAGTGTATTATTTATACGTTAGGTCCACAGAAAAGAAGGCATAGAGAACTAGTGACTTGCCTAAAGGCATTATTAGTAACAGAACTGAGCCTAAAAGCTAGGTTCCATGATTCCTGGTCTCATTCAGTTATTCACTGAAGCAATGCTTATAATAGTGAACACAGCAGACATGTAATTAACATTGATAAATCTCAATGTTGTGTGAAAAGGGCAAGTTGTAGAAAGATATTTATTTAAAAATCTGAAAAACAATACTATAGCATTTTCTTCTTTAAATAACTGAAACAAATGTGGCAAAAAGATTAATATTTGGTAAAGACAGGGGATAAGTACAATGTATATTCTGAAATATTTGTACTACTGGAATACTTCCTAAAATAATGCACTTTAGATAAAATTCTCAGGAATGTGAGCCAAGGCTTATTAAATGCTTACTGTGTGAAGGGCTGTACTATGTTGTAATTACAACAACTAAATAAGACAGGTACATTATGTCCATCTTACAAATGAGGAAACTGAAGCTCAGATGTCATCCAAGGCTCCTGTCCATCCAAGGTTGTTCGGCTATTAAGTGAGAGAGCAGGATTTGACTCTAGGTCTTTCTGAACCTCCATTAAATCCTCCTGATGACTAGAAGGCTCTTTACCCAGATCTTCACCCAACTTGCTCTCTAATAACACTCAGGGTTCTGCTCAAAAGTCACCTCTTTGAGAGGCCTTCTTAATCACCCAAACCAGAGGACTCCATCCCACTCTGGGTCACTCTCCATCCCCTTACTTGGCTTATTTTTCTTCAGGGCACTTACTACTAAAATCCTATTTTATATTTACAAGTCTGCCTGTTTACTGTATATCTCCTCATCCAGAATGTAAGGTTCACGAGAACTGGAAATTGGCTGTGATTTACTTCTACATTCTCAGTGCCTGGCATATAACAGCATCAATAGCTATTTGCTAAGTGACTACTGCTGATTGCTGATGTCCCTGTTCTCATCTATTTTGTTATACTGCCACTCTATTTAAAAAGACTAAGGAAGAGTCCTTGTTGTTGGTACTAAAGAAACATACACATATTAACATGTTTTTATCAACAAAATTCAGTCAGTCCAAGTATTGACATAGTAATAAAATTTCTAAACTTACCTCTACAGGAGGATAATAGTTGTAATTCCAGTACCAAAACGTTCTAGGTAGATAACCTTTAATTAAATGGTGTTCTGGCACAAAGGGATGAAAAGTTTCTTTTCCAATGGTATCTCTGGAATCTCCTGCTTCTACATTCATAATTTCCATGCATCTCCCCAGTGCTAAGTCTTCAATGGAGGAACTATGTGTACACTTGTCTGTTTTAAATGCATCAACAAATCTTTTCAAGGCTTCTTTGCTTAGTACATATCCTGCTCCTCCACTCATGTAGCCCTGCTTTACATAAGGCTTAAATCTTCTCCCAAAGTAAATGGGTTCTTCAGGGTCGTATTTTGAAAGAAGCCACCTCAAATTGTCTAGTATGACATACGTGTCATCATCTGCTTTCAAAAACCAATCAGCATCTTCTAAATAATGTTCATGAACATACTGAAAAGCTTTAATTGTTTTCCAGTATAGTTGATCTCTGCCTTCTTTGGTTTTCAGTCCCACAGCAGGGAAGTCTTTATTTTCTTCTGAACTCATAAACAACACTTTGTTACAACGCTGGGCCCAAGTAGCTTTGACGTGTTTGGCCTTTTTCTCTAGGTTTTGAGGGCCGGTCATAACCCAGCAAAGAATTCTAACTTTCTGATAGAGGTTTTCAGCAATGTCTGTGTTCTCATCTATTAAACAAAACATTTTAAAAGGTTATTTACATAGATGTAAAATCCAAATATTAATAAATTATACTGAAGAAAGCACTGTCCTAATTTCAAAGTCCCTATTTATCCCTCTATTAGTGATTTAGCCAAAGGAAAGCAAACTCATCCTAATGTGAACTGACACTCTGATTTATTGGTTTCATGTCAGTGTTATCTAGGACATCACTGGAGCTAGTAAGAGTTGACATTATAATCTAAATTCGTCTCAAACTGTAGTTTACTGATTAAAAGCAGCAGCATCACCTGGGAGCCTGTTAGAAATGCATAATCTTAGGCCCAGACCTACTGACTCAGAATCAGCATTTTAATAAGTTCTCCTGGTGCTTCATAGGCATGCTAAATGCTGCCTTAAATAGTCTCTGCTTGGCACTTCATAAAAGAAAGCAGCCAGTTTTTAATAGATTACTGACAGAAATTTCTCACTGCTCTGAACGAGTTTCTGAAGAGCAGGAAAGACATGCTGCTGAAGTGGCAGTTCATTTTTGAAGTTCACAATAATCCACTATTAAGAATTTCTACAAGTACCCTGAGGTGGTAAAAGGTCAAAGCACAGGAGTTGAGATTACTTTCTGATAGTCACATACCTCATTCCAAAATGTAAATCCACCAATCAAAAACAGAAGAGAACAATGGTAGACATGGGAATTCCAAGATGGTCTAGAGCAGTGCTCTTTAAACTACAGGTTTGCAAAGAAATAAGGAGCTTATACCAGAACAGAAAGCAACACATTACTTTGAAAAAGGCCTACTATCAGAACCAACCAATCAAAATGTCCACTTAACTAAGCAGTGAGCTTAAAACTGAAACTTAAAACTGTCCATTTAAGTAAGCAGTGAGCGTAAAACTGATTTACATCCTAGTGTAACCTCATTATCTTGTGCAGACAAACAGCTGACAAAGTGTCAGGCCAGGACCGCATTTTGAGTAGCACCGGTACAGAGGAAGAGCTCAATGATGAGATTCTAGATGAGTACTTCCCAAGCTATCTGTGGTGAAAGGCCAATTTTTATTTCTAAAAGAGGTCTACACTGTGTAAATAGGATAAAAATGAATTATAAGAAAAATAAAACTAAAATATAAAACAAGTCCTAAATTTTTATTTTTAGCTTCAGACAAAATTACTCCAATTACAATAAAAGTTTCTGCTTACTCCCAAATAAGCAGACATTCTTTAGTTATAGGACCAGAATGAGTCTATGAACTGACTTTCAGTAGCAATGTTCTGGGCAGTATCCTGACGAAGCATATGCTTAAAATTAAGGTCAAACAGCAAGTTACAGAAGCTTAGTCCTATGAGAAATTAACAATGGAGGCATATAATATACTAGTTAACCAACTGAGAGGGAATAATGGGAAAAGCTGGGTGGAACATAAAAATATTCTCATGTCCCAGCTGGGCACAGTGGCTCAGGCCTGTAATCCCAGCACTTTGGGAGGCTGAGGCGGGTAGATCACGAGGTCAGGAGTTCGAGACCAGCCTGGCCAACATGGTGAAACCCTGTCTCTACTAAAAAAGATACAAAAAATTAGCCAAGCGTAGTGGTGGGCGCCTGTAATCCCAGCTACTCGGGAGGCTAAGGCAGGAGAATTGCTTGAACCCGGGAGGCGGAGGTTGCAGTGAGCCGAGATCCCACCACTGCAGTCCAGCCTGGGTGACAGAGCGAGACTCCATCTCAAAAAAAATAAAAAATAAAAATTCTCATGTCCCTCTGAGTATCAAGATTCACAATCCAAAAGGACAACAGCAGACAAAATCACCCTACTTTCAGTCAGAAAGCATAGACATCTCATATCCTTGAGGAGCCCAATCTCTTGGCTATACAAATATACCAAACCTTGAATGGATAGAACAGTGAATGCAGGAATCCCCAATCTGTTTCATTCAGGTAAGACAGGTTTGTCCACCGCTGAACTTGATAAATAATTTTTCATTCACTAATTGCTTTGTACTGGGCATGGGCTGGCATAGGAGATGAAAAAAATGAGTAAGACACATTTCCTGCTGCAGAGGAATTCAGTCCATTCAGGGAGCCTGAGCCTGACACACAAACCAATAATTGCTAAATACTAAGAGATGTTATTATAGAGGTATGAACAAAGGATTCAATGTGCTGAAGGAAAATAGTGGCTAATAAATCCTACAGAGCAGTAGATAGGGACCTAGGTAGAACAAAGAGGAAGATTAAAAAATAAAGACATAATACAGAAAATAGGTTATAAGTTCACCAAAAGGAATGGTGAAGTTTGGTTGAGTGCAGGTACATGGGTATAGCTGAAGGCCTGAATCGGAAATGCACTGAGGACTGAGAGGAAAAGAGATGAAAAATGGTAAAGTAGCAGCACTGTTAGAATGTACTGACAAATCGAATTGGCTAGCATGTGAAGGCAAGCACCTACCATGATTTCTTAATTTCTGGCACAGACAGATGGTAATGAGCCATATAAAAGAAAGAATAGAGGAGGAAGAGCAACTTCTAGGAGTAGGAAGGAAAAGGAGACTCAATTTACACATGCTGAGTCTGAAGGGAGTAGACAAACTTTTAGCATACCCCACATTTTGTAGGCCACTGAGCTGGACAAGTATGTATCTAATACACATGCCTGCAGTGAGGCCTCGTACGGCTTACTATTAGTAGGGAACTCTGCCTCCAATTGATCACCTAAAGACATGTGGCTATGCTACAGAGCAAATACACAGTGACCAAACTGTTCTGTAGGAACACAGAGCACTTGCTCAGAGCTGAATTACTGTTACATAAACAATCACAAAACACGACATACTTTGTAATAGTATGTTTATGTTTGCTAGTTGATAAAATGGAACCAGGCTTTGAAATCTCACCATTCAACCTCTGCTTGAGAGGTGGTGAAGAAATAATTTACTACTGAGAAGAGAAGAGAAAAAACTGAATAGTGGACCCTCTGCATCCCAGAATTCCAATTGTTTTCAAGCTACTTATATTATTTTCTGTCAAACCGTATTTTGCATTGTGTTAATGTCACCTCACAATGTCTGGAACTGGGCTAAAGACAGTAAGAAATAGAAGGAAATTAAAATTATGCGGGTTAATGATGTCACACAGACAAACAGCTAAAGGACAGAAACTTGGAGAGAACCAACACTTAAGGGACACATAAATAACTCAACTGAGAAAATCTGGTTAGAGGTAGGAGGCTAGGAGAAAATGAAGTCTTTAGAACGCATCCTTGGTTTTTAACTTCCTTGTTCTTTGTGCCTCTTGAGGAAAAAAAAGATTAGTTCTATTAACTAATTATAAAAATATAAATCGAAACTTACATACACCTCAAGTTTCTCTAGGAAAACAAGACTTAAGCAAAAGCTATGACCAAAACAAGTAACAAAAACCAAAGACACACATATAACAAAACTGAACCTAGAAAAACATTTTCAGAAACAAATCAAATCTGAATAGTTATGCCCTTCCCCAAATCATGGGTTCTGAACTATTTCTACTTAAAAACGAATTCAAAATTAATATCTTATTCCCTAAATAAATCTGAGTTTTAGCAATTCCCTTCTCTTGAGGCAAACCAAGAATTATTTTTAATATCTGGAATATATAGCCCATTTTAATTAACAGATACAGACAGGAATATGACAAAATTTAGACTAAAATACTGCTTATGTTTACTGCTTAATAAAGTAAACCATACCTTTATGTTGGCTAGAATCTGCATTGAAGTTCATTTGTCCTTCTAGATGATTCTGTCCATTATCATCTGAATGCCTTGCATGAGGATCATTATGAAGAACATTAGGCTGGGTGTCAACCTTTTCTCCCAACAAAATACTAAATAGCTGAGAACATAAAAGAAATCCTATTGCTGATCCACAGAGGAAGGTTAAAAAATTCAGCCAGGATTTAGAGGCCATTTCCCGAAAGTGTATTTCTGTAAGAACAAAAATTAGCAGGATGTTATAAAATCAAAGCTGTATACATAACCGGAGTAAAAATTCTGGTAACATTTAGCTATAACGGAAAGTTAATTTCTAACAGTATTTAGCTATTATCTATGAGTTTACCCCTCTATTTGCTGCTAAAACAGCACATTATGGAAAATCCATAAAACCAGATTAATTAGTAGGACAGTCACAGTTGGGGTGGGGTATGGATGAGTATGTCAGTATTGCACACAGAATTTCCTATTCTTCCCACCAGGATCCTTTGTGGATCCAGGGCTTCCTGTCGTGTTGTTTTTCTTTCTTTGCTGTTAACTCTGAGTACGGAAGTCTACTTCTTTTTCTCTGGTAGCAACCACCACCCCTTCTCCAACCCAAAAGTTAGCAAACCCTTTCTGTAAAGAACTAGAAATAAAATATTTTTGGCTTTTTGGGTCTCATGTGGTTTCTGTTGCATCTTCTTCTTAAACAATCCTTTATAAACGTAAAAAAACACTTGTAGCTTGTGGAGGACTAGGGTCAGCACAGTTTGAGGACCCATGGACCAAACCTGGCCTGCTACCTGTTTTTGTAAATAGAGTTTTATTTGAACACACCCATGCCCATTCATTTATATACTGACTGCGGCTACTTTTGCCCTAAAACAGCAGAGTGAATAGCTACAATAGAGGCAATATGTCTCACAAAACCGTACCTAGCCCTTTATAGAAAAAGTTTGCTGGCTAGGCACAGTGGCTCATGCCTGTAATCCCAGCACTCTGGGAGGCCAAGGCGGGTGGATCACTTGAAGTCAGGAGCTTGAGACCAGCCTGGACAACATGGTAAAAAATTAGCTGGGCATGGTGGCATATGCCTGCAGTCACAGCTACTTGGGAAGAATAAGGTGAATACTTGGGAAGAATTGGTAAGAATAAGGTGGGAGAATCACTTGAACTCAGAAGGCGGAGGTTGCAGTGTGCCAAGACTGCACCACTCAACTCCAGCCTGGGCAAAAGAGTGAAACTATCTCAGAAAAAAAAAAGAAAAAGTTTGCTGACCTCTGCTCTATACTGCAAGATCTAGATTTTGGATGGAATCTATAATATTAACGAGATTAAGTAGGGTACCTGGGACACAGATGCCTGTTGAACTGCCCCACAACCAAACATTGACATAAACGCCCTTTTTAAGCTTTTGTTAACAATTACTATATGGTGAAGTTATAAACTTCTATTAAATTCCTTAAAAGATTGGTCTTAACTCTAGTTTCCTATTCCTCAAGATAATTAAAAAAATAAGTTTACTAAGCATTTATTATATACCAGAAGCTGTCCATACATTATTTCATTTTAAATAAAATTTAATTTCAATGTCCTTTTTCATTCTCACTAAACCCGTCTGCAGATGAGGAAAGAGAAATTTTAAAAAGGTAATTTTAAACAGGTAATTAATTCATATAGGCTGACACAATCAGAAGGAGCCACAGTTTGAATGTAGGTCTGTGTGCTTAAAAAGCCCATGCCCGGCTGGGCGTGGTGGCTCACGCCTGTAATCCTAGCACTTTGGGAGGCCAAGGCGGGTGGATCACCTGAGGTCAGGAGTTCAAGACCAGCCTGGCCAACATGGTGAAACCCCATCTCTACTAAAAATACAAAAATTAGCCAGGCGTTGTGGTACGTGCCTGTAATCCCAGCTACCTGGGAGACTGAGGCAAAAGAATCACTAGAACCTGGGAGGCAGGACTGCAGGACCGAGATCATGCCACTGTATTACAGCCTGGGTGACAGAGCAAGACTCTGTCTCAAAAAAAAAAAAACAAAAAAAAAAAACCCACGCCCTTTCCATTACATTTCTCAAACTCTTCACCTAATCACCACTAACAGCAGAGGGCAATGGGCAGTGAAAGTAGAGGTCTGGGAAATATAACCCTAAAAATCAAAATTGCTTTGAAATAGTTTGTGAAAGCAAAAGTACAAACCAACAATCACCACTACAATAATAAAAACAAAACAACTTCATGTATTTCTGGAATGGCTGACTAGGTTCTTTTAGTACAACCAAGTGCAATCAGAAAAACTGAACAAAATGTAAAAAAATATAAATATGTGTTTGAAGACACTGGTAAGATATCAAGGCAGTGAGAATTAGTAGGGCCAAAATCTGGAAGAAGGAAGGAAAGAGGCAGACCAGACATCTGGCACTGCTCTATCCTCAAGACAATGACTGATTCTGAAAGAGAAAACAGCAAGGGCAATAAAGCTAAGCAAAAATTAATGTCCAAAGTCTGCTTAGGAGAAGAGGTCCTGAAAAACACCTATGCTCTTATCAAGGACTCTGAAAGGCTACAATCTGAGAATAAGAACAAAACAAAAATAGACCAATCTTTACAACGGCTGAAGTCTACGTTAGAGTCATCTCAGCCACTGACTGGATGATCCGCCCTAGCCTAACTGTAAAAATATTCTCCTGGAGAAATATAAAATCATGAAGAACCTCAAATTATCATGACGACTTTTTTTTTTTTGGTATACAACATGGACAAAATTTTGATACACAATGTCCAAAACAACCAGGCATCAAGATGAAAATTACGGCTAAACACAAAAAAGTAGACAATAGAAACAGAGCCAAAAGACTCAAATAAGATTTTCATATTTTTAGCTTAGAAATAACTATTCTTAATAAAGTCAAGAAATTAAATGGCAAGATTAAGAAATTAGGCATAGAATAGTCACAGCTGAAGAAAAAAATTAATAACCTAAAAAGCTAGGTCAGAAGAAAATACGCAGAATGAAGTATGGAAAAACAAATGGATTGAAAAAGAATTGAGCAAAAAAACAGAATAAAGTGAAAGGGTCTAATGTAAGTGTTAACTGGAACCTTTGAGGGAAGAGACATAACTCAGGAGAAGTGGTATTTAAAGAAATAATGACTGAATATTTTCCGAAACTGACACAGTACCAACCCTCACATTAAAAATCTACAAAACCCAATGAAGATTACAAAGAAAAAGAAAATGTTACCTAAGTACATCAGTCAAACTACTGAAAACCAAGGACAGAAAAAAAAACTTCAAAGGTGTAATAAGATTGACAGCTGACTTTTTAGCAGCAACAACAGAATCAAGACTGCAGTGAACTATTTTTAAAGTGCTAAAAGAACAGAACTACCAACCTAGCATTCTGTATCCAGCAAAAATGTCCTTCAAGAATGAGCCTTAAAAACATGTTCAGAAAAACAAAACCTAAGTGAATTTATCACTAACAGTTCTATTTCTAATTCTTCAGGCAGAAGGAAAAGAATTTCAGATAAAAATTCAGAGATGTAGGAAGGAAGGGAGAGTCATAAAAAGGGTATGTATGTAAGTAAATCCAAATAAATATTGGCTATAATAAAACATTTTTTGAAAGTCTCACAAGATATTAGTATTATTACCATTAAAACAAATTACAAAACTGGCATCAAAAAGTATAAGGAGGATCCATAGAGTTTAAGAGCTCTAAAGTCATTTCACTGTCCAGGAGTTGTTTAAAAAAAAAAAACTGATTAATAATAGCCTTTAAAAGACCAAGGATGTCTAATATAATCTTTAAACAAACAAACAGTAAAACAATATAATTAAATTCAAATACAAAAAAATGAAATGGGAAAATACCCCAAATCAAGGCAATGTTAAAAAAAAAAAAAAAAAGGGAATATAGAATAGATGAGACAAATAGAAAATAAATAGTAAGGTGGTTGATTTAGAACCAAACATATCAATGATTATATTAAAAGCAAATAGACTAAAAACTACAATTAAAAAATAAAGATTGCCAGCCAGACTCGAGAAAAATAAACTCATCTACATGCAGCTTACAAGAGACACATATTAAATAGATTTATAAAGTTGAAAGCAAAATAATAGAAAAATATACCATACAAACAGTAATTAAAGGAAAGCTTATTGATACCACAAAAAAAACTAGTAGTTACATGGCTTGTTCTCTGTGACATTCATTAAGCTCTACATTTATGATTTTACATACTTTTCTGTATTAACATTTATTTCAGTAAAAAGTGTATACAAAAACCCATTCATGTGTCTTTATCCCATTAAGTACATACTTAATATATTCATATTTGATATAAAAATATCCCAAAATCTACAAGTAAAATTGACATGCCATGACAACACACCATGCTTATGCTGCATTATATATCTTATATTTCAGGCTCTCTCCTGAATTGTAATTCCAGTTTGGGAAGAAAAACCCTAAGAGGAAGAGGAGAGGTGAAGGAACAGCACAGTATAAGCAAAGCTGCCCAGTATCTTGAGATGTAAATTAACCATCTGAAACTATCAGATACATGTTTACACCTTTTGCTCTATCCTGACTGTACCTTCAAGTTCAGAAAGGTAGGCCTTCATGGATGATGAGTACATAGCCCCACTCAACGATCCTTCTCTCTACACCCAATCAAATTTGCCACAGGAAAACCAGAAACAAGTTTACCATGTCTTTCTGCTGTTTTCTCTGATGAGGGGGTCTCAAATTCTGCCTCCCTACTGCCCCCTTTCCCTCATTCAGGTTGGCCGTTAGTGTAATCTTTATATCCAAAAGATACAATAAAACATATCCCTCCTGTCTTAAGTGATTGTTCTGAAATTCTAAATATCTCGATTGTCTGAGGACCAGTTCATTAGACCTTGCTCTAACCAGAAATCTTGGTTTGAAATTTCATTCAAACAGCCAGAGAGAACTGATTAGTCAAGTATCTGTTCGATATTATACAAGTCCTTCCTTTAGCAGTATACATGATCAAGACAATCTACAATAGAGGTATGTGATATGAAAGTACCATGAATTGAAAACATGAAGCCAAGAGAAGTAAATGAAAGATGTTTTAACTCTTAATTTCTTATGGAGGAAGACAAGCAGAATACGATTGAAGCAGTGAACCTGGAGCATTAGCAGATACTGAGTTGTCACTCTCTACATCCTCTGATTCTCTCACTAACACTTTGCCTTACAGCACACTGATCTTGGTTTTCCATTGCTTTTTGTCCTAGCTGTGATTTTGCCTTAATACCATACACAGCCACTTCACCATCTCAGAAAAGAACAAAGACAGTATTTTACTGCTGCAGAGTCTACCGCTCCTGGCACTGGAGAAGAAAGCAGTAGTCACAATGCCATTCAGTACCACTTAGGCAGAAAGCACTGTGACTGAGAAGAGGAAGGACTGCAGGACCAGAGAAAATTCCTATTTCTATCATCATATGGATATCTGAAGTTAAAGAAGTGCTAACCCAGCTCCATCAACTATGAATACTAACATGCTACTCAATCATATTCCAAGGACATGCTGAGCTTCAGAACAAGCCTACTTCTATAACACAAAAACAGTTACTGTTTGTGGAAAGCTACTGAAGTACTTATGGACACAGTTTTTCTTAGCTGAAGAGGCACTTTTTAAGCAAGGCATCTATCCTGGAGTGAATGTAAGGAAAACTGACTTCTTGGTGTTACGTAATTGTTTTTAACTTTAAAATGTTTTGTGATGCTGTCTGATGCCTGTCATACTCTCTTACTCTTCTCCCCCAGAGTATCAGCACACTCAGAATGTGTTGGCTCCTCTTGTGTTGTGTTTACCACATTCCCTTCCAATTTAAAGGACTCCGGCCTTATGACTAAATAACTGTAAACTCCCATTTTTTTTTTTCCTGCTCCTGGGATAAAATAGCCATCTCATGGGGGTAGAATGCATCCCAAAGCTCACTCAGATTTTTGGCAAAAATCATGTCCACAAGAGTGTTGAGGTAGACTAGACTGGAAAAAGACACAGCTTAACCACACTGCACATTATGAGGGCTTAAATACTATTTCTTTGAATTGGGTGGGGGAAGTTCTTTATGCCAAGTGCTTCCAAACCTGATGTGTAATCAGAATCGCTTGAGGATATTTTAAAAGTACAGATTTCCAAGCTTGACAACTGAGGTTTCAGATACAAAAGAACTCCCGGGACAACTAAAATTTATATTTTAATTTTATTTTTAAAGGGACAGCTTTATGCTATTCATTGTTAAAAAAGGATTTAGAAGGAAGAAATCATCACAAGTCCTACTACCCAGAAACAACAATTATTAATATTTTGTGATTATCATTACAGGTTTCTCTCTAGCAATAACAAAAATAGGAGAGGTAATTACAGTTAACATTTGAACCCTGTACTAAGAGCATCTGCAAACTATAAAGTACGGACTAGTATTCCCATTTACAGATGAATTCAGACACAGAGAGTCACACTAGCAATCTGAATCAGGAATTCAGACTCTTAACCACTTTGCTATTATGTCTTAGTCCATTTTCTGGTATTTATAACAGAACAACTGAAACTGGGTAATTTATAAAGAGAAAGCATTTATTTCTTACAGTTACGGAGGCTAGAAAGTCCAAGGCCAAAGGGGGCACATCTGGTAAGAGCCTTCTTGCTGTTGAGGACTCTCCTCTGAAGAGTCTTGAGGTGGCACAGAGCATCACATGGCATGAGGGATACGCATGCTAACGTGTTAGCTTAGGTTTGTTCCTCTTCCCTTTTTTTTTTTTTTTTGAGACGGAGTCTCGCTCTGTTGCCCAGGCTGGAGTGCAGTGGCGGGATCTCGGCTCACTGCAAGCTCCGCCTCCCGGGTTCACGCCATTCTCCTGCCTCAGCCTCCCAAGTAGCTGGGACTACAGGCGCCCGCCACTACGCCCGGCTAATTTTTTGTGTTTTTAGTAGAGACGGGGTTTCACCGTTTTAGCCGGGATGGTCTCGATCTCCCGACCTCGTGATCCGCCCGCCTCGGCCTCCCAAAGTGCTGGGATTACAGGCGTGAGCCACCGCGCCCGGCCTTCCCTTTCTTTATAAAGCCAAAACAGTTCCCTTCCCATGATAACCCATTAAGTTATTAACCCATTAATGGATTAAACCATTCATGAGGGCAGAGGTCTGTCTCATAAACCAATCACTTCCTTAAAGGCCTTGTTAATATTGCCAAACTGGGAATTAAATTTCAACATGAGTTTTAGAGGGGACAAATATTCAAACCATAACCCTACAGTTTTACAGAATGGGAATTATATTAGTCATCTCGTTTTTAAAGAATTAACATATTAGATTTATTTGAATTTATAGGAAATAAAGGAATCTAAAAAATCTGAATGTCACCTAGACATCTGTAATATGACCCCCATCCTCTAAAGGATCCCTCTAAAAATTAAGAAAAGTTTACAAAAAAACAGAAAGGAGTTGGAGGGCTCATTAAATAAGCTCAATTTTAGGCACTATCTATTGATTTCTTGCTGTGAAATGTGGAAATCAGCATGGATACACACATGTACAAATATATATATACACATATACATACACACACACTCCCTCTGCCACAACCAATTTTTGTTAACTGCTTTTATTTGGTAAAAATGTACATAGTTTACATTATATGAATTATGAACTGTAATTCCATGACTGCTTAATCCTGGATCTACATTAAACTAGATTCCATGCTCAACAAGAGTCCTTTTTAATCACAACTCCTCTAAATTTGAGTTTTTCATTAATATCATGTTTTTGTTAGCTGGGTTTCAGCAAGCAGTTTTTTTTAATGGCGCTAATCGGTGCCACATCTGAAATTCTTGCAGGCTTCAGAATGTCTGCTATTGCACAAACTTTCTTCTCCCTAAGAACTTTGTAAATATTACTCCATGGTCTTCTTACATGGGTGCCAGAGAATTCTGAGGATACAGCCTTTAACCTCTTCTCTTATGCTTGGTTTTCAGCCACTCCACCAGTTCAAGAATATTCTTTCACCAAGATTTTAATGCCCTTTACCATGAGCGCACGTCTTCTTCCTTTCAGGCTTTCGGGAAGTCAGTGAGTGTAATTCACAATAAAGCCCTGAAATTCTAGTTATTTTTTTTTTTAAATTTTAACACTTTATACCACATTTTGCCAAGGTGACAATCAGGTACTTCTAATTTTGCTCTGGATTATGGCATTCATTTGCTGCATTTATGTATTCAAAATATATTCCCTCTTCTAACCATATTAAAATAATTTTTGATACATCTTTATATTTTCCCAAAAGATTTTCCTTATGAAAGTGATATAAATCTTACAGTCACACACCTTACATTTACAAATATAGTACATGTGAGGTACCATGTTAGAAATTTTTATGTTTTTTTCTGATGCTCACAGCAACCTGAAAACTCGATAGCAGTATCCCTTTCATATTACAGATGAAGAAACTGAGTATGAGACAGGTTAATTAAATGGACCCAAACCAGCCAGCCAACATGGTAAATTGGAATTTTCACCCCCATTTCATTTAAAGTTCACTAGTTTTTCCACACACCACTCTCGCACCTATAGCTGTCTATTAACTTTCCATATCCTTTCCCTTTCTCTCTAAAATTATCTTTAAATGGAATACTTAAAAGGTTATGTCATCAGTAGGTCCAACAAGAAACCGCTTTTGCTCTATTTATAAATCTTGAGGTGCAAATAAGATATTGAAAAGTCCACGGGCTCTAAGAATGGACTGGGAGGATGTTAATGTTTGCTGAGAGATTGGAACTGGTTTCAGACTAAATATTCATGCCTCTGCTCTTTAATTTTGCCATTAAAAAACTCAAATGTTTCTCTATATAAATTCTTAAACACAAAAAACACACTGCTAAAGACTTAACCCATACAGTGTTTTCCATATGCTTTTCAACAAACAAAAATAAATTTATTAAGTAGAATTTTACTTGCAATAAACCCTCTATAGTTTTCTTCTAATTTTAGGGAATATTTGTATTGTGTTTCTTCCAGTTCCTGGTTATAAGCAGATGTAAGCTGCCAAGCTGAGATCTAAGTTTTAAAGCTCAAAAATTATTTTCAAATACACAGCACTATGCTATATACTGGGAAAAGCAAAAAGCAAGTACCTTTCCCTGCTTTCCTGGAGTTTAGTTTTGCTAATGACACAGGGAAGTAAAAATAGCAAAGAAACAGTTTGGAAACAATAGAGCGGCACAGCAAAAGCAGTGCTAAGAGGAAAACTTATAGCACTAACTGTTTACATTAAAAAAGAGAGAAATAAATTGATTATTTAAGCTTCTACCTCAAGACTCAACAAAAAGAGCACAATAAACCCAAAGCAAGAAGGAATAAAATAATAAAGAGCAGAAATTAATAAAATTTAAAACAGGCATTATTTTAAGTGAACTAACACAGGACAGAAAACCTTATTAGTTCTCACTTGTAACTAAACACAGAGGACATATGGACACAAAGAAGGGAATAACAGACACCAGAAACTACCTAAGACTGGAGGGAGGGAAGAGGGTGAGGACTGAAAAACTATCTATTGGTTAAATACACTATGCTTAATACACTTAAATACGCTTAATACACTTAAATACACTTAATACACTTAAATACACTATGCTTAAATACACCAAACCCCCATGACACACAATTCACCTCTGTAACAAACCTGTATATGTACCCCTGAACCTAAAATGTAAAAAAAAGAGCTGGTTCTTTGATAAGATTAATAAAATGGACAGCCTCTAAAGATTGAGACACAAACTACCAATAGCAGGAATAATACAGGGGTTATTTCTATTGACCCTGCAGATACCAAAGGATAATAAGGGAATACTACAAACAACTCTACACGTATAAATTTGACAAGTTAGATGAAATGGACCAATTCCTTGAAAAGCATAAACCATCACAATTCACTCAATATGAAATAGATTATTTGAACAGCCATATAATTATTTATAGAAACTGAACTCACAATTTTAAAACTCCCCTCACCCCCCGCCCCTGACCCCCACAAAAATCTCCAGGTCCAGATGGTTTTACTGGAGAATTCTAACAGATGTTCTAAAAATTATTTTTTAATGTTTTAACATCAATTTGTACAATCTCCTCCAAAAAGTAGGAGAGAACACTTCCCAATTCATTTTATCAAGTTCATATTACCCTGATACCAAAATCCAACAAAGACAGTACAAAAAAAAAACCAAAAAAAACTACAGACTACTACCCTTCTCAGAAATACAGAAACAAAAATACTTAAAAGTATGAATTAGCATGTTAAGTACTAATACTTAATGAAGTATTAGTATTTCACAAAGTATTAGTAAATAGAATTCAGCATTATGTAAAAAGAATTATGACCAAGTAGAGTTTATTCTGAGTATGTAAGGATGGTTCAACATTTAAAAATCAACACGATTCATCCTATTAACCAACTAAAAAGGAAAATTCACACAAATGAAAAGATGCAGAAAAAATACTTGACAAAATCCAATATTCAGGACAAATAACTCTCAGAAAAACAAAAACAGAAGGAATTTCCTTAACTTGATAAAGAACAAGTATCAAAAACTAACAGCTAATGGTACACTTAATGGTAAAAGACTGAATGTTTTCACGTTAAGATCATGAACAAGGAAAGGATGTCCACTCTCATCACTCTTACTCAATATAGTACTGGAAATTCTAGCCAGTATAATAAAGGAGAAAAATAAAAAAGAGAATGAAAAGGCATATAGATTGTAATGGAAAAAATGAAACCATCCCTATTTGCAGATTTGTAGATAATGTGACTGTGAAGGAAATCTCAAGGATTTTGTGAAAAGAAAAATGCTACAAAGAGTAAATTCAGCAAGGTCACAGGATATAAGATACACATGCCAAAATAATAAAAAACAAACAAAAACAAAAACGAAACCCATAAAACTCACAAATGGAGAAATCATACAATGAAAGGCTTGGCAAAAGACATGCAATCTCTTCCCATATAAAACTAAAGAACCTGTGTGTGGCCAGGCACTGTGGTTCACACCTGTAATCCTAGCACTTTCGGAGGCTGAGGTGGGAGAATCTCTTGAGGTCAGGAGTTCCAAACCAGACTGGCCAACATGGAGAAACCCCATCTCTACTAAAAATATTTTTAAAAATTAGCTGGGCTTGATGGCAGGTGCCTGTGATCCCAGCTACTGGGGAGGTTGAAGCAGGAGAATTGCTTGAACCTGGGAGGCAGAGGTTGCAGTGAGCCAAGATCGCGCCACTGTACTCCAGCCTGGGTGACAGAGCAAGACTCCATCTCCAAAAAAAGAAAAACCTGTCTGTGATAATTATGCAACAAAGCAGAAATGTTATTATCCCAGAAAGAAAAACTCCATAAAATAAAATGATATTAATTTATGTTATGGTTAGGCAAAAATGGCATTATGGTGCCAACTGAAATGGAGAGGGGGATAGGAGAGAATGTGCTTGTAAGAAGTATGTGTTCTAATTTCATCACGTAAGTAACTCAGTTGACTTTTTTTTAAAAAAAGCTTAACTACAAAAATCTTCACACAAGCATAAAACCAAAAAAAAACTCACATACCTGTCATACAGATTGAATTATAATACAAAATTTGGCATATTTACTTTATTCTTTCTTCAAATGATTATAGTATTTTAATGCAAATCTTAGACATAAAGTCATCTCATTTCTACATACTTCTGTATACCTGTCCGAAAATATCAACATTTTCTTAAAAACTATAACGCCATTACTAAATGCCTAACAAAATAGCAATAATTATTTGGAATCATCTAACCCACAGTCTGTAATCAAATTTCCACAACTGTCTTCTGTAATCAAACTGTCTCAATTAGCACAAAAATGTCTTTTCGCAGTTGGTTTGTTCAAATCAGAATTCAAATAGTATTCATGTTCACAGAAAAAATGAAAAAATAACACTTTGTATAATAGCTATTAAACATAAAAACCTCAATGAAACACACATTTCTATTTAAAAGAAAGCTAATTATCAAATCTGACTCAAGATACACAACCTAATAGACAACCATAGAAAAAATAAAATGTTGTCAAAGAGCCAGACTTCAAAAAGGTCCAGACTTTCCTGGACGAAGTCTCTCAATCTTTAAAAAAATAATTTTTGGACTACATAAATCATTCCAGAAAATTAAGGAGCAGAAATTAACCAATTATTCTTTAATATAAAAGTTTGATGACATTATCTGACAAACAGAACCCAAAGAACAGCATAGAAAACTTCAGTCTGATTTCACTCCAATTAAAGAGAATGCTGAGCAATTAGTAGTAGTTATCGTTAAGTTGGGTCTTTTGGCAGTAAGCTCTAAGATGAGGTGCTTGTGTCAAAGTGATTTATTAGAAAGTATTCTATGGAAAACCTTGTAGGGAAACAGGACAGGAAGGGAAGGAAGCTAAGCAAGGGTAAGACACCAAGGAAGGTCCCATAGAGGGTAATTTTAGCTCAGTCCCTCAGGGTAGTTCTGGTGTTAACGTAGGTCACACCTCAGAGTTTACTCATATCATTAGTCATTGGTTAAGGGCTGTCTTCAGGAAGCAAATTTTCCAGACACTTCCACGGCATGTACATTGGCAAAACAGGCTCTGGCATGGTGAGGGTGGCCTTGCAACAAGCCTTAGGAGCTAGATGTTGAGAATCAACAGACACTAGGAGTCTGACAGCAGGAAGGAAACACAGGCCTATGGAGAGAGCACTGGCATCATCTGCTACAGTTTAAGTTTTGGATACAGAAAGTTAAAAACCACTTTGTTTGGATTTGCATTATGGAATTCCTAAGAGGTTGAGCAATATATCACTCCAGTGGGATCATCCTACAGTTAAAAACCACTGGTGATTAGTCCCAACAACTTGTACAGACATTTCAATTCGCTTTTTATTAGCTAGTCTAAATTACCAACACCAGTTATCAATCACCAGACATTTTAAGGAATGGCTCTGATAAGAAAGAAAAAGACAAACAGTCACATTTAAATGAATTTGGTAGAGATTATGCAATGAGATGAAAACTTAAAAACAAACAACATACCACCATTAATATCTTGAGAGAGAAAAGATACCATGCCATTGCATTCATGAAGAACAAGGTATCAGTTTTTAAAAATCAGAAGACAAAAGACTCCTAAAAATTAAAATGTAAGAAAATTGAAAACCTCAAATAGAACAGCTGTAAATCAGATAAAGAAATCTCCCTGAAAGTAAGCAAAGTTAAAAGACAAGAAAGACGAGGTGATGGAAAATAAGAAAAAAAACTGTGAAAACTAAAGATCACTTTAGAGGTCCAGATAAAAGAGAAGAGGAAATCATTAACTCAATATTTCAAAGACATTTTCATTTTCACACTGAAAGGATCCAATGATACCCAGCACAGTAAATAAAAACAGACCCATAAAGACATATCATGAAACCTCAGGACGCGTGGGTCAAAGCCATCCTGCAAACTTTCAGAGAGAGGAACAAAAGGTCACATACAAGAGACCAGAAAGTAAGTGGTTCTGGACTTGCACAACATTGAAAGCTAAAAAGCAGTGGAGAAAATCCTTTGAAATTCTGAGGAAAAATAATTTTCAACCTAGAATTTTATACTCAAACTATGCAACAAGTGTGAGGGAAGAATAAAGATACTTTTGGGCTGGGCGCACCTGTAATCCCAGCACTTTGGGAGGCCGAGGCCAGCAGATCACAAGGTCAAGAGATCAAGACCATCCTGGCCAACATGGTGAAACCCCATCTCTACTAAAAATACAAAAATCAGCTGGGCGTGGTGGCACATGCCTGTAGTCCCAGCTATTTGGGAGGCTGAGGCAGAAGAATCTCTTGAACCCAGGAGGTGGAGCTTGGTTGCAGTGAGCCGAGATCACACCACTGCACTCCAGCCTGGCGACAGAGTGAGACTCCGTCTCAAAAAAAAAAGAATAAAGATACTTTAAAGACATGACAGATTTTGTTTAGATCAATGCTCAGCATATACCATATTTTAAAGCACCAGTAGGACACTGATGTAGAAATGTTGAGCAAGCTGTTGGAGATACAGGTCTGGGGACTGGGAGAAGTTTCAGAATTGGTCACCTGTATATTTGAATTACAAATTAAAAAGAACACTCAACTCTAAAATATAATATAGCAAATAAAAATAGCTAACACTGAGTAATTATTCATTGAAAAGGATATTCTTCTAAGTGCTTTAAATTAATTTACCATAACTTTCCACAACCCTATGCTGGCTAACAGAGTTGTGTAAATTCCTATTAATTTTAATTGCTTGCTATATGGCCTGCTACTACAAAAAACTCAAAAGACAAGATTCTCTTTAGCACATTCCCCTCTTTTTACTCAGCCACTCAACTCTTAATCTAAGAAAATCTTAATAAAAAATAAAAAGCATTCATGAGCAGTGCCTGTACATAATAAGCTTCCAAGGATGTGCTAAATGAAAAAGATTTAATATCCCAAATCAGAATCAATACAAGGTAAAATTATGTAAATTAAGATATACCCACTAAGTAGATTATACAACTGCTAAATTGTTGAAGATTACATTTTATTATGAAAACATATTAGAACATAAGTGAACACAAATATTTTATATACAACAATTTCATATACAATTCCACACAAAATTTTATAGACAATGTTATTACAATTATGTGCTTAAAAAAAGTGATACTAAAAAAAGACTAGAAGAAAATAAACCAAAATACTTAAAATGCTTCTAATATTTCAATTGGATAAGGGCCAACTAACATTATTTTTCTAAATTGAGTTTAATGAATATATATTTCTTGAGCAGCTCTCAAAAAGTAATCTTAGGATCCCTTTAAACTCTTAATTAGTGAGAATCTCCAAATAGTTTTTATTTATGTAGGTTTTATCTATTGATTAGATTTTTATTAGAAATTAAAACTGAAAAATTTTTAAGGCTTTATTTTTTTCAGAGTAGTTTTAGATTCACAACAAAACTGAGAGGAAGGAGAACAGAGATTTCCCAATACTCTCTGCCCCAACATATGCCTAGCTTCCTGTTATCAACATTCCTCACCAGAGGGTACATTTGTTTCAACTGATAAACCTACACTGACACATCATTATCATTCAAAGTCTACAGTTTACATTATGGTTCACTTTTGGTGTTGTACATTCTATGGGTTTGGACAAATGTACAATGATACATATCTGTCATTATAGTATCATAGAATATTTTCATTCCCCTAAAAGCCTATGTATAAACTATTCAAAACAGTAATGTTAAACCTTCTACCTGTTAACACAAATCATGTATTTTATGAAAAATAACTATTTCCATGCCAGGCGCAG
This sequence comes from Homo sapiens, assembly GCF_000001405.40. NCBI lineage: Eukaryota > Metazoa > Chordata > Mammalia > Primates > Hominidae > Homo > Homo sapiens. Next base: position 7,219,125 of record NC_000007.14, on the reverse strand, counting down.
TGGCTCACGCCTGTAATCCCAGCACTTTGGGAGGCCGAGGCGGGCGGATCACGAAGGTCAGGAGATCGAGACCATCCTGGCTAACATGGTGAAACCCTGTCTCTGCTAAAAAAAAATACAAAAAATTAGCCGGGTGTGGTGGCGGGCGCCTGTAGTCCCAGCTACTCAGGAGGCTGAGGCAGGAGAATGGCGTGAACTGCGGAGGCGGAGCTTGCAGTGAGCCGAGATTGCACCACCGCACTCCAGCCTGGGCGACAGAGCAAGACTCCATCTCAAAAAAAAAAAAAAATAGAAACACGGTTTGAGATGTATACCAATTTGATTTTAAACCCAATTACAAGGTTTTCTGTAATCTTTGGAAGGTGCTACCAAATGGACCTTTCCAAATGTTAAATATTGTACTAGGAGCCAAAGATATAGTCACTAGCACATCTTCTACTGTTTCAGTGTAAACTCTCAGAAGGCAAAATAAGGCAAAACAGAATATCTTACCTCTCAGAGTTGCTATGATTCTTTTTATGAGGCACTAGTGCAATACACAAGAACTAGCTTGTAATGAGGGGGCAAAGCAGCTCACCTTATTCATCCCCCACCCCCAAATCTAATATCTCTACGTTGCTCCATTTTAACCACTCTGATGACACTTTTCTCCTTCCATTATTTGTTCATTTTTCGTTGGGCCAATAAATTTTACTACTATCTGCAAACAACCCCATAGAGACTTCACCTAACAGTCCTGTCTTAAAAATATAATACTTTTCAATGCCACAAAATTAAATCCAACTGCTTAACTTGGTACACAGGGTCTAGCTCTAGTTCACCTTTCTGTCATTTTATTTCTGACATTCCCCATCCCTAAGCCTACACTGAGCCTTTCTCCAAGACTTCCATGGCCTTTTATACAGATGACTGACCATTTTAATCTTTATGACTGGAGTGCCTGGCCTGATTTTGTCTACTCCACAGACCTGTAACTAACTTTTAAAGGTTATCTTAGTTTCAGCACTTTCCACTGCTCCCCTTTCCTAACTCCCACGGCCAAACTATAATACTATCCCATCAAATTTTTCCTTATTCCTTCATTTACACCTTTACTATATACTCATCAGTAAAGCTCCCCGCAAATGGCAGCTATGGGCTCATGTGTCTTTCTCTCACCAGTATCTAACATACCGCTCAGCTTGCAAGAGCCATCTAGCTTTTTGCGGCAGGGAGGGGAGAGCTACAATTGAAATGATTTTTCTCAAACGGTATCTATGCTGCCTGATTTACCAAACAAAACTGTTTCTGGGCCAGGCATAGTGGCTCATGCCTGTAATCCCAGAATTTTAGGAGGCCAAGGTGGGAGTATCACGTGAGCTCAGGACAAGGCTGCAATGAACTATGATTGTACCACTGTACTCCAGCCTGGGCAACAGAGTGAGACTTTGCTTCTTTAAGGAAATACATAAAAACAAAAGAACTGCTTCTGTTGTATTTCAAATCATGCCTACACCTCTTAAGTTTTCAATAGTTTTCTCAAAGCTTTTAAAGAAGTTTCTATCTTATTAAACAAAAAGGAATAAAAATGAAATAATCCATCAGCGAATAAAGCATGTGCCCACATAATCATTAAGATTTTAACCACTGCCAGGTGCAGGTGGCATGTGCCTGTAGTCTCAGCTACTTAAGAGGCTGAGGCAGGAGGATCACTTGTGAATGACCACTACACTGCAGCCTGGGTGATGTAGCAAGACCATGTCTCTTAAAAAAAAAAGGTGGGGGCAGGTAGGGGAATTCCCTCTCTCAGCTTTGGAGCCCCCCCACCCCCTCAGCTCCCCGGCTCTGTATGGGGGAGCTTCTTCCTTCTACCTTCTTTCTTCTTTCTGGCCTATTCAACTCTCCGCTCCTTAAAACCCCTCCATGTGTGTCCATGTCGTTTTATCTAAGCCAGCATGAGTACCAAGAACCCTGGTGTTCCTTCACTCATCAGAACCATTATCATTTTGGTGCATTGGCCGGTAAAGGAAGTTCATTCATCAGACTGGTAAGTATGCAGCGGATTTCAACTTTAAATCTGTCCTATAATCTCAATACTCTCTTCCATCTACCCTGTCGCCAAATTTTCTCTTTTTATCCACAATCTCTTACCCTGTGTGTGTGTGTGTCTAATGTGCAGGAATACTTACAGTTTAGGAAAAAGAGGTCTGTTAGAAAAGAAAGAGAATTACAGCAGGCAGTACTCAATAACTCTCTCTCTCTATGGTTTCTCTGGGAAGCACATGGTCATTTCTAAGCCACTTAGCAGAAATCAGGCTCTAGGACTCTTCTGAGAACGGAAGTTTATGCTTTTAAGTTAGCAGTAAAATGTCTTCGGCAGCCAGATTTTAGTCCCGATATTGTCCCATCAGTGGGAAAACGGCCATTCTATTCCTACGTTCTTTTAAGGCATCTATTCTGTCTCCGATTAAGATAGTACTTAATTAGTAAGGGAAGTTTAAGTTCGGAAGTTAACTGGAACTGTTTTCTTTCAAGGGTAAGTGCTTTATAGCATGGGCCGTAATAGCAGGCAATCTATAGCACATTGCCTCCGTTAAAGGAGCCTTGCCCGAAAGGTGACAGCCTCTCCAGATGTTTTTTTTGGCTGGGGGAGGGGGGATCCAGGCAAATCACACTGGTTCTAGGAAGTCAAAGAGAAATCACACAAGGCGGATAAGCTAAGGCTGCTTGGGTAGATGTGGTTAGCCCCATTACTTAGTTCATCCAGATCCACAGCTTGGAGGACCATGCCTACAACCATGGGGGAGCACATTTAAGAAGGTGCCGGAATCCAGAAACTGGGAAGGTAAGACATTCAGAGGATACCCCGTCTTCTCCTCCACTCTGGGTCATACAGAAAGGAAGGAGACTAAGAAAATGCTTTTATTCTCGCTTCTTTTTCTAAATGGGTAATAAATTATCTTCAGCTTGCACCCCTCTGGAGTGCACTCTCAAACACTGGAACTTCCTTAACCTCAGAACTTTAAAGAAAGCAACTCATTTTCTTTTGCAGAAGAGCATGGCATTTCTAATAAACCTCTGCAAGCGTTGTAAGATCAACTCAGATCTTTTAGCACCATATTGGGCAGGCCCAGGGAAAATAGTTCCCCAAAATTAAAAAAAAAAGTAACTTTCAGGGAAATCATCTAGGGGTCCCCCTTATTTGGGGCACCTTCAAGTTCCCTGCTCATTGCAGGACCTTAGGCAAGTAAAAGGAGACTTAGACTGATTTTCTAATGACCCGAAATAGGTATACAGAGACTTTCCAAAATTTAACTCAGGTATTTAACCTCACACGGGAGGATGTTATGTTGCTGCTAACTCAAGCCCTCACTGCAGCTAAAACAGGCAGCTCTGCAAGCAGAAGAGAATTTTGGAGATAAGCAATATGTCTCCTACAGTACGCCAAAAGGGAAAAGAAAAAATAGGGAAGGCAAAGAAATAGAGGAAACACTATTCCCAATAGGAAGAGAGGCAATACTTCTTGAAAACCCTAACTGGAATTCCTTTCTATGGTGTTTTTCCTTCTTTCGCGGTTTAAAATGGCTTCTGTCTCTTTTATAATGTTCTTCCAACCTGAAAAAGGCTAATTTTCCAAACCTTAAAATGCTTGGCTTAAAGTTAAGCTAGGGGGAAAGGGAACCCAGAAGCCTGATATGCTGGCAAAAGTGTAAAAATTTCTTACCAGTCGGGCTTTTGGCTTTTCTCTCCCGGCACAAACTGGCAAAGGGATAATAAGGATCATTGTTTATATTCTCTGTAAATTTATAATTAATGAAGAAGGATTTGTGAGGTTGGTCTTCAGTTATAAACAATCTGGTGTGCTTTGCATGTCTCTTTCTGTATGGTTCTGTCAAAGAAAGGGTACCTTAGGTTAGGATGCAGGCCCAGGACTCCGTAAGCCTGCTGTTCAAGCCAGCCCAGCAAAGCAGTCGGTGGCAAACTTGGCTACAGCCTCCATCTTGTTTCACGTCCTTGGGAACACGATCTGTAACCGCGTGGCAATACTTTGTTTTAGTCTCCACCATTTTACAATGGTGGCTGTCTTCTTGTGCTAAGTCAGTTCCTGGGTGAGGGCCACAAAATCAGATAATCCAGTTAGTCAACCTGGATGGTACCAGCTGATCCATCAGAGGCAGGGTTTACAAAATATCTTAAGCCTGATCTTGAGAGCAGTTTAAGGAGGGTCAAAATCTTGTAGCCTCCAGCTGCATGGCTCCTGGGCCAAGGTTTCTAGTCTTGTAGCTAGCTTCCTGGTCTGGTCCCCAGGCAAGTGGAAAGTATATCATGGGAAGTGGCTATTATCATCTTTGTTTTCGACTGGAGAATGTAAACCCGGCTTCTCCGAAAGTTTGTTCGGCCTACCCCTGGGATGGGCAAGGACAGCTTGGGGGCTGGAAACCAAATGGAGTTGCTTGGGTTGGATCTCTTTCACTGTCTCAGTCTCAATTTTGAAAATACTCTGTACACCCTCAGTTGAGTCATTACCTGATTAAGCCTTGTTGGTTTCACCTGTGAGGTTACTTTCGAAAGTTCGAAAGCCGAAAATCTTAACTGCTTGGCATGGCTAAAGTCAAGTAACAGGGGATTTAAAAGGATTTCCTTAAAGAGTGCTCAGCTTAATTAAAAGTGGATATTCAAGTTATAGGTATACTTAAAAGGCTTTTATGTTTTTCTCTTCTTGGATCTTGTTTTTCTGGAAAAAGGCTCTCCTCAGTCGACTGAATTATTTTTCTCCATTTTTTGTCTTACCACTCTTAATGCATGCATGAGAGGTCCTAAGATAACTTCTGGTAGCATGGAACTCCTTGGGAAAAACAGGAGATGCCACAGACCCTGTTTTGGGAAAAAAACCTTTTTTTCCTCATGAAATCCCAGGAATTAAAAGGAGATGGATCCCTCTCAAAATCAAAGGCTCTATTCTGTTTTGCATTGTGTTATCTACTGTGTTTTAAGTTTGGGGGGTATCAAATTACTTCACATTATGAAAAGCTTTGGTGTGTAATAACTAAGTAGAAAATACACTGTAGGGATGGCTAATAGTAGTTATAAATTAGAAAGCATGCTCTTGGCCACCTGGAAGATAAGGAAACATCCCTACCCCCCACTGGGAGATGAGCCTCCCATCAGGGATGGACTGATTACAAAATAAGCCAATTGGCTTTGGGTTGCCTTGCAATGAAATGCATGGTAGAAGAACTACAGTGTCTTCTCCCATGATATTTATATGTTCTTTTCATAAATTAAGCATTGAAATAAACGCATAGCAAGAGGGTCTTAAGGCACTAATCTGCCCTTTAGTAAAAAGGTTATAAAAGGTTTGTAAAGATTTTTACCTCATGGTCAAAGTGGATAAAATTAGATGAAATAATCCATAAGGTTTCATTTAAACTAATTGGGGTTAACATTAATAAACTAGTGCAAGGGTAAAATTTGGATTTAAACAAAATTTTCATGTCACAGTAAAGGCTAATGAAAGATTTTTGCCTTTTAAGTCACCATTTTGGCAAAATATTTATGCCAATCTGGAAATTGTCCTTCCTGATGCCTGGCTTTCTGGATGGCTCAGAGGGCCCCTGAAACATTCAGAGAAAAGGTAGACGGAATCATCTGACATGTTTAGTCACATAAGATTGCCAAAATGATGTCCAATCTTCTTTAAATTATATTTCGGTAAATAATACTAATATACGTTCCAAAATTGTATGGGATTTCTAAAATTCTAATGCCGAAGTACATGCTGTCAATCACAATTAAGGCTAAAGTTACTGTAAACCATGGAAATAAATTATCAGTCATGTTTTTAACTGTAGCTATCCTGAAAATTTTGTCATTTGCAGACAATTGTTGTCTTGCTTTGTTCCTTCTCAAAAGACGGTTTATAATCAAGCTATATTAAGGACTTTAACTGCAGGTTTTTAATAGCTTTGAAGATTGTAACACTGAAATTGAGAAAGAAGATATGGGACTCCTAAAGAACTGACATGCTCACAAATATCAAGCAAAACAAGAGTTAACTAAGTGGACTGCACTCAAAAAGTTTAAGCAACTTTTTAACTTTTGCTTGGAATATTGTTGATCCTTGTTTGGTTTTTCAGAGTCAAGGAAACTTATTCTAAACTATTTATGACCTTTTAATAATTGAGTAAGGTATACTACTGTAAACAAAATTTGGAGCATGTTTTGTAAGGTCCTCTGAGCTGGCTGCACCATGGTCAAGCCATCGTGACATTCCCCTGCCTTTGTGATAATGTACTTTGTGATATTCCCTGTCCTTGTGAATGTACTTTGTAACATTCCTCCCAGCCCTTGTGACAATACACCCTCCCCTCCCTTGTGAATGTACTCTGAAACATTCCTCCCCGCCCTTGTGAATGTACTTTGCAACATCCATCCCTTACCCACAAAAAATTGCTCCTGACTCCACCACTTATCCCAAACCTTTAAAAACCAATGCTAATCCCACTATCCTTCAATGACTCCTTTCTCTGACTCAGCCCACTTGGACCCAAGTGAATAAACAGCCTTGTTGATCACACTAAGCCTGCTCAGGTGGTCTCTTATACGGACATAAGTAACAATGTTCATTTTTCCCCACCTGGTTCCTCTATAATTTGGAGACTAACTGTAATTACTCTTAACTTATGGCAATATAGTTGTTTGCATTAGTGCAGTAAGAATCCATTTTTCTTTCTCAACAGGACACAATTGGAAAAACTGGTTATTATACCAAGGCTTTGACTGAAAGGGTGTGTTTCCCTTTAAGGAATCAAGCTTGACACGCAGAGCCAATAAAAAGCCCCTGGGAGAACTGGCATCATACCTTGTCTACACAGTCCCCGCACAGGGCTCCTAACCTGTGGTCAGTAAAGAACGTCACTTTCTAACAGGTCTGGAAGCTCCGAGTTTCTTGGGACCTCAAGAAGAGAGGATCACCTAACTCACAGGTATTTGAGGATAGAAACCCATTGCTGGCCTAGGCTTTAAAGGTCTTATCTAAGATTCCTTGTGGAACTGAGTTTTATCAAAGCCATCCAAAAGACCTATGTAGAAATAACCATTCTTGCTAACACTTCATGCAAATAATCAGGCCAAGTATAAGACTAAAGTTCATTCACAATTAGCTTTTACCAAAAATGAGAACTGGAGAGAAAATTTTGCTCCAAAGCTTATCATACATTTGTCATTAAATCCTAGTCTCATTAATTGTTTTTAAGCTTTTTGCCTACATTTTAAATTAACCCTGCTTATTCCTGTGACTCAAGTGGTAATCTTCTGCAGCTTGGAAGAAAGAAAAAGGGATGGGTAATGTAAAAATCTGAATCACTATACTAATTGTGGGAAATTATCCTGCAAATTCTGCCAGGTAATAAAAGTAAGTAGGGTATCCATAACCCGAAGGTTTCTTTGTTTAGGAAAATAAAACCAAAGCTTCATAGACCACCAAAGGGAAATTATCTTGGCAAGTAAAATTTTAGATGGAAATTATCTACTACACCACACTTGTGGGAACTGCTATACTCACTCTACTGTTTGCAATAGGGATACACACGGTAGCACCTTCTAACTGAAATATTGGACAGAGTTTCCATTGCTGTTGTATTTTGCTTAATTATTATCCTTAGAGCAGGAATAATAGTTACTGACAAGGAAGCATGAAAGTTTTACTATCACTGAGTCTGCTAGGACTTTTTTTGGGTTTAGGGGTGATTAACACCTCTAGTAAAGTAGAGAAAAATCTACAGGTACTTAAAGATCAAATCAAAATTATTGACAGGCTCAGGGAAAACGCCAGCTTCAGCCCCGGGTGGCTACAAATTCTTCTTTAATACATTCCAGTCTTCCTTAAGGAATTGGTTAACTCCTTTTTTAAGCCTTCTCTTGTTTATATGTCTTGTATTGATATCTGGGCCCTGTATACTCAATACTGTAACTCTCACCTAGAAGCAATCAATCTCCAAATGGTGCTGCAAACTGATCCACACATGGACATGCCATTCTTCCGAGGATCCTTAGATCAACCCCAGGAGGAGCCCTAGTTGCTGTTCCCCATATGATGCCCCTTTTCAGCAGTAAGTAGCCAGAAGGAGTTGTTGCCCAAAACCCTCTAACAGCAGTTAGTGTGGCATCTCCACAGGCGGGAATGTTGTAGGAGTTATTAAGAAATTATTTTAGGCAGAGAAGAAAAAGGGGTCCTTGGAAAGTTTTCATTTTTTAAAGCATCTCCAGAAAAGTTTCTTGTAAAGCCACGGCTGTTAAAGCCAGGCCAGCAACCTTTCATATGCAAATTTAGGCCATTAGAAACTGGGTCCACCCAAACATGGAGATTCCCACAGCCTTCTTGCCCTTGCCCTACATGTTCCTGGAATCCCGACGAGCGTAGAACATCATGGCGCCATGTATTTGCATATTAAAAGACCAGGGTGGAAGAGCCAGCTTTTTCATGAGCTATGTGAATGATGCGCCTAGTCAACCCAATCCCCGGAGCCCTATGCAAATCGAACACCACCTTCTCCAGCCTCTGCATATATACCTGGCTGGTGTCCACCGCACTTGGGGATCCCTTCTCTTGGCTTTGGAGCCTCCCTCCCTCTGTCTCTGTACGGGGGAGCTTCTTCCTTCTGCCTTCTCCCTTCTGTCTGGCCTATTAAACTCTCCGCTCCTTAAAACCAAAAAAAAAAAAAAAAAAAAAGAATCTGCCCACCATGAAATTATGCATGGTCTCATCATTTGAAGCTTTAAATACATTTCTATAATACAAAGCCATAAACTGGACATACAACATGAGCTATACAGATGCTTCGCAATCAAGTCAAAATCAAGCTCCCCAAGTCTCCAGTTGAAATTATACCCTTTAAAATAGTCCCACAATTCCAGGTTCAGAAAATAAAAAGTCAGAACAACTTTTTGTTACTGTTCCAAGAGTCACAAATATTTTTTGCAACCTCAACAGGTTCTGTCAGGCCTCTGAGCCCAAGCTAAGCCATCATATCCCCTGTGACCTGCACGTATACATCCAGATGGCCTGAAGTAACTGAAAAATCACAAAAGAAGTGAAAATGGCCTGTTCCTCCCTTAACTGATGACATTACCTTGTGAAATTCCTTCCCCTGGCTCATCCTGGCTCAAAAGCTCCCCCACTGAGCACCTTGTGTCCCCCGCCCCTGCCCGCCAGAGAACAACTCCCTTTGACTGTAATTTTCCACTACCTACCCAAATCCTATTTTTATAAATAGGCCGTTTTATAAAACGGCCCCACCCCATCTCCCTTCGCTGACTCTCCTTTCGCACTCAGCCCGCCTGCACCCAGGTGAAATAAAAAGCTTTATTGTTCACACAAAGCCTGTTTGGTGGTCTCTTCACACGGACGTGAGTGAAAGGTTCTACAATACCCAAGGTTGGGAGAAAATTATACTGCTTTATCACACTGAAAACTTTCTAGGAACATCCAATATTCTTTCTCCACGAATGTCCTATCTGCCTGTCCCAGGAGTAGGCTGATCCTTATCCATTACAAGGTTCAGAAGGCTGTAAGACATACCTGGAAGCAGATTATTCTTGAAGAGCTTGTTCTTTCTGCATCATGCTCCTGTTTCTATACTTATATGCACAAAGTATCCATTTAAGACAAGGGTGCAGGTTATCAACACTATTTAATACTGGAAGCACTAGCCAATCCAACTGCACAAGAAGATAAAGGTACAAATATTTCAGAAGAGGTGAGAAAGTCATCATTAACTGCAGATACTATGGCCATCTTCGGAAAAAATACTAAAATGCTGTCCAAAAAAACCAGTAAATTCACTTAAGGCTGCCATTTACAAAGTATGTGAAGTCAATCACTTTTTATATGCAGATAATATGCGACTTATAATGGAAGGTCACGTTTCAATAGCAAACAAAAAAGCTATAAGTAACAAAGAATAACAAAACTATAAATGTATAGGCTCTACATAAAGAAAACTATAATTCCATAAAGGATCTAAAATAAAACGAGTAAATGGAAAGACAAGATGTGTTGTGAGATACGAAGAATCCATGATTAAGTTAGAGGATTCTTGGATGACAGTAGAGTAGAAAGCACCAAGAATGAGTCTGTATACCCAGAGAACACTTACGCTGGTAGAATCTATCTCATACAACTATTATGAAGCTCTCAAAGTATACTGAAAACTTCAAACTTCAAGAAAAAGTCCTGGACAGTAAGGTAAACTGTGGCTGATTTCAGTCAATTTCAGTTATTTGCTCAGCAGCAGCTACCGACCCCACCCCACCCTCACTCCCACAGGCAGGCAACTGTGCACGTGTTTGTGGAGCAGCTTATATGTAGCTGTGGGAGTTAGGGTGGGCAATAAGGACCCCGTCCTCCAAATATCAGGAATGGGTGTTCTGACTGTTGACTGCTACTTCTGATCACGAAGATATAGGTGCAGGGGCTGGCAGCCATTGTGGTTGTACCTCCACCCACTGATGCAAGCCCCTCCCCCTCTAGCTGAGGTAACTGCCAAGGAACTTAAAGGCTGGTGCTCTCCCCAACCCTCTTCATTTTTGTCCTTTTCCTTTTTTTTTAGGAGCCAAACATCAAGGACTGAGGCATTCAAAAGAAACTGCATATACAAGGGAAAATAGAAATTCACTATAGTAGTCCCCCTTTATCCACAGGGAATATGTTCCCAGAACCCCAGTGGATGCCTGAAACCGCAGATAGTACTGAACCTTACACGTACTATGTTTTTTCCTAAATATACACACCTATGAGAAAGTCTAATTTGTAAATTAGGCACAATAAGATATTAAATAATAAAAAAAATCATGACAATATGCCATCATCACTATTCTTGTGCCCTAGGGTCATTACGTAAAATAAAGGTTAACTTTATTGAACCTTTATTTTAACTTTATTGAACCTTAACTTTATTGAACTGAACACAAGCACTGCAATACCACGAGAGTCAACCTAATAATCAAGACAGCTGCTAAGTGACTATCGGGTGAGTAACATATACAACGTGCATATGATGGACAAAGGGATAATTCATGTCCCAAGCAGGTTGAAACAAGATTTCATCATGCTACTCAGAAAGCATGTAATTTAAAACTTATGAACTGTTTATTTCTGAAGTTTTCCATTTAATATTTTTGGACCACTGTTGACCATAACTGAAACTTCAGAAAGTGGAAGCAGGGATAAAGAGGGACTATTGTATTACATATCCAGCTTAAGGCACAGGCACAGAAAAGACCTGAAAATACCTTAATTGTACAAAATCTCAGACTGATCTTTGGCAAAGAGACTGCAACAATTAAAAAAAAAAAACAAAGAAAAAAAGCACACCCTGAGGAAGGGATACTACCTAATTTCCAGAATTACCACATTAAATTAAATTTAAGCATCCAGTTTTCAACAAAAAAGTCACAAGGTATACAAAGAAACAGAAAAATATGGCCCACTAAAAGAAAGAAAATAAACTAACAAATTGTCCCTGAAAAAGACCCGATGGTAGATCTGTTAAACAAAGACTATAAAACAACTTTCTGAAAAATGCTCAAAGAACTAAAGGAAAATGTGGACCAAGTTAAGAAAATGATGTATGAACAAAATGGAAATATGAATAAAGACATGGAAAATCTGAGCCAGGCACAGTGTGCACAACTACAGTCCCAGCTACCCAGGAAGCTGGGATGGGAGGATTGCTTGAGCCCAGGAGTTTGAGTCCAGCCTGAGCAACAGAGTGAGACCTCAAAAAAAAAAAAAAAAAAAAAAAAAAAAAAGCAACAGAGTAAGAGAAACACAGAGAATGAAAACCTAAAAGGATACACACAAAAATTCTGAAGCCGAAAAGTACAATAAATGAAATTAAAAATCCACTAGAGAGACTGAAAGGCAGATCTAGACAGGAAGAAAAAAAGAATCAGTGAACTTGAAGAGAGAACAATTGAAATTATTGAGTCTTAGGAAAACAAAGAAAAACGGCTGAAGAAATGTGAAGGTCCTAAGGGACTTGTGACACCATCAAGTAGGCCTACATAAACACTGTCATAGTCCCAAGTAATGGAGAGAGAAAAAATGTTTGAAGAAACAATGGTTGAAAATCCCAATTTTAATAAAAGGCATGAATATAAACATCTAAGAAGCTGAAAAAGACTCCAAGTAGAATGACTTCAAGGAGACTCACAGCAAAATATATTATAATGAAACCACTAAGAGGCAAAGAGAAAATCCTGAAAGCTGAAAGAAGTAACTAATCACACATAAGCAGTCCTCAATAAAATTATCAGATTTCTCATCAGACACTTTGGAGGACAGAAGGCATAGGCCAATATAATTAAGATAATAAAACAAAAAAAAAAATGCCAACCATGAATCCTACATCCACAAAAACCGTCCTTTAAAACAAAAGCTGAGACATTCTCTTCTTTTTTTTTTTTTTGAGACGGAGTTTTGCTCTTGTTGCCCAGGCTGGAGTGCAATGGCGCGATCGTGGCTAACTGCAACCACCGCCTCCTGGTTTCAAGCGATTCTCCTGCCTCAGCCTCCCGAGTAGCTGGGATTACAGCAGTATGCCACCATACCCAGCTAATTTTTTTGTATTTTTAGCAGAGACAGGGTTTCTCCATGTTGGTCAGGCTGGTCTTGACTCCCGACTTCAGGTGATTCGCCTGCCTCAGCCTCTCAAGACATTCTTAAATAAAACATTCTCAAGTAAAAAGCTGAGAGAGTTTATTACCAAAAGACCTGCTCTGTAGAGCAAAATTCTCCCAGTCGAAACAAAAGAATACTAGATAATAACTTGTAGCTATATGAAAAAATAAAAATTGCAGTGACAGTAAATACATAGGCAATTATAAATTCTAGTATTATTGTAACTTTGGAACTCCACATTTTTTTACATAACTTGAGACTAACACATTAAAAAATTAGTTTATATTTTTTGACACACAATGTATAAAGATATAATTCTGCAACATCAATAAGTGGTGGGGATGGAATTGTAAAGAAGCATAATTTTTTTATGTTACTGAAATTAAGCTGGTATAAATATTGTAATTTTTAAATATTAAGTGTAATCATCACAGTAACCAAAGAAAATAGCTTATAGAATACACACAAAAAGAAATGAGACAGTAATGCAGGAAATAAGGACAAAATAGCTACAAAGCACATAGAAAAAAATGGCAAAATGACAGAAGTTCCTCCTTATGATTTTAAATGTAAATGGTTAAACTCTAATCAAAAGGCAGAGATTTGCAGAATTGATAAACATCATCCAACTACATGCTGTCTACTAAAGACTCACTTTAGGCCCAAAGACACAAACAGGGTGAAAGTGAAGGCATGAAAAAAAGATATTCCATTCATACAAGAACAAAGAGAACAGAAGTGCCATACTAATATCAGACAAAATTGACTTTAAATCAAAAAAGGTTACAAAAGACAAGAAGGACATTATATATTAATAAAAGATTCAATACAGCAAAAGATATAACAATTATAGTTGACCCTTGAACAACATGGGTCTGAACAGTATAGGTCCATCTATATGTGCATCTTCTTCTACCTCTGCCACCCAGAAGACATCAAGACCAATCCTTCCTTTTCCTCAACCCAATGTGAAGACGACAAGAATGAAGGCATTCATGATTATCTACTTCCACTTAATGAACTGTAAATAAATTCTCTCCTTTATAATTTTCTTAATACATTATTTTCTGTAGTTTATCATAAGAACACAGTAAATAATACATATATAAAATGTGTTAATCAACTGCTTACATTATCAGTAAGACTTCCAGCGGCAGTCTATTAGTAAACTTTAGAAAAGTCAAAAGTTACATGCAGATTTCCGTGGGGGGGATAGCATCCCTAACCTCTGTGTTGTTCAGGGGTCAGCTATATAAACACTTACATACCTAATAACAGACCACTGAGATGAACGAACCAAAGGTGAAAAAAATGAAAGGAGAAATAGTTCTATGATAACAGTTGGGAGACTTCAGTACCCCACTCTCAATAATTAACAGAACCACACAGAATGGAGAACTTGAACAACACAATAAACCAACTTGGTCTAACAGACATAGACTGAACATTCTGCCTAACAATAACCAAATACATATTGTTCTCAAGTACACAGGGGATATTTCCCAGGATACACCATGTTAGGCCACAAATAAAGTGTTAATAGATTTTAAAAGACAGATAGCATACAAAGTATCTTCTCTGAGCACAATACAATGAAGTTAGAAATCAATAAAAGAAGGAAAATGGAAAATTCACAAATGCGTGGAAATCAAACAACCAATGGGGCGAAGAATCAATCACAAGAGTAATTAGAAAATACTTAGAGACAAACGAAAAACACAACATAAGAAAATTTATGGGACACAGATAAAGCAGTGCTAAGGAAGACATTTATAGTTATTAACACACGAAACAAAAAGAAAGTTCTCAATTCAAGAACCTATTTTTACAACTTTAAAAACCAGAAAAAGAACAAACTAAACCCAAAGCTAGCAGAAGAAATAAAACAATAAAGAACAGAGATAAACAAAATGGGAAACAGGAAAGCAACATGGAAAAATCAATGAAACTAAAAGTTGGTTCTTCAAAAAGGAACAAAACTGATAAATCTCTAGCTAGACTAAGAAAAAAAGAAAAGACTCAAATTACTGAAATCAGAAATGAAAGTAGGGCATTGCTAATAGTTTCACAGAAATACAAAGGATGATAAGAGGATACTATAAACAACCGAATGTCAACAACTGCATAACCTAGATGAGGAAAAACTGTGAGAAACACAAAACTTACTGAAACAGAATAACAAACAGAAAATCTGAAAATCCTATATCAGTATGGAGATTGAATGAGTAATCAAAAACCTCCCAACAAAGAAAAGCCCTGGACATGATGGCTTCACTGGTGAATTCTGCTCAACATGTGAAAAAGAACTAAAACCAAGCCTTCTCAAACTTTTCCAAAAAAAAAAACAAAAAAACAAAAAAAAAAAAACAGAAGAGGAGGGAACACTTCCTGACTTATTCTGTGAGGCCAGCATTACCCTGATACCAAAGCCAGACAAAGACACACAAGAAAACCACAAACCAACAAAGGATAGTAGAAACCAAGAAGGGGAAGGGAGGCATAGGGAGAGATGTGTTAAAGGATGCAAAATTACAGCTAATGATAATAGTTGGAGAAATAAGTTATTGTATTCTATAGTACTGTAGGATGACTATAATTAACAATAATAATATAGTTTCAAACAGCTAGGAGGAGGATACTGAATGTTCCCAACACAAAGAAGTGTTTGAGATCATGGATATGCTAATTACCCTGATACATTATATGTACTGTAACATCACTATGTACTCCATAAATATGTACAATGACTGTGTCAATTAAAATTATTTTTAGAAATAGAAATGAGAGCAACCTAAAAAGAGAAAAAAAAAACTACAAACCAATATCCATTATTAACAGTGATGTAAAAATTCTCAACAAAATACTAGCAAACTGAATTCAGCAGCATATTAAAAGATTATATACATCATGACCAAGTGGGATTTATCCTGGAATGCAAGGATAGTTGTACATATGGAAATCAATCAAGGCAATACACCTCATTAACAGAATTAAGGAGGAAAAAAAAACCCTACATGGTCCTCTCAATTGATGCAGAAAAAGTATCTGACAAAATTCAATATGCTTTCATGATATAAACACTCACGAGAAACCCACAGTGAACATCAGACACATGGTAAAGGACTAAAAGCTTTTCCTTTAAGATCAAATGGTAAAGGACTCAAAGCTTTTCCTCTAAGATCTACAACAAGGCAAGAATTCCTGATTTCATCACTTCTATTCAACATAGTACTGGAAGTTCTACCCAGAGCAATTAGGAAAGAAAAAGAAACAAAAGACAACCAAACTGGAAAGAAAAAGTAAAATTATCTTCTTACAAATGATATGATCTTATATGCAGGGAACCCTAAAGATTCCAAAAAAAAAAAAAAACCTGTTAGAACTAATAAATTAATTTAGCAAAGAAGCAAATACAAAGTCAACACAAAAATGAGTTACATTTTTACGCACTAACTAGAACACTTCTTGAAGTAATAATTCCATTTACAACAGCAAAAAAAAGAAACCTTAGGAATTAACCAAGACAGTGAAAGATCTGTACGACAAAAACTACAAAACACTGCTTTAAGAAATTAAAGAATACATAAATAATTAGAAAGACATTACATGTTCATCAATTAGAAAACTTAATATTGTTAAGATGTCAATACTATCCAAAGTGACCTACAGATTCAATGCAGTTCCTACTGAAATCCCAACAATGCTTTCTGCAGAAAGAGAAAAATCCATTCTAAAATTCATATGGAATATTAAGGGACCCTGAATAGCCAAAACAGTTTTGAAAAAGAGGTACAAAGCTAGAAAACTCATACTTACTGATTTCAAGACTTACTACAAAGCTACGTTAATAAAAATAGTGCAGTACTGGCATGAAAACAGACATACAGAACAATGAAATAAAGAATTCAGAGGAAAAAAAGCATCTCACTTTATGGTCAAAGGATTTTTGGGAAGGGAGCCAAGACCATTCAATGGGAAAAGGACAGGTTTTTAACAAATGTTGCTGGGAAAACTGGATATCCACATGCAAAAGAATGAAGTTGGACTTTTACATAACACAATATATGAAAACTAACTCAAAATGGGAAAATAATGGCAGACAGGGCGCATAACTAACTTGGAGCTCCCACTCAGACACACCGAGTAGTGTGTGGAGACTCACACCGTGAACTTTTACTCGAAGAACTACTACCACGGGAACGTACCAGGAAAGCCGAGAGAATCCATAGACCTTTCAAAGGAAGCAGTTTACAGCTGCTGGTCCCCTGAGACAGCCAAAAAACTCTGAGTGCCCAATGTGTGAAAGGGAATGTCTGCCTCTGAACACACATCCTCACTGGGGATCCCAAAGGGCCAATTCACGAGAGAAGGATGTGACCTCACCTGGAGCTGAGATTAATTTAGAGAGCTGTGAGAAATATAGGGATAAAGGAAGAAGCAGAAGAGCCCTGTGGGCACTCTCTGTCACCAGGGAAGCCATTCCTGACTTTGTCTCACAGAGGCCCTTGGGGAGAGCTGCCAGTGGAATTGGGGAAAGACCCCAAGGAGAAGGAAACTTCCAGCTGAACTGTGTAACAGTTTCAAACAAACATGAAGTTTCCTGGACAGAATCGGGGGAGGAGGCAAACAGGCAGTGCAGAAAGCAGCAAAGAAACCACGGCAGGTAGGGAAGCGTGAAACCTGAAAGCCCTGCTTACTTCCTCGGGGGAGGGGGAGGGCATATAGCCTGGGGCAGCTTCTCAATACTGCTCAGCAGCTGCCTGGAAATTAACTCAGTGCTGCTGGAAGAGGCACCTTGGGAGTGGCACTGGCCTTTCGGGCTTTGTGGGAGCTGGGTGAGGCCTGTTACTGCCGGCTTTCCCCCGCTTCCCTGGTCACCAGTATGATCAAAAGGCAGCAGTAACTTCTGCAGACTTAAACATCCAGGTCTGACAGCTTTCATGAGAGCAGTGGTTTTCCCAGCACAGAGTTTGAGATCTGAGAACAGACAGACTGCCTCCTCAAGTGGGGCCCTGACCTCCCAGTAGCCTAACTGGGAGACACCTCCCAGTAGGGGCCGACTGGCACCTCATACAGCTGGGTGCCCCTCTGAGACGAAGCTTCCAGAGGAAAGATCGGGTAGCAACATCTCTGTTCTGCAACATTCGCTGTTCTGCAGCCTCCGCTGGTGATAACCAGGCTAACACGGTCTGGAGTGGACCTCCAGCAAACTCCAACAGACCTGCGGCTGAGGGTCCTGACTGTTAGAAGGAAAACCAACAAACAGAAAGGACATCCACACCAAAATCCCATTTTGTACGTCACCATCATCAAAGACCAAAGGTAGATAAAACCACAAAGATGGGGAGAAACCAGAGCAGAAAAGCTGAAAAATCTAAAAATCAGAGCGCCTCTTCTCCTCCAAAGGAACGCAGCTCCTCGCCAGCAACAGAACAAAGCTGGACGGAGAATGACTTTGACGAGTTGAGAGAAGAAGGCTTCAGACAATCGGTAATAACAAATTCTCCGAGCTAAAGGAGGATGCTCGAACCCATCGCAAAGAAGCTAAAAACCTTGAAAAAAGATTAGATGAATGGCTGCCTAGAATAAACAGCGTAGGGAAGTCCTTAAATGACTTGATGGAGCTGAAAACCATGGCACAAGAACTACGTGATGCATGCACAAGCTTCAGTAGCCGAATTGATCAGGTGGAAGAAAGAGTATCAGTGATTGAAGATCAAATGAATGAAATGAAGAGAGAAGAGAAGTTTAGAGAAAGAAGAGTAAAAAGAAACGAACAAAGCCTCCAAGAAATATGGGACCATGTGAAAAGACCAAATCTACGTCTTATTGGTGTACCTGAAAGTGACAGGGAGAATGGAACCAAGCTGGAAAACACTCTTCAGGATATAATCCAGGAGAACCCCCCCAATCTAGCGAGGCAGGCCAACATTCAAATTCTGGTAATACAGAGAATGCCACAAAGATACTCTTCGAGAAGAGCAACCCCAAGACACATAATTGTCAGACTGAAAGGTCAGGTTACTCACAAAGGGAAGCCAATCAGACTAACAGCAGATCTCTCTGCAGAAACTCTACAAGCCAGAAGAGAGTGAAAGCCAATATACAACATTCTTAAAGAAAAGAATTTCTAACCCAGAATTTCATATCCAGCCAAACTAAGCTTCATAAGTGAAGGAGAAATAAAATCCTTTACACACAAGCAAATGCTGAGAGATTTTGTCACCACCAGGCCTGCCTTACAAGAGCTCCTGAAGGCAGCACTAAACATGGAAAGGAACAACCCGTACCAGCCACTGCAAAAACATGACAAATTGTAAAGACCATCGCTGCTAGGAAGAAACTGCATCAACTAACGAGCAAAATAACCAGCTAACATCATAATGACAGGATCAAATACACACCTAACAGTATTAACTTTAAATGTAAATGGGCTAAATGCTCCAATTAAAAGACACAAACTGGCAAACTGGATAAAGAGTCAAGACCCATCAGTGTGCTGTATTCAGGAGACCCATCTCACGTGCAGAGACACACATAGGCTCAAAATAAAGGGATGGAGGAAGATCTAACAAGCAAATGGAAAACAAAAAAAAGCAAGGGCTGCAATCCTAGTCTCTGATAAAACAGACTTTAAACCAACAAAGATCAAAAGAGACAAAGAAGGCCATTACATAATGGTACAGGGATCAATTCAACAAAAAGAGCTAACTATTCTAAATATATATGCATCCAATACAAGAGCACCCAGATTCACAAAGCAAGTCCTTAGAGACCAACAAAGAGACTTCGACTCCCACACAATAATAATGGGAGACTTTAACACTCCACTGTCAACATTAGACAGATCAACGAGACAGAAAGTTGTAACAAGGATATCCAGGAATTGAACTCAGCTCTGCACCAAGCAGACCTAATAGACATCTACAGAACTCTCCATCCCAAATCAACAGAATATACATTCTTCTCAGCACCACATCACACTTATTCCAAAACTTACCACATAGTTGGAAGTAAAGCACTCCTCAGCAAATGTAAAAGAACAGAAATTATAACAAACTGTCTCTCAGACCACAGTGCGATCAAACTAGAACTCAGGATTAAGAAACTCACTCAAAACCGCTCACCTACATGGAAACTGAACAACCTGCCCCTGAATGACTATCAGGTACATAACAAAATGAAGGCAGAAATAAAAGATGTTCTTTGAAACCAATGAGAACAAAGACACAACATACCAGAATCTCTGGGACACATTTAAAGCAGTGTGTAGAGGGAAATTTATAGCACTAAATGACCACAAGAGAAAGCAGGAAAGATCTAAAATTGACACCCTGACATCACAATTAAAAGATCCAGAGAAGCAAGAGCAAACACATTCAGAAGCTAGCAGAAGGCAAGAAGTAACTAAGGTCAGAGCAGAACTGAAGGAGATAGAGACACAAAAAACCCTTCAAAAAAAATCAGTGAATCCAGGAGCTGGTTTTTTGAAAAGATCAACAAAATGGATAGACCGCTAGCAAGACTAATAGAGAAGAAAAGAGAGAAGAATCAAATAGATGCAATAAAAAATGATAAAGGGCATATCACCACCGATCCCACAGAAATACAAACTACCATCAGAGAATACTATAAACACCTTGATGCAAATAAACTAGAAAATCTAGAAGAAATGGATAAATTCCTGGACACATACACCCTCCCAAGACTAAAGCAGGAAGAAGGTGGATCCCTGAACAGACCAATAACAGGTTCTGAAATTGAGGCAATAATTAATAGCCTATGAACCAAAAAAAGTCCAGGACCAGATGGATTCACAGCCGAATTCTACCAGAGGTACAAAGAGGAGCTGGTACCATTCCTTCTGAAACTATCCCAATCAACAGAAAAAGAGGGAATCCTCCCTAACTCATTTTATGAGGCCAGCATCATCCTGATACCAAAGCCTAGCAGAGACACAATAAAAAAAAGAGAATTTTAGACCAATATCCCTGATGAATATGGATGTGAAAATCCTCAATAAAATACTGCCAAACTGAATCCAGCAGCACATCAAAAAGCTTATCCACCACAATCAAGTTGGCTTCATCCCTGGGATGCAAGGCTGGTTCAACATACGCAAATCAATAAACGTAATCCATCATATAAACAGAACCAAAGACAAAAACCACATGATTATCTCAATAGATGCAGAAAAGGCCTTCGACAAAATTCAACAGCCCTTCATGCTAAAAACTCTCAATAAATTAGGTATTGATGGGACATATCTTAAAATAATAAGCTATTTATGACAAACCCACAGCCAATATCATACTCAATGGGCAAAAACTGGAAGCATTCCCTTTGAAAACTGGCACAAGACAGGGATGCCCTCCCTCACCCTCCTATTCAACATAGTGTTGGAAGTTCTGGCCAGGGCAATCAGGCAAGAGAAAGAAACAAAGAGTATTCAATTAGGAAAAGAGGAAGTCAAATTGTCCCTGTTTGCAAATGACATGATTGTGTATTTAGAAAACCCCATCGTCTCAGCCCAATATCTCAAGCTGATAAGCAACTTCAGCAAAGTCTCAGGATACAAAATCAATGTGCAAAAATCACAAGCATTCCTATACACCAATAACAGACAGAGAGCCAAATCATGAGTGAACTCCCATTCACGACTGCTTCAAAGAGAATAAAATACATAGGAATCCAACTTACAAGGGATGTGAAGGACCTCTTCAAGGAGAACTACAAACCACTGCTCAACAAAATAAAAGAGGACACAAACAAATGGAAGAACATTCCATGCTCATGGATAGGAAGAATCAATATCATGAAAATGGCCATACTGCCCAAGGTAATTTATAGATTCAATGCCATCCCCATCAAGCTACCAATGACTTTCTTCACAGAATTGGAAAAAGCTACTTTAAAGTTCATATGGAACCAAAAAAGAGCCCGCATTGCCAAGACAATCCTAAGCCAAAAAAACAAAGCTGGAGGCATCATGCTACCTGACTTCAAACTATACTACAAGGCTACAGTAACCAAAACAGCATGGTACTGGTACAAAAACAGAGATACAGACCAATGGAACAGAATATAGCCCTCGGTAATAAAACCACACATGTACAACCTTCTGATCTTTGACAAACCCGACAAAAACAAGCAATGGGGAAAGGATTCCCTATTTAATAAATGGTGCTGGGAAAACTGGCTAGCCATATGTAGAAAGCTGAAACTGGATCCCTTCCTTATAGCTGATACAAAAATTAATTCAAGATGCATTAAAGACTTAAATGTTAGACCTAAAACCAGAAAAACCCTGTAAGAAAACCTAGGCAATACCATTCAGGCCATAGGCATGGGCAAGGACTTCATGACTAAAACACCAAAAGCAATGGCACAGAAGCCAAAATAGACAAATGGGATCTAATTAAACTAAAAAGCTTCTGCACAGCAAAAGAAACTACCATCAGAGTGAACGGGCAACCTACACAATGGGAGAAAATTTTTACAATCTACCCATCTGATAAAGGGCTAATATCCAAATATACAAGAAAAAATCAAACAACCCCATCAAAAAGTGGGAAAAGGATATGAACAGGTACTTCTCAAAAGAAGACATTTATGCAGCCAAAAAACACATGAAAAAATGCTCATCATCACTGGCCATCAGAGAAATGCAAATCAAAACCACAATAAGATACCATTTCACACCAGTTAGAATGGCGATCATTAAAAAGTCAAGAAACAACAGGTGCTGGAGAGGATGTGGAGAAACAGGAACGCTTTTACACTGTTGGTGGGATTGTAAACTAGTTCAACCATTGTGGAAGACAGTGTGGCAATTCCTCAAGGATCTAGAACTAGAAATACCATTTGTCCCAGCCATCCCATTACTGGGCATATACCCAAAGGATTACAAATCATGCTGCTATAAAGACACATGCACATGTATGTTTACTGTGGCACTATTCACTATAGCAAAGACTTGGAACCAACCCAAATGTCCATCAATGATAGACTGGAGTAAGAAAATGTGGTACATACACACCATGGAATACTATATAGCCATAAAACAGGATGAGTTCATGTCCTCTGTAGGGACATGGAAGAAGCTGGAAACCATCATTCTGAGCAAACCATCGCAAGGACAGAAAACCAAACACCGTATGTTCTCACTCATAGGTGGGAATTAAACAATGAGAACACGTGGACACAGGGTGGGGAACATCACACACTGGGGCCTGTCATGGGGTTGGGGGAGGGGGGAGGGATAGCATTAGGAGATATACCTAATGTAAATGATGAGTTAACAGGTGCAGCACACCAACATGACACATGTATACATATGTAACAAACGTGCACGTTGTGCACATGTACCCTAGAACTTTGAAGTATAATAAAAAATAAAATTAAATTACAAAAACAACAACAACAACAACAACAACAAAAGATATTCCAAGCCAGTGGACACAGAAAGCTAGCAGAAGTAGCTATTTTTGTTTCAGACGAAACAGACTTGAAAGCAACAAGTTAAAAAAGACAAAGAGAGACATTATATCATGACAAAAGGCCTTGTCCAACAGGAAAATATCACAATCCTAAATATATATGCACCTAACATTGGAGTTCCCTAATTTATAAAACAATTACTGCTAGACTTTAGAAATAAGATAAACAGCAACACAGTAATAGTGGGGGACTTTAATACTCCACTGACGGCACTAGACAAGTCATCAGGACAGAAAATCAATAGAGATACAATGCACTTAAACTATACCCCAGAACAAATTGACTTAACAGACATTTACAGAACATTTACCAACAACTACAGAATATACATTCTATTCATCAGCACATGGATCCTTCTCCAAAACAGACCACGACAGGACACAAAACAAGTCTCAACAAATTTAAGAAAATCAAAATTATAGCAAGTACTCTCTCACACTATAGTGGAATAAAATTGGAAATCAACTCCAAAAGGAACCCTCAAAACCATGTAAATACATGGAAATTAAATAACCTACTCCTGAATGATCATTCAGTCAACAATGAAATCAAGGTGGAAATTTAAAAATCCTTTGAACTGAATGATAAAAGTGACACAACCTATCAAAACCTCTGGGATAAAGCAAAAGTGGTGCTAAACGCAAAGTTCACAGCAATGAATGCCTACATCAAAAAGTCTGAAAGAGCATAAACAGACAATCTAAGGTTACACCTTAAGGAACCAGAGAAACAAGAACAAACCAAACCCAAATCCAGAAGAAGAAACAACAAAGATCAGAACAGAACTAAATGAAATTGAGACAAAGAAAGAAACAAACAAAAAACACAAAAGATAAATGAAACAGAAAGCTGGTTCTTTGAAAAGATAAACAAAATTGACAGATCATTAGTTAGATTAACCAAGCAAAGAAGATCCAAATAAGCTCAATTAGAAATGAAATGGAGATATTAGATTGATACCACAGAAATACAAAAGATCATTCAAGGCTACTATGAACCCCTTTATGCTCACAAACTAGAAAATCGAGAGGAGATGGGTGAATTCCTGAAAACATACAACCCTCCTAGATTAAACCAGGAAGAAATAGAAACTCTGAACAGACCAACAGCAAGCAGCAAGACTGAAATGGTAATTAAAACTGCCAACAAACAAAAAGTCCAGAATCAGATGGATTCACAGCTAAATTCTATCCAATATTCAAAGAAGAACTGATACCAATCCTATTGACACTATCCCACAATACAGAGAAAGAGGAAACCCTCCCTAATTCATTCTATGAAGCCAGTATCACCCTAATACTAAAACCAGTAAATAATATAACAAAAAAAAAGAAAACTACAGGCCAATATCCCTGATGAACATAGATGCAAAAATCCTCAACAAAATACTAGCTAGCCGAATCCAACAGCATATCAGAAAGATAACACACCATTATCAAGTGGGTTTCATGCCAGGCGTGCAGGGATGGTTTAACATACCCAAGTCAATAATTGTGATGTACCACATAAACAATTAAAAACAAAAATCACATAATCATCTCAATAGACACAGAAAAGGCATTTGGCAAAATCCAGTGTCCCTTTATAATTAAAACACTCAGCAAAATTGGCATAGAAAGGAGATGCCTTAAGGTAATAAAAGCCATCTATGACAAACCTACAGCTAACATTATACTGAATGGAGAAAGGTTGAAAGCATTTCCCCTGAGATCTGGAACAAGACAGGGATGCCCAGTCTCACTACTTCTATTCAACATAGTACTGGAAGTCCTAGCCAGAGGGATCAGACAAGACAAGGAAATAAAGGGCATCAAATCAGTAAAGAGGAAGTCGAACTGTTGCTGTTTGCTGATGATATGATCATACACCAAGAAAACCCTAAAGATTCATCCAAAAAGCTCCTAGAACTGGCAAATGAATTCAGTAAAGTTTCAGGACACAAAATTAATGTACACAAATCGGTGGCATTGCTATACACTAACAGCAACCAAGCTGCAAATCAAATCAAGAACTCAAACTCTTTTACTATGTCTGCAAAAAAAAAATAAAATACTTAGGAATATACCTAAGGAAGTGAAAGACATCTACAAGAAAAACTACAAAACACTGCTGAAAGAAATTGAAAATGACACAAACAAATGGAAACACATTCCATGCTCATGGATGGGTAGAATCAATATTGTGAAAATGATCATACTGCCAAAAGCAATCTACGGATTCAATGTAATTCCTATCAAAATGTCACCATCATTCTTTGCAGAGCTAGGGAGAACAATCCTAAAATTCATATGAAACTGAAAAGGAACACACATAGCCAAATCAAGACTCAGCAAAAACAAAAACAACCCCCCAAAACCCACAAATCTGGATGTATCACATTACCCGACTTCAAACTAAACTAAAAGGCTATAGTTACCGAAACAGCATGGTACTGGTATAAAAATAGGCACATAGACCAATGAAACAGAATACAGAACCCAGAAATAAAGCCAAATACTTAACAGCCAACTGATCTTTGACAAAGCAAACACAAACGTAAAGTGGGGAAAGGACACCCTATTCAACAGATGGTACTGGGGTAACTGGCAAGCCACATGTAGAAGAATGAAACTGGATCCTCATCTCTCACCTTACACAAAAATGAACTCAAGATTAGATCAAAGACTTAAATCTTTTAAGACCTGAAACCATAAAAGTCCCAGAAGATATCATCAGAAAAACCCTTCTAGACATTGGCTTAGGCAAAGACTTCCTGACCATGAACCCAAAAACAAATTCAACAAAAACAAAGACAAATAGATGGGACTTAATTAAACTAAAAAGATTCTGCACAGCAAAGGAAATAATCAGTAAACAGACAACCCACAGAGTGGAGAAAATCTTGGTAAACTATGCATCTGACAAAGGTCTAATATCCAGAATCTACAAAAAAACCAAACAAATCAGCAAGAAAAAAAACAAACAATCCCATCAAAAAGTGGGCTAAGGACATGAATAGACAATTCCCAAAAGAAGATATACAAGTGTTCAACAAACATATGAAAACATGTTCAACACAACTAATTATCAGGGAAATGCAAATCAAAACCACAATGCAATACCACCTTACTCCTGCAAGAATGGCCATAATCAAAAAATCAAAAAATAATAGATGTTGGCATCAATGTGGTAAAAAGGGAAAACTTTTACACTGCTGCTGGGAATGTAAACTAGTATAACCACTATGGAAAATGGTGTGGAGATTCCTTAAGGAACCAAAAGTAGATCTAACATTTGACCCAGCAATCCCACTACTGGGTATCTACCCAGAGAAAAAGAAGTCATTATACGAAAAACACACTTGAACACACATTTATAGCAACACAATTTGTAACTGCAAAAATATGGAATCAACCCAAATGCCCATCAATCAACAAGTGGATAAAGAAAATGTGGTATGTATAATATACACACACACACACCACGGAATACTACTCAGCCATAAAAAATAATGAAATAATGGCATTCACAGCAACCTGGATGGAGGTGGAGACCATTATTCTAAGTAAAGTAACTCAGGAATGGAAAACCAAACATTGTAAGTTGTCACTCATAAATGGGAACTAAGCTATGAGGATGCAAAGGCATAGAATGATACAATGGACTTTGGGAACTTGAAGTAAAGGGTGGGAGGGGGTGAGGGATAAATGACTACACATTGGGTACTGTGTACACTGCTTGGGTGAGGGGTGCACCCAAATCTCAAAAATCATTACCAAAAAACATATCCATGTAACCCAACACCACCTGTTCCCCAAAAGCCTATTGAAATAAAAAAAAAAGAAGAAAAAGTAACTCAAAATGGATCAAAGACCTAAATATAAGACCTAAAACTATAAAATTCTTAGAACATTGAACAAAAGAGCTTCATGACATTATATTTGGCAATGATTTCTTGGATGTGACAACAAAGGCAGAGTCACTGAAAGAAAATATTGGCAAATTAGATTTGATGAAAAATTTTTAAATTTGTGCACCAGAAGACCCTATCAACAGTAAAAGGCAAGCCACAGAATGGGTGAAAATACAGGCAAATCGTATTATCTGATAAGAGATTAGTATCCAAAATATATAGAAAATTCCTAAAACTCAAACAAAAAAAATCAACCTGATTCAACAATGTGCAAAAGACTCAAATACACATTTCTCCTAAGATACACAAATGGCCAATAAACAGATGAAAAGATACTCAACATCTCTAATCATTAGCAAAACAAATCAAGACTACAATGAGATGCTACCTTATACCCATAACAATGGTTACCATCAAAATTCAGAAAATTGTTAAGTGTTGAAGAGAATGTGGAGAAACTGGAACCCTTGTATACTATTGGTATGAAAGTAAAATGTTATTTCTGCTATGGAAAACAGTATGAAAATTCCTCAAAAAATTAAAAATAGAATTACCATATGATCCAGCAATTCCACTTCTGGATATATACCCAATGAGAGCAGGGTTTCAAGAAAGTATTTGTACACTCATGGTCATTGCAGCAGTATTCACAAGAGCTAAAATGTGAAGCAAACCACGTGTTCACTGAGGATGAATGAACAAGCAAAATGTATTTACATACAATGGAATAGTATTCAGCCTTGAAAAGTAAGGAAATTCTGATATATGCTACAAAATGAATGAATCTTGAGGACATTTTGCTAAATGAAATAAGCCAATCACAAAAGGACAAATAATGCACAATTCCACCTACATGAAGTACTTTAAAGTAGTGAAAAATCAGAGACAGAGTAGGCTTTTGGTTTCCAGGGCCTGTGGAAAGGTGAGAATGGAGAGCTATCGTTTAAACGGATATAGAGCTTCAGTTTTACAAAATAAAGAGTTCTGGAGATAAACAGCGGTGATGGTTGCACAACAATATAAATGTAGTTAATACCACTGATCTATAAACTTAAAAATGATTATGATGGTAAACTTTGTATGTATTTTACCAAAATTTTAAAAAGTTTGGAAAAAAAAAGGTATCAATGATAATGATGTTGATTTCCTCCGAATTAACCTGTATGTAAAGTAATCCCAGCTAAAACACAGGAAGATTTTAAAAAATTATATAACTTGGCAAAAAGTATTCTAAAACTTTGGACCAATAAACATGTGGGTGTAACTGGGAAATTCTGGAAAGGGGCATTGTGGGAAGGGGTGTACTAATCTGATCTGATCAATTTTAAGTTATAAAAAAGATTTTAAAAAATTAATGTGGCAAAAATTATTCTAAATGTTATCTGGAAAAATAGGTGAGTATCACTGGAAAACTCTTGAAAGGGGAACTGGGGAAGGGGAAGAGACAAAGTTTACTACATATAAAAATATATTACCTTAAAAAAGGTAATGAAAACAATTTGGTATTTATGCTGAACAAACTCTCAGTCTGTTTAAAAAAATGCATTTGTTAATACTAAAGACAATGTGCTGAGAAACTGTTCTCTACATCAGACTGTCAGAAACTATGTTATTTGAAATTTTATAAAGTGAGAATGGAACATCCCACTCTCGCACTGATGGTAGATCATTATGAAACAGAAGCAACCTCACTTTGCAACTCAGAGCTTCAGATAAGGGGTTTCCAGACACAACATTCCACATGTATCGCGATTTTGTAGTCTCCAGGGAATCAGAATCCTGAGTCAGCTTCTCAGCCCAGGCCTGATGTTTATTAACCCTTGACACACAGTCTTGCCGTGCTTTAAGCTTATCAAATATTGTTGCGTTTAAACTTTATCCAAACTCCACCATTCTCCAAAATCCTATA
Source organism: Homo sapiens (assembly GCF_000001405.40). Classification (NCBI taxonomy): domain Eukaryota; kingdom Metazoa; phylum Chordata; class Mammalia; order Primates; family Hominidae; genus Homo; species Homo sapiens. The sequence continues at coordinate 7,190,163 of NC_000007.14, read as the reverse complement.
ATAACCCTGGTTCCTTCTTTAGAAATGCTGACATTTCCTCTGCTGTGCAAGTCTCCTTCACTGCAGCAAGCTAATTAACCTTTGTCAGCCTACAGATGTGTCCCTGGTGGTCTCTACCAGATGAATCTTATAAAGGGACTTCATCAGGTTGAAATAAAGACTCTATGGAAAACAAAAATTCATGTGGAAATTTAATACATAATAAACAGCATTTCAAATCAAGAAAAAGGTGGCTTATTGAAGAAATGGTATTGAATTAATTAATCTTTTGGGGAAAAAAAAACAAAACCAGCTGGATCCTTACTTTCTAGTAACAATTTCAAATGTTTCTAAGATTTCAGTATTTTAGAAAATGGAATTAAAACAAAACTGGAAGAAAATATATTTTTGCATTTTGATATTACGAATTGAGATCTCTCCCACACTCAGAAGCTGTGACTATTAAAACACTATGAGTTTATTCATTGGATAAACTTCTGGCAATGAAGTCGCTGGTTAAAGGGCATATTTCTTTATGAAATATATTTTTTTAATGTACAGCAAAAAGAACCAAAAAGTATCATAAATAATAAAAAAGATAGTTAACCAAATACAAAAACAGATAAAGAAAATAAAAGATTCACAGTAAAAAATGGTCAACGATGTTCAAATTTCACTCACAAAGGTAAATCAAATGAAGAGATATTATTTTTAACCTAACATATTGGCAAAACTTTTAAAGTTTATTAACAGCTGTTATTGACACAGATACAAGAAAACTGGTAGTCCTGTATTCTTTCTCATAATACATACTTTTACTGTCTTTTGGAAGGGCATTTCACAACATCTTTTTAAATTTTTAACTAATTATGCCTTGATATATCACTTCATGATCAGAAACTTATTTTACAGATATAATCATAGAAGTCAGCCAAGATGCTCGACAGCCATAACCATAAGACGTCTGTCTGTTGATGAGGAACCAGTTTTTTAAAAAAAAGATAGAGCCATAGCATAGAATAGTAGTAGCTGTTAAAAACAATGATCTACATGTGCTGATAGGGAAAATCTTTGTGCTTTTGACAAAGGTTACTTTTTATTGTTAATAAGGTATACTGGGTATTTTTTTAAACATCAGAAAATGTAAAGAAAACAAAAGGAACAAACCTAAACAAATGAAAGAAAATCATAGACAGAAAAGAGTAAATTTTCTTTACCATCTCTACCACTATCTCTCCCCAAAAGTAACTGCTTTCGTATCGTTGGGTAATGCCTATATCATCACATATGTATGTTCAGCTTTTAATTTACATCAGAGATCATGCTTATCGGTTAGTCTGCACTTTAATTTACCCCTTCACTTATTTTATCCATAACACAATGTCATTCATTTTAACAACTGTATAAGATAAAAGGTTTATTTTTTAAGACAATGTACCGAAATATTTTCTAGTATGATTTCACTTGGCTTTTTAAATGTTTCTGTATATATTTTAAAATCTGTTAAGATATATATACATATGATATTTAACAAGAGCTATCTCTGGGAACTAGCACTGGGTGGCATGAGCAAGGAAGGACAAATTTTTTTTTATTTTATAACCTTTTGATGTTTTAATTTTGCATCGGGTACACACATTACTTTTCTGATAAAAATTAAATAAAGGGAGGCAATTTTTATCTACAGAGTGAAATAATATGATAAAAATTAAAGTCCACTAATTTCTCCACACTTGTCAAACAAAATGATCTCTTGATCCTTTCAGACTTCTCCAAGTTTCAGATTCACATACACAAATGCCTGCTAAATACTTCCACCTGGACCATAGGCATCTCTAATTCAACACCTCCAAAGTGACTCATTACTTTCCTCTGCTCATTTTACCTTAATTACTGGTAATTACCTAAATTATTCACCAATGGGTTCCTATTTCACTCAGAGCCACAGGATTATCTAAACTACAAAGTACACAGATATTCTTAATGCTTCCCTTATCTTCACCCCAAATCCAATTACCAAGTCTTGCCAACATTACTTCCTAAATATTATTCTAATCCATTGTCTCCTCTCCATTTCTAGTATTTATCCTATTTCAGACTCTCCTCTCTCCCCACAGGCTATTACAATATCTAACCTCTCTGACTCAAGTGCTATCCCTCTTTAACTCATACCCCGTCACCAGAATGAGCTCTCTAAAATGAAAAGCTGACCATGTCACCCCATGAATCCTTTCACGGAACTCCACTGCCTACAAGACAAAAACTAAACATTTTTTATTAACATGATATATAAATAAAGGCTATGACCTAGAGCCTGTCCAGGTTTCCAGCCTCGTCTTTTGCTATTCTGTGCCTTATAATTTATGTCTGCTTCAGCAATCCTGAACTGTCTACAGTTACTGAAAGGTTCCCAATATGGTCAGCTCCTCTTCCTACTGTCTTCTCTGACTACAACACTTGCTTCCCACCAACCTCTGTAAATCCCATTAAACTAAGGTTTCTTAACCTTGGCGCTACTGACATTAAGAGCTGGATAACTCTCTGTTGTGGAAGCCGTCCGGTCCTCTGTAGGATATTTAGCCAGCATCCCTGGCCTTTACTCACTAGATGCCAGTAGTATTCCCCCTAGTTGTGACAAACAAAAATGTCTGTAGACATTGCTAAATGTTTCCAGGTAACAACCTCTCCACTAATTTGTTAAAACTGTTTCTCACATTTACATAAAAGATCTCCCCTGTCTCTACTAAAAATACAAAAAAAAAAAGAAATTAGCTGGGCATGGTGGCAGGTGCCTGTAGTCCCAGCTACTGGGGAGGCTGAGGCAGGAGAATGGCGTGAACCCAGGAGGCAGAGCTTGCAGTGAGCTGAGATCGCGCCACTGCACTCCAGCCTGGGCGACAGAGTGAGACTCCGTCTCAAAAAAAAAAAAATCTCAGGAAGAATAGAGATAAGACTACTTTTAACACTAATTGCCTTTGAGGAGGACAACTGGGTAACTGGAGTGGGATGAAAAAAACTTACTTTTCAAACCATTTACTGTGCGTTTTTAGTCTTGTACCTCTTCTGACTTCTCCACTGCTATCACCCTGGTCTGAGCAACCTCTCTGTCTTTTAACTACTCCAACAACATTCTAACCAACTTTCCCCTTCCTTTAGCCTTTGCTTCTTTGGCCCATTTTTACCAATAGCCACAATGATCCTTTTAAAACTGAAATCAGATCACATCACTCATTTGCTCAAAACCCTCCCGTCTTCCTAATCTTAGAGAGCCAAAACCTTACAAGGATCTACCCACAATCTGCATCCTACTCCACCCCTTTCTTTCTGATCTCTTCTCCCCAGTATTTGGTGTTTTTGTAGGTCAAAAATGAACAAACAGCAGCAATTTCATAGATTGAACCTAATACTAACTGCTTGTCATTCCTCAAACGTGCCAGGGTCTTCACACTTAACTGTTCTCTGCTAAGAACACGCACCCAGGTGCTCATATGGCTCACTCTCCAACTCCTTCAGGTCTTTACTTTTCAGGAGTCTTCACTGGCCACCCTATGCTTACCCACAGCACCTATTAATATCAAATATTATTTTACTTATTCATCTTGTTTACTGTCTCTTTTCCATCTTGATCAGTGGTTCTGAAACCTGAGTCTCCATCAGAATCATTTGGAAGGCTAGTTAAATAAAGAGTTCTGGGATGGAGCCTGAAAATTTCAATTTCTAACAACTTCCCAGGTGATGATGATGCTGCAGATCCAGGGACCACATTTTTAGAACCCGTGTTTCAGAATGTAAGCTCCATGAGGACAGAGATTTTTGCCTATCCACTGTTTTATCTCCAGGACCTGGCACATAGTAAGCACTTGCTGTGGTCTGAATGTTTGTCTCCTCCAAAACTCATGTTGAACCTTAATCACCACTGTGGCAGTATTGAGAGCTGGAGTCTTTAAATGGTGACTGGGTACTAAGGGTTCAGCCCTCATGAATGGGTTATCATGGGAAAGGAACTGGTAGCTTTACAAGAAAGAAAGAAAGAAAGAAAGAGTTCTGGGCTAGCATGCTCGGCCCCCTCACCATGTGGTGCCCTGTGCTATCCTCAGGACTCTGCAGAGTCCCTACCAGCAAATGCCCTCACCAGATGTGGCCCCCTGAACCAGGACTTTTCAGCCTTCCTAACTGTAAGGAATAAATTTCTTTTCTTTATAGATTATCCAGTTTCAGATATTCTGCTAGAGGCAACAGAAAACAGATTAAGACATCACTGATATATGTAAATAAATGTAAGTGTCCCATCCTGTTTCCACTATAGCCTCTGATTCAGTCTATAATGCTAAACATTTACTGAACGATGTAAAAGATAAACCGTGCAACTGTTACAGGTTAAACTGTGTCCCCACAAAAGATAGGTTGAAGTCCTAATTCCAGTACCTCTGCACGTGACCTTATTTCAAAATAGGGTCTTTGCAGATGTAATCAAGTTAAGATGAGGTGATTAGGGTGGATCTTAATCCAATACGACTAGTATCCTTGCAAGAAGTGGAGCACACCATCTGAAGACAGAGCCACACAGGGATTATGTTGTGATAACAGAGTCACAGACTGGAGTGACATAGCTGCAAGCCAAAAAATGCTAAGGATTGGCAGTAACACAACAAGCTAAGAGGCATGGAACAGATTCTCCCCTCGAACCTTGAGAGAGCATGGCCATACCTACATCTTGATTTCAGACATCTTGCCTCCAGAACTGAGACAATAAATCTGTTGTTTTAAATCACCCAGTTTGTCGTATTTTGTTACCGCAGCCCTAGAAAATACAATGACCAAGAATGCAAATAACTATGCCAAGCTGTATTTAATTTCAAATTCTGCCTATTATCCAACATCTAGCCGTTTAAATGTGCTTTAATATACAGGTTTCCCATTCCAGAATCTCCCTAATATTGCCTCTCGTTGCCCCCAACACGCCCCTTCAATGTGCAAGGCAGCACATACTACAGGTGCTAGATAATTTATTTAGACTTTCCTTTCAGTTTCCCCCACCTTCTTATGTGCTTCCCTAAATCACAAACACCAGTTTCTTTATATATTTTTTTTCTCCCTCTTCCTATTCTCACATATTACAGATTTTGGCATATATATTCCCCTTGGACATTTGAATTAGCTGCAAAATAATTTAAGTACACATTGGAGTTCCTCTCTAACCAGATTTTAAGATAAAAGGCTAACTTCTCATTTTATGGAACAAGTCTCCTTCCCGCTCCCCACCTTTCTTCTTTTAAAAGAATGACTTAATCCCACTGAATTTGAAGTAAAAAGATTTTTGTCATACCTTTCTTTCAGCCTTGCTATAGTTTGTACATCAGCGTCTTTAATCAAATCTTAAGAAATCTTCTAAAAGAAAAGATGGTTGTATTGGGAAGCTTAAACTTTTAAGCCTATCTGAATTTAATTTCAGCATCAAGCTTTCCATTTTCTACTTAAGGTTTATTTATAGCTGCACTGTCACAAAAATTCCAATCAATGATTTTACCACACAAAGACTCTAAATTACCATGGCTTATAATGTTAAACTGCATAATGCAATTTTAATTTTAGCACAAATCAATACACAAATAGTAGCATGTGCCTAGTGACATACTTTTTCATATTTCTATTAGGTAAACAAGAACTCATTATGTGTACCCTGAAATAAATTTGTGATACAATTTTAAGAATAACTGGATATTGAATTTACTCAACGTAGTCTAGTCTTAAAAAGCATAATTATGAAAAACTTTAAATAGGAAACACAAAATATTTCTAAAATGCTTAATCCTAAGTAGGAAGATACAAAAAAATACACATTCCAGGCAAATTTGAGAGGCATTTAGTAGCTCTCCACTAATACTGAAAAATTATTCTCTTTATGAAGAATTTTAAATGAGTCATACTTTCCTTACTAAGTCATTGTTTCACTTACCATAAGGTGAAGAGTTAACTGTTTGCTAACTTGAAACTTTATATTCACTTAAACTGTACATCTATATATAAAGACTGGTAGAAAGTATAGTGTACTATATACAATATTTAGAACATACAGCATCATGGGCATTAAGCTCAACTGCCATTTACCTAAGAGGGTGAAAAGCTGTCATCTAAATACCTTCTAAAAACTCGGATTCCAACTTCCCAAACTCACACCAGAATGAAGCAACTTGAAATTATGCGCACTTTTTCCTGGCAGAGCTATGTTCTATGCCCAACTTTTAGTAAGTTAACATATTTCTCTCCCTTACACATCGGCCAATTATTCATTGATTCATTATGGTTCTAAATTTATAACTTTTAAATTCATAATGAAATCAATCCATGGTTAGCACAATAGTTTTCTATCTTAAAAAAGCGTTAAAAGGAAATACAGTAGTATGTACAATGGATATAGAGAACTAGGTTAGAAATCTTGAGAATTTTTCCAGGATGTGTGGGTTTTTTGTTGCTGATACTGTTGTTTGCTTTAAATGCGGGGTGGTGGGGGGTGGGGAGACGGTAAGGACCAGGAAAGAATAAATCCACAGCGCTAAATTATGGTCATCTTTTAAGAGTGTACGACTTACCCAAATTCAAAGCAAATGGACAACTTGTCAACACCTACTAATTCCATCACAATTTGTTGGGGAAAAATGGGGTGCAGAAGCAAAAAAAAAAAATTTAATGCCTTTCTTCCTCCTCCATGCCCCGAATGCCCCAACACACACGTATCTGCTTCACTCTGCGGCAGGGAAACTTAAAGAAATAAATCAGCTACAGACAAACCTGATGATCCAAGCTAGACCCAAGCAAGCTCCAGGCACCTCTGGAAGGAGCCCGCTCGCTGGGCGCTCAGGCGGCGCGGCAGCCGAGTGGCTCCCCGGCGAAGGTGCCCAACACCTGGGCGCCCAGTCCGGCGGGACCCACAGGTCTGCGGCGGGGCGGGGAGGGCCCGGGAGGAGGGACTGGGAGGGCCCGGCGGGGCAGGACCGCTAAGTGGTCCGGTCCGGGCGCACTGCGCGCCCCGCCGCGCCGCCAGGCAGCGCGCGAGCAGAAGAGGGGCGCGAGCGGGCACAAGGGAAGGACCCACGACGAAGAGGAGGGTACATGTCCACAAAATTGAGGCCGGGTACGCAGCCGAACGCTGTGGCAGATCGCTAAGGCTCCGGGAGCGGGAAGTCCTCGCGCCTTCCTCAGGAGCCCGGACGACCCCAGCCCGGCTTTGACCCCGAGACACCTGTTCCGCCGCGCCCGGGGTTTGGTTCCATCCTCCACGCTTCCCCACCAACCCGGAGAGGGGGGAGGGCGAGGGGAGACGAGACCTTGGACCCGTAGCCTGAGGGCGCCTCCGCCGGCCATACCTGACATCAGCTGCGGCTCCCTCTCGCCCCTCCTGGGGGGCGGAGAGGGGGACGACTTGGGACTGGTGACCTTTGCTTCTCTGGGCAGCCGCAGAAGTGGCTCGTGGCCGCTAGCCGAGGCCGCCCGCTGCCGCCCAGATTATTCCCCGGCAGCGGCAGCACAGCGGCGGCGGCCAAGGCGGGCCCAGCGCGCGCTCCCGCCCGCTCGCTCCGCCCCTCCCCGCAGCGCGTCCAGGCCGTGGCCCGCCTATGGCGCAGCCGCCACCCGAAGTCTCCTGGCGCTGACGTCTCCGCCGCCGCACCAGCCCCAGGGAAGGGCGGAGCGGGAGGGGCGGTGGGCGGGGATACGGCGACGTGAGGAAGCGGGGATTGGCTGCCGGGTGCACGCTCCGCCCTAATGCGAAGGGGTCTGGGAAGTCGGATCTTGCACGAGCAGTAGATTTTGTTGTATCCCCCTTGCGGCTTGTGTCTGCTACTCTCCGCATTTCTGATCCTGCTGTAAGGTTATGCACTAGCTTCAAGACCTTGAGCGGGACGAAAGCAGGGTAACAATAGGGAGCGAGAAAGGGGATGCTTGAAGGACCTTTGTCTGAGGTACAGGCTCTAACCCTGCAGGACTCTTGTGGCCTGTAGCCTGCTCTTAACCCGTTCATTTGTTTTTCTGTTCTCTCCCCGTGCTCTCTTTACTCAGTATCTCTCTGGGCTTAATAAAAGGAAGTAATAAGATGAAGTATGCATACGGGTGCTGGGTCATCATGTGAGAACCAGGAAGAGCTGAGAACCGAGATAATGATACCAGAAAGCTTTCTATAGGCACATTTCGTCTTTGGTTCTGTCAGCACTTCGGTTCTGTGGGGCAATGGCCGGAAGAGCTTCTTAGGGGCGTAACAAAACCTATCTCCCCTTTCGCTGGGCTCTGAATAAGGAAGTTGTCTTTGGAATAGGGGGAGGAGGCTGCCACCTGTTGAGGCAACCCCACAATAGTCATGAGGTGAGGGTAAGGTTTAGTCTTTACTGGCGTTAACCATTATCTACAAGACCACGTTCCAGAATAGGAAAGCTACCCTGCTTCCTTTAAATGCCCTATCCAAGCGGTTCTTTAGTACTCTACAGCATGGTTGTTAAAGAGTATGGGCTCTGAAATCAGACTGCCCGGGCTGGCATCTTGGTCCCTCCACCTATTGGCAAGTTACTTAGAATGCCTGAGACAAATAATAATATACATTAGTTATTGTTATTTTTCCTTTAATTTGCTTAGGTTCAGCTGTAGTGTAGTTTCTCAGGACATTGCATCAATATATCCAAAAGAATTGTGAAACATAAAGCACATGTAGTGATTCTAATACAGATGTCTCATTTTTCAGATGACAAAACTAAGGCCAGAAAGATAAACTGATAGGTCCATGTTAGAAGAGAAGTGCAGCTATCCTGATGTCCAGGTTATTGCTCTTTCCTTGGCTCATGGGTCCAGACTTCTCTGCCTTACATGATTACGTCCATTCTCTACTCCTCCCCAACTTGTATACAGTTGTTGCTCAGCCTCCTCCCCCTCCACCTTTCCGCAATATCCTTCCACCTTTCCGCAATATCCTTCCACCTTTCCGCAACATCCTTCCACCTTTCCGCAATGTCTTGCCATCCATTGTGAAACATGGAAGGAGAACTCTTTCAGGGGTCAGTGTTCCAAATAGAAACCAAAACTCACAACTCCTTATCTCGTTTTAATTTTATTAAAAGTTATAATTAATAAAGAATAACACTTTTTTCCATTGAGCAAAGATTAGAACCCTTTCCTAAAATAAGGTCAGCCACAGCCTTATCCTGGAAAATTACTTGCTAGAAACAATACTGGACCAAATCAGCCCTGCCCCCACCCTGCCTTTCTTTGAAAATAGCTTTTTTTTTTTTTTGAAGAGATATGGTCTTTCTATGTTGCCCAGGCTGGAATGCAGTGGCTATTCACAGGTGTGATCTTGGCACACAACAGCCTCGAATAACTGGGCTGAAGGCTGAAGCAATCTTCCCGCCTTAGCCTCCCCAGTAGTTGGGATTACAGGCACAGGCTGTGGCACCCAGCTAATAACTATTGTTTTATAAAAACAATACATGCTTATGCAAACAAATTTAAAAAATTTAAACAAAAATGCAAAGAAGTTAAAATCTGTCCAAATACCATAATATAGAGATAACCATTTCTTAAATTTTGTGTTACATTCTTCTAGGCATCTCTCTAAGAATAAAAGCACATATAGACATATAAATACAATATTTCATAAATTGGATCGTATTATCTGCACAGTGAACAACAGTCATGAATAACATCATTTTTAAAAGTTGCATACTGTCTGTTAAATGGATATACCATCATTTATCCAACCAGTATTCTATTGATTGACATTTATGTTTCCAAGTTTTTACTACCATAAAAAAAGTCTCTGATGAACATTCTTATCCATAGGCTTTTGCACAATTGTGCAATTATCTCCTTGAACACATTCCTAGAAGTGACATTAATGTCAGCCAATTCTTCGACATTTTCAATTAGAGAATAAAAATTGTGGTTACTTTGAAAAATATACTTTATATGTGGGACTCAAAACTGACCAGATTCTCCCATTTGAAACATACTTGAAACACACATAAACCTCAGTATTGTTGTTTCTCTTGTGTCTAGTGTTTAATAATGCATGTCAAAACTCGTTGGAGTAGGTCGGTAGACATTACTAGTTGTCTAAACCAAAATCCTTTCTTCTTTACTAGTAGAACTCTGATTTCTTCAGGGTGACAATGTGGCCAGTTAAAAATATTCATGCCCCTAGACTTTCATAAGTCATGGCTGGCCATGTGACCATCAATTAAATAAAAGTGAATTTCTGTAGAGGAGACTCAAGGAAAGCTTTATGGAAGAAATATCGCTTTAGCCATTTGATATGCACCCATCCCTTTTTTTTTTTTTTTTTTGAACCTGAAACAGGGACATGATACTGGAGGTAGAACAGCCATATTTCACCCATAATAACAAAAGCCACACAGACACTATTAATAGTGTAGGACACCAGAGGTGCCTAGGTCCATGGTTGCTTTGGAGGGCCAACTTACCAGGTCTGGACTATCCACTTCTGGATTTGTTGTTAGGTGAGGAAGATTATATCCCTTCTATATAAGATTTTGTTATTGTCTGTTGTAAGTATCAAATGCAATTCTTAGTTGACATAATAAGATAGGCCAAGTCATCATTTATTTAGCACTATATATAGAATTTTTTAATAGACAGAATGAGGTGAAAATGGTGACAGAAAATGCAAACAAGCTAGCAACAACATTAAAACATTGTCTTCTTTAATAGACTTAGTTTCCCTTTAAATACCTACATTTTACAAATATATTAACACCAGTTTATAATAATTAAGTTAAATTTCGTGTATTAAATTTTATTAACTCATATGGTAGTATTAAAATATGTTCACAAATTATTTGATACTTCTTCCTTCAAAGGGTCAAACTTCATTCCCCTCACCTTGAGTTTGGACTGTATTAAATGACTTGTTCTCATGAATAGAATGTAGTGGAAATGATGTAATGTGACTTCTGAGGGGAGACTATAAAACATGCCAGACTTTTTATTCTTTCTCTAGGATTACTTGTTGGGGCCAGGTAGCTGTTATGTCAGAGTCATAAGGTCACTCAGGCAACTTATAAGGAGGCTCACATGGTGAGTAATTAAGGCTTCTAGCCAACAACCGGTGAGGTATTGAGGCCTTCTGACAAGAGCCATGTGAGTGAGCTTGGAAGCAGATCCTCCAACCCTTCAGGCCTTCAAATGATTGCATGCATCATGGTCAACATCTTGACTGTAACCTAGAAAGAGACCCTGAGACAGAACCATTCAGCTAAGGTGCTCCTGAATTCCTAGGCCACAGAAACAGTGAGATACTAAATGTTTAAATGATTGTTGTTTTAAGCCACTAAGTTTTGGGATAGTTTGTTATACAACAATAGGTAACTCATACAGCTGGATATAATAGAGCCTAGCACAATGCCTGGCACACATGCAGGTGTTCAATTATTTGTTGTTTGAATGAATAAATAATTGAATGAAGTATATCTTTTTCACTTTAGTAGGTAGCATACAATGTTAGGATTATCTTTGCTCCCTGACACCTGTATTATCTAAGGGTTTTTTGATCTCTTATAGAGAGATGTAGTGTGAATCTTACTGAGAGCTAAACTTTGCCAGTTGTGGAAGTAACATGGTGAATAGAACAACGGAATCCTTGAAACTTGAATTCTGCCCCCAGTTGTTTTTCCTCAATCAATTTTTTTTAATTTTTTAAAAATTAATGAGTTAACACAAAATTAAACCATGTCTTGAAACCAGACAGCCATCTTGTCTGCCATCTCCAAGCAAATTACAGATTGACTCATAATACAAATTTGCCCAGAGGGCTTGCAATACTATTTCACAAAGTTGGCTGTATTATTTCTCTTCACAAATGACCAGTCTGATGCATAGCATGTTTAGCTACAGATGCCTCTGATGACTCTCTCTGCAACATTTTCATGGCTCGCCAACAGGTCTGTCTACATTTCTCAGGTCTACCAAGGGGGCGGTTCAATTCTGCTTTGATGTAATCTATCCAAAGATCAGAATCTACAGATCTAAATTCTCTCAAAGCCCTCTGTTGCAGAATTCCTGCATTCTTGCTCCTTTTCAAACTGGATCATTTCCTAAAAAAGTCAACTAAAAATGGATGGCTCTCCTGTAAACTTTTAAACACAGCTCCAGCCTTTTTGTAGCCACCACTTTGGTAAGCCCAATCCAGGTACTTATCTTTCAGTGCCCCCAGTTTTATCACTGATTAGCTGGATGACCTGTAGTAAGTCACCTAACCCTTCTGAATCTCAATTTCCCTATCCACTAACTGGGGAAAATTATCCCAATGTACCCCAAAAGGCAGTCAATGAGATTATATGTAAATATGCTTTACATATAAAGCATTAGCATTCTTTTAATTAAATTAGGCTGATGAGGTCTACCTGATGTTTAAGCAATTAAGCATTAAGTATTTTACATGAATACCATGGAGACCTTTCAGGAAGTGACAACTTATTTACTGATTTTACTGTGTACTGTATAAAATAGTAGCATCATTCATAGCAAGCAGTTTGGATTTAAGAGTATGGCAGAATGGTAGCTTATATGTCAGGTCTCATTTTATGAGCCTGTTGAAAATTTATTACTCTTTTAAAAGAATGCATAATTATCACTGGCTCCTTTTTCTTTTTCATGAATTAATTTGTAACTGTGGCTGAGTATATCTGCTCCTCTTTGTTGTGACAGAGGTACTTAAACAAACTTAATAACAAACATATATATAACCGGTTATTTGAGTTTATGAGTTCATCCTAGAGCAAAATTGCACCCAATAGCAAGAAAATAAATGGCAGAAAACATGTCTTTCTCTTTCAGAGGGCAGAACTTAGGGCACACAGGGGAAGGCTTTATATACTGGAACATCAAAGGTAGAGATGAGGCAATTATTAACAATGCACATTTTTGTGGCATGACTAACCTGAGAGGTAAATATGTTAGAATGAGTAAGACAGAGCCTTAGTGTGAGACTCAAGTCCTGATTATGTAGTGGATGAATGGCCTTAAATACAAGGTCCCTAATTTAATTGTATGGTTTTTTCTTGCTTTCAGCTATTCAGCTGTGAGCCCAAATCAGTTGAAACTACTGGCCTAATTAGATATCAGACTGTTTGTTGTTGTGGATGATCCCTGAGTAAGAAAAAGAAGAACTCTAGGGGGAAGAAAGGGACAGAGCTTCTTGCACCTCATTTCCTATGTTAAATTAGGGAGTAAGTGAAAAATGGACACCAGGAAACAAAGATCAGGGAAATCCTTCTGGCAACATTGTGCTTTTAGACAGAGCTTCTCGTCTCCTATTGAAAATACCTGACAATGCCACCCTGTATAACCTAAGAGAACATTTTCTAAACAGTTTTTATTCCTTGTAGCTACATCTTTACAAAATTTACCAAGATTTTGAGACAATTGGAATGGCTGGTGTTGTTTTCTGAATTGACTGACAGAGGAATAGGGTTAAGATGGAGAATAGAGCAGAGGAAGAAATAAAGAAAAAAAGTCTAGGAAATACATTTAACCTCGAGGGAAGAGGACTCAGTGTGACTCACAGCATATTAGCTTGAAAGCAGAGACTGTCACGTGTGCACTGAGGAACTTGTGTCATCTAGAAAAATATTCTCAGCTTACGAGGCTAGAATCCCTGGGGTTACTCTTTGTTCCTCTAGTTCCCTGGAATAAGAATCAGGAGTGTTCCTTAATTGTTTTCTCAATTGATGAGAAACAGAAGCAGAAACATTTGTTGTAAGTGAAATAGTTGAAGTTTCTTTAGTTTGAAATCCCAAAGGAGTAAATTATTTATAAATGTATATGTTGCATCTGTTATTGAAAAGAACTAATTGACTTACAAATTGTGTAGCTGCATAATGTGGCATTTTTTTTTTCTTATTTCAAGTTGTATTTCTAAATCTAAAGGTGGACCTATAGTAGATACCTTTTCTTGTTTCTATTCATCCTCCATAGAGAAGCATCTCCTTCCTCGACCTTTTTCCACAAATTCCCATTTTGCTGAAATGGCTCACAGAACTTGGGCAAATACTTTACCTATGTTTACTCACTTATTATAATGGATACAGATGAATAGCCAGATAGAAGAGATGTATAATGTAAGGTATGGAAGAAATGGCATGTAGCTTCCATGCTGTCTCCAGGCATACAAACCTCTGGGAACCTCTATGTGTTTGGAAAGCCCCCCAACCCTATCCTTTTGGGGTTTTACAGAGGTAATAAAGGTAAAATGAGGGGATAAAGGTAGGGCCTTTTATCCAATAGACCTGGTGCCCTTCCAAGAAGAGGAAGAGTTCTCTCTCCCCATTATGTAAGGACACAGAGAGAAGCCTATCATCTATAAACCAGAAAAAAAAAAGCCCTCAGCAGAAACCAAGTCAGCCAGAATGTGGATCTTGGACTTGCTAGCCTCCAAAAGTGTGAAAAATAAATTTATGTTGTTTAAGCTATTCAGTTTGTGGTATTTTGTTACAGTAGCCCAAGCAGACTAATACAAGGGGCTACCTGAAGGATTGATGCAAGATCCTCTCCTCTGTTTTGCTAACTCAGAACCTAGGGCAGAAAAAGCTGGAAAACACAGCAAACTGAAGTAATAACCCTAGACACCTGGAGGCAGAGATTACAGTTGAAACATGCAATAGACTGCCTAAGGCAAAATCTGGAGAGAGTTTCTTTGGGAAATTAAAATATTCAAAAGCAACCATATATACGTGGGAATTTAGAAAGCCATGCACATGCCCAGGGCAAAACACTTGCTTAGAAAACACCTGAGAAAACCCTAAGCTTTCATTTTGGGCTGATCCCTTAGCACAGTGCAAGGCTAACTAAGAATTGAAGTAGAGCCCTGGCTTAGAGCCACTTTGCAAAGACTGTGAGAGCTTCTGGCATTCGAGGAAATCTGCCAAAACACTAGCTGAACACAGGCTAAGGGACAGAGTCTTCCATGACCATATTGACAAGGAATACAGTCTTTGAAATAATAGTTTGAGACAGGCATCAAATAAACTGACTGCTACAGCCTTCAAGAACCAGAAAACAGCAAACCCCCCTAGGAAAGTGAAGAAAATCTAATTTCTAGTTACCACATCATAGGAGCCAAATGTCCACTTTTCAAGCTCACACACAAAAATCACAAAGCATACAAAGAAACAAGAAAGTATGGCTCATTCAAAGGAACAAAATAAATGGATAGAAACTGTCCCTGAGGAAGTCCAGACATTGGAATTACTAAACAAAAACTTTAAAACAATTGTCTTAAATATGCTCAAAATGCTAAACATGGAAATGAAAACATTGACAGTGAACTAAAGGAAGCCAGGAAAATGATGTATGAACAAGATGAGAATATCAACAAAGAGATAGTAGTTATGAAAAGGAACCAAACAGAAATTCTGAAGCTGAAAAATAAAAATAAAAAAATCTAAGTGGCTTCAGCAACAGAACTGAGCAAGCAGAAGAGTCAGTGAACTTGAAGATAAGACCACTGAAATTACTGAGGCTGAGGAGCAGAAAGGAAAAAGAATGAAGAAATTTTCATTTGTTGTTGGAATGCAAATGGTATAGCTACTTTTTTTTTTTCTTTTTTAACTAGAGATGAGTTCTCACTATGTTGCCCGGGCTGGTCTTGAATTCCTGAGCTTGTAATCCTCCCACCTCAGCTTCCCAAAGTGCTAGGATTACAGGCATGGGCCACCACACCTGGTTCAGTGTAGGCATGTTGAAAGGCAGTTTTCTTACAAAACTAAATATACTCTTACTATGCAATCCAGCAGTTGGGCTCGTTGTTATTTACCCAGATCAGGTGAAACTTATGTCCACACAAAAACCTGCATTTGAATGTTTACAGCAGCTTTATTAATAATTGCCAGAACTTGAAAGTAACCAAGATGCGCTTTTATGTACCCTTCAGAATTCCTATGCTGAAGCCCTAACACCTAGTGTGGCTGTATTTGGAGATGGGGTCTCTAAGGAAGTAGTGCAAGTTAAGGGTGGAGCCCTGATCTGGTAAGATTAGTGTTCTCAAGAAGAGATACCAGAGCACTCTCTCTTTCTGTCTCTCAGCATACACGAGGAAAGGCCGTGTGGGGACATAAAAAAAAAAGACGGCTGCCTATAAAGCCAGGAAAAGAACCCTCACCAGAAAGTGAATTTGGCAGCACTGTTGTCATGGATTTCCAGCCTCCAGAACTGTGAGAAAGTAAATTTCTGTTGTTTAAGCCACTCAATCTATATTATTTTTTTCCTATTTTAAAAAAATTTGAGATGGAGTCTTGCTCTGGAACCCAGGTTGGAGTGCAGTGGCATGATCTCGGCAGGATCACTGCAACCTCCACCGCCCAGGCTTAAGTGATCCTCCTGTCTCAGCCTCCCGAGTAACAGGGACCAGAGGCATGCACCACCATGCCCAGCTAATTTTTTGTATTTTTTATAGAAATAGGGTTTCACCATGTTGCGCAGACTGGTCTTCAACTCCTGAGCTTAAGTAATCTGCTGCCTTGGCCTCCCAAAGTGCTGGGATTACAGGCATGAGCCATTGTGCCCAGTCCAGTCTGTACTATTTTGTTATAGCAGCCCAAACAGACTAATACAAGGTAAATGGATAAATAAACTGTGGTACACACAGACAATGGAATACTATTCAATGCTAAAAAGACATAAGCTATCAGGCCAAAAAAACACATGGTTGAACCTTGTGTTAATCCATTCTTGCATTGCTATAGAGAAATACCCAAGACTGGGTAATTTATAAAGAAAAGAGGTTTAACTGGCTCATGGTTCTGCAGTCTTTACAGGAAGCATGATGCTGGCTTCTGCTTGGCTTCCAGGGAATCCTCAGGAAGCTTGCAATCATGGCAGAAGGTGAAGGGAGAGCAAGCACATCACATGGCCAGAGCAGGAACAAGAGACAGAGGTGGAGGGGTGATGCCACACACTTTTAAATGACCAGATCTCATGTGAACCAGAGCAAGAACTCACTTATTACCAAGGGGATGGCCATTCATGAAGGATCTGCTTCCATGGTCCAAACAGCTCCCACCAGGTCCCACCTCCAACATTGGGGATTACATTTCAACATGAGATTCAGGCAAAGAGAAATATCCAAACTATATCAAACCTTAAGTGCATATTGCTAAGTGAAAGAAGCTAATCTGGAACGGTTGCAGACTGCATGATTCCAATCAGATGAGGGGAAGGAATGATGAATAGGTGGAGCATAGGAGACTTTTATGGCAGGGAAACTATTCTTTATGATACTATAATGGTAGATACATTTCATTATACATTGGTCAAAACTTACAGAATGTATAACACCATGAGTGAACTCTAATGTAAATTATGGACTTTGCTTGATAATGATGTGTCACTGTTGGTTCATTGATAGTAACAAATGTACCACTCTGGTGTGAGATGTTGATAGTGGGGGAGGCTGTATTTGTGTGAGAGTAAGGAATATATGGGAATTCTCTGTAACTCTGCTGCATTTCACTGTAAACCTAAAATGGCATTAAAAATAAAGTCTGTTAATTTTTTTTTTAGAGTTTACAGAGATGAAGGGACCTGTGCGTCATCATCAAGAGGACCAGCATATGTGTTTTGGGAGTTTTAGATGACAAAGAGAGGGGCAGAAATAATATTTGAAAAATTATAGCCAGAAACTTCCAAAATTTTATTAAATATAGTAACCTACAAATCCAAGAAACTGAATGAACTCCAAGCTGGATAAACTCAAAAAGACCCACACTTAAGATATTTTAACCAACCCATCAAAAGCCAGAGGTAGAGAGAGAATCTTGAAAGCAGCAAACAAGAAAAAAGTAACTCATCACATATAAGGAATCCTCATTAAAATTAAAGGCCAGTTTCTTATCAGAAAACATGGAAGCCAGAAGACAGTGGAGTGACATATTTAAGTGGGTGAAAGAAAATGAAACCTATTAACTGAAATTTTATATCTAGCAAAACTGTCCTTCAAAATGATGGAAAAGTTAGGATATATTCAGATAAACAAAAGTTGAGTTCAACGTTTCCTTCCAACAAGAAATGCAAAGGAAGTCTTTCAAGTTGAAATGAAAAGACACTAGCCAGCAATTCAAAGCCATGTTAAGAAAATAAAGGCCTACAGTAAAGGTAGGGCAAATATAAGAACAAGTACTATTTAATTTTTGTTTGTAACTCTACCTTTTATTTTTAATAAGATTTAACAAACACATATATAAAAATAATAAATCTCCTGTTGGGGACACAATGTTAAAGATGTAAAAAGACATTAACAATATAAAGGGGGAAGATAAAGATGTATAGTAGTATAGTTTTTAAATGTTTTTGAAGTTAAGTTGGTATCAATGCAAAATATATTGCCTTAAATTTAGGGCATTAAACGTAATTGCTATGGTAACCACAAAGAAAATATCTAAAAGATATATACAAAAGGAAATGAGAAGCGAATCAAAATGGTTCACTACAAAAAAATCAACTAAACATAAAAGAAGGCAATAATGGAGAAAATAAGAGAGGAAAAAAGTATGACATACAGAAAACAAGTATCAAAATGGCAGAAATACTTCATTATGAGTAATTATTTTAGATATAAATGGATTAAACTATTCACTCAAAGGCAGAGATGGGCAGAATGGATAAATGCTGTCTGTAAGAGATTCACTTTAGATTTAACGACACAAATAGGTAGAAAGTGAAAGAATGGAAAAGATATTACATCCAAATAGTAACCAAAAGAGAGCCAAGGAGGCTATACTAATATTAGGCAAAAAACTTCAAGTCAAAATCTGTTGTAATGACAAAGAAGGACATTATATATTGATATATAGATAAATATATATATCATCAAAAAGTTATCATAATTATAAACATACATGCACCAAACAACAGAGACCCAAAATGTTTCAAGCAAATATTGACAGAATTAAAGGCAGATAAATAGTTGTACAATAATAGTTGGAGACTCCAATACTTACTTTCAAAAATGAATAGAATATCTAGACAGAAGATAAGTCACAAAATAAAAGACTTGAATAAGCCAACTAGACCTAACATGTGTATATAGAACATTTTACCCAATAACAGCAGAATACATATTTTTCTCAAGGGCACATGGAAGATTCTTCAGGATAGATGATATGTTAAGCCACAAAACAAGTGAATAAATTTTAAAAAGTTGAAATCATACACAGTATCTTTTCTGACCAAGTAGAATGAAGCTACAAATCAAAATCAAAGGAGAACTGCAAAATCCACAAATATATGGAAATTAAACTACACACTACCAAACACTCATTGGTCAAAGAAGAAACTACAATAAAAACTAGAAAATAATGAAAATGAAAACACACATATTAAAACATAAGATGTTTTTGTTTGTTTGTTTGGAGACGGACTCCTGCTCTGTCACCCAGGCTGGAGTGCAGTGGCATGATCTTGGCTCACTGCAACCTCTGCCTCCTGGGTTCAAGTGATTCTCTTCCTCAGCTTCCTGAGTAAGTGGGATCACAGATGCCTGCCACCATGCCTGGCTAATTTTCATATTTTTAGTAGAGATGGGGTTTCACCATGTTGGCCAGGCTGGTCTCAAACTCCTGACCTCAGGTGATCTGCCCGCCTCGGCCTCCCAAAGTGCTGGGATTACAGGCATGAGCCACTATGCCCAGCCTAACATAAGATGTTTAATAATGAAAACTAAAACACATATATTAAAACATCAGATGCAGCAAAAACAGTGCTCAGAGGCAAACTTATAACTATAAATTCCTACATTAAAAAAGACAAAAGATAACCAATGGCCTAACTTTATCCCTTGAGAAACTAGAAAAGGAAGAGCAAACCAAACCCAAAACTAGACAATGGAAGGAAAGAAAGATTAGAGCAGAGATCAATAAAACAGAATAAACAATAGAGAGAATCAGTAAAACCAAAATTTGGCTCTGTAAAAAAAGTAATCAAATTGACAAACCTTTAGCTAAACTGACAAAAGAAAAAAGAAAGACACAAATGATTAAAATTTAAAATGAGAATAGGGGCATTACTGCCAGCTCTGGATAATCTAGATGAAATGGATAAACACACAAATTAACTAAACTTACTCAAGATGAAATAGAAAATTTCACTAGACCTACAACAAGGCCAGAGATTGAACCAGTGATCAAAAACCTCCCAACAAAGAAAAGTCCAGGACCAGATAGCTTCACTGGTGAACTTTGCCAAATATTTCAAGAAGAATTAACACCAATTCTTCTCAAACTCTTTCAGAAAATAGAAGAGGAAAGAACACTTTCTAACTTTTTCTGTGAGGTCAGCATTACCCTGATACCAAAGTCAGATAAAGACATCACAAAAAAGTGCACACCAATATCCCTTCTGAATATTGAAGCAAAAATCTTCAACAAAGCACTAGCAAACTGAATCCAACAACATACTTAAAAGACAAACAACACGATTTAAAAATGGACAAAAGACTTGCATAGACACTTCTCAAAAAAATGTACAAATGGCTAATAAGCACATGAAAAGATGTTCAACATCCTTAGTTATTAGGGTAATGCAAATCAAAACAACAATGATGTACCATTTCACACTTACTAGGATAGCTGTAAGATTAAGAAAAAAAAAAACAAAATATCCAAACAGAAAATAACAAGTGTTGACAAGGATGTGGAGAAATTGGAACATTTGCACATTACTGGTGGGAATGTAAAATGGTGCAACCACTGTGGAAACCAGCATGGCAGTTTTTCAAAAGGCTAACCATAGAATGACCATACAACCCAGCAGTTTGGCTCTGAGATATACACCCCAAATAACTGAAAACAGAGACTCAAGAGATATTTGTACATGAACGTTTGTTGTGACCTTCTTCATAATAGCCAAAAGGTGGAAACAACCCAAGTGTTCATCAACCAAGAAATGGATAAACAAAATATTTTATACACATACAGTGGGATATTATTCAGCCATGAAAAAAATCAAGTTTTGATATATGCTACTACATGGATGAGCCTTGAAAACATTATACTAAGTGAAATAAGCCAGAGAAATGACAAAGTATTGTATAATTCCACTTATATGAAATATCTAGAAGAGGCAAATTTATAGAGACAGAAAATAGGTTAAAGGTGGAGGGGATAAGGGAGTGTTATTGCTTAATGGTTATTGAATTTGTTTTGGGTGCTGGAAAAGCTTCATTAACAGATAGTGGTGGTGTTTGCACAATAGCATGTATGCAATTAATGCCACTGAACTGTACCCTTAAAATGGTTAAAATGTCATACTTTGTGTTGTGTATATGTTATCATAATAAAAAAAGAAATGATTCGGTGTATATTTTTAAATTACGGTGTTTTGCTGAAGACAGGAATAATGTTGGCAGAAAAGGCAAATGTATTGCTTCCTTTTTTAGAGACTTTAATTATTTGTAGGTAGACAATATTCTTACAGGTAATTAAAGTATGCTTAGTTGTCTTTTTAAAAATACCACATTTTAGTTCATTTGAAAAGGAACTGAGTAATCTTGATAGATTATCATACACCTAGTTGATGAAATATTTTGTAACCACGAAAATGGTAACTGTTAAGAGTTATCATTAACAGGAAAAATAGGAGAAGATTGCTGGAAGTAATCTCTCTGCTATACCTATTAGGTTTGTTGTCTCAGCTGGGGCCTGACGGCTTTCCTTTTACTTTTCCAATTAGTTCTCTTTCCCATTTCCCATGAAAGTTACTTGAATCAATATTCACACTCCTTTATTTCCTTCACTTTTATTCTCACCAGGTGGTATTTTTTAAGATAATATACCTCAACTCCTTCTCTTCTACCTGCAAACTTCCCTCAGTAGCAGCTTCTGAAGTGTTGTCTCCTCCTGCTCTAGGCTGGCCTTCCAGCCGTACTCTGCTTTGGAGACCAGCCCCTCCCTCCTCTTCAGCACTTGCCTCAGCAACTAACCTGCATCTTTTCTAAATTTCCAATTTCTGTCATGCCCCTGACTTCTATATCCCATTACCTTACCACCCTCTACAACTGCTGCACACTTCTTTCCTTTGCATTATCACTAGGTTTTTTGAAACAGCAGTCTGCATTCACCATCTCTACTTACCTATTCATGAATTTGTTCATTCCCCTGTGAAATGTGGAGAACATGCTTCTTTATAGATGGCATCAGAATTTCTCTAAGAAAGAACAGTGTCTTTCTTTGAAAGAAAATTTAAAACCTTGAAAAAAATGGAGTAGAAGGTAAGATTCTTAGGATTCCATAAGGCCGAAGCTAACCAAGCCTTCAGAGACAAGGACTAAGCTGCTCATTCTGAGTCTAGGAGAATGTTTTTGCTGCTTCATAGGAGTAGGAAAAGAGAGGGTGAGAAAAGAGGAGAAACAACAGTCTCAGGAGAATAAGGGACTGGGCGCTGTGAGAAGAGGCCTGGGGGTAGTAGGCCAAGAAAAGAGCTGTAGTATCAGGGGGTCCAAATTTTGGTGAATTGGAATGTCCAAGGACAATCTTATAAGATGTCAGCATACCACAGATTCTGCTTGAAAAGACCCTCTCAATGATTATCACTTGGAGAAAAAAAAAATGAACAACAAAAAAAACTTACATAATTCCATGAAATGGCATCTTGATTGGACATATTAAAGATGTATTACTCTTAACAGTATTCTTTAGAAAATAAACATGGGAGATTTATCATTGTTTATATATTTTATAAATTTACATGTAGTTTAAATATGTGATGTGTAATGTGCAGTATAACATTTTTAATACATAATGTATAACATTCTTAATACACTATTTTATCCAGGAAAGCAAATGTTTCATAAAGAGTAAGTCAGTTAATCTCAATGAATGCTGTTCTCCCAATATTATGTCTAGTTTGGATTGCCATTCGGGGCAAACTCCTGAGAAACAGGACCTGTTGCTCTCAATTTATCTGTACACTGCATAAGCAATTTCATTGCTGTTTAGCCAGTAGGGATCTGAAAAAGGAGCAGAGATAGAATCTGAAGGAGTATAGGTAAAGAATATGCAGCTGAACCACTGGTCTTCCTCCCTGGCCCAGAGTGACTTTTCCAGACCCTGGGGTAATACAGAGGAGCATTTATGTGGAATACTCTGAGCCTGGTGTCCAATCAGGGCATGCCCTCCTCAATTCAAATCATAAAATTTGTCATGGCTTAGCACAGTTTAGTGGAAAGATCTTGGTCTTTGAAGTAAGATTGATGTGTTTGAATTCCAGCTGTAAATAAAAAGGACTAACATGATTAGTTAAAGTGGAGAAAGCTCTAAGAAGGAAGAACTCAGTCTAGGACTCCTTGTATAACTACTGCGGCATGCTTACTATTGTATTACACAGTGTGCTAAGCACTTGCCTTACTGATTTAATGTTTACACCAACCCTCTGTGGTAGGCATTAGCAACTCCATTTAACTGATTTTTAAAAAATGTAGTCTTAGAGATTAAGCAATTTGTAAATAGTATAACACGGATTTCAACCCGGTTGTTTTTAACTGCTTTATTGAGGTATAATTGACATTCAATAAGTATACATAAAGTGCATAATTTGATGTTGTGACATATGTATACACCCATGAAACTATCACCGCAGTCAAGATAATGAATGTATCTATCACCTCCAAAAGTTTCCTCCTGCCACTTCCCACCCTGCCCCATCTCCAAGCAACCACTGATCTGCTTTCTGTCAATAGAGATTAGTTTGCATTTTCTAGAGTTATAAAAATGATATCATACATTATGTGCTTTTTCATATCTGGTTTTATTCACTGGCATTGTTACTTTGAAATTAAACCATATTGTTATGTTTATCAATAGTTTATTACTTTTTATTGTTCAGTAATATTCTATTATAAGAATATACCACAATTTTTGTATTCATTCAAATACTGAAGGACATTTAATCCAATTGTTTCTCACCCTAAACCTGTGCTACACTCTCTTCCCAGTTCCATCACTTATTGTGTGGGCTTAGGAAACCTAATTATTCTCCCTGAGTCTTGGTTTTTCTCATGATAAAATGGCAGTAATATACGTTTTTTTCACATGGTTGTTATCAGTAAATGAGAGAACGTGAACACGCCTGGTACAGGTGTCCCTTATCTCAAGTGCCTGGGACCAGAAGTATTTTGGACTTCAGAGTTTTTGAACTTTTGGAATATTTGCATATACATAATGAAATATCTCTGGGATGGGACCCAAGTCTAAACATGAAATGTATGTTTCATATGCACCTTATACACATAACCTGATGGTAATTTTATACAATATTTTCAAAAATTTTGTGCATGAAATGAGTTTTTCTATTTTGACTGTGACTCATCACATAACATTAGGTGTGGAATTTTCCACTCGTAGCATCATGTTGATGCTCAAAAAGCTTTGGATTTTAGACCATTTCAGATTTTGGGTTTTTGGATTACAGATGCTCAACTGGTACCATGTGATCATAAATTGGTGCTTACAACTATTCATTTTTTTTTCTCCTGAAAGGGAACATATCGGAGAAGGAAATGAGAAAAGATATAGCAGTACATGCCTTTCTGGACTCTTTCTTCCTGTCTTGAAAGCTTTGAATTCTTGCATCTAGAGCTTCCTACACTGAAACGTCCTCTTAATCTTTCTCACTTTGATTTCTCCTACACCTGTCTCATCTGCACCCCATGGATATGATGTTTGTCTTTTCTCTTTAATCCAAATATGGACACAATTTTTTTCTTATTCCCTTAGCGTAACTGAAATAGAGTGATGCATTCACAAAAATTAAAGGATAAATTAAATGGGTATAATTATGTAAAAGGAAGCAATGGAAAAATAGTCAAGGCTCCTAGATGCGTGCTTTATTCCACATAATCCCACCACAGTGAGTAAAGGGGCTTTATTTAGTTCCATATCTGCTTGCACAAGGATCACCATCTTCTAACACAGATGGGTGGGCACAACCTGGCCTGAGCTCCTTCCTAACCTGCCTTCTGTCTTTCAGTTATCTGGCCATCTTCTCTTCCTGGCTACTGTGGTTTCTAGTTCTGTTCACATAAAAATGCCAGACCAACCTTTTATTCTAAATTCAAACTTCTCAGGCACTGTTTGGTCCTTCTCTGAGGCTTTCAAATCTAAAAGAAACACATAAATGAATAAAGTTGACAGGCAAGGTTAATCTTTCCTAGGGTTTCTAGGGCATTTTACTCACCCTACACATCTTAAATAATACAAAATAATATTTACATGCAATCAAAGGCAGCAAACCCAAGGTGAACACTGTAATGGTTTGCCCTGTTCCTCCTTCAGGACAGAAAGATTTATTTCCACAACTATTGGGAGTGCTGCCAGCAGATGACCTTCAGCTTACAGCCCTCTCAGGGAACTGCCTCAGGTGCAAACAACTTAAAGCCATGCCCCCTCAGGCACCCACATCCAATGACTGATCAACATAGGGGTATTAAAAATAGAGCTTTCCTTCCCTGACCTGTGATACTCTTTAGGGCCATTCCACCTTCAGAGTTCCTCGTCGGGTTGACTGAGGACTTTAAGACTATATCACAGCTCAACTTTTCCCACTGTCCAATCCTGCTTCTGTCTCTTTCCATGCACAGGTGCTGATCTTAAAAGTCTTCCCTAATAAACTTTCTACATGCTGATCTCCATTTCAGAGTCTGTTTTCTGGAAAACCCAGCCTATGGCAAAATGTAAAGCAAGAGGAGAGCTGTATCCCAATCCTCCTGAAATCCAAGCTCCTTTTTAGGTATCTCAGATCAATAGGTTATAGAATTTGACTTACTTCTGCTTACTTAGAGTTAGCTCTTCATACATCATAGACCCGTTAACATTAATGTTCCACATGAGAAATGAAGAAAGGTGTAAGGAAGGGATCCAGTTTCAGCTTTCTACATATGGCTAGCCAGTTTCCCCAGCACCATTTATTAAATAGGGAATCCTTTCCCCATTGCTTGTTTTTCTCAGGTTTGTCAAAGATCAGATAGTTGTAGATATACGGTGTTATTTCTGAGGGCTCTGTTCTGTTCCATTGATCTATATCTCTGTTCTGGTACCAGTACCATGCTGTTTTGGTCACTGTAGCCTTGTAGTATAGTTTGAAGTCAGGTAGCATGATGCCTCCAGCTTAGTTCTTTTGGCTTAGGATTGACTTGGCGATGCGGGCTCTTTTTTGGTTCCATATGAACTTTAAAGTAGTTTTTTCCAATTCTGTGAAGAAAGTCATTGGTAGCTTGATGGGGATGGCATTGAATCTATAAATTACCTTGGGCAGTATGGCCATTTTCACGATATTGATTCTTCCTACCCATGAGCATGGAATGTTCTTCCATTTGTTTGTATCCTCTTTTATTTCCTTGAGCAGTGGTTTGTAGTTCTCCTTGAGGAGGTCCTTCACGTCCCTTGTAAGTTGGATTCCTAGGTATTTTATTCTCTTTGAAGCAATTGTGAATGAGAGTTCACTCATGGTTTGGCTCTCTGTTTGTCTGTTATTGGTGTATAAGAATGCTTGTGATTTTTGTACATGGATTTTGTATCCTGAGACTTTGCTGAAGTTGCTTATCAGCTTAAGGAGATTTTGGGCTGAGACAATGGGGTTTTCTAGATATACAATCATGTCATCTGCAAACAGGAACAATTTGACTTCCCCTTTTCCTAATTGAATACCCTTTATTTCCTTCTCCTGCCTAATTGCCCTGGCCAGAACTTCCAACAATATGTTGAATAGGAGTGGTGAGAGAGGGCATCCCTGTCTTGTGCCAGTTTTCAAAGGGAATGCTTCCAGTTTTTGCCCATTGAGTATGATATTGGCTGTGGGTTTGTCATAGATAGCTCTTATTATTTTGAGATACATCCCATCAATACTTTATACAAAAATTAATTCAAGATGGATTAAAGACTTAAACGTTAGACCTAAAACCATAAAAACCCTAGAAGAAAAGCTAGGCATTACCATTCAGGACATAGGAACGGGCAAGGACTTCATGTCTAAAACACCAAAAGCAATGGCAACAGAAGCCAAAATTGACAAATGGGATCTAATTAAACTAAAGAGCTTCTGCACAGCAAAAGAAACTATCATCAGAGTGAACAGGCAACCTACAGAATGGGAGAAAATTTTCACAACCTACTCATCTGACAAAGGGCTAATATCCAGAATCTGCAATGAACTCAAACAAATTTACAAGAAAAAACAAACAACCCCATCAAAAAGTGGGCGAAGGACATGAACAGACACTTCTCAAAAGAAGACATTTATGCAGCCAAAAAACACATGAAAAAATGCTCACCATCGCTGGCCATCAGAGAAATGCAAATCAAAACCACAATGAGATACCATCTCACACCAGTTAGAATGGCAATCATTAAAAAGTCAGGAAACAACAGGTTCCGGAGAGGATGTGGAGAAATAGGAACACTTTTACACTGTTGGTGGGACTGTAAACTAGTTCAACCATTGTGGAAGTCAGTGTGGCGATTCCTCAGGGATCTAGAACTAGAAATACCATTTGACCCAGCCATCCCATTACTGGGTATATACCCAAAAGACTATAAATCATGCTGCTATAAAGACACATGCACATGTATGTTTATTGTGGCACTATTCACAATAGCAAAGACTTGGAACCAACCCAAATGTCCAACAATGATAGACTGGATTAAGAAAATGTGGCACATATACACCATGGAATACCATGCAGCCATAAAAAATGATGAGTTCATGTCCTTTGTAGGGACATGGATGAAATTGGAAATCATCATTCTCAGTAAACTATCGCAAGGACAAAAAACCAAACACCACATGTTCTCACTCATAGATGGGAATTGAACAATGAGAACACATGGACACAGGAAAGGGAACATCACACTCTGGGGACTGTTGTGGGGTGGGGGGAGGGGGGAGGGATAGCATTAGGAGATATACCTAATGCTACATGACAAGTTAATGGGTGCAGCACACCAGCATGGCACATGTATACATATGTAACTAACCTGCACATTGTGCACATGTACCCTAAAACTTAAAGAATAATAATAATAAAATAAAATTTAAAAAAAGAAAAATAGCTAATAAAAAAAAAGAAAAAAAAAAAGAAATGAAGAAAGATAAATCCAGTGCAACCTATCAGGCCTGTTCACAAATGAGGCCATAATCATTTCACCATGCTGATCAATGACAATTGCTAAAGTTTTTGAACTGTTCACATTTAATGAGAGAGTAGAATTTTGAAGTACTTTCAGTAAGTCAGCCCTCTTTCTGACCTCTTTATGACTGTCTTTGCCTTAAGGTAAACTTCAATAGAATCTTCTGCACTTGCACACATATTTTAAGGATACTTGAAATAGCACCTACCATAGAAAATATGGAAAGTATTCATGTTTTCCTATATTTCTAATTTTTTTAATACCATTGTGACACAATCTGATAGAGTATGAAGTATTAGAAAACATGTATTTTAATCCTGGCTCTACTATTTACTAACTACTATCTACTATTTTCTGAGCCTCATGGTCCTCAACTTTGTAAAAGGAAGATGATGATGCCTGTCTTTTCTAGTGGTTGTGCTGGTTAAAGGGGAGGATGTTTGCAAAGGGTCTAACATGTAGTAAGTATTCAATAAATGGTAGTTATTTTTATCAGCAACTCTTATAATAAAAAGTGGACTGACAAAAATTTTAAAACTAAGTATCTTTTTAACAAGTACTTCATTTATTGCCACATTTTTTAGTCCCTTGGCAACAAATTTTGGCTAGCAAATGTAAAGTTATTCACTGTAAATATGTTTATACTAAAATGTTAGTGATTTTCATCCAAGGGGCAATTACCTTTAAAGTAAAGAAGTTAGACTAAGTGAGTTGTAAGGTTTTTTTTCCCACTGTTAAAGCCTCACAAGTTTATAGATTTGGATGATCTCCCCAAAATAGAAGCAAACGTTTCTGAGAATTTGAGTCTGTCTTTGGTAAGGATGGTTACATGTCAATAGAGCTATGGTTCCAAGTCCTCTTGACAAGTAGTTTACTTGCAAACTATTCAGTTTGTCTTAGTCTGTCATATCATTGTGCAAAATACATGTCAGTACACAAGTAGTCAGTAATTTTGTGTAGTAATGACTACACAAGTAGTCATTATTATAAACTGGAAGTTACTGCCTATTATTCTGTCTTAGATTTCAGTTGCATAAATTCTATTTAAGTTGATTGTAAATTATGGCTCATTGTTTTCTCTCAATACTCATTACTTCTGCTGATTAGTACTGTGTTTGTGTGTATAGTTCTAAGGTTTTTTTCAGCTATAGTTCCAAGTCCTCTTGACCAGTAGTCTACTGGCAAATAATTCAGACAGCTTTCCCTCTGTCATCTGTTAACATTAGTCCTGGGGACTGGTTTCTCTGATAAAATTCCTGCAGCTACTTCATACCTTTGGACATGTACTTCGACACACGCCCTCTATTTCATCTTTTGTGTACCCAGGAATGAGTTGCATGTATGTGTCCATCCTTTGGAACCAACCTTACTTCTGTCTTGAACTGAACTTGACTTCTCTTTTACTGAATGGATTTAGGTTAGCAGACACATAGACAATTTTTATTTTCCTCCCCTTCTAAATATCTGTCTCTGCATCTATCTTCCTACTTCCTAAGAAGAGCAGTGTAGCCTCCTTTCTCATGAGAAACAGGGTAACATTTTGTCTTCCCGCCTGTTCTACATCAACTGCTTAATATATGTATTAGAACACTGTCAATCAAGGTAACATTATCTGTCCCCTTGTACATCAGACTTTTGTCAAGGATATACCTGATTAGTCAAATGGCAGGGATTAGGGGTTGGAGGTAGAAGGTGGAGGTTCAAGAGAGAAATAACACTCTATACAGTTGAAGACCAAAAAGATCTAGATGGAAGGTAAAGGTCATATGCAGAAATGGAATAGAAAGAATTTTCCAGAGTTGAGAAGAAACAGATCTCTAGTTCCATGAGGCTATTGGAACGTGTACCCAATATAAAATGTGGAAAGGTACTAGGGACAAGAAGGACACACATGTGGGGCAGGAAAGAGCTGAGGGAAAGAGTAAGAATCAGGAAATTTAACTAGTTTTACTTATGTATGAACAGCCGTTCACAGTGTTGCTGCCATTGATCTTTGAAGTGCAGACATATCCCTCAATTTATGAACATGGATTGGTGCAAAGCTCCCTAGGATGTGAGAAAGGAAATGAAAAGAGATGCTGTGCTCCAGTTTACCAAGCTCGGAGCTGATAGCTGAAAGGCCAGTTCCCTTTTCTTCCATTACATGTTAAGTATGTTTTTATGAACTGTAGTGATACTCTGTGTAACAGTGTTTCTATAGGAAAATGCCCTCTTTGAATTGAATCACATTAAAATGAATTTTTTGAATATAGCTTACATGGAGACAGAGAATTTTTTTAACTTTGCTAACATTATCTAAAGATTGCAGATAAAGAAAATCTACGTGTAAAAATAGTGACTTTCCAAAGGCATTACTATCAAATTAAGCGAAAATTAGAATTCATACACCTTCATTTAGTCTGTAAGAGTCCTGTTTCTATTGAGCCTCTGGGGAACCTTTTGCCTTGAAGAGATTATTGGGGAAAGGGGACAAGAAGGAAGGAAACAAATCAGCGCAGTCCAACACACCACTTTCTTTCCTTTCTCTTTCTCTTCCGCTTTGCATTTCTATTTCTGTTCCACTCTATTTCCTCCTCCCCCTCCTCTTCCTGTTTTCTTTCTTTCCTTCTTTTTCTTTGCTTCCTAGTCTTTTACTGCTCTTGGTATTTGTCCCGCGTCTTTCCAATCTCTTCCTTTTTATTTTTTAGTTCTACTTTTTATATCTGACCCTCCTAGTAGAGAAAAGGTGGTCAATATTACAGTCGTTCAAAAATAAAAATTAAGTACTTAACTCTTTCTGGCTCTGTGCCAAGCATTGTAAAAAGAAAATTACATAGACAGTTTCTGACCTCCAAAAGCATACAATCATTTGAGTCCCAGCTGTGATTTTATAACACCTTCATGATTCTTGACTTTTTTTTCCTGTTTCTAAGTCCCATTAAAAATCTGGTGATAGCAATGAATTGCTTCACTCCAAAAATGCATAAGTCACAAACATGCCCTATTTGCATATAATTTCAGAAGATTCAAAAACTCCCTGAACCCCTTAATAGTTTATGACCGCCCTCAGATCAAGAACCCTGCTCGTTGTCTCAATATATTTCACAAATGTCACACAGTTTGAGATAGAATGCCTTAAAACACAGTTAATTTTAATTCATTAAGAAAATCAATAGGCCGTCTAACAGCCATTTTGTGTGTTTGGGTAGGCAAAAAGGGAAAGAAATGTTATCTAATTACAAGTAGGTCATAACATTATCCAAAAGGAACAAACACTTATTTGACCACCTATTACATGTCATATATGCGTATATGAGTCCTACATGATACAGCTTTTATAAAATTATAGATGAAATATATATGTATATATACATATACATGCATACATATATAAATAGATACATGTGTATATACCTGTACATTTATACAAATGTTTATATAATATATAAATATATAAAAATGTATGTGTATATAATATGTAAAATATAATGAAAAAACATACTAAGTGTTTACAATAGCTATGTTATATAGGAATCGTTATACTCAGATATGGAAATTAAGACTCAGAGAGATCAAACAGCTGACTCGGGCCACGTGCTAGTGAACAGTAGAATCAGAATTTGAGTCCACATCAAACTCCAATGCCTTCTTGGAGACTTATTTTTCCTTTCTATTCAACATAAAACTCAGCACATAGGAGGTGTTAATGGAATACTGGAATGCTGATTGAATTAGACAGAACAGAGTCAGGTATAGAGCCCTGCAGTAGATCACTGGAGACTAGAGACCACTCTTCCTAACCCCACCCTAACCTCCCATTTAATTTCTTTTCTTTAGCAGAAAGGAAGGGACATTCTAACAGGTTCTAAAGACTAGAGTGGACTCTACAAAACTTCAGAGGGATATAGTAATTTTACTGTATTCATCAGAGAAATATTTCAGCTGTGGTCATGTGAGGGTAACAGGCTTGAATACACCAATTTTCATGTGAAAGGAATGTACTGCTAAGTTAATGCAACAGCAACTTGAGGAAACTACTTTTGATTTAGCAAGTTATCTGAACATTAAAGGAGGCATTCTGACTGAGGTTCCTGAAATATAAAGAACAATTTGAAACATGCCTGGGAGGAAAATACAGCAATTTTAGCAAAAAGACAGTTCTCAAATAAAGTCTGATTTTAAAGGAAAAGAGATCTCATTGATTGAAGGAATTGTTCAGAATGTACATGTACATACCCTTACTGAGGCTAGCTAATGAAGAAACTGAAATTTGAAGTTTGGTGGTAAAGAAAATGAAAGCAATATAAGAATGTTGGCAACTGTGAGATAGAGGTTGATTATACTTCAAAAGAGTATCTTTAGGGAAGCTAATAGACACCTAACTAAGTTGAACAGAAACTATATTGAAATAAATATAATCTTAGAAGCCAGTCAAGACAGTAGAGCAACACGGAATCAGTGCCTTGATTGATAGATTCATGATTTAAAAATAAACCCATCTTGACTTCAAGTCAGGGCAAGGTTATGGTGTACAGTTTCTTAATTTCCCCAAATCCATTCCTAAAAGCATACTGAACCAACTAGAATAGCAAAAGATAAGTTCTACTCACCACATCCTCCAGAAAGCCAACTGAAAAAACATCCCCATGAGCCTCAGAATGCCAGTGGGTTTTGCCCCACCCAAACCACAGACAACAGCAGTAGAACTCATACAGAGCATGCCTAGTTTTAGCAGCTGTGCAGAGGCAGTGGACAGGAGAGAACAAGAGTTTAGAAGGTTCTGCGAACACTGCAATACAGAAATTGTCCACAAATACTCAAAAAGAGAAGGTCTTACCTTGAGTGGGATTCTCAGCAAGTAAATATTGTGAAAATAACAGTAAAAAGGAGAAGGCTTCTGACTCCAATTTATGGCTGAGTAGAATAAAAATATCTCAGCCACACACTAAGAGAAAATGGGAAGATCAGAAGGTACTGGGTGGCTTATGTACTCAAATAACTCAGAAATAGCCAATAAAATATCTTTCCTGAGGAAAACACTTCCGTGAAGAAAATTCAAATTGAGCAGGATAGAAACTCTGAGAGTAAATCCAATATTTTGACGACCTTACAATGCCTTTGTTGTTTGTTGAGAGAAAAAGATCAAACACTGGGAGGTCAGGTGGGTCTCCAGAGAAGGCACATCTCTGGAAGTGGGTGTGACGACACAAAGGCCATCCACGTCTACATGTGTATCTTAATCTGTCTGCTATGTGATAATAATAGGGGAGGAATCTCTTAAGCACTGAAACTATAAAGGCTATCATAGCATATCCCATTTCCCTTCAAGGGAGGCATTTCCTAAAAGTACAGAACACCTGATTTTGTTTATACAAAAGCAACAGAAAGGAGATGGTCGAACACAAAACAAGTACACTATTATAAAGAAAATAAACTAAATAATGAAAAAATGGGTAGTTAATATGTACCAGAAAAGACATAATTTAAAAAAATGAAAACTAAATAATATAACAAAATTAATGGAAGCAAATTAAGAAAATAATGGAAACTATAAAGTAACAGCATATATTAGAACCAGGAAACTCAGAGACGAGATGGCTAAACATGAATTGGGGACTGATATAATTCAGAACTGGAGTTGAGTCACTGGTCCATTTCCAATTTATCCTTTTTCATAAAATGTGGTCTCTTGTGGTCCCAATTGAAAGCCTAGTGTTTTCGTGTTTCGGTTTTTGTTTTATTTTAGATCTCATCCTCCTTGTGCAGCTCAGAACTCCAATTTTCCCCTCAACTCCTTGAGTCTATTGAAAGTTTTGTTCAAATTCTCATCCTTTCAGCCATTGTTCTCAAATAGGCAAATGCCTCAAGACTAAAAGCAATGGCACATGTCAGGCTCAGCTCTCTGGGGTTCCCTTTTCTTCTGGATCCTGGCCCCATAAGTCCTCACTACATGAGTGGTTTTTCAATACCTTCAAATTGTTCTAAAACAACCTAGTTCACTATTTTCAGAAACAAGACTTGGGAAATACAATTTACAAAGGAGGAAAAGAAAACAGAAAGAAAGAAATAGAAAGGATCCGAGAGAAAAATGATAAATATAGAAGACAGGAAACGAAAATCCAACATAAGTGTAACTTATGTTGGAAGGAAAATGAAAGCAACGGAACAAAGGAAATACAAAAATCCATAATACAACAAGACGTTCTTAAAATTATAAAAAAACTGAACACCTATTTTGAAAGAGCACACCATTAACCTTGGAAAAGTGGAGCCAGAATGGCCAATACCAAGACATATTCCAGTATAACTGGAAAATAAAAAAACTCTTTGAACATTCAGGCATAAAGACCAAGTCATCAAAAATAAAATCATAAATAAAATCATATTTACATCAGATTTCATAAGTCCATGGAGCAATATATTTATTAAAAAGAAAAAAGTAGGCTGGGTGCAGTGGCTCATGCCTGTAATCCCAACACTTTGGGAGGCCAAGGGAGGGCAGATCACGAGGTCAGGAGTTTGAGATCAGTCTGGCCAACATAGTGAAAACCCATCTCTACTAAAAATACAAAAATTAGCCAGGTGTGGTGGTGCGTGCCTGTAATCCCAGCTACTAGGGAGGCTGAGGCAGGAGAATAGCATGAACCCGGGAGGCGGAGGTTGCAGTAAGCTGAGATCGTGCCATTGCACTCCAGACCAGGCAACAGTGCGAGACTCTGTCTCAAAAAAAAAAAAAAAAAGAAATTTTTATGCATACCCAAACTTACGTTAAAATATAAAAGCTACGGAAAAATAAAGCAATTGTGAGCATACAAGAACTGAATGAATATTATTCCCTAAGAAATATACAGAGAAAACAAGCTTCAACCAAAAAATCACAGGAAATGCTTCAGCTAAGTTCTAGACACGTAATAGCTTGCCAATAAATATTATTCGATCAAAGAGATAGATGTATGAATGCATGGATGGAGGAATAAACTAATTAATAAATTAATTAATACCTGGGAAGGAAAAGAAAAGATCTACCCATGTGTATTAGTCCATTTTCACACTGCTTCCCTGAGACTGGGAAGAAAAAGAAATTTAGGTGGACTTACAGTTCCACATGGCTAGGGAGGCCTCAAAATCATGGCGGGAGGAGGAAGGCACTTCTTACATGGCAGCAGCAAGAGAAAATGAGGAAGAGTCAAAAGCGGAAGCCTCTGATAAACCCATTAGATCTCATGAGACTTATTCAGTATCACGAGAATAGCACGGGAAAGACTGGCCTCTGTGATTCAACTACCTCCTTTTGGGTCCCTCCCACAACACACAGGAATTCTGGGAGGTACAATTCAAGTTGAGATTTGGGTGGGGACACAGCCAAACCATGTCATTCTGCCCCTGGCCCCTCCAAATCTCATGTCCTCACATTTCAACACCAATCATGCCTTCCAACAGTCCCCCAAAGTCTTAGCTTGTTTCAGCATTGACCCAAAAGTCCACAGTCCAAAGTCTCATCTGAGATAAGGCAAGTCCCTTCTGCTTGTAAGCCTGTAAAATCAAAAGCAAACTAGTTACTTCCTAGATGCAGTGGAGGTACAGGTATTGAGTAAATACAGCCATTCCAACTGGGAGATATTGGCCAAAACAAAGTGGTTACAGGGCCCACGCAAGTCTGAAATCCAGTAGGGCAGTCAAATTTTAAAGCCCCAAAATGATCTCCTTTGACTTCATCTCTCACATCCAGGTCATGCTGATGCAAAAGGTAGGTTCCCATGGTCTTGGGCAGCTCCACTCCTGTGGCTTTGCAGGGTACAGCCTCCCTCCTGGCTGCTTTCACGGTCTGGCATTGAGTTTCTGTGGCTTTTCCAGGTGCACAGTGCAAGCTGTTGGGTAGATCTACCATTCTGGGGTCTGGAAGACAATGGTCCTCTTCTCATTGCTCCACTAGGCAGTTCCCCAGTAGGGACTCTGTGTGGGGGCTCCAACCCCACATTTCTCTTCTGCACTGCCCTAGCAGAGGTTCTCCATGAGGGCCCCGCCTTTGCAGAAAACTTTTGCCTGGGCATCCAGGCATTTCCATATATCTTCTGAAATCTAGGCAGAGGTTCACAAGTTCCTTATCTCCATCTGAGACACAGCCAAACCATATCACCATGTTACTGGTTACCACAGAACTAGGAATGTGAAGTCAATGAATATTAGTTCTGGGAAAGAAATTCTAGATTAAGTACATTTACACCTTCACATTTTAGATAGGTAAACTGTGTCTCAGCGTGACTTGTCCAACATGCCCAGATGGCCCATGGCAGAGCCAGAAAATGGATCCAGAATTTTCTGATGCTTAGTGAGGATCTCTTTAAAAATTTGGTCACTGGCTGACTGAGCTCGGTGGCTCACACCTGTAATCCTAGCACTTTGGGAGGCCAAGATAGGTGGGTCACTTGAGGTCAGGAGTTCAAAAGCAGCCTGGCTAACATGGTGAAACTCCATCTCTACTAGAAATACAAAAATTAGCCAGGCATGGTGGCACACACCTGTAATTCCACCTACTTGGGAGGCTGAGGCATGAGAATTGCTTGAACCTGGGAGGCAGATATTGCAGTGAGCTGAGGTCGTGCCACTGCACTCCAGCCTGGACAACAGAGCGAGACTCCATTTCAAAAAGATCGCAAAAACAAACAAACAGAAAAACAAAACTTGGTAACCAGCAAAATATAACCGTTAAGTATTGTTACTCACTCCCCTCTCTGGCCCCCGAATAAATAAATCCTGCTCCCTATCTCAGAGTAAAATGTTTCTTGAGTGCCAGGCCATGATTTGTTTCATTAAGTATTAAAATTTACAAAAACAATTTATGTTTACTCTGGAAAAGTTAGAAAAAAATCTTTATTTATAATCCTGTCGCTCAGAGATAACTACTATGTTATACATATTTTTGTTGTTACCTTTTAAGACATTTTTATTCTTTGAACAAATGCACACTCATGTTTAAAACAAAAATAGAATCATATGGTCATATTCTTTTGCAGTCTTTTTCTCTAAATATATCATAATCATCCTTCATTTTCAATAAATATAGAACTAAATCACATACACACAAACTTTAAAATGAATTTTATATCAATGAAAATGTAAATTTTAATATTACCTTATATTTTATTTTCCTGAGCATTTCATGATTTCAATTCATTCAATGTCATTTATAAATAGTTTAGCTTTTATGTGTCCTTAATTTATGTTTTCCCATTATATTTGGTTGACATAAATTTTAAGCTTGCCAAGATGATCACTTGTATCTCCTTGGTACCTGTTTAAACCTGGAGGCAGTGTTATCTGATAGGGTTTTCCCTTTGTGGGGGAAGAAGTGGGAAAATATGAGAGAGGAGGAGAGAGTCACCATGTCCAGCCAGTTCTTATACTTTTAAATAGTTGAGGGAAAGAAAAGAATTTTGAAATAATAAATCTTTGCATAATAAGACTAGAGTATTATAGAGGCCAGGTGGCCAGGCGCGGTGGCTCACGCGTATAATCCCAGCACTTTGGGAGGCCTAGGCGGGTGGATCACCTGAGTTCAGGCATGCGAGACGAGCCTGACCAACAAGGTGAAACCCCATCTTTACTAAAAAATACAAAAATTAGCCAGGCATGGTGGCAGGTGCCTGTAATCCCAGCTACTTGATAGGCTGAGGCAGGAGAGTCGCTTGAACCCGGGAGGCGGAGGTTGCAGTGAGCCGAGATCATGCCATTGCACGCCAGCCTGGGTGACACAGCAAGACTGTCTCAAAAAGAAAGAAAAGAAAAGAAATACAGGCCAGGTATAGTGTACAGTGGCTCATACCTGTAACCCCATCCCTTTGGGAGGCCAAGGTGAGAGGACTGTTTGGGGCCAGGAGTTTGAGACCAGTCTGGGTAACATAGTGAGGTCTTTCTCTATAAAAAAGTTAAAAATCAAAAAATTAGCCAGACCACACCACTGCACTCCAGCCTGGGCAACAGAGTGAGACCGTCTCTTTAAAAAGATGGGAAGGGAAGTGTAGGGGAGGGGAGAGGAAGTGAGGGGGGTAGTGGGGGAGGGGAGGGGAGGAGACAAAAATTATGTTAAAAGCAGAAAATTTCCCTAATGAGGGTAGGTTATTTCTTTAGGAAATTGGAATCTATAATGTAGCAGTTGAGAGTTCTGGGGCCAAATTCCTCTGCAGGCCTCCTTAAGAACATATACCTTGGGGGGATATTGTGATCAAATTATGTAATGTTTGCAAAGTGCTTAACATAGTTGTTGAGAAGTTTCAATAAGTGTTAGCTCTGTTGCTCCTATGGTTGTTGATATTATTATCATTACTATTATCTCATGAAAGAGATATAAATGCCCCATTTATCCCATATCCTGACTTCCCTTGGGTATTTATATAATAGCTTTCGTCACTGTCAAATTTCACCCACTTACAGGTGATTGGCTTTTCCGTTTATACCACTCTATTTCTCTTGGTGTTAAAAACCCCACCCTTTTTTTCAGGGGTTTTTTTTTGAAAGGGAGAGTGTCCAGTGACGGCCCACTTCCTCTTGGAACACTGGTTAACATCTTTTTGACAGATTTTTGGACTGTCTTCTTGGCTTTGTATTCTGGTTCAGTGGCTACCAGCCACTGTATGTATATACATATGCTGTATGTGTGTATATATATATACACACACACACATATATATACATATATAAAATATGTATATATACATGTATATATATGTGTATATATGTATATATATATAATTATTGTTGTTTTTGTCATTAAATATCTTTGGCTTTTGGCTCTGCAGCCCAAAGTTCAGTCCTGTTCTACCCTGCATTCTGGCTTCCACAATCATTGCCTGCATTTCACTTATCAGGACTTGTTTAATTAGGATCAGAAAAGAGGCTGGGTCATTAAGTAGAATAAACAAGGGTTTTGGAGTTATACAGACCTGGGTTCAAATCCCATACTAGTGATTGCTGGTTTTGTAACTTGAATCTGTTACAAGATCTCTCTGTGAGGCAATTTTATTAGTAGTAAAATGGATAAGATAATGCCCATCTCAGCAGGGTTTGTTGATGATGAAATATTAATAGCATAATGGATATGTGTGGCATAAATACCCCTCAATGTTAGTTTTAACTTATGTTTTATGTATTTAAATTTGAATATGCTTAAATTTACACCTTTCCTTCCTTCAGGAACTATTAAATATAATTCAAAGGAAATACAGTTCCTTAAAAAACTATATTTAAATTTGTATGGGTTTATACCTTTCTTTCCTTCCTTTGAATTATTGCAGATCAAAGATTGCAACAGAAATATGCATGACAGTGATTTCAAATTTCTTTTCCAGCCACATTTGAATAGCAAAGATTATCATTTTCTAGCTAATATATCACCATTATGTAGGTGAGTCTCTGTTACCTTGTTTTTTACCACTCCTCAGGCAATTGCTTTTCTTGGAACCATTTGTTTCCATGTACTTGACCTTGGCTTACTTTCCGGCTTTATTACTTATCGTAACTATTAGTTTGTTTTATTACCTTTAATTAAGTTGTATTAGGCACCTGTAAATGGTGATGACCTTGTTTTTTGGTGGGCCAAGTTTCACCTTTACTGATTGAGGCAATTCAGTCCATTCATTTTGCCCTTTATGGCACTTCTGTCTCCATATTTCTCTCAGAAGAAATGCCAATTAAAAATATATTTTAGTAAAATGAGCATTTTAATTAGCATATATATTTTTAAAGTAGAAATTATTGGCTGGGCATGGTAGCTCACACCTGTAATCCCAGCACTTTGGGAGGCCAAGGTGGGTGGATCATGAGGTCAGGAGTTCGAGACCAGCCTGACCAACATGGTGAAACCCCATCTCTACTAAAAATACAAAAATTAGCCCAGCATGGTGGCATGCGCCTGTAATTGCAGCTACTCAGGAGGCTGAGGCAGAAGAATCACTTGAACCCGGGAGGCAGAGGTTGCAGTGAGCAGAGATCGTGCCACTGTATTCCAGCTTGGGTGACAGAGCAAGACTCTGTCTCAAAAAATAAAAGTAGAAATTATTGATTCTTTAGTTAGTAAAAAGCTCATTTATCTTGTAGCCTTCAACTAACTTTTGTGTTTAAGAAACCAACATGTAGGCTGGAAGGAGTGGCTCATACCAGTAACCCCAGTCCTTTGGGAGGCTGAGGCAGGAGGATCACTTGAGCCCAGGAGTTCAAGACCAGCCTGGGTAACAAAGTAAGGCCCCATCCCTGCTAAGAAAAAATTAAAATTTTTATTTTAAAATTTAAAATTTAAATTTACAATGCCAATTTAAAATTTAAAATGCCAGTTAAAATAATTTTAAAATATTTAAAAAAGAAGCCAACCTGCTAGATTTGTCACATAAGCCTCCATATACTCCTGTGATATAGCTATATAATTTGATTGATTAAACATGGCTTCCTGATCATCTCATAGGCCCTTGGTCAAAAACAAATCTTCCCTCATTATTATTTATTTAAAAACTGGATTCAATGATTTTATTTTGACTTCTAGCACTGTTTCAATTTCCTCCAGTATTCAAATAACAGGATTAGCAAGGTGGTGACCTGCTACAGAAGGGAGGGGCTGGTGACTGTAAGAGACTAATGGTAGGCATTTGCGCCCATGTGCGCACATACACGCACGCACACACACACACAGTACAGGTATTGAGATAGGATAAAAGAAGGTCTTTGTTCTTTAGAGTTTCTTAATTCCAGAGCCTTTTACCCTCCATGTAGGATAAACTGGCTTTTCTAAGTTCTGGGAGCTTTCTCAAAGGTAGTGGAATTCTGTTTTCGGAGAAACGGGAGAACTTTTTGTGCCCAAGGGTCTAAAGGAGAGGGGGTGGGGTCCTGGGGATTCGCATGAGGCCCAGGAAGTGTCAGGATCTGGGTACAATGAAAAGAACTCTTGTGAGTGAGTATTACTTCATACCCCATGTGATGGCCAGATAAGGAGGCCTACCCAGCCCTGTGTTCCTGAGGCTGCTTGTGGGAGTGGAGAGATGTCACCCCATCAGGCAGGCTGCCATTCTGGTCTCCTTCACCTCCCAGGCATTCCAGGAGGAGAATTCTGAGCAGTTGTATGTTTTCTTGTCAGGTTCTTTAATTCCACTTGTCTTAAGGACCTGTCACACCCTAGCCTACTCACCAGCAAACACACTGGAGACTCATGCTCACCAGAGACTACTGACAGCTGTGGTAATCATGCAATGCAGATCTCTTGAGTACTTAATACAGTCTTTTCTCAGTATTTGAGGGGGATTGGTTCTAGAACCACTGCAGGATACCAAAATTTCTAGATGCTCAAGACCCTTATATAAAATGGCATAGTATTTGCATGTAACCCTCATACATCCTCCTGTATATTTTAAATAATCTCTATATTACTTGTAATACCTAGTGCAATGTAAATGCTATGTAAATAATTATAATACTATATTTACATTATTTTTATTGTACTGTTATTTTGAACTTTTTCCTTAATATTTTTAATCATGGTTGGTAGAATTCATGGATGTGGAACCCACAGATACAGAAGATTAGCTGTATAGGCCAGGCTTTTGATCTGGGGTTAGACCTTTGAAGCAGGAGAACAAAAATTCCTTCCTTTATAAAGCTTAAATTTTGGTGGGTGGGGAGAGTAACACCATAAACAATCACGAGGTCAGATAGTGATAAGTGCAATGGAGAAAAAAAAAAAAGCAGAGAGTGCTGCAAGCAGGAGCTGTAATGTTAAATAGGGTGGTCACTGAGAAATGCACATTTGAAGAAAAACCTAAAAGAGGTTACAAAGAAAAACATGTGACCATCTCAGGGACAAGCATTTATAGCAGAGGGAGTAACAAGTTCAAAGGCCCAGAGGGGCCTATATCCTGTATTTTGGGAGAACAGTGAGATAAGTGAGGCTGAAGATGCATGAAGGAAGAAGAGATTTGAAATAGGTGAAGTACCTGAGAATCATGTAGGGCCTTGTAGGCCTGTGAAAGGACTTCAACTTTGCACTGAGTGAGATGAGGAGACATTGGAGGGTTTTGAGCTGAGGGGTGACATGATCTGACTCTCTTTGTGGTGGGGCAAAATCAGAAGCAATGATATCAATTGGGAGGCTATCGCAAAAGGTAATATAACTTGGACTAGGTTGGCTCCAAAGGAAGGGATGAGAAGTCATTGACTTCTGGATATATTTTGAGGGCACAGTCATCAGCATTTGCTGATAGATCAAATGTGGGGTATATGAGAGCAGGAGGCGTCAAAGATGATTCCAAGCTTTTGACCTACACAACTGGAGAGATTTTATTTATTACTGAGATGGGGGAACTTAGAAAGGAACATATTTCAGGAAAGATTACAAATTTGTTTTAGGCACATTAAGTTGAGATGCCTATTAGACATGCAGTTGAAGATGTCAAGTGGGTAGATGAATTTGTAAATATGGGGTTCACAAGAGAAGCCTATGCTAGAAACATAAACTGAGGAGTCATCAGTGAATAGATGGTATTTAAAGCCATATGTAGTACTAAATCCACATATGGGACTTTGGGGCAGAGTAGAGCACACTGGTACATATCAGACTGAGGATAACAGGGTGAGGGCACTCATCTGACATTAATGCTGCTTCAGTCCAAATACTGTAATGAAATTCGAATACTTCCTATAAGAAATTCTTAATGACAATTGTACTACTCATTAGAATCTCAGTTTTCACCAGGGATGATCCAAATGCCCAAGGGGACTAAAAAATAATACTGAATATGATTAAAGGAGAGGAGATAAACTCTTTGCAATGATAACAGGAGTTTGTGCAGAATCTCAGTGCAGGCTTGATGGAGAATCCAGTAGGTTCTGTGGGCCCCATGTGAACCAGAATGAGGGTGTAAACTGCTGCCCGCAATAGTAATTATCCACGACATAGAACCCATGAGGAACAGTTCTCAGAATACTCACTGCCACAGCCAATCTCCAGGTCCAAAGAAGAGGGAAGTGGTGGTCTATGATATATGTGGTCAACCCAGCCTCTTCCTACTCAAAAGAACCAGCATGATGTACCTCAAAAAGATCTTTCCAACTGGTTCCCACTGATGCCAAGAATACGATTGCTTTGTAAATTTGACCATAAGGTTGAGGAAGATGCTTACAATTGGTTATTAGCATGGACTTAAATGTGTGGTTTGCCTGTCAGTTGTTCTTAGAAAAGCATTTGTAAAATTGTAAACTAGCTACAGGCCAGGCCAATGAGGAAAGTCATTGAGGTACCCTACCTGCATCAGTAAGAGAGCAATGTAATTTTATTAAGGTGATTTGGGCTTATGTTATCAAGCTACAAGACATTTTTAATCAAAGGAACTTTTTAAGCAAACAGCCTTCTTTTGGATAATGGTAATACGTCCTGGGTTCAGAGTCACTGATTGCTTTCATATATGTAGCTAAAACATTTCCTATAAGAGTTGATAATGTAGTTGATACAAAAGAAAAATGAAAGACTTTTGATAAAGAAAGATAAAAATGTGTATGATTTGTCATTGTTGCCATTGAGCCTACCATTCAGGCAGGTAAAGCAGCTCAGATAGGCAGCATCTTTAATGGCCCACAATGCAAACTGCAAAACCTTCTCAGCAGAAAACAATTAGCTCATGTCAAAAGAAAAAAGTACAATCAATTTAGATAAAGATCTTAACTGAGATATTTATTGGTTTAACTGGCTTCATTTGCAATTCTAGAATAGGACGACACT
The DNA here is from genome assembly GCF_000001405.40 of Homo sapiens. Taxonomy (NCBI): domain Eukaryota; kingdom Metazoa; phylum Chordata; class Mammalia; order Primates; family Hominidae; genus Homo; species Homo sapiens. The sequence goes on along the minus strand of NC_000007.14, from coordinate 7,146,282 downwards.
TCGTTCCATAAAATAAGTGTTCCACTGAGATGTGCAGAAGGGTTTGGTTTTACACACAGAAAGGGATGAAGAAAACAGAAACAAAGAACAAAATGCAGTCATTTTAAAGTTACTTTTATTATAAGACAGGAATAGGGAGACAGAAAAATAGAAATATAACTGACTGACATCAGCTTACTGCAGGCGACTTTTTTTTTTTTTGAGACCAAGGCTTTGTCACCCAGGCTGGAGAGCAGTGGCACGATCTTGGCTCACTGCAAGCTCTGCCTCCTGGGTTCACGCCATTCTGCTGCCTCAGCCTCCCAAGTAGCTGGGACTACAGGCGCCTGCCAGCACGCCTAGCTAATTTTTTTTGTATTTTTAGTAGAGATGGAGTTTCACCGTGTTAGCCAGGATGGTCTCGATCTCCTGACCTCGTGATCCACCTGCCTCAGCCTGCCAAAGTGCTGGGATTACAGGTGTGAGCCACCGCACCTGGCTGCAGGTGACTTTTTGTTGTGAAGATTAAAACAGAGGGAACGTCAGGAAAACATTGAAGATGGCTGAATAGGAACAGCTCCAGTCTGCAACTCCCGGCATGATTGTTGCAGAAGATGGGTGATTTCTGCATTTCCAACTGAGGTACCTGGTTCATCTCACTGGGACTGGTTGGACAGTGGGTGCAGCCCACAGAGGCGAGCCGAAGCAGAGCGGGGCATCACCTCACCTGGGAAGCACAAGGGGTTGGGGGATTTCCCTTTCCTAGCCAAGGGAAGCCGTGACAGACTCTACCGGGAAAATTGGACACTGCCACCCAAATACTGCACTTTTCCAATGGTCTTAGCAAATGGCACACCAGGAGATTATATCCTGTGCCTGGTTCAGTGGGTCCCACACCCACAGAGCCTTGCTCACTGCTAGCACAGCAGTCTGAGATGAAACTGCAAGGAGGCAGCCTGGCTGGGGGAGGGGCAGCCACCATTGCTGAGGATTGAATAGGTAAACAAAGCAGCTGGAAAGCTCGAACTGGGTGGAGCCCACTGCAGCTCAACAAGGCCTACCTGCCTCTGTAGACTCCACCTCTGGGGCAGGGCATAGCTGAAAAAAAGACAGCAGAAACTTCTGCAGACTTAAACGTCCCTGTCTGACAGCTCTGAAGAGAGCAGTGCTTCTCTCAGCACAGTGTTTGAGCTCTGAGAATGGACAGACTGCATCCTCAAGTGGGTCCCTGAACCCTGTATAGCCTAACTGGGAGACACCTCCCAGTAAGGGCTGACTGACACCTCATACAGCCAAGTGCCCCTCACAGACAAAGCTTCCAGAGGAAGGATCAGGCAGCAATATTTGCTGTCCTGCAATATTGCTGTTCTGTGGCCTCTGCTGATGATACCCAGGCAAACAGGGTCTGGAGTGGACCTCCAGCATACTCCAACAGACGTGCAGCTGAGGGACGTGACTGTTAGAAGGAAAACTAACAAACAGAAAGGAATAGCATCAACATCAACAAAAAGGACATCTGCACCGAAACCCCATTTGTAGGTCACCATCATCAAAGACCAAAGGTAGATAAAACCACAAAGATGGGGAGAATCCAGAGCAGAAAAGCTGAAAATTCTAAAAACCAGAGCACCTCTTTTCCTCCAAAGGATCGCAGCTCCTCACCAGCAATGGAACAAAGCTGGATGGAGAATGACTTTGACGAATTTACAGAATTAAGCTTCAGAAGGTCGGTAATAACAAACTTCTCCAAGCTAAAGGAGGATGCTTGAACCCATTGCAAGGAAGCTAAAAACCTTGAAAAAAGATTAGACAAATGGCTAACTAGAATAAACAGTATGGAGAAGTCCTTAAATGACCTGATGGAGCTGAAAACAATGGCACGAGAACTATGTGATGTAGGCATAAGCTTCAGTAGTTGATTTGATCAAGTGGATGAAAGGGTATCAGTGATTGAGATCAAATTAATGAAATGAAGTGAGAAGAGAAGTTTAGAGAAAAACAAGTAAAAAGAAATGAAAAAAGCCTCCAAGAAATATGGGACTATGTGAAAAGACCAAATCTATGTTTGATTGGTGTACCTGAAAGTGACAGGGAGAATGGAACCATGCTGGAAAACACTTTTCAGGATATTATCCAGGAGAACTTCTCCAACCTAGCAAGGCAGGCCAATATTCAAATACAGGAAATACAGAGAACATCACAAAGATACTTCTTGAGAAGAGCAACCCCAAGACACATAATTGTCAGATTCACCAAGGTTGAAATGAAGGAAAAAATGTTAAAGACAGCCAGAGAGAAAGGTCAGGTTACCCACAAAGGGAAGCCCATCAGACTAACAGCAGATCTCTTGGCAGCAACCCTACAAGCCAAAAGAGAGTGGGGGACAATATTCTACATTCTTAAAGAAAACTATTTTCAATCCAGAATTTCATATCCAGCCAAACTAAGCTTCATAAGTGAAGGAGAAATAAAATCCTTTACACACAAGCAAATGCTGAGAGATTTTGTCATCACTAGGCCTCCTTACAAGAGCTCCTGAAGGAAGCACTAAACATGGAAAGGAACAACCAGTACCAGCCACTGCAAAAAAGCCCAGTTGTAAAGACCATCAATGCTAGGAAGAAACTGCATCAACTAATGGGTAAAATAACCAGCTAACATCATAATGACAGGATCAAATTCACACATAACAATATTAACCTTAAATGTAAATGGGCTAAATTCTCCAATTAAAAGACACAGACTGACAAATTAGATAAAGAGTCAAGACCCATCAGCGTGCTGTATTCTGGAGACCCATCTCACATGCAGAGACACACATAGGCTGAAAATAAAGGGATGGAGAAAGATCTACCAAGCAAAAAGAAAGCAAAAAAAAAAAAAAAAAAAAAAAAGCAGGGGTTGCAATCCTAGTTTCCGATAAAACAGACTTTAAACCAACAAAGATCCAAAGAGACAAAGAAGGCCATTACATAATGGTAAAGGGATCAATTCAACAAGAAGAGCTAACTATCCTAAATATATATGCACCCAATACAGGAGCACCCAGATTCATAAAGCAAGTCCTTAGAGACCTACAAAGAGACTTAGATGCCCACACAATAATAATAGCAGACTTTAACACCCCACTGTTAATATTAGACAGATCAATGAGACAGAAGGTTAACAGGGATATCCAGGACTTGAACTCAGCTCTGCACCAAGTGGACCTAATAGACATCTACAGAACTCTCCACCCCAAATCAACAGAATATACATTCTTCTCAGCACCACATCACACTTATTCCAAAACTTACCACATAGTTGGAAGTAAAGCACTCCTCAGCAAATGTAAAAGAACAGAAGTCACAACAAACTGTCTCTCAGACCACAGTGCAATGAAATTAGAACTCAGGATTAAGAAACTCACTCAAAACCGCACAACTACATGGAAACTGAACAACCTGCTCCTGAATGACTACTGGGTAAATAATGAAATGAAGGCAGAGATAAAGATGTTCTTTGAAACCAATGAGAAAAAAGACACAACGTACCAGAATGTCTGGGACACATTTAAAGCAGTGTGTAGAGGGAAATTTATAGGACTAAATGCCCATAAGAGAAAGCAGGAAAGATCTAAAATTGACACCCTAACATCACAGTTAAAAGAACTAGAGAAGCAAGAGCAAACAAATTCAAAAGCTAGCAGAAGTCAAAAAATAGGTAAGATCAGAGCAGAACTGAAGGAGATAGAGAGAGAAAAAACTCCTCAAAAAAATCAATCAATCCAGGAGCTGGTTTTTTGAAAAGATCAACAAAATTAATAGACCACTAGCAAGACTAATAAAGAAGAGAGAAGAATCAAATAGAGGCAATAAAAAGTGATAATGGGGATATCACCACTGATCTCACAGAAATAGAAACTACCATCAGAGAATATTATAAACACCTCTACACAAATAAACTAGAAAATCTAGAAGAAATGGATAAATTCCTGGACACATACACCCTCCCAAGACTAAACCAGGAAGAAGTTGAATCTCTGAATAGACCAATAACAGGCTCTGAAATTGAGGCAATAATTAATAGCCTATGAACCAAAACAAGTCCAGGACCAGATGGATTCACTGCCGAATTCTACCAGAGGTACAAAAAGGAGCTGAAACTATTCCAATCAATAGAAACAGAGGGAATCCTCCCTAACTCATTTTATGAGGCCAGCATCATCCTGATACCAAAGCCTGGCAGAGACACAACAAAGAAAGAGAATTTTAGACCAATATCCCTGATGAACATCGATGTGAAAATCCTCAATAAAATACTGACAAACTGAATCCAGCAGCACATCAAAAAGCTTATCCACCAAGATCAAGTTGGCTTCATCCCTGGGATGCAAGCCTGGTTCAACATATGCAAATTAATAAACGTAATCCATCACATAAACAGAACCAAAGACAAAAACCACATGATTATCTCAATAGATGCAGAAAAGGCCTTCGACAAAATTCAACAGCCCTTCATGCTAAAAAAACTCTCAATAAACTAGGTATTGATGGAACATATCTCAAAATAATAAGAGATATTTATGACAAACCCACAGCCAATATCACACTGAATGGGCAAAAACTGGAAGCATTCCCTTTGAAAATTGGCACAAGACAGGGATGTCCTCTCTCACCACTCCTATTCAACATAGTGTTGGAAGTTCTGGCCAGGGCAATCAGGCAAGAGAAAGAAAAAAAGGGTATTCAATTAGGAAAAGAGGAAGTCAAATTGTCCCTGTTTGCAAATGACATGATTGTATATTTAGAAACCCCCATTCTCTCAGCCCAAAATCTCCTTAAGCTGATAAGCAACTTCAGCAAAGTCTCAGGATACAAAATCAATGTGCAAAAATCACAAGCATTCCTATACACCAATAACAGACAAACAGAGAGCTAAATCATGAGTGAACTCCCATTCACAATTGCTTCAAAGAGAATAAAATACCTAGGAATCCAACTTACAAGGGATGTGAAGGACCTCTTCAAGGAGAACTAGAAACCACTCCTCAGCAATATAAAAGAAGACACAAACAAATGGAAGAACATTCCATGCTCATGGATAGGAAGAATCAATATCGTGAAAATGGATGTGCTGTCCAATGTAATTTATAGATTCAATGCCATCCCCATCAAGCCTACCAATGACTTTCTTCACAGAATTGGAAAAAACTTTAAAGTTCATATGGAACCAAAAAAGAGCCCGCATCGCCAAGACAATCCTAAGCCAAAAGAACAAAGCTAGAGGCATCACACTACCTGACTTCAAACTATACTGCAAGGCTACATTAACGAAAACATCATGGTACTGGTACCACAACAGAGATATAGACCAAGGGAACAGAACAGAGGCCTCAGAAATAACATCACACATCTACAACTATCTGATCTTTGACAAACCTGACAAAAACAAGAAATGGGGAAAGGATTCTCTATTTAATAAATGATGCTGGGAAAACTGGCTAGCCATATGTAGAAAGCTGAAACTGGATCCCTTCCTTACACCTTATACAAAAATTAATTCAAGATGGATTAAGGACTTAAATGTTAGACCTAAAACCAGAAAAACCCTAGAAGAAAACCTAGGCAATACCATTCAGGCCATAGGCATGGGCAAGGACTTCATGACTAAAACACCAAAAGCAATGGCAACAAAAGTCAAAATAGACAAATGGGATCTAATTAAACTCAAGAGCTTCTGCACAGTGAAAGAAACTACCATCAGAGTGAACAGGCAACCTACAGAATGGGAGAAAATGTTTGCAATCTACCCATCTGACAAAGGGCTAATATCCAGAATCTACAAAGAACTTAAACAAATGTACAAGAAAAAAATCAAACAACCCCATCGAAAAGTAAGCAAAGGATATTAACAGACACTTTTCAAAAGAAAACATCTATGCAGCCAACAGACACATGAAAAAATGCTCATCATCACTGGCCATCAGAGAAATGCAAATCAAAACCACAATGTGCTACCATCTCACACCAGTTAGAATGGCAATCATTAAAAAGTCAGGAAACAACAGGTGCTGGAGAGGATGTGGAGAAATCGGAAGGCTCTTACACTGCTGGTGGAAGTGTAAACTAGTTCAACCATTGTGGAAGTCAGTGTGGCAATTGCTCAAGGATCTAGAACTGGAAATACCATTTGACCCAGCCATCCCATTACTGGGTATATACCCAAAGGATTATAAATCATGCTACTATAAAGACTCCAGCACATGTATGTTTATTGCAGCACTATTCACAATAGCAAAGACTTGGAACCAACCCAAATGTCCAACAATGATAGACTGGATTAAGAAAATGTGGCACATATACACCGTGGAATACCATGCAGCCATAAAAAGGATGAGTTCATGTCCTTTGTAGGGACATGGATAAAGCTGGAAACCATCACTCTGAGCAAACTATCGCAAGGACAGAAAACCAAACACCGCATGTTCTCACTCATAGGTAGGAATTGAACAATGAGAACACTCGGACACAGGGCAGGGAACATCACACACCGAGGCCTGTTGTGGGGTGGAGGGATGGGGGAGGGATAGCATTAGGAGAAATACCTAATATAAATGACGAGTTAATGGGTGCAGCATACCAACATGGCACATTTATACATATATTGTACACATGTACCCTAGAACTTAAAGTACAATAATCAAACAAACAAACAAACAAAAACAGAGGGAATGTCACTATCATGCCTGTTAAGATTAAAACTGACCTGTTTGGACAGATGGCTGTCATCTCTCTATCCTGATTCCTCTCAAAGTCACATAACAATCTAGTTTTGTTTTGGTAGTGTGCAACTTTAGCACAGTTGACTCCCTTTTGATTTTTGGTCTGGTCTATTGGACCCTAGTGCAGGAGTTTAGCCCAAAACAATGACCTGCTATGATTTTTATTTAATACCTGTAAAGAGTGTTAAAAGAGAGAGCTAGGCACTGGGTGTCAGCACCCAGGAAATCCTTTGTTCACTACTGCTATTTAGCAGTTTCTCTAGTAATAGATACCAAATTAGTTGTTTCCTAGAAATGAAGGGCTTGGGCTTCATTCAATTATTTGATCCTGAATACAGCCATGCATTGCTTAATGATGGGGATACATTCTGAGAAATGCGTCGTTAGGTGATTTCATCGTTGTATAAACATCATGGAGTGTACTTACACGAATCTAGACGACATAGCCTAGTACACACGTGGGGTGAATGGTAATAGCTTATTGCTCTTAAGCTACAAACCTGTATAGCATATTACTGTACTGAATACTGCATGCCATTGTAGCCCAATGTTAAGTATTTGCGTATGTAAACACAGAAAATGTAATGTGTTGCAGTATAACATTATGATGGCTGCAACATCAACAACGTGACTAGGTGATAGGAATATTGCAGCTCAATTATGATTTTCTGGGACCACCCAAGGGTATGTGGTCCATCCTTGAGGGAAACATTGTTATGCAGCACATGACTATACAGTGTTGTACCAATAGTACTGCAATTTATAATGAACGACAAGGAATTTGTGGATCTGATACCAGTGATCTATTTATCAGGAAACATATCTTATGACTATCTTATCAAGCACCATGATGACCATCTGAGATTGTAACAGCTCATTAATTACCAGTATTATTGCAGTGTCCTAATTGCTCCCTCCTCTTCTACCTCTCTCATTGCATCTCCTACGTTCCTACTCCTCACCTGATCACTCATCTCCATCCCTGCTCCTTCTGTGCTATTCCTCAAACATGCTAAGACCACTCCCATTTCACGACATGACTGGCTACATAATATTTGGGACCCAGTGCAAAATGACCTGGGGCCTCTTGCTCAAAAATTACTAAGAATTTTAAGACAGTGACTGCTGAGCATTGAAGAAAGCACAGAGTCCTTCTGAGAATGGGGACCCATGTGAGTATACAGATCACAAACCCTGCCTCATGACCTTTCTACTTGGTATGTCCTCTGCCTGGATCCTGGGTGTTCTCTCCTCAGATACCTGCAAGACTCTCTCACTGTATTCAGGTCTTTGCTCCCCAGGAGGCCTTCCCTGAATATCTTACCTAAAGAGATTCGTAACCTCTTCCCTCCTTTCTTTACCCTGAATTATCTTTCTTCATAGGGCCCAATAACTTTTTATAAGTCTTTTTGCTTATTGTCTGTTTCCCTCCACTAGAATGCAAGGCACAAGACAGTGGGAACTTCATCATGTTTATTGCTGTCTCCCCAGTGTCTAGAATAGTGCCTGGCACATAGGGTACATTTCATAAATATTTGCTGAATGCATGATTAAATGAATCCCATCATTTAGTCAATGAAAGTCAAGTAGCCTTGTATATTATCTTCCCTTTTAAAACATGCTCTTACGCTTCCTATACCTAAAATAAATATGGCCTCTTATGCCTCTTTTCCACAAAGTGCTCATAGTGCTGCATCATTTACAGTCTACAGAGCTGCATAAGGAACATGCGAAGTGAAAAAGGAACACCGTAAACACCTGATAGTCTTTAGTCTTATAGAGCCTTATAAAGCCAGTTCTTTTAGAAAAGTCCTCTTTTGGAAAACCTACCTAGTTTTATAATCTTCTACTTCAATTGGTATTTATAATTTAAAGCCAAAACAAAGTGTCCAATATCTACATGGAAAACAAGCCTTTTTTGGTTGTTGTTATATGTTATAGAAACAAGAAAGCAATAGCCTCAGAAGTTTGCACCCATCTCCTCCTCACCACCACTGCTGCCACTCAAATTCTTCTCCTTCCCACTTCCTTTACTCTCCTGAGGGAGGGACGAAGGGAAAGGCATAGGAGAAGGGGAAGCCACAGTAGCTTGAGGGATGATGACTGAAATGTAATTTAAGATGCATCATTTTTTATTTCTTTAGAAGTTATTTGCTAATTTTCTAATAAAGGTTTCCTGTATGTGCCAAAAAACGTTATTTGACAACCCTAGTGATCATATCTGTGACTTTTCTCTCATCAGATATCGATCATAGTCTTATTCAACTTATCTAGCATGGTTTCCTTTTAATAAAACTTGTGTCGATAGGTTTCATGACTTTCATCACTTGGTGTTTACATATTGATTTCTTTATAGTGCCCTTGAACCTTAATTTGAAAGCTGGTATTAGCTTTTTAGCATGCTGGAATTTTCTTTCTTTTCCTTTCTTATAGAGTTCAGTGATTTTCTGTGTTTTGCTCATGGGATAGTCTTCTTGACTCTTGAGATTTATAATGCTTAATGATTTTATTATAGCTAGCCTTTATTTTCTTCCTGTAGTAGCCCTTAAAACCTTTGTGATGTAATCTTCCTCTTCAAAAGGTTAGCAAAACATTGTTGATAAAGAGAAAGTTGCTCAATGTTCAGAGTTCTTTTGACTTTCTAATGAAGGGTTTTAATTGTTTTTCTTTTTCCAATTTAGGTTTCTTTGTATTAAAAAATAAACACTTCTGAAGGGAATTTTGTCATGCACGGTGTAAACGACTTACATCTGACTCCAATTTTTACTTTTAAGCACTGTTTTGCCATTTCATTTTTTAATTGCTTGTCTGTGTGATTAATGGTAAATACTCACTGAGCATTCATTATGTTTGAAGAACTAAGAGAAACACTTTACTTGCCCTATCTCATTTGAGCCTCACCACAGCCCTATGAGATAAGCACTATTCTTAGACTTATTTTTCAGATGAGAAAACAGACTCAGACAGCATCCCACCCAAGATAGTATTTGGCAGCGCTGAAATTGAAACTAAAAGAGACTACACTCTTAACCAGTATACTAAAATGCTTCTAAGTGATTCATGCCTTGGACAATTGTCCTTTTCCAAGTCCATTATTTCTGCAATTTTCAATCCTGTCTTCACTATAGTTGTTTACTCTTTTGCTAAGGCAGCAAAGCCTTCAGGGCACAGGCTCTGGAGCCAGATAAAGGAGATCTATATGCCGGGCCACTGCACACAAGGTATATAATCTTAGGCAAATTATAGCCAGAGTTGTACTACTTAAATAAGTCAAAACATCTGATATGGTTTGGCTTTGTCCCTACCCAAATCTCATCTTGAATTGTAGTTTCCATAATCCCCATGTGTCATGGGAGGGACCCGGTAGGAGGTAATTGAATCATGAGGGTGGTTATCTCCCTGCTGTTCTCATGATAGTGAGTGAGTTCTCACAAGATCTGATGGTTTTATAAGGTGCTTTTCCCCTTTTGCTGCACTTATCTCTCCTGCTGCCATGTGAAGAATGACATGTTTGCTTCCCCTTCTGCCATGATTCTAAGTTTCCTGAGGCCTCCCCAGCCATGTGAAACTGTGAGTCAATTAAAGCTCTTTTCTGTATAAATTACCCAGCCTTGGGTATGTCTTTATTAGCAGCATGAGAACAGCCAAATACAACATCTGAAGTATTTAGAATAGTCTCTGGTATAAGAGAGTGCCCAATAAATACCTAATTTTATTATTTATTAATTCAACAAATGTAATTAGTGAATACTTTATGGTGTTACTAAGTGCCAGGTATCACATTCAATCCTGAATGTAGAGGATGATTAAGATAGAGTCTTACTCTTCGGGTGTTAAAGTCTAGTGGTGGCCATAAGTGTATGGGTATCGTAAGGAAGATACCCATACTTAGAATGGCAGTCCAGATATTGGGTTATCAATCTAAGTTCACTACATTTAGAGAACAAGTCTTTAATGAGTGGTTAAGTGAGAGTCTGTAATTGAGTTGTAGATATCTCAAATTAGTGCTTTGCCACTAAGGTAGTTCATTTCTCAAGACAGCCTCCATAATCCTTGTCATACAATTTGCCCTTTTGCGATGTGACTTTTCTAATCTTCCCATCAAGAGGTAGTATCTGTTTCCTCTACACTGAATTTGGACTAGCCCCATGACTTGCTTTCACCAATAGAATGTGGTGAAAATGATGCAATGTGACTTGCTGGCCTATACCTTAAGAGGGCTTACAGATTTCTTTAGACTCTTGGGATCCAGCCTCCATGTACTGAAGCTAGGGCTAGATTATGGGATGATGAGAGATTTGGTGAAAAGAGAGAAGCCCAGCCAATTCCTGGCTATTTTCATCACCCTGGCTAGAGTGCCTGACAAGTGAATGAAGCCCTGGAACACACAATTGTCCACTTTGCACTTGAGTCCCTACTGAAACTGTACACTTTACTAGTAGAGCATGTGTAACATCTTGTTTTTAAATCAGCTTTTATCAATCAGACTGGGTGCTCCTTAATCTTGCATTCATCCTGTGTCCCCAACACTTAGCCTGGACTGGTCCTTAATGAGAAAAGTGCTGCAGGAAAGAAGTGAGGGTCAGTAAGGGGTCAGATCAAATTGTCAAGGGCGTTGGATGCCATGCTAATATAATCTAAGTATCTGCCACCTGGATGTCCTCAAGTCACACCATCCTTCTGGGGCCACCCTTTCTTCTAATATTCAAAGTTGCAAAGTCTCCAGCTCCTATTCCACATTCTCTGGAAAGCCCAACATCCTCCTCCTCATCCTAAGCCTCTCCCCCTAAGTATTTCTGGAACTTCAAGGAAGGGGGATTTGAGTCAGGGACTCCTAGTTCCCTTGATTCCCTCATGTTCACATTTCCTGCTTATCTTGACATTGTAATTCTTTCTTTGACTACTGTCCTCTGTCTATGTTGCTTCCCTCTTGATGGATTCTGTCCTACTCCTTTGTTCTCCCAAAACAGCTTGAACAAAATCTGTGATGCTTGGAAGACTTTTTTCTTTTTCAATTTCTTTCAACGTTTTGAATATATAATATATTCACATAGTTCAAAAATCAAATAATATAAAAGTATGCATAGTAAAAATTATCACTCCCACCTCTGCCCTCATCTGCCTTATCACCCACCTCGCCCCACCCTAAGTACTTACTTGATTAGCTTCTTTGATATCCCTCTAGGGTTTACTTATGCAAATGTAATACAATAAAAATATAGATCTTTCTTTTCTTTCTGTTGAACACTGTTGGCAAAAGCTATGCTGCCTGGTTCTACTTTCAAATCTGTGCTGTCATCTGCTCTCTATGGGGCCCTCCCTGCAGCACAGAAAAATCTTTCTTTCCAGTTTTTCCACAGGGATGATTTCACAACGACAATATTTTTTGAAGACAAAATTGGGACACAAGGTCTGGGAAGTGGACTTTTTGTAGAATGTGGGACCAGATGATGGCCTTACCCAGGAGAATGTAGGACTAAAGTCTCTGCAGCTACTCCAAACTTCCCTGACCCTGAAGGTCAGACTCTTACTCAGGGATAGTAGACTTTTTGTATTGTTTAAACTAACAGACAGTACGAAAGCTCATGAAAGAATTGACAATGATTTAAACTTGAACATTAGACATCACTGTCTTGACATGGGGGATGTATCGCTGTCCACCCTTCTCTCAAGGGCTCCTCCCTGCTGCCATCTGACTGGGCCCCCTGCCCTCTGGTGAGAACCTCTCCTCCATCTTTTTACTTCACTTCCAAGTCCTGGCATTCTCTTACTGCTATCTCCTTGCTTCCAGGCTGCCCTGGAAACTCTTGAGTTCCTTTTTGTTTTGTATGTGGAACAGTTTAGCTTTTTTGTGGGGAGGTCACATATGAGCCACTACTTTGGGAATTTCCAGAAGAAATAGGGATCTCTTGAGCAGCATTTAATTTTAGTAATTGAGCCATACTATAATAATTTTCACATAGATAGAAAGGCACCAGAATGTCCCCTTGTTAAGATTAATGAGATCAGATTCTCACTGGAGTATCGTCTAACAAACATCTTATTATTTGAGTTAATGTGTTTTACACACTTATTCCCTTTGCATTACTGTATTGTTTTTATGGAAAAGACAATTAGCATTTCCAAAATTTTCCAGCTGTTTTTCTATATTACTCAGTTGCAGTTAGGTTGGGGGCCATGTGACTTGTTCTGGCCAGTGAACTATGAACAGAAGTAGTGTTATGTCTCTTCTGGACTGAGGCGATTGAGAGCCAGAGTGCCTTATTCTATCCCTTTCTTCCCCTGCGGTGGAGGTCAAATGTTCTAGATGGCATAGTTACAAACTATAGAAGGGCCATCTGACCCACCCTGGATTGTGATGTGAGCAAAAAATAAATATTTATTGTGATAAGCAACTGAGATGTTTTGGATATTTGCATTAATATTTAATTGCATATCTGTGTTACTTGAGCCAATATTTTTGGAAATTGATTGAATCTAAAATCTCTAAAACAATAACGTGTGTGTGCATATCTTGATCAGAACATGCAGATGTGTCTTCACATTCTGCATGAATTACAATTTGAAAATCTTTATAATTATTTATGCATTTGGACGTCCCATGGATGTATAAGAGAATTCCGTTACACTTATTCCAATATCTCAGCGCTCCTGTTCTCAAAGCCAGCAAGACATTAAATATTAAATATAAGCTTGTACTGTATTGTCCTTTCATTTACCCCTAGTTCTGTACATTCAGATACAGGTATAATATCCTGTTTGGGCCACTTTCAAATTTCTTTAGGCCTTCTCAGAAACAATTATGCAAAATTCTAGTTTGAGATTTCTTTTCTTAAAAGTTTTTCAAGGCAAACTTTCTCAAGTTTTTCCAAGTAATCTTTCTCTGTTATAAAGGAAGTAGAATTAATTTAGAAGCTTTCTACTTCACAGCCTATCCAAAGTTTTTAGTGACCAACCCAGTGTTGTCATTGAACATGGACAATAGCAGGCCCTACTTCGGCTGCTCCAGTACCTTTTCTTCCCTCAGAGCTCAGGTGCTCCCTCACACAGGCAGATTTCAACCATGAAATCTCCATCATATTTCTATGGCTGTCACAGAGTAGTTTTATTGGTTTTCTAGGGCTGCCTTAACAAAGTACCAACAGAAAGTGGCTTGTAAAGCAGAAATGTATTGTCTCCCAAGCTGGAGGCTTGAAGTATGAGATCAAGGTGTCTGCAGGGCCATTATCCCTCAGAAGGCACAAGGAAAGGATCTACCCTGAGCCTCTCTCCTAGCTTCTGGTCGTTCCTTGGTTTGTGGCAGCATAACTCAGTCTTCACGTGGCTTTCTCCCTGTGTGTCTGTGTCCAGATATTTTCCTTTTTGTAAGGACACTGGTCACATTGGATTAGGGGCCCACCCTACTCCATTACAACATCATTGTAACTTAGCAAATTACATCTGCAATAACCCTATTTCCAAGTAAGGTCACATTCTGAAGTATTAGGGGTCAGGACTTCAATGTATAAATTTTGGGGTACATAATTCAACCCACGACAATCATCAGTATTTGTGATATCAATCGTATAAACATGATGGTTAACGGCAAAGGACTTAGCGGCCGACTCATCTGTGTTGGAATCCCATTTGCTGCCATCTGAACCTTTGTTTCTAAAATAGGGTCATTGATTTTTATTTTATAGGGTTGTTGAGATCATTACATAATATATGAGTAACATGATATTAGAGTAGAGCTCCTTCTGTTTCAATTTTGGCCATGGCCTCAAAGAACAAAAACAAAATAATTAATTCCAAAATATTCACATTCTAAAGTGAGTTGCTAGACTAACTATGCAAGACATGCTTAGAGAGTATAAAACTATTTGGGCTGGTATATGCAACCACCCAGCTCTACTGAAAAAGGAATCAAGGCTGATAAGGCCAGTAGAGGGAAATTGTTTCTTAGAGAGAATTTTTCTTCCTGCTCCAATGCTTCCTCCTCACCTCAGGTCAGGTGACAGGAACCCTTCTGAGGGCTTGAGGGGAAGTAGGACCTGATGTTTGACTCACACCTGTGAAGATTAAATGTGGGAGGCTATGTTTGGAGTTGCCTGCCTGATGGCCGCAGGGGTCCAGATGCTCTGCCACTGACAGCAGAACAATGAAGTGAGGAATTTCCTGTGTGCCCAGTGGGCTGGAGGGATGAAGCTAGCCTGGAGTCATTTCAAAAGGACTTGTGTGAGGGGTCTTCCTGCCACACTGGATCTTGGCTAAAAGAAGTTGGAGTATACCGTCAGATACAGAAACTGAGAGAGATTCAACACTGGCCAGCTTAGTAAGAAGCTGCGGTGGAAAGGCTGCAATGAAGGTTCTCTGAGGAAGCTCCGCCAGCACCCCAGCAGAGCAAGAGTCAGCACTGAGAATCTGCCATACTAAGAGGGCTCGATGCCAGATGACATCCAGACCAGTTTAGAGGCTCTTCCCCTTTCCCAGTTTTACCTCTTCCCAGTTGTATTCCCACATGAGAGGATCCCAAGCGGGAGAGAAAAATATGAGAAATAGAAGGGGAAGAGGAAAGAGAAGGGAAATGGAGAGGCATCTTACAGAGAAATTGAGCAAAAGCCAACCATGTCCTCCTCCAGCCCCAAGGAATCTCAAGCTGGGGGTGTATGTAAGTGGACAAGAAGCGCATTGGGTTATGTAATATTAACCCCAGATCGGACATTTTACTAACTAAAATGAGATCATTTTGGGGACTGACATGAATTGGAGAACTTTTGATGATCTGAGAGTGACTGATTTTATGATCTGAGAGCTGCCTCATTTCATTCATGCAGTAGGGGACAATCTACCCATACAGTTTAAGTAGCATGGGAGAAAGAATAAAGGTGTGCTCTGTTTGCATCTTACTGCATTTATCCTAGCAGAAAGTCAGTACCCTGAAAACATTGCTGTTAATCTGATGATGCTAGTAATCATTTTAGTTATAATTTTGACTGAAGAAAAACATACCAATTTTCATGGTGATGTCAGTGTATAGTTCCAGAGAAACAGAAATCACTCCAGCAATTTCATATAGAAAGAGATGTAATAAGGGTAACTATGTGCTTGTCAAATCATTGGAGAGCTGGAAGAGCAGTCTCTAAACTGAGCCTCCAGAAATAACTCCCAGGAGATAACCATCAAGCTGATTTGCTAGGGGAGCTGTATCTTCTGTCCCAGTCCTAAATGTGTGAAATCAGGAGTATGCCATGGAAACTTTTGGATTCTTGAACACACTGCTATAGTTGCAATCTGAGGATGGAGAAGCCACTGTCATCCTTGCGGCTACTAACTCATAACACTCATAAAGCTGGGCATTGGATATTGGAATGCTATTGCAGAAAAACCTATCGCCTGCATGGTCCTGCTTACCAAGCAGCGACAAACATCATAGCAGGCAGGTGGCCCTAGTCTCACTCAAAGCTATTTAATTGGAAGTATGTCACTTACAATCAGAAAGTTAGCTACGAAGGAGTCAGAGAAATCTAATTTTGAGCTTTTCAGCCTCTGCAATACAGGAAAGTAGTATAGAAGGTGTTTGGAATGGTTGCTAAAAGCTAGGGTTTTATATCCATCACTATGGTCCCATGCATATAAAAAGACACATTATGCCAGTGGCCCCAGCCTCTGTCAAAGACCAAACACTAGATTCAGCTGGGCTTCTCAAAAATCAACTATATGGAGATACAATATGCATATGATAAAATGCACCTATCTTAAGTGTACAATTCAGTGAGTTTGACAGATATGATGTAAATGTAATCACCACCATAATCAAGATATGAAATCTTTCCGTCATTCCAAAAAGTTCCTTTGTGTTCCTTTGCAGGCAATCCCCTCATTTCTCCCACTCCAAGAAACCAGAGATCTGATTCATGTCACTATTGACTAGTTTTTTCTGTTCTAGAATTTCATATAAATGAAAGCCTACAGTAATATACAGCTGTTTTTAATATTTGAAAATAGTTTCTTCTCTCTAGCCAAGAATCTAGCGTGGCACAGTGGGTTAAGGAAGGTCTTTGAAATAAGGCAAACTCAGAGCTGAATCCCAGCTTTCTACCTACAAACTTTGACCTTGTACAAGTTGCATGTGCTGAGCCCAGATTTCTTATCCGTAAAATGGTCATTTAAAGCAAAAACATCTGTGAGGTTTAGAACTAATGTATGAAAAGCACACAATTGGCACTACATAAATAGTAACTATCATTATTCTTCTTGATGACAGCCTATCAAAACTGCTAGTTTTCCAGTCAAATTCACGAAAACTATAGTGCTTCTATGGAGCATTTTATTTCTGACTTACATGCATTGCTGCCACAGCAGTAATTAGAAGTTACTCTCTGGAGTATCAGATTGCCTAGGTTCACATGTGGATTCTACCACTTGCTATTTGACCTCATGCAAATTCTGAATCTTTCTGTGCCTGTTTTCTCTTCTGTAAAATGGGAATAATAATAATACCTAGGATTGGTGTGGAAATTAAATGAGATAACACATATTACCTTAGTGAGTGCTCCATAAAGGTTAACTATTATTAATATCATTATTATTGCACATTGACATTTCACTAAGATCCCACAAAGTGCACTGTGTCTCTTTACCTTCACTCAAGCTCCTTTCCCCAGAAGTATCTCTCTCTGTTTGGCCAACTAAAGTCTCTCATTTCAGCCTCTGGGGACTTCTTCCTCCTATGAAATACACTTGTATCCTCTCATTTGACACTTATCCCACACTTTCTATTATCATTGAACCATAGAATGTTTGAGATGGAAAAAAATGATTCACTCAAACCTGTCATTTTACAGCTGGTGTAACAGAGGTCCCATTAGGATAAATTATTTCCCAAGGCCATATCTTTAAAACATAGACCAGGTCACAACTTGGTCTCCTAACTCTCAGTCTCTATGTCTACAACGTGATTTTAAGTACTTAACAGAATTCCTGCACACAATTCTCAGTAGTTTACTGGCTTCTTGCATGAATTCTTAAAATATACTGTGCTCAGTCAGTAATTTTTAGAGCCAAATCCAAGAACTTTGCTTGTCATAGTGCCTAAGCTCTTGTCATTCTCCAAGATTAAAGAAACGATACTCAGACCTGTCAAAATATAATCACAAAGCTTATCAGGAAAATCATCTGAAAATAAGTCATGCATATTGTATGATATGAGAAGGATATACTACATAGCAGGAGATGCTGCATAGATTTTATGCGGTAGACATACATTCCTGCTGTAGTGTCAGTTCTTTTAGAGATTAGCCAAAAATATAAGAAGGCTGCTATGTAATTGCAAGGAAAACACTTTTTATCATTAGTTTAGTCTTTAGGTAAATGCTTTAAAAATAAATTTCAATATCTTTAGCCCAATAAGATAAAGGTCTGTATACTATACCCCTACAAAGTAAACACAACTAGATAAAAAGTAAAATACAGGCGAAACCAATCTTGTATTTGTATGCAAGATAGCAGTTACATAGCTTTTCCAGGGCTGAGGAACTGAGTGTTGTCTCTGAGAGTTATGTTTATGTCCACAGGCCACTGTGGACTTTGGTGGGGAATAAATAAGGAAGTCCAGCATGCATATTCTGGGAAAGAAGAAGAAAAGAGGAAGAACATGGGAAAGGTAGGAGAGAAATCTCCTTCTGTAAAAAGAAAGTAGAAGAGCAATCTCATTTCTCCCAACTTTTCTCTCACAATTTTTAGAATGCTGTGTGTCAGGGGTTCCCAAGACCACCCCTCATTTCCAATGATTTGGTAAAAGGATTCAAATAATTTAGCATGTATTTGTACTTATGGCTGATATTATTACCATGAAAAGATAGAAAGCCAAATCAAAAAAGGGAAAAGGCACATGAGGCAAAACCAGGAGAAAACCAGGCACAAGCTTCCAAGGGTTCTTTCATAGTGGAGTGGCTTAATTCCTTCAGCAATGAGTTGTGGCAACACATGCAAAGTGCTTTCTACTGGGCCAGCTCAGAAGAGACTTGGTGTCCAAGGTTTCTTTTATTGAAGGCTTGTCAAATAGGAACCCTCTTCCTACCATATACCAAAATTCCAGGCTCCCCTCCCAGGGAGGTGTTCACCATAAACATGCTGTTTACACAAACAGTATAGCCATAGTGAGTCACCTTTGTTATTTAGGCAAATTTTTAAAGGTGTGCAGGAAACTTTTTACCAGCCAAGTTCCCAGATGCCAGCTAAGGGCTGATCTTGTAAGTGGGCCTTTCTAAGGATAGCAGGCTCAGGCCTGCTATGTTAACTATTCTGCTCACACTATTTTCTTCATTCCAGCATTCAGAGAGACATAAGAATGACAACTGACATAATCTCATTTAAGATAACTCATCTGTAGCACAGACAGGCTGACTACCTTGTTTTAAGTCATATCTAGTTAGTTGGCTAGGATAGTTCACCTGGGACCATAGGTGTGAACCCTTGGTTCTGGCTGTTAGTTGGATTCCTTGCTTCTTCTCTACTTCATGTTCACAGAGGTAGCCAAGATGCTGCCAGACAACTTCTTCTCACATGTCTGATGTCTTGGTTGGGACGGCTGGAATAGCTAGGCCTAGTGCCATGTCTATGCAGATTTATCAGGGGGATATCTTGGGCTTCCCTATACATGGTGGTCCCAGATACCTGGAGTTCTTACATAATGGTTAGTTTCCCCTAGAGCAAGCATTCTAAGAGACACACTGGAAGTCCTAGAGGATCACTTGTCACATTCTATTAGTAAAGCAAAGTACTAAGACTCGCTCCAGATTCAAAGTGAGGAGAATTAAACTCAATAGCAGGAATAGCAAATGATTTGCAACCATCTGTAATATATTGCAATAAATAATGTATCTGAATAGCTTCACATATATCCATTTCTATTA
Organism: Homo sapiens; assembly: GCF_000001405.40. Classification (NCBI taxonomy): domain Eukaryota; kingdom Metazoa; phylum Chordata; class Mammalia; order Primates; family Hominidae; genus Homo; species Homo sapiens. The sequence continues at coordinate 7,126,644 of NC_000007.14, read as the reverse complement.
TTCTAGTTATGTACTTTGCATGTTTTATTTCTCTTACTGGATTGTACATTCCTTAAGACTAAGAAGCCAGTCTGCCTCAGTGTTCATTTCCCTACAGTGTTTAACAGTAGTTCGCTCAAAGCACACGTTGAATAATTATTTGTTGAATAACTGAATATTATTAAATGCTACTTCATGCCAAGCACTATACTAAGCTCTTTAATATCTTCTTTAACCCTTACAACCTTGAGAGGTAGGTATTGTTATTATTCCCATTTTCATGTGAGAAACTGAGGCACAAAGTGGTTAAGTTATTTGCCTGAGGGCACATGGGTAGTGTCAGGATTTGAACTCAGACTGCCTCTAGAGCATAAGCTAAATCATCAGACTCTCCTGCTTTCATCACAGGCTGAACTTTACACAAAGAGAAATCCGCGAAGAATTCAAATTATGGTACTGATCTATGCAAATATTGGAGAGGTCTTAGATCCTTTATTTAGTTTATTTAGTTCCTTTTTCTATTTACTTTTTGGAGAAGTGGAGTGTAAGTATGAAGAGAATGACAAAGAATGGTAATAGACCTAAAAGGCATTCTAATGGGTAAAGCCATGTTATGTAATCTCAAATATTATGTAATTTTGAGGCATTTGTAATCTTGAAAAACTGTTTTTTTTTTTTTAAATTGTGAAATGAACACAAAAGATGAGATTTTTTTTCTTTTCTCTTTTTTCTTTTTTATTATACTTTAAGTTTTAGGGTACATGTGCACAACGTGCAGGTTAGTTACATATGTATACATGTGCCATGTTGGTGTGCTGCACCCTTTAACTCGTCATTTAACATTAGGTATATCTCCTAATGCTATCCTCCCCCCTCCCCCCTCCCCCCACCCCACAACAGACCCCGCTGTGTGATGTTCCCCTTCCTGTGTCCATGTGTTCTCATTGTTCAATTCCCACCTATGAGTGAGAACATGCAGTGTTTGTTTTTTTGTCCTTGGGATAGTTTGCTGAGAATGATGGTTTCCAGTTTCATCCATGTCCCTACAAAGGACATGAACTCATCATTTTTTATGGCTGCATAGTATTCCATGGTGTATATGTGCCACATTTTCTTAATCCAGTCTATCATTGTTGGACATTTGGGTTGGTTCCAAGTCTTTGCTGTTGTGAATAGTGCCGCAATAAACATACGTGTGCATGTGTCTTTATAGCAGCATGATTTATAATCCTTTGGGTATATACCCAGTAAAGGGATTGCTGGGTCAAATGGTATTTCTAGTTCTAGATCCCTGAGGAATCGCCACACTGACTTCCACAATGGTTAAACTAGTTTACAGTCCCACCAACAGTGTAAAAGTGTTCGTATTTCTCCACATCCTCTCCAGCACCTGTTGTTTCCTGACTTTTTAATGATCACCATTCTAACTGGTGTGAGATGGTATCTCATTGTGGTTTTGATTTGCATTTCTCTGATGACCAGTGATGATGAGCATTTTTTCATGTGAAAAGATGAGTTTTTTAAAAAGTACCTGAAAAAATAAGGAAATACTATATCGTGTTATATGGGCTTTGGATTATATCTGATCCTGAACAACTGATCATTTTTATTTTTAAAGTTATATGTGGTAAGATATAGAGTCTAAGGTTTAAATATCTGACTTCTGATATATCTGTCATTGGAAAAATAATTAGGATTAGAAACTTTTTTCTTTGATGGCCAGGCGTGGTGGCTCATGTCTGTAATCCCAGCACTTTGGGAGGCTGAGGCAGGTGGATCACTTGAGGTCAGGAGTTTGAGACCGCCTGACCAACATGGTGAAACACTGTCTCTAATAAAAATACAAAAATTAGCCTGTGTGGTGGCGGGCATCTGTAATCCCAGCTACTCAGGTGGCTGAGGCAGAAAAATCGCTTGAACCCGGGAGGCGGAGGTTGCAGTGAGCTGAGATGGCGCCACTGCACTCCAGCCTGGGTGACGAAGCTAGACTCCATCTCAAAAAGACGAACAACAACAATAACAACAACAACAACAACAACAACAAAACTCTTTTCTTTGAAATAGTAATGGTAAGTGATTAAGTCCCCACCAAGGCAGCAATGTTACAGAAGATCCTTCCCTGGGAGAGTAGATATTTCTGATTGGAAACATTGAAGGGGAATGTAGAGTATCTGAAAAGTAGAGGGAGGGAGGGGCAAGAGAGAACCCTAAACTAAAGAGGAGGACAAGACAAGCTTGAGGAAGGGGGAGGTTAAATCATGAAAGTTTTCCATGGGAAGTTTTCCCTGTGATGGTGACTGGGGCCAACAGGACTATCAGATAGGTTCTGCTATGAATAACAGAAAACATAGGATGATAAAGGTTGGCACACATTGGAAATTTATTTTTCAATTTGGACACAACATGGACACAACAACCTGTCTGGAGGAGAGCAGTCCAGAGCATTTTAGGAGACCTATCTTTTTCTACCCCATTGTTCTGTACTGTGGACTGACACAAGCCCATTTGGTCCCATACAACTCTTAGGGTGTCTTTGGCAGAATATACTAGATTTGAGATGAAAGTATCAGCTGCTTCTTCAACCTTGCTATCAGGCTGTATGGAAAGCAAGTCACAGAACAAATTCTGCCACAAAAGCAATCATTTATAACAAAACATTTAATTATAAGAAAGCATAAGAATAGTTTAGTCTTTTCTTTCAGTTGAAGGTAGCCTTGGCTCTCCTTCCTCCAATCTCTAATCTCACCTGACATGAAAAATTGAACCAAGGCAGTTATGACAACGTTCCAGAAGCAGGAATCTCTTATCTGTGTAGTCAGCATCAGGGAGCTAAAAAGCCCTTAAAACCAAATACCGAACCCAGGATCATTTAGAGATTAAGCCACGGGCATTTTTCCTAAAGGTACAAACCATAGGCCACAGGTCACACTGGATTCTTTTATTCTACTCCTGCAAAGGTGGAGAGTGTCTCTAAAATATTTTCACTAACCTTATACCTTAAATATCATTAATTTAGCCAATGACAATTCCTATCTAGCATTCATTAGTAGATTGTTAATTTTATTCACCCTTAAAAGCCCATTTCTGAAATTCACTGAGAATGTTAGCAAAGACCCAGATATGAATGACAGAAACAATCACTTCTATGATATAGGCTTTTTAATTAGAACATTAATGCCACCTCTGGAGTGCAAACTTTCAACTGAAATTTTAGCTGACTGCTCTTGGGTTGTAACTTAACCTGAATTGGACAAACAAAATATCTTAATTAAATATAATTGCCATCCTAAAACATGGCTTGTACACATGCTTCTGCTTAGATCCCATTGGCAGCAACTTGGTAACATGGCCACATCCAGCTTCAAAGGAAGCTGGGAAATGCCAACTTTATTCTAGGAAGCTACGTGCCCAGAGATGATATGTATTACTACCAAGGGAGAAGAAATGAACAAGTATTTTGCGAACCTTGGAAGGTTTCCTGTGCAGAGGGACTCACCATAGTTGCTCAACACTTTCACTTGCATTGCAATAAATAAATCCTACTCCACCCTCAGACTATGGGAAACTTTCCAGGTATGAAAAATACTCTTATGTATTCCCAGAAATGGGTTAGAGTTGGGGTAATTGCTTAATGGTAGATAGATGTATTAAGGCAAAAATTTCCATCAATTATCCTACACTCTAGGTTAAAATGCCAACTCTGCATTTTAACAAGATTGCCAGATGATTACTAAGTGCAGAAAAATTTGAGAAGCACTGTTTTTGGATGCTTCCCTCTCTTTCCTCAACATATATATACTTGAACATCCTGTGGTTGAGGCCAAAGCGTTTCCCTCAGCAGGGCAACTGTAATCTAGAACACAGAAGTAAGTCTGGGAGAATCCACGAACAAGTGGTACATTGTAATTTAGATAATCAGTTACTCAACATTTCATGCAGATTAGATTATCTTATGAAAAAAGCAATTCGTGTATTTTTTGGACTGCAATAAGGAAATAATAAAAAGAATATATTAAAAGTGGATCTAGCTGGAGAATAAAACTCTAGATAATTTCTTTTTCCAACTTTGTCATACTTTTCAAAAATTTCTTTTATGAACATAAACTATTTTAAAGTGGAAAAAATTGTTGTTATGAAAACACATTTGTTTTAGCTTTAGCAATCAGTTAGATAGTTGAATAAAAAATAAATCTCTCACTGGTTTGGAAGTTAACAGCTATGGAGTGGGATATTATGAATCCACCCAAGACAAGCTGCTGCCATTGCCAAAGTAAACTGCTTATTCACAGGAGATGAGACGTGCTTATTTTGGAGCACTTTTCTTAATTGCCGACTTTTGCAACTCAAAAATTTTAATGTCATTTCCAAACATTGCTTTAAAAGTATTTTCAAATTGAAACTTGGCACGGAAGTTTAATATAATTTTCTTCTGGTAATTGAAGTGATTCGATTCAACCACATTTATTGGACAGCTGAAAGTTGCATAACTCTGAATCTTTTTTTGTTTTTTCATTTTGGAGGGAACATACAAAGGAATTAAAAGACATGGTCCCTACATTTGGGAACTCACTTTGGAGGACTTTTGTAAAATTATTGTGTAACCCTCTTTCAAAATTAAGATTTGTTTAAGTGTGTTTAAATAATTTTATCCTGGTTGGATATTTTTATAATTCTATATATTCTTTTAAAAACCTATAATATATCTGATTGATCTGATGTAAAAACAAGAAGAAATTCTAGCTTCAAAGGCCAAAATGCATATAAAGGTCATAATTTCACAATAGCAACTACAGAAACACATTGAAGGCATTGGGTCTTTCTCCTGTTGCTTCTGGAGAAAGAAGAAGAAGGATAAATGAAGGAAACGGAGGACGCATGGCATTTCCCTAATCCATTTTTTGTAGCAACTCTGACAGGCGAGCTTGCAATGGAAAATTGTGCCTGATCCTTGATTCTTGAAACAAATTTCCCCAAAATAAACTTTTACTTTAGTGATGGGATTAAACTCAGTAAAAACAGTCAAGGATTAGTGAAGAAGACTCCATATTCTATCAGAGGATTTGTAAAAAATTCTAATTCTTTGACACTTTAATTTGTGGAATGGGCCAGGTGTGGTGGCTCACACCTGTAATCCTAGCACTTTGGGAGAAAGAGGTGGGTGGATCACCTGAGGTCAGGAGTTTGAGACCAGCCTGGCCAACATGGTGAAACCTTGTCTCTCCTAAAAATACAAAAGTTAGCTGGGTGTGGTGGCATGCACCTGTAATCCCAGCTACTCAGGGAGGCTGAGGCAGGAAAAGCACTTGAATCCGGGAAGTGGAGGTTGCAGTGAGCCAAGATTGTGCCACTGCACTCCAGCCTCGGTGAGAGAGCAAGACTGTCTCAAAAAAAAAAAAAACCAAAAACTGTGGAATAATTAGTATAGATGTTAATTTTTATGCACAGTTTTGTTAATAAAGAATTCTTTCCCTTTTGAAAAACAAAAACAGGAAATTAAAATCATAAAATTAAAAGTTGAAAGGTTTTTTTATTGGTTGGAAAGAATTAGAAACTCACTCAAACTAGCTTAGAAAAGATGATTAATTTCAGTGTTACAGATATATCACAGAACTGTGTGAAACTGGGCCTCATACAAAGTAGAAAGCTGTTTAGAACCAATATTAATTGTCTCTCACTTAATCTCAGCTTCTTTTTCCACAACTATACCACTTTCATCTCTCTAAAAATCAATTTCATTTGCTTACTCATCAGCTTGCAAATGGCTTCCTCCACCACTAAGCTGACTTTGCCACTCCAGTGTCCAACCCTGACTCGTAACAATCTCTGTATTTTATAGTTTAAAATAATGATGGAGGGAATCTGATTAATGCAGATCATCTGTTCTAGTCAAGCCATACCAATCAGAGGTCTCTGATAAACCAACAGATTGGCTGCCCATTTGGAGCAGATACCTGACCTAATCATCCATGGCTCGGGGAAGAAGAGGTAGCACGTAATGTGTTGGACTGCTTATTCTTCTGGGTATATATTTACTTTAGGTAAAAGAAAGGAATAAATAATGTACTTGACGTTGGGCTTAGCAAACTTAATATCTATGAGGTGAAGCTAAAGAAGACAATGCACATGAAAGAATTATATATGTTGACTAAATGGCCCAATGAATAATAATATGACAAAAAGTACCAAGGGTGAGAATCCAATATGATCCGTAGTGATACCATATTATGACAATATGGAATGTTGAAAAGCTGAAGGATTATCAGATACACCAAAAAAGAAAAAAAAGTATGCGTTCATAAATAATGAATAACCAGTTACAGATAAAAATTAACATTAAATTATCTAAAGAATTCTGATTCAAGATGGCTGATGAAACACATGCTTAGGAATAAAATTATATAAAGAATAAGAACAAAAATAAAATATATAAAGAATAAAAACAAAAATAAAATTATATAAATAATAAAAATAAAGTATATAAAGAAAAAAAACAAAAACAGCACAATAAAAAGAATGAGGGAATAATTGGTAGACAAGAGATTGCAATACATTTCTGGAAGTTTTCTTAAAATTGATGAAGCTGAGTAGAGACAGCCATAGCCAAGGGAGCACCATGAAGCTGACTGTCCTGGCAGACACCCAGAAAGGCTGTAGTAGATAGAGTGGGAAATGGGTTTGAGAAATTGGACTGAAAGGATTTGCAGGCAGCCATTTGCCCCAAGCCAAAAATTAGAGGGTTTAAATAATCTTAAGACATTGCCCAGGAAAAAATTGGGCAGATGGCAAGGGAAAGCACTCTTAGAGTAAATACCTCTTAAGTCTGGCATTTAAAGGTTCCCAGAGTTACAGCTGGCTTCATGCCTGCACACACACACACACACACACACACACACACACTATTGAAGCCTGTCATTAACCAGTCCTGACTATGCCCACAAAGCTCCCAGAAAATCTTTATATGGGCCATATTCTTTTTAAAAGGCTTCATTTTGGCATAATTTTAGATTTACAGAAAAGTTGGAAGAAAAGTACAAAGAATTCCCATATATAGTATACCTAAGTTTCTGAAATATTGACATTTTAACATATGTACTTTATCCTTTTCTCTCCATAGATATATAGAGAGATAGATGGATGAATAGATAGATATGCAATTTATTTTTGTGGAACCATTTCAGAGTTGTAGACATGATGCCCCTTTATACTTAGATATTCCAGTGCTTATTTCTTAAAAACATTCTCTTGCATAATTAGAGGAAGAATATCAAATGCAGGAAATTAATACTGATATAATACTATTATCTAAATATAGACCTTATTCAGATTTTGCTGATTATTTAAAAAGTCCTTTTTAGGAAAGGAAATTTCTAGATCATGTTGCATTCAGTTGTCTTATGTCTTTAATCTCCTTTAATGGGGCCCAATCTCCTAGTCTTTGTGCTTCATGGTATTAATATTTGAGATGACAAGTCAATTATTTTGTAGAATGTCCCTTAGTTTGAGTTTGTCTAATGTTTCCTCATGATTAAATTCAGGTCATGCACTTTTGGCAGGAAGACCACTGAAGTCAGTGTTTTCCTCAGTGCGTATCTTGTGATAAGGCATGTAATGTAAATTTACCCCATTATTGTCTCATTCTTAGTGTGAGCAGTAACCAAGGATCAATAAACATCAGATGAAAGTCTCTAACATGAAAAGGAAAACCCAAGATAAACCAACGGGAAAAATGTGACATCAAAGGAAAGAATTCAGAGAACAGAAGTATACTTCAAAATAGGACAGACTTTCCAACTAGTGACTTCTGAGATTTGAAAAGCTATTGCATACACAAAACAAGAAAATACATGCTATGAAAAAGAAATAACTCTTAGAAAATGAAATTATAATTGCAGAACTTTTTTAAAAAAAGTTTTAAAGATGAAATCAAGGCACTCACCTGGAAAATAAAAAGAGAGAGGGATCAAAAGATAGCAGATAAAATACATAACAGATCACTGTGAGAATTCTGTATTAGGAATGGATTTGACTGCATACAATAGAAAAATCACAAAATGATAGAAGATTGAAAAGACATAAGTTTTTCACTCACATAAAAGAAAATTTTGAGGTGGATTGGTGACTTCAGTGAGGCATTAGGATCACCAGGCCCTTACCTTCCCATTCTATCATCTACCAAATGGTTTGTTTCATTCTTGTTTTTAAGACAGGGTTTTGCTTTCTTGCCTAGGCTGGAATGCAGTAGTGTGACCATAGCTCACTGTAGTCTTGACCTCCTTGGCTCAAGCGATCCTCCCACCTCCCCCTCCTAAGTAGCTGGGACTACAGGCACAAGTCACCACGTCCAGGTAATATTTTTATTTTTTGTAGAGAGGGTCTCACTATGTTACCCAGGCTGATCTCAAACTCCTGGGCTCAAGCGATCCTCCCACCTTGGCCTCTCAAGAGTGCTGGGAAAACAGGCTGAGCTACCACTCCCCCCGCTAAAAGGTTTCCATGTGCACGGCAACCTCATGGTTCGAGATGGCTGCTGTAACTGCATCCTTTAAGCCTAAATCCAGACGAGAAAAAGAAGCGAAGTCAGGGTGACGTGGGGAAAGGCCCTTCTAAGCTGTGGGAGCTAACTTTAAGAAGCTTTTCATTAATTCCGTTTATATCTCACTGGCCAAACCTAGCTGCAAGGAAAGTTGGGAAATGTAGTCCTTTATTCTGGGCAGCAATATGATGTTAAAAAGATCAAGATGTGCTTATTAAGGAGGGGAGTGTTGATATTCAGCTAGGCAGCTAGCAGATTCTGCCACAGTGTTTACTATGCAAAATAATTTCCAGTGTGGGAGATATAAATCATTAAATTAAAAGTGTTTAACAAATACCAAACAGGACATATTTTTATATGCATAGTCATAGTATAACTATTAATAGTTTGAAATTTTAGAAATCTAAGGACTTTTTTTTTTTTTTTTTGAGACGGAGTCTCCCTCTGTCGCCCAGGCCGGACTGCGGACTGCAGTGGCGCAATCTCGGCTCACTGCAAGCTCCGCTTCCCGGGTTCACGGCATTCTCCTGCCTCAGCCTCCCCAGTAGCTGGGACTACAGGCGCCCGCCACCGCGCCCGGCTAATTTTTTGTATTTTTAGTAGAGACGGGGTTTCACCTTGTTAGCCAGGATAGGACTTTTACAAAATGGTGTAATTCCAAATAAAACAGAATGTGTTAAACAAATATATAAAGGATGCTCAACCTTGTTAAAAAAATTAGAGGCCTGGCCTGCAAATGAAAACAAAAGTGAAATATTTCTCAGGATCAGCTTGGAAAAATCAAGATATTGAAAATATCCCTTGTCAGTGAAGGTTTTGAGGAAGAGTTTTCTCATCACCTGTTGGTATAAGTATAAATAAATTTAGCTTTGGGGGATGAAATTTTGGCAGCATTTATTTTAAAAAGTGGTTTTCTATTGCTGCTGTAACAAATTACCACGAACATGGTGGCTTCAAACAACACATATTTAAAGACACACACAAATTTATTAATTTAAGATCTGTAGGTGAGAAGTCTGGTACGAGTCTCACTGGATTAAAATCAAAGGGTCATCAGGACTGTGTTCTTTTCTGGAAACTCTATGATCTAGTCCTAGGATCTAGGGTTTCTAGGCTCTAGAATCCGTTTCCAGCTTATTCTGGTTGCTAGCAGAATTCAGTTGCTTGCAGATAATATGTAAATCCAAATTGCCTGTGGTCCTGCTGACTATCAGCTGAGGGCAATTCTATCATTTAGAAACTGCCTGTACTTTTGGCTCATGGTTATAGTCTTTTCTCTTCAAAGCCGGCAGTGACAGCTCCAGTCCCTCTCACGATTCAAATCTCCTCCTTCTGTTTCAAGTTTGATCCAGACAGGAAAGTTGTCTACTTTCAAGGATTTGTGTGATTAAATTGAGTGCACTCAGGCAATCCAAACTAATCTCGCCATCTCAAGGTCGGTAACCTTAATTATGCCGGTCAAATCTCTTTTGCTGTGTAAGATAGCAAACTCACAGGTGCTGGGAATTAGGACATGGACATCTTTGAGGGGTGTGAGGAGGAGGCGCATTATTCGGCCCACTACAGTGAAATATACACATTCCCTTTTATCTAGCAATTACACACATAAACCCAACTCACTCTAAAACCTGAGATGAGAGAGAGGGGAACAGAAGACTTAATTACCAGCATCACACTTCTTATCAGCATCATGAAATGCTAAGAAAAATATGGAGCAACGCTTTCAAAGTTCTGGGAAAAATAATTTAAAATACAGGTTGCGATGCTATTGTTTTAAATAGTAATTTATATAGTAATTTAAAATACAGGTTGCTATGCTATGCTATTGTTTGGCCAACCAAACAATCAATAGGAGGAAAAAGGCATTTCAAATATTTAAGTATTAGAAATTTTATCTCCAATATACCCTTTTAAAAAATGTTCCTTGAGGATGGATTTCAGCAATGACAGAATAATTTAAGAAAGAGAAAGGTAGGGGACGCTGGAGCAGTCGCTCCAACCCAGGAGAGCAGGGCGTTGAGGCCTCAGGACATTTGCTGGCAGCAGCAGGAAGAGCAATAGCCTACATTGGAGCAGGAGGATTGAGGACTCCAGATGGGAGCTGTTTGGGTGAAGACTGAGGTGGATTGGCCTGGTTTATCATCGAGAGCTTGAAAAACTTTAGGATATAAGAAAGGTACGGAATACATGGTACAAAATGAAAAGTCATGTCCTGTTTAAAGCAATTGGTGAGGGGTAAAACAAAGAAAAAACCCACAAATTTTTGAAATTTTTTAGCTGGAACAAGGAATAGTCTCTTTTGAGCAATACTGCAGTCATGGCACTGACCCTGTAAAGAACAATTCCTGCACATAAGCCCGGTCCCAACCTGGACATGTCTATATGTAATGACTTAATGTGAGGAAAGATCTTGAAGGGTGTGTACTGTGATGTTAATAGTGATTGTAGTTAGAGATGGGATTCTGAGTGATTTTTTTCTTTCTGTTTATCTGTATTTTCTAAGTTTTTGAAAGTAATCCTATATTTTATTATTTGCAATCTAGATTGTGTCATTGTCTTTTAAAACAGTGTAAAGAAAATAGTGATATTATTATGGCGGGGAACCATGGACTTCAGAGATAGAAGATGCCTTCAAGTCCTGACTGTAGTACTTAATGAGCAGATCACGCTATATTCTTTTAAGATCTTGCAGGACCAGCTTAAGAGGCCAAAAGCTTTAAAAGGAACCTGAGGCAGACATTCAAATTTGCTGGGCCCTAATGTGGGAAGAACTTGCTAGGCATGGGAGACTGAGGGAGGAACAAGATACAGTGCCTATCCTGAAGATACTCCAAGTCAGAATGGGAGCTAACCAGGAAATCTTCAGTCACTTCACAGTAGCAACGGCTGTGCTTAGTGTAACACATGGAGTGCCCTGGTACTCCAGCAGAGCCCTCCTCAAACTAGGCAGGGTCCAGTGTGGTTTCTCATAAGAGATGACCTACGACAGATGTATTCTGAAAGACGACTAGTAATAAGCTGGATGGAGGACCTAGGAAAAACAGGCATTCCCGGCAGGGCAAAAGGCATTAGCTGGCTTCCATTCTTCCTCTTTCTCTGGGCTGGTTCTGGCATTGAAACCTCACTACAAATATTTGTTCTTCTCCTTTGCCACTGCCGTGCATGTGTGTTACTTGGGCTAATATTTGCTTTTGTAGAAGACTGCACTTAACAATGCTTAATGGTGTGTATTGTGTAGATGGCCTGAAAGATTGTGGATTACCTGAGTTTTCCTGTTTCCTTTTGAATCTTAGAAAACATCGAGATAATTCTCTTCTGTTCTTATACATTTTCTTCATGCACTGAACAACTTGAGTCTGTAAAAATAACTCAAATGATGCAATATCTCATTTCTAATTTCTTGGCAATAACCAAGGAGAATCTTTCTGATTGTTAGTGTGGAAAGGGGGAGGCATAGCATGTTGTGCACCAAAATAAAATTGGGTCTGGGGTTGTCTTTTGAGGTGACCTCTGGTGTTTTTTAATTATAGAAACAGCTACATGTTTCTGTGGTTACAGAGATCCTGGTTAGACTACTCAAAGTGATGAGAGGCTCAGGAGTAACTACAATATGCAATTTTATTGTTTGTGAATTAATATGTTAAAAATTAGTAGCAGATTTGTTTTCCTTCACAGTTTTCACACAATTTAAGGAAAAAAGCTAACTGTAGCTTGTGTTTCCTTATGTGGTTTATATATTCACTCTTTGGTCCTAAGAATCCTAAAGACAAGTTTTGCACCTGCAGGCTTTGCTTCATGTTATGGAAAAGCTCTCTGGCGTGCTGGAGGGAAGGAAGTTGTCTCTCTTCCAGCTTAAGCGTAATGAAGGAGCAGAGGAAGGGTCTTCTGCAGGGATGAGCCCTTGTGCAAAGCCAGCAGGGCTTGGTTTGTTCAAGGAACGGCAAGTGATTGGATGACTGGCTTGCAGCTGGGTGGGGTTGGGTGAGGGATGAGGCTGAAGAGATGGGTTGGTAGTCATGCAACCGAAGTGCAGGTTCAATCATTCGCCGCTTGCAGAGTCCAATTAATAAGAACAAGGTCTGGTATAAAGAAAGTGCCTTTTTATTCCAAAACTAGCTTAGGGGAAGAAGTACAGGCTTCCGTCCTTAAGTATACTGCTTCACCTTTGGAGCAGAAAGTGGGCACTTTTAAAAGGCAAAGGAGGACACAAGCAGGTGAGGGGTTTTGTGCTAGCTTGGTGCCTTATCTATCAGGCTGTCAAGCTGGTGTCTTCATGGGCAGAAATGAGTTGTAATGGTGGCCAAAAACTCTAGCGGGCATACTTTGGATTGTAAATTGACTGTTATCTCTCGGGGCAACCTCCTGGTGGGTAAGAGTTCCATTCTGGAGCTTCTAAGCACACAGTTAGATGAATTTGCCCTGTGAGGAATATCTGCTGAAGAGGTGGTAAAGGCTATAATTGCATTTCTAAAGAGCTAAGTAGGAAGTTGGAAAAAGGAAAAAGAGAAGAGACAGAAAAAATAATTAAACTATCTCTTAGAAAAATGGGAGTATTCAGTGACAGTTTGGGGCGGATCACAAAGGGTCCTATGTTCTCCTTGTATGCTACCCTACCCAACCTCTAGGCTCTTCTTCCTCCACTATCTCCTGTATATTGATCTTCTCAGAGTATAGATCTGATCATGTTGTTTTCCACTTCAAACAAAATAGAACATAACACTTCACTAGCTCCTTGTTGCCCAATGAATAAGGAACAAATTCTTTAGATAAGTTTTGAAACTTTTTTCCTACTTTCTTCTACCAATCTTATTCTTTGGCTAATTTAGTCATTTTCCAAATGCTCCTTACTTTTTCAAACCTCTGTGCTTTTGCTTTTGTGCCATTCTGCCATTCCTTTTTTTCTAGAATGCTCATTCCCTGTCTCTACCTAGGAAGACTTGCCCACCTTTGAGGGCCTAATGCAAATGTGATTTCTTACTGGGTGAGATCTGAGGGTGAGGTGGGTCCTGCCTTTAATCCCTGTGCTTTGGGGAGGATCACTGGAGCCCAGGAGTTCGATGTTCCAGTGAGCTATGAATATACCACTGCACTCCAGCCTGGGCAACAGAGCCAGATCCCTGTCTCAAAGAAAAAAAAAAAAAAAGTAAAAAAAAGAAAAGAAATGTGATTTCCTTCATCCAGTTGTACTGTCATTCCAGGTAGAAGTGACTTTTATCTATACTTGGCTAAGCTTAATTTTTAAAAACTTTAAGTATAATTTACATGTACTTCCTTACATACTTACCTAAATGTAAGCATACAGGTTGAAGAAGTTTCACAAACTGAACACACTGGAATAATCAAGAATCAGAACACTACTAGCACCCCAGAAACCCTTTCTCCAGTCACTACTCCCACCTAAGGGTAACTACAACTCACACTTTAGGGTATAGATTAATTTTGAACTTTATAAAAGTGGAATTATAACATGTGTACTCTCTTGGATCTTTCTCCTAACATTATGTTAGCTTCTTTCTCCTAACATTATGTTAATGAAATTCATATTGTTATAGTTATTTGTGAATGCTTCATTCTTGTGGTGGTACAGTATTCCATTGTGTGCATACTATCACAATCTAGTTATGCATCTGTCGATTGGCTTTTTGCTACATTTAACATTCTGATGTATTTCTTTTGGTGAAAGTATGTATGCACTTTTGTTGTGTATAGAGGTAAGAGTAGAGTTGTTGGGTCATAGGGTATGCATATGTAGATACTGCCACACAGTTTTCCCAAGTGATTATATCAATTTACATACCCACCATTAATGTACAAGAATTCCAGTTGTTCAACATCCTCACTATTACTTGAAATCTCTAAACTGGCTGGATGTGGTGGCTTACACCTATAATTCTAGCACTTTGGGAGGCTGCGGTGGGAGAATTGCTTGAGGCCACGAGTTCGAGACCATCCTGGGCAACATAGTGAGACCCTGTTTCTACATTAAAAATGTTTAAAAAGAAAAAGAATTTAAAAATTAGAAAAATCTTTAATCTATTTTTTTTTTTTTTTTTAATACGGAGTCTTACTCTGTCACCCAGGCTGGAGTGCAGTGGCGTGATCTCGGCTCACTGCAAGCTCCGCCTCCCGGGCTCATGCCATTCTCCTGCCTCAGCCTCCCGAGTAGCTGGGACTACAGGTGCCCACCACCACACCCAGCTAATTTTTTGTACTTTTAGTAGAGACGGGGTTTCACCATGTTAGCCAGGATGGTCTCGATCTCCTGACCTCGTGATCCGTCCGCCTTGGCCTCCCAAAGTGCTGGGATTACAGGCGTGAGCCACCATGCCCGGCCTTTAATCTATTTTATTTTTCTGATTCTGATGGCATTGCACTGTGGTTTTAATTTGCATTTCTTTGATTATGACCTAGAGTCCTTGTTTTTTAAAAACATTCATGTACCCTTTATTATTCTATAATGTCTTCTATTATGGATATTTATGTACATGTCTGAGAGCAGAGATTAAATCTTGAATATATTTGTACACTTCAGGTCATCTAACTTTTGTATAGTTAGTAATCGATAAGTATTTATTGAATAAATATGTAATCATTATTACCACTAATTAAGTATTTCTTTTGTGCCAGGTACTATAATTAGCATTTTATATACGTCGTTATATTTGTTTGACACCCATATGCTTTTAGATAGCTAAAAGTATTCCCCTTTTCCAGATATGGAAATTAAAGCTCAGAGAGTTTAAGTGATTAAGTTTTTCTACTAGGTTTTCAACTAGTGAATGAAGGAGCTGAAATTTAAAGTTTTATCTCTTTTACTCCACATTCTATGCTCTTAATTACCATGCAAAAAGGGAGCATGAAAGAAAATTTGAGTTTATTTTTTTTAAGGTGTCTGGTTGCAAGAAACAGAAACCAATTTGAAATGGCCTAAACAAAGAAGGGAGAATTTATTACAAGAATTTAAGGGCCATATGAAGAGGGCAGTATTTGGGGAACAAGAAAGAAGGGGATCAGTTTTGGAAAGCCATTAGGAATCTGGGATATATTCTCTTTCCATCTTTGATCTCTGCATTTCTGCCTTGTGTCCATGTTACTATTCTCCTCTTGCTTTAGCTTTCTCTGCTGATCTGCCCTTATGACAGAATACAGCAACTCCACAGCTCCCAAGCATACAAATTGTACCTAACAGCCATGAAAATAGACTGGCTGGCTTTCCTTTGGTCTGGATTCCACATTCCTGAGAAGAAAAATGATTAGCTCAAACTAGGTCAAATTTTCCAATTAACTATATCCAGATGAGTAGGGAGTTACAGACTACCAACAGGATTCCTAGAAGCCCAAGCTATTACTTGGGGAGCCATTTCCAGAGAAGGGAATGGCTCATGGGTTCAGTAGACCCTTCTAAAAGCATCTATCCCAGAGTTCCCATCCAGGCAATGCAGAGGCCCAGAGCAACGTATAAAGGAGGGTTGTCTTTCTTCCTGTGAACTCTGAAAATTTGGCACAGGTCTCAGTTAATTTAAAAGTTTATTTTGCCAAGATTGAGGATGTCCCCATGACACAGCCTCAGGAGGTCCTGACAACATGTGCTCAAGGTGGCTGGGGTACAGCTTAGTTTTATACATTTTAGGGAGACACGAGACATCAATCAATATATATAAGAAGTACAGTCAATATATGTAAAAAGACAGGTGAGACAGGAAGGGTTGCATTATTTTGAGCTTCTGCTTAGTCCTTCCAAAAGAGGCAATCAGCTATGCATCTCAGTGAGCAGAGGGGTGACTTTGAATAGAATGGGAGGCAGATTTGCCCTAAGCAGTTCCCAGCATAACTTTTTCCCTTTAGCTTAGTGATTTGGGGGCCTCAAGATTTGTTTTCCTTTCACATTTACCCTCTTTTCTTTTTAAAAATATTTTGGAGATGGCATTTAACTAGAAAATTAGTCTCTGGTCTCAGGTTTCACCTGATCTTTCATGGCTAGGATGGTTTATTCCTAGAAGAGCAAATAGTGGAAGAAGAAGGGAGAAAAACAACAAACAAAAGAACACTCCTGGAAAATCAATATAGGCCCCACTACTCTGAAGTCTATAAATCAGTAGCAGGTATGAAAGTGGCTTATGCATGTAAATAGGTGGCTGTTATTTTCTTCTGAACTTTAAGTTGTCTAGTTTCAGTTTGCAGGGCTTTAAGAAAGCACAGCTTGGTTTTCAGTGACTCCCAGTTAGGAAAAATTGAAAAAAAAAAAAAAAAAGAAGGAAAAAAAAGAAAAAAAAAATTGAAAACATTATTTTGAAGACTTGTAGTCAAGAGAAAATTAGAATTTAGCCCAAACTGTAGAAATAATAAAAATTGAAAAACATTAGACAAGACTAGAATCTAACAACAGGTGTACAATTGTTTTTGAAACATAATTTTTCTCTCTCCAGTTTCCCATTTTTGCTAAAGACAAATCATGGTAGGATTGGTTTGCTTTATTATACTTGGCCTAATTACTTATATACAGTGCAAAAAAAATTATTTTTTACATAGGCTTTATATTGGCTTTGATGGAACCTTGTTCCATAGAAGGAATACCAGATAAGATGTTTTTAAAGCAGAGCCCAGCCATGGATTTGTGCCATCAAATACCTGTGAGTTGGGTGAATTTTCTCTCCTCTTGAGGTTCCAAGATAAACCGGGGGCCTCTACGCCTGTTAGAAGTGACATTCTTTACTTACCACAGGTCAGAAACCCTGTACAGGGACTGTGTACACAAAATATGAGGCCAATTTTTTCAAGGGCTTTATTGGCTCCATAAGTCAAGTTTGATTCCTTAAACGAAAGCACACCATTCCAGTCAAAGCCTTGGTAAAATAAGCAGTTTCTCCAATTGTGGTCTGTTATTAATGAAAACAGATTCTTATTGCACTTATGCAAATAACTGTATTGCCATGAGTTAAGAATACTTACAAATAGTTTCCAAATTCTGGAGAAATCAGCTAAAGAGAAACAAATATGCTCCAAACTTTGTTTATGGGAGTATACTAAATTGTTAAAAGCTGCCAATAGCTCAAAAGAAAAGTTTTAAGACTCTGAAAAGCAAAACAAAAGATCAGCAACATTTTAAGCAAAAAGTCAAAAAGATCAGTTCAGTCCATGCAGTTAATTCCTGTTCTGCTTGATACTCATGAATATTTTATAGCTCTCCATGAGTCCTGAAAGTTTTTCCTCTATTCTGATGTCACAATCTCCAAAGTTATCAGAAACCTGCATTCAAGAGCACCTGTTAGAGTTTTGTAGCTGATTATAAAGCCACCTTCTAAAGAGGACCAAAACAAGACAAAAATTGTCCATGGATGACAAAAAGTTTTAGGACAGCCATAGTCAAAAACACAGTTGAAAAGGACATTTGTTACCTCTGCGGCACACAATAATTTTAACATAACAATTATGATTATTACTGATAATGTACACTGAGTTATATAGAATTATAGGAATTTCCCATAATTTTGGAACACATACTAATAACATATTTTAAAAATGCAGCCCTCAAAAACCCAACACCATTTCATATTTGACAATGCTTCCTATATGATTTTTGTACCAAATAAGCCAAATTATGTTATTTTCTGAACTTTAGGGAACCTAATATGTTAAAGCTTTAATTAGGTCAGAAAAAGACATAATTTATAATTTGATTTTGGAAAGTTTGTCAAATATCAAAGGTTTTAAACATTTGATATCATAAAATAGGATCACAGGTCATTGTAAAATAAGTCATTCATTTAACCAAAGTGATAACTTCTGGACTTTAAAAAAAAGGCAAGAACCTTTATTCTTTGAGAAGAGACTTAATTTTCCAAACAATAAGCCCTAATAAAAACAGCATGAATCCAATTAAATTTGTTTTTCAAAATTTTATAAACAATCTATAAAATTTTTAATCTTGAACATAAGATATAGCTTCCATAGCACTTTATAATCTTTATGACCTTCACTAAGGAGTTGGTTAATGCTTTGAGAAAACTTTGTTAATCTGACACAGGGGCCCATATGCTGGTCTTCCATCAGTGTGCCTTTGACATTAATGATTCATCTATAAAGAAGCTTAACTTATTTTATCTTTCAAAATTGGCCCTTACAATATTGCGTGTGTGCCCATCTCTTCTGTGATAGTCCCTGGGCCTTGAGGAGTTGAAATAGCTTTAATTTCTTGCCCTGTGTCGCAGAAATGCAGTTTATTTTGACTGGCATCTTCTACAGGGCCTGAAGATGAGGCTTTAATTGCTGTTGGTGTTTAAGATTTAGCAAGACTTTGTGTCCTTTTTAGATCCAGGAGTCAAAACCCTGTAACTCAATGTCACAAGGACTTTAAAAGAACATACAGGAAAATACATGGATATAATAACCTTAAAAAAATTTTTTTTTTTAATCTCAGGTTTTTTTCCCTAAGCAAACCAGAACTTAATATTTGGACTTTCTGATTTGTCCTGAATATGCCTCCTTTTTAAACAACCAGTCATTTTATTTTAGGACTGAAGTTTACCATGTAAGATTCTTTCTCATATAAAATTATTTCTCTTTAAGCTTTCTTACCACACACACACAAAAATACCTCTTTATTTTTATAACTTTACATCTCTTTTTATTTCATGGTTCCTTTTACCTTGTTTTATATATAACCTTTAAATAAGCTTCGAATTAGACAAAAATTTTTCACCTTTTTTTTTTTAAAAAGTCACACTTTTTTTTGCAAGAATATTTTCCTACAATATATATTTATTGGAAAATACCCAAATAATGAAATATATATTATTTAATTTAATATAACTTTATATTCTAAATTATGAAATTATGACCAGTTTTCTACAAGTATTTATCCCATTACATTTATCTATTTTATTTTAATTGTCTACCTAGATTATTTATGAAAACTGTGATAGTCATGAATTTAAAGTTATGAAACTGCCATTGCAAAATTATGTATAACTGAGACAGTGAAAATAAGATTTGACCTAATTGACTCCAACCTGCTCTTAACCTCCAAGCTATCCTTGTTCATGCCTAGGCATAGGCCAAACTAACTTCGGGAGCAACTTAGTCTATAGTTTAGCTTTGAAACAAAAATGATAACAGTCCTTTCCCAAAACAAACTTCCTTATTGCCTGTGGACTAGACTGCCTAAAGCCACAGGATTAGAAATTATGGTAATCTTACTAAATTCAAGATGCAGCTATTTTCATTAAACCCATATCAATGTCTTACTTATTAAAAATTACACAAACAAAAATCATTCTGTTTTGGACTGGTTTTATAGTTTCGTAATCCCATGCCAAATTTTGACACCTTATAGCATTTGGCAGGGATAAGTATGGAATTGCTTGATTAATAAATGCAAAACAAAAACTGTATGCTGGCAATTCTTAAGACATTTCTAATATTACTTTACCAATAATTTTAAAGCTAGCTTATTTGTTAAAGATTTTATTTAAGTTACATAAACTTGAAAAAGCATTTGACTAGTCTATTTTTTAGTATCTGATTTAAGAGCTTTTATTTTCCTTTAAGCCAATTGATTAGAGCTCTTTTATATATTTTTAGTAGTGAAACATTTTGTACACAGCGCATAAATACATACAAAGATGTATTAGGCATGCCGATGGAAGTACATTTTATAGATTTATAAAGACCCCGCTCTTTTTTTTTCCTATCTTAGACTTTCAGATTCTTGATAGCCTGTTTCACAACCCTAGGCAGTTGTCAGCTAAATAGCCTTAAATTTGCACACTAAAGGAAACAACTCAGGTGAAAATCAAATAGCAAAATTTACATCATAAGGTACAGAGAGAAAGAGTCTGGTGGTCCTAGAGGGAGATGTTTTTTATTTTATTTTGAGCCAAATGAAACATAAAATTAAACTACACTCTTTCTTAAAAACTTAACAGTAGCCTCTGTTGCAATAACTATTTTAGTAAAAAAGAAAAAAAAAATCAGGTGAAAACAGAATTCAGTCAACTGAGAAGAAAAAGAAAAAAAAACTTTTGCTCAAAAAAAAAAAAAGACAAGGTCTTAGGAGAGAAAAACAAACAAAAAGCAAAAACTTGAAGACCTTTCAAATACAAAGATGCATACATGCACACATACATACACACATCTTGGATGGCCTTTTAATTAAGTTGATTTTTAACATTGAGCTCCTTTAAAAATGTTTTTTAAATCTTATTACCATATTTCAACTAGGACAAAATGCTGCTAAACTAACAATGATCACACAAAAATATACTATTTCTGAGCGCTCTAAGTATTAAGAAGAAATTAACACCAGCTGGTTGTTAAATGCTAACTTTAGTCATTTAAAAGGAGTTTGCAAGATAGAATCCCAAACCAGTTTCCTACCTAGTGATGGGTCTCAGGCTGTAGACTGCTCTCTACCACCCTAGAAGCAGGAAAAAACAACCACAACAAAAAACCAAGCTCATTTTCTCTGTTGCAAGCGAGCTCAAACTCCTTGAAGGAGTTACCTGCCTTTCAACGTCATGGAAGCAAGAAAACTTGCCTTCCTTGTGTTGGGAGCAAGTAAAACTCAAAAGAAAAAGAGGAGTTGTACAGCAAAATAAAGTTGGGGTCATGACTGAATTTGGGGAAATCAGGGATTCTCTGGAGTGGGTGCCCTCAGACCTTAGCAAATTGTTCTTTCGGTTTGAGCCATAAAGTTAGCTCCTGCTGGTATCAAGCACCAATAGGAGACTTGTCAAAGGTCAGGGCCATCTCCACTAAGAATCCCTCCATGGTTACCAAAATGTGAACCCTGAAAATTTGAGTAGAAAGCTTATTTTGCCAAGGTTGAGGATGTGCCTGTAACGCAGCCTCAGAAAGTCCTGACCTTGTGCCTAAGGTGATGTAGCACAGCTTAGTTTTATACATTTTAGGAGACATGAGGCTTCAGTCAATATATGTAAGAAGTACATTGGTTCGGTCTGGAAAGGCGGGACAACTTGAAGTGAAGGTAGGAAGACTTGAAGCAGGGAGGGGGCTCCCAGGTCGCAGATAGGTGACGGAGGGAGGGTTACACTCTTTTGAGTTTCTTTTGAGTCTTTCCAAAGGAGGCAATCAGATATGCATCTATCTCAGTGAGCAGAGGAGTGACTTTGAACAGAATGGAAGGCAAGTTTGCCCTAAGCAGTTCCCAGCTTGACTTTTGCCTTTAGCTTAGTGATTTGGGGACCCCAACTTTTATTTTCCTTTCACATCCCCAACCCTTCTACTTCATGTTTTGTATTTGTTTGTTTTGGTTTTAAACACACAAATTGAGAAATATATTTTTTTCTGATTTTAAAGTTTGAGCGAGCATAGGAAACCTTCTTAGGTACTAGAAATATTCTATATTTTAATCAGTGTGATGGTTACATGAGTGCATGTACATGCAAAAAATTTTAAAAATTAAGGGAACATCAACAAATTAGGATCAAATTGTGATCGCTGATTCCAGTCCTATCCCAACAGTCAGTGTAAAAAAGAAACTTACTTGAAGACGTTTTCACAGTAAATTTTTGCCAGGCTGGAGACTAGATTAGTGAATTGAATGTAACCTAATCTGGAGGTTCTCAGAGAAGCAAACTTATCATTTGCAACACGGGGCCTGTTTTTCTGCATTAATCATCACTCTAGGTTTACTTGATAGGAAAGAGGCCTTCCTGGGGGAAGATAAATGAGTGTGTGTTTCTTCCAAAGGCAAGGCTCTGAATGAACGGGCGATATTGGTGAGTCCTTTTTAATTTTCTTCAAATACCACGTTTGTGCTTTATTTAATCCACTTTTGTTTCGTTTTGTTTTTTGAGACAAGTTCTGGCTCTGTCACCCAGTGGCACAATCAGCCAACTGGAGCCTCGACCTCCTGGTGAGCGATCTTCTCACCTCAGTCCCCCAAGTAGCTGGGACTACAGGCTGGCACCACCGCATCTGGCTATTCCACTGTCATTTTGGGGGGCATGTTGAAGCCTAGAAGCTGGGCATGGTGGCCTGTGGTCCCAGCTACTCGGGAGGCTGAGGTGGGAGGATCGCTTGAGCCCGGGAGGTCAAAGCTGCAGGGAGCTGTGATCGCGCCACTGCACTCCAACCTGGGAGACAAAGCCACCAGACGGTCAAAAAAAAGGCCGGGCGCGGTGGCTCACGCTGTAATCCTAGCCTTTGGGAGGTCGAGGTGGACGAATTGCCTGAGCTCAGGACTTCTAGACTAGCCTGGGCAATACGGTGAAACCCCATCTCTACTAAAATACAAAAAGTTAGCCGAGTGTGGTGGTGCATGCCTGTAATCCCAGCTTCTCGGGAGGCTGAGGTAGGAGAATTGCTTGAACCCGGGAGGCAGAGGTTGCAGTGAGCAGAGATCGCGCCGCTGCACTCCAGCCTGGGGGACAGAGCGAGACCCTGTCTCCAAATAAATAAATAAATAAATAAATAAATACAAATAAAATTAAATTAAAAAGGCGAAGTCTAATAAAAGTGTAAGATTTTAGAAATGCAATGGATCTAGAAGTTTCTTAAAATGGGACAGTACGGTGTCGTTGCTGTCGTTTGTTTCAAAGCAATACTGCCACCTGTTGGTATAAAAAGACAGCTTTATCTCAATGTTTTTTCTGAAAGTCTTAATGCTGGAATGAGGCCCAGATAACCATGGGCGGAAATTAAACTGATGTTAATTTAGTATTGACACTCTGCCTGTCCTTCCCAAACTTCCCCTAAAGACATAGCTCACAGGAGTCTTAAAATTATGCCATAAAATAAAATAGACGAAAGAGTATTACCAGTACCTTAGAAAGCTGGAATGGTTGACTTCTGTGTTTGCTTAAGAGAAACTTCCACTTTCATTGCCTCATTGTTCACTTTCATTCCACGTAAGATTTTAAGATCAAAAAACACTTTTTCGGCTGGGCGAGATGGCTCACTCCTGTAATCCCAGCACTTTGGGAGGCGGTCGGATCGCTTCAGCCCAGGACTTCTAGACCAGCCTGGGCAACATGGTGAAACCCCGTCTCTACAAACAACACAAAAGAAAAATTAGCAGGGCGTGGTGGTGCCCGCCTGTGGTCCCAGCTACTCATGGAGGCAGAGGCGGGAGGATCGCTTGAACCCGGGGGCTGCACTGAGCCATGATTGTGCCACTGCATTCCAGCCTGAGCTACAAAGCAAGACCTTGTCTCAAAAAAAAAAAAGGTAATAATAATAATAATACATATAAATAAATAAATAATTTCAAAAACAAAAAACCCTAATTTTTCCATTTTTATGGTAGAAAATTGTCCTAGTAAATCTCTCACTTAATAAAAGAAATGTGTATCATTATGTTTTGTATGTTTATTTGGCAAATCCTACCTTATTAATTGACTTCCATCATTCAGTTTTATATTTTTTATTGCTGAATGTAATAAAGTTTTATTTTATCATGCAAATAAATGCTTTACAAAATAACAATTAAGGCTGGTCTGAAGGCAGTGAGTTATCTCAATTGATTGTTCATAGTTACAGATTGAACTTGTTGTTCCACTCTTCCCTGCCTTCTCTCTACTGCACTTGACTAGTCTAAGTTTTTTCTTAATTTAAAAAGTAACAAGGGAAAATATTTTTTTCTGATAAAATACCAAAATTTTACGTTAACTATAACACGAATTATGTAACAGAGACCATAAATAAAAATAACATAGGAAATGTGTTCTGTGGGCATATGACAATTTTCTGTTTTAGTGCATTTTTCTCTTGTTTGTTTATTAATTTGCCAAGCATTTAATAGGAAGCTACTATATTTCAGCACTATGCTTGAAGCTGGGATTACAAAGATTAATGAGACACAGCCCCTGCTCATTGACATGTCCCATTGTAGGTGGGTAAGACAGATACCAAGACAGATCATTATAATACTTTCTAGAAAGTATAATTATAAAAATGTTCTGAAGACATGGGAGGGGTATCCCAATCCTGAGAGAGAAATGGAGAGGAGGGCAGCTTGGTTTCAGGGAAGCTGAGTCTTAAATTATGTGTAGGTGTTGGCTTAGCGAAGGATAGAGGTTGGGGGTGATGGGAGGGCTGGTGTGGACTTTGAAGTGTTTGTAAGATTTCCAGCTATAGCAGGAACTGGAAATGGAAGTCAGAAACAAAAGCATAGGTAAGAGTGTGAGATATAGACTTAGGACGTCACTCAGAAAGACTGTGTAGTAAGAGAAGACTCATGGGCTGGGGATGAACACCTGAGTAGGCAGAGGGAGGTTGGCTCACAAACAACCACCAGCAGCAAAAACCAAAGATTCCCAAAGAAAACCAAGCAAATTCAGCCATGGAATCCATGGGCACTCATCCACAGCCTTTGGACCAAGTTGGCCCAAATTTTCATTTTGTTTCCCTCACCAGTGTTTACAATATTTTTTAAAAATAGTTGCCAACAGTTAAGAATTGAGAGGTATCTCAAGAAATCTGCATTTCTAGCTTCCTTTGAAATATACAAGGCATAAAATGTTAGGTTGAGAGGAACATGAGCAGGTCTGTAGATACTAGAGGAGGGCTCAATGAAGAAGGTGAGGTTGAAGGTAAAGGAAAACAAGAAAAAGATTGATGAAGCCAATTGCAGAGGGAGCAGGAGGGAGTAGGTTCCCAGTGGTGATGAGGGCAGGAAGAACTTGCCCTCTGAGACTTGGGCAGAGGAGGCAGGCAACTTTGTAATGTGTATGAGTAGGATGATATAGGATGTTTTACTGACACTGCCAATTTTGTGAATAAAGTATGAGATGAGGTGGTCAACTGAGAGCCATTGAGAAGTGGGATGAAGAACCTGGTCAAAGACAAACAGGAAGGTTGACAAATTGCTCAGGGCTAGGCTGAGATTGAAAAGCACAAATGAATTGTATAGTAACTTTGTGCCAGTGTGCACTTGCAGCAGCAACACCAGAGTTTAGAATCAGAAAAGGTAGGTTGTAAAATTGATCATAAGTTTTGATCTTTCTGGTGAGGTAGTAATTTAGAATGAAGGGGTCTGGCCAGTGTAATGGAAGAAGAGAGGCTAAGAGGATCCTGTTAGACCTTAATGAAAGAACAAGTCAAGGAATTAGGAGTCTCTGTGAACAGATGGTTTGAAGGTAGAGACAGCAGAAAGGATAGGGGATAATCTGAGACCGGACAACTGGAGTTAGGATTTCTGAATTGGGGCATTTGGAGGATATTAAGATCCCAGATCAGCTCCTTGGATTAGGAGGCTGAAATGCAATGCAGCAAAGGAGACTCAGGAATTACAAAGCAATATTGCTCAGTGGCTATCTAAATAGAGGTTGAAATCTCTCAGGATTTGTGGTGGAGAAGATTTCTACGCAATGATGGACAGTGATCTGAAGGCAGTAGATGACAGCAGTGAAGAGGAGTAAAAGGGCGGTATACTTAGATGACATGAACATTAAGAAGAAGAGGGCAGGGACACCAACACTCATCGCAGGCTTGCAGATGCCTGCCCGGTAGTCCTGCTGAGCATGCATGCCTCCGTTGCCAAGGAGACCCATTCATTGCTGTCTCCACATACAAGGCAAGCTGAGGCCTGCTGTTCAAGATACTGAGGAGTCTGCTGTTTATCTCTAACCCTCATCTTAATCCACACAAGCCCTGCCGTGAGCTCTCCTGTGACATAGCCCTGTCCAGAGAGAATGTCAGCTTTCGCTGCCTGCCCGTGGGCTACCTGCTTCTTTTTGCCTGTCTCTGACTCTGTTCAAGTTGCAGCTCTAGCCACTAATGGACTGTCCTATCTCCTCTTTCTTCTGCCAGCAAGGTGATTGCAATGCCTGTTCGAATGTGTCTCTGGAGAAGAGCCAGGTGTCTTAAATGACACTGCTACAGCCTGAAGGGTCTGTAAGAATTGGGCTGTGGCAAAATTCATTTGGAATCTCATGTTAGGGATGGTGCAAGCTGTGAACAGTTAGTGACCCCTCTCCTCCCAGCTCTGCCCTGGCCTCAAACCAGGACTATCCAAGGGGAGGATCACTATCAATGGAGAAATCGAAGACAACCATAATAATGAGGCCTAATGAAAGAAGCCAAATATACTATATGTAGTTTATTTAAACTGTACATGGTATGCAATTTTTACAGTATTGTTTGCCATTTTTGTTAAATGTAATAAACTCTCCTTTTCTTCTAGAAATTGAAGCTTTACTTTTGGCACAACATATAAGCAGACACTTATGGTCTAGAGAGAGGGACAAATGGCAAACAGGAGTTAAAATTGAAGATGCCAGCACCCAGGGCTGTGCTATGCCCTTATCTCTTGAGCCTTGGAACAGAAGCTGAGTCAGCACTATTTCTCAGTTGCCTGTAGCAAGGGAGCTTCCCCATCAGCTGTTTAAAGACAAATAGAAAGGAAGAGAAAGGAAGCCTGCATTCCCTTGGGCTCCCTCTGCATATTTTAGGCATGAGTCAGCTCCCAGGGCTGGCATTTGTCCCTCCATTAACAGCTAAGTTCCCTATGTCTCCAGACAGACAGCTCTCGAAATAGCCAATGCCTGGGCAAATGACCTGCAAGTGGGAGGGGACAGTCAGAGAATGCCAGTTCTTGTTGATCCTGTGGGGTGGGAGTGGGGATGGACAGCTTTCAGCCTTCAGTTAAGATAGGAAGTGGAGGAGAACATTCTCCCCTGGTTCTCACTTTAGAGAGAAGAATCAATCCTTATGGCATTAACGTTTTGGATTTTTTGGTTTTAACATGTCTCAAACCTATCCACTCAATATAGCTCATTTTACTCCAGGGAAATTTTTAACATGTCATCTCAGCCAACCTACATTCACCTAGCAATACTTAGATAAATGTTATGGTATACACAGACAAGAAACTAGAACACAAAGCTAGGAAATTTTTTCATTTTCATTTTGTAATGTCTATTCTCTGCAATATGGAAAAAATTGCACCAGTTAGGTTTTCAGCCTAAAGCAGTGATTTGAAAACTTTATGTAAGAATCCGCTGAAAGTTTTTAAAAAGTTCTAATGCCAGGCCTCCCCCAAGCCAATCCTGTTAAAATCTATGGGGGTAAGCATCAATATTTCTAGATTTCCCCAGGTATTTCCCATGAACAGCCAAGGCAGAGAACCACTAATGAGTATCGTTTACACAAGTAATGACAGACAGGTGTCTCCATTGAATTCATGGTGTATTCATTGCCATTATCAGTTAGCCCTCTAAGAGTGTTGATTTGATTATCATGATGGTATTTATGGAGCCTAATACAATCATAATCATTGTGAAGCAAGCTAGGACAAGAGTCATGTGGGAGGCAGAGGTTTCATGAACCAGAGGGTAACTTCTATCAGTCATCAAACCTGAAGGAGCCCAAAGCATTGATCAAAGTCAGAGGTACTGGGCCCTGAATTCAGAGAAATGGAGGATGGAAGCAAAAGTAGTGGATCTGGTATAAATGGGGAGTAAGCCAGGGAAATTTTCTTGAATCATTTATCTCTGCAACTAGATCTTGTGGGCCAGATGCAATAGGATACTTGGGAGGGCCTGCTGTGTTTAAACAAAGAGGAACAACAGTAAATAAACTCCCAAATTCTTTTAGTCCCTGATGTGATGATTTTTAGAATGATTTTTTTTCTAGTCAAGAGATTATTATCCTTTTGTCAACAGAACAATCACATTCATTCATCAAATGTGTTGAGTGCTTTTTCTGTGCTAGGTATATCACTAGTTGCTAAGGATACAGAGATTAAATAAGAGACAATCTTATATCTGCCAGAATCCATAACCTAGATGTGGAAAAGGATGCATAAATTGAAATCTTTTAAATAAAATGTGGCAAAAAACTATGCCAGATCAAAGTTCCATGGATATAGTGTTAACTTTAACGATATTAAAGTTCATTGATTTCATTTTTCTTCTTCCATTTTCTATACTCTGGACTTGTGTTTTTTGCATATGATGTAAACTCATACTCTATGGGTTTGCCTTGTTTTTGTCATTTGGGAGAGGCACAGAGTGAGCTATAGGAAAGCTATGAAGGGGCTTGAAACTCACACCGTTATGATCAATTAGTGCAGTTTCAAAAAGCCCGGTCTTGAACATGCTTAGCTGGCTTGTCTTCTTAGCTCTTATGTAATCTTTAAGTCACTTAACTTCCTGAAGAGGAATTGAGTTTTCTTGTTGACCTGTAAAAATAGCAAAAATTATGACTTAATTGCAGAAAACTCCAGACTCTGACATTTGAAAGACTTATTTTTCCTACACGTATAAATCAAGGTTACCTGCTCTGAATTTTGTAGCCTTAGTATTCTAATAGGGTTCTTGTACAATTTTTGCTAAATAAAGCATTCAGACTCCATGACTGTTCAAAGCCATCTCTGATGGTAGTTGTACACCTTTGCCAAATATTAACCCATAAATACGGTCTCATTTTGTTTAACAAGAGAGAATAATGCATCTCCCTAAGTTTTGAACTCATTAATTCCCCAGGCATTCTAGCTAAAAAGCATACTTATTTTTTTCTTTGATAAGTCACATGCCTGTGTCTGTCAGTTCAATAATTTATATAGAACAGGGAGTTTTAAGCATGGTTATTTCACTGTTGATGATCATCAATAAATTCATCACATTGTGGGGGAATTTTCATAAAATTGCTTATATCTTGTCTTGATTATTTCTTACTTTGTGACTCAATGATTGGGAACCAGCTGTGAAAGTTGATCACACAAATTGGGTCATTCTTGTTATACTCAACTAAATCAGAGTTGAGGAACCAGGGGGAAAATGCACTCAGGGCATATCATATTGCTCCAAGAATGTAATTCTCTGCAAACCTGGCTGCCGAAACTGCCTGTTTTAACGTGAACCAGTTTTAATATAATAGCTACAGAAACAGCCTGCTGTAACTCTACAACTAGTTTCAGCCACCACCATCGTTCACCAACCAGAGCTTGCCAGCTATCCAAAACCTTACTAGTGCCAATGAAATTACTTTCAAAATAATATGTAACATTTGTCCTTTTTATAAAAGCCTCCAACCTTCTCTTTTTTCTTTGGACATACTAAAGGCCAGCCAGTCTGTGGGTATGTGCTGAATCCAATCTTTGCTTCCCAAATAAAATGTTTTAAATTTAGAGATTAGTCTTTATATTTTATCTGACTTCAACACAGCTATGGGCTGATCTGTAGAACTCAATATAGAAATCTACTGTCCTGGTCAAGACTGGTAGAAATACTCTCTTTACAAATCATATCTGTGTTAATTTTGAATCTGCAAGTGAGTAAAATAGGAATTTGCTCTCTCATCTCTTGGAAATTTGATCCAAATCTATAGACATTGTGGTCGGAGAACAGTGAATGCATGAAGAGAATGGTCCCATAAAGTTGAGATCGAGGAGCCATTTTTTGCCGTGAGCTTTCTAACGAGTAAGAAAAACTTGTCTTTAGAGAGAGACTGAAGAGTAGAGCAGACAGTACAGAGGTGAGGAGAGGAGAGGCTGTGTGACTCTGGAGAAATGAACGGGGAAAACCTCCTTGAACCTCACTCTAGTTTTCCAAGTCTTGTGAAGCCAGACTGGGCTTTTGGCTCTGTGCAATTCCTCTGTATCTTCTCAATAAACCCTTTGTATTCGTGTTTACTCAATGGGGATTCTATTCCATTCGCTAAAATAAGCCTGAAATTAAACCTGTTGTTTCATTGCATCTGCTTCATTCATATCTCTTATATTCGTTGCAGTTTTTTTTTCCAGACACCATTCTCCTATGGCCTTTTCCTATGGTTTCTCTCTCCTTTCCTTGGACAAAGTAGTTCCAGTTGCAGTTTTGACATAATAGAGGGACAGAAGGCCTTCCAGTCTATTCTGGAGGCATCTGGCACTGCTAGCTCACCTGGGGCCAGGCAGGGCTGCGGCCAGCCCATGATGTGCCTTTGTGTGTACTTTTAAAAGGTACCCCTTCCTCTAGGTGGACTAAGGCCCACACAGAGCATAGGGCTTTCAGGCAGAGCACAGGCTGAATTCAGCCACTCTTCTTCCTTGACTGGGCACCCTTGACAGGTATAATCTTCACAATCTTATGTGGTGGCCGAGTCATGGACCCATACATATCCTCCAGGCAGTTGAGAAAGAAAAAAAAATCCACAAATTAGAGAAAGTGACCCCAGCAGAGTCAATGTAGTCGCAAATGTCAGGCTAACAGGAAACAGCAAAAGCAATATACGTCCTCCTTCTTCTCTAAGTGCTGTGGCTGGTGGCCTTAAAAATATAGATTTTCCTTCTTTTCCAATAAACAAAAATTAAGGCCAGGTGCAGTGGCTCACACCTGTAATCCCAGCACTTTGGGAGATCAAGGTGGGTGGATCACAAGGTCAGGAGTTCGAGACCAGCCTGGCCAAAATGGTGAAACCCCGTCTCTACTAAAATACAAAAATTAGCTGGACATGGTGGTGTGCGCCTATAATCCCAGCTACTCAGGAGGCTGAGGCAGGAGAATTGCTTGAACCCAGGAGGTGGAGGTTGCAGTGAGCTGAGATCACGCCACTGCACTCCAGCCTGGGTGACAGAGTGAGACTCTGTCTCAAAAAAAAAAAAAAAAAAAGAAAAAGTAAAATACAAAAAGGAAGAAGAAAAGAATTACCTGCAGCTCCATCACCTAGGAACAATTTAAATACAGCTGTTATATGTAACTCTTTATTGCCTATCAAAAAAAGCTGCAAATTCCTTAGTGTGGGAGAGATACTCATTATAATCTGATCCCCATTCTGCTCTCCCACATCAGTCTCTCTCCAGTCACTCTCTCTTTGTAGACTCTTCAGTGCTGTTTTGTTTCAAAGCGAGCCTTTCATTTTTCAGCTCCTTTTTCTCACTCAAGTTTACATTTTATGCCTGTGTACATTTTTGCTGTCTGCCTGTTTATATTCAGAAGTTTTATAACACCTGTTGTAGTTTTAGGAGATTGTAATTAATAATTTCCTGTTTCCTCATTTGAGTTAAAAATCAATGTCAGATATATGTAGAGATCAGGCATACAGAAAGCGGAATATTACCTGAATTGGAAGAGATCTCGAACTTCAGGCCGTGTATGCTAGGCAGGACTCGCTCTCCAGGTCTAGGGGAAGTCCACTCCAGAAGGAGTTGAGCTATAGTGTTGATACATTTATGCAGAATCACTGCTTTACATCCACTGAGAAAGAGAGGGGAATCTTCTTACTGTTTGCAGGCTTTAAAAAAAAATGAGCATCACGTGTTAGTCTACCTTGCATTGCTATAAAGGAATGCCTGAGGCTGGGTAATTTATAAAGAAAAGAGGTTTATTTGGCTCATAGTTCTGTGTAAGAAGCATGATAACAGCATCTGCTTCGGGAGGGCCTCAGGAAGCTTCCATTCATAGTGGAAGACAAAGGGGAAGTGGACATATCACATGGCAGGAGAGAGGTAGTAAGAGAGGGAGGAGGAGGTCCCAGTCTCCTTTAAATAACCTAGCTCTCGTGTGAACTGCCAGAATGAGAGCTCACTCATTACCATTGGGATGGCACCAAGCCATTGATGAAAGATTTGCCCCCGTGACCCAAACACCTCTCACTAGGCTCATCTGCAACATTGGAGGTCACATTTGAACATGAGATTTGGAGGAGACACACACCCAAATTATATCACATCAGTAGGTGGCAATGAGGTCTGACTCAAGGACATGTGTAAACAAAGCTGGGACTTTCCTCAATATTTGTGGAGAGAAAAGCTAGAATGTGGGGGCATCTTGCTAATTTTTCAGGTAGAATCTCAGAGTCGT
This sequence comes from Homo sapiens, assembly GCF_000001405.40. Taxonomy (NCBI): domain Eukaryota; kingdom Metazoa; phylum Chordata; class Mammalia; order Primates; family Hominidae; genus Homo; species Homo sapiens. The sequence continues at coordinate 7,094,388 of NC_000007.14, read as the reverse complement.
TGTAATTAGGGTGTTAAAGGAAATGTGGTAAGCAGAAGAGAGATGGTCTATGAGAGAAACTTACTATTATATAAACATTCATACTTAAACATATGTTAAAATTATGACAAGATATAAAACATAAACCAGCACTATATAAACAGATTGTTCATAAAAACAACTCTAGGAATGTGTTTGATTCTTTTACTGTATATTTTTGAGGCATTTTTGTTTTGATATATTACAAATAAATTATAGAGAATAATATAAATGACTCCCATATACTTATTACACAGCTTGATTGAAGCTCCTGTGTGAAATTTTGAAAATATAGTTTAAATATAAAATGCAGCTTCAAAAAAATTCCCAAACACATCAACAATTCATGTTCCTCCAAATACACTTTGGGGATCGTGAGCATTGGGTTATGTGGCCAGCAGCCTCTGCGAGGACTCCCAGTGATGCCTGCTGCCTGGCATTTACACCTTTGCATAACCTCCCCACCTTCAGTGTGGGCTGAGGCTTTTGAAAGTGAAGTCTTATTGGAACACAGCTACACCCATTTGTTTACATGTTGCCCACTGCTACAATGGCAAAGTTGAGTTGTTTCAACAGAGACATACATGGCCAGCAGAGCCTAATATATTTACTCTCTGGCCCTTTGCAGAAAAGGTTTTGCTGACCTTTCTAACTCATTATTCCTAATGGCTAGCCATGGCTTCCCAGGAGCTCATTAAGCTATTAAAACGCCAGTGAATCTGTATATTCTACAAGCTTAACTGCCGTGTGAATGAATATGGCTCAAATATAAATTTTCAAATATACGTTGTCAAAAACAAAATACAAATTAATTTCAAAGCATTAGAGGATTTATGGTAGCTTTTACTCTTTATGTATTTTTTTCAGCTAGGGGATAAAACAAAATAACAATTTATATAATTTATATCACATGGAGTCCTGTGAAATGTTTTTGCATTATGTGCTTCACTTTTTTTTCTTTTAATGATTGTAAACGATTGATCTAGTTAGACTCTATGGGCCAAGATTACCTTAATGAAACATAGATATCTTAGTCAATTTAAATATTTGAGATTAGTTATACCATGTATGTGGTCATTGATTCCCAGGGCCAAATTCTATTTTACACTAAATATGATGGGTGAAAAATAATAGCTTGAGACCATTAAGATGCAACACTAATAATAATAATTTCCTGAACACTTAGCTTGTGCCAGACACTGTCCTAAGTGTTTTTCATGAATTTACTCCTTTAATCATCGTAACATCATGTGGAGTTATCAGGACATAAAGCCACATGTTAGATTCAGGTTTAGAAACTTATTAATGTTTTAATTTTACAATTTAAAATATTATAGGCCGGGCACAGTGGCCCACACCTGTAATCCCAGCACTTTGGGAGGCTGAGGTGGGCAGATCACTTGAGCCCAGGAGTTCCAGACCAGCCTGGGCAACATGATGAGACCCTGTCTCTACAAAAAATAAAAAATTAGCCAGGTGTGGTGTTGTGCACCTGTAGTCCTAGCTACTCAGGAGGCTGAGGCAGGAGGATCCCTTGAGCCTGGGAAGTCAAGGCTGCAGTGAGCAGTAATACTGTCATTGCACTCCAGCCTGGGTGACAGAGTGAGACCGTGTCTCTAAAAAATAATAATTTTGTTTAAAAATTAAAAACAATTTGTCTTATTAGCTTATATAAAAGGGACCACATTAATCTTAGTCGTTATCTCAAAAAAAAACAAAATTGTTCTCTCTTGTGATGGCTTTTTGGAGAAAAAAGAAAGAAGAGAAAAAGAAAAAATCACACCTTAACTGGCATACATTTTATTAATATGATTTAGCAAAGTTCGACAACAGAAGAGTCCTCATTTTTTTTATAGTGAAAAGAAGGAAATCACACAAGAGGAAAACTGCCATGACTTATACAGAGGAGTTACAGAGTTAAATTTATTCATAACATATTAGGTTTGTTTGGTGGTGGTTGTTGTTGTTTTTGAGACAGGGTCTCACTCTGTCACCCATGCTGGAGTGCAATGGCGCAATCTCAGCTCACTGCAGCCTCGACTTCTCAGCTCACACAATCTTCCCACTTCAGCCTCCCAAGTAGCTGGGACCACAGGTGCACACCACCATACCTGGCTAATTTTCGTATTTTTTGTATAGATAGGGTTCTGCCATGTAGCCCAGGCTGGTCTGGAACTCCCAGGCTCAGATGATCTACCTACCTCAGCCTCTCAAAGGGCTTAGATTACAGGCATGAGCCACCATGCCTGGCCAGTTTTGTCTTTACTTAATCAAGTTTTAGTACCATTTCCATTACATCACCTACTCAAAATAAGATATTTACATCAACTGTTTATCAATAAAGTATCTGTAGTTTCTACGTCACTCTTTTGCCTTCAAGTTTCCTTAGCTGATTCCTTTTTAACCAAGAATGGACAAAAAACAAACAAACAAAAAACCCCAGAAATATAATTTTTTAGCTCCTCTTTTTTTTTTCTGTAAGAAAAGGAAGGTGTGTTTTAAAATTCCATGATAGTTACTGATATTTTCTTAATTTTTCCAGAAGTGAGAAGCTGAGGCAAGAGGAGGCCAAGTAACTTGTATGAAGTTGTATGATCACCAAGAAGCAGAAATCAGAGTAGGCTCTTGACCTATGCTGCCTCTTATCATGTACAGGAAGATTTTATTCTGAACCCTTAAGGATATAGCTAAGAGATTTTTTAATGTTACCATCGAGACTTCAATGTCAGGTTTGGGGAGGAAATCAAGAAGAGATATTTCATAATAAATGGTACGACTGAAATAAAATTGCAGTTGCATCCTGCAGTAAAATTAGAGTATACGAATTATTTTCCATTCTGGTTTTGGCTGCTTATCCTTTAGTCATTCTTTCCAGGGCCATTCTGTGTAGGTTAGGCTTCCTCAGCGAAAGCAGAGGGTCGTGGTGGGGAAAACATAGGCTCTATATTCAGATAGACTTGGGGGTAGGTGGGAGTCCTGGATCCACACTTAATACTTCTGTATCATTTACAAGTGATTCATTTGGCATCTGTTTCTTTCATTTGTAATGTGAAGAGATACCTATTTCTGAAAGTTGTTTGAAATTTAAATGGGATTGTGGTCCTGACTGTTAATAAATACGTATTTCCCTTCGTTTAGTGCTGTGCTTCAAAGTTACCTATGCTTATTAAGTACACTCATGCTTGTGTGTACGTTATGTTGTACGAGTCTGTCATAAGGAGTATTTTTTCTTTCTCGACTAAAGGAGTCTTTTGAGAACTACTTGCTTAGGGCATAGAACTTGAGGGCTGGAAGTATCAGCTTGAATCATATGAAATAGCTGATTTTTGACGATTTTTGAACCAAACAAATCCCATTTTCATCTGGGCCAATATTATACCTTAGGAAAACACAAAAGAGGGTAGCTATATGGTCAAATGTCGTACTACTAGCTAATTATAAAACTGCACATAAAACTTGGTGGTCTTGGTTAATGGCTAATATATATATATAGATTTTATTTAAGACTGGTCTTATTGCCAATCAAGTACCAATAAGGTGTTGCATTGAATATTTGCAAACCTGCTTAGTGCTTGGCTCCTCTGCTGGGTGTCAGCTATAAAAAGGTGAAGAAGAGTTTGGAGCTGTTTGTGAGCCACAGATATGAGCACAGCCACAATATTCCAAGGCCCAGATGTCAGCTCTATTGGATGTTCTAAGTGCTGTAGGTGCAACCAGGAAGGAGTGATTAGTTTCCCTAGGAACAAATGGGAAGGACTGGTTCATTCTATTAATACTTTACATGTGATGAGTCTTGCTCTAGCTAAGCCCTCTTATCATGTATCTCATTCAGCAAATACTCGTGGAGCACCATCTGTATGACAAACATTGTGGAATGTTGGTAGTAGGATAATAAAAATGAACATTTATAGAATACTTAGACTATGCCAGGTACCATTCTATGGACTTCACAGATATTAATTAATTGAATTTCCACAATAACCCTAAGAAAGTAATATCATATTGTCATCATATCATTTTTATACATGAGAAACTGTTAAGTAACATGGCCAAAATTATATAGCTGGTAAGTAGGGAAGGCAGCATGTAAGCCAGGAAGGCTGCCTCTATAGCATGTGCTCATAACTGTGCTATGTGACCTATTTACTTAAAAAGGTGAATAATGTCATTCTCAAAGTATATAGAGCTAAGGAGAGAGGTATGATGAAAGGGAGATAATAATCATTATGATGAATCTTTTCATTAAAAAGTTGAAGTGAAGACACCTCTCTTTTCATAAAACATTAAAGTAACTTCTCAAAAACCTGACCTGGAGTGTGGACCTTTCAAGAGACAGCCTGGGGAGTCAGAGAGCCAGGTCCTTGTCCTTCCAGGGAACTTTAAAGCATGAAGATGCTTAAACTCATCAAAAAGTTAAATGTAGAGTTCCCACATGACCCAGAAATTATTTTCCTAGGTATGTAGCCAAGAGAAACAAAAATATGCATTCACACAAAACTTACACATAAATGTTCATAGTAGTATTATTCGTAATCATAAAAAATTAGCATGTGCCTATCAATAGATAAATGGATAAACAAAATTAGCATCTACATACAATGAAATATCATTTAGTCTTAAAAACGAATGAGGGGGCTGGCAAGACGGCCAAATAGGAACAGCTGCGATCTGCAGCTCCAAGCGAGATCAATGCAGTTGGCAGGTGATTTCTGCATTTCCAACTGAGGTACCCAGCTCATCTCACTGAGACTGGTTAGACAGTGGGTGCAGCCCATGGAGGGTAAGCAGAAGCAGGGTGGGCCATCACCTCACCTGGGAAGTGCAAGGGGTCCAGGAACTCCCTCCCCTAGCCAAGGGAAGCCATAAGGGACTATGCCACGTGGAACAGTGCATTCAGGCGCAGATACTACACTTTTTCCACTGTCTTCGCAACCTGCAGACCAGGAGATTCCCTCAGGTGCCTGCCTACACCACAAGGGCCCTGGGTTCCAAGCACAAAACTGGGCGGCCCTTTGGGCACACACCAAGGTAGCTGCAGGAGTTTTTTTCATACCCCAGTGGGGCCTGGAACACCAGCGAGACCGAACCATTCACTTCCCTGGAAAAAGGGCTGAAGCCAGGGAGCCAAGTGGTCTAGCTCAGTGGACCCCACCCCCATGGAGCCCAGCAAGCTAAGACCCACTGGCTTGAAATTCTCACTGCCAGCACAGCAGTCTACAGTTGACCTGGGATGCTCCAGCTTGGTGGAGGAAGGGGTGTCTGCCATTACTGAGGCTTGAGTAGGTGATTTTCCTCTCACAGTGTAAACAAAACTGCTGGGAAGTTCAAACTGGGTGGAGCCCACTGCAGCTCAGCAAAGCTGCTGTAGTCAGAATACCTCTCTAGATTCCTCCTTTCTGGGCAGGGCTCCTGAAAGAAAGGCAGCAGCCCCAGTCAAAGGCTTATAGATAAAACTCCCATCTCCCTGGAACAGAGCACCTGGGGAAGGTGCAGCTGTGGGCGCAGCTTCAGCAGACTTAAACATTCCTGCCTGCTGGCTCTGAAGAGAACAGCGTATCCCCCAGCAAAGTGCTCAAACTCTGCTGAGGGACAGAATGCCTCCTCAAGTAGGTCTCCGACCCCCATGCCTCCCAACTGGGAGACATCTCCCTGCAGGAGTCGACAGACACCTCATACAAGAGAGCTCCAGCTGACATCTGGCGGGTGCCCCTCTGGGATGAAGCTTCCAGAGGAAGGAACAGGCAGCAATATTTGCTGTTCTGCAGCCTCCACTGATGATACCCAGGCAAACTGTGTCTGGAGGGGACCTCCAGCAAACTCTAGCAGACCTGCAGCAGAGGGGCCCGACTATTAGAAGGAAAACTAACAGAAAGGAATAGCATCAACATCAACAAGAACTTGCACACAAAAACCCCATCTGAAGGTCACTAGCATCAAAGACCAACAGTAGATAAATCCATGAAGATGAGGAAAAACCAGGGTAAAAAGCTGAATATTCCAAAAACCAGAATGCCTCTTCTTCTCTAAAGGATCACAACTCCTTGCCAGCAAGGGAAGTAAACTGGATGGAGAATGAGTTTGACGAATTGACAGAAGGAGACTTCAGAAGGTGGGTAATAAGAAACTCCTCTGAGCTAAAGGGGCATGTTCTAACCCAATGCAAGGAAGCTAAGAACCTTGAAAAAATGTTAGAAGAATTGCTAACTAGAATAACCAGTTTGGAGAAGAATATAAATGACCTGATGGAGCTGAAAAACACAGCATGAGAACTTCGTGAAGCATAAACAAGTATGAATAGCTGAATCAATCAAACAGAAGAAAGGTATCAGAGATTGAAGATCAACTTAATGAAATAAAGCATGAAGACAAAATTAGAAAGAAAAAAAATGAAAAGGAATGAATGAAGCATCCAAGAAATATGGGACTATGTGAAAAGACCAAACCTACATTTGATTGGTGTACCTGAAAGTGATGGGGAGAATGGAACCAAGTTGGAAAACACTCTTCAGGATATTATCCAGGAGAACTTCCCCAACCTAGCAAGACAGGCCAACGTTCAAGTTCAGGAAATACAGAGGATACCACAAAGATACTCCTTGAGAAGAGCAACCCCAAGACACATAATCCTCAGATTCATCAAGGTTGAAGTGAAGGAAAAAATGTTAAGGGCAGCCAGAGAGAAAGGTTGGGTTACCCACAAAGGGAAGCCCATCAGACTAACAGCAGATCTCTCTGCAGAAACCCTACAAGCCAGAAGAGAGTGGGGGCCAATATTCGACATTCTTAAAGAAAACAATTTTCAACCCAGAACTGCATATCCAGCCAAACTAAGCTTCATAAGTGAAGGAGAAATGAAATACTTTACAAACAAGCAAATGCTGAGAGATTTTATCACCACAAGGCCTGCCTTACAAGAGCTCCTGAAGGAAACAGTAAACATGGAAAGGAAAAACCGGTACCAGCCACTGCAAAAACATACCAAATTGTAAGGACCACTGACACTATGAAGAAACTGCATCAACTAATGGGCAGTATAACCAGCTAGCATCATAATGACAGGATCAAATTCACACATAACAGTGTTAACCTTAAATGTAAATGGACTAAATGCCCCAATTAAAAGACACAGACTGGAAAATTGGATAACGAGTCAAGACTCATCAGTGTGCTGTATTCAGGAGACCCATCTCACATGCAAGGACACACATGGGCTGAAAATAAAGGGATGGAGGAATATTTACCAAGCAAATGGAAGGGAAAAAGGCAGGGATTGCCATCCTAGTCTCTGATAAAACAGACTTTAAACCAACAAAGATCAAAAAAGATAAAGAAGGGCATTACATAATGGTAAAGGGATCAATGCAACAAGAAGAGCTAACTATACTAAATATATATGCACCCAATACAGGAGCACCCAGATTCACAAAGCAAGTTCTCTACAAAACTCTCCACCCCAAATCAACAGAATATACATTCTTCTCAGTACCACATTGCACTTATGCTGAAATTGACCACATAATTGGAAGTAAAAAATGCCTCAGCAAGTACAAAATCATGGAAATCGTAACAGTCTCTCAGACCACAGTGCAATCAAATTAGAACTCAGGATTAAGAAACTCACTCAAAACCACACAATTACATGGAAACTGAACAATCTGCTCCTGAATGACTACTGGATAAATAACGAAATTAAGGTGGAAATAAATAAGTTCTTTGATACCAATAAGAACAAAGACACAACGTACCAGAATCTCTGGGACACAGGTAAAGCAGTGTTTTGAGGGAAATTTATAGCACCAAAAGCCCATAGGAGAAAGTGAGAAAGATCTAAAATCGACACCCTAGCATAACAATTAAAAGAACAAATTTTGTTCTTTTGCAAAGAGCAAACAAATTCAAAAGCTAGCAGAAGACCAAAAATAACTAAGATCAGAGCAGCACTGAAGAAGATAGAGACATGAAAAATCCTTAAAAAATCAGTGAATCCAGGAGCTGATTTTTTGAAAAGATTAACAAAATAGACCACTAGCCAGACTAATAAAGAAGAAAAGAGAGAAGAATCAAATAGACACAATAAAAATAATAAAGGGGATCTCACCACTGATCCCACAGAAATACAAACTACCATCAGAGAATACTATAAACACCTTTATGCAAATAAACTAGAAAATCTAGAGGAAATGGATAAATTACTGGACATATACACCCTCTCCAGACTAAACCATGAAGAAGTCAAATCTCTGAATAGACCAATAACAAGTTATGAAATTGAGGCAGTAACTAATAGCCTACCAACAAAAAAAGCCCAGGACCAGACAGATTCACAGCCAAACTCTACCAGAGATAAAAAGAGGAGCCAGTACCATTCCTTCTGAAACTATTCCAAACAATAGAAAAAGAGGGACTCCTCCCTGATTCATTTTATGAGGCCAGCATGATCCTGATACCACAACCTGGCAGAGACACAACAAAAAAAGAGAATTTCAGGCCAATATCCCTGAAGAACATTGATGTGAAAATCCTCAATTAAATACTGGCAAACTGAATCCAGCAGCACATCAAAAAACTTACCCACCACGATCAAGTTGGCTTCATTACTAGGATGCAAGGCTAGTTCAACATACACAAATCAATAAATATAATTCAACACATAAACAGAACCAACAACAAAAACCACATGATTATCTCAATAGATGCAGAAAAGGTCTTCGATAAAATTCAACACACCTTCATGCTAAAAACTCTCAGTAAACTAGGTATTGATGGAATGTATCTCAAAATAATAAGAGCTATTTATGACAAACCCACAGCCAATATCATACTGAAAGGGCAAAACCTGGAAGCATTCCCTTTGAAAACCGGCACAAGACAAGGTTGTCTCACCACTCCTGTTGAACATACTGTTGGAAGTTCTGGCCAGGGCAATCAGGCAAGAGAAAGAAATAAAGCGTATTCAAATAGGAAGAGAGGAAGTCAAACTGTCTCTGTTTGCAGATTTGCAGATAACAAGATAGTATATTTAGAAAACCCGATCGTCTCAGCCCCAAGTCTCCTTAAGCTGATAAGCAACTTCAGCAAACTCAAGATATAAAAATCAGTGTGCAAAAATCACAAGCATTCCTATACACCAATAACAGACAAACAGCCAAATCATGAGTGAACTCCAGTTCACAATTGCTACAGAGAATAAAATAACAAGAAATCCAACTTACAAGGGATGTGAAGGACGTCTTCAAGGAGAACTACAAACCACTGCTCAAGGAAATAAGAGAGGACACAAACAAATGGAAAAACATTCCATGCTCATGGATAGGAAGAATCATTTTTGTGAAAATGGTCATACTGCCCAAAGTAATTTGTAGATTCAATGCTATCCTCATCAAGCTATCATTGACTTTCTTCACAGAATTGGAAAAAACTACTTTAAAGTTCATATTGCAACCAAAAAAGAGCCCATATAGCCGAGACAATCCTAAGGAAAAAAAAACAAAGCTGGAGGCATCATGCTACCTGACTTCAAACTATGCTATAAGACTACAGAACCCAAACAGCATGGTACTGGTACCAAAACAGATATATAGACCAATGGAACAGAAGTGAGGCCTTAGAAATAATGCCACTTATCTACAACCATCAGATCTCTGACAAACCTGACAAAAACAAGAAATGGGGAAAGGATTCCCTATTTAATAAATGGTGCTGGGAAAACTGGCTAGCCATATGCAGAAAACTGAAACTGGACCCCATCCTTACACCTTATACAAAAGTTAGCTGAAGATGGATTAAAGACTTAAATGTAAGACCTAAAACCATAAAGACCCTAGAAGAAAACCTAGGCATTACCATTCAGGCCATAGGCATGGGCAAAGACTTCATGTCTAAAACACCAAAAGCAATGGCAACAAAAGCCAAAATTGACAAATGAGATTTAATTAAACTAAAGAGCTTCTGCACAGCAAAAAAACTATTATCAGAATGAATAGGCAACCTACAGAATGGGAGAAAAATTTTGCAACCTATCCATCTGACAAATGGCTAATATCCAGAATCTACAGGAACTTAAACAAATTTACAAGAAAAAAAAAACCCTATCCAAAAGTGGGTGAAAAATACGAACAGACACTTCTCAAAAGAAGACATTTATGTGGCCAAAAAACATACGAAAAAATGCTCATCATCAGTGATCATTAGAGAAATGCAAATTAAAACCACAATGAAATACCATCACACACCAGTTAGAGTGGTGACCATTAAAAAGTCAGGAAACAACAGATGCTGGAGAGGATATGGAGAAATAGGAATGCTTTTACAGTGTTGGTGGGAGTGTAAATTAGTTCAACCATTGTGGAAGACAGTGTGGCAATTTCTCAAGGATCTAGAAACAGAAATACCATTTGACCCAGCAATCCCATTACTGGGCATATACCCAAAGGAGTGTAAATCATTCTAGTATAAAGACACATGTACACGTGTGTTTATTGCAGCACTGTTCACAATAGCAAAGACTTGGAACCAACCCAAATACCCATCAATGATGGACTGGATAAAGAAAATGTGGCACATGTACACCATGGAATACTATGCAGCCATAAAAAAGGATGAGTTCATGTCCTTTGCAGGGATATGGATGAAGCCAGAAACCATCATTCTCAGCAAACTAACACAGGAACAGAAAACCAAACACCGCATGTTCTCACTTATAAGTGGGAGTTGAGCAATGAGAACACATGGACACAGGGAGGGGAACATCACACCCCGGGGCCTGTCTGGGGGTAGGGGGGTAGGGGAGGGATAGCATTAGGAGAAATATCTAATGTAGATGACAGGTTGATGGGTGCAGCAAACCACCATGGCACGTGTATACCTATGTAACAAACCTGCACATTCTGCACATGTATCCCAGAACTTAAAGTATATTTTTAAAAAAAAGGAATGAAATACTGACATATGCTACAACATGGTTGAAACTTCAAAATATTATGTCAAGTGAAAGAAACCAATCACAAAAGGTTACATATTGTATTGTTCTATCTATATGAAGTGTCCAGAATAGACCAATTCCAAGATACAGAAAGTAGGTTAAAATGTCCGGAAATTGAGTCACTCTAAAGAGACATAAAGGAGATTGCCTGGGACTGTGGGTCAGGTGTGAGACTGGAGAATGAGGAGTGACTCTTAAAGTGTATTGGTTTCTTTTTTGGAGTGCTGAAAATGTGTTAAAATTTAAAAAAAGCAATGACAGAAATAAACACAGACACATACACACACACACACACACACACGTACATACACACACTACCAGATGCCTGGGCCACACTGCAGAGCTGCAGATTCCTAATATATAGAGATATATTTAAGAATCATTGCCAAGGATGAGAACCAAGATAACATTTAAAATTTTTATTTATAGAGTTTTGATTGGAAGGTCCATTTTTTTACACTAGCCTCACCTAAAAATGATTAAGTATTCATATTTTTATATAATAAATATAGCAACAGTAAGAAATAATTTTAAAATATTTGTAAGTATTTTCATATAAATTTAAATCTCATCCCACCCCAAGCCCTGTGAGGTTAGAATGGTGGGAGACCTCCGTGGGGGAGGAGGGAGGCATGTGACTCTGCTCTTCACCTCTGGAGACGTGGGCCCAGGTGCTAAGACCTCAGGTGCTGAGTGCCAAATAATTGTATTTTCAGTTCATGGCACATTATCATTATATGTCCATGCGATATCGGGAGGCCTCTCTTGTTTTGTCTATTCCTGTTTATTTACAATGCTCCATACATAACCATTCTCAAATGTTTAACATCTTTTTGTTTGTATTCTTGCATAATGTGTACCATTTTGTGTGCTAAATTTCTAATATGTAGAAATTTATGTAAACGTTTCTAAGTTATGTATCTCATCTTTTATTTATGCCTGGTTTGCTACTTTGGAAGGAATGAGGAGCTATCAGAGCCCTGCAATGAACATTCATTTATTACATTTTTAATGAAATGGCTACTATATGCACCTCTGTAATAAGGAGGAAGGCAGTATGACAATGTGGCAAAGAGCTCTGGCTCTGGGTTCTGAATGCCAGGGTTCGAATTCTCACTCCTCCATTTACTAGCTTCTTGGGCTTGGACAGATTACTTGGGCCTGTTTGCTTTTGATTTAATCACCTGTAAAGTGTGAATACTTTCTCTTTTTTTTTCTTTTTTCCTGAGACGAAGTCTCACTCTGTCGCCAGGCTGGAGTGCAGTGGCGCGATCTTGACTCACTGCAACCTCCACCTCCAGGTTCAAGCAATTCTCCTGCCTCAGCCTCCTGAGTAGCTGGGACTACAGGCATGCACCACCATGCCCAGCTAATTTTTGTATTTTAATAGAGATGGGGTTTCACCATGTTGGCCAGGCTGGTCTCAAACTCCTGACCTCAGGTGATCTGCCCGCCTCGGCCTCTCAAAGTGCTGAGATTACAGGCATAAGCCACTGCACCCAGCCAAGTGTGAATTCTTTAGCACACATCTCAGAGGCGGTTATAAGGATTAAATATCCAGGGGGGAGAGGATGATATTACTCCCAATATCGCAGGGGGTGTAAATACCTTTTTCTATCTGTCCTGATCTCCTTGCTCATAGGCTGTCACATGGAATCTTCTGGGGAGCTGTTCTTCATATTTTCCAGCCCCAATACCCTTTTTACAAAATTGGGTAGCTGTTAATACATTGATACTTGGGCACAGAGTTGGCATTCAATAAGTAGCTGTTAAGTAAATGAATCAAAAGAAGTGCAAGATACAAGATACATGGTCCCTTCTGTCAAAGAGTTTATAAATCAAGTATGAATGATAATACCTGAAACTACTTTAAAAAATCTATGTAAAGGGCCGGGTGCTATGGCTCATGCCTGTAATCCCAGCAGTTTGGGAGGTAGAGGCAGGTGGATCACCTGAGGTCAGGAGTTCAGGCATGTTGAAACCCCATCTCTACTAAAAATACAAAAAGTAACTGGGTGTGGTGGTGCACTCCTGTAATCCCAGCTACTCAGGAAGCTGAGGCAGGGGAATCACTTGAACCCGGAAGGCAAAGTTTGCAGTGAGCTGAGCTCATGCCACTGCACTCCAACCTGGACGGCAGAGTGAAGAAACTCTGTCACAAAAAAACAAAAAACAAAACAAATCTATGTAAACACCATGATATGTGACATGTCAGGGTAAGAGGAACAACTAATAAATTTTGTAGACATTCAGTAAATGGAGAGAAAGGTTTTTGGAGATGAGGAGCTTGAGCTAGACCTTGTATGTGTGCTATTAGAAGCTTTCTGGGCTGGACACATATAAAAACTGCCCTTTGATGCTAATAGTATTAAAATTCTGTCTCCTCAGAAGCAGACTGCCTATTGCTTTCGCTTTTAAAGAGATTTAGATCCAAGCATTCCATTATGCAAGCCATAGAAAGACCGTTTTATGTGAAGATGCACTTTGATTGCACTTTCCTCTATCTACATTTTATTGTAGTTAGTTGTTTAGAGCTCTCTCTGTGTAGAGTGTGGGATCCTTGAGGTCCTTAAGGGAAGGGACCTTGCTTGCCCTCTTTATCCCCTGCATACTTTGCGTAAAGGAGGCACTCCACAAATGTTTACTGAATAAATGCTACACTCCTAATGGGTAAGAATGTGTCATATTATTCTTTGTTTTCTTATGTGCACTGAAACGAATTGTTTCTTGAGATTGGTTCTTAGAATATTTATTCAGTTTTCACTGATTCTTTTGCTACAGGTTAGCTAACCATGTAGCAGATGCTTGAGTTTCACCTTTCTCCAGTCCAGCAGAATTATATTTTGATGACCTCCATTTTGATGCTTGTAGACCAGCTCTAATCCAAAGATTGATCTTTAGGTAACAGATGGAGAGTGATAAGGATAACTTCTGTGAAGACAAACCCATGCACACATCCTGTTGTCCGAATAATGTTTAAATGAATCCTTCTGCTCCCAAGCCATCAACTTGCCCCTTAACACACATCTTTCTAGAGCCCAAATTTGAGCTCCTTGTAGAAGATCTTTGCCCTCTTCACTCTCCAGGCCTTCCTAATTAACGTCTTCTCAGAGTTTACCTTCTCTCTGTCTTAATCATTAGTTAAAAGAAAAAGTGGCTGGTGTAGCATCTGGGGATACATTGCCACACCCATTTCCTTCTCTATGATCAGGATTTCCAATTTCCAAGCCTGATGGGCTCTCCCAGCTGGAACAGGATCTACAGGTCTTTGATCTGGAAACTAAGACTAGAGAAGTCTTAAGAGATGACTTCTCAGGTGAGGAAGGCAGAATCAATCAGATGGAATTAGTAGGGAAGTAAAGTTCAATTGTTGAGCCAAGTTGTAGCTGCTTTGGCACTCAGAATGAAGAGTTCTGTGTGTGTCCCAGCATGGAGAGTTATTTTCTTTTTCCTTCAGTTAGGTTGACCCTTTCCATTTGTTTAGGACCTGTGCACATGTTGTACTGGACCGCTAATCAAGTTGCTTATCTAAAATTCTTTCAAACTCTTTCCCTATTATCTCCTTAACTGGTGTCTTCTTACTTTGCTAAAGATGTCCGCTGTTTTACCTCACTGCTCCTGTTCATGCCCTTACTTCTGCTGTTGAGATTTTGAGCCTGTTTTTCAGCATAAATAAACTTTTCTTGTCCTTGTAGATATTACATTGTTCAGTTTTCTCATCTGAGTTTTCTTTTCCTAAGCACAGGGTACAGATTACATTTGTATCTTCTATTTATATATTGTATCAGATGGAGAGACCAGAGAACAAGCTGTTGATTCCTAAGGAGAAAATTTCAGAAGAAGTACATTCATGCAAAGTGATAGTAGGAAGACTCAAACACAATATTACCTAAGTTCCTGAGACTAGAGAAGTGTATAAGTCTGAGGACAGATTAGAAAGGCTTCAGGAAATTCTAAGGAAATTCCTGTACCTGGAGAGTTTAGGCAAATAACAATCAGCAAAGAAGCCTTCACCAGTGAGAAGAACAATGAATGTAATAAACCTGAAAAAAGCTTCAGTCTGGACTCTACTATTGATGCAGATCAGAAAGTTCTTAGAATACAGAACACTGATGATAATGATAAGAACGACATGAGCTTCAGCCAGAATTCAGCCTCTGGTAAACATGAACACATAAATCTAACACAGGATTTTCAGAGTAGTATATGTAAGGAAAGCTTAATGGATCTCTCCCTCCTTAATAAATGGGACAGCATCCCTAACACTGAGGAATCCTATAAATGTGATGTATGTGAGAAAGTTTTCCATCAGAGCTCAGCCCTTACTAGACATCAGAGAATCCATACTAGAGAGAAGCCCTACAAATGTAAAGAATGTGAAAAGCGTTTCAGTCAGAGCTCGAGTCTTAGTCGACATAAAAGAATACACACTAGAGAAAAACCTTACAAATGTGAAGCATCTGATAAATCCTGTAGTCCAAGCTCAGGCATAATTCAACACAAGAAAATTCACACCAGAGCCAAAGCTTACACATGTAGCAGTTGTGAAAGAATCTTCAGTCATAGTGTCCACCTTACTCAACATCAGAAAATTCACAAAGAGATGCCCTGTAAGTGTACTATATCTGGCAGTGACTTCTGCCATCCTTCATATCTGCTTGAACATCAGAGGGTCCACCATGAAGAGAAATCCTATGAATATGATGAATATGGGTTGGCCTATATTAAACAAGGAATTCATTTCAGAGAAAAGCCCTATACATGTAATGAATGTAGAAAAGACTTCAGATTGAATTCACATCTTATTCAGCATCAAAAAATTCACACAGGAATGAAACTGCATGAGTGTAATGAATATGGAAAAGCTTTCAGTCAAACCTCATGCCTTATTCACCATCAAATAATGTATAGGAAAGAGAAATCATATAAATGTAACGAGTATGAGGGCAGTTTCAGTCATAGCTCAGACCTTATCCTGCAACAAGATGTCCTCACCAGACAGAAAGTCTTTGATTGTGATGTACGGAAAAAGAACTCCAGTCAGAGAGCACACCTGGTTCAATATCGGAGCATTCATACCAAAGAGAACTCATGAATATAACGAGGGTGAGAAGACATTTAGTCTAGTCAAATTCAGGCTTCATTCAACATCCGGGAGTTCACACCAGGGAGAAATCATGTACGTACTGCATGTGGTAAAGCCTTCAGTCATAGCTCAACCGTTACTCAGCATCAGATAATTCAATTTTCATGCTATTAATAATTTCATACCTTAGTCACATTTGGAGAATTCGTATGGGAATAAAATTCCATTACTGCAATGAATGTGAAAAAGCCATCAGTCAAAGAAACTACCTTGTTTAGTATCAAATTCATGCCATGCAAAAAGATTATGAATGTAATAAATGTGTATGTGCACGAGGAGATTCAGTCACAACCCAACGCTCATTCAACATCAAAGAATCTATATCTAAGAGAAGTTATGTGAGTGTAGTGAATGGCAAATCTTTCAATAGGAGTTTAACTAGTCTTTTTTATATCAGAATATCCATAGTAGACAAGAATTTGATGTAATGCAAATGGAAAACTTGACAGCACATGTCAGGCTTTACCCAACATCAAAATAGTGGAAAGAAAATTGTTGATTATTTATTTATGAAATTGTTAATACATAGTCTCAAACTTTATCATTGCACAAGAATCTAGTGGTGACTTGGTAAATGCAGTGCCATTTTCTCATGGCATTCCTTTATTTAATATGTGTTCTAAGTAGGTACATTTATTTTTACTTTTTTATTATAATAATTTTGATATTAAAAAGAACAGAGATGGGGTCTCACTTTGTTGCCCAGGCTGGTCTCGAACTCCTGGCCTCAAGTGATCTTCTCACCTTGTCCTCCCAAAGTGCTGGAGTTACAGGCATCAGTCACTGTGCTAGGCCTATTTTATTTACAGAACTAATTTAAGCTGTTTTTATTTTAATATGCCCTATAAACATTTTTATTTTTCTTGAAATTGGTTCTTAGTGTTCACAACTTCCATAAGATACTGCGAATGCACCAGTATTAAAACACATCAACATAAGTAGCTCATTTAGCTTTTTCTGCTGTTCTTGGCCCAAGTTCTCTCCAAAACCAACTCTTAGGCCTACTCTTTACTAGGGACCCTATGTTATTGCTTTACAGCCACAACACTTGGATGCCTGTTTATTGATTTCTCCATGCTCTTAAGCACCTTTAGAAGATTTAGAAGATTCCTAGTTTTAAGTGTCTCACCAGCAAGTATTCCATACCTAGTTGATGTTGCTGGTCTGATGTCTTATTTCCTAAAGTGAGGCATCTTTTTTAAAAAAGAATTGGATTTAAAATATATCCAGTCCAATACAAGTATGAATATAAGTAAGTGTTCTCTCTTCTGAGTTTGTAGCAGGCAGCCAAACATTTTCAAACGATGCCCAAGATTTTAGTTGCCTTGTGTGCATCCACAGCCTGCAAAGAGAGATGATAAGGACATCAGGGAGCCAACAAGACTCCTGGTAAGCTCACTACATACATCCAGTGCCTGTTCTGCATGCCTAAGCTTAGAGTTCTTTTATAGACCTCTAAGGCCAGCAAAATGCTCAGGTCTGCTTTTGGTACGGTAAACACAAAGAACATACACAGGCTGGGTGCGGTGGCTCACATCTGTTATCCCAGCACTTTGGGAGGTTGAGGCGGGTGGATCACGAGGTCAGGAGGTGGAGACCATTCTGGCCAACATGGTGAAACCCTGTCTCTGTTAAAAATATAAAAATTAGCCAGGCGTGGTGGCACGTGCCTGTAGTGTCAGCTACTCAGGAGGCTGAGGCAGGAGAATCGCTTGATCCTGGCAGGCGGAGGTTGCAGTGAGCCGAGATCGCCACTGCACTCCAGCTGGCCAAGACTCCATCTCAAAACAAAACAAAACAAAACAAAAAACAAAAACATACAAAAAAAAAATCAGCATCATAAGGGAATGTAGCCTTTCAACAGAGATGATGCTGTTCTTAACGTTAATCTCAGAGACAGTATTTCAAGAGAGTGGCAGGTCTGTTCCTGGTAAAATTTTAACCATTAGGATTGCAGATAAATATTTGAATTCTCCCCCACCCCCACACCAACCAGTCTTCCCTCATCAATCCAGGACAGTATTTGAAGTGTGGGGGCTTTGTGTTAGTTGCTTATCCATTATCACATTTTCGTATTTTAATAGTCTGCATGCCATATAAAAGAACATGGCTTTTTGATTGATAAAAGGGATTATAGATGTCGGCTCAAGTTCAGGGCCACCATCATATACCTAACAAGAGCTCATGCTTCTTTAGGTAATGTCAAAGCATTTTATATTTTTCCATCTTAAGCTTTATAACATTTTGTGAATAAGACAAGTGTTATTTAAAATTCTAGTTGTCAAGCCAGGCTTTCATAGTTCAGATGTTATAATATTTGCTAGGGACCCTCAACAAATATATAAAAATATATTGCTCACTCTATAATCCTCCTTTACAAAAAGTATCACAGAGGGAGTCCACCCACGAGGGGCAACATCATCATCTCCTTTGGATATTACGAATAATGTCACAGAGGTGACATATTGTCACCTCATTATGTGACATAATGTCACATAATGTCCGCCCATGGGGATATTTGTGGCAATATAATTATCTCTCATGAATATTATGAATAATGTCACAAAGGGTGACCACCCACGGTGATATTAGTGGCAATGTCATCATACGCCATGGATATTATGAATAATGTCACTAAGGGTGTACACCCCCTGTGATATTAGGAATAATATAGTCTTCTTTTTTGGATATTATGAATAATAATATCACCAAGGATGTACACCTTTGTGACATTAGAAGGAATATAATCTCCTTCCTTGGATATTATGAATAATAGTATCACCGAGGGTGTACATTCCGTGGGATATTACAAGTAACATCATCTACTCCCTTGGATATTACGAACAATAACATCACAGAGGGTGTAACCATGCAATATTAGGAGTAACATCATCTCCTCCCTCGGATATTACAAATAATAGCATCACAGAGGGTGTACATCCAATGTGATATTAGAAGGAACATGATCTCCTCCCATGGATATTATGAATAATAGCATCACAAAGAGTGTACGTCCCATGCGATATTAGGAGTAACATTATATCTTTCCTTGTATATTACAAATAATAGTATCACAGAGAATATACACCCTGTTCAATATTAGGAGTAACGTCATCTCCTTTTCTAAATATTATGAATAATAGTATCACAGAGGGTGTACACCCCATGCGATATTAGCAGTAACATCATCTCCTTTCTGAGACATTATGAATAATAGTATCATGAAGGGTGTACACCCCGTGCGATATTAGGAGTAACATCATATTCTCCCTTAAGTATTATGAATAATAGTATCACAGAGGGTGTACACCCCATGCGATATTAGAAGTAACATAACCTCTTTCCTTAAATATCGCGAATAATAGTATCACAGAGGGTGTACACCCTGTGCAATATTAGAAGTAACATCATCACCTCCCTTGGATATTATGAAGAATAGTATCACTGAGGGTGTACACCCCATGCGCTGTTAGAAGTAACATCATCTCCTCCCGTGGATATTCTGAATAGTATCATAGAGGGTGTAAACCCTCTGTGATATTAGAAGTAATATCATGTCCTCTGTTGGATATTACAAATAGTATCACAGAGGGTGTACACTCCCTGCATTATTAGGAGTAATTCCTCTCCTCCATTGGATGTTATGAATATTATCACAGAGGGTGTACACCCAGCACGATATTAGGAGTAATATCATCTCATTTGGATATTACAAAGAGTATCACAGAGAGTGTACACCCCCTGCGATACTGGGAGCAGTATAATTTCCTCCCTTGGATATTATGAATAATATTACAGAGGGTGTACATACAAAGTGTGTACGATGTTAGGAGTAATATCATCTCCTCCCTTGGATATTACGAATAATATCACAAAAAGTGTACACCCACTACTACATTAGGAGTAATATCTCCTTCCTTGGATATTACCAATAATATCACAAAGGGTGTACGACCACTGAAACATTAGGGGTAATATCATCTCCTTCCTTGGATATTACAAATATAACCACAGAGGGTGTACACACAGGGTGTGTAGGATATTGGGAGTAATATCACCTCCTTCCTTGCATATTACAAATAATATCACAGAGGGTGTACATCCACTGCGATATTAGAAGTAATGTCATCTCCTTTTTTGGATATTATGAATAATATCACAGAGGGTGTACACCCACTGCGATATCAGGAGTAATGTCATCTCCTCCCGTGGATATTGTTACGAATAATATCACAGAGGGTGTATGCCCACTGCGGTATTAGGAGTAATGTCATATCCTCCCTTGGACATCATTACAAATAATATCACAGAGGATTTACACCCACTGCGATATTAGGAGTAATGTCATCTCCTCCCGTGGACTTTATTATGAATAATATCACAAAGGGTGTACGTCCACTGCGATATTAGGAGTAATGTCATCTCCTCCCTTGGACATCATTACGAACAATATCAGAGAGGGTTTAAGCCTACTGCAATATTAAGAGAAATGTCATCTACTTTTTGGACATCATTACGAATAATATCACGGAGGGTGTATGCCCACTGCGATATTATAAACCTCCTGAGATATTGGGAGTAATGTAATCTCCTGCCTTGGACATGATTATGAATTATATAATGGAGTGTGTATGCACACTGAGGTATTAGAAGTAATGTTTTCTCCTCCCTTGGACATCATTACGAATAATATCGCAAAGGGTGTACGTTCACTGCGATATTAGAAGTAATGTCATCTCCTTTCTTGAAAATGATTACGAGAAATATCACGGAGGGTGTACGCCCCCTGAGATATTAGAAGTAAAATTATCTCCCCCCTGGAATGTTACAAAGAACATCACAGAGGGTGTACACCCCCAGCCATAATAGAAGTAATATCATCTCCCCCCTGGGATATTACCAAGAATATTACAGAGGGTGTACATCCCCTGCGATATTAGGAGTAACATCATCTCTTCCTGGGATATTAGGAAGAATATCACAGAGGGTGTACACACTCTACGATATTAGGAGTAACATTATCTCCCCCCTTGGATATTTCAAAGACTATCACAGAGGGTGTACACCCCCTGCAATATTAGAAGTAATGTCATTGCCCCCTGGGATATTGCGAAAAGTATCACGGAGAGTGTACACGATGTAAGGAGTAACATCATTTCTTCCCTGGGATGTTACAAAGAATATCACAGAGGGTGTACACCCCCTGCGATATTTGGAGTAACATCATCTACCCCCTTGGATATTATGAAAAATATCACAGGGGATGTACACCCCCTGCGAAATTAATCATTTCTCCCCTTGGATATTACCAAGCATATCACAGAGAGTGTACGTTTTCTGCTATATTAGTAGTAATATCATCTCCCCCCTTGGATATTACAAAGAATGTTACAGAGCGTGTACACCCCCTGCGATATTAGGAGTAACATCATCTCCCCGCTCGGATCATATGAAGAATTTCACAGAGGGTGTACACCCCCTGCTATATTAGGAGTAACATCATTTCCCCCCTTGGATATTAGGAAGAATATCACAGAGGTTTTAACCCCCTGCAATATTAGGAGTAACATCATCTCCAATTTTGGATATCACGAAGAGTATCACAGAAGGTGTACACCCCCTGCGTTATTAAGAGTAACATCATCTCCCTTCATGGATATTTTGAAGAATATCACAGAGGGTGTACACACAGGGTGTTTACAATATTATAAGTAATATCATCTCCCCACTGGGATATTAAGAATAATATCGCAGAGGGTGTACACCCCCTGCGATATTATTAGGATTAATATCATCTCCCTTCTGGGATATTACGAAGAATCTCACAGTGAAGGTACACCCCCCTGCGATATTATGAGGGGTAATGTCACCTCCCCCGGGGATATTATGAAAAATCTCGCAGTTGGGGTACACACACTGAGATATTATTAAGAGTAATATCATCCTCTCCCCCGGGATATTACAAATAATCTCGCAGAGGGGGTACACCCCACGATATTTTTACGAGTAACATCATCTCCTCCCCATTGGGATATTACGAAGAATCTCGCAGAGGGGGTACACCCCTTACGATATTATTAAAAGTAACGTCATCTCTTCCCCGCAGGGATATTACGAAGAATCTCACAGAGGCGCTGCACACCTGCGATATTATTAGGAGTAATATCATCTCCTCCCCGCTTGGATATTATGTAGAATCTCGCAGAGGGTTTACACCCCCAGCGATATTAGAAGTAATATCATCTCCCCCTTGAGATATTACAAAGAATATCACAGAGGGTGTACACCCCCTGTGATATTGGTAATAACACCATCTCCCCAATTGGATATTATGAGCAAAATCATAGATGGGGTACATCCCCTTTGATATTGGGTGTAACATCATCTCCCTTCTTGAATATTACGAACAATATGACAGAGGAAGTCCACCCCCTGAAATATTGGGAGTAACATCATCTCCTCCCTTGTATATTATGAACAATATCACAGAAGGGTCCACCCTGTGTGATATTGGGTGAACGTCATTTCCCTCTTGGATATTATGAACCATATCACAGAGTGCGTACACTTCCTTAGATATTGGGAGTAACGTCATCTCCTCTATTGGATAGTACGAACCATATCACAGAGGGGATACACAACCTGCGATATTGGGAGTAACGTCATTCCCCTCCTTGGATATTATGAACCATATCACAGAGGGTGTACACCTTCTGCAGTACTGGGAGTAATGTCATCTCCCCCCTTGGATATTGCAAACTGTATCAGAGAGGGAGCACACCCTCTGCGATATTGGGAGTAACGTCATCTCCTTTCTTGGTTACTACGACCCATGTCACAGAGGGGGTACACCCTCTACGATATTGGGAGTCTTCTTCCTCCTTGGATATTATGAAACATATCTCAGAGGGGGTACATCCCGTGTTATATTGGGAGTTAAGTCTTCTCCCCCATTTTATACTACAAGAATCATACCACAGAGGGGGTACACCCACTGCGATATTGAAAGTACCATCATCTCCCCTCTTGTATGTTATGAACCATATAACAGAGGGGGTACACCCTCTGCGATATTGGGAGTAACGTCCTCTTCCAGCTTGGATATTATGAACCATTTCACAGGCGGTTCACCCCCGTGATACTGAGAGTAACGTCATCTCCCCCTTGGTTATTACGAATAATATCACTGAGAGGGTACACCGTCTGCGATAGTGGGAGTTACATAATTGTTGGGAACAGACCCCCCAAAATCTGGCCATAAACTTGCCCCAAAACTGGCCATAAACAAAATCTCTGCAGCGCTGTGACATGTTCATGATGGCCATGATGCCCACGCTGGAAGGTTGTAGGTTTACCGGAATGAGGGCAGGGAACACCTGGCCCACCCAGGGTGGAAAACTGCTTAAAGGCCTTCTTAAACCACAAACAATAGCATGAGCGGTCTGTGCCTTAAGGACACACTCCTGCCAAACCCATCCCTTTATTTCAGCCCCTCCCTTTATTTTCCCTAAGGAATACTTTGTTAATCTATAATCTCTAGGAACAATGCTTATCACTGGCTTGCTGTCAATAAATACGTGGGTAAATCTCTATTTGAGGCTCTCAGCTCTGAAGGCTGTGAGACCCCTGATTTCCTACTCCACACTTATATGTTTCTTTTTTTTTTTTTTGTAACTTTATTTTTTTATTATTTATTTATTATTATACTTTAAGTTACAGGGTACATGTGCAAAACGTGCTGGTTTGTTACATATGTATATATGCGCCATGTTGGTGTGCTGCACCCATTAACTCGTCATTTACATTATGTGTGTCTTTAATTCCTCTAGCTCCGCTGGGTTAGGGTCTCCCCGACCGACCGAGCTGGTCTCGGCACATAATCTCCCCCCTTAAATATTAAGAACAGTATCACAGAAGGGGTACACCCCCTGCGACACTGGGAGTGACGTCGTCTCCCCCCTTACATATCACGAACAATATCACAGAGAAGGTAGACCCCCTGAGATACTGGGAGTAACGTCATCTTTCCCCTTAAAAGTTATGAACAATATTACAGGAGCAGTACACCCCCT
Organism: Homo sapiens; assembly: GCF_000001405.40. Classification (NCBI taxonomy): domain Eukaryota; kingdom Metazoa; phylum Chordata; class Mammalia; order Primates; family Hominidae; genus Homo; species Homo sapiens. The sequence goes on along the minus strand of NC_000007.14, from coordinate 7,070,171 downwards.
GAGATACTGGGAGTTATGTCATTTGCTCCCTTGGATATTACAAACAATATCACAGAGGGGGTACGCGTGCTGTGATACTGAAAGTAACGTCATCTTCTCTATTGGATATTACAAACAATATTGCAGAGGCAGTACACCCCCTGCTATCCTGGGAGTAAAGTCATCTCTCACCTTGGATATTACAAATAATATCACAGAGTGGGTACAACCCCCTGTGATACCGGAATAAACGTCACCTCCCTTCTTAGATATTATGAAAAATATCACAGAGAAGGTACACCCCCTACGATACTGGGAGTAACGTCATCTCACCCCTTGCATATTACGAACAATATACAGGGGGGGATACACCCTTTGTGATACTAGGGTAACGTCATCTCCGTTTTTTGATGTTACAAGCAATATCACAGACGGGTTACACTCTCTGCGACTCTGGGAGCAACGTCATCTCCCCCCTTGGATATTACGAACAATATCACAGAGTGGGTACATTTCCTGACATACTGGGAATAACGTCATCTTTCCCCTTAGATATTACGAACAATATCACAGTGAGGGTACACCTGCTGCAATACTGGGAGTAATGTAATCTCCCCCCTTGGATATTACGAACAATATCACAAAGGGGGTACACCCCATGAGATACTGAGAGTAACGTCATCTCCCCCCTTGGATGTTATGAACAATATCACAGAGGGGATACATCTTCTGTGATACTGGGAATAACGTCATCTCCTCCTTGGATATTAGGAATAATTTCAGAGGGTACACATCGCCTGCAATACTGGGAGTAATGTCATCTCCCTCCTTTGATATTACGAACAATATCACAGAGGGTGTACACATAGGGTGTTTATGACATTGGGAGTAATATCATCTTCCCCCTTGGATATTATGAACAATAGTACAGAAGTTGTACACCCACTGCTACAATGGGAGTAATATGATCTCCCCCTTGGATATTATGAACAATATCACATAGGGTGTATACACCCTTGTGACACTGAAGGTAATATTATCTCCCCTCCTTGGATATTATGAACAATATCACAGAGGGTGTACACTGAATGCAACATTGGGAGTTATATCATCTCCCCCTTTGGATATTACGAACAATATGACCAAGGGTGTACACCCCTGCGACATTGTGAGTAATATCATCTAACTTCTTGGATATTATAAACAATATCACAGACGGTATACACCCCCTGCGACACAGGGCATAATATCATCTCCCCCCTTGGATATAACAAACAACATCACAGAAGGTGTACACCAGCTGCGACATTGGGAGTAATATCATATCTCCCCTTGGATATTACAAATAATAACACAGAAAGTGTACACCCATGCGACATTGGGAGTAATATTATTCCCCCCTTAAATATTATGAGCAATATCACAGAGGGTATAAACCCCTTGTGACATTAAGAGTAATATCATCTTTCCCCTTGGATATTACAAACAATATCACAGAGGATGTACATCCCCTGTGACAAGGAAGGTAGTATCATCTCCCCTCTTGGATATTATGAACAATAGACAGAGGGTGTACACCCCCTGTGACACTGGGAGTAGTATCATCTCCCCCCTTGAATATTACAAACAATATCATAGAGGGTATACACACCTGTGACATTGGAAGTAGTATCATCCCCCCCCCCTTGGATATTACAAACAATATCACAAAAGGTGTATATCCCCTGAGACATTGGGAATAGTATAGTCTCCCACCTTGGATATTGTGAACAATATCACAGAGGGTGTTCATCCGCTGCGAAATTTGGAGTAGTATTACCTCCCCCTTGGATATTACAAACAGTATCACAGAGGGTGTACACCCTCTGCAACATTGGGAGTAGTATCATCTCCCCCCTTGGATATTATGAACAATGTCACAGAGGGTGTACACCCCCTGCGACATTGGGTGTAGTATCATCTCCCTCCTTGGATATTACAAACAATATCACAGAGGGTGTCCACCCCCTGTGACATTTGGAGGTAGTATTATCTCCCCTTTTAGATATTACAAACAATATCACAGAGGATGTACATGCTCTGCGACATTGGGAGTAGTATCATTTCCCCCCTTGGATATTAAGAACATTATCACAGAGGGTGTACACCCCCTGTAACATTGGAAGTAGTATCATCTCCCCCCCTTGGATATTACAAACAATATTACAGAGAGTGTATACACACGGTGTTATGATATGGGGAGTAGTATCATATCCTTCCTTCAATATTATGAACAATATCACAAGGGGGTACACCTGCTGCGATACTGGGAGTAATGTCATCTCCTCCATTGCATATTGCAAATGATATAGAGGGGTACATCCCCTGCGATAATGGGTGTTATGACATCTCCCTCCTTGGATATTATGAAGAATATCACAGAGGGGGTACACCTCCTGCAATACTGGGAGTAACATCATCATCCCCCTTGGATATTACCAAAAATATCGCAAAGGGTGTACACCCCAGGCAACATTGACAGTTATATCATCTCCCAACTTGGATATTACAAACAATATCACAGAGGGTGTACACCCCATGCGACATTGGGAGTTATATCATCTCCCACCTTGGATATTAAGACCAATATCACAGAGGGTGTACACCCCCTGCGACATTGTAACATCATTCCCCCCTTGGATATTAAGAACAATAACAGAAAGGGTGTACATCCTCTGTGATTTTGTACAAACAATATCACAGAGGATGTACATCCCCTGAGACATTGGAAGTAGTATCATCTCCCCCCTTGGATAATACAAACAATAACAGAGAGGGTGTACACCCCCTGCAGCATTGGGAGTAATATTATATCCACCCTTGGAATGTACACCCATGGGACATTGGGAGTAATATCATTCCCCCCTCTTAAATATTATGAACAATAACACAGAAGGTATACACCCCTTGCGACATTGGGAGTAATATTATCTCCCCCCATGGATATTACAAACAATATCACAGAGGGTGTACACCCAATGCGACATTGGGAGTAATATTATCTTTTCCCTTGGATATCACAAATCAATATCACAGAGGAAGTACATCCCCTATGACTTTGGAAGTAGTACCATCTCACCCCTTGGATATTATGAACAATAACACAGAGGGTGTACACCCCCTGCGACATTGGAAGTAGTATCATCTCTCCCTTGGATGCTACGAACAATATCACAGAAGGTGTACACCCCCTGCGACACTGGGAGTAGTATTATCTCCCATCTTGGGTATCACACACAATATCGCAGAGGTTGTACACCTCCTGCAACATCGGGGGTAGTATCATCGTCCCCCTTGATTATTACGAACAGCATCACAGAGGGTGTCCAACAACTGTGACATTGGGATTTGTGTCATCTCCCCGTTTAGATAATACGTACAATATCACAGAGGGTGTGCACCTCCGGCAACATTGTGAGTAGTATCATTTTCCCCTTGTATAGTACAAACAATAGCACAGAGAGTGTACACCCCCTGCGACATTGGGTGTAGTATCATCTCCCCCCTTGAGTATTATGAACAATATCACAGAGGGTGTACACCACCTGCGACACTGAGAGTAGTATCATCGTCCACCTTTGATATTACAAACAATATCGCAGAGGGGGTACACCCCCTGCAATCCTGGGAGTAACGTCATCTCACCCCGTGGATATTATGAACAATATCAGAGAGAGGGTACACTCTCTGAGATACTGGGAGTAACGTCATCTTTCCCCTTAGATATTACAAATAATATCACAGGGTACTCCTGCTGCAATACTCGAAGTAACGTCATCTACCACATGGGATATTATGAACAATATTACAGAGGGGGCACACTTTCTGCGATACTGGGGGTAACGTCATCTCCCTCCTTGGATATTACGAACAACATCTAAAAGGTGGTACACCCCCTGAAATGCTGGGAGTAAAGTCATCTCCCCCCTTGAATATCATGAACAACAATACAGAGAGAGGGGGTACACGCCCTTCGATACTGGGAGCAACGTCATCTCCCGCATTGGATATTACGAACAATATCACAGAGGATGTATACCTTCTGTGATACTGGGAGAAGCGTCATCTACCCTTGGGATATTAGAAACAATTTCACACAGGGTGTACACCCCCTGCGATACTGGGAGTAAAATCATCTCCCTCCTTGGATATTATGAACAATATCACAGAGAGTGCATACACAGGGTGTTTACGATCTTGGGAGTAATATCATCTTCCCCCTTGGATATGAAAAACAGTATCACAGAGGTTGTACATCCCCTGCGACTCTGGGAGTAATATGATCTCCGCCCTTAGATATTACGAACATTATGAGTTAGGGTGTACACCTCCTGCGACATTGAAAGTAACATCATCTGCCACCTTGGATATCATGAACAATATCACATAGAAGGTAAATTCCATGTGACATTGGGAGTTATGTCATCTCTACTCTTGGATATTATGAACAATATAACAGGGCGGTGAACAAAACCTGTGATATTGAGGGTAATATCATCCTCTCCCCCTCTGAATATTACTAACAATATCACAAGGGGGTGTACACCCCCTACGAAATTGGGAGTAATACCATCCTCTTCCACTATGGATATCACAAACAATATCAGAAGAAGGTGTACACTCCCTGCGATATTGGCAGTAATATCATTCTCTCCCCCTCTGGATATTATGAACCATATGGCAGGGGGGTGTCTCAGGGGGCGTACCTCCTCTGTGATATGGTCCTCTGTGATATGTGTATATTCCTCTGCGATATTGAGAGTAATATCATCCTTCCCCCCCCCCCCGTATATTACGAACAATATCACAGAGGGTGTATGACCTTTGCGATATTGGGATTAATATCAACCTCTTCTTCCCTTGATATTACGAAAAATATCACAGGGAAATGTATACCACCTGCGATGCTGACAGTAATATCAACCTCTGCTCCCCTGGATATTACTAACAATATCACAGGAGAATGTATACCCCATGCAATATTGGGAGTAATATCATTTTATCCTCACCTGGATATTACGAACAATATCACAGGGGGGTGTACACTGCCTGCGATATTAAAAGTAATATCATCCTCTCCCCTTCTGGATATTAGGAACAATATCACAAAAGGAGTGTACATTCTTTGCGATATTCAGAGTAGTATCATCCTGTTTTTCCCTGAATATTCGGAGAAATATCACAGGTTGAGTGTACACCCACTGCTATACTGGGAGAAACATTATACTATACCAGCTGGAAATTAAGAGCAATATCACGGGGTTGGGGGTGTGGAGAAGAGCCACTGCAATGTTAGAAGTAATATCATTCTCTCCCCTACTAGTTTATTGGGAACAATATCACAGGGGGTTGTACACTCTCTGCGGTATTGAAAGTAATATCATTATCTCTTCATTTAGATATTAGGAACAACATCACAGGAAGAGTGTACTCCCCCTGCACTATTGGAAGTAATATCATTCTCTCTTCTTCTCGATTTTACGAATAATATCACAGGCGGTGTGTACACCCCTTGTTATATTGGGAGTAATATCATCTTCTATCCACGTGGATTTTCAAAACAATATCACATGGGTGGTGTACATTCCATCAATATTGGTAGTAATATCATCTTCTCACCTCCTGGATATAAGAAATAGCATTACAGGCGGTGTGTACACCCCTTGCAATATTGGGAGTAATATCACCTCTCCCCATGTGGTTATTGGGGACAATATCACAGGGGGGTGTACACTTCCTACGTTATTGGGAGTAATATCATCTACTCACCCCCTGGATATCAGGAACCATATCACAGAAGGGGTGTAAACCCCCTGCGATATTGTCAGTAATATCCTTTTCCACCCTGTATATTAGAAACAATACCAGAAAGGAGGTGTACACCCACTGCGATATTGGGAGTAATATCAGCCGCTTTCCCGCTGGATATCAGGAACAATATCAAAAGGGGTGTGTACACCCCCTGCGATATTGGGAGTAATATCAGCCTCTACCCCTCTCCATATTAGGAACAATGTACAGAGACAATATATCCCCTGCGATATTGGGAATAATATTATTCTCTTTTCCCTGTACATTAGGAACTATATCACAGCAAATATGTACACCTCCTGCAATATTGGGATTAATGTTATCCTCTCCCCCACTGAATACTAGGAACAATATCAGACAAGGATATACACACCCTGTGATATGGCCACCAATATCATCGGCTCCTTCCCTGGATATTAGGAACAATATCAAAAGGTGTGTACTCCCCCTGCGCTATTGGGAGTAATACTATTCTCTCTTCCCCTGGATATTAGAAATAATATCACAGGTGAAGTGTACACCCCACCCCCTGCGATAATGGGGGTAATATCATCCTTTTTTAACCTTGATATTAGGAGCAATATCACAGGGGTCGTGTACACGTTCTTCAATACTGAAAGTAATATCCTCTTCTCCCCCCGAAAATAGTAGGAAAAATATCAAAGAAGCTGTGTACACCACTTGCGATATTGAGAGTAATATCATTCCCTCACCTAAATATTAGAAACAATATCACCGGGAAGGTGAACATCACCAGCGACATTGGGAGTAATATAGTTTTCTACCCCCATCGATATTGAGAACGATATCACAGGGGCGGTGTACACCCTCTGCGAGACTGGGAGTAATATCATCCTCACCCCCCACTTGATACTAGGAACAATATCACAGGCGGATTATACACCCACTGAAACATTGGGAGTAATATCATCCTTTCTCCCATGGATATTAGAAACAATATCTCATGCGGGGTGTACCGCGCATTCTGTTTTGACAATAGTATCAATTTCTTCATTGCCGGAAAAAAAAAACAATATAACAGGTGTGGTGTACACACCCTGTGATATTGCCAATATCACTGACTCCCCCCGGGATATTAGGAACAATATCAAAAAGGGGTGTATCCCCCAGCGATATGGGGATTAATATCATGCTCTCCCCCTGGATATTAGGAACAATATCAAAGAGGGGGTGTCCACCCCTTGCGATATTGACAGTAATATCATCCTCTCCCTCCCTGGATTTTAAGAACAATACCACAGAGTTGGTGTACACCCACTGCGATATTGGGAGTAATGTGATACTCTACCCCCTGGATATTAAAATAAATATCAGAGGGGGTGTACAACCCCCGCGATATGGCCAGTAATATCATCGTCTCCCACACTGGATATTAGCACCAATATCACAGGGGTGTGTACACCTCCTGCGCTGTTTTGAGTAATATCATCCTCTCTTCCCCTGGCTATTAGGAATAATATCACAGGTTGGGGGTACAACTCCTGCAATATTGGCAGTAACGTCATCCTCTACCAACCTGGATATTGGAAACAAAATAACAGGCGGGGTGTACACCTCCTGCGATATTGGGAGTAATATCTTGCTCTCCCCCACTTGATATTAGAAAAAATATCCCAAGAAGGGTGTACACCCTCTGAGATATTGATAGTAATATCATCCTTTCCCCACGTAAATATTAGAAACAATATCACGGGGGGGTGTACACCTCCAAAGACATTGGGAGTAATATCATCCTCTCCCTCCCCGGATATTAGGAACAATATCAAAGGGGTCTTTTACACCCACTGTGATATTAGGAGTAATATCTTTCAAATCCCCCCTGGATTTTAGATACAATATTATGGAGGGTGAGTACACCCCCTGTCATACTGTGAGTCATATGATTTCTCTTCCCCTGAATATTAGAAACGATATCACAGGGAGTGTGTCCCCTGTGATATTGAAATTATCATTCTCTGCCCCACTGAATAGTAAAAACAATATCACAGGGGTGTTGTCCACCCCTGAGATATGGACAGTAATACCATTGTCTCCCCCCGTAAATATTAAGAACAGTATCACAAGTGGGGTGTACACCCCCTGCGATATTGAGAGTGTATAATCCTCTCTACCTTTGGATATTAGGAACAATATCGCAGGGGGGGTGCACACCCCCTGCGATATTGGGTACAATGTTACCCTCTCCTCCCCGGATATTAGGAACAATATCCTGGCGTGTCGAGGGGTACAACCCCTTCAATGTCGGGAGTAATAACATCCTTTCCCTTCTGGACATTAAGGACAATATCACTGGGTGGGTATACAGCCCTGCGATATTGGGAGTAATATCATGCTCTCCCACCTAGGATATTAGGAACAATATCACAGGAGGGGTGTACAGCCCCAGCGATATTGGGATTAATATCATCCTCTCCCCTTCTCGATATTAGGAACAATGTCCCAGGGTGGGTGTACAGCCCCTGCAATATTAGGTGTAATATCATCGTCTGACAACATGGATATTGAGGACACTGTCACGGGAGGGTGTACACCTCCTTCGATATTGGGAGTAATATCACCCTCTCCCCATGGATTGTAGGAAATATATCGAAAGGGTTTTACAATTTGTGCCATATTGGGAGTAATATCATCCTCTCCCCACTTAGATATTAGGAACTATATCACGGGACGCTGTACAGTTCTTGTGATATTGGGAGTAATATCATCCTCTCCCATCATAGATATTAAGAACACTATCACAGGTGTACACCCCCTGTGATATTGAGAGTAATGCTCTCCCCTTCTGGCTATTAGGAACAATATCACAGAAGGGTGCACAGTTCCTGCGATGTTGGCAGTAATATCACACCCTCCCCGCCCCGATATCAGAAATAATAATACTATTTATTAATAATTAATAATTGATTTTAATTAATTCTAATTAAGTTGTAATTATGAATAATCAACACATTATTAGTTATTTATTATTAATAATCATTGTTACAATAACATTGATAATTATTAATTAATATTGATTATAAATATTAATAAACATGACAATCATACCAATTAATATTATCAATTATGTTATTAATCATGTTAATAAAAATTAATATTAATGATTAACATTAGTTGATGGTGCTATCAATAACAAAATAATGAGTAATTAATATTAATTACTGTTACTATTAATTAATATCATATTAGAAAAAATTCATATTAATATTGATCATTAATATTAATATTAAGAAGCTAGGATTAATCATTAATAATGTTATTACTCCTAATACCGCAGGGTGTCTACACCCCCTGGTGATATTGTTTCTAATATCCAGGGAGAGAGGGCATGATATTCGTTTCAGTGTCGCAGTAGGTGTACAGCAACCCTGTGATATTGATCCTAATATTCATGGATTAGAGTATGACATTACTCCCAATATAGCGGTGGGTGTACATCCACCCGGTGATATTGCTTTTAATATTCACGGAAGAAGAGAACGATATTACTCCCAATATCGCAGGGAGTGTACACCTCTTCTGTGATACTGTTCCAGGTATCTGGAGGGGGAAGAGGATGATAATACTTCCAGTATCGCAGGCTGTGTACACCCACCCTGTGACATTGTTCGTAATATCCAGGAAGGGAGAGGATGCTATTACTCCACACCTAGCAGGAGGTGTACACCCACCCTGGGATATTGTTCCTAATATCCATGGAGGTGAGAGGCTGATATTACTCCCAATATCGCAGGGGGTGTACATCCACCCTGTGATGTTCTTAATATTCAAAGGCCGAGAGGTTGATATTACTCCCAATATCGCAGAAAGTGTATACCCCCGTGTGATATTGTTCCTAATATACAGAAGAGGAGAAGAGGATATTACTCCCTATATCGCAGGAGGTGTACACCCACTCTGTGATTTTTTTTAATATGCAGGAGGGGAGAGGATGTTATTCCCAATATCGCAAAGGGTGTACACCTCCCGTGATATTGTCCTCAATATTCAAAGACGGAGAGGATGATATTACTCCCAATATCACAGGAAGTGTACACCCCCCAGTGATATTGTTCCTATCACCCAGGAGGGAAGAGGATGATATTACTTTCAATATCGCAGGGGGCGTACACGCCCCCGGTGATACTGTTCCTAATTTCAACGTGGGATAGGATGATATTACTCCCAATGTCTCTGGGGTTATACACACTCTTTTGACATTGTAACTAATATCCAGGTGGGGAGAGGATGATATTACTCCCTATATTGCAGAGGGTGTACACGCATCTTTGATATTGTTCGTAATTTCTAGAGGGGGAGATGACATTACTCACAATATCGTAAACAACGTGGTGTGTCCACGTGGATCGTAATATCCAGGGAGGGAGACAGGGTGATATTACTCCCTATATGGCGAGGTGTGTCCACCCCGCCTGTCATATTGTTTCATATATCCAAGGGGGAGAGGTTGATATTACTACCAATATCGAAGAAGTGTACACGCCCCCTGCGATATTGTTCCTAATATCTACGTTGGGAGAGGATGATATTACTCCCAATATCGCAGGGGGTGTACACTTCGCCTGTGATGTTATTTCTACTATCCGGAATAAGAGAGAATGATATTACTCCCAATAGTGCAGGGGGTGTACACCCCCATGTGATATTGTTCTTACTAGCTAAAGGAAGAGAAGATAATATTATTCCTTATACTGCAGGAGATGTACACCCACCTGTGATATTGTTCCGAATATCCAGGGAGGGAGAGCATGACATTACTCCCAATATCGCCGTGGGTGTACACCCACCCTGTGATATTGCTCCTAATATCCAGGGGGCAGAGTATGACATTACTGCCAATATAACAGTGGGTGTACATCCACCCAGGAATATTGCTCCTAATATTCAGGGAAGGAGAAAATAATAATACTCCCAATATCGAAGAGAGTGTACAACCCTTCTGTGATATTGTTCCTAATATCCGGAGGCGGAGAGGATGACATTACTTTCAATATTGCAGGCTCTGTACCCCCACCCTGTGATATTGTTCCTAATATCCAGGAAGGGAGAGGATGATATTACTCCCCATATACTAGGAGGTGTACACCCACGCTGGGATATTGTTCCTAATATCAAGAGAAGGGGGAGAGCCTGATATTACTCCCAATATGGCAGGGGGTGTACATGCCCCCTGTGATATTGTTCTTAACGTTCAAAGGAGGAGACGATGACATTACTCCAGATATCAGAGAAAGTGTAAACCCCGTGCGACACAGTTGCTAATATCCAGAAGGGGAGAAGAGGATATTACTCCCAATATCGCAGAAGGTGTACACCCACTCTGTGATATATTTCCTAATATGCAGGGGGGGAGAGGATAATATTATTCCCAGTATCGCAGGAGATGTACACCCCCGTGTGAGAGTGTCTTTGATATTCCAAAGCAGAGGGGATGGTATTACTCCCAATATTGGAAAAAGTGTGCACCCCCAAGTGACATTGTTCCCATGATCCAGGAGAGAAGAGGATAATATTACTTTGAACATCGCAGGTGTACACACACCCAGTGATATTGTTCCTAATTTCAACGTGGGAGAGGATGATATGACATGCATTATCATAGAGAGTAAAAACACCCCTGTGATATTGTTGTTAATATCCAGTGGGGGAGAGGATGATATTGTTCCCAATACGGCAGAGGTTGTACACCCGTCTGTGAAATAGTTCGTAATTTGCTGAGGGGGACATGATTTACTCACAATATCATAAACACTGTGTAGGTCCACCGTGGATCGTAATAGTCAGGTGGGGAGAGGGGGTTGCTACTACTCCCCGCATCACGGTGGGGTGTGTGCAGCCCCCTGCGATGTGGATCGTAGTAGCCGGGGGGGGAAAGGGGGTTGCTACTACTCCTCATATCGCTGGGGGTAACAATATGTCAGTGTGGTGTACACCCCCCGTGATACAGAGAGTAATATTATCCTCTCCACCACTGAATATCCCGAAGAATATCGCAGGGGGGCACACACACACGGCGATATGATTGGTAACATCATCTCCTCCCCCGGGTATAATGCAAAGAATATCACAGGGGTTTTTACACATCCTGCGATATGGGGAGTAGCATCACTCTCTCCCTCCTTGGATATTATGAACAATATCCCAGACAGCTGTATATTCCCTCCGATATAGGGAGGAAAATCACCCTCTCCTCCCCTTGATTTTACAGACAATATCACACAGCGGTATACACCCCTGCGATATGAGGAGTAGCATCATCCTCTCCACCCTGGACATTATGGACAATATTGCTGGAGGGTGTACAGCCCCTGCGATATGGGGAGTAACAGCATCCTTACCCCCTGGTTATTATGGACAATATCGCAGTAGGGTGTACACCTCCTGCGATATGGAGAGATACATCATCGTCTCCCTTTCTGGATATTATGGACAAAATCGCAGGGGTGTGTACACCTTCTCTCCACCCCCGGACTTTACACACAATATCGCAGGGGTGTGCCCCTGGATTTGGGGAGTTGCATCATCCTCTCCCCCTCCCTAGATATTACGGACAATACCAGAGTGAGGTGTACATCCCCTTTGATATGGGGAGAAATATCATCCTCTCCCCTCTTGGATGTTACAAACAATATCACAGGGGTGTGTACCCCCTGCGATATGGGGAGTAATATTATTCTCTCCCTCTCTGGATGTTACAGTCCATATCTTAAGGGGGCTTTCATTCCCTGCGATGTGGGGAGTAATGTCTTCCTCTCCCGCTCTAGATGTTATGGACAATATCACAGAAAGGAGTACACACCCTGCCATATGGGGAGTAATATAATCCTTTCCTTCCCTAGATGTTACGAACAAAACACCGGAGGGCGTACACCCCCTGCAATATGGGGAGTAATATCATCACCTCCACCCCTGGATGTTACAGACAATATCACAGGTGGGGTGAATACCACCACCAGCAATATGGGGAGTAATGTCACCCTCTCCCACTCTAGATGTTATGGACAATATCACAGGAGTGTGTACACTCCCTGCGATATGGGGAGTAATATCAGCCACTCCCCCCCCCCACCGGATGTTAGGGACAATATCATAGTGGGTGTACACACCCTGCAATATGTGGAGTAATATCTTCCTCTCCACACTTGATGTTGTGGACAATGTCACAGGGAGGTGTACACCCCCTGCGAAATTGGGAGTAATATCATCCTCTCCCCCCTAAATATTATGAAGAATATCTAGCAGGGGGTGTACACCCCCAGCGATATTGGGAGAAATATCATGCTCTCCTCCCGTGGATATTATGAACAAAATTACAGAAAGGTGAAGAAACCCTGTGATATGGGGAGTAATATCTTCCTCTCCACCCTGATGTTACAGACAGTATCACAGACGGGTGTACACCCCCTGCAATATTGGGAGAAATATCATCCTCTCCCCCCGTGGATGTTACAAACAAAATTACAGAAAGGTGAAGAAACCCTGCGATATGGGGAGTAATATCTTCCTCTCCATCCTTGATATTACGGACAATATCACAGATGGGTGTACACCCCCTGCGATATTGAGAGTAATATTATCCTCTCCCCCTCTGGATATTATGACCAGTATCACAGGAAGGTGCACACTGCCTGCAATAATCGCAGTAATATCATCCTCTGTCCCCCTGGATATTATGAACAATATCACAGGGCAGTGAACAAACCCTGCGATATTGGGAGTAATATCATCCTCTGCCTCTGTGAATAGTACGGACAATATCACAAGGGGATGTACACCCCCTATGAAATTGGGAGTAATGTTATCCTCTCCCTCCCTGGATATTACAAACAATATCACAGTAGGTGTACACAGGTGTTTACGATATTGGAAGTAATCTTATGCCCCACCCCCCTGGATATTACGAACAATATCCCAGGTGGGTGTACACCCCCTGAAATATTGGGAGTAATATCATCCTCTCCCCCCTGGATATTATGAAGAATATCACAGGGGGAGTGTACACCTCCTGCAATATGGAGTGTAATATCCTCTTCCCTTCTGGTTATTATGAACAACGTCACAGGTAAGTAATATCATCCTCTCTCCCCCTGGATATTACGAACAATATCACAGGGGGATGTACCCCCCTGCGATATGGGGAGTGATATCCTTTCCCTCTCTGGATAGTACGAACAATATCACCGTGGGGTGTGTACCCCCTGCATTATGGGGAGTAATGTCATCCTCTCCCCCGCCGGATATTACAGACAATATCACAAGGAAGTGTATACCCCCTGCGATATGGGAAGTAATTTTATCTTCTTCCCCCCTGAATATTACAAACAATATGATGGTGGGTTGTTCGCCGCCTGCAATATGGGGAGTAGTATCTTCCTCTCCCCCATGGATATTATGAACAATATCACAGATGGTGTATACCCAGGGTGTTTACGATATTGGTAGTAACATTCTCTCTGCCTCTGCAATATTGGGAGTAATATCTTCCTCTCATAATATCCAGTTTGTGCAAAGGCTTTCAAGGGTGAAGTAGCTTGTTGTGGGTGAGTTTGCCAATGCTGCTGAAGTGCAATAAGCAAGGAAGAGCACAGAGACACCAGGTCAGATAAGCACTATTCAACAGAACTTGTGATGATAGACGTGTTCTGAATCTGTGCTGGATAATATGGTAGCCACTAGCCACATGTGGCTATTTAAATTTAAGTTGATATAAATTAAATAAAATCTAACATTTAGCTTTTCTATTACACCAGCTTCATTGCAAATTCTCAGTAGTCACATGTGGCTGTTTAAATTTAAGTTGATATAAATTAAATAAAATCTAACATTTAGCTTTTCTATTACACCAGCTTCATTGCAAATTCTCAGGAGTCACATGTGGCTAGTGGCAGTTGTATTGGACGACATGGTGTCAGAAGATTAGCAGGAACCAGGTAGGTGAGGCTTTGCTCACCAAGGTAAATCTTGTGAATTATTTGCTAATTGTGAAGGGTTTGAATTAGGGGACTACTGTAGTTTATTTACATGATAAAACATCTCTGAGGCTGCTGGGAAGAGAGCTGAGGCAGGGAGGAAATCAAGAGAGGAGATAGGGAGGCCAGTTGTAGCCATTGTAGTTGCCTGGAAGTCAGGTGAGGGTAGCCTGGATTAGTGTGACAGTAGTGGAGCAGAAAAGTGGATATATTTGGGATTTATTTTGGTGATAGGTCCAAGAGAGGCTGCTGATGAACTCAACAACCTCTGTTGGACCTATCACCAAATATTAACAAATATTTCACATATCACATGTGAGATGTGATGGAAAGAAATAAATCATGGATAACTCCAAAATTTTCATTTCAGGAAAATTCTTTCATTATATGTATTAATACCATTAATCAGGCTCTATCCATTTTGAAGATGGCTTACATTCTCTTTCTCTCTCCCAGTTATCAATCCATTTCCATGATTAAAGTTACAGCACTTCAGGATTGCATGGTCCCGCTAGTGGGTTCTGCCTCTCCCTTTACACCTTCGTGGACGTTGCTGTTTTCCAGGCCAACAGTGAATTTTTCACGGCCAAATAAAATGGCTAATTCTTAGTTTCAGTCCTACTTAATCTCTGCCCCATGTGTGGCTGTTGATTCACTCCTTCCTCCATTGGCTCCCAGGCCACTCTCCTGATTCTCTTCCTGCCTCTCCCATGTGCCTTCTCATCAGTCTCTCTGCCTGCTCCTCCTCCACCCGCTCCCACTGCTGGCATCCTCAAGTGTGCTCAGTTTTCCATCTCTCTTGCACAACTAGGATAATCAGAGCCATTCTATTGTCTACATTTCTCATATACATTCTGCAGGCTCACAAATCTATACGCAAATAGTACCAGCCATTTCTGAGTCAGGAATTTTGCTAATTGATTTGTATACATGATCTCATTTAATACTTCCAGGAACTCTGTGGGGTAGGTATGACTATTCCAATTGTCAGATGAGGAAGCTAAAGCTCAGGAATGTGCAAGGCTTTGCCCAGGCTCGAAGAATTAAACATGGCAGAGCTTCGATTTACAGCCAAACCCATGTGGCTCCTCAGCTATGGTCGCTGCTGTCCGTAGCAGATGGATGTTTTGAGCGGACAACACATGTATGTAGAACGGGCTTTTGAAAATAGGCATAAAAAAGCTTTTTATCACCTACTTCTTTCTGTGTAAATACCACAAACAAGTAAACAATAACAAAACCAAAACACCTCTTTTCTTTGTATTCCTTACTTGGTTTGTTGAAACATCTTTATCTTTTACTTCCTCTCTACCTTCCCACATTCAATTGGTTTCCAAGTCCTGCAGGAGGTACCTCAGATGTGCTCTCTACCTAAAGGAACTCATAGAGTTTGAGAACCACTGTAGACTGCATTAGGATCACCTAGAACACTTGTTAAATCCCAGGGCACTGGGCCCCATTCCCAGAGTTTCTGATTCAGGAGGTCTGGGCTGCGGCCTTAAAATGTGCATGTCTGAAAGTTTCCAGATGATGCTTCTGCTCTGGGGACCACACTCTGAGAACCTGTGGTCTAGGGTGAGTTACAGATCTCTAATATCACCAAGAACAGGGCAGGCCAGCTGGAATAGCAGCTCTACAGAAGTGACAAGCACAGCAGAAGAAAAGAAAGGAGGGATTTGCTTTGTCTGCGATAAAAAGTAAGGCTTTGGGAGGTTTGCCTTCAGTTGTTCTGGTTCTTCCAATTTGCCTCATTATTCGCTAATTCAATACAATCAATTTATGGTGTAGAAATGCTAATTTTGGGCTACATAGGATTTTGTATTTGAAAACAACTAACGGTTTAAGGGAGGAGGAAATAAGATACAGAAGCAAACAATGCAATAATTTGATTTTTTTCCCTAAACGAGGCGTAAATGATTACAGAAGTCCCCTGATTTATAGTGGCAAAAAACTCGCAACCATCAAGCAGCTGGGGATGGGAACTGTTGGGAAAAACTCAAACTGTGTTTTTTCCTCTGCTCTCATACCACACATCAATAATCATCAACACAAAAGACTTCTGTGACCCCAAAATATGTGGATATTTCTCCCCCCTAGCAAACAAGCAATCAATTCTGCAGCAGACACCAGCTGGGTGTCCTTCAGTTCAGTTCCAACACTATCTACCTGGAGATCATGTCAGATTCCACAGGCAAAGGGCTCAGTCCTCAACATTGCTCCACCGTCTCAGGCACCAGTTGCAAGTTCAGGCCTCTAGAACTTCTGACTGACCGGCTTCAAGTTGGGGTTCTCACAATCCCCTCTTTGGGTTTAATTAATTTGCTAGATTGGCTCACCAGACTCAGGAAACACTTACTTTTGTTTATTGGTTTATTTATTTATTTTGAGATGGAGTCTTGCTCTGTCACCCAGGCTGGAGTGCAGTGGCGCGATCTCGGCTCACTGCAAGCTCCACCTCCCAGGTTCACGCTATTCTCCTGCCTCAGCCTCCCGAGTAGCTGGGACTACAGGTGCCCGCCACCACACCTGGCTAATTTTTTCTATTTTTAGTAGAGACGGGGTTTCACCGTGTTAGCCAGGATGGCCTCGATCTCCTGACCTCATGATCAACCCGCCTCGGCCTCCCAAAGTGCTGGGATTACAGGCGTGAGCCACTGCGCCCAGCCTTTTATTGGTTTATTTTAAAGGATTTTCCTCTTTTTTTTTTTTTTTAAGACAGGGTCTTGCGCATGTGCCCAGGATGGAGTGTAGCAGTATGATCATAGCTCATTGTAACCTTAAACTCTTGGGCTCCAGTGATCCTCCTGCCTCAGCCTCCCAAATAGGTAAGACTACAGGCTCATGCCACCATGCCTGGATAATTTCTTTTATTTTTCATAGAGACGGAGTCTTACTATGTTGGCTGGGCTGGTCTCGAACTCTTGGGCTCATATGACCCTCCCACCTCGGCCTTCCAAAGCGTTACTGGGATTATAGGTGGGAGCCACAACACCTGGCCTATTTTAAAAGATACAAATAAGCAGCTAGAGAAGAGGTACCTAGGGTGAGGTCTGCAAGGGTCCCAAGCACAGGAGTTTCTGCCTTGTGGAGTTGGGGTGTTCCATCTTCCTGGCACATGAATAAATTCTGGTTCACCTTCCTGTCAGCCTGCATGTGTTCAGCTCTCTGAACTCTGCCCTTTTGGGTTTTTATGGAGGCTTTATTACATAGGCATGATTGATTAAACTATTGGCCATTGGTGATCAACTTGACCTTCAGCCTCTCTCCCCTCCCCGGAAGGTTGGGGGGTGGGGCTGAAAGTCCCAACCCTGTGATCATGCCTTTGTCTTTTTAGTGGCCAGTCCCATCCTCAATCTATCAGTCAACAATTGCATATGAAAAAAAAAAAAGCACTTTGGAGATTCAAAGTATTTTAAAAGTTGTATGCCAGGAAAGGGGACGGATACCAAATATATACTTCACAATATCACAGGGGCTCTTTGTCTCTCTGAAAAACAGATCCATTTGGCCAAGACCTTCACCACCCAGAATCACATTTCTTTCCTGGCTCAAAAGTACACACAACATTAACACCTCATCCTCCTCCCTTATATCTCCTCCCCTACTCCCCAGCTTCTAGCCTAAACTAGAATCTGCCCAACAACATCGGAGTCCGTATCCCTTTTCATAAGTCCTTGTAACAAATGATGAAATGTCTAGTCTGCATTCAAATTGCCAGACAAGCAGGGCATGAGAGGGCAGAGAAAAAGTGGAGGAGAAAGCTGTAGCTGGAAGCTTCCTCTGTCTCTCCTGTTCTTCGGGACCACACTCTGCTCCAGTAATTTGCAGAACCCCATAAACATTGGACTCTGCCCTCCTGGCGAGTGTACATCACCACTGTGCCCCCACATCTGGTCAGAGGAGGATGTTTGGCTGTGAGCTGGGACTAATCAGAGTAGCACAAGATGGAGGAAAGCCAGCACTTATTTTCTCACTTCCTCATAGCTTCTGTCCCTCCTCCCTCTTGCCACACTTCTAGACATGCAAGCAAATGTTTCTTCCTAGAAATGGACAACACTGACAAATGAGAGCACAGAGAAGTGTAATTCACAGGATTTTCACAATTGCACAAAACAACATTGTAAGAATACAAATTACAATGTTAGAGAAAAAAGAAACTCTAGAATCCCACCATTTTAATGTTTCCCATAAACCACAGACATTTTTCAAAAAATGGGGCTTCCAGTCCTTATATTTGCACACATATTTGTGATCAGAATATTGATCGAAGGTCCTTGCCCTGGCTGCCCATTTGAATCACTAAGAAATATGGATGTCCAGGTGTTGAGGCTCAGATATATGTACCTCTATTTTGGTTAAATTTTTATTGAAATAAACATATATTATAAATGTGAAGCTAGATAGATTTTCACAAACTGAACAAAACTGAGTGACTAGCTTTCCAGATTCAGAAACAGATTCTCACCAGCAGCTCAAGAGAGCCACTAGGGCCCCTTTCTAGCTACTGCAGCCCAGTGAAAGTTGTCAACATCCTAACTTCTAACATCATGGGTTAGTTTTGTTTGTTTTTGAAACTAAAAAAAAAAAAAATTAAAATAATATCTACTCCTGTGCTAGCTTCCTTCCCTCAATGTTATATGAGATTCACTTATATTTGTTGCAGGTAGTTGTGATTTGTTCATTTTCATTGCTTTATAGTATTTCATTGATTGAATAAACCACAATTTATTTATCCATTTCACTGTTGATGGGCACCTAGGTAGTTAACAATTGATAAATTGGAGCATATTAAAGTTAAGGAACAACAAAATTTAACAAAAGTCACCATTAAAGAGAGGGATATGTGAAGAAAAATATTCTCAATACACATATAAAAAATAAAAGACCTGTACCCCAGTGAGAGGGAATGAATATATAGACAGGAATCCTATGTATTAACCAGTAAAACACAGCTCAATTTTAAAAATACTTGGCACACCTCAGAGAAAATATGCAAATACTCAATAAATATATGCTCAACTTCATTTATGGCTCAGGAAATAAAAATTAAAATATCCACTGGAGTGGTTAAAATTAAAAAGATATAAAATACCAAGCAATGGTATTGAATATGGAACAATGGGGATTCTCATATTGCATTGGTGTGAGTGTTAATTTGTACAACCATTTTGGAAAACTCTTTGGTGATATCTATGAAAGCTCATCACATGCATATCCTGATTTAGCAATTCTATTCTCAGATATACACTTCACAGAGATGCATACATATGTGCCCCAAAAGATAGGTACTATATAAGATGTTCTTAGTACTACATTTGTAATGGCCCCAAACAGCTCTTTATGTTTAAGATGCTCTACAGGTGATTCTTAGGACCAATCAGGGCTGGAAACTATGACAATAAATATACTTTTAACAGAATTTTAAGTTAAAATTGCATTTTATGTGCTGACTTAATAGGGAAATTATAAGCCTTTACCTTTCTCCTTTGTAAGAGACAAAGCCTTAATAATAGTTATGGCTAAAATGTATTTATCTATAAAATACTAAGGTTTTTTGTTATTTGTTGAAATACTAAATGTTTTCAAGATCATTTCTATTTTTTATGTGGTAGAATCTTAAGAAGTATTTGGCTTTGATGATAGGATCTAATATGGGAAGAGGTTAAAGTCAGGAAAAAGTAGTAATAATTCCTTAGTAATAAATCTGTACAGTAGTACAATATAACTTGGTCCTCAGCTACATCCTGAAATTTAAAAAAAGAGACTGAAAATGATTTCCCCTCCCAGTGAAGCCATCAGTTTCAGGCAGCATTACCAGGCCATCAAAAGAGGATGGGTTAATTTCTCACTAGAGAGGTCTTGGGTAGGATTCAGTCTCTCTGCTAGGTGTCTAATTCTTTAATTGTCCCAACACTTGAAATGGCCCTGGGAGGTGGTTCTTTTACTTCCATTTGACAGGTAAAGGAGTTGAGGCTCAGGGAGGCAAGGCCACCTGTAGGAAGGTCACACAGCCTGCAGGTGACAGAGCCAGATACTCCCTAGGAGATGGGTATTTCTGGTGCTGACAATAGAGGAACAGGCAACAGGTGTTTATTTAGGGCTTTCTATTTGTGGGGAACTGGGCTAAGCACTGGCTTATGACAAGGGGTTCCAAGAGGAGTGGAGACCAGGGAGTTGGTATAAGGCAAGATTTTCATTTTGAGAGACGAGGCTATTTTTTGGAAATATTTTCGAATATTAAAAAAAAGGGCAAGAGCTGATTCACTCTTTCTGTTGTGGTTGGGAGCTTGACAGGAGAAGATATTCAATGACAGCTTTGAATAGTTGTATTAGTCCATTTTCATATTGCTATAAAGAACTACCCAAGACTGGATAGTTTATAAAGGAAAGAGGTATAATTGACTCACAGTTCAGCATTGCTGGGGAAGCCTCAGGAAACACAATCACAGCAGAAAGTGAAGGGAAAGCAAGACACCTTCTTCATAAGGTGGCAGGAAGAAGGGTTGAGCAAAGGGGGAAGAGCCCCATTGGATTTCATGAGAACTCACATAGTATCAGGAGAACAGCATTGGGGAAGCTGCCCCCCGTGATTCAATTACCTCCACCTGGTCTCTCCCTTGACATGTGGGGATTTTGGGGATTAAAATTCAAGATGAGATTTGAGTGGCCTAAGCATATCAATGGTACTCTGCAAAATTGGGATAAACACTGAGGTTGAGGTTATAAACTAGGTGGCGGGTAGTTTGAGAAAATGGAAAATCTCTTTGCTCTCTAACAGATAGCTAGTACTGTTTGGCAGGAAGTGTATTTCAAAAGACAAATTAGGACCAATGTGGCAAATGAGGTTAAAGATGATTCTTGAAATGGAACTGTAGTCAGATTGTCCAGGAGCATTTGAGATAAAGTGTAGTGTGGTAGACGTAGGCTGACTAGGCTTATTCTTATCCAGAAGATGGGCGTCAAGGGTAGTGTTGAGTCGAAGAGACTGGGTCAGGGCTACAAACTGATAGCAGTGGCCTTGGATGCAGATTGTACCTTTGCTTGTGCTGACAAATCCTTCTCAGCTCCCCACTCCACTTTAATCAAACTCCCGGAACTGCTTCAAGATGCCCTGGTTCTCAGGTAGATACTTAGGGAAGGTGTGTCTTTCTTTTTTCTGCACTGGGGCATGACGAGAGAGACATCTAACTCTGCAGTTGTACTGGGCTGGTGTACTGGGCCATCAAGGCGCTACTGAGCCCAGGTGTAATGAATCTAATCTCAAAGGAAATAGAAAGCTGTGGAGGGCCACCACTAAATTATGGCCAGTTACTACTATTTCTTGAATACCTGTCCTGCCCTGGACACTACAGTTTATACTTTACAGGAACATTACCTCACCTCTACACCTTACAGCAAATTTTCAGTGTGAGTATTTTAATTCCATTTAACAGTTGGGGCACTTAGGATAAGAGAGGTAAAGATTCTTGCTTAGAGTCCTACAACTTGTAAATGGCTGAGGCTTGGTTTTAACTTGATTTGTGTGATTCTAAAGATAGTGTCCTCTCCACCACTTGGCCTGGTAGGGAAAGCTGGAGAAATGTGTCCAAACATGTGGTCTACACACCAGGCCTGGAATCTAGCTGACTGGAATGAGCGAATGGATCTCAATCATGCATTCTCAATGAGGGTTGTATTGCCCACAGGGAGCGGCCAAAAATTCTTAGGTCTCATTTAATGGTTTGTAGTCCTACAAAGGTCAAGAGTTCATAACCATATATATCGTATATCTGTGGTATTGACATTTTATACGGAGGGTGTGATCAGGAAAAAAAAAAGTCTAAAAAGGCTCCTTAGGGAGGTCATGATAGTTAAAAGGTTGACAGTCACTGCTTTTTAGTTGCATATCAGGCATAGGAGGGTACTGTGGCTAAATTTCAACCTGCCCCCTTGATGAACTAGTCTCTAACTGGGCAGGGCAGGGCTGAGTTTTGCTTAATTTTACCAGAAGAAAGCCTGCTGTACACTGGGAAAAAAATAGTGTTTCTCACATATTCTGATCTGTTCCTAGTGCGCACCATCATTATGTCATTCTTTCATCTATAAAAGTCTGCCCTGAAGGTCCTGTCAGGCAATCTTGAGCGGGCTGGCTGCAGATTACCAGGTCCAGAAGGTTGGGTAAAGGGTGGAAAATATAGTTGCTAGTAATGATGAACAAGGGTGGTTTAGGTAGAGGGGAGCAATGTTTTTCCCTTCTAGGCTCTGGCTGCTCAGAGTATAGTCCTCGGGAGGCAGCACCAGCACCACCTGGGAGCTTGTTAGAAATGCAGCATATCGGGATCCACTCAGCCTTAATGGGTCTCCTGGACAACATGCATATCAAACGGCAACAGCATATCAAAAATAGATCATGCAGGAACAAGAGAGGAAGTAGAAAGCCTACTAAAGAGGCTGTCCAGGAGAAAGTGTAGTTCAGAGACCCGTTAAGTTAAATTTTGAGAAGTACAGCTCTAGGCCAGGGGTGTTCAGTCTTGGCTAAGTTAGAATCTCCTGGACATATTAGACAATATAAGATTCCTAGGCCCTACTTGAAACAACTTAGATCAAGCACTGGCTTGGGAAGGTACTTGCAGGTATGGTTTTATATTGAGTGACCTGATTTATGGTTTGCATAGATCCCTCTGCTACAGAGGATAATTTGTGAGTGGGTGTGGAAGGCAGGCAGGGCCAGGAATGAAAGCAAGGAGACCACGGAGACCTTCCATACAGGCTGTATTAGGCAGAGCAAAACTGCATCAATGTTTTCTTTCTTTTTTTTTTTTTTTCAAGACAGTGTCTCACTCTGTTGCCCAAGCTGGAGTGCAGTGGCATGATCTAGACTCACTGCAACTTCTGCCACCTGGGTCCAAGTGATTCTCTTGCCTCAGCCTCCCACGTAGCTGGGATTACAGGCATGCACCACCACAATGGGCTAATTTTTGTATTTTTAGTAGAGACAGAATTTCATCATGTTGGCCAGGCTGGTCTCAAACTCCTGACCTCAGGTGATCAACCCACCTCGGCCTCCCAAAGTGCTGGGATTACAGGCGTGAGCCACTATGCCTGGCCAGTGTTTTGTTTGTTTTTTTTTTAACTCATACTTCCGGGCTTTCCTTTGAGGCAGGAAAAAGATTCCAATTTCATCTCACACACCGTAGCTTCCCTCCTCACTGGGACTCTCTGTGATGCTCAGGAGTGTTGTGAGTAGTTGACATTTTAAGAAGAGTACTTGGCAACAGCATATCAAAAAAGATTATGCAGGAACAAGGGAGGAAGTAGAAAGCTACAGTAAACAGGCTGTCCAGGAGAGAGATGGTGGTGGCTTTACTAGGGAAGGTAGTAGAAGAGAAGAAGGAGAGAGGAGAAGGGAATGGATTTGTTATTGATTTTTACATGGCAGTTGTGGATGGATTGGATTTGGTAAATGAAAGAAGATTAACTTTTTTTAAAACAACATTTTATTTCAGTTTGTTAATACGGTTAATTATATTCTTCCTATTTTTAATCCAGATTACTTTATCTCTCTTGCAATTATGTAATGTTTTGGATAATTAACATTGCAGAACTCTAGGGGAGACTGAATATTGTCCCTGTGTATTAACATTAAGCTCATATCACTCTTCAATCTGTGTTATGACTTTTTTATTGCCCAGTGTGACTTTAGTCTAGGTCCTCCTGAATTACTGCAAAGTATGATGATGTTGGTTCACTTTCTGTTGTTGTAACTCGGTGGTCACAGGTCTTTTGAGAAAAGCAGGATTTCTTAACCTTAGCACTTTCAGCATTTCAGGCAAGATAATTCTTTGTTGTAGTGGGGTTGTCCTGTGCTTTGTAGGATATTTAGTATCCCTGGATTCTATCTATTAGATGTCAGTAGCATGCTCCTAGTCGTGACAACCAAAAATGTCTGCAGACATTGGCAAATATCTTCTTGGGGGCAAATTGCCCTGGGTTGAGACACCGCCAACTAGGGCTAGGGCTAGAGTGTACATATTTGGTCTCATAGAAGCAATCCTCAAAGAGACGCTGTCTTCCTTTCTTTCAAAATCTTTGCATCTTAAGTCTGAAAATTGGTTGAGGTTCCACAATTCCTTATTGTGCTAATGCAGGTATGGCGTCGGTTCACCAGACTGTTTGTGAATCAAGTAGGACATTAATGGAGTGCAATGGACTGAATGTTTACATTCCGCCAAATTCATTTGTTGAAACCCTAACCCCCAAGGTGATGGCTTTAGGAGATGAGGTCTTTGGGAAGTGATTAGGTCATGAGGGCCAAGCCCTCATGAATGGGAATAGTGGCCTTATAAAAGAGACTTCAGAGAGATTCTTGCCTCTTCCACCACGTGAGGACATGGCCAGAATGTGCTGTCTATGAGGAAGTGGACCTCACCAGACACCAGATCTGCTGGTACCTTGATCTTGCACTTCCAAGGCTTAACAAATGTGAAAAATAAATTTCTGTTGTTTGTAAGCTACCCAGTATATAGTATTTTGCTATAGCAGCCTGAATGACTAAGGCATATGATAATTACCTGTTTCAGTTCTAGGGATACCATGATCAACTATTAAGTGGAATGTTAAAGATCTCTATCTGGCTGTGTGCAGTGGCTCATGCCTGTAATCCCAGTACTTTGGGAGGCCCAGGTGGGAGGACTGCTTGAAGCCAGGGATTCAAGATCGGCCTGGGCAACAAAGTGAGGCCCTGTCTCTACAAAACAAACAACAAAAATTAGCCAGGTATGGTGGTACACACCTGTGGTCCCAGCTACCTTCCTCATCTTTTGTGATCAAATGCCAGCAATTGGCGCATTCTCCCTGGGATCTCATCACTTCCACTGAAGTCACAGACCCCAGTTAGAAGGTAGCATTTCCCCCTCTCATTTAGAACCTTTAGAGAACAGCTACCACAAAGATCTTTCTTTCCCAATGTATTTTGGAAAGCTGAAATGAAAGATGTATCCTCTGAACCATTCTGAGGAACTTAGCCAGTATCTGAACAGGTACTTACTCACTTCAGCTTATCAATCTCCCTAGGCCTTTAGTTCCCTTTAGTAGTATACCAAGAAGGTAAGAAACATCAAATTAATTTAGTGCCCGTTAGTTAATGCAGTTTCTTCATAGCGTCGATAGTCTTTGCAATTTGGTATGTTTTTGCAGTGGCTACTACCGGTTGTTCCTTTCCATGTTTAGTGCTTCCTTCAGGAGCTCTTGTAAGGCAGGCCTGGTGGTGATAAAATCTCTCAGCGTTTGTCTGTCTGTAAAGCATTTTATTTCTCCTTTGCTTATGAAGCTTAGTTTGGCTGGATATGAAATTCTGGGTTGAAAATTCTTTTCTTTAAGAATGTTGAATATTGGCCCCCACTCTCTTCTGGCTTGTAGGGTTTCTGCAGAGAGATCCACTGTTTGTCTGATGGGCTTCCCTTTGTGGGTAACCCGACCTTTCTCTCTGGCTGCCCTTAGCATTTTTTCCTACATTTCAACCTTGGGGAATCTCACAATTATGTGTCTTGGGGTTGTTCTTCTCGAGGAGTAACTTGGTGGCGTTCTCTGTATTTCCTGAATTTTAATGTTGGTGTGTCTTGCTAGGCTGGCGAAGTTCTCCTGGATAATATCCTGAAGAGTGTTTTCCAACTTGGTTCCATTCTCCCCATCACTTTCAGGTACACCAAACAAAAGTATATTTGGTCTTTTCACATAGTCTCATATTTCTTGGACGGTTTGTTCGTTCCTTTTCATTCTTTTTTCTCTAATCTTGTCTTCTCGCTTTTTTTCATTAAGTTCATCTTCAATCTCTGATATACTTTCTTCTGCTTGATTGATTCAGCTATTGATACTTGTGTATGCTTCATGAAGTTCTTGTGCTGTGTTTTTCAGCTCCATCAGGTCGTTTATATTCTTCTTTAAACTGGTTATTCTAGTTAGCAATTCATGTAACCTTTTGTCAATGTTCTTAGCTTCTTTGCATTGGGTTAGAACATGCCTCTTTAGCTTGAAGGAGTTTGTTGTTTGTTATTACCCACCTTCTGAAGCCTACTTCTGTCAATCTGTCAAACTCATTCTCTGTCCAGTTTTGTTCCCTTGCTGGCAAGGAGTTGTGATCCTTTGGAGGAGAAGAGGCACTCTGGTTTTTGGAATTTTCAGCCTTTTTGTGCTGGTTTCTCCCCATTTTTGTGGATTTGTCTACCTTTGGTCTTTAATGTTGGTGACCTTGGGATGAGGTCTCTGAGTGGACGTTCTTTTTGTTGATGTTGATGCTATTCCTTTCTGCTTATTAGTTTTCCTTCTAACAGTCAGGCCCCTCTGCTGCAGGTTTGCTAGAGTTTGCTGGAGGTCTACTCCAGACCATTTGCCTGCGTATCACCAGCAGAGGCTGCAGAACAGCAAAGATTGCTGTCTGTTCCTTCCTCTGGAAGCTTTGTCCCAGAGGGGCACCTGCCAGATGCCACCCAGAGCTCTCCTGTATGAGATGTCTGTCAGCCTTTACTGGGAGGTGTCTCCCAGTCAGGATACATGGGGGTCAGGGACACACTTGAGGAGGCAGTCTGACCCTTATCAGAGCTTGAACACTGTGCTGGGAGATCTGCTGCTCTCTTCAGAGCTATCAGGCAGGGACATTTAAGTCTGATGAAGCTGCACCCACAGCCGCCCCTTCCCGCAGGTGTTCTGTCCTAGGGAGATGGGGTTTTATCTATAGGTCCCTGACTGGGGCTGCTGTCTTTTTTTCAGAGATGCCCTGCCCAGAGAGGAGGAATCTAGAGAGGCAGTCTGGCTGCAGCAGCCTTGCTGAGCTGCGGTGGGTTCCACCCAGTTCAAACTTCCTGACGGCTTTGTTTACAATGTGAGGGTAAAACTGCCTACTCAAGCCTCAGCAATGGCAGACGCCCCTCCCACCACCAAGCTCTACCATCCCAGGGCAACCTCAGACTGCTGTGCCGGCAGCAAGAATTTCAAGCCAGTGGATCTTAGCTTGCTGGCTCTGTGGGGGTGGGATCCACTGGGCAAGACCACTCGGCTCCCTGGCTTCAGCCCCCTTTCCAGGGGAGTGAACAGTTCTATCTCACTAGGGTTCCAGGTGCCGCTGGGATATGAACAAAAAAAATCCTGGAGCTAGCTCAGTGTCTGCCCAAATGGCTGCCCAGTTTTATGCTTGAAACCCAGGGCCCTGGTGGCCTAGGAACCGGAGGGAGTCTCCTGGTCTGTGGGTTGTGAAAACCATGGGAAAAGTGCAGTATCTGGGCTGGAGTTCACCGTTCCTCCCAGCCCAGTCCCTCATGGCTTCCCTTGGCTATGGGAGGGAAATCCCCCGACCCCTTGTGCTTCCCAGGTGAGGTGACGCACCACCTTGCTTCTGCTTGCCCTCCACATGGGCTGCACCCACTGTCCAACCAATCCCAATGAGATGAACCGGGTACCTCAATTGGAAATGCAGAAATCACCTGCCTTCTGTGTCGATCTCACTGGGAGCTGCAGACCAGAGCTCTTCCTATTCGGCCATCTTGCCAGCAAATGTATTCTCTGTTTTGCACAATTTTGAGATATTCGTAATTAGAGAGGCTATCCACGAATCTCAAAAATTACAGAGATGCTGCCCTCAGCTTTCCCTCTGAACCTACCATGTGTTGTTTTGCTTCTCTTGATATTTTATTGCTGTTAGCTGTCAGTGGCTCCAGGAAGAGTGGGGATCAGGGAACTGTTATAACAGGAACTTATTGGAGGGAACTATGCCATTTTGCATAGGATAGGCTGGTGTGGTGCACCAGCCATATCCGAGTACTGCTGGTTGAGAGCCCTCCATTCACTGCTTTCAGCTGAGGACTTTTCTTGTCTAACGTTACACTCCTTAACCAACGACTGATTGATGCAGAGTCATAAAGGCCTAGCTATATAATCCCAACTTGGGACAACTTTAAGGGCTCTTTCAGCTTCAGAGCTCCAATGGGGTTGGATGACATGTTCATTGACACGTTATAATCCAACCTCTCCCTGCTCTATCCTGGCCCTTTCCCTTCCATAGCTGTTGACCTAAAGAGTACTCCCAAATAAAACTCCTTTATGTTAATTGCTTTCTCAAAGTCTGCTTCTGGGAGAATGCAACCTGCAACAAAGGCAGTGATTGCCACAGGAAAATGCCATTTGGCTTGGGTAGGTGCAAAAGCTATGATGTCTTAGCAGGTATACAAAAAGAGTCCCTTCTGTCTGAGTATTTCGGGCATTGCAAAGCAGGGCTACTTGGAATAATGTCCTCCTACGTGGAAAAAGCATGTGAATTGAAGATTGGGGTGCAGACAGCTGGACAGTACATAAATACAAAAATGTTCTTTGATAAATAAGATTGTAATAGATGGCCTTGCTTTTAGGAAGAACTTTCGGGACACAATATAGGTTGAAGGTGGCAGGAAATGTATCTAAAATAAAGGCCAACTGGGCACAGTGGTTCAGGGCTATAATCCTAGCACTTTGGGAATTGAGGGCAGGACAATTCCTTGAGAACAGAGGTCAAGACCAGCCTTTGCAACATGGGACCCTGCCACTACAAAAATTAAAAAATTAACTGGGTGTGGTGGTGTATCTCTGCAGTCCTAGTTACTTAGGAAGCTGAGTGTGGAGGGTTGCTTGAGTCCAGGGTTTGAGGCTGCAGTGAGCCATAATCCCACTACTGCACTCCAGCCTGGGCAACAGAGTAAGATCCTATCTCTAAAAAAATAAAATAAAATAAAATAGAAGCCATAGTCAGGTTTTTCCAAAGACATTTTAGATTGCAAGGCTAAAGTAGACCCTTTGGCCACCTAGGCTTGTCCTTTCCCTGTAGGTAGATGTCAAAGTCAATATCCAGCTAGAGAGACTAATTGGGAATATCTGTGTCACCAAAGTTCCCTGCAGATTCGGTTCAGATATCCAATGGACAGTGCTATGGTTTGAATGTGTCCCACCAAAATGCATGTGTAAGAAACTTAATCCCCAATACAACAGTATTGGGAAGTGGAGGCTAATGGGAAGTGTTTGATCAAAAGGGTTCTACCCTTATGAATGGACTAATGTCACCATAAAAAAGGGCTTATGGGAGTGGGCTCTCTGTCTCTCTGTCTCACTCTCTCTCTTTCCCTCTCTTCTGCTCTTCTCATGTGAAGACATGGTGTCCCTTTCCTCTGGAGGATACAGTATTCAAGGTGCCATCTTGGAAGCAGATAAACCAGGCTATAATCTACTGGTACCTTGATCTTAAACTTCCTAGCCTCCAAAAATGTGAGAAAATAAATTTCCATTCTTTATAAATTACCCAGTCTCAAGTGTTCTGTTACAGCAGCACAAAATAGACTAAGACAGATAATATTTTTGGTAGATTGAATTATTAGCTTCAATTCTTCACTCCTCTCTTTATCCACACATTTTCTTGTGGAAAGAGTGAAATTCCCCATCCCTTAACATTGGGCTTGGCCATGTGACTTGCTTTGAGCAATAGGATATTAGCACTTTCATCCACTTGAAATATCCTTGCACAGTGGGGTTAATCATCTTGCGTATCTGTTATCATTTTGAGGGACATGCCATGGTAAGCCTAGTGATCAAAGAGGATAAAAGTTACACAGAGGGCTGGCCATGGAGTCTCACACCTGTAATCCCAACACTATAGGAGGCTGAGGCAGGCGAATTGCTTGAGCCCAGGAGTTCAAGACCAGCCTGGGCAACAAGGCAAAACCCTGTCTCTACAAAAACTACAAAAATTAGCCAGGCACGGTGGTGCATGCCTGTAGTCCCAGCTACTCGGGATGGCTGAGGTAGGAGGGTTACTTGCATAGTGGTGCATGCCTGTAGTCCCAACTACTCAGGGTGGCTGAGGTCGGAGGGTTGCTTGAGCCTGCATGTTGAGACTACAATAAGCTGTGATTGCATCACTGCATTTCAGTTTGGGTGACAGAGTGAGACCCCGAAAAAAAAAAAAAAAAGCCTTATACAGCTGACTGAGACCTGCAATCCAAGGCAGAGCCACCTCCATTGACCCAAAAACTCATGAGTAGAACAAATGTGTTGTTGCATAAAATTTTGCAACTCTTTATTCCACAGCAAAAATCAACCAACACAGTAGGGTCTGCTGGGGAAGCATCTCCATTTTGCTGCTTCCTGTTCCTTTACTTGTTTTGATAAAGCTCTCAGCCTTCCTAATACCTAGAATTCCCTCTAGATGTTCTCTACAGAAAGAATGTCTTTCTGCTTCTTCCATGAGGACCAGGTAGTGGTAAAGTTCTTACTTGAAAGATATCTGGGTTAATAGCAACCTTTTCACCTGGTGTCTGCATTTCCAGATTGGGCATCTTTCAGATAGTGTTGGCCACTGGGCACTTAGCAAATGGAGAAGTGCACGTACTTGAAATGATGAATTAAAGTAGATTTATTAAATGCTAGCATTTATTGTTATTTCTGCATCTGCTGAAATTCCAAAACCAAGATGTTGGCAAGGCTGCTTTTCTTTTCAGAAGCTTTAGGAGAGAATCTATACCCCCATCTTTTGAAGCTTCTAGAAGTTACCCACATTACTCAGCTCATGGCCCACTTTCATCTTGAAAGCCAGCAGAGTGTCATCTTCAAATCTCTCTTCTCACCTGGCCTCTACCTCCCTCTTACTCACTTAAAAGACCCTTGTCATTACATTGGGCACACTTGAATAATCCAGGACACTCTTCTAATCTTAAAGTCAGTTGATTAGCAACCTTCATTTTATCCTCAATCTTATTTTTCCTTGCTGTATAACATAACATATTCACAAATTCTGGGAATTTAGATGAACATCTTTGGGTGGGCCATTATTCGACATTCTACATATACTTAAAGGCAGCTTTGGTTGCTAATAATTCTTGATTCTAGTTCCCTAGCAAGTAGGGGCAGGGGTGGGCCATTGGTACCCAGATACTCTTGAGACACATGAGGCTTTCTGTGATTTTGCAAGCCTAGATTTTGAAATCTAATGCTGGGCCTGTTCATGTTGGTCAGAATTGTGCACAGATAATTCTGTCTTCAGCTTCTATAGGCTAAACTTATGGCTGGAGATCAAGCACACATCTTTCTCTTCTCATGGGCATTTTTGTTTCAGTTATTAGGGCAGGGAAGTTCTCAATTCTTCTGCTCCTTCCATTGCTTTATCTACCTCAACTCACTGAGACCACATTTTCTTCCATTCCTCTATATGCTTCCATTCTATTAATGATTTATTTTTCCTTAACCTTTCCAGTCTAAACTTACATTCTGTGACATCAGTGATATTCATCCCATACCTTTTTTTCTTCCTTGTTCTTTTTTACTTCTAGCATTGCTCTAATCAACCCCAATTCTGGATCAACCAATCTTTTGCTTGTTGTGTGTGGTATTGTGAAAAAAGACCCTAGCCTCAGAATTTTAAATAAAACATTTTTGTACATGAAAACCATATTGCAAGATGGAAGGAGGATAATGGCCACAAACCAGCAAGAGGCTAAAGAAAATATCACTCCTAGTTCCTTAGCACCTCAAAATGATGGGTTTTCATTATATATATTCTGTAACCTAATTTCCTCTTGGAAAGTACTCCATAGTCAGCCAATAAGAAGGGCTATTTCCATCACTGCTGACTAATGTTGGCAACTTTTTGTGAACTAGAAAAAAAGCACCCCTTCCTCAAGACACTGTACTGCCACATGCTAGAAAATTGTTATAGTTTTACATCATAAATCAATACAAATTTGTGTAAATCTATACAAATTTATGATGATTATGATGTGATGAGCAACCTCTGACATGCTACTTCAACTCACTCAACGAATAGAGACCACATTAGCCTCCATTTTCCCATATTCTTCCCATTACTTACATTCTTGTTTCCTTTTCTTTCTTTTTAAACTTATATAGGCATTTATGGTCTATCACAACATGTACTATAAATGGAAATCTTGGGTCTTGTGACACACTGGGATTTTGTGATATGTGGGAATGGGTCAGACTGGTGAAGGTCATACCTTGTGGTCTTAAGTTGGCAAATTGGAAGAAGATTGTTTAAAGGCGACTACCTGCAGTTGAAAGAAGTTATATTAATTATCCAATAAAATATTTAAGATTTAAGGAGAATTCACAATATTTGCCTAGGAAAGTAAAACACTAACACACAATGCAGGAGTCTCAGTGTTTATTCTGAAAGGCAGTAGAATAAGGAAACCTTGAGATTTACCTGTTAGGATATATGACAACAAGTTCTGTTTATTATGGAAACTGTTTTTCTTCTTCATCAGCTTCCACTCCCTTGTAGATTTTAACCCAAATATCTATACCCATATATTTATGGGTCTTTCTAGGGGGTGTAATGATTGACTACCACTTTCAGTGACACTTACCAGAGACATATGTGATTAGAAGCAGAGAAGAAGGATCCTTCCACTGGGGTATTGGCTCAGTGGTTTTACCAGTACATACCCAGGTCATAATGTTATTTGTTTGAGTCTCCTTGAGAATCTTAGAGGTACCTTGAGATCTTCACTCAGTTTGGCGGAGATACCACAAGGCATATTATCTTTGTTCTTTAAGCTAAAAATGCCACATATTTTTAGATATGTGGGAGGATGTCATGGTTACAAAAGCTGAGGAGCTGAAATTTCCCACAATCTCCAGTATTATAACTCAATTTTTTGGGTAACAATATTATTGAGATATAATTCATATACCATAAAATCCACCTATTAAAGTCAATTCAGTGCTTTTTACTTGATTCATAGAATTGTGCAACCATCACCACAGACAATCTTAGAATATTTTCATCACCTCAAAAAGAAATTCTGTACCTGTTAAGTAACTAATTTCTAATCCCACCCCAGCCCACTACCGCCACCAACCCTAGGCAATCACTAATCTCATTTCTGTCTCTATTGATTTGCCTATTCTGAGCATTATAGCTCCATTTAACAAAAAAATTTTTATAAACCAATGATTCTTAAACTTTTTAAAATCTTAGGACTTCTTTAGAGCCTGAGAAAATTATTTAGGACCCCCAAAGAGCTTTTGTTTACCTGAATGGTACTGATCAATATTTACAGTATAAGAAATTAGAAAAGAAAAATTTTAAAAATATTTATTTATCTATTCTTTTTAAATTAATGATATATGCTCCATTGGACTCAGGCTCCAGACCTGAACCCCAGATGCAGGATCCAGGCCCAACCCTACAAATCTGGTTTCCAGGCCTGCCCCAGTAGACCCCAGCACCAGGGCTGGCCCCTGCATACACACACTCATAAACCCAGGCCCACACTCATAAACCCAGGTTCAGGACATCCCCGCCAGACTCCAGACACTAGGACTGCCCCAGGGCTATATAAGCCTTTGTATTCAAGATCAGGAGTTCCCCCCAACATCAGGTTAGCCCCCATGGACCCAGGCTTCTGAAATACCCCTGTGGCTCTAGTTTCCAGACCCACATAAGTGGACCCCAGCACCAGAAAACCCTTGTAAACTCAAGATCCAGCCTTGCACTTACAGACCTAGATCCCAAAATTAACTTGATGGATCAGGGTACTAGGATCATCTACCCACTGACCAAACACCAGACCAGCTTGACCAAGTCTGTGGAACTCCCTAGAGCTTCTTAAAAATGATTATTTTGCATTCTTCTTTAGACAGTTTATAGATCTCCATTTCTTGTTGTTGTTGTTCCCTTGGTAGTGTTATCTTTCCCCAATTATCTATAATCCTGTGGCCTTGCATTGGTATTTGCACAATTGAAGAAGTAGGCACCTCTTTCAGTCTTTATAAACTGGCTTTGGCAGGGAAAGCCCTTCACCAGTCAGCCTGTCCAAAGATTCTGAGTTCCACAAGTATATGAAAATTAAACAACATGCTACTTAACAATGAATGCATCAAAGAAGAAATTGAAAGAGAAATTTAAAAAAAATCTTGAGAAAAATGAAAATGGACAACAGCATACCAAAACTTATAGAAAGAAGCAAAAGCAGTTCCAAGACAGGAGTTTATACCAATAAACACCTATATCAAAAAAGAAAAAAAGATTTCAGATAAACAGCTTTCTGTTACACCTCAAGGAATTAGAAAAAAGAAAAGCAAACTAAGGCCAAAGTTAGTAGAAGGAAGGAAGTAACAGAGATGAGGGTAGAAATAAATGAAATAGAGACCAGAAAAGCAATAGAAAAGATCAATGCAAATAAGAGTGAGTTTTCTGAAAAGATAAACAAAATCAACAATATTTTAACTAGAGTAAGAAAAAAAGGGAAAAGAATGAAATAAATAAAATCAGAAATGAAAGACAAATTACATCAGGTGCCACAAAAATATAGTGTCATAAGAGACTGCCATGAACAATTATATACCAACAAATCAAAGAACCTAGAATAAATAAATAAACAGCCACCAAGACTGAGTCATGAAAAAATAGAAAATTTGAACAGACCAATAAGGAGGAAAAAGATTGAATCAGCAATAAAAAGAAAAGCCTAGGACCTGATGGCTTCACTGGTGAATTCTACCAAATACTTAAGGAACTAATGTCAATCCTTCTCAAATTTTTCCAAAACATTGAAGCGGAGGGAACACTTTCAAACTCATGTTATGAAGCCAGTATGTTAATACTAAAGTCAGGTCAGAAAACAACAAGAAAATAAAATACAAGCCAATATCCTTGATGAACATAGATGCAGGAATTCTCAGGAAAATACTAGCAAACCAAATTCATCAGGACATTAAAAGGCTCATTCACCATGATTAAGTGGAATTTGTCCCTAGGGTGCAGACTTTTAAATATAAATAAATTAATAAATGTAATATACCACATTCACAGAATAAAGGACAAAAACCATGTGATCATCTCAATAGATTAAAAAAAAGCATGTGATAAAATTCAACACTCTTTTGTGATAAAAACACCCAATAAAGTAGGAAGAGAGAGAAACTACCTAAACATAACAAAGGTCATACATGACAAGTTCACAGATAACATCTTACTCAACAGTGACAAATTGAAAGCTTTTCCTTTAAGATTAGGAACAAGACAAGATTGCCCAATCTCCCCTCTTCCATTCAATATAGTACTAAGCTGGGCATGCTTGTGTACCCCTATAGTTCCAGCTACTTGGGAGGCTGAGATGGAAGAATCACTTGAGCCCAGGAGTTTGAGTCCAGCCTGTGCAACATAGCAAGCCTCCATCTCCAAACGAACAAACAAACAAACAATATATGTAGTACTGGAAGTCCTAGCCACAACAATTAGACAAGAGAAAGAAATAAAATCATCCAAATCAAAAAGAAAGAAGTAAAATTTTCTTTGTTTGCAGATGACATGATTTTATACACAGAAGAATCCTAAAGACACCATCAAAAAACTGTTAGAACCAATAAATTCAATAAAACTGCAGGAGACAAAATCAACATACAAAAGTCAGTAGCATTTCTGCATACTAACAATGAACTATCCAAAATAGAAATCAAGAAAGCAATTTCAATGACAATAGCTGCCAAAACATACATAAGAATAAATTTAACCAAGGAGGCAAAAGATCTGTACATTGAAAACTATAAAACACTGATGAAAAAAATTGAAGAAGATACAAATAAATGGAAAGATATCCTGTGTTCATAGGTTGTAAGAATTAATATTATCAAAATGTCTATGCTACCCAAAGCAGTGTACAGATTCAATTCAATGTCTGCCAAAATTCTGATGATATTATTCACAGAAATAGAAAAAAAAAATCTTAAAATTAGTATGGAAGCACAAAAGGCCCCGAGTAGCCAAAGTCATCTTGAATAAAAAGAACAAAGCCAGGAGATAAATGGAAGATGGATATGGGACAGGGCTGATGTGCAGCACCCACTTGGACAGACACAACAGTGTATAAAGACTCACACCATGGACTTTTGGTTCAGGAACAATAGCAGCACCATAACAGAAAAACTGAAAGAATTCACAGATCCTTTGAAAGAAGTGGCAGTATGCTGTATATTCCATGAGACAGGCAAAAAACCGTGCATTCCCAAAGCGTGAGCGGGGAAAACCTGCCTCTGAATACATGTTGCCACTGGAGAGCCTGAAAATTCAAATCATGAGGAAAGGACTTAACCTTACCTAGAGATTAAACGGATTTAGCATAAAATATAAAAATAGAAGCAGCAGGGGAAGAGCCTTGTAGGCACTCTCGTTCTCCAGCTTGAGCCCAGAGAAGCCATCCCTGACTATATCTCACAGGGAACCTTGGTGAAGGCAGCTGGCAAAATTCGGGAGGGGTCACAGCATGAAAGGAGCTTCCAACTGAACTATGTAATAATTTTGACTGGGTGCAAACTTTCTTGAGCAGAATCTGGGGGTGAACAGGAATTGCCTCAAAGAGTAGAGCAGGAGTTGAGGCAGACAGTGTGGACAGACAGGAAGGGGCATGGCCTGAAAGCCTTGCTTGCTTTCTCAGTGGGGAAACTTATAGTCTGGGGTAAGGTCTGAGTCCTGTGGACAGGCTGCCTGGAGACAAACTTAGCGCTGTTAGCAGGGTACAGTGGAAAAGATACCAGTCTCACCAACACGTGGGAACTGGGTAAGGCCTATCACTAATGCCTTTCCACCACTTCCCTAGCCACGGATGCAGCCATAATTTCCTCTGGAACATAAGCCTATTGGCCCAAGAACTACCCCCTATCCCCCACAGTGGTCACAACAAGCCCCACTCAAGTGTCTGAGCTCAGACCCACCTAACCCTGCTCCCACCTGATGGTATTTCTCTACCTGTCCTGGTAGCGTATCACAAAATATAAACTCTTGGGAGCTTTATGACCCTTCCCATTGCCTGAGAAACCCAAATAGTTACCCTGGTCAACTTAGGGCAAGCTTATATCCACCTTCTACTATCATAGCTGGTGCCCTCTTGAAAGCACCACCTCCTGGCTGGAGGCCAACCAACTCAGATCCTTATAGCAACTCATGACAAAATAAGCCTGATCCCAGGAAGAACAAGGCAACAGCTAATTCCACTGCCCGCAACATCCTGGCTAACCAGAGTGTGTCCTGAGTGTGTCCATGTAACAACTTCACTGCTAGCGTAACAAGTATTTAAGAAGCCAGCACACTAAAAATATCTACAACCGAGGACTGTCACAGAGTCTGCTTCACTCCCCTGCCACCTCCACCAGAGCAGGTGCTGGTATCCATGAATGGGAGACCTGAAGATGGATCACATCACAGGATTGTTTGGAGACATTATCTAGCACCAGCCCAGAGCTCAGTAGCCCAAATGGGTGGCTAGACCAAGAAGAGCAATAAGAATCACTGCAGTCTGGCTAACAGGAAGCCCCATCCCTAGGGAAAGGGGGAACACACCACACCAAGGGACCACTTCATGAGACAAAAGAATCTGAACAGTAGCCCTTGAGTTCCAGACTTTTGTGCAGAAATAGTCTACCCAAATGAGAAGGAATCAGAAAAGTTAGTCTGGCAATATGACAAAACAAGGTTCTGTAACATCCCTAAAAGACCACACTAGTTCCTTAGCAATGGATCCAAACCAAGAAGAAAGCTCTAAATTGCCAAAGAATTCAGAAGGTTGATTATTAAGCTACTCAAGGAGATAACAGAGAAAGGTGGAGACTAACTTAAATTAAAAAAAACAGGATATGGATGAAAAATGCTCCACGTATTATATATATATATATGTATGTGTCTATATATATATGTATGTATATATGTGTATAAGTATATATATGTGTATATATATATTTTTTAAATAACAACTTCTAGTAATGAAAGACAGACTTAGAGAAATACAAAATGCAGTGGAAAGTTTCAACAATAGAATCAAACAAGTAGAAGAAAGAACTTCAGAGCTCAAATACAAGGCTTTTCAAATTAATTCAATCAGACAAAAACAAAGAAGAAGGAATTTGGTAAAAATGAAGAAGGCCTCCAAGAAACTTGGAATTATGTTAAATGGCCAAATCTAAGAATAATTGGTATTCCTGAGGTAGAAGAGAAATCTAAAAGTTTGGAAAACATATTTGAGGGAATAATTGAGAAAAATGTCCCTGGCCTTGCAAAAGATCTAGACATCCAAATACAAGAAGCTCAAAGAACACCTGTGAAATTCATCGCAGAAAGATAGTAATCCCAGGCACATAGTAATCAGGTTATCTAAAGTCAAAATAAAGGAAAGATTGTTAAGAGCTGTGAGACAAAAATCATTAAGTAACCTATAAAAGAAAACCTATCAGATGAATAACAGATTTCTCAGCAGAAATCCTGCAAGCCAAAAGGGATTGGGGTCATATCTTTAGCCTCCTCAAACAAAATAATTATCAGCCAAGAATTTTGGCTGTAGCAAAACTAAGCTTCATAAATGAAAGAGAGATAAAGTCATTTTCAGACACACAAATACTGAAAGAATTCACCACTACCAATCCAGTGCTACAAGAAATGCTAAAAGGAGTTCTAAATGTTGAAACAAATCCTCAAAATATACCAAAATAGAACCTATTTAAAGCATAAATCTCACAGGGCCTAGAAAACAAAATACAATTATAAAAAGGGATTTAGGCAACAAGTAGCAAAAATGAATACCACAGTACTTCACATCGCAATACTAACAATGAATGTAAATGGCTTAAATGCTCCACTTAAAAGATACAGAATGGCAGAATGGAGAAAAATCTACCAATCAAGTATCTGCTGTCTTCACGAGACTTACCCAATGCACAAGGACTCACATAAACTTAAGGTAAATGAGTGGGAAAAGATATTCCATGAAAATGGAAACCAAAAGTGAGCAGGGGTAGCTATTCTTATATCTCACAAAACAGACTTTAAAGCAACAACAGTTAAAAAAAGACAAAGAGGGACATTATATAATGATAAAAGGATCAGTCCAACAGAAAAATATCATAATCCTAAATTTATACACACCTAACATGAGTGCTCCCAAATTTATAAAACAATTATAACTAGACATGAAATGAGACAGATGGCAGCACAATAATAGTGGGGGACTTCAGTACTCCACTGACAGCACTAGACAGGTCACCAAGACAGAAAGCCAACAAAGAAACAATGAACTTAAACTATATCCTACAACAAAATGGACTTAATAAATATTTACAGAACATTCTATGCAACAGATGCAGAACATACATTCTTTTCACCAGAACATGAAACATTCGCAGAGACAGACCACATTATAGGCCACAGAACAAGTCTGAATAAATCTAAGATAATTGAAAGTATATCAAGTACCCTCTCAAACCATAGTGGGATAGAATCGGAAATTAACTCCAAGATGAACCCTCATAATAAAAAAAAAAAATCCATGTATTTTATGCTCCTGAATGATCACTGGGTCAACAATGAAATCAAGATGGGTCAACAATGAAATCAAGATGGGTCAACAATGAAATCAAGATGGAAATTTAAAAAGTCTTTAAACTCAACAATAATAGTGACACAACCTAACAAAACCTCTGGGATACAGCAAATGTTGTACTAAGGAGAAATTTCATAGCATAAAATGCCTACATAAAACAACCCGAAAGAGCACAAATAGACAATCTAAGGTCACACCTCAAGGAACTAGAGAAACAAGAACAAATCAAGCACAAACCAAGCAGAAGAAAAGAAATAACAAAGATCACAGCAGAACTAAATGAAATTGAAACAAAAAATATAAAAGATAAATGAAACAAAAAGCTGGTTCTTTGAAAAGATAAATAAAACTGATAGACCATCAGCAAGGTTAACCAAGAAAAGAAGAGAGAAGATCTAAATAAGTTCAATTAGAAACAAAACAGGAGATATTACAACTAATACCATAGAAATACAAAAGATTATCATTCAAGGCTACTATGAACACCTTTACATGCATAAACTAGAAAACCTAGAGGAAATGGATAAATTCCTAAAAATATACAACCCTCCTAGATTAAACTAGGAAGAAATAGAAAGTCTGAACACACCAATAACAAGCAGCAAGATTGAAATGGTAATTTTAAAATTGTCAACAAAAAAAGGTCTAGGACCCAATGGATTCACAGCTGAATTCTATCAGACATTCAAAGAAGAATTTGTACCAATCTTGTTGACACTACAAGAAAACAATAGATCAATAACCCTGATGAACATAGATGCAAAAATCCTCAACAAAATACTAGCTAACCGAATCCAACAGCATATCAAAAAAAAATAACACACCATTATCAAATGGATTTCATACCAGGGATGCAGGGATGGTTTAACATACACAAGTCAATAAATGTGATACACCACATAAACAGAATTAAAAACGAAAATCACAGAATCATTTCAATAGATGCAGAAAAAGCATTTGACAAAATCCATCATCCCTCTATGATTAAAACCCTCAGGAAAATCGGCATAGAAGGGACATACCTTAATGTAATAAAAGCCATTTATGACAAACCCATAGCCAATGTAATTCTGAATGGGGAAAAGTTGAAAGCATTTTCCCTGAGATCTGGAACAAGACAAGGATGTCCATTTTCACCACTTCTATTCAACATACTACTGGAAGTCCTAGCCAGAAAAATCAGACAAGAGAAAGAAATAAAAGGCATCCAAATTGGTAAAGAGAATGTCAAACTGTCACTTTTCATTGATTATATGATTGTATATCTAGAAAACCCTAAAGACTCATCCAAAAAGCTCCTAGATCTGATAAATGAATTCAGTAAAGTTTCAGGAAATAAAATAAATGTTCACAAATCAGTAGCATGCTACATACCAACAGTGACAAAGCTGAGAATTGAATCAAGAACTCAACCCCTTTTACAACAGCTGAAAAAAAAAAAAGTACTTAGGCATATACCTAACCAAGGACATGAAAGATCTCTACAAGGAAAACTACAAAATATTGCTGAAAGAAATCATGGATGACACAAACAAATGGAAACACCTCCCATGCTTATGGATAAGTAGAGTCAATATTGTGAAAATGACCATACTGCTGGTGCGGTGGCTCAAGCCTGTAATCCCAGCACTTTGGGAGGCCGAGGCAGGCGGATCACAAGGTAAGGAGATGGAGACCATCCTGGCTAACACAGTGAAACCCCGTCTCTACTAAAAATACAAAAAAGTAGCCGGGCATGGTGGCGGGCGCCTGTAGTCCCAGCTACTTGGGAGGCTGAGGCAG
Source organism: Homo sapiens (assembly GCF_000001405.40). NCBI lineage: Eukaryota > Metazoa > Chordata > Mammalia > Primates > Hominidae > Homo > Homo sapiens. The sequence continues at coordinate 7,028,197 of NC_000007.14, read as the reverse complement.
GAGAATGGCGTGAACCCGGGAGGCGCAGCTTGCAGTGAACCGAGATCATGCCACTGGACTCCAGCCTGGGTGAAAGAGCGAGACTCCATCTCAAAAAAAAAAAAAAAAAAGAAAAGAAAATGACCATACTGCCAAAAGCAATCTACAAATTCAATGCAACTCCCATCAAAATACCTTCATCATTCTTCACAGAACTAGAAAAAATAATTCTAAATTCATTTGGAACCAAAAAAGAGCCTGCGTAGCCAAAGCAAGACCAAACAAAAAGAACAAATCTGGAGGCATTACATTATCCAACTTCAAACTATACTTCAAGGCTACAATTTCCAAAACAGCATGGTACTGGCATAAAAATAGGCACATAGACCAATAGGACAGAATAGAGAACCCAGAAATAAAGCCAACTGATCCTCAACAAGGCAAACAAAAACATAAAGTGGGAAAAGGATACCATATTCAACCAATGGTGCTGGGATAATTGGCAAGCCACATCTAAAAGAATGAAGCTAAATCCTTATCTCTCATCTTATACAAAAATCAACTCAAGATGGATAAAGACTTAAATCTAAGACTTGAAACCATAAAAATCCTGAAAAGTAACTACAGAAAAACTCTTCTAGACATTGGCTTAGGCAAAGAGTTCATGACCAAGAACCCAAAAGCAAATGCAACAGAAACAAAAACAAATAGATGGGACTTAATTAAACTAAAAGGTTTCTGCACAGCCAAAGAAATAATTGGCAGAGTAAACAGACAACCCATAGAGTGGGAAAAAATATTCACAAACTATGCATTTGAGAAAGGACTAGTATTCAGAATCTGTAAGGAACTCAAACAAATCAGCAAGAAAAAAGCAAATAATCCCATAAAAAAGTGGGCAAAGGACATAAATAGACAATTCTCAGAAGAAGATATAGAAATGGCCAAAAAACATATGAAAAAATGCTCAACATCACTAATTATCAGGGAAATGCAAATCAAAATCACAATGAGATACCGCCTTACTCCTGCAAGAATGGCCAAAATCAAAAAATTAAAAAATAACAGATGTTGGTGTGGATGTGGTGAAAAAGGAACACTTTTATACTGCTGGTTAGAAAGCAAAGTATTATAACCACTGTGGAAAACAGTGTGGAGATTCCTTAAATAACTAAAAGTAGAGCTAGTTTGATCCAGGAATCCCACTACTGGATGTCTCCCAGAAGAAAAGAAGTCATTATATGAAAAAGACACTTGCATACACATTTATAGCAGCATAATTCATAATTGCAAAAATAGGGAACCAGCCAAATGCCCATCAACCAACAAGTGAATAAAGAAAATATAGTATACATACTCCACAGCATACTACTCAGCCATAAAAAGGAATGAAATAATGGCATTTGCAGCAACTTGGATGGAGTTGGAGACCATTATTCTAAGTGAAGTAACTCAGGAATGTAAAATCAAACACTGTCCATCTTCTCATTTATAAGTGAGAGCTAAGCTATGAGGATGCATAGACACAAAAATGATATAATGGACTTTGGGGACTTAGGGGGAAGGATGGGAAGGGGGTGAGGGATAAAAGACTATACATTGGGTACAGTGTACACTGCTCAGGTGACGGGTGGACCAAAATCTCTGAAATCACCAGTAAAGAACTTTTTTGTGCAGCCAAACACCATCTGTTCCTCCAAAACTATTGAAATAAAAATTAAAATTAAAAAAACTTTTGAAAGATGAAAGAAATAGAACAAAGCTGAAGGCATCACACTACATGAGAAAACAGGATCCAAATTCAAAAAATGAAATTGGACCCTTATCACATACCATATACAAAAATAAACTAAAAATGGATTAGATATTTGAATGTATGTCTGAACCTGTAAAACTACTAGACAAAATATAGGGAAAAAAGTGTTCTGACGTTGGCCTGGGAAATCATTTTTTTGGATATGACCCCAAAAGCATGAGCAACAACAGGAAAGATAGACAAATGGGACTGCATCAAACTGAAACGTTTCTGCACAGCAAAGAAAACAGTGAGCAGAATGAAAAGACAACCTACAGATTAGATTAGGAGAAATTATTTGCAAACCTTACATTTGATGAGGTGTTGATATCCAAAATATATAGAAACTCAACCAACTAATAACAAGGAAAAAAAAACAATTTTCAAAAGGGCAAAAGGCTTGATAGACATTTCTAAAAAGAAGACATGCCAATAGTCAGCAGGGGTATATAAAGGTGCTAAAAATCACTAATCATCAGGAAAATGCAAATTAACACCACAGTGAGATATCACCTCATATCTGTTAGAATAATTAGTATCAAAAAAAGAAGGATAACAAATGCTGATGGGGACAAAGAGAAAAAAGAAAACCCTTGCACACTGTTGGTGGGTACATGATATGGCATAGCCATAATGGAAAACACTGTGGAGGTTCCTCAAAAAAATTAAAAATGAAACTACTATATGATGAAGCAATCCAACTTCTGGGCATATATTGAAAGAAAATCAGTATGTCAAAGAGACATCTGCACTCCCATGTTTACTGCAGCATTATTCACATTAGTCAAGATATAGAATCAATCTAAGTGTCAATGGGCATATAAAATGGAATATTATTCATCCATAAAAAGGAAGGAGATCCTATCATTTACAACAACATAGATGAATGTAGAGAACATCATGCTAAGTGAAATAAGCCAGGCACAGAAACATAAACAGTAACATGATCTCACTTACATGTGAAATATGTAAAAGTCAACCTCATAGAAGCAGAGAGTAGCATTGTGGTACTGGAGGCTAGGGGATGAGGCAGAGGGAGGGATGTTGGTCAGCATGTTCAAAGTTTAGTTACGCAGAATGAAAGTTCTGGAGATCTAATGGACAGCATGGTGACTATAGTTAATAATACTATATTGTATACTTAAAATTCGCTAAGAGAGTAGATTTTAAATATTCTTACCACACACACACATACACAAAATGCTGACTATGTGAGAGGATGCATATGCTAACTAGCTTGTCTGTAGGGATTATTTCACTATGTGAATATATATCAAAACATCACATAGTGCACCATAAATATATACAATTTTTATTTGTTAATTATACTTCAATAAAGCTGGACAAAAGTAAAAATAGAACAATAATAAACCCTTTACATTTTAACATAAATAATAATTTTTACAAGAAATAATTATGTTTCCCAAACATAAAAATTAGTTATGAGTGATATTGTCTACAAATTTTGTAATCTCTTTTATGTTTGTCCTAGAAGATAGCTGGATTCTCACATCTGTTTACTTCCAATCTGCTGTGATATACTGTGTTAGATAAACACATGAAGATAATTTGGCCTCATGCAGATGTATAGCTGAAAAAAGGAGTAGTATTTTAATGGTCTTTTTAGACAATTGTGAGTATTTTTTGATATGACATCAAATTGTTTAAGTACTAGTTTACTAAAGGTTTGCTATAATGTGGAAACAGAAATGGTATCAATGAACTTTTTGTACTCCGTACATTTGGGTGTATGAAAGTGAAAAATTCAGGTCATGTCTCATATTATGAAAATATCTTTGACATCATGGACTTTCTGAAAGGATTGATTTGAGACCCATAATTGCTACTATAGACCAAAAATAGTAATAGTTTTACATGCACCTAGCAGGAGTAGGACATCTTCTTAAATTTTGGTCTGAGGAAGACACATGAAAACTGATTGAGTTTTAAGGTTAAGATGTTTTGCTTTTCTGACAAAAACAAGCAATGGAGAAAAGACTCCCTATTCATTCAATAAATGGTGCTTGCATAGGTGGCTAGTCATATGCAGAAGATTGAAGCTGGACCCCTTCCTTACACCATATACAAAAATCAACTCAAAATGAATTAAAGACCTAAATGTATAACCAAAAACTAAAAACTCTAGGAGAAAATCTAGGGAATACCATTCAGGACACAGGCATGGGCAAAGATTTTATGATGAAAACACCAAAAGTAATTGCAACAAAAGCAAAAATTGACAAATGGGATCTAATTAAACTAAAGAGCTTCTGCACAGCAAAAGAAACTATCACAAGAGTGAACAGACAACCTACAGAATGGGAGAAAATTTTTTCAATCTATCTGTCTGACAAAGATCTGATATCAGAATCTACAAGGAACTTAAATTTACGAGAGAAAAACAAACAACTCCATTAAAAAGCACACAAAGGACATGAACAGACACTTCTCAAAAGAAGACATGCATGCAGCCAACGAACGTATGAAAAAAAGCTCAACATCACTGATCATTAAAGAAATGCACATCGAAACCACAGTGAGATACCATCTCACTGCAGTCAGAATGGCTTTTATTAAAAAGTCAAAAAACAAAAGATCCTGGCAAAGTTGCAGAGAAAAAGGAACACTTTTACCCTGTTGGAGCGTAAATTAGTTCAACCACTGTGGAAAACAGTGTGGTGATTCCTCGAAGAACTAGAGGCAGAGATACCATTTGACCCAGCAGTCCCATTACTGGGTATATAACCAAAGGAATATAAATCATTCTATTATAAAGATACATGCACGTGTATGTTTATTGCAGCATTCACAATAGCAGACATGGAATCAATCTAAATGTCCATCAGTGACAGACTGGATAAAGAAAATGTTGTACATATACACCATGGAATACTATGGAGTCGTAAAAAGGAATGAGATCATGTCCTTTGCAGGGACATGGATGGATCTGGGAGCCATTATCCGCAGCAAACTAACACACGAACAGAAAACCAAAGGCCGCATGTTCTCACTTATAAGTGGGAGCTGAATGATGAGAACACATGAACACATTGCGGGGAACAACACACAGTAGGACCTGTTGGTGGTGCAAGGGCAGGGAGAACATCAGGAAGAATTGTTTACGGATGCTGGGCTTAATACCTAAGTAATGGTATGATCTGTACAACCAACCACATGGCACACGTTTACCTATGTAACAAACCTGTACGTCCTGTACATGTGCAGGACTTGAACTTAAAAGAAAAGTTGAAGAATAAATAAATATTTAAAACGATGGATTAAGGACTTAAATGTAAAACCCAAAACTATAAAAACCCTAGAAGGCAACCTAGGCAATACCATCCTGGATCTGGAAATGGGCAAAGATTTCACGACAAAGACACAAAAAGCAAACACGACAAAAATAAAAAATTACAAATGAGATCTAATTAAACTTAAGAGCTTCTGCACAGCAAAAGGAACTATCAACAGAGTAAGCAAGTAACTACAGAACGAGAGAAAATATTTGCCAACTATGTATTCAACGAAGGTCTAATATCCAGCATCTATAAGGAACTGACATTTGTAAGAGAAAAACAAGGTTGGGTGCTCACTCCTGTAACCCCAGCACTTCGGGAAGCCAAGGTGGGTGGATCACCTGAGGTCGGGAGTTCGAGACCAGCCTGACCAACATGGAGAAACCCCATCTCTATGAAAAATACACAATTAGCCGGGCGTGGTGGCACATGCCTGTAATCCCAGCTACTAGGGAGGCTGAGGCAGGAGAATCGCTTGAACCTGGGAGGCAGAGGTTGCAGTGAGCCGAGATTGCGCCATTGCACTCCAACCTGGGCAACAAGAGTGAAACTCCGTCTCAAAAAAAAAAAAGCAACCACCTTAAAAAGTGGGGGCAAAGGACATGAACAGTCACTTTTCAAAAGAAGACATACATGTGGCCAATGAACATATGAGAAAAAGCTCAATATCACTGATCATTAGAGAAATGCAAATCAAAACCACAATGAGATACCATCCCACACCAGTCAGAATGGTTGTTACTAAAAAGAAAAAAATAACAGATGCTTGTGAGGTTGCAGAGAAAAAGGAATCCTACACACTGTTGGTGGGAGAGTAAATTAGTTCAACTATTGTGGAAAGCAGTATGGTGATTTTTCAGAGAGCTAAAAGCAGAATTACCATTTGACCTAGCAATCCCATTACTGGGTATATACCCAGAGAAATTTAAAACATTCTACCATAAAGACACGTGCATGGGAATGTTCATTGCAGCACTATTCACAATAGCAAAGACATGGAATCAACCTAAATGCCCATCAACGACAGACTGGATAAAGAAAATGTGGTACATATACACCATGGAATATTATGCAACCATTAAAAAAGAATGAGATCATGTCTCTTGTGGGAATATGGATGGAGCCAGAGGTTATCATCTTTAGAAAACTATCACAGGAACAGAAAACCAAATACCGCATGTTTTCATTTATAAGAGGGAGCTTAATGATAAGAACTTATGGACACAAAAAAGGAAACAACACACACTGAGTTTACTTGAAGGGGCAGGGTGGGAGGAGGGAGAGAAGCAGAAAAGATAACTATTGGATATTGAGCTTAATACGAGGATGATGTAATAATATGTACAACACGTGTTTATCCATGTAACAAACCTTCACATGTACCCCCAAACCTAAAATAAAAATTAAAAGAGATGATGCATTGCTTTTGTTGATATTTATTTTTTAAATGGACAGTTTTTTGAAAAAAAGGGTTTCAAATAAAAATCTTTAAATGAACATGGAAGTAGTAGTTTGGAGTTTCTGGAAAGTTCTAGGCTTAAAATACAAATTTAGGAGTTACCAGCATACAATTTATTTTTGTCACAAGACTGGATTAGATTGTTGAGTGAGGAGTGCATAGATTTAAAATATATATTGGAGAAGTCTAAGGACTGAGCTTAGGGCTCTTCAATATTAAGAGGTCAAGACGATAAAAGGGAACAAGGAAAGGAGACTCAGAGAGTGGCTGATGAAAAAAGAGGAGGGTGAAGAGAATGTGCATTCTGGAAACTAAATGAATCAAATATTTAAAGAAAAAGGGTGATTAGGTGTATCAAATGTTGCTAATCAGGCAACGAAGATGAGGACTGAGAATTGACCATCGGATTTTGCAATGTGGAAGTCCTTGGTGACTCTGACAAGAGTTTTAGTGGAATGTCAGAGAGAAGCCATTTTGGAGTAGGTGTAAGAGAGAATATAAAAAAACTGGAAATGGGGAATTTAGACCAACCACTGGCAGAGTTTTGCTGTGAAGGTAATGAGAGAAATGGAGCAGAAGTAGAATGGAAAAAGAAGTAGAGCTGCAGAGTTGTAAAGTTAAGAGATTTTTTTGTTATTGTGTTGTTTGTTTTTGTTTTTACTTTTTTAAGATGGGAGAAATACTAGCATGATCACACACTGAGGGGAAGGTTCCTGAGGAGATCCGCTTCAGCTGTGTTAATACTAGTAATTAGTCCCTGCCTGGTTTTTAGCTAGATTATATTCACTCTTTCAGAATTATATGGCTATTTTAATAATTAAACTTTCAGACTGATAGGAAAGCTGAATGCTGTCTCTGTGCACTGCCTCTACCCTATCTTTCTTCAAATTGCTGTTCAGGTCAACAAAGACATACTTATTGATAGATCTAATAGTTAATTTTCTGCTGCTTATCTGCTAAATACGATTCTAACCATCCTCCTACTTGCTGCAACTCTTTCTTTCATTGGCTTCCAGGTTATCACCCAATCCTGATTCTCCGTCCCCCTGTCTCTGTGTGTTCTTAGTCTGTTTTGCCTGCTCCAGCTCTGCCTGCCCCTCCTGGGTTGGCATCCCCAAGGCCCTGTCTTTGATTCTCCTGTCTCACACACTTCAGGGTTATCAGCTTCCATCCTGGCTTCAATTCCTACTCTATTCATGACTCAATAACTTACGTAATAGTAACGGCATCTAACATTTACTGAGCAGTTAGCATAGTACTTGTGCCAGGCACTTTGCTAACTTTTGTACCTGCCTTGTCTCACCCAATTCATACCAAATACTCTTCTGAGAATTACCATCTTCATTCTAAAATGAAGAAGTGTATGCTCAGTAAGACCCCAAATTTTGTCTAATCCCGTGGCAGAACTTTGATTGAACCCATTGTCTATTTGACTTTGAAGCTGTTGTTATAACGACTATATTTCATTATCTTCTAAACCTCTAACTCAGATCTCCTTGGTTTTAGACTGACATCCAACTACCCACTGGATGTAGCTCAGGTACTTCTGCCTTAGTAGGTATTAAACTAAATTCATATTACTTGTCCCTCCTTTCAACCCCTTTTCTACCCTTCAATTGTCCCTATTTCAACACCTCCTTCTCTGATATTTCTTATTTCTTATCATGCTTTCTCCTTTAATCCACCCCTTAAGAACACTTTGGATTTTCTCTCTCCCTCATTGTAATTTCCGTTGGTCTCCAAGTCACCACAGAGGCGTCTCTGCATCCCAGCGCAGCCGGCATTCCCCTCTGCTTCCTAATTGACCTCTGGGCTGCTGAGTTCCCAACTGCAGTTGGTTCTCCCTACAGCTGTCAAGGTTAGCTTTTCAAAAAATCAATGTCATCATTCCACTCCACCTAAAAATCTCCAATGGGCCTTGTCACCTCCAGAGTCATTTGTGTTCTTAGAGGATTTCTTGTGTTCTTAGAGGATTTATAGAGACATAAATGGCCGTGCCTTCCTTGCCTGTCAGACACATCATGAACATATGTGAATAATTACATTTTAAGATATATGTAGATACTTCTTATGCTGAAGAAAACAAGTTTCAAAATCTTTACTAAATTTTAAATAAATTCATTAAATTAAAAATGAGTTATTCACCTGGTTTGGTGGCTCACATCTGGAATCCCAGCACTTTGAAAGACTGAGGCAGGAAGATTGCTTGAGCCCAGGAGTTCAAGACCAGCCTGGGCAATATGACAAAACCCTGTCTCTACAAAAAATACAAAAAATTAGCTGGGCGTGGTGGCACAGGCCTGTAGTCCCAGCTACTGGGGAAGCTGAGGTGGGAGGATCGCCTGAGCCTGGGATGTCAAGGCTGCAGTGAGCTGAGATCATGCCACCGCACTCCACCCTGGGTGACAGAGCAAGACCCTGTCTCAAAAAAAAGGAAAAAAGTAATCAATTATTTTTTCTCAATGGGTAACTTAATGCACAACGATTGTCTTATGAGTCTGCTCAATTTTTTGACATTAAAAAAGATACTCATTCATAACTACATACCGATTTGATTATTGTTATGTAAAAGCTCTCATTTTAACTAATACTCTTCGACATGTCTGTTTTCTGGCTGTGGACCTTGCAGCTAGGTCATGTTAATTCTGCATAATAAACTTTGGTAATGTATCAGTTACAGAGTGGAAATAGGTAATTGGTGTGGGGGAAGATTGGGATACTGACACTAGAGTCTTTTTGAAACTGGAATGGAATAAATTCCACATTCTAAAAAGCTCAATTAAAGTAATTAAAAATTCCCTGTGGTCTCTTATTAACTTCCAAAAGAGGCATTCAGGTGAAGCCTTAATATACAGTATAGTAATATACTACTATATGCATCTGGGACTAGACCTCAATATTCTAGTCTCCTAACCTGGCATTGTTAACATGGCTTGAAGGGGCCAGTAGGACCTCACGGCCTAGTTGGAGACTCATATCTCAACTCAGTTTCCAATCTTATAAGCTGGGACATCAGCTGTGAGAGAGGTGGAAGCTTCAAAAAAAAAGAATGTATTTTCCTAGGAACCACAAGAAAAGCTTCATCAAATCTTTTATAGTAAAAGCAGAACACTCTACGATTCTTACATTTTCCACTTCAACTAATCACTTAGTAATTCAACAGGTATTTATGTGGTAACAACTCAGCCAGGGAGTGTTTGAGTTGATCTGAAAAGTCAGAGTTTACAATCAAAAGGAGGAGGGAGAAATGAAATGTAGAGGAGGATAATAACAAGTAGTGATTACATCCCTAAAAGAAATACAAAAAAATCCAAAAGCATCTTCTCTTGGATAATAGCAAACTGGGAAAACTCCAAATAGTCAGAGATGAGGTTCTTTCTCCTACCCTGTGAAATGAAGAACCTAGTAAGAACATTTTTTTTTTTATTAAAATTCAGTCTTTTTTTTTCTCTCTGGCTCATAGATGTAGGTTTAATACTTCCCTTTATTTCTGCCACCTGATTCCCTTTCTCCCCGCATGTTTTCTTTTGACTGGTATGAGATGATATCTCATTGTGGTTTTGATTTTCGTATCTCTAATGGTTAGTAATGTTGAACATTTTTTTACAAGCTTGTTGGCTGCACCAATGTCTGTTTTTGAAGTGACTGTTCATGTTCTTTGCCCAATTTTTAATGGGGTTGTTTGCTCTTTGCTTGCAAATCTAGTAAGATTTTGCCTTAGGTGAAATCTTCCTGGAAGCAGCAAGCCCTTTCAGAAATGAGGTACTGCCCAGTCTACATTCATATGCCAGTTACAAGTGGACTTGGAGGTGGCGGGGAAGATGGGTTGTGGGGGAGGTGGGGTGGGTGGCAGGAGGTGTGAGGGGAGGAGGTCAGAGGGAAAGCTGAAGACAACCGAGCATTGGAGTGTTGTCTGCTGCACCCTGGCTGTTCCTATATAGCCTCTCTCCTCCAGATCTCATAGCACCCTGCTTCACTGAAGAGCCTCAGTCACCCCGGAAAGTTCATATCCCCACTGCCCACCTCCCATCAGGAAACAAAGGGATGCTGAGCTGTGCTTGGGGACCCTTTTTTTCTTTTAAAGAGTTTCACAACTACTTTATTTTATTTTCTAAACTTTTATTTTAGGTTCAGGGGCACATGTGCAGGTTTGTTAAATAGGTAAATTGCATGTTGCAATGGAGGGGTGGTTGGTGTACAAATTATTTCATCACCCGGGTAATGAGCATAGTACCTGATAGGTAGTTTTTCAATTCTCAACTTCCTCTCACCCTCCATCCTCAAGTAGGCCCCGATGTCTATAGTTCCCCTCTTTGTATCTATATGTACTCAACATTTAACTTCCACTTATAAATGAGAACGTGGGGTATTTGGTTTTCTGTTCCTGTCTGTTAGTTTGCTTAGGATAATGGCCTCCAGCTGCATCCATGTTGATCCATGTTGCTACAAAGGACATAGCTCATTATTTTTGTGGCTGCATAGTATTCCACTGTAAACATGTACCACATTATCTTTATACAGTCTATCACTGATGGACATTTAGGTGGATTCCATGTCTTTGCTATTGCAAATAGTGCTGCAATGAACATAGGTGTGCATATGTCTTTATGGTGGAATGATTTATATTCCTTTGGTTATATACCCAATAATGAGATTGCTGGGTCAGGTGGCAATTCTGATATAAGTTCTTTGAGAAATCACCAAACTGCTTTCCACAGTGGCTGAACTAATTTACCTTCCCACCAACAATGTATAAGCGTTCCGTTTTCTGTGTAGCCGCATCAGCATCTGTTGTTTTTTGGCTTTTTACTAATAGCCATTGTGGCTGGGCATCAGGGCACAAGTCTGTTATCCCAGCACCTTGGGAGGCTGAGGTAGGCAGGTCACTTGAGGTCAGTAGTTGGAGACCAGCCTGGCCAACATGGCAAAACCCCGTCTCTACTAAAAATACAAAAATTAGCCAGGTGTGGTGGCGCACACCTGTAGTCCCAGCTATTTAGGAGGCTAAGGGATGAGAACTACTTGAACCCGGGAGGTGGAGGTTGCAGTGAGCCAAGATAGCACCACTGCACTCCATCCTGGGTGACAGAGTGAGACTTTGTCTAAATAATAATAATAATAATACTAACAGTAATAGCCATTGTGACTGGTGTGAGATGGTATCTCATTGTAGTTTTGATTTGCATTTCCCTAATGATTAGTGATGTTGAGCATTTGTTCATATGCTTATTGGCCACATGAAGGTCTTCTTTTGAAAAGTTATCTGTTCATGTTATTTGCCTATTTCTTAATGGGGCTGTTTTTTGCTCATTGATTTGTTTGAGCTCATTATACATTCTGGATATTAGACCTTTGTGGGATGCCTAGTTTGCCAATATTTTCTCCCATTCTGTAGATTGTCTGTTTACTCTGTTGATAGTTTCTTTTGCTGTGCAGAGCTCTTTAATTAGGTCCCATGTATCAAATCTTGCTTTTATTGAAATTGCTTTTGGTGTTGGGACCCTTTCGAATGGAAGAGGTTCAATGTAGAGATGAGGTCTTGCTATGCTACCCTAGCTCCTCTCATCCTCTCCTGGATAAGGAGAATCCAGAGGGTGCTATAGGGACCATGTTTTGTTTTCCCCCCTCATAGCTCCCAAGCTTGCCCCTACCACTAAACAGACACTTCTTCCTAAAAACAAAATGAATAAAAACCCACAGAAAAGTACATAGTTAAATGCATTGCTCAAACGTTATCGTAGACTGGGCATGGTGGCCCATGCCTATAATCCCAGCACTTTGGGAGGCCAAGGCAGGTGGATTTCTTAAGCCCATGAGTAATCTGCCCTGGATTAATAAGCCCAGCCTGGGCAACATGGCGAAACCCCATCTCTACTAAAAATTAAAAGAAAAAAAGAAAAGCCAAGCTTGGTGGTATGTGACTGTATTCCCAGCTACTCCAGCCTGGGAAACAGGAGTGAGACCCTGTCTCAAAAATCCCCCAAAATAACAACAAGAAAACCCAAACTTTATCATAATTCAAATAATAGAAATGATAGAGAAAAGAATGCCCCCAGAATCCAACCATCTTAGCCAGATAACAACAGTCTTTTTCTTTTTTTAAGTGCAATTTCTACTCTATTCATATCCTTTGCCCAATTTTGAGATATTTTAAATCGTGAATCAATGGTTCTCAACTCTGACTCATCTGAATCTCTAAGGGAGATTTTACAAGGCATGGATGACTATGCTTTACCTTGACCTAGAGAATCAGAATCTCAAGAACCTGTTTTTAAAATGAACTCCAGGTCAACATTCTGATCCTGGAGACAACATCAGTCACTGTGCGGCAGTTACGTTGCATGGGGTAAATACCCAGGGTTCGTCATCTCATGCCAAGAAAATTTAGGACACAGATACACATGAGGAGTTTCAGAGTGGAGGTTTAATAGGCAAAAGAAAGACAAAGAAAGAGAAAGGAAAACAGCACTCTCTTTAATGGGAGAGAGGGGACTTCTGAGAGGAAAAGGCTGGCCTGTGGCAGATGTGCAGGATTTTATAGTCAGGCTTGAGGAGGCAGTGTCTAATTTACACAGGGCTCACAGATTGGTTTTGATCAGGTATAACATTTACATAGCCAGGGAAGGGGGAAGGCTGGCTGCCCCACCATAATCTTATTATGCAAATGCACTTTCCCGTTGGCAGCACCATTTTTTCTGCTCCGACTGGCACAACTGCCAGCATCATCTGCAGCTTGATTTTACAGGCTGCTCTTTGTTAGAAAGAAAAATAATTTGGGGCTGCTTTTCATTAAAAGGAAAAAACCTTACCTTATGTCCATAGCCTCACTATCTGCCTAAGTAATTTCTTCTTAACTCCTGTATCAACCACATTTAAACAAATTTTTTAAATTGAGGTAAAATTCACCATTTTAAAGTGTACAATTCAGTGATATTTAGTACATCACAATGTTTTGTGACTGATGTATTCTTGTAAGGCATTTTGAGTTACATCTGCTGACACTGTGTAAAACTAGAAAGTTACATTTGCTAGAGATAAAATTAAGTGCTAAGAAAGTTAATTTTTTCAAACTAGTATTTTCTAATGGCTTTTGTTATTTCCATCCCCAGTTCAGTAAGAGAGAACTGTAGAAACATCTGGGAATAGTTGGGAGTATTCTGTTCACCTCTTCGGGTCTGAAAGAGTGAGCGAGGCTGCCCAGGGTTCTGCAAGAACTCCTTTCTGCATTAAATGCTATGAATTTGGAGGCCAAACGTGAATATAGTCCAGTGATAACAAGAGCTGATATATTTTGAAATTTTATTGTGTTCCAACTACCCTGCCAGTTTGCTAATCCTCGCATTATTCCTAAGTCTCCAAACAAGCCTGCATAGTTCTTATCTTTTTTCCACTTGGCAAGTGAAGAAACTGAGAATCTGAGAGGACTTGCTCAAGGTCATACAGCTTCAAGGTAATGTAGCTGAGGTTCTTATGTTTGATCTGTATGATACCATAGCGCAGATCCTGTCTCCCTGAACTCTCCGGACTCCAACTGGATGTCCAAGAATTCAGTTCAGTTTTAACCATCTACCTGGAGTAAGCGTGAATCCCACAGGTTAAGGACTCAGTCCCACAAGACTGCCCTCGCTTCAGAAACCAGTCCCAAGTCTCAGGCCTCCCATACTTCTGACTGATTGGTTACAAATTGGAGATTCCCCCAAGACTCCCTCTCCATGTTTGATAATTTGCTAGAACAGCTCACAGAACTCAGGAAAGCACTTTACCTACTATTACCAATTTATCTTAAAGGATATGACTCAGAAACAGCCAAACAGAAAAGATGCATAGTTTAAGGTATGGGGGTACACGGAGCTTCCATGCTCTCTCTGGGTGCACCACCCTCTCAGCCCCTGGCTGTGTTCACCAATCCAGGAGCATTCTGAGCCCCACCATTTAGGCATTTTATGAAGCTTTCATTACATAGGCATGATTTATTAAATCATTGGCCATTGTTGATTACCTCAATCTCCAGCCCCTGTCCCCTCCCAGGAGGTCGAGGGGTCGGGGAGGAAATTCCAACCCTCTAATCACTTCATTGGTTCCTAGGACAACCAGCCCTTATCCTCCAAGAGTCACATTGTTAGCATAAACTCAGATATGGTTGAAAGGTGCTTGCTATGATAACAAAAGATGCTCCTATCACCCTTGTCACTCAGGAAATTCCAAGGGTTTTAGAATTCTGTCAGGAGTCAGCATGGTGGCAAGCACCTGTCATTCCAGCTACTCAGGATACTGAGGCAGGAGGATTACCTGGGCCCAGGAGTTTAAGGCTGCAGTGAACTATGATCATGCCACTGGTGAGACCCTGTCTCTTAAAAATTATTATTATTTTTTAAAGCTCTGTGTTGGAAACCAAAGACAAACACCAAGTATATATTTCTTACTGTCACACTCCCAAAACACAGCATGAGAGCTTGTGAGCCTAATATTAAGTAGAGAACTTGATCCAAACACTAAGAGACGGAGTTCTGGGTGTCTGAACACAATGCATGGAACCAGGGAGGTCAAAACAGAAAAGAGACAGGAGGCAGAATGCTAGCCAGAAGGTAGAGGTTGTCCTTGAAGTTTTGCTTGTTCACCTGGTAAATTCCTCTCCCTTTGGCAGGAAGACTTTGCCCGAAGCAAGCTCC
Source organism: Homo sapiens (assembly GCF_000001405.40). Classification (NCBI taxonomy): domain Eukaryota; kingdom Metazoa; phylum Chordata; class Mammalia; order Primates; family Hominidae; genus Homo; species Homo sapiens. Next base: position 7,012,999 of record NC_000007.14, on the reverse strand, counting down.
ATATGCCCACTGTGGGGAGCCCAGAATAGGCTTCCACCATCACTAGGTGCAGGCATCAAAAATAGGGTCAAGCTAAGGAGAGTGGTGAAATGTATTAGGAGGCCAGTGGTAGCAGTGCCAGTGGGAAAGTGTTTAGAGCACTCCCTGACGTTTTTGTGGGTTCTAGGTTATCCTCCTGGGTGTTCCTAAGCTGCCTGGCCTCTAGTTATTCAGTTGGCAAGCATTTATTGAGTGCCTTCTATGTGCCACGCATTGTGCTTGGCTCTGCACTGTGTCAAGAGCAGCAGACACCTGAGAAAATGTAGAGGAGGAAATGATAACTTTCAGGGAAATGGCTATTCTGTAAGAGGAAAATAGCAATTTACTAATTCACTGTAGCCCATTTCTATGCAATCTGAGCAGGTAAAAGAGCCAAGGTGTCTGGAAGGGTGTATCAGAAGGGCATCTGGTAATTACATAGATAGTTTTGAATGGTGTCTTGCAAAGTGGGGGCATCCATCAGAATGGAAGGTTGGAGACTAATTGGCTGAATAGTCCATGAAGATGGAGAATCTCTTTAATGATTATGTAGCTTGCTCTGACCTCGATGGTTGTTGGGAGGATGGAGGTGCAAGAGATCCCTTAGTTTAAATACGACAGGGAGTGCACATGAAATGGAGGCCATGACAATTGCAGAGGCATTTAGGATTGGCAGTGGTGCTGCTGCCTGGGCTTCTTCTTGTGTCGGTGGTAGGCATCAAACGTGGGGTCAGGCTAAAGAGAGTCATCAAGTGTATTAGTTTCCTAGGACTGCTGTAATGCATTACCACAAACCAAGTGGCTTAAAGCAACAGAAATTTATTTTCTTGAAGTTCTGGAAACTGGAAGTCTCTCATTAGGGTGTCAGCAGAGCCACACTTCCTAAGAAGCATCTAGGGAAGATCCCTTCCTTGCCTTTTCCATCTTCTGGTGGCTCCAGATGTTCCTTGGCTTGTGACTGCATGACTCCAATCTTTGCCTTCACGTGGCCTTCTCTGTTTCCCTTCTGTGTGTCTCTTTAAGAACACTTGTCGGGGTGGAGCCAAGATGGCCAAATAGGAACAGCTCCAGTCTAGAGCTCCCAGAGTGAGCGACACAGAAGATGGGTGATTTCTGCATTTCTAACTGAGTTACTGGGCTCTTCTCACTGGGGAGTGCCGGAAAGTGGGTGCAGGACAGTGGGTGCAGCGCACCCAGCACGAGCCAAAGCAGGGCGAGGCATCACCTCACCTGGGAAGCATAGGGGGCCAGGGAATTCCCTTTCCTAGTCAAAGAAAGGGGTGACAGACAGCACCTGGAAAATTGGGTCGCTCCCACCCTAATACTGTGCTTTTCCAACAGTCTTAGCAAATGGCACACCAGGAGATATCCCGTGCCTGGCTCAGAGGATCCTGTGCCCACGGAGCCTTGCTCATTGCTAGCACAGCAGTCTGAGATCAAACTGCAAGGCGGCAGCAAGACTGGGGGAGGGGCGCCCACCATTGCCGAGGCTTGAGTAGGTAAACAAAGTGGCCAGGAATCTCGAACTGGGTGGAGCCCACCACAGCACAAGGAGGCCTGCCTGCCTCTTTAGACTCCACCTCTGGGGGCAGGGAATAGGCAGACAAAAGGCAGCAGAACCCTCTCCAGACCTAAATGTCCCTGTCTGACAGCTTCGAAGAGAGTAGTGGTTCTCCCAGCATGCAGCTGGAGATCTGAGAACAGACAGAGTGCCTCCTCAACTGGGTGCCTGACCCCCGAGTAGCCTAATTGGGAGGCACCCCCCCAGTAGGGGCAGACTGACACCTCACACGGCCGGGTACTCCTCTGAGACAAAACTTCCGGAGGAATGATCCTGCAGCAACATTTGCTGCTCACCAGTATTTGCTGTTCTGCAGCCTCCGCAGCTGATACCCAGGCAAACAGGGTCTGGAGTGGACCTCCAGCAAACTCCAACAGACCTGCAGCTGAGGATCCTGACTGTTACAAGGAAAACTAACAAACAGAAAGGACATGCACACCAAAACCCCATCTCTATGTTACCATCATCAAAGACCAAAGGTAGATAAAACCACAAAGATGGGGAAAAAACAGAGCAGAAAAACTGGAAACTCTAAAAATCAGAGCACCTCTCCTCCTCCAAAGGAACACATCTCCTCACCAGCAAGAGAACAAAGCTGGATGGAGAATGACTTTGACGAGTTGAGAGAAGAAGGCTTCAGATGATCAAACTACTCCGAGCTAAAGGAGGAAGTTTGAACCCATGGCAAAGAAGTTAAAAACCTTGAAAAAAATTAGACGAATGCCTAAGTAGAATAACCAATGCAGAGAAGTCCTTAAAGGACCTGCTGGAGCTGAAAACCAAGGCACGAGAACTACGTGAAAAATGCACAAGCTTCAGTAGCCGATTCGATCAACTGGAAGAAAGGGTATCAGTGATGGAACATGAAATGAATGAAATGAAGCAAGAAGAGAAGTTTAGAGAAAAAAGAATAAAAAGAAACAAACAAGGCCTCCAAGAAATATGGGACTATGTGAAAAGACCAAATCTACATCTGATTAGTGTACCTGAAAGTGACGGGGAGAATGGAACCAAGTTGGAAAACACTCTGCAGGATATTATCCAGGAGAACTTCCCCAATCTAGCAAGGCAGGCCAACATCCAAATTCAGGAAATACAGAGAACGCCACAAAGATACTCCTCGAGAAGAGCAACTCCAAGACACATAATTGTCAGATTCACCAAAGTTGAAATGAAGGAAAAAATGTTAAGGGAAGCCAGAGAGAAAGGTTGGGTTACCCACAAAGGGAAGCCCATCAGACTAACAGCTGATCTCTTGGCAGAAAATCTGCAAGCCAGAAGAGAGTGGGGGCCAATATTCAACATTCTTAAAGAAAAGAATTTTCAATCCAGAATTTCATATCCAGCCAAACTAAGCTTCATAAGTGAAAGAGAAATAAAATGCTTTACAAAAAAGCAAATGCTGAGAGATTTTGTCACCACCAGGCCCACCTTACAAGAGCTCCTGAAGGAAGCAGTAAACATGGAAAGGAACAACTGGTACCAGCCATTGCAAAAACATGCCAAATTGTAAAGACCATCAAGGCTACGAAGAAACTGCATCAACTAATGAGCAAAATAACCAGCTAGCATCATAATGACAGGATCAAATTCACACATAACAATATTAACTTTAAATGTAAATGGGCTAAATGTTCCAATTAAAAGACACAGACTGGTAAATTGGATAAAGAGTCAAGACCCATCAGTGTGCTGTATTCAGGAAACTCATCTCACGTGCAGAGACACACATAGGCTCAAAATAAAGGGATGGAGGAAGATCTCACAAGCAAATGGAAAAAAAAAAAAAAAAAAAGGCGGGGTTGCAATCCTAGTCTCTGATAAAACAGACTTTAAACCAACAAAGATCAGAAGAGACAAAGAAGGCCATTACGTAATGGTAAATGGATTAATTCAACAAGAAGAGCTAACTATCCTAAATATATATGCACCCAATACAGGAGCACCCAGATTCATAAAGCAAGTCCTTAGAGACCTACAAAGAGACTTAGACTCCCACACAATAATAATGGGAGACTTTAACACCCCACTGTCAGCATTAGAGAGATCAACGAGACAGAAAGTTAACAAGGATATCCAGGAATTGAACTCAGCTCTGCACCAAGTGGACCTAATAGACATCTACAGAACTCTCCACCCCAAATCAACAGAATATACATTCTTCTCAGCACCACACCACACTTATTCCAAAATTGACCAGATAGTTGGAAGTAAAGCACTCCTCAGCAAATGTAAAAGAATAGAAATTATAACAAACTGCGTCTCAGACCACAGTGCAAGCAAACTAGAACTCAGGATTAAGAAACTCACTCAAAACCACTCAACTACATGGAAACTGAACAACCTGCTCCTGAATAACTACTGGGTGCATAACAAAATGAAGGCAGAAAGAAAGATGTTCTTTGAAACCAATGAGAACAAAGACACAACATACCAGAACCTCTGGGACACACTCAAAGCAGTGTGTACAGGGAAATTTATAGCACTAAATGCCCACAAGAGAAAGCAGGAAAGATCTAAAATTGACACCTTAACATCACAATTAAAAGAACTAGAGAAGCAAGAGCAAACACATTCAAAAGCTAGCAGAAGGCAAGAAATAACTAAGATCAGAGCAGAACTGAAGGAAATAGAGACACAAAAAACCCTTCAGAAAATCAATGAATCCAGGAGCAAGTTTTTTGAAAAGATCGACAAAATTGATAGACCGCTAGCAAGACTAATAAAGAAGAAAAGAGAGAATAATCAAATAGACACAATAAAAAATGATAAAGGGGATATCACCACTGATCCTACAGAAATACAAACTACCATCAGAGAATACTATAAACACCTTTATGCCAATAAACTGGAAAATCTAGAAGAAATGGATAAATTCCTGGACACATACACCCTCCCAAGACTAAACCAGGAAGAAGTTGAATCCCTGAATAGACCAATAACAGGCTCTGAAATTGAGGCAGTAATTAATAGCTTACCAACCAAAAAGAGTCCAGGACCAGATGGATTCACAGCCGAATTGTACCAGAGGTACAATGAGGAGCTGGTACCATTCCTTCTGAAACTATTCCAATCAATAGCAAAAGAAGGAATCCTCCCTAATTCATTTTATGAGGCCAGCATCATCCTGATACCAAAGCCTGTCAGAGACACAACAAAAAAAGAGAATGTTAGACCAATATTCCTGATGAATATTAATGCAAAAATCCTCAATTAAATACTGGCAAACTGAATCCAGCAGCACATCAAAAAGCTTATCTACCATGATCAAGTGGGCTTCATCCCTGCGTTGCAAGGCTGGTTCAACATACGCAAATCAATAAATGTAATCCAGTGTATAAACAGAACCAAGGACAAAAACCATATGTTTATCTCAATAGATGCAGAAAAGGCCTTTGACAAAATTCAACAACCCTTCATGCTAAAAACTCTCAATAAATTAGGTATTGATGGGACGTATCTCAAAATAATAAGAGCTATCTATGACAAACCCACAGCCAATATCATACTCAATGGGCAAAAACTGGAAGCATTCCCTTTGAAAACTGGCACAAGACAGGGATGCCCTCTCTTACCACTCCTATTCAACATAGTGTTGGAAGTTCTGGCCAGGGCAATCAGGCAGGAGAAGGAAATAAAGGGTATTCAATTAGGAAAAGAGGAAGTCAAATTGTCCCTGTTTGCAGATGACATGATTGAATATCTACAAAACCCCATCGTCTCAGCCCAAAATCTCCTTAAGCTGATAAGCAACTTCAGCAAAGTCTCAGGATACAAAATCAGTGTGCAAAAATCACAAGCATTCTTATACACCAATAACAGACAGAGAGCCAAATCATGAGTGAACTCTCATTCACAATTGCTTCAAAGAGAATAAAATACCTGGGAATCCAACTTACAAGGGACGTGAAGGACCTCTTCAAGGAGAACTACAAACCACTGCTCAATGAAATAAAAGAGGACACGAACAAATGGAAGAACATTCCATGGTCATGGGTAGGAAGAATCAATATCGTGAAAATGGCCATACTGCCCAAGGTAATTTATAGATTCAATGCCATCCCCATCAAACTGCCAATGACTTTCTTCACAGAATTGGAAAAAACTACTTTAAAGTTCATATGGAACCAAAAGAGCCTGCATTGCCAAGTCAATCCTAAGCCAAAAGAACAAAGCTGGAGGCATCATGACTTCAAACTATACTACAAGGCTACAGTAAACAAAACAGCATGGTACTGGTACCAAAACAGAGATATAGACCAATGGAACAGAACAGAGCCCTCAGAAATAATGCTGCATATCTACAACCATCTGATCTTTGACAAACCTGACAAAAACAAGAAATGGGGAAAGGATTCCCTATTTAACAAATGGTGCTGGGAAAACTGGCTAGCCATATGTAGAAAGCTGAAACTGGATCCCTTCCTTACACCTCATACAAAAATTAATTCAAGATGGATTAAAGACTTAAATGTTAGACCTGAAACCATAAAAGCCCTAGAAGAAAAGCTAGGCAATATCATTCAGGACATAGGCATGGGCAAGGACTTCATGTCTAAAAAACCAAAAGCAATGGCAACAAAAGCCAAAATTGACAAACGGGATCTAATTAAACTAAAGAGCTTCTGCACAGCAAAAGAAACTATCATCAGAGTGAACAGGCAACCTACAGAATGGGAGAAAATTTTTGCAATCTACTCATCTGACAAAAGGCTAATATCCAGAATCTACAATGAACTCAAACAAATTTACAAGAAAAAAACAAACAACCCCATCAAAAATTGGGCAAAGGATATGAACAAACACTTCTCAAAAGAAGACATTTATGCAGCCAAAAGACACATGAAAAAATGCTCATCGTCACTGGCCATCAGAGAAATGCAAATCAAAACCACAATGAGATACCATCTCACACCAGTTAGAATGGCAATCATTAAAAAGTCAGGAAACAACAGGTGCTGGAGAGGATGTGGAGAAATAGGAACACTTTTACACTGTTGGTGGGACTCTAAACTAGTTCAACCATTGTGGAAGTCAGTGTGGCGATCCCTCAGGGATCTAGAACTAGAAATACCATTTGACCCAGCCATCCCATTACTGGGTATAGACCCAAAGGATTATAAATCATGCTGCTATAAAGACACACGCACACATGTTTATTGTGGCACTATTCACAATAGCAAAGACTTGGAACCAACCTAAATGTCCAACAATGATGGACTGGATTAAGAAAATGTGGCATATATACACCATGGAATACTATGCAGCCATAAAAAATGATGAGTTCATGTCCTTTTTTGTAGGGACATGGATGAAGCTGGAAACCATCATTCTCAGCAAACTATTGCAAGGACAAAAAACCAAACACTGCCTGTTCTCACTCACAGGTGGGAATTGAACAATGAGAACACATGGACACAGGAAGGGGAACATTACACACCGGGGCCTGTTGTGGGGTGGGGGGAGAGGGGAGGGATAGCATTCGGAGATATACCTAATGTTAAATGACGAGTTAGTGGGTGCAGCACACCAACATGGCACTTGTATACATATGTTACTAACCTGCATGTCGTGCACATGTACCCTAAACTGTAAAGTATAATAATAAAAAAAAAAAAAGAACGCTTGTCCTTGGATTTAAGGCCCACCTGGATAATCCAGGGTGGTCTCATCCTGAAGTCCTCCACTTAATTACATCTGCAAAAATGCTTTTTTCCAGGTAAAGTCACATTCACAGGTTCTGGGACATGTGTATATATTTTGGGGGGCCACCATTCGACTACTACACCAACTCCTTTACATACTATGCTCAGAGATAGAAATGGACAGAGGTAGCCTCACAGAGAAACCCGAATTTCAGACTGTTATTTGCTTGCTCTGATAATTTCCTGTCAGTCTTCCTCACCTTTGTCCTGTCACCAGATGTTCTAGATCACAGCCAGATGCCGTGGGGAGATGTGTTTTTCTGTCTATGCTGGGGCCTGATGGCTGAGACATGCTTGGTCTGAAGGATTTTCTGAGGGTGGGGCTGACCCTGCCATACCCTGTGAGTTCAGCTTCTAAGCCGGTTACTTAACATTGGACAAAAATAAATCACTTTGAAAAGGTGACCCAAAATGCTCTCAATAAACAGTAGCTATGATTGTTATTTCAAGGTCTGCCACAATTGATCTGGACAGTCTGCATATAGCCTACACTTGGTGCCAGTTTCTTAAAGAAAGCATCCAGACCACAGAGGCAGCCTTGATATCTCATCACTTTTGCTCTCAGCTTTCTGCACTGCAGATATAGCAGTAAGCATCATTTGTATCTGCAGCCTCTGAAACCCTTCAGTACCTCCTAGGAAACAGTGGTCCCCATTATGGTGTTAAATACCTAGCTTTGGAATATTGGGCTGGGTGCTGTCATGATGGCCAAGTTAGGGTAAAAGTGAAATGAGTCTTCAGCTGCTGCAAGGATGTACTGATGGCTGGATTCCAGCAAGCCCTTTCCCCCTTTGGTGGGTGTTGTTTAGAGTAGTTATGACTGAGATGCGGTGGATGGGTTGGTCATATCTAACAAGCCTCAGGAATGACAAAATGATTCCCTTCTGAGGACCTTTCACTACAGCAATACAGAATGTTTTTGTTTCATCCCAGAGAGATGTTCACAACATTTTATCCAATGAGAAAACCAAATGATAGCAGACTATTTGGACTATAGCAGACTATATAGGATGATATTACATAATGCAATGCCCGGGCCCCATTATGGCATTTTCTTCTCTACTCTATTTTTCTCTATAGCACTTACCTTCATTTATATATGTAATTTATGTGCCTTGTTAACTCCCCCTCTTCCTCTGCACCATGAATGTAATAAGCTCCATGCCCCATAATGCAATAGATACTCAAAACATATTATTAGTTTAATGAAAAAATTAAACCCTAACTCTCTCTGACAATCCTAATCATAACCTCCACATGAAGGAAAAGGACTTAGTCTGGTCTCTAGCCACGAGTCTAACTTTCAGCAGCTAAAAACCCTATTCGCCTCTCCTTAATGTGTTCAAGAACAGCAACGATATCAATATGACTGGGATGTAATGAACTAGGGAGAGGGAAGTCAGAGATACAGTTGGAAGACAATGAAGGTGGATGTTTGTCAAGCTTCTGGACTAACAATTCCACTCTGATTTTCTGGGGGCCTGTTACTCCAGGGCTCCTGATTCCTATTTCCGAATCTTTCAACAGTATCTATGACTGCACAGGGTGTATCTATGTCTGGACAGGGAACAACCTGGAAATGCTTAGGGGAATTCTGTTTGAAGAAAGCTTTTGTTTATTTAACACACATTGTGTTCAGGGACCTAAGCTAGATAATCTTACATTCATCATTTTATTTAACACTGTAAAATTATACATTCCTTACCCATGAAAATGTCCAGTTCATCTGTCTCTTTCATTCCCATACTTCTCTCCCATAGCCTGCAACCAAGCCTCTAATCATCAGCTCCTGTTACTGCTCTCAACAAATTAGGTCACTTATGGCTTTACTAATTTCCCTTTCAACTTAAAATATTCAAGCTTGAATTAGCCAGTTTAGATTGGGTTATGCTGCAGTTACAAAATGACTCCCAAGTCTCAGACACTTACAACCAGAAAAGTTTGTTTGCTCACTCCAGCTACATATTGATCATGGGTAGGCTGTGACCCTTCTCTACATAATTTTCATTCTGGGCCCTTGGTTGGGGGAGTCGCTCCTACCTGGAATACTGGCAGAGGAAAAAAAGTTGGTGTTGAGCTACATCGTGGTTCTTAAAATTTCTGCTCACAAGTAACACCTGTCACTTCTACTCACATTTCACTGGCAATAGCAAGTCACCTGGCTACACTGATATCAATGGGCTAGATATAGCATAATCCTCCCCCAGGGAGGGGCACTGCATATTTTTCAGCAATAATAGAACATACCAAAAGAGCATCCCTGTGGAGGCACACTCACTGTACCTGTCCTCCCGAGCCCTCTTATCCTTCTTCCACACACACTGTGCCAAACACAGAACCTGGATCCATTTCCCCCACGTCTTGACTCTGGCTCTCAGACTGCCCCATGTTATTGGAGGCTCTGCCCTCTCTGATGGTGCCAGTCCACATTCATGCTTGGGTTTTCCTCCTTTGCTGGACCACCATGATGCCCACTCATCTTTTCTTTTTCCCCTCATTAACTCTGATATTTGTCTGTTATTTTCAAGTTCACCCTCACAACATCCCAAGCCCTTCAGTACCTGCAGAAGATGAGCCTCCTGTTTTTTATGGAAAACAGGGGCCTGTAAGTATGAATTCTTCTAAAACTTGTAAACCCTTCTCTGCATTCCTTTTCTCCTCTCTGCTCTGCTTTTCTCCACAACACTTATTTATCATCATTGACATACTTAGCTTATAAATCTTGTATGTTGGTTAAAATTAGGTGTCAACTTGATTGGATTGACAGCTGCCTAGAGTATTGTTCCTGAGTGTGTTTGTGAGGGTGTTGCCAGAGGAGACTGACATTTGAGTTGGTGGACTGGGAAGGAAGACCCACCCTCAAGGTGGGTGGGCACCAGTCAATCAGCTGCCAGAGCAGCTAGAACAAAGCAGGCGGAGGAAGGTGGGATAGGCTTGCTAGTGGAGGCTTCTGCCAGAAGCCTTTTTTTCTTCTTCCCATGCAGGAAGCTTGCTTCCATTCCTCCTGACCTTGGATGTGGGAAAAAGAAAGAGAGATCAGATTGTTAATGTGTCTGTATACAAAGTAGACATAAGAGACTCCATTTTAATCTGTAACCCTACCCCCAAACCTGTGTTCCCTGAGACATGTGCTGTGTCAACAACTCAGGGTTAAATGGATTTAGGGTTATGCAGGATGTTCTTTGTTAAACAAATGCTTGAAGGCAGCATGCCTGTTAAGAGTCATCACCACTCCCTAATCTCAAGTACCCAGGGACACAAAACACTGCGGAAGGCCACAGGGACCTCTGCCTAGGAAAGCCAGGTATTGTCCAAGGTTTCTCCCCATGTGATAGTCTGAAATATGGCCTCGTGGGAAGAGAAAGACCTGACTGTCCCCCAGCCCGACACCCGTAAAGGGTCTGTGCTGAGGAGGATTAGTAAGAGGAAGGAACGCCTCTTTGCAGTTGAGACAAGAGGAAGGCATCTGTCTCCTTCCCGTCCCTGGGCAATGGAATGTCTCGGTGTAAAACCCGATTGTATATTCCATCTACTGAGATAGGTGAAAACCACCTTAGGGCTGGAGATGGGACCTGTGGACAGCAATACTGCTCTTTAAGGCATTGAGATGTTTATGTGTATGTATCTCTGAAGCACAGCACTTAATTCTTTACCTTGTTTATGATGCTGAGACCTTTGTTCACGTGTTTACCTGCTGTCCTTCTCTCCACTATTATCCTATGACCCTGCCACATCCCCCTCTCTGAGAAACACCCAATAATGATCAATAAATACTAAGGGAACTCAGAGGCCAGTGGGATCCTCCGTGTGCTGAACGCCGGTCCCCTGGGCTCCCTTTTTCTTTCTCTATACTTTGTCTCTGTGTCTCTTTCTTTTCCAGGTCTCTCGTTTCACCTAATTAAAACACCCACAGGTGTGGAGGGGCAACCCACCCCTTCACTTGGACATCAGACTCCAGGTTCTTCTGCCTTTGGACTCTGGGACTTGCACCAGCAGCTTCCCCGAGGCTCTCAGGCCCTGAGCCTGAGACTGAAGTTTGCACTGTGGGCTTCCCTGGTTTTGAGGCTTTTGGACTTGGACTGAGCCACCACCAGCTTCTCTCTTTCCCCAGCTTGCAGACAGCCTATTGTGGGACTTTGCCTTGTAATCCTGTGAACCGATTCTCTCTAATAAACTCCCTTTTTCATATACATGTATCCAATTGATTCTGTCCCTCTGGAGAACCCTAGTACAACTAATTTTTTCTCTGCTGCCCTTTACTCTTCTAGGCTTACCTAGACTACCACCATTCCTTCCCCCTTTCCTATTCTAAAGTAAAAGTTGTTTTTTCTCGCTTAATGCATGGTATTTTGCCCATTTCCCATGGCTTCCCTCAGTCCTGCTCTTGTTTATTCTTCTTGCTATCTTAAGAGGAAATTCCTGCCTCTTCCTTGGCTTTTCCCACTTGGTCTACGTACTGGTTTCTGTTGTTCTTAGAGACACACTGAGACGTTTCACATCTCACTGCCACTTCTTGGAAGGGCTCTCTCTACCTGGTCTGCCTGCTAAGCAACCTCTTGGGGAGACACGGGCACTCCTGAGTTATCGAACTTGAGCTGTTTGGTGTTGGCATGTTAATTTATCTTCTTACACCACTTACCACTTCCTTAACGTCAAAAGATAAGAATAATTATTATTTTCCATGGTTGATGTGAAGAGTACAAATAACTTATACAAAATGCATTGCAGTTAGGAGATAATAAATGGCAGTGAATGCCCTTATTAATGTTATTCTATCAGTCTCAGCTGAGGTACCATCTGCTCTGTGAGCTCGACTCTGAATCATATCTATTTCTTCCCGGGGTTCATTGTGCTCTATTCTTAAATGCTTTAAAACAGTAATTATTCTGATTCTAATTAGTGGTCCTTCCCAGTAAAATTTGAATTTTTTAGATCTCTTTCCCCCACCCCTGCCCCAGCCTTAGCAGTATTTTCTTATGTCTTTTTTGTGTGTACAGGCTAAATCACTGGTCTTCTTTTATTTGTGGCTAAAAAAATGTTTTGCTGGAAGAGTAAAGAGTTCCCATTTCCATGAGATCTATAGTTTTACAAAATGAATATATACATAATCCATGTAACTATTTCAATTTTAAAACAATTTTTAAATTTTTAGATAAAATTTAATTTGTGCCCATGTGTATGTGTGTGAGACCAGAGATGGGAGTGGGGGGAGAATCTCACTATGTTGAGCAGGCTGGTCTTGAACTCCTGGCCTCAAGCCACCCTCTTGCCTTGGCCTCCCAAAGTGCTGGAATTACAGGCGTGAACCATGCACCCAGACTCACTTTTTGTTTTAACAGATCCTAGAGTGAGAAAGCAAGTAGCATTGTGATAGAGTAGCTGGATAGGGAGCAGTTCCTGGAATCTGAAGAAAAGGAGGTGTGGAAAGGGTCAGTTGACAGAAGCTGTGGCCTTCAGGAGACAAGCTTTGAGGTAAGAGAGCTGGGGGGCTAAATGTCCTGTGGTCTCGCCCTGTCTCCACTTGCCTTGTGATATTCTATTATCCTGTTAAGTACTTGATGTCTGTCACCCACACCTATTCGTATACTGCCTCCCCTTTTGAAACTCCCTAATAAAAACTTGCTGGTTTTTGTGGCTTGTGGGGCATCACGGATCCTACCAATGTGTGATGTCTCCCCCGGACGCCCAGCTTTAAAATTTCTCTCTTTTGTACTCTGTCCTTTTATTTCTCAAGCCAGTTGACGCTTAGGAAAGTAGAAAAGAACCTACATGATTATCGGGGCAGGTCCCCCAATAGTGTTGGGTGGTGGTAATGCAATGATGAAGATGGCAGGCATGCCTCTGCCCTCCAGGAGTTTCTAGGATACACAGGGGGACAAACAAAAAATAAGTAAATCCATGAAAGAAGTATAGGTGGAACCTGCCCCCAATATTTCAATGTAGGTTCTTTCTATTTTCTATAAGTGTCAGGCAGCTGAGAAATAAAGAGAGACACTACAAAGAAAGGAATTTTACAGCTGGGCTGCTGGGGGTGACATTACACATCAGTAGGACCATGATGCCCCCTGAGTCTCAGATGAGCAAGTTTTTATTAAGGGCTTCAAAAGGGGAGGGGGTGTAAGAATGGGGAATAGGTACAAAGGTCACATGCTTCAAATGGTACAAAGCAGAACTACTACTAAGGGTCTAACAAAGATCACGTGCTTCTGAGGGAACAGGACAAAGGGCAAAAGCAGAACTACTGAGAAGTGTCCAGCAAAGATCACAAAGCAAAGGACAAAAGCAGAACCACTGATAAGGGTCTATGTTCATTCACGCATGTATTGTCTTGATAAACATCTTAAACAACAGAAAACAGGGTTCAAGAGCAGAGAACCAGTCTGACCACAGATATATCAGGGCGGAGTTTTTCTCCACCCTAGTAAGCCTTTGGGTACTGCAGGAGACCAGGGTGTATCTCAGTCCTTATCTTAACCGCATAAGACAGACATTCCCAGAGCAGCCATTTATAGACCTTCCCCCAGGAATTCATTCCTTTCCCAGGGTATTACTATTAATATTCCTTGCTAGGAAAAGAATTTAGTGATATCTCTCCTACCTGCATATCCGTTTATAGACTCTCTGCAAGAAGAAACATATGGCTCTTTTTGCCCAACCCTGCAGGCAGTCAGACCTTATGGTTGTCTTCCTTTGTTCCCTAAAAATTGCTGTTCTCTTCTTTTTCAAGGTGCACTGATTTCATATTGTTGAAACACACATGTTTTACAATCAATTTGTACAGTTAACACAATTATCACAGTGGTCCTGCGGTGATGTACATCCTTAGCTTATGAATATAACAGAATTAAGAGACTAAAGACAGGCATAAGAAATTATAAAAGTATTATTTGGGAACTGATAAATGTCCATGAAATCTTCACCATTTATGTTCCTCTGCCATGGCTCCAGCCAGTCCCTCTCCATTTGGGGTCCCTGACTTCCCACAACAAGAAACAATAAGAGGTTAAGGTGGAGAAGAGCAGGGAAGTCCACTTTATAAAGGGGTCAGGAAAGAGCTGTCTGTGGAAGCACCATTTTAGCTGAGACCTAAAGGATGGTCTAATCTGGGGAGGTGCAGAGGAAAATCATTCCAGGCTGAAGCAGCAAGTGCAAAGGCCCTGTTGTGGAAAAAGGTTTGAAAGTCCAAGAAAACAAAAGGAGGCCATAGTGGCTGAAATAGAGTAGGCCAAGGGCAGGAGATAGGAGAGGGCTGGAGAGGTGGCAGGAACAGGCAGAAGACTCGGGGTCTCGATTTTATTCTATGTACCATGGGCAGGAAAGGCAGGGATGAGACTCAATGGACACCTTAAGATCACTGAAGCTGCCAGGTAGGAAATGGATTGCTGAGCATGGAGAGCAGGTGCAGAGTACCAGTTAAGACCAGTTAGGAGGCTGCTGCTGTAGCCCAGCTGAGATACTGGTGTCCTAGGCAAAGATAATGACAGTGAAGCTAGAGAGAGTGGACAAGTTGGATAAAGTTTAGAATCACAGGACTTGCTGACTGGAGAAGAGGGCAAAAGCAGAGTTAGCACAACACATGAGTTATGACCACCTTGAGCAGCTCAGCAGGGGGTGGTGCCATTTACAGAAGAGAGATGGCATGGACAGAGCCCATGGAGAAGGAGGAGGAAAAAGAGAGTTTGGCTTTGGGTTTTTTTTAAGACAGGGTCTCTGGCTGTGTCACCCAGGCTGGAGTGCATTGGTGCCATCATAGCTCTTTGCAGCCTCAAACTCCTGGGCTCAATTGATCCTCCTGCCTCAGCCTGCCATGTAGCAGGACTACAGATCCTACAGATGCACATCACCATGCCTAGCTTTTTGTTTTTGTTGTTTTTTTTTTTTTTTTTGTAGATAGGGAGTCTCACTGTGTTTTCCAGGCTGGCTTCAAACTCCTGGCCTCAAGTAATCCTCCCACCTCAGCCTCCCATAGCACTGGGATTACAGCCATCACCTACCACACCAAGCCATGAGTTTGGCTTTGGATGTAACAAGGTTGAGGTGTTCATGAGTTGACAAGTGGAAAAAACAAGAAAGAAGTTGAGTGTTTAAGACTGCTGTTTCAAGGAGAATTCTAGCCTCAGGACAAAAGTTCAGGACTCATCAGCTGAGAAATGGCACTGAAAATTATGTAAATGGATAAGCTCAGCTAGTAAACAAGTCCAGAGAGAGCAGAAAGTCCAGAGATAGCAGCACTGGGCTATGCACCTGGCCTAATGCCGCCCCGCTCCTCCCAATCCCTGTGTTATGCTGGAGAGGGTCCAGCCTCTGGTGAGTTTCACCAAACCCCCACATCTCTTTCTTCTGAGACCTTCTCTAAAATCCCCTCTTTTATACTTAGTGAAATGGGATGCTCTTTTTCCTATCCAGCTTAAGCAAAAACTTTTGACTATGAGAAGAATGAGGATGCATTTAGTATCTGTTCTGCATGGCTAATTCCATCAAAGATTTCTCATTATTCATGCCTGGCAGTCTCATTTTCTTCTTTTGCCTCTAAGAGCACAGTCGTAGCCTTAATTACTGAACTTTTCACTCTTCTAATACCAGCGATTTCCCCCATCTCAGTTCTCAGGAAGTTCTGTTCGCAGAATTATCTCCTGAATCCTCACCTGGAGATAGAAATTGCTCTCTGTGGCCATTTCTTCCCCCTCTAATTCTTATAAAAAAACTCAGTGATCTCTGTGCATCAAATATTAAACTGAAGCTCAACAGATCATGATTCTGGCTTGTCTCTCTCTCCAGCCTGTGGGTTAACAGGTTTGCAACATTTGCAGAGAAGACACCAAATTCTCAGGAGGGCAGAGTTTCCAAAGGTACTGGTCACTCTTGCTCTCTTTCTCCTGCTCAAAATTCAGCACTAGAGAGTGTTACACCATTGCACCTGCAGAGGAGTTCATCTGACTCTAGGGACTACAGAGGAGAGAGATGGACAAACTAACAGGCATTCAGAAAATGACTACCACAATGGGGAAGAAAATGAAAGTCAAACCAAATAAGCAATGGTCAAAAAAAAAAAAAAATCTAGAGGGCAGCTGCAGTGGCTCACACGTGTAATCCCAGCACTTTGGGAGGCTGAGGCAGCTGGATCACTTGATATCAGGAGTTCGAGACCAGCCTGGACAACAGAGTGAAATCACATCTCTACTAAAAATACAAAAATTAGCCAGGTGTGGTGGTGGGCACCTGTAATCCCAGCATTTTGGGAGGCTGAGGTGGGTGGATCACCTGATGTCAGGAGTTTGAGACCAGCCTGGCCAACATGGTGAAACCCTATTTCTATTAAAAAATACAAGAATTAGCCAGGTGTGGTGGCAGGTGCCTCTAATCCCAGCTACTTGGGAGGCTGAGGCAGTAGAATTGCTTGAACCCAGGAGGCAGAGGTTGCGGTGAGCAAAGATTGCACCACTGCACTCCAGCCTGGGCAACAGTGAGACTTTGTCTCAAAACAAACAAACAAAAAAAACAACAACAACCTAGAGATGTCCGTCCAGGCTGAAGAGAATATTCCAGAGCAGAGGTTGGGACACTATGGCCCATGGGCCAAATCTGACCTGCTTGCACATGTGTTTGTCAATAAAGTTTTACTGAAACACAGCCATGCACATTTGCTGCATATTGTCTATGGCTGCTGGATTTGGCTGTTCTCTCATGCTATAAAGAAATACCTGAGGCTGGGTAATATATAAAGAAAAGAGGTTTAATTGGCTCACAGTTTTGTAGGCTATACAGGGAGCATGACACTGACATCTGCTGAGCTTCTGTGGAGGCCTCAGGAAACTTACAATGATGGCAGAAGGTGAAGCGGGAGCAAGAGAGTAAGGAGGGAGGTGCTACACACTCGTAAACAACCCGATCTTGCCGGAACTCACTCACTATTGCAAGGACAGGACCAAAAGGATGACACTAAATCATTCATGAGAAATCCACCCCCATGATCCAATCTCTTCCCACCAGGCCCCACCTCTAACACTGGGGACAGCTTTTATCTTGGCTTTTTCACTGGCAGCCCCTTCCTCAAGGACTTAACTTGTGTAAGCTGACTCTTAGCAGATCTAAGAATGCAATTAACTGATAAGATACTGTGGGGCAAGCAATATCCGCAGTTCCCAGGAATTTGTCCGATTGATAATGCCTAAAGCCCCATGTCTATCACTTTGTAATAGTCTTAAAGCCCTTAGACCTAGAACTGTTTACTTTCCTGTAACAATTTATCCTTTTAACTTTTTTGCCTACTTTACTTCTGTAAAATTCTTTTAACTAGACCCATTTCCCCTTTCTAAACTGAAGTATAAAAGAAAATCTAGCCCCTTCTTCAGGGCCAAGAGAACTTTAAGAGTTAGCCATTTCTTGACCTCCAGCTAAATAAGCAGACTCTTAATTCATGTGAAAGTGTGGCATTTTCTCTAACTCATTCAAGTACAACATTTGGAGGCCCCAGCGAGAAACGCCACGAGGCGAGAACCGGGCTCGCTCCGGGCTCCCCCGGAAGGACGGCCGGCTTGTTGCGGGGTGCCACCTACAAAAAAATTTTCAGGTCCTCGAAAGGTGACCGTCTTCCAGAGGAGAGCGGATCGACTACCTTGTGGGTGCCCATAAAAATTCCACCTCTGAGTCCTCGACTTCTGACCCTGAGGTCAGGTAGGTCAGATTTGACTTCAGTTCTAGTAAGAGGGAAGCGGCCCTGATGAGGGTGTCCCTCTTTTGACTCTGCCTGTTTCTCTAGGACGCTAGAAGGTAGAGCCCTGGTTTTCTGTTAGGCTCCTCTGTGTCTCTTTCTAGGAGGGAAGTGGCCCTGACAGGGGCCCTCCCTTGACTCAGTCCACATCCCAGGATGCTGGAGGACTGAGTCCTGGTTTCTGGCAGACCGGTCACTCTCTCTCTCTCTTTTTGTATCTCTCATCTTTCTCTTGTTCAAGTTTCTTGAAGAATCTCCAAGAAAGAAAAAAAAAAAACTGTTATATACTCTGTGTGAATAATGAATGAATGAGGGAGGACAAGGGTTTGCGCTTGTCCTCCAGTTTGTAGCTCCACGGCGAAAGCTACGGAGTTCAAGTGGGCCCTCACCTGCGGTTCCGTGGCGACCTCATAAGGCTTAAGGCAGCATCAGGCGTACCTTGATCTGAGCCGGAAGTTTATACCGGCCTGCCAATGCTAAGAGGAGCCCAAGTCCCCTCAAGGGGAGTGGCCAGGCAGGCATCTGACTGATCCCATCACAGGAAACCCTCCCCTTGTCTGTCTAAAAAAAAAAAAAAAAAAGGAAAAACTGTCATAACTGTTTACATGCCCTAAAGTCAACTGTTTGTTTTATATTGATTGTTCTGTTCAGCGTCTATTGTCTTGTTAGTAGTTGTCAAAGTTTTGCATGTCAAGACGTTGGTATTGCCCAAGACCTCTAAGTAAAAACTTCTTCAAAGTCCTTAGTGCTGATTTTTTGTCACAGGAGGTTAAATTTCTCATCAATCTTTTAGGCTGGCCACCACAGTCCTGTCTTTTCTGCCAGAAGCAAGTCAAGTGTTGTTACAAGAACAAGTGTGAAAAATATTCGCCTGATTAAGATTTCTAGCACCAAGAAAGTTGTTAAGTATTTAGATCATCATACTCCACGTCCAAGTGATTAGACGTCCTCTAAACTAAACCAGTAATGAGTTCAAAACAGCCACCCTGCAGATTTCCTTGCTCACCTCTCTTGTCATTCTGTAACTTTTCCTGTGCCCTGAAATAGAGCACTGTGTAAAGAAATGTACGCCCGTACTGCTTTACTTCATTGAGATTCTTACTCTGTTCCTCTGTGGCTACTCTTCCATCTTAAAAATGATCCGAGTAGTCCTTTTCCACCTTGTCCCTGCCCCGTATCCCGCACATCTCGTTTTCCGGTGCCACAGCAAGTTTACCGTCTCCAGGACTTGGCTCTGCTCTCACTCCTTAAACCCTTAAGAGAAAAAGCTAAGTTTAAGCTATTTGCGTTTAAGTTATAAAGACACCAAAAGTATTTAAAGTGCAGATCTAGAAGAAGAAGAAGAACGCCTAGATCAAACTGACCCAGAAGATCTCAGGCTGGCTCTAGTCCTCCTCCCTCAGTCTTAAAGCTACAGCAATGTAGCAAGTAGTATTAGCTGTTGTAAGTTTTTCTGCTCTTTCTAGTCATATTGATTCTGTTCTTTCACTACTCCAGTCCCCCAAGAAATAAGTTTCTCTGTCCATGCTAAGTTTAATATCTATGCTCAAATCTTATTAAATTGCCTTCAAAAAAAAAAAAAAGAAACACTTCCTCCCAGCCTTGTAAAGTTAAAGCCCTCTCCAATGTATGCTGCAGAATTTTCCTCTCAGTTTCTCAGATTATAAAGTCCGCCTTAAAAAAGGCAAGCTCTAGACACTCTGCAAAATAAAATGGCCAAAGTTTAAAGTCAAGTGGCCCCCTGAAGGGTCATTGAACCTCACAATTGTTCAAGCTGTGTGGCAGGTTGTTACTGAAACTCCTAGCCACCCTGATCAGTTTCCCTACATTGATCAAGAGCTAAGTTTAGTCAGGATCCACTCTCCATGGCTCCGTTCATGCGCCATTCATAATTCTACCTCCAAGGTCCTCCTAAGCCAGACCACGTTTTCGCCTCGACCCTCAGCCGGTTCAGCTCCCCCTGTACTGCCTCCCTCTGAAGAAGAGGGGAGTCTCCCTCACCCAGTCCCACCGCCTTACTACCAACCTTCTCCCTTAAAGTTATCCCATGTCTGCTCGACGACGTCCCCTGTAGGCTCGCCACCCATTGCCTCTCAATCATGACCGTGGCAGGAAGAAGTAGCCCCTCTCCTACCACTGAGAGAGGCACAAGTCCCTCCAGGTGATGAGCGCTCAGCACCCTTCTTAGTTTATGTCCCTTTTTCTACTTCTGACTTATGTAATTCGAAAACCCATAATCCTCCCTTCTCTGAAAAGCCCCAGGCTTTGACCTCTCTGACAGAGTCTGTACTCCAGACTCACCCGCCCACCTAAGATGATTGCCGACAGCTCCTTTTAACCCTTTTCACCTCTGAAAAGAAAGAACGTATCCAAAAAGAAGCCAAAAAGTACTTCCTCACATCAGCCAACGGACCGGAAGAAGAAGCTAGAGACCCCCTTGAGGAGGTCTTTCCCTCTACCCGGCCTAACCAGCACCCAAATTCCTCAAGTAGAAAGGGAGCTTTAGGTGATTTTCACCGGTATCTCCTCGCAAGTATTAAAAGAGCCGCTCAGAAACCCATAAACTTGTCTAAGACAAGCGAAGTTGTCCAAAGGCCCGATAAGTCACCAAGAACGTTTTTAGAGCGCCTCCAGGAGGCTTATTGGATTTACATCCCTTTTGACCCGGCAGCTCCCGAAAATAGCCGTGCTCTTCATTTAGCATTTGTGGCTCTGGCAGCCCCAGATATTAAAAAGAAACTCCAAAAACTAAAAAGATTTGCTAGAATAAATATCAGTCAGCTTTTAGAAATAGCCCAAGAAGTTTTTGACAATCAAAAGTTTAAAAAACAAAAACAAGCTACACTGGCAGCTGAAAAGGCCGCTGATAAAGCATTCAAAAGACAAACAAAAATCTTAGTGGCAGCTATCCAAGAAGTACAGAATGAAATAGCCCGTTAATTTAGCATTAACTGAAGCCCCTGCTTTAGCCCTCCCTAATATCTCCATAAAAGCCAAGGAGTTGCTAAAAACGTGTTTACTCAGACTCTAAGACCCTAAAGACGCCCAGTGGCCTATTTGTCTAAGAGGCTAGATCCTGTGGCCTCTAGATGGCCAAGTTGTCTGCGAGCCGTAGCGGCTACAGCAAGCCTGGCCCAAGAAGACGATAAATTAACTCTAAGCCAAAATTTAACCCTTACAGCTCCTCACGCCATAAAGACCTTACTACGAAGTGCTTCTGGCAAATAGATGTCAAATGCTCGCATCTTGCAGTATCGAAGTTTACTGTTAGATCAGCCTCGTTTGACTTTCTCTCCCACAAAGTGTTTAAATCCAGCTACAGTACTTCCTGACTCAGACTCCACTATTCCTGCTCATGACTGTCAAGAACTGTTAGAAACTATCGAAACTGGCCGATGTGATCTTCAAGGTGTGCCCCTAGAAAAGGCAGGTACCGCCGTGTTCAGAGACAGTAGCAGCTTCCTCAAGCAGGAAGTATGAAAAGTCAGTGCAGCTGTTACCACGGAGACACATGTGTTGTAAGCTCAAGCTTTACCAGCGAACACCTCAGCCCAAAAGGCTGAATTGATAGCCCTCACTCAGGCTCTCTGATAAAGTAAGAATAAACGTATTAACATTTACACTGACAGCAAGTACGCCTTTGCTACTGTGTATGTACGTAAAGCCATCTACCAGGAAAGCAGGCTACTCACCTCAGCAGGTAGCTGTGATCCACTGCAAAGGACATCAAAAAGAAAACACACCCGTTGCCCATAGTAACCAGAAACGTGATTCAGCAGCTCAGGTCTCAGCGCGACTTTCAGTCACGCCTCTAAACTTGCTGCCCACAGTCTCCTTTCCACAGCCAGATCTGCCTGACAATCCCGTATACTCAACAACAACAACAACAAAAAAAACTGGCTTCGGATCTCAGAGCCAATAAAAATCAGGAAAGTTAGTAGATTCTTCCAGACTTTAGAATCTTCATACCCTGAACTCTTAAAGAAACTTTAATCAGTTACCTACAGTCTACCACCCATTTAAGAAGAGCAAATCTACCTTAGCTCCTCCAGAGCCATTTTAAGATCCCCCATCTTCAAAGCCTAACAGATTAAGCAGCTCTCCAGTGCACAACCTGCGCCCAAGTAAATGCCAAACAAAGTCCTAAACCCAGCCCAGGCCACTGTCTCTGAAAAAACTCACCAAGAAAAAAGTAAGAAATTGACTTTAGAGAAGTCAAACCACACCAGGCTAAGTACAAATACCTTCTAGTACTGGTAGACACCTTCTCCAGATAGACTAAGGCATTTGCTACCGAAAACGAAACCACCAACACAGTAGTTAAATTTTTACTCAATGAAATCATCCCTCAATATAGGCTGCCTGCTGCCATAAAGTCTGATAATAGACCAACCTTCACCTCGCCTATAGCTCAGTCAGTCAGTAAGGCCTTAAACATTCAACAGAAGCTCCATTGTGCCTATCAACCCCAGAGTTCCAGGCAAGTAGAACGCAAGAACCACACCCTAAAAAACACTCTTACAAAATTAATCTTAAAAAAAAGTGTAAATTAAGTAAGTCTCCTTCCTTTAGCCCTACTTAAAGTAAGGTGCACCCCTTACCAGGCTAGTTTCTCACCTTTTGAAATCATGTATAAGAAGGAACCCCCTATCTTGCCTAAGCTAAGAGATGCCAAATTAGCAGAAATATCACAAAATAATTTATTACAGTACCTATAGTCTCTCCAACAGGTACAAGATATTATCCTGCCACTTGTTCCAGGAGCCCATCCCAATCCAATTCCTGACCAAAGTCCAGCCATTCGTTCCAGCCATGAGACCTAGTGTTTGTTAAAAATTTCCAGAAAGAAAGACTCACTCCTGCTTAGAAAAGACCTCACACCGTCATCCTCACAACGCCAATGGCTCTGAAAGTAGACGGCATTCCTGCTTACATTCATCACTCCCGCATCAAAAAGGCCAACAGAGCCCAACTAAAAACATAAGTCCCCAGGCCTAAGTTAGGCCCCTTAAAACTGCACCTAAGTCAGGTGAACCCATTAGATTCATTCTTTTTATCTGCCTCACTTATTTGTTTTTGCCCTTTACGTCCTCTGTGCCTTCCTACTCCTTTCTCCTCACCTCTTTCACAACAGGACTTGTATTTGCAAACACCACTTAGAAGGCCAGTACCTCCAAGGAAGTCTCCTTTGCAGTTGACTTATTTGTACTTTTCCCAAAGCCAGCCCATACCCATGAAAAGCAACACAATCTGCCAGTCCCAGGAGCAGCAAGGGTCGACCTTTCAGCAAGATTCAGACACTCCAAGAGCCAAACTAAGTGTAGAAGCTCCAAAAGTGCAGAAAAAAGACTCCAAAATATTGACTTTTACCTCTGTCCTAGAAATCACCCTGATGCTAGCTGTCAAGATACTTATCAGTTTTCCTGTCCTGATTAGACATGTGTAACTTTAGCCACCTACTCTAAAAGATCAACCAGATCTTCAACTCTTTCCATAAGTCCTGCTTCTCATCCTAAATTATGTACTAGAAAAAATTGTAATCCTCTTACTGTAACTGTCCATGACCTTAACTCAACTCAATAGTATCATGGCATGTCATGAAGATTAAGATTTTACATCCCAGGATTTAATGTTAAGTCTATGTTCACCATCCAAAAAAACCATAGTCTCATAAAGCCCACCCAAGTCAATCAGGCCTTTAACTGATCTAAGTAACCCTATGTTCCAGAAACACCCTGACAAAGTTGATTTAACTGTTCCTCCACCATTCTTAGTCATAAAAGATACACTCCAGAAAGTGCAAGAAAATCTAGATAAGCGCCAACAAGAACAAGAAAATAACATCCGCTAGTATCAAAGCATGTTCAACTAGAACCCAGAGCTAACTATTCTAATTACTAAGTTAGCCAGACCCCCTCCCCATCCTAGTATTAAGTCTAATTTTTGGACCTTGTATATTAAATTAGTTTCTTAATTTTGTAAAACAACGCATAGCTTCTGTCAAACTTATGTATCTTAAGACTCAATATAACCCCCTTGTTATAACTGAAGAATCAACGATTTGACTCCCCAAAAACACAAGTGAGGAATGTAATGCCCAACCTTGTTTTTACTAACCCTGTTCTTAGACTCTCCCTTTCTTTTAATCACCTAGCCTTGTTTCAACCTGAACTGACTCTCCCTTAGCTAAGAGAGCCAGACAGACTCCATCTTGGCTCTTTCACTGGCAGCCCCTTCCTCAAGGACTTAACTTGTGCAAGCTGACTCCCAGCACATCCAAGAATGCAATTAACTGATAAGATACTGTGGCGAGCAATATCCGCAGTTCCCAGGAATTCGTCCAATTGATAACGCCCAAAGCCCCGCATCTGTCACCTCATAATAGTCTAAAAGCCCCTAGACCTAGAACTGTTTACTTTCCTGTAACAATTTATCCTTTTAACTTTTTTGTCTACTTCTGTAAAATTCCTACTTTTGTAAAAAATCCCCCTCCCCTTTCTAAACCAAAGTATAAAAGAAAATCTAGCCCCTTCTTCGAGGCCGAGAGAACTTTAAATGTTAGCCATTTCTTAGCCACCGGCTAAATGAACAGACTCTTAATTCGTCTCAAAGTGTGGCATTTTCTCTAACTCGTTCAACTACAACACATCCGGCAGGCACGTAATCCACTCTAAAATGCCATCCTGGGGTAGTGAAGATGATGTTGCTGGAAATATCCTTAAATAGCATGTGGATGAGTTCCCCCAGACGCATACATGTTGAGCTAAGTACTTTGCTGATGAAGGGTACAAGTTGAAGGGGTTTTGAAAGGCAGAGTGAGGTTCCTCAGAAGGCTGTTGCTACAGAAAGCCAGGAGGAGAAATTACATGGCCAGATAGAGTGGCATGACCATTGGATAAGGGCTTTTTGTTTGTTTTTGAGATGGAGTTTTACTCTTGTTGCCCAGGCTGGAGTGCAATGGCACGATCTCAGCTCACTGCAACCTACGCCTCCCAGGTTCAAGCGATTCTCCTTCCTCAGCCTCCCTAGTAGCTGGGATTACAGGCATGTGCCACCACGCCCGGCTAATTGTGTATTTTTCATAGAGATGGGGTTTCTCCATGTTGGTCAGGCTGGTCTTGAACTCCCGACCTCAGGTGATCCGCCCGCCTTGGCCTCCCAAAGCGCTGGGATTACAGGCGTGAGTCACCGTGCCCAGCCTGGATGAGGGTCTTTAGCAAAGATGGAAGTTTTGGTACCTTGCAGTTTAATCTCTTCATTTATGTCCTCCTGAAATCTTCAGGAATAGCACTATTTTGTCAATACTTCTGGGGTCGTACTTAGGGAGACTTAAAGGAGATGTGATGTGGCAGCCTTTGACTCAAGGGAGTATCATACTAGCTCAAAGAGATCTGGGTACATGCCAGTTGAACCAACTCTTTTGAGGATGTGGTAGATCCTGGGAGGCCACTCTGATCCTGCCAACCTTGAGGCCAGATGAGTCTTTGAAAAACATGGTTTGGCTTAACACCAGCACTTAGTCTAACACCCACCATGAATCTTGCTGAAGTGAAGCTATACAAATACCTTTTCAAAAGATTTTTTTTCATTCCAGATCCTTCTTAGAAATTCCTAAGGCTCAATGTTGTGTGGAAGATTCTGAGAAAGAAAATAGTTTCCGATCTTTGGGATTCCCCTGAGATGGTCCAATCTGCAAAAAGTTCATTGCCATTTCCATCAAGGACACTGAGAACAAGAGTCTTATCCGCATTGAATCCTGGGAATTGAGAAGCTTCAGCAGGTGGGAAATGCACCCTCCACAGGCTCAAACCCTTGTGGGCTGTTTCAGTTACCTATTGCACCTAAAATTAGAAACTTTAAACCACCTCAAGTCATTATTGCTCATGACCCTGTGAGTTGCATGGGGACTTCCTGGCTGTTTTAACCGGGGCTCATTTGTGTGGCTACCTGCAGCTGGAGGGCCAGCTGGGTGGAACATCCAGGACGACCTCATGCATGTGCCTGGCAGTTGGTGCTGGCTGTCAGCTGGGGAAACTTGTTTTCCTCCATGTGGCCCCTCGCCCTGCAGAACCCCTCTCCAAATGGCCCTTTAAGCAGGATAGCCAAGGTTTGCTTGGTGCCAGCATCCAAGAGGGCAAAAATATAGAAACTAGGAGAGGGCTCTCAAGGCCTAAGACTATATGCACCCCAAAAATCTGAGGTCTCAGTTAATTGAGAAAGTTTATTTTGCCAAGGTTGAGGACGCACGCCTGACACAGCCTCAGGAGGTCCTGACAATATGTGCCTAAGGTGGTGGGGACACAGCTTGGTTTGATACATTTTAGAGAGACATGAGACATCAATCAATATGTGTAAGATGTACATTGGTTCAGTCTGGAAAGTCGGGACAAGTCCAGGTGAAGGTGATGGTGAGACAAGGGGTAGGGGCTTCCAGGTCATAGGTAGTTAAGAGACAAATGGTTGCATTCTTTTGAGTTCCTGATTAGCCTCTCCAAATGAGGCAATCAGATATACATTTATCTCAGTGAGCAAAGGGGTAACTGAATAGAATGGGAGGCAGGTTTCCCCTAAGCAGTTCCCAGCTTGACTTTTCTCTTTAGCTTAGTAACTTTTTTTTGTTGGGGGGGACAGAGTCTCGCTCTGTTGCGCAGGCTGGAGTGCAGTGGTACCATCTCGGCTTACTGCAACCTCCAACTCCAGTGTTCAAGCAATTTCCCTGCCTCAGCATCCCAAGTAGCTGGGATTACAGGCGCCTGCCACCACGCCTGGCTAATTTTCATATATTTTAGTAGAGACGGGGTTTTGTCATGTTGGCCAGGCTGGTCTTGAACTCCTGACCTCAGGTGATCTGCCCGCCTCAGCTTCCCAAAGTGCTGGGAACTCCTGACCTCAGGTGATCCGCCTGCCTCAGCTTCCCAAAAGTGCTGGGATTACAGGTGTGAGCCACCGAGCCCAGCCTAGCTTAGTGATCTTGGGGACCCAAGGTTTATTTTCCTTTCACGGCTAGAAGTTGGTCACCATCACTTTGGCAGCATTCCACTGGCCAAAGCAAGTCATAGGCAGCCCAGATTTATGTAGAGAAATATAAACTCTACCTCTTAAAGGAAAGATTGGTTCGATTACACTGCACGAGCATTTGCAGAAAGTTGTACCCATCTTTGGAAACTACCATACACACACACACACACACACACACACACACACACAACTTTACATGTAACCCTCCCTTGAGGTGCATCTACTTCCAGGCAGAACCAAAACTTGACAGTACTCGACAGAAGAAAAGTAGGGTCCCAAATGCCAGTTCTCTTCTTACTCAACTTCAGCCTCATTATAAGCAGATTCTAACAGTTTATGTGTCTTGAGAAACATTTTAGTTAATCTTTGGAATTTAAGAATTTGAATTCATAGCAGTAGCCTGTGCATAGAAAATACGCATATTTTAAGTTTTTCCTTTCTGATAAATCATGCTGTGGGAACCACAATGTAACTTTTTTTTTTTTTTTGAGACCGAGTCTCACTCTGTTGCCCAGGCTGGAGGGCAGTGGCATGATCTCAGCTCACTGCAACCTCCGCCTTCTGGGTTCAAGTGATTCTCCTGCCTCAGCTTCCTGAGTAGCTGGGATTACAGGCACACAAGACGGGGTTTCACCATGTTGGTCATGTTGGTCTCGAACTCCTGACCTCTGATCTGCCCACCTCAGCCTCCCAAAGTGCTGGGATTATAGGCGTGAGCCACCCGCTTACTTATACTATAACTGTATATTGAAAGTTTCTCTTTTTTCAAAAATAATTAACAGGTTTAACAGAATGTATCTCCTGATCTATTCCTTTCACTGCAGACATCTATTGCCTTTTCAGCCTAGCAGCCCTCCCCTCTATAGAGACTCACACTTCCTACTCCAGTCACGTGGCTCTCATAGGGGCTGCCATATTCTTACATGACTCCACCCCTCTGGCCTCAGTTGATTGGTCCAGGGATGAGAATCTGGCCTAAATTGGCCAATCAGAATTCTTCCCTTGAATATTTTTCCAAACTGTAACTAGACCAATTTAATCATTCTCCGTGATGACAGGAACTGTGTGTAGTGAGAAATATAGGAGCTTTTGTGGCCACGTTTCTCACCTTATGGAGAAAAAGCTTGAGTAAGAAGAAATTAAGCCAGTATGCAGACAAAGCTAGAGACAGAGATAGAGAGAGAGATCTTATGGTAAACCCCTTGGTTTTTATCATTCTAGTACATGCTTGCTACTACATACAACCAAGACTTTCACCTGAGGGCTTTCTCAAAGTCAGGCATGGATTATGTCAGAAAAGCCACAGAAGCCAGGTACAGTGGTTCACTCCTGTAATCCCAACACTGGGAGGCCGAAGCAGGTGGATCACGAGGTCAGGAGTTTGAGACCAGACTGATCAACATGGCAAATCTCCGTCTCTACAAAAAATAAAAAAAATAGCAGGGCATGGTGGCAGGCACCTGTAATCCCAACTACTCAGGAAGCTGAGGCAAGAGAATCGTTTGAACCTGGGAGGCAGATGTTGCAGTGAGCCGAGATCATGCCATTGCAGTCCAGCCTGGGTAACAGAGCAAGACTATGTCTCAAAAAAAAAAAGAAAAAAGAAAAGCCAGAGAGTTGATGCCCTGGGACCTGTCCTCAGCCAGTGACGGATGGGAGCTAGGCTATAAATGCTTCAATATCTTTGCCCCCTGGATGGAACAACTTTGAAATGCATTCCACATCACCTCCCAGAGGTCCCCAGTGGGGTCAAATCCTAGTTGCCTGGAGTGGTAAGCTGCTCATTGAAGGCCCCTGTGTGGCCTCCTGCCTTTCCATGAATCAGTTCCTCACTCCCCTATTGGTGTTCCCTGGAATCATCTCCTAAATAATCCACTTGCAATCCTGTCCCTCTTTCAGGATCTGCTTGGGGTTGGGGAGTGCAGACAAAAACATGACCCCTTTTGTACTCCACACTAGTAAGATGAGTTTCTGTCACTGGCAACCAAGAGTTCTGACTATTACCTCCTTCTGAGATAATTCCTAAAATGTATTTGGGAATTTTCCCACCTCCACCCCACTGCCTATGTCATCAATATGTAGATTTCTTAACAAAGTTTAATGGTATTCTTTGACCAACCTCAAGTTTCACAAAACACACTACACTTTCATAAGAGCTCCCCATGACTGACAGATCAGCCGTTCAAAAGAAGGGAAGTGTCAGAGATGGCTCTGCTAGACTCACGTATTTTTCAGTAGAATCTGGGTCAGGATGGTGCGGTCAGAAGATGCTTCTGGAGCTCTGGGACCCACAAGCCTGCGTGTCCCACAGTGGAGTATTAGGACAACTTGAAAACATAGTCAGCAGTTCATCCTCCACCACACCCAATGTGTTCAATAGATATTGGTTAAATGAATAATAGGGCCGGGCATGGTGGCTCACGCCTGTAATCCCAGCACTTTGGGAGGCTGAGGCAGGTGGATCACCTGAGGTCAGGAGTTCAAGACCAGCCTGGCCATAGAGGCAGGGGAAGCACTTGAACCTGGGAGGCAGAGTTTACAGCACGCTGAGATGGCATCACTGTACTCCAGCCTGGGCGACAGAGCGAGACTCAAACAAAAAAATAATGGATTTATTCCTTCCAAACTGCAACTCACCAAAAGAAGACCAACACGCATCACAATGTTGTGGCCATAATCACCACAGTGACAATAATAAATATAATCAACTCTCGAGCCAGCCATCCCCACTAAACCTAGTGGGTCACATCTGGTGTTTCACTTTGGGGATGTTTTAGTGGTCATGGTAGATTGTTGTCTGACTGCTGGCTGTTTCTACCATGTTTCAGGAATATAGAGATGTGTACAGATGACCCCTAAAATTAATTAGTATGCAATTCTCAAAGAGACAAACTGTATCCCAGAAGCTACTGGAATGAAAAAAAAATGTTTTAATTCTCAAAGAGACAAACTAGATAGTAAAAGCATTTATGTTCCCTTGGAGAATCTTCCCACCAAGGACTCAAAGTTGTCTCCAGACCAGGGAATGCCTGGGGCCTTGGACGTTCCCAATTCTGGTATCACCTCCCATTCTCATTTAAGTCCAGTTTTCTCAGAGGAGCATACATTGTTCATTGCCACCAAGGGTATCCAAGGACACAAACTGAAGATAATAGTGCTTTATTGTCTCTCAGTCATCTTTCTCTCCCACCTGCTGGAAGGAGAGACAAGTCCAATTTATCCAATTACAAAATAGCAACATTGGCATCATGAGATCAGCTAACAAAACTTTCAGAGGCAATCTATCTTCCTACCAAAAGTAACCAACATCTGTGGAGCACTTACCATGACTAAGGGTCAACATAAGTGGTTTGCATGCTGCATGCATCAGGATGGACTAGGTTATGCTGCAGTAACAAATTAACCACAGAGACTCAGCAGCTTAGCAACCAAGGTTGATTTCTTACATTCCATGTCCACAATGGGTTGGCTGGGTACGGTGTGCTCCATATGGCCACTCGAAGACCTAGAATGATGGAAATTCTACCATCTTAATGCAAGGATTCTCCCATAGTTACTGCACCATGAGATGAGAGAATGAGATAGTTATCCCCAAGCCCTCAAAAGCTGTAGACTAGAGGTGAAGTCAGTGACTTCCACTTATAGAGCACTGGACCCTGGCATGGATCCATCTAACTACTGGGGGTCTGGTGAATACGGGGAGCACATGGAAATCCCATGAGCAGTAACCATTCCCGCCAGCATGCATTATTTCATCTGAACCTCACAACCCCATGGAATATATAACAGAGGCTTGGGGAGTTATGGGACCTGCCCCAAGGCGTCATAGATAATGAGTTGCAGAGCTGAGATATGACCCTCGGCCTGGCAGGATTCAAACCACTATGCTGCATACTCATCACAAAATTCTATGAAATTCCTCAGACAGCAAAACCCCACACCAAGTGAAAAGAAAGCCAAGTTGTGCAAATACACAATAGAACTCCCCTGACACTTCACCTCCTCACCCACCCCACCCCCACCGAAAGAATCAACCTACGCAAATAACTGGAATGAAATTCTCAGGCAATTTCAGCAGGGGAAATGGGGTTATCTCATCTGGGTCTCACATCCGACCTCGTCAAGACAAGACCTTCCCTAAACTTCACCTGAACACCTGGACACACTGTCATGTCTTGCCGCTTCTTGTTACTGGAAATCCAATGATGATGTCTTTATACAATTTATAGGTCTTTCTATAAGTGCCAAGATAAATGTCATCTCTGTACCTGCATATCATTCAGAGGTAGGCAAGCTTCTATGTAAACTGCTAGATAGTAAATATTATAAACTTTGCAGGACTCATCTGATCTCCATCCTATATAATTTTTTATTTTTGTTTTTTATAATTTTTTTTTCTTTTTAGATAGCGTCTAAAAAGAAAATAAAACTTATCCATGCTGTGATATGGATGAACGTTAAAAACATGCTGAGTGAAAGAAGCAGACATGAAAGGTCATATATTGTACAATTCCATTTATATGCAATGTTCAGACTAAGCCAATCGACAGAGGTAGAAAGTAGATGAGAGGTTTCCGAGGGCTGCAGAGGAGAGGGCATGGAGAGTGACTGCTGAATGGATATGAGGCTTCCAATTGAGGTGTTGAAAAAGCCCTGAAACTAGGTAGTGGTGATAATTGCACAACATGATAAATGTACAAAATGTCACTGAATTGTACACTTTCAGATGCACAAAATGGTAAAAGTTGCATATGTTATACCACAATTTTATTCATTTATTTTAGAGATAGAGTCTCACTCCGTCACCTAGGCTGCAGTGCAATGGCACAATCATAGCTCACTGCTGTCTTTACCGCCTGGGCTCAAGCAATCCTCCCACCTAGTCTTCCAAGTTTCTGGGACTACAGGTGAATCCTACCACACCCAGCTTTTTAAATTTTTTTTATAGAGTTGCATTCTCACTATATTGCCCAGACTGGCCCAAACTCCTGGATTCAAGTGATTCTCTCATCTCAGCCTCCCAAAGTGCTGGGATAACAGGTGTAAGCCATCAGGCCAGGCAATTTTTAATTCTTATGTGAAATTTTCAACTAATATATTCCTAGGATTAAAAAAATGTCGATCAACATGGGGATTAGAGGAAAAAATAATTTTAAACAAGAGAAAAAATTAAATGAGATGACGTATATGTATACAGTGCCTGGCCTCATGGTCACTGAGTCCACTGCAGCTTTTTTTTTTTTTTCCCCAGACAGGGTCTCACTCTGACACCCAGGCTGAGTACAGTGGCATAATCATGGCTTATTGCAGCCTCAACCTCCTGGACAAAAGTGATCCTCCCACCTCAGCCTCTAAAGTAGCTGGGACTACAGGTGCAGACAACCACACCTAGCTGTTTTTGTTGTTGTTTTTGTATTTTTTGGTAGTGGCAGGGTCTCACCATGTTGCCCAGGCTGGCATCTTGAACTCCCGGGCACAAGCGATTCTCCCACCTCAGCTTCCCAAAGTGCTGGGATTACAGGTGTGAGCCACCATGCCCATCCTGTTGTAGCTATTTTAATAGTGCTGGTGAAAAAAATTTGCTCTCCCTATAAAAACAGGACATACTAAGCCAAGGAAAGCACCAATCTAGTTTGTTCTCCCCAGATCTTCAAAATGTTGGAATTAGTATAAGAGTCCAAAATATTTCATGTGGCGAATTAGTATAAGAGTCCAAAATATTTCATGTAGTTTGATTTTTTTTTTCTTTGGAGATGCAGTCTCGTTCCATCGTCCAGGTTAGAATACAGTGGCACAATCTCGGCTCACTGCAACCTCCGCCTCCCGGGTTCAAGCAATTCTCCAGCCTCAGCCTCCCAAGTAGCTGGGATTACAGACATGTACCACCACGCCCGGCTAATTTTTGCATTTTTAGTAGAGATGGGATTTCTCCATGGGCCAGGCTGGTCTTGAACTCCTGACCTCAAATGATCTACCCATCTTGGCGTCCCAAAGTGCTGGGATTACAGGTGTAAGCCACCATGTCCGGCCAGTTTGATTTTTTATTGTGGTAAAGTACATACAAAATCTATTATTTTAGCCATTTTCAAAGGAAAAATTCAGTGGTGTTAAGTGCG
Organism: Homo sapiens; assembly: GCF_000001405.40. Classification (NCBI taxonomy): domain Eukaryota; kingdom Metazoa; phylum Chordata; class Mammalia; order Primates; family Hominidae; genus Homo; species Homo sapiens. The sequence continues at coordinate 6,979,870 of NC_000007.14, read as the reverse complement.
TCCACCACATTGTACAACCATGTCCCCCATCCAACCCCAGAACGCTTTCATCCTGTCCTGCAAATATGCAGCACCTTGCTTCACTCCAGGTTGTCTGTCCCACAACAGAGCTGGGCTGAATTATTAATGTGGACTTTGTTCAACAACGGACTAAAGAGGGCGAAGCCCATGAACTCTGTGAGGAGTGCATGACAGGTGCTTGTAGGATGACATGGCTCGGTGCCCTCCAGCTGCTGCTGCCGCCGCCTGTCCTACTGGGTGGCCACCCCGTCCCAGGGAAGAAGAGCACTCACAGCTGCTGCTGATCACCTTCCAGGGCTTCCGCTGGAACTAGGATGAGGATGTGGACACCCCCAACCTGGACCATCTGGCCGAGGAGGGCGTCAAGGCCAAGTACCTCATGCCACCCCTTGTCACAATGACCTCCCCGTCCCACTTCACTGCCATCACAGGTAAGCGCCACTCTGCCCATTTCACCCGATGCCCATCAAAGCCCCAGCGTCCGTCATTCCCTGTGATAAGAAGCAAAAGCTCGGTCAGCTCTAGGGAGGCTGAGGAGGCTCCGGGGTCTCACTCTGTTGCCCAGACTGTGGCATAATCACAGCTCAGTGGAGCCTCAAACTCCTGGTGTCAAGCAGTCCTCCCTAGCTCAGGCTCCCCAGTAGCTGGGGATACAGACAAGCCACCGTGTCTAATTTTCTCATTTTCTTAGGAATTGGGGCAGGGGGTGTCTCACTATGTTGCCTAGGCTGGTTTTGAATTCCTGGCCTCAAGTGAACATCCCACCTCAGCTTCCCAAAGTGCTGAGATTGGAGACATGAGCTACCATGCCTGGCCTGATCTTTTTTAAAAAAGTAAATAGGGCCAGGCACAGTGACTCACCCCTGTAATCCCAGCACTTTGGGAGGCTGAGGTGGGTGGATCACCTGAGGTCAGGAGTTCAAGACCAGCCTGGCCAACATGGTGAAACGTCGTCTATCCTAAAAATACAAAAATAAGCTGGGCTTGGTGGCAGATGCCTATAACCACAGCTACTCGGGAGTCTGATACAGGAGAATCGCTTGAACCTGTGGGGTTGAAGTTGAAGTGAGCCAAGATCATGCCATTGCACTCCAGTTTGGGCAACAGAGAAAGATTTTGTCTCAAAAAAAATAAAAGTAATAAAAATAAAAAGGTAAATAACTAAAGTCACTTTTAAATAATTGTATAAAAATAATAAAACATTGACATTTACAGAGCTCAGTTAGATGAGGTGACTCATACCCTCCAATGGTGTTCTGGTTCTCTTACATGAGAATTCAAATGTCTTTCTGTGGCTCAAAAGATCCCACACAGCCTGGCGCCTGGCCCATCTTCTGCCAGCCTCTCTCATCTCTCTCCCTCTCCTTCACTTCCTTCCGGATCACAAAGGCCTTTTGCCTGTGCCTTCTGCCCTGCTCCCTCCAGCCCCAGAGTCTTGGCCTGTGTTAGTCCAGTCCCTCCAGCTCACCAGGAGCATGCAGTCCAGTCGGGGAGACAGACACCAGACACCCAAACAGACACATACATCCCGTGACAACTCGGGAGGCATCAAGGAGGAAAACGAGTTTTCCAGGCGCAGACTACAGGAGTAAACTGGCTTCAAACTAGAGAGGGAGAAAGGGGGTCTCTGAGCATGGGGCAGTTGAGCTGAAAGAGTTCTCAGGGGACCAGAACAAGGAAATGTGTTCCAGGCAGAGGGAAGAGCATGTGTCAGGTCTCTGAGACAAAGACCTGGTCATTTCAGAATCCCAGTGGCCACTAAAACAGAGGGATTCCAACCTAAAAAGGAGGAAAAGGAGGCTGCTGAAAAGCAAAGGACTCTGTGTAAGAATCATAATAGCGGAGGTGGAGCCAAGATGGCAGAATAGGAACAGCTCCAGTCTACAGTTCCCGGAGTGAGCGACGCAGAAGACAGGTGATTTCTGCATTTCCAACTGAGGTACTGGGTTCATCTCACTGGGGAGTGTCAGAAAGTGGGTGCAGGACACCTGGTGCAGTGCAGTGAGCATGAGTCCAAGCAGGGCGAGGCATTGCCTCACCGAGGAAGTGCAAGGGGTCAGAGAATTCCCTTTCCAGGTCAAAGAAATGGGTCACAGACGGCACCTGGAAAATCGGGTCACTTCCACCCTAATACTGCACTTTTCCAATGGTCTTAGCAAATGGCACACCAGGAGATTATATCCCATGCCTGGCTCAGAGGGCCCTACACCCATGGAGCCTCACTCATTGCTAGCACAGCAGTCTGAGATCAAACTGCAAGGTGACAGCAAGGCTGGGGGAGGGGCGCCTGCCATTGCCTAGGCTTCAGTAGGTAAACAAAGCAGCTGGGAAGCTCCAACTGGGTGGAGCCCAACACAGCTCAAGGAGGCCTGCCTGCATCTGTAGACTGCACCTCTAAGGGCAGGGCACTGGCAAACAAAAGACAGCAGAATCCTCTGCAGACTTAAATATCCCTGTCTGACAGCTTTGAAGAGAGTAGTGGTTCTCCCAGCACACAGCTGGAGATCTGAGAATGGACAGACTGCCTCCTCAAGTGGGTCCCTGACCCCCGAGTAGCCTAACTGGGAGGCACCCCACAGTAGGGGCAGACTGACACCTCACATGGCCGGGTACTCCTCTGAGACAAAACTTGCAGAGGAACAATCAGGCAGCAACATTTCCTGCTCACCAATATCTGCTGTTCTGCAGCCTCCACTGCTGATACCCAGGCAAACTCCAACAGACATGCAGCTGAGGGTCCTGACTCTCAGAAGGAAAACTAACAAACAGAAAGGACTTCCACACTAAAACCCCATCTGTACGTCACCATCATCAAAGACCAAAGGTAGATAAAACCACAAAGATGGGGAAAAAACAGAACAGAAAAACTGGAAACTCTAAAAATCAGAGTGCCTCTCCTGCTCCAAAGGAATGCAGCTCCTCACCAGCAATGGAACAAAGCTGGACAGAGAATGACTTTGATGAGTTGAGAGAAGAAGGCTTCAGATGATCAGATTACTCTAAGCTAAAGGAGGAAGTTTGAACCCATGGCAAAGAAGCTAAAAACCTTGAAAAAAAATTAGATGAATGGCTAACTAGAATAACCAATGCAGAGAAGTCCTTAAAGGACCTGATGGAGCTGAAAACCAAGACAGAAGAACTACGTGACAAATGCACAAGCCTCAGTAGCCAATTTGATCAACTGGAAGAAAGGGTATCAGTGATGGAACATGAAATGAATGAAATGAAGCGAGAAGAGAAGTTTAGAGAAAAAAGAATAAAAAGAAATGAACAAAGTCTCCAAGAAATATGGGACTATGTGAAAAGACCAAATCTACATCTGATTGGTGTACCTGAAAGTGACAAGGAGAATGGAACCAAGTTGGAAAACACTCTGCAGGATATTATGCAGGAGAACTTCCCCAATCTAGCAAGGCAGGCCAACATTCAACTTAAGGAAATACAGAGAACGCCACAAAGACACTCCTCAAGAAGAGCAACTCCAAGACACATAATTGTCAGATTCACCAAAGTTAAAATGAAGGAAAAAATGTTAAGGGCAGCCAGAGAGAAAGGTCGGGTTACCTACAAATGGAAGCCCATCAGACTAACAGCTGATCTCTTGGCAGAAACTCTACAAGCCAGAAGAGAGTGGGGGCCAATATTCAACATTCTTAAAGAAAAGAATTTTCATCACTGTAGCTCTCCCTCTCCCTCTCCCTCTCCCTCTCCCTCTCCCTCTCCCCACGGTCTCCCTCTGATGCCGAGTCAAACCTGGACTGTGCTGCTGCCATCTCAGCTCACTGCAACCTCCCTGCCTGATTCTCCTGCCTCAGCCTGCCGAGTGCCTGCGATTGCAGGCACGCGCTTCCACGCCTGACTGGATTTCGTATTTTTTTGGTGGAGACAGGGTTTCGCTGTGTTGGCTGGGCTGGTCTCCAGCTCCTAACTGCGAGTGATCCGCCAGCCTCGGCCTCGCAAGGTGCCGGGATTGCAGACGGAGTCTCGTTCACTCAGTGCTCAATGGTGCCCAGGCTGGAGTGCAGTGGCGAGATCTCGGCTCGCTACAACCACCTCCCAGCCACCTGCCTTGGCCTCCCAAAGAGCGGAGATTGCAGCCTCTGCCGGGCCGCCACCCCATCTGGGAAGTGAGGAGCGTCTCTGCCTGGCTGCCCATCGTCTGGGATGTGAGGAGCCCCTCTGCCTGGCTGCCCAGTCTGGAAAGTGAGGAGCGTCTCTGCCCGGCCGCCATCCCATCTAGGAAATGAGGAGCGTCTCTGCCCGGCTGCCCATCATCTGAAACGTGGGGAGTGCCTCTGCCCCGCCGCCCCGTCTGGGATGTGAGGAGCGCCTCTGCCCGGCCGTGACCCCGTCTGGGAGGTGAGGAGCGTCTCTGCCTGGCCGCCCCATCTGAGAAGTGAGGAGCCCCTCCGTCCGGCAGCCACCCCGTCTGGGAAGTGAGGAGCGTCTCCGCCGGGCAGCCACCCCGTCCGGGAGGGAGGTGGGGGTCAGCCCCCGCCAGGCCAGCCACCCCGTCCGGAAGGGAGGTGGGAGGGGTCACCCCCCGCCCAGCTAGCCGCCCCGTCCGGGAGGGAGGTGGGGGGGTCAGCCCCCCACCCGGCCAGCCGCCCCGTCTGGGAGGGAGGTGGGGGGGTCAGCCCCCCGCCCGGCCAGCCGCCCTGTCCGGGAGGTGAGGGGCGCCTCTGCCCGGCCACCCCTACTGGGAAGTGAGGAGCCCCTCTGCCCGGCCAGCTGCCCCGTCCGGGAGGGAGGTGGGGGGGTCAGCTCCCCGCCCGACCAGCACCCCATCCAGGAGGGAGGTGGGGGGGGTCAGCCCCCCGCCCGGCCAGCCGCCCCATCCAGCAGTGAGGTGGGGGGGTCAGCCCCCCGCCCGGCCAGCCGCCCCGTCCGGGAGTTGAGGGGCGCCTCTGCCCGGCCGCCCCTACTGGGAATTGAGGAGCCCCTCTGCCCGGCCACCACCCCGTCTGGGAGGTGTACCCAACAGCTCATTGAGAACGGGCCATGATGACAATGGCAGTTTTGTGGAATAGAAAGGGGGGAAAGGTGGGGAAAAGATTGAGAAATCGGATGGTTGCCGTGTCTGTGTAGAAAGAAGTAGACATGGGAGACTTTTCATTTTGTTCTGTACTAAGAAAAATTCTTCTGCCTTGGGATCCTGTTGATCTGTGACCTTACCCACAACCCTGTGCTCTCTGAAACATGTGCTGTGTCCACTCAGGGTTAAATGGATTAAGGGCGGTGCAAGATGTGCTTTGTTAAACAGATGCTTGAAGGCAGCATGCTCGTTAAGAGTCATCACCACTCCCTAATCTCAAGTACCCAGGGACACAAACACTGCGGAAGGCCGCAGGGTCCTCTGCCTAGGAAAACCAGAGACCTTTGTTCACTTGTTTATCTGCTGACCTTCCCTCCACTATTGTCCTATGACCCTGCCAAATCCCCCTCTGCGAGAAACACCCAAAAATGATCAATTAAAAAATAAATTAATTAATTAATTAATTAATTTTAAAAAAGAAATATAAAAAAATAAAATAAAGTCATCACTGTAGAAAAAAAAAAAGAAAAGAATTTTCAACCCAGAATCTCATATCCAGCCAAACTAAGCTTCATAAGCGAAGGAAAAATAAAATACTTTACAGACAAGCAAATGCTGAGAGATTTTGTCACTACCAGGCCTGCCCTGCAAGAGCTCCTGAAGGAAGCACTGAACATGGAAAGGAACAACTGGTACCAGCCACTGCAAATTGGTACCAGCCACATGCCAAATTGTAAAGACCATCAAGGCTAGGAAGAAACTGCAACTAATGAGCGAAATAACCAGCTAACATCATAATGACAGGATCAAATTCACACATAACAATATTAACCTTAAATGTCAATGGGTAAATTCTCCGATTAAAAGACAGACTGGCAAATTGGATAAAGAGTCAAGACCCATCAGTGTGCTGTATTCAGAAAACCCATCTCATGTGCAGAGACACACCTAGGCTCAAAATAAAGGGATGGAGGAAGATCTACCAAGCAAATGGAAAACAAAAAAAAGGCAAGTGTTGCAATCCTAGTCTCTGATAAAACAGACTTTAAACCAACAAAGATCAAAAGAGACAAAGAAGGCCATTACATAATGGTAAAGAGATCAATTCAACAAGAAGAGCTAACTATCCTAAATATATATGCACCCAACACAGGAGCACCCAGATTCATAAAGCAAGTCTTTAGAGGCCTACAAAGAGACTTAGACTCCCACAAAATAATAATGGGAGATTTTAACACCCCACTGTCAACATTAGACAGATCAAGGAGACAGAAAGTTAACAAGGATATTTAGGAATTGAACTCAGCTCTTCACCAAGCGGACCTAATAGACATCTACAGAACTCTCCACCCCAAATCAACAGAATATACATTCTTCTCAGCACCACACTGCACTTATTCCAAAATTGACCACATATTTGGAAGTGAAGCACTCCTCAGCAAATGTAAAACAACAGAAATTATAACAAACTGTCTCTCAGACCACAGTGCAATCCAACTAGAACTCAGGATTAAGAAACTCACTCAAAACTGCTCAACTACATGAAAACTGAACAACCTGCTCCTGAATGACTATGGGTACATAACTAAATGAAGGCAGAAATAAAGATGTTCTTTGAAACCAATGAGAACAAAGACACAAAGTACCAGAATCTCTCAGACACATTCAAAGCAGTGTGTAGAGGGAAATTTATAGCTCTAAATGCCCACAAAAGAAAGCAGGAAAGATCTAAAATTGGCACCCTAACATCACAATTAAAAGAACTACAGAAGCAAAGAGCAAACACATTCAAAAGCTAGCAGAAGGCAAGAATAACTAAGATCAGAGCAGAACGGAAGTAAATAGAGACACCAAAAACCCTTCAAAAAATCCATGAATCCAGGAGCTGGTTTTTTGAAAAGATCAAAAAAACTGATAGACCACTAGCAAGACTAATAAAGAAGAAAAGAGAGAAGAATCAAATAGACACAATAAAAATTGATAAAGGGGATATCACCACCAATCCCACAAAAATACAAACTACCATCAGAGAATACTGTAAACAACTCTTCGCAAATAAACTAGACAATCTAGAAGAAATGGATAAATTCCTCGACACATATACCCTCCCAAGACTAAACCAGGAAGAAGCTGAATCTCTGAATAGACCAATAACAGGCTCTGAAATTGAGGCAATAATTAACAGCTTACCAACCAAAAAAAAGTCCAGGAACAGACGGATTCACAGCTGAATTCTACCAGAGGTACAAGGAGGAGCTGGTACCATTCCTTCTGAAACTATTCCAGTCAATAGAAAAAGAGGGAATCCTCCCTAACTCATTTTATGAGGCCAGCATCATCCTGATACCAAAGCCTGGCAGAGACACAACAAAAAAGAGAATTTTAGACCAATATCCCCGATGAATATCAATGCAAAAATCCTCTATAAAATACTGGCAAACCGAATCCAGCAGCACATCAAAAAGCTTATGACCATGATCAAGTGGGCTTCCTCCCTGGGATGCAAGATTGGTTCGACATACACAAATCAGTAAACATAATCCAGCATATAAACAGAACCAATGACAAAAACCATATGATTATCTCATTAGATGCAGAAAAGTCCTGTGACAAAATTCAACAACCTTCAGGCTAAAAATTCTCAATAAATTAAGTATTGATGGGACGTATCTCAAAATAATAAGAGCTATCTATGACAAACCCACAGCCAATATCATACTGAATGGGCAAAAACTGGAAGCATTCTCTTTGAAAATTGGCACAAGATAGGGATGCCGTATCTCACCACTCCTATTCAACATAGTGTTGGAAGTTCTGGCCAGGGCAATCAGGCAGGAGAAGGAAATAAAGGGTATTCAATTAAAAAAAGAGGAAGTCAAATTGTCCCTGTTTGCAGATGACATGATTGTATATCTGGAAAACCCCATTGTCTCAGCCCAAAGTCTCCTTAAGATGATAGGCAACTTCAGCAAAGTCTCAGGATACAAAATCAATGTGCAAAAATCACAAGCATTCTAATATACCAATAACAGACAAACAGCCAAATCATGAGTGAACTCCCATTCACAATTGCTTCAAAGAGAATAAAATACCTAGGAATCTAACTTACAAGGGATGTGAAGGAACTCTTCAAGGAGAACTATAAACCACTGCTCAACAAAATAAAACAGGACACAAACAAATGGAAGAACATTCCATGCTCATGAGTAGGAAGAATCAATATCATGAAAACGGCCATACGGCCCAAGGTAATTTATAGATTCAATGCCATCCCCCCATCAAGTTACCAATGACTTTCTTCACAGAATTGGAAAAAACTGCTTTAAAGTTCATATGGAACCAAAAAAGAGCCCACATTGCCAAGTCAATCCTAAGCCAAAAGAACAAAGCTAGAGGCATCATGCTACCTGACTTCAAACTATACTACAAGGCTACAGTTACCAAAACAGCATGGTACTGGTACCAAAACAGAGATATAGACGAATGGAACAGAACAGAGCCCTCAGAAATAATGCCACATATCTACAACCATCTGATCTTTGACAAACCTAACAAAAACAAGCAATGGGGAAAGGATTCCCTATTTAATATATGGTGCTGGGAAAACTGGCTAGCCATATGTAGAAAGCTGAAACTGGATCCCTTCCTTACACCTTACACAAAAATTAATTCAAGATGGATTAAAAACTTAAATGTTAGACCTAAAACCATAAAAACCCTAGAAGAAAACCTCAGCAATACCATTCAGGACATAGGCCTGGGCAAGGACTTCATGTCTAAAACACTAAAAGCAATGGCAACAAAAGCCAAAATTAACAAATGGGATCTAATTAAACTAAAGAGGTTCTGCACAGCAAAAGAAACTACCATCAGAGTGAACAGGCAACCTACAGAATGGGAGAAAATTTTTGCAATCTACTCATCTGACAAAGGGCTAATATCAAGAATCTACAATGAACTCCAACAAATTTACAAGAAAAAAACAAACAACCCATCAAAAACTGGATGAAGGATATGAAAAGACACTTATCAAAAGCAGACATTTATGCAGCCAAAAGACACGTCAAAAAATGCTCATCATCACTGGCCAGAGAAATGCAACTCAAAACAACAATGAGATACCATCTCACACCAGTTAGAATGGCAATCATTAACAAGTCAGGAAACAACAGGTGCTGGAGAGGATGTGGGGACATAGGAACACTTTTACACTGTTGGTGGGACTGTAAACTAGTTCAACCATTGTGGAATTCAGTGTGGCAATTCCTCAGGGATCTAGAACTAGAAATACCATTTGACACAGCCATCCCATTTCTGGGTATATACCCAAAGGATTATAAATCATGCTGCTATAAAGACACATGAACACGTATGCTTATAGCAGCACTACTCACAATAGCAAAGACTTGGAACCAAGCCAAATGTCCAACAACAGTAGACTGCATTAGGAAAATGTGGCACATATACACCATGGAATACTATGCAGCCATAAAAAATGATGAGTTCATGTCCTTTGTAGGGACATGGATGAAGCTGGAAACCATCATTCTCAGCAAACTATTGCAAGGACGAAAAACCAAACACCGCATGTTCTCACTCATAGGTGGGAATTAAACAATGAGAACACATGGACACAGGAAGGGGAATATCACACACCGGGGCCTGTTGTGGGGTCGGTGGAGGAGGGAGGGATAGCATTAAGAGATATACCTAATGTGAAATGACGAGTTAATAGGTACAGCACACCAACAAGGCACATGTATACATATGTAACAAACCTGCACGTTGTACACATGTACCCTAAAACTTAAAGTATAATAAAAAATAAAAAATGAAATAAAAACTTTTGCTGTTGACTCCAAATATCCTGCTTCATCATCTCTCCACTCCAGAAACTTTTCACATACTTACAAAGGGTGTTCGTTTCTCCTCTAAGTATTTGCCCCCCAGCCCCACATGCAAGAAGGTGGAAGTAGGGCCTCTGCCTGGGATGGTAACTCTCAAATATAAGGCAAGACCTGTCTCTCCTCCAATATCCCAAGGACTGAAGGACTGTGAAAGTCTGCATATTGATCAAGCTTCTCCCTCCCTTATCTGAAGGGACTTACTTCCTTCAAGACACTTTTCCTCTTCCCACCTAACTCCATGCCCCCATCCAGTCATCTTCCAACCCATCTCTCCCCACCTGCATGCCACACAAGAGGGGCATGACCACAGAACCTGGAAGTTCCTTAAAATTGAATAGTACGTCAGGCCAGGTGCAGTGGCTCATGTCAGTAACCCCAGCACTTTGGGAGGCTGAGGAAGGCAGGTAACTTGAGGTCAGCAGTTCGAGACCAGCCTGGCCAAAATGGTGAAACTCCATCTCTACTAAAAATACAAAAATTAGCTGGGTGTGTTTGTGCATGCCTGTAGTCCCAGCTACTTGGGTGGCTGAGGCAAGGGAATCACTTGAACCTGGGAGGCAGAGGTTACAGTGAGCCAAGATTGCACCATTGCACTCCAGCCTGGGCGATAGAGTGAGTCTCTGTTTCAAAGAAAAAAAAAAAAAAAAGAATTCGAGTGGTGTGATTAGCTTATGATTTTTTAAAAATGGAATGATGTATTCATTTTCTAAGCTGCATAACAAATCAACACAAATTTAGCAGCTTAAAACACCCATCTATTCCCTCTCCTTTCCTGTGGGTCAGGAGTCTGGGGGTGCAGCTTTAGCTGGGCCCTCTGCTCAGGTTCTTACAAGGTTGTGATCAAGGTGTTGGCGGGAATTAGTGTCTCCTATGAGGCTTGGGGTCTTCTCCCAACCTCACATGGTTGTTGGCAGAATTTATTTCCATGCAACTGTGGAACTCATGTGGCTGGCTTCTTCAAAACCAGCCAGGCATGGTGGCTCACGCCTGTAATCCCAGCACTTTCGGAGGCCGAGGCAGATGGATCACCTGAGGTCAGGAGTTCGAGACCAGCCTGGCCAATATGGTGAAACCCCGTCTCTACTAAAAATACAAAACTTAGCCGGGCATGATTGCGCACGCCTGTAATCCCAGCTACTTGGGAAGCTGAGGCAGGAGAATCACTTGAACCCAGGAGGCAGAGGTTGCAGTAAGCCGAGATTTTGCCACTGCACTCCAGCCTGGGCAACAGAGTGAGACTCCATGTCAAAAACAAATAAACAAACAAAAACCAGGAGGAAGGAGTCTCTCTCCTCCAGACCCTCATTGAAGATCTCACCTATAGATGTCAGGCCCACCCTGAATAATCTCCCTTTTGATTAACTCAAAGTGAATGGATTAGGGGCTTAGTTACATCTGCAAAATCCCTTCAACTTTTCCATAGGTATAGATTAGAAACAAGACGCGGGTCCTGCCTACACTCCAGGGGAGAGGAGATTACACCTGGCATTTATCCAGGGCAAGAACCTAAGGGGTCATCTCAGAATTCTGCCCTCCAAATAGATCCTCGGTGGAGCTCACATGCCTGGGAGAGCACCAGCCTTTGTTTAAAGGCAACAGAGAATGATGCCCTGGCTCAGATCTCCAGCAAGCCTCCAAAATGATGGTCCAGTCTCTGAACCCAGGGCCAAGGCAGCAGGAGCTTTGGGTGCACATGGGGGCTTCCCCCACTTTCAAGTGAGTCGTCACATCTGTATTAGACCCTAGCTGTTGCTTAGGCAAAAATGATGATTTAGAAGAAGATGGAGAGAAGAGGAGAGTTAATTTAAACGTACTTATATTCGGCCGGGTGTGGTGGCTCATGCCTGTAATCCCAGCACTTTGGGAGGCTGAGGCAGGCGGATCACGAGGTCAGGAGATGGAGACCATCCTGGCTAACAGGGTGAAATCTCTTCTCTATTAAAAATACAAAAAATTAGCTGGGCATGGTGGCGGGTGCCTGTAGTCCAAGCTACTTGGGAGGCTGAGGCACGAGAATGGCGTGAACCCAGGAGGCAGAGATTGCAGTGAGCGGAGATCCCGCCACTGCACTCCAGCCTGGGCAACAGATCGAGACTCCGTCTCAAAAAAAGAAAAAAGAAAGAAAGTACTTATATTCATTCCCTAGGGCTGCCACAACCAAGTACCAAAAGCTGGGTGACTTGAAACCAGAGAAATTGATTGTCTTGTGGCTCTGGTGGCCAGCAGTCTGAAATGGAAGTGCCAGCAGGGCCACGTTCCCTCCTGTACTTGTCAGGGATTCCTGCCTTGCCTCTTCCTAGCTTTCTGTGGTTTCCTGGCAGTCTTCAGTGTTCCTTGGTTTGCATACGCATCAGTCCAATCTTCTGTCCAATCCATGGCCTTCTTCCCTGTGTCTCTGTGACTCGGTGTGTCCTCTCCTCTTTTATAAGGACACCAGTCATTGACTTAGGCCCTCCCTACTCCAGGATGACTTCATCCTAATCAACAGCATCTGCAATAACCTTATTTCTTTCTTTCTTTCTTTTTTTTGAGAGGGACTTTCACTCTTGTTGCCCAGGCTGGAGTGCAATAGCGCGGTCTCAGCTCAATGCAACCTCCGCCTCCTGGGTTCAAGCGATTCTCCTGCCTCAGCCTCCCGAGTAGTTGGGATTACAGGTATGGGCCACCACACCCAGCTAATTTTGAATTTTTCGTAGAGATGGGGTTTCTCCATGTTGGTCAGGCTGGTCTCAAACTCCTGAACTCAGGTGATCCACCCGCCTCGACCTCCCAAAGTGTTGGGATTACAGGCATGAGCCACCACGCCCGGTCCGCAATAACTCTATTTCTAAATAAGGTCACATTCTGAGCTGCTGGAATTTAGGATTTCAACATGTTTTGAGGAGGACTCAATTTAACCCGTAAGAATACTATGTGGACCACACATGCTGCTTCACATCTGTTATCCCAGCACTTTGGGAGGTTGAAGCAGGAGGATCATTGCTCAGGGCGTAGGGGACACCAGGTGCATAAGACCACAGCGTTGACTGGTGTGGGGGCTCACACCTGTAAGTTTGGGAAGCTAAGGTAGGACGATCACTTGAGCCCAGGAGTTTGAGGCCAGTCTGGGTGACATAGTGAGACCTCATTTCTAAAAAAAAAAAATTAATTAGCTGGGCTTGGTGGTAGCCACCTACAGTCCCAGCTACTCAGGAGGCTGAAGCAGGAGGGTCGCTTGAGTCCAGAAGATCAAGGCTGTGGCGAGCTGTGATTGCAACCCTGCACTCCAGCCTGGGCAATAGAGCAAGCCCTGTCTCAAAAAAAAAAAAAAAAAAAAAAAGGCATCTCCCTTGTCTTCTGATTCCCTGAGCTGTCATAGAAAGGAAGTGAAGCAGAGAAAGCATCCCCACGAAAGGGAATTTTCAAAACCAGCCTAAGCAACATAGCAAGATCTTGCCTTTAGAAAGTATTTAAATTGGAAGGAAAAAAAAAAAAGCAGTACTATAGCACAGAGTTGACAGCTACAGGTGTGGCTACATCCAGGTCCTAAAACTATATCATCAGAATGACCCCTCACCCTCCCCCCGCTTTCCATTTTACTTTCTTAAGCATGAACATGAAATTTCCAAGATTGTCTCTCCTTTGGCTAATCTGCTTCTCAGACCCAATCACTGTGGCCAGGGTGGTGGAAGGACACTGGCATCCAGGCTGGGACCACATGCCCCAGCTCCAGATCAGGGTGGGGAATAGCCAGTGGCACACATGCCATGGGGGACTAGTGACTCCTCAGTGGAAAATCGGGGACTGTCATTGGAGAGCAGCGATAGAAGAAAGGCTGACACAGTGCAATGTATCTCCTGCACCAGCCTGGGCCTCGATGTCTTGAGTACTGATGACACAGTACTCAGTCCAGGGCAATCCCAACTCCATCTGCGGGGCTGCCCACAGTACATGAACCCCTCACTGGATTTGCTGACCACACGTGCAAACAGCCACCTCCCAGCCCCACTCCCCGCAGTCTCCCTGAACCCTGTCAAAATTCCCCTCAGTTCTCACCAAGATTAAAAGCAATTCTGAGGGTGAGCGGCTCATTCTGCTAGTTTAACTCTCTCAATTCCTTCTCTCTCCAGAACTCTGTACTTACTGCTCCATCACTGGTAATGACAATGAACATCTTCACAATCTCAGGTTTTATTGCAAAGTGATTGAGGACCAGTTAGAATAAGTTATGCTACAGAAACTAAAGAAATCCCATCAAGCAAATGGTGTGTCATTGAAAGTCTTAGGACAGCTGTGTATATTCTCTCCCCCAATGAATCAATTGAAAATGAGAAGCTCTTACCGCCATGTTCCGGGCAGAATCTATCAAAAGTATAAGCCATGATATTATAATTTGATGATTTTTCATCCGTCAAATGGATATGGCCCAGGGGAGAAAAGTGGACGCTCCGTAACTAGATGATGGTCAAGAGTTATAAAAATGAGGTCCTCTCTGTTCAACATTTCTCCTTTCTTGAAAGGATACTCAATGTCACGCTCAGGGCCTCTAATGGCCAGAGATAAAATTCCTCCCAGTTCCAGAGCACCCCAGGGCAACCCCAAAACCAGAGCAACTGCTTATTGCCACGTAGACTATGTACTGTGCAATTCCTGGGGTGGCATTTTCATAAATATGTGGGTGGCGCCCCCTGGAGGTATGTAATGCACAACTTGCACAAACGGTAAGTCATCGTATCCCAAAGTCCACAAAGAAGAGGTAAGCAAAACTCCCATCGATGTTGCCATCAGTCATGAGTCTGCCTTTTCTTCATGGGACAGTAGCAAAAACAATTTGGCCAAGTGTGCTTGGATGATCTCTAAGATGGAATCAGGGTCTCTCACTTTCAGCACTATTGACATTTGGGGCTGGATCATTCTTTTGTCTTAGTGGGAGTTGTCCGGGGCATTGTAGGATGTTTAGTAGCATCCCTGGCCTCTACCCATTAGCTGCCAGTAGCACCACCTCCTCCAGCCGCAACCACCAAAATTGTCTCCAGACATGGCCACATGTTCTCTGGGGGGCAAAATCACCCCCTGGCTGAGAAGCCCTGAAGTAAAGACATAATACGCAGATCACATGTAAGTAAGAGAGCCTAAGGGCCACACAGGTGATGCTGTACCCCTGACAAAGCCAGAGTCTTAAAGAGGTTAGAGAGGTGGAGAAAGAGAAAGGAAATGAAGTCCCAGCTGCCGAGAGCAACAGATGCTGACTAGATGTTGTTGATAGTCATCTTTAAACTGAGGTTAAAAGATGCTGAGAAGCCATCAGCTCCCATCCTGCTCTCCAGGGACAACGCTGCTGAAAAAGGCCTGGAGATCAACAAAGCCCCAAACACAGCTGCACTGAGCAAAGAAACCAGAGATTGAGACAAAATGACATTCCCTCAAAGACTACTCATTTCCAAGAGGGGAGAAAAAGTGGAGTCATGAAAAACAGTTGAGGCTGGATAGAGTGAATCACACCTGTAATCCCAGCACTTTGGGATTACTCCCAGGCTGAGACGGGAAAATTGCTTGAACTCAGGAGTTCAAGACCAGCCTGGGCAAAATAGCAAGACCTTGCCTCTAGAAAAAGGGAAAAAAATTAGCCAGGTGTGATGATACACGCCTGTGGTCTCAGCTACTCGGGAGGCTGAGGTGGGAGGATCGCTTGAACCCAGGAGGTAGAGGCTGCAGTGAGCCGGGATTGCACCACTGCACTCCAGCCTGGGCTACAGATCTTGTCTCAAAAAAGAAAAAAATTAAACAAAATTAAGGCCGGGCACGATTGCTCATGCCCGTAATCCTAGCACTTTGGGAGGCCAAGGTGGGCAGATCACGAGGTCAGGAGATTGAGACCATCCTGGCTAACACGGTGAAACCCCATCTCTACTAAAAATACAAACAATTAGCCGGATATGGTGCTGGGTGCCTATAGTCCCAGCTACTCTGGAGGCTGAGGCAGAAGAATGGAGTGAACTCGGGAGGTGGAGCTTGCAGTGAGCCAAGATCACCCCACTACACTCCAGCCTGGGCAAAAAAGCAAGACCCTATCTCAAAAAAAAAAGAAAATTGAAAATTTTTTTGAGACCAAGTCTCACTCTGTCACCCAGGCTGGAGTGAAATGCTGCGATCTCCACTCACTGCAACCTCCGCCTCCTGGGTTCAAGTGATTCTCATATCTCAAACTCTTACCTCAACATGACTACAGGCATGTTGTCACCATGCCTAATTTTTGCATTTTTAGTAGAGATGGGGTTTCACCATGTTGTCCAGGATGGTCTTGAACTCCTAGGTTCAAGCAATCTACCCACCTCAGCCTCCCAAAATGCTGAGATTACAGGCATGAGCCACCGTGCCCGACCTCTAACTTTTCATTATGGAAATTTCCCATACGCACAAAAAGCAGGGAGAGAATTGCACGATGAACCCCCATGCACCCATCATCCCACTGCAAGAACTTGTCAACATTTCGCCAATCTCATTCCAGTTCCCACTTTTCTTTTCCTTCTTGCTATTTTAGGATATTTTAAAGCAAATTCCAGACATTTCATTTCACCCACATCCATAACACGCCAGGGTGCATTCTTGATGTAAGGATTTTGTTTTGTTTTATAACACCCATGACATTGCCACACTTAATTGATTTAACATGAAGAAACTAAGATTCTTGCAGGTGGAGAAAAGATCTAATTACCACCTTAAAGCCTCTCCTACTAGCGCTTCTCAGATCTGAACGTGTATGCAAATCACGTGGGCATCTTGTTAAAATGCAGATTCTGGCCCAGCAGGTCCTTCCGGGTGAGCCCTGAGAGTCTTCAATTCCAAAAGCTCCCTGGTGACGCAATGCTGTGGGTCCATGAATCACACTAGAGGAAGGGTCGGCCAAACACCCACAACAACTGGGTGCAAAGTCCTGACTGTTCCTGACTGCAGGGCCTTCAGTGAACGGGGAAGCTGGGGACCATTAGGGAAAGAAGGGAGGTTTTTCGTATCAGCTCCAGGCCTTGTAGAACTGCCAGGGAATAACAGACACAAGGGCAGCAAAGTCTAACCAACAGCACGAGTTCATTCATATTCCACAACCACTGCAGCAAAGAACCATGAAATGGGTGGCTTCAAACAATGTCTGGGCCGGGTGCCGTGGCTCACACCTAAATAATCTCAGCACTTTGGGAGGCTGAGGTGGGTGGATCACTTGAGGCCAGGAATTCGAGACCAGCCTGGCCACTATGCCAAAACCTCGTCTCTACTAAAAATACAAAAATTAGCCATGCATGGTGGCAGGCACCTGTAGTCCCTGCTTCTTGGGAGGCTGAGGCAAGAGAATGGCTTGAGCCTGGGAGGCGGAGGTTGCAGTGAACTGAGATCGTGCCACTGCACTCCAGACTGGGCAACAGAGCAAGCCTCTGTCTAAAAAAAAAAAAAAAAAAAAAAAATTGTCTGGAAGCCAGAAGTCCAAAATCAATCAAATGTCAGCAGGAGCATGCTTCTTCAGAGGTTCTAGAGGTGAATCCATTCCTTGCCTCTTCCAGCTTGTAGAGGCTACTAGAATTCCTCAACTTGTGGCTGCATGATCCATTCTTTGCCTCTGTGATCACCTTGCCTCCTCCTCTTCTGTCTGGGTCTCCTCCTCTGGAGGAAGAGTGTCAGGCCTCTGAGCCCAAGCTAAGCCATCATATCCACTGTGACCTGCATGTACATACCCAGGTGGCCAGTTCCTGCCTTAACTGATGACATTATCTTGTGAAATTCCTTCTCCTTGCTCATCCTGGCTCAAAAGCCCCCCTACTGAGCACCTTGTGACCCCCACTCCTGCCTGCCAGAGAACAACCCCCCTTTTTCCTTTACCTACCCAAAT
Organism: Homo sapiens; assembly: GCF_000001405.40. Classification (NCBI taxonomy): domain Eukaryota; kingdom Metazoa; phylum Chordata; class Mammalia; order Primates; family Hominidae; genus Homo; species Homo sapiens. The sequence goes on along the minus strand of NC_000007.14, from coordinate 6,962,049 downwards.
CCTGTAAAATGGCCCCACCCCTATCTCCCTTCACTGACTCTCTTTTTGGACTCAGCCCACCTGTACGCAGGTGACATAAACAGTTTTATTGCTCACACAAAGCCTCTTTGGTGGTCTCTTCACACAGATGCATGTGAAATTAGGTGCTGTGACTCAGATCGGGGGACCTCCCTTGGGAGATCAATCCCCTGTCCTCCTGCTCTTTGCTCTGTGAGAAAGATCCACCTACGACCTCAGGTCCTCAGACTGACCAGCCCAAGCAACATCTCACCAATTTCAAATCTGGTAAGCGGCTTCTTTTTACTCTCTTCTCCAACCTCCCTCACTATCCCTCAACCTCTTTCTCCTTCCAATCTTGGCATCACACTTCAATATCTCCCTTCTCTTAATTTCAATTCCTTTCATTTTCTGGTAGAGACAAAGGAGACACGTTTTATCCGTGGACCCGAAACTCCGGCGCTGGTCATGGACTAGGGAAGGCAGCCTTCCCTTGGTGTTTAATCATTGCAGGGACGCCTCTCTGATTATTCACCCAGGTTTCAGAGGTGTCAGACCACGCAGGGATGCCTGCCTTGGTCCTTCACCCTTAGCAGCAAGTCCTGCTTTTCTGGGGGAGGGGCAAGAACCCCGACCTCTTATCTCTGCACCCCGATACCTTATTTTCATGCCCTGACCTCTTATCTCTGTGCCCTGATCCCTTATTTCCATGCCCGCCCTCTTATTTCTGAGCCCCGATCCCTTATTTCCACAACCTGACCTCTTATCTCTGCACCCCAACCTTTTATTTCTGTGCCCCAACCCCTTTCCCTCTTTTCTGGAAGGCAAGAACCCCCCATCCCTTCTCTCCATGTCTCTACTGTCTCTTTTCTCTAGGCTTGCCTCCTTCACTATGGGCAAGCTTCCATCCTCCATTCCCCTTTCTTCTCCTTAGCCTGTGTTCTTCAAAACCTAAAACCTCTTCAACTCACACCTGACCTAAAACCTAAATGCCTTATTTTCTTCTACAATGCCGCTTGACCCCAATACAAACCCAACAGTGGTTTCAAATAGCCAGAAAACGGCACTTTCAAATTTTCCATCCTACAATATCTAGATAATTCTAGTCATAAAATGAGCAAATGGTCTGAGATGCCTGATGTCCAGGTATTCTCTTACACATTGGTCCCTCCCTAGTCTCTGTTCCCAATGCAACTCATCCCAAATCTTCCTTCTTTCCCTCCCACCTGTCCCCTCAGTCCCAACCCCTAGTGTCGCTGAGTCTTTCTAATCTTCCTTTTCTACAGACCCATCTGACCTCTCCCCTCCTCGCCAGGCTGAGCTAGCTCCCAATTCTTCCTCAGCCTCTGCTCCTCCACCCTATAATCCTTTTATCACCTCCCCTCCTCACACTGGATCTGGCTTGCAGTTTAATTCTGTGACCAGCCCTCCCCAACCTGCCCAGCAATTTCGTCTTAAAAAGGTGGCTGGAGCTAAAGGCATAGTCAAGGTTAATGCTCCTTTTTCTTTTTCTCAAATCAGATAGCGTTTAGGCTCTTTTTCATCAAATTTAAAAATCCAGCCCCGTTCATGACTCGTTTGGCAGCAACCCTGAGTTGCCTTACAGCCCTAGACCCTAAAAGGTCAAAAGGCCGTCTTATTCTCAATATACATTTTATTACCCAGTCTGCTCCCGACATTAAATAAAACTCCAAAAATTAAATTCCGGCCCTCAAATCCCACAACAGGACTTAATTAACCTCGCCTTCAAGGTGTACAATAATAGAGCAGAGGCAGCCAAGTAGCAACATATTTCTCAGTTGCAATTCCTTGCCTCCACTGTGAGACAAACCCCAGCCAAATCTCCAGCACACAAGAACTTCCAAACGGCTAAAGCGCAGTGGCCAGGCATTCCTCCAGAACCGCCTCTCCCAGGAGCTTGCTACAAGTGCCAGAAATCTGGCCACCAGGCCAAGGAATGCCTGCAGCCCAGGATTCCTCCTGAGCCATGTCCCATCTGTGCAGGACCCCACTAGAAATTGGACTGTTCAACTCACCTGGCAGCCACTCCCAGAGCCCCTGGAACTCCAGCCCAAGGCTCTCTGACTGACTCCTTCCCAGATCTTCTTGGCTTAGCAGCTGAAGACTGACAATGCCCGATCGATTGCCTCAGAAGCCTACAGGACCATCACAGATGCTCTACGTAACTCTCACAGTGGAGGGTAAGTCCATCCCCTTCTTAATCAATACGGAGGCTACCCACTCCACATTACCTTCTTTTCAAGGGCCTGTTTCCCTTCCCTCCATAACTGTTGTGGGTATTGACAGCCAGGCTTCTAAACCTCTTAAAACTCCCCAACTCTGGTGCCAACTTAGACAATACTCTTTTAAGCACTCCTTTTTAGTTATCCCCACCTGCCCAGTTCCCTTATTAGGCTGAGACACTTTAACTAAATTATCTGCTTCCCTGACTATTCCTGGACTACAGCCACGTCTCATTGCCACCCACCTTAACCCACAAGTAGAAGATACCTCTACTCCCTCCTTGGCAACCTATCATGCACCCCTTACCATCTCATTAAAACCTAATCACCCTTACCCCGCTCAATGCCAATATCCCATCCCACAGCATGCTTTGAAAGGATTAAAGCCTGTTATCACTCACCTGCTACATCATGGCTTTTTAAAGCCTATAAACTCTCCTTACAATTCCCCCATTTTACCTGTCCTAAAACCAGACAAGCCTTACAAGTTAGTTCAGGATCTATGCCTTATCAACCAAATTGTTTTGCCCATCCACCCCAAGGTGCCAAACACATATACTCTCCTATCCTCAATTCCTCCCTCCACAACCCATTATTCTGTTCTGGATCTCAAACATGCTTTCTTTACTATTCCTTTGCACCTTTCATCCCAGCCACTCTTCACTTTCACTTGGACTGACCCTGACACCTATCAGGCTCAGCAAATTACCTGGGCTGTACTGCCGCAAAGCTTCACAGACAGCCCCCATTACTTCAGTCAAGCCCAAATTTCTTCCTTACCTGTTACCTATCTCAGCATAATTCTCATAAAAACACACGTGCTCTCCCTGCCGATCGTGTGTGACTCATCTCTCAAACCCCAAACCCTTCTACAAAACAACAACTCCTTTCCTTCCTGGGCATGGTTAGACACTCTCACCTTTAGATACCTGGTTTTGCCATCCTAACAAAACCATTATATAAACTCACAAAAGGAAACCTAGCTGACCCCATAGATCCTAAATCCTTTCCCCACTCCCCTTTCTGTTCCTTGAAGACAGCTTTAAAGACTGCCCCCACCCTAGTCTTGGTTACCTGACCGGGAAGCGAGGTAATTGGCGGACAGTTGAGGCAGCACTTTAGGCGGCTTAGGCCTGCCCTGTGGAGCATCCCTGCGGGGGACTCCTGCCAGCTTGAGCGACACGGATACTGAGAGCTCTCCCAAGTAGGCAATTGACCCGGTGGAATGCCTCGTCAGAGCAGTGTGTGGTAGGCCCCCGTGGAGGATCGACGCAGTGGGTGAACACTGGGAAGGAACAGGCACTTGGAGTCCGGACATTTGAAACTTGGTAAGACTGGTCTTTGGAACTTGCCCACTCTATCTGAGTGGAAGTGTGGCCTGATCACCCACGGCGTGCCTGTACTGGCACTTTGGTTTTTGTTTTTGACTTGACTTGAATTGCTTGATACTTTGGTTTTGGTTAGACCTGGCTTGGATTTCTGGATACTCTGATTTTGGTTTTGATTCTGGTTTGGTGAAAACTGAAAAAGTGTGTGTGTGCCCTTTTTACCCATTCTTTGTTCTGTTGTGTGCGTGTGGTGTGAGCTTGGTGTTTTGTCTCGAGGAAACGTGGGTCAGACACAAAGTAAGCCTACTCTGCTAGGAACTATGTTGAAAAATTTTAAGAAAGGATTTAATGGAGACTATGGGGTTACTATGACACCAGGGAAACTTAGAACTTTGTGTAAAATAGATTGGCCAATATTAGAAGTAGGATGGCCATCAGAAGGAAGCCTGGACAGGTCCCTTGTTTCTAAGGTATGGCACAAGGTAACTGGTAAGTCAGGACACTCAGACCAGTTTCCATACATAGACACTTGGTTACAGCTGATGCTAAACCCCCCACAGTGGCTAAGGGGGCAGGCAGCAGCAGTGCTAGTAGCAAAGGGACAGATAGCCAAGGAAGGATCCCGCTCCACCCGCTGAGGGAAATCAACTCCTGAAGTTCTATTCGACCCAACATCAGAAGATGCACTGCAGGAGATGGCACCAGTGATCCCAGTGGTGCCCTCCCCTTACCAGGGAGAGAGGCTCCCCACTTTTGAGTCCACGGTGCTTGTGCCTCCACGAGACAAACATATCCCTAGGCCACCCAGAGTATACAAGAGAAGAGGTGAGGACTCAGGAGAAACCCCTCCCTTGGCAGCTCGTTTAAGACTCAAAACGGGGATACAAATGCCCCTGTGAGAACAGCGGTATACTGGGATAGATGAGGATGGCCACGTGGTGGGGAGGCGTGTTTCTGTGTACCAGCCCTTCACCTCTGCCCACCTTCTCAACTGGGAAAACAATACCCCATCCTATACCAAAAAGCCACAAGCTCTGATTGATTTGCTCCAAACTATTATCCAGACCCATAACCCCACTTGGGCTGATTGCCACGAGTTGCTCATGTTCCTCTTTAACACAGATGAAAGGCGGAGAGTGCTCCAAGCAGCAACTAAGTGGCTAGAGGAACATGCACCAGCTGACTACCAAAACCCCCAAGAGTATGGAAGGACCCAGTTACTGGGAACCAACCCCCAGTAGGACCCAAATGAAAGAGAGGATATGCAAAGGCTAAACCGATACAGGGAAGCTCTCTTGGAAGGATTAAAGAGGGGAACCCAGGAGGCCACAAACGTTAACAAGGTCTCTGAGGTAATTCAGAGAAAAGAAGAAAGTCCAGCACAATTCTAGGAGAGACTGTGAGGCCTATGGTATGTATACTCCCTTTGATCCCCATAGCCCTGAAAACCAATGCATTATTAACACGGCTTTAGTTAGTCAAAGCACAGAAGACATTAGAAAAAAACTGCAGAATCAGGCTGGGTTTGCAGGGATGAACACATCACAGTTATTAGAAATAGCTAACCAGGTGTTTGTAAACAGAGATGCAGCAAGCCGTAAGGAAAACTGCAGAGAGAAGAAACATCAGGCCCAGCGAAATGCCGACCTGTTAGCGGCAGCAATCAAAAGGGTCCCCCAAAAGAGGCAAGGGAAGGGGGGTCCCAGGAAGGAAACTCAGCCTGGCTGTCAGAGCTTGCAGCGTAATCAGTGTGTTTATTGTAAATAAATAGGACATTGGAAGAAAAAATGCCCTCAGCTAAAAAGAAAACAAGGTGACTTGGAGCAAGAGGCTCCAGACAAGGAGGAAGGGACCCTGCTCAACCTGGCAGAAGGGTTATTGGACTGAGGGGGACAGGGCTCAAGGACACCCAAAGAGCCTATTGTCAGGATGACAGTTAGGGGTAAAGACATTGATTTTCTTGTAGATACCGGTGCTAAACATTCAGTAGTAACCGCGCCGGTAGCCCCCTTATACAAAAAGATTATTGACGTCATCGGAGCCAAAAGGATTTCAGCAAAGCAAGCTTTCTGCTTGCCCCGGACTTCTACTGTAGGAGGACATAAAGTGATTCATCAGTTTTTGTCCACGCCTGACTGTCCCTTGCCCTTATTGGGAAGGCACTTGCTTAGCAAACTGAGAGCCACTATCTCTTTTACAGAGCATGGCTTTTTGCTGCTAAAGTTACCCAGAACGGGAGTCATTATAACCCTTATGGTCCCCCCAGAGGAGGAATGGAGATTTTTCTTAACTGAGTTGGGCCAAGAGATAAGACCAGCTCTGGCTAAGCAGTGGCCAAGAGTGTGGGCGGAAGACAACCCTCCAGGGTTGGCAGTCAACCAAGCCCCCATACTTATAGAAGTTAAGCCTAGGGCCCAGCCGTTTAGGCAAAAACAGGAGCCGGTCCCCAGAGAAGCTCCTGAAGGTATCCAGGTCCATCTCAAGCACCTAAGAACTTTTCGAATTAGAGTTCCTTGTCAGTCTCCATGGAACACTCCCCTCCTGCCTGTTCCCAAGCCTAGGACCAAGGACTACAGGCCTGTACAGGATTTGCACTTGGTTAATCAGGCTACAGTGACTTTACATCCAGCAGTACCTAACCCGTACACATTGCTGGGGTTGCTGCCAGCTGAGAACAGCTGCTTCACCTGCTTGGACCTGAAAGATGCTTTCTTTAGATTCAGATTAGCCCCAGAGAGCCAGAAGCTGTTTGCCTTTCAGTGGGAAGATCCGGAGTCAGGTGTCACTACTCAGTACACTTGGACCCGGCTTCCCCAAGGGTTCAAGAACTCCTCCACCATCTTCGGGGAGGCATTGCCTCGAGACCTCCAGAAATTTCCCACCAGAGACCTAGACTGCGTGTTGCTCCAGTAGGTTGATGACCTTTTGCTGGGACACCCCACGGCAGTTGGGTGCGCCAAGGGAACAGATATTCTACTCCGGCACCTGGAGGACTGTGGGTATAAGGTGTCCAAGAAAAAAGCTCAGATCTGCCGACAGCAGGTACGTTACTTAGGATTTACTATCCGAAGGGGGAGCGCAGCCTAGGATCAGAAAGAAAGCAGGTCATTGGCAATCTACCGGAGCCTAAGACCAGAAGGCAGGTGAGAGAATTCTTAAGGGCTGTGGGGTTTTGTAGACTGTAGATCCCAAACTTTGCAGTATTAGCCAAGCCTTTGTATGAGGTCACAAAGTGGGGGAACCGGGAAGGTTTTGAATGGGGATCCCAGCAACAGCAAGCCTTTCATGAGTTAAAGGAAAGACTTATGTCAGCCCCAGCCTTGGGGCTACCCGATCTAACAAAGCCTTTTCCATTGTATGTGTCAGAGAGAGAAAAGATGGCAGTTGGAGTTTTAACCCAAACTGTGGGGCCCTGGCCAAGGTGGGTGGCCTACCTCTCTAAACAACTAGACAGGGTTTCTAAAGGACGGCCCCCGTGTTTGAGGGCCTTGGTAGCAACTGCCCTGCTAGTACAAGAAGCAAATAAGCTGACTCTTGGGCAGAACCTGAACATAAAGGCCTCCCGTGCTGTGGTGACTTTAATGAATACTAAAGGACATCATGGGCTAACGAATGCCAGACTCACCAAGTACCAGACTTTGCTCTGTGAAAATCCCCGTATAACCATTGAAGTTTTTAACACCCTGCACCCCGCCACCTTGCTCCCAGTATCAGAGAGCCCTGTTGAGCATGACTGTGTAGAAGTGTTGGACTCAGTTTACTCTAGCAGACCTAACCTCCAGGACCAGCCTTAGGCATCAGTAGACTGGGAACTATACGTGGATGGGAGCAGCTTCATCAACCCACGAGGAGAGAGATGTGCAAGATATGCGGTGGTAACTCTGGACACTGTTGTTGAAGCCAGATCGTTTCCCCAGGGCACTTCAGCTCAGAAAGCTGAACTCATTGCTTTAATTCGGGCCTTAGAACTCAGTGAAGCTAAGAATGTCAACATTTACGCTGACTCTCAATATGCCTTTTTAACCCTTCTAGTGCATGGAGCATTATATAAAGAAAAGGGCCTATTGAACTCTGGGGGGAAAGACATAAAATATCAACAAGAAATCTTGCAATTATTAAAAGCAGTATGGAGACCCCACAAGGTGGCAGTTATGCATTGCAGAGGACACCAGCGAGCTTCCACCTTGGTGGGTTTAGGGAATTCCCGCGCTGACTCAGAGGCTCGAAAAGCAGCATCTGCCCCATTCCGGGCATCAGTCACAGCCCCCCTGCTCCCTCAAGCACCTGATCTTGTACCTACTTATTCTAAAGAAGAAAAGGACTTTCTCCAGGCAGAGGGAGGACAAGTGATGGAGGAAGGATGAATTCGGTTACCGGATGGGAGAGTAGCTGCGCCACAGCTGCCAGGAGCTGCAGTTGTACTGGCTGTGCATGAAACCACCCATTGAGGTCAGGAATCACTTGAAAAGTTGTTAGGCTGGTATTTCTACATCTCACATTTGTCAGGCCTTGCCAAAACGGTGACGCAGTGGTGTGTTACCTGCCGACAGCATAATGCGAGGCAAGGTCCAGCCGTTCCACCCGGCATACAAGCTTATGGAGCAGCCCCCTTTGAAGATCTCCAGGTGGACTTCACTGAGATGCCAAAGTGTAGAGGTAACAAGTATTTACTAGTTCTTGGGCGCACCTACTCTCGGTAGGTGGAGGCTTATCCAACACGAACTGAGAAACCTCGTGAAGTAACTCGTGTGCTTCTTCGAGATCCTATTCTTAGATTTGGACTGCCCTTATGGATCAGCTCAGATAATGGGCCGGCGTTTGTGGCTGACTTAGTACAGAAGGTGGCAAAGATGTTAGGGATCACATGGAAAGTGCATGCTGCCTACTGGCCTCAGAGTTTCAGAAAGGTGGAGCGAATGAATCAAACTATCAAAAATAGTTTAGGGAAAGTATGTCAGGAAACAGGATTAAAATGGCTACAGGCTCTCCCTATGGTATTATTTAAAATTAGATGTACCCGTTCTAAAAGAACAGGATATTCCCCTTATGAAATATTATATCGTAGGCCCCCTCCTATATTGCGGGGACTTCCAGGCACTCCCTGAGAGTTAGGTGAAATTGAGTTACAGCGACAGCTACAGGCCTTATGAAAAATTACACAAACAATCTCAGCCTGGGTAAATGAGAGATGCCCTGTTAGCTTATTCTCCCCAGTTCACCCTTTCTCCCCAGATGATCGAGTGTGGATCAAGGACTGGAAAGTAGCCTCTTTGTGCCCACGGTGGAAAGGACCCCAGACTATCGTCCTGAGCACTCCCACCGCTGTGAAGGTAGAAGGAATCCCAGCCTGGATCCAACACAGCCATATAAAACCTGCAGGGCCTGAAACCTGGGAGGCAAGACCAAGCCCAGACAACCCTTGCAGAGTGACCCTGAAGAAGACGACAAGCCCTGCTCCAGTCACACCCAGAAGCTGACTGGTCCACGCACGGCCGAAGCCTGAGGAAGCTCATCATGAGATTCATTTTTCTTAAATTTTGGACTTATACAGTAAGGGCTTCAACTGACCTTACTCAAACTGGGGACTGTTCCCAGTGTATTCATCAGGTCACCGAAGTAGGACAGCAAATTAAAACAATCTTTCTGTTCTATAGTTATGAATGTATGGGAACATTAAAAGAAACTTGTTTGTATAATGCCACTCAGTACAAGGTATGTAGCCGAAGAAATGACCGACCTGATGTGTGTTATAACCCATCTGAGCCCCCTGCAACCGCCGTTTTTGAAAAAAGAATAAGAACTGGCCTTTTCCTAGGTGATACAAGTAAAATAATAACTAGAACAGAAGAAAAAGAAATCCCCAAGCAAATAACTTTAAGATTTGATGCTTGTGCAGCCATTAATAGTAAACAGCTAGAAATAGGATGTGGTTCTCTTAATTAAGAAAGGAGCTAAAGAGTAGAAAATAAATATGTTTGTCATGAGTCAGGGGTTTGTGAAAATTGTGGCTATTGGACATGTGTTATTTAGGCTACTTTAAAAAAGAACAAAAAGGACCCGGTTTATCTTCAGAAGGGGGAAGCCAACCCCTCCTGTGCTGCCAGTCACTGTAACCCACTAGAACTAATAATTACCATTCCCTAGATCCCCGTTGGAAAAAGGGAGAACGTGTAACCCTGGGGATCAATAGGACAGGGTTAAACCCTCAAGTTGCCATTTTAATTAGAGGGGAGGTCCACAAGTGCTCTCCCAAAACCAGTATTTCAAACCTTTTATGAGGAGCTGAATCTGCCAGCACCAGAACTTCCGAAAAAGACAAAAAATTTGTTTCTCCAATTAGCAGAAAATGTAGCTCATTCCCTTAATGTTACTTCTTGTTATGTACGCGGAGGAACCACTGTCGGAGACAGATGGCCTTGGGAAGCCCGAGAGTTGGTGCCTACTGATCCAGCTCCTGATATAATTCCAGTTCAGAAGGCCCAAGCTAGCAACTTCTAGGTCCAAAAACCTCAATTATTAGACAATACTGTATAGCTAGAGAAGGGAAAGACTTTATCATCCCTGTAGGAAAGCTTAATTGTATAGGACAGAAGTTGTATAACAGCACAACAAAGACAATTACTTAGTAGGGCCTAAACCACACTGAAAAGAATCCATTTAGTAAATTTTCTAAATTACAAACTGCTTTGGCTCATCCAGAATCTCATCAGGACTGGACAGTTCCCTCTGGACTATACTAGATATGTAGGCACAGAGCCTACTTTCAGTTACCTAATAAATGGGCAGGCAGTTGTGTTATTGGCACTATTAAGCCGTCCTTTTTCTTATTACCCATAAAAACAGGTAAGCTGCTAGGTTTCCCTGTCTATACTTCCCGAGAAAAGAAAGGCATAGTTATAGGAAACTGGAAAGATAATGAGTGGCCCCCTGAAAGGATCATACAGTATTATGGGCCTGCCACATGGGCACAAGATGGCTCATGGGGATACCGAACCCCCATCTACATGCTCAATTGGATCATACGGTTGCAGGCTGTCTTAGAAATAATTACTAATGAAACTGGCAGAGCTTTGACTGTTTTAGCTTGGCAAGAAACCCAAATGAGGAATGCTATCTATCAGAATAGACTGGCCTTAGACTACTTGTTAGTAGCTGAAGGAGGAGTTTGTGGAAAATTTAACTTAACCAATTGCTGCCTACAAATAAATGATCAAGGATAGGAGGTTAAAATGATCAAGGATAGTCAGGGACATGACAAAGGTGGCACATGTGCCTTTACAGATTTGGCACGAGTTTAACCCTGAGTCTTTATTTGGAAAATGGTTTCCAGCTATAGGAGGATTTAAACCCCTCATTGTAGGTGTATTGCTAGTGATAGGAGCTTGCTTGCTGCTCCCCCGTGTATTACCCTCGCTTTTTCAAATGACAAAAGGTTTTGTTGCTACTTTGATTCATCAGAAAACTTCAGCACAGGTGTATTATATAAATCACTATCGTTCAATCTCACAGAGAGACTCAAAAAGTAAAGATGAGAGCGAGAACTCCCACTAAAAGTGAAAATTCTCAAAGGAGGGAAATATGGTGTGAGACCACCACGTCTCCTGCTGTCCTTCCCAGTTCCTCCCCAACCTCCCTTTTTCCCTAGTTTATAAGACAGGAAAAAAGGGAGAAAGCAAAAAGCTGGAAAAAACAGAAGTAAAATAAATAGCTAGACGCCCTCGGCGCCACCACCTGGCCCCGGTGGTTAAAATATCAATAATATTAACCCCTGACCAAAACTACTGGTGTTATCTGTAAATCCCAGACATTGTATGAGAAAGCACTGTAAAAACTTTTTGTTCTGTTAGCTGATGTTTGTAGCCCCCAGTCACATTTCTCACGCTTACTTGATCTATTATGACTTTTTCGGGTAGATCCCTTAGAGTTGTAAGCCCTTAAAAGGGCTAGGAATTTCTTTTTCAGGGAGCTCGGCTCTTAAGACACGAGTCTGCTGACTCTCCCGGCCGAATAAAAAAACCTCTTCCTTCTTTAATCCGGTGTCTGAGGAGTTTTGTCTGCAACTCGTCCTGCTACTCTAGCTCTCCGTGACTCATCCCAACCCTTTTCATTACACACAGCCGAAGTGCAGCGCTGTGCAGTTGAAATTCTTACACAAGGACCAGGATCGCGTCCTGTAGCCTTTTTGTCCAAACAACTTGACCTTACCGTTTTAGGTTGGCCATTATGTCTCCGTGAAGCAGCTGCTGCCACCCTAATAGTTTTAAAGGCCCTTAAAATCACAAGCTATGCTCAACTCACTCTCTACAGCTCTCATAACTTCCAAAATCTATTTTCTTCCTCACACCTGCCACATATACTTTCTGCTCCCTGGCTCCTTCAGCTGTACTCACGCTTTGTTGAGTCTCCCACAATTACCATTGTTCCTGGCCCGGACTTCAATCCGGCCTCCCACATTATTCCTGATACCACACCTGACCCTCATGACTTCATCTCTCTGATCCATCTGACATTCACCCCATTTCCCCACATTTCCTTCTTCTCTGTTTCTCACCCTGATCACACTTAGTTTATTGATGGCAGTTCCACCAGGCCTAATCGCCACACACCAGCAAAGGCAGGCTATGCTATAGTACAAGCCACTAGCCCGCCTCTTAGAACCTCTCATTTCCTTTCCATCGTGGAAATCTATCCTCAAGGAAATAACTTCTCAGTGTTCCATCAGCTATTCTACTACTCCTCAGGGATTCTTCAGGCCCCCTCCCTTCCCTACACATCAAGCTCAGGGATTTGCCCCCACCCAGGACTGGCAAATTAGCTTTACTCAACGTGCCCCGAGTCAGGAAACTAAAATACCTCTTGGTCTAGGTAGACACTTTCACTGGATAGGTAGGGGCCTTTCCCACAGGGTGTAAGAAGACCACCAAGGTCATTTCTTCCCTTCTGTCAGACATAATTCCTCAGTTTAGCCTTCCCACCTCTATACAGTCTGATAGCAGACCGGCCTTTAGTAATCAAGTCAGCCAAGCATTTTTTCAGGCTCCTGGTATTCAGTGAAACCTTTATATCCCTTACAGTCCTCAGTCCTCAGGAAAGGTAGAACAGACTAATGGTCTTTTAAAAACACATCTTACCAAGCTCAGCCACCAACGTAAAAAGGACTGGACAATACTTTTACCACTTTCCCTTCTCAGAAGTCAGGCCTGTCCTTGGAATGCTATAAGGTACAGCCCACTTGAGCTCCTGTATAGACGCTCCTTTTTATTAGGCCCCAGTCTCATTCCAGACACAAGACCAACTTGGACTGTGCCCCAAAAAACTTGTCATCCCTACTGTCTTCTGTCTAGTCATACTTCTATTCACCGTTCTCAACTACTCATATATGCCCTGCTCTTGTTTACACTGGTGGTTTACACTGTTTCTCCAAGCCATCACAGGTGATATCTCCTGGTGCTATCCCCAAACCACCACTCTTAACTCTTAAATAAATAATCTTTGCTGGCAAGGCTATGCTGAACCTCCTTAGGCACTCTCTAATTAGATGTCCTAGGTCCTCCCAATTCTTCGTCCTTTAATGCCTGTTTTTCTCCTTCTCTTATTCCGTTTAGTTTTTCAATTCATACAAAACTGTATACAGGCCATCACCAATAATTCTAAATGACAAATGTTTCTTCTAACAACCCTACAATATCACCCCTTACCACAAAATCTTCCTTCAGCTTAATCTCTCGACTCAAGGTTCCCATGCCACCCCTAATCCCCCTTGAAGCAGCCCTTAGAAACATCGCCCATTATCTCTCCATACCACCCCCAAAAAATTTTCACCATCCTAATACTTTACCACTATTTCATTTTATTTTTCGTATTAATATAAGAAGACAGGAACGTCAGACCTCTGAGCCCAAGCTAAGCCATCATATCCCCTGTGACCTGCATGTACACATCCAGATGGCCGGTTCCTGCCTTAACTGATGACATTCCACTATAAAATAAATGAAAATGGCCTGTTCCTGCCTTAACTGATGACATTATCTTGTGAAATTCCTTCTCCTTGCTCATCCTGGCTCAAAAGCTCCCCTACTGAGCACCTTGTGACCCCCACTCCTGCCTGCCAGAGAGCACCCCTTTTTCCTTTACCTACCCAAATCCTATAAAATGGCCCCACCCCTATCTCCCTTCGCTGACTCTCTTTTTGGACTCAGCCCACATGCACCCAGGTGAAATAAACAGCTTTATTGCTCACAAAAAGCCTGTTTTGTGGTCTCTTCACACGGACGTGCATGAAAAAGAGTGTCCTATTTTTTTTTTTTTTTTTTTTTTTGAGAAGGAGTTTCACTCTTGTTGCCCAGGCTGGAGTGCAATGGCATGACCTCAGCTCACTGCCACCTCCTCCTCCTGGATTCAAGCAACTCTCTTGCCTCAGCCTCCCCAGTAGCTGGGATTGCAGGCATGCGCCACCATGCCCGGCTAATTTTGTATTTTTAGTAGAGATGGGGTTTCTCCATGTTGGTCAGGCTGGTCTCAAACTCCTGGCCTGAGGTGATCCACCCGCCTCGGCCTCCCAAAGTGCTGGGATTACAGGTGTGAGCCACTGCGCCCGGACAGTAGTGTCCTCTTATAAGGACACTTGTCTTTAGATGTACAGCCTACCTAAAATACCCCAGGAGAATCTCATCTCAAGATCCTTAACTTAATTACATCTGCAAAGACCCTTTTTCCAAATAATGCCACCTCAACAGATTCTAGGCACAAGGATCTGGATATATCTTGTGCAAATCCACCATTCAGCTCACTACACTAGAAAGAGGAAAAATAACGAAGTAACAAAAGGCGCAGAAGAAAGAACAGATGCAGCTTGTGTGGCAGTGGCCATCAAGGCAGGCTGGGGTAAAACTGTGTCAACAGAACCCCCAGATGGAACTCGAGTGCCGCCGTCTGCTCCCAGCTACTCACAGAGAACTTTTCTGTTTCTGACAGCAGAGTAAGAGAAGAGGTGGGAAGAGAGATAGCCCATTCTCTGTTGGCCTAATTCCTAAGGAATCATGCCTCTGCCTTCGGGCCATTCTCAAGTCTTGTTCAAGGATAAAATGATTTATTGATGGCCGTAATTATAAAGCAATGCCAACAGAAGCAGCCTCAGCATTTTTCATTTGTACTTACACATGAGCAAGAGCAGTTTAGGGAAACGGGTGCCTTCAGGTTCTATTTCTCCATCTAGAGAAGGGCTGCCTTCATGGAATGCTGGTCCTGGGGAGAAGCCTCATTTCTATAGCAGGAATTGATATAGTTTTAAATTCCAATTGGTACACGGAGCTACCCGTCCTCATTTCAAGCACTTCTGGTTTGTTCTGGGTTCAGTGGGTGAGAAATGAGTAGAACTCTGGGGAAGAGGATGTGGGGTGAGCGTGGTTTTGATACCCAGACAGAGCTGTTCTTCCATCAGTGTCTTGAATGTGATTCAGAAAGGGCTTCTCCACTCAAGATGGGAGTAATGAGCTGATTTAAGGCGGGTGATTGACTTGTTTTGGTGGCTATTTTTATACTAGCTGGTTAACGAGCTATTTTCTTCATTAGTTTCAGGCATGTGAGCTTAATGAAGCATTGGACCTCCCAAATTACAAGGGAAATATATAGCTTATATGGTAGGTTCAAAGGAGTTAGTGAACAAACACAGTAGGGCCACAAATTATTGTTAAAGACATGAATGCATGAAAGTGTATCTATGTCCAAATGGACTCTGCAACCATACTGTTCCACCTGAAAATTAGTAGATCGAAATTCCGCAAATGCTTGGACAGGGGATACTCTCAGAAACATTCTGACTAAAGAGCTTGGTTTCTTTTCACATCACTAAGGTAATTTCTTCCCGGATTGACTCTGGACTAAATCTTATGATACCTACTTGTTCTGATTGTACTTAGCCACCTGCAAATAAGGTGGGGGCAGTGGTAAGAGGAGCTGTTGAATGAAATTAAACATTTGTTGGATGCCTACTGAGGATAAAGCCCTGTGCTTTGTGCCAGGAAGATTCCAGAATAAATGAGGCACAGACCTACTCTCCGGAAGCTTTTGCAAACTAATGGAGAAAACACATCTGCGGGCAATGACTTATGGTATAAGAGGAAATGGGGCCAGGTACGGTGACTCACACCTGTAATCCCAGCACTTTGAGAGGCCAAGGTAGGTGGATCGCTTGAGGTCAGGAGTTCAAGACCAGCCTGGCCAACATGGCGAAACCCTGTCTCTACTAAAAATACAAAAAAAAAAACGAGCCACGCTTGATGGTGTGCACCCACAATCTCAGCTACTTGGGAGGCTGAGGCACAAGAATCACTTAAACCTGGGAGGTGGAGACTGTAGTGAGCCGAGATCCCACCACTGCACTCCAGCCTAGGAGACAGAGTGAGACTGTCAAAAAAAAAAAAAAAAAGGAAATAAGATTGATGTTGAATGGAAAATCTAAGCAGGATGCAGTGGCAGGAGAGCGCCCACTTGCCCAGCTCCAATAACACTTTTGACAGCCATGACAATATTGCAGGGACGCCCATTCCTCATGGTATCTGAAGCCCCATGAAGGCTTGCGTCTGGAGGCTGGTTCAGTCTTGACTTTAAGATCAGGGGATACAAGGAATGATTTTCATCTATCTCAAGACAATAGTCCAGCCAAAAATCTAGGTCTGAGATGATGAGAAAAAGCAAGTCATGAACCATGTCAGCCATTTCATCATCATCATCATCATCATCATCAAAAACAAAAGACAGACCTGTAACGGTCTTGTGTGCCTGGCTCTTGTCTTAGTTCAAAATATAGAAGTAAATTCTATGGCCAGTGAACAATGACTAAAATAGCTCTCATCACTGTTGTCTGCCACCATGTAAGATGTGCCTTTTGCCTTCCACCATGATTTTGAGGCTTCTTCAGCCACATGGAACTGTGAGCCCATTAAACCTCTTTTTCTTTATAAATTACCCAGTCTTGAGTAATAAAATAGTGGTTTGTCCACAACATCAATGAACGATGCTGTCACTTGTTTGAAACGCTTACCATTTAAGAGGTTTGGATAAACAACAACCTAAAATAAATAAGCACTAAGCAAACTCAGGGCTACATAATCCCTGTGGTGAGGTAACTGACAATGGGTACCACTGGGACAGTTTACTCTTAAATCACCTCTATCTACATGTGCCCAAGCAGTGAGATACTTGGTTTTAATCCTAAAAAATCATGGTGCACATTTACTCCTGCCTTCCAACTGGGCTCTAACGTCACCTCCTCAGAGAAGCCCTCTTTTCTGTGCTTCCACTCTGCTTTTTTTCAGCATTTAGTAGAGCATCAGTCACCATCCATATCTGGGAACAATGATTGTAAGAAACAGAAATCCATTTGCATGAGCTGGAGGGAAAGGAGCACACCTTATCTCTAATAGGCAAACTCATGGGCACGAGAAATAAATGAGAGGCCATGAGAGAATGGAAACTGCAGTTACAGAAACCAAAATGCCTCTTTCTGGCTCTCAGAAGCCCATTTTTTTTGAGACACAGTCTTGCTCTGTCGCCCAGGCTGGAGTGCAGTCGTGCGATCTCAGCTCACTGCAAGCTCCACCTCCCGGGGTTCATGCCATTCTCCCACCTCAGCCTCCCAATTAGCTGGGACTACAGGCACTCGCCACCACACCTGGCTAATTTTTTATATTTTTAGTAGAGACGGGGTTTCACCATGCGAGCCAGGATGGTCTCGATCTCCTGACCTCGTGATCCGCCCGTCTTGGCCTCCCAAAGTGCTGGGATTATAGGCGTGAGCCACCGTGCCCGGCAGCCCATGGTCTTTCCTATCAGCCCTGTGGACTTCCTTATCTCTGCTTCTCTCACTCACAACCAATTTTCCCTTCTTGCTGGTGGCCCATCATGGCAGCCAGCAGAGCCCACCACCAGCTGATCAGTCAGTTACTGGATATCTTGGAGTGGGAGGGAGGGAGGGAGGAGAGAGGGAGAGGGAGAGAGAGAGAGAGAGAGAGAGAGAGAGAGAGAGAGAGAGAGAGAGAGAGAACGACAATTGGGCTTCTGGCCAACCAATTGAGTATAGGGAGGGGAAGTACCATGGTACAAATATGGCGCCAAGACCTGCTTTCTAGCATGGCCAATGAGCAGGGAAATTGAGGGAAGGTACCTGCAAGCACAGCAGACATCTCAGAACATGCTCTCTGTTCTTAGTTCTCTCTCCTGCCTTCTCCTAGATTGTAAATATCACAAGACAATCTAGAATAGTACCTGGCTCAAAATATTTGAGAAAGAGAAAAAGGAAGGGATTGGATCAAACTCTGGACTTCATGGTTTCCTAAATTCACTCTGCAAGTTTTTGGGTTTTTTGTTTTTTGAGACAGAGTCTCGCTCTGCTGCCCAGGCTGGAGTGCAATGGCATAATCTTGGCTCACTGCAACCTCCACCTCCCAGGTTCAAGCAAATCCCCTGCCTCAGCCTCCTGAGTAGCTGGGATTACAGGCACGCACTGCTACACCAGTTAATTTTTGTATTTTTAGTAGAGATGGGGTTTCACCATGTTGGCCAGGCTGGTCTCGAACTCTTGACCTCGTGATCCACCCACATCGGCCTCCCAAAGTGCTGGGATTACAGGTGTGAGCCACCACGCCTGGCTGACTCTGCAAGTATTTAAGTGAATGAATGTCAGTCCCTGAGAATCAGAAGAAAGGCATTAAATCTCTGTTAGGTTTAATCCTGGTCAGCAGCTGTGGGGTGTCCTGGGTTTGGGATCAGTGGGATGAGGAACAAGCAGGTTCTCCAAACCACCACACAGGGAGGGGAGGTGTTAACTAGGCCAAAGATGATGGGCGGGGTACGTGCTTGGGTTTCAAACAGCTTATGCCAGGCCTAAAAACCGACGCTGAAGCAGAAACTGTATTAAGCAAATTGATGACACAATGGAGGGGGTCCGAAAGTTTAATATTGCCAAGAAGAATACAAATATTGATCATGCAATATGACATTGTTATCACACCATCTCCTGCTACACGCCAGGTTTCCTTTACCATGAGATAGAGGAGATTTGTGGATCTGACCTAACCCTCCAAATTGTAAGGTCCCTGAGAGTGGGCTCATGACATTCATGTTTTATAAATGTGGCATAAAGGCTCACACTGGCTGCCATGTGGCCCAATGCCAGTTCGTTGCTGCATTCAGAGAACCATCATTCCAGCATGCAAGCATACTTAAAGGCAATTGAAATGTTTACCGCCGTCCCTCAAGACCAACACCAAAGAAAAATTATTTTCAAAATGCATAGCAACACTTCTTAAAATCTTATTTTCCCATCTCTTTCTCTCTAACACATTGCCAGGAGTTTCCCAGGAGCAAAACTGTCAAAAAGACCCAGGAGCAAAATGATTAATGACTTCACAGTATCTGATTCTGATTTAGTTGGTTTAGAGTGGTGTCCGTGCATACGTATATTTTAATATCTTGCTGGGCACAGTGGCACACACCTGTAGTCTCAGCTACTCGGGAGACTGAGGCAGAAGAATCACTTGAGCCCAGGAGTTTGAGTCCAGCCTGGGCAACATAGCAAGACCCTGTCTCTGAAAAAAAAAAAAAAAAGCAAAAAGAAATCTCTCTCAGCTGCAGTCAGGGTTGATAACTAGTTGATCAAATAATTGTGGTAGCCAACCTTTGCAATGGACCTTAATATTCCCACCTCCTGGTGTTATTCATTGTGGAATCTGTCTTAGCTAGTCCTCAATTGGGTCTGGTATGCAGGCCCCACCTTGAGAGGCTAGTCCCACCTCCTACCCCACACATGGTTTTACACTTACTTTCAAGACTGGCCTAAAAATGTAAAATGTACTTGTTTTGACCTTGTTTCCAATGAAACAACTATTCTAAACACTCATTTAGGATGGTTGGGGAAATTTGAACACTGGCTAAATATTGAAGATATTTGCTTCCAAATAACCCAGCTTGGTAATGAGATGATGGCGGCTGAGGCTGGTGATAGGCACAGAGGGCTTCATTATCAAATAGAAACAAGTCGAAAAAACAGAATCTTTTCCATAATAAAAATGTAAGGTAAACACAAAAATGTATTGAGTGCATAAAAAGAATCTATGGTCTCACAGATATTAGCTTATAATTTGAACATCAAAAATAAAAGTGATGGCCAAGTGCAGTGGCTGATGCCTGTAATCCCAGAACTTTGGGAGACTGAGGTGGATGGATCACTCGAGCCCAGGAATTTGGGACCAGCCTGATCAACATAGTGAGACCCCCATCTCTAAAATAAATAAATATAAATAAAAGTGACTAGAATTGATTATAGAACATCAACTCTATTTGAGTCTATAAAGATTACTGGCAGGGGGGGGCAATGGGGAGAAGGAGAAAGAGAATATATTTGTGACCTAGATTATTTTCCTTAGTTTTGAGAGAATCTTCGGGTCTCCTGGGTCTTCTAGTCCAGTATTTATATTTATTTTATTTATTTTTTATTTTTTTAGATGGAGTCTCACTCTGTCACCAGACTGGAGTGCAGTGGTGCGATCTCGGGCCACTGCAACTTCCGCCTCCCAGGTTCAATCGATTCTCCTGTCTCAGCTCCCCATGTAGCTGGGACTACAGGTACCTGCCACTGCACCTGGCTAATTTTTGTATCTTTTGTAGAGACGGTGTTTCACCATATTGGTCCAGGCTGGTCTCGAACTCCTGACCTCAAGTGATCCACCCACCTTGGCCTCCCAAAATACAAGGATTACAGGCATGAGCCACCACACCCTGCCTATTTTCCTTAGTATTCAAAGAACCTTTAGGTCCCCTGGGTGCTCTAGCCCAGTATATCTCAAACTTTGCTGCACTGAGGACCTTGTCGAAATGCAGGTTCTCAGCTGGGAGGCTCAGTGGGCCAGCAAGTCTGCATTGGTTTAGGAAGCTCACCCTGAGTAGCAAGTTTCAGTGAGGACCAGGCAGGCCCGTGCCTGCCAACCCCCTCTCAGCTGGGCTTAACTCTGGCTCTCTCCCGCCAGGGTTCCTCCCCTCAAAATAGGAGCTATTTTCAAAAAGTCTCTTGGAAAAAAGGCCCTGTTTTAAAATCGGGGTGTTTACCACGGGGTTTGAAGACCTTTGCCCAGACCCCCGCAACCAACTTAGAACTGACGTTTTTACTTTTGAAGGCCCCACTCCACACCATATTAAATTCATTAAAATCAACCGCCATGACAGGCGTATCTCAGGCATCACGCCCTCAGAACGGAGTTGCAGCTGACCACTTGACAATGTTGCAAAGCATTAAACATGCATTCATTTCAGCCTTGCAGTTTTCACATTTAGGAGCCAATTGTCTTAGGTCTAAAGCATTCATGTCCAAGCATTGTTATGGGCCCCAGACACTATGCTTCCCAGCCTTTATGGCATCTGCAATGTTGGTTCCCACCCCTGGGTTCTGGCCGGCTAGCCCACACCACCTCACTGCTCCCCCATTCAAGTGTGCCTTAGGTGTGTGGTTTCCAGACTCATCTACACTTTAGGATCACCTGGGATTTTTTCAGTGTTCCAAAACCCAGGTCACACCCCACCCCAGAATAATTAAACCTCAACCTCTGGAATGGGACATAGCATCTGTTTTTTGTTTTTTGTTTTCTTCGGTTTTTGAGACAGAGCCTCACTCTCTTACCCAGGCTGGAGTGCAGTGGCACAATCATAGCTCACTACAGCCTCCAACTCCTGGGCTCAAGCAACTTTCAGGTCAATGCAGTAGGTCAGGGCTTCGAACATGGAGATACCTGCAGTTATCTTGCACCCTGCTCTGAGTTTCACCCTGAGCCTCACTCTCGTAGGTGGTGAAGCATGAAATGCAGGGATAGCTGCTTTAAAACCCAGCACAAGGCTGGGCGCACTGGCTCACACCTGTAATTCCAGAACTTTGGGAAGCCGAGGTGGACAGATCACCTAAGGTCAGGAGTTCAAGACCGGCCTAGCCAACATGGCAAAAACCCATCTCTACTAAAAATACAAAAATTAGCTGTGCGTGGTGGTGCACGCCTATAGTCCCAGCTACTCGGGAGGCTGAGGCAGGAGAATCGCTTGAACCCAGGAGGCGGAGGCTGCAGTGAGCCAAGATCGGGCCACTGCCATCCACCCTGGGCAACAGAGCGAGACTGTGTCAGAAAAAATGAAAAACCAGCAGCAGCCTGAAGAGCCTGTGTATTGCGTGGGGTACTTTGCTGCCCTTGGGCAGAATCTGCATCCCTCCCAGCCAGCAGGCGCTGCGGACCGTCTCCTCCCTCTCCCTCCAGGCTCCTGTTTTCCCGCTGTCCCCGCTCCTGCTGCAGCAGTCCCTCTGCCCTCCGTTCCAAGTGCCAGGCCGCGGCCACCTCAGAGCTTGCACCAGCTGTTGCCACTGCCTGGAACTTGCTCGTCCTGCACTCGGCTTCTCTCGGCTTTAGCTGGGGTGTCACCCTGAGCGTCCCCTCCCCTCCATCCTGTCCCCAGGGACACACGCTCCAAGAGAGCAGTTGCCGAGTGGGCCTTCCCGCCTCTTCCATAGAGCCAGACAGTTGGCGACTGTCCTCACTGTAAACCCTGGTTCACACTGGCTCCCCTGGGAGGGAGGTGGTTTGGGCCCACGTGCCCTGCGTTCTTGCTCAGAATGGGCGTTAGAAATGCTGCCATAGCCTGTGCCACTGCAGTGGAAGCATTTTTAGGAAACGGCTTATATCATAAGACAAACTTCAGATGCATGGGGCCAGAACGCTGTGTCCATCTACATCTTTGCTGGGGGATCGGGTAGCCTGGAGTTTGCCCTCTGCTGTGTTGGCTTGAAGCTCATAGGAGGCTTAAGACGGGCTCTCGAGCAACCAACGTTCTGTCCTTTGCGGTAGACTGTGAAGCATCCTGTGTGTGTGAAGCACCGGCCGTCAGTCAAGTATGCCCGGTGCTTTCTCTCAGAACTCATCAAAAAGGTCAGTTATGGGGAGTGTCCGCCCAGTAGCCAGACAGCATAGCCACCTGCGTGCTGGAGCCCCCGTCCTTCCCAGGCCCTGGGCCTGCTTTGCAAACCCCAGCGTGGCAGGGGCCTAACCAGGCAACTGGCTGCAGCCGCGTGTGACCCATGGGAGACAATGCAGGATGGGAAGAAGGGGAGGCCAGCGTCTCTCCCTCACTCTGCCTCCTGGGGTTTCTGCCGCAGCTGCTGCTCTGGGGCCCCAGCTCCTAGCATATGGATTCTCATTCCTACCAGGCTGGCCCAGCCCACAGCACTGGAACCCTCACCCACACCCTCTGTCCTACCCGCCGAAGGGTTTGGAGTTTCCTACTCTTGTCTGTCTCTGGGTTGCCCCACGGGCCCCTGTTGGAAGGTTTAGCTCTTGCCATAACTTTGGAACTAGTTCCTCTGGTGAATTCTCCGCATTGATCCTGCTGGAATGTGCTCTTTCCTGACTGATACAGGATGGATTTTATTTTTTACTTATTTATTTTTTTGAGACAGAGTCTCACTGTGTTGCCCAGGCTGGATTACTGTGGCACAGTCTCGGCTCCCTGAAACCTCTGCCTCCTGGGTTCAAGCAACTCTCGTACCTAGCCTCCTAAGAAGCTGGGACTACAGGCACATGCCACCATGCCTGGATAATTTTTGTATTTTTAGTAGAGACAGAGTTTCACCATGTTGGCCAGGCTGGTCTCGAACTCCTGACCTCAGGTGATCCACCTGCCTCGGCCTCCCAATGTGCTGGGATTACAGGCATGAGCCACCGCACCTGGCCTAGGATGGATTTTAAAGATGGGCCCGAACATGCAGCGTTTGACATAAGGATGTCGAGAGGCCATTCCTCAGTAGGCAGTAGCAGACCTGCTGAGTGAAAGGGCCACACTTTTAGCAAGTAAACAATCCCCTGCTTCTCCAATACCTGCTTTCTCCCTAATCCTCCCCAAAAGGGTGCATCTGTAGTCACCAGCAGGTCTGCCCTGTGCCACCAGGAGAGGGCAGCAGTCACCCAGTGTATCTTGCTGCTGCCCTGTGAATCTTAGGATGGGGCCAGCCGTGGAGAAGCAGCCTGCTGACAGCCACAGCCTACAGCATGGGCCGCCCTCACAGTTCTGCCTGGGCTCACTTAAAAGCACCTTTTGTTTTCCTCCTCTCTGTCATGGTCATGTGGCAGCTCTCACGGATCCTTGTCTCCTGCCCTAGACTACACCTAACACTACCCTCTCAACACCTCTCGTTGAAGGCCCTCCCATCCAGGTTTCCCTACCAAGTGAATTTTTTTTTTAGAGACAAGGTCTCTTGCCCAGGCTGTCCTCGAACTCCTGGGCTCAAGCAGTCCTCCCATGTCAGCCTCTAGAGTAGCTGGGACTATTCGGCACACACCACCAAGCCCAATGAAGTGAATATTTTATATGCCAGCTGGCCAGTATTACACCATTCCATCCCAAATCTCCCCTCCAAACTTGGTGAAATCATCTGACCATTTTTACAGATTAGAACGAAAGCAAACAAGCTCTCACTCTGCCTGCCCCCAGCAGGAGGCTGTCCACACGGAGCCTTTGGACGAGCTGTACGAGGCGCTGGCGGAGACCCTGATGGCCAAGGAGTCCACCCAGGGCCACCGGAGCTATTTGCTGGTATAAGAAGGGCACCCTCCTCCCCCTCACAGCCCAGATACCCTTCCTGCACAGACAAAGTGAAAACGTGGGTGTGGGTTCAAATCCTGACTCACCCATTCTGCAGTCTTAGACATGAGGTCCGTCAACCTTCTTTAGCCTCAGTTTCCCTGTCTGTAAATCAAGCACTTCAACAACAACAGCATGTCTCATGGGGTTGTTGGGCATTTGTCCAATAGGTGACACACTCTACCTCCTTCACAAGGACCTGGTGTCCATTCCTCAAAGAATACTTGACAGGTCCGGGTGTGGTGGCTCACACCTGTAATCCCAGCACTTTGGGAGGCTGAGGCGGGTGGATCCGAGGTCAGGAGTTCAAGACCAGCCTGGCCAATATGGTGAAACCCTGTCTCTACTAAAAATACAAAAATTAGGCCGGGCGTGGTGGCTCATGCCTGTAATCCCAGCACTTTGGGAGGCTGAGGCAGGTGGATCACCTGAGGTCAGGAGTTTGAGACCAGCCTGGCCAACATGGTGAAACTCTCTTTACTAAAAATACAAAAATTAGCGGGTGTGGTAGTGGGTGCCTCTAATCCCAGCTATTCGGGAGGCTGAGGCAGGAGAATCTCTTGAACCCAGGAGGAGGAGGTTGTAGTGAGCCAAGATCACGCCATTGCACTCCTGCCTGGGCAACGAGAGTGAAACTCTGTCTCAAAAAAAAGTAGAAAAATGAGCCAGACATGGTGGCACATGCCTGTAGTTGCACCTACTTGGGCGGCTGAGGCAGGAGAATTGCTTGAACCCAGGAGGCAGAGGTTGCAGTGAGCCAAGATTGTGCCACTGACTCCAGCCTGGGGAACAGAGCTCAAAAAAAATAAGATAAAACATAGATACAGAAAACCACAAAGGAAAAACATAGCATATTGAATCATCACAAGGCAGCCACCCCTTCATAGCCACACCCGGCCCCTGGCCACCACTGACCTGTGCTCTATCACCAGAATTCCGTTGTCTCAGGAATGTTCAATGAATGGAATCCTGTGTGGCCTGAGATGAGTGTCTTTCATGCCACATGACACCCTTGAGGCCCGTGCAAGCTGTTGGCATGTCAACAGTTAGTTGCTTCTCATTGCTGAGTGGCGATTGGTCCTGTCATGGTTTATTCAGCCATGTGGTGGATGGCTACTTGTCTTCTAAGCCACTTGCCTTCTGATCGCTGGACTGACTCTCTCGCCCTCTCTTGGTGCAGCCCTCGGGAGGCTCAGTCACACTCTCTGAGAGCACAGCCATCATCTCCCACGGCATCACAGGCCTGGTCACATGAGATGCTGCCCTCTACCTTGCAGAATGGGCCATTGAGAACCCGGCAGCCTTCTCTCATAGGTGACCTCGGGGTGCATGGCAGGGCACCGAGGCAGGCTTACCCTGGTGCAGTCGCAGACATGGTCCCCTTTCCTCCCGCCAGGACTGTCCTAGAGCTTGGCAGTGGCGCCGGCCTCACAGGCCTGGCCATCTGCAAGATGTGCCTCCCCCGGGCATATATCTTCAGCGACTGTCACAGCCGGGTCCTCAAGAAGCTCCGAGGGAATATCCTTCTCAATGGCCTCTCATTAGAGGCAGACATCTCTGCCAACTTAGACAACCCCAGGGTGACAGTGGCCCAGCTGGACTGGGATGTCGCGACAGTCCGTCAGCTCTCTGCCATCCAGCCAGATGTTGTCACTGCAGCAGGTAATGCCCAGCCCCGGGCACCCTGTGCAGGCGGTGTCCTTGCAGCTCTACCCAGCTCTGGGCTCTGGGAAAAGGGAACGATGGACGCTGTTGGGCATGGACATGATGGGGCTTCCAGAAGAGTTACTCTGGGCCTCCAGGGTGACATCAAAGGACAGGGGTGCCTCTTAAGGTGACCTTACAGCCACAGCCCTCTTTTTGGAGACAGGCATACTCCCATTACAGTCATCACCACATGGCTCTGTCCCAGAGCCATGCCTGTGTCTTTCAGAGACCACAGGAGGAAAACAACCACTTCTGGGATGAGGACAGGGCCCTTGAGAGAAGGTGGTGTTTGGCTGGGCCACCGAAAACCCCTCGCCCCTGCCAGCACACTCAGTCTCCTCTCGGGTCGAACAGAGCTCTGCCTGTGGTCCTGGGTCCCAGCCCTGAAAACCACAGGTCCAGCAGTGGCCAGGGACACAGGCCCACCCCTGCAAGCCAGCAGACAAATCGGCAGACGCCTGAAACACGAAGTTCATGGCAGGGTCAGGCTTTGTGTCATTCACAGCCCTCTAGATAGGCCGAGAACCAGAGCTCGTTTTTTAAGGAACACCAGTGAGTCTGGAGATTTTTTCTTTTGCTTCGGTCTTTTGCAGCTTTCTCTACTAAGGGTTCTCCTTTTTCACCCAAGTAATTGCCTTTCCATCTAATGGCCCAAATGGTCAAATGGCATCTACTAGTCTCATATGACCGCTGCCTCTCTGGCCTCGCCCTTCTGCTGAGGTCAGCATGACCTGGAACTGTCCGCTGGTCCCCTTCAGTAATCTGAAGCTTTCACCGTAGACGTGCCGTATTGCCCAGAAGCCATTGTGTCGCTGGTCGGGGTCCTGCGGAGGCTGGCTGCCTACCGGGAACACCAACGGGCTCCTCAAGTCTATGTGGCCCTTACCGTCCGCAACCAAGAGACGTGCCAGCTGTTCACCACCGAGCTAGCTGAGCCCCCACGCCCACCCGGGCCTGCATGGTCCCGGAGCTGTCCCTGCGGGACTCCAGTGGAAGTGAAAGAACTGAGGGCAGGGTAAAAGCTAGGAAGCCCCACACTCCCACACCATGCGGGGAACTAGGGCAGAGGCCGGTGAGCAGGGTGGGCTCATGGCGTGGGGGACTTGCGGCAGGAGGAGGGCAGCTCAGCACAGGGAGGGAGGATCTGAGCCCAGCAGCCCTACTGTGTGCTTCAGAGCAAGATTCCCTAAGCCCTTGGGCCTCGGTTTCCTCATCTATAAAATGGAGGTGGCGGGAGGGGCAGTCATGGTCAGGGCTGGACACCGCTGTGGCCTGCAGGACGCTGGAGCACAGGCTGTACAGGCGGATCCACCATGCCACTGTCCTGAGCACCCAGTTGATGGAAGACGAGCAGGGTGACTATAGAGTAGGGGAACTGGCCCCGTAGTGGGCCAGCCACTGTCCTCAGACCTGACATTTGTCAGCCCCCAGCACCTGTGAGAGTGTGCTATCATTGTCCCATCTCACCGACAAAGACACTGGGACACACAGAGGACAAGCAACCCCCAAGCTCCCACAGACTGTAGCCCGGCCACCTGGCTCTCGTGCCTCCACACTACACCCAAGCCCCCCATTGCCACCAGCCTCTGCCCCAGCTCCCCCTGAGCACAGCCCCTCTTGGCAGCCATGTTCACAGATGCACGTGCAGCAGCCTCTGCCTGCACAGAGAGACACGGGTCCAATGCCTGTCCACGTGGGGCAGCCCGTTAACTACAGAGCCAACAAACAAGCCAGCACACGAAGACACACTGGGTTCCACGACAGAGTCCCGCACAACCTCGCACAGGAGGCTGGCCGGGTGCGAGGCTCGGGCCTGTCATCCCAGCACTTTAGGAGGCTAAGGCAGGGGGACTTCTTGACACCAGGAGTTCAAGACCTACCTGGAAAACATAGTGGGACCCCATCTCCACAAAACGTACAGAAACTAGTCGGGCATGGTTGCGCAACTACTTGGGAGGCTGAGGTGGGAGGATGGCTTGAGCCCAGGAGGTGGAGGCTGCAGTGAGCCCTGATCTCACGACTGCACTCTAGGCTGGGCAACAGAGCAAGACCCTGTCTCAAAAATGCAAAAAAAAAAAAAAAAAAAAAAAAAAGGAAGTCTTTCTTCAGATACTTATGTGAAAAAATACCTGCAATATCTTTGAAGTGAAAAAAAGAGTGCCAAGCAGCACACATAGTATAAGCCCCAATCCACCTTTTTTTTTTTTTTTTTTTTTTGAGACAGAGTCTGGCTTTGTATTGCCCAGGCTGGAGTGCAGTGGTGCCATCTCGGCCCACTGCAACCTCCCACCTCCCAGGTTCAAGCTATCCTCCCATCTCAGCCTCCTGAGCAGCTGGGACTACAGGTGCGTGCTACCACGCCTGGCTGATTTTTGTATTTTTTGTAGAGTCGAGGTTTCGCCATGTTGGCCAGGCTGGTCTTGAACTCCTGACCTCAAGCGATCTGCTGCCTCAGCCTCCCAAAGTGTTAGGATTACAGGCATGAGCTACTGCACCCAGCCCCATTTTTGTTTTAAAAATAATAATAATCACCCACACATAGTTATGAGTACCTATATTCCCAACTACTCAGGAGGCTGAGGCGGGAGGATGGCTTAAGCCCAGGAGTTTGTGGCCCCCTTGAGCAACATAGCAAGACTTCATCTCAAAATAAAATTATCACAATAATCATTTTCACATAAGTATACCTATAGGGGAAAACCTAGAATATATATATAGCAGGCTCGTCCAACCTGCGGCCCAACACAAATCTGTAAACTTTCTTAAAACAGTACGAGGTTTTTTTGTGATTTTTTTTTCTTTTAGCTCATCAGCTATTGCTAGCATTAGTGTATTTTATGTGTGGCCCAAGGCGATTCTTCTTCTTCCAATGTGGTGCAGGGAGACCAAAAGATTGGACATACCTGATATACACGTTAACAGGTGCCATCCTTGGATGGCAGGATTATAGAGACTTCTACACGTTCATGTCTGTACTACTTCATTTTTATAAATATGCATTTTCCACTCGTAACAAAAAACTGTGATTGAAAATCATCCCAGGACACAGTGTCTCACGCCTGTAATCCCAACACTGTTAGAGGCTGAGGCTTTGGGAGGCTGAGGTGAGCGGATCACTTGAGGTCAAGAGTTCAAGACCAGCCTGGCCAACACGGTGAAACCCCATCTCTACTAAAAACACAAAAATTAGCCAGGCTTGGCGGTGCACGCCTATAATCCCAGCTACTCGGGAGACTGAGGCAGGAGAATCACTTGAACCTGGGATGCATTGCAGTGAGCTGAGATTGCACCACTGCACTCCAGCCTTGGGAACAGAGTAAAACTCTGTCTAAAAAATAATAATAAAAGAGGCTGAGGCAGGAGCATCACTTGAGGCCATGCATTCCGGACCCCATCTCTACAAAATAAAAAAATTACTAGCATGGTGGCACGCACCTGTCATCCCAGCTACTCAGGAAGTGGGAGGATTGCTAGAGCCCAGGAGTCGAGGCTGTAGTGAGCAATGACTGTGCCACTGCACTCCAGCCTGGGTGACAGAACAAGATCGTATCTCAAAAAAAAAAAAAAAAAAAAGAATCATTCTGGCTAACGGCTCTTCAGATATCTGTGCTTATGAGAACACCAGCCCCTTCTAAGCTGTGTGTGTGTGTGTGTGTGTGTGTGTGTGTGTGTGTGTGTGTGTGTGATTTTTTTTTTTTTTTTTTGAGATGGAGTCTCACTCTGTCACTCAGGCTCGAGTGCAGTGGCACAATCTCGGCTCACTGCAAACTCCGCCTCCTGGGTTCAAGCAATTCTCCTGCCTCAGCCTCCCAAGTAGCTGGGATTACAGGCACCTGCCATCGTGCCTGCCTAATTTTTGTATTTTTGTATAGATGGGGTTTCACCATGTTGGCCAGGCTGGTCTCGAACTCCTGATCTCAAGTGATCCACCCGCCTTGGCCTCCCAAAGTGTTGGGATTACAGGCGTGAGCCACTGTGCCTGGCTGCTTTCTAAGCTTTGTGGAGAGTGGGTTGACTGAGCAGCCAGGTAGATGTGGGTTCAGATCTCTGCGTCTGTCCCGCTGTGCCAAGTGCTGGGGCAGACGCGGGCAGAGACTGGACAGCGGCACGGTGCCTGCTGCTAGCCATTTCTATGCAAAACCAGATTTCTGGTCCCATCCTGGAGGCCAATTCTAGGCACCTGGGTGGGCCTGGGAACCTGTGAACCAAGTAAACTGACTTGGACACCCCCCGACCCCGCCAGGCCTGTCCTAGCAGCCCCACACAATACGCTCATGTCCTGTCCCCAAACTCTGCCATCCTGAAACACATGTCCTCTGTTTCCAGGCAGGCCAGGATCAGATGGGAAGTGGAACCCTCGTCATGACCAGAAACTATTTCCCTACGAAGAGCACTTGGAGATGGCAATGCTGAACCTCACACTGTAGGATTCACACACGACTCCAACGGGATTGTGAGAATCAAGTCACTCTTGTGGGAAGAGTTTTTATATGGGAAAGCAGATAAAACTTTCATTGGACTGGAATGTTTGGAGAATGTTAATTTCCAAATCAGGAACCACAAACTGCCCTCTAATAAGACATCAGCTATCTAAGCGTGTGGGTGCTCCCTTTCTGCCAGCAGTTCTGGTTCTGAAGAAAATCGCCATCAATCAGACATGAAAACTCTGGCTCCAAAAACAGCATTTTCTTTGTGCAAATAAAAAGTGTGTATCAAGTATGATGTTCCCCCAACGTGGACACACTCTGTTCCCCACAAAGCCAAGCCCGCTGCAGCTGCCACATCCCTGAACACACTCGGTTCCTCACAAAGCCAAGCCCGCTGCAGCTGCCACATCCGTGGACACACTCGGTTCTTCACAAAGCCAAGCCCGCTGCAGCTGCCACATCCCTGGGCTTACGGTGCAGCAGGTGCTTTTTTCAAGACAGGAATCAAAATGTTAGGAACACGGCAGAAAGATGACACCTGGAGACCAAACGCAGGATAAGGAGTACTGCAGAAGTCACAGAACAGTAATACGCTAGCAGGGGCATGGGGCATGAAGAACAGAAGAAGAGAGGAAGTGTTTCTGAGCCTCCAGAAAAGAAATCAGAACCAAGCACAGCTTCCCGGGTCACAGAACCAATTCATTCACCAGGCGGCACCACTGCCGTCATTTCACCTTCTGGCCACTGGGAGGCGCTGCTCGAAAGGGTTTGCCCTGAGACTCCGAGAAGAAGCTGCGGGAAGGACAGCAGGGGTCCCGGGGTTTTAGCCTCTGGCCCAGGAGTTATGTGTCCATAACCAAAGGGAGCACAGTCTGCACCCAGCTCTCATCCCATCCGAGCTGCTGCGATTACCGCAGGTTCTTCCGGAACTGGTTTAGCTTGCCTGCAGGATCAGGAAAGTTTGAGAAAAGCATCTGCAAAAAAATAAAGAGCAGAGCTTAACTCATTTCCTGTCCCCACCCCATCCCAGGTCACCACCTGGCTGACCCCATGTCCCCAACCCAACAACAACCCCTCCCAAGTTCTTAACTCCCTCACTTGGACTCGAGACTCTTCACACCCCAGCAGCGCTCTGCCTCCAACTTGACATCACGCTTTCTGGAAACTTCCCCGTGTGTCCCACTTTCCCACACTTGGTGCCCTGGAGTACCTCCCGGCCTCTACATGCTGTATGTTCCCCTGCAAGCACCCTCCTTTTGGCCTCTGGCCATGTCCCACCCATCTGTGGGTAACAAGGGGGTGTCTGTGTTCTTTGCAGCCTTGCTAAACTGTCTGAATCAAGGATCACAAACTACAGCCTGCAGGCCAAATCCAGCCCACAGCCTGTGTTTGTAAATAAAGTTTTATTTGAACAGAGCCACACCCCTTAATCGACAGATGATCTGTGGCTACTTTCACACCACATGTCAGTACCATGGTTCTGACAGAGACTGGGGGACCCAGTCTAAATGACTTCCGACCTGGACCTTTACTGAAAATCCTGCCAATCATTCTGTTGGCAAGAATGGTGTATTACTTTTAGCAATAAGAAACAAGTAACCTTTGCAGAATTCCACCCATCTTTCAAGGCTGGTCCCAGAAGCTCCCTTTGCCCGCCCACCTACGTGATCCTGATCACTTCCTAAACTGCAGCCTGGCCCACCCGGCTCCAGCATCATTTGTGGAGTGTCAGCTCCATAAATCCAGAGGGCAGGTGGGGGTGTGTCCTAACTTTCCTGAGCCTACTGTACCAAAACGGGACAGCAGAGTGGGCCGGCCTGTGACCTCTGCTCTCTCCCTAGCTTTTCCGCCAGACCCTACATGGTCCCACCCTGGCTGTGGGAAGAAGGGATCAGGGAGCGTGGCTCGGAGCCAGTCTCCAGAACCCTCCCCACCCTGGCGTGGTGGCAGATGTGGCTACCTGCAGCTGAGCTGCCAGTTCCTCTGAGTCCTCAAAGACCAGGCCATTTTCTTCATGTTTCACCAGCTCATTTAAACTGCAGAGAGAACCAAGGGAGCCTGAGAGCTGCCTGGAGAAGACACCAGACCCCTGGGGTGCCCACCTGGGCTCCACCCCCCCAACCCCATGCTCAAGCCAGGCTGGGGGTTGGAACAGGGGGTGTGGTTTCCGGGAGCTCGTTCTTAGATTTGGCATCTGAAGGGTATAAAGGCCTGGGGGGGTGCACATCTAAGTGGCCAAACCGATTTGAGGAGGGAGCCTTAAGGGGGGTTTGTACCTTCTGTGCTGGATGCTCTTCAAGGACTGAAGAATTATTTTTGCATGTTTTTCTTAATTCCATGGCCATGGAACAAGTAAAGGGAACACCCTGGGGACTGGCTCAGCACATAAAAGATGACTTTTCTAGGGCACCAGATTTGATCCCGACATTCCCTGAGCTCAGCTCACAGGAGGGGCTCACATCGCTGAATCCCATCCATGAGCCGGCTCCTGAGCAGGGGCCA
The DNA here is from genome assembly GCF_000001405.40 of Homo sapiens. Classification (NCBI taxonomy): domain Eukaryota; kingdom Metazoa; phylum Chordata; class Mammalia; order Primates; family Hominidae; genus Homo; species Homo sapiens. Next base: position 6,929,178 of record NC_000007.14, on the reverse strand, counting down.
AGGGCTCAGCTTGTGCTGGGGCTACTGCTTCTAGAATCTCCTCTAACAGTGCCCTTCCAAACACCCGTCTATGCTGGGTGGAGTGAGGCCACAGCATGACACTCATTCAACTGATTCAAACCCACCACGTGAGCTTGGCCAAAAGGGACATGGTGGGAGAGAAAGAAACAAAGAAGACCATGTAAGCCTGCAGGCAATTCCCGCCAATTCTACTCCAGGAGCAAAAGCCCCGAGTGGAGTTCTAGTATTTAAGATGCTTTTTTTTCATATTAGGTTGGTGCAAAAGTAATTGCCATCTTTAATGGCAAAAACCGTGATTACTTTTGTACCAGCCTAAATATAACATGAGCTCTAAATGGAAGCAACTACTTCAGTGAGGCTCAGCCCAGCCACAGTAACCGCAGGGCTCCTCCTCGTGGCCTCCAGTGTGTGCTGGACTGACCGAGGGGCAGGGCCTCACTGTGGGCAGCTCCCTCTGCACTGCTTCCCCCTCAGCGGTGGATCTGTGAAGCTATCCCTAGAAAGATTCGGGTTCTGCTCCTACCACTTGAAGTTCACGGCACACGCAGGCAAATAGCACCCGAACATGTCCACCACCTTCATGGGCAGGTCCAGGCCACTGGAGAACGTGTGCAGACAGACACCCAGGTCCACCGACCCTGCTAGGCAAGAGGGGTGCGGTCAGAGCACTGGTCTCTGCCCTGGGAACACAAATCCTCCCAGCACAGTGAGGCAACATCCCCTGAGGGGAGTGAAAATCGGATAAGGCACCCGACAGCACCAAGCACAAGTGGCTTAAGCCGGCCAAGCAGCCACACGGCCTGGCTGGGACATCTGAAAATGTAAGTTGACACTTTTTCTACTTAACCACAATTTGTTTTTTTTTTGTTGTCATTTTGTTTTGTTTTGTTTTGAGACAGTCTCACTCTGTCACCCAGGCTGGAGTGCAGTGGCACAATCTCAGCTCACTGCAACCTCCACCTCCCAGGTTCACCTCCCGCATGTAATCCCAGCATTTTGGGAGCCCAAGGCGGGCAGATCACCTGAGGTCAGGAGTTCAAGACCAGGCTGGCCAACATGGTGAAACCCCATCTCTACTAAAAAAAATACAAAATTAGCGAAGCATCGTGGCAGCTGTCTGTAATCCCAGCTACTCAGGAGGCTGAGGCAGGATAATCGCTTGAACCCTGGAAGGCAGAGGTTGCAGTGAGCCAAGATCGTGCCATTGCACTCCAGCCTGGGCTACAAGAGCGAAACTCTGTCTCAAAATAATAATAATAATAATAACAGTAATAATAATAAACCACAGCACACCCACCACAAACCAGCTGTCAGTGTGAAAACAAAGCGAAACAGCTTAATATTTCTGAAGACTAGCTGGGGCCAGGCGTGATGGGTCACGCCTGGAATCCCAGCATTTAGGGGGGCCAAGGCGGGAGGATCACTTGAGGTCAGGAGTTCAAGACCAGCCTGGCCAACATGGTGAAACCCTGTTTCTACTAAAAATACAAAAATAAGCCAGGTGTTGTGGCGGGCTCCTGTAATCCCGTAATCTACTCAGGAGGCTGAGGTGGGAGAATCGCTTGAACCCAGGATGCAGAGGTTGCATGAACTGAGATCGTGCACTCCAGCCTAGGCAACGGAGCGAGACTGTCTAAAACAAAGACTAGCTGGAGAGTCCTGCCAGGAAAAGGCCCTCAGCCTCCAACTGCTCTGCTCACTTGAAGCTGGAAGATGCAGCTCTAGAGACGCATCAGGACCAAGCCACGACTCCCCATTTGGAAAAATCAATCGGGGAAAGAGACGGAGGCAAAGGAGAACCATCTCACTGGGAGAAGCGACGCTGTTTGACACATCGTCCCTGTACCTCCCAAAGCCACTGCCCTCCCACACCTGGGCAACAGTGCCCCAACCCCAGGCCCAGCCCTCCTGCAGGAAGGAAGAGGACTGAATGGAGGGCGTGGCAGGCTGAAAGGACATGGCCTCCTCAAACCCCTTGGTAAAGGGCCTCTGGGGCCACCTGGCAGGGAGGGGCTGGCACACCAGGAAGTAGCCTCCTCCCGGGAGTTCAGCCAGAGCCCAGGTCCTGTCCCCAAGTGGCCTCCAGAGCCACCTTTTCAGAAAAAGTACATCCCGCCCACCTCTGTTCCCGCTGCTTAAGGCCCCGCCTCCTCCCTGAGCCTCCTGCTGGCCTCTCACCTAGAAGCAGGGGCTAGTCCTCGGCCTCCAGCCAAGGGGTGCTGACCTGGATGTGCTGGAAATGCTTCTGGTGGATGAGGCAGCTGTAATACTCCGTCAGAGGCCCTTTGCCTTCACAGAGAAGAGCAGATACTGCTATGGACCCGTCTCTGACCCTACCAAGTGGCCCCAGGCCCAAGACACTCCCCGCTAGGAGGGATCCCTTTCCCAGAAGCTCCACCCCTCGGCAGCTCCAGTCAGGCCCCATCCGGGCCCTTCGGGAAGCATCCCAGGAGCCCCGAGACCCGCAGGGGTGTGTGCACCCTGACCCCTGACGCACAGCCCTGCACTTGCAGCCAGCTGGCCTCGGGCTGCAAACATGGCGGGGTAAGCACCGGCCTGGCACCCGACCCCCCACTGGGTGGACCCAGCCTTTTGTCTGTGTTGTGCACAGGGGACACGAGGACTCCCCCTGCCCTGCCACAGCCTCCAGAGCACATGGCGCGGGCTCCAAACCACTCCTGGGAGCCTAGAGGCCAGAGGAGGGAGGAGAGCAGGACCAGCAGCTGGCCCAGACCCCGCCTCTTCCCACACCACTTCCGCTTTTCTCCCTCCTCACTGAGTCACCTTGAAAGGGCTCAGCAGCAGTAACTGTGGCACAGGGGCTCTTCCGTTTGAAAAATTAAAAGAGGCTTGGTTAAGGCACCAATGACATGGCCAGGCACAGTGGTTCGTGCCTATAATTCGAGCATATTGGGAGGCCAAGGTGGGTGGATCACCTGAGGTCAGGAGTTCAAGACCAGCCTGGCCAACATGGTGAAACCTGTTTCTACTAAAAATACAAAAGTTAGCTGGGTGTGGTGGGCCCCTGTAGTCCCAGCTACTCGGGAGGCTAAGGCATGAGAATTGCTTGAATGTGAGAGGCGGAGGTTGCAGTGAGCCAAGATCACACCACTGCACCCCAGCCTGGGCGACAGAGACTCTGTCTCAAAAAAAAAAAAAAAAAGAAAAAAAGACACTAATGATGTAACAACAACAACAAAAAGATGCTTGGAAACTACTGAAAAAGTAGAAAGCTTGGTATCTACAGATTCTAATCTGGGCTCCCTGCCCTGCTGTGAAATCCTCTGAGCCACAGTTTCCCCCACGTCAAGCAGTATAAGACCCTATGCAGAGAGCTGCAGTGAAGATTAAGGAGACAAGATCGTGGGAAGCACAGGGTAAAGGCTGCGTGCCCCTCCCCCTCCACCATCCCCCAATCAAACAGACACCCAGGGTCCCAGGCGGTACCTGTTATACAGACGAGAGAAGGAAGGTTGTGTCCATCAAGAGTCAGTTGCTCAAACTCTGTGTTTAAAAAAAGAAACAATTCTACATGGAATTTCTGATAGAATTTCTTTTTTTGTTTGTTTTTCTGACAGACTCTTGCTCTGTCACCCAGGCTGGAATGCAGTGGCATGATCTCAGCTCACTGCAACCTCTGCCTCCTGGGTTCAAGTAATTCTCATGCATCAGCCTCCCAAGTAGCTGGGATTACAGGCGCCCACCACCATACCCAGCTAATTTTTGTATTTTTAGTAGAGACAGGTTTTGCCATGTTGGCCTCAAACTCCTGAACTCAGGTGATCTGCCTGCCTCAGCCTCCCAGAGTTCTAGGATTACAGGTGTGAGCCACCATGCCCATTCAGAAAAAAAGTTTTAAATAAACAATAGCCAGAGTCACCTGGTCAGTTGGAGAAAGAGCACTGCTCTTGTGGGGAGGCCACCAGCCTCTGTGAGATACTCTCCTGGAGGAGGCATTTCAGCCTGAGGGCCTGGTCACTCAATGACCCAACTGGGGATTCAGGGCAGCCCACCTCCACCACCTCCGCTGTCCCCAGGCTGCCCCACCCAGTGGCCCGGGACAGGAACATGCTGCAGGCCAGGCAAGCAGCTCACAGCTCAGTGGCCCCCGACAAGCCCAGAGCTCCTCACCACAGCTACACCCCTACTTTCTAAAGCTGCCAGCAGGATGGAGAAGTCTTCGTCCTCTATGAGAAGAGAATTGAATGTCAGGGGCCTGTTTCTAGACACCCCTCTTCCAGCTCACACGCCCTCCCCTTCTCATTGAGACTGTGGCAGGGTGGGGGCATGCAGGACTGGCAGGGGTGAGGAGAATACAGATTGGCCAGGTGCCCGTCACACCAAGCCCAAGTGTTCCAGGGGTCGTGCAGACCTGTCCAGCCTGTGCTGCTGACCAGCAGGGCTGGCCACTCGCAGAGACACATCACCAGCCCGCTCCCAGCATCCCGCTCCATGAAGGCCGACGGCTCCGTGGCTGGTTCCTCAGGTTCTAAACTGAAAGAGCAGGAAAAAAGCCTGTGAGAGGCCACAGAGCAGGCCCAGGACCCAGGACAGGCTTCTCCTGCCATGGCAAGGCCTGCAGGCTCCCAAAGGTTGGGGTGCCCGGCCACATCAGCAGCACCAGGCCACCCCTGCCATCGAGGCCTGGGCTTCCTTTCTCTAATATTGTTGCTGGGTGCTAAGGTTACAACAGCAAACAAGACTGACTCATTCCTTTTCTCCGTGGGACTTACTGTCTTATCATCCCCTGGACTCAATATGAGGGTGCAGGGACGCCCTCCCACACCACCGCAGCTTACCCAGGGGCACACCTTAGGGTGTGTGGATCTGCACAAAGGTCCCTCCTTAGCCCCGTGAGACACCCCAGGGGACCCACAGGTCCACAGATCCTGCCACAGGCCTGGGAACCCACTGGCAGGAGAGTAAGACAGCACAGGGGTCCACAAACGTTTCTTAAAGGGCCAGAGAGTAAATACTTCAGGCTTTGCAGGCCACGGGTTCTCTGTTGCAAAACACGATTCTGCTATTGTAGCTCAAAGGCGGCTGTAGACAACTCAGAAGGCAATGAGTGTGTTGTGTCCCAATGAAACTTGACTTACCAAAGCAGGAGACTGGCCGGTTGCCTTAGTATGCCAACCCCTGGATGAGTGTGTTCCCAGGTCTGCAGTGAGAAGGGGAGAGGCCAGGGCAGTGGTGAGCAGGAGAGAAAGCAGCTGAGGATGGGAGGCCTACCGGGCCCTGAACGGAGAGTGCATGCCGCCCAGCTTCATGAAGAGCCTGTGCTGCAGGTCCAGAGGTGTCCCTTTAAAGAAAGATGCCGGCTTGTCATAGACGGTCACAGCCCTGCAATGAAATCATGGCAGGGCTATTGGGAGGGCTGAAGAAAGGCCTCAGGAATAGAGGACTCAGAGACTCCAGGAAAAGAAGGACGCTTGGGGAATCCAAGTCTCAGACGATGACAAGAAGAAGCCTTGCAATCACTTGGGAATGCATAGAGACATCCTAGGACCAAAACTGCCTGGCCCCCGTGGCTGGCTGGGAAAGAAACTCTGCCCCCTCCTCTCCCGGCTTCCTCAAATTTTCCCATAATGTTGCCAAGCATTAGTCCAGCGTGGAGGCTACTTTCTGCTCAAACCACTCATTTGGGTCCCGCACCCAATGTCACCCATCCTCAGTAAAACAACCTTTATTTCCTTCTTCCTGGTTTCCAGAAAGTTCCCCTAAAGCCCTGAGGAATCACTGAATGAAAGGGGCTTTTTACAAACAGGAAACTTAAGTGGCGTGCCTATACGCAGCATGGATTGCACCAGGCCAGGTCTAAGATAAAACCAGACTGTGGACAACAGGACAGATAAGACCCACGTGGCTCTGCACTGCCGGGGTCTGTTAGTGTGTGGAGGAATGTCTTAGTCTGTTGCTCCTGTGGATGTTGCTAAAGCACGAACCAGGAGTTTTCATCCTTTTTTTTTTTTCTTTTGAGACGGAGTCTCGCTCTGTCACCCAGGCTGGAGTGCAGTGGCGCGATCTCGGCTCACTGCAAGCCCCGCCTCCCGGGTTCATGCCATTCTCCTTCCTCAGCCTCTGGAGTAGCTGGGACTACAGGTGCTCACCACCACGCCGGCTAATTTTTTGTATTTTTAGTAGAGACGAGGTTTCACAGTGTTAACAAGGATGGTCTCGATCTCCTGACCTCGTGATCCGCCCGTCTTGGCCTCCCAAAGTGCTGGGATTATAGGCGTGAGCCACCGTGCCCGGCCGTCTTCATCCTTAGAAAGCAGTTAGACAGACACCTGAGAACCAATCCCAAACTGCAGCCTTCCACAGAACCTTCTGGAACCTTCTGGAATGCAACTCATTACTGCCAGAGGGTCTTGGATGAGAGTCTACTCTCCACCATTTGTCTTCAAAGAGAATACCCACATATTCTCTTTCCATGGAAAGGTAAGTTATTAGAGTTTATGCAGTCTGGTATATTAATTGACAGCTTTAAAGAATGTCACGTTTACGATTCAGTCTCACAGACTGGGTTAAAAAGGCAATGTTGACTATTAAGTTATAAATTACTATAATGATCATTGTTATTATTCAAGCAAGCTGTGAGAAATGAGCATTATCTCACAATATCTGCATTTTAGTGAAGCTGAGGGAAGAGTGTATTTGCTGGAATGACAGAAGCCTGAGAACCACAGGGGAATTCTCACTGCAGGGTATTCAGGGTCAAAGGCTGATTCTATTTTGCATGCTCAATCCTTCCTCAATTTATTTTTATTTCTTTCTTTATTTTTTGAGACAGGGTCTCACTCTGTCGCCCAGGCTGGAGCGCCTTTGTGCAATCTCAGCTCACTGCAACCTCGCCTCCTGGGTTCAAGTGATTCTCCTGCCTCAGCCTCCGGAATAGCTGGAATTTCAGGCACCCACCACAAAGCCCAGCTAATTTTTGTATTTTTAGTAGAGATGGGATTTCACCACGTTGGCCAGGCTGGTCTCGAACTTCTGACCTCAAGTCACCCTCCTGCCTTGGCTTCCCAAAGTGCTGGGATTACAGGCATGAGCCACCGTGCCTGGCCCTCAATTTTGTTTTTCTATTTATTTATTTATTTATTTAGAGATGGATTTTCGCTCTTGTCCCCCAGGCTGGAGTGCAGTGGCGTGATCTCGGCTTACTGCTACTTCTGCCTCCAGGATTCAGGCGATTCTCCTACCTCAGCCTCCGCGTAGCTGGGATTATAGTCATGCCCCCCTACGCCCCACTAATTTTTGTATTTTTAAGTAGAGACAGGATTTCACCATGTTGGCCAGGCTGGTCTCGAACTCCTGACCTCAGGTGATCCACCTGCCTTGGCCTCCCAAAATGCTGAGATTACAGGTGTGAGTCACTGCACCTTGCCCGTCAATTTAATTTTAATAAAATTATCAAGGAAATAAGCCACAAAAGGACAACGTGCAGACTTTAGAACAGAGCTGTCCAATAGAAATATAATGTAATCCACATGTGTAATATTAAATAATTTAGTCACCACATTAGAAAAAGTAAAAGGGGTGAAATGAATTCTCCTAGTAAACTTTATTTAACCAATATATTCAAAATGTTTTTATTTCAACATTAATGAATACTTAAAAATTCTTAATGAGATATTTTATGTTCTTTTTTTTTTTTTTTGCTCATGACGGCTTGGAAATCTAGTGTATATTTTACACTAACAGCATATCTCAATTGAGATGGCCACATCTCAAGTGCCCAGTAGCCACGTGTGGCCTGAGGCCATGACTCTGGGCAGTACAGCTTTAGGTGAGTCTAGGGCAGGGCAGAGGGGGGCACATGGGATCAAGTGTGGAGCCTGGGGCCTTGTTTAGCACCCTTTGGTGAGGGCACTTTCTTTCCATAAAACCCAGGTCAAGCGTGCCTCACAAAGGGGCCAGTGGAGGTGCCTCAGTTTACTTGGGAGCTTGGCCTCTCCAGCTTGCCTTCCTACTGCCTGGAAGAAAATTGGTGTCCTCTTGCTTTCTCTAGCCCCTTTCCCAAGAACCCTCCCAGATTTCAGTCCTATGAAGGGCCAGGGGTGCAAGGAGTCACCCACACAATGACAGGACCCACCAGCAATACCAGAAGTTGGCCAGCCCTACTCATCCAAATTCCTTTCTGCCAGCTGGACATCACAAGGATTTCAGACTGCCATCTTGTGGCAACTCCATTTTGGGGTCCGGGGGTGTAAGGATTACTGTATTAGTCCATTCTCACTCTGCTAATAAAGACATACCTGAGACTGGGTAATTTATAAAGAAAAAGAGGTTTAATGGACTCAGATCCACATGACTGGGGAGGCCTCATGATTATGGCAGAAGGTGGAGGAGGAGCAAAGTCACATCTTACATGGCAGCAGGCAAGAGAGTTGTGCAGGCGAGCTCCCCTTTATAAAACCATTAGATCAGGCAGGGCACAGTGACTCAAATCTCTAATCACAGCACTTTGGGAAGCCAAGGTGGGTGGATCACCCGAGATCAGGAGTTTGAGACCAGCCTGGCCAACATGATGAAACCCCATCTCTCATAAAAATACAAAAATTAGCCAGGAGTGATGGCTCATGCCTGTTGTCCCAGATTCTCGGGAGGCTGAGGCAAGAAAATTGCTTAAATCCAGGAGGCGGAGGTTGCAGTGAGCTGAGATGACGCCACTGCACTCCAGCCTGGGCAACAGAGTGAGACTCGGTCTCAAAAAAAGAAAAAAAGAATTAGATCTTGTGAGACTTATTCAATGTCATGAGAACAGCAGGGGAAAGACCCACACCATGATTTAGTTACCTCCCACTAGGTCCCTCGCACAACATGTGGTGATTATGGGAACTATAATTAGAGATTTGGGTGGGGACACAGCCACACCATATCAGTTACTGAGCTGGGCATCTTCTTCCTTGAATGCACATTGGCCTCTGAGGCACTTCCTGGTTAACCTCATTCTACAGCTGAGAAAACCCAGGCTTGGCACAGGCAAGGGATCTGACCCAACGTCTCCCATCTTATTAGTGGAAGGACCAAGACTGGACCCACAACTGTGCTCCTGTTTTGAGTCACCATGCTGCCCCCAAGATCAGATCTCAAAACAAGCAGACATGGGGGGCTCAGAAAGTCCCCAGCCTAGAACTTTCCTGTCACCCAATGACACTAAAGGCTAAGCTGGCTGCTTATTATTCTGGATTCACACTAGAATGACCTTGGGGTGTGTTTCACACATGCCGATGTCTGGAGTTTCACCCCCAGCTAACTGACTATGAATCTCTGGGTTGGAGCCTGGGCACTGATATTCATGCAGAGCTTCTGAGATGATCCTATTGCATTGCCAAGGTTGACATCTGCAAAAACATTGCACACTTTTTCATTCATTTAGTTATTAAATATGTAATATTTATTATTATTTTTCCAGACACAGAAGCGCTGCAAGAATAGTACAAAGACATCCTTTATACCCTTCGCTGACATTCCCCAGTGCTACCATTTTACCCCATTTGTTTATTGTTTTCTAAGTGGCAGAGGTGGGTGGATCACCTGAGGTTGGGAGTTTGAGACCAGCCTGACCAACATGGAGAAACCCCATCTCTACTAAAAATACAAAATTACCGGGGCGTGGTGGTGCTTGCCTATAATCCCAGCTGAAGCAGAAGACTTGCTTGTACCCAGGAGGCGGATGTTGCGGTGAGCCGAGATGATGCCATTGGACTCCGGCCTGGGCAACAAGAGTGGAACAATGTCTCAAAAAAAGAAGAACTGTTCTGTCTGCCAGCAAGAGAAACAGAGACTGCCCACAACTGCCAGGCACATTCCCTGGTGGGAAAGCTCTTAACGTCACTGGCAAGTGAGATGGATGCTGGCAGCCCTGGGGGAGCTGCATCTAGGTCTTTACAGGAATAGACGCTGTCTCTGGACTGGGCTTTGTTTGTGTGGTAGAAGATGCAAACTCTCGGAGTGCCATTAAAAACAAGAAAAAAGGCCAGACACGGTGGCTCATGCCTGTAATCCCAGCACTTTGGGAGGCTGAGGTGGGCGGATCACTTGAGGTCAGGAGTTCAAGACCAGCCTGGCCAATATGGTGAAACCCACTCTCTACTAAAAATACAAAAATTAGCCAGGTGTGGTGGCAGGTGGCTGTAGTCCCAGCTACTTGGGAGGCTGAGGCAGGAGAATCAATTGAGCCTGGGAGGTGGAGGTTGCAGTGAGCTGAGATGGCGCCAGTGCACTCCAGCCTGGATGTCAGAGCGAGACTCTTTCTCAAAACAAAACAAAACATAGATTCAAACATAAAATGAGGAGGAATTTTAAGACAGTAAGAGCAGAGCATTAAGCCACGCTCGGGGTCCCTCTCAGCATGGGGCACTGTGTGACTGCACAGGCCAAACACCCATGAATTCATCTCAATTTCCATCCCTCTCACACTCTTCCCCACTGCTGTGGTCTCAGCTGGCACCTTCCTCATTTCTACTCCGGAGGACTGCCTGTACCCTGATTTCTTCAAGGGTGTCTCCAGTCCATCAGACGCAGGCCAACCCAGGGTTTCTCTGCATTGCAATCCAACCAGCATCACCCCCCTGCTTACCAGCCTGCAGTAGCTCTCATGTCCCTTCAGGTTAAAATTCAGACTTCTTAGCAAGGCACTGCTTATTTCTCCAGCCTCTGTGACAGCCTCACACCCTACAATTGAGCTCTGCTGATCCTGGAGAAGTTCCCTCTGAGCCTTTGCACTCCTGTCCCTGCTACTTGACGGTGATTTCCACCTGGTTACCTCCTGGCGTCACCTCCCACCTGGAAGCCTTCCTCATCTCTGGGGTGGGTCAGATGTAGCCGGTTTTGCCCTCTTCCTACACACCCTGCGTTTCCTCTCTCCCAGCGTTCATCTCGTGATATACAATAAGCAATTGACTAATTTGTCCTTAAGACCAGGGCCATACCATGTCTTCCTGGTGACAAATGAGGGAGCAGCGAGCGCTTTTGCCCTCTAATGGCATCTCTGGATCACTAGCTGGAGGTCTTGGAACTCTAAGAGCCAAGCTATTCAAGTGCTACAAATAACACTGCATGGCCCCCGGTCTTTCCTGATTCCTCTCTGCATCTATCAAGAAGGAGCAGCTGTTTTTTGAAGCCCTTCTTTCCTTCTCATGGCTTTGCTCATCCCCACCCTGCTTGGCCTCCAAACTCAGAGCCTTAACTTTCCTATAAATACAGTTTCTCTCCAACTCAACTTGATTCATTCATGCAGGATCCTAGTTCTCTCTCTCTGCCTTTCCAATTCTCCTCTTTCCATTACATTTAAGAGAACCCTGGCTGGGCATGGTGGCTCACACCTGCAATCCCAACACTTTGGGAGGCCAAGGTAGGTGGATCATCTGAGGTCAGGAGTTTGAGACCAACCTGGCCAATATGGCAAAACCCCGTCTCTACTAAAAAACAAAAATTGGCTGGGTGTGGTGGCACATGCCTGTAGTCCCAGCTACTCGGGATGCTGAGGCAGGAGAATCGCTTGAACCTAAGAGGCAGAGGTTGCAATCACACCACTGCACTCCAGCTTGGGTGGCAGAGTGAGACTCTGTCTCAAAAAAAAACCCCAAAGCAACCAAGAAAAGGGCATTCATTTATGGTATAAGAGCGGAAACCAAAAGGAGCTCCTCGATGGAGCTCTGCTGGGACCGTGCATATCAGCCATTCAACCTCTTCAGCACTTGGCGCACATCCAGGAAAGCCCTGCTGGGATTGATTTAGGGGCTATAAATAAACATTATCAAGTACGTGAATTTACAGCTGCAGAATCTGCAGGTAATGAGGATTGATGGTAGATGCACCGATGAACTGGAGGTCAGATTTTAAACTGAACTGTCCAGGACATGGCCAGCAACCAAGAGCTAGAAAAAAGGATTCCTGGAAGGTGGTGAAGAAAATAGAAATCTTAGAGGCTCAGAGACAGACGAAGGTAATCCCTCAGCTGTCACCTGAGCTGTGGCTATAAAATGAGGCAACAGATTAAGAATTGTAAGCATAAGATTGAGGCCAGGCTCAGTAGCTCATGCCTATAATCCCAGCACTTTGGGAGGCCAAGGCAGATGGATCATTTGAGGTTGGGAGTTAGAGAGCAGCCTGGCCAACATGGTGAAACTCCATCTGTAGTAAAAATACAAAAAAAGTTAGCCGGGTGTGGTGGCGCACGCCTGTAATCCCAGCTACTTGGGAGGCCAAGGCAGGAGAATCACTTGAACTGGGGAGGCGGAGGTTGCAGTGAGCTGAGATCTCGACACAGCACTCCAGCCTGGGCAACAGAGCAAGACTACATCTCAAAAAGAAAAAAAAAAGAAAAAGAAAAAGAAAAAAAAGATTGGGACAATCAGAAGCAAACACCGTCAGCAAAGGAAGGATGAGGGGGAGTGAATAAAGGGTCCACAGGAGAATTAAGAAAGTGTGGGCCCTTGGGGTCATTCAGTGAAGCAGAGCCAGGTCACTAGTGAGTGTGCCTGGGAATCAATTAAGGATGAATATGAAGCTTGAGACCAGGGCAGCATAACCACCATTTAGGCGCCCGTACTTCTTTACATTTGCTGACTGTGTTTCTGTGAAATACAAACGAAGAAATGCTGTGACTTCCCCTCATTCTAAGGTGAAACCAAAGAAGGGGATACTGACAGACCTGTCCGAAGTCCTCCACCGAGCCAACAGGGAGGCTGGAATAGACACAGCCGGTCACCCGACCTGTTCTCTAGGCATGGCTTTTTGGATTTGCCACTTACATCTGCTTCAAGTTTTAGAAACTTCCAGGCTCTGGCTTTTTTGCTGCTTTGGGGAACAAAGCATGTTCAGTCAAGTGTACAGCAAACCTGTCTTGCTCCTAAATCCAGTCATCTTCAAAATAGATGTCTGAGGTTTATAGTGCTACTCTCCAAATGTCATTATCATCCCTAAAGTTAAAAAAAAGGTTTAATTATTATGAGCAGTGAAATTACCATATAGTCTTCCAATTCACTGAATAAGGCACCAAATAAGTGCCCTCAAGCCTTAATTTCTACCTTGAAGTTAAGGTAGGTATCATGATTACCTGGATCATCCTACACATCCTCAAAGTGGGCAGAGTTGAAAGGCTGTCTAAGCGGGTAGGTTGGAAGGTGGTGCCCTTCTCCCTCTTGTCTGTTTGTCGAGCTCTGTTGGTCCTTCTGACTGGTTAGCAACCCTGAGTGTTTCTGAGAGCCTTTTGTTGTATGTGGGGGCAGAACCACTAATCTGGCCAATTCCAAGCAGAAAAGATCAAGTACAGATTTCATATCTGAGTTTTAAATGCTAGTAAAAAGTTGCATGAAGTTATCAAATGCACTGCAATTCTGGCTTCATCGCCAAGTGGCTCTGTAGTTTGAGGATTATGCTGCATCCCGAAGAAAAGAAAATTGTTCCATTTAGATGTTTGGGGTAAAGGGGGATTGATCCAGTTACTTTTCAACTAATCTAAGTCAGATGGAGTTCGCTGCTTAACTTTCTAAGGTTGGTACTTGGTCAAAGAACAAGGTGATCATTTTTATAGGACTGAAGGCCTTTGGTTGAAAAGGCATGAAGAAGTTTCTACCAGTCCTGTTTGAAATAAAACAGTAGTGTAATCTAAAGATTGTAATACAAGACCAACACAGCACATTTAGGGTAACTTTTGAAAAATGCTTGACTGATGTGCTTCTCTCTCTCTCTCTTTCCGTAGACATGTGTGTAACATGTTACACAGAGAAATCTATAAGCCCTGGGTTACGTTGGTTGCTGATGAGGGATTAATCAGAAGCTACTACTCACTTATTCACCTTTGATCTGCTATTCTTCTGGTAGTCTTCTTCACTGTCTCATTCATTCAAGAACTGTTCATTGGGCTGGGTGCGGTGGTTCACACCTGTAATCCCAGCACTTCGGGAGGCTGAGGCGGGTAGATCATGAGGTCAGGAGTTTGAGACCAACCTGGCCAACATGGTGAAACCCCATCTCTACTAAAAATACAAAAATTAGCTGGGCCTGGTGGCATGCGCCTGTAATTCCAGCTACTCGGGAGGCTGAGACAGGAGAATTGCTTGAACCTGGGAGGCAGAGTTTGCAGTGAGCCAAGATTGCACCACTGCACTCCAGCCTGGGTGACAGAGCAAGACTCTGTCTCAGAAAGAAAAAAAAAATTGCATGGTCATGTCAGCATCCTCCCCACCCCCCCTTCCCCAGATCAACCAAAAAAATGGAGAAAAATCTGGAAGGCCACTCCTTTAGACCACTCATGCTAAGTATGAGTGCACACTCACAAAGCGTGCAAGCCAGCTATATTAGTTCATTCTTGCATTGCTATAAAGAAATACCTGAGACTGGGTAATTTATACTTGATCTTAGCCAAAAGGCTGAGAAGCAATGGGATTGGGTAATTTACAAGGAAAGTGGTTGAATTGGCTCACTGTTCTGAAGACTATACAGGAAGCATAGCAGCTTCTGCTTCTGGTGAGGCCTCAGGAAGCTTCCAATCATGGCAGAAGATGAAGGAGGAGCAGTTCTCTTACATGGCAGGAGCAGGAGCCAGAGAGAATGACTGGGGGAGGTGCCGCGCACTTTTTTTGTTTTTTTTTTTAGAGTCTTGCTCTGTCATCCAAGCTGGAGTGCCATGGTGTGACCTTGGCTCACTGCAACCTCTGCCTCCTGAGCTCAAGTGATTCTCCAGCCTCAGCCTCCCAAGTAGCTGGGATTACAGGCGCCCACAACCACGCTGGCTACTTTTTGTATTTTTACTAGAGACGGGGTTTTGCCATGTTGGCCAGGCTGGTCTTGAACTCCTGACCTCAGGTGATCCATCCACCTCAGCCTTTCAAAATGCTGGGATTACAGGGGTGAGCCACCATGCCCGGCCCCACACACTTTTAAATGACCAGATCTCACGAGGACTCACTCACTATCGTGAGTACAATACCAAAGAGAATAGTGCTAAACCATCCATGGGAAACCTGCCCCCATGATCCAGTTGCCTCCCACCAGGCCCCAGCTCCAACACTGGGGATTACAATTCAACACACAATTTGGTGGAGATACAGATCCACACTCTATCACCAGCCCTTCTGCTTTCACCTCCCCCGTTTTAGACAACCAGCGTTTGATTTGCCTGTTCCATTTCTGTGCCACATTATGACTCTGAAGAGGATGCCTCTCTGCCTATTGTTGGACATTATGGGCTGTACAGAGTGCTCCTTTTTCTGAAGCAATGACGTTGGCTATCAAGATTCATGCAGTATCTCCTTTTCTGTTTTTTTCTTTTCTTTTCTTCTCTTTTTTCTTTTTCTTTTTTTTTTTTTTTTTGAGACAGAGTCTCCCTCTGTCTCCCAGGCTGGAGTGCAATGGCACGATCTCAGCTCACTGCAACCTACGCCACCTGGGTTCAGGTGATTCTTCCACCTCAGCCTCCCGAGTAGCTGGGATTGCTTAATTTTTTTTATATTTTTGTAGTGACGGGGTGTCACCATGTTTGCCAGGCTGGTCTTGAACTCCTGACCTCAGGTGATCCGCCCACCTCAGCCTCCCAAAGTGCTGGGATTACAGGCATGAGCCACCGTGTCTGGCCTTTTTTCTTGTTTTTAATGGCACTCCGAGAGTTTGCATCTTCTACCACACAAACAAAGCCCAGTCCAGAGACAGCGTCTATTCCTGTAAAGACCTAGATGCAGCTCCCCCAGGGCTGCCAGCATCCATCTCACTTGCCAGTGACGTTAAGAGCTTTCTCACTAGGGAATGTGCCTGGCAGTTGTGGGCAGTCTCTGTTTCTCTTGCTGGCAGACAGAACAGTTCTTTTTTTTTTTTTTTTTGAGACGTTGTTCCACTCTTGTTGCCCAGGCCGGAGTCCAATGGCATCATCTCGGCTCACCGCAACATCCGCCTCCTGGGTACAAGCAAGTCTTCTGCTTCAGCTGGGATTAAAGGCAAGCACCACCACGCCCCGGTAATTTTGTATTTTTAGTAGAGATGGGGTTTCTCCATGTTGGTCAGGCTGGTCTCAAACTCCCAACCTCAGGGGATCCACCCGCCTCGGCCTCCCAAAGTGCTGGAACTACAAGCTTGAGCCACCGCACCCAGCGACAGAACAGTTCTTATTGGCATTTTGAGCCCAAGGGGCATGGCTAGATTCAGCCCATCTCTGTACTGCTGCAGAACGGCCTTGCTCACTCATTTCATGGGCCCAGGTGACCACCTCACAGGAGCACACAAAAAAAATCCACTTGGTGACTCCAGCCACCTCCTGAGCCTGGAAGGGAGTTTTTCTGATGGACGTGAACCTGTTCTACTTCAAGGCATCTTTCACCTCTCCACAGGGCTGTGCCCCATATGGACATCCGTTAATAAGCCAGGTGGCGATTGCCCTCTTGCCTGAGTGTACAGCCAAGACACTGGTCACTGCCCAGGAGTCAGTAAAAACCCAAACAGGGGACTTCTACCACTGTTCAACTGATCAAATATATATTTCACAATATCACACTCCTGTGGAACACTTTGGGACACATACCATGATTCTTTGAAAATCAGTTACTGGCATCATTCTAGTATAAATCAGTGGCTAGGAAAACAGCATGCAATTCAGCTCACTGAGCTGACTGATTTTTACCGTCTTTAGCCAGAGTAGCAGCCCTCCAAACAGGATGTTGTTTGTTCACCTCGAAATTGTCATCCATAGACCAAACAGCTGGGGGTGAGTGAGATGAGAGCTGGTTATATAGGGCACTCTCGAACTGTTGATAGAATCCAGCAGCTCCTCACTGTTCCAGAGTCAGTCATAGGAGAAAAGACGCTGCTTGCTTGGGAATATCTCCTCCCAGGTAGATTGATCCAGTATAAACCATTTCTGTCTTATTTTCTTTTCCTTCCTTCCTTCCTTTCTTTCTTTCTTTCTTTCTTTCTTTCTTTCTCTCTTTCTTTCTTTCTTTCTTTTTCTGAGATAGAGTCTTGCTCTTGTTGCCCAGGCTGGAGTGCAATGGTGCAATCTTGGCTCACTGCAACCTCCGTCTCACAGGTTCAAGCTATTCTCCTGCCTCAGCTTCCTGAGTAGCTGGGATTACAGGCATCAGCCACCATGCCCGGCTAATTTTTTGTATTTTTAGTAGAGACAGAGTTTCACCATGTTGGCCA
The DNA here is from genome assembly GCF_000001405.40 of Homo sapiens. Classification (NCBI taxonomy): domain Eukaryota; kingdom Metazoa; phylum Chordata; class Mammalia; order Primates; family Hominidae; genus Homo; species Homo sapiens. The sequence continues at coordinate 6,912,015 of NC_000007.14, read as the reverse complement.
GGCTGGCCTTAAACTCCTGATCTCAGGTGATACACCCACCTCGGTCTCCCAAAGTGCTGGGATTACAGGTGTGAGCCACTGCACTCAGCCACCTTCCTCATTTTAAGGACTCTTGTGATTATATAAACCCCTTCCAGATAATCCAGGATAATCTCCCCCACTCAAAATCCTGAACTTAATCACATCTGCCAAGTCCCTTTTTCCATCAATGTCTGGTAACATAATCACTGGTCCTGGGGATTAAGGCCTGTGGACATCTTTGTGGGCCATTATTCTGCCTACCACATGGACCATCTTTGACTTTCTGAACCTCCACTCACTTTTCTTTTTTTTTGGTTTTTTTGAGATGGAGTTTTGCTCTTGCTGCCCAGGCTGGCGTGTAATGGTGCAATCTCAACTCACTGCAACCTCTGTCTCCCAGATTCAAGTGATTCACCTGCCTCAGCCTCCCAAGTAACTGGGATTACAAGCACCTGCCACCACACATGGCTAATTTTGTATTTTTAGCAGAGATGGGGTTTTTCCATGTTAGTCAGGCTGGTCTTGAACTCTCAATCTCAGGTGATCCACCTGCCTCAGCCTCTCAAAGTGCTGGGATTACAAGCATGAGCCACCGCACCTGGCCCCTCCACTCACTTTTCTACCTTTTCCAAACAAGCTTCTGTCCCCACCCCCCATTCCATATGGTTTCAAAATGGTTCTTGATGGCCTCCATGTTGCTGAAACTATGAGGTTGTCCTAACTGTCCTTCTTCCTGACCTTTTGGCACTGTAGACCAAACAGCTTGAGGCATGGGCAGGCAGCCTGGAGGACCAGAGCATTTGGGTGATGGCTGGTCCTCATGAGCCTGTCCTGCTGTCACCCAGCAGCCCATCCTCGAAGTTTCCTTAAACATTTTTGTTTACATATCCCAAGTGGATAACCGGGTGAGCTTTCACACAGTAAAGCACATGCACGTCATGCAGATCAAGGAACTGGGCATGGCCAGCTTGCCTGAGCACCTCATTCTCCCCTCCCTAACGCTAGCTCCTCTCCTCCCAAAGGTAATGCTATCCTGGGGATAGGGAATTTTTTTTTCCTTTTAAATAGACTTAATGTGTTAGAGAAATGAAGCAGAGGCCAGGCGCTGTGGCTCACACCTGTAATCCCAGCACTTTGAGAGGCCGAGGTGGGCACTATCACCCAGAGTCCATAGTTAACATGAGGGCTCACTCTTGGTGTTGTACATTGCATGGGTTTGGACATATGGACAATGACGTGGATCCACCATTGTAGTATCACACAGAGTAGTTTCACTGCCTTAAAAATCCTCTGTGTTTCATCAATTCATTCCTCCTTTCTCCTGACCTCTGGAAACCATGGATATTTTCGCTGTCTCCATAGTTTTGCTTTATCCAGAATGTCATATCGTTGGAATCATACAGTGTGCAGCCTTTTCGGATGGGCTTCGTTCACTTAGGAATATGCATTTAAGGTTTCTCCATGGCTTTTTGTGGTTTGATAGCTCATTTCATTGTAGTGCTAAATAACATTCCATTGTCTGGATGTGGGCCTAGGCTTGTTTTTATTTGTTTTTGTTTTTTTGGGTTTTTTTGAGATGGGGTTTTGCTCTGTTTCCCCGGCTGGAGTGCAGTGGCACAGTCTCGGCTCACTGCAGCCTCCGCCTCCAGGGTTCAAGCAATTTCCCCACCTCAGCCTCCAGCGTAGCTGGGATTACAGGGGGTTGCCACCACACCCAGCTAATTTTTTGCATTTTTAGTAGAGATGGAATTTCACCATGTTGGCCAGGCTGGTATCGAACTCCTGACCTCAGGTGATCCACCCACCTCCGCCTCCCAAAGTGTTGGGATGACAGATGTAAGTCACCACACCTGGCCGGGCCTAGGTTTTTGAAGAAGTAATTGAACTGAGTGTAGGCCAGGTTGTACTGCTGAAGTGTCTTCTTTGTACTTGGAATGTGCTAGGACAGAGAGACTTCAAAGTGCAAAGCGCCTGAAGTATCTGGCATTAGTCAATTCTATGCTCTGAGCGTCTGCCCCCAGAATACCACTCTCAGAGTTAGAATATGGCAAGGCTGGTTGGATAGGTGGGGCATGGATTGGAGGCTCAGGCCGCTGCACTACACATATAGGTCTTGATGTAAACGGTCTGGTGGAGGTCAAGTTCTGTTTAGCGGGGATAGACTATGTGACAGAGTGAAGAAAGGTAATCGTCTAAACGCAGCAAAAGTTTCATTCCCACTCATGTGACAGTCTGTGGAGCAAGAAGCTCCTCTCCTCATGAACCTAGGACCCAGGTATCTTCCATCTTGTGGCTCTGCTTCTCCAGAGCCTTGTCATTTTTTTCATCTAGCTATGGTGACAAGATCTTTTGGATAAGCCATGAATATTAAACCAAAGGCAAACTCTGAAAATTGATTTGACGTGTGGTCAGCTGCTCATTTAGCACAGTCTGGGGAATGCTGGGGTGATGGACAAGAAGGTTTTCATGAAGAGGCTGAAGAGATCTAAGTATGGGGTGCCAGCCTGGGGCACTGCAGAAGGGGCACTGGCCTAGGGGTAGCATCAAGTTGACCCTGATTTCCCTGGGGCAGGGTGTGGCTCACGACGGGGTGCAGAGAACCCACCAAGAAGGCTGGAACTTTCAGTACTCATTGATTTATGAGGGCCTGCCTCTGTGCCAGGCAGGAAGACAGTGACCAGAGGCCCAGGGCCACTGAAGGGTCTCCGCCTGGTCTCTTGGTGCCTGGGGGGTACACTGTACAAGCGATGATGTAGTTCCAAGGGGCAGGACTCTGACCCACACTCTTGGTGCCAATGTCCGTTTTGCCACTCATGTCAGATTTTGCTTCTTTAAGTGAACTTACTCAGGATAGCTGGGTTCTTGGCCATTCTTCCAGTGGTTTTCAAGGGTGACAAAAGGAGTTTCAGCAAGACAGCTAACGTTTGGATGAGCGAGCCAGGAAGTATCTGTAGCCTTCCTCTAGAGAGTACTCTGGGCTGGTGGGCGTGAGGACCCCAGTTTCATGCGCATCCATGTGAAGAGACCACCAAACAGGTTTTGTGTGAGCAACATGGCTGTTTATTTCACCTGGGTGCAGGCGGGCTGAGTCTGAAAAGAGAGTCATTGAAGGGAGATGGGGTGGGGCCATTTTATAGGATTTGGGTAGGTAAAGGAAAATTACAGTCAAAGGGGGGTTGTTCTCTGGCGGGCAGAGTGGGGGCCACAAGGTACTCAGTGGGGGAGGTTTTGAGCCAGGATGAGCCAGGAGAAGGAATTTCACAAGATAATGTCATCAGTTAAGGCAGGAACAGGCCATTTCCACTTCTTTTGTGGTGGAATGTCATCAGTTAAGGCAGGAACCGGCCATCTGGATGTGTACATGCAGGTCACAGGGGCTATGATGGCTTAGCTTGGGCTCAGAGGCCTGACGTTCCTGTCTTCTTATATTACTGAGAAAAATAAAATGAAATAGTGGTAAAGTGTTGGGACAGCGAAAATTTTGGGGGACGGTATGGAGAGATAATGGACAATGTTTCTCAGGGCTGCTTTGAGCGGGATTAGGGGCAGCGTGGGAACCTAGAGTGGGAGAGATTAAGCTGAAGGAAGATTTTGTGGTAAGGGGTGATATCGTGGGGTTGTTAGAAGAAACATTTGTCGTGTAGAATTATTGTTGATGGCCTGGATACAGTTCTGTGTGAACTGAAAAACTAAATGGAATAAGAGAAGGAGAAAAACAGGTATTAAAGGTCTAAGAATTGGGAGGACCTAGGACATCTAATTAGAGAGTGCCTAAGGAGGTTCAGCATAGCCTTGTCAGCAAAGATTATTTATTTACCTCAAGAGTTAAGAGTGGAGGCTTGGGGATAGCACCAGGAGATATCAGCTGTGATGGCTTGGAGAAACAGTGTAAACCGGCAGTGTAAACAAGAGCAGGGCATGTATGAGTAGTTGAGAATGGTGAATAGGAGTATGACTAGACAGAAGACAGTAGGGATGACAAGTTTTTTTGGGGCATAGTCTAACTTGGTCTGGTGTCTGGAATGAGACTGAGGCCTAATAAAAAGGAGCGTCTGTACAGGAGCTCAAATGGGCTGTATTTTGTAGCATTCTGAGGACAGGTCTGACTTCTGAGAAGGGAAAGTGGTAAAAGTATTGTCCAGTCCTTTTTAAGTCGGCTGAGCTTGGTGAGGTGTGTTTAACATAGCCTGCATTTGCTGGTGTGTGGTGATTAGGCCTGGTGGAACTGCCATCAATAAATCAAGCATGATCAGGATGAGGAACAGGAAAGAAGGAAATGTGGGGAAATGGGGTGAACATCAGGTGGATCAGAGAGATGCAGTCATGGGGGTCATGTATGGTATCAGGAATAATGTGGGAGGCTGGACTGAAGTCCGGGCCAGGAACAATGGTAATTGTGGGACTTAACAAAGAGTGAGTACAGCTGAAGGAGCCGGGGCGCCAGAAAGTATATGCATCAGGTATGAGGAAGAAAATAGATTTTGGAAGTTATGAGAACTGTAGAGAGTGAGTTGAGCACAGTTTGTGATTTTTAGGGCCTCTAAAAGTATTAGGGCGGCAGCAGCCACTGCACAGAGACATGATGGCCAGCCTAAAACAGTAAGGTCAAGTTGTTTGGACAGAAAGGCTACAGGGTGCGGTCCTGGCTCTTGTGTAAGAATTCTGACTGCACTAACCATGCCTAGGAAGGAAAGGAGTTGTTGTTTTGTAAGGGATTGAGGTTAGGGAGATTAATCAGACACAATCAGCAGGGAGAACACGTGTGTTTTTATGAGAATTATGCTAGGATAGGTAACAGATGAGGATGAAATTTGGGCTTGACTGAAGTAATGGGGTCTGTTTGTGAAGCCTTGTGGCAGTACAGCCCAGGTAATTTGCTGAGCCTGATGGGTGTCAGGGTCAGTCCAAGTGAAAGCAAAGAGAGGCTGGGATGACGGGTGCAAAGGAATAGTAAAGAAAGCATGTTTGAGACCCAGAACAGAATAATGGGTTGTGGAGGGAGGTATTGAGGATAGGAGAGTATATGGGTTTGGCACCACAGGGTGGATAGGGAAAACAATTTGGTTGATAAGGCGCAGATCCTGAACTAACTTGTAAGGCTTGTCTGGTTTTAGGACAGGTAAAATGGGGGAATTGTAAGGAGAGTTTATAGGCTTTAAAAGGCCATGCTGTAGCAGGAGAGTGATAACAGGCTTTAAATGTTTTAAAGCATGCTGCGGGATGGGATATTGGCGTTGAGTGGGGTAAGGGTGATTAGGTTTTAACGAGATGGTAAGAGGTGCATGATTGGTCACCAAGGAGGGAGTGGAGGTATCATATACTTGTGGGTTAAGATGGGGTAATACAAGAGGAGGATGTGAAGGAGGCTTTGAACTGGGGTAAAATGTGGCAATGAGGTGTGGCTGTACCCAGGAATAGTCAGGGAAGCAGATAATTTAGTTAAAGTGTCTCGGCCAAATAAGGGAACTGGGCAGGTGGGGATAACTAAAAAGGAGTGCTTAAAAGAGTGTTGTCTAAGTTGGCACCAGAGTTGGGGAGTTTTAAGAGGTTTAGAAGCCTGGCTGTCAATACCCACAACAGTTATGGAGGCAAGGGAAACAGGCCCTTGAAAAGAAGGTAGTGTGGAGTGGGTAGCCTCCGTATTGATTAAGAAGGGGACGGACTTATCCTCCACTGTGAGAGTTACCTAAAGCTCGGCATCCATGATGGTCTACGGGGCTTCCGAGGCACTCAGGCAGCGTCAGTCTTCAGCCGCTAAGCTGAGAAGGGGTCAGTCAGAGAAGCTTGGGCCAGAGTTCCAAGGGCTCTGGGAGCAGCTGCCAGTGAGTTGAACAGTCCGATTTCCAGTGGGGTCCCGCACAGATGGGACGTGGCTTAGGAGGAATCCCGGGCTGCGGGCATTCCTTGTCCTGGTGGCCAGATTTCTGACACTTGTAGCAAGCTCTTGGGGGAGGATGTTGCGGAGGAACGCCTGGCCACTGCGGTTCAGGCATTTGGAAGTTCTTGTGTGCTGGAGATGTGGCTGGGATTTGTCTCACAGTGGAGGTAAGGAATTACAACTTTTTTCTATTATTGTACACCTTGAAGGTGAGGTTAATTAAATCCTGCTGTGGGGTTTGAGGGCCAGAATTTAATTTTTGGAGTTTTATTTAATGTCGGGGGCAGATTGGGAAATAAAATGTATATTGAGAATTAGACGGCCTTTTGACTTTTTAGGGTCTAGGGCCGCAAAGCGTCTCAGGGTTGCTGCCGAACAAGCCGGGAACTGGGCTGGATTTTTATATTTGATGAAAAAGAGGCTAAATGCTATCTGATTTGGGATAAAGAAAAAGGAGCATTAACCTTGACTATGTCTTTAACTCCAGGCACCTGTTTAAGAGTAAATTGCTGGGCAGGTTGGGGAGGGCTAGTCATGGAATGAAACTGTAAGCGGGACCCGGTGTGAGGAGGGGAGGTGATAAAAGGATTATAGGGTGGAGGAGTAGAGGCTGAGGAAGAATTGGGACCTAGCTCATCCTGGCGAGGAGCAGCCTGGGGAGGAGGGGAGAGGTCAGATGGGTCTGTAGAAAAGGAAGATTAGAAAGACTCAGCAATGCTTGGGTTTGGGACGGAGGGGACAGGTGGGAGGGAAAGGAGGAAGATTTGGGATGAGTTGCTTTGGGCACAGACTAGGAAGGGACTGATGTGTGAAAGAATGCCTGGAAGTCAGGCACCTCAGACCGTTTGCCTATTTTACGGCAAGAATTATTTAGATGTTACAGGATGGAAAAATTGAAAGTGCCGTTTTCTGGCTATTTGGAACTACTGTTGAGTTTGTATTGGGGTCAAGCAGCATTGCAGAAGAAATAAGATGCTTAGATTTTAGGTCAGGTGAGAGTTGAAGAGGTTTTAAGTTCTTAAAAATACAGGCTAAGGGAGAAGAAGGAGGAATGGAGGGTGGAAAGTTGCCCATAGTGAAGGAAGCAAGCCCAGAGAAAAGAGAGAGTAGAGACACGGAGGGAAGGGGTTCGGGGGTTCTTACTCTCCAGAAAAGTGGGAAAGGGGTGGGGGCGCAGAGATATGAGGTCCAGGCATGGAAATAAGGGATTGGGGTGCAGAGATATAAGAGGTCAGGGTGTGGAAATAAGGGATTGGGGCACAGAGAAAAGGGGTCGGGGTGCGGAAATAAGGGATTGGGGTGCAGAGGTACGAGGTTGGGGTACTTGTACCTCCCCCAGAAAAGTGGGACTTGCCACTAAGGGTGAAGGAGAAGGGGTTGAGCGGTACTTGCCCCTCCCCCAGAAAAGCAGAGAAGGGGTAGAGACACGGAGAGAAGGGGTTGGGGTACTTGTGCCTCCCCCAGAAAAGCGGGACTTGCCGCTAAGGGTGAAGGACCAAGGCAGGCGTCCCTGGGTGGTCTGACACCTTTGAAACGTGGTTGAATAATCAGGCATCCCTGCAATGATTAAACACCAAGGGAAATGTGCCTTCTCAGTCCATGACCGGTGCCAGAGTTTTGGGTCCATGGATAAAACGTGTCTCCTTTTTCTCTACTAGAAAATGAAAGGAATTGAAATTAAGAGAAGGGAGAGATTGAAGACTGGAAAGGAGAAAGTGGTTGATGGACAGAGAGAGGTTGGAGAAGAGAGTAAGAAGAGGCCGCTTACTCGATTTAAAATTGGTGAGATGTTCCTTGGGCTGGTGGGTCTGAGGACCTGAGGTTGTATGTGGATCTTTTTCATGGAGCAAAGAACAGGAGGACATGGGATTGATCTCCCAAGGCAGGTCCCCCGATCTGAGTCACGGCACCAAATTTCATGTGCGTCCATGTGAAGAGACCACCAAAGAGGCTTTGTGTGAGCAACATGGCTGTTTATTTCACCTGGGTGCAGGTGGGCTGAGTCTGAAAGAGAGTCAGCAAAGGGAGATAGGGGTGGGGCCGTTTTATAGGATTTGGGTAGGCAAAGGAAAATTACAGTCAAAGGGAGGTTGTTCTCTGGCAGGCAGAGTCGGTGTCACAAGGTACTCAGTGGGGGAGGTTTTGAGCCAGGATGAGCCAGGAGAAGGAATTTCATAAGACAACGTCATCAGTTAAGGCAGGAACAGGCCATTTTCACTTCTTTTGTGGTGGAATGTCATCAGTTAAGGCAGGAACCGGCCATCTGGATGTGTACATGCAGGTCACAGGGGCTATGATGGCTTAGCTTGGGCTCAGAGGCCTGACACCCAGGGCAGGCTGGCTCAGCCCCTTTGACTTCAGATTTCAGGGAAGGCCAGGGAGCTGGATTGGGTGCCTGGATTTTCTGAGAATTATGTTTCTGAGAGGATTTTGAAACCTAAACAGGAATACTTTACACACAGGTGGTCAAGCAGGAACTGGGAAGTTCTGAAGCTGCCCTCCTTCACACCACCTCCTCCCTTCAGAGGCCAAGGGCGGCCAAGCTGTCTCCCACACACCTCAGTGAAAAGCCCCTGGCTCTCCTCCCAGCCACCTCGCTGTGACCTCGTGAGGTGTGAGAAGGAGGAAGGGGATCTACGTTCTGGATGAGCCTTCCTTCCTCCTTGCCGAGAAATAGTTTAGGCCACGTGCCTGCTAGGCCTCAGACTTCTCAGAGCCCAGGGCCCACTGTGGCTTCTGCAAGCTGCCTGGGAATTCCACGGAGTCTGACTGGCTGCCTGTCTTATTCCCAGTCTGCTGCAACCCATTTCCTAAGCTTGGGTGGCTGAAAACAACAAATTCATCCTCTCACAGTTCTGGAGGCCAGAGTCTGAATGCAGATGTTGGCAGGGCTGTGCTGCCTTTGAAGGTTCTAGGGAAGAATCCTTCCTGACTTTTTCCAGTTTTGGGTGGTGGCTGGCAATGCGTGGCATTCCTTGGCTTCAGATGCATCATTCCAGCTGCACATGGCTGTCTTCCCTCTGAGTCTCTTCTTCTTTTAAGGATACCAGTCACATGGTGTGAAGGGCCCACCTTACTCCAGTATGTCACCAGGTTAATTCGTTACACCTGCAACCACCCAATTTCCAAATGTCACATTCTGAGGTTCCTGATTGAAGGGGTGGGTTGCCCCTCCACACCTGTGGGCGTTTCTCATTAGGTGGAATGAGAGACCTGGAAAAGAAAGAGACACAGAGACAAAGTATAGAGAAAGAAAATAGTGCCCAGGGGACGGGCGTTCAGAATACGGAGGACCCATGCCGGCAGCAGCCTCTGAGTTCCCTTAGTATTTATTGATAATTTTCAGGCGTTTCCAGAGAGGGGGATTTGGCAGGACAATAGGGTAAGAGCGGAGAGAAGGTCAGTAGGAAAACACGTGAACAAAGCTCTCTACATCTTAAACCAGATAAAGAATTAAGTGCTGTGCTTTTGATGTGCATACACATAAACATCTTAATCCATTAAAGAGCAGTATTGCTGCCAGCATGTCCCACCTCCAGCCCTAAGGTGGTTTTCCCTTATCTCAGTAGTAGGAATATACAATCGGGCTTGACACCAAGACGTTCCATTGCCCAGGGACAAGCAGGAGACAGATGACTTCCTCTTAGCTCACCTGCAAAGAGGCCTTCCTCTTTCACTAATCCTCCTCAGCACAGACGCTTTACAGGTGTTGGGCTGGGGGGGTGGTCAGGTCTTTCCCTTCCCAGGAGGCCATATCTCAGGCTATCACATGGGGAGAAACCTTGGACAATACCTGGCTTTCCCAGGCAGAGGTCCCTGTGGGCTTCAGCAGTGTTTTGTGTCTCTGGGTACTTGAGATTAGGGAGTGGTGATGACTCTTAACGAGCATGCTGCCTTCAAGCATTTGTTTAACAAAGCACACCCTGCGGAGCCCTTAATCCATTTAACCCTGAGTTGACACAGCACATGTCTCAGGGAGCACAGGGTTGGGGGTAGGGTTACAGATTAACAGCATCTCAAGGCAGAAGAATTTTTCTTAGTACAGAACAAAATGGAGTCTCGTATTTCTACTTTCTACACAGACACAGTAACAATCTGATCTCTCTTTCTTTTCCCCACATTGATGAACGTGAATTTGAGAGGACACCATTCAACCCACAGCAGAGCCCCACCATCGCTTCTCTGCACAGGGCACCCTGCCTGTCTTTCCTCTCCAGCACCAAGACAGAGCCAAGAGTGATTTCTTGAAATGAAACTGCATCCTCTCATCCCAATAAGGCATGGCCTCACTAGTGGGAGATGAGAAAATGAAAGCCTCCCTCAGGATGGGCATCCACACGTCCAGGGGATACTCATCCCAATTGTTTTTTCCTGGTTTACAGAGGTGCTTCAGGACTTCTTGGCTCCTGGCCAATACCTTAGTGCTTCCTGAAGGGGAAAGAGCCCTCCAAACCATTCAGTGGGCCTAGACCAAGGTTTCTGACCCAGACATTGAAACAGGAGGAGTACCCTTATCCCCCTTGCAGGGCATGCTACAGGGGCATGGCTCGCTTCTCAGTACCCTGCTGCTCAAACCCCTAGAGGGAGCGTGTAGAGGGGCATGTCGTGGGGAGCATTTCTGGGATCTGGCCCCACAGAAGCGTGTGGAATTGGGTGTTTACAGCTCCCGAAGCCCCAGTGGGCATGTGTTACAGTGGTCTCCTTCAGTTTTGCCATCTGCAGGTGGCTTGTGTTAATCAGCTCAGTTAGGCCCTCTGCCTTATCACAAAGACAGAGGGCTTTCTGTATCCCGGGTTCTTGCCCTAGTGTACTTGAAAAATCAGATTGCCCGTGGACTTGGAGAATGAATGCAAGATTTTATTGAGTGGAGGAGGTGGCTCTCAGATGGATGGGGAGCCAGAAGGGGGATGGAGTGGGAAGGTGATCTTCTGCTAGAGTCGGGCTGCCTAGTAGCCACACTCTCCTCCGACCACCCCCTACTGAATTCCACATCTCCCCACTGTCAAAAGCCTGCCAGCATCTGCTGATGTCTTTCAGTGTGCTCTCCTGCTTCTCTGCTCCTCTCGATGTCCAGCCACTTGTGTCTGTGCCCACTAGGATCTTGGGTTTTTTATGGGCACAGGATGGGGGTCATAGCAGGCCAGAGTAGTCTTGGAAAATGCAACATTTGGACAAGAAAACAGGAGTGCCTGTTCTCACTAAGGTCCAAGGGCACAAGCCCGAGGGCAGAGCCCTCGACAGTGACCCCACCCTTCTCTACCCAGCACTCCCCTGCCCCCCTTCCATATCAACATGAAAGCTGACATTGGCTCCTGTGCCCCACCTCTGGGCCTGGTTTGGTGACCTCTGCACCAGAGCTGCTAGGGAGGCCCCACCCCACATGTTGTTAACTCAACAGCCCTTCCCCAGGGGAACCAACGTCCTCCTGTCCCCAAACCCAAGGAGGAGTGGTGGGTTTCTGGAACTCTTGTAACCCGACTGAATATTTACCAGGTTACCTAACCAAACTCCTGCAAAACCACACCACATATGCCTGTGATGGGGACTATTTCAATCTACAGTGCCCTCGGCATTCTACGATAAGTGTCCAATCGGCATTTTATGGGCAAGATTACCAAATGTGTAGTTCCCAGAAGCCTGCCTCCCAGAGGGAAGACAGCTTAACCTGTGTGGCACCCACCACCTTCCAGGTATTGCCTTTTATAGACACGTTAAGATGATACGGTTTCAACAGACACTCCTTCTCTCTCTCTGGGTATAAATATATTTGTGATTAGGTAGTTCATTCCAAGCAAAACTGATCCATGAAAAATCCCAACTTATACAGATCACCAGTTTTGTAGGTGAGCTATTATTTGCTTCTCAAAGAAATTGTTACCCAACAAAACTAAACAGAATTCCTATCTATTGTAGAGCCCCCTTTGTATACTTCAGTATGAATTTAGTTGTAGGTTTACTCCTTACTTCAGTATAGCAAAGTACAACCAGGATAGATTCCAACCTCCAGGCTCATATCTCCCATAAATACTCCTATAGAAAGGGAAGGTGGGTTCTTTAAAGGAAGCCACATGTATCTCTGAGGCAGACATCTGAACTCATGACCAAGTTCTTAGAAAATGTACTCAAAGGGCCAGGCACGGTGGCTCCTGACTGTAATCCCAGCACTTTGGGAGGCCAAGGCAGGTGGATCACAAGGTCAGGAGATTGAGACCATCCTGGCTAACACGGTGAAACCCTGTCTCTACTAAAAATACAAAAAATTAGCCAGGTGTGGTGGTGGGCGCCTGTAGTCCGAGCTACTCCAGAGGCTGAGGCAGGAGAATAGCATGAACCCGGGAGGCGGAGCTTGCAGTGAGCAGAGATCGCGCCACTGCACTCCAGCCTGGGCGACAGAGTGAGACTCCGTCTCAAAAAAAAAAAACAAAAACAAAAAAAAACAAATCATTATTAAACATTTTTACTAATTAAATGGTTTTGGAATACAGTCTTTTAAAAAAACAATTAACTATGTTTTCTTCAACAGTGCACACACAATGCCAACTTTGTATGACATTGCAAAGAAAGATTTTACCATGATAAGCGGATTAAACAAACTAACTTTTCCTTGAATTCTTTGGGAACAAAGTACAACCTGGTCCAAATCATCCTAACCTAGAATGCACCATCAGTTTGACCGTCAGTTGTTCCTGGTTTTACCAGATTTGGGGCAGACTTTTCATGCTTCTCTAAAGAGGGATTCTTAACTGACACCGTGCCTTGTTTTTGCCCTTTTCCTAGGAAAGGAAATGATTTGATTTGGTATCATGTCATCTTTATTGCTTTTTTTTTTTTAACTTAGAGATGAGGCCTTGCTATGTTTCCCAGGCTGGTCTCCAACTTCTGGGCTCAAGTGATCCTCCTACCTCAGCCTCCCTCCCAAAATGCTGGGATTACACTTGTGAGCCACTGTGCCTGGCCTCTTTCTTGTCTTTTAAACAAATAAATGTAAGCTGGGCATGGTGTGCATTCATATATTCCCAGGTACTTGAGAAGCTGAGGCGAGAGGATCCCTTGAGCCTAGGTTTGAGCCCAAGAGTTCAAGGCTGCAGTGAGCTATGATTGGACCACTGCACTCTAGCCTGGGTAACAGAGTGAAACCCTGTCTCTAAAAAACTAAACTAATGCAGGGCGTGGTGGCTCATACCTGTAATCCCAGCACTATGGGAGGCCGAGGTGGGCGGATCACGAGATCAGGAGATCGAGACCATCCTGGCTAACATGGTGAAACCCCGTCTCTACTAAAAATACAAAATTATCTGGGCATGGTGGCGCATGCCTGTAATCCCAGCTACTCGGGAGGCTGTGACAAGGAGAATCACTTGAACCTGGTAGGTGGAGTTGGCAGTGAGCTGAGATCTCACCACTGCACTCAGCTTGGGTGAGAAGGGTGAAACTCTGTCTCAAAAAAAAAAAAAAAAAAAAAAAAAAAACCAGACACGGTCCTGTTTTCATGGGGTGAACAGTTGAGGGAGAAAGGCAAGCATTAACCAAATAGACAGACACATCATCATGCCCTATTGTGACAAATGCTATTTTAGAAAAGGGAAGAAGACTATAGCAGTGGAGGGGGCCTAATTTAGCTTGGGGGTGGTGGTTTAAGTGTTCCAAAGAGAACCATCCTGTAGGGTGAACACTAGGGTATGCGCACTAGCTGCACACTAGGGGCTGAGACGCTGAGGCTGCTGAGTGGGAGAGGAAAGGTGTTGATGAGGAGGAAGATGGCCCTGGTTTAAACTGCTGAGAACAGGGTCCTGCACACAGTAGGAGCTCCATGAAGAGTGGTCCCTAGTGTTTTCACCAACATATCTGAAGTGGAGCAGGACGGTGATCAATCACACCCAAGTCCCCGACCTCATTCTGAACCAGTTTGAAACAAGGAGATGCAAAAATCTGACAAGTGTGTTGACAACGGTGATTTTAAAGGTCCTAAGAGATTCTCTGGATTTCAGAACCAATTTCACATGGTAGAGGGGCACATTCCCTGCAGTGGCCTGTGTCATCCACAGCCAATTTCACCTTTTCACTGCCTGGTGATTCTGCAAAGTGCATCCTAGAATGACCTTCCTCTCTGAGCTCCTCTTCAAAATTCTGATTCTTTCTCAAACTGTAAAGCCTCTGGCATTTGCCAAGAGCCAAGGCCCTCCTGAAGCCACAGTTTGAGAACAAGCCAAGAGGCAGACATGAGAAAGAAGTCCTACCCCTGGCAGGGAGAGCTGACACTTCCCAGGCCACTGTATCCTTCTCTGGGCCCAGAAATGAATGCGAGGTAATTAAAGCAGAAAGCATTTTGCAGCAGCTCCGCTCAGCTCTCCGAAGCTGCCATGGTCCCAGGATCAGTGGTGGGCCCTGAGGACAGCCAAGGGACATTTCTCGAGGCCCTGGAAATCATCAGCCACCTCCAGCAACTTCACCGGGCCTCCCTGGGAAGTCTCCCTTGCTGCTGAGGGGCACCAAGGTACCAGGGCCTCTTGTACATGGAAAACTCACAATCTAGGAATGTCCTGTGGTTGTTGATCCTGGGACATCCCCAGAAGAATTTAGTTAAGCCCTCCAAGAAAGGAAACAAGGTTTTCTTGCTGCTGAAGATGTCTCACTTGTTCTTTTTTTAAAAAGCAGTGCAACTGAATTTGCAGTTTGTTTTCGCTTTCTTTCCATTTCCTGTTGCTACTTCTCCAAGATCTCAGCTGGGCTGAGGAACAAATAAAAATAAGCAGTTTTATGCAGGAGGAATATTCGGTTTCCACTCCCTTCTCCCAGCCTGCGGCAGTGTGCTTGGCCTGCAGAATTCTTGCTCTGTCCTCTGTTTCAGCGGGTGCTGTCATCTGCCAGCAGCTTTGCCTGGGGATTCTGACATCCCAGGGCTTATTCTTAGGTTCAGTTCAGCAGAGTCTTCAACCACCTTCAAAGGGGTCGGTCACGCTGCCATCCTCTCTGCATCTTTCTGTAGTCCTTTCTGATAATATTTAGCAAATCACTTTAGCACAGAGTCTTCGAATTCTTTCCAGATTTACGATGGAAACACAGAGGCAAAGAGCTTGGGGTAGAAAGCAGAAGAGCAGGTGCTGGGAGAGTTTGATGGTGGATTTTGAGTTGGTCACAGTCATTTTGCTTTATTGAGTCCAGGGAAGCTCATCTTCAGAGTTA
The DNA here is from genome assembly GCF_000001405.40 of Homo sapiens. Classification (NCBI taxonomy): domain Eukaryota; kingdom Metazoa; phylum Chordata; class Mammalia; order Primates; family Hominidae; genus Homo; species Homo sapiens. The sequence goes on along the minus strand of NC_000007.14, from coordinate 6,896,933 downwards.
ACCACCATATATATATATATATATATATGTTTTTTTTTTTTTTTTTTTTTTTTGAGATAGAGTCTTCCTCTGTCACCCAGGCTGAAGTGCAGTGGCACACTCTCAGCTCACTGCAACCTCCACTTCCTGGGTTCAAGTGAGCACGTCTGGCTAATTTTTGTATTTTTTAGTAGAGACGGGGTTTCACCAAGTTGGCCAGGCTGGTCTTGAATTCCTGACTCAAGTGATCCACCTGCCTCAGCCTCCCAAAGTGCTAGGATTACAGGCATGAGCCACCGTGCCCGGCCCAGAGTTAACCACTCTATTGACGTGTTGTTTATTTTTCTTAAAATTCTATTACACGTGAATAAAATTCAATGATTTGTAGTAAATTTAGAGTTGTGCAACCATCACTACCCTCCAGTTTTAAAACATTTTCACAATGCCCCGAAGCTCCCTTGTGCCCATTTGCCGTCACTGTCCCATTCCCAGCCCCCCGGTCCCAGGTCACCACGCATCTACTTTCTCTCTAGATTTGCTTTTTCTGAATATTTCATACAAATGGAATTATGCAATGGATGGTTTTGTGTGTGTGTGCACGGCTGACGTCTTTAACTGAATGTAATGTTTCAGAGGTTCATCCATGTTGTAGCATGTATCGTATCAGTACTTCACTTTTTTTTTTGGAGTTGAAGTCTCACGCTGTCACCCAGGCTGGGATGCAGTGGTGCGATCTTTGCTCACTGCAACCTCTGCCTCCCGGGTTCAAGCAATTCTCCCTGCCTCAGCCTCCCAAGTAGCTGGGATTACAGCCTTGTGCCACCAAGCCCAGCTAACTTTGTATTTTTAGTACAGATGGGGTTTCAAATATGTTGGCCAGGCTGGTCTCGAACTCCTGACCTCAAGTAATCTGTCCACCTCGACCTCCCAAAGTGCTGGGATTACAGGTGTAAGCCACCATGCCGAGCTTTTCATTCCTTTTTATTACTGAGGTGTATTCTTCTGGATGGATATATCATATCTTGTTTTTAGTCTCCATTTTTTAAATATTGCAAAATGGGCCTAAAACCACCTCTCTGGAGCATTTGATGATCACGTGGATACCATTGGGTTGTGTGTATGTGTGTGTATGTAACAGGGAGAGGGAGTGACTCTTGCACCGATTTGGAAAGTGATTTTAAAATCTTACCTACATTGCATTTAAAAATATATTAAGAGTCCACATTTTAAAAATATACCACGTATTTAAAATATTTCTTTTTGGCTTTTAGTTCCCAAGAACATACTCACAGTGATTGATCCAGCCATTGCTAATCTAAAACCTTCTTTGAAGCAGAAAGATGGTGAATATGGTAATTTTTATGGCTTACTACCAGCGGTTCTCTTTAAGTAAAGGTAAACAGCCCCTGGGTGACCACTGTTGGGCACATCTTGATTAGAATGGAAGGGGCTGTCAGGAGGTGTGTTTGAGGTACCAGTCCTGGTGATTATAGTGCTTTGGCCAATAGTTGCAATGAACACCAATTTATTTTGTTTTGACTTTTTTAACATCAGAAGTAGATAAACCTCCCCTTCATTCTCCTCTCACTTCCTAAAAGGAAAATCACTTTGAAAAGACATCTGCTCAGAAATAAATTTGGGCTTCCTGGGTTACACAATGAGCTTTTTGCAAAGCTCAGCCCATTGGAACCTGCGTAGGCACCAGTGCCGGCTAGGACCTGAGGGCCTCTGTACCTCTGTACAAGCCACCTTCCTCCTTAGCTTCCTTCCTCCCTCCCTCTCTCCCTCCCTCTCTCCCTCTCTCTCTTTCCTTCCTTCCTTCTTTTCCTTCTTCCTCTTCTTTCTTTCTTTCTCTCTTTTTCTCTTTCTTTCTTTCCCTCCCTCCCTCCCTCTCTCCCTCTCTCTCTCTCTTTCTCTCTTTCTTTCTTTCTTTCTTCCTTCCTTTCTTCTTTTTCTTTGGAGTTTCGCTTTTTCTCACCCAGGCTGGAGTGCAGTGGTGCAATCTCCACTCACTGCAACCTCTGCCTCCGGGTTCAAGTGATTCTCCTGCCTCAGCCTCCCAAGTAGCTGGGATTATAGGTGTCCACCACCACACCTTGCTAATTTTTGTGTTTTTAGTAGAGACGGGGTTTTACCAGGTTAGTCAGGCTGGTCTCGAACTCCTGATCTCAGGTGTTCCCCTCGCCTCAGCCTCCCAAAGTGCTAGGATAACAGGTGTGAACCACTGCACCCGGTCCCTCCTTAGTTTTCACTTGGCTTTTGTAAATGGGGTGGACGGATGCGGGGTGGTTGAAGGGGTTGAGCATTTGGATCTTCTTAACAAATCTAGAATGCAATTCAAACCCATGGGGTCCCTAATAGAAATTGCAGAGACCCAGTAGAGCATCTAAGATGTTAGGCTTAGGTGAGAGTTTTGTCTCGTGTTACCTTTATTGTATGTATTAGGTCTTTCCCGGCTAAGTATAAAATTAAAGTATGTTTGATATGAAAACCACATGAAAGCATCCCTAGTCCAAAAGCTCAGAGAGAACTATGGTAATGTTCTTCTGTGTCCTTCTAGCTGGTCACCTTGGCTTTCTGGCAGGCTCTGTGCTCCTTAGCTCCACTTCTCTTTCTTTAAAAAAAAAAATCAACTAATTAATTAACTAATATTATTATTTTTCTAAAGACAGGGCTTTGCCAAGTTGCCCTGGCTGGTCTCAAACTCCTAGGCTCAAGCAATCCACCCACTTCATCCTCCAAAGGTGCTGGGATTACAGGTGTAGGCCACCACACCCAGCCTCCTCTTATTTTTCTAACAGGGTTCCCACCTGATCCATAAACAGCCTGGTCCCCCTGCAATGGGGGCCTGAGAGCCAACGCTATGCCATCTCTCCTCAAAGGCATCTGTCCTGTCTGACATGGCTAGGAGTCCCCCAAGCCACCACCAGGCTACCCTATCACAGGCTTGCTAAGCTCCATCCAGCAGTGTAACCAGGATCTAAAAGCGGATTTGCCTCACATTTTGCTGTTGTTTCCAAAAAAAAGTAGCCCAATACCACCTCCCTCTGTAATGGCGGCTTGTTTTCTCTCTGGCCACACAGCAGACAGCAACTCCTTGCTTAACGTGAGATATTATTGGCCGGGGGCGGTGGCTCACGCCTGTTATCCTAGCACTTTGGGAGGCCGAGGCAGGCAGATCGCCTGAGGTCAGGAGTTCGAGACCAACCTGGCCAACGTGGGGAAGCCCTATCTCTAATAAAAATACAAAAATTTGCTGGTCATGGTGGCATGTGCCTGTAATTCCAGCTACTCAGGAGGCTGAGGCAGGAGAATCGCTTGAACCCAGGAGATAGAGGTTGAAGTGAGCCGAGATCGCGCCGTTGCACTCCAGCCTGGGCAACAAGAGTGAAACTCCATCTCAAAAATAAATAAATAAATAAACAATTAAAATAAAATAAAGCGAGATGTTATTAAGCCTCCAAGGGGCGTGATGAATGTTACTGTCTTTAGGACGGGAAAATCCATTTGTTCCCTTCCGCAGTGGAGTGGAAGAACAGCACCTGAAGTTGGAATCAACACTTAAAACAATTTCTAATCCTTTTTGTACTTTAATATTTTCGGGGACTGCTTACTATTTAATAAGTGCTCTTCCTGGGTTAATCTTCTATAATTTAGCCAGAGGCCCATTTGTTTGATTTCTGTGACTTTTAATTATTCTGGCGGTCCCTGGGGTAGGAACAGCAGAGGTCTCTTAGAATAGGCATACTATGAACAGCTGTGATTAAATGGTTTTGCATTTTTCATGAAACAGGTATGAACTCCGACCCTAGCGAATCGAAGGTTCTGAGGAAAGATGGAATTCTTGTTAGCGACTCTATGGCAGCCTTTGCGTACATTAGAGATAGGTCAATGAATCAAAGCTCCCTAGAATGCTGATGGATTTACTAAAGTCTTGTTAATAAATGTGCTGTTCAATTATAACACTCAGATAACTAAAGGACAATGACTTCAAGTTTGACATGCCAACCACCGCTTCTAAGATTCAGAAACACAGAGGCCTGAGTTCAGGCACAGTCGCAACCAGGCAGTCAGCAAGAGAACCACATAAACAGACAAAGTCACACTATTTAGGAGTTGAGCTCCACAGATATTGTTCACTTTTGAAAAGCAGATACCTGAGGAATGCATTTCCCAGCTCTAAAATTTGGGAAGGAACTAGAATTATTGAATTCCAACCCTGGTTGGAAGAAAAATGAGCCAGAAGATCACTCAGTAAACAAGACAGATGATGCCCCATGAAGACAGAACCACTTTCTGGGTCATTAGTGTTATTCCTAATGGTTGCCAAGGATTCCCTTGTTAGTCTTCCCCATGAGGATCAATCAGACTCAGCCCTCATGAATTAACAGAGCCAAAAGGCTTATACCAAGGCCGGCCACACCACGGGGACCTCTTCATCAAGGGGAAGGTATGTACAATTTTTCCTCACCACCCTCTCTTCTTATCTTAAGATAGAATGCATTTTGGAGTGTCATCTGCAAGTTTCAGCAATGCCTGCCTATGTTCAGAGAGACAAAAACCAGAGACTTTCAGTAAAGTACATGTTAATATAACACATAACAGTATTACTATTCAAGGCCTGCAAAGATGGGGCTATTCAGTTTAAGCCTGTCTCAGAGGAAAAGAGAGGCTTAGGGAATGTATTTGTCTGTTCTCATGCTACTAATAAAGACATACCTGAGGTTGGGTAATTTATAAAGGCAAGAGGTTGAATGGACTCACAGTTCCACATGGTTAAGGAGGCCTCACAATCTCGGTGGAAGGTGAATGAGGAGCAAAGTCACGTCTTACTTGGTAGCAGGCAAGAGAGCTTGTGCAGGGGAACTCCCCTTTATAAAACCATCAGATTTCGTGAGACGTATTCACTATCATGAGAACAGCATGGGAAAGACCCACCCAATGATTCAATTACCTCCCACCACGTCCCTCCCATGACACATGCAGATTAGGGGAGCTACAATTCAAGATGAGATTTGGGTGGGGACACAGCCAAACCATATCAGGGAATGATCTCAATACATGAGATGCAGAGTTCAGTCTCAGGGTCCCCTGATGTTCTATTCTCCTGCATTAGGATTCCTCCTGTGTGTGTGTGTTATGTGGTTGTTGGTTTCTTCTGTGGGTCCTCTCTTTTCTAGCCACCTTCTCATTTTCATGTCTTGCTGTTCCTGATCATTGTCAATGTTAAGAACCGTAAGGATTTTTCTTGTCAGATATATCCCCATATTTACAAAGACCCCAGGGAGCTTCTTGGAGAAAAGCCATCATGAAAATCCTCCAGACAGAGAATAACAATTGAAGGGGAATGAGACTGACATTGTGCTCAGTGAGCTGTGGCCGTGCTGTGTGCTTTACCCCAACTACCTTGTCGGTTCCTCTCAACAACTGCCTCAGCCAGCCCAGCTGCCATAACAAAGTACCCGAGACCGGATGGCCTAAATAACAGACATTGATTTTCTCACTGTTCTGGAGGCCAGAAGTTCATGATCAAAGTATCCACCATCCCTTTCTGGTAAGGGCTGTCTTCCTGGCTGGCAGACAGCAGCCTTCTTGCTTGTCCTCACATGGCAGAGAGGGGGAGAGACAGAGACAGAGACAGAGACATCTCTTCTTTTTATAAATCCACCAATCCTATCAGATTAGGATTCCACCCTTATGACCTCCTTTAACGTTAATTAGCTCCTAATGAGTGAATTGGAGGGAACACAATTCAGTCCACAGCAACAACCCTGAGAGATGGGACTCTGGTCCCCTGTTCTGCACTTGAAGCCGGTGGCCAGAGGAGTTCAGCCATTTGCCTGAGGACACCATGGACAATGGCAGGGCCCGGATTCAGGCTCAGCTAATACAAAGCTTGCACTCCAGCTACTCTGAATTTTGAGGGATGCAACCACCTCCCCATTCTGATCCTGAGTTGGCTAAATTAGCTTTCCTCCATCCCTTTCTATACTTTTATGTGACTGTCATTCCCAGAAACCACAGGATAGAGATATTCGTTTAGTGACTGTCTCTCCTGCTAGTGGCTCAGCTCCACAGGGGCAGGTGCTTTGTCATCTTATTTCGTGTGGTGTCCCTGCATCTAGGTTGCGGTGCTGGTACAGAACAGGTGCACAGTCAGTAGTTAAGGAACAATTGAAGGATGACTGCTGATCTGGGCTTATGAGCTTTTTCCTGTGCCTTATTGTCATCCAATATTTGCTATTTATAAGATGTCAATTTTTTTTTAAATGTAAGGAGTTGATGAGCTGTTATTTGGTTTTATTGAGGGGTGTTTTGGGACATTTCTCTCAGCAAACCATGGCCACTCCTCCATATAATGTCCAAGAGAAAGAGTCTCTAAATGCACTGTGTTGGATGTTAGCCAAATGAAATCACCACAAGAAGCTCGTGACTCAAATCACAGAGGCTCACAAGGCCCTAGTAGAACGGGCTCCTCTGGGCTTGCCTGTGGATTTTCTTGGTGTGTCTGTATCGCTGTCTGGGTGGCCACTCTAGAGGTGAGAAGCATGCAGCGCATGCTCGGGGGTCTGCAGGCCAGTGTGCCGCAGAGGTGCTTGTGGACATCAGGCTGGGCCATTTCGACCTAAACAGGCAGTGGCCACCAGCCAACATCACACAGTGCTGAGCGCCATCCTCAATGCTGCTGGGGACAGGTGCCCAGACAACTCTCAGTCGCACCCCCGGCCCCACTGTGGGGATATGACCCACGGGATGAGCTGGGGTCTCTAGGCGCCCCCAAAGCAGGAGCAGCTGGGAGCCAAGAGTGTGAGCAGGGCAGTTTCCAGCCCAAACCACCCAAATAGGTGGCAAATCGAGTGAATCCAAAAGTGCATTTCCCAGGTCAGGCTACAAGTAGCTTTGACACAGTAGTGCAGTCCAGTGTACCTGGGGACAAAGAGATGAGAAACCAAAATCGAGAGGTTTGTCCCCTGATATTACAGCACAGAGGTCGGCAGAAGGGACAGGGACATGTCCAAGGGTCCCTGGTGAAGTGTCTCCTCGGGTCATTTGAATGATCTGTGAGATGGTTTCCCCAACATTCAAAAAGCTTCTTAGGCATGTTTGAATTTACTGTTATTTCAATAATACACACTTACTCCCTGAATTCATTCTAGAATCAAGATCATGAGTCTGAGGAAGCTCATAGAAAAAAAATTGGAAATTAGAGAAATGGAAAAGGAGTGGTTTGTGTGTATGTGTGCATGTGTGTGTGTGTGCGTGTGTGCAAGTGTGCATGTGCATGTGTGTGCACGTGTGTGCACGTGTGTGCATGTGGATGTGTGCATGTGTGTGTATCTGTGTGCATGTGTCTGTGTGTGCATCTGTATGTGTGTATGTGTGTGCATGTGTGTGCACGTGTTTTTGTGTGCATGTGTGTGTACGGTGTGTACAGGGGTGTACATGCATTTCTGCGTGTGCATGTGTTTGCATGTGTGTGCCTGTATGTGCATGCATGTGTATCTCTGTGTGTGCATGTGTGTGTCTGTGTGCATGTGTGTGCATGCATGTGTGTCTTCGTGTGCATATGTACATCTGTGTGTGCCTGTGTGTATGTATGTGTATGCATGTGTGTTGCCTGTGTGTGCATGTGTCTGTATGCATGTGCATTTGTTGCATGTGTGTGTGCCTTCGTGTGTTTGTGTGCATGTGTGTATCTGTGTGTGTGCATGTGTGTGCCTATATGTATGTGTATCTGTATGTGTGTTTGTGCATGTGTGTGTATCTGTATGTGTGCTTGCATGTGTGTGTGTGGGTGCATGAGTGTATGCATGCGTGTGTGTGCATGCATATGTGCGTGTGTATGTGTGTGTGTAAGTGTGTGTTGGAAGTTCTTAGCAAGACAGTGTAATAGCTGTCTCGGCATGAACCATTGTCCCCTGGGAGATTGTGCCCAAGGAGACTTATGTATTTAGACAGTCTTGCATGAGAATATGACCTCTCCTATTCCACCGAATTACTGTTTCATTGACATCTGGCTTTGGGTGTTTCCCTCATATGTGCCTGCAGGCATGCCTTTTGTGGCCTAATATTTCCGTCGCTGCCCCTGCCCCCTTGGGACAGTGACAGATATGTCATCAGCCTCTGGCAGGCCCTGCTGTGGGCTTTTGGGGCACAGGGGTAAGGAAGCTGGGCTGAAGGGACAGGCTTGCAGCCTGGGATGTCCTGTGTTGGGAGGCATCATTATTTCATAAGGGAGGAACCCTAGGGCCACAGACAAGCTCATACTGAAAGAGAAACACAACAACACGCTCCACCGTCAGAGCTACGTGATTCCCCCACCAGGGAGGACCACTGGAAATCAGCACCACCTTGTCATGGAGATGTGGATTCGGATGTGTTCCCACAGTCTCCAATCTCTGGTTTCATGACAGAAGGTTTCTGTCACACCCCTAAGTGCTGTCAGACCAGCGCTCGGTACACTTTGTGCTTTCTTCTGGACAACACTCAGGCCCTGACTGCTGCCTTGATCCTCTCAACAGCAATAGTGCCCCGACAGGGGGAACCCTCGCCATGGCCTCTAGGTGTCTTATCTGGACATGAACGAGCTGGAGTGTGTGTTTGCCCCAGGTCAGGATCTAAGTATGGAAAGGAGCCTTAAAGGCCATAGGACCCCTTCGGAGGCTCCCAAGCACAGACAGCAGCTGATCAAATTAAAGTCATTCACTCCAGCTGGGGATGAACCAAGGCTAAATTTAGAACAATGCCAGCAATAACACAGTGTGAAGAGTCTGTTCAATCACAAGGAAAACTTTGTTTTTCCAGAATACAGAATAGGAAAAGGAGACACAAAAGTATAAAGTAGTCCAAGTGATTCTAGAGAACAGTTGACATTCCCTTAGTGTAAAGCCTGGGACCATGGAGAGAGCACGGGCCTGAGCTTGGGGTCCCAGCCAAGTGGTGGCTTTGCACAAGTGACTTGACTACAACAAGGGGGGTTGGACCAGCTCATCACTAAGATGCCAGCTGACCAACATCTGGTGAGTTTGTAACTTCAAACTAGTTGATCCAGATGACTCGGAAGCCTCGTTCCCAGGGACCTGCCAAGGGTTGCCCACGTTACCCATCTCTGGCGGCTGCATCTCAGCAGAGTCGATGCAGACTAGCCCTAAAGAGTCTCACTTAGCAGGAGGCAGGCCTAGGCCAAGAGGCACCTGGAGTCTTATGAGAGAGAAGCTCTCCTGGCAGGAGAACCCAGATACCCACCTCCCAGGAGAAGAGAGAGAAAAAATGGGAACTGATTTTATGGAGCCACATCCCCAGGGCACCAAGCCGAGGGCTCAAATGCATGATTCCCTCCTTTTATGCACTCAGCAAATATTTTCATAATGCCCACTGTGTGCCAGAGATGGCACTGGGGATTTGGCAAAGAACAAGACGGTTCCAGCCCCTGCCCTCAGGGAGCTTGCATTCTAGGTGGAGAGAAAGGATGGCACCCACTCAGCGAGTGAGTGAGGGTTGTCAGTTGGGCTGTGAAGAAGACATTCAAGATACTCTGAGACTAAATGACAGGGGACCTGGCTAGGCTAAGGCAGGGGGAGGTATCTAGTAGTGCTGGATGAAGAGGGAGTAAAGAACTTTCCAGGCTAACAGAAGAGCACATGCGGAAACACCAGGGTGCGCAGGCATCTGATGCAACACGAGTGAGGAATGGGAGGCCGGAGCGGGGAGCAGAGAGGAAACGGAAAGTCTCGGGAGTTGAACTTGGAGAGGGTGACAAGGGCCACGTCATAGCCGGCTTCCTAGGCTGTGGTCAGGACTTGACTTTTATTAGGTTGGTGCAAAAGTAATTGTGATTTCCGCCATTACTTTTTTTTTTTTTATCAGAGTCTGTCTCGGTCACCCGGGTTGGAGTGCAGTGGTGTGATCTTGCATCACTGCAACCTCCAAGTCCCAGTTTCAAGCCAATTTTCTGCCTCATCCTCCCAAGTAGCTGGGACTACAGGCACACGCCACCACCCCCAGCTAATTTTAATTTTTGTATTTTTACTAGAGATGGGGTTTCACCATGTTGCCCAGGCTGATCTCAAACTGCTGACCTCAAGTGATCCACGTGCCTCGGTCTCCCAAACTGCTGGAATTACAGGTGTGAGCCACCACGCCCAGCCAATTTCTGCCATTACTTTGAATGGAAACAGCAATTACTTTTGCACCAACCTAATAGCTTAGGAGACGGAAGAGGTCATCTATATGTTTTAAGTCAGGCAGTGGTGTGACCCAACGGGTATTTCTAAAAGATTACAGAGGCCATGCAGGAAAGATGGTTTCCATATGGTCTGTGGTTGCTTTAGCACTACAACAGCAGAGCTGTTATATTTGCAACAGAGACCACGTGGCCCATAAACCTGCAATAGTTCCTATCTGGCCATTCACTAGAAGAGGGGGGCAGGAGAGCAGGATGGGGCCCAAGTGCCTGCGGGGAAGATGGAGCAGAACAGTGTTTCATCCGTTTTTCAGATAATTTCATGAGGACGAAAGACATCTTAATGAAAGTGAAAGTACAAGGTATTTACCAGGAGATATTCACACCGGATGCCGTGTCTCACACCTGCAATCCCAGCTTCACACCAGATGCAATGGCTCACACCTGTAACCCCAGCACCTGGGGAGGCCAAGGCAGGAGGATCACTTTCAGCCAGGAGTTTAAGACCAACCCGGGAAAAAAGACCTCATCTCTACAAAAAAATATAATAAAAAGTTAGCCGGGCATGGTAGTATATGCCTGTAGTCCCAGCTACTCAGGAGGCTGAGGTGACAGGATTGTTTGAGCCCAGAAATTCAAGGCCGCAGCACGCTATGATTGTGCCACTGCACTCCAGTCTGGGTGAAAAAGGGAGACTCTCTCTTTCTCGCTGTCTCTCTCACACGTTCTCTCTCTCTCTCTCTCTCTCTCTCTCTCTCTCTCTCTCTCTCTCTCTATATATATATATATATATATATATATATATATATATAAATGTATATATAGATAGACACAATATATTTGCTGTCAAAGTATTATCATCAAAAGTCTATAGAAAATATCCACACCCTTGGGCTGGGCACAGTGGCTCACGTCTGTAATCCTAACACTTTGGGAAGTTGAGGCGGGTGGATCACCTGAGCTCAGGAGTTCAAGACCAGCTTGGCCAACATGGCAAACCCCATCTCTACTAAAAATACAGAAATTAGCTGGTGTGGTGGCACGCACCTGTAATCTCAGCTACTAAGGAGGCTTAGGCGCAAGAATCACTCGAACCCGGGAGGCGGAGGTTGCAGTGAGCCCAGATTGTGCCACTGCACTCCAGCCTGTGCGACAGAGTGAGACTCCATGAAAACACAAAACAAAACAAAATAAAACCAAATCAAAAAAAAAAAAAAAAAAAAAAAAAAAAAAAAAAAAACAGGCACTTCTGACACATGCCGCAACATGGATGAACCTTGAAGACATTATCGTCAGTGAAATAAATAAATCCCAAAAGGATAAACATGTCCAGGCTCAGTGGCTCGCACCTGTAACCCCAGTATTTGGGGAGGCTGAGGCAGGCGGATCCCTTAAGCTCAGGAGTTCGAGACCAGCCTGGCCAATATGGTGAAAGCTCATCTCTATTAAAAATACAAAAATTAGCTGGGCGTGATAGCGCACGCCTGTAATCCCAGCTACTCAGGAGACTGAGACATAAGAATTGCCTGAACCCCCGATGTGGAGGTTGCAGTGAGCCGAAATCATGCCACTGCACTCCAGCCTGGGCGACAGAGAAAGACTCTGTATCTAAAAAAAAAATTAAACACGGTATGATTCCACTTATCTATCAAGTGTCTAGAGTAGTTAGACTCCTAGAGTTGCAAACTAGAAAGGTGGCCCCAGGGCTGGGCGAGAGAGAGGAGTGGAGAGCTTGGTAAATGGTTGCAATTTCCATTTTGAAAAATAAAACTGTTCCGGAGATGATGGCGGTGATGGTTGCTAAACAATGTGAACGTACTTAATGTCATGAAACTGTAAACTGAAAAAGCGTGGAAACTGTAAATGTTTATACTGGCCATTCTATATGAACTAATATATATTTATAATTTTTCATATTTATATGTGGTATATTTTCCCATAATAAAAGATGAAAATTAAAGCAGTTGGATTTTTAAAAAGAAAAGAAAGAAGCGAAGAATACACACCAGCTTTCTCCTGATTAGAGGAAGAGCCCCAAAGCTTCTATGGACAATCATTTTCTCTTCTTCTTCTTGCATGATGATGAGGAATCCTTAGAGGTTGGGGAACTTGGGCGACTTTGGCTAATGAGGAGCTCTGTGCCTTGAGCCCCCCAGGCCACAGAACAGTAAATACTCAGTCTGTGCCTCCAGCCCTGCAGTGTGAGGTTCCAGTCCTGTGGGCTCCACTCCCATCACCTGTATCAGGAGGCTCATGTCTCACCCTGTCTTCTTGCCAGCCTTGAGGATGGAGTCTGAGCATCCGTCGTGCACCATGCAGAGAGGACAGTGGACCTGTTCTCCGTGGTCATGGCCCAGCAGAGGGGAAGGGCAGTTCAGTGAGTGTAGGCAAAAGAAAGAGAGATCAGACTCTTACTGTGTCTATGTAGAAAGGAAAGACATAAGAGACTCCATTTTGAGAAAGACCTGTACTTTCAACAATTGCTTTGCTGAGATATTGTTAATGTGTAGCTTTGCCCCAGCAACTTTGACCCAACCTGAAGCTCACAAAAACATGTGTTGTATGAAATCAAGGTTTAAGGGATCTAGGGCTGTGCAGGATGTGCCTTGTTAACAAGATGTTTCCAAGCAGTATACTTAGTAAAAGTCATTGCCATTCTTTAGTCTCAATAAACCAGGGGCACAGTACACTGTGGAAAGCCTCAGGTAGCCCTGCCCTTGAAAGCGGCGTATTGTCCAAGGTTTCTCCCCATGTGATAGTCTGAAAAGTGGCCTCATGGGATGAGAAAGACCTGACCGTCCACGAGCCCGACACCCGTAAAGGGTCTGTGCTGAGGTGGATTAGTCAAAGAGGAAAGCCTCTTGCAGTTGAGGGAGAGGAAGGCCGCTGTCTCCTGCCTGACCCTGGGAACAGAATGTCTCGGTATAAAACCCGATTGTACATTTGTTCAATTCTGAGATGGGGGAAAACCGCCCTATGGTGGGAGGTGAGACATGTTTACAGCAATGCTGCCTTGTTACTCTTTACTGCACTGAGATGTTTGGGTGGAGAGAAACATCAATCTGGCTTACGTGCACGTCCAGTCATAGTACCTTCCCTTGAACTTCATTATGACATAGATTCTATTGTTCACATGTTCGTTGCTGACCTTCTCCTTATTATCACCCTGCCCTCCTACTACATTCCTTTTTGCTAAAATAATAAAAATAATAATCAATAAAAACTGAGGGAACTCAGAGGCCTGTGCCAGTGCAGGTCCTTGGTATGCTGAGCGCCGGTCCCCTGGGCTCACTGTCGTTTCTCTATACTTTGTCTCTGGGTCTTATTTCTTTCCTCAGTCTCTCATCCCACCCGACTAGAAATACCCACAGGTGTGGAGGGCCAGGCCACCCCTTCAAGTGAGTGTTGAGGGACGGTCGGGAGCCTTGTTTGGTTTCCTCCTCCTCAGGATAAACAGGAGAGTGCGGTGGGCAGATGGGAGGAGAACAAAGTGCAAACTGTCCGCTCAGCAGTGTGCAGTTTCTGTTCTTGGATGTGCTGGGGGTCTCAGAAATCTTATTCAAAATTTTGCTTTCCTCCCCCACTGGTTGTCCTTTTCATAGACATCTCACCCATGATAGCAGGGAATCGGTCCCTCTAAACTATTCCCTAACAACAACAAAAAGATTATGAAGGTGATGATGAGGATAAAGAGGATGATGACAGACACCATGGCATCATGAACCCTTACTGAGGGTTTCCTAAAGGCCAGGCTCTGAGCTCTGTGCTCTATGCAGCTTGTTTCATTTCATCTGCGTAGTCTCCACGTTATTAGTGCACATTTCAGGATGATTTTACAGACTAGAAAAGGAGCAATGCCTTTTCAAATCACTCGTACTTGATCATGAAGTCAAAAAGGGTGAAGTCCATTTTCAACCAGGCAGTCTAAGTCCAGACATATGGCATTTGGCCAGTCCTCTCCCTGCAACCAACCTGTCCTCTCAAATTCTCGTCACTCAGGCGGATGCCCCTGCTCACTGTGCCCTTCCCTTTGGGGGTTCCTTGTAGACCACAGCTAGACCAGTGAGTGCCACAATCACTGTGTCAAGTATGGAAACAGCAGCTGAGATCACATCGAGGATTCCAGAAAGAATTGGCACAGGATCATTTGGGACACATCTCTCCCTTGCCCCTGTTCCTGGCTTTCCTTACAGCTCTCGACTTCCTCCAAGGAGTCATCAATTCGGAGTTTGGCTTCCATTCCTAATGAGGAAGCTGGAAAGTGTTTCAAAAATGCTCCTCCGATGTGCCTGTGGTTAAGACCTCTGAGCTCTGCTTAAAACTTTTGGAAGCTGGGAGCGGTGGCTCACGCCTGTAATCCCAGCCCATTGGGAGGCTGAGGCAGGTGAATCACAAGGTCAGGAATTCGAGACCAGCCTGGCCAACATGGTAAAACCACGTCTCTACTCAAAATAGAAAAAAATGAGCCAGGCGTAGTGGCGGGCGCCTGTCATCTCAGCTAATTGGCAGGCTGAGGCAGGACAATAGCTTGAACCTGGGATGCAGAGGTTGCGGTGAGCCGAGATCATTCCATTGCACTCCAGCCTGGGCAAGGGAACGAGACTCCGTCTCAAAACAACAAAAACAAAAACAAAAACCAAAAAAACCCCACAACTTTTTGAGAGTTGGAAGACCAAGAAGTATAGTACCCGGGACTTCGAGTCTGGCCATGAATTTGGAATACCACCCTTTCTACTTCTCTGTATGGCAAGGGGTGAGATGTCCATCCTCTGAGACTCAGCACTCTCATCTGACTTGATTTCCAGTTGATCCGATGGAAGTGAGTGACGATTAAGCTGATCGTGGGCGCCTGCTGCGTGATCTCTAGGTGACGGATACATAAAGTAAAGGCAAAGTGAATTTTAGATACATTCCTTAAGATTTTCAGCTTCAACTCCACACAATTCAACGGAAATATCCCCTGACCTGAAGTTCTGCTTTCCCTGCATTCCACACAGGACGTTTTGTTTTGTCCTTCTCTCAGTAAGTACTGAGTACTGTGAGAGGAACAAGAGAGTCTCTTTTGTTTCTGATTCCCCAGATCCTATATCTTTCTTGGCACATAGGAGACAGCAAAAGTCAAAATCTATGTTAATGGTTGAATTGACCCTTCCTTGCTTCATCAAAATTGGCTGTCATCAGGGTGACTTTGACTTACTTGATTCTTGTTTTTTGTTTTTTGAGACGGAGTTTTGCTCTTGTTGGCCCAGGCTGGCGTGCAGTGGTGTGATTTCGGGTCACTGTAGTCTCTGCCTCCCAGGTTCAAGCCATTCTCCTGCCTCAGCCCCCCGAGTAGCTGGGACTACAGGCGCGCTCCGCCATACCGGGCGAAGTTTTTGTATTTTTAGTAGAGGTGGGTTTTCACCATGTTGGCCAGGATGGTCTTGATCTCCTGACCCCGTGATCCGCCCTCCTCGGCCTCCCAAAGTGCTGGGATTACAGGCGTGAGCCACCGCATCCAGCCAAACTTTCTGATGAAAACTCTAAGTCCACCTAAGCTAAGGACAGGAGTTAGAGCTTCCATGAATTTTAAAACAAGACCCACTGATTTGAGTAAGCAATTACTCTCTTGAAGGAGAAAAGTCCGAAAACAGAATGATGAAATCACTAGGACCCAACTGGCATGTGGAACTATTTTCTGCTTATGAACTATCAACTTTCATTCCATTTCCAGATGGCATGGTCTCAGCTGTTATACAGTGTTTACAAATGTTCTAAATCAAGGGAATTTGTAACAATCTAGTAGAATAAATAAAGTATTTGAGTTCTTAATTTCCTTTAATTAGGATAACCTTTTTCTTAAAGTGAAGACAATGGTTTTATTACATCTTGTTCTTCGGAAAAGATAGGCTGTATTTTCTAGCAATTACGAATTTGTTATATATGATGATCTGGTTCTTGGAACGTTCTTGAAGCTAGTGTCTCTAAGGCAGGTGTGTACAGCAAGACGTGAATAACACAGCAATCGATGTTGAAAGCATTATAAGGCAATTGAGCTTGTCAGAACTACAAAATATTGCTGAGTGTGGATTGCTCTGAAATCTGAAAACATTACTTGTGAATTGCTTATATCCAAAATGCAGACACAAGGCTGGGTATTGGTTTACTTGTTTCTGATTTTTCAACCATCTTTTCCAGGCAAAAGGTGTCCAAACTATACAGACCCACAGAGTCTAACAGATGTCTCTATATTCCTCCTCCTCAAACTCTCAGAGGATCCAGAACTGCAGCCGGTCGTTGCTGGGCTGTTCCTGTCCATGTGCCTGGTCACAGTGCTGGGGAACCTGCTCATCATCCTGGCCATCAGCCCTGACTCCCACCTCCACATCCCCATGTACTTCTTCCTCTCCAACCTGCCCTTGCCTGACATCGGTTTCACCTCCACCACGGTCCCCAAGATGATTGTGGACATCCAGTCTCACAGCAGAGTCCTCTCCTATGCGGGCTGCCTGACTCAGATGTCTCTCTTTGCCATTTTTGGAAGCATGGAAGAGAGGCATGCTCCTGAGTGTGATGGCATATGACCGGTTTGTAGCCATCTGTCACCCTCTATATCGTTCAGCCATCTTGAACCCGTGATTCTGTGGCTTCCTAGATTTGTTGTCTTTGTTTTTGTTTGTTTGTTTGTTTGTTTTTCTCAGTCTTCTAGACTCCCACCTGCACAACTTGATTGCCTTACAAATGACCTGCTCCAAGGATGTGGAAATTCCTAATTTCTTCTGGGAACCTTCTCAACTCCCCCATCTTGCATGTTGTGACACCTTCACCAGGAACATCAACATGTATTTCCCTGCTGCCATATTTGGTTTTCTTCCCATCTCAGGGACCTTTTCTCTTACTGTAAAATTCTTTCCTCCATTCTGAGGGTTTCATCATCAGGTGGGAAGTATAAACCTTCTCCACCTGTGGGTCTCACCTGTCAGTTGTTTGCTGATTTTATGGAACAGGCGTTGGAGGGTACCTCGGTTCAGATGTGTCATCTTCCCCGAGAAAGAGTGCAGTGGCCTCAGTGATGTACACGGTGGTCACCCCCATGCTGAACCCCTTCATGTACAGCCTGAGAAACAGGGATATGAAAAGTGTCCTGCGGCGGCCGCACGGCAGCACAGTCTAATCTCAATATCTTCTTATCTGTTCCATTCCTTTTGTAGTGTGGGTTAAAAAAGGCAGCAAGGTCAAATAAGAATGATATCACAGGGTGAACACCCACTGTGACATTACGAGTAATACCTCCCTAGGATATAGAATATACTGTCACAGAGTACACACACATGGGGTACACCCACTGTGACATTAGAAGCAATATCTCCCTAAAGTATGATTAAAAATATCACAGGGTGTGCACACTGTGTGATATGAGGAGGCATATTTACCCTGGATATCACGACTCATATCAAGGGTGTACACACACCGGGTACACGCACTGTGATATCAGGAGTTGCATATCCCTGGGATATTACGAATAATATCAGAGGGTATACACTATGTGTGAACATCCACTGTGATATTTGAAGACATATATCTCTATGAGATTACAAATAATATCAAAGTGTGTACACCCCTGTGACATATTAGGAGTAACATCCTTCTAGGGTATTACAGATAACATCACAAGGTGTACACCTTCTGTGACCTTTTGCTCACACTTTGTGCCATTCAAGGAAACATCCCCCTAGGATATTACGAATAATGACACAGGCGGTTGACACACATGGTGTACATCTCCTGTGCCATCAGCAGTAACATTCCCCTAGGATATTACGAATAATATCACAGCAGGTGTACACATATGGTGTTCACCCCATGTGAACATTAGGAGGAACATGCCCCTAGGGTATTAGGAATAGTATCACAGGTGTTGAATACACATGATATATGCCCCCGGTGACATTGAAAGTAACATCACCCTAGGATATTACGAATAACATCACAGGGAGTACACCCCGTGTGACATTAGGAGTAACATCCCCCGAGGATATAACGAATAATATCAGGGAGCGTACAGACATTGTGACCTTAGTGGTAACATCTCTTTAGGATATTACCAATCATATCACAGGGTGTCCACTGACCGTGATATTAGGAGTCCCATTTTCCTAGGATATTATGAATAATATCACAGGAGGTGTTCACACACAATGTGTACACCATGTGTGTACATCCAATGTGATATTTGAAGTCATATGTCCGTAGGATCTTACGAATATTATCAAAGGGTGTATACCCCATGTGACATTAAAAGTAACATCCCTTTTGGATATTCTGAATGCTATCACAGGCTGTGATATTAGGAGTAACCTCTTCCTAGGATATTACGAATAACATCACAGGGTGTACACCCCTTTGACTTTAAAAGTAACACCACCCTAGAATATTACAATAATATAACAGGGTGTACAACCCCCGTGACATTACGAGTAACATCTCCTTAGGATATTTCGAATGATGTCACTGGGGGCACACCCTCTGTGATATTAGCAGCAACATCTTTCTAGGAGATTACGAATGATATCACAAGGTGTACACTCACTCTGATATTGGAAGGAATATCTCCCTAGGATATAAGCTATCACATCACAGAGTGTACACACATGGTGTACACCCACTGTGTTATTAGAAGAAATATCTCCCAATGATATGAAAAATATCACAGGGTGTACCCTCTGTGGGATACTAGAAGTAATGTTTACCATGGATATTACAAATAATATCACAGGATGTACACACATGGGCTACACCCACTGTGATATTAGGAGTTATATCTCCCTAAGATATTACAAATAATATCCCAGTGGGTGTAGCCCATGTGTGTACACCCACTGTGATCATTAAAGTAATATGTCTCTATAAGATTGCAAATAATATCAAAGGCTGTACACCCCCTGTGACATTAGGAGTAACATCCCCCTACAATATTGGGAGCAATATCACACGGTGTACACCCCTGTAACGTTAGGGGTAACATCCCCCCAGAATATTACTAATAATATCACAAGGGGTACACGCATTCTGACATTAGTAGTAATATCCAGCTAGCATATTTTCAATAATATCAGGAAGGAAGACACCTGTGACATTACAAGTGACATCCCCCTGGAATAGTAAGAATACTATCACAGGGTATACACTTCCTGTGATATTAGGAGAATCATCTCACCAGAATATTACAAATAATGTCACAGTGTGTTATCTTCTGTGACATTAGGAGTATAGACCCCTGGGAAATTTTGAATACTATCACAGGGTGTACACCCTGTGACGTTAGGAGTAACATCCTTCTACAATATCATGAATAATATCACAATGTGTACACCCCCTGTGTCATTAACAGTACAATTGCCCTAGGATATTATGAAATAGAACACAGGGACTACACGCCGTGTGACATTAGAAGTCACATCCCTCGAGGATATAAGGAATAATATCACAGAATGTACATGCATTGGGACATCAGTAGTCACATCTCTTTAGGATAATACGAACAATATCAAAGGGTGTACACGCATTGTGAAATTAGTAGTGAACTCCCGCTGGGATATTACGAATTTTATGACAGGGTCTACACGCCCTGGGACATTAGTAGTCACGTTTTCCTAGAATAAGACGAAGAATATTAAAGGGTGTACAGGACCTGTGATTTACGAGTAACATTTCTATAGAAGATTACACGTAATATCACTGGATGTACACCCCGTGTGACGTTAGCAGTCATATCAAACAAAACTATAACGAATAATTTCACAAGGTGTGCAACATCTGTGACATTAAAAGTAACATTTCCCTAGAATATGACGATAATATCACAGAGTGTACACCCTCGTTGATATGAGGAGTGACATCTTATAAGGGTAATACGAGTAATTTGAAAAGGTGCACAAACCCTGTGACATAAAGAGTGACATGCTTCCAGGATATTCCGAATCATACCACAGGGAAAATACTCCGTGTGACAATAAAATCAACCTCCCCTTAGGAGATTAAGAATAATAGCACACGCTGAACACACATTGTGGCATTATTATTAACGTATCGTTAGGGTGTTGCGAATCATATCAGAGTGTGTAGAGACTTGTGAAATACGGATTCATGTTTCGCGACAATACCACGAATAATATCACAGGGTGTATAACCCCTGGGACTTAAACAGTGACACCATCCTAGAAGATGGAAAATAATGTCCCAGGATGTTAACTAAGCGTGGCAGTAGAGAAAACATAATAGGAGAAAGGGAGTAATATCAACCGCTCTCCCCACTGAATATTACGAGCCACATCGCAGGGGGGTGAGGGCGCCCCCCGCGATGCGGGGAGTAATAGCAACCGCCTCTTGCCCCCCTGGCTCTTAGGACCCCCATCGCAGGGGGGCGAGGCGCCCCCCGCGATGCGGGGAGTAAAGAAAGAGCCAGCCCCTCTTGCCCCCCTGGCTCTTAGGATCCGCGGTGGAC
This sequence comes from Homo sapiens, assembly GCF_000001405.40. Taxonomy (NCBI): domain Eukaryota; kingdom Metazoa; phylum Chordata; class Mammalia; order Primates; family Hominidae; genus Homo; species Homo sapiens. The sequence goes on along the minus strand of NC_000007.14, from coordinate 6,876,288 downwards.
TCACAGTCTTTTTATCATATTGTGCGTAATATCATCTCCCCCTCTGGAGATTCTGAGCCTTTTCACAGACTGGTGTACACCCTTTGTGTGCAGAGGTTGTACACCGGTCTGTGTTTTGAGTCATATCATCCTCTTCCTCCCTTAATATTAGGAACAGTATCACATGGGTGTTTCTTCTCCCTGGGATATCGGGTGTCATGTCCTCCTCTCCCAGGTTGCAATTAGAAACAATATCACTGGGGGCGTGTCCACCTTCTGTGGTATTGAAAGTAATATTATCCTCTTCTTTCCAGGATCATGGGAATGATATCCTTGCGGGTGTCCACTTTCTGCCATATATGTAGTCATATCACCTCCTCCGCCTTGGAATATTTTTAAGGACCGTCTCACACTGGTGTGTACACTTCCTGCGATGTTGGGAGTAATAGCATTCTCTTCTTCCGTGAATATTAGGAGCAAAATCACCGGGTGGATGTACACCCAGTGCTATATTGGGAGTAACGTCATTCTCCACCCCCTGGAGATTATATTCGGATCAATATCACCGGCTGGTTGTACACCTACTGCGATATTCAACGTAATATCATGCTCTCTCCCTCCCTGGACATTAGGAGCAATATCACATGTGGGTGTACACCCACTGAGGTATTAGGGCGTAATATTAGTATGAATTATTCCTCTTTTATTATTAACATGAATATGAATGACCGATATTAATATTCATATTAAGAAATAATTGCTAATAAAAACTTCCCATTTTTAATATTAATATTAATTATTAGGGGCTAATATGACTGTTTTCTCATTAATAAGGTCAATATCAATTATTAATATCAGGCATCATTAATCATTAATATTAATCATTTATTGTTATCATTAGTATATCTATTTAATATTAATTATCATTATTATCGGTATTGATTTTTAAAATTATATTATCGGTTATTAATATTGAAAATTAGTGTCAATTAATAATTGAGATTATTAATTGTGGTAAGTCGCATTGCGCCATTCCACCCCTCCCTCGGCAGCTCGTTTGCGACGCAAAACGGGGACACACATGCCCCTGAGAGAGCAGCGGTATACTGGGACAGATGAGGATGGTCACGTGGTGGAGAGGCGTGCTTTTGGGTACCAGCCCTTCACCTGTGTCGACCTTCTCAACTGGAAAAACAATACACAGACCTATACCGAAAAGCCGCAAGCCCTAATTGATTTGCTCCAAGCTGTTATCCAGACCCACAACCACACCTGGGCTGATTGGCACCAGTTGCTCATGTTCCTCTTTAACAGCGAAGAAAGGCGGAGAGTCCTCCAAGCAGCAACTAAGTGGCTAGAGGAACATGCACCAGCTGATTATCAAAACCACCAAGAGTATGGAAGCACCCAGTTGCCAGGAACCGACCCCCAGTTGGACCCACGTGAAAGAGAGGATATGCAAAGGCTAAACCGAGACAGGGAAGCTTTCTTGGAAGGATTATTGAGGGGAGCTCAGAAGGCCACAAACGTTAACAACGTCTCTGAGGTCATTCAGGGAAAAGAAGAAAGTCCGGCACAATTCTACGAGAGACTGTGTGAGGCCTATCGTATGTATACTCCCTTTGATCCCGATAGCCCTGAAAATCACTGCGTGATTCACATGGCTTTAGTCCGTCAAAGCGCAGAAGACATGAGAAGAAAACTGCAGAAGCAGGCTGGGCTTGCAGGGATGAATCCACCACAATTACTAGAAATAGCTAGCCAGGTGTTTGTAAACAGGAATGCAGTAAGCCCTAAGGAAAACGGCAAAGAGAATGGAGGTCAGGCCCGGTGACACGCCGACCTGTTTGTCAGCTGCAGCAATCAGAGGGGCCCCCTCAAAGAGGCAAGGGAAGGGGGGCCCTGGGAAAGAAACTCAGCTTGGCTGTCAGAGTTTGCAGCGTAACCAGTGTGCTTATTGTAAAGAAATAGGACAGTGGAAGAACAAATGCCCTGAGCTCAAAAGAAAACAAGGTGACTCAGAGCAGGAGGCCCCGGACAAGGAGGAAGGGGCCCTGCTCAACCTGGCAGAAGGGTTCTTGGACTGAGGGAGACCGGGCTTAAGCGGCCCCAAAGAGCCTCTGGTCAAAATGACAGTTGGGGGTGGATACATTGACTTTTTTATAGATAGCGGTGCTGAACATTTGCTAGTAACCGCCCCGGTCGCCCCCTTATCCAAAAAGACTATTGACGTCATCGGACCCACTAGGGTTTCAGCAAAGCAAGCTTTCTGCTTGTCTCGGGCTTGTACTGTAGGAGGACATAGAGTCATTCATCAGTTTTGGTACATGCCTGACTGTCCCTTGACCTTTTTGGGAAGGAACTTGCTCAGCAAGCTGAGAGCCACTATCTCTTTGACAGAGCACAGCTCTTTGCTGCTAAAGGGAGTCATTATGACCCTTATGGTCCCCCCAGAGGAGGAATGGAGACTTTTCTTAACTGAGCCGGGCCAAGAGAGAAGACCAGCTCTGGCTAAAAGGTGGCCAAGAGCACGGGCAGAAGACAACCCTCCGGGATTGGCCAGTTAAGACTGGGGCCCAGCCGGTGAGGCAAAAACAGGACCCAGTCCCCAGAGAAGCCCTTCAAGGTATCCAGGTCCGTCTCAAGCACCTAAGAACTTTTGGAATTATTGTTCCTTGTCAGTCTCCATGGAACACTCCCTTCCTGCCTGTTCCCAAGCCACCGACCAAGGACTACCGGCAGGTACAGGATTTGTGCTTGCTTCATCAAGCTACACTGACTTTCCATCCAACAGTACCTAACCCGTCCACATTGTTGGGGTTGCTGCCAGCTGAGGACAGCTGGTTCACTTTCTTGGACCTGAAAGACGCTTTCTTTCCTATCAGATTAGCCCCTGAGAGCCAGAAGCTGTTTGCCTTTCAGTGGGAAGATCCGGAGTCAGGTGTCACTACTCAGTACACTTGGACCGGGCTTCCCCAAGGGTTCAAGAACTCCCCCACCATCTTCGGGGAGGCGTGGGCTCGAGACCTCCAGAAGTTTCCCAGCAGAGACCTAGGCTGCGTGTTGCTCCAGTAGGTTGATGATCTTCTGCTGGGACACCCCACGGCAGTCGGGTGTGCCAAGGGAACTGATGCCCTACACCGGCACCTGGAGGACTGTGGGTAGAAGGTGTCCAAGAAGAAAGCTCAGATCTGCCGACAGCAGGTACGTTCCTTGGGATTGACTATCTTACAGGGGTCGGAACGCAGCCTGGGATCAGAATGAAAGCAGGTTATTTGCAAGCTAGGGGAACCTAAGAGCAGAAGGCAGGTGAGAGGATTCTTAGGAGCTGTGGGGTTTTGTAGACGGTGGATCCCAAACTTTGCAGTATTAGCCAAGCCTTTGTATGAGGTCACCAAGGGGGTGGGGACCGGGAACCTTTGGAATGAGGATCCCAACAACAGCAAGGCTTTCATGAGTTAAAGGAAAAACTTATGTCAGCCCCAGCCCTGGGGCTACCCGATCTGACAAAGCCTTTTCCATTGTATGCATCAGAGAGAGAAAAGATGGCAGCTGGACTTTGAACCCAAACTGTGGGGCCCAGGCCAAGGCTGGGGGCCTACCTCTCTCAACAACTAGACGGGGATTCTAAAGGATGGCCCCCCTGTTGGAGGGCCTTGGCAGCAACTGCCCTGCGAGTACAAGAAGCAAATAAGCTGACTCTTGGGCAAAACCTGAACAGAAAGGCCTCCCGTGCTGTGGTGACTTTAATGAATACTAAAGGACATCATTGGCTAACGAATGCCACACTCACCAAGTACCAGACTTTGCTCTGTGAAAATCCCCATATAACCATTGAAGTTTGTAACACCCTACACCCCGCCACGTTGCTCCCGGTATCAGAGCCCTGTCGAGCCTGATTATGTAGAAATGTTGGACTCAGTTGCCTCTAGCAGACCTGACCTCTGGGACCAGCCTTGGGCATCAGTAGACTGGGAACTATACGTGGATGGGAGCAGCTTCTTCAACCCCCAAGGAGAGAGAGGTGCAGGGTATGCAGTGATAACCCTGGACACTGTTGTTGAAGCCAGATCTTTGCCCCAGGCCACTTCAGCCCAGAAAGCTGAACTCATTGCTTTAATTCGGGCCTTAGAACTCAGTGAGGGTGAGACTGTCAACATTTACACTGATTCTCCGTATGCCTTTTGAACCCTTCAAGTGCATGGAGCGTGATAGAAAGAAAAGGGCCTATTGAACTCTGGGGGAAAAGACAGAAAATATCAACAAGAAATCTTGCAATGATTAGAAGCAGTGTGGAAACCCCACAAGGTGGCAGTTATGCATTGCAGAGGACACCAGCGAGCTTCCACCTTGCTGGGTTTGGGGAATTCCTGCGCTGACTCAGAGGCTCAAAAAGCAGCATCTGCCCCCTTCCAGGCATCAGTACTCCCTCAAGCACCTGATCTTGGACCTACTTATTCTAAAGAAGAAAAGGACTTTGTCCAGGTAGAGGGAAGGACAAGTGATGGAGGAAGGATGAATTCGGTTACCAGATGGGAGAGTAGCTGTGCCACAGCTGCGAGGAGCTGCAGTTGTACTGGCTGTGCAAGAAACCAGCCATCGAGGTCAGGAGTCACTGGAAAAGTTGTTAGGCTGGTATTTCTCCATCTCGCCTTTGTCAGCCCTTGCCAAAACGGTGAGGCAGTGGTGTGTTACCTGCCAACAGCATGACGCGAGGCAACGTCCAGCCGTTCCGCCCGGCATACGAGCTTATGGAGCAGCCCCCTTTGAAGGTCTCCAGCTGGACTTCACAGAGATGCCAAAGTGTGGAGGTAACAAGTATTCACTAGTTCTTGGGCGCACCTACTCTGGGTGGGTGTAGGCTTATCCAACACTAACTGAGAAAGCTCGTGAAGTAACCCCTGTGCTTCTTCGAGATCTGATTCCTAGATTTCGGCCGCCCTTACGGATTGGCTCAGACAAGGGGCCTGCGTATTTGGCTGCCTTCGTACAGAAGACAGCAAAGGTATTGGGGATCACACGAAAACTGCATGCCGCCTCCCGGCCTCAGCATTCCGGAAAGGTGGAGCGGATGAATTGGACTATCAAAAATAGTACTATTGTCTTCCCCGCTGTATATTTAAAACAACACCGCAAGGGGCGTCAAACCACCTGCTAAATTTGAGGGAATGTTATCCTCTCCCCCCCTCCCCCGGCCCCGGATATTAGAGACAATAACAAAGCGGTGATGTATGCCCACTGCTTTATTGGGAGTAATATCATCCTCTCCCTTCCTGGATATTAGGAACAATATCACACTGTGCGTGTACGCCTGTCGCGAAATTCAATGGAATGTCATCCTGCGCCTCCCTGGATATGACGAACAATATCACAGGGGATGTACCACTTCTGAGATTTTGGGAGTGACATCATCCTCTTCCCTCTGGAAGTTAGGGACAATATCACAAGGGTAGTGTACACCCTCTGGGATGTTGGGACTAATATCATCCTCCCGCCCACTGGATATTAAAAACCATATCACAAGAGGCATGTACACACACTTCGATATTGGTATGAATACCATCCTCTCCCTCTTTGGATATTCTGTGCCATATATCAGGTGGGGCATACACCACCTGCAATATTGGAAGTAATATGAGTTTCTCCACCCCTGGATATCAGAAACAATATCACAGGGGGTTGTGAACAACCCCTGCGATATTTGGAGTAATATCATCGTCTCCCCTCACGATTATTAAGAACAATATCGTAGGGGTGGGGGATGTACACCCCCTTTCATATTTGATATCATCCTCTTTCCCCCTGGGTATTAGGAGCAATATCAGGAAGGGATGCACAGACCCTGTGACCCTTGCTGTCATAGAATTGTCTCTCCCTTAGATATTAGGAAAAAATGTCACTGGGGATGTGAACAGCCCTGCGATATTGAGAGTAGTATCATCCTCTCCCCCGTTGCATATTGGAAACAACATCACCAGTGGGGTGTACTGCCTCTGTGATATTGGGAGTGAAATTTTCCTCTTTTCCCCTGGACATTAGGAAGGGTATCAGAGGCGGATGGTGTACATTCCCTGCGATATTCAACATAACCTTATTCTCTCCCTCCCTGGGTATTCAGAACAATATTACAGGAGGGGTGTTTACCCTCTGCGATATTGAGAGTCGTATCATCCTCTTTCGCTCTGGATATTAGGAACAATATCACACGGTTGTGTACCCCCCCTGTGATATTGGGAGTCGTATAATCCTCTCCCCACCTGGATACTGGCAAAGATACCACAGCGCGGGTATACATTTGCTACCCTTTTGGGAGTAATATCATTCTTTTCCTTTTGGGATATTAGGAAGAATATCACAGGGGTGCTGTACAATTACTTTGACATTGGGAGTAATATCATCCTCTATTTTCCTGGACATTGCACACAAAAACACAAAAGGGTGTACAACCCCTGCGATATTGGGAGTAATATCATCCTCTCTCCCTGTGGATATTAGGAAGAGGATCACAGGGCTGTGGAAACCCCCGGCGGTACTGGGAGTAATACCATCCTCTCTCCCTCTGAAAATAGGAAGATTTTCACAGGGCTGTGTACACCTCCTGCGATATTGGGAGTAAGATCATCCTCTCCACCCAGGAAATGACTAACAAGGTCACAGGGGGGTGTACTCCCCCTGCGATATTGGGAGTAATGTCGTCCTCCCCAAACCTGGATGCTAGCAACGAGATCACAGAGGGGGTGTACACACCCTGCGACATTGGAAGTAATATGATCCTCTCCCCACCTGGATACTGGGAAAGATACCACAGCGCGGGGACACGTTTCCTACGCTGTTGGGAGTAATATCATTCTTTTCCTTTTTGGATATTAGGAAGAATATCACAGGGGTGCTGTACAATTACTTCGATATTGGACGTAATATCATCCTCTATTTTCCTGGATATTGGGCACAAAAACACAAAAGGGTGTACAACCCCTGCGATGTTGGGAGTAATAGCATACTCTCCTTCCCTGGATGTTAGAAAACAATATCATAAGGGCTGAACACCCCCCGCGATAATGGGAGTCATGTTTGCTCTTTCACAGGCCATTTGGAACAATATCACAGGGGGTGTTTACAAACAGGGGTGGTGTACACCCCCTGTGATATTGGGAGTAATATCATTCTCTCCAACTCCGGATATTAAGAACAATATCCCGGCGGGAGGTGGTACACCCCCAGTGATATTGCGAATAATGTCATCCTCTCCTTCCCTGGATATTAGGAACAATATCACAGGGGGGTGTACACCTTCTGTGATATTGGAAGCAATATCATCCTCTCCCCCGCTGGATATTACAAAAAAATATCACAGTGTACACCCACTGTGATATGAGGAGTAATATCTTCCTAGGGTACTACGAATAATTTCACAGTCTGTACACACATGATGTACACTCACTGTGATATTAGGAGTAATATCTACCTAGTAGATAACAAATAACATCGCAGGGTGTACACCTACTTTGATATTAGCTGTAATATTTTTCTAAGTTGTTACAAATAAGATCACAGGGTGTACAAATATGGTGTATACTCACTGTGATATCAGGAGTCATATCTGTGTAATATATTATGAATAATATCACCGGGTGTACATCCACTGTATTATTAGGAGTAATATCTCTGTAGGATATTACAATTAAGATCACAGGGTGTTGAGCCACCGTGATATTAGGAGCAATATCTTTCTAGGATATTACAAATAATATCACAGGGTATACGCCCACTCTGCTGTCAGGAGCAATATCTCCCTAGGATATCAAAAATCCTATCACAGGGTGTCCAATGTCTGCCTTCCAGGTTCTAAGGGATTCTCCTGCTTCAGCCTCCCGAGTATTTAGGGTTACCTGCCACCACGCCCGGCTGATTTTTTTTTATTTTCACTGGAGACGGGGTCTCACCACGTTGGCCAGGCTGGTCTGGAAATCCTGACCTCAGGTGATCCATCAGCCTCGGCCGCCCAAAATGCTGGGATTACAGGTGTGAGCCATGGTGCTGGGCCAAGAGTTATAGATTCAATTCATTTGGAAACACAGCTCCTATCTTTGAGTGTGCATGTACTTTTATGAAGAAATGATGTCAGAAAACCGAAGGATGATAATATGAAAAGTAACAGGCATGTGAAAAGGTCTTCCGATTGAGAACTATAAGGTTCGACGTCGTTTTCAGATAATGGGGTCCTAGCTCTTGTGTCGTTCTTTTACATATTCTACATCAATGGAAGTTGTAGCACGGTGTCAGAATAAAGTCGATTGTATTTCATGGCTTCTTAATTTCTTTCAATTAGACTGAGACGTTTTTGTTAAAGAGAGAAGGACATTGTCATTGCATTGTATTTTTTCTGAAAAGAGTAGGCCGTATTTTACGGATATCACGGATTTGTTATATATGACGTTTTGGTCTTCTAATATTCTTCAGTGGATTTTCTCTAAAGTCGTATGTACAGAAAGCCTTGTATAGCAAAAAAGTAAATCACGTAATAATTCTGAGATTTTTGGAATTGACACAACTGAGAAACATTGCTGGCGGTGTATGGTCCGCAAGTGTGAAGATGTTCCTTGTGAATTGCTTGCATCCAGCATTAAGGGCTGGATTTTATCTTTTACTTTTCCAATCCTTTTTCCTTCTCAAGGTGTCCAAGACACACAGAGCCACGGAATCTCACAGGTGTCTGAGAATTCCTCCTCCTGGGACTCTCAGAGGATCCAGAACTGCAGCCGGTCCTCGCTTTGCTGTCCCTGTCCCTGTCCATGTATCTGGTCACAGTGCTGAGGAACCTGCTCAGCATCCTGGCTTCAGCTCTGACTCCCCCCTCCACACCCCCATGTACTTCTTCGTCTCCAAGCTGTGCTGGGCTGACATCGGTTTCACCTCGGCCACGGTTCCCAAGATGATTGTGGACATGCAGTCGCATAGCAGAGTCATCTCTCATGCGGGCTGCCTGACACAGATGTCTTTCTTGGTCCTTTTTGCATGTATAGAAGGCATGCTGCTGAGTGCGATGGCCTATGACTGCTTTGTAGCCATCTGTCGCCCTCTGCACTACCCAGTCATCGTGAATCTTCACCTCTGTGTCTTCTTCATTTTGGTGTCCTTTTTCCTTAGCCTGTTGGATTCCCAGCTGCACAGTTGGATTGTGTTACAATTCACCATCATCAAGAATGTGGAAATCTCTAATTTTGTCTGTGACCCCTCTCAATTTCTCAAACTTGCCTGTTCTGACAGCGTCATCAATAGCATATTCATATATTTCGATAGTACTATGTTTGGTTTTCTTCCCATTTCAGGGATCCTTTTGTCTTACTATAAAATCGTCCCCTCCATTCTAAGGATGTCATCGTCAGATGGGAAGTATAAAGCCTTCGCCACCTGCGGCTCTCACCTAGCAGTTGTTTGCTGATTTGATGGAACAGGCATTGGCGTGTACCTGACTTCAGCTGTGGCACCACCCCCCAGGAATGGTGTGGTGGCGTCAGCGATGTACGCTGTGGTCACCCCATGCTGAACCCTTTCATCTACAGCCTGAGAAACAGGGACATTCAAAGCGCCCTGCGGAGGCTGCTCAGCAGAACAGTCGAATCTCATGATCTGTTCCATCCTTTTTCTTGTGTGGGTTAGAAAGGGCAACCACATTAAATCTCAACATCTGCAAATCCTGCCCCTTAGTCACATTCTTTTTGTGGCTTGATGGCTTTTATTCCTTTCCGCATTTCCTTTGTGAATATTGCTTTCTTCGTTATGCCTTTCACTGGAATGGGTGAGGATTCTGGGATCCTTTGTTTAGCAGAAACCTCACGACAGAATCCTCTATACCTAGGCGGCCTCTTTTAGTTTCTGAGCAATAACCCTGTCATCCAGGTGGAATCACAACCATCTTTTTATATACACGAAGTCCTCACTTCGTTTTGGAATTCCCTGAAAACTGACTTTATGGAAACAATGTACAGGAGGTCCTCCAACACCACTGGTGTGTTCAAAGTTGTCTAGTTATATTGTGGATTAGGAATAAGTGGTTTCACTGTACATCATTTTGCTTCAAGGTGAAGTTTCCAAGAGACTTTCAAAGATGTTACGTGAGGACATACTGTACATCAAATTCATATCCTCTTCCACAGTTCATGTGGAATTTCTTTATAAACTGCTTCTAGAGAATCTATTTAGGAAAGTTGTGTGTAGAGATCCATGTCGCCGTTCCTCAGTCTTGGCTTTGAGTCAACTCACCTGGGGAGCTTACAAATGATGAGGCCTGGGTCTCAATACCTGAGATTCTGATTTCCTTGCACCTGTGTGAGTATGTGGATTTCTTTTTTTTCTTTTAAAGCACAAGAGGTGGTTCCAATGACAAAGTTTTTAGAGGCATCAAGCTCCAATGAGTAAGAAAAGAAATTAATTGTAATATGATTTCTTCAAATATTATCTTCAAATGCATTGTCCAGCAACACCATACAAATATTTATTATGCTGTTGTTTCTTACCATTTCGCATTTTCTATTTCTTTCTTTTCCTTATTTTTTGAGTCAGAATTTCACTCTTGTTGCCCAGGCTGGAGTTCAAAGACACGGTCTCGGCTCACTGCAACCTCTGCCTCCCGTATTCAAGCAATTCTCCTGTCTCAGCCTTCCAAGTAGCTGGGATTACAGGCATGCGCTACCATGCCTGGCTAATTTTTTTTTTTTTTTTTGTATTGTTAATAGAGACAGTGTTTCTCCATTTTGTTCAGGCTGGTCTTGAACTCCTGACCTCAGGTGATCCGCCTGCTTCCGCCTCCCAAAGTGCTGGGATTACAGGCATGAGCGACCGCGCCCAGCCACCACTTAGCATTTACATTTTACATTTGTTGAAGTTACAGATTTATACACACATTGATGGCTGCTTTGTTATACACTTGCATATACATAAGATGGGAAATAGAAAAGAATAAAATGGGCACAGTATCCGTGAAGTTTCACATTCCAAGACATCTTTAAAATATTTGCTCTTCAGAAATTTGTTTCAATGAAGAAACTGTGGTATACACACCCAGTGAAGTATTATTCAGCCTAAAAAGGAAGAAACTCCTCTCCACTGCAGACAAAATGGATGAGATTGCAGGTCTGTATATTAAATGAAATAAGCCAGGCACAGAATGACAAATATTTCATGTCCTCACTTCTATGTAGGAAGAAAAAAGGAAACCTTGGCCAGGTGTGGTGGCTCAGGCCTGTAATCCCAGCACACTGGGAGGCCGAGTTGCACAGATCACTTGAGTCCAGGAGTTCGAGACCCGCCTGGCCAGCATGGTGAAACCCCGTCTCTACTGAAAACACAAACAATGAGTTGGGTGTGGTGACGTGTGCCTGTAGTCTCAGCTACTCGGAGGGCTGAAGCCCAAGAAGCGCTTGAACTCGGGAGGCGGAGCTTGCAGTGAGCCCGGATTGTGCCTGTGTACTCCAACCTGGGCAACAGAAAGAGACTCCATCACACACCTACACACAAAAGGAATCTCAGGAAAGTGGAAAGTATAAAGGTGGTTAGCAGATGCTAGGAAGAAAAGGGGTGGGATAGGGAATGAAGACAAGTGGATAATTGGGTCCCAAAATACAGAAAGATGGAATAAGTGAGTTCTACTGTTTGATAGTACAATATGAAAATTTTAGTTCACAAGAATCGTTTGCATATTTCCAGATGCTTTGGTAAGAAGCTTCCTAACTTTCTCATTAGGCTGGTTTTTAAGCTCTTCTCTTTCTGCTCTTGAAATCATGCTGTTTTTTTGTTTTTTGTTTTTTGTTTTGAGATGGAGTTTCACTCTTGTTGCCCAGGCTGGAGTGTCATGGTGCAATCTTGGCTCACCGCAACCTCTGCCTCCTTGGTTCATGCGATTCTCCTGCCTCCACCTCCCGAGTAGCTGGGATTACAGGCATGCCCCAGCATGCCCAGCTAATGTTGTATTTCTAGTAGAGACGGGGGTTTCTCCCTGTCGGTCAGGCTGGTCTTCAACTCCTGACCTCAGGTGATCCGCCCGCCTCGGCCTCCCAGAAGGCTGGGATTACAGGCGTGAGCAACCGCGCCCGGCCCATGCTGTATCCTTATCTGTTGTCTGTTGTTGTTTGTTTGTTTTGGAGCCCAGAAATAACTTCTCACCTATATGTTCAAATGATTTTTCACATGAGTGCTAAGAAAGCTCATTGGTGGAAAAGCAGCCTTTTCAAGAAATGGTGTTGGAGAAACTTGATTTCCACATGCAGAAGAATGAAGGTGGACCCTATGTCACACCAGGTGCAAAAATTAACACAAACTGGATCAAAGACCTCACCCCAAGCGCTAAAAGCATCATACGCCTAAAAGAAACCATTGGCCATGCTTTCATGACATCAGACTGGGCAATGTTCTCTGGGATATGACACCAAAAGCATAGGCAACAAAAGAAAATTTGATTCCTTGAATTGCATCTAAATGACAGACACTTTTGTGCAGCAAAAAACACTGTGACCTGAGTGAAAAGATAACTCATGGATTAGGAAAAAGATTTGCAAAGCATATATCTGAAAAGAGGCTGATATCCATCATATATAAAGAACAGCTAGAACTAAACAACAAGAAACCCAAAGCGTCCCATCAGAAGACTCGAGTAGACGTGTTCCTAAAGAAGATACAGCAATGGCCAATAAGCATCTAAAATGATGTTCAAAATCACTCATCATAGGGAAGCAGAAATCAAACCAAGAATGTGATATCACACATTAGGATGGATATGAGAAACAAACAAGCATTGGTGAGACTAGAGGGAAGTAGGAATGCTTGAATATGATCGGAGGGAATGTAAAACCGTGAAGGAATGGGGAAAATAGTATGGCTTTTACTGGAAAAATTAGAAACAGAATGATCAGATGTTCCCGCAGTTGCATTTGTGGGTACCTACCAGAAAGAATTAGAAGCCAGGAGTGGAAGACAGATTTGTGTACACCCATATCCATAGCAGCATTATTCACAACAGCCAAAATGTGGAAGCAACCCAAGGGTTCGTGGACAAATGAATGAAAAAGCACACTGCAGTTCCTTCATACAATGGAAGACTATTCAGCCTTAAAAAGGCAGGCACTTCTGGCCGGTGCGGTGGCTCATGCCTGTAATCGCAGCGTCTTGGAAGACCGAGGTGGGTGGATCACCTGAGGTCAGGAATTCAAGACCAGCCTGGTCATGTTGGTGAAACCCTGTCTCTACTGAAAATGCAAAAAATGAGACAAGCGTGGTGGCGTGTGCCTATAGTCCCAACTACTCGGGAGGCTGAGGCACAAGAATGGCTGGAACCCGGGAGGCGGAGGTTGCAGTGAGCCCAGATTGTGCCACTGCACTCCAGCCTGTGCGACAGAGTGAGACTCCATGGAAACACAAAACAAAACAAAGTCAAACGAACAAACAAAAAAAAAAAAACAGAGAGGAACTTCTGACGCTGGCCGCAACATGGATGAACCTTGAAAACATTATCGTCAGTGAAATAAATAAATCCCAAAAGGATAAACACGCCCAGGCTCAGTGGCTCACACCTGTAACCCCAGCACTTTGGGAGGCTGAGCCAGGCGGATCACTTCAGGTCAGGAGTTCGAGACCAGCCTGGCCAATATGGTCTCTATTAAAAATACAAAAATTAGCTGGGCGTGGTGGCGCATGCCTGTAATCCCAGCTACTCGGGAGACTGAGACAGAAGAATCGCTTGAACCCACGATGTGGCGGTTGCAGTGAGGCGACATCACGCCACTGCACTCCAGCCGGGGTGACAGAGAAAGACGCTGTTTCCAAAACAAAAAAATTAAACACGGTATGATTCCACTTATCTATCAAGTGTCTAGAGTAGTTAAACTCATAAAGTTGCAAACTAGAAAGGTGGCCCCCAGGGGCGGGCAAGAGAGAGGAGTGGAGAGCTTGGTGAATGGGTGCAATTTCCATTTTGAAAGATAAAACTCATTGTTCAGTTCCCACCTATGAGTGAGAATATGCGGTGTTTGGTTTTTTGTTCTTGCGATAGTTTACTGAGAATGATGTTTTCCAATTTCATCCATGTCCCTACAAAGGACATGAACTCATCATTTTTTATGGCTGCATAGTATTCCATGGTGTATATGTGCCACATTTTCTTAATCCAGTCTATCATTGTTGGACATTTGGGTTGGTTCCAAGTCTTTGCTATTGTGAATAATACGGACACAGGAAGCGGAATATCACACTCTGGGGACTGTTGTGGGGTGGGGGGAGGGGGGAGGGATAGCACTGGGAGATATACCTAATGCTAGATGACGAGTTAGTGGGTGCAGTGCACCAGCATGGCACATGTACACATATGTAACTAACCTGCACAATGGGCACATGTATCCTAAAACTTAAAGTATAATTAAAAAATAAATAAATAATAAAAAATAAAAAAGAAAGATAAAACTGTTCTGGAGACGATGACGGTGATGCTTGCTAAACAATCTGAACGTACTTAATGTCATGAAACTGTAAACTGAAAAAGCGTGGAAACTGTAAATGTTTATACTGGCCATTCTATATGAACTAATATATATTTATAATTTTTAATATTTATACTTGGTATATTTTCCCATAATAAAAGATGAAAATTAAAGCAGTTGGATGTCTAAAAAGAAAAGAAAGAAGCGAAGAATACACACCAGCTTTCTCCTGATTAGAGGAAGAGCCCCAAAACTTCTATGGACACTCACTTTTCTCTTCTTCTTCTTGCATGATGATGAGGAATCCTTAGAGCTTGGGGAACTTCGGTGGCTTTGGCTAATAAGGAGCTCTGTGCCTTGAGCCCCCGAGGCCACAGAATAGTAAATAGTCTGTGACTCCAGCCCTGCAGTGTGAGGTTCCAGTCCTGTGGGCTCCACTCCCGTCACCTGTATCAGGAGGCTCACGTCTCACCCTGTCTTCTTGCCAGCCTTGAGGACGGAGTCTGAGCCTCCATGGTGCACCACACAGGGAGGACAGTGGACCTGTTCTCCGTGGTCATGGCCCAGCAGAGGGGAAGGGCAGTTCAGTGAGTGTAGGGAAAAGAAAGAGAGATCAGACTCTTACTGTGTCTATGTAGAAAGGAAAGACATAAGAGACTCCATTTTGAGAAAGACCTGTACTTTCAACAATTGCTTTGCTGAAATGTTGTTAATGTGTAGCTTTGCCCCAGCAACTTTGACCCAACCTGAAGCTCACAAAAACATGTGTTGTATGAAATCAAGGTTTAAAGGATCTAGGGCTGTGCAGGACGTGTCTTGTTAACAAGATGTTTCCAAGCAGTATACTTGGTAAAAGTCACCGCCATTCTCTAGTCTCAATAAACCAGGGGCACAATACACTGTGGAAAGCCGCAGGGAGCCCTGCCCTTGAAAGCGGCATATTGTCCAAGGTTTCTCCCCATGTGATAGTCTGAAAAGTGGCCTCGTGGGAGGAGAAAGACCTGACCATCCCCGAGTCCAACACCAGTAAAGGGTCTGTGCTGAGGTGGATTAGTCAAAGAGGGAAGCCTCTTGCAGTTGAGGGAGAGGAAGGCCGCTGTCTCCTGCCTGACCCTGGGAACTGAATGTCTCGGTATAAAACCCGATTGTACATTTGTTCAATTCTGAGATGGGGAAAAACCGCCCTATGGTGGGAGGTGAGACATATTTGCAGCAATGCTGCCTTGTTACTCTTTACTGCACTGAGATGTTTGGGTGGAGAGAAACATCAATCTGGCTTACGTACACGTCCAGTCATAGTACCTTCCCTTGAACTTCATTATGACATAGATTCTATTGCTCACATGTTCGTTGCTGACCTTCTCCTTATTATCACCCTGCCCTCCTACTACATTCCTTTTTGCTAAAATAATAAAAATAATAATCAATAAAAACAGAGGGAACTCAGAGGCCTGTGCCAGTGCAGGTCCTTGGTATGCTGAGCGCCGGTCCGCTAGGCCCACTGTTGTTTCTCCATACTTTGTCTCTGTGTCTTATTTCTTTTCTCAGTGTCTCATCCCACCCGACTAGAAATACCCACAGGTGTGGAGGGACGGGCCACCCTTTCAAGTGAGTGTTGAGGGACGGTCGGGAGCCTTGTTTTGTTTCCTCCTCCTCAGGACAAACAGGAGAGTGAGATGGGCAGATGGGAGGAGACCAATGTGCAAACTATCCGCTCAGCAGAGTGTGGAGTTTCTGTTCCTGGTTGTGCTGGGGGTCTCAGAAATCTTATTCAAAATTTTGCTACCCTCCCCCACTGGTTGTCCTTTTCATAGACATCTCACCCACGATAGCAGGGAATGAGTCCCTCTAAACTATTCCATCAGGAATAGTAAGAGCCAGCCCCTCTTCCCCCCCTGGCTCTTAGGACCCCCATCGCAGGGGGGTGAGGCACCCCCCGCGATGCAGGGAGGGCTGAGACTGGGGTCTGGGCTGTTCCAGACTTCAACACTCACCCCTTGTCCCCCCGCAGGGTTATGGTGTGTGCTCGGTGGGGCTGGAGTGGCTGGCTTACCTCCTCGTGGCTTACAGCCTGGGCGCCTCAGCCGCCTCACTCCTGGTTCTGCTGGGCCTGTGGCTGCCACACCCGGTGCCCCTCGTGGCTGGAGAAGGGGTGCACCTGCTGCTCACCTTCATCCTCTTTTTCTGGGCCCCTGTGCCTCAGGTCCTGCAACACAGCTGGATCCTCTGTGTGGCAGCCGCCCTTTGGGGTGTGGGCAGCGCCCTGAACAAGACTGGACTCAGCAGTGAGTATAGCTGTGGGCACTGGGGGGGGGCAGGGCAGGTGGCTTTATGGCTATCTGTGGGTGGTTGGCTAGACATAGACATCGCAGGGACAGATATGGGGTCCCATGGTCACATAGGGTCCTGTGGACATGGCAGAGGCAGGTGGGGCTTCCTGTGGACACTCCGGGGCTGGAAGGGAAGTCTCATGGACACACTGGGACAGATGGGTAGGGCGTGGACACTCTGGAGACAGGTGTTGGGGTTCCACGCCATGGACATTCCGTTAACACCCCAGGGCGGGCACAGGGCCCCATCAACACTGGAGGGTCAGTGTGAAATCTCGTGGCTACACGGGGCAGGTGTGGGGCTCTGTGGACACCCCTTACGGACAGTGTGAAAAACACATCAGGGATTCTCCCTTTTCATACCAGGGGACAGGGCTTACCCTGACATTGTTTTCGTGACACTTGGAGCAGATGTTTTGGTCTCTGCCTCACGGAGCATGTGGTAGGAGCAAGTGGCCTGTTGTACATCCACGGCATAGATACAGACATGGGCCTTTGTATAGAGAGGAGCAGGCCTGCAGCCCCAACCCAGTCTGCTCAGTACCACAGTCCAGGCCCCAGGTCTGGGCTGGTGGGGAACAGGGCCCTGTTTGCAGAAGGCAGTGGGTGGGCCCATGTTCAGCTCCAGGATGCTCCCTGCCCACAGATGGGCACACGCAGTGACACACAACTAGCACACACGGGCACAGTCCTGCGGGGCATCCATGTCAGTGTCTGTTCTGATGGGCGGAAGCTGTGAACAGTTTTGAACGTCATCCTTGGGGGTGTGGAGTGGCAGAGGTCATGCCTGCTGCTGGCAGGGCAGAGGCTGGCTCGGTGTCTCTGTCTGTAGCAGGGGCTGGAGCCTCATACTGCACCACAGTCTCTTGGCCGTTTTGCCCAAGGATAGCCAATTCTGGGCCGAGTCCAACCTGGGTATCTTGGACCCATGTTGTGCCCTGTCTGGTCATGGCATCCCCTCTGCCCAGCTCCATATCCCATCTCCACAGGTGAACCCTGGGGGATCCTTGTCTCTTCATAGCAGCACTGTGGGGGTAAAGTCACCCTGCAGGGCCCCAAGACAGGAGTGTTCATGTCCTGAGTGCCTGGTGAAGGTGTTAATAGTGGCCCCTATGATTTGGCAGGTGCCATGCCCACTTTCTCACTTTAGAACTTCAGAACACAGCACACTATAGGCATAGGCTCATCTCACCATTGGGAAAAGCAGCTCTGGGGAGTTAAGTACCCAAATCACCCACAGAACCAACGTTACAGTCCTGAGAACGAGTGTGCATCTTCTGACTCCCAATCCATTACTCTTGTTGCCCACCCTGGGAGGACTCACCGGAAAGGAAGCCCCCCTCTCCATGCTTAGCTTCAGGTTTGATTTGCAGAGTTGGCAGCTGCAAACAGTTGGATCTCTCTAGTCCCGGCTGAGGAGGAGAAACAGCGCCTGCAAGCTTGGCACTGCACACCTGGGGTTGGGGACAGAACATGACTAAGCACAGAGCTTTCTTCTTTTGAGGCCACGCATGTGGTGTGGAGCGGGACCACCTGCATCCACACAGCCTGGCGAACCTGCTCCTACTTCTGCTTAGCGTGTGAGCAGTGTGGTGACCAGGGTCTCCACCAGGGGGCAGGCCAGGACCGGCTCACAGCACTTTCTAGGCGCTTTCTGGTCCCGGGCTGGGACACATACAGGGCTTAGTAAAGTTCATAGATGGTAGCTCGGCAGCCCCAGGCCCCAGGTGACACCTCTCCCCTGCCTGCCCTGTACTGCCTGCTTGCAGCACTCCTGGGAATCTTGTACGAAGACAAGGAGAGACAGGACTTCATCTTCACCATCTACCACTGGTGGCAGGCTGTGGCCATCTTCACCGTGTACCTGGGCTCCAGCCTGCACATGAAGGTGAGACTGGGCAGGGTTGGGGGCCCCATGCCCAATGACAGGTACTTCCTTAGCCCCTGCCCTGGCTTCACAGCTTCCTAAACGCCACCCCTTCCCTAGCCAGTCTCTGGGCCAAGGCCCCATTCCTGCAGCCCACTGGGTGGCCCCCAACTCAGCACCCCACTTACTGGCCCACCTCCAGCCAGTCTCAGTTTGCCCATCTCTGAGGGGATTTGTGGGTGCATCACAGCCATCCTGTGGGTTGTTTGGTACCCTGTTCTCCAGATGTTGGGTCTGTCTCCCTTCATGGCCTGAAGGGGAGCAGGCTCCTCATGTTCTGCTCCCAAAAGATGGTGGCTCGGTCTAGGAAGTCCCAGTTGCTAAACATTTTTTAAAAATAGAACTAAAGGCCGGGTGCAGTGGCTCACGCCTGTAATCCCAGCACTTTGCGAGGCCGAGGCGAGTGGATTGCCTGAGGTAGGGAGTTTGAGACCAGCCTGACCGACATGGTGAAACCTCGTCTCTACTAAAAATACAAAAATTAGCCGGGCATGATGGCAGGTGCCTCTAACCACAGCTACTCGGGAGGCTGAGGCAGGAGAATCGCTTGAACTGGGAGGCGGATGTTGCAGTTAGCCGAGACGGGGCCTTGGCACTCCATCCAGCCTAAACAACAAGAGCGAAACTGCGTCTCAAAAAAAAAAATAAAAATAAAAATAGAACTAAAAATACTAGGGAGTGGGCCGGGAGCAGTGGCTCATGCCTGTAATCCCAGCATTTTGAGACGCTGAGGTGGGGGTATCACCTGAGGTCTGGAGTTCGAGACCAGCCTGGGTAACAGGCTGTAAAACCCTGTCTCTACTAAAAACAAAAATTAGCTGGGCATGGTGGCGCATCCCTGTGATCCCAGCTACTCTGGAGGCTGAGGCACAAGAATGGCTTGAACCTGGAAGATGGAGATTGCAGTGAGCCAAGATCGCGCCACCGCACTTCAGCCTGGAGGACAGAGCGAGACTCTGTCTCCCAAAGAAAAAAGAAAAAAAAAGAAAAAAGAAAAGCAGTGAGTGGGCTGGGCATGGTGGCTCACCCCTGTAATCCCAACACTTTGGGAGGCTGAGGCAGGAGGATTGCTTGAGGCCAGAAGTTCAAGACCAGCCTGGGCAACATAGGAGACCCTGTCTCTACAAGAAATTTAAAAATTAGCTGGGCGTGGTGGCGCGTGCCTGTAGTTCCAGCTGCTTGTGAGACTGAGGTGGGAGGATGGCTTGAGCCTGGAAGATTGAGGCTGAAGTGAGCATGGCACTGCGCTCCAGCAGTGGGTGGGGGAAGGGAGGGAGGGGGCGCGGTGGGGAAACGGAGCAACCGTGTCTGGAAAAAAGAAAAGAGCAGGAAGTATGCATACAGATATGTGTGTGTGTACTGAGCTATGGTGTGAAATCATTCCTGACTGCGGGTTATAGTCAAAACCCCATGAAAAGCATCACTACAGCCCACGGGTGTGTCAGGGACACAGTGTTGTGAGCCCTGGGAAGGCAGGGCCTGTGGCCAGCACTTTATCAACACTGGCGCATGCACCCTAAGAGGCAAAGGGATTTGCATTGTCCCCTTACAGCGTGGGACACTGAGGTCGCCAGGGGCATGGCGACTGTAAGGGACAGTGCTGGATGTGAGCCTCGCCTGCAGGAGGCGGTCCAGGAAACGTGGGTGGAGGGGCTGGAGAAATTGAGGGCCGCGTGGCCCGGGAGGCTCCCGGAGGAGGGAAGGGCCTATCTCAGCGAGGGGTATAGGCGGAGAAGGTGCGGGGCGAGGCGGCCGCGGGTCCCTGGCATCCCTCTCCTTACGCCCAGGCTAAGCTGGCGGTGCTGCTGGTGACGCTGGTGGTGGCCGCGGTCTCCTACCTGCGGATGGAGCAGAAGCTGCGGCGGGGCGTGGCCCCGCGCCAGCCCCGCATCCCGCGGCCCCAGCACAAGGTGCGCGGTGACGGCTACTTGGAGGAGGACAACTCGGACGAGAGCGACGCGGAGGGCGAGCATGGGGACGGCGCGGAGGAGGAGGCGCCGCCCCCGGGGCCCAGGCCTGGCCCCGAGCCCGCTGGACTCGGCCGCCGGCCCTGCCCGTACGAACAGGCGCAGGGGGGCGACGGGCCGGAGGAGCAGTGAGGGGCCGCCTGGTCCCCGGACTCAGCCTCGCTCCTCGCCGGCCTCAGTTTACCACGTCTTAGGTCGGGGGGACCCCCTCCGAGTCTCGCGCTGTCTTCGAAGGCCCCTGTCTCCCTTCCCCCACGTTGGGGACGCCCCTCCCAGAGCCCGGGTCACCTCCGGGCTTCCGCAGCCCCCTCCAAGGCGGAGTGGAGCCTTGGGAACTCCCCGGCCAAGCACAGGGGTTCGAAAATACAGCTGATACCCCGCGGGCCCTTAGCACGCGCCCCAGCGCCGGAGCAGGGTCAGGGTCTTCTTGCGACCCGGCCCCGCTCCAGATCCCCCCAGCTCTCGGCCGCGGACCCGGGCCGCGTGTGAGCGCCCTTTGCACCTCCTATCTCCAGGGTCCGCCGAGAGCCACGATTTTTTACAGAAAATGAGCGATAAAGAGATTTTGTACTGTCCTGACTGGAGAGTCCCAGGCCGCGGGGGACGGAGCGCCCCTGGGATGCACGCCCGGCTGGCCCGGCCTCTGGGCGCGGTGGTGAGAGGCCCTGACCTAGGGGGACCGCGGGGTGTGGGGAGTGCGGAGCCCCACTGGGGGCGGGGCGAGGTGTCCGTAGGCCCCGCCCACCAGCCCCTCCTCCCTCCTGAGGCCCCGCCCCCCCATGCCTGCCTGCCTTTGCCAGCCTCAGCCAGGAGAAGGGAGCGGGGGAGCGGCTGGCAGAGACAGAGGAGGGTGTGACGGCGTTGCTGGTCCCCCATGGGTCCAGAGGGCGAGACAGACTCCGAAGGCACACCCTCCAGGGGCCTGTGTAGGCATCCTCGGCCCTCCAGCGACCACCCCCGCGTCGGACAGGGTCCACTTCCGAGCCACGGTGGGGTCACCCTGTGCCCAGTAGGGGCCTTGGAAGTAGTGGTTGGAGGCCAGGTACGCTCGGTTACTACCCTTTCCTGGCTACAGCCTCAGCTGCGATGCCCAAGAGAAACAGGCTGGTGGAGGGGCAGACCCCCTACAAGGCCTGAAGGTGCCGTTCCTCCACCCGCTCCTCTTGTGGCCAGAGGAGAGGGACACCCCCGCCATGAAGAGCTCTGAACGGTTGGGTGAGGACAAGTCGGGGCCGTGGGAGGGCCATGGAGCCCCCAGCTGCACCCCAGCAGGCCCGGGGCCGGCCCACACCATTCCTCACTCCCCACAGCCTCTCTACCCCTGACTTTGGTGAGACCCTCGTCCGTACCTCCAGGCTCCATGCCCGCTTCAGCATCGCTCTATGGATTCTCCCAGCCCTAAACTGGCCCCATCTCTCCTCTCTGCCCTCATGTGAGTTTGGTTCTTGAAGCCTCTAGTGGTCCCTGGGGCCAGACTCTGTGGCCTTGGATAGGGAGTCTCCCATCTGAGCCATAGGTTCCTTCTCTGTTGAGTGTGTGACGGAACATGTTGGAGCCCTTAGTGTGGCAGCTGCAAGCGCCCCAGACCCTGTAAGAAACACAAAAGGGTGCGGCGGGAGACTTGACATTTTCTAAATCTGGGAGGGAACGCTGCCTTCCTCATGCCGACCTTCAGCGACAAGCAGACTCAGAAGCGGTCCCGAGGTGCCACCGTAAACTGGGTGAAGGCCAGCACTGTGTGCTTCCAGTTCCCCCTCGGCATCTGTGGACTGAGTGTTCTCTGGAGGTGGCTGGCGACATCCTACAGGCAGCCTCCAGCAAACCAGTCGGAGTTGGGCAACCTGACGCTCGGATGATTCACCTCTGAATGGAGGGCAAGGTGATATTTGGAAGGTTGTGGGCCCCTGGGATGCTGGGCAAACGGGGAGCGGGTACCTGGATAGTGGGCCTACAGCTCTTCCCAGTTCCGAGTCAATTCCAATGTCCATGGTGCCAAGGAACAGAGGCTCTGATGTTGAGCAGACTTGAAGGTGATCCAGGCACATGGAGTGGCCACTCAGGGTCTTGGCTCCTGGCTGTGCTCTTTCTATCTGGGCATTTCCCATGAGAAGGTTTCACAGGCCACCTGGCTGCTCCTGGCACACGGAGAATGCCCAGATGCTGACATGTGCCAAACAACACATATGTACACCTGATAGGCCACGCACATGCAACATGCAAACACACGTGACGGGTAACACCTGTGACAGACACTACATGACAATGCACGTGCACACATGATAGGAAACACATATCACAGGCCGTGTGACGGGAAACACACATCACAGGCTGTGCGACGGGAAACACAGTGCAGGCAGTGCGACGGGCCCTGGCAGCAAGCTCAGCAGGCTGGCTCGTTTCGAGCAGGAGAAGAGCTCATTGTAAGAGATGACACTGGCGTAGGTGGCACCTCCCCTGTCTCCATCACCCCCGGATAAGGTGACTGGGTGGAGGTTCTGGACCCCTGAGTGGACGAGTAGGCTGTGTCATGGCCTCCGTGTCTGATTGCCACCCTCGCTCCCAAAGCAACTCTGTGATTTTGTCGATCTGCACTGTGGGGATTTTTCTTTTTCTTTTCTTTATTTATTTTTTTTTTTTGCAACGGAGTTTCACTCTTGTTGCCCAAGCTGGAGTGCAATGGCGTGATCTCAGCTCACTGCAGCTTCCGTCTCCTGGGTTCAAGTGATTCTCCTACCTCAGCCTCCCGAGTAGCGGGGATTACAGGCGCCCACCACCAAGCCAGGCTAATTTTTTTGTATTTTTAGTAGAGACGAAGTTTCACCATGTTGGCCAAGCTGGTCTCAAACTCCTGACCTCAGGTGATCCACCTGCCTCGGCATCCCAAAGTGCTGGGATTACAGACGTGAGCCATCACGCCCGGCTGGGATTTTTCAATTATGTGATTCCAAGAATCTCCAGTCCAAGATTTTCCCTATCTTTAAGTTCTCAGTAGCAGGTTAGATAACCTGAGAAGTCTCCCTCTTCAAAACACCTAGGAATGCTGGGTAAGAAACAAATGTCCTTTTAACTATAGAGCTGAGGCCGGGCATGGTGGCTCACGCCTGTAATTCCACAACATTGGGAGGCTGAGGTGGGCGGATCACCTGAGGCCAGGAGTTCGAGACCAGCCTGGCCAATGGTGAAACCCCATCTCTACTAAAAATACAAAACTCAGCCAGGAGTGGTGGCAGGTGCTTGTAATCTCAGCTACTTAGGAGGCTGAAGCAGGAGAATCGCTTGAACCCGGAAGGCAGAAGTTGCAGTGAGCCAAGATCACGCCATTACACTCCAGCCTGGGCAAAAGAGTGAAACTGCATCTCAAAAAATATATAAATAAAATAAAATAAAATAAAATAAATATCTAGCTGAGTTCTTCAGAAAACAAGTTAAGTCCCCTAAGGCCAGAAGTGAAGAGGGGAGTGAGAACCAAGGTGGGGACAGAGGAGCTGGTGCTGCAACTGCCTGAGGGCAGGGCTGGGTTGAGTGTTGGAAGCCCTTACAAGGCAGGGGGTCAGGGTTACAGTCAAGCATGATGAAGTTGGGGCCACAGAAATGCAACACCTTTAGAGAAAGGGACAGAAACATTTCCACCCAGGGGAACAGAGAGAGGTGAGAAAATTTGAGCTTTAGGTGGTGAACAAGTTTCCCATGAGATCGTTGCGTTTTCAGGCCTCTCTTATATAAATGTGGAACTCCTACAATGAAGTCATGCTACCTGTGTGGTCTAGGAATGCCAGAGTTGAGAAATTAACACTAAAAAGTTGCTTTGGGCCAGGCGTGGTGGCTCACGCCTGTAATCCCAGCACTTCGGGAGGCTGAGGCAGGTGAATCACCTGATGTCAGGAGTTCGAGACCAGCCTGGCCAACATGGTGAAACCCCATCTCCACTAAAAATACAAAAAATTAGCCACGCCTCGTGTGCTTGTAATCCCAGCTACTCGGGAGGCTGAGGCAGGAGAATAGCTTGAACCTGGGAGGCAGAAGTTGCAGTGAGTTGAGATTGCGCCACTGCACTCCAGCCTGGGCAACAAGAGTGAAACTCTGTCTCAAAAAAAAAACAGGTGCCTTCGCTTACTGGTACCCTGGGGCCCCTGGAAAAGCCAAATAGAAAACCTCTCTAGGTGGCTCCCTCAAACCTGGCCACCCAGGATTCCCCACATAAAGCCCCTCTGAAGCTCAGCTCATGATCCAAAATTACAGAACGCAAAGGAAACACATCACCGCGAGAAAAGGCAACAGACATACAAAAGAGCAGGATTCGACACCCGCTCCAAATACCCCCAGCTAGGAGAGAGAAGCTGTCCAACAGGTATGTGAGATAGGCAGCTTCTATAAGGGCTGCCAGCGATCTCCCACCCTTGACTCTTCACAACTTTGTGTAATTTCCATCCCTTGATTGTGGGCTGGACCTAGTGAGTTTCTTTTAACCAACTGAATTCTTATTTTACTTATTTTATTTTATTTTATTTTATTTTATTTTATTTTATTTTATTTTATTTTATTTTACTTAGAGATAGAGTTGCACTGTGTTGTCCATGCTAGGCTGAAACTCCTGGCCTTAAGCAGTCTTCCTGCCTCGGCCTCCCAAAGTGCCAGGATTATAAGCATGAGCCACTGCGCTCGGCAGCCTTCGCATTTATTTATTTTTGAGACTCGCTGTATCGCCCAGGCTGGAGTGCAATGGCACGATCTCGGCTCACTGCAACCTCCACCTCCCGGGTTCAAGCGATTCTCCTGCCTCAGGCTTCCAAGTAGCTGAGATTACAGGCGCCCACCACCAAGCCTGGCTAATTTTTGTATTTTTAGTAGAGACTGGGTTTCACCATATTGGCCAGGCTGGTCTCGAACTCCTGGCCTCAGGTGATCTGCCCGCCTCAGCCTCCCAAAGTGCTGGGAGTACAGGCGTGAGCCACTGAACCTCGCTAACCAACTGAATGCTAAACTGGCCTGAGAGATTCTCACTCCCTGGTGTCCACACCCCGCTAATGCCCTCCTGTGAGTGAATGTGATGGGCTACAGTACTTTTGAGCTAATCAAGTGGGACGCTACCTAATGGACCTGAACCAGTCAGGCAAGTCTTTTAAAAGAAAGGGACATGGCAGAGAGGTGCTCTTCTGCAGGCTTGGAGTAGGGCAAGTGGCCATGGTGCCACCTACAAGGAGGCCCCTGGAAGCCGAGAGTGGTCCCCGATGGCAGCTTGCAAGAAAACAGGGACCTCAGTGCCCCAATGTAGGGAACAGCCCCTCTCCCCCTCGGCTCTTAGGACCCCCATCGCAGGGGGGTGAGGTGCCCACCGCGATGCGGGGAGTAAGGGCCAGCCCCTCTTCCCCCCTCCTGGTTTTTAGGATCCGCGGTGGACTCACAGCCTGTTTACCATATTGTGAGCAATATCATCTCCCCCTCTGGAGATTATGAACTGTTTCAGAGACGGGTGTACACCCTCGGTGTGCAGAGGGTGTACACCCATCTGTATTGGGAGTAATATCATCCTCTTCCTCCCTGAATATTAAGAAGAGTATCACAGGGGTGTTTCCACTCCCTCGGATATCGCGTGTCATATCCTCCTCTCCCACGTTGCAATTAGAAACAATATCAGTGGGGGCGTGTCCACCTTCTGTGATATTGAAAGTAATATCATCCTCTTCCCTCCAGGATCATGGGAACAATATCCCTGGGGGGTGTCCACTTTCTGCCATATATGTAGTCATATCACCCCCTCCGCCTTAGAATATTATGAAGGACCATCTCACATGGGGGTGTATACTTCCTGCGATATTGGGAGTAATATCAACCTCTCGGTCTCCGAATATTAGGAAGAATATCACAGGGTGGGTGTACACCTCCTGCTCTATTATGGGGAGTCATATCTATCTATTATGGGGAGTAATATCATCCTCTCCCTTTCAGGATATTAATAACAATTTCACAGGCTGGGTGAACACAGCCTGCGATGCTGGAATTATTATCACCCTCTCCCCCTCGGGATACTAGGAAGAACATCACAGAAGAGGTGTACACTCCCTGCGATATTGGGAGTAATATCATACGCTTCTTCCGTGAATATTAGGAGCGATATCACCGGGTGGCTGTACATTGATTACTGTGTTGGCAGTCATGTCATACTCTACCCTCTGGGTATTAGGATCGGTGTCACAGGGTGAGTGTACACCTACTGCGATATGAAAACTAATATCATGCTCTCCATCCCTGGATATTAGGAACAATATCACAGGTAGGTGTACACCCCCTGTGGTATTAGCAGTAATAATATTCTGAATTATTAAACATCAGTCTTATTAATAATTATCAATGGTAATATTAATTAACAGTATAACGTTATTAATCATTAATGATTATTTTCAAGATATGATTATGCATGATTAAAATTAATTATTAAGATTAATGTCACTTTTAATATTAGTTATTAATCTTAATATTAATTATTGTTTTATTACCAACATCACTTATGATTGATTGAAGTAACATTAATTAGTGATATCATTATTTTATTATTAATAGTGATATTGCTATTAATTATTAATAGTAACCGTTAATATTTTTCATCTGTACTGTTTTACTGTCTCTACTGTAATTATTAATATTGATGATTACTATTAATTGTTATTATATTTATTAATATTAATAATTAATAGAACTGTTCCCGATATCCGTGGGGGAGAGGATATGACTCCCTATATCGCAGAAAGTGTACACCCCTCTATGATGTTACTCCTAATAGCCGGGGGGTAGAGGATGACATTATTGAAAATAGCGCAGTGGGTGTACATCCCTTCGGTCATCTTGTTCCTAATATCCTGGGTGGGAGCGGATATGACTCCCAATATCGCAGGGGGTGGAGACCTCCACCGAGATACTGTCCCTAACATCCAAAGGTGGAGATGATGATATTTCTTCCAATTTCACCGGGGGTGCACACCATCCTTGTGATATTGATCCTAATATCCAGGCGGCGAGAGGATGCTATTAGTCTGAATATTGCAGAATGTGTACACTCCCTAGGGATATTGTTCCTAATATAAAGGGACGGAGAGGATGATATCACTCCCAATATAGCCGGGGGTGTACACCCCTTGTGTAACATTGCTCCTAAAGGGCAGCGGGGGAGAGGAAGATATTACAGCCAATATCGCAGGGAGTGTACACCCCCTTGTGACATTGTTCCTTCTATCCTGGGAGGGAGAGGAAGATACTAGCGGCAATGTCGCAGGGGCTGTACACACCCACTGTGATATTGTTCCGAATATCCGGAGGGGGAGAAAATGTTGTTACTTCCAATATCGCAGGGGGTGTACATCCTCCTGTGATACTGTTTCTTATATTCATGCGGAGAGGATGACATTACTCCCAATATCGCAGGGGTTGTACCCACCTCCTGCGATACGGGGAGTAAGAGCCAGCCCCTCTCTCCCCCTGGCTCTTAGGAGCCCCTTTGCAGGGGGGTAAGGCCCCACCCTGGGGTACGGGGAGTAAGAGCCAGCCCCTATCACCCCCTGGCTCTTAGGACCCCCATCGCAAGGGGATGAGGCCCCCGCGATGCGGGCAGTCATATCACCCCCCTCTAGATATGATGATTCACGTCGCAGGGGGGCGGGCGCCCCCCGCGATGCGGGGAGTCATATCAGCACCCCCTCTCCCCCCCTGGATATGACGATCCACGGTGGTCACACAGCGTGTTCACGTTATTGTCAGTAATATCTTCTCCACCTCTGGAAATTACCAACTATATCACAGACGGGTGCACATCCTCTGCGCTCTTTGGAGTAATAGCATCCTCTTTCCCCTTGATATTAAGAACAATATCACAGGAGTGTTTTTATCCCTAGGGGCATTCCGTGTAGTATCATCCTCTCCCACGTTGAAATTAGGAACAATATCACCGGAGCGTGTCCACCCCGTGCGATATTGAAAGTAACATCATCCTCTTCTCTCCTGGATCATGGGAACCATATCACTGGGGTTGTGTACACTTTCTGCGGTATTGGGAGTAAGATCATCCTCTCCGCCTTGGAATATTAAGGATCATATCACGGTGGGGCTGTACACACCCTGTGCTATGAAGAAGAGTATTATCCTCCCCTGCCCTGCACATTGGAAAAAATATCACAGAGTGGGTGTACACCTCCTGCGATGAGGGGGTGATATCATCTTCTCTTCTTCTGTATAATAGCAACAATAGTACACGGGCTTGTACACTTTCTGTGATATTGGGAGTAATATCAACCTCTCCACCTTTGAATATTAAGAACAATATCACAGACTGGATGTACACCCCCTGCGATATTGGGAGTCATATCAGCCTCTCCTTTCCGTGGATATTAGGAATAATATCCCAGGATGGGTGTACACCTCCTGCTGTATGGGGAGTCATATCGTCCTCTCACTTCCTGGCTGCTAGGAACAATATCAGAGGGTGGGTGCACACAGCCTGCGATATTGCGAGTAATATCACCCTCTCCCCCTCCGGATATTAGGAACAATGTCACAGAAGGGGTGTACACTTCCTGAGATACTGGGAGTAATAGCATTCTCTTCTTCCGGGAATATTAGGAGGAATATCACCGGGTGGATGCACACCCACTGCTATCTTGGGAGTAACGTCATACGCCACCCCCTGGAGATGATATTCGGATCAATATCACCGGGTGGGTGTACACCTACTGCGATATTGAACGTCATATCATGCTCTCTCCCTCCCTGGACATTAGGAACAACATCACAGGTGGGTGTACACCCACTGAGGTATTAGGGATAATATTCATATTAATTCTTCCTCTTTTATTAACATGAATATGTATTACCAATATTAATATTAATATTAAGAAATCATTGTTAAAAATAGTGTTCAGATTATTAATATTAATGTTAATTATTAGGAGCTAATATGACAGTTTTCTAATGAATAAGATCAATATCACTCTTTAAGACCATGCATCATTAATCATTAATATTCATTTATTGTTATCGTGAGTATAACTCTTTAATACGAATTATCATTATCGGTATTGATTTTCAGAATTATATGATCAGTTATTAATATTGATAATTATCAGTATCAATTAATAATTAAGATTATTAATTGCGGTAAGTAACATTGCGCCATTCCACCCCTCCCTCGGCAGCTCTTTTACGACCCAAAACGGGGATCCAAATGCCCCTGAGAGAGCAGCGGCATACTGGGAGAGAGGAGGATGGTCACGTGGTGGAGAGGCGTGTTTTTGTGTACCAGCCCTTCACCTCTGCCGACCTTCTCAACTGGGAAAACAATACCCCGTCCTAGAGCGAAAAGCCACAAGCCCTAATTGATTTCCTCCAAACGGTTATCCAGACCCACAACCCCACCTGGGCCGATCGCCACCGGTTGCTCATGTTCCTCTTTAAGAGAGATGAAAGGCAAAAGGCGGAGAGGGCTTCACGCAGCAACTAAGTGGCTAGAGGAACATGCACCAGCTGATTATCAAAACCCCCAAGAGTATGGAAGCACCCAGTTACCAGGAACCCACCCCCAGTTGGACCCACATGAAAGAGAGGAGATGCAAAGGCTAAACCGAGACAGGGAAGCTCTCTTGGAAGGATTCAAGAGGGGAGCTCAGAGGGCCACAAACGTTAACAAGGTCTCTGAGGTCATTCAGGGAAAAGTAGAAAGTCCAGCGCAATTCTACCAGAGACTGTGTGAGGCCTATGGTATGTATACTCCCCTTGATCACGATAACCCTGAAAATCAGCGCATGATTCACATGGCTTTAGTCCATCAAAGCGCGGAAGACGTTAGAAGAAAACTGCAGAAGCAGGCTGGGCTTGCAGGGATGAATACATCACATTGATGAGAAATAGCTAAGCAGGTGTTTGTAAACAGGGATGCAGTAAGCCGCGAGGGAAAGCCCAAAGAGAATGAAGGTCAGGCCCGGCGAAACGCCGACCTGTTTGTTAGCTGCAGCAATCAGAGCTGTCCCCCCAAAGAAGCAAGGGAAGGGGGGCCTTGGGAAAGAAACTCAGCTTGGGTGTCAGAGTTTGCAGCGTGACCAGTGTGCTTATTGTAAAGAAATAGGACAGTGGAAGAACAAATGCCCTCAGCTCAAAAGAAAAGAAGGTGACTCAGAGCAGGAGGCCCTGGACAAGGAGGAAGGGGCCCGGCTCAACCTGGCAGAAGGGTTATTGGACTGAGGGAGACCGGGCTCCAGTGTCCCCAAAGAGCCTCTGGTCAGAATGACAGTCGAGGGTAGAGACATTGATTTTCTTGTAGATAGCGGTGCTGAACATTCGCTAGTAACCACCCCGGTCGCCCCCTTATCCAGAAAGACTCTTGACCTCACTGGAGCCATGGGGGTTTCAGCAAAGCAAGCTTTCTACTTGCCTGGGATGTGCACTGTAGGAGGACATCAAGTGATTCATCAGTTTTTGTACATGCCTGACTGTCCCTTGCCCTTTTTGGGAAGGGACTAGCTTAGCAAGCTGAGAGCTGCTCTCTCTTTGACAGAACACAGCTCTTTGCTGCTAAAGTGACCCGCCACGGGAGTCATTATGACCCTTACGGTCCCCCGAGAGGAGGAATGGAGACTTTTCTGAACTGAGCCGGGCCAAGAGAAGACCAGCTCTGGCTAAGCGGTGGCCAAGAGTACAGGCAGAAGACAACCCTCCAGGGTTGGCCAGTTAAGACTGGGGCCCAGCCGCTTAAGCAAAAACAGGACCCGGTCCCCAGAGAAGCTCTTCAAGGTATCCAGGTCCATCTTAAGCACCTAAGAACTTTCGGAATGATAGTTCCCTGTCAGTCTCCATGGAATACTCCCCTCCTGCCTGTTCCCAAGCCATGGGCCTAGGACTACAGGCCGGGATAGGATTCGCGCTTGCTTAGTCAAGCTACCCTGACTTTCCATTCAACAGTACCTAGCCCGTCCACATTGTTGGGGTTGCTGCCAGCTGAGGACAGCTGGTTCACCTGCTTGGACCCGAGAGACGCTTTCTTTCCTATCAGATTAGCCCCTGAGAGCCAGAAGCTGTTTGCCTTTCAGTGGGAAGATCCGGAGTCAGGTGTCACTACTCAGTACACTTGGACCGGGCTTCCCCAAGGGTTCAAGAACTCCCCCACCATCTTCGGGGAGGCGTGGGCTCGAGACCTCCAGAAGTTTCCCACCAGAGACCTAGGCTGCGCGTTGCTCCGCTAGGTTGATGAGCTTTTGCTGGGACACCCCACGGCAGTCGGATGCGCCAAGGGAATGGATTGCCCTATGCCGACACCTGGAGGACTGTGGGTGTAAGCTGTCCAAGAAGAAAGCTCAGATCTGCCGACAGCAGGTACGTTCCTTGGGATTTACTATCCGACAGGGGGAATGCAGCCCGGGATCAGAAAGAAAGCAGGTCATTTGCAATCTAGCCCAGCCTAAGAGCAGAAGGCAGGTGAGAGAATTCTTAGGAGCTGTGGGGTTTTGTAGACTGCGGATCCCAAACTTTGCAGTATTAGCCAAGCTTTTGTATGAGGTCACCAAGGGGCAGGGGGGGGGGACTGGGAACATTTTGAATGGGGATCCCAACAACAGCAAGTCTTTCATGAGTTAAAGGAGAAACTTATGTCAGCCCCAGCCCTGGGGCTACCCGATCTGACAAAGCCTTTTACATCCTATGTGTCAGAGAGAGGGAAAAGATGGCAGCCGGACTTTGAACCCAAACTGTGGGGCCCTGGCCGAGGCCGGTGGCCTACCTCTCCAAACAACTAGACGGGGATTCTAAAGGATGGCCCCTGTGTTTGAGGGCCTTGGCAGCAACTGCTCTGCTAGTACAAGAAGCAAAGAAGCTGACTCTTGGGCAGAACCTGAACAGAAAGGCCCCCCATGCTGTGGTGACTTTAATGAATACTAAAGGACATCACTGGCTAACGAATGCCAGACTCACCAAGTACCAAAGTTTGCTCTGTGAAAATCCCCGTATAACCATTGAAGTTTGTAACACCCTACACCCCGCCACCTTGCTCCCGCTATCAGAGAGCCCTGTCGAGCATGACTGTGTAGAAGTGTTGGACTCAGTTGACCCTAGCAGACCTGACATCCGGGACCAGCCTTGGGCATCAGTAGACTGGGAACTATACGTGCATGGGAGCAGCTTGGTCAACACCCAAGGAAAGAGAGGTGCAGGGTATGCAGTGGTAACCCTGGACACTGTTGTTGAAGCCAGATCATTGCCCCAGGCCACTTCAGCCCAGAAAGCTGAACTCATTGCTTTCATTCGGGCCTTAGAGCTCAGTGAGGGTGAGACTGTCAACATTTACACTGATTCTCGGTATGCCTTTTTAACCCTTTAAGTGCATGGAGCATGCTAGAAAGAAAAGGGCCTATTGAACTCTGGGGGAAAAGGCAGAAAATATCAACCAGAAATCTTCCATGTATTAGAAGCAGTATGGAAACCCCACAAGGTGGCAGTTATGCATTGCAGGGGGCACCAGCGAGCTTCCACCTTGGTGGGCTTGGGGAATTCCCGCGCTGACTCAGAGGCTCGAAAAGCAGCATCTGCCCCTTTCCAGGCATCAGTCACAGCTCCTCTGCTCCCTCAAGCACCTGATCTTGGACCTGCTTATTCTAAAGGAGAAAAGGACTTTGTCCAGGTAGAGGGAAGGACAAGTGATGGAGGAAGGATGGATTTGGTTACCGGATGGGAGAGTAGCTGTGCCACAGCTGCCAGGAGCTGCAGTTGTACTGGCTGTGCAAGAAACCACCCATCTAGGTCAGGAGTCACTGCAAAAAGTTGTTAGGCTGGTATTTCTCCATCTCGCCTTTGTCAGCCCTTGCCAAAACGGTGAGGCAGCGATGTGTCAGCTGCCGACAGCATGATGCGAGGCCAGGTCCAGCTGTTCCACCCGGCATACAAGCTTATGGAGCAGCCCCCTTTGAAGATCTCCAGGTAGACTTCACAGAGATGCCAAAGTGTGGAGGTAACAAGTATTCACTAGTTCTTGGGCGTACCTACTCTGGGTGGGTGGAGGCTTATCTAACACGAACTGAGAAAGCTCGTGAAGTAACCCATGTGCTTCTTCGAGATCTGATTCGTAGATTGGGACAGCCCTTCCGGATTGGCTCAGATAACGGGCCTGCGGTTGTGGCTGACTTGCTACAGAAGACGGCAAAGGTATTGGGGATCACACGGAAAGTGCATGCCGCCTCCCGGCCTCAGAGTTCCAGAAAGGTGGAGAGGATGAATCGGACTATCAAAAATAATATTATTGTCTTCCCCACTGGATATGTAAAACAACACCACGAGGGGCATCAAACCACCTGCTACATTTGAGGGAATGTTATCCTCTCCCCCATCCCCCGGTCCCGGATATTAGAGGCAATAACACAGGGGTAATGTACACACACTGCTTTATTGGGATTAATGTCATCCTCTGCCTTCTTGGGTATTAGGAACAATATCACACTGTGCGTGTATGCCTGTCATGAAATTCAATGGAATGTCATCCTGTGCCTCCCTGGATATGATGAACAATATCACGGGGGATGTACAACTTCTGAGATATTGGGAGTGATCTCATCCTCTCCCCTCTGGAAGTTAGGGACAATATCACAGGGGTAGTGTACTCCTTCTGTGACGTTGGGACTAATATCATCCTCCCGCCCCCTGGATATTAAAAACCATGTCACAAGGGGCGTGTACACACACTTAGATATTGGTATGAATACTATCCTCTCCCTCTTTGGATATTTAATGCAATATTTCAGGTGGGGTATGCACCACCTGCAATATTGGAAGTTATGTTATTTTCTCCCCCACTGGATATTAGAAAGGATATCACAGTGGGGTGTGAACAACCCTTGCGATATTTGGAGTCATATCATCGTCTCCCCTCAAGAATATTAAGAACAATATCTTAGGGGTGGGGGTTGTATACACCCTTTCATATTCGATATCATCCTCTTCCCCCCTGGATATTAGGAACAATATCAGGAAGGGATGTACAGACCCTGCGACATTTGCTGTCATGTAATTGTCTCTCCCCTAGATATTAGGAAAAATGTCACCGGGGATGTGAACACCCCTGCGATATTGGGAGTAGTATCATCCTATCCCCCCTTGTATATTGGGAACAATATCACAGGCGGGGTGTACTGCCTCTGCGATATTGGGAGTACAATTATCCTCTCTTCCCCTGGATACTAGGAAGGGTATCAGAGGGGGAGGGTGTACATTCCCTGCGATATTCAATGTCACCTTATCCTCTCCCTCCCAGGGTATTCAGAACAATAGCACGGGAGGGGTGTACACACCCTGCGAAATTGAGAGTCATATCATCCTCTTTCGCTCTGGATATGAGGAACAATATCACAGGGTTGTGTACACCCCCTGCGATATTGGGAGTCATATCATCCTCTCTCCCTGTGGATATTAGGAAGAGTATCACTGGGCTGTGGAAACCCCCTGCGGTACTGGGAGTAATATCATCCTCTCTCCCTCTGGATATGAGGAAGATTTTCACAGGGGTGTGTACACCCCCTGCGATATTGGGAGTAAGATCATCCTCTCCACCCAGGAAATGACTAACAAGGTCATGGGGGGGACTCCCCCTGCGATATTGGGAGTCATGTCATCCTCCCCAAACCTGGATGTTACCAACGAGATCACAGAGGGGGTGTACACACCCTGCGATATTGGAAGTAATATGATCCTCTCCGCACCTGGATATGGGGAAAGATATCACAGCGCGGGTGTACATTTCCTACGCTGTTGGTAATAATATCATTCTTTTCCTTTCTGGATATTAGGAAGAATATCACAGGGGTGCTGCACAATTATTTCCATATTGGGAGTACTATCATCCTCTATTTTCCAGGATATTGGGCCCAATAACACAAAAAGGTATACAAGCCCTGCGATATTGGGAGTAATATCATACTCTCCTTCCCTGGATGTTAGAAAACAATATCATCAGGGCTGAACACCCCCTGCGATAATGGGAGTAATATTGACTCTTTCACAGGCCATTTGGAACAATATCAAAGGGGGTGTCTACAAACAGGTGTGTTGTACACCCCCTGGGATATTGGGAGTAACATCATTCTCTCCACCTCCGGATATTAAGAACAATATCCCGGCGGGAGGTGGTACACCCCCAGTGCTATTGGGAATAATGTCATCCTCTCCTTCCCTGGATACTAGGAACAATATCACAAGGGGGTGTATACCTTCCATGATATTAGAAGCAATATCATCCTCTCCCCCGCTGGATATTAGAAAAAAAAATCACTCACGGTGTACACCCACTGTGATATCAGGAAGAATATTACAGGGTGTACACCCACTCTGACTTTAGGAGAAATAGCTCCCTCAAATGTCACAAAGAATACCACAGGGTATACAGTGATACGTCGCTAGGATATTACAAATACTATCACAGGGTGTACACCCACTGTGATAACAGGAGTAATACATCCCAAGGATACTACCAGGAATATCACAAGGCTGTACACCCACTATGACATAAGAAGTGATATCTCCCTAGGATATTACGAATAACATCACAGAATGTACACCTATGGTGTGCGCCCATGGTGATATTAGGTGTCATATCAACCCAGGACATAACCAATAAGACCACAGGGAGTACATACATGATGTACACCCACAGTGATGTTATAAGAACTATCTCCCTAGGATAATACGATTAACATCACAGAGTGGACACACATGGTATACACCCACTGTGGCACTAGGACTAATAACTTTCTCAGATATTACCAATAGCATCACAGAATAGAAACACACGGTTTACACCCACTGTAACACTAGGTGTAATTTCTCCCTAGGATGTTACGAGTAACATCTCAGTGCGTACACACATGCTGTACACCCACTGTGACATTAAGGGTAATATCCCCATTGGATATTACCAATAACATCACAGGGTGTCCACCCATGCTGTACACGCACTGTGATGTTAGGGATAATATCTCCCTGGGATATGATGAATAATACCACAGGGTGTACAGAAACTGTGATATTAGAGGTAATATCTCTCTAGGATATTATGAATCATATCACAGGGTGTACACCCACTGTGATACTGGGAGCAATATCTCTCTAGGATAGTACAAATAATATCACAGAGTGTACACCCACTGTGATATCAGGAGAAATCTCTCTCTGGGATAATATGAATTAGATCACAGAGTGTACACACATGGTGTACATCCACTTTGATATTAGGAGTCATATCTTCCTAGGACATTACAAATAACCTCACAGAGTGTACACCCACTGTAATATTAGGAATCGTATCACCCTAGGGGATCACCAATAATATCACAGCGTGTACACCCATTGTGATATTAGGAGTAATATCTTCCTAAGGTATTACGAATAATTTCACTGTCTGTACACACATGGTGTACACACACTGTGATATTAGGAGTAATATCTACCTAGTAGATAACAAATAACATCACAGGGTGTTCACCCACTTCGATATTAGCGGTAATATTTTTCTAAGTTGTTACAAATAAGATCACAGGGTGTACAAACATGGTGTACACTCACTGTGATATCAGGAGTCGTATCTCCATAATATATTATGAATAATATCACAGCGTGTACACCCACTGTATTATTAGGAGTAATATCTCTGTAGGATATTACAATTAAGATCACAGGGTGTACAGCCACTGTGATATTAGGGGCAATATCTTTCTAGGATATTACAAATAATATCACAGGGTGTACGCCCACTCTGCTGTCAGGAGCAGTATCTCCCTAGGATATCAAAAATCCTATCACAGGGTGTCCAATCCCTGCCTTCCAGGTTCTAAGGGATTCTCCTGCTTCAGCCTCCCGAGTAGCTAGGGTTAGCCGCCACCACGCCCGGCTAATATTTTTATATTTTCACTGGAGACGGGGTTTCACCACGTTGGCCAGGCTGGTCTGGAACTCCTGACCTCAGGTGATCCATCAGCCTCGGCCGCCCAAAGTGCTGGGATTACAGGGGTGCACCATGGCGCTCGGCCGAGAGTTATAGATTCAATTCATTTGGAAACACAGCTCCCATATTTGAGTGTGCATGTACTTTTATGAAGAAATGATGTCAGAAAACCTAAGGATGATAATAAATACGAAAAGTAAGTGGCATGTGAAAAGGTCTTCCGATGAAGAACTCTAAGTTTCGATTTCATTTTTAGATAATGCGGTCCTAGCTCTTGTATCGTCCTTTTACGTATTCTACATCAAAGGAATTTGTAGCACGGTGTCAGAATAAAATAGAGTGTATTTCACGGCTTCTTAATTTCTTTCAATTAGACTGAGATCTTTCTCTTCAAGAGAGAAGAACATTTTCATTGCATTCTATTTTTTCTGAAAAGAGCAGGCCGTATTTTACTGAGATCATGGATTTCTTATATATGACGTTTTGGTCTTCTAATATTCTTCAGTGGATTTTCTCTAAAGTAGTATGTACAGAAAGCCTTGTATAGCAAAAAAGTAAATCACGTAATAATTCTGAGATTTTTGGAATTGACACAACTGAGAAACACTGCTGGCGGTGTATGGTCAGCAAGTGTGAAGATGTTCCTTGTGAATTGCTTGTGAATGCTCCTCAGATGTGCCTGTGGTTAAGACCTCTGAGCTCTGTTGAAAACTTTTGGAAGCTGGGCGCTGTGGCTCACGCCTGTAATCCCAGCACTCTGGGAGGCTGAGGCAGGTGAATCACAAGGTCAGGTGTTGGAGACCAGCCTGGACAACATGGTGAAACCCCGTCTCTACTAAAAATAGAAAACAATGAGCCTGGTGTAGTGGTGGGCGCCTGTCATCTCAGCTACTCAGCAGGCTGAGGCAGGAGAATAGCTTGAACCTGGGATGCGGAGGTTGCAGTGAGCCGAGATCACTCCACTGCACTCCAGCCTGGACAACGGAATGAGACTCCGTCTCAAAAAAGCAAAAACAAAACCAAAACCAAAACCACAACTTTTTGAAAGTTGGAAGACCATGAAGTATAGTACCCGGGACTTAGAGTCTGGCCATGAATTTGGAATACCACCTTTTCTACTCCTCTGTATGGCAAGGGGTGAGAGGCCCATCCTCTGAGACTCAGCACTCTCATCTGAGCTGATTTCTAGTTGATCCAATGGAAGTGAGCGATGATGAAACCGATCGTGGGTGCCCGCTGCGTGATCTCTATGTGATGGATGCGTAAAGTCAAGGCAAAGTGAATTTTAGGTACATCCGTGAATATTTTCAGCTTCAACTCCATACAATTCAACGGAAATATCCCCTGACCTGAAGTTCTGGTTTCTCTGCATTCCAGACAGGACATTTACTTTTGTCCTTATCTCAGTAAGTACTGAGTATTGTGAGAGGAACAAGTGAGTATCTTTTGTTTCTGATGCCCCAGAGCCGATATCTTGCTTGGCACATAGGAGACAGCAAAAGTCAACATCTATGTGAATTATTGAATTGATACTTCCTTGGTTCACAAAAATTGGCTGTCATCAGTGTGACTTCGACTTACTTGATTCTTTTGGTTTTTTGTTTTTTGAGACGGAGTTTTGCTCCTGTTGCCCAGGCTGGAGGCAGTGGTGTGACCTCGGCTCACCGTAGCCTCTGCCTCCCAGGTTCAAGCCATTCTCCCGCCTCAGCCTCCCGAGTAGCTGGGACTACAGGCCCGCGCCGCCATACCGGGCGAAGTTTTTGTATTTTTAGTAGAGGCGGGGTTTCACCATGTTGGCCAGGATGGTCTTGATCTCCTGACCCCGTGATCCACCCTCCTCGGCCTCCCAAAGTGCTGGGATTACAGGAGTGAGCCACTGCGTCCGGCCAAACTTTCTGATGAAAATTCTAAGTCCACCTAAGCTAAGGACAGGAGTTAGAGCTTACGTGAATTTTCAAAGAAGACCCACCGATTTGAGGAAGCAATTACTCTCTTGAAGGAGAAAAGTCAGAACACATAATGATGAAATCACTAGGACCTAACCGGCATGTGGAACTATTTTCTGCTTATGAACTATCAACTTTCATTTCATTTCCAGATGACATGGTCTCAGCTGTTTTTTTTATTTTTTTATTTTTTTTTTTTTGAGACGGAGTTTCGCTCTTGTAGCCCAGGCTGGAGTGCAATGGCTTGATCTCGGCTCACCGCAACCTCCGCCTCCCAGGTTCAAGCAATTCTCCTGCCTCAGCCTCCCGAGTAGCTGAGATTATAGGCATGCACCACTACGCCTGGCTAATTTTGTGTTTTTAGTAGAGACAGGGTTTCCCCATGTTGAGGCTGGTCTCGAACTCCTGACCTCAGGTGAGCCACCCGCCTCAGCCTCCCAGAGTGCTGGGATTACAGGCATGAGCCACTGCGCCTGGCCCGGTCTCAGCTGTTCTACAGTGTTTATAAATGTTCTAAATCAAGGGAATTTGTATCCATCTAGTAGTATGAAATAAAATATTTGAGTTCTTAGTTTCCTTTAATTAGGATAACTTTTTTCTTAAAGTGAAGAGAATGGTTTTATTACATATTTTCCTTCAGACAAGATAGGCTGTATTTTCTAGCAATTATGAATTTGTTATATATGATGATCTGGTTCTTGGAACATTCTTGAATCTATTGTCTCTAAGGCAGGTGTGTACAGCAAGAAGTGAATAACACAGAAATCAATGATGAAAGCACTAGAAGACAATTGAGTTTATCAGAACTGCAAAATATTGCTGAGTGTGGATTGCTCTGAAATCTGAAAACATGACTTGTGAATTGCTTCTATTCAAAATGCAGACACAATCAATGCCGGGTGTTGGTTTACTTGTTTCCCATTTTGCAACCCTCTTTTCTAGGCAAAAGGTATCCAAACTATGCAGAGCCACAGAATCTAACAGATGTCTCTCTATTCCTTCTCCTAGAACTCTCAGGGGATCCAGAACTGCAGCTGGTCCTCGCTGGGCTGTTCCTGTCCATCTGCCTGGTCATGGTGCTGGGGAACCTGCTCATCATCCTGGCCATCAGCCCTGACTCCCACCTCCACACCCCCGTGTACTTCTTCCTCTCCAACCTGTCCTTGCCTGACATCAGTTTCACCTCCACCACAGTCCCCAAGATGATTGTGGACATCCAATCTCACAGCAGAGTCATCTCCTATGCAGGCTGCCTGACTCAGATGTCTCTCTTTGTCATTTTTGGAGGCATGGAAGAGAGGCATGCTCCTGAGTGTGATGGCCTATGACTGGTTTGTAGCCATCTGTCACCCTCTATATCATTCAGCCATCATGAACCCGTGTTTCTGTGGCTTCCTAGTTTTGTTGTCTTTTTTTTTCTCAGTCTTTTAGATGCCCAGCTGCACAACTTGATTGCCTTACAAGTGACCTGCTTCAAGGATGTGGAAATTCCTAATTTCTTCTGTGACCCTTCTCAACTCCCCCATCTTGCATGTTGTGACACCTTCACCATTA
Source organism: Homo sapiens (assembly GCF_000001405.40). Lineage (NCBI taxonomy): Eukaryota > Metazoa > Chordata > Mammalia > Primates > Hominidae > Homo > Homo sapiens. The sequence continues at coordinate 6,835,163 of NC_000007.14, read as the reverse complement.
ACATAATCATGTATTTCCCTGCCGCCATATTTGGTTTTCTTCCCATCTCGGGGACCCTTTTCTCTTACTCTAAAATTGTTTCCTCCATTCTGAGGGTTTCATCGTCAGGTGGGAGGTATAAAGCCCTCTCCACCTGTGGGTCTCACCTGTCAGTTGTTTGCTGAGTTTATGGAACAGGCGTTGGAGGGTACCTCAGTTCGGATGTGTCATTTTCCCCCAGAAAGGGTGCAGTGGCCTCAGTGATGTACGCGGTTGTCACCCCCATGCTGAACCCCTTCGTCTACAGCCTGAGAAACAGGGATGTTAAAGGTGTCCTGCGGCGGCCACACGGCAGCACAGTCTAATCTCAATATCTTCTTATCTGTTCCATTCCTTTTGTAGTGTGGGTTCAAAAAGGCAGCAAGGTCAAATAAGAATGATATCACAGGGTGAACACCCACTGTGACATTACGAGTAATACCTCCCTAGGATATAAAAAATACCGTCACAGAGTACACACACAAGGGGTACACCCGCTGTGACACTAGAAGCAATATCTCCCTAAAGTAGGATGAAAAATATCACAGGGTGTGCACACTGTGTGATATGAGGAGTAATCTTTACCCTGGATATTACGACTAATATCAAGGGTGTACACACCCGGGGTACACGCACTGTGATATCAGGAGTCGTATCTCCCTAGGATATTACGAGTCATATCACGGGGTATGCACCATGTGTGTACATCCATGGTGATAGTTGAAGTAATATCTCTCTATGTGATTACAAGTAATATCAAAGGGTGTACAACCCTGTGACATATTGGGAGTAACATCCTTCTAGGGTATTACAGATAACATCACAAGGTGAACACCTTCTGTGACATTTTGTGCACCCTTTGTGACATTAAAAGAAACATCCCCCTAGGATATTATGAATAATGAGACAGGCGGTATACACACATGGTGTACACCACCTGTGCCATCAGGAATAAAATTCCCCTAAGATATTATGAATAGTATCACAGCAGGTGTACACACATGTTGTACACCCCATGTGACATTAGGAGGAACATGCCCCTAGGATATTAGGAATAGTATCACAGGCATTGAATAGGCACGATACACACCCCCGGTGACATTAAAAGTAACATCCCCCTAGGATATGATGAATAATATCACAGGGAGTACACCCCGTGTGACATTAGGAGTGACATCCCCCGAGGATATAGCGAATAATATCAGAGGGTGTAGAAGCATTGTGACCTTAGTAGTAACATCTCTTTAGGATATGACAAATCATATCACAGGTTGTACACGCATTGTGACATTGGTAGTAACATCCCACTAGGATATGATGAGTAATATCACAGGCTGTACACCCCCTGTGACAATAGTAGTAACATTCCCCTAGAACATGACAAATAATATCGCAGGAGGTACAGCCCCTGTGATTTATGAGTAACATTTCTATAGAATATTACAGGTCATAGCACTGTGTGACTCTGTGTACACCCCGTGTGACATTAGGAGTAACATCCCACAAAACTATTACGAGTAATATCACGGGGCGAACACCCCCTGTGAAGTGAGGAATAACATAGTTTTAGGATATTATGAGTGATATGACAAGGTGTACACACCCTGTGATGTTAGGAGCAATATCCGTCTAGGATGTTAGGAATAATATCACAGGGAACACACCCCCTGTGACATTAGGATATTATGAATAATATCACAAGGTGTACATGCATTGTGACATTAGTACTAATATCCCTCTGGCATACTATGAATAATATCACAGGGTGTACATCTCTGTGACATTAGGAGTAATGTCCCCCTAGAATAGGACGAATAATATCACGGGGTACACACCCTGTGACTTTAGGAGTATCACCGCCCTGGAATATGAGGATTACTGTCCCAGGGTATTAACCCCCTGTGACCTGAGGAGTAACATCCCACTGGACTATTATGAATAATGTCACAGTGTGTACACCAACTGTGAGAAATAAAATAAAATGCAGCATGGTAACTAGAGAAAATGAAGGAAAAAAATTAAAATTAAAATTTTCAAAAGACCAGTCTGGACAACCTAGGGAGACCGTGTCTCTACAAAAAAAACTTAAAAATTAGCTGGGTGTGTTAGGATGTACCTGTGGTCCCAGCTACTTGGGAGGCTGAGGTGGGAGGATCCCTTGATCCTGGAAGTTGAGGCCACAGTGAGCCATGATCATGCCATACACTCCAATCTGAAAATACTTTTTTGTAAATGCTACTAATTAGTAAATACTTTAGTAATTTGTAAATACTTTAGTATTTTAAAAATACTAAGTATTTTAATATTTAGCACTACTACATAATTGCACAAAATCTGTAATTAATTAGTATTTTATAATAGTTATTTGCTAAGTACTGCTACTCAGTAAATATGTTAGCATTTTGTAAGTAGTCATTTGCTAAGTACTGCTACACAGTAAATACTTTCATTTTATGTAAGTAGCCATTTGCTAAGTATGGCTATTAAGTAAATGTTTTAGTATTCTGTAGGTAGTCATTTGCTAAGTACTGATACTCAGTAAATGCTTTAGTATTTTCTAAGTAGTTATTTACTAAGTAGCAGTACTTAGTAAAGACTTAGTAGCAGTATTTACAAAGTAATTCTTTCTAGCTCATAAGCAAAGGATAGCAAAACAGTGATGATAGGAAATACTTGCCTATTTGTATAGGTTTCCAAGCTATGTAGTTAATTCTCTGTCATGACTGCAGTTTAAGTTTATGGAATGGGTACTCAGGAATCCAATTGCAAGCAAAAACCTATCTTCTATCTCTTCTGCTCATGTTAAGGTATGAGGTTACTTTGCAAACACTTAAGAAGAGAGATGAAATTGGAATCACCAGGACGGTTTCCACATGGCCTGTTAATTTATTCACTGGAAAGACTTCATTTGCATACGTTTTCACGGGTTTGAAAAAGTCAACTTGTTTTTGGCGGGGGGTATAGATTTTGACATTGTTTTCCTAGGGGCTCTACAATGACTGTAAATCTATTCACCTTAAATTGTTATGTTTTTGAGACAGGGTCTCGGTGTGTTGCCCAGGCTGGCATACAGGGGAGCAATCATGGCTCACTGCAGCCTCCACCTCCCCAGGCTCAGGTGATCCTCCCACCTCAGCCTCCTGAGTAGCTTGGACTACAGGTGCGTGCCACCAAGCCCAGCTAAGTTTTTTTCATTTCTTTCTTCTTTTTTCTTTTTTTTGTAGAGATGGGGTCTCACTATGTCGCCCAGGCTGGTTTCCAACCCCCGGGCTCAAGCGACTTGCCTGCCTTAGCCTCCCAAAGTGCTAAGATTACGGGTGTAAGTCACTGCACCTGTCCCTTAAATTATTTTTAAATCATAAAGTATTTCAAACATTAGGAGAATACTGAGCAAAATAATACCTGTGCACCTGCCACCACACTTTATCAAATCGTGGTATTACTTGCATGATGGCTTTTTCTTACAAGTTTGAGACCAGCCTGGCCAACATGGAGAAACCCTATCTCTACCAAAAATGCAAAGAATGAGCTGGGCATGGTGATGCACACCTGTGATCTTAGCCACTCAGGAGGCTGAGGCAGGAGGATCACTTGAGCTTGGGAGGCAGAGGTTGCAGTGAGCCAAGATCGCACCACCGCACCCCAGCCTGGGCGATAGAGTGAGAACCTGTCTCAAAAAAACAAACAAACAAACAAACCAAAAAACCAGATTTTTTGAAGCTCCTTCACAAGTGATCTCAGGAGGAAACGGAAGTCAAGGACAATTTTAACTGCAGGAGAAAGATGTACCCTCACAGTAAAGGTGACCTCTGACTGACACAGTGTCTCTGGGCTCTAAATCCACTAAGATTGGTTACTCCATTCACTGGTCTGATATTTCTGCCAACAGAATAGGATGAAGAGGCCCTTTGTCTTAGAGGTGTACATTGCACCCAAACCTTTACCCTGCAGCTGCTTCTTAGAGCTCAGTGCTGAGCGGAGCAGAGAACTCACCTGAATGTCAGATCAGCCTGTGGACTGAGCTCCATTCATAGGATAAGCAGTAGCTGAGCTCTGAAGGATGAAAGCCCATCTCTGACGTCTGTTGCCCACTCCTCCCCATCCCCTGCCTCCTCCATTCATTCATTCAACACAGATTTACCGTGTCCTGTGACGCAGGCACTGTGTTAGACAACAGGAACCAGAAGATGGCCCCAACAGAGTCCTGGCCTCAAGAAGTTCACTTTCCTTGATAGGAAGGAGGGCATGGTGGCCCGTGCCTGTAGGACCAGCTATATAGGAGGCAGAGGCAGGAGGATCGCTTGAGCCCAGGAGTTAGGGGCTGCAGTGAGCTATGACCATACCACTGCACTATAAACTGGGCAACAGAGCAAGACTGTCTCAAACCTATATATATATATATATATGTGTGTGTGTGTGTGTGTGTGTGTGTGTCTGTGGTGTGTGTATATATATACACACACGCATATATATATATATATATATATATATATAACCTTGATAGGGAGGAGACAGACATATGTGACAACCTATGTCCAGAACCACCTAGCCTGGAACTGGGACTTTTTTTTTCTTTTTTTTTTTTTGTAGACAGAGTCTCACTTTGTAGCCCAGTCTGGAGTGCAGTGGCACAATCTCAGCTCACTGCAAATTCCAACTCCCAGGTTCAAGTGATTCTCGTGCCTCTGCCTCCCAAGAAGCTGGGATTACAGGGGCTTGCCACCACACTAGGCTAATTTTTGTATTTTTTTTTTAGTAGAGACGCAGTTTCACCATGTTGGCCAGGCTGGTCTCAATCTCCTGACCTTAAGTGATCTGCCCACCTTGGCCTCCTAAATTGCTGGGATTACCGACATGAGTCACTGCACCCGGTTGGAACTGTCACTTTCTACTTGGAACTGAGCTCCCTTTCCAACACCAAAATGTGTCTTTCCCACAGCTCATTCCTTTGGAATTTGAGTTCGCAAATTCTTTGCGCAAAACATCTAACTTCTATTTCTGTAACTGAACTTGATTTGAATTCCCATTGTGCTGGGTGTCAGAATCTTAATCATGTCAGGTAATTAAGCAACCTCTTCTCCCTTCTTACCATAGGCTAGGGGAGAGAGTCGAGGCCCCAGATGGGACTGGAGTATTCTCAGTCCGAATAGTGAACACAGAGTCATCCTCAATCCTCTCTACTCTCGTGGTCTTGAGGGGCCACTGCTACCTCCTCCTGGTCCTGACCTTGAGGCTTCTCAGCACTGGCTTTCTCTGAATTCCTTCTGTGCACAAGTAAGTCATTCAGCTTCTTCCTGAACAATAAGGATTTCTCATCCAGATACCCCTGTTCCGTGGTTACTCTACTGTTACCAAACCATGCTTGACCCAGAGGGGAACTCTGCAAAGCTCACCACCTCCCCCAGCTTCCCCAGGGAGAAAGACACACACACCCTCTCCTCTGAGACCTCCAAACCTATGTGGGTATCTGTCGTCACTACCACTCCTGCCTGGTACCCGTGCACACCCAAGGACTGTGTTTGGAGAGGCAGATGCATTGAGGTCTAAGCGTTCTTGCATCCTTAACTTTGAAACCATAAAAGCATGTTCTTTTCTTTGATCTCTGGATGTTTCATTTTGTTTTTTGTCATCTCCCTCTTTCGATGCCTCCTGCAATGAATTGTATGTGGGAGGAAGGGAGAGGCAAACATGTACAAGGACACAGAGGTATCCTGGGAGAAACTGTGACTCATACTATAAAATATTAATCTCACTCACTTATATAGCACCTTGTACTTTATATTAATTAATTAATTAATTTATTTATTTATTTATTTATTTACTGAGGCAGAGTCTCACTCTGTCACCCAGGCTGGAGTGCAGTGGCACAATCTCAGCTCACTGCAACCTCCGCCTCCCGGGTTCAAGCAATTCTCCTGCCTCGGTCTCCCGAGTAGCTGGGACTATAGGCACCTGCCACCACGCATGGCTATTTATTTTTATTTTTTAGTAGAGACAGTGTTTCACCATGTTGGCCCTCAAACTCCTGACCTCAAGTGATCTGCCATCCTCGGCCTCCCAAAGTGCTGGGATTACAGGCATGAGCCACCACACCCAGCCAAAACATGTATTTCTCATGGAATAACTGCATGCACTAGAGCAAGCTAATTGGGAAAGTCAACAGTTTATGAAATAATGATGAGTTGCTGGCACCTGATGCACATTCATAGTCCCATTTAACTCTTCAAGTGAAACTCTCACTTGGCAGGAATTTACTATTAGCCATTTTCCAAATAAGAGATACAGACGAGAGAGTCTCTATCTCTTCTTTGGTGCAAGGAGATTGGTGCAGTCGGTGAATGGCAAAAGTGGATATGTACCCAGATCTGTCTCCAGTCCAAATTCCAACTCATCACTTCCCTTATCTGCCAGGCTGGATAAGGGAAGTGGTTCTGCTTCCAAACTTAATATGTGACAGATAAGGCAATCTAAACCAAAGTCTTCTTGAGTTTGGTCAAACCATATGCTGCCAAGGCTTGAATCCACATAACTGTAACAAGCCATCCCAACTATGCCACAACCCACACAACTCAAAGGCAAGGGAATCCCAGGCGACAAGGTCCAGGAACAGCCACTCTGGGGAGTCTGCCACCTCTGATATTGCTCCCGTGGCACACATGGTGCCCCATCTGCCTCCAGACCTGCGCTGAAGGAATGGGGGGAAGGGGCAAGCTTTGTAGGTGTGGGTGATCCAGTGGTCACTTGAGGTCTCTCAAACAAGGACTCTGTAGATGATGTTAATGGGCCAAACGGAATGCACATCTGCCCCTAAGTGTGTTTCTTTTCTTTCTTTTCTTCTTTCTTTCTTTTTTTTTTTTTTTTTTTTTTGTTGAGACAGGGTCTTGCTCTGTTGCCCAGGCTGGAGTGTAGTGGTGCAATCTTGGCTCACTGCAACCTCCACCTACTGGGTTCAAGTAATTCTTCTGCCTCAAGCCTCCCAAGTAGCTGGAACCACAGGCATGTGCCACCACTCCTGGCTAGTTTTTTTATTTTAGTAGAGACGGGGCTGGTCTGGAACTCTGGGCCTCAAGTGATCCACCCACCTTGGCCTCCCAAAGTGCTGGGATTACAGCTATGAGCCACCGTGGCCAGCCTTGTTTATTTCTAAATGAGGCTTCCTTTGTGTCTCTACATTTCCTTCTACAAAAAAAACTGCCATGGCACAGGGGCTTATGCCTACAATCCCAGCACTTGGAGAGCCCAAGGCCAGTGGATCACTTGAGCCCAGGAGTTCGAGACCAGCCTGGGTTAACATAGTGAGACCCCAGCTCTACGAAAAATTTAAAAATTAGCCAGCCATGGTGGCATGCACCTGTGGTCCCAGCTATTCGGGAGGCTGAGGTGGGAGGATCACTTGAGCCCCGGAGTTCCAGGCTGCAGTGAGGTCTGATCTGGCCACTGCACTCCAGCCTGGGCAACAGAGCAAAGTGCTGTCTTAGAATAAAATACTTTTTAAATAAACTAAAAACAAAACAATGGGCCTGGTGTGGGTGGCTCACATCTGTAATCCCAGCACTTTCGGAGGGCAGGTGAGGCAGAATAGGGAATGAGGGTAACCAAGGGTTAAGGCATAAACAAAAGAACAGCAGGTGCAGCCAGTTCTAGGCAAGATTAGGCAGCATAGAGGCCACGTGTTCATTCCCTCAATCAGAGGCTGATTGACGGACGACAGGGGGTTGGCCGGGGGGGAGGGTGACAGCTTCTGATTGACGGGGGGGCGGGTGCGCGTCTCCACTTCAGCCTCTGATTGGTCACAGGCCAATCCTTCAGAGGGTGTAACCAATCGGAGACCTCTAACGGGCACCTAGGGGCGTTACCTAATTCTTCCAGCTTAATGAAAATCCTAATGGGGGCTCTTGAGCTGTTTGCTCTGTCTTGCTCCTGCTCTGTGAGTTGTACTTTCGCTTCAATAAATCTGTCTATTCCTTACTCCGGTTTTTTCTTTTGTTTCTTTTCGTTGCTTTGTTCTTTTGTTACTTTGTGCATTGCATTTTGTTCAGTTCTGTGTTCAACAAGCCAAGAACCTGGGCAATCCACGGTCAAGACCTTCCATCCAGTAGCAGAGGCAGGAGGATCCCTTGATGCCAAGAGTTAGAGAGCAGCCGGGGCAACAAAGTGAGACCCTGTCTCTACTATCTATCTATCTATTTTTTAATTATCTGGGCATGGTAGTGCATGCCTGTGGTCTCAGCTACTCCTCAGGCTGAGGTGGGAAGATCCCTTGAGCCCAGGAGTTGAGGCTGCAGTGAGCTATGATGGCACCACTGCACTCCAACCTGGGTGACAAAGCGAGATCTTGTCTCTAAATTAAATTTAAAACAATACCACCAAAACAACAACAGGCTGGGCGGTGGTGTCTCACGCCTGTAATCGGAGCACTTTGGGAGGCCGAAGTGGGAGACCATTTGAGGCCAGGAGTTCGAGAGCAGCCTGGGCAACACAGACCCCACCTCTACAAAAAAATAAAACTGGCCTTGGTGGCGCGCGCCTGTAATCCTAGCTACTTGGGAGGCTGAGGCAGGGGGATTGCTTGAGTGTCGGACGTTGAGGCTGCAGTGAGCTGAGATCGCGCCACTACACTCCAGCCTGGATGACAAACTGAGACCCTATCAGAAAAAACAACAACAACAAAAAAACAGTGCCCGCTCGGTTTTTCCTGAAACGCGCAGCCCTCGCCTGTAGCCAGGAGAAAACTCCGCGAGCCAGCAAAACACAAACTCGGCCAGGAAACAGACAACAAGGCCACCCGGGGGTGCCTGAAGAGGACGCTGCGAGGCGGATTCTTTTTCCGGGCCTGCGGCGAGTGCTTCCGGGGCGGTGGCGACGGAGGCGGAAGTGCGGTGTTTTAGCCGGTGGCTGCTGTCTCTGGGCGGGCCGTGGGAGGCTCCCGAGGTGGGGGCCGGGGCGGGATGGCTGCAGCGGCGGCCGGGGCCGGGAGCGGGCCCTGGGCGGCCCAGGAGAAGCAGTTCCCGCCGGCGCTGCTGAGTTTCTTCATCTACAACCCGCGCTTCGGGCCGCGCGAAGGACAGGTATGCGGAGGGGGCGGCGCGCGGGCGGGCGGCGCCGGTGTTCCCCGGGAAGGTGGCCCTGTGGTTCTGCCCACCTCGAGGGGCACTGACCTAGCCTGCATTGTGCCAGGTGCGAGTCCGGGCAGGGGGCTGCGGCGGGGACCTGACAGCAGGCAGGGACCGCTTCAGGTCCTAGGTCGATGGAATAAAGCCCCGTCGGGTCTATATCACTCCACACCCCAGGTTGAGGCTCTTTGCGCTTTGCTTTGCGTCAGTTCTGGGAAATTAAAATTGAACTTGGCTTTGTTAAGTGGGTAGTCCCCAACTAGAAGCGTGGAACCAGGGTGGCAGACGCTAGCCTTCAAATGATGCAAGCCTGGAGGTCCCTGTAATAGTTTTCGCCCAAATGAGGAAATAAATTAATTTCGGGAGGGGTGTGTGTGTGTGTGTGTGTGTGGTTTTTCTGAGGTGGGGACGGCGACTTTCTCAAAGGATGTCCGGAGCTGTGTTTTGTTTCCAGCAAGTCAGACTTCTGTTAAAGACTGTCCAGGCTGGGCGCTGTGACTCACGCCTGTAATCCCAGCACTTTAGGAGGCCGAGATGGGAGGATTGCTTGAGGCCAGGGGTTCCAGACCAGCCTGGGCAACATAGCAAGACCCCCAACTCTACAAAAAAAAAAAAAAAATTGAAAAGTGAGCCGGGCGTGGTGGCACGCACCTGTATTTCCAGTTACTCAGGAGGCTGAGGCCAGAGGATCGCTTGAGCCCAAGTGATTGAGGCTGCAGGTGAGCTGTAATAGCGCCACTGCACTACAGCCTGGGCAGCACAGACCCCATCTCCAGAAAAAGAAAAAAAAAACAACTTGTCAGTTCAAATGGCTGGGAACTGACTGGATTTAATTTTCAGGGAGCTATGTGTCTGCAGATGGGCACACCTTTACTTCTTACAAGCATTGGTGTATTACAAATTAGCACTAGGAAAGAAACCTGGAGACTTGAGTTTTCATAAAAATTACCTGGTGCTACTTCAGATGTGACTTCTTGACTATCGAAATTGCCTTTCTGACTGGTGGGCAGTATTTGCACAATGATGAGATCATTCCTGTTCTTCTTCTTATTTTAAATAATAGAGACGTCTCACTGTGTTGCCCATGCTGGTCTTGAACTCCTGAGCTCAAGTGATCCTCCCGCCTCAGCCTCTGAAAATACTAGGATTACAATTCCTGTTTTTCTAAAACCGGTTTTTGTTTTATTTTGTCATTAGCATGTGTGACACAAGAGGTCGACATTGAACTTAGCGTTTTCAATAGCTAAGATGAAATGTTTCTATTCATGTTGTGCTTCTGTTTCCTCATGTTTCAGGAGGAAAATAAGATTTTATTTTATCATCCAAATGAGGTAGAAAAGAATGAGAAGATTAGAAATGTCGGATTGTGTGAAGCTATTGTACAGTTTACAAGGTAATACCTCTAAGTGTGCCTTTAGCGTTCAGTGAATTCTTAAAACTGCTGCTGGAGAATTGTCCCAAACATATTTTTTTAACCTTTGTAGGACATTTAGCCCATCAAAACCTGCAAAATCTTTACATACACAGAAGAACAGACAGTTCTTCAATGAACCAGAAGAAAATTTCTGGATGGTCATGGTATTTACACACACAGTGTATCTTTCTGAAATTGTATGGTGAAGTTATGGGTGATCTTTACTGTTCAGAATTTAGGAAAGTTCTCTGGCTGTTGCATCCAAGTAAAATTAAAATAAAATTGGTTGCAATTTTAAAATCAAGTTCTTCCTATTTGCTTTATTCATTCTTGGGGCTGTTTTAAGAAGTTGTGTTTCTGGTGCTGTAGCATGTTCAAAGTTTTTAAATTAAGGCAAAATAAACATGGTCTAATGAATTCATTGTATAATTTCAGTTTATCAAACTTTGTAGGTTGTTCGGAATCCTATAATTGAAAAACAGAGTAAAGATGGAAAACCAGTTATTGAATATCAAGAGGAGGAGTTGTTGGTAATGTGTCATTGTTTGTTTATTTATTTATTTTTTTAAATGTATTGCTGAGTATGTTGAATGCCTTACTTGGTCGGATTTAAACTAGGAGGCTTTTGCAGAAGTTTCTCGGGGTATATAGCAAAGGTTTATGTTTATCATTTACATGAGCACAATCTTTTTAAAATGTATATGCACCCAATCTCACTAATACCTTCTACTCTTCATCTATATTGAAAGCCCTCCTAAAGTAAGGCTTACTGATTGACAAATTAGAGTTTAAACACTTCTGGCTGGGAACAGTGGCTCACACCTGTAATCCTAGTACTTTGGGAGGTCAAGGCAGGCAGATTACTTGAGGTCAGGGGTTCGAGACCAGCCTGGCCAATATGGCGGAACCCTGTCTCTACTAAAACTACAAAAACTGGCCAGGGATGGTGGCGCACACCTGTCATCCCGGCTTCTCAGGAGGCTGAGGCAGGAGAATCGCTTGAACCGGGGACGCAAATGTTGCAGTGAGCCAGGATTGTACCACTGCGCTCCAGCCTGGACAACAGAGCGAGACTCCATCTCAAAAAAAAAAAAAAAAAAAAAGAACGCAAACACTTTTTTTCAGCACGCAACTATTGTGGGATGAAGTTTATAAACATTATACTGTTTGGCCAAGAGTCAGTGTACCTTTGCCATCTATCCAGTAGACATTGTTTTTCCCTTGAACTGAGCTGTGTGCTGTGTTTTCGCGTCTGCAGGACAAGGTTTATAGCTCGGTGCTGCGGCAGTGCTACAGCATGTACAAGGTAAGCGTGGCGTTCTTTCTCAACTCAGAGTCCAACCACTTACCCCTATCTCTAGGCTCCAGGGTTGTTTAAAGAGAAGTCTATAAATGACTGCAAAGTGACTCTGTATTTGTCTTAGAGAAGAAAATAATGAGGCCTTTGAAACAGGTAGTGAGGTTTATGCCTACATTTATTCAGTAAGTATTGAACTCCCTTCTCTTTTCTCAGCCTTATAGTAGGAATGTGTCCCCATTGATGAAAAAGTGTATCTATGTGCTCAAGGAACATACAGAATGCAGATAATTTTATGATTTAAAAGTTTCAGTGAGGCAGGGCACAGTGGATCACACCTGTAATTTCAGCATTCTGGGAGGCTAAGGTGGGAGGATTGCTTGAGCCCAGGAATTCAGGACCAGTCTGGGCAATATAGCAAGACCCCATCTCTACAAAAAAATTTTATAAAAGTTAGCCAGGTATCATGGTGCATGCCTGTAGTCCCAGCTACCTGGGAGGCTGAGGTGGGAGGATCGCTCGCACCTTGGAGGTCGAGGCTGCAGTGAACTGTGATTGCACCACTGCACTCTACCCTGGGCAACAGCGAGATTCCATCTCAAAAAAAAAAAAAAAGGATAAAAAGTTTGGTGATTCCATTTATTAACAGAACACTGAAAAATAAAAAAACAGAAATGTGGGTGATATTATGTATGTAAATTGAAACTTAAGGGTAAGTTGAAATTTTTGAAAGATGCCTAGAGCAATTAGGTGGTTTCATAAAACAGCATCACTTAACAGTATTTTTTGTAACTTACATTTTTAACTCAAGTTTTCTCACGTAAATATTCTCTGTTGGAAAGAACTGGGAGATTTAATGAGCTGAATTAATAATCTAAAGGAAAAAAAGAACTTGTTATACTGAAAAAGTGAGCATAGGAAACTGATTTTTTTTTCTGCAATCTTTTACCTCACTAGCTTTTTAATGGTACATTTCTGAAAGCCATGGAAGACGGAGGCGTCAAGCTTCTGAAAGAAAGATTAGAGAAATTCTTCCATCGGGTAAGTATTTTGAATTTCATTTATAACTTTACTAAGCATTCATCAGGTTTTTAGAGAAATATAGACAGACAAGTTTGTTTCTTATCTACAAAAAACCCAGAACTTGAAAGTGGCAAAGAGCCTGAGACAGACCGTCGCAAAACTGGAGCAGCGAGGAAACGCATGAGGCGTGTGCTCTGGAACCTTCCCTCCAGCTGTGGTGTAAGGCAGAGCTTCCTGCGTTTGCCCGGGGCTCTTAAAGGGTCCTGGAGACATCGTTTGGCCTCCCTGTGTTTTACCTGCATCTGTCCTTCTGGGCTTACTCAGCAGCCATCTTTTGTGTGATAGATTAGTTGATAAGGAAAACTTAATTATTGGAGTTGCACAATCTCAGGGATTGGTTCTGTTCACTAAACGGGCGTAAACTGTCTTGATGTAGGTAAGAGTTATTGGCCTTGACAGACTTTGTCAGATTAGCGATTGGGGAGATTTGTTCCAAGTGCTGTCCTCTTTCGTTGTAATTGAATTTTGCATGTTTCACCCTACCTTGTCAAGCTCAGTTTATCTTTTTTTTTAAAAGGAAACAAAGAGACAGGGTCTTGTCTTGGCTGTTTTGCCCAGGCTGGTTTCAAGCGATCTTCCCTCCTTGGCCTCCCAAAGTGCTGGGGTTAAAGGCGTGAGCCAACTCGCCTAGCCTAGTTTATCTTGAAGCAACAATTCTCAATTTATTTTCTTCTGAAAATACCTTCTGTATCTATTTTTGAATTCGACTTTCTAAAACAGCTTTCATAGCTATTTTTGAATTTTTTTGTTTCTCTGAATTACTTTTCTTTGTTGTTTTGTCATTTTAATGACCACAATTATCCACTCGCATATTATCTCCTGGTTTCTGTTCTTGTCCTCATTTCTCTCTTACCCGTCAACATATGGATAGAACTGTTGTCCTGAGTACATATCATTTAGACATGATTTTAGTATAAGATGGCACTCTTGGCTGGGTGTGGTGGCTTACGCCTGTAATCCCAGCACTTTGGGAGGCCGAGGCGGGCAGATCTTGAGGTCATGAGTTCGAGACCAGCCTGGCCAACATGGTGAAACCTCGTCTCTACTAAAAAATACCAAAAAACTAGCTGGGCGTGGTGGCGCACGCCTGTAATCCCAGCTATTCTGGAGGCTGAGGCAGGAGAATCGCTTGAACCCCAGAGGCAGAGGTTGCAGTGAGCCGAGATCGCACCGCTGCACTCCAGCCTGGGTGACAGACCAAGACTCCATCTCGGGGGGGAAATAAAGATGGCACTCTCTGTAGTATTAATGGATAGATCCCTCATTAGGTTAGTCTAATTTGAAGAGCATTAAGGCAGGGAGTTAATTTTTTTTTTTTTTTTTGAGACAGAGTCTTACTCTTGTCACCCAGGCTAGAGTGCAATGGTGTGATCTTGGCTCACTGCAACCTTAGTCTCCCAAGTTCAAGTGATTCTCCTGTCTCAGCCTCCTGAATAGTTGGGATTACAGGCTACCACGCCCGGCTAATGTTGTAATTTTATTAGAGACGGGGTTTTGCCATGTTGGCGAGGCTGGTCTCAAACTCCTGACCTCAAGTGATGTGCCCGCCTTGGCCTCCCAAAGGGCTGGGATTACAGGCGCGAGCCGCTGTGCCTGGCCAGGAATTAAATACTTGAAAGTGCTAGCTGGGCACAGTGGCTCATGCCTGTATTCCCAGCGCTTTGGGATGCCTAGACACGAGAATCACGGAGGCCAGAAGTTCAAGACCAGCCTAGGCAACATAGCAAGACTCTGTCTATACCAAAAAAAAAAAAAAATTTTTGGCCAGGCGTGGTGGCTCACACCTCTAATCCCAGCACTTTGGGAGGCTGAGGCAGGCAGATCACGAGTCAGGAGATTGAGACCATCCTGGCTAACATGGTGAAACCCTGTCTCTACTAAAAATGGAAAAAAATAGCTGGGCATGGTGGCAGGCGCCTGTAGTCCCAGCTGCTCAGGAGGCTGAGGCAGGAGAATGGTGTGAACCTGGAAGGCGGAGCTTGCAGTAAGCTGAGATCGCACCACTGCACTCCAGCCTGGATGACAGAGCAAGACTCTGTCACAAAAAAATAAATTTAAAGCAGTAAAACACAATACTGAATAAACATTAAGTAGATAGTTTGAACTTTGTATCTTGGAATTGGTACTGAGTTGACACTCAGTCACCCATGTCTTCACCACGGCCTCATTGTTGTGCTGTTTGCTAGTATGTAATTGTACCATAAATGTGAGTCTGACATAAGATTATTTTCAGTTATCAAGGAGCATTATATTCAGTGTACTATTAGTAAATTTTATGCCTTATTTTTTTTCCACAGTATTTGCAAACGCTACATTTGCAGTCATGTGACCTACTTGACATTTTTGGTGGAATCAGCTTCTTCCCGTTGGATAAAATGACTTATTTGAAAATCCAGTCCTTTATTAATAGAATGGAGGAAAGCCTGAATATAGTCAAATACACTGCTTTTCTCTATAACGATCAGCTCATCTGGTAGGTACACCCCGAGGCATGGTATTAAAAGAAGAAATTAAGATAATAAAAACAGCAGTGACTGGATTGATGACAGGTTGTCAAACAGGAACTTGCAGCGGGGAGGATGGGTAGGAAGCATCTTCATAGATATTGTCAAAATAAAGCAGTGATTATTTAAAGCAGAACTAGGGTGATTTGGGTTCAAATTTCCAAGCAGAGGAGTTTAAAACTGGCTGCATGAAAGATGAAAGGCTGGGCACGGTGGCTCACACCTGTAATCTTAGCACTTTGGGAGGCCAAGGCAGGTGAATCACGAGGTCAGGAGTTGGAGACCAGCCTGGTCAACATAGTGAAACCCTGTCTCTACTAAAAATACAAAAATTAGCTGGGCGTGGTGGTGCATGCCTGTAATCCCAGCTACTCAGGAGGCTGAGGCAGGAGAATCACTTGAACCCGGGAGGCGGAGGTTGCAGTGAGCCGAGATGGCACCACTGTACCCCAGCCTGGCAACAGAGAGAGACTCTGTCTCCAAAAAAAAAAAAAGAATGTTCCTATCAAGTAAGATTTAGGAATCCTGTTTTTATTTTGGAGTTTTTTTTTCTGAAATGATAAATGTTAAAAGCAGAATTTTTATACCTTTTTTTTTTTTTTTTTTTTTTTCTTATAGAGATGGGGTTTACTGTGTTGCCCAGGCTGGTCTCAAACTCCTGGCCTCAAGCGATCCACCCGCCTCAGCCTCCCAAAGTGCTGGGATTACAGGCACGAGCCACTGCACCTACTTTCTTTTAAAGAAACTAGATTTTTTTTAATCCAAGAAATCCAAAGTGTTATATAAACCAGGAAATTACCTGCTATCGTGAAACTAGGTTTGTGTCCTGCAGTAGGAACAACGTGGGCACAAGACTGCCCAGCATATATGACCCCTGAGAGCTGGGTGGCAACCGAGGTTGTGCACATTTGGCCTAGAGTAGGTGGACAGAAGTCATCAAGGCTTGCAGCTGTTCCGGGACCCTCAAGTTTTATGTTCCCATTGACTAGAGCCCTCTTTCTTTCTTTCTTTCTTTCTTTCTTGTCTTTCTTTCTTTCTTGTCTTTCTTTCTTTCTTTCTTTCTTTCTGTCTGTCTTTCTTTCTGTCTTTCTTTCTTTCTTGTCTTTCTTTCTTTCTTGTCTTTCTTTCTTTCTTTCTTTCTGTCTGTCTTTCTTTCTGTCTTTCTTTCTGTCTTTCTTTCTTTCTTTCTAACGGAGTCTCACTCTGTTGCCAGGCTGGAGTACAGTGGCGCGATCTTGGCTCACTGCAACTTCCCCTTCCTGGGTTCAAGCGATTCTCCTGCCTCAGCCTCCCAGGTAGCTGGGATTACAGGCATATGCCACCATGCCCGGCTAATTTTTGTATTTTCAGTACAGACAGGGTTTTACCATGTTGGCCAGGCTGGTCCTAAACTCCTGACCTCAGGTGATTCGCCTGCATTGGCCTCCCAAAGTGCCGCGATTACAGGTGTGAGCCACCGCACCTGGCCTAGCCCCGTTTCTTAATTAGGGGTGTGGCCATATGGTACTACTATAAGGTAAGTTCAGCTAATAGAAAAGGCAAAACTAGTTCCCCTAAAATTTACCTTCCCTGCCAAAATCTTGTAGCTCCATTTTAAGAAGAGAAACAAGTTACTGTAAAGAAATTTGAATCCAGTTAATAAACAACTTGGTGGGTTTCCACATGAACTTTATCTCCTAGGAAGACAACACAAATTTCAGGTGAAACCCATCTACTTTTTTTTTTGTTTTTGAAATGGAGTCGCTTTCTGTTGCCCAGGCTGGAGTGCAGTGGCATGATCTTGGCTTGCTGCAACCCCTGCCTCCTGGGTTCAAGCAATTCTCCTGCCTCAGCCTCCCGAGTAGCTGGGATTACAGGTGAGTACCACAACACCCAGCTAATTTTTGTAGAGACGGGGTTTTACCATGTTGGCCAGGCTGGTCTCGAACTCCTGACCTCAAAGGATCCGCCCACCTCGGCCTCCCAGTGCTGGGATTACAGGTGTGAGCCACTGTGCCCGGCCTCCACCTACTTTCTAATTTGACAAATAGTTTATCAGGCAACCTTACGCTGTACTGACTCAGCTATAGTTGCTTTCTGTGATATGTACACAATGTTACTAAAGTGAAATTCTGCTGTGAAATGTAGGAGATGGGAGGCTAGTTGTGCTTCTGTAGCATCAGGTCTGCAGAGGGATGGCTCCTCCACAGATGGAAATGACAGGACGTGCTTGCAAATCACACGCAGCCACGGCGATAGGGAGATGTCGTGTGACAAGCCAGAATCCAGCAGTAGTGGCCCATGGCCTTGCTTCCACCAAAAAGAGAAGGGTAGCTGAGATTCTGATCTCTGGGACAGAACACAAGCCCCGCCATGGGTGCAAACTCCTGAGAGTGAGGAAGAGGGAAGGCTTAGAGCAGAGGGTCTTCCAGGAGCTCATTCTGGGAGACCCTGGAGCCAGAGTGACCAGCAGCGTTGGCCCTTTGAAGCCTGGAGTCACAGGACAATCTGGCGCCCAGCTCTGGGGATCCTGTTGGCATCGTCATCTTGGAATAGCATCTGAGGGGTTGAGCAGGGCACAGCTCTGGTGGCTGCACAGAACTGCTCGGTTGTCACCTCCAGTGTGCTCGTGGGGAAAGGTCAGTCCCAGGAAGTAGCAACAAAAATAACCTTCAAGAAAAACAGCCTCTTACTCCAGGCGCCAACGCTTACACCTGTCATCCCAGCACTTTGGGAGGCTGAGGCAGGAGGATCACTTGAGACCAGGAGTTCAAGACCAGCCTGGGCAGCATAGTGAGACTGTATCTCTACAAAAAATGCAAAAAAAAAATTAGCTGGGCATTGTGGTGTGCACTTAGAGTCCCAACTACAGAGACTACAGAGGTTGAGGCTGGAGAATCACTTGAGCCTGGAAGTTTGAGGTTGCAGTGAGCTATGATAGCACCACTGTACTCCAGCCTGGGTGACAGAGCAAGACCCTGTCTAAGAAAAAGAAAAACAGCACGTTTTGATGGAATTGCTTATTCCAAAGCTGTTATATTAAATACCAAAAAGACTTTTAAGCCAGGCGTGGTGCACATACCTATAGTCCCAGCTACTGGGGAGGAGGAGGCAGAAGGATCGCTTGAGCCAGGAGTTACTTGGAGACCAGCCTGGACAATATAATGAGGCTCTGTCTCTACCAAAAAGTGGAAAAAAAACATTTGTCACAAGCAGAGTATATATTACCCTTATGTATTTACTTAGTATATTGCTTTGATTTTTTTTTTTTGAGACTGAGTCTCATTTGCTTGGTTGCCCAGGCTAGAGTGCAGTGGTGTGATCTCAGCTCACTTCAGCCTGCGCCTCCCAGGTTCAAGCGATTCTCATGCCTCAGTCTCCCAAGTAGCTGGGATTAGAGGTGTGTGCTATCAGGCCTAGCAAATTTTTATATTTTTTAGTAGAGACGGTGTTTTGCCATGTTGGCCAGGCTGGTGTTGAATCCCTGACCTTAGGTGATCTGCTCACCTTGGCTTCCCCAAGTGCTGGGATTACAGGTGTGAGCTTCCGCGCCCGACCACCTTCACGGTATTTCAGTGATCTTGAATAGAAAACGCCCAGATCCAGCCTCATTGTCTGTCTCCTTTTAAAAAACCGGTTCCAGAGTCTGATACCTGCTAGTTTCTCTGTGCTTTTTCCATGTGCTGCTCCTTCCTGCCTCATTTCAGATCAGATGGTTTGCCTGAAAGCTTGTTTTTCTCTTCCTCCTCTTTCTTCACCGAAGATCCGGAGAATTAAAATCCATGTACATTTCTGAGACCTAGGATCACGTTCCCTGTCTACAGCATACCCATATTTTCCCAGGGGACTAGGGGAGAGAATGTGGCATTACCATATAACCCAGGAAGCTAAGAGACATCTGCTCCTAAAATGAAACAGTGTGGCTTTGGAGGTTTCCTGCATAATCCTACACGGAATTCAACCAGCGAGTCCAATCCCTTGTGACTTTTTTTTTCATCTCAAATGGCATGTAAAATACAGGACTGTAGGAGTAGCCTTTTGCAGGTCAGGATAAAGTTCCAGTGCCTGGGCTGAAGTTTAACTCTTTACCTTCCTTAACTTCGCGGTCAGGTGGTGAGCCTCTTGATATAATGTTAAAGAAAAAAGCACCAGTTGTCCCAGCTACTCAGGAGGCTGAGGTGGGAGGTTTGCTTGAGCCTGGGAATCGGTGGCTGCAGCAAGCTGTGGTCACACCACTGTAATCCAGCCTGGGCGACAGACGAGACTCATCTCTTGAAAAATGAAAAAAGATGAGACCAGGCACAGTGGCTCACATATGTAATCCCAGCACTTTAGGAGGCTGAGGCGGGAGCACTGCTTGAGTCCAGGAGTTCGAAACCAGCCTGGCAACGTAGCAAGACCCCCATCTCTACATAAAATACAAAAATTAGCTGATGGTGGCGCATGCCTGTAGTCCCAGCTAGTCTGGAGGCTGAGATGGGAGGACCGCTTGAGCCCTGGAGGCCAAGGCTGCAGTGAGCCATGATCGCACCACTGCTTCCAGCCTGGGTGACAGAGCAAGACCTTGTCTCAAAAAAAAAAAAGAAAAAAAAATTTTTTTTTAATAAAAAATGAGCTTTATCCAGGGCTTCAAATTCTTTGGAAAAGTTTGACAAAGTATACCACGTAAATTCAGATTTACCTCAATGCTAAGAATTATGTTTAGGAAAAAGGAAACTCATTTTGATCTCAGGTAGAAAAATAGATTGCTTTGAGTTTTAAGTAGCTTTAAACTTTAAAAAGTTAGAATTTATTCTGTGTTACTAAAAATGACTTGAAAAAAAAATTTTTGTTTAATGAGCTTTATCACAGCAGTGGAAAGACAGAAGACAGTTCGAAACGTTTAACCCAGTGCTTTTCTGTTGTTGCAGGAGTGGATTAGAACAAGATGACATGAGAATTTTATACAAATACCTTACCACCTCCCTTTTCCCAAGGCACATCGAACCTGAGGTATGATGGGTACCATAGCTGCACACAATTACATGCAGGGGCACAGAGAGGGCAGGTGGAGTGAGATGGTGGTGCATGGGGGTGTTTCTGATCGTTTCTGATGTATGTTTTGTCTTAGTGTGTTATTTATGTCACTGTATATCAATTAGCACAGAAAACCACATGCAGCTCTCCTCCAGTATGTGACATTCAGATGTGATACAGAAAGCATCGTTTTGTGTGTCTGTGTGTTGGTTTTTTTGTGTGTGTTTTTGTTTGTTTGGTTTTTGAGACGGAGTCTCGAACTTTCACCTGGGATGGAGAGGTTCAAGCAATTCTCCTTGCCTCGGCCTCCCTAGTACCTGGGATTACAGGCGCCCGCCACCACGCCCAGCTAATTTTTTTGTATTTTTAGTAGAGACAGGTTTCACTATGTTGGCCAGGCTGGTCTCGAACTCCTGACCTTGTGATCTGCCCACCTTGGCCTCCCAAAGTGCTAGGATTACAGGCGTGAGCCACTGCCCCCAGTCCACAAAGCATGTTTTTAAGAGGAGTGAGTCATTGAGTAGAGGAAAATTGGATTTTATTTTACTTTTAATTTATGTATTTTATTTTATTTATTTATTTATTTATTTATTGGGACAGAGTTTCGTTCTTTTCGCCCAGGCTGGAGTGCAGTGGTTTAATCTCAGCTCACTGCAACTTCCGCTTCCTGGATTCAAACAATTCTCCGGCCTCAGGCTCCCAAGTAGCTGAGATTATAGGCACCTGCCACCATGCCTGGCTAATTTTTATATTTTTAGTAGAGATGGAGTTTCACCATGTTGGCCAGGCTGGTCTCGAACTCCTGACCTCAGGTGATTGACCTGCGTCAGCTTCCCAAAGTGCTGGGATTACAGGCGTGAGCTACTGCTCCTGGCCAAAAAAATTGGATTTTAGGTTGGGTTCTAGAAACCTTTAAAATGCCAGTGATCTTTAAAACAATCAACCTGTGTAGTATTTTCCTCTATCAACAGGAGACCTAATTTTCAGTAGATGTTTTAGTGCCTACCTGGCTTTCCACTCTAGTACTTAATTTCCTGGTTTCCTGCAGAGAACTTTTAAATGATATCACTGTGTTCTCCCCAAAGTATTTTCAGAGCTTAACACACAAAAATCATTTTGGCTCAGTTGAACTCACTCTCTTCGCTTGTTCATTCCCTCCCTCTTGTCCTCCCGCTCTCCAATATTTTTTTTAAGAGATGAGGTCTCACTTTGTTGACTCGGATGGTCTCAAACTCTTGGGCTCAAGCGGTCCTGTCACCTCAGCCTCCCAAGTAGCTGAGACTACAGGTGTGTGCCACCACACCTGGTTAATTTTTTGTAGAGATGGGATCTCGTCATGTTGCCCAGGCTGTTCTCAAACTCCTGGGCTCAAGTAATCTGCCTGCCTTGGCCTCCCAAAGTGCTGGGATTATAGGCGTGAGCCACCTCACCTGGCCAAAAATTTAAAAACTAGCCAGGTTTGGTCACACATGCCTCTATCAGGAGGCTGAGGTGGGAGGGTTGCTTGAGCCTAGGAGTTCAAGGCTATAGTGAGCCATGATCATGCTGCATGCATTCCAGCCTGGGCAACAGAACAAGATCCTGTCTCTAAAAGAAAAAGACAAATGGCATGGAACCAATTAGTAGATAATGCTGTTTTTCAAAGCTTGGAAAATAAATAAAAAGTCTGATAAGTCATTCTCAACATTAAATGTATTTGCAGTTAGCAGGAAGGGATTCTCCAATAAGAGCAGAAATGCCAGGAAATCTTCAACACTATGGAAGGTAGGACTTCTGTTCTTTGATTTATGATACTGGGTTTTCTTTCTTTTTTGACTCAGAGTCTGGCTCTGTTACCCAGGCTGGAGAGCAGTGGCAAGATCTCCGCTCACTGCAACCTCTGCCTCCCCGGGCTCAAGTGATTCTCATGCCTCAGCCTCCCAAGTAGCTGGAACTACAGGCATGAGCCACTATGCCTGGCTAATTCATTTTGTATTTTTAGTAGAAACAGGGTTTCATCATGTTGGCCAGGCTGGTCTTGAACTCCTGACTTCAAGTGATCCACCTGCCTTGGCCTCCCAAAGTGCTGGGATTACAGGTGTGATCCACCATGCCTGGCCTATTATCTTTTTGGTAAAGATAATATGGACATTGAAATATCTTTGTGCCATCTGATTGACAGTAATCAACAAAGGAAAGTTTGTTGTTTCCAATGAGTTAAAACTTACTTCAGCATACCCTTTTTTTTTTTTTTTTTTTTTTTTTGAGATGGAGTGTCTCTCTGTCGCTCAGGCTGGAGTGTGGAGTACAGTGGCACGATCTCAGCTCACTGCAGCCTCCATCTCCTGGGTTCAAGCAATTCCCCTGCCTCAGCCTCTCTAGTAGCTGGGATTGCAGGTGCCCACCACCAGAACCAGCTAATTTTTGTAGTTTTAGTAGAGATGAGGTTTTGCCATGTTGGCCAGGCTGCCCTTGAACTCCTGACTTCAGGTGATCCACCCAGCTCAGCCTCCCAAAGTGCTGGGATTACAGGCATGAGCCACCACGCCCAGCCGGCCTATTCTGATATGGTGTTTGCCAAATAGCAGCTGGCATCAAAAGCAACTGGTGTGTATGAAGTGGGAGTGTGTTCTGTTTCTAGATTCCTGATTCTCCTTCACCTCGTTGAATCAAGTCATGTCTGTTCTTGCTTTTAAGATTTCTTACCGGACCCTTGAACCTCAATGATCCAGATGCAAAATGCAGATTCCCCAAAATTTTTGTAAATACAGATGACACTTATGAAGAGCTCCATTTAATCGTTTATAAGGTAACAACTGTTTTCCTTCCAGCGTTAATGATTGTGCTGAAATGGATCTTTCTTGCATGTGTACACGAGTGCATGTGCAAACCTCTTAAATGTTTCTTGGAAAAGATATTGGAAGTTCTGATTATGGTAAAACTCAAAATGGGTGTTCTTCCAGCGTAATAAGTTTATTTTCAGCTCCTTTTAAACAGTTCTGTTATTAGTGAAAGAGGAACTGTTTAAGATTGTGATTTATAAACGTGTGAAGTCTCACGTGCTCTCAAACCAAAGGCTGTCAGAGGTTGGTGCTGCCTGTTCTCGAAATGGCTCTGGATGGGGGCCGTAGCCACGTGTCTGTGCATATGCTGCTTTTGCTCTGATTTTAAAGCTGTAGGCTTGCTAATTCCATAAGGATCGTATTTTGTTTCTGTCAGGACATGGTCTTGTAAGGATATGTACTCAGGTTGTGTTTCTAATTAAAGGCAGTTTTTGATTCAAGAAAGAAGACGGAGCATGTGCACGTGTTTATCCTCTTTCCTGCCTGAGGCTGTGGAGAAGTTTTCATTTATAAAGGCTCAGAAATGATGCCGTGGGGGAACAGGAAGGAGCGGGATGTGTCAGGATGAGGGAGTCCTGTCCCTCTCTGGAAGGTAGACGGGACTTGTAAACCATGCCTGATAGAGGGCGGTGCCGGAGCAGGCCTGGAATATGAGTGGCAACCCTGTGCTAAGGCAAGGACCCACAGCCCTGTGGAAGCCCAGAGAGGCTCCTGACTTGGAGGAGGTCACCTGAGGAGTCAGAGTGGGGCCTGGGCCTGGAAAGGTGGGGAAGGGAAGTGAAGTGTGGCAGAGAGGCCAGTCAGCCTCCCCTTCCCCCATCCTTGCACAGACAGGCCCACGGCTGAGCATCCATCCCTGGGTGACAATCGAGGGTCTGTTTAAAGAAAGGAAACAGTCTGAAGAGACCCAGAGTGGCTAACGTGGATGTCTGCCCCTGAGAATGAGGCCCTGCTCATTCTGGCATTTCTTTCTTCCAGACAGAACTGAGACCTTCATCCTACACTCAGAGTGAAGCCTCCATCTCTGGTCAGCCTTCTGGTTCCCTCATTGTTAAATATGGCTGCAAAAACAAAACTAGAGGTCTCGAAAGAAACATGATTCCGAGGACAGACGAGAACTTTAAAAATTAGTATCCACTAATTAGAAGAGTTGTATCTATTAATATAAAATTGAAATGGGCCAGGTGCAGTCCCAGCACTTTGGGAGGCCAAGGTGGGAGGATCACTTGAGGCCAGGAGTTGGAGGCCAGCCTGGGCAACATAGTAAGACCCTGTGTCGACAGGAAAATGTTTAAAAATTAGCCAGGCATGGCAGTGCTCATGTGTAGTCCCAGCTACTCAGGAGGCTGAGGCAGGAGAACCGCTTGAGCCCAAGAGTTGGAGGATGTAATGAGCTATGATCACACCACTGCATTCTAGCCTGGGTGACAGAGTGAAACCCTCTCAAAAATAATGAAACTGGTATCAACAGTTTCATATCCAGCACCAGACATTATGTGACAGTGGAAGAGAGACTTTCAAAGTTCTGAGAGAAAATGAATTTGAGCATAGAGTTCTTTGCCATGCCAAGCTGTCAACCACAGATAAGACAAAAGAAAGACATTAGCCGGGGCATGGTGGCTCACGCCTATAATCCCAGCACTTTGGGAGGCCAAGGTGGGCGGATCACCTGAGGTCTGGAGTTCGAGACCAGCCTGGCCAACATGGGGAAACCCTGTCTCTACTAAAAATACAAAAAATCAGCCAGGTGAGGTGGCGCACGCCTCTAATCCCAGCTACTCCGGAGGCTGAGGCAGGAGAATCACTTGTACCCGCGAGGCGGAGGTTGCAGTGAGCTGAGCTTACGCCACTGTGCTCCAGTCTGGGCAACAGAGCAAGACTCTGTCTCAGAAAGAAAAAAAAAAACACGTTCAACATGAAAAGCCTCAAAAAGTTTACCGTCATGCACCCTTCCTGAGGGTGTTACACAGGGTCATCCGTCAGCAGAATAAGTGAGCACACCAAGAAGGAACACTTGGGAATCCAGAACAGTAGTTCTCATGTGTGAGACGGTACAAGGAAATCTTGGGGTGATAAGGCTCTTCAGGTCTGCTGGCGGCACCCCACCTCCAGCAGCTCCGTGACAGCAGGAGGAGGGAGGGCTCTAGGGTTCAAGCCGCCAAGATAAAAAGATGTTTCATTCATCACATGGTGTGCTTGAGAGTCACTTAAAGTTGGGCTGTGACAGACTGGCAGGGAAGGGGAGATTGCAGGCAGAGCATACAGAAAGATGTGGTCTGAAAAAGCAAACCAAAATGTTGGAGGTGTAATTCAGAGCAGGAATTGGAGTAGGAAGAATGTCCGTTTGTGTATCGAGTGAAAGTTTGAGACCCCATCTCAAGAAAAAAATCATCCTCCTTTGAATGACCCAGGTAATGACTGAAATCTCCATAACCCTGGTGTGTAATATGCTGTCGGCTGCATTTCTATTTTTAGAGTCAATCTACAGACATATTGTGGGGTGTGATGATGGGGTTGTGGCTATGTTAAAGGGTCCTTACCTTTTTCTTAATGACTTTGAGATACAATGCACGTACCATACAACTCACCCTCCTACACTTAAAATGTACAGTTCAGTGATTTCTAGTTGCAAAGTTCATGAGTCTCCAAGACCATCCTCACTTCTGACACCCACTGCGAGTTTGGGAGTCCCCGTGACCACCTTTAGGGTAAGAGTTCTCTAGAAGTACTACAGGACTCAGAAAAGGCTTTCTACAGCAGTACCCCCGAGCCAAAGGCCATGTGTTCCAAAACCCCCGGGAGGTGCCTGAAACCGGGGACAGTACCAAACCCTTCACTTGCTGTGTTTTTTCCTGTACATACATGCCTGTGATAATGTTTATAAATTCAGTACAGTAAGCGATTAATAAGGCTGGGCGCAGTGGCTCACACCTGTAATCCCAGCACTTTGGGAGGCCGAGGCAGGCAGATCACTTGAGGCCAGGAACTTGAGACCAGCCTGGCCAGTGTGGTGAAACCCTGCCTCTACTATAGATAGAAAAATTAGCCAGGCATGGTGGCATGCACATGTAATCCAAGTTACTCAGGAGGCTGAGTCAGGAGAATCTCTTGAACCTGGGAGGCGGAGGTTGCAGTGAGCCAAGATCGTGCCACTGCACTCCAGCCTGGACAAGAGTGAGACCCCATCTCAAAACAAGTAATAGTAATCATAATTGGACGATGACACTCTACTGCAATAAAAGTCATGTGAATGCGGTTTGCTTCCCCCTTCCCTCAATATTTTATTATACTGTCCCTCACATAACAGAAACCATGGGAAACAAAACCAGGGGGAAGGAAGAATGGCGGCACTCACAGCTGCGGTTTATTACAGTGGAAGAATACAGGTTAAAATCAGCCCGGGGAAGAGGCGTGTGGGGCAGGGCCCAGGAGCCACCAATGGAAGGACCAGGAGTCCTTCTATTTGCTTTAGGTTGGTTTGGGTTGGTTTGGTTTTTTGGGTTTTTGTTTTGTTTTTTGTTTTTTTTTTTTTTGGTTTTTTGGTTTTTGAGATGGAGTCCCACTCTGGTGTGAGCTTCCGGCTGTCCTCTCCCGTTGGGGTCATGTGGACAGCCCAGTGAGTGTTTCCCCATCGAGGATGTGTGGCTGTGTCTGTGGAGTGTTGACATCCAGGGAAGCTCACCTGAGCCTCGAGATCCAGAGATCTGATTGGGGGTTGGCCACAGAGACACAGCTGGCCCCACATGGCCAGCCTTAGTCTCCAGCCCTCCAGAGGTGGAGCGGGTGCTGTGCGGGCTTGGGTGTAAGGGATATTGGCCTGTAGTTTTGTTTTCTTGTGATATCTTTGGGCAATGCTGGCTTGATAAAATGTGTTGGGAAATGTTCCCTCCTATTTTTTTGGAAGACAGTGAAAAATTGGTGTTAATTCCTCTTTACATGTTTCATAGAATTCACAGTCAAGCTCTCTGCACCTGGGCTTTTCTTTGTGGCAAATTTTAAAGTTAACCATTTATGCCCAGTGTTCCATTATTGGAACACTAAGCTTGTGAGAGTTATTTATATCCTGCTGAAGGTCATTGCCAAGGTCTCATTTTTCACAAAAAAGATTTACAACCTCCAGCATAAATGGGTTAATCTCTGTACTTGTTACAGGTTTATTTTGATTTTGTTTCTTCTTGAGTCAGCTTTGGTAGTTTGTGTCTTTCTAGGAATTTGTCAGCTTCAATTAATTTATTTGATTTGTCGGCACGTGGTTTTTCATGGTATTGTAGGTAAAGCCGGATACTCCTTCGTTTTTCCTGTAAAGTCAGTAGTGATGTCTCCTCTTTCATTCCTGGTTTTAGTAATTTGAGTCTTCTCTCTTTGTTTCTTGTTGTATAGTCTAGCTAAAGGTTCTTCATACTTCTGGAATCTTCACAAGAAAAAGGAAAAGTTTTTCAATGTTGGGTCTTTTCAGAGAACAACTTTTGGTTTCATTTATTATCTCTGTGATTTTTCTCTGTTGAGTTTGTTTCTGCTCTCATGCTTTATTATTTCCTTCCATTTGCTTTAGGTTTGTTTGGGTTTTTTTGTTTTTGTTTTTGTTTTTTTTGAGACGGAGTCCTGCTCTGTCACCCAGGCTGGAGTGCAGTGGCACAGTCTCAGCTCACTGCAACCTCTGCCTCCCAGGTTCACATGATTCTCTTGCCGCAGCCTCCTGAGTAGCTGGGATTATAGGCGCACCACCACGCCCGGCTAATTTTTTTGTACTTTTAGTAGAGATGGGGTTTTGCCATGTTAGCCAGGCTGGTCTCAAACTCCTGACCTCAGGTGATCCGCCCACCTCGGCCTCCCAAAGTGCTGGGCTTACAGGTATGAGCCACCACACCCGGCCCCACTTGCTTTAGGTTTAGTTGACTCCTGTTGTCCAGGATCTTAAGACGAAAGGTCAGGTCACTGATTTGAGATCTTTCTTCTCTTGAGACAGGATCTCGCTCTCGGAAGTGGGAAGAGGTACTGGGGCAGGTGGGAATGTGAGTTCAGGAGCGGAGGCTGTGGCTGGTGGAAGGCGGCCAGCGGAGGAAATAGAATGCTATAAACCATAGAGGAGGAGGGGGAAGGCAGACGAGGGGTCACACCTGTCATGACATGAGCAGGAAGTCAGTACGATGCCCAAAGAGGATACGTTGAAGAGTTAGGATAACGCTGTTGTCTAATGACAGTGTAAAGTGGTTGCCGGGGAGGAGGGTCAGAGAACGAAATCTGTGGCTTTCATCATCAGGCCTGGTGTTCTGCTCAGCCTCTCTTAACCATACATTGCTTTGATAACTTTTAAACATTTTTGGTTATCTGTGGTCCTGGTTGTTGTCGGTTGCTAGGTCTAATGTCATAACTGTAATTACTTGCTATAATAAAGTGAGACAGGATGATATCCATTTGCTGTCTTTGTAAACGTGTGTCAATGGAAATCGTCACAGAATAATGGACAGTTTCTGCCAATTCTCTATTCTCTCTGGACTATACACAGAGAGATTAGAACAGTGAACCCCTAAGTCCCCATCACACAAGTGAATAAGATTCTGGTCTTCGTTGCTTCTCCATGTTGTGTTGTCGGGTTTGCAAGAGCATTTTAAGTCATCACGTCAGTCACGAACACTTCCCTGTGCCTCTCTGATGAGGACATCCGTGGTAACCTCCCCACTGGCGCTGTCACACCTGACAAGGTCAACAGCACTCCCCTCGCATCATGGAATGGGCAGTCTGTGTCCAGATGGCTCTAGTTGACCAAAAAGCAGCTTCTTACAGTTGACTTCTCCCCATTGACTTTGAACAGATTGTTATTATACGAAAGTCTCCTTTTTTCCACCATTTCATAACCTCTGGTTTGTTCTGTCTTCCCAGGCCATGAGTGCGGCTGTGTGCTTTATGATCGACGGTGGGTACGCGCCTTTGTCTGATTTCAGCCTAAGCTTTTTGTACTTTGCTGCATCCTATTCTTAAGTGATAAATATGTTTTGGGGGTTTCGGTTGTTTGGGGTTTTTTTGTTGGAGACGGGGTTTCACTCTTGGAGTGCAGTGGCATGATCATAGCTCACTGTAGCCTCGACCTCCTGGGTTCAAGTGATCTTCCCACCTTGGCCTCCTAAGTCGCTGGGACTGCCAGTACACACCGCCGGACCCAGCTAATGTTTTTGTGGTTGTTTGTTTAGACAGGGTCTCACTATGTTGCCCGGGCTGGTGTCAAACTCCTGGGCTCAAGCGATCCACCCATCTTAGCCTCCCAAAGTGCTGGGATTTCGGGCGTGAGCCCCCACACCCAGCCCATTAAATGATAAATGTGTTGTCATAAGCAATATAGAGGCATAGAGAGGAGCCCTGTTCCCCATCTGGGACCCCCCTGTCTCCTTAACTAGCCAGTGCTCATATTTTTTAAGTCCTAGTTTTCCCGCTAGTCAGCAGTAGAGTGTGGGCATCTTTCTGTGTCCCACCGACTGCGAGCTGGAGACAGCAGTGGTACCTCTCTCGGGGGGGTTCTGAGGATCGAATGAGGTCATGTCTGTGAAGCACCTGGCCCATGAGTGCTACGTAATGTTTGTTAAATAAACATACGACCTTCTGAGGTCTTTCTGGGGTAGGCAACCGTTTACCACCCTACAGGGTGTGCCTCGGTCAGCTTTTCACGGTGAGATAGGTCTTCGCCCTTTTTTCATCTGAAATGTAACCGGTTTTCTATCTTCTGTTTCTCTTCTATTTGAGGAGCAGAAGGGGGCCTGAGCATTCATTGTTTGTTTTCCCAGACCAGTGAAGTTTTCGTTTGAATACTGTTGTTCAGTGTCGCACAGTAAAATGAATCTTACTGGTATTTTTTGTCATGACTTGCCAGCCTCTGTCCACCCAACGTTGGATTTTTGCCGAAGACTGGACAGCATCGTTGGGCCCCAGCTCACAGTGCTGGCCTCTGACATCTGTGAACAGTTTAACATCAACAAGAGGATGTCTGGGTTTGTACTTTGCTTTCGGTTCACTTTCAGGCATTGAACGGCTTTTGAAATACACGTAGTTTTCACTTACAAATACGGGTGGTATTAACAGTCCTGTGTTCTCGTGGACTGTAGAGGATGGTGCTACGTGCCATTCAGGCCTCTGTCTGAAAGGGTCCCGGGGACAGTCACCCTGAGTGTTTCTGCCCCACGCTGGCAGCTGGGGCTGGGCCTTCTGGTAAATACCTTCCCTCAGCTCCCCCCGAATGGAACGTCCCATTTCACCAGCCCAGATTGTTACGTTCACTTGGACAGTAGTCATCGGCGTGGTCTTGGTGTGCACAGACTGAAAGCATTTTGCCTCTCGTTGTGTGAAAATGTGTAGGGGAAACTGGCTGGGATGTGGGGCACTGGGCCTGGGTACTCAGTCTGGCAGCCTGAAGTGTCTACACTGAGTGGGAGAGGCGGGATTCACTCCTCCGGCTCTCTAGACACTGAAATGTCCTTGAATTCTTTCTCCCTGGCTTTTTTTTTGAGACAAATTCCCACTCTGTCGCCCAGGCTGGAGTGTGCAGTGGCTTGATCTTGGCTCACTGCAGCCTCCGCCTCCCAGGCTCAAGCGATTCTCATGCCTCATCCTCTTGAGTAGCTGGGATTACAGGCGTGCACCACCATGCCCGGCTCCTTTTTGTATTTTTAGTAGAGACGGTTTCACCATGTTGGCCAGATTGGTCTTGAACTCCTGACCTCAAGTGATCCACCTGCCTCAGCCTCCCAAAGTGCTGGGATTACAGGTGTGAGCTACCGCACCCGGCCATGCCTATCTTTTCTCAATATAAAATAGTTATTATAAAGTGAAAGTGAGGCGATGGAAAGCACTTTGCGAAGTTGAAGTCCTGCTTTTAAATGGGCTCTCTACACATTTGAGAAGTTACTAAAAGGCTGTGAATTTCTGCATACGCTCATGGTCTTAATGTTCATACGTTGTTTTTTGGGTTTTTTTTTTTTTTTTAAGACAGAGTCTCAGTTGCCCAGGCTGGAGTGTGCAATGGTCTGTTCTCAGCTCACTGCAACCTCCGCCTCCCAGGTTCAAGCGATTCTCCTGCCTCAGCCTCCTGAGTAGCTGGGTGCCATCATGCCTGGCTAATTTTTGTATTTTTGTAGAGACTGGGTTTTACCATGTTGGTCAGACTGGTCTCGAACTCCTGACCTCGTGATCCACGCACTTCGGCCTCCCAAAGTGCTGGGATGACAGGCGTGAGCCACCGCGCCCGGCCCATATGTTATTTCTGCATGGTCTTGTATAACCGTGGGCCTCTAAGAGCGCAGAAGCGAGCAAAGGTGAAAGCACCTCTAGGTTTTGTACAACAGTGTGTGGATTACTGCTGTCAACAGCTTACATCTTTGTTGCTTTTTGTTTTTATTTTTTGAGACAGAGTTTCACTCTTTCACCCAGGCTGGAGTGCAGTGGCATGATCTCAGCTCACTGCAACCTCCAGCCCCTGAGTTCATTCAAGCAATTCTCCTGCCTCAGCCTCCCGAGTAGCTGGGACTCCAGGCGTGTGCCACCACACTCAGCTAATAATTTTTGTATTTTTAGTAGAGACAGGGTTTTGCCATGTTGGCCAGGCTGGTCTTGAACTCCTGACCTCAGGTGATCCACCCACCTCGGCCTTCCAAAGTGCTAGCATTACAGGCATGAGCCACCATGCCCAGCCAACAGCTTATATCTTGACAGTGCTGCTGAATCATTGAATCCTTTGGCCGTGAAAATACCAGGTTTTCCTTTGTGAAGGAGGCAAAAGTGAGTTAAATCGGTTTGGATCATGCAGGTTATCAACTAACAGATGGAAAGTGACAAAGTGTAGTGACCATAGAGAACGTGTCACCTGTTTTGTTTTTTTGTGGGTTTGTTTTTGGAGACAGGGTCTCCTGCTGTCGCCCAGGCTGGAGTGCAGTGGTGCAATCATGGCTCACTGCAGCCTTGACCTCCCAGGCTGTAAGTGAGCCTCCTACCTCAGCCTCCCCGGGAGCTAGGACTACAGGTGTGTGCCACCACGCCTGGCTAATTTTTGTATTTTTGGTAGAGGCGGGGTTTCGCCATGTGGCCTAGGCTGATCTCGAACTCCTGACCTCAAGTGATTTGCCTGCCTCAGCCTCCCAAAGTGCTGGGATTATAGGCGTGAGCCACTGCTCCTGGCCTCACAGAGTGTTTTGAGGATAGAAGCTTACACCCGATTTAAGTTCCTTGTCTACCCAGACAACTAAATTTACAACTCTTTCCAAACAGTTTTTCTTGTCATTATACTTTCCTTAACCTTAGGGAACTATGAAAACAAATTCTGGTTTTATAAGAAGTTTCTTTACATGTTCCTGGAAACTCAATCCTCCACGTTCTTTCTTTGCCTGGACGTAGAGTATTTCATGAGTACCCCATTGGTCCGGAGGTCGGATTTCTGGTACCCCCAGCCCTCCAGAACGTGGCTGCTAACCCTGAAGCAAGCAGAGGAGGCCTCTGAGCCCAGGGGCGGGGCTGTGCTCAGGCCCCATCCAGGCCCCAGGGTGGACACTGAGGGTGCAGGGAGGGGAGGGGAGGGGCCCCAGGAGCAGTGAGGCCCAGCTTTTCCCACTAGGTCCCCGAGGAGGTCACAGACTCTGACCTGGGAGGCAGCGTCGTAGCACTGCCTAGTCAGTTTAAGAAATAAAAAGGTATATCCCATTTAAAATGTTCATCAGACTGCAGTGGAAAAGGCGACTGCGTTTTACAGTGATGTCCACTGGGGATGATATGAGGGAAAGCTTCGTTACATAGTGTCGTAGGCTTCCCTCATGAGGCAGGTTAATTTCCACGGGACACTCATTCCCCGCACTGTGGGAGGAACGAGGTGTTACTCTCCTCAAGCAGGGGTCAGCAGACTTTTACGGTAAAGGACCCAATAATAAGTATCTCAGATGTCACGGGCTATATGTAGATACGTGTTAAAACTACTCAACTATCATTTTGGTGGGAAAGCAGACAGACAGCACATGAACATGTGGCAATGGCGAGGTTCCCGTGAAACTTTGTTTAGAAAAAGAGGGCCAGGGCCGGGCGCGGGGGCTCACGCCTGTAATCCCTGCACTTTGGGAGGCCAAGGCGGGTGGATCACAAGGTCAGGAGATCGAGACCATCCTGGCCAACATGGTGAAACCCCGTCTCTACTAAAAATACAAAAATTAGCTGGGCGTGGTGGCGGGCGCCTGTAATCCCAGCTACTCAGGAGGCTGAGGCAGGAGAATCGCTTGAACCAGGGAGGCGGAGGTTGCAGTGAGCCGAGATCGTGTCACTGCACTCCAGCCTGGGCGACAGTAAGACTCCATCTCAAAAAAATTTTAAAAGAAGAATCTAGTTGTATCCGGCCCGAGTGCTACTGTCTTCGTGACATGTTTTCACAGGTCTGAGAAAGAACCCCAGTTTAAGTTTATCTACTTCAACCACATGAATCTCGCCGAGAAGAGCACAGTTCACATGAGGAAAACGCCCAGCGTGTCGCTCACTTCCGTGCACCCGGATTTAATGAAGATTCTCGGTGACATCAACAGTGACTTTACCAGGTGATTCCAGCCACTTCTCCAATCAGGCGTCCCCTTTCTAAGACGAGAAAAGACACAGAAAATCCCTTCAAGCCCTTTCCATGGGGTTCAAGCGTGAACCACCTTCATGGGCGCCGCTTCCAAACAGACCCGGGAGCCCTGAAGTCACCGGTTCCCTCGCGCGGCACTCCCTGAGCCTTTTAAATGCCACGTGCGCCCGTTCCATTTCCTGTTCTTGGTTTGGAACGCTTATTCTCACAGTCTGGCCGTATGAGTAACGAACAATTGCATTTTGACCCTCGTCTTGCAGAGTGGATGAAGATGAGGAGATCATTGTGAAGGCCATGAGTGATTACTGGGTTGTTGGAAAGAAGTCTGATCGGCGGGAGCTCTATGTTATTTTGAATCAAAAAAATGCAAACCTGATTGAAGTAAATGGTAAGTAGGATTTGGTATTTCAGGAGAATTTGAGAAGTTGTCTTTTCATTGCATTAAGAAACATGGTTAAAAAATAGGTAAATAGAACAAATCATGACTGTTGAGATTCTAAGCAGGTGCCTCTGCTCCACATTTGATCCATTTTCTGTTCCTTGGAAAACTATGACAAGACCTTCCTGTAGCACAGGAAACTTGGCAATGGCAGAAAGAAAATTATTTTCTACAATTCTAAAAAAAAAAAAAAATGACTTTATATTAAGAAATGTCCCCCTTTTTTTGGAGACAGGTTCTCACTTTGTCACACAGGCTGGAGTGCAGTGGTGCAATCATAGCTCACCACAGCCCCCAACTCCTAGGATCAAGCAGTCCTCCCACCTCAGCCTCTAGAGTAGCTGAGACCACAGGCATGTATCACCAAGGCATGTGTCACCAGACCCAGCTAATTTCTTTTTTTTTTTTGAAACAGAGTCTTGCTCTGTCGCACAGGCTGGGCTCAAACTCCAGGCCTCAAGTGATCCTCTGGCCTCCCAAAGAGCTGGGATTACAGGCGTGAGCCACCTTGCCCAGCCCAAAATGTCCTTTTTTAATATCCTGTGATAAAAACATATCTTTTGTAGGGAGAAGCTGCCGGGTTCACATAGCCGTTTACAAGTATCCCTCTGTACACAGGCAGAAGGAGGCAGACATTTTCTCCTGCCTTCCCGCCAAAGCGGCCAGCCTTGCCCACTGCACGGGGTGACCCGGCAGCTGCGGTGCTGATAGCTCGGCTGCCCTGGAGAGAGGGGACCTCACCTCGGCAGAGCTGCCCCCTTGGGAGATGCCCCACGTGTACACTGTGTGGAAATTCAGTGTAAGCGTTTTTTTCCCCTTGTATCTTGGGCATACTACATTTTTCTCTTTATTAGTAATACCTGTGTTAGTCATTGTGCGCACTAGAAACATCAGTTAATGCAAGCCTGATCTAAACTGTGAATGTGGTAAGATCAAAATCCTGACCCCTCTGCGGAGCACTTGGTCTGCAGCTCAAGGTTGCTGTCCGTTTCTTTGTTGTTCCATTAGTTGTCCCAGGATGACAACCTTGTGCTTGGTGTGTGTCACCAGCCTTGTGCTTCTAACCCCCTCCCCTGGGTGTCCCGGGCACTTTGCAGTTTCTCAGGCCCCGGGCAGCAGTGTTGATAGGCTCAAAACTCCTGAGGCCTGGTAGGTTTTGTAGGTGGATTTTTTCCCCTCTTCTACTTGTTAACATTTCTTGGCTGGGCACAGTGGTTCATGCCTGTAATCCCAGCACTTTGGGAGACCAAGGTGGGCGGATCACTTGAGGTTAGGAGTTCGAGACCAGCCTGGCCAACATGGCGAAACCCTGTCTCTACCAAAAAATACAAACATTAGCAGGGCGTGGTGGTGTGCACCTGTAGTCCCAGCTACTTGGGAGGCAGAGGCTGCAGTGAGCCAAGATCACACCACTACACTCCAGCCTGGGTGACAGAGCAAGACTCTGTCTCAAACAAAAAAAAAAAAAAAAAAATTCTTGCCTAGTCTTCTGGGATTTAAGGTCAAAATCAATGCAAATCTCTCTTCCTAATTTTACCCAAGAAGAATTTAATTATATATTATGTAACCTTTTAAGTGACTGCCTCTTCCTTCCTCACTGTTGTGTCCTTGTTGCAGAAGAGGTCAAGAAACTTTGTGCAACGCAGTTCAACAACATCTTCTTCTTGGATTGACGGATGACGGCTCACCGAGAGCATATCTAAAAAACACTCTGCAAACATTTGGTCACATGCAAGTTAGTGGTCATATGACGGACTGCATTCAGGACAAGGGTAAAGCAATACTTGCTTTGAAGAATCAGATTTCGACTCGGTCTGCTGATCTGAGGTTTTTAGATTTTAAATATTTATGTGGAATTAATTAAAGGTAGTTGGCTATATCGCTATCATTTCATTCTTTTGACATTATTTGAATATTTTACTGGAAAATAAGACTAATAAATTGTTAAAAGTTTTTAAAATTCTGGTTTGGTGTTGAGTCTCTCTCCTGCTGCCTATTTATAGATTACACTGGCCACCAGCTCCGTGACCCAGGCTGGAATGCAATGGCTCACTGCAGCCTCAACCTCCTGAGCTCAAGCAATCCTCCCACCTCAGCCTCCCAAGAAGCTAGAACCACATGTACACACCACCACGGTCGGCTGATGTTTTAATTTTGCAGAGATGGGGGGGTCTCACTATGTTGCCCAGGCTGGTCTCGAACTCCCGTAATCCAGCCATGTAGGAAACCTGAGATGCAGTGGGCCAAGGGGTATGTTAAAACACTGTGACGAGTTCAGTGCTAAGAACTGTAATGCTCAGGAAATCTTACAGCACGTGCCATCCTAAGCCTGTGTGTGTGTCCTCGTGTCTCTCTACTTTTTCTTCTTCTTGCTGGTGATGGTCTTGCTGGATGGGGACACGGTCACATCCTCCTTGGGAGGGTCCAGTATGAGGTGAGAGGATGACACGTCTGCCGGCTCCTTGAGCACTGTGATGTCCACCTCATAGTCATGTCTCTTGGCCTCTTCCTCTCTCAAGATAAAGATGTTCAGCCTAAAAGCAAACATGAGAAGGTGGTAGCTTTTTTTATCCCCCTCCAAACTGCAAAACCAGTTTTAGGCTATTTATAGTATACAGCCCTTCATACCTGCATTTCAACAGCATGTGTAAACAAAACTGTAAGTTGCTACACTCTGCCTGAAATAACTGATGCCATGTCGACACAGTCCAAAATAAACTTCTCATCTATCTATGAAAAGAAAATTTTTTCTCGAGACAGACAGAGTTTCGCTCTTGTTGCCCAGGCTGGAGTGCAATGGTGCAATCTCGGCTCACTGTAACTTCCGCCTCCCGAGTTCAAGCGATTCTCCTGCCTCAGCCTCCTGAATAGCTGGGATTATAGGCTTCCGCTACCACGCCCGGCTAATATTTTGTATTTTTAGTAGAGATGGGTTTCACCAGGTTGGCCAGGCTGGTCTCAAACTCCTGACCTCAGGTGATCCACCCACCTTGGCCTCCCAAAGTTACGTGTGTGTGTGTGTGTGTGTGTATTTTTTTTTTTTTGAGATAGGGTCTTACTGTGTTGCCCAGGCTGGAGTGCAGTGGCACAAACAAATCACTGCAGCCTCAACCTCCCAGGCTCAAGCAATCCTCCTGCCTCAGTCTCCAAAGTAGCTGGGACTACAGGCGC
This sequence comes from Homo sapiens, assembly GCF_000001405.40. Classification (NCBI taxonomy): domain Eukaryota; kingdom Metazoa; phylum Chordata; class Mammalia; order Primates; family Hominidae; genus Homo; species Homo sapiens. Next base: position 6,797,725 of record NC_000007.14, on the reverse strand, counting down.
CTGCCACCACATCTGGCTAAATTTTTGTATTTTTTGTAGAGATGAGGTCTTGCTGTATTAACCTAGGCTGGTCTCAAACTCAAGTGATTCTCCTGCCTTGGCCCCCCAAAATGCTGGGGTTACCGGCATGTGCCATGATGCCCAGCCCATTTGGGGACTTTATGGAGGGTCCAATATGTAGACCTGATTAAGTCACTGGCTATTAGTTATTGAACTCAATCTCCAGCCCCTCTCCCTTCCTGGGAGGTTGGGCTGGAGCTGAAAGTCCCAACCTTCTAATCTCGTGGTTGGTTTCCTGGCAACCAGCTCCAGCGAGAAGCTATCGAGGGCCCCTCCCCTGGCTACCAGTCATCTCAACATAGTCATTACCCCAAAGAGTCCACAGGTTTTGAACTCTTGGGTCAAGAAATAGAAAATAGCTGCATGCAGTGACTCACCCCTGTGACCCCAGCACTTTGGGAGGCCAAGGCTGGCAGATCACTTGAGGTCAGGAGTTCGAGACCAGCCTGGACAACCTGGTGAAACCTCGTCTCTACTAAAAATACAAAAATTAGCCAGGCGTGGTGGTGCATGCTTGTAATCCCAGCTACTCGGGAGGCTGAGGCAAGAGAATCGCTTGAACCCGGGAGGCGGAGGTTGCAGTGAGCTGAGATCATACCACTCCACTCTAGCCTGGGTGACAGTGAGACCCTGTCTAAAAAAAAAAAATAAAACTAGAAACTAAGACCAAATATTAGAACAAAAGATGCTCCCATTATCCCATTACTCAGGAAGTTACAAAGGCTTCAGGTGTTCTGCCAGGAACAGAGACCAAATATTCATTCCTTTTTATGTCAACGACGCCCATAGGAAATTACGGCTTGTCCGGAAAGCACTTGGTCCTGATGCGTTCTGGCAGCTACGGAAGACAGGAAGAGAGCGAGCAGCTGGGGAAGGAGAGGAGGGACCTCGTAAGTTACCTTGCTTCCAGTTCGTCATCTTCCATCTTCCGCTGCTGGGCCTGTGCTGTGCTACGTAACCTGTCTGCCCTTATTTTCTCCTTGATAGCTTCTTCACGTTTATACGCATGAAAGAGCGTGTTCACAAAGAAGACGTACGTATTATTGACCCACGTGTTGAACTCTTCCTCTCGATCATCCTTGGGTCTCTCATATTTCTCTGGAATAGAGTTTCATGAAGCTGAACATGAATACAATCCTGCTGTCAATTGGGGGTCTGCGTGCTTTTTCTCGTTCTAGCCTCCCTGGGGTGGGCCCCCTTCTCCTCGGCCAGGAGAAGTGAGAGGAGTAAGGACGCTGCTTCCATGACCACCTGGAACAAGGCAGGGGCTCAGCAGACCCTGGCTGGGATTGTCAGCCTTCCCTTTGAGTTTCCTGCTACCTCGTTTTTTCTTTTTTGTTTTTTTTTTTTTGGAGACAGAGTCTCACTCTGTCACCCAGGCTGGAGTGCAGTGGCGTGATCTCTGCTCACTGCAACCTCCACCTCCTGGGTTCAAGTGATTCTCATGCCTCAGCCTCCCGAGTAGCTACAGGCGTGCGCCATCACACTCGGCTAATTTTTGTATTTTTAGTAGAGATGAGGTTTCACCATGTTGGCCAGGCTGGTCTCGAACTCTTAACCTCACGTGATCCACCCACCTCGGCCTCCCAAAGTGCTGGGATTACAGGCATGAGCCACTGTGCCCAGCCACCTCTTTTTTTTCTATCTTAAGAATTTGGGTTTTCTGATATTTTAATTTTCCATGTTTCAAGAATAAAAAAACTCGTTTCTCTTGCTTTTTTCTTTTTTTTTTTAAAGACAAGCTCTCACTCTATGGCCCAGGCTGGAGTGCAGTGGCATGACCATGGCTCACTGAAGCCTGGAGGAACTCCTGGGCTCAAGTGATCCTCCCATCTCAGCCTCCCTAATAGCTGAGAATACAGGCATGCACCACCACACGAGGCTAATTGTTTTAAGTATTACTGTGAGACAAGGTCATGCTCTGTCATCCAGGCTGGAGTGCAGTGGTACCATCATGGCTCACTGCAGCCTCCAACTCCTGGGCTCAAATGATCCTCCCACCTCAGCCTCCCAAGTAGCTGGGACCACAGGCGGGTGCCACCACACCCAGCTAATTATTATAGAGACAAGGTTTCGCTATGTTGCCCATGGTCTCAAACTCCTGAGCTCTAGTAATCCTCCCATCTCGGCCTCCCAAAGTGCTGGGATTACAGGCATGAGCCTCTGCACCCGGCCTAGGTCTTGGGGACAAAATATTCGAAAGCTTTTATTTATTCAGAGTTTGAAACCCCTTTAGAGACAAGGATAGCTGTGTATCCCAAGTGAATCCTCTCTCCTAGAGAACTAGACAACGGGTTACTCTCACAAAAGTAATTTCCTAGTAGTTATAGTTATCCCTCTCTATCTTTCTTGTCTAGGCTAAAGAATCTCTAAATCTTAAACTACCGTAATTTTTTCCATCTTTTTAAGCAATTCTGGTTATCTATTCACTTGGAAGATTTTAAAATTCAGAGAATCAAATTATACGCAATCCAGGACTCTAAGGTCAGAACAAGACTGAATGTGAAGGAAGATTCCTTTTTGTTGGTTGGAGACAGGGTCTTGCTCTGGCACCCAGGCTGGAGTGCAGTGGTGCAATCACAGCTCACTGCAGCCTCGAGCTCCTGGGCTTAAGCAGTCATCCTGCCTCAGCCTCCCAAGTTGCTGGGACTACAGGAGTGTGCCACCATACCCGGTGAATTTTGATATTTTTTTTGTAGAGACGGGCTCGCTATGTTGCCGAGGCTGGTCTCAGACTCCTGGGCACAAGTGATCCTCCTGCCTTGGCCTCCCACAGTTCTGGGGTTACGGCTGTGAGCCACTGCACCTGGCTGCAAGATTGTCTTATGTTCATTCATGAACTCTCAACTAGACACCCACAAGCTGGAGGACAGTAAGTCACGGCTGCCACATGCAGTAATCAGACGAAATGGTACTGGAAGAGATGCCACGTGGGTCAAGGGGATCCTTGACAAGACACAGGGCAGGAGCCACAGGACTGGTGACTGGCACACGGGACTTAAAGGAACAACCAGAGAAATCCAGGACAAAATCCAGTTGGAGCTGGGACTAGAGATCACTTCCCTGCTAATCAGATCAGCAGGAAAACACATTAGCTGGGGTTCCATTTTCAGTTCTATTTCTGTTACAGGAACTGTGCGTCTTGATTACGGCACCGCAGGAATGCCCTGTCTCTGCTGGGATGCTGAGCTCTGCGGGAGAAAATGACACAACCCACAGATTTGCACCAGAGGGAGAAGAAACCTAGGATGACGAGGGGTCACAGAGGCCGAATCTCTGTGAAGAGTATTTCAAGAAGCTGACGCTTTTCCTGACTATGGAGAGATCGGTTCAAGTGACAGCAGGATTCCTGGCGGTGGCAACACGGAGTCACTGCTGATGAAAAGGGGCCTTCAGTGGCCTGGGGAGGACAGTGCCACGTGGAGCAAAAGCTAAGGGACACACAGGAGAGGTCCTGGAGAAGGTGAGCACGTACACAGCCCACCAAGATGCCTAGCAGCAAAGGTGTACATGTACACAGCCCCCCAAGATACCTAGCAGCAAAGGTGAGCATGTACACAGCCCCCCAAGATGCCTAGCAGCAAAGGTGAGTATGTACACAGCCCCCCAAGATGCCTAGCAGCAAAGGTGAGCATGTACACAGCCCCCCAAGATGCCTAGCAGCAAAGGTGAGCATGTACACAGCCCCCCAAGATGCCTAGCAGCAAAGGTGAGCATGTACACAGCCCCCCAAGATGCCTAGCAGCAAAGGAGCAGGGAAAGAAAGTGGGATCTAGAGGGGAAAGTGGGAGAAGAGATTTTCCTTTTTTCCTTTTTTTTTTTTTGATATGGAGTCTCACTGTCACCCAGGCTGGAATGCAATGGCATGGTCTCAGCTCACTGCAACCTCTGCCTCCTGGGTTCAAGCAGTTCTCTCACCTCAGCCTCCCAAGTAGCTGGGACTACAGGCGTGTGCCACCACACCTGGCTAATTTTTGTATTTTTAGTAGAGATGGGGTTTCACTATATTGGTCGCGCTGGTCTCGAACTCCTGACCTTGTGATCTGCCTGCCTCGGCCTCCCAAAGTTCTGGGATTACAAGTGTGAGCCACCATGCCCGGCCAAGAGAAGAGATTTTCCTAACTGGGCATATGCAGCACATGTGTGCCGATGGGAATGATCCACTGGAGGAGGAGTAACGGGAAACGACAGGCACTGTAGAGGGGGATACACAGGGGAGGCCTTTGAGAAGACAAGGCCCCGGGACGGAGCCTTTAAAAGTCCACCATTGAGTGGGTGGCCGGCCATAGAGAGACGCCGTCAGAAAAGGGGGAGGGCCAGGCGCAGTGGCTCACACCTGTAATCCCAGTGCTTTGGGACGCCAAGGCGGGAAGATCACTTGGGCCCGGGAGTTCAAGACCAGCCTGGGCAACATAGCAAGACCCCATCTCTTTAACAAACAAACAAAAAAAGACCAGGCGCGGTTGGGCTCATACCTGTAACCTCAGCACTTTGGGAGTCAAGGCGTTCAGATCCAGGAGTTCTTGGATCCAGGAGTTCAAGACCAGCCTGGGCAACAGAGCAAGAACCCACCTCTTTAAAAAAAAAAAAAAAAAAAAAAAATGCCCAGGGGCGGGTGGGCTCACACCTGTAATCTCAGAACTTTAGGAAGCCGAGGCAGGCAGATCACCTGAGGTCAGGAGTTTGAGACCACCCTGGCCAACATCATGAAACCCCATCTACTAAAAATACAAGGTGCAGTGATGGGTGCCTGTAATCCCAGCTACTAGGGAGGCTGAGGCAGGAGAATCACTTGAACCCAGGAGGCAGAGGTTGCAGTGAGCTATGATGGCACCACTGCACTCTAGCCTGGGCAAGAAAGTAAAACCCTGTCTCAAAAAAAGAAAAAGAAAAGAAAAGAAAAGGGGAAACACCAGGGCTTGTTTAATCATGAAAACAAGGCCACGTGCAACTGGCAAGGCCGGCAGAGTAACAGCGGAAAATTCCCATGACATTGATCATCACTGGATGACCCTGAGGAAAGCAGAGGCATGAGGTTGGAAGTTCACACGGACACGGCTGAGGAATCAGACCAGAGGGAGGAAGCGCAGTCAGCAGACAGAGAGGCCTCAAGAGCGATCTTCCCAGGATAAAGGAAAACATAATAAAACAGGAGGATGAGGAAGTGAATAAGGGTTGTGTGTTGTTTTTAATTTGAGCACCTTTAAAAATCCGAGAGAATGAGACCCTTGAGAGAGAAAAGTTGCCTGTAAGAAAACAATGTAGTCAACGGCATCAGACTCTGAGATGGGCGTGCAGGGCCCAGGGGAGGCCCAGCTGTCCCATACTGGCATCTGCCCTAACAGACTGAGTCAGCACAGCAAGGTCACGCCTTGAACTTGAACTCCAAACCAGGGAGGAGAAACAGAAGCAGCTGTACCAGCCTCATTATTTAAAAAGATGGTTGTGCTGGGTGTGGTGATGCCTACTTGTAATCCCAGTTACTCGGGAGGCCGAGGTGGGAGGATCGCTTGAGCCCAGGAGTTCAAGACCAGCCTGGACAACATAGCGAGACTCTGCCTCTAAGAAACTAAAAATTAAAAAAAGATGGTTGTAAAACAGTATAGACATTATATAATTCATAAGCAACAGTTTGTAAATATTAAGGTTCTACAATTAAAATACTCACTGCTCTCAGATGAGAAAAAGGTGATCCCTTTTCCAGTCAATTTAAAATTCATTTTGGAGACTCTTTCATGACTTACAGACTTCTTGATCTTGGGCTTTTGCATTTTAAAAAAATCATAAAGCAAAATATTACGTTTACATCATTATGGGGTTAAAACTGCTTTTTTATACTTTAATTAATTAGAAAATTATTAATGAGGCTGTTCTCCTTGAGCTAATTTGACTTTAATTTGACTTTTTTTTTTTTTTTTTTTTGAGACAGAGTCTTGCTCTGTTGCCCAGGCTGGAGTGCAGTGGCGCGATCTCGGCTCACTGCAGCCTCCGCCTCTCGGGTTCCAGCAATTCTCCTGCCTCAGCTTCCCTGGGTAGCTGCACTACAGGCATGCGCCACTACACCAGGCTAATTTTTGTATTTTTAGTAGAGATGGGGTTTCACCATATTGGCCAGGCTGGTCTCGAACTCCTGACCTCAGGTGACCTGCCTGCCTTGGCCTCCCAAAGTGCTGGGATTACAGGTGTGAGCCACCACACCCAGCCAATTTGACTATTTTAACCTGAATAAAATATTTATATTATTAATGAAATGAATAACAGAATTATGGCATTTACTGAAAGCCTCTCAAAAAAAACCCCCAAAACTTGAAAATGTCACCTGGGTCTGTTGGTACAGTATTTATTGTATAAAATTAATGATACCGGCTAGGCGTGGTGGCTCATGCCTGTAATCCCAGCACTTTGGGAGGCCAAGACAGGTGGATCACAAGGTCAGGAGATCGAGACCATCCTGGCTAACATGGGTGAAACCCCATCTCTACTAACAACACAAAAAATTAGCCGGGCGTGGGGGTGGGTGCCTGTAGTCCTAGCTACTCAGGAGGCTGAGGCAGGAGAATGGCGTGAACCCGGGAGGCAGAGCTTGCAATGAGCGGAGATCCAAGATCGCACCACTGCACTCCAGCCTGGGCGACAGAGCGAGACTCTGTCTCAAAAAAAAAAAAATTTAACCATACTTAGATTCATATACTAATGGCTTTAATTATTATTACATTTTTTGGGACGGAATCTCACTCTGTTGCCCAGGCTGGAGTGCAGTGGTGTGATCTTGGATCCCGGCTCACTGCCACCTCTGCCTCCCAGGTTCAAGCAATTCTCCTGCCTCAGCCTCCTGAATAGCTGGGATTACAAGCACCTGCCACCAGGCCTGGCTAATTTTTATATATTTTAGCAGAGATGGGGTTTCACCATGTTGGCCAGGCTGGTCTCGAACTCCTGACCTCAAGTGACCCACCCACCTCGGTCTCCCAAGGTGCTGGGATGACAGGCGTGAGCCACCTCGCCCGACCTAACGGCTTTAATCACCACATGTATGCCCTAACCCCCATATTTCTACCTCCAGCCGGAGTTTGCCCTTGAACTCCAGTCTTGCCTCCAGCCATGCTACTTGGGCATCAGTTCAGGCACCTTAAGCTTAACTTGTCCAAAATCAACCACTTAATTTTGCTCCCAAAACTCAGCCCCCTGCCTCCGTCTTCCACATCATCATAAATGGCAACTCCATTCTGCCAATGCTCAGCCAAAAAATCTTGGACTCATCTTTGCCTTCTCTTTGCCTTTCAACCCCTGCACCCTTCAAAACACCTCAGACCTCAGCCCACCTTAGTCCCAGTCACCATCACCTCCCAGCGGGATGGTTCCAAGAGCTTCCTCACTGGTTTGTCAACAGTGAAGCCACAGAGCCTCCTGACACCTCTGCTCAGATGGTGTCCCATCCCATCCCACTCACCCAGAATAAACGCCAGGACCCCCCGCCCCGGCCACATGCCCTTCCTGTCACTTAGACCTCGTAAGTGGGAAGAAGCATAGCTTGCGGTAACCGGTGCTAATTCTGGAGTTAAAGTGCCTGGGCACAAACCCCCAGCTCCATGCCTTACTGGTTATGCAGCTGTGGCCAAGCTATTTAACCTTTCTGGGCCTGGGTTCCCTCCTAGAGAGAATCACAGTACCTGAAGGTCATGGGGATGCTGAGCTGGTCCCTGGGGACAGCTCGGCGCCTGGTAAACACCCATAAACGCTATTACTGCTGTTCACTTGCTGCCGTGTCCCCTCCTCACTGGAAAGTAAAGCCCATGAGGGCGTGGGTTTCTGTTCACTGCTAGGTCCCCAGAGCATGGAAAAGAGCTCTTCGCAGAGCAGGCACTCGGTAGCGGGTGTCTCTACACGGTTAGTTGCCAAGACAAACCTCTGATTTCCTTATTTTGTTAACATCAGGCGAGAGTTCTAACTTGCTGGAAGATGACCTGGCACTGTCAGAGTGAGCAGCATCCGATTCGTGGCTCATGACCGCGCTGGGACTCTTGTTCTGGGCGTCCTAAGCAAGAACAAACACACGCGTCAGAGGGCTTCTGGTTTCCATAGAGATCCATACAGGCATACATACATGCACACACGCAATATTTTAATGGGCTGTAACTGATTTACAATGAACTACACATAAACTGTACCCTTTGATGTGTTTTCACACATCTATACCTGTGAAACCATCGCCTCAGTCAAGAGAGTGAACCGAATCAGGCACAGTGGCTCCCGCTTGTAATCTCAGCACTTTGGGAGGCCAAGGTGGGCGGATCACCTGAGCCCAGGGGTTTGAGACCAGCCTGGGCAAGAGAGCAAGACCCTGTCTCTAAAAAAAATAAATAACAGGGCAGGCGCTTCGCTCATGCCTGTAATCCCAGAAGTTTCAGAGAATGAGGCGGGCGGATCACTTGAGGCCGGGAGTGCAAGACCAGGCTGGCCAACACGGTGAAACCCTGTCTTTACTAAAAATACAAAAATTGGCCAGGTGTGGCGGTGTGCACCTGTAATCCCAGCTGCTTGGGAGGCCAAGGCAGAAGAATCACCCTGAACCTGGGAGGCAGAGGCTGCAGTGAGCCAAGATTGTGCCACTGCACTCGAGCCTGGGCAACAGAGCAAGACTTTGTCAAAAAAAAACAAACAAGAAACACACACACACACACAGAGTGAACTTTTAAGTACCCAGCCTGATGCCCCTCATGGATGCGAAGGCTTCTCTACGCTGGCGACTGGAAATGCAAACTACTCCCAGCCCCGCGTGAGTCCTTGAGGTCCCTCCCCTGCTTGCTGGCGGCTCTTCCCTTAGGTTCCAGCTGTTCCCTCACATGCATGCACACTCAGCTGACGGCTCAAGGGGAGCCTTCTGCACATGTCTGGAGCTTGCTGTCCCTCTTCATAGCACACTTACCTCTGTGGAACAGAATTCTACCTTTGCCTCCCCAAATTACTAGAGCGTGTGAAACCACTGTGAGCTGAGCAAGAAGGATCAGCTTTGATAAGTTTGAAGCTGAGCCTCTCTCTGATCTCTAAATCACACTCCCAAATTGTTGGTCAAAAGGGAGCACGACATGAACGTTCAGTTTCCAGTGTCTTTTTAGTAGAGACGGGGTTTCACCACGGTGGGCCAGGCTGGTCTCGAATTCCTGACCTCAAGTGATCCGCCCACCTTGGCCTCCCAAAGTGCTGGGATTACAGGCGTGAGCCACCGCGCCTGGCCTGGGTGTCCATGCTTGTGAGCAAGCCCTGCGGACCTGGTTAGCATCCCACGCACACTCAGGAACTATTCGACACATCTGCTCTTGAGCAGGCTTTCCACTCTTAGAAACACTGGATCCATATAACGAAACATCTCCTAGTAAAACACCTCTGATTTTCTAAAGTGTGGTCTAGCGGCCCACCCAGCATGTCGGTATGCACTGTCACCTTCATCGGCAACTCTCTGCTGTGGCTAGGAGTCCACTTCCTGGATCATGGCCAGGAAACACATTTCCCCTAACTTAAAAAAATCTATATACACTTCCAAAATGTGAAAAAGACATCTTGGCCGGGCATGGTGGCTCACACCTGTAATCCCAGCACTTTGGGAGGCCGAGGCAGGAGGATCACTTGAGCTCAGGAGTTTGAGACCAGCCTGGACAACATGGCAAAACCCCATCCCTACAAAAAAATACAAAAAGGCCAGGCACAGTGGCTCAGGCCTAATCCCAGCACTTTGGGAGGCCAAGGCAGGCGGATCAACTGAGGTCAGGAGTTCGAGACCAGCCTGGTCAACATGGCGAAACCCCGTCTCTACTAAAAATATAAAAAATTAGCCAGGTATGGTGGCACACGCCTGTAATCCCAGCTACTCAGGAGGCTGAGGCATGAATCACTTGAATCCAGGAGGCGGAGATTGCAGTGAGCCGAGATCGTGCCACCGCACTCCAGCCTGGGCAACAGAATGAAGCTCTGTCTCAAAAAAAAAAAAAAAAAAAGAATTAGCTGGGTGTGGTGACACATGCCTGTAGTCCTAGCTACTCAGGAGGCTAAGATGGGAGGAACGTGTGAGCTCAGGAGGTCAAGGCTACAGTGAGGCATGATTCCACCACTGCACTCAAGCCTGGACAATAGAGTGAATCCCTGTCTCAAAACACATAAAATAAAATTTTAAAAGGAAAACGGAAAGACTTCTTAAATTACTTTCTGGAAGGGTTAGTAAAGCCAAGATAGTTTTGATGATGGTTTAACCATTCCAGAATAAAGCCATTCCTTGCTTTGTAATTCTTTTTGTTTGTTTGGTTTTTTTGTTTTGTTTTGAGAAGTCTTGCTCTGACGCCCAGGATGGAGTGCAGTGGCACAATCTCAGCTCACTGCAACCTCCACCTCCTGGGTTCACGCCATTCTCCTGCCTCAGCCTCCCCGGTAGCTGGGACTACAGGTGCCTGCCACCACGCCCGGCTAATTTTTTTGTAGTTTTAATAGAGACAGGGTTTCACCACGTTAGCCAGGATGGTCTCGATCTTCTGACCTCGTGATCCGTCCGCCTCGGCTTCCCAAAGTGCTGGGATTACAGGCGTGAGCCACCGTGCCCAGCCCTCCTTGCTCTGTAATTCTAAGATTACCTAATTCTAAGATATTATGTGTTACCTGATTTAGTATTGTATAAATAGTTTCATGTTTATTTCCAGACACATCATCAGCTGGAACATTTGTATAGGATTTAGTCATTTGGTCAGTAACACAGATGAATGCAAAGCTTAAGAGAGCTTCAAAGAATTCCAGGAAAACCAGCTGAAATAAAATAAAACACAGAGAGTTTCCATCATTCTGACACACCTGGAGACAGAGCATTGATTGACTGGTGTTCATTATTTCCTGACATCTGAATATGCACGTTTGCCCACACACACACAGACATGCAGACATGTGCACAAAGACACACACACATGCACACACACGCACAGACACGCACACACATATATTAGGTACTTGTGTTCAGAGTGCTTTCAATCAAATCTTGGTTCTTAGGCTGGTCACAGTGGCTCACATCTGCAATCTCAGCACTTTAGGAGGCTGAGGCAGGAGGATCATTTGAGCCCAGGAGTTTGAGATCAGCCTGGGCAACACAGTGAGACCCATTCTGTACAAAAAATTGTTTTTAAAAAATCAGCTGAAGGCTGGGCGCGGTGGCTCATGCCTGTAATCCCAGCACTTTGGGAGGCCGAGGCAGGTGGATCACGAGGTCAGGAGATCAAGACCATCCTGGCTAACACGGTGAAACTCCGTCTCTACTAAAAAAAAATACAAAAAAAAAAAAAATTAGCCGGGCGTGGTGGCGGGCGCCTGTAGTCTCAGCTACTCGGGAGGCTGAGGCAGGAGAATGGCGTGAACCCGGGAGGCGGAGCTTGCAGTGAGCAGAGATTGTGCCACTGCACACTCCAGCCTGGGCAACAGACTGAGACTCCGTCTCCAAAAAAAAAAAAAAAAAAAGCATCAGTGAAAAGGCTAATGAAAAAAAGAAAAAAAAAATCTTGGTTCTTTGTCCTTGGTATCCATGGCAAAACCAACAGCCTGAATTGGATCTGTACCATTTGTGATGGCTCTTTACAAACCTCAGGTTCAAAGTTGCTGTCAATTCCATCATATATGAAACGATTATCCTCTGCTATGACCTCCATAAATGTAGCTGCTGTTAATTCTTTATTTATCATTTTAAAGTCCTGTAAAAAAGAAAAACCATAACTGCCTATAATTGTAAACAGCTATATGTTTTAATGTCAATTTATATCAATACAATAACTAAGAAAGTATACCAGAAATTAATATCTTTTTTCTTTTTTTTGAGAGACGGAGTCTCGCTCTGTCGCCCAGGCTGCTAGGCAGTGGCGCAATCTCAGCTCACTGCAACCTCCACCTCCTGGGTTCAAGTGATTCTCCTGCCTCAGCCTCCCAAGTAGCTGGGACTACAGGAACACACCACCACGTCCAGCTAATTTTTGTATTTTTAGTAGAGATGGGGTTTCACTATATGTTGGCCAGGCTGGTCTCAAACTCCTGACCTCAAGTGAGCCGCCTGCCTCGGCCTCCCAAAGTGCTGGGATTACAGGCGTGAGACATTGCGCCCAGCCATAAATTAATATCTTAAAGACTGATAATTTTGAAAAGCATTCTGGATTAACATGGGCATTTGCGGCCAGACATGGTGGCTCACACCTGTAATCCCAGAACCTTGTGAGGCCGACGTGGGAGGATCACTTGAGCCCAGGCGTTGGGGATCAGCCTGGGCAACATAGCAAGACCCTGTCTTTACACAAAATTAAAAATGTAGGCCGAGCATGGTGGTGCATGCCTGCAGTCCCAGCTACTCAGGAGGCTGAGGTGGGAGGATCACTTAAGTCCAGGAGTTTGAGGCTACTGTGAGCTGTGATCATAACACTGCACTCCAGCCTGGGTAACAAAGCAAGAACCTGTCTCAAACACACACACACACACACACACACACACACACACACACACACACACACACGTATTTACCTCTCTATCCCTTCTCTAGTGCCTCCAAAATAACAGCAGAGTATTTGTTGGCATCAGAACAGGACATAGAACATGGGAGACCAGAACACGGTCCAGGTGTGAAATATTAACACGATGCTGTAGGCCGAAAAGCACGTCGGGAAACAACGTGCTGCACAACAAAACCGATGTGACCGCAGAATAATTGACATGAAGAAGAGTTAAGCTCCTGACCACACGGCACTGGTTGAAGTCACAGTTTCCAAGAACCTATCAATAACGTTATGTGGGGCCGGGCGCGGTGGCTCACACCTGTAATCCCAGCACTTTGGGAGGCCGAGGCAGGCGGCTCACGAGGTCAAGAGATCCAGACCATCCTGGCCAACATGGACAAACCGCATCTCTACTAAAAATACAAAAAAATTAGCTGGGCATGGTGGCATGTGCCTGTAGTCCCAGCTACTCGGGAGGCTGAGGCAAGGGAATCACTTGAGCCCAGGAGGCAGAGGTTGCAGTGAGGTGAGATCGTGCCACCGCACTCCAGCCTGGGTGACAGAGCAAGACTGTCTCAAAATAATAATAATAATAATGTTAAGTGAGGACTTACTGTACTCAAATGTTCAGGTTTCAATGTTTTTTTTTTTAAATCACTCATACCGACCAGCCTGGGCAACATGGTGAAACCCTGGCCAACATGGAGAAACCCCGTCTCTACTAAAAATACAAAAATTAGCCTGGCATGGTGGCACGCACCTATAATCCCAGCTACTTGGGAGGCTGAGGCAGGAGAATCACTTGAACCAGGAGGCAGAGGTTGCAGTGAGCTGAGATCACGCCACTGCAGTCCAGTCTGGGAGACAGAGCAAGACTCCATCTCAAAAACACAACAACAAAAAAAAAACTCATACCAAGAACCAGGAAGATCTCAAACTGAATGAAAAAAAGAGAATCCACAGATGCCATCTCCAAGATGACAAAGATGTTACAATTGACTGACAGAGACTGTGAGACAGTCATCACAAAAATGCTTCCATGAGGCTGGGTGTGGTGGCTCATGCCTCTGATCCTAGCACTGTGGGAGGCCGAGATGGTTGGATCACCTGAGCTCAGGAGTTTGAGACCAGCCTGGGCAACAGGGTGAAACCGTCTCTACTAGCCGAGCGTGGTGACATGCACCTGTAATCCCAGCTACTCGGGAGGCTGAGGCAGAAGAATCACTTGAACCCGGGAGGCGGAGGTTGCAGTGAGCCAAGATCAGGTCGCTGCACTCCAGCCTGGGCGACAGAGCAAGACTGTCAAAATAATAATAATAATAATTATTATTATTATTATTATTCAATGGGCAATTGCAAACATGCTTGAAACAAATGAAACCATGAAAAGGGCCAGGTGCAGTGGCTCACGCCTGTAATCCCAGCACTTCAGGAGGCCGAGGCACGAGGACTGCTTGAGCCCAGGAGTTCAAGATCAGCCTGGGCAACATGGCAATAACCCGTCTCTACAAAAAATAGAAAAATTAGCTGGGTATGTTGGCACACACATGTAGTCCCAGCTATTCAGGAGGCTGAGGTGGGAGGATTGCTTGAACCTGGGAGGTTGAGGTTGCAGGAAGCCAAGATTGCACCACTGTACTCCAGCCTGGGTGACAGAGTGAGAACCTTGCTCAAAAAAACAAAACTATTTTCCTATAGTTAGACACTAGGTTATTATCCATTTTTCATATGTATACAACATTATGAAATTTGTAAAAACACTGTATCATTAGTATTTGATTCTGTTTAATCATTTGTATTCCCACAAGTACAAATTAAAAGTACCATGGAACAGGCCAGGCACAGTGGCTCACGCCTGTAATCCCAGCACTTTGGGAGTCCGACACGGGCGGATCACGAGGTCAAGAGATTGAGATCATCCTTGCTAACACAGTGAAACACTGTCTCTACTAAAAAATACAAAAATTAACTTGGCATGGTCATGCACGCCTTTAGTCCCAGCTACTCGGGAGGCTGAGGCAGGAGAATTGCTTGAACCCGGGAGGCGGAGGTTGCAGTGAGCCGAGACCTCACCACTGCACTCCACCCTGGCAAAAGAGCGAGACTTTGTCTAAAAAAAAAAAAGTATCATGGAACAAAAACAACCAATAGTTAGTATGAGAACATTGTATAGATGTTGTCACTATTTTCCCAAGTAATAACTTTTAAAAATTCCTTTTTCGATAAACTGTAATTGTTTTAAATGATATCCATCCTCCCCACTTCCTTAGTTTTTTTTTGAGACAGAGTTCTGCTCTTGTTGCCTAGACTGGAGTGCAGTGGCACAATTCCAGCTCATTGCAACCTCGGCCTCCCAGGTTCAAGCAATTCTCCTGCCTCAGCCTCCGAAGTGGCTGGGATTACAGGCTCTGGCCACCATGCCTGGCTAATTTTTTTGTATTTTTAGTCGAAAGGGGGTTTCACAGCATTGGCCAGGCTGGTCTCAAACTCCTGACCTCAGGTGATCCACCCCCTCTGCCTTCCAAAGTCCTTCCTTTTTAAAAAGATTTCAGTTGACTTTATTGCTATTCTAGGATCAGGCAACACTTCAGTCCATCAAAAAGACTAAGGTGTTCCTCCATTTTCCTTTTTTGTTTTTTGGGGGATTTTTTTGGGACAGGGCCTCACTCTGTCAACCAGCCTGGAATGCAGTGGCACGATCACAGCTTACTACAGCTTCCCGAGTAGCTGGGACTACAGGCGTGCACTACCACGCCCGGCTATGATTTTTTTATTTTTTGTAGAGAGGGGGATCTCACTATGTTGCCCAGGCTGGTCTTGAATTCCTAAGCTCAAGTGATCCTCCTGCCTCGGCCTCCCAAAGTGCTGGAATTACAGGGGTGCCCCGCTGTACTCGGCCCTATCTTCCTTTAAATGGCTGGATCTGCATGAATAAAGATATTGTAGGCCAGTCAGGCACAGTGTCTCACACCTGTAATTCCGGCACTTAGGGAGGCTGAGGCGGGTGGATCACCTGGGGTTGGGAGGTCAAGACCAGCCTGGGCAACATGGTGAAAACCCGTCTCTACTAAAAATACAAAAATTAGCCAGGTGTGGTGGCGGGCACCTGTAATCCCAGCTACTTAGGAGGCTGAGGCAGGAGAATTGCTTGAACCCAGGAGGTGGAGGTTGCAGTGAGCCAAGATCACTTCATTGCACTCCAGCCTGAGTGACAAGAGCAAAACTCCGTCTCAAAAAAATAAAATTAAAAAAATATATATATTTATTATATATATATTTATATATATATATATTTTTTAAGACAATGGCCCATGGCATATATAAATATATATGTCCATGCTGGTCTTGAACTCCTTGACCTCAGGTGATCCGCCCGCCTCGGCCTCTCAAAGTGCTGGGATTGCAATATATATATATACGCATGCCATGGGCCATTGTTATAGGCCATGGACCATTGTCTTGCCCTAATCTGTTAGCATATTGGGCAGGTGACAGCTGTTTCTGTTCCTTCCACGACCACAGACCACTGTTCTGCCAAGAGACTCAGTAAACATTTAATGGTCCTGAAAACCCAGCCCAGATCTTCACCTGATAATTTGCATATCACAGCTGGAATATCCTGCCTTTCTTTAATTAAAATCAAAGTGCCTGTAAATAGAAAGCCAATATCGAACTTAGGTGGTTACTTTCAGCATCCAGAGGAAGTGTCTCATCTTCATCGTAGGCTCGTGGGGAGGCGCTGCACTGGGTCTGCAGTAAGCGAGATAAATCTCCCAGCACTTATTCATGTAACTCATAGAGTAGAGCGTCCGCTGTTGCTCACGGAATAAATTGCCTAAAAATACAACGTTCGAAAAATGATTACAGATTTATGTTTTGAGAAAAAAAATAGCAGTAAATATAATCCTATTGCTTTTGTTTTTTTCCGAGACAGAGTCTTGATGTCACCCAGGCTAGAGTGCAGTGGCACCATCTTGGCTCGCTGCAACCTCCGCCCCCCAGGCTCAAGCGATTCTCCTGCCTCAGCCTCCCGAGTAGCTAGGATTACAGGCATGCACCACCATACCTGGCTAATTTTTTTGTATTTCTAGTAGAGATGGGGTTTTGCCATGTTGGCCAGGTTGGTCTTGAACTCCTTGACCTCAGGTGATCCTCCTGCCTCGGCCTCCCAAAGTGCTGGGATTGCAGGAGTGAGCCACTGCGCCCAGCCCAGATTTATATTTTGAGAAAAAAAAATGGGGCGGTAAATAGAATCCTATTGGTTTTGTATTTACCTTTTATCTGGCAGGCATTTGGACGAATGTTCTCGGTCATCAGTTTTGTAAAACACAAGAAGAGGGATGGGCTTCTCTTTCTGTGATAATCATCAAAAGATACCATAGTTACTTCTCCTCCAAAAGAGGGAACATAATTCCCTTCTCCTTGAGCACGGGCTAGACTTAATAATTTGCTTCTAATGTATAGAGTATAGAAAGGGAAGGCAAAGTCAGTGGCTCAAACCTATAATCCCAGCATTTTGGGAGGCCAAGGTGGGCGGATCACTCGAGGTCAGGAGTTTAAGACCAGCCTGGCCAACATGGTGAAACCCCATCTCCACTAAAAATACAAAAAATTAGCTGGGCTTGGTGGCAGACACCGGTAATCCCAGCTACTTGGGAGGCTGAGGCAGGAGAATCACTGGAACCTGGGAGGTGGAGGTTGCAGTGAGCCGAGATCGCGCCACTGCACTCCAGCCTGGGTGACAGAGCGAGATTCCATCTCAAAAAAATAAATATGTAAATAAAAGTTTTTTTAAAAAAAGATATAAAACCACTTTTGCTGTAAGAAAGACAAGAAATTCTGATGTAAGAAAGAAGACTTGGTTGTGACTATTTGTTTCTGCATTAGAAACCCCGAGAGATATTTGCAGTATTGAACTGACCAGATATGAAGGGCTTTCAAAGTTTTGATCCAGTATGTCATGGCTTTGTGGTTAATATTTGTGGAAAGGTTGTGTTCTGAGTCCTTCATTTCAAGAGTATGTTAAAAAAAGACTGCTGAGGCTGGGCATGGTGGCTCACGCCTGTAATCCCAGAACTTTGAGAGGCTGAGGCAGGTGGATCACCTGAGGTCAGGAGTTTGAAACCAGCCTGGCCAACATGGTGAAACCCCGTCTCTACTAAAAATACAAAAAAAAAAAAAAAAAAAATTAGCCAGGCATGGTGGCACATGCCTGTCATCTCAGCTACCCAGGAGCCCGAGGCAGAAGAATTGCTTGAACCGGGGAGGCAGAGGTTGCAGTAAGCCAAGATTGTGCCACTGCACTCCAGCCTGGGCGACAGAGCAAGACTCCATCTCCAAAAAAATAAAAATGACTGCTGAAGAAAAGAGGGCATTATGACAATAATACAGCTTAGCTGTGCCCCATCCCCCAACAAGGGTCCAGAAATAGTACTTACTGGAATTCTTCATGATAAATGTGGTACGCCAAATGCAGGAGGTAATTCAAAAATGTTCTCAAAAGTATTGTTGTAAATGGAGAATGGATTTCTTCAACTGGTATGTCATTATTGGCTAAAATAAGAAAATTGGAGAGGATGCCTGACATTTGCTAGAACCTTCCATTTTATTTGCGCCTGGTATACAATTCGAAGAACTGAATATATGCGCTTATTTCAAAATGCTCTGAACATGTGTATAAGCGTCCAACCAAAAATTTAAAACTCCGTGAAAGCCAGGCACGGTGGCTCACGCCTGTAATCCCAGCACTTTGGGAGGCTGCAGCAGCAAACTGCCTGAGGTCAGGAGTTTGAGACCAGCCTGGGCAACATGGCGAAACCCTGTCTCTACCAAAAATACAAAAAATTAGCCAGGTGTGGTGGCGGGCACCTGTAATCTCAGCTGCTTGGGAGACTGAGGCAGGAGAATCGCTGGAACCCGGGAGGTGGAGGCTGCAGTGAGCCGAGATTGAGCCACTGCACTCCAGCCTGGGCAACAGAGCGAGACTTCATCTCAAAAAAAAAAAAAAAGATGTCAATCTTGTCCCACTGTTTTCCAGAATAGTCTGAGACACAATCTGATGAATGCTGCTAATTCTAAATGGATTTTAAGTATGTTTCAAACACTAAACTTTGACGTAAATAGGCATTTGCTCTAATACTTCATTTTTCAAGCGGATAATTAGAAGCTTGCAGCTCTGCCTGCCAGGATTTGGCTGAAAGAAGTTAAACTTCCAAAGTTGTTAAATTGATGACATCAACTTCCTAATTTGAAATCAAGACCAATCCTAAGACTACTTAGGGCCTTTTCTAGACTCTTCCAAGCCATTGCTGATTCTCCCTGTTTTGTTTTTTTTTTTTTCTTTTGAGACAGAGTCTCACTCTGTTGCCCAGGCTGGAGTGCAGTGGCACAATCTCGGCTCACTGCAACCTCCGCCTCGCGAGTTCAAGCGATTCTTCTGCCTCAGCCTCCCGAGTAGCTGGGACTACAGGCACGTACCACCACACCCAGCTAATTTTTTGTATTTTTAGTAGAGACGGGGTTTCACCATGTTAGCCAGGATGGTCTTGAACTCCTGACCTCATGATCTGCCCACTTCGGCCTCCCAAAGTGCTGATTACAGGTGTGAGCCACCGCATTTTTTTTAGAGACAGAGTCTCACTCTGTCACCCAGGCTGGAAATCTCGGCTCACTGCAACCTCCACCTCCTAGGCTCAAACGATTCTACTCCTGTCTCAGCCTCCCAATAAGTAGCTGGGAATACAGGCATGTACCACCATACCTGGCTAATTTTTGTATTTTTAGTAGAGACGGAGTTTCACCATATTGGCCAGGCGGGTCTCAAACTCCTGGACTCAAGTGATCCACCCGCCTCGGCCTTCCAAAGTGCTGGGATTACAGGCGTAAACCACGAGGCCTGGCCATCTCCCCATTTCTGACCTGACAATTTAGTGCTCTTTTACTATAGATCGCTGGTCAGGGGGAGAGAGGGAGGCAAACTTTCTGTAAAGGGCCAGAGAGTAAATATTTTAGGCTTGGTGGACCAGACCGTCTACATCACAATCCCTCAGCTGTGGTGCTTCGGGGTAAAGCAGTCACGAACACGTAAGCAAACGGGCATGTCTGTGTTCCAGTAAAGCATGATTTAGGGGAACGGGGGTGGACTGGATTTCACCCTGAGACCGTGCATTGCTGGCCCTGCTTTTGTAGGTGACCTCGTGCTGTTGCTGTTACGTCACGAGACTGTCTCTTTATCAAGTACCTCGTAATCACGGGGGAAATGACCACGCGCTGATTTCTGGAACACTCGTCTCCCAACCTGGGCCTTCCCAGCTCCCTCCACATTTCCTAACTGCTTTCCAGGTGACACTGTGATACTGTCCTTGAAACCAGAGGTCCCCAACCTTTTTGGCACCAGGGACCGATTTTGTAGAAGACAGTTTTTCCATGAATGGTGGAAAGCGGTGGGGGGCTGTTGGTTTCAGGATGATTCAAGCACATTCGAATTACTGCACGCCTTATTTCTATTATTATGACACTGTAATACATAATGAAACAATTCTACAACTCGCCATCAGGTAGAATCAGTGGGAGCCCTAAGCTTGTTTTCCTACAACTAGACAGTCCCATCTGGGGGTGATGGGAGACAGTGACAGATCATCAGGCATTCCATTCTCCTAAGGAGCGTGCAACCTACATCCCTCCCATGCTCAGCTCACAGTAGGATTTGCGCTCCTATGAGAATCTAATGCCCTGCTGATCTGCAGGAGGCGGAGCTCAGGCGGGAATGCCAGCGATGGGGAATGGCTGTAAAAACAGATGAAGGTAGGCTGGGTGCGGTGGCTCATGCCTGTAATCCCAGCACTTTGGGAGGCCAAGGCGGGCAGATCATCTGAGGTCGGGAGTTCGAGACACGCCTAACCAACATGGAAAAACCCCATCTCTACTAAAAAATACAAAAATTAGCTGGGCATGGTGGCACATGCCTGTAATCCCGGCTACTCAGGAGGTTGAGGCAGGAGAGTCACTTGAACCCAGGAGACAGAGGTTGCGGTGAGCCGAGATCGTGCCACTGCACTCCAGCCTGGGCAACAAGAGTGAAACTCTGTCTCAAAAAAAACAAAACAAAACAAAACAAAAAAACAGATGAAAGTTCACTTGCTTGTCCACTGCTCACCTTCCACTGTGTAGCCTGTTTCCTAACGGGCCATGGACCAGTACTGCTCCCTGGCCTGGGGGTTGGGGACCCCTGCCTTTTGTGTGTGTGTGTGTGTGTGTGTGTGTGTGTGTGTGTGTGTGTGTGTGTGTGTGATGGAGTCTCGCCCTGTCACCCAGGCTGGAGTGCAATGGCACAATCTTGGCTCACTGCAACCTCCGCCTCCTGGGTCCAAGCGATTCTCCTGCCTCAGCCTCCCAAGTGGCTGGGATTATAGGCATGCACCACCACGCCTGGCTAATTTTTTGTATCTTTTAGTAGAGACGGGGTTTCACCATGTTGGTCAGGCTGGTCTTGAACTCCTGACCTCGTGATCCGCCTGCCTCGGCCTCCCAAAGTGCTGGAAGTACAGGCATGAGCCACTGTGCCCGGCCTGGTCCTCTGCTTTAAACCAAAAGATGTGAAGGATCTGGAACACTCACCACTTAATATCCTGTCCATATCAGCAAGAGTTAGTTTGTGGTGATGAAATTTGCAATCTTTTAGAAATCTCCAGAAGTGAAGCTTTGTCATCAGAAAGGTATTATCCAGAGAGTGGCCGCATCCCAGGCTGCTGTAAAAGCTGTAAATTCTTCTTAATTCTGTAATATTTCTTAAGACGGCATATTCCACCTGAAAGGAAGAAAGTCATACGTGGATTAAGAACAAAAGACAGCCGGGCGTGGTGGCTCACGCCTGTAATCCCAGCACTTTGGGAGGCCGAGGCAGGCAGATCACCTGAGGTCAGGAGTTCCAGACCAGCCTGGCCAACATGGTGAAACCCCATCTCTACTAAAAATACAAAATTAGCCGGCCGTGGTGGCACATGCCTGTAACCCCAGCTACTCAGGAGGCTGAGGCAGAATTGCTTGAACCTGGGAGGAGGTTGCAGTGAGCCGAGATCATGTCACTGCATTCCAGCCTGGGCGTCAAGAGTGAGACCTTGCCTCAAAATAAAGAAAGAAAATTTAAATATTTTAAAAAGAACAAAAGACACAACACCTGTGTCCTACATTAAATGCGATAATACAAGTAAAGTAATGGCATTTAGCTCTTTCCACTGTAAGAACTTAAGAAGTGTTTGTTTGTTTTGTTTTGAGATGGAGTCTTGCTCTGTCACCCAGGCTGCAGTGCAGTGGCACGATCTTGGCTCAATGCAACCTCTGCCTCCTGGGTTCAGGTGATTCTCATGCCTCAGCCTCCAGAGTAGCTGTGATAACAGGTGCCCACCACCATGCCCGGCTAATTTTTGTATTTTTGGTAGAGATGGGGTTTCACCATATTGGCCAGTCTGGTCTTGAACTCCTGACCTCAGGTGATCCGCCTGCCTCGGCCTCCCATAGTGTTACGATGACAGGCGTCAGCCACGGCACCTGGCCAAGAAGCATTTTATTCTTTCCACCCACCCCCCTTGGTCAATAAAATGCCATCTCCGACCAACAGTAAAAACAAAACAAAACAAGTTATCTGGAAAGTAGACTTCCTTTCACATGGCAATGGGCTGGCTTCCCCTCTCAGTGGCGGCAACAAAATTCTATTGTCTGCAGATCCTTATCCTTCATCAACAAATGTGCAAAAATCCTCAACAAAATAAGTTGAATCCAGCAATATATAAAAAGAATAGTAGCCATGCATGGTGGCTCATGCCTGTCATCCCAGCACTTTGTGAGGCCGAGGCGGGAGGATCGCTTGAGCCTGGGAACTCGAGACCAGCCTGTGCAACATAGTAAGACTGTGTCTCAACTGAAAATTAAAAATTAAAGAAATTAACTGGCCGGGCGTGGTGGCTCAAGCCTGTAATCCCAGCACTTCAGGAGATCAAGGCAGGCGGATCACAAGATCAGGAGATCGAGACCATCCTGGCTAACACGGTGAAACCCTGTCTCTACTAAAAATACAAAAAATTAGCCGGGCGTGGTGTAGACCCAGCTACTCGGGAGGCTGAGGCAGGAGAATGGCGTGAACCCGGGAGGTGGAGCTTGCAGTGAGCAGAGATCGTGCTACTGCACTCCAGCCTGGGCGACAGAGCAAGACTCCCTCTCAAAAAAAGAAAAAAAGAACCAGACACAGTAGCAAGTGCCCGTATAGTCCCAGCTACTCAGGAAGCTGAGGCGGGAGGATTGCTTAAGCCCAGAAGGTCAAGACTGCAGTGAGCTGAGATCGCACCACTTCACTCCAGCCAAGGTGACGGAGCAAGACCCTAAGACCCTATCTCAACAAGAAAAAAAAAAAAACAAAAAAAAAGATAATATAGCAGCACCAAGTAGGGTTTCTCCTAGAATTGCAAAGCTGGGTTAACATTTGAAAAATCAATCAATGTAATTCACAGACTGAGGAAGAACCAAATGATTCTAACAACTGAAGCGTTTCACAGAATTTCACATCCATTCATGAAAAGCACCCTCAGCAAATTAGGAATAGAAAGGAATCCCTCAACCTGATAAACAGCATGTACAAAACACATGCAACTCACACCACACATAGGGCTGAAAGTCTGAAAGAAGCAATATTCCGCCAGGTGCAGTGGCTCATGCCTGTAATCCCAGCACTTTGGGAGGCTGAGGTGGAAGGATCACCTGAGGTCAGGAGTTCGAGACCAGCCTGGGCAACACAGTGAAACTCCATCTCTACTAAAAATACAAAATATAGCTGGGGGTGGTGGTGCATGCCTGTAATCCCAGCTACTCAGGAGGCTGAGGCAGGAGAATCCCTTGAACGCGGGAGGCGGAGGTTGCAGTGAGCTGAGATCATGCCATTGCACTCCAGCCCGGGCGACAAAAGGGACTCCGTCTCAAAAAAAAAAAAAAGGAGCAATATTCACGGTGGTTGCTTTACTCACCTCCCTCTGTCACACTTCACCTTTTAGGATTTTTCCCCAGACCTTGACGCCCTTAAGCTGCCCCAGATTCCCCACACATGCAGCCCTGCCCTCTACACAGCGTCCTGTTCTCCAGAACCACTCACCCCATGCCCTACCCTCATAATGAGACATTCAGAGAATGCGAAGAACAGGATGCAGGGTCCTAAGGGAGACAGAGCCCTACCTGGGCGGCTTCAGGCATTTGTTACGCTGAGCATTCATTCCTGCTTTTGAAAACGCAATTCAACTGAATAAACACATACAATCTAAAGCATTGTTCTAGGCCGGGTGTGGTGGCTCACACCCATAATCCCAGTATTTTGGGAGGCCGAGGTGGGCCAATCACCTGAGGTCAGGAGTTCCAGACCAGCCAGGCCAATATGGTGAAACCCCGTCTCAACTAAAATACAAAAAAATAGCCGGGCGTAGTGGCCCACACCTGTAATCCCAGCTACTGGGGAGGCTGAGGTGGGGGAGGCTTGAACCCGGGAGGCAGAGGTTGCAGTGAGCCAAGACTGCGCCACAGCACTCCAGCCTGGGCGACAGAGCAAAACTCGGTCTCAAAAAACAAAACAAAAAAGAAGACATTCAACACGTGACAGCAGTCACCAGCTATATTTTCCCAGGATGCAACTCATACCAATCAAAAAGATTTTACCTGCTTCTTTTCTTCAGGTTGGACTGTCTCAGGGTACATGTCCAGGAGCAAATTTAGATCCAGCTCAATGCTCGATCCCAACACAGAATGACTTTCACTGCCATCAAGCTTTCTGATCAGTTCTAATGAATGAAGGCAAACACAGGGGATAAGTACGGTTTGTTTGGTGGGGTTTGTTTTTTTTTTTTTTTTGAGACAGGGCCTCACTCTGTCGCCCAAGCTGGAGTGCAGTGGCATGATCTCAGTTCACTGCAACCTCTGCCTCCCAGGCTCAAGCCATCCTCCCACCTCACCCTCCCGAGTAGCTGGGACTACAGAAGTACACCACAACGGCCAGCTAATTTTTGTATTTTTTTGTAGACACAGGGTTTCACCATGTTGCCCAGGCTGGTCTCGAACTCCTGAGCTCAACTGATCCGCCTGCCTTGGCCTCCCAAAGTGCTGGGATCACAGGCATGGGCCACCACACCCATCCTTGGAGATAATTATGAAAAGCAATGTTCAAATTTCTCAGTATTATGTCACAAAGATTTTCCACCAAAATGGGATACAAGAATATTCCAAAAACCTACTAAGAACACAGGCTGGGCACAGTGGCTCATGCCTTTAATCCCAGCACTTTGGGAAGCCAAAATGAGAGGTTAAGGCTGCAGTGAGCTATGATCACGCCACTGCACTCCAACCTGGGCAACAGAGTGAGATCCTGTCTCTAAAAAAAACATTTTTTAAAAGCAGTTGCCAGCTAGGCACAATGGCTTGCAGCTGTAATCTCAGCACTTTGGGAGGCCGAGGCAGGAGGATTGTGTGAGGACAGGAGTTTGAATCAGCCTGGGCAACATAGTGAGACCCTGCCTCTACAAAAAGTTTAAAAATTAGCTAAGCCTGGCCAGGTGTGCTGGCTCACACCTGTAATCCCAGCACTTTGGGAGGCCAAGGTGGGTGGATCACGAGGTCAGGAGTTAGAGACCAACCTGAGCAACATGGTAAAACCCCGTCTCTACAAAAAATACAAAAATTAGCTAAGCATGGTGGCACACGCCTATAATCCCAGCTACTCAGGAGGCTGAGGCAGCAGAATCTCTTGAACCCGGGAGGCGGAGATTGCAGTGAGCCAAGATTACACTGCTGCACTCCAGGCTGGGCGACAGAGTGAGACTCCGTCTCAAAAAGAAAAAAAAAATTAGCTAGGCTTGGTGGTGTGTGCCTGTATTCCCAGCTATGGGGAAGGCTGAGGTGGGAGGATCACTGGAGCCCAGGAGTTTGAGGCCACAGTGAACAGTGATCGTATCCTGCTCCATCCTGGGTGATAGAGCGAGATTTTGTCTAAAATTTTTTTTTAAAAAAGGAGTTGCTCACAGAGGACTTCTGTTTCCTGAAGTGTTCGGTGTATTTTCATGAGTGAACACCATGGATAAAAACAGATGAATTTTATTTCTTTTTTTTTTTCCATTTTATTTATTTACCAGACGGAGTCTTTCTCTGTGGCCCAGGCTGGAGTGCAATGGTGCAGTCTGGGCTCACTGCAATCTCTGCCTCCCGGGTTCAAGCGATTCTCCTGCCTCAGCCTCCTGAGTAGCTGCGATTACAGGCGCCTGCCACCACGCCTGGCTAATTTTTTTTTATTTTTAATTGAGACGGGGTTTCACCATGTTGGCCAGGCTGGTCTCGCACTGCTGACCTCGTGATCCGCCGGCCTCGGCCTCCCAAAGCGCTGGGATTACAGGCATGAGCCACCACGCCCGGCCAATGAATTTTATTTCAACAGGTGAATGCTTCCTACCGGCGCTCCTGGACAGTCTTGGGGCAACTCCTGAAGACAGGTCCAGGCAGCTGATGAATTCAACTTCAAGATCCGGAAACCCAGCTATGTGGTCATTGGAGAATGCGCCTTCGTACACACGCCCGTTCTTGAAAGTTAATCGGCCCTGCAGACAGAAAAACTTTTTACAGTTTAGGAAAAGATTTCTTAGAAAAACACTGGTAAGGCTGGGGGCGGTGACTCATGCCTGTAATCCCAGCACTCTGGAAGGCTGAGGCGGGCAGATCACAAGGTCAGGAGTTCGAGATCAGACTGGCCAACATGGTGAAACCCCATCGCTACTAAAAATACAAAAATTAGCCGGGCCTGGTGGCAGGCACATGTAATCCCAGTTACTCGGGAGGCTGAGGCAGGAGAATCGCTTGAACCTGGGAGGCAGAGGTTGCAGTGAGCCAAGATCGTGCCACTGCACTCCAGCCTAGGTGACAGAGCGAGACTCCATCTCAAAAAAAAAAAAAAAGGAAAGAAAAACATGGGTAAATGTACATCAATAGTTTTTTCAAGGGTGTGGAGCTTTTCGTTTTGAAAATATGCACTTACTCTACACATAATCAGGCTCCTGGGTCTCATGCACTGTATAAGTCCTCTCTCTCGTCCTCCTTTTCCTATTCCTCCCCCTCCCCTCTCTCTCTCCCCAACAATCTTTCTCCAACTTTAAGCACCTATGGCCACAGAATGTGTCTTATTAAACTACGCTAGTGACCAGCAGAACGCCCATCACACAATACAGACTCCCTGATTTTTTTTTTGAGACGGAGTCTCGCTCTGTGCCCAGGCTGGAGTGCAGTGGCACGATCTCGGCTCACCGCAAGTTCTGCCTCCTGGGTTCACACCATTCTCCTGCCTCAGCCTCCTGAGTAGCTGGGACTACAGGCGCCCGCCACCACACCCAGCTAATTTTTTGTATTTTTAGTAGAGACAGGGTTTCACCATGTTAGCCAGGATGGTCTCGATCTCCTGACCTCGTGATCCATCCGCCTCAGCCTCCAAAAGTGTTGGGATTACAGGCGTGAGCCATCGTGCCCCACAATTTTTTTTTTTTTTGAGGTGGAGCCTCGCTGTCACTCAGGCTGGAGTGCAGTAGCACAGTCTTAACTCACTGCAACCTCCGCCTCCTGGGTTCAAGCAATTCTCCTTCCTCAGCCTCCCGAGTGGCTGGGATTACATGCGTGCACCACCACACCCAGCTAATTTTTGTATTTTTAGTAGAGACGGGGTTTCATCATGTTGGCCAAGCTGGTCTCGAATTCCTGACCTCAAGTGTTCTGCCCACCTCGGCCTTCCAAAGTGCTGGGATTACAGGCCTGAGCCACTAAGCCTGGCCAAGACTCCCTGAGATTTGTCAAACCCAGGCCAATAGTCAGTTACTGATTCAGAAGTGGGCAAATGACCCAATTTGGCTCTGTGAAATGAAAGACCTTTTTAGAGAGCTTCTGTAAAAAGTTCCTCCTTTTCTTCTAGTTAGCATGGTATGTGGATGTGAAGGCTGGAACCACAGCAGCTGTCTTGCAATCATGAGGGAGGAAAAAACACAAGGGTGAAAGTGACATGGTGGGAGATATCGTGGATAGATGGAGGAGAAATCCTGACAGCTCTGAGTTGCTGAATCAAACCATTATTCTGTATTTCACATGGCAGACGACACTAGATTCTCTGTTACTTGCAAACCAAAACCATCCTCATACACACACACACACGTACACACACACCAAACACTGATTAAATAACCACTAAATATATAGGAAATCAATGACCATTGAAACTATTTTGGCAAGCATAGTGGCTCATGCCTGTAATCCCAGCACTTTGGGTGGGAGGATCACTTGAGACCAGGAGGCCAGCTTGGCAAACACGGCAAAACCCCTGTAACTACTAAAAAAAAAAAAAAAAAAAAAAAAGAGCCGGGCGTGGTGGCGCACACCTGTAATCCCAGCTACTCTAGTGGCTGAGGCACAAGAATCACTTGTGCCCGGGAGGCAGAGGTTGCAGCGAGCTGAGATCATGCCACTGCACTCCAGCCTGGGCAACAGAGCGAAACTCTGTCTCAAAAAAAAGAAAAAAAAAGTCATGTAATCACCTTAGCAAAACAGTAAGTCATCCTATACAAAACAGATAATGTAATTTAATCGAGAATGACATGCCTTTTGTCAAAAAGAGTTCTGTAGATGGATGGTGATGGTTGCGCAACAATGCGCATGTGCTTAATGCCACTGGACTGTGCACTCAGAAATGGTTAAGATGGGAAATCTCATGTGTACTCTACCACAATTAAAATTAAAAAGAAATCTAGAGCGCCTATATTTACATCAGACAAAATAGACTTCAGAGAAATGAAAATTACCAGGGTTGGCCAGGCGTGGTGGCTCACGCCTGTAATCCCAGCACTCTGGGAGGCCAAGGAGGGTGGATCACCTGAGGTCAGGAGTTCGAGACCAGCCTGGCCAACATGACGAAACCCTGTCTCTACTAAAAATACAAAAATTAGCCAGGCATGGTAGCCGACGCCTGTAATCCCAGCTACTCATGAGGCTGAGACAGGAGAATCACTTGAACCCGGGAAGCAGAGGTTGTAGTGAGCTGAGATCATGCCACTGTACTCCAACCTGGACAACAGAGCAAGACTGCATCTCAAAAAAAAAAAAAAAAGAAAAGTAGCAGGGTTAATGAGGAACATTACGTGATGATCAAAAGAGCCAATGCACCAATACAGAATAATCCTCAATGTATATGCACCTAACAAAGCTTCAAATATTTGAATCAAAACTGATAGATCTGAAAGCAGAATAGACAAATCTGCAATTATCCTTGGACATTTCAATTGCTTTACATAATTTCAATGGCTTTACATAATTGTTTGAAATGTGATCCTCCCAGGTCTATACTCACCATGCCATGTTTCTTATTGGAAACCCATTCTCCATCATACATGGCTCCACTGGCATAATAAAACTTGCCACGTCCGTGACGATATCCATTTACAAACTCCCCTATGTATTCATTTCTCAAAGGATACTGGGAACTGCGGATTCTCTTTAGAAACCATGTGTGTGTTCCAAAGCCATTCTGAAAAGAAAGCACACTGCCATCAGAAATGCACAAAGCAGTTTCTCTCTTTACCCGGATCCCCTTAAAATTAGGATAAATACAATGAAAACTGGAAAGGGCAAAGAACTTGGACTCTGGAGTCACACAGACTTGGGTTCAATTTCAGCTCAGCTACTTACTAAGGAGTCTTTTGAAATAAGGCAGATCACTTAAGCCCTCTAAGTTCCTCGTCTGTAAAACAGAAATGACACCTACCCCTCAGGTTAGATATAAAGCAGTTTGAAACCAGCCTGGCCAACATGTTGAAACCCCATCTCTACTAAAAAGTGAAGATAAGTGTACATAAAGTGCCTGGCTTGATCGTGAAGATTTTCATTGTTATTTTAAATGTTGGGGTTTATTTGCTTTTATATATTTTTATTTTTTGAGAAAGGGTCTCACTCTGTTACCCAGGCTAGAGTATGGCACAATCTTGGCTCACTGCAGCCTCAACCTCCAAGACTCAAGTGATCCTCAGCCTCCCAAGTAGCCAGGACTACAGGCACCAGAGACCACTCCCGGCTAATTTTTATATTTTTAGTAGAGATGGGGTTTCACCATATCACCCAGGCTGGTCTCAAACTCCTGGCCTCAATCCTCAGGTGGTCTCCCAAAGTGCTGGGATTACACGTGTGAGCCACTGAGCCCAGCCTAAATTTTTATTTTTTAAAGATACCAGTTGGGCTGGGTGCTGTGCCTCATGCCTGTAATCCCAACGCTTTGAGAGGCAGAGATGGAAGGATCACTTGAGCCTCAGAGTTCAAGACCAGCCTGTGTGATAAAGTGAGACCTCGTTTCTAAAAAAAAAAAAATTATTTTTTTAGTTAGCCAGGCATGGTGGCAGTGGGCACCTCTGTAGTCTCAGCTACAGGGGAGGCTGAGGTGGGAGGATCGCTTGAGCCAAGGAGGTAGAGAGCCCTGATTGCACAACTGCAGTCCAGCCTGGGCAACAGAGCAAGACTCTGTCTCTAAAAACAAACGAACACGCTGGGCGCTGTGGCTTACGCCTGTAATCCTAGCACTCTGGGAAGCCGAGGCAGGTGGATCACTTGAGGTCAGGAGTTCGAAACCAGTCTGGCCAACATGGTGAAACCCCGTCTCTACTGAAAATACAAAAAAAAAAAAAAATTAGCCGGGCCATGGTGGTGGGTGCCTGTAATCTCAGCTACTCCAGAGGCTGAGGCAGGAGAATTGCTTGAACCCAGGAGGTGGAGGCTGCAGTGAGCTGAGATCCTGCCACCGCACTCCAGCCTGGGCAACAGAGCAAGACTCTGTCTCTAAAAACAAACAAACAGGCTGGGTGTGGTGGCTCACGCCTGTAATCGCAGCACTTTAGGAGGCTGAGGCGCGCGGATCACTTGAGGTCCGGAGTTCGAAACCAACCTGGCCAACATGGTGAAACCCCGTCTCTACTAAAAATACAAAAAAAACAATTAGCCCGGCCGTGGTGGTGGTGGGTACCTGTAATCTCAGCTACTCCAGAGGCTGAGGCAGGAGAATTGCTTGAACCCGGGAGGTGGAGGCTGCAGTGAGCCAAGATTGCGCCAGTGCACTCCAGCCTGGGAGACAGACAGAGAGAGACTCTGTCTCAAAACAAAAACAAAAACAAAACCCAAAAAGAAATATACATGTGTTGAGAATCGGCGGAGCATCCGCCTCTGGGTATAAGCTGCTACCCCGCCCGGGCGTACCTGGATGCCCCTCTCCCACCGCCCGGTGTACTCTTCGTTGGTGGTCAGCCACCTCATCCTCCCCTCCCCGTGGCGCATGTTGTCTTCCCACTGGCCTTCGTATATATTTCCAGATTTATAACTAGGATGAAAGAAACCAAAGAAAAACAATCAGTTACCTCCTACACAACATTTACCTTTAAGACATTCTTTTAAACACTCCCCTTGAGCTCCTTTGAAGAAATCCACCCCTTGTACTTATACAATCTTCTCTGTATTTAAATTCAGGCCAGGCGTGGTGGCTCACGCCTGTAATCCCAGCACTTTGGGAGGCCGAGGCTGGAGGATCACCTGAGGTTGGGAGTTTGAGACCAGCCTGACCAACATGGAGAAACTCCATCTCTACTAAAAATAAAAAATTAGCCCAGCTACTTGGGAGGCAAAACTCCATCTCAAAAGAAAAAAAAAAATGCAAAAATTAGCCGGACATGGTGGCAGGCACCTGTAATCCCAGCTATTCAGGAGGCTGAGGCAGGAGAATCACTTGAACTCAGAAGGTGCAGGTTGCAATGAGCCGAGATCATGCCACTGCACTCTAGCCTGGGCAACAGAGCGAGACTGTCTAAAAAATAAATAAATAAAATTTTTAAAAAATCAATGGATAGGCTCATGGTCCTAAGGGAGCAGAATGAGTCACTTTATTAAATCTTCTGACTATTTAATAAGGGGACAAAGTGGGTAAGAGCCGGGTTTTTAAAATTTTTTAATAATTCCCTATTGTATCATGATTAGTGAATATTTGGCCAGTTTTTGAGATGAGATCTCACTGTGTCACCAAGGCTGGAGAGCAGTGGTGTGATCATGGCAGGAGAATTGCTTGAACCCAGAAGGCAGAGGTTGAAGTGAGCTGAGATGGCACCACTGCACTCCAGCCTGGGTGACAGAACAAGACTCCGTCTCAAAGAAAAGAGAAAAAATCCACTCTGCTTAGAGAGAAAATGTTCCATGCAACTTTTGCATCTTACTTTTAAATATCCGAGGTGAACGCTATTGGGCCCACAAACCCTTCTTCATCTACACCCCAAGCGCGGCAGTGGTCATACCTACCATCTTATTCCCCAGCCCTTTTTGATGTTTTGTACCCAGTCTCCCTCGTACCAACACGTACCCTCTTGATTGTAATAAATGGAGCCCTGAAACAAATAATGTCATCTTTAAAACTATCAAGCCTCATGACACAAATGCTTTGTCAAATGTAAGGATATTAACTTGAAAAGTAGAACCTACACAGAGGTCAATGTCATACATAGGCAAGACATGTAAACTGCTATTTTTCTGTTTTGCTATCAAGAAAATGGTAAAACTGCTGCACAAAGGGAAATGAGATAATGTCACAAATCAATTGCTCCTTAATAAAGTGCCATATTGGCCAGGCACGGTGGCTCACGTCTGTAATCCCAGCACTTTGGGAGGCCGAGGTGGGCGGATCACAAGGTCATGAGTTCAAGACCAGCCTGGCCAACACGGTGAAACCCCGTCTCTACTAAAAACACAAAAATTAGCTAGGAGTGGTGGAGCGTGCCTGTAATCCCAGCTACTTGGGAGGCTGAGGCAGGATAATCGCTTGAACCTGGGAGGCAGAGGTTGCAGTGAGCCCAGATCGTGCCACTGCACTCCAGCCTGGGCAACAGAGCAAGACTCCATCTCAAAATAAAATAAAATAAAAAGTATCACATTAAGGCACAGAATGACTGTATTCATCATATTCGAGTATATTCATTCTATCCAGTAACTATTAGTCAATTAAGTACCTAGAGAAATCCTGTCTGTTGCCACCTGGAGTGAACAGTTGCGCCTTCCATGTAACGGAAGGTCACTCTCTCTTAGGCACCAGATCCACTGTTGTTTTACCCATTTGGACATGCTACTCATTTTACCGCCTCCGAGTATAAGTGAGCATAGAGTACCCTTTGTTTGATCTACATAGAAAAGCCTCAAAAGGCTTTTTCACAGGTTTATCTGTGTGTGTGAGAGAGAATTTTTCTATCTTCTTTCTCATGATCAGGCAAACTCATTCCTTCTTGCAGCCATGCAGATGCTGCTGTCTAGAAGTCACCACCCCCAATCCCTCCAATATGTCTCAAGCAATCTGCTGTAAAACACACACACACACACACACACACACACACAACAACAACAACACAACTCAATAAATAGCCTATTAAAGCATGCATACGGCCAGGCACAGTGTGGCTCACGCCTGTAATCCCAGCACTTTGGGAGGCTGAGGTGGGTGGATCACTTGGGATCAGGAGTTCAAGACCACCCTGGCCAACATGGCGAAACCCCATCTCTACTAAAAATACAAAAATTAGCTGGGCGTGGTGGTGCACACCTGTAGTCCCAGCAACCTGGGAGGCTGAGGCAGGAGATTTGCTTGAACCCGGGAGGCAGAGGTTGCAGTGAGCTGAGATGGCACCATTGCACTCCCGCCTGGGCGACAGAGCAAGACTCCATCTCAAAAAAAAAAAAATTAATAAAATGGTTAATTTATGTGATGTGAATTTCGCCTCAATAAACAAAAAGTGAATATGCCCTGGACAGCGCCGCTAGCCCCTACCCCCTTCTCTCCCTCCATGTGGCCACCCAGCCCCTCCCCTGCCCTCCACATGGCCACCCCACCCCCTTTCTGCCCCCCCGACCCCCCCGACCTTGCCCCCTCATGGCTGCCCCCCCCATGTCCGCCCACCCCCTTCACTCCTGCCCCACCTGCCCTCCACGTGGCCACCTCGCCCACCTTCCCGTGCCGCTTGCCATTGCACCAGTGGCCGATGTAGGACACAGGCTGGGTGCTGCACTTGAACATCCCGAATCCGTTCCTCATGCCGTTGACCACTTCGCCTTCATACATGCTGCCGTCCGGCCACGTGTACACGCCGTGGTTCATCGGGACATTCTTCACAAAGTCGCCCTGAAGCAGAACGGCCATGGGGTGACAGAAGGAAGCGTTGGGGGGTGGGGGCGGGAATCCCTAGTCCTGCGGGCGGTTCCAGGAGCTGCTTGACCTCTGATTCTGTTCTTGCCTCTCCTGTGGACACACTGAACATCCCCCTCACACTCTCTCTCTTCCTTCCTTGTCTGCTCTCATCGCATCCTCTCTCA
The DNA here is from genome assembly GCF_000001405.40 of Homo sapiens. Lineage (NCBI taxonomy): Eukaryota > Metazoa > Chordata > Mammalia > Primates > Hominidae > Homo > Homo sapiens. The sequence continues at coordinate 6,763,736 of NC_000007.14, read as the reverse complement.
TCTGACCCGACCAGTGGGCGGAAGCTCAGGCAGGAGGAAATATCTGGGAGGTTGCAGGTTGACCAAGTTCGAAGAAACAAGCAGGTGATGTTGGAAAGTGCTGGCTTCCAATCCTGACCTGGGGAACTTCAGATTCTTAGAACCCACCTTGGCAAGGTGCAGTGGCTCACACTTGTAATCACAGCACTTTGGGAGACTGAGGCGGGAGGACTGCTTGAGGCCGGGAATTTGAGGCCAGTCTGGGCAACCTAGGAAGACCCTGTCTCTAGAAAAAGATTTTATTTTTGTTTTTATTTTTGAGACAGAGTCTCACTCTGTCGCCCAGGCTGTAGTGCAATGGCGCCATCTCGGCTCACTGCAACCTCTGCCTCCCAGGTTCAAGCAGTTCTCCTGCCTCAGCCTCCCAAGTAGCTGGGATTACAGGCACCCATCATCACACCCTGCTAATTTTTTTTGTATTTTTAGGAGAGACGGGGTTTTGCCATGTTGGCCAGGCTGGTCTCGAACTCCTGACCTGAGGTGATCCACCTGCCTCGGCTTCCCAAAGTGCTGAGATTAACAGGCATTTAACAGGCATGAGCCATCATGCCTAGTTTTTGTGGATTTTTTGTTGTTGTTTTTTTGTTTTTTTGAGACAGGGTCTCACCCTGTCACCTAGGTTGGAGTGCAGCGGCACAATCATAGCTCACTGCAGCCTCGACCTCCCAGGCTCAAGAGATCCTCCCACCACAGCCCCCCAAGTAGCTGAGACTACAAGTGTGTGTGCCACCAAGCCTCACTACTTTTTAAATTTTTTGTGGAGATGGAGTTTCTCTATGTTGCCCAGGCTGGTCTGGTCTCAAACTCCCAGCCTCAAGTGATCTTCCCACCTTGGCCTCCCAAGTAGCTGGGACTACAGGTGCTGGCCACCAAGGTGCAGTGGTGCACGCCTATAATCCCAGCACTTTGGGGGTGCTGACGTGAGAGGATCTGTTGAGCCCAGGAGGTTGAGGCTGCAGTGAACTATGACCACTGCATTCCAGCCTGGGCGACAGAGCAAGATCCTGTCTCTAATGAAAAAAAAAATAACCCGCTCGAAGGAGGTGAATTCACTGTTCCCTCCAAGGCTTAGTGATGACTGGGGACATCCCTCTTTCTTTTTCCTTTTTTTTTCAAGATGGAGTTTTGCTCTTGTTCCCCAGGCTGGAGTGTAATGGTGTAGTCTCGGCTCACTGCAACCTCCGCCTCCCAGGTTTAAGCAATTCTCCTGCCTCAGCTTTCCGAGTAGCTGGGATCACAGGTGTGCACCACCATGCCCCGCAAATTTTTGTAGTTTTAGTAGAGACAGGATTTCACCATATTGGCCAGGCTGGTCTTGAACTCCTGACCTCAGATGATCTGCCCACCTTGGCCTCCCAAAGTATTGGGATTACAGGCGTGAGCCACCATGCCCGGTCAGGAAATCCCTCTTTCTGCCACGGTCATCAAAATAGTCTGTAAACAAATCAGCCAACAGCCTGCCCCAGGGGCACCTGCCAGGGAACGCGCTCTGCCCAGGACGCCTGAGTGGGCAGCAGGCAGCACAGTGCACAGCACCCAGCAGCATCGGATTCTCTTCCAGGAACCTGAACTCCCTGGAGGCAGCCACAGCAGCAGAGAAAAGAGGACAGCACGCCGTGGCCTGATCACCAGCCAGGACCCATGAGGCCAGTCGGCCTCTGAGAATGCTTCTAGGAGCCCCCCGAGTCCTGCCCAGAAGCCCCCCTGACTGGGCTGGAGTGGGGGTCTGTGCCTGCAAAAATGACCTCCCCCCCTGCCGGGAGTTTCCCGAGACAACGAGGCACAGGGCGGTTCTTGGTAAGTTGTCACTTAAGGACCAGAAACTGGCCCAGTGCGGTGGCTCACACCTGTAATCCCTGCACTTCGGGAGGCTGAGGTGGGCAGATCACCTGAAGCCAGGGGTTTGAGACCAGCCTGGCCAACATGGCGAAAGCCCGTCTCTACTAAAAATACAAAAAGTAGCCCGGCGTGGTGGCGGGCGCCTGTAATCCCAGCTACTCTGGAGGCTGAGGCAGGAGAATTGCTTGAACCCAGGAGGTGGAGGTTGCAGTGAGCCGAGATCCCGCCGCTGCACTCCAGCCTGGGTGACAGAGCAAGACTCTGTCCCACAAAAATAAATAAAATAAAGACCAGAAACCTTACATGTCAGCCACCGGCTAGAAGGCGGGATGTCGCGTGGGAAGGGAGCTGGCATGAACCCAAGGTGGGGGCCCAATCCTCAGGCTCCCCTGGAACTTGGAGATCCTCCTTGCCCCGCCAGTGACGGTCAGCCCCTCCCTCCCTCTCCCCGCTCCTCTGCAGCATGCCTCTCACCGCCCAGCTGCAGGTGGCTTCCCGGCCCAAACTTGACTCCGTTTCCATCATTGCCTGTGTGTTATTTGAATAAGTGCGTTATGCGCATGTGTTTTAAATGTCATCATTACCATTTATAAACACCATCTGTTAGCAACTCTGCATTTGGGATTTTTAGAATAGCATTTCAGGTGCTCACTCACTTTGTGGGTGGGAATTGAGCCTGGTACAATCTCTTGGCGAACAATTTGGTCCTTGCAATCAGCTTAAAAATACACATTCCCCTCAACCCCACAAGACAGGTTAAATAAAAGCCACATAATGGAATACATGCAGCCACTAAAAACAGATCTACATGAATGGATATGGTTTGATCTCAAAATTAAAGGTACAGGCCAGGTGTGGTGGCTCACGCCTGTAATCCCCAGCACTTTGGGAGGCCAAGGTGGGAGGATCGCTTAAGCTTAGGAGTTCGAGACCAGCCTGGGCAACATGGCAAACCCTGTCTCTACAAAAAAAAAAAAAAAAAGTAAAAATAAATTAGCCGCGTGCTGCGGAGCACACCTCTAGTCACAGCTACTCAGCAGGCTAAGCCAACAGGATCGCTTGAGCCTAGGAGTTCAAGGCTGCAGTGAGTCATGATCTCACCACTGCACTACAGCCTGGGTGACAGAGCAAGACCCCATCTCAGACTCACTAACTAACTAAGTAAATATGCCAAAGAGAGTGTATAATAAACTATGTGTGTTTGTAAAAAGCAAGACAGGCTACAGAAGTTCCAGGCTGCAGTGTTATGATCGTACCACTATACTCCAGCCTGGGCAACAGAGCAAGACCCTGTCTCAAAGAAAAAAGTAGGACAAGCTACATACATGTATGTGTGCTCTCTGTGCTTAGAACACATAGAATACCTCTAGAACACACAGATGAAACCAATAACAATTACTGGCGGGTCCCATGCAGTCATGAGTTACTAGATCCTCTGGTTCTGCAAATTTTTCTTAACCCATATGCTGAATGACATCTACGAAAACAGTCTGTTCAATTGTGGGAAACTGATTGTTCCATCCAATAATCACAGCTTAGAACTATAACTGGTTATATGCCTCACCTCATATTTTAATCCATCGGCCCAAATATAAGTCCCCTGTCCATGCATGAGTCCTTCTGAAAACATACCCTTCAAAACAAAACAAAGCAACGACAAACACTTAGAATACAGCTGACACATATACATATTTGAGATAGGGTCTGGTTCTGTCACCCAGGCTGGAGTGCAGTGGTGTGATCATAGCTCACTGCAGCCTCGAACTCCCAGGCTCAAGCAATCCTCCCACTTCAGCCTCCCGAGTAGCTGGGACTACAGGCATCCACCACCATGCCCAGCTAATTTTTGTATTTTTTGTGGAGACGGGATTTCACCACGTTGGCCAGGCTGGTCTTGAAATCCTGAGCTCTAGCAATGCGCCCGCCTTGGCCTCCCAAAGTGCTGGGATTATAGGCATGAGCCACCGCGCCTGGCCTGCAGCTGATGATTCTCTCCCACAACTGCCTTATCCCGATTTCACATGCGTGAAGATGCTTGTCTGCACACTCAGCACCAGCTGAGTCCTAGTGAGTCCTACTCTGAGCTGCCTCCATGCTGGGCTCCATCCTTCTCTAAAAAGGATCTAAGAGGTCCTCATCTTCATGACCTAAGGATGACCTCAGCTACAAAAATGTGTTCTCAACCGGGTGCGGGGGCTCACACCTGCAATCCCAGCACTTTAGGAGTCTGAGGCAGGAGGATAACTTGTGCCCGGCAGTTCAAGACCAGCCCTGGCAACGTAGCAACTCCTTGTCTCTACCAAAAAAAAAAAAAAAAAAATTAAATTAGCCAGGCGTGCTAGCTCACACCTGTAGTCCCAGCTATTCAAGAGGCTGAGGAGGGAGGATCATTTGACTCCAGGAGGTCGAGGCCACAATGAGTTATGATTGTGCCACTGCACTCCAGCTTGGGTGACACAGTGAGACCCTGTCTCAAAAAATATAAAATAATCAGGAAAAGAAACAAATCTAAAATAACTTTTGTTATATTGAGCATTATTTTTACCTTAAATAGGTAATCAGGTTTCAGAATAAAATCGGCATGAAGAGCTTCCGATTTCTTTTGAAGCATCAGTGGATTTTACTGAAGATTTACAAATCTACGACCATCACCCCACACCTTCCTCCCCTTCCTGCAGGTTCTCAAATGGGCAACTTACACGATAGGTACAACCGCCTTGAAAGGCTGCGAAGCCTTCTCCCTCATACAGCCCACGAACCTTTTCCCCTTCATAGCTACAAAGAAATAAAGGTAATTCAAGGTAATGAACAATGTGAATAAACCCAAGTGACAGTGGGTTAAACTATATAACTATGTAATGGGAAGAATGAAGTCAGAAAAAAAAAAAATATATATATATATATATATACACAGAGCTAGAAAGTAGAAGAGGTTACCAGGGGTTTGAAAGTAGGGTGAGGAATGAAGGCATTTCGGGGTTTTTTTGTTTGTTTTTTGGGGATTTTTTTTGAGATGGAGTCTCACTCTGTCGCCCGGGCTGGATGGAGTGCAATGACGTGATCTTGGCTCACTGCAACCTCTGCCTCCCGGGTTCAAGTGATTCTCCCGCCTCAGCCTCCTGAGTAGCTGGGATTACAGGCACATGTCACCACGCCCAGCTAATTATTGTGTTTTTAGTAGAGATGGAGTTTCACCATATTGGCCAGACTGGTCTCAAACTCCTGGCCTCAAGTGATCTGCCCGCCTCAGCCTCCCAAAGTGCTGGGATTACAGGCTTGAACCACCGCATCTGGCCAGGAGTTACTATTTAATAGACGGTCGTACAACACTATGAACGTACTTAATGCCATTGAATTGTACACTTAAAATAATTAAGATAGTACATTTTGTTATATGTTTCACCACAATAAACTCTATATATACACACGCCATGGGGCTGTATGTTTGCTATTTGGGTGATGGGCTTACTAGAAGCCCAAACCTCAGCATCACACAACATGCCCATGTAACAAACCTGCACATGTAACCCTCTAAATCTAAAATAAAATAATTTTTTTAAATACATAAAATTACCTTCAGGCCAGGCACAGTGGCTTACGCCTGTAATCCCAGCACTTTGGGAGGCTGAGGCAGGTGGCTCACCTGAGGTCAGGAGTTCGAGACCAGCCTGGCCAACAGGGTGAAACCTTGTCTCTACTAAAAGTACAAAAATTAGCCAGGCATGGTGGCGGGCACCTGTAATCCCAGCTACTCAGGAGGCTGAGGCAGGAGAATTGCTTGAATGTGGGAGGTGGAGGTTGCAGTGAGCCAAGATCACACCACTGCACTCCAGCCTGAACGACAGAGTGAAACTCTGTCTCAAAATAAAATAAGATAAACCGCCTGACTGGCAGTGTTATACCCGATGGCACCCCCATTAAAATCACCTTTCCACTATGAGTTTGGTCAGAATGGACTCTTCGTATTGGCTGGCATCTTCGTTCTGCTGAACGTTTTGGCGGTCTTTTTTGGGTTTCACTTCGTTGAGCTGCATTCCCAGCAATGGGACACCAGCTGGGGACATCTCTTGCCTAGTGGTGTTGCCATCTTGTTTGGAAAAGTCTAGATTATCAGAGAGAGATGAGGGAGAGCGGGCAGACTTCTCCCCTTTTTTGTCTGCTTTTTTCTTTTCTTTCACCATTGCCTTGGGAAGATCCAATGGTTACTTGAATCAAATGATTTCTTTGGTTCAGAGCTGCTTGTTTCAAAGCACTGATGAGTTTTATCTGAAAAATAAAAATTACGTCTCCAAACACTTGGGGTTTTCATTTGTAGTTAAAATTTCAGTTTTACAACACAATGTCATTATCATTCTCCTGACAAAGTCTGAAAAATTAGTTACCAGGGCCGGGTGTGGTGGCTCACACCTGCGATCTCAGCACGTTGAAGGGCCAAGGTGGGAGGATCATGTGAGTCCAGGAGAGGGAGATCAGCCTAGGCCACGTAGTGAGATGCCACCTCTCTACAAAAAATAAAAATAAATTAGCCAGGCGTGGTGGCACATGCCTGTAGTCCCAGCTACTAGGGAGGCTCAGGTGGGAGGACTGCTTGAGCCTGGGAGGTCGAGGCTGCAGTGAGTAGTGTCACACCACTGCACTCCAGTCTGGGTATCAGAGCAAGACTCTGTCTCAAAAATGACTATAATTACAAGTTTCAAGTACCATCAGTTTATAAAAATACAACCTCAACATCGCATTGCTTGTTCCTAAAATTTTTTTATTTTTAATTTTTGAGACAGAGTCTCACTCTGTCACCCAGGCTGGAGGGCAGTGGCACAATCACAGCTCACTCTAGCCTCAACCTCCTAGGCTCTGACGATCCTTCCATCTCAGCCTCCCAAGTAGCTGGGACCACAGGCATGCATTACCACACCTGGCTAATTTTTTGTAGAGACAGGGTCTTGCTATCTTGCCCCGGCTGGTCTGGAACTCCTGAGCTCAAGCAATCCGCCTGTCTCAGCCTCCCAAAGTGCTGGGATTATAGGTGTGAGCCACTGTACCTTGCCCCAAAAATTATTTAAGTTGGAACCATTGTCTAGCATTGTTTCTTGAAAGGTAACCCTACACATGAAATAGGCTACTTCACCTCTCAGGTCTTGCATGCAGCCAATTCACACTTTAAAAGCCCCTCTCTGGCCGGATGCAGTGGCGCACACCTGTAGTCCCAGCACTTTGGGAGGCCAAGGCAGGTGGATCACGAGGTCAGGAGATTGAGACCACCCTGGCTAACACTGTGAAACCCCGTCTCTACTAAAAATACAAAAAATTAGCCAGGCATGGTGGCACATGCCTGTAATCCCAGCTACTCAGGAGGCTGAGGCAGGAGAATCACTTGAACCCAGGAGGTGGAGGTTGCAGTGAGCCGAGATCACACCACTGCACTCTAGCCTCGGCAACAGAGCAAGATTCTGTCTCAAAAAAAACAAAACAAAACAAAAGCCCCTCTCCTTATAGGTCAGCATTGTAAAGTGTGCAAGAGCTGGATTCGGAGTCCTGCATTGCCCATTACCAGTTCTATGGGTTTGTTTATTTATTTATTTATTTATTTTTGAGACGGAGTCTCACTCTCTTGCCCAGGCTGGAGTGCGGTGGTGCGATCTTGGCTCACTGCAAGCTCCACCTCCCGGGTTCATGCCATTCTCCTGCCTCAGCCTCCTGAGTAGCTGGGACTACAGGCACCCACCACCACACCTGGCTAATTCTTTTTGTATTTTTAGTAGAGACGGGGTTTCACCGGGTTAGCCAGGATGGTCTCGATCTCCTGACCTCGTGATCTGCCCGCCTTGGCCTCCAAAGTGCTGGGATTACAGGCGTGAGTCACCGGGTGTGGGTGCCCGGCCCAGTTCTGTGTTTTTTGGGTTTGTTTTTTTTTTTTTTTTTTAGACAGACTCTCTAGCCCTGTCCTGCAGGTTGGAATGCAGTGGCAGGATCTTGGCTCACTGGCTCACTGCAACCTCACTGCAGGTTCAAGTGATTCTCCTGCCTCAGCCTCTCGAGTAGCTGGGATTACAGGCACCTGCCTCCATACTCAGCTAATTTTTGTATTTTTAGTAGAGATGGGGTTTCACTGTGTTGGCCAGGCTGGTGTCGAACTCCTGACCTCGTGATCTGCCCGCCTTGGCCTCCCAAAGTGCTGGGATAACAAGTGTGAGCCACCGTGCCTGGCTGGTTTCCTTTTTTTTTTTTTTTTTTTTTTTTTTTTTTTGAGACGGGGTGTTGTACATTTTGCCCAGGCTGGTTTCAAACTCCTGGCCTCAAGCAATCTTCCCACCTTCTCCTCCCAAAGTGCTAGGATTGCGGGCATGAGCCACTGAGCTCGGCCAAGTGCTGTGTTCTGAAGCAAGCTGCTTAATCTCCTCTGCCTCACAAATAGAAATAACAGAACCTTGTCTCATAAGAATTAAACCGATGACACACAGAAAAATCCCTAAGTACAGGATACAGAGCAAAGTCAATAAATTGAGTGATTATCTCGTCCCTTTCCTGTTTTCAAACTTGAAATCATTGGTTTCCCACTCCCTCTAGCACTGCCATCGATTGAGTGCCTCTCATATGCCGGACAAGCAAGGACCGGTGTGCTGGAGTTGCGTTTCCAGCGCATGGTTGCTTGAGCTGTATTTCCAGCGCATCGTTGCTCGAGCTCCGTTTCCAGCGCATATCTTTGCTTGTCTGGCATATGAGCTGCGGTGCAGGGTTTCAAAGCCATAGTTTTCATGGCTTTCCTAATCTGGCCCCGCTGAAAGCACCCTGGTCCATCAGGCAGGATGCATAGGTGAGCCCTGTGGTGAAGGCCAGGTCTGGTCCCTTTTCGTAGGCCCCGACGGGTGCAGTGGGCACTTCTTGCCCTCTTCTTCCTGGATGCCATCCTCTGGACACCCCACCCTCCAGCTGAACCCATCTCCAGCCTTCTCTCTTCCTCCATTATTTATTTATTGAGACAGGGTCTCGCTCTGTCACCCAGGCTGGAGTGCAGTGGCACAGTCTTGGCTCACTGCAACCTTCCGGGTTCAAGTGATTCTTCTGCCCTAGCCTCCCAAGTAGTTGGGATTACAGGTGCCTGCAACCACTCCCGGCTAATTTTTGTATTTTTAGTAGAGCCAGGGTTTCACCATGTTGCCCAGGCTGGTCTCAAACTCCTAACCTCAGGTGATCCGCCCGCCTCGGCCTCCCAAAAGTGCTGGGGTTACAGGCGTGAGCCACCGCGCCCGGCCAAGCCTTCTCGCTTCCTTCCAACACCCTTGCTCCTTCCCGCCCCCGACTACTGTCTCAGCGAAGCCGCCCCTGGGTCCCCTAGCCCAAGGTGCTCTCACCTCTAAATTTAGAGGGGCCTTTACTACGAGCTTTTCGGTCTTCTGTCAGTGATCTACAAATAAGTGAACTACAAATCAAGCCAATTTCGTTTCTCAGTGCGTTTCCTAATGTTTCCTCTGTTCTCCTGGGCTTAAGGAGAGGCCATCTCTCTCCTGTGTCTACGGTGAGCCGAGAAGAATCGGCTCCCTGCACTGGTCTGCCCGGCCTAGGCCCTCCTCGCCCATCACGCACGTGCTCGGGTCCTGGGAGGCCGCGTCAGTCCGGCCGGGAAGGAGCAGGACCCAGTCGCCATGGCTGTCCCGGCGTAGGCAGGACCGCGGCCTGGGGCGCTCACCTCGCTCCAGGAGCCCAGAGACCTCGCCGGGCTCGGGCTGAGGTGTTGCCGGGCTCTCGGCGTCCCAGACCCGGCTCCGGTCTCCAGGCAACCGCGGACGCCGCCAGGCCCACCCTGTGCTCTTAAAGGGGCCGCGCGCCAGCGCCAAGCAGGTGTCCCGCCCTTGCTGGTCCTGAAGGCCGGGGGAAAGGCTGGACGCTGGAGGCAGCAGGCCAGGGTTTTCCCAGCTCTGCTAACTGCTTCATCATAAAATAGGAATAACGCAGGCATTAGTTTTCCATTGCTGCCGCAAACAAATTACCATAAATTTAGTGGTTCGAAGCAACACAAATTTATTACCCTACAGTATGTAAATTAGTCCCACAGTGCTGGTTCCTTCCAGAGGCTGAGGGAGAGAATGCGTTTTCTTGCCTTTTCCAGCTTTTCCAGAAGCGGTCCCCAACCTTTTTGGCACCAGAGACCGGTTTCGCGGAACACAATTTTTCCATGGATTGGGGTCGGGGAGGGATGGTTTCAGGACGATTCAAGTGCATTGCATTTATTGTGCACTTTATTTCTACTATTATTACATTGTAACATATAATTAAATAATTCTACAACTCACCATCACAGAGACTCAGTGGGAGCCCTGAGCTTGTTTTCCTGCAACTAGACAGCCCCATCTGGGGGTGACGGGAGACAGTGACAGATCATCAGGCATCAGATTCTCATAAGGAGCGTGCAACCTACATCCCTCGTGTGTGCAGTTCACAATAGGGCTCGTGCTGCTATGAGAATCTAATGCCCACCGCTGATGTGACAGGAGGCGGAGCTCGGGTGGTAACGCCAGCGACGGGGAGTGGCTATAAATACAGATGAAGCTTCGCTGGCTTGCCGGCCCCTAACCTGCTGTGCACCCCACTTCCTAATAGGCCATGGACCACTACTGGTCTGTGTCCGGAGTGTTGGAATCCCTGTTCTAGAGACTGCTTGCAATCCTTGACTAGTGGTACCTCCTTCCATCTCCAAAACCAGCAAGGCAGCCTCTCTCTGGCCAGCAGGGAAAGGTCTCCACCTTTGAAGGACTCACCCAATGGACTGGGCCCACCCAGACAATCCAGGATAATCTCTCTGTTGCAAGATCCTTAACTCAGCCAGGCATGATGGCTCACACCTGTAATCCCAGCACTTTGGGAGGCCGAGGCGGTCGGATCACCTGAGGTCAGGAGTTCGAGACCAGCCTGGTCAACATGGTGAAACCCTGTCTCTACTAAAAATACAAAAATTAGCCAGTATGGTTCTGGACACCTGTAATCCCAGCTACTCGGGAGGCTGAGGTGGGAGAATCACTTGAACCTGGGAGGCAGAGGCTGCAGTGAGCTGAGATCATGCTATTGAACTCCAGCCTGGGCAACAAGAGCGAAACTTCATCTCAAAGAAAAAAAAAAAAAAGATCCTTCACTCAATCACACCTGCCGAGTCCCTTCTGCCACGTGAGGCAGCGTGGTCACAGGTTCTGGGGATTAGGACACAGCTGTCTTGGGGGCTGTTATCCTGCCACAGCTCCCAATCTGGAGAGTTCATAAGTGGGATCCTGCAGACCACGCCAGCACAGTGCCAGACACGATGGCACAGTGACTACTGTACTGCCTCCTCCATCTGAAGGATTCTAAAGCAGGAAGGGGAGCCGCCCACAGTCTGGAGAAGGGGTGGGGGCAGCAGGGGGAGCCACATCTGTCATCTCTGGGCCCCCAAGAGGGCATCTTTACTTCCATTTTCAGCCAAGTTCAAACAGGACAAGGTTCCATGAAAACTATTTGAAAAGACAGACAGGGATTCTTATATTCCCAGAACCATTCAAGGCCAGTAACTGGAATGTTCTACAGTTCACATCCTGAGGAAACCAAATCACAGCATCAAATTATGGGAAATCAAACTCTTTTTGTTCCCCTGCGAGGACAGCATTTTGCGACCTTGGCCGCACAGAGGAATGTTTCAAATAGTGACCCCTGTCCCATCCAGTCATTTTCTTCCAGCCGGGCAGAGAATCCCCCGTGTTTAAAAATTTAATGTGAATCAGGGCTGAGAATCACTAACTGAAAAGGACCCTACTTTTAAATTTATGAAATTAAACAAAGATGAATTTAATTATTGTTAAGGGTTGAAAGTTATAGACTAAACTATGTCCAGCCAGAGCAGAGGCCTGAGTAACTTCCAAAGTGGTTTGGTTTTTTTTGTTTTGTTTTGTTTTGTTTTGTTTTTTGAGACACAGTCTTGCTCTATCTCACCCAGGCTGGAGCGCAGTGGCGCAATCTCGGTTCACTGCAACCTCCGTCTCCCGGGTTCAAGCGATTCTCCTGCCTCAGCCTCCTGGGTAGCGGGGATTACAGGCATGCGCCAGCACACCTGGCTAATTTTGTATTTTTAGTAGAGGCAGGGTTTCTCCATGTTGGTCAGGCTGGTCTCGAACTTCTGATCTCAGGTGATCTGCCGGCCTCGGCCTCCCAAAGTGCTGCGATCACAGGCATGAGCCACCATGCCCAGCCCAAGTGTTCTTATTTTTATAAAATGTGTTCTTGCCTGGACACACACACACGAGCGCATGCAAACATAGAGAAAAAAAATTTGCAAGCAATGCTCCATCTGGTTTGAAAAGGTTCTCAAGATCACTTTTAAATGGGTGTGATGTGTATTTTTTTTAAGTAGCAGGTTTCATTTTAAAACAAAAAAGGTTAGTGAAGACTCTGTCTTTCAAAACATAAAAATCTGCGATAAAACCAATTATTCCATACAGTGACTACGGTCAGTTCTGAGAAATGACACCCAGGTTGGCGATGTGTCTCATGGTTGGCCTTCCATGGGGACAGTTCCAGGGGTGGTCCATCTCCCCCATGTGGGTGATCAGTTTCTTCATCTCGCTTGTGTTAAGAGCAGTCCCAATCATCACCTGAGTGTGAGACACAATGGTTCAACGTTTTAGTAGTTTTTTGACGTCAGAATGGCAGCTCTTCAGAAGCATTCTTCTCTAAAATAAGGCTGGACAAGATTACAGCTCAAAAACTACCTTCCCTGAAAAACCTTCCCCCAGAGAAGCCTAGGTTCTAGATCTCAGCCCTCCACCCTTCTGTGAAATCAGGCTCCTTGTGGCTCCTTCAAGGTGGCACCGCCTCCACTCCAGACGCCGACCACACCTGTCTCAGCAGCCACCCTGCCCTCTCACCCTGGCAGGTGCAGCAGCCTCCCAGCAGGCCTCCCTGCCCCACTGCGACCCCTCCGAGCCGCTCTCCACTCAGCAGCCAGTGATTACTTTTAAAGGGCTGTCAGGTTATTCATTCCACTTCACAGCTCTCCCCCTCACCTGAATAAAAGCCCCCGTCTGTCCCCTGACTTGGCCCTCGCTGGGCTGTGCCTGCACCCCCACCTCCAAGCACGAATGCCTCCCTTCCTCACCCCAGCTGCACTGCTACTCCCTTCCTCTTGCACAGGCCCATCACGCAAACACCTGCCTTGGGACTGTGGCACTCCCGGGACCCTCTCCCCCAATGGGTGCAGGCGTCACTCCCCCTCTGTCGAGCTCCGACCTGCTGCCCATAGCACTCCAGCCCTGGCCCTGCTGCCTCCCTGCCATGGGTCCTCTGACAGGAAGGAGAGGACACAAGCCTGAAGCCCAATGTCACCTTCTTTCTTCCTGCAGCACCCTGAGGGCTCGCCATGTGCCAAGCACAGTCAGAAGGCTGGGGTGACAGCAGGTTGGAGAAGGACAGACAATCAACAAGTCAACAGAGAACCAAGACAGGTGGCACCCAGGCGAGGCGGCCTGCTCAGGTGTGGGGATGGGGTGAAGGGTGACGGTGGCAAACCCAGGTAGAGAGGAGAGTAGGGAGAAAGGGTGTAAGGCAGGGAGGAGACTGAGGCGAGCGTGGAACTGGAAGGCAGCTACATGGCTGGAAGCTACATGGTGGGGAGATGGGGCTGGAAGGGTGGGCAGGGCTCAAAGCAGGAGCCTCCTGGGCAGGCAGTGACAACACCGGAGATGGACGGGTAGGCCAGGGCGAGAGGGAAGGAGCAGCCTGTGGTTCCCCGGGCCACTGAGTCACACTAAACTCAGGACATCAAAACTGCCCGGCTATGAGCTCAGCTCCACGCTCTCACTCACAGACTCCAAGACTGGAAGATCCATATTATGTCTTTTATTTTGGTGAGGTCAGGGGTGGTGGAGAGACTCTGTCTCCCAGGCTGGAATGCAATGGTGCGATCTCAGCTCACTGCAACTCCGCCTCCCAGATTCAAGCAATTCTCCCGCTTCAGCCTCCCGAGTAGCTGGGATTACAGGCGCCCACCACCATGCCCAGCTAATTTTCGTACTTTTAGTAGGGATGGGGTTTCACCATGTTGGCCAAGCTGGTCTCAAATTCCTGACCTCAGGTGATCAACCCACCTCCGCCTTCCAAAGTGCTGGGATTACAGGTGTGAGCCACCACGCCCAGCCCCTATTAGGTCTTTATCCAAGAAACACTGTGGCTAGAAGTCAGACTCTGGGCCCTCTTCTAATTAAACTCTGCCCTTGAGTCATTTCATCTAATCTCATGGCTGTAAATTACACCTGAAGCTCACACAGCAGGCTCCATCCCACCCACTCCCCACGTGGCCCCCAGCTGCTGCTCTCCCCAGCGGCCGCAGCCACCGCACCCCTTCCAGTCTGTTCTCTCTCCAGCAGCTGCAATCACGGGACTCCTTCCCGTCTGTTCTCTCCAGTGGCTCGTGCCACACACAGCACAGACCCCCAGGGTCTAGGTATGACCGGCAACACTCTACGTGGCTGTCCTCTGGACGCCGCTCTGCTCACTCCCTTCCCCTCTCCAGGGACACAATCAGCCTCTGGCTTCAGTCTTGCTACTTCCTTCGCTTGGAAAGTTCTTACCCAAGAGGGCTCCATTCTACCTTTTTTTTTTTTTTTTTGAGACAAGGTCTTACTCTGTCACCCAGGCTGGAGTGCAGTTGCGTGATGTTGGCTCATTGTAACCTCGACCTCCCTGGCTCAAGTGATCCTCCCACCTCAGCCTCCTGAGTAGCTGTGACTACAGGCACATGCCACCACACCTGGCTAATCTTTTAATTTTTTGTACACATGGGGTCTGCCTGTGTTGCCCAGGCTGGTCTCTTAACTCCTGGCCTCAAGCAATCCTCCTGCCTTGGCCTCCCAAAATGCTGGGATTACACGTGTGAGCCACCATGCCTGGCTTCCATCCCACCTTTTAGATGGCAGCTGAGATGCCACCTGCCCAGATGCCATTCCCTGACCACCATCTCACCTGGTCACCATGTTTTTCTCTTGTCATTTCCTGCCCCAAAACGCTGTTTTAGGCCAGGTGCGGTGGCTCACGCCTGTAATCCCAGCACTTTGGGAGGCCAAGGCGGGCAGATCATGAGTCAGGAGATCAACACCAGCCTGACCAACATGGTGAAACCCCGTCTCTATTAAAAATATAAAAATTAGCCAGGTGTGGTGGGTGCCTGTAGTCCCAGCTACTTGGGAGGCTGAGGCAGGAGAATCGCTTGAACCTGGGAGGCGGAGGTTGCAGTGAGCTGAGATCACATCACTGCACTCCAGCCTAGTAACAGAGCGAGACTCCGTCTCAAAAACAGACAAAGAAAAATGCTGTTTGAATCTCTTGACTGTGCTTACTGGCATCTAATGCGTGTCATTTATTTGTGGTGATGCCTATTTCTCCCCACTGTCTGCTCCACAGGGGCAGGGGCTGCAGCCGCCTTGTTACCTCTGTGTCCCGAGCACCTGGAGCAGGGCGGGCCCCACATCAGGGGCTCAAGGAGCACCTGCTGAATAAATAAAGGAATGGCGTCCTGGCCCTTCCCAGTGGCCAGCTGATACACAGTCACTTTTCTTGGAAATCAGGCTAATCCCCACTGCAGGCAGAACCACTGCTGCCACCTTCCCACACCAACCGAAGCAGCGGCAGTGACGCCACGTGCAATGACAACCACGGCACCCCGTGAAGCACCTGCTGCCTCGATGACTCTGCAGAATCGTGTCCAATGTCGCCGAGTCCTGGCAGCAGCAAATCTTTATCTCCCAATGTTGTTATGACCCATAAGGTCCATAGACGAACAAGGTACCTCAAACGCTAACTGCGTTGGAGTCAACCAAAGCTCGGAGATAGAATACTGGCCGGGCCAGGCACAGTGGCTCATGCCTGTAATTCCAGCACTTTGGGAGGCTGAGACAAGGGGCAAAAGGAGACCATGTTTCTACAAAAAATTTAAAAATTAGCTGGGCATGGTGGTGCATGCCTGTGGTCACAACTACTTGGGAGACAGAGAGAGGAGGATCGCTTCAGCCTGGTACGTCAAGGCTGCAGTGAGCTGTGATTGTGCCACTGCACTCCAGCCTGGGGGACAGAGGGAGAATCTGTCTAAAAAAAAAAAAAGAAGAATTCTGGGTTTTTTTTGTTTTTTTGAGACGGAGTCTCGCTCTGTCGCCCAGGTTGGAGTGCAGTGGTATGAACTTGGCTCACTGCAACTTCCGCCTTCTGGGTTCACGCCATTCTCCTGCCTCAGCCTCCCGAGTAGCTGGGACTATAGGCGCCCGACACCACGCCCGGCTAATTTTTTTGTATTTTTAGTAGAGACGGGCTTTCACCATGTTAGCCAGGATGGTCTCGATCTCCTGAACTCGTGATCCGCCCGCCTCAGCTTCCCAAAGTGCTGGGATTAGAGGCTTGAGCCACCATGCCCGGCCAAGAATACTGCTTAACAGAGGTAACAAAAGAGCAATAATTATGAGTTCAAGGTCACAGAGAACACAGACGACACAGATGCTCAGCTACGACGCTGCACGTAGCTCTCTGTGTAAAATGACCCCTGGCAATCACAAAGGCGTTTACAACCTTGACCAAATCAGGAGCTGGGCTGAGACCTTCCTCGACTGCAAGCTTGAGCAGCTGAGCTGACAGCCAGGCTTTCTTTACTTACCGACTTCCGGCAGGCTCTGGAGGCAAACATCTGCTTGACTCGGGAAGGCCGGCACATGACCCCAGGGCTGTCGCTCAGCATGAAGATCAGTTCATCGACGTCCTGGGGTCCGAAGGTCCAGCTTTTACTAGTTGGCAAGGAAATCAGTTTAGCCCTTTCAGTGACTGGAGCTAAAAGAATACAATTTTGAGAAAAATCCATGACTTGACAAACACGTTTCACTTGAAAGCTACTTAGGATGAACATCTGAGGCCGGGCGTGGTGGCTCATGCCTATAATCCCTGCACTTTGGGAGGCCAAGGCAGGCAGATCATGAGGTCAGGAGATAGAGACCATCCTGGCTAACATGGTGAAACCCCGTCTCTACTAAAAAATAGAAAAAATTAGCTGGGTGTGGTGGCAGGCACCTGTAGTCCCAGCTACTCGGGAGGCTGAGGCAGGAGAACGGTGTGAACCTGGGAGGCGGAGCTTGCAGTGAGCCGAGATCACACCACTGTGCTCCAGCCTGGGTGACAGAGCAAGACTCCATCTCAAAGAAAAAAAAAAAAAATAGTGAACATCTGAAAGAGAGGACAGTCACAAAATGCTTTTTGGGGGAACCTTTTTAATCTTTTATAAAATAAAAAAAAAACAGTCTATATGACCTGAAAGATTATTCCCAGCTCTAAAAAGACAAGAATCTATAGTTCTAATTTTTTTTTTTTTTTTTGAGACAGAGTTTCACTCTTGTTGCCCAGGCTGGAGTGCAGTGACGTGATCTCGGCTCACTGCAACCTCCACCTCCCGGGTTCAAGCGATTCTCCCACCTCAGCCTCCTGAGTAGCTGGGATTACAGGCACCCGCCACCAGGCCCGGCTACTTTTTGTATTTTCAGTAGAGATGGGGTTTCACCATGTTAGCGAGGCTGGTCTCAAACTCCTGACCTCAGGCGATCTGCCCGCCTTGGCCTCCCAGAGTGCTGGGATTACAGACGTGAGCCACCACACCCAGCCGCTATAGTTCTAATTAATAACTTACCATTTTCATCGATAACAAAATCGAAGCCATTCTTTCTAAATATTTCCAGATTTTCTATCAGAACAGCTTCATTAACAGCAGTTAAGTTGAGAGTCTGAGGTCTGAAAAACACAAAAATGATTCAAACCATATCCTGAAGTCAAACATTTAGCTTTACAGCAGAAATGAAATGAAAACAACAATACTGTATTTTGAATTCATGTCAAAATAACAACACGAATAACAACATAATTCAGCTAAGTGTCACAAAACTTCCTGAGAAGTTCCTTTTAATTTTCTCTTTCTTAAAGTTCTTTTTAGAAGTTAAAATAGCTACAGGCCAGGTGCGGTGGCTCACGCCTGTAATCTCAGCACTTTAGGAGGCTGAGGCAGGCAGATCTCTTGAGGCCAGGAGTTTGAGATCAGCCTGGTCAACACGGCGAAACCCTCTCTCTACTAAAAATATAAAAATTAGGCCAGGCATGGTGGCGCACGCCTGTAGTCCCAGCTACTTGGGAGGCTTAGGCATGAGATTCGTTTGAACCCAGGAGGGAGGCAGAGGTTGTAGTGAGAGCCAAGATCACGCCACTGTACTCCAGCCTGGGCGACACAACAAGACTCTGTCTCAAAAAAAAAAAAAAAAAAAAAAAAAAACACCCACAAAAACAAAAATTAGCTGGAAGTGGTGGCTCATGCCTGTAATCCCAGCTACTCGGGAGGCTGAGGCACTAGAATTGCTTGAACCCAGGAGGTGGAGGTTGCAGTGAGCCAAGATCACACCACTGCACTCCAGCCTGGGCAACAGGGCAAGACTCTGACTCAAAAAAAAAAAAAAAAGTTAAAGTAGCTACAAAAGTAGTTTGCTTTTTCCTCAGCCTGCCACGCCAATGACTCCCACTTTTTCTGAATCCTTTCCTTAAGGATAACAGTATCACAAAAATGCTATTTTTTCTCCTTCTAATAGAGAATTTGAAACACTGGGTTAGGTCATTGCCAGCATTTGTAAACAGAATGAACAGACAGCATTTATTTTGCTATCCTGTTCCTTCCTCTCCCTGTATTATATCTCCATCCTTCTCTCCTCCTGGATTTACTGAGTGCTTTTTTTTTTTAACCTTTCGTTATTTTTTTCAAAGATAGAGACAGGGTCTCACTATGTTGCCCAGGCTGCTCTCAAACTCCTGGGCTCAAGCGATCCTTCCACTTCAGCCTCCCAAAGTGCTGGGATTACGAGTGTGAGCCACTGCATCTGGTCCTGAGTGCTGGATAAGACAAACACTGCTCAAGGCAGGAGACAGCTGGTGAGCAAACACAGGCTTGGTCCTGGAGCCAACAGATTACCGGGGAAGAAAGACGTTGAGCAAATACTCAGGCAAGTCGATTATGATGAGAAACGACAGGAAGGTCAGGAAGAAAAAGCAGCCAGTGTCATAGAGAGACTTCACCCTGGGGTCAGGAAGTGACCTTTGAGCTGAGTCCGGGGATAAGAGAGTTAATCAGGTAACGGGGGAGAAGTGGGTGCAGGGTGCAGGACAAGTATTCTAGACAGGGACAACAATCTGTGCCAAGCCCCAGGATGGACCGCTGATGTTTGCAGAGCCACACATAAAGATATCCTTCATTCTGCTTAGTGGCCACATAGGGATTCATCAGGCCTGCCAAGGGAAAAAGAAAGACAGCCAGAGAGGCTTGAGTACAGGGAACAAGGGGAAGACGAACGGGAAAAGCTACAGAGGTCAACAGGGCCACCCTACACAGGGGCTGGCAGGGCAGGGTGGAACTGGGTCTTTATCCTTTAATCTTGAAGTGTGGTCCATCTGGGACCCTAAGTGGTCTGTGATTACCTGGGCCAACTTGAAATGTCACAGATGAGAGGTTATCTTTGCCGAATGGCTAAAAAATACAAGACCTCAGCCGGGCATGGTGGCTCACGCCTGTAATCCCAGCACTTTGGGAGGCTGAGGTTGGTGGATCACCTGAGGTCAGGAGTTCAAGACCAGCCTGACAAACATGGCAAAACTCCCTATCTATTAAAAATCCAAAAATTAGCCAGGTGTGGTGGCGGGTGCCTGTAATCCCAGCTACTCGGGAGGCTGAGGCAGGAGAATCACTTGAACCCGAGAGGCAGAGGTTGCAGTAAGCCGAGATCACATCACTGCACTCCAGTATGGGCGAAAGAGTGAAACTCTGTCTCAAAAACACAAAAACAAAAAACCTCTATTAAGAGGAACAGGGAAGGGATATAAAGTAGCTTACTAAATGTCTATTATTACCATTGCCTCCTACTGAGAATAAAAACAATTCACGCATTCCACAGGAGAGTACTCAGCAAACTACACAGGAGAGTACTCAGCAAACTACACAGGAGAGTACTCAGCAAACTACACAGGAGAGTACTCAGTAAACTACACAGGAGAGTACTCAGCAAACTACACAGGAGAGTACTCAGTAAACTACACAGGAGAGTACTCAGCAAACTACACAGGAGAGTACTCAGCAAACTACACAGGTTCAGTGGTACATTTCTCCATGTGGGATCTACTTGTTGGGATCTGAGTTTACTTCACTACGTTGTTTAATTTCCCACACGAAAATCCATGACCTCTTCTTATAACTTTGCTGAAGACAAGACTTTGGTTTTACATGATACTATCACATCTGACCTTTGTGAAGTAGTCAGAGTAAAACATTCCAGCTTGGCCGAGGAGAGAGAAATACCAAATTCTGCAGTGACTATCTTAAAATAATTTTTAAATTTTATTTTATTTTATTTATTAATTTATTTGTGAGACAGAGTCTCACTGTCTCACTCTGTCACCCAGGCTGGAGAGCTGTGCAGTGGCACGATCATGGCAGCCTCAATCTCCTGGGCTCAAACGATCCTCCCACCTCAGCCTCCCGAATAGCTGGGACCACAGGCATACACCATGAAGTCTGACTAATTTTTTACATTTGTTGTAGAGACAAGGTTTCACCATGATGCCCAGGCTGGTCTCAAACTCCTAAGCTCGAGGGATCTGCCTGCCTCAGCCTCCCAAAGCTCTGGGATTACAGGCGTGTGCCCCTGCATCCAACCTGCAGTGACTATCTGACTTCTGATTACTCTACTGTCAATCAACACTGGCGCACAGGCTGTCTGTCTTTCTGAACACACACATTCCATACACTATGCATACTAATACTCCATACTATCAATTGCCCTCATCAGAAGGATCTTCTGGCTAACCAGTGATCAACATTTTTAATAGCAAAAAAGGTCTGATACTTAGAGAACATGTTAACCACGTGAACTGGGGCAGGTTACTCAACCTCTCTGCATGTGCCTCAGTTTTATCGCTTGTGGAATGGTGATGGTAACAGTAACAACCTGACAGGTTTTTGAGGATTAAAGGAACTAATACACATACATTATTTCAACAGTGCCTGGCAGATTCTAGGCATTAAATAAATGGTAACTATCACTATTATTATGTAAAAAGTATAAAAATCTGCTATATGAATACTTATGGAAAATTACATATATACATATAGACACACATATAAACTATTAGGTCTCTTTTTTTTTTTGAGATAGAATCTCGCTCTGTCACCCAGGCTGGAGTGCAGTGGTGCGATCTCGGCTCACTGCAACCTCTGTCTCCCAGGTTCAAGCGATTCTCCTACCTCAGTCTCCTGAGTAGCTGGAATTACAGGCGTGCACTGCCATGCCCAGCTAATTTTTTGTATTTTTATTTTTTATCATTATTATTATTTTTTGAGACGGAGTTTCACTCTTGTTGCCCAGGCTGGAGTGCGATGGCACGAACTCGGCTCGCTGCAAACTCCGCCTCCCGGGTTCAAGCGATTCTCCTGCCTCAGCCTCCCAAGTAGCTGGGACTACAGGCGCCTGCCACCACGCCTGGCTAATTTTGTATTTTTAGTAGAGACAGGTCTCACCATGTTGGTCAGGCTGGTCTCGAACTCCCGACCTGAAGTGATCTGCCCACCTCGGCCTCCCAAAGTGCCGGGATTACAGGCGTGAGCCACCGTGCCTGGCCTTTTTGTATTTTTAGTAGAGGCGGGGTTTCACCACGTTGGCCAGGCTGGTCTCCAACTCCTGACCTCAGGTGATCTGCCTGCCTCGGCCTCCCAAAGTGCTGGGATTACAGGTGTGAGGCACCGCACCTGGCCAACTAGATCTTTTTTATTTTTTACACCCCTCCTTCCTAGATCTCTTCTTTTTTAAAGTAGATACAAGGTCTTGCTGTGTTGTCCAGGCTGGTCTCAAACTCCTGGCCTCTTGTGATCCTCCTGCCTCGGCCTCTATTAGATCTTCAATTTGAGGGGGAGTCTGGGAATGAACACTAAACACACTCACGCTATGAGCCTCTGCCCCTGGAGCACGGTGTGCTGCTGCAGCATCTCGAAGTTATACTTCTCGTCCGTGGCATGCTGGTCCACTATGAAGATATCCTCATTCAGTTTGGTTATTATAAATCCCAGGTTAAACTGACCAATGATTTCCATTTCTGCAAACATCGTTTTACTGCAGGTAGAAAATGTTAATTATCAGACATTTTACAAGATTATTTTTCTGATTATGTTATAGAACACTGTAATAAAAAAAAGTCAAACAATACAAAAACAAAATAAAGTCCCTAGCCATCCCGCTTTCTTTTTTTTTGAAACAGAGTCCCGTTCTGTCACCCAGGCTACAGTGCAATGGCACAATCTTGGCTCACTGCAACCTCCACCTCCCGGGTTCGAGTGATTCTTCTGCCTCAGCCTCCTGAGTAGCTGGGATTACAGGTGCGCCACCATGCCCAGCTAACTTCTGTATTTTTAGTAGAGACAGAGTTCCACCATGTTGGTCAGGCTGGTCTCGAACTCCTGACCTCATGATCTGCCCGCCTTGGCCTCCCAAAGTGCTGGGATTACAGGCGTGAGCCACTGCGTTCGGCTTAACCATCCCACTTTCTAAAGATAACATTAATTATTCATTCATCCAACTCTCCGGAGAAGACATCAGTTGCTACTATTAACGATTTAAATGGAATATATCCTTCTAGACCCTTGTCTCTATATATAATTTTTTTAATTTTAAAAAACAAAAATGGAATCTTAATTCTCCATTCTGTCATCACTTAATGCATCTGAAAGACGTTTTTAGACCTGTACACATAGATCTACTTCATTATTTTTTTCTTTTTTTTTTCTTTTAAGACGGAGTCTCTCTCTCTGTTGCCCAGGCTGGACTGCAGTGGCGCGACCGTGGCTCACTGCAACCTGCGCCTCCCAGGTTCGAGCGATTCTCCTGCCTCAGCCTCCCGAGTAGCTGGGACTACAGGCATGCACCGCCAAGCCCGGCTAATTTTTTTATTTTTAGTAGAGACAAGGTTTCACCATGTTGGCTAGGCTGGTCTTGAACTCCCGACCTCAAGTGATCCACCTGCCTCGGCCTCCCAAAGTGCTGGGATTACAGGCGTGAGCCACCGCACCCGCCCTACTTCATTCTTTTTAATGGCCACATAGGAATTCATTGCATGGATGTACCATAACTTGTCTGACAAATCCCCTGCTAAAGGACATTTCGGTTGTTTCCAATTTCAATAGTGCACTCAAAGCTGCAACAAATACTTCTGTGCATAAACCTACTCATCTGTGGGTGCATTTCCGTGAGACAGACGCTACAGGTAGAACTACATATGTACTTTTTGACGGGAAATCTGTGAAAAGTCACACTCCCACCAATGGTGTGTAAGAGCACCTTTCTGCCAATGCTGGATATCAATCCTTCTCATCTTTGCCAGGCCCACCACTGGGTCCTTTGCTGGGTGGCTTCAACATCCAATGTCATTAAATACTAACTTAGTCAATCTGGACAAAAGACAGACACCACCGCTAACCTTCACACGAGAAATTGACACTGTCATTCTCAGTTCCACACAATTAAATCCGGTGAAAATGGATTTTCCGCAGTATCAGCGCGGTGACGACAAGAAATGGCTCTGTTAAAGCAGCCATGGACGTTTTCTGGTTCTCACCTGGTGGTCTGAGCTGAGGATGAAAGGAGCTATAATGTAATCCCAGCACTTTGGGAAGACAAGGTGGGCAGATCATTTGAGGTTGGGAGTTCAAGACCAGCCTGGCCAACATGGTGAAACCCCATCTCTACTAAAAATAAAAAAATTAGCCAGGCGTGGTGGTGGACACCTGTACTCCCAGCTACTTGGGAAACGAAGGCAGAAGAATCGTTTGAACCCGGGAGGCAGAGGTTGCAATGAGCTGAGATCGTGCCAGTGCACTCCAGCCTGGGTGAAAGAGTGAGACTCTTGTCTCAAAAAAAAGAGAAAGGAGCTGATATTGTTGTTTCTTTCTATAAGTGCTCCAGGAAGACCCGGTCCCATGCCACCATGCTCGTCACCATCACAATCAACCACAGGGGACAGTTTGGTGAACTGTGAGACCTCCACATGGCATGGATTACTGAGCCCACATTTCCTATGGTGAGGGGCTCCACACAGAGCTCAAATCCAAGTCATAACCAAACCAATCCCCAAATCCTATCTTTGAGGGTCTGTTTCCTGGTACTGATTCCATATCAGGCAAAGTGCAATCAATCAAGAGACAAAAACCACACCAGTGATTTTAACAGGGATTTTTTTTTTTTTTTTAAGACAGGGTCTTGCTCTGTCACCCAGGCTGAAGTGCAATGGCATGATCATAGCTCACTGCAGCCTCAAACTCCTGGGCTCAAGTGAGCCTCCTGCCTCAGCCCCCTGAGTACCTGGGACTACAGGCGTGCAGCAGTGTACTTAGCTAACTTTTTTTTTTTTTTTTTTAGAGATGGGGTCTCATTATATTGCCCAGGCTGGTCTCAAACTCCTAGCCTCAAGTGATTCTCCTGCCTCAGCCTCCCAAAGTGCTGGAATTACAAGGTGTGCACCACCATGCTAGGCCTGAGGAGGAAAAATGTATAATAAAGCATTACACAAACTAGCAAAAGGTGGTTAACTACTATGCTAAGAAATACAGGAATGGAAAATGCTACTACCCTAGGGAAGAGGGAGAGTCCTCAGAAAAGGAACTCTTTTTTCTTTTTTTTTTTTTTTGAGATGGAGTTCGCTCTTGTTGCCCAGGCTGGAGTGCAATGGTGCAATCTTGGCTCACCACAACCTCCACCTCCCGGGTTCAAGCAATTCTCCTGCCTCAGCCTCCCAAGTAGCTGGGATTACAGGCATGCACCACCATATCCCACTAATTTTGCATTTTTAGTAGAGAAAAGGTTTCTCCATGTTGGTCAGCCTGGTCTCGAACTCCCAACCTCAGGTGATCCACCCACCTCAGCCTCCCAAAGTGCTGGGATTACAGGCATGAGCCACCATGCCCAGCAGAAAAGGAACTCTTGTAAGAGGCTCCTACCCACTCAGGCTGAGTTTCAGACCTCCTTGGAGCAGGAGTGGCCGCAGCCTGCTGGATGGAGAGAAGCTGCCAGAGTGAGTGATGACACAGGAACTCCTGCCGCACAGGAGGGAAGGAAAAGAACATCCCAGAAGCATCCCAGATGCCAGCACAAATACCACCTCCCCTGGCGCCGATCCCAGGCTCTCCCGGGAATTGTCTGAATATGCCCTGGTTCCCAGTACATAGATAATCTGCTCAAAAGCTGGTGCTGGCCTAAAAGACCCAAGTCTTCCATGTGTTTGGAGTCTGTGTCCTGCCACAGAGAACAGGATCTGGCCAGGCGCAGATGCCGGAATTACAACTGCGCACTACCGCGCCCAGCCAATTTTATTGTAGAGACGAGGTCTCCCTATGTTGTCCAGGCTGGTCTTGAACTCCTGGGCTCAAGTGATCCTCCCTCCACGGTTTGGCCTCCCAAAATGCTGGGATTACAGGCGTGAGCCACCACACCTAGCCTCAAAATACTCTTAAGAAAAAACTTTACCTGGCCGGGTGTGGTGGCTCACACCTGTAATCCCAACACTTTGGGAGGCCAAGATGGCTGGATCACCTGAAGTCAGGAGTTCGAGACCAGCCCAGCCAACATGGTGAAACCCTGTTTCCACCAAAAATATAAAAATTAGCCAGGCATGGTGGCGTGCACCTATAATCCCAGCTACTCAGGAGGCTGAAGCAGGAGAATCGCTTGAACCCAGGAGGTGGAGGCTGCAGTGAGCCAAGATTGTGCCACTGCATTCCAGCCTGTGCACAGAGCAAGATTCTGTCTCAAAAAAATAAAAAATAAAAATAAATACAAATTTAAAATAAAAAGTAAAAAATTAAAACTTTACCTTATCTCTTTTCTTAGTTCATCTTCGGCTGCTTGATTTTCTCCAGGACAAATCCTTGCCCTAAACTTCCTGTAATTCTGTTCCCCTTCACTTTGCTGTGCTTCATGATGTAACTGCTTTATTCGTTTAGCTAAAGAACTCAGAAAAGTTCAGGGGCACAACTTTCTTATTAATTTTCACAGCTACATCAACCTGAGAAGCTGACACGTTCTGAGTATTTACTAACTTTTGACGAATGTCAGAATTGGAAAGAATTTCTTCTTTCTTAAAACACTTTTGTGTTTGGGGATGTGAGATTAGTTGGCTGAGGCAAAACCTGAAATTTACATCCGGTATCTTCCTGGTTTGAATGGCAGTCCACATCTGAAAAAGAGTCGTCAGTTTCAGGCGCTTTCTCCTGAGAGTCCACATGTTCCTGCGAGCCCCTGTCCCCTGGGGTGCTGGCCACACACTCGCTGCTGCAGTGACTGCCCGTGTCTGGGATGCTGAACCCCTCAGAATCCACGGAAGTGCTGCCATGCCCCGAGTCCTTCTCCACCTCCGCTCTGTCCGTAGGGTCACTGGGTCCCTGACTGGAACTCACTGCCTCTTTCTGAGGTCTCAGGACGCCTTTGTCAGAGATGGCATCTGAAGTGCTAGAAGACGACATACCCCTTTTCTGTCCTAGAGGGCTCCTTCTTGGTTCTGGAGTCTTTGGGCTGTGAGGCTTGTTCTCTGTTGTGTGACGAAGAGAAAAGGCCTCTCGCAGTCTGGAAATGGACACGTCCCTTTTTTCTTCTCCAGTCCTTAATGAAGGGGATTGATCCTGCTTTTCTACCATGGGCTTTTCCAAATCCGCTGCATGCATTTTTATTAAGTTACCTAAGCAAACGTGGACGGAGAAGAGGGTCAGGGACTATCCTGAAATGGTGAGAGGACGTGCTTATGTGAACAGATACTTCACAAAAGAGGAGATCCACATGCTAATTACACAGATGAACACGGTTCAATGTTCAAAATAAAACTATAATATGGGCCAGGTGTGGTGGCTCACGCCTGTTATCCCAGCACTTTAGGAGGCCAAGGCAGGGGGATCACATGAAGATAGGAGTTCAGGACCGGTCTGGACAACATGGCAAAACCCTGTTTCTACTAAAAATACAAAAATTAGCCGGGTGTGGTGGCACATCTGTCATCCCAGCTACTTGGGAGGCTGAGGCACAAGAATCCCTTTAGCCCGGGAGGCAGAGGTTGCAGTGAGCCAAGATGCCACCACTGCTCTCCAGCCTGGGTGACAGAGCAACACTCTGTCTCAAAAAAAAAAAAAAAAAAAAAAACAAACCCAACACAATGCGATATGGCCATATACTCACCAGAATGGGTAAAATTAAAAAAACAACAAATGCTCACAAAGATCAGGATCAAGCGGAATGCTTGAATACCTCTGGTAGGAATGAACCTGGTACAGCTGCTTTGAAAAGTTCTCTGGGAATACCTCCTAAATCTGAATGTATGCACACCTGCAACCCAGCATAGCTACTCCTATCAGAAGTGCCTATCGGCCGGCACAGTGGCTAATGCCTGTAATCCTAGCTCTTTGAGGTCAGGAGTTCAAGACCAGCCTGACCAACATGCTGAAACCTCGTCTCTACTAAAAATACAAGAAAAATCAGCAGGGCATAGTGGAATGCACTTATAATCCCAGCTACTAGGGAGAATGAGAATGAGGCAGGAGAATCACTTGAACCTGGAAGGCAGGGGTTGCAGTGAGCCAAGATCACTCCACTGCACTCCAGCCTGGGTGACAGAGTGAGACTCCCTCTCAAAAAAAAAAAAAAAAAGAAGTGTCTATCTCTATGCTCGTCAAAAGACGTGGATGAGGATGTTCATGACGGCATTCTTCATTATAGCCCGAAACTGGAAACAATTCAAATATTCACAAATTATGATATCTGACTATAACGGAACACTGTATAGCGAACAAAAAAATGAATTTTGCCGCATGACTTGGATGAATCTCACAAACAAAATAATGAGAGAAAGAAAGAAATCACAGAAAAGGACAGACTGAATAACTTCAAATTAAAAACAGATTAAACTATACTGTTTTGGTTTTTGTTTGTTTGTGTGTCTGTGTTTCTGAGACAGAGTCTCCCTCTGTCACCCGGGCTGGAGTGCAGTGGCACGATCTTGGCTCACTGTAAGCTCCGCCTCCCGGGTTCACACCATTCTCCTGCCTCAGCCTCCCGAGTAGCTGGGACTACAGGTGCCCGCCACCACACCCGGCTAATTTTTTATATTTTTAGTAGAGACGGGGTTTTGCCATGTTGGCCAGGCTGGTCTTGAAATCCTGATCTTAACTTATCCGTTCACCTCAGCCTCCCAAAATGCTGGGATTACAGGGCGTGGACGGTGAAACCCTGAGCAAGACCCCGTCTCAAAAAGAAAAAAAAAAACTTACATGACCATAAATTGTTATCTCATTCCAGTCATAGCAGAGTTGTAGAATTTCATTTTATTCTTTGAGGCATTAGTCACTAGTTGTACTGAAATGCCAATGGAACTTACCTGAATCAACAGAAATGTTAAGAACAACAAATGGATACTGGTGTCGATTATACACGCGGTAGACGTCATTCACGAGTCTGCAGACCTGCACAAAATACAAGGAGTAGAAAAGAAAAAATGACAAATGTTTCCGACCCCCTGCATTCTAACAACATACTATTCTAACCAACCAGCATGTTCTTAGAAGGGGATACTTTTTTGGTTTTTTTTTTGAGACAAGGTCTCGCCTTGTCACAGCCTGGAGTGCAGTGGAGCAATCATGGCTCACTGCAGCCTCAACCTCCCAGGTTCAAGTGATCCGCCTGCCTCAGCCTGCCATGTAGCTTGGACTACAGGCAGGACTTTTTTTTTTTCTTTTTTTCTTTTTTTTTTTTTTTGAGACGGAGTCTCGCTCTTGTTACCCAGACTGGAGTGTAATGGCGCGATCTTGGCTCACTGCAACCTCCGCCTCCAGGGCTCAAGTGATTATCCTGACTCAGCCTCCAAAGTAGCTGGGATCACAGGCACATGCCACCACGACCAGATAATTTTTGTATTTTTAGTAGAGACGGGGTTTCACCACGTTGGCCAGGCTGGTCTCGAACTCCTGACCTCAGCTGATCTGCCCGCCTCGGGCTCCCAAAGTGCTAGGATTATAGGCGTGAGCCACTACACCTGGCCTAAGGATACATTTTTTAACAGCTTTACTGAGATATGACTAACATGGAATAAACTACACATATTTAAAGTGTGCAATTTCATAAGTTTTGACATATACACAAACACCTGTGAAACTATCCCCACAATCAAGATAATGAATATATCCATCACCAAAAGTTTCCTCACAACTCTCAAAGTGTTATTTCTCGGCCGGGCGCGGTGGCTCATGCCTGAAATCCCAGCGCTTTGGGAGGCCGAGGCGGGCGGATCCCAAGGTCAGGAGATCGAGACCATCCCGGCTACCACAGTCAAACCCCATCTCTACTAAAAATAATACAAAAAATGAGCCGGGCGTGGTGGCGGGCGCCTGTAGTCCCAGCTACTCGGGAGGCTAAGGCAGGAGAATTACATGAACCCAGGAGACGGAGCTTGCAGTGAGCCGAGATGGCGCCACTGCGCTCCAGCCTGGGCGACAGAGCGAGACCCCGGGAAAAAAAAAACAAAAAACAAAGTTGTATTTCTCTAATCATAGATTCCTAAAACTGAGTCTTTTTCCAACCTAAAGTTGCTCTCCGAGAAATTCTAGTGAAATGCGGGCACAGCTTAAATGTTCATAAAACACATTCAATGTACATAGAAAAGTATTTATGACATTAAAATGTAATTAGAAATAAACCTAAATATCACATTATTAATAGTTATAATTAATAATTATTAATCCATCACATAAGATTCCTTATTGGCCAGGTGTGGTGGCTTACACCTGTAATCCTAGCACTCTGGGAGGCCAAAGTGAAAGGATCACTTAGACCAGGAGTTTGAGACCAGCCTGAGCAATACAGTGAGAATACATCTCTAGGCCAGGAGCAGTGGCTCACGCCTGTAATCCTAGCACTTTGGGAGGCCGAGGCGGGCAGATTGCCTGAGCTCTGCCTGAGCTCAGGAGTTCAAGACCAGCCTGGGTGACACGGTGAAACCCAGTCTCTACTAAAATACAAAAAAAATTAGCCGGGTGTGGCAGCGTGCGCCTGTAGCTGTGCAGGAGGCTGAGGCAGGAGGATCGTGTGAGCCCAAGAGATTGAGGCTGCAGTGAGTTGTGATCACGTCTCTACACTCCAGCCTGGGTGACACAGCAAGACCCTATCTCAAAAAAAGGAAAAAAGAAACAGAACAAAACAGAACAAAACAGACTTCATCATTTAAAGACAAGCAGAAATACTTACAGACGAATCTTTTTAAAAGCCAAGAAAAGAGAGACTCCATGGAGAAAGTATCAGTTTGGAAGTAACAGATGTCAAAGGCAGACAAAGGGTCCTGGGAGGTAGGGGCTAGAAAATGCCCGCTGGATTCGACTGCAATGAAATCATTGGTAATCTTTACAGACTGACTCAGCAACGTGAAAAGGACAAAACTAAAACACTGAGAACTGAAATGAGAAACAGAAATGAGGAAATCTTCAAAAGAGAGTAACTGTTTGTATTGTTTGCTGTGCAACCCAAACAGAAAGACGAACAAATATTTGAAGGATGATCAAGTCATTCATTCCCCCCATGATCTAGGACTCAACAGTAAAAACAGAATTCTGTCTACTGGGATCACAATATTTCCGTCCCTGGAAAAATTATAGGCACCAAGTTCTCCTTGGGCAGCAGGCAGGCCCTCTGCTTACATAAGCACCAAGAATACGCCGTAAGTTACGGTAATTTAATGGTTGTTATTAGGAAGCCTATCCGCAATTGTATCAACTGGAATGAAGAAAGTTTTCAAAGTCCTAGAAAATCTCTTAAATCCACAAGTAACAAAATTGGTTTCTCCTTATAATGAATGCAAGCGATGTCATGGATGGTGATATGGTTTCGGTTTGTGTCGCCAACCAAATCTCATGTTCAATTGTAATCCCCAATGTTGGAGGTGGGGCCTGGTGGGAGGTGATTGGATCATGGGGGCAATTTCCCTTTTGGTGCTGTTCTCCTGACACTCAGTGACTTATCACAAGACGTGGTTGTTTAAAAGTGTGTAGCGCCTCCCTCTCCCTCTTCCTCCTGCTCTGGTGATGGAAGATGTACCCGCTTTCCCTTTGCCTTCCACCATGACTGTAAGTTTCCTGAGGCCTCCCCAGCCATGCTTCCTATGATAGAGCCTGCAGGCGTGAGCCAATTAAACCTCTTTTCTTTATACATGACCCAGTCTTGGTTATTTCTCTACAGCAGTGTGAGAATGGACTAATACAGATGGCATTTTCCTTTTGTGATGACTGCCAAGAATATCAGTCCTGGGTGTGGCTCAATTTCAACAGCCTTAAAATCTACTATCCACACACACAAGCTTCACAAATCATTTTTGGTGCTGATCTGCCACACTATATTTTACAGGACAATGTCTATTTCCACATTCCCATTTTAAAGTATGAATCCTGGCTGGGCGCGGTGGCTCATGCCTGTAATCCCAGCACTTTGGGAGGCTGAGGCGGGAGGATCACCTGAGGTCAGGAGTTTGAGACCAGCCTGGCCAACATGGTGAAACCCTGTCTCTTCTAAAAATACAAAAAATTAGTTGGGCATGGTGGCACACGCCTGTAATCCCAGCTACTCGGGAGGCTGAGGCAGGAGAATCGCTTGAACCCAGGAGGTGGAGGTTGCAGTGAAGCGAGATCATGCCACTGCACTGCAGCCTGGGCAACAGAGCAAGACTCCATCCCAAAAAAAAAGAAAAAAAAAAGTAGGAATCCTTACAAACCTCTTAAAATGCATCATAAAATAAAGTTGAGGAACATATACACAAGCATGAAAACTCACCTGCAATGTGTTCATTTTCTGCTGCTCTTGGAAACGTGCAGAGACTGTGGCTGGTAGACCTAGAGGGGGAGAAGCAGGTCACTGAAGTCATGAGTGCTCTGGCCTGCAAAGGCAGGAATCTCCTGCGTAAGAACCACAAAAGAAAGCTCAATAGGCTAACACCCTGTGAACACTCAGCCTGCAAACACTCAGAAGGGCCTAAAAGAGTGATACAGGGTTTCGCCATGTTGGCCAGGCTGGTC
Organism: Homo sapiens; assembly: GCF_000001405.40. NCBI lineage: Eukaryota > Metazoa > Chordata > Mammalia > Primates > Hominidae > Homo > Homo sapiens. The sequence continues at coordinate 6,731,713 of NC_000007.14, read as the reverse complement.
TCAAATTCTGGCCTCAAGTGATCCACCTGCCTTGGCCAACATGGCGAAATCCCGTCTCTACTTAAAAATAACAAAAAAATTAGCCAGGCGCAGTGTCACATGCCTGTAGTCCCAGCTACTCAGGAGGCTGAGGCACAAGAATCCTTTGAACCTGGGAGGTGGAGGTTGCAGTCAGCCGAGACCACGCTGCTGCACTCCAGACTGGGTGAGAGACACTGTCTCAAAAAAAAAAAAAAAAAAAAAAGACTGATAAGGGAAGCATGCACTTGTAACTTTGTAACTCTAAGATAATCAGGTAGTAATTAGATGAGTTAAGACTCTCATGGGTAACATGACTTCTTTTACAAATAGTCTGCCATCATCAAATACAACCCGCAAAAAGAAAAAAAAAATTCCCATTATACGGCTCATGTTTTTTGTGGTTTGTTTGTTTGTTGAGACAGGGTCTCAATCTGCCACCCAGGCTGGAGTGCAGTGGTACATTCACAGCTCACTGCAGCCTCCACCTCCTGGGCTCCATTGATCTTCCCACCTCAGCCTCCTGAGTAGTTGGGACCACAGGTGCATCCCAGCATGCCTGGCTACTTTTGTATTTTTTGTAGAGTCAGGGTCTCCCTATGTTGCCTAGGCTGTTCTTTAACTCCTGGTCTCAAGGGATACTCTTGCTGTAGCCCGGCAAAGTGCTGGGATTACAGGTGTGAGCCACTGCATCCGGCCCGCATTTTCTTATTGTCTCTTTAAACTGCTTAAAATCAAAGAAACCATAGGAATTGAGTATGTGAGCTCTCAGAAATGAAATGAATGTGTATAAAATATGGTTTTGTTTCTAAATTATCTAACTGAACTTGGTTATTGCTGCACCTAATAACCTTCTACTAAGAAAACTAGGATACGGGAGAAAGAACACTGGCCTGGGAGATAAGACTCCTGAGTTCTACTATGAGCAACTCTACCCACAAAGCCAGTGACCCGGTCAAGTCACCCACCTGCTAAGGCCCAGTCTCTTCCCCTAGCAACTGAGGCAGCAAGAGAGAATCCCTGCAGACTGTTCCTGCATTACTACCAGTCTCCAGGGCAGATCTAAGGGGGGAATCAGCAGACACTTAAATGAGAGAACAGAGATGCTGACGGACGTTTAGAGGCGGTCGAAATCTGGAGCACGGAAAGGAGGAGGAAGGGCTGTTAGGGGTTAGTGGGGAGTGGAGACGACGTCTGCAGCTGAGGCTGGTGATACCCTCCACGCCCCCGTAAGCCTCGTCCTCCCAGATATTCCCGTGCAGCGCCTCAAGGCCAAACACACGCCTCTCCTGCAAGCGATCGGACCCTCCCCCGCCTCATACTCTAAGGTCCCGAACATACGGTGACTTCACCCAGGCCTTTCTCGCTCCGGGCCCGAAAACCCAAAGACTTACCCTCCTGGGGCTCCCCAGAGGCCGGGGCGGGGCTGCTGTCGCTGGCGCGCGTCTGCTCGCGAGGTCCCCTCTTGTCCACCTCACCAAGGCTGTTCTGCTCCTGAGGGGCCCGGGCCGGGCCTACGGGGCAAATCCAGGAGGGTGTCCTTCCCGGGGCCCAGATCCGCCTCCCTGGGACTCACCGTACAGCGGCGGCCTGGGCCAGGCCCCCAGGACACACACGGGCCAGGCCCGGTTCCCGCCGCCCCTTCGCCTCCGCCTCCGCTGCCACCTTCGCCACCTCCCGCCCGGTTCCCCTGGCCGCAGGGCCGCCGGCTCAGGGGCTCACGCTCGGGGGTCCCCGCTCAAGCCTCCACCCGGCCCGTGCGAACCCTGGCCCACATAGCTCCGCGCCCGCCTAGGTGCTGGCCTAGGCGCTCAGCGTCCAGCCCCGCAGGCTCAGCGATTCTCGTCCACTGGGGGCCAAAGCCTGGGAACTAGAGCAAGCGGTGACCTGAGGACACACAGGAAGCGATGGCAGTGCGGCGGCAGCGCGCATGTGCGAACACGCACCCAGGGAGAGGCGCACACGCGCAGGAGTTCACCGGAAGTCCGCCTCCCAGGGCCCACCGTTGGTCCCAGGACAAGGGCCGGACTCTATTTCCCATGAGCCTACCAGCGCCCCCCAACTTTAGGGGCCATTTCAAATGTCTCTACCCCGTCTAAAGGTTAAGAAGCCCCAGGCTATATGAGCTTCGGCAGCCCTGATCCCCGGACTGAACTTCGCATTTGTCTTTATTCCCTTTTAGGGTCAAGTCCAGGGCTGCAGTGACTGGGTCCTGGAGCCCAAGGCCTCCAGGTTAGAACCGAGTTTCCCATAACGAGAAGGAAAGGAAAGGGTGTATCGTGGTCACTGCGCTGAAATGCTAAGAGAAGTTTCACTCAAATACTAGGACAGGATAAATGCCCAGCGATGCTTTCCAAGGAAGAGAAAGAAAATAGAATTTGTGGCCGGGCGCGGTGGCTCACGCCTGTAATCCCAGGACTTTGGGAGGCCGAGGAGGGCAGCTCGCGAGGTCAAGAGATAGAGACCATCCTCGCCAACATGGTGAAACCCCGTCTCTACTAAAAATACGAAAATTAGCTGGGCGTGGTGGCGCGTGCCTGTAATCCCAGCTACTCCGGAGGCTGAGGCAAGAGAATCGCTTGAACCCGGGAGGCGGAGGTTCCAGTGAGCCGAGCTCGCGCCCCTGCACTCCAGCCTGGCGACGGAGCGAGACTCTGTAGCTTTTCTAGATCACACAGCAAATGCCTAAAAACTGTAGAGAAATCAGGAAATACACAAATCGAACAAAGAAAAGATACCTGTGATTTCACCTTCCCCAGGAGGATTATGTTTAGGGTTAGGTTATGTTGACCAAAAAGACTCAAAGTTTGTAAAGAGTTTTATTCTGGGCCTCCTATTTGAGTGACCATGGCTGGTGACACAGCCTCAGGGGGTCCTGAGAACGTGAGCCCAAAGTGGTTGGGTTACAGCTTGGTTTTATACATCTTAGGGAGACAGCAGTTACAGGCAAAGACATAAATCAATACATGGGATGTACACATTGGGTCAGCCTGGAAAGGCTTTCAGGTCACTAGCAGATTCAAAGATTGGCAGTTGATTCAGAGTTAAGTGTTGGCTGAACAGTTGGAAGATGACGTAAAGAAATGGGCCATTGCGGTGGCTCTTGCCTGTAATCCCAGCATTTTGGGAGGGTGACCTGGGAGGATCCCTTGAGGCCAGGAGTTCAAGGACAGCCTGGGCAACACAGCAAGACCCCCATCTCTACAAAAAAAAAAAAAAAAATTATCCAGGTGTGGTGGTGCATGCCTGTAGTCTCAGCTACTTAGGAGGCTGAGATGGGAGGATCGCTTGAGCCTGGGAAGTTGAGGCTACAGTGAGCCATGATGGTGCCACTGCACTCCAGTTTGGGCAACAGAGAAGAAAAGAAAGAGAGAGAGAGGAAGGGAGGAAGGAAGGGAGGGAGGGAGGGAGGGAAAAGAAAGAGGGAGGGAAAGAAAAGAAAAGAAAAGCTTGAGTTAAGATAAGGGGCATTGTGGAAACCAAGGTTCTTGTTATGTAGATGAAGCCTCAGAACAGGCTTCAGAGAGAATAGATGATAAATATCTCTTATTGGATCTTAAAAGGTGTCAGAATCTCGAGAAAAGACCTGGATTCTTTTCTGTAAGGGAAGGAGATTCTCTACAGAATGCAAATTTCCCCCAAAGAGATGGCTTTGCAGGACTATTTTAAAGTGTGACAAAGAAAATATATTATGGGGTAAAATACTATGATTTCCTTCAGGGACTGCTATCTGTCACGTGATGCTATATCAGAGTCTGGTTGGAGTTGGGTATCTTACTGACACAAAGAGCCTGTTCTGTCAGTCTTATGATCTGTAGTCTAGTGTTAATGTTGGTCAGCTGTGCCTAAACTCTGAAGGGAGGAGAGTATGACAAGGCATGTCCGACCCCCTCCTTCCCGTCATGACCTGAATTAGTTCTTCATGTTTATTTTGGATCCTGCTGGCCAACAGGGGAGTCCACTCAACAGCTGTGGAGGCTTAGAATTTTATTTTTGCTTTACAATTAAAATGTCAGTTTTCAAAAATGGGATATAAGGACAATGATTCATCACAACTTTTTGGTGAAATCTAACAGTGTTCTTGCCCAGTTGTTTCATAAAAACTGGTAAGGAAAAGACTAAAAATAAATTCTTCTGAGGCCAGGAACAGTGGCTCATGCCTGTAATCCCAGCAGTTTGGGAGGCCGAAGTGGGTGGATCATGAGGTCAGGATATTAAGAACATCCTGGCCAACATGGTGAAACCCCGTCTCTACTAAAACACAAAAAATTAGCTGGGTGTGGTGGTGCGCGCCTGTAGTTCCAGCTACTTGGGAGGCTGAGGCAGGGGAATCACTTGAACCCGGGAGGTGGAGATTGCAGTGAGCTGAGATCACGCCACTGCACTCCAGCCTGGCAACAGAGCAAGACTCCATCTCAAAATAAATAAATAAATTATTCTGTTAACCTAGAATATTCTCTCCACAAATTCAGAAAATAAAGAAAACAATTTTATCATTGAATAAGCATTAAACCAGACTGTGATGCCCATCACAGGTGATCCATTAATGAGATGCAAAGAGAAATAAAGCCTCTTTTTTTTTTTTTTTTTTTGAGACAGAGTCTTGCTCTGTTGCCCAGGCTGGAGTGCAGTGGTGCGATGTCGGCTCACTGGAACCTCTGTCTCCCCAGTTTAAGCAATTCTCCTGCCTCAGCCTCCCAAGTAACTGGGACTACAGGTGCATGCCACCACGCCTGGCTAATTTTTTGTATTTTTAGTAGAGACGGGGTTTCGTCATGTTAGCTAGGATGGTCTCGAAATCCTGACCTCATAATTTGCCCGCCTCGGCCTCCCAAAGTGCTGGGATTATAGGCATGAGCCATGGCGCCTGGTCAAAGCCTCCTTTTTGTATAGCCTGGCAGATACAATCCATTGCATACATGCTCTCAAGATAAACAGTAACTCATCCTCATGTAAAAGGACTTGCTATGCTTTTTTTTTTTTTTTTTTTTGTTTTGAGACAAGGTCTCATTCTGTCATCCAGGCTGGAGTGTAGTGGTGTGATCTTGGCTCACTGTAACCTCCACCTCCTGGGTTCAAGTGATTCTCGTGCCTAAGCCTCTGGAGTAGCTGGAATTACAGACATGTGCCATCATGCCCAGCTAATATTTGTATTTTAGCAGAGACAGAGTTTCGCCATATTGGCCAGGCTAGACTCAAACTCCTTTCAATTTCTGTGTGGCTTCAAGTGATCCGCCCATCTCGGCCTCCCCCAGAGTGCTGGGATTACAGGTGTGAGCCACTGCGCCTGGCCTGCTATGCATTCTTAAACACTCATCCTAAATTCACCTGGAAATCAAGGTGGCCACCCATGCTAGTTAATTACCTGTATCAGATAAAAAAAAATTAAACTTCTCATATCTCCTTGACAAGCAGGTAGTAACAGCTCAAGGTGCCTAGGCTAAACTCCCTAGGCAACAGGAAGATAGGGACACTATTTTCCTCGAGGTTTACATTTCAAAGACAAGACTGTCAGGCTCTTAAGAAAAAAATTCCTGGGTTGTGGCCCGGCAGGGTGACTCACACCGGTAATCCCAGCACTTTGGGAGCCCGAGGCGGGTGGATCACCTGAGGTCAGGAGTTCAAGACCAGCCAGACCAACAAGGTGAAATCCCATCTCTACTAAAAATACAAAAATTAGCCAGGCGTGGTGGCAAGTTCCTGTAGTCTCAGCTACTCAGGAGGTTGAGACCTGAGAATAGCTTGAACCCAGGAAGTGGAGGTTGCAGTGAGCCGAGATCATACCACTGCACTCCAGCCTGGGTGACAGAGCGAGATTCTGTCTCAAAAAAAAAAAAAAAAAAAAAAAAATTCCCGGGTTGTAGTGTTGGCAAGAAGTTCATTTACCTTTTTAAAAGATTTAGATACATGTCAAAGGCACAAAAGTTATTTATATTACAATGTTTATCAGGAAATACTCTTTAAAAAGGAGAGGAGAAAAGGTTAATTTACCTTTTGGCAAATAAGACAAATTTAATTTTTTTTTTTTTTTTTTTTAGAAAATCCGTACAGTGAGGGCTGGCCACGGTGGCTCACATCATCTGTAGTCCCAGCACTTTGGGAGGCCAAGGCAGGCGGATTGCTTCAGGCCAGGAGTTCAAGACCAGCCTGGGCAACATGGGAAAACCCCATCTCTACTACAAATACAAAAATTAGCTGGGCATGGTAGTGTGCGCCTATTGTCCCAGCTACTCTGGAGGCTGAGGCACGAGAACTGCTCGAACATGGGAGGCAGAGGTTGCAGTGAGCCAAGATTGAGCCACTACAATCCAGTCTGGGCGACAAGAGCGAAACTCTGTCTCAAAAAACAAAAAAAAATAAAAAACAAAAACAAACAGCCCCTTTTCCATCTCCCCACCACAGAGCTGTCTGCAGTAATTTCATTCGCTTATTTCCTCAGGGTTTACTGGGTTTCTGGTTTCCAGAAGGGGAAGTTCTCTTCAAGGTACAGAAACCATGACTCCGCAGAGAACCACAGAGACAGCAGCATGACCAGACCCCGGTCAGGTGTCGGGACGCTGCTGGGCTGAGACTTGGGCTGAACTTCCTCTGCAGGTCGACTTATTCCCATCAGCACCAAAGCCGCTGGAGGGGGTCATCCAACAGCAAAGGAAGCAGGGAGCGGAGCTTGGAGGCTGTTTCAGAAGGTCCCACTGAGCCAAGGACTCAAGGCCTGGCCACAGCCCTCCCAAGTGAGGCCCAAAGCATATTTCACCATGCTCAGAAAACCTTGTCTGCTCATTTCAGTCCATAGTGACTTTGCTTTCTTTAGGATCTCTCTTGCACTGTCCAACCCAGAGAGTTCCAAATCTGAATGGATTCCAGTGACAGAGTTAAATCACGCCCCACCTCAGCTTTTGAATTACAATCAATAGGGCTGGGTCCCAGCATCTGTATCTTAATGTTCCTCCATGTGATCCTCATGCTGAAAGGCTGGTATTTGCAAATCCCTTCTTGTGGGGAGTGAAGAGTTTTTTTAGAGACAGGCCTCACTCTGAGGCCCAGCCTGGAATGCAGTGGTGGGATCACAGCTCACTGCAGCCTCCAACTCCTGGCTACAAGAAATCCTCCCACCTTGGCCAACGAAAGTGTTGGGATTACAGGAGTGACCACTGTGTCCGGCCAGGAAAGCCCTTCTGTGTCACTTGAATGGTATTTCTGCAGCATACCTGCAGCCATTGCTGTATTCAACTGCATCACTGCGGGAAAAGAGAAGGCGAGAGGTGGCTGTTTTGCTTTTTTCTGAACATATCAGACCAAACCTGGGCTGTTTAGCCTTTTTTTTTTTTTTTTTTTTTTTGAGATGGTGTCTCGCTCTGTCACCCAGGCTGGAGTGCAGTGGCGCAATCTCAGCTCACTGCAACCTCTGCCTTCCAGGTTTAAGCAATTCTCCTGCCTCAGCCTCCCAAGTAGCTGGGATTACAGATGTGCACTCCCACGCCCAGCTCATTTTTTCTGTATTTTTAGTAGAGACGGATTTCAACACGTTGGCCAGGCTGGTCTTGAACTTCTGACCTCTGGTGATCTGTCTGCTTTGGCTTCTTAAAGTGGTAGGATTATAGGCATGAGCCACCGCACCTGCTTCGCCCATTTTTTGACAACGTATCAACATCATTTAAGATGGGCACTGCCTCAGTGTAGTGTGTCTAGACAAGGTGGCCAGAAGAGAGGGGAATATGCAAACCAGGCTTGAAGACGGGTTAAATCAGAGCTTTTCATTCCACAAAAGAGCAATTTTAACGGGGTCAGGACATTGATCTTCTAATATTTGAAAGCCTGTTAACTAGGAGAGAGAGAGCAAACTGTTTGTTGTAGGAGGACCTACCCAGCTCTGACGGTTTAAAGCATCATGAATGCAAATTTGAACTCCAGAAAAGCAGAGTTTCCTAACAATGGGACTTCCACAGCAATGGGATCTGCTTCTTCACTCAGTCTGTGTCTTTCCCATGAGCAAGAGACTCCTAGGAGAGCCACAGCCCATTAGGAAGCCGTGTGGGAACTCACTCACACGTTCTTTGTTTATTTTTTTTGAGACAGAGTTTTGCTCTTGTTGCCCAGGCTGGAGTGCAATGGTGTGATCTTGGCTTGCTGCAACCTCTGCACCCTGAGTTCAAGTGATTCTCCAGCCCTCCCTCCTGAGTAGCTGGGATTACAGGCACCTACCACCATGCCTGGCTAATTTCTTGTATTTTTTGTAGAGATGGGGTTTCACCATGTTGGCCAGGCTGGTCTCAAACTCCTGACCTCAAGTGATCCACCCCCTTTGGCCTCCCAAAGTGCTGGGATTACAGGCATGAGCCACTGAGCCCGGCCAGGAACCCACAGGTTTTTCGGATGGTCTCTGAATGTCATGCAACTCTTTTATTTTGTATCAAAAAAAATTTTTTTGACACAACGTCTTGCTGTGTTGCCCAGACTGGAGTGCAGTGGCCAGATCATAGCTCACTGCAGCTTCTAACTCCTGGGCTCAAGCGATCTTCCTGTCACATGAGTCTCCCAAGTAGGTGGAACACAGGTGCCAGCCACCACACCTGGCTAATTTGGTTTGGTTTTGTTTTTTTAGAGATGGGCTCTTGCTATGTTGCCTACACTGATCTTGAACTGCTGGCCTCAGGCAGTCTTCCTCCCTTGGCCACCCAAAGTTCTGGGATTACAAGCATGAGCCACTGTGCACAGCTGAGATTTTTTGACTTAGCCTTTTTGTACATGCGATATTTTATTCCTAGAATCCATAAATGGTAGGGAAATTTCTGAGTTCAGAGCAATACATATGATACAAAACTTGATATATAGACTAGAGTTTGTTAGCCAAACTGGAGGGGCTGGCTTTAGGTAATCCATGGACTCCCTGAAATTGGGGACACCATTGGAAATATGTGTGAGCTCCTGGACAGTTTCCTATGACTTTCAGGCCTCAAGATGTCTCTGGACTCAAAGATGCCTTAGGGCAGAGGACGCTTGTACCCCCAGTATAGAATCTCGGACAGTGAATGTCAGTAAACATTCGGCAGAAAAGCTCTGCCAAACTGAGTGCTCTGATGTGACATTTTCATCAAGTCAATGTTCCTGGGATCTCTTGTACATGATCATCTCACTCTTGTAAGGTTTCATAGTTTCTGCTTAGCCTAGTTTTCTTTCCCACCCTGTTCCCTCTCCCACCAGACTGGACTCTGAAATGGGCATGTACAGAGAAGAGGAGACCCCACCATGCTTCAGGCTTTGAGTGGAGAGGACACAGCCTCTGCTGGGACAGGGAACAGAGGGATGTGGAGACCCTAAAGATGCTTTTGGACAGTGCCTGAGGTTGGGACAGTGGCAGGAGATACCATTCACCCACGATCTCCAGGACAAAGATCAGCCTGGCAGTTACATGTGTTTTTCTTCAAACTGGTTGCCAGGTTGGAATGACCAATGACATCAGAGATTCCAACCTTCCTGATTGGAAGGACTGGACTCTGTGGGCTCCTGGGAGCTCAGCTGGACAACCTTCTCAGAGCTGGTCTCCACTCCTGACTTCTCCCAGCCTCGAAAATTGACAACACACTCTTCTGGGTCTTAGCAGAGTCCAGAAGAAGGCCTTGGACAGAACAGAGACTAGGTTCCGTGGGATGGGACAGATTTTGGGAAAGATCATAACCAGCCATCAACCGCACCCCCAGGATGAGGAGCAGAGCCCCCAGCCCAGCGCCTCAGGGTACCCCTCCAGGAGGTGGTGGATGATGAAGTGTCGGGACCATCAGGTGAGGGGACTGGAGGAAGAAGAGGTAGGATAGGATTGACTAAGATGAAGGAAGGGGGCCGGGCGCAGTGGCTCATGCCTGTAACCCCAACACTTTGGGAGGCCGAGGTGGGCGGGTCACCTGAGGTCAGGAGTTCAAGACCAGCCTGGCCAACATGGCCAACCCCATCTCTACTAAAAGTACAAAAACTATCTGGGCGTTAGTGGTGCGCACATGTAATCCCAGCTACTCGGGAGGCTGAGACAGGAGAATCGCTTGAGGCTGGGAGGAAGAGGTTGCAGTGAGCCAAGATTGCGCTACTGCACTCCAGTCTGGGTGAGAGAGTGAGACGCTGTCTCAAAAAAAAAAAAAAAAAAAAAAGGTCAGAGGTCAGGAAGAAGAACCTGAGGCGGGTGTGTGGGAAGAATGGAGAAATTCAGATTCAGGCCAGGTGCAGTGGTCACACCTGTAATCCCAGCACTTTGGGAGGCCAAGGCAGGCAGATCACTTGAGGCCAGGAGTTTGAGACCAGCCTGGCCAACATGGTGAAACCCCATCTCTACTAAAAGTACAAAATTGAGTTGGGCATTATCGCAGGCACCTGTAATCCCAGCTACCTGAGAGGCTGAGGCAGGAGAATAAGTGGAATCTGGGAGATGGATGTTGCAGTGAGCTGAGATTGCACCACTACAATCCAGCCCAGGAGACAAGGCATGATTCTGTCTCAAAACAAAAAAAAAAAAAAAGGGAGGGACTCAGAGAGCCAGGGACCAGGGAAGGACATGAGGAAGTGTTGTGAGGACAGAGAGATGGAAGAACGGGGAGGGGAAGGAGCGGCACATGGGGCTCAGCAGAGGAGAAATCCAGAAAGATGGCTTGGAGAAGCCAGCAGTCTGCGAAGCTGGGGAGGATGGAGAGTGGTTTGGGGTTTGGGGTCGGGGTCTAAGGTGGTCAGTTGCAGAAGCATTACACCATGGCCTGGCTTCTTTACTCAGCCCCTGGGGTAGATCCCAGCCCCCCATGTAGGTATTTTTGCTGGAAAAGGAAGAGGGAGTGGTTGGACAAATGTGAGGAGGAGCCAGAGAAGAAGCTCACCCCCGAGCCTGAGGAGACCTGGGTGGTGGAGATGCTGTGTGGGCTCAAGATGAAGCTGAAGCAACAGCGAGTGTCACCTCGTGCTCCCTGAGCACCACGAGGCCTTCAATAATCAGATTGGTAGGAGGACACTCCAGAGAGCACCTCCAATCCTGTTCTTCTAAAAAAGAGGAAACTTCCAATAACCACTATTTTCCAATGGGAAAAATATGCCCCCATTGGGTGAGCTCTCCATGTGGGAGGACTCAGAAGTGATCACTCATGAGGGACGCTTAGGAGACAATAGAGGATTAGGCTAGACTTGACAAAGGTCAGTGCTTGGGATAAGAAAGCTTTGTTTTGGGCCAGGTGAGCTTACGCCTGAGATACCAGCATATTGGGAGGCTGAGGCAAGGGGATTGCTTGAATTCAGGACTTTGAGGCTGCAGTAAACTATGACTGCACCACTGCACTCCAGCCTGGGTGACAGAGCAAAACCCTGTCTCAAAAGAAAAACCAAGGCTGGGCACAGTAGCTCATGCCTGTAATCCCAGCTACTCAGGGGACTGAGAGGAGAATCGCTTAAACCCGGGATGCAGAGGTTGCAGTGAGCCAAGATCACGCCAGTGCATTCCAGCCTGGACCACAAAGCACGACTCTGTCTCAAAATAAATTAATAAATAAAAATAAAAATCAAATAAAGAAAAACAAAATCAATAAACAAAGAAAGTGGTTTCAGCTGTGCTCTCTGAAACTTAATGTCTCTTACTGACTTTTCTAAACCTAAGTGTCTCCATCCATAGTGGGGGATACCAAGGCCATGGTCACACCCTGATGTGACTGTCTCATGAGGAAATGATGGGAATTCCTTTATGACTCTGCAGTGGTCCCTCCGTGTCTGCTGGGAGGGCATCCTGGCTTATTCCCAGCTCTACATCCCGTAGATTCTCACACCCAGGGCCTCCTTCGGCCTCTTCTCAGGGGAGTCTCAGAGCAGGAGCCTCTCTCCTTTGCCCAGTGAAAGTCATTCTCCCCCCTCCCATCCACCTCGCCCATGGCAGCAATCCTGAGACCTCCCCCCCGGGAGGCACACTTCTCGCTGCCCTGCTGCTCCCACAGAAAGCTTCTCATGCTGACATCTGCCCTCTAATAACAGAGGATCCTGTGATTAAAAGATTCCTGGCCTGGGACAAAGATCTGAGGGTGTCAGACAACGTAAGGTTGTTCTCCATGTAACTGTGTTCCTGCTTCAACGCACCACCGGAGGGAGGGCGCAGCTTCCAAACCCACAGTTCTCCCTCCACCACCTCCCACCAGGTGCTCCTACGGTCTTTTTTTTTTTTTTTTTTTTTTTTTTTTTTTTGTGAGACAGAGTCTTCCTCTGTTGCCCAGGCTGGAGGGCAGTGTCTCAATCTTGACTCACTGCAGCCGAAGCCTCCCAGGTTCAAGCGATTCTCCTGTCTCAGCCTCCAAGCAGCTGAGATTACAGATGTGAACCACCACGCCTGGCTAATTTTTGTGTTTTTAGTAGAGACGGGGTTTTGCCATGTTGGGCAAGTTGGTCCTGAACACCTGACCTCAGGTGATCCACCCGCCTTGGCCTCCCAAAGTGCTGAGATTACAGACGTCAGCCACTGTGCCCCACCAGCTCCCACAATCTTGAGTCTTGGCACCCACACTTTTTTCTGAGACAGAGTCTAGCTCTGCTCCCCAAGATGGAGTGCAGTGGCATGATCATAGCTCACTGCAGCCTCTAATTCCTGGGCTCAAGCAATTCTCTTTCCTCAGCCTCCTGAGGAGCTGGGACTAGGCACATGCCACCATGCTCAACTAATTTTTGAAATCTTTGTAGAAACAGGGTCTCGCTACATTGCCCAGGTTGTTCTCAAACTGTTGGGCTCATGTGATCCTCCTGTCTCCACCTCTCAAAGTACTGGGATCACAGGCCTGAGCCGCCACTCCCGGCTATTCTTGGTCTTTTTATGATTTGTCAGCATCTCCCTCAGGACTCTGCTGGTCTCTTGCCGAGTGAATGAATAGCCCCTGCCTCTCCTATGGGTCCTTTAGGATCTGAGCCCTGGTCCACAGTCTGACCGCAGCCCTGAAGCTCCTGGCCCCTCTACTCTCAGCTCTTTGAGACAATTCTCTGCCTGGCACACAAAAGACCCTCCTGACACCAGCTGACCTAGACACGCCCCCACCAAAGATCCCATCGGAGCCCACCATCCTGGGAGCATCACCGACATCCCTTCCTCCCTCGGATTTGCATCCGACCATCGAATACCCCTCCACCCTGCTATTTCCAAATGAGTACAGTCACCCCAACACTGAAGTCCCTTCTCTGATGGGCAGCCCCTCCCCAGACCCTCATTCCCCCTCTCCACAATCTTCCTCTTCCAAGATGTGACCTCTCTGTGTTCCTTTCTCTCCATCAGTATCTCCTGGCTATGGTCAGCGTATTTTAGCCGGGCCAGACCCTTCTCCTGGCAATACCAACGCATCTATTTCTTCCTGGCTCTGTGAGTGGTTTGCTGCCTCCTATCGGTCAATATCCAATGCTCTGGGACAGCAGAGGAAGGTGGGATTCCAGCCTTTCATTTATTCTTTCACCTATTTGTCCACTTTACTCTGTGTACAAAAAAGACAGGATTTTACTATCTTGTTCTTAGACTGTTGTTTCTAAAAAGAAACTCAGGCTGGGAGCGGTGGCTTACGCCTGTAATCCCAGCACTTTGGGAGGGCCAGGCAGGCGGATCATCTGAGGTCAGGAGTTCGAGACCAGCCTGGCCAACATGGCCAAACCCATCTCTATTAAAAATAGAAAAATTAGCCGGGCATGGTGGTGTGCACCTGTAATCCCAGCTACTTGGGAGGCTGAAGCAAGAGAACCCCTTGAACCCAGGAGGTGGAGGTTGCAGTAAGCTAAGGTTGAGCCACTGCACTCCAGCCTGGGTGACAGAGTGAGACTTTTTCTCCAAAAAAAAAAAGCAAAAAAAAACAAACTCCAATGCCAGTGTACAAATAAAAGAATAAAACAAAAGGAAACATAAACTGCTCCTAAGGGGAGAAGAAAAGGAGCGGAGGAGCGGACACGACACTTCCCCCAGCAAGCAGACGTTTCTGGTTCTTCTCTCTCTCTCCTTCCCACATCAACCACAAATGCCATCGACCTCCTCCGGGTTCCCACGACAGAGGCCACAGTTCAGGTCCCCCTCGCATCACTCGAATCCACTGTCAAATGCTCCCTGCTGGGGTCTCCTGGAGTCTCTCCCCAAGCCAGGGGGCTCCCTAGTGCAGCCTGAACATCTTTCCACGGCACGATGCCCTCACTGCCCACCTGAACAACCTCCTTAGCTGACATCTTTCTAAATCGAGGCCAGGGTAACAGTGCCAATTCCACCCTCTCTACAATCTCTACAACCACACTGGCTCGCCTTCTTGGTGTTTCCTGGCTTGGCTTCACTGCTCCTTCCAAATGTCCTCCACTTGACTTTGCGTTTGTGTTTTCTGTCTGGATGTCCCACACACATGTGGTTCTGAAGGGAAGGACCCATTCCTTGAAGTCAGTTCACCCCACAGCCTCTGTCATGCCTTCCCTCATCTTCCAACTTCTGCACGCCCGTAGATCTCCAGTTATATCCTATTATAATGTGACACTGGGATTAGGTCATCTGCCTTGATTACTACCAGTCCCATTAGACTAGATGCCTGTAGAAGGCAGGGTCCTGGCAAACTATCAATGTATTCAATTTCTTTTATTTTTTTGAGACAGACTTCCCCTGTCCCCCAAGCTGGAGTGCAGTGGTGAGATCATAGCTCACTGCAGCCTCCATATCCTGGGCTCAAGCGATCCTCCCACCTCAACCCCTTGATTAGCTCCGACTACAGGGCTGTGCCACCACACCTGGACAGTTATTGATTAGTTGATTGATTGGGACAGAGTCTTGCTGTGCCTCTCAGGCTGGAGTGGAGGGGCCCAATCTCGGCTCACTGCAACCTCTGCCTCCTGGGTTCACACAATTCTTTTTTTTTTTTTTTTTTTGAGATGGAGTCTCGCTCTGTCACCCAGGCTAGAGTGCAGTGGCGCGATCTCCGCTCACTGCAAGCTCCACACCCTGCTTTCACGCCATTCTCCTGCCTCAGCCTCCCAACTAGCTGGGACTACAGGTGCCCGCCACCACGCCCAGCTAATTTTTTGTATTTTTAGTAGAGAGGAGGTTTCACCATGTTAGCCAGGATGGTCTCGATCTCCTGACCTTGTGATCCACCCACCTCGGTCTCCCAAAGTGCTGGGATTACATGCATGAGCCACCGCAGCTGGCTGGGTTCACACAATTCTTATGCTTCAGCCTCTTGAGTAGCTAGGACTAACAGGTGTGCCACCGCACCAGGCTGATTTTTGTATTTTTAGTAGAGATGGGGTTTCTCCAGGTTGACCAGGCTGGTCTCAAACTCCTGATCTCAAGCAATCCACCTGCTTCAGCCTTCTAAAATGCTGGGATTACAGGCATAAGCCACCGCGTCCAGCATATTTCTTATATTTTTAATAGAGATGAGGGTTTTGCTATGTTGCCCAGGCCCATCTCAAACTCCTGGCCTCAAGTGATCCTCCTGCTTCGGCCTCCCAATGTGCTGGGATTCCTCGCATAAGCCACCATTCTTGGTCACCAGTTGGGTTTTTGTCTCCATCCTGAAGGAGTGGGAGACGCCCTTCAGCAGGTCTCTGTCCAGCAGAGCCCTCCTGAGGAAGGCGTGGCTCTGTGCAGGGTGTGTGCCCGTCCTGAGGTGAGGACGGTCCCCTGCCCTCCTCTCTAGGAAGCTGACGTCAGCCAGAAGTCTCTCCTGGTGGTGCCCCTGAGCAGTAACCTGATAGCTGTCCCCAGCTACTTGGCCAATGACATGGAGGAGGACAGCGAGACCCCCAAACAAAACATCTTCTTCTTCCTGTACGGGAAGAACTGCTCTCAGATTGCCTTGTTCCATACGCTTCATTTCCGGGTCTTCCGTTCTGTGTGCTGCAGGGCTTGCATTTCCCTGGAGGAGTTCGAGGAGGTGGGTGGGGCCTGGGGAGGTGGAGGAGGTGGGGAGGAATTGGGTGGGCTGGAGGCTGGATAAGGGGAGGGAGGAGTATCCTGGGGAGTCCCCATCTTCTTAAGGGGCGTCTGTTTTTCCAGATCCAGGCTTATGACCCAGGGCACTGGGTGTGGGCGTGAGATCGCGCCCACCTTTCCTAGAGCTCCAGGGACCGTGGAGGCCTGAGGTCATCGGCCTGAGAGAAGGTACATCTGTGTCCTCTGGGGTAAAGGCAGAATATTGGGGTCTATTTTGGAAATCTGAGGAACCCAATTGCTTGATCCAGCTTCAAGCCTGAGCAACGTGGCGAGATCCCCTCTCCACAAAAATACAAAAAGTAGCCAGGCGATGTGGGAGGCATCTCTACTCCCAACTACTCAGGAGGCTGAGGCGGGAGGATCGCTGGAGCCTGGGAGGTCGGGGCTGCAGGGAGCCCTGATCCTGCCACTGCCCTCCAGACCAGGCGACAGAGTGAGACCCTACCTCAAAAATAATCATAAATACTGAGTTTGGGGAGGTTCATTATGATTGACACACTTGAGTTACCGATTTGGGTTGAGGGTTCAGTGAAGCTTTGGTTTACATCTTGTGCAGCTAACCACGTTGAGCACAGAGCATGAGACTTCATCATGAGGAGGTAGGATTATGGATTAGGCTTCTGGACTCAGGGTTCGTGATGTTGTCACATTAGAAACAGATCTAGCATGGTTACAAGTTTAGCTCTTAAGTGACACAAAAGGCCCCAGCTGTGATGAAGTCCAAAGCCACATTCTCTGAGGGTGCCCTACTCCCTGGGCAGACCCACCCGAAGTCCTTGCTATGAAGTAGATCACTGGGGCTGCCCTTGGGTGTATTAAGTGAGTTTTGGAGTCAGGGTCACCAAAGTGTGAGTTTCACAGTTGAACACCATGGTTCAGAAGCAGGCTATGGAATGAAGGACAGGAGATAAAACTGGATTTCTCAATTGCTCTGAACTCTAGTTAGACTTGACATGGGACGTGAATAACCTTCCTGTCTAGAGAGCTGCCTCATTGAAGTGTGACATCCTCTTTCGCACTTCCAGAATGCTGGGCCCAGGGGAGATGCAGATTTTCAGCAAGAACTTTATTCCAATGCTAATGGCAGGCACCAGGAAGGAGGAGAGGAGCCATTTGTGCAGATCATCTAGAAGAACCTGGACTGTTCTAGACGGAGCTGAATAGAGTGATCATGTTGTCCTCCTAGGATGGGGTGGGGTGGTACTTCTAGGAATCCATAGAGAACAGTGAGAAACCAGGGGTGTTTCCGGTTCCACCCTTTCCTGAGGCACCATCTCCCTTTTTATATTGCTGAATTCCAACCTCCTGGGGCGGAACCTGGAGGTCCTGTTTCTTACGGACTTGGTTGCTACAGTCCAGGAGCATTTGAAGGCACAGTGCAGACACTCAGATTGGCATGGAATTCTTTGTAAAATATGAGTGCCATAGACTGTAACAGACAGCTTCATGCACACTATGCATTTATTGGTTTGTTTGGAAAATGTTGGCCATCAAATTATTAATAGGTTTATTTCAAATAGTTTGGAAATTGTTGTACTTTTGAAAACATGCTGTTCCTGTAGATTTTTTGATGAGAGTTATAGCTGTTATATATACATAAAGATAATTTTCTTTTCATTTTAAGAGAATCCTTTTTATCCTAAATCTTTTATTATGTTTAAATTGTTTTCTGTATTATTATATGTGCCTCTGAAGCGAGTACACTTTTTATCTATGATACTTACATAATAATCTTTTCCCTTTATAGCTATTGGTAGTTCTACTAAGTTCTCATCATAGAAATTTTTATTTGCTGTTTAGATTTGTGACTGAATTGTGAGAATTCAGTTGTGATTTTTAACATGTCTTAGATATATACTAACATGTCTAATAAACACTATATATTTTATTGGTATATTTTGAAAAAGATGGGCATAGAATTATTACTACATTTATTTAAAATATTTTGAAAATACTGGTATTTTTGAATAGACACCATTCCTATAAAGTTGTGAGATGGGTGTTACAGCTGCTATATACACATAAATATAATTTTGTTTTCCTTTTTAAGAGAGGATTCTTTTTATCCTAAATCTTTTATCTGTAAATCTTTGTATCTATTATTACATGTGCTGCTGAAGGGAGCACTCTTTTTATCTATGATACTTAACATATGTATTACACTTATAGCTACATGATAGTCCCCCTAAATTCTTATAAAAATCAATTTTTATTTGATGTTTACTGTATGTTTTTGAAATGTGAGAATTCAGATGTAATTTTTTACCTTGTATTGGCATGTTTGTATGTTACTTTAAAGAGGATGTGTGTTCTAAAGGAGGACATGAGCTGTGGGTTTTCAAGAGAACAAGGCAGTGCGTCTCTTGGGGAAACGTAATAAAGATGAAGTTTTCTCACCTTCACAGCGAGTGTGATCATATTGGTCTGGATTGACTATTTGCTGTCATGACATTTTTCCTTAATGGGGTTTTGGTTATTTGAACATATTAATTAGCTCTAGAAGATAATCCTGCATTATTTTTTATGTAGAGAAAAACATAAGGCTGGGTGCAGTGCTCACACCTACATTCCCAGCACTTTTGGAGGTCATGGCGGGAGGATCACTTGAGGCCAGGAGTTTGAGGCCAGCCTGGGCAACATAGCATCAACATCTATTTTAAAAAAAATTTTTAAAAAGAAAAATAATAGAAGAGAAGGCCGATCCCAAGCTAGAGGTTTTGTTTGTTTGTTTGTTTGTTTGTTTGTTTGTTTTGGAGAGAGAGTCTCGCTCTGTCTCCCAGGCTGGAGTGTACTGGCACGACCTCGGCTTACTGCAACTTTCACCTCTGGATTCAAGCGAATTCTCCTGCCTCAGCCTCCCAAGTAGCTAGGACGACAGGCACCCAACTGTACGTCTGACTAACTTTTATAAAAATAGTAGAGACAGGGTTTCACCATGTTGGCCAGGCTGGTCTCCAACTCCTGACCTCAAGTGATTCGCCTGTCTTGGCCTTCCAAAGTGCTGGGATTATAGGCATGAGCTACTGCGCCCACACCCCAAGCTAGAGTTTTAAAGCAGGAAATGAGGGAAAGATATTGAGAGAGGAAAACCAGGTGGTAAGAAAACTCTAAAGGTGGCAGGGCGCAGTGGCTCACTCCATTGATCCCAGCAGGAGTTCAAGACCAGCCTGGCCAAATGATGAAACAGTCCTCCACATGCCTCTGCTTCCTTCAGTACCTCTTTATGAAATAAACCAGGGTACTTCCCTGGGGAATTTCCTTTTTCTTTCTTCCTTTCGAGATGGAGTCTTGCTCTGTCACCCAGGCTAGAGTGCAGTGGTACGATCTTGGCTCACTGCAACCTCTCCCTCCCGGGTTTTAGCAATTCTCCTGCATCAGACTTCTGAGTAGCTGAGATTACAGGTGCATGCCACCATGCCCAGCTAATATTTGTATTTTTAGTAGAGGCAGGGTTTCACCATCTAGGCCAGGCTGGTCTTGAACTCCTGACCTCGTGATCCACCCGCCTTGGCCTACCAAAGTGCTGGGATTACAGGCGTGAGCCACCGCGCCCGGACTTCTTTTTTTGTTTTTTGAGATGAAGTTTCGCTTTTGTTGCCCAAGCTGGAGTGCAATGGCACAATCTCAGCTCACTGCCACCTCCTCCTCCCAGGTTCAAGCGATTATCCTGCCTCAACCTCCTGAGTAGCTGGGATTACAGGCACCCAGCACCGAACCCAGCTAACTTTTTGTATTTTTAGTAGAGATGGGATGTCACCATGTTGGTCAGGATGGTCTTGAACCCCTGACCTCTAATGATCCACCCGAATTGGTCTCCCAAAATGCTGGGATTACAGGCATGAGCCACTGTGCCCAGCCCCTCCCATACCTCTTTTGGCCAAGGCAGTACAATTCAGAAGAACCTTGCCAGGGAAGACTGGCAAACGGACATCAACGTGATGCCTATGGCTCCTGGAGGATTTAGATACCTCCTGGTGCTCACTGATATCTTCACCAGTTACATGGGGGCTTTTCCATGCCAGACTGAAAATGCAGGAGATCACTGATCAACCTTCAACTATTCACTAGCAGAACACTGAGGGGACTGTGCAGTCACCAATACCTCCTACTGCACTTGGATAAACACCTCCCGGGAAATAGAGATGAATAGAAAGGAAATAGTCAAACTAGCAGAATGGCTGCATTCCTTCAACCAGAAGGGTCCATTAGTCTGTTTTCATACTGCTATAAAGAACTACCTGAAACTGGTTAATTTATGAAGAAAAGAGGTTTAATTGACTCACAGTTCTGCAGGCCGTACAGGAAGCATGGCTGGGGAGGCCTCAGGAAACGGACAGTCATGGCAGAAGGCGAAGTGGAAGCAGGCACGTCTGGCTATGGTGGAGCGGGAGAGACAGAGAGAATGAAGCGGGAGGTGATGCACGCTTTTCAACAACCAGATCCCACGAGGGCTCACTCACTACCAAGAGAACAGCACGGGGGAAGATGGTCCCCATGAGCCAATCACCTCCCACCAGCTCCCTCCCTCAACACTGGGAATTACAATTTGACATGAGATTTGGGTGGTGACACAGAGCCAAACTGTATCAAGGGTAGTTGAACCACCGAGATTTATTTATTTGTTTATTTATTTAGAGACAGAGTCTCGCTCTGTCACCCAGGCTGGAGGCTCACTGCAACCTCCGCCTCCCGGGTTCAAGCAATTCTCCTGCCTCAGCCTCCCGATTAGCTGGGACTACAGCACATGCCACCATGCCTGGCTAATTTTTGTATTTTTAGTAGAGATGGGACTTCACCATGTTGGCCAGGCTGGTCTCCAACTCCTGAGCTCAGGTGACCCGCCTGCCTCGGCCTCCCTTTTGCTAAGATTACAGGCATGAGCCACAGTGCCTGGCCAACCACTGAGATTTAGAAAGCAGTCGAGTCCACTATACCGCACCTCACCTGGTTTCTTCCTCTGTTGGGGCCCCTCGTGGCCACTGTTCTCCTGGTACTTTTCAGTCCTGTTTATTTAAATTGATGGTGAGCTGTTTGTCCTCCCGGCTCCAACACTTCCACCTTCAGCTTGTATTACCACAACAATACCAGCCCTTCAAGCAATTCTGGGTGACCCCAAAACTCATTTGAACTCAGCAGCCCAAGAGTTTCATTCCTCTAACTTTAGGGGACTCAGTGCCTCTGGTCAGCATGAAGTAGATACAGAAGCATGACCTCCATCCCTAATCCCTCAAGAATGAGGAGTGGAAGGTGTCGGCAGGAGGGTGGGGACACGGTTTGTAAATCTGGAACTGCATCAGACTAAATCTAGTTCAAGTTTTTTTTTTTTTTTGACGGAGTTTTGCTCTTGTCACCCAGGTTGCAGTTTAATGGCGCGATCTCGGTTCACTGGAACCTCCGCCTCCTGGGTTCAAGAGATTCTCCTGCCTCAGCGCATCACCACCCCTGGATAATTTTTGTATTTTTAGTAGAGGCGGGGTTTCACCATATTGGCCAGGCTGGGCTGGAACTCCTGACCTCGTGATCTGCCTGCCTCAGCTTCCCAAAGTGCTGGGATTACAGGTGTGAGCCACCACACTCCACGTCCATTTCAACTTTTATGTAATGTAGTTGGCAGTTGTTTTTCAACTGCCATGGATCCGTGGGTTGAAGGTCATATACTCTGAGCATGCCCAGATTAACCAAGCATGCAACCACGAAGTGGAACCTAAGTGCTCGGACTGAGGAGCTGGGACCCATTTAAGAACCGGACACCCTGTGGCAGGAGCCAGGAACCAATGAGATTGAGTTTTGGTGTCACTCCATGGCAGGATCCAGTCAGATCACACCTCCCAGCATTAATTACTTCATCTCAAGATCCAATCAAATCACATCTCCTTACCCTATGCGTACAAAACCTGACATAGCCCCCAGCTGGGAAAGGGAGATTTGAGCATTTCCTCCTGTGTCCTTGCTAGTTGACTTACAAAAAGGCTTTATTTCTCAAAAGCTGGAGCCATGGTATTGGCCTCTGTACACACTGGGCAGCGAGTGCATTGACTGCTCGGTAACATATATGTGGACTACATGCGGACTCGCATTTCCAAAACATTTGATTTGGTTTCAGTAAAAAATACCTTTCTAGCACATTAAAGCAACAGAAGTTCAATTTCTCTTTTTTTCTAAGAATTTGGGCAAATTCAATTTATATAAGTACATACACACCTCTACAAGCCAATCAGAACAGCAAACCTTTAAAGACTCTATATTGTGGCTCATGCCTGTAATCCCAGCACTTTGGGAGG
Source organism: Homo sapiens (assembly GCF_000001405.40). Lineage (NCBI taxonomy): Eukaryota > Metazoa > Chordata > Mammalia > Primates > Hominidae > Homo > Homo sapiens. The sequence goes on along the minus strand of NC_000007.14, from coordinate 6,709,471 downwards.
CTGAGGTGATCAGATCGCTTGAGCCCAGAAGTTCGAGACCATCCTGGGCAACATGGCAAAACCCCATCTCTATAGAGAATACGAAAATTAGTTGGGTATGGTGGTACACACCTGCAGTCCCAGCTAATTGGGAGGCTGAGGTGGGAGGAACACCTGAGCCCAGGTAGGTTGAAGCTGCAGTGATCCGTGATCGCACACACTGCACTTCAGCCTGGACGACAGAGTGAGACCCTGTCTCAAAAACAAACAAACAAACTCTATATCTACTATAATACCATTCAGAGGTGGAAAAACATTAGACACTCACACAATCAGAGGTAAAGACCTTTCTAAATTACAGACACACAGACATACAAAGAAATAGAGCTTACAGCTTCAATTCTAAAATTTCAGACATGGGTCAAGAGTAAACACAAAAATGCAAAAACTCACCCTTCCAGATATGAAAGAGCTCTTCTCCTCCCAGTGGGCATGAAATTCTTAATTGATTTCAGCTCAAAATAGACAGAGAAATAGAATAACAAATCAGACTCTGATGTCTCTCACCCAACAGAGATTAGGTCTTTGCAAACATTAATCTCATTACAGAGATCACCATGTGATCAGACCATAAAACCAAATTCCTAGCCCAGCGCGGTGCTTCACGCCTGTAATCCCACCACTTTGGGAAGCTGAGGCGAGTCTACCACCTGAGGTCAGGAGTTCGAGACCAGTCTGGCCAACATGGAAAAACCCCGTCTCTACTAAAAATACAAAAATTAGTCGGGCATGGTGGCATGCACCTATAGTCCCAGCTACTCAGGAGGTTGAGGCAGGAGAATCACTTGAACTTGGGAGGCAGAAGTTGCAGTGAGCCGAGATCGTACCCCTGCACTCCAGCCTGGGCGGCAGAGTGAGACTTTGCCTTGAAACAACAAAAACAAACAAAGTCCCAATCAGTGATGCTAGCAATGTAAACAAATGCAAACCAAAGTAAAACACAGGATTGGTAAATGGGGAAATTACTGAAAAATGAGAAGCCAGCAAATTTCTACTGGCACTTTGGACTCATTCCTGGGAGCCAAGAAAAGATTCACCTGGGCTTCAACAGTTCATGAGGCACTCCAGTCCTGAGGTTTTCCTGGCTCAGTCATGTGATTCCATCAGGGACTTCTGCAAAGACCTGGAAAACCTTAAAACATAAAAGTAAAATCATGACTCTGATACAGATATAAAAATGAGCACATGCTAAAGATTTTATTTAATTCAAGAGGAAACAGGCAGATATTATAACTGGTTCAAAAGAGAATCTGAGGGCTGGACATGGTGGCTCATGCCTGTAATCCCAGCACTTTGGGAGGCTGAGGCGGGTGGATCACTTGAGGTCAGGAGTTTAAGACCAGCCTGGCCAACATGGTGAAACCCCCATCTCTACTAAAAATTCAAAAATTAGTCGGGCTTGGTGGTGTGCACCTGTAATCCCAGTTACTTGGGAGGCTGAGGCAGGAGAATTCCTTGAACCAGTGAGCCAAGATCTCGCCACTGAACTCCAGCATGCACAGCAGAGTGAGACCCTGTCTCAAAATTAAAAAAAAAAAGAGAGAGAGAGAGAGAATCTGAGAAACAGACATATTTTCAGATCAGGAATATTGAAATGATTATGTAAATGGAGAAATGCAGTCAAAACTGCATTTTCTCTAGTGGGGATTGTGGGAAGTCAACCAACTTCCACCAGACAGAACATAACTTGCATCGATTACCTACAGTTTTCAAAGAGGTGTAAAATACCTCAAAGATAAGGAACAGGGTTGGAATCAAGTAACATGGCTTTCTAAATGTGCTTCGTTTTCCATTAAGACGCAAATTTCTTCTTCTGCTTGCCTCATCCTCTTCAGGAAGTAGAGTTCTGGCTAATTTTTTTCTTCTTTCAATTCTGTACATATTCTCTGAGTTTTCTAGCTATCACTAATTCAAAGTGATTTGGAAAAGCTGGAATTCTTTTTCTCCTTGTTGGGGCGAGGATGGTATCCTGTCCCAGGCTAATCCTCTATTATTTCATCCATGGGCTCTATTTACTGAAGTTTTCGTTAAATGTGTCATTGTGATCATAAGCTAGCATGATGCACCCTCTTGTTCCATTTGTCACGGTTGCACATGGACATTGATTTTAAGCCTTGAGCTCTCCGGTAAGGCAGGACTGGCCCAGGCATGGTCTACGAGATGCTACAGGAAGCAGAGACTTTCTAGACGTTCCCTTAAAGATAGTCAAGACATCCCCATGAAGACGTTCCCTTAAACTAAGGAGAAATTTGAGTCTGGGGTTCGGCGTTGCCAATTCTCTTAGCATAGAGCCTCTTAACCGCTAGACCAGATAGAGACATTTCAAATGGCTCCTAAATTTGGGGAGCGCGTAGGCTCATGGGAAATAGAGTCACGGTATTTGTCCTGGGACCGGCGGCGGGTCCCGGGAGGCGGACTTCCGGTGCATTCCTGCGCATGTGCACCCCTCTCTGTGTGCGTGTTCGCGCATGCGCGCCGCGGCCGCAGTGCCCTCGCTTCCTGTGCGTCCCCAGGTCACCGCTCGCCCTAGTTCCCAGGCTTTGGCCTCCGGTGGGCGAGAATCGCGGAGCCTGCGGGGCTGGGCGCCGAAGAGCCGGGCCGGCACCCAAGCGGGCGCGGGGCTGTGCGGGCCAGGCGGAGGCTCAAGCGGGGATCCCCGAGCACGACCCCCGGAGCCGACGGCGCTGGGGCCCAAGGGGCCGGCCGGGCGGTGACGACGGCGGAGGCGAAGGGGCGGCGGGACCCGGGCCCGGCCCGTGTGCGTCCTCGACGGCCCGGCCCCGGCTCCGCAGGACGGTGAGCCCCAGGGAGACGGATCTGGGCTCCGGGAGGGACGCCCCGCCTGGATTTGTCCCGTAGGCCCGGCCCGGGCCCCTCTGGAGCAGAACGGCCTTGGTGAGGTGGACAGGAAGGGACCTCGCGAGCAGACGCGCGCCCGCGACAGCAATCCCGCCCCGGCCTGTCGGGAGCGGTGGGGCAGAGGCTGCGGAGCCCCAGGAGGGTAAGTCGTGGGTTTGCGGGCCCGGGGCGAGAAGGGCCTGGGTGAAGTCACCGCGTGTAGGGCACCTTAGAGTGAGGGACAGTGGAAGGTCTCGATCGCTTGCAGGAGTGACGTGTGTTTGGGTTTGAAGGCAGGGTCCGGCGAGGACGAGGCTTACGGGGGCGTGGGGGGTGTCACCAGCCTCAGCTGCGGACGTTGTCTCCACTCCCCCCTCACCCCAGCAGCCCTTCCTCCTCTCTCTGCTCCAGATTGCTACCGTATCTAAACGTCCGTCAGCACCTCTGTTCTCTCATTTAAGTGCTGATTCCCCCTTAGGTCTGCTCTTGTGGAATCATACGTTGTAGTGCAGGAACAGCCTGCAGGAACTATCTCTTGCTGCCTCATTTGCTAGGGGAAGGGCCTTAGCAGGTGGGTGACTTGTCCGAGGTTTTGTGGGTGGAGTTGCTCATAGTAGAACTCTGGAGTTTTATCTCCCAGGCCAGTGTTCTGTCCCCCGTATCCTAGTTAAGTGAGCGTAAGTTCTTCAATAAAAGATCCTTTTGAGTAGCACACTGAAGTTTCTGCAAATAAAGACTCAATTATGCCGACTGTATTCCTTTATTTAGGGCATCCTGTGGATTTTCTGATCTTTATTTAAAAGAGTAAGAAAATAGATGAGTATTACAGAATTCATTTTTTGTTGTTTGTTTTTTGTTTGTTTGTTTGTTTGTTTTTGAGACAAGTTTCGCTTTGTTGCCCAGGCTGGAGTGCAATGGTGCCATCCCAGCTCACTGCAACCTCCGCCTCCCGGGTTCAAGCGATTCTCCTGCCTCAGCCTCCCGAGTAGCTGGGGTTACAGGCGCCCGCCACCACGCCCAGCTAATTTTTGTATTTTTACTAGACATGGGGTTTCACCATGTTGGCCAGGCTGGTCACCAGAATTCCTTTTTAAATCTTGCATTTAATGATGGCAGATTATTTCAGTAGGATCCAGTATTCATTCACCATGAGAATCTCATCCACTCAGTCACAAGGTAGCCATGTGTGAGTTTCAAATGTGCAGATCGGTCCCCCTCCTGATCATTTTCCAATCCCTTCTGAAGGCTTAAAGGGACAGTCTCCCACAAGATGTACTTCTTGGAACTTTCTGTGTAGGTTTTGGGCGGGAGATGACCGCCTTGGCAGGCCAGACCGCTCATAACGCCATGGCTTGGGTTTTCCTTCCCCAGATCTGCCTCCGCTTTCACAGTCCTCCAGATTTTTCCAAGAGCAGCAGAAAATGAATAAATCCCTGGTGAGTGTTTCTGTTCATGTATTTATTCTCTACTCTGATTTACAATACACCTTAGGAGGAGATTAAGGGTTCAAAGTTTAAAATGGGAAAGTAGAAATAGATACAAGATTTGGTCAGACAGAACAGTAGCCATCAGCACCAAGCCTTTTTATCATATTCATATGCGCAGATAGCGTGATCCTTAAAGAGTTCTTGAAGTCAGAGTACAAGCGTCTTATGTTCTTGGCATTTATCACAAAAAATGATAAATACCATCCATTCCTTGACTTACATTGACCGTAAGCAGAATCACTTTTGTTTTTGCATGAATTTTAAAGATTCCTCTGAGATCATTATCAACAGCTTTCCTAAATAATAACCCTTGAACCATTGCAATTCTTGCCTTTCTTTTTTTTTTTTTTTTTTTTTTTTTTTTTTTGAGACCAAGTATTGCGCTCTGTCACCAGGCTGGAGTGCAGTGGCGCTATCTCAGCTCAGTGCAACCTCCACCTCCCAGGTTCAAGTGATTCTCCTGCCTCAGCCTCTGGAGTAGCTGGGATTACAGGCATCTGCCACCACACCCGGCCTTTTTTTTTTTTTTTTTTTTTTTTAAAGTAGAGACAGGGTTTCACCATGTTGGCCAGGCTGCTCTCGAACTCCTGAGCTCAGGTGATCCACCCGCCTCGGCCTCCCAAAGTGCTGAGCTTACAGGCATGAGCCACTGCGCCCAGCCCATAATATTTCTAGTAACTAAAACATTGTTGTCTCAAAGGTAGATTCTTTTTACTGCTCTATCCGTTGCAGAAATGGCCTTCTCACCCTTAAATTAGTCTCCCTAAATATTTTCTTTTCTTTTTTTTTTTTAAAGATGGAGTCTCACTCTGTTGCCCAGGCTGGAGTGCAGTGGCGCTATCCCTGATTCAAGCGATTCTCCTGCCTTAGCCTCCCGAGTAGCTGCGATTACAGGCACCTGCCACCACACCCAGCTCATTTTTGTATTTTTTTAGTAGAGACGGGGTTTCAGAAGCACTTGGGCCAAGCTGGTCTCGAACTCCTGACCTCAAGTGCCAAGTGATTTGCCCACCTTGACCTCCCAAAGTGCTGGGATTATAGGTGTGAGCCACCATGCCAAGCCGCCTCCCTAAATATTTCTCTTAGTTTATCTGGGTTGCACAGCAGAAAGGACCATAATAAATCTCTGGCATAGATGCCCATTTTATCCCATAGCCTGTGGTCTTGGTCCTGTCCCTACCACTCCCCTGACCTTGTTGGAAAAGGTTGCCAATAATCCAGCACATGCTCTTAGTGGACATTTGCATCTTTGCCTTGGCCCACTCTGCAGTTTGCTCTGTCAGTTTGAGTGCCCTTTCTCTTCTTGCCTGCTTCCTGAAATTGATGATTTCTTTGGTCTTCATGTGTTGGTGTCCACTCTTGGCTCACGACTCTGTACCTATCTGATGTCACCCTCCTGTGCTTCTAACTACCAGCTCTGTGTTGGTTTTCCCACATAGAACTGTCCAGCCACCTGCTTAGCATTTCTTTGGAGTGTGTCCAAAGGACCCCTCAAGGTCATAGATGCAGCAGGTTCAGAATAATTATTTGGAGCCCCCCCACCTATGCCTTCTCTTGTTCCTATTGATTCATTGTTCCATCGTCCAGCCTGTAGCCCTATCGAGAAAGATGGGATTCTTTCTAAAGTTGTCCATTTTCTGACCTCGCGATTGTTTTGAGTTTGTACATGTCATATTCTAGATGGTTTTTATCCTGTCCCCTATCCCCTCCCTGCTGTTGTAAAAATAGCTTATTTTTTGGCCTCTCTACTGTTGTAGAGATTTTCTTTCTATACTGCTACTTTCCTCCACAAGCCCAGGCATATTGCATTTCCCATGTCGAGTATTTCTCCTGAAGTGTTCATCATATCGTGCTTCCCCCATGGGAAAAGCACTTGCGTGGCTCCCAGAGTGGCTACTACGAAAATGAGGTTGCCTGAAGCTGGGATGGGGAAGACTGTGGGTAAAGCAGGCTTGAGAAAAGGCCAGAATTAGGTTTCAGATGTTTAAAATTTGGGCTGTGTTGGTATGCAGTGAGTGGCAGCATCAGGAAGGCAGGTAGGGGTGTGTGTGTGTGTGTGTGTGTGTGTAGTTTGGGAGCTGTGTTAGCTGTGTTAGTATGCAATGAGTGGCAGCATCAAGAAGGCAGGTGTGTGTGTGTGTGTGTGTGTTTTGGGACACGAATCTGGTGTGTGTGTGTGTGTGGTTTGGGACACCACTCTAGGGGGTGTGTGTGTGTAGAGTTTGAGACACAACTCTGTTGTGTGTGTGTGTGTGTGGATTTTGAGATATATCTCTCTGGGTGTGTGTGTGTGTATTTTGACACACAAATCTGCTCGGTGTGTGTGTGTGTGTGTGTGTGTGTGTGTGTGTAGTTTGGGAGACACATCTCGTGTGTGTGTGTGTGTGTAGTTTGGGAGACACATCTCATATGTGTGTGTGTGTGTGTGTGTGTAGTTTGGGAGATATATCTCTGTGTGTGTGTGTAGTTTGGGAGACACATCTCGTGTGGGTGTGTGTGTGTGTAGTTTGGGAGACGCATCTCGTGTATGTGTGTGTGTGTAGTTTGGGAGACGCATCTCATGTGTGTGTGTGTGTGTGTGCAGTTTGGGAGATAAATCTGTGTGTGTGTGTGTGTGTGTGGAGTTTGGGAGACGAATCTGGTGCGTGTGGAGTTTGGGAGATGAATCTGGTGTGTGTGCGTGCGTGTAGTTTGGGAGACGAATCTGGTTGTGTGTGTGTGTGTGGAGTTTGGGAGATGAATCTGGTGTGTGTGCGTGTGTGTAGTTTGGGAGACGAATCTGGTGTGTGTGTGTGTGTGTGTGTTTGTGGAGTTTGGGAGACGAATCTGGTACTCTCCCATGTGCAGTCTGGTAGAGAAGGAGGAACTGGGAAGGTGCTACTGGTCAGGCTAGAGGGAGAACCAGGAGCGTGCAGTTTCTGAAGCCAAGGGAATGAGAAGCTTCAGGGACAGGTGATCAACTGTGTCAAATGCTGTTAAGAGTCCAGCCCAAGGAAGACTGAGAAATAGTGCTGGGATTTAGCTCAGGGGAGGTCATGTGACTCTCTGAGGCCCTGTGGCTGGATCTGTAAGGGAAATCCTGATTGGAGAGGTTTAGGAGAGAGTGGTAGAAGAATTGAATTTGGTCTATTGAGAATTTTTTTTTTTTTTTTTTTTGAGAAATTTTGCCCTAAAGGAAAAAGAGAAATTGGATAGTAGCAGGAATAGGAGTTGAGGTTAAGAAAGGATTTTTCATTTTGTTTTGTTTTGATGGGAGAGATAATAGTGGGGTGATTCTGTCGAGAATGAGAAATAGTTGTTGCCCATGGAGTGAGAATGGCTGTGGGGCCTCGAGTCAGCCAGAGGGGACAGAGATGCAAACAGTTGGAGGTGTCCCATGAGGTGGTTAGAGAAGAGGGTAGACATAGCATTCCTATTTGCTTCTTTTCTCAGGGAAATAGCTCGTCAGCCAAGAGTGAGGGGTGACGGCCGGGTTTTGGGAGAGAGCAGCTGCATCCTAACCACCCCCACACATGCTCAGCCAGCCGTGAGGACCATCCTTTCCTTCTGTCTGAAATCCCAGCTCATTTCTCACAATGTAAATGTAACATACTACTCTTTTGGGAGCTTGTGTCATGATACTGGTGTTTCTCAGCTGAAAGCGATTAGAGCAGCAGCCAGTCTACCACACAGACACCTGCTGTTCTGGGGCTTCAGGAGTCCCAGAGGAAGCTCCCTCCTTGCTTGGCTCTGTGTCCTTCTGCTCAGCTAGCATTTTGTCTTTTTTTCTTAGACACTAACATCATTTGTCTTGGGGTTTGGGATATGATTTTAAGAGGCACTTCTTTCTCTCAAGGTGCTTATGTTCTCCTTGGAGGAGGTAATTCATGGATGTAATTATGGGAGATCATGGGAGTCGTTCTGGTCAATGCCTGGGAAACTCTGAAGTGATGATGAAGCAGAAGTCTGATTTTAAATGCATCCTCAGCCGGGCATAGTGGCTCACACCAGTAATCCCAACACTTTGGAAGGCTGAGGCAGAAGCATCACTTGAGCCCAGGAATATGAGGCTGCAGTGAGCTATGATTGCACCACTGCACCCCAGCCTGGGCAACAGATCAAGATCCTGTCTCGAATGAATGAATGAATGAATGAACAAACGAACAAACGAACAAATGAATGCACCATCAAAGTATTGTGATTCAGTCATTCAAGGAAGGGAAAGGTGGCATTTGCCAGCCCTGGAATAATTCGGGTTAGTGGCAGAGGCTTGTAAAGGCACTCAGGAGACCAGCATTAGGGGCCTGAGTAAGTCTCCTGGAGGGCTGGTGAGATTTTTGCTTCCTTAGAATTTGGACTTCCTGTTAAGAGACTGAGGGATGGGAATGCAGATAAATACCCAGATGGACCCAGGAGCCCCCAATGCTGGACTGAGTTTTGGTTTTGTCCTACAGAGAACTTCAAGCCTTCTAATTTGAAAAGTGTGTCATCTGTTGAAAAGCTGAAATTAATAGAGACTGACATTGTGAAAAACAAATGCAGTGGGGGTTTGAGGGGATTGAGTCAGTGACACTCAAGGGTGTCTAGCTGAGATGCTAGACAGAGGACTCTCCTAGCTAATGGGATTCTAAAAAGAATGAAATATTCTTTCTCAGGAAGATCACTTAGAATCTCTTAATGGAAAGACTCAAATATATACGATCTATAGGACAGAAGTGTGACTGAAATGGTTTGGTTATTTCTAAGTATGTTTCTGGTCAAGATCGTGTCCCTGGCACATATGTATATATATGTGTGTGTGTGTGTGTGTGTGTGTGTGTGTGTATATTTTTTTTTTTTCCTCTCAGACGGAGTCTTGCTCTGTTGCCCAGGCTGGAGTACAGTGGCTCGATCTCGGCTCACTGCAAGCTCCACCTCCCGGGTTCACGCCATTTTCCTGCCTCAGCCTCCCGAGTAGCTGGGACTACAGGTGCCTGCCACCACGCCCGGCTAATTTTTTGTATTTTTAGTAGAGACGGGGTTTCACTGTGTTAGCCAGGATGGTCTCGATTTCCTGACCTTGTGATCTGCCCACCTCGGCCTCCCAAAGTGCTGGTATTACAGGTGTGAGCCACCACGCCCGGCCGTCCCTGGCATATTTTTATTGTAAGAGGGATTCTGGTTTAAAATAGAGATTTAAAAAAAAATCGAAAATAAAATAGAGATTTTATGTGTTCACACTTATTGTAGTCATAGATATATGTGGTCTCTTTACTCATCTACTTTCATTTGTTTGCTTTCCTTTTGTGACTTTTCCTGAGCTGATGACTTTCTTCACATTTTTCCTCTTATGAGTCCTTGAAAGTCCTTTGCCCGTTTTCACCCATTGCACAGTGACCATCCTGACAGATATCAGGTGGACATACTAAGCAGGGACCTACCACTTGAATAAAGGAAACCAGGCTGACTTTCCTAAGAAATAAACAAGTTGTTATTGCTCAGCAAGGCAGGGCAATGCCATACGTGAACTTCGAGACTCTCCCGATCCTCATGGTGGATGACGTCTGAACAAAGTGTGCACAGAGTTTCTGGAAGCTCAGCTATTGCTCCCCAGGAAGTTCTCATCACCTGCTGGGGCAGTCCTGCACCTGGATTCATCTGGCTGGGGTGGGACCCACTTCTTTCCCCACCGTGTGTCCCATCAGCAGCTGGACACTCTCAGCCCTGATTACCCTCATCCTTCCCAGGCCAGCCAGGCCTGTCTGTGGATACGCCTATATCTAGAGCTGGGAGAGAGTGGCACGGCATCTCAGGGAGTCAGTAGAACCCAGCTTGCACTCATGGATCATTCCAGTCATTCCACATATGAAACCCAAGGTGTTCAGTCAACATCAGGAGTTTGTCATCATCTTACGTAGCTCTGAACATGACATGGCCTTTCCTTCCACACCTTCTACACCATTCCTGCTACCATATTTTCTTGAAATCATCTCAGCCTCTTTGTTCTTAACACACAGACACTGTTTTATGATTCTTTCTTGCCAATTACATAAATAACAACCACATAACCTTCAGTTGTTTAAACTTCTGTGTTTTATGGTTAATTTTCTGTCCTAATTTGGAAAGTGGTCAGAGCCACAGTAGAAAGTCAGCAATAACAGTAGATTTCATTGATAAATATGTGTTTTATCCAAAAAACTATGCTAAGTGCTTTTCGTGGATTAGTCCATTTAATACTGGTATTATGTATAGGTAGCATTATTCTCTTTATTTTAGAGGGGATGATATTAAAGGAAACAGTTATAATGGCTAGTGTGAGTACTTGTGAATGGGACACTTTATTCAAAAGATACACATTTATAGATGTGGTTTTGACAGTTTCCAGGTCAGCTGTCTGTTCCTCCTCAGGAATGTTCCTTTCTCCTAGAACGTGTACCATGGGAAGAAAGGAAATTTGGGGTTCCCAGCTGGGAATTAGGAAAACCTGAACCAAGCTATTACTGATAATTCATGTGACAGGCTGCATTCTGAACTGCTGTAGGCTTGGTCACTTGGCAGTAAAAATAAAAACTAGAATGTGTGTTGCCCAGCCTGTTTGTTATTTTGGTAATTGTGTCAAATATTGTGGGTTGGTTCCAGTAGTAGCTATGGTAGGAGCAGGTTTGAACAGGAACAGCAATTGAATTTCAGGGATGTTGAGTTTGCCATCTGGGACATATGTGTCTGGAATTTAGGAGAGAGGCCTGGACTGATGATGTAAATTTGGAAAATGTTGGTGTATAGATGGTAATTAAATTAGCCAGGAAGAGGGCTCACCATCAAAGCAGCAAGTACAGACAGCAAAGAGAAAAAGACTCAAGACAGCCGTAGGCCCACAACATTCAGGATGACTTGGAGTAGAGGAGGAGCCAGCAAAGGGACTGAGAAGGAGTGACCAGGGAGGTAAGAAGAGAACCAACATTATTAATGTTCTAGAAGCAAATTGAAGAATGTGCAAAGAAGCAGAGTGCATCCTGGGGTTCTGTGAGTGTCCCCAGGCCTGTGCTCCTCAGGGGTGAGATTCGTCCCTGCTGGTGTTAAGAGTTCCCAACAGCCAGGATTGTTTCTGGCTCACCGTGCAATCCCAGTGTTGTTTTTTTGTTTTTTGTTTTTTGTTTGATGTATACTGAATGAACCCCAGAACAGTGTATTTCTGATATGTTTGTTTCCCTTTGACAGTCTGTAACATAAAATAAAGGTATACAGTGTTCATGGTTAATTTTGCCAGTGAGCATGCTAAGATCTTGTACCTATGTGCCTATTTCACGTCACCCAATTCCAATCACGGTGCCATTTCAGGGGCCAGTGTCATTCAAGGACGTGGCTGTGGACTTCACCCAGGAGGAATGGCAGCAGCTGGATCCTGAGCAGAAGATAACTTACAGGGATGTGATGCTGGAGAACTACAGCAATCTAGTTTCTGTGGGTGAGGATAGCTTGCTTTCTCAGTTGCTAAAATATATGGGATTTCTCACAAATTTTATGACTTTAACTTAAAATTTGATGGGACGAATGTGAGTAATCTGTTTTTGGGCACCAGGCAGGGCATTTTGGTCTTGATCTCCCCCGTGAAAAGTTCTGATTTTGATAAGACACAAATGGAATTTTCCCTGTATGACAGAGACCCTGAAGCCAACCGGCCTGGGCTCAAGTTCTCTTTCATTTCTCATTAACAGGGTATCACATTATCAAACCGGATGTTATCAGCAAGTTGGAGCAAGGAGAAGAGCCATGGATAGTAGAAGGAGAATTCCTACTTCAGAGCTATCCAGGTGTGTTAGTGGAGGCAGTGAGGAGATCGGTAACTTGGGAGTGTTTTTCCCAGGGATTTTTTAATGGTCCCGAACCTTTAGAAGTGACTAGAAATAGTTGCTTATATGCTCTATGAACCTGAATCTCACTCCCAAAGACTTCTTCCTTCCCCGTAAGAACTTATGTTTATGGAGCTTTTCTGTGCTTGCCACTCCCAAGAATCGAATTCCAGTCACTTCTGTTGTTCTCTTAAACTTTGGGTCTTTGCTTGCTCTTCTAGCATTTTCAGAAACCATTATCATGGATTTTTTAGGTGTTATAAGTCTGACATTTAAAAATAACTTATGTGATTCTTGTGTTCTTCGTGTAACTTCTGGTTTTTTTTTTTTAATCTTTACCGTGCAGTGCCTGAGACTGTTTCTGGACCCTGTTCTACTTTGTACTTTTCTTTCTTTGAGGTTAGACTCCAAAGTTCCCATCCTGTGCCTAAGCCAGTGGATCCTGCTACTTGTCATGTGCACCTGTGCTTCATTGGACAGTGCTGCTCATTCCTGAGACCCAGCCCTCCTGAAATTTGGTGACTGCAGTACCTGGGTCTCCCTCTTTAACCAAATGCTCGTTTTCATCTTGTTTCTTATTTTCTGTTCTGTTCCCAATGCCTTGAATGATACCCTGTCATGGCAGGTGCTTAGTAAGTATCATATACGCAAATGAAGTCTGGTTTATGCTTCCACCACCTCCAGAAATGTCTTTAAAGGGTCTGTTTCTACCTACTGTGATTTCCTCGCATTATGAGTTTCTCAAAGGGTGCCTCCAGTGCCAAGTCTTTAGGCTTTGTTTTTTATTTTATGTTGCTCGCACCCAGGATGACATCTCTACCACCATTGAGCCTGGGCTCTAGTCTGGTATTTTCTGTGATACCAGTTACAGAGCTGCTCTTGTTCTCATCAGGCCTGGAAATTGATCATGACCTATTCCAAATTATAATTACTAATCACCTTTCCACCTCCCTTTATTTACTAAACTATACTAATCTCTTCTTCTTCTATAGTGGTCCCTGTGAAACCACTGAAATTCTCATCAGATATTACTGATCTCTCTGGATTACTGGATTTTGTCCAGTGTGAAATGTCTTCATTGTCCTCTGTATATCCTCAGTTTCCTTTGACTTAATGTAAACAAAGACTAGATGCTGTCATGCTATGAGTCCTAGCTGGATTTGCAGTATGTCTTCATCTAAAGTTTCCAGTTGATATCATCGCTAGCCTCACAAGATAAGCCTATAGTTGGTTACATTTTACTTCCTAAAGGGAATTTTAATTCCTTGTCCCTTAAGGATCTCAACAATATTAGGCCTGTATTACCTGGAAAAAGTAATTTTCTGTTGTTTCCCCAAAACTCTGACTAAACTCCGTTTGGTTCACACTCCTAATGTCTTCTCTTCATGATACTATTGTCCCTACAGCTTTACATTTCATTAGGGTGTGCTTTCCTTCCCCACATAACACATTCTTTAAGTCTGACCTCAAATCTTCAACCCCTCCCTGACTTTTGTCATGACTTCTGTATCTCCCTTCCCTCGACTTCAGTTTCACCTAGGGGTGATAGGATAAAGAAGTGACTCTGATTAAGTAATCTGTTATTCGATAGTGTCTATATTTTGCTTGAGCTGTTTTGCTCTTGGATCATAGTCCTGTAAGGAAAGGGGCATGTTATCCCTTGATGTAGTGTGTAACAGAGAGAGATATTTCTTTCTTTCTTTGATTATCTGAGAAGCTAGGCAGGTGAAAGAACTTTCTTGTCCATCCATTCAGAAATAATTTACAGGCAGTTACTTCTAAATATGCATGCCTGGGCCAAATGTGGTGGCTCACACCTGTAATCCCAACCCTGGGAAGCTGAGGCAGGAGGATTGCTTGCAACCAGCCTGGGTAACATAGTGAAACCCTGTCTCTACAAAAAAAAGAAAAAAGAAATAATGCATGCCTGGGTCACATCCCCATATATTTTGCAAGTAGTGGAAAAATACCTATATGATTCAGATTAAGAACAGCTTCTCTGATTTTTATTCAGAGGTTCAAAGGAAATAGGAAATAGGACCATCCTTCCTAGGAGAAAGGTTGTGGTTAGGAAAAGAGAACAAGGGCTGGGCGTGGTGGCTTACGCCTGTAATCCCAGCACTTTGGGAGGCCGAGGCGGGCAGATCATGAGGTCAGGAGTTTGAGACCAGCCTGGCCAATATGGTGACACTCTGTCTCTACTAAACAATTAGCCAGGCCTGGTGGCGCATGCCTGTAGTCCCAGCTACTCAGGAGGCTGAGGCAGAAGAATCCCTTGAACCTGGGAGGCAGAGCTTGCAGTGAGCTGAGATCGCACCACTGCACTCCAGCCTGGGTGACAGAGCAAGACTCCGTCTCAAAAAAAAAGAGAACAGCGCTGCATGAAGTAATTAAAACTCAGCATTTTACATGGAGTGCTGATGTTCCAATGCAAGGCTGAGTCACTTTGTATTAAAATGATTCTATAGACAGTATTCTCAACTTCAAGGGGAAATGGAATTGAGGTGAGAAAGGATTTGAGAAGTATTTTTTTCAAGCATGGAAATCCCCTACAAAGGTAGGTTTTGAGAAGATGAAGGCAGGAAGTCAAGCAAACTGAGTGAAACAATAAGGGTGGAGACTGTAGGTGAAATGTGCTGGGCATTGATCAGGCACACAGTGATCGTAGCATAAGGCAAGGATAAGAGATAGATCATGACCTATCTCTCCCAGCTTGATGTGACATGAGAAGGTGTAAAGTGCAGACCCACTTCCTCCAGAACAACTCTCTACTTGGACTTATCTTAGGAACCTCCTTGTGCAACAAATAGCTTGCTTTTCCTGCAACGGAATATTTTTGTTAGATGACTGTCATCCTAGCTTGGCAGCATATAGTGATCCCAGGTGGTGAAAAGTATTGTCTCTCAGATTTTTTTCTCATTTGATCTGTTGATATTTTGGCAGTGGGTTCAGGGAAAGCACAGGTTATAGGGGTTACGGTTGATATCGTTTCACTTAATGTGCATGATAGCAAGTACAGTAGTCAGGTTCATCCAGACACTTCTAAGGTAAGTAAAAATAAAATTGTTATTTTAGGAGCATGGTAAGGGATCTGATTTTGTTTGTTTGTTTTGTTTGTTTTGTTTTTTTTTTTGAGACAGATTCTCACTCTGTCACCCAGGCTGGGGTGCAGTGACACAATCTCGGCTCACTGCAACCTCCACCTCCCGGGTTCAAGCGATTCTCCTGCCTCAGCCTTCCAAGTAGTTGGGATCACAGGTGCCCACCACCACGCCCGGCTAATTTTTGTATTTTTAGTAGAGCAGGGTTTCACCATCATGGCCAGGCTGGTCTCGAACTCCTGACCTCAAGTGATCCGCCCGCCTCAGCCTCCCAAAGTGCTGGGATTACAGGCGTGAGCTACCACGCCCGGCCAGGGATCTGATTTGTAAGGTTTGTACACTAAATGCTACTCAGGAGTGGGAAAGCACTCACACTGAGAATTAAGTGATGGTAGTATGTCAGGGTGGGTCTGGCTTAAGCAAATGGTCAGGAGATTGAAAGATGGGAAGAATAATTGCTAAGCTTATCAAGCATGTGTTTTGTGCCAGATGCTGCTCTGAGCACTGCATTAACTGCTGCAATCCTACAACCACCTTATGAGGTAGGTGCCATTATCTCCATTTGGCAGATGAAGGATACTGACTACAGAGAATTGCTAAGTAGCTTGCCCTAGGTCACCTCACCAGAATTCATGCTATTAAATATACTGTTCAAATAGGAACAAGTAGAATTTCATGGTCAGAATGAGTTTAGCATTAAATCATAGCATCATTAGAATACTGAAGTTTCCAGTTGATCTCATCGCTATCCTCACAAGATAAGCCTATAGCTCTGTGGACTATTTTATATTTCCTGTAGGATATATATATACATTCCTGGGATTCTTCATCCAAGTGAAACAGAATTACAGGGCGAATGCCCTGGTTATAGGGCTGTTCCTTTAAACATGAGGAGATTTAGTTTATTCTACTATGTGGAATGAGGAAAGAAGGCAAAATAGTTTGGAAGGATGTAGTCTAGTGAAAATGCTACCACAAAAATCTTAGTATACAGTGCTAATGCCTTAAATTGTAATCTCTCTCAACTTGGTATGAAGTGATGTGGTATAAAGTACAGCTTTACCTCCCCCTAAATGAATCCCTAATTGAATACATCTTATGACCCTCCTTGTCCAACAGCACTCCTTATCGCTCTACCCTGTCAGCCATTCATCCTGCATTCTTCGCCTACCAGTCATTGTTCTGTGTTATATTTTATCTTCTATTCCCAGTTTTGAACAAAATATAAAGTAGATCAAAAGTGCATGTGTTTTTGTCAGTTTACTTCCCCCTTTCTCCATTCCTAGAGGGGGATGTGTGTGTGTGTGTGTGTTTGTGTGTGTGTAATTTTAAGCAAAAGCATAAAGGAGAAGAGTACACTTGGAATTATTTTCATCTGTTCATGAAGCTAGCATCTACTCACAATGAGATGCGTGTGTACAAATCATGAATCTCATTCCATATCATATATATATAGGAAGATGTACAAAAGTTTATTAATTTTGTCTCTCTTTAGATGAAGTCTGGCAAACTGATGACCTAATAGAGAGAATCCAGGAAGAGGAAAATAAACCTTCAAGGCAAACTGTGTTCATTGAGACCCTGATTGAAGAGAGAGGTAATGTTCCTGGTAAAACTTTTGATGTAGAAACGAACCCTGTTCCTTCAAGAAAAATAGCCTATAAAAATAGCCTCTGTGACTCATGTGAAAAGTGTTTAACGTCTGTTTCAGAATATATTAGTAGTGATGGAAGCTATGCAAGAATGAAAGCTGATGAATGTAGTGGATGTGGGAAATCACTCCTCCATATTAAGCTTGAGAAAACTCATCCAGGAGATCAAGCTTATGAATTTAATCAAAATGGGGAACCTTATACTCTAAATGAAGAAAGTCTTTATCAGAAAATTCGTATTTTGGAGAAACCTTTTGAATATATTGAATGCCAGAAAGCCTTCCAAAAGGACACTGTTTTTGTTAATCACATGGAAGAAAAGCCCTATAAGTGGAATGGATCTGAAATAGCCTTTCTCCAGATGTCGGACCTCACTGTACATCAGACATCTCATATGGAAATGAAGCCCTATGAATGCAGTGAATGTGGGAAATCCTTCTGTAAAAAGTCAAAATTTATTATACATCAGAGGACTCACACAGGAGAGAAACCTTACGAATGTAATCAGTGTGGGAAATCCTTCTGCCAGAAGGGAACCCTTACTGTGCATCAGAGAACACACACAGGGGAGAAGCCCTATGAATGTAATGAATGTGGGAAGAACTTTTACCAGAAGTTACACCTCATTCAGCATCAGAGAACTCACTCAGGAGAGAAGCCCTATGAATGTAGTTATTGTGGAAAATCCTTTTGCCAGAAGACACACCTCACACAACATCAGAGAACACATTCAGGAGAGAGACCTTATGTTTGTCATGACTGTGGGAAAACCTTCTCGCAGAAGTCAGCACTTAATGACCATCAGAAAATTCACACAGGTGTGAAACTCTACAAGTGTAGTGAATGTGGGAAATGCTTCTGCCGCAAGTCTACTCTCACGACCCACCTGAGGACCCACACAGGAGAGAAACCGTATGAATGTAATGAGTGTGGAAAATTCTTCTCTCGGTTGTCATATCTCACTGTACATTATAGAACTCATTCAGGAGAGAAACCCTATGAATGTAATGAATGTGGAAAAACCTTCTACCTGAATTCAGCCCTCATGAGACATCAGAGAGTGCACACAGGAGAGAAACCTTACGAATGTAATGAATGTGGAAAGTTATTCTCCCAGTTGTCATACCTCACTATCCATCATAGAACTCATTCAGGAGTAAAACCCTATGAATGTAGTGAATGTGGGAAAACCTTCTACCAGAACTCAGCCCTTTGTAGACATCGGAGAATACACAAAGGAGAGAAGCCCTATGAATGCTATATATGTGGAAAATTCTTCTCTCAGATGTCATACCTCACTATACATCATAGAATTCATTCAGGAGAGAAGCCCTATGAATGTAGTGAATGTGGGAAAACCTTCTGCCAGAATTCAGCCCTTAATCGACATCAGAGAACACACACAGGAGAGAAAGCCTACGAATGTTATGAATGTGGGAAGTGCTTCTCTCAGATGTCCTATCTCACTATACATCATCGAATTCATTCAGGAGAGAAACCCTTTGAATGTAATGAGTGTGGAAAAGCCTTCTCTCGGATGTCATACCTCACTGTACATTATAGAACTCATTCAGGAGAGAAACCCTATGAGTGTACTGAATGTGGAAAAAAATTCTACCACAAATCAGCATTCAACAGCCATCAGAGAATTCATAGGAGAGGCAATATGAATGTAATAGATGTGGGAAGGCTTCTCTGAAGTCAGACCTCATTTTATATCAGAGAACCCTTTCAGTATAGTGAATCAGAAACTCCTGCCTGAAGTCAAACACCTTGTACATCAGAGAGTTCACACAGGTTAGTGTGGACATCCCCTTGTGTGTTGGACTCATAATCTGAAGACTCACAGAATGGAAACCATGATTATAACAAGACCACATGGTATAACAATACTAGACTATAGACAAGTAAAAATTTATAAATATTAAGAATGTATATACATGTCACCATGGATTGGAACTGTTTTGCATATCAGGGAAATCATAGCCAAGGGGAAATCTATCAGTATAAGGAATGTGGAAGACATAATCCTTTGGAAACTGTTAATACTAAAAGATATGTTTCTGATACAATAGCAAACTTGAAAAAAAAAAAAGAAATAGAAGATTCCTGCTGTGAATAAACATACTTCTTGTGTAAATAGAAACTGTAAAGTCATCAGGATAGCTAGTTAAGTCGGTAACCTTAAACTCATGTAAGCAGTTCCCAAAGAACATAGGACTTATGTTTGGGGAGAGGGTTGTTTTTATTACAGTACATTACAGGAATTGTATGTTCACTTCGAATCATGTTTGAAAAAACGTTGTATCCTTATTTTGTAATTCATATAGTAAGAGTATTCTAAACAGCACTACATTAATATCATTTGATAGGTATAAAGTATACTTTTTCTTGCACTCTTCTCTAGGATTTAATGCATTGATCATTCTTAATGAACAATATCAGCTCTAAAGGACCAATGCTTTTATAATGTTTTCAACTGTATCTGAGTCAGCCAGAGAGATAAATATCCATGTATAAAATAGATAGAAAACTTTGCTTGGTAATTTAAAATTAATAATGCCAGTTTTCCAAGAGTGAGAAAATCATTGCACTCTATACAGTTTTAAGATATACTTAAAATATTCCCATTTGTATCTATTTTTTTTTCTACTGTTTTTTATTTGGACACTTACATAACAGTGCAGAGCACAATGCTGTGTAACATAGGAATTCACTGTGTTTTCATTTGATGTCGTACTGGTTTTAAACCTTGTGCTCTACTCCTTCCTGTTAATGAATTAAGAACACATTCTAACAAGGGTCTGTGGCAGACATTGCCGAGTGACTTTCTAACATAGGAATTCACTGTGTTTTCATTTGATGTCGTACTGGTTTTAAACCTTGTGCTCTACTCCTTCCTGTTAATGAATTAAGAACACATTCTAACAAGGGTCTGTGGCAGACATTGCCGAGTGACTTTCTTAGTCACTCCCTTACTCTGCTGGCGGAGTTTGGTTATCCATTTATCCTCAAAAGGAAGTGAGATAAATCCTGATTAGTTTTAACCAGTGACACTCCCCTTCTCGTTGCCAGCAGTTGATTTACAGTGGTCACAGGGCCCAATTCTAGACATAAAACAAAGGATATACCTGACAGACTACTTCTGGAAAAGGTTTTCTCAAAGGCCCAAGGATTCAAGCAAAGGGAAGTGGAATCTTGTGGTGAACAGTACCTTGTCTGGATGTGGTGCCTGGTAACCATCTTTCAGCAATGGATTATAGTTTAATCATGGCCTGAGCAGAAATACTGAAAGACCCTGAGACCTGGATGATGTCTTTGAGCCACCAAACCAAGCAGCCTTGTAGCCACTCCTCCTTTGGACTGTTTCTTTTGTGAGAGACTAAACTTATTTTTAAGCCAGTTGATTTAGGATGCTCTATTACTAATAACTGAAGACATTCTAATTGGTACAGACTGAAACCTTTATAGGAGTTATGCAGTTCAGAAGTGGACTTTAGGTAAGTCATTTATTTTAAGCTGTTGATATAGAGATTTATTTTCTGTAAATTTTGACGTAAATAGTTTGAGCATTAGAAATCAACTTGAAACAATAAAATGTATGCTTCCTTGAACTGTCATATCGTTGACCTGCAAAATTCACCTTTGGAACGTGACACAATGTTAGGCATACCTCCTTTTTTCTAATACATGGAATACATTTTGTTGGAGGTAATTTATGTGATTCATATACCACTGCTACAGTGTTAGCTGACAACATATAGTATGAGGTAAGGATCTAATTCTGTTTCCTCTCACATGATTACTTGATAGCTAAGCATCTGATTGGTTTACTGCTTTACCACTGAGCTGAAATGCCGTGTTTTCCATTTATTAAAATCACACATGGCTCCTGTTTTTGTCACTCAGCACTTTTTCTCCATATTCTTCAAGACGATTGTGAGTATGGTACGTAACAGGAATTACATCTGGTAAGTTGTATAGTTTTGTGTAGGAACTCTATATTCATAGCATATTTGTGGAAATGATACCTATGGAGGTTTCTCACACTGGTGTGTCATTATACATTAATTGTACAATATGCATTTTCAGTAAAATATTTGAAAACTGTAAATGGCTTGGCATTTTCTTCTTATCCTATGGATTGCCTGCACATCAAAGGGTCTGGTACGTATATAAGTGGTCCTGAACTGCCTCTTCAGTAATGTAGTCAGTGTTCATAGTAACATGTTTATAGTTTAAAAGATGCCAATGTTTTCATAAATTAAGAGATTTTTTTGGCCCATCTTAAAATGAAGCCCACCAGGAAATACATTCTTAAAATTATATTGCTTTTTTCTTCCTATCACAGAGATAACTACATCAAAAATAAATTGATTTTCCCTTCATTGAATATAAAGTCTATGATTCCTGCCAAATTGATGCACTAGCATGGGCTGCTGGCTTGTTACAGTGCAAGCCCGGAGGTGCCACGGAAATAAGAGCAGTGTTTGGGTCCAGAGAACTAAGGATGTGAATGGGGCTCTTTTGCGGGAAAGGTAATGGCAGACAGAACAAATCTTAAAGAGTAGTTGAATTGTAATCTTTTTCCCTATACATTTATGGTCCTCTGTAGTATGCCCAGGAGATGATAGCCCACCATGGTGCCTTCATAAGATAGGAGAGCAGCTCGGTCCTATGGGAGCACTTAGGTTCCATTAGAGCATCCTCTCCTCACTTCAAAAGCCAGTCATTGCTACGACTGGAGACATTCATTTTTTTGTTTGTTCGTTTTGTTTTTTGTTTGTTTTTGAGACGGACAGAGCCTTGCTCTGTCACCAGACTGGAGTGCAGTGGCACGATCTCGGCTCACTGCAAACTCTGCCTTCCGGGTTCAAGCGATTCTCCTGCCTCAGCCTCCCAAGTAGCTGGGACTACAGGTGCCAGCCACCACTCCCAGCTAATTTTTTGTATTTTTAGTAGAGATGGGGTTTCACCATGTTGGCCCGGATGGCCTCGATCTCCTGACCTTGTGATCTGCCTGCCTCGGCCTCCCAAAGTGCTGGGATCACAGGCATGAGCGACCACACCCAGTCGACTGGAGACATCTTAAGGAGGCAGTATTTAGGGTGATCATGTCAAGTGGTATCCTGAGGGTCAGTCAAGCGGGGCGGGGGGGGGTCTCATTCCAGGCATTGGTGATAGGGGATTTTTTTCTGTAACACACTCCTCCACTTAAACCCACCCAACAGGAAGAAACAGGAGGATTAGGCCTTCTCCCTGCTATTCATTCTCAGCCAAGATTTACAGTATCCAAGTAAACATTCAGGAAAGTAGTCAGACACATGAGGAATTGGTACTAAGAGACAGTACACAATACCATTTACATGAGAAGGCCTAACTTAATGAAATATGGGCATCCAGACAGATTTCAAAATGTTCTTAATACATATCTTTTTTTTTTTTTGAGATGGAGTCTCACTGTGTCGCCCAGGCTGGAATGCAGTGGTGCGATCTCAGCTCACTACAGCCTCCACCTCCCAGGTTCCAGCGATTCTCCTGCCCCAGCCTCCTGAGTAGGATTACAGGCACGTGCCGCCATGCCTGGCTAATTTTTGTATTTTCAGTAGAGACGGGGTTTCACCATATTGGCCAGGCTGGTCTTGAACTCCTGACCTCAAGTGATCCCCCCCATCTCGGCCTCCCAGTGTGCTGTAATTACAGGCTTGAGCCACTGCGCCCCGCCTTAATACGTATCTTTGAAGAAAAATATAAAGATGAATGGGGTGTGTGTAAAAATATAGTTACCAAAAGAAAAGTGGATTGTTGAGCATGCATAATCGACATGAAGGAAATAATAGATGAGATTGATAGATGCGATACACCCAAAGAACGAGTTAGCAGGCTCTGTTGTAAAGGCAAATATTTCCTCCAGGACACCAGAAGAAATGAAGAAATGGAAAGTGAAAAATCAAAAACTGAGATGTAGAGGATAGTAGAAATAACCATATACTACAATTCCCAAAAGAAAAAGAGACAACACACGAGGAAAATACACGAATTAAAATTTTCTTGTAATTAAAAAAGAACGAAAGGCCTCAAATTGGAAGAGATTGATGTGGTGCCAAATGGAAAAATAAAGAAAATCCTGGGCTGGGCGTGGTGGCTCACACCTGTAATTCCAGCACTTTGGGAGGCCGAGGCGGGTGGGTCACGAGGTCAGGAGATCAAGACCATCCTGGCCAACACGGTGAAACCCCGTCTCTAGTAAAAATACAAAAAATTAGCCAGGCATGGTGGCAGGCGCCTGTAGTCCCAGCTACTCGGGAGGCTGAGGCAGGAGAATGGCGTGAACCCGGGAGGCGGAGCTGGCAGTGAGCTGAGATCGTGCCACTGCACTCCAGCCTGGGCAACAGAGTGAGACTCTGTCTCAAAAAAAAAAAAAAAAAAAGAAAATCTTGTTCCATCCTTTTTTTCATTCATAACCTAAATGATTTTATCAAATGTTCTACCTGCAAAACCAGCACTTCTAATTGCTGCACTGTTGTTATGATGAAATTCCTTGTATATATATCCTTATGTGAATGAACTTCCCTGGAACATATAAACTGATGGTATACATTGCATAAGGCACAGACATTAATTTTTTTTTTTTTTTTTTTTTTTTTTTTTTTTTTTTTTTTGAGGCAGAGTCTCGCTCTGTCACCAGGCTGGAGTGCCGTCGTGCTATCTGGGCTCACTGCAAGCTCCGCCTCCCGGGTTCAAGTGATTCCTCTGCCTCAGCCTCCTGAGTAGCTGGGACTACAGGCACACACCACCACACCCAGCTAATTTTTTGTATTTTAGTAGAGACGGGGTTTCACCATGTTGGCCAGGATGGTCTCAATCGGACCTTGTGATCTGCCCGTCTCGGCCTCCCAAAGTACTGGAATTACAGGCATGAGCCACTGTGCCAGACCAATATTAATTTTAAAAGATACTGCCTGGTCACTTCCCTAGAATGGGTGTCATTTTATAGCACGAAACCTTTTCAATTACCATTCACATCTTCACCAATATTTACTATATGTCTCTGTAATTTTTGCTGTTCTGAAGGATGTGAATGGGGTATTTTGTTGTTTCAACTTGCATTTTGTAACCACTAATTTCAGGTATAGGTTATATCCTTTTTTTTTTTTTTTTTTTTTTTTTTAGTATACTACCCTTTTATTATTTGCTGAATATCCTCATATATTCTACTTGTTGGTTTTACTTTAGATTGAGCAAATTTTTCTTTTTTTCTTTTTCTTCTTTTCTGAGACAGAGTCTCACTCTGTCACCGAGGCTAGAGTGCAGTGGCACGATCTCAGCTCACTACAAGCTCACCTCCCAGGTTCATACCATTCTCCTGCCTCAGCCTCCCGAGTAGCTGGGACTACAGGCGCCCGCCACCATGCCCGCCTAATTTTTTGTATTTTTAGTAGAGATGGGGTTTCACTGTGTTAGCCAGGATGGTCTCAATCTCCTGACCTCGTGACCCACCCGCCTCGGCCTTCCAAAGTGCTGAGATTACAGGCGTGAGCCACCACGCCTGGCTGCAAATTTGTCTTTATAGACTGGAATTTCTTCGTAACAAGATTTATGAGACATCCTAGGTGAACATCCTTAACAGAGGTTAGTAAAATGTGAAACAAGCAGTAGAAGGCTGTGAGCAGTTAGAAGTAAAATGCTAGACTGGCATGTAGCACATTTGATAAAATCTCTTAGATATGAATGGGAAAACTGATTCAACAATATTTAATATAGCTAAACAAAATGTCAAAATTTCTCATACCTACACACACATCTATTATATAGGTTCACAACACTACTTAACGTCATAAATTTCATGTAACACCTATGGGGGAGGGAATGGGGTGGGGTCTGGTATGAAGAGGAAAGAAAATCAGGTAAAATAAGAGGGGGTCTGTCTTAATCCATCTCCTGTTGCTGTAACTGAATATCTAAAACTGGGTAATTTATAAAGGAAAGACATTGATTTAACAGTTCTGGAGACTGGCAAGTCCAAGGTCTAGGGGCTGCGTCTGTTAGCAGCCTTCATGCTGGCGGCGACTCTGCAGAGTGCTGAGGTGCAGAGGGCATCACATTGTGAGGAGGCTCATGAGAGAGCCAACCTGGCTTTTTATAGTGATAACTAACTCACTCCTCTGATAACCCATTAATCCATTAACCCATTAACACATTAACTTTTTCATAGGGCAGAGCCCTCATGACCCAATCACCTCTTAAAAATGCTACCTTTAGTTCTGTAGGGGACAACCATTCAAATCATAGCCAGGTCCTTGCAGAAGCCAACGTTGATCACACCTGTAATCCCAGCACTTTGGGAGGCCGAGCTGGGTGAACCACTTGAGGTCAGGAGGTCAAGACTAGCCTGGCCAACATGGTGAAATCCCGTCTCTGCTAAAAATACAAAAATTAGCCAGGCATGATGGCACACGTCACCTATAGTCCCCACTACTCAGGAGCGTGAGGCAGGAGAATCGCATTGCTTGAACCCAGAGGCAGGGGTTACAGTGAACCAAGATTGCGCCACTGCACTCTAGACTGAGTGACAGAGACTCCATCTTTAAAAAAAAAAAAAGTAACCAATGTTGATAATAAATAGTCTGTTCAGTTTTAGCCACATTTTCATGGCTCAGGTGCCTAAGTGATGTCTGTGCCTTTTTTAGCAGCTTTGCCCTGTGCCAGCTTTCATGGAAATGGTTGGGCTGCTCAAACTGTTGGACACATCCTTGCTTTGTTGAACGAATACTCCATCTATGAGTATCTGCATCGCATGACAGAACTCTGCAACAGACTGCTAATTGCACTACAGTGTTCCCCCTCTTTGTAGGATTCCCTCTTCCTCAAGTCTCAGCTGGGTACCTAATGAGATTTCTTTATTTTTTTAGAGGCAGACTTACTCTGTTTCCCAGGTTGGAGCACAGTGGTGTAATCATAGTCCACTGCAACCTCCAATTACTGGGCTCAAGTGATCCTCCCCCCTTCACCCTTCCAGATAGCTGGGACTTCAGGTGTGTGCCACCATGCCCAGCTTTTTTTTTTTTTTTTTTTTTTTTTTTTTTTTGTAGAGAAAGAGTCTCACTGTGTTGTTCAGGCTGTAACTGGAGAGTTCATTTCTCCACTTTCCTGTTAGCTAGCTGTGGCCAGGTGACTAGGTTTTGGCCCTCAGGACGTGAGTAGACAGCTGGACAAATGGACAGGTAAGATGGGAAAGCAAAGCCTTAGGATGCAACAGAGTTGCCTAGATGCCTGTCAGGACCAGAGCAGAGGAAAGATGACAGAGACAACTGTCCAGGCAGATGAGACCTGCCAGCCATTTGCACAAATGGGGCCTTCATGACACATTGTCACCAGTGGGGCAGAATTGTTGCATCACTTGCCACAGGTGAGGTGGCCAAAAAGCCAGTGTGCCTTCTCCATCCTCTCTCCCTTTCTGCTAATGAGCAGATTGACCTTGGAAACCTGAAGGAGAACTGAGAAGCCATTTATAGAAAAACTGAAGTCCCTGGAAGCCACTCTCTGAACAAGAGTGCTGATTTTGGACTTGGTGTGATTGAAAACTGAAGTTCTATTGTGTGAGCTGTTACGTTTGCATTTGTTAAGAGGAAATACCACTGAAACAATGGAGAAGGCATCCAGCAAATGCCTCCAACAAAAAATTCCTCCTACCCTACCTGGAAGCTGCAAGTCCCTGGGTAAAGCCGGCAGGTAAACAGTCAACCTCTAGGGCATTCAAATTAGGTGCCACCTTCCCCAAAGAAAGTTAGAAAGGAGACAATTGGAAGGAAGATGAGGCAGGCCTGGGGCCCCAGGAATGCTCAGTGGGCCATGGTGATGTCCCTGGGGTCGGGGAGAGCAGCTGGAGTGACCCCCCAGTCTCTGGTCATCAAGAGATTGTTCAAGCCAGCTGGATTGAGTGGCCCCCCTCAGTGGGCAGTTCACTGAGGTTAAATTTAAATGCAGATTTAGTCATAATCCCTACAGGCTTTGGAAATAAGAGCCTGGTGAGTCTATTCTAAAGGTCATCTCTGAGAATGAATTGTAGGAAAAGCCAAAAAGCTTGAAAAACAGGATTGTTCTTTGATGTATGGAAAAGATTACAAAGCAAGAGGAATTGGAACATGATCTTCTTTAGCATAAAGTATTCATAGTTCAATAAAATAGAATAAAACTCAGAATTGGAGTATAGTCACACACCACATAACATTTTGATCAGTGATGGACCAGATATACAACAGTGGTCTCATAAGATTCTAATACCGCATGTTACTGTGCCTTTTCTGTTTAGATACACAAATGCAACTGTGTTACAGTTGCCTAGCGTATTCAGTACAGTCACATGCTGTTGAGGTTTGTAGCCTGGGAGCGATAGGCCATACCATACAGCCCAGATGGTAGTCTTTACCACGTAGGTTTGTGTAAGCACGCTGTGTGACATTCACACAATGAAGCATTTCTCAGAATATATCTCTGTTGTTAAGCAAAGCATAACGGGACTCACAAGCTATGCCAAGCAGGACTAAAACTGTAAATTAGACAAAAACCAATAAAACCAAGCTGCTGACAACTCCCAGGCGAAACCAAACCAAAAAACGGCTCTACAATGACCTCCCATTACAACCTCCCAACAACTGTCATTAACCTCTCAGATTGAATGTCCTTCCCTGGTAAAATCAAGATGGGCCAAAAGGATGGTGGAATGAATGAATGGTCACCCAGAGAACTTCCAGCTCTCCAGGTTTTCAGCTTCTCTTTCTACAAAGATGTGAGAAAGAGTGCTGAGCACACAAAAAGCAAAGACACTACTAACAGTGACCTACCCTATGATAAAAGTAGTATTTCGGCCAGGCATGGTGGCTCACGCCTGTAATCCCAGCACTTTGGGAGGCCGAGGCGAGTGGATCATCTGAGGCCGTGAGTTTGAGACCAGCCTGGCCAACATGGTGAAACCCCATCTCTACTAAAAATATATATATATAAATTAGCCGGATGTGGTGGCAGGTGCCTGCAATCCCAGCTACTCGGGAGGCTGAGGCAGGAGAATTGCTTGAACCCAGGAGGTGGAGGTTTCAGTGAGCTGAGATCATGCCATTGCATTCCAGCCTGCGGGACAAGAGCAAGACTTCATCTCAACAAATAAATAAATAAATAAAATAAAATAAAAATAGTATTTCAAACCAGGGACAAAGAGATGGATTTCTTAAATAGTGTAAGGACAACTAGCAGTTCATTGCAAAAGTAAAGATTACATCCGTACATGAATCCAGACCTTGTCAAAAAAAAAAGGCAATGAATAATTTGATCAATTAAAAATGACATTTTATATGAAGAGAAAGAATACTTAATATGCAACTAATTTCGAAAAGAACATTTTCCGCTCTGGATTCTTGCAAATAAGAAATGACATTACAGTCGCCCCTTAGTATCCATGGGGGAATTGTTTCCAGACCCCCTGTGGATACCAAACTCCGCATACAAAAGTTTTGAAGTTGACTCTTCAGAACCTGTATACAAAGTTGGCCCTCTGTATCCTCAGGTTTGCATTCTGTGAATACTATAGTTTTGAGCTGTATATGGTTGCAGATGTGGAACCTGCAGATAAGGAGGGCCAACTATTGGGAAAAAAAACAAAAACTACTTACAAGTGGACCTGCTCAGTCCAGACCTGTGCTGTTCAAGGGTACCTGCATTTCCTTATTACATATAAATGTACAGAGCAGAAAGCAGCTGCTGAATCATTTTCTCAAAATCATTCTTGCCCCCAAATCACTGTGACTAACACTTCTGAATTACACAACTTCTTTTAAAAAAATGTATCCTGTCATCACAGCACTTTAGGAGGCCAAGGCAGGAGGATCACTTAAGCCCAGGAATTCAAGACCAGCCTGGGCAACATAGAGACCCTTTCTCTACAAACAAAAACTATCCCTCTTCAAAGTTAGGATGCCTTACAGCTCCAAGTCACAGAAAAATCTCAACTCCAACAGGCTTACACAATAAGAAAAACTAATGACCTCAAGTGCCCAATCCAGAGCCTCCTCAGTGTGGGTTAAATCAGTGCTTCATACCATCAGTGGCCAGGCTCTTCTATCTCTGCTCACCAACCTCCAACTACAGCCCTGGGCCACAAGACGCAAACAATGGATGTATTCAGAAGGGTAATGTGATTCTGCTCATGTCTCTTCATCAGTGATAAACCCTTTCCCAAAAATCATACAGAACACTTCCCTACACATCCTAGAGGTCAAGGCTTGGTCATATGCCCAACCCAAACAGTCCCTGTTGAGGGGGGGAAAACAGGCCACACCAAGGCTTTCATGCAACAAAGCAGCCTAGAACAGTCTGCCCCCTGCTGCAAGGAAATCCAGGTAGAGGAGGGAGAAAGAATGAGGACACAACAGCTGCCACCCTGTTGGCAAATGGTTCCTGGGCTCCTACCGCTTGGGGCCTATGCCATGTACTTCTGGAGGCACCGCTTAGAAACGTGTCAGGAGTAGAAAGAGAAGCACATTTTCTTTATACAATACTATTTTCATTGTCAGTGCAATGAGCACTACTGTTTGCACCTAGTTCTTAACACAAGCTTGAGTTGTTAATGGTATAATACGCTGCCTTTGCATTATTTCTTTTTTTTGTGATGGGGTCTTGCTCTGTTGCCCAGACTGGGGTGCAGTGGCACAACCACAGCTCACTGCAAAGCCAAACTCCCTGGCTCAAAGATCCTCCTGCCTCAGCCTCCCAAGTAGCTGGGACCACAGGTGTACACCACCATGTCTGGCTAATTTTTCAACTTTTTACAGAGACAAGGTGGTCTCGCTGTGTTGCCGAGGCTGGTCTTGAATTCTTGGGCTCAAATAATCCTCCTGCCTCAATTTCCCAAAGTGCTGGGATTACAGGCATGAGCCACCATGACCAGCCTTTGGTTATGTTCTGTTTTTATTGAAGTGACTAAAACCCAAAACAACTGAACACTTTAAAGGTTACTGTTTGGCTTCTTTATTGACAAGCAGATCAATAAGCACGGGCAGAGCTATTTATATACGCCAAAGAACAGTAACAGAATTGCTAAGTGGTACAGTACTTCTCCAAAACTTTTTATTATCAAATTTTTCAAACACAACTCTTGTAAGAAAAACAGTCAATACCCATGTGCCTGCCAGATCAACACTTGCTTAAATTTTGCCATTTTTGCTTTATCGATGCATGCATCTTTTTCCTGAGCCACTTCAAGGCTGCAGACATCAAGCCAGTTCATCTTTCTATATTCAGCATGTTTGCCCTTGAAAAATAGTCCCTCCACCTTTTCTCTCCTTTTAAAAATGATGGCAGCAGGTGGGTGTGGTGGCTCACACCTGTAATCCCAGCACTTTGGGAGGCCGAGGCGGGCAGATCACGAGGTCAGGAGATGGAGACCATCCTGGCTAACACAGTGAAACCCCATCTCTACTAAAATACAAAAAATTAGCCGGGTGTGGTGGTAGGCACCTGTAGCCCCAGCTACTCGGGAGGCTGAGGCAGGAGAATGGTGTGAACCCAGGAGGCAGAGCTGGCAGTGAGCCGAGATCGCGCCACTGCACTCCAGCCTGGGCAACAGAGTGAGACTCCGTCTCAAAAAAAAGTCAGCTTTTTGAAGAGACCTAGCCAGGTGTCTTCTAAATGTCATTTTTTAAGTTCTTTTTGTCCTAAAACAGAAACAAATCCCACTAAGGATATGCTCATCATACTGCATTTAAAAGTCTCTTGAAAGAATGAGCTCTTCTACTTAGTGAAGTTACCAATTTGATATAAACTTCAGTTGATTTCTTCTTTGGTTTCAATTTCAAAATGTGCTTTTGAGTACGTAAATTACTCATATTTATCCAAAAGTCAAAACTTCACAAAAAGCTACACGTGAAGAAGCCTTGTCTCTATCCTCAGCCCTGCCACCCTGTTCACTCCTATCTCCATAGGCATTCACTTTTGAGTTTGTAATTTACTCTTCAGGTTTGTAGTTTGTAGTTTATACTTATTTGCAAAATATATATATTATATAAAATATATTGGCCAAGCACAGTAGCTCATGCCTGTAATCTAAGCACTTTGGAAGACTGAGGCAGGAAGAC
Source organism: Homo sapiens (assembly GCF_000001405.40). Taxonomy (NCBI): domain Eukaryota; kingdom Metazoa; phylum Chordata; class Mammalia; order Primates; family Hominidae; genus Homo; species Homo sapiens. The sequence goes on along the minus strand of NC_000007.14, from coordinate 6,678,420 downwards.
CGCTTGAGCCCAGGAGTTCGTGACCAGCCTGGGCAACATAGCGAGCCCCATCTCTACAAAAAATTTAAAAATTAAAAAAATATATAAACATATATAATAGATAAATATATATACAAAATATCTATGTACATACGTATTATTTCTTCCCCTCAATTCTCAAACAAAAGGCAGCAAGCCATATAGTTTTCTGTACTCTGCATTTCTCAATAACATATTGTATACTGCAAATGTCATACATGTCACATATCAAGTATACTGTACTATTAAGATACAAAGAGGCCGGGCACAGTGGCTCATGCCTGTAATCCCAGCACTTTGGGAGGCCAAGGCGGGCAGATCAACTGAGGTCAGAAGTTTTGAGACCAGCCTGGCCAACATGGAGAAACCCTGTCTCTACTAAAAATACAAAAAATAGCTGGGCACGGTGCCAGGCACCTGTAATCCAGCTACTCATAAGGCTGAAGCAGGAAGAATCACTTGAAACTGGGAGGCAGACGTGGCAGTGAAGCGAGATAGTGCCATGCACTCCAGCCTGGGCAACAGAGCGAGACTCTGACCCAAAAACAAACAAACAAAAAGATACAAAGATACACTGGAGGCATTTTGTGTGGTAGATGTGTTACAACAGTTCTTAAGCTATGGAGAGATATTTCCTGCTGACCACTCGGTGGAGTTCCACTATGTAAATCAAACACAGGCCATGTATGTATGTTGTATGCTGCCCACTAACAAATGTAAGGCCATCTTACCTCAAGTACTCAAATATCTAATACTGTCAGCTTGCTGCTGCAACTTGTTTTTCAAAAGACTTCATCTTCCAACAATGAATGTCATTAGCATTAGATGTATCACACATCACATTTGCTAAATTTGGTACCTGAAATGTGACTTCTAGTATTACAGTATTTGTAGGGAAAAAAAAGTATCTCGGCCGGGCGCAGTGGCTCACGCCTGTAATCCCAGCACTTTGGGAGGCCAAGGCGGATGGATCACAAGGTCAGGAGATCGAGACCATCCTGGCTAACATGGTGAAACCCCATCTCTACTAAAAATACAAAAATTAGCCGGGTGTGGTGGCAGGTGCCTGTAGTCCCAGCTTCTTGGGAGGCTGAGGCATGAGAATGGCGTGAACCCGGGAGGCGGAGCTTGCAGTGAGCCGAGATCACGCCACTGCACTCCAGCCTGGGCGACAGAGCAAGACTCCATCTCAAAAAAATAAAGTATCTCTATCTCCTAAACTGATAGACGTCCCCTCAGTATTAATTGTCTGCTTATAGTTGAATTTTTCCTGAAAGCTTTCATGCATAGAAAACATAGTTTTACACCAGTATCAATCATATGTTGTGCAAATGTGCTGGAACTTTGTAAATGCTTTTATATTACTGTTCTATCGGTTTTTCCCTGTGATTTATGTGAAACATACTGTATTTGATTTCTTGGTGGATACTAATATACAAGATGTTCTCAGGGGTCTCTCCTCATTTGAGTTTTCTGGTTTTTTTTTTGTTGTTGTTGTTTTTTTTGAGATGGAGTTTTCATTCTTGTCACCCAGGCTGGAGTGCAATGGCATGATCTTGGCTCACTGCAACCTCCGCCTCCGAGGTTCAAGCAATTCTCCTGCCTCAGCCTCCCAAGTAGCTAGGATTACAGGCATTTGCCACCACGCCTGGCTAATTTTTGTATTTTTAGTAGAGATGGGGTTTCCTCATGTTGGCCAGGTTGGTCTTGAACTCCTGACCTCAGGTGATCCATCTGCCTCAGCCTCCCAAAGTGCTGGGATTACAGGTGTGAGCCACCATGCCCGGCCAGTATTTTCTAAGATAACACAAAATCTTCCCATATCCATTTCATTTGTGGAGAGGCCTCCAGTCCCTATATCTTGTGTTTTCTGATGCCAACTAAGGATTTAATTTACACAGAAGGAGACCCCTACATTATTTACATTCATAAGGTTTCTACCATGAATTTTGGTTTGAAAAACAAATTGACTTTACACATGAGGATTTCCCATATTTGTTACAATTCAGAGTATCACTCTTGTGTGGAGGATGACTTCATACAGATTTCCCACATGTATTGCCTTCATATGGTTTCTCCCCTGTGTGAGTTCTCTGATGATTGATGAGGTTTGACTTCACATAAAACATTTTCCTGCATTCATTACACTCAAAAGGGTTCTTCCTGGTATGGGGTCTCTGATGCACAGTGAGGTGTGATTTCATACAGAAATAAGTAACAGATTTGCTACATTTATAGGGCTTCTCTTCTATGTGAGTTCTCTGGTGAATGGTCAAGGGTGACTTATAACAGAAGGATTTCCCACATTTATTACATTCATGGGGTATCTCCCCTGGGTGTGTCCTCTGATGTTCAATGAGGTGTGACTTCTGGAAGGTTTTTCCACATTGCTTACATTCATAGGGTTTCTTGTGTGGTGTATTTTCGATGATGTTTAGCAAGGTGTGACCTCTGGTAGGTTTTCCCACATTCTTTACATTCACAATGTTCCTCCCATATATGTATCCTCTGATGCTGACTGAGGGCTGACTTCATATAGAAAGATTTTCTACATTCATTACATTTATAAGGCTTCTCCCCATATGAGTTCTCTGATGTACTGTTAGGGTTGATTTATGGTGAAAAGTTTTCTGACATTCAGTACATTCATAGGATTTCTCTTCTCAGTGTGTTCTCTGATGATCAGTGAAGTTTGACTTCATAGAAAAGGCCTTCCCACATTCATTACATACATGGGGTCTCTTTCCTGTGTGATTTCTCAGATGAATATTAAGATGTGACTTCAGGCCAAGTGCAGTAGCTCATGCCTGTAATCCCAGGACTTTGGGAGGCCAAGGCAGGCTGATCACTTGAGGTCAGGGGTTTAAGACCAGCCTGTCTCTACTAAAAATACAAAAATTAGCTGGGCATGGTGGCAGGCACCTGTAATCCCAGCTAGTTGGGAGGCTGAGGCATGACAATCGCTTAAACCCAGGAGGTGGAGGCTGCAGCGAGCCAAGATCACGCCACTGCACTCCAGCCTGGGTGACAGAGCGAGACTCCATCTCAAAAAATTAAAAAAAAAAAAAAAAAGATGTGACTTCAGATAGGATTTTTCACACTCATTACATTTGTAAGGTTTCTCTCCAGTGTGAGTTCTCTGGTGTATAACTAGGGTTGTAAGGACTTCCTACGTTCATTACATTTATGTGGCCTCTCCCGTGTGAGTTCTGTTATGTTTAGTGAGGGCATCCTTGTTGTAGAAGGACTTCTCACATTCATTGCATCCACAGGGTTTCTCCCCAGTGTGAGTTCTCTGATACACAATGAGGATTGAATTCATATTTTCCACATTCACTACATTCATATGGCTTTTCCCTGGTGTGAATTTTGTTGTTTACTGAGACTTGACTTCACACAAAAGGATTTCACACATTCATTACACGCATAGGGTTTCTTATCTGTGTTTCCTCATGTATAATTAGCACTGATTTATAGAAGGATTTCTCACACTCAGTATATTTATAGGGTTTCTCTTCTGTGTGCTTTCCCTGATGGACATTTAGGGTTGACTTATAGTAGAAGGACTGATTTTCCACATTCATTAATTTTTTTTTTTTTTTTTTTTTTTGAGACGGAGTCTTGCTCTGTCACCCAGGCTGGAGTGCAGAGGCATGATCTCGGCTCACTGCAAGCTCTGCCTCCTGGGTTCACGCCATTCTCCTGCCTCAGCCTCCCAAGTAGCTGGTACTACAGGCACCCGCTACCACACTCGGCTAATTTTTTGTATTTTTAGTACAGACAGGGTTTCACTGTGTTAGCCAGGATGGTCTCAATCTCCTGACCTCGTGATCTGCCCGCCTTGGCCTCCCAAAGTGCTGGGATTACAGGCATGAGCCACCGCGCCCGGCCAACAAATTCATTACATTTGCAGGATTTCTCTCATGTGTGTTTTCTCTAATAATCAGCAAATTGTGACTGCTGGAAGAAAGTTCTTCCACACGCAGTACATTTGAAAGGTTTCTCCCCTATATGTGTTTTCTGATGTTTAGTGAGGTTTGGTTTCACATGGAAGGATTTCCTACATTCCTTACATTCATATGGTTTCTCCCCTGTGTGAGTTCTCTGATGATGACTGAAGTTTGATTTTGCTTAGGATTTCCCATTACACTGATAGGGTTTCTCCCTGTGTGAATACTCTGATGGACTCTTAGGACTGAGCTATGACAAAAACGTTTCTTACAGTCACTACATACATAAAGCTTCTTTTCTGATTGACTTATCTGGTGATCAGTGAGGGCTGACTTCACAAGGGTTTTACCAGATTCATGGGGTTTCTCTTCTCGATGCATTATCTGAGAGTTGGTAAGTTGTCATTTCTGGAAGGTTTTCCCATATTTATTACTTTCACATGGTTTCTCTCTTGTGCATGTCCTGTGATGCTCAGTGAAGTGGGACTCCTGGCAAAAAGATTTCTTGCCATGACTACATTCAAAAGTTTTCTCTACTGTGTGAGTTCTATGAGGCAGACTGAGATGTGACTTGTGACTGAAATTCTCATTTTCATTAGCTCCCTGGGTTTTCACCCCTGTATTAACTTTCTGATGTTTGAAGAAGGTTGACTTCTCACACTCGTTAACTTCAGAGTGATTCTTCCTTGTGTGAATTTCTTGATGAACTCTGGGAGCTGATGTGGCACTGACATTTTCCCCATGCTCCTTATAATCACAGGGTTTCTCTCTTGTTTGAGCTGTCTCTTGTGTGATGGTGGCTACCTTCTCAAGGAAGGGATTTCCATGTTCATTAGCTTCCAAAGGTGGGCTAAAGCTTGAATTTCCTGTTCCTTAATAAGGTCCTCACTATGACTTGGTGACTTCCCACTTTGGTTATATACAACAGATTTCTTCCCAGTATGAGTGTTTTCCTGATTACTATCAAAAGGCAACTTCTCACTTATATTAATTTCATCAGTGTTATTACTGGCATAATTTTTATCACTAATACTTGATTCTGAAACGTATTCAAACTCATTCCACATGAGTCATACTAACAGGCTATTTTTCTTGAAGAAACTGGGTTTGCACCCAGATTAAGGTTTTTCCCAAAAACGTATTCCCTCTTCTTAGTCAGTGTGTTGTTACTGAGAACTGAAGTGTACCACAAATATGCATCTCGATTTTCCTGGCTTCCCTTTATCAGGTCTCTTAATTTCTGGACTTCTAGAAATGAGAAAAATTAAGTATACGTTAAAAATGTTAAAACATTTCCTATGTACGTGTGATTTATATCATGGATTCTCTATTTTCAGGCCCAGCCTCCTGGGATGAAATCCCAAATACATATTTCACCTTGGTTCCAAAAAATAAAAATGAAAACCGCCTGCTATAGTGGAAAAGGGAGGAAAAACTTGCAAGGAACACACATATATTTGCTATTTTTAAAAAGATGACCCTCAAAACTGAAAAGGTGAAATTATTAAACATAGGGAACAGTTAACTGAGGGAAAAGCATGACAGAGAAACTAAAAAAATGAGGTCAGCCCAACAGAAATCATAAGCAGGAAATGGAGTGAAAAGCAGTGTTTGGAGACATGGCTGTTAAGGAGAAATACCACAGGATGGTTTAGATGTGAGAGAAAACAGATGAGCAAGGCCTATATAGATAGGCCAGGTGTGGTGGCTCAAGCCTGTAATCCCAGCACTTTGGGAGGCCGAGAAGGGCAGATCACGAGGTCAGGAGATCGAGACCATCCTGGCTAACATGGTGAAACCCCGTCTCTACTAAAAATGCAAAAACAAAATTAGCCAGGCATGGTGGCGGATGCGTGCAGTCCCAGCTACTTGGGAGGCTGAGGCAGGAGAATGGCATGAACCCAGGAGGCAGAGCTTGCACTAAGCTGAGGTCACGCCACTGCACTCCAGCCTGAGTGACAGAGCGAGACTCCATCTCAAAAAAAAAAAAAAAAAGCTCTCCCTCTCCCCACGATCTCCCTCTCCCTCTCTTTCCACAGTCTCCCTCTGATGCCGAGCCGAAGCTGGACTGTACTGCTGCCATCTCGGCTCACTGCAGCCTCCCTGCCCAATTCTCCTGCCTCAGCCTGCCGAGTGCCTGCGATTGCAGGCGCGCGCCGCCACGCCTGACTGGTTTTCGTATTTTTTTGGTGGAGACGGGGTTTCGCTGTGTTGGCCGGGCTGGTCTCCAGCTCCTAACCGTGAGTGATCCGCCAGCCTCGGCCTCCCGAGGTGCCAGGATTGCAGATGGAGTCTGGTTCACTTAGTGCTCAATGGTGCCCAGGCTGGAGTGCAGTAGCGTGATCTCGGCTCGCTACAACCTCCACCTCCCAGCTGCCTGCCTTGGCCTCCCGAAGTGCCGAGATTGCAGCCTCTGCCCAGCCGCCACCCCGTCTGGGAAGTGAGGAGCGTCTCTGCCTGGCCACCCATCGTCTGGGACGTGAGGAGCCCCTCTGCCTGGCTGCCCAGTCTGGAAAGTGAGGAGCGTCTCTGCCCGGTCGCCATCCCATCTAGGAAGTGAGGAGCGCCTCTTCCCGGCCGCCATCCCATCTAGGAAGTGAGGAGCGTCTCTGCCCGGCCGCCCATCGTCTGAGATGTGGGGAGCGCCTCTGCCCCGCCGCCCTGTCTGGGATGTGAGGAGCGCCTCTACCCGGTCGCAACCCCGTCTGGGAGGTGAGGAGTGTCTCTGCCCGGCCGCCCCGTCTGAGAAGAGAGGAGACCCTCCGCCTGGCAACCGCCCCGTCTGAGAAGTGAGGAGCCCCTCCGCCTGGCAGCAGCCCCATCTAAGAAGTGAGGAGCCCCTCCGCCCGGCAGCCACCCCGTCTGGGAAGTGAAGAGTGTCTCCGCCCGGCAGCCACCCCGTCCGGGAGGGAGGTGGGGGTCAGCCCCCGCCAGGCCAGCTGCCCCGTCCGAGAGGGAGGTGGGGGGGGTCAGCCCCCGCCCCCGGCCAGCCGCCCCGTCCGGGAGGTGAGGGGCGCCTCTGCCCGGCCACCCCTACTGGGAAGTGAGGAGCCCCTCTGCCCGGCCAGCCGCCCCGCCCAGGAGGGAGGTGGGGGGGTCAGCCCCCCGCCCGGCCAGCCGCCCCGTCCGGGAAGTGAGGGGCACCTCTGCCCGGCCGCCCCTACTGGGAAGTGAGGAGCCCCTCTGCCCGGCCAGCCGCCCCGTCCGGGAGGGAGGTGGGGGGGTCAGCCCCCCGCCCGGCCAGCCGCCCCGTCTGGGAGGGAGGTGGGGGGGTCAGCCCCCCCGCCCGGCCAGCCGCCCCGTCCGGGAGGGAGGTGGGGGGGGTCAGCCCCCTGCCCGGCCAGCCGACCCGTCCGGGAGGTGAGGGGCGCCTCTGCCCGGCCGCCCCTACTGGGAAGTGAGGAGCCCCTCTGCCCAGCCAGCCGCCTCGTCCGAGAAGGAGGTGGGGTGTCAGCCCCCCGCCCGGCCAGCCGCCCCGTCTGGGAGGGAGGTGGGGGGGTTAGCCCCCCGCCCGGCCAGCCGCCCCGTCCGGGAGGGAGGTGGGGGGATCAGCCCCCCGCCCGGCCAGCCGCCCCGTCCGGGAGGGAGGTGGGGGGGTCAGCCCCCCGCCCGGCCAGCCGCCCCGTCCGGGAGGTGAGGGGCGCCTCTGCCCGGCCGCCCCTACTGGAAAGTGAGGAGCCCCTCTGCCCGGCCACCACCCCGTCTGGGAGGTGTGCCCAACAGCTCATTGAGAACAGGCCATGATGACAATGGCGGTTTTGTGGAATAGAAAGGGGGGAAAGGCGGGGAAAAGATTGAGAAATCGGATGGTTGCCGTGTCTGTGTAGAAAGAGGTAGACATGGGAGACTTTTCATTTTGCTCTGTACTAAGAAAAATTCTTATCCTGTTGATCGGTGACCTTACCCCCAACCCCGTGCTCTCTGAAACATGTGCTGTGTCCACTCAGGGTTAAATGGATTAAGGGCCATGCAAGATGTGCTTTGTTAAACAGATGCTTGAAGGCAGCATGCTTGTTAAGAGTCACCACCACTCCCTAATCTAACCCAGGTACACAAACACTGCGGAAGGCCGCAGGGTCCTCTGCCTAGGAAAACCAGAGACCTTTGTTTACTTGTTTATCTGCTGACCTTCCCTCCACTACTGTCCTATGACCCTGCCAAATCCCCCTCTGCGAGAAACACCCAAGAATGAACAATAAAAAAAAAAAAAAAAAAAAAAAGACCTATATAGATAAAGCCCACTATCTATGTGCCAACAGATAAAATAAGACTTATATTAGTTCAAAGTATCCTTACAAAAATCCACAATAAATATCTTCTAAAATATTCATTCCCAAACACAAGTCATGAGACTGACAGAGATTCTTACATTCAACTAGCTTGCTTTTCAGCTTTGGCTCTACAAAAAACTCAGTTATCCTCCAGAAAATGTACCCTCAACACACACACCCCTTTTTCAAATCATGCCCCTTAAACTACGTCATGGATGTTAAGGAGAAATATCACAGGATGGCGTAGATGTGAGAGAAAACAGATGAATAAGACCTATATAGATAAAGCCCACTATCTATGTGCCAACAGATAAAATAAGGTTTATATTAGTTCAAGGTATCCTTACAAGAATCCACAATAAATATCTTCTAAAATACTCATTCCCAAACAAGAGTCACAAGTCTAACAGAGATTCTTACACTCAACTAGCTTGCTTTTCGGCCTTGGCTCTATAAAACACTCAGTTATCCTCCAGAAAATGTACCCCCACACATACACCTTTGCAAATCATGCCCCTTAAACTATATTTTCTTAAAAATTTGAAAGCAGGCCAGGCATGGTGGCTCACGCCTGTAATCCCAACTCTTTGGGAGACCAAGGTGGGTGGATCACCTGAAGTCAGGAGTTCGAGACCAGCCTGGCCAACATGGCAAAACCCCATCTATACTAAAAATAGAAAAATTAGCTGGGCGTGGTGGCGGGCACCTATAATCCCAGCTACTCAGGAGGCTAAGACAGGAGAATCACTTGAACCTGAGAGGTGGAGGTTGCAGTGAGCCAAGATCCTGCCACTGCACTCCAGCCTGGGCAACAGAGTAAGACTCCACTTCAAAAAAATAATAATAAAATCAATGACCTCATCTTCTACCTTTTTAGAAACCAGAAAAAGAGCAAATTACACCTAAGTAGTCAGAAAAAAGTAATAAAAGTGAGAACAGAAAACAACAAAATAGAGAACAGAGAAACAAAAATCAGTAATATATAAAACTTTTTTAAAAATCAATAAATGTTTCAAACCTCTAGCTACACTGATGAGAGACAGAGAAGAGGAGGAGGCAACACCAACAAATTATCGCCACCAGGGGTGAGAGGTAACATCACTAGAAATTCCACAGATACAAGATGGGGTAAGAATATTAGAACAGCTTTGTACCAGGTGAACACTAATATTTAATAATCAAACAATTTGTGATACTAACAAATAGATAAGGAAAACCATATAATTTTATCAATAGATGCAGAAAAGAATTTGACAAAACACTGATTCCTGATTTTTAAAAAAGGACTTTCAACAGTTTAAGAATAAAAGGGAATTTTCTCAACCTAATAAAAAGCACCTATGAAAAACCAACAGCTGCCATCACAGTAATGGTGAAAGACTTAGGGCTGTCCTCCTAAAATTAAAATAAGAAAGGCAAAGATGTCGCATCTCATTTCTATTCAACATTGTATAGGCGGTTTTAGTCAACGCAATAAAACAACAAAAAGTCACAGAGATTAAAGAAGAAGTAAAACTATTTGTAAATGACATGATAGAATTGTCTATGTAGAAAATCTTGCAGAACCTACAAGAAAGCTGCTAGAACTAGTGAGTTTAATAAGGTTGCAGGATAATTTTGCAGTATAAACATACAAAATTTGGTATTTCTACATACTAGCAAAAAACGATCATAAATTAAAATTCAATACCATTTACAAGAGTATCAAAAAAAAATGAAACACTTAGGGATACATTTGAGAGATGTGCCAGACCTGTGCCTTGTAAACTACAAAACAATCCTGAAATAAGTTAAAGACTTAAACAGATGTAGAAATATACTGGGTTGATGAAAGAATGAATACTGTTAAAGAGGTCCATTCTCCCCCAACTGATCTTACAAGTTCAATTCCAATCTTAATCCCAAATTTTTCTTTGTAGATATATACAAGCTGGTTCTAATTTTTTCTTTCTCCGCCTCCTAGATTCAAGCGACTCTCCTGCCTCAGCCTCCCTAGTAGCTGAGATTACAGGCGTATGCCACTATGCCTGGCTAATTTTTGTATTTTTAGTAGAGATGGGGTTTCACCATGTTGGCCAGGCTAAGACCTCAGGTGATCCGCCTGCCTCGGCCTCCCAAAGTGCTCGGATTACAGGCGAGAGCCACCACGCCCAGCCCTAAAATTTATATGGAAATACAAAGGGCTTCTACAGACAAAACCTGGGGTTTTTATGGGCACAGGATGGGGGGGGTGGGGTGGGCCACGGGTAGTTTGGGAAAAGGCAACATTTGAGTGGGAAAACAGGGATGTAAGTTCTCACTTTTTTTTTTTTTTTTTCCTGAGACAGAGTCTCACTCTTTTGCCCAGGCTGGACTGCAGTGGCGCTATCTTGGCTCACTGCAAGCTCCGCCTCCCGGGTTCATGCCATTCTCCTGCCTCAGCCTCCCAAGTAGCTGGGACTACAGGAACCCGCCACCACGCCCAGCTAATATTTTGTATTTTTTGTAGAGATGGGGTTTCGCCGTGTTAGCCAGGATGGTCTCGATCTCCTGACCTCGTGATCCACCCACCTTGGCCTCCCAAAGTGCTGGGATTACAGGTGTGAGCCACTGCGCCCGGCCAGTTCTCACTTTCGACCACAGTGTCAGGCTTTTCGGCTTGAGGGTAGGGCCCTCGCCAGGGACCCGCCCTCTTCTGCCCAGAATTTCCCTGCCTCCCGTCCCTACCACTACAGAGGGCATGAAATACTCGGGAAAGACTGGAAGAGTAAAAAGATGAGGGAGTAAAGGATGGACATCTGGACATAAGCCATGAGAATGTGCTGGAGGAAGACACAATGAGGGGCACCAATAAATCTGAGCAGCAGGAATAAAGCCACAAGAAGCATGTCACAAGACACTAGGGAGAGGGGCCTTTCTAGAAGGTGAAAGCAGTTCAATGCCAATGCAGCAGAATGTTCTAGGAAGGCCAGGTCAGAAAAACACGCATTGGACTGAACTGCAAAGAGGCTGCCGTTAGGCTTTATCAGGACGTCCTGGGCAGGTGGCGGGGAAGTGGCAAGAGCACACAAAGCAGACTAAAATGCGAAGGAATGAACAGATACCTGTACCCCAATGCTCACAGCAGCATTATTTACAACAATGAAAACGTGGAAAAAGTCTAAATGTCCATCTGCAAATGAAGAGGTAAAGAAAATGTGGTCGATCCACACAATGGAATATTATTCAGGCGCCGAAAGGAATGCAGCTCTGACCCAGGCCACAGCATAAAGGAACCCTGTAAACGTCATGTTCAGTGGAATAAGCCAGACACAAAAGGACAAATATTTCATGTTTGCACTTATATAAAATACCTAGAATAGGGAACTTCACAGAGGCAGAAAGTACATGTTACCGGGGCTGAGGGGAGGGAGAAATGGGGAGTTGTTGCTTAATGGAGACACACTTTTTGTTTAGAGTGATGAAAACCTTTTGGAAATAGAAACGGTGATGGCTGCACAACTGTGAATATAATTAATGCCACTGAATTGTACCATTAAGAGTGAAAATGGCAAATTTGATGTTATGTATATTTTACCACAAGCAAAAAAAGAGAATGGATAGTGCAGAAACATTCACCAAAGAATATGACTTTAGGCCAGGCACGGTGGCTCATGCCTGTAATCCCAGCACTTTAGGAGGCTGAGACAGGCGGATCACCTGAGGTCAGGAGTTTGAGACCAGCCTGGCCAACATAGTGAAACCTCGTCTCTACTAAAAATACAAAAATTGGCTGGGTGCAGTGGCTCACACCTGTAATCCCAGCACTTTGAGAGGCCGAGCCAGGCGGATCACGAGGTCAGGAGGTCAAGACCATCTTGGCTAACAGTGAAACCCCATCTCTACTAAAAATACAAAAAACTAGCCAGGCGTGGTGGTGGGCACCTGTAGTCCCAGCTACTCAGGAAGCCGAGGCAGGAGAATGGTGTGAATCCGGGAGGCGGAGTTTGCAGTGAGCCAAGATCATGCCACTGCACTGCAGCCTGGGCGACAGAGCAAGACTCTGTCTCAAAAAAAAAAAAAAATTAGCCTGCTGTGGTGACACACACCTGTAATCCTAGCTACTGAGGACGCTGAGGCAGGAGAATCAGTGGAACCCAGGAGGCAGAGGTTGCAGCGAGCCAAGATCGCACCACTGCACTCTAGCCTGGACAATAGAGTGAGACTCCGTCTCAAAAAAAAAAAAAAAAGGTTTGACTTTGAACCATCTGCTGTCCCACCTATAGAGTGTAAGGAAAAGTTATTTCAAATACAGGCAGTCCATTTCTTTCATTTCTCCAAATGCTTTTAGGTTTTGTCCTTAGATCAAAACAGATGTTCCAAAAAGTCTCTATTGAGTCCATATTGCTCTGGTCCCCCTAATAAAACCTGAGTTGTACCGCCAACTTCCAACAAAGAACAATTACAGGCAACAGGGAGGTTCACTGCAAGGTTCTTTGCTCCATGACGATGTTCAGACATTCTTTCAGACTCCAGGAAATCTTTCTGTCCCAAGAGTAACTAGTTCGTTTCTTCTGGTGGCCAGTGAAAATGAAGTGCAGATTAGGAAGATAAAAGACAAATGAAGGCCAGGCGCAGTGGCTCATGCCTGTAATCCCAGCACTTTGGGAGGCCCAGGCAGGAGGACTGCTTGAGGTCAGGGGCTCGAGACCAGACTGGCCAACATGGCGAAACCATCTCTATAAAAAATACAAAAATTAGCCGGGTGTGGTGGTGAGCACCTGTAGTCCCAGCTAGTCGGGAGACCGAGGCATGAGATTTGGTTGAACCCCAGAGGTGAAGGTTGCAGTGAGCCAAGATCACGCCACTGCATTCCAGCCTGGGCAACAGAGCAAGACTCTGTGTCAAAAAAAAAAAGACAAATCTGCCCCTCTCCTTTGACGATTGTAGGATCACATGACCACAGGGTTCCGCAGCCACCTCTGCCTACTGCTCAGTTGCCTCTCACTCCTCATTTATCCTGAAGTAGCTTTTTAAATGTCCATCTGAATAAACGAATTTTATAAAAGCCAGCAAATCCCCTGGAAAATGAAAAAATCTAAAAAAGGAACTCACCTGGGGTTTGTTCATTTTCTGATGCTCCTCTAAGAGCATGGAAACCTGTTCTTCAAATAGCGTACCTGGAAGAAGGGGGGAAGAAACAGAATGAGCGATCTGGCAGGCTCTGCACCCGCCTAATTCTCCTAAAAACCCCCACACGTCCGCTGGGTAACCTTGACCCTGCAGAAGGAAAGGAGGGAAACATCCCCGCATCCCTTTTTGACTCCAGTATGATTTAGTGGAACTTAAACCTGCAATGTTTCCCATTGCTTTAACAATTTTTGTCCCACTTCACAAACACAGAAACATTTAAAACAGAATTGAGTAGGCCAGGCAAAGTGGCTCATGCCCATAACCCCAGCGCCCTGCAAGGCCAAGGCGGGAGGATCACTTGAGGCCTGGAGTTTGAGACCAGTCTGGCCTCTGCTATCACCCTCTGCCCAGCTCCCTTCCTCTACTGGGTCTTTCAGGGCCTCCCCTAAGCCCGGGCCCCTCCGGACCACACGCTCCTCTTATGCGATTCTCTGCCCCTTCTCTGAAGCCCTGATGGGCCTCCCTTCGGAGGAGGGGTTGTCTTCCCGCTGAGATTTCTGTCCCTGAGCCCCCTCCTTGTCAACGCAGTGGAGCTGCTCTGTCCAGCAGAGCCTAAGGCACAACTCAATTTAGCAGGAACCTTGTTCGAGGCCCAAGTCCGCCTGTGAGCGCGCACGGTTCCCAGAAGCCGCGGGACGCAGCGGCCGGAGGCCCCAGGCGGCAGCCAGGCGGCCCACGAGCGGCCCCGACTCAGCGGGCCCTGGCACGGGCCCCACGCGAGGCACCTCGGAGGAGGGCCCAGGGCGGCGCGCGACACCCGTGACCCCACACCCGCCGCACCCGCCGGGCCGACAGCGCACCACCGCCGCATCCAGCGGAGGAAACCCGGAGGCGGCCCCGGCACCCCCTGCTGCGGGCGGACCGCCCCCGCCCCACCTCCGCCCCAGGCGCTGAGCCCAAGCCTCCGCGGGGAAGGCGGTCCCAGGGGCTCGGGGCTGCGACTGTTCGGACGCGCCCCGCGCCCGCTCTGCAGCCCCCCAGGCTCACCCGCCGCCCCAGCACGACCCCGCAGGCGAAGCGCACGGTCAGCCCCGCGAAGCCGCAAGCGCCTGCGCACAAAGCCCGCCAGGCTCTGCCGCGACACAGGCCCGGGCAGGAGGCTCCACCCACATGGGGCGGGGACAGTGCGGGCCCCGCCCCCGCCGACCCCCTCCATCGCCTGGCACACCTTCTCCCCCACTTCCACAACCCCTCCCCCTTCACCTCCCACCTCCACATCCCTTCCCTCTCCCTCTTCCCTTCACCCCCCCACCTCCACATCCTCTCCCCCTCCCCTTCACCCCCCACCTCCACATCCCCTCCTGCTCCCCTCCTTCACCTCCCTTCCCTCTCCCCCACATCCCTTCCCTCTCCCCCTTCCCTTCACCCCCTACCTCCACATCGCCTCCCCCTCCCCTTCACCCCCCACCTCCACATCCTCTCCCCATCCCCTTCACCCCCCACCTCTAAATCTCCACCCCCTCCCCCATCACCCCCACCTCCACATCCCCTCCCGTACAGGCAGTGGCTCACACCTGTAATCCCAGCACTTTGGGAGGCCGAGGCTGGCAGATCACCTGAGGTCAGGAGTTCAAGACCAGCCTGGCCAACATGGTGAAACCTCGTCTCTATTAAAAATACAAAAATTAGTCTGAGTGTGGCAGCGCATGCCTGTAATCCCAGCTACTGGGGAGGCTGAAGCAGGAGAATCGCTTGAATCCAAGAGGCAGAGGTTCCAGTGAGCTGAGATCGCGGCATTGCATTCCAGCCTGGGCGACCGAGCAAGACTCCATCTCAAAAAAAAGGTTGGGGCAGGTTGAGGCTCTGCAGCTCAGCAAGGAATTGTTAGCTGGGGACCACCCAAAACCTGATGTCTCTAGGTCTAGACTTCACCTTTCTCCATTCAATGACCCATTCATTCAAACATGTTAATTATGCAGATAATTATTTTTTTACTAGGCACTGTGCTGGTCCACGGGGAGAAAGAATAACAAAAAAAATCTTTCTTGTTGGATCACACTGTCTCTTGGAGGAAACAGTCATTCAACCAATAACACATAATAATGTAATAACCAAAGCTAAGAACTATAAAAGTCAGAGCCCATAGAGGACTATAAAAGAACAGAACAGGGACTGGGAGGCCGAGGCAGGCGGATAGCTTGAGCCCAGGAGTTCAAAACCAGCCTGGGCAACATGGCGAAACCCTGTCTCTACAAAAAGTACAAAAATTAGCTGGTGTGGTAGTGCACACCTGTAGTCCCAGCTACTCAGGAGGCTGAGATAGGAGAATCACCTTATCCCAGGAGGTGAAGGCTGCAGTGAGCCGAGATCGCACTGCTATATTCCAGCCTGGGGGAGAGAGTGAGACCCTACCTCAAAAAAAAAAAAAAAAAAAAAAAAAGGGCTGGGCACAGTGACTCACACCTGTAATCCCAGCACTTTGGGAGGCAGAGACAGGTGGATCACTTGAGGTCAGGAGTTCAAGACCATCCTGGCCAACATGGTGAAATCCCGTTTCTACTAACTCTACTAAAAATACAAAAATTAGCTGGGCGTGATGGTGGGTGCCTGTAATCCCAGCTACTCAGGAGGCTGAGGCAGGAGAATCGCTTGAATCTGGGAGGTGGAGTTTGCAGTGAGCCAAGATCATGCCATGGGGCTCCAGCCTCGGCAATAGAGTGAGACACCATCTCAAAAAAAAGAAAACTAGAACAGAGAAATCTAAATTAGATTAAGGGAACAGAGAAGACCTGAGAAACAGATACTTAGGCTACACTGTGAAGGATGCTTTGCCATTGAGGGCCTTTTCTGCTGCAAATACAGAAACCCAACTAAAATGAGCTTAAGCCAAAAAAATAAATCTGCTGTCTTTAAGCAACTTTAAAAGTCCAGGATGGCTCTTGCTAGCTTCAGACACAGCCAGATCTAGGGGCCCAAGCAGCAACATCAGGACGGCGTTTAGTTCTGTCTCTTGGCCGGTTTGCTTCTTTCTCTTGTATTACGGGTTGATTGTGCCCCCAGCAGCCCGCCCCCCACACCCCACCTCCCGCAAACAGAAAAAAAGATTTGTCAAAATCCTAACTCCCATCTCAGTGTTTCAGAATGTGGCCTTATTTGGGAATAAGATCATTACAGATGTAATTAGTTAAGAGTAGGGTGGACCTGGCCAGGCGTGGTGGCTCATGCCTGTAGTCCCAGCACTTTGGGAGGCTGAGGTGGGAGGATTGCTTGAGCCCAGGAGTTTGAGACCAGCCTGGGCAACATAGTGAATGAAACCCCATCACTACAAAAGATACAAAAATTAGCCAGGGTTAGTGGCGCATGCCCATAGTCCCAGCTACTCAGGAGGATGAGGCAGGAGGATGGCTTGAGACCAGGAAGTCGAGGCCGCAGTGAGCTATGATTGTGCCATTGCACTCCAGCCTGGGTGACAGACATGTTCTGTTCCTCCCTCCTTATTGAATTCCTATTACCTGAGTGTGCAGATTCTTGTGTCAATCCTCCGTATCATTATTTCTGCCTCTTCCTCTTTTTTGCTCTGTATTTTAAGAGATAAACTTTACCTTCTGTTCTTTCTTTTTCTTTTGGGCCATTATGTTTAATTTCCAAATTTTTTCTTGTTCTCTGATTTCTCTTTTTCCCACCATCCCGTTCTGATTTTACACAGGCAACATCTTCATGAATCTTGGAAGATACTGTTTTTTATTTTTAATTTTTGTGGGTACATAGTAGGCGTATATATTTATGGGGTACATGAGATATGTTGATACAGGCATGAAATGTGAAATAATCACAGCAGAGTAGGAAGATGCTAAATTTTTTTAGTCTGCACTGGAAAGAAGGAAGATACTGTTTTTTTTTTTCAAGACAGAGTCTCGCTCTGTCACCCAGGCTGGAGTGCAGTGGTGCGATCTTGACTCATTGCAGCCACACCTCCCAGGTTCAAGTGATTCTTGTGCCTCCCGAGTAGCTGGGATTACAGGGCTGTGCCACCATGCCTGGCTAATTTTGGTATCTTTAGTAGAGACAGAGTCTCGCTATGTTGCCCAGGCTGGTCTCAAACTCCTGGGCTCAAACCACCCACCCACCTTAGCCTCCCAAAGGGTTGGGATTACAGGCATGAGCCAACATAACCAGCCCGGTTTGCTGATATTTAAATTTAAAAGTTGGCTCTGGAGTGAATTCTGAAAATGACTACAAACCTCTTGAATAAAGAAGACAGAACTGTCTGCAGAAGAATTTCAAATTTCTAAGGGACCCTCCTTTCATTTTATACTTTGTTACTAATTTGGATAACTCTATTACATGGGTAGGATTTCACCCAATCATAGTGGGGTTTTTTTGTTCTGTTTTGAGATGGGATCCCGCTCTGTCACCCAGGCTGGAATGCAGCAGCGTGATCTCAGCTCACTACAACCTCCCTCTTCCAGGCTCAAGCGAGCCTCCCACCTCAGCCTCCCAAGTAGCTGGGATCACAGACACATGCCACCACACCTGGCTAATGTTGTTTATTTTTTTGTAGAGACAGGGTCTTGCTATATTGCTCAGGCTGGTCTTGAACTCCTGGGCTCAAGGAATCCTCTCACCTCTGCCTCCCAAAGTGCTGGGATTATAAAACTCACACCTGGCCTCACTGCTGTGTTTTAAAAACTAGACCCTTTGGTTCATGTTTTAATTTTTCAAACGTGATAGCTCTCCAGGAGCTGAATATAAAAGTATTCGTACTTAAAAAAAAATAATGACCGTGAAATTTTGTGACATTCTTACCATCGAGAATTGGGGTCTGTGTCCCACCCTTTGAATGAGCTCCAGTCAGTAGAGTATGGTGGATATGGTGGTGCACAACTTCTAAGATGAGACCATACAGCTTTTTTTTTTTTTTTTTTTTTTTGAGAGAGAGAGTCTCACTCTAGCCCAGGCTGGAGCGCAGTGGTGTGATCTTGGCTCACTGCAACCTCCACCTCCTGGGTTCAAGCAATTCTCCTGTCTCAGCCTCCTCAGTAGCTGGGACTACAGGCGTGCGCCACCACACCCTGCTAATTTTTGTATTTTTAGTAAATATCCATTTTGGCCAGGCTGCTCTTGAACTCCTGACCTCAAGTGATCCGCCCATCTCAGCCTCCCAAAGTGCTGGGATTACAGGCGTGAGCCACCACGCACGGCCCAAGGCCATACAGCTTCTGCCTCGTATGTGGGACATGCTCAGATCTCAGGGCCACCATAGAAGAAATCCAAGCATGCTGAGGAAGCCACGCCACACAGGAGGGCGCCTGTGTGCATGCCAGCTGACAGTCCTAATTGCCAAGTTATTGCAGCCCCAATTACAGGTGCATGATTCCAGCTGCTAAGTCCCTTCCCTGCTGAGGTCCCAGAAGTGAAGGAACAGGGGAAAGAAAGCCAGCCCTGCTGTGGCCACCTGCATTCCTGATCCCTGGAATCCTTGCACATTGCCCAACGGCTGTGATAGGAAACCACCGTGTGTGTGTGTGTTTTGGGGGGAGGTGTCATTTGTAACACAGCAGGCAGCACTGAAACAGACAATAGACAGCTTCCACCCCACTACACGCCTGCAGCAACACAGCCCGGCTGCACAGGCTCTCGTATGCGACCATCATGCTTGCAGTAGCCCGGTCTTTGCACGGCTACCTCTAGAGCACCTTCAGAAATGCCCTTAAGCATGCTGGGGTCACGTGTCATGCAAACCTTGGACAGATGACTGAACCTCTCTATGCCTTGGTTTCTTCATCTGCAAAACAGGAACGACAATAATATTGTGAGAACTAAATGGAATGAATTCACATAAAGCTCTCAGGACAGAGTCTGGTACACACGTGTTAGTGGCCATTGTTATCTGTCCTGGAATCTCTCCCTCTCTGAGAGGGGACAGGGCAGGGAGGAGGACAAGGGGGAAAAGGAAAGAGCCCTGAGTTCCTGGGTTCCCAAAAGCAGCAGCGACCTCAATACCCAGTCCCTGGAGAGAAAAGGAGCTCTGGGCCCGCAGGAAGGTGCACTGTCCTGGCTGCCTCACTCCCCCATTTTACCAAGGGCTGCCCCATGTCTCTTCGTGGCCAGCACCTCCTTAAATGCAGGTAGCTCAGACAGAGGTGCTTCTGCACCAAAGCGTTTCCTGATATGCGTCCCACCCTGGCCTCTGTCTTTGCTGAACACTGGGCAAGCCCCCTTCCTGGAGCTGGGGGCAGGTCCTGCTCAGAAGGGGGTGTGATGAGCTACAGCTTAGAGGGATTCAAACCACGGCTTTCACACTGCAGATCCTGACTCATCGTGAAGTGAGATTGGCTTAAAAAAAATGAAATAGATTTAAAGAGGTGGAATTTAAAAATGCAGTAAAGGTTTAAGTGTTGGTGCACTAAGTGTGTGTATGCACGTATGCACACTCAAGTTCAATGACGGAAAATGGGTTTCTCACTGTGGATCATGAGCCAGAAGTGTTCAAAATCACTGAGTTAGAGAATTCGCTTTTGTTTTTGAGACAGCATCTCACTCTGTTGCCCCAGCTGGAGTGCAGTGGTGGGATCTTGGCTCGCTGCAGCCTCAGCCTTCCAAGCAGCTGGGACCACAGGTGCATGCCACCACACTCAGCTAATTTTTAAAATTTTTTTGTAGCGATTTCACCATGTTGCCCAGGCTGGTCTCGAACTCCAGGGCTCAAGGGATCCACCCGCCTCAGCCTCCCATAGTGCCGGGATTACAGGCGTGAACTACCGTGCCTGGTCCTAGCATGTATTTTTATAATCAGGAAAAAAAAAAGAGCAAAGATCATAAAGCTTTATTTAATAGATATAACCCAGTAATTCAAAATACTTTATTCCATATGTAGCCAATTAGAGAAAGAAAAAAGGGAGATAGAAGGAAATGTTGGACGAGATTAAGTGAAAAGATCAGGATAAAAGGAATGAATCAGAAAAGGAAGGAGGTTGGGGAAACCGGCAAAAGAGAAAGGAAATAACAAAGGTAGATGGAGGGGAAAGTGACGCTCAGGGCTGAGGGACCCTCTAAGTGCCACCTTTCGTGACTCACATTTCACAAGTCACTAGGGTTTAATTCCTCCTTGGCAATAAAGGGTGTCTACTTTTTTTCCTATGACCATTGGATGGGGGAGGGTATTTTTCTCCCTATAAACTTTTTTTTTAAGTATTTGGCTGGACAGTCAACTATAAGTTCTATCGGGGAACCTTTTTTTTTTTTTTTTTTTTTTTTTTGGTGAGATAGGGTCTTGTTCTGTCACCCAGGCTGGAGTGCAATGGAAAAATCATAGTTCACTGCAGCCTCTGCCTCCCAGGCTCAGCCTCCAGAGTAGCTGGGACTATAGACGTGCGCCACCACACCCAGCTAATTTTTGTATTTTTTATAGAGACAAGAGTTTTGCCGTGTTGTCCCAGCTGGCCTCGAACTCCTGAGCTCAAGGAATCCATCTGAGCTCAAGGGATCCGCCTTGGCCTCCCATAGTGCTGGGATTACAGGCATGAGCCATCGCACCCAGCCTCATTTAACTTTTCTGAATAGACTGTAAGATCCTCAAGGGGCTCCATTTTTTAACTAGGTCTTTGTATTTGTCTGCCACTCAAACGTCTGTTTCAGACATGGAGTCTTGATACGTTGCCCAGGTTGGCCTTGAATTTCTGGTCTCAGGCGATCCTCCCACCTCAGCCTCCCAAGTAGATGGGACTACAGATGCATACCACTATGCCCGGCTTTTTTTTTTTTTTTTTTTTTTTTTTTGAAATATTAGGTTGCTCTGGCCGGGCGCGGTGACTCACACCTGCAATCCCAGCACTTTGGAAGGCCAAGACAGGCAGATCACAAGATCAGGAGCTCAAGACCAGCCTGGCCAATATGCTGAAATCCCATCTCTACTAAAAATACAAAAAAACTCGCTGGGCATGGTGGCACATGCCTGTAATCCCAGCTACTCGGCAGTCTGAGGCAGGAGAATCGCTTGAACCTGGGAGGCAGAGGTTGCAGTGAGCCGAGATCACGCCCTGCACTCCAGCCTGGGCAAGAAAAGAAGCATTAGATTGCTCTGTTCTGATGCCTCCAGATCACATTTGATTACAGCAGTTCTTATTTTTCAGACCCACAAAGAAAGGACAGGAGAGTCAGATCTGATCGTGGGCTACCATGTGATAAGAATAAAGAAATCAACCAATCAGCTTTAAGGGAGGCATTTTGGGTCCTGGGGCTGTACACCTTGCCCTGGTACTGGAGTAGGTGAGCCCTGGATGAGCCACATGGTGCTGGGGCCTCTGAAGAAAGGGCTGGGGATGTGTTTGGACCACCACGAAGGGTACCTGGCCCCTCACTCTGGCCTCTGGAAGCCTGGCCAACATATTCACAAAAAGTAATGCCCCAAGTCAGGTGTTTACACTACATCAAGTGTGGGGCAGCGTGGGGGCCACCAAGGAATACGGTGGGCATGGGCAGCACGGGGCCACACTGGCCTGGGGCCAACTCCTCATGGGCCATCCTAGGACCCATTCTAATTTCTTAAAAGAGAAAATCTTTTAAAAAATGTTTGCAGAAACAAGTTGGACCTGAGGCCGCGCAGAGCCTCCCCGACGGGTTCCCAGGAGTGGCGACAGCATGGAGTCCAGTCAGAAGTTCAGTTTGTCCACTCTTTATTAAAGCCAGGCCCTCCTGCTGACAGCTGCAGGACAGCTGCTGGGGCCCAGGAGGGACGGAGACAGCAGATCCTGGCCATACAGGGCTAGAGCTGAGATTCCCAGAGCCCCCCAAGCCCACCTTGCCCTTGGCCCTTTCTGAGGCTCCTGTCCCGCAGGGAGAGGAGAAACCCAGGGCCGAGGTCATTACCCAGCACCCCAATGCCTCCCTGGGACCCCTGCTCTCCTCACCACCCCGCCCCGCAACCTCACCAACCTCACCCAGCCAGGCTAACTGACCGCCACCACCCAGGCCCTCTTCCCACCCACCAACTACCGTGCCTCCTACCCGCCCCCAGCCCTGGCAGCCTGGCTGCTGCGCTCAGCCCCCAAGGCCATGTCTACACTAACGTGGAGGGAACTAGGTCTATTAGGGAATGCAGCTGCACCAAAAATCCGTTTCCTGGCCCCATTCACAGTGGCCCCAAAAGCGTGAGGGGAATGGGGCTTCACATGAACTACACCCCAGCTGCCCGCCCAGTGGCTTCCATGGGCCCAGTCCAGAGGGTAGGATGCCCACCAGGCAGGGGCCTTGCATAGTTGGGTGCCTGGTTTGTCACTGAGCCACGGCTCAGGTCCACACCCCCCCGAGGTGGACAGCCACTGTGCAAGCTGCCAGGCCACGGGTGCCTCCACTAACCAATTTGTGAAATGGGACTCTAAACAGAAACACTACTTGTTCTAGTGTAATGACAGAAGCAGAGTTAAAGGGACCTGCGAGTGTCCTAGGGCCCTGATTATGGGATGTGGGGAAAGATCCTTCGACCAACCTCAGTCGCTCTAAGTGAGCGCTGGGCTCCGAGAACGGGGCGTCTGCCTGCTCCCGGAGAGGGGCAGCCCAGGGAAGTGAAAGCTGGGGCTCAGGGCTGCGAGGGCCTCGGGCGCCCGTAGATGTCTGAGTTTGCCACCTCCGGCTGAGGGAGACGAAAGTACCAAGGACTGAGAGGACAAGCAGAGACCAAAACCGAACCGGTGCGGAGGGTGCCGGGGTGACCTCGGTGCAAGTGTGGGTAGAGAAGAGGAGGCGGCTCGAGAATAAGGCTTCAAACTCCCTCAGGACCCTGTCAACACCCGCGACCCGTCTGCCTGGCCGTAAGTTTGGTATCTGGCTTTTTCTCCTCCTAGATTCTTCAGGCCATACAAGAAGTGGAAATAAATATCCGCAGACGACAAGTTTCAAGTTTTCCCACTGGAGCTCCGCCCTTTGGAAACCTACAAGGCCTCCCCTCGCCGCGCGCAGTTAAACCTTCGGGACAGACTCGGATGACCGGGAGGGCCCAAGTCTCTCACTGAGGAATGGGAAGAAGTGGTCAGCCAAACCCACCGGCCTCCCAGGCATCCCGCTGGCCCACCTGGGTGGCCGGGCCCCTCCCTCGCCGCCACACCCGGTTGCAAACACACAAATCCCTTGCTCCCCAGACCACCCAAGTCGGAATCCGAGTGAAATAAATAGCATCGCCCGCCAACTACCGCCCTGCTTCACAGCCCGGGCCCACCCAGGGGATATCGCAGTCTCCGTGGGGGTGACGTCCTGGCCTCGCTGCCTCCGCGCTGCTCTTCTCCCCAGAGCTCCCCCACGTCTCCGGCTGAGCACACGGACCCGGCGGGCATGAGACCCGGGGCCGCAGGGCGAGGGCTGAGGGAAGGCACCGCACCCAGGACTGGGACCCTCAGCCTCCCGGGGCCCGAGGAGCGGGGGGCCGGCCGTCCAAGGGAGGGGCCGGTGGCCCTGCAGGCTGCGCTGCTGTCGGCCCCGGGCCCCTCACAGGACGCCCTCCCGGTAGGCGCCCGAGGGCCCGGCGAACGCGGCCTGGTGCTCGGAGCCGAAGCTTGTGCCGCCCGCGAACTCCAGCAGGGCGCTGCCGCGCTCACCGGGGCCGGCACTGGACGGCCCCTTGGCGGCCGCCTCGGGCTTGGGCGCGGGGGCTGGGGCCGAACCCGAGCCCGGCGCTGCGGTGGCTCCGCGGTGCGTCTTCATGTGGGTGAGCAAGTGCGAGCTCTGCGAGAAGCGGCGGCCGCAGTTGGCGCAGGCGTAGGGCCGCTCGCCCGTATGTGTGCGCTGGTGCGTGACCAGCACCGAGCGCTGCGAAAAGCGCTTGCCGCACTCAGGGCACGGGAAGGGGCGTTCGCCCGTGTGGCCGCGCCGGTGCTTGGCCAGGTTGGAGCGCTGCGCGAAGCCGCGGCCGCAGTCGGCGCAGCGGAAGGGCTTCTCGCCCGTGTGCGTGCGCCGATGCCGCTTGAAGTCCGAGCTGTGGCCGAAGCCCTTGCCGCAGTCGGGGCAGCGGTGCGGCTTCTCCTCGGCGTGCGCCCACTGATGCCGCGTCAGCGCCGCGCTCTGCCCGAAGCGCCGGCCGCACTCTCCACACGCGTAAGGCCGCTCCCCGGTGTGCGCGCGCCCGTGCGCCGTCAAGTGCGCGCGACGGCTGAACCCCGCACCGCACACGCCGCACACGAACGGCTTCTCGCCCGTGTGGCCGCGCACGTGCGCCGCCAAGTGCGAGCCGCGGGCGAACCGCGCGCCGCACTCGGGGCACGGGAAGGGCCGCTCGCCGGTGTGTGTGCGCCGGTGGCGCGCCAGGTGCGAGCCGTACACGAAGCTCTTGCCGCAGTCGGCGCAGCGATGCGGCCGCTCGCCCGCGTGGTAGCGCTGGTGCTTGGCCAGCGCGGCCCGGCGCCCAAACGTCTTGCCGCAGTCCGAGCAGATCCACGGGCTCTCCTCCTCCGCCAGCGCGGCCGGCGCGGGCTCCGCCAGCAGACCCCCGATGGCGGGCCCGAACGCGCGCAGGCCGCCTCCGCCGCCCGCGGCCCCGCCGCCGCCGAAAGGGTCGCACGCCAGCCCGGTACCCTCCACCAGGGAGAGCGGGCCCCCCAGGGGCGCCGGGAGCGGGCGCCCGTCGACCGGCAGCCGCTCTCGGAAGTCGGGTAGGCCCAGGATCGGGAAGCTGTCCGGGTGCAGCCAGGACTTGGGGTGCACGGGGAAGTGGAAGCCCAGCGGGTGGGAGGAGGGGCCTTCGCCCTCCCCCAGGCCGTTGCCCAGCTCCAGGAAGCGCCGTTCCGGCGCGGGGTCCACCTTGCCGCTGGGGGTGGGCGCCGCCACCGCCGCCTCCTCTCTCTCCTCGGCCGCGGCCTCCGCCTCTCCGTCCGCCTCGCCAACTTCAGATCCCTCTGGCCCAGGGTCCGTGTCCTCGGGCCCCGCGGCGGCCGCCGTCTCGCCGGGCTCCCGCCGGGGGCCGTCACCACCCGCCTCCGCGCAGCCCCCGCCGCGTCGGTGGCGCTGGAAGTCGGCGCGCAGGCGGAAGGCCTGGCCGCAGTCGGGACAGCAGTGCGGGCGGTCGGCCGTGTGCACCGCCTGGTGCCGTGCCAGCGCCGAGCTCTGGCTGAAGCTGCGGCCGCAGTGCGAACACGGGTAGGGTCGCTCGCCGGTGTGCGTGCGCTGGTGCGTGACCAGGTAGGAGCGGCGCCCGAAGCCCGCGCCGCAGAAGGCGCAGCGGTAGGGCCGCTCGCCAGTATGGATGCGTCGGTGCGTAACCAGGTGCGACTTGTAGACGAAGCGCTTGCCGCAGTCCGGGCACGGGAAGGGCTTCTCGCCGGTGTGCGTGCGCTGGTGGATGGCCAAGTGCGAGCGGTACACGAAGCCCTTGCCGCACTCCTCGCAGCCGAAGGGCTTGACGGCCGCGTGGTAGCGCTGGTGCTTGGCCAGCCGCGAGCGGTGCGGGAAGACCTTGCCGCACACGTCGCACGTGGTCTCCGGCCTCCCGGCCGGCGGGGCCACTGCGGCGGGGAACGCCCAGGGCGACAGCAGGTTCGCACCCGGCTCCCGGCCGGGCAGGAAAGGCTTCGCTTCAGAGCCGTCGGCCAGGACCCCCAGGCCGCCTGGGTCGGGTCCCCACCCCTCTGGAGTCTGCGCCGAATCCGAGTCGTCGGGCCCCCACGTCCCAGGCACGTCCCCCACGCCGTAGGCCGCCGACCAGAGCCCTGGGGGCTCGTTCTCCTCCTCGGCCACCTCCGCCAGGAAGTCCTCGTCGTCTTCCTCCTCGTGGTCCTCTATGTCGTCCGTCCAGAACCAGGCTCCTGAAGGTGACAAAGGCAGGCCAGAAGAGAGAGGTAAGTGAACTTGACAGGAGCCTCTGGCAGGTTCCTGTCCCGAGAAATCAGGGCTTCCGAGACGCCACCAGCAGGACCTTCCTTCAGTCGGACGGGGCACCTCCTTTCACCAAGTGAGCGGTTGCCCATGTCCCACTGCCAGTCCTGAACAGCCGCAAGGCAGGAAAGCCGCCGCCCCCAGCTAGGAACCTGGGGACACGCAGCACCTGAAACTGTCCCTCCCAGGAAAGCCAGGGCTCCCGTCCAACATCTCTTCCAGACCGCCGGCTCCCTCCAGGGCTTGCCACCTGCTGAGGAACGGGGCAAACTCTAGGAAGGGGTGCGACCGAAGGTTAAACCCAAGCAGGGATCCTGTGCTGAGAAAACCAGGTGGAGACGCTGGGGCAGTTTTCCCCAAAGCTCCTGGAGAACTCCGCCTCCCTGGCCTTCCTGGAAGACAGCGCAGCCGGCGGCCCTGTCCACAGAAGACCTGCCTTTGTCAGCTCTAAGCTTTTTGTTTTTGTTTTGAGACAAGAGTCTCACTCTGTCACCCAGGCTGGAGTGCAGTGGCTCGATCTTGGCTCACTGCAACCTCCACCTCGTGGGTTCAAGCAATTCTCCCACCTCAGCCTCCCAAGTAGCTGCGATTATGGGCTCAGGCCACCACGCCCGGCTTTTTTTTTTAAAAGCTCACTGCAACCTCCACCTCCCAGGTTCAAGCAATTCTTCTGCCTCAGACTCCCTAGTAGCTGGGATTACAGGCGCACAGCACCGCAGCTGGCTAATTTTTGTATTTTTAGTAGAGATGGAGTTTCGCCATGTTGGCCAGGCTGGTCTCGAACTCCTGACCTCAGGTGATCTGCCCACCTCGGCCTCCCAAAGTGCTGGGATTACAGGCGTGACCCACCGCGCCCAGCCTTTTTTTATTTTGTTTTGTTTTTTGAGACGGAATTGAGCTCGTTGCCCAGGCTGGAGTGCAATGGCCGAATCTCGGCCCACCGCAACCTCCACCTCCCGGGTTGAGCAATTCTCCTGCCTCAGTCTCCCGAGTAACTGGAGTTACAGGCGTGCGCCCAGATGATGATGATGATGATGATGATTTTAGTAGAGATGGGGTTTCTCAGTGTTGGTCAGGCTAGTCTCAAACTCCTGACCTCAGGTGGTCTACCCACCTTGGCCTCCCAAAGTGCTGGGATTACAGGGGTGAGCCACCGTGCCCGGCCTGTCAGCTCTAAGCTTTGCTCAGCTTCCCCCATTCTGCCCCTCTCACACCAAGCTGCACCCCTGCCCTCTCCCTTCAGCCTTGCGAGGCACCTGTGCAGGCAATGAACAACATGTAGATGGAGCTGGCTCGGTGGGGCTCCTGTTGATGGCTCAAACACCTAAGACATCGTGACGCACCCAGGAGGGAACTGGTGTCTATGGAGCAGGCACTAAGTCACGGGACACAGGGATGACACCTGGCCTGCAGCCCCAGATGCTCTAAGGCACCTTCATGGACCCTCCTGGTGTCTGCCCGACAGTCTCAGCATCTGGAAGGTTCCAGCTCCCACAGCTGGTGTGGAAATCTCCTCCTCACCCCACCTGGGTCCCCTGCCCATTTCAGCCGTCACCTAGCTGGATAAGCCTGGACCACTGAGTGCTGCCCTAGAGGGAAAGTCGGAGCCCAGGAGGTCCCAGTAGGCCTCGGGTAGCCCCTCATGTCGCACGCTGGCCCCTGCCAGGCTGCATGCCCTTGGCACTGCCTCGTCCCACATACATTCCATATGGGGACCTAGAGCCGCAGGAAAACACAGACCCACACAGGCCCGGCTTCACTGTGAAAAAACAGGCATCATAGAAAAGGGTCAGAAAACGGGTTACTGCATCTTTCACATTTCATGATACTTTATCGGTTTACTATCATAGTAAACGTAAGCTTGAAATAAAAAGGTTTCTTGTCACTAAGTTGAGTCTACCTCGAACTGCCACCCACAGCCACTCCGTGCACAGAGCAGCAAAGAAAAGCCCCGTCCCCATCAGTGGCCACCCTTCCCCGACTGGCAGCCACACTCCCCAGGTCTGGGAAGGCTGCTGCACCCCAGCCCTATACCCCAACCCTACAGGATAGGGAGGCTGGCAGAGAGCTCGAAAGGATCTCACCCTGAGGCTCTGATGCAGGTCTTGGGTTTAGAGACCCCTCCAAACGGGGAAGGTTCAAGCCTAGGAACAACTATGATTTTGTAGCGGGGTGCATCGGTACCTCAGGAAACAGCCAAGACTCAGCGAGCATTTACTGGATAATAAGCCTCAAAGAACTGGACTCCCAGGCCAAGGGCGGCCTTGCCCACAGAAGTCTCAGCTGCCCAGAGCTGGGAGGCTCCTCCCATCACCTCTCCCTTGATCCTGATCGCAGCAGGGAATCCTCTCACTTGGGGAGGTAGGCAGGGAGCCCCCATCCCAGTGGGATCTGTAGAGAGGGCACCCCCCGCCAGCTCTGGAGCTGGCATGGCCACTTGTCCAACAACTGGGACAAGGGTGGGCCACACTCCAGCATATGGCATGGTGACAGGCCACCATTGACACCGAGTGCAGGAGGGGAAGGACATCCAAGTCCCTGGGGAGTCTGAGCGGGCTGCACTCTAAGGGGAGCTCCCAGGAAGTAGCAGGGCCCCTGGGAAGGGTCCCAGAGGGAGACCAGCCTGCCCCAGGCCAGGCTCTGTCGAAGTCCACGGGAACATCCTTGAGTGAGGGTGTTCAGCCAACAGGGCTCCAGGGACAAGGCCCCGAGGGCGTTTGCTGGCTCTCAGATCCAAAGCCGTTTTCCAGATCTAAGTCAGGCCTCATCACAGCTCAACTCATCAGACCCAAGCCGGGGCAACAGGAGGCTGACTAGGAGGGGCTGGTGCATGTTTCTCAACAGCTGGAGGGCACTGGGGCAGGAACCATGCGACAGCAGCCCAGGGTACCCAACACACCTGCTTCCTCCAGAACCCAGGGGACAGCAGAGGAGAGGAGACCCTGGGACTGACGGTCCCTCTCCCCTGCACCTCACGTTTAGGCCTAAGGACTCTGACCTAGCAACATGCAGCTAGGCTTCCGGAAGAGGGACCACAAGGGCTCAGTGATAAAAAGGAGAGGCCGATCAGAGGCTCAAAGTCAGCTCTGTCTAGGGAGGGAGAAGCTTCCAGAGTATGGCCACAAGAACCTTCACGGCCCATGTCCTGAACTGGGAACACTAAGACCCCCCCCATCCAGCGGCAGGTGACAGGAGCTGATGGAGAGGGAGACCACCCCAGCAGGCTGGGTGCAAGGGAATGAATGAAAGGCTCAGGGCTGGGGCTGGGGCTGTCACAGGAACGATCCCCCCACCTCCCTCCACAGGCATCAGCACCAGGCACAGCTGCTCCCTAGCATGAGTGGCGTCTTTAGAGGCTTCCCCTTTGAACCTTAATGCTGAGATGTCCCTCAAGGCTCACTACTCCCCTGTGCCCGCAGCAACCCTCCTGCAGGCTGAAGCCCCACATCTGCTCAGTTCCGCCAGGACGGCAGGGGCCAGGCCGGGATGCTACACCTTCTCTCCCTTGGCTTCACCTCAAAAGGCAGCTGGGGGGCCCGGGCTCTGTCTGGGTGTGAATTCCACTCCTATGACGCACTGGCCATAGGACCTTGGGCAAGGCCTTAAATCTGAGTTTTCCCATCTGTAAAATGGGTTGATAACAGCACCTGCAATCCACTTGGTGGGACTGCTGCCAGGATGAAATGCACATCCGTAAACACCTGCGATGCGGCTGCAGAAGCACCTCCACTGCTCCCCGGGTCAGGTGGCGCTGCTGCCACCACAGTTCCCTGCAGATGCCAAGGCCCCCTGCTGTCCATCCCATGCTTTCTGTTGGTCACCGCTCAAGTTGTCCCCCAAATGTCAGGCGATGCTCCTTTCCTGCCATCAGGTCCTGGTGGCCACAGATCCCCACCAAGGCCTTTCCTCTTGAGGCTGGGCCACAGTCCCTAATCCTAGATAGGCCCCTGGCCAGCCCTGTGCCCCGGGGGCAGGCTGCCTCCTGGACTGGACAGGAGGGGCGGGGCACCCTCCAGCCCACACTAGTGCCCTCCTGCTCACCAGTGGCTGGTGCAGTGCCAAGGCCCTCAGGCCCTGGAGGCACAAAGGTCCCTACACCTGGGAGGGTGCTCGTCGGCATCACCAAAGCCGGGCATTTACCCAGAATCCCACCAACACAACTGCAGGCTCTCCAGCTTCTGTCCCCAGGCCCTGGTTTAACTGTGTGGGAGGCAGTGGTGATCCCAGGGGCCAACCAATGTCCCCAGCAGCACAGCCCCCAGAACAGTCTGGTAAGTGCCCTGCCCTGGGCACAGCGTGGGGGCCCTATGTAGGACACTAATCACAGCGGCTGTGGGGAAGACAGTGGCCCCACAGCCACATGCCTGACCCAGAAGACACGGTCCCAACCTGCCACGGGACCCCACACACATCTCACATCACTGAGGGATGCTGCTCGGTGTAGCCCACACACACCACCCATGGCACCAGGCCGCCACCATCTACGACTCCCACTCCTGGGCAACCTCTGCCCATCTCGGAGTCTGGAACCTGCTCTCCAGGCCCAACCTGACCTGGGCCCCACGGCGAGTCCACGGAGTTGGCTGACTGAACAGCGCCACTTCTCTCCCTCTGACAACCCATCCACTGGGGCCTGGCCTGGAGCGCAGGCTGTGGAAGTCAGTTCCGAGTGAAGCCAACACCTGCTCCCTCCCCTCACCCGGCCAGTGCAACTTTCTCCATTCAGACACAAACTCCAGATGGCCTTAGGGAGATCTTCTCTCACGGGGGACAGTCGCAAAGGAGGTGGAGGACAAGGGTGACACGCCCAAGTCCATAGGCATTAGCAGCACTCTCTTCTGCAAACTGTCAGGGGGATGAGGGTGGCACTGGCCCCACAC
Source organism: Homo sapiens (assembly GCF_000001405.40). Lineage (NCBI taxonomy): Eukaryota > Metazoa > Chordata > Mammalia > Primates > Hominidae > Homo > Homo sapiens. The sequence goes on along the minus strand of NC_000007.14, from coordinate 6,647,352 downwards.
ATTGGTGCTTGGGGGAGGCGGGGCTCTCGGGCGCAGCTTCTGCACTGGCATCTGAACCAGCTGCATGGCCTTGGCCAGGCTGCCAGGTCTGTAAGGAGGGGCCTCTCTGAGGACAGGCACTGGGCCTGCCCCTCACTGGGGCAGGTGACCTCAGAAGGGCCAGTCTGCAGTGGCTGAGGGGGTCCATCTCGGAGGGTGGAAAGACAGTCCCACAAGTACAGGGCTGGCCCGCCAGGCCAATGCCACTGGCAGGCACCCACAGCCACAATTTTCTCCAGGCACATTCTTGCTCTAGTGCAGACCAGAGCCGGCAGAAAACAGGGTTCAACCAGGGCGGGGATCTAAGCCAGGTAAGGAGAAAGGCAGGGCAGGGGAGGGTCTGAAGCATGGCTGAAGGGCAGGTGGGGGCTTCAGCAGCCCTCAGGAGGGGTGGGTCCTGATCAGGGCAGTGCCAGAGCCCAGATGTCATGTGTGGCCCAACTCATCAAGGAGCCCAAGAGAGGGACATACTTGGCTCTTGCAAGACTCCAGTCTAGAAACAAACTCTGTCAGCCTGGGCACAGGCAGCCTCTGTCCTGCCCCAGCGATCTCAACCAGCTCAGCCGACCAGAAATGAATGCAGGGGAGGCAGGGAGCACTGGGGGAGGCGGGGAGCATCAGGGGAGGGTAGCCACTCAGTACACAGGCTATGGATCACATTTCAGAGACTGACTTTACACACCCACTCAGGGCCGGGGGGCATCCCAGGCCTGCCAGCCCCAACACGACGACCATCCGCAGGGGATGCAGGAGGCACTGGCCCAGCCAGCCCCTCAGGTAGCTCTCAAACCCCAGCCAGGTGCACAGGCCACAAGGGTACTGTTGCCCGGGCTGAAAGGGAACCACTCAGGCTCAAGCCTGCACAAGGCTCTACCCCTAACCCTCCAGGAGGCACAGAGAACAGGAGCACAAGTAGACCACACGCTGAGGGACGGGCCCCGCAGGTCTGTGTCCCCTTCTCTTCCTGAGAGCGTCATCCACATCCCAGACTCATCCTGGGGGCAGCAGTGATCTTTCTTGCCAACCAGAGCCCTCCTGACTGAAACCTGGGGAATATTCCAAGAGGGTCCCCAAGTATCTGGAGAATGGCGGCACGAAGGGCCTCCTACAATGACACAGAGGAGGGACTGGCAGGCCTCAATGATAGTTCAGCTCTGTGTCCCCACCCAAACCTTATCTCCAATTGTAATCCGCACGTGTCGTGTCAAGGGAGGGACCTGGTGGGAGGTGATCAGATCATGGGGGCCGTTTCCCCCCATGCTGTTCTCATGATAGTGAGGGAGTTCTCACGAGATCTGATTTTTTTTTTTTTTTTTTTTTGAGATGGCGTCTCACTCTGTCACCCAGGCTGCAATGCAGTGGCGCAGTCTTGGCCCACTGCAACCTCCACCTCCCGGGTTCAAGTGATTCTTCTGCCTCAGCCTCCCAAGTAGCTGGGACTACAGGCGCGCACCACCACACCCAGCTAATTTTTGTATTTTTAGTAGAGATGGGGTTTCACCATATTGCCTAGACTGGTCTTGAACTCCTGACCTCGTGATCTGTCCACCTTGGCCTCCCAAAGTGCTGGGATTACAGGCATGAGACACCGCACCTAGCCTATTTTTTTTTTATTTCTTTTTTAATTTTTGAGACAGAGGCCCACTTTGTCACCCAGGCCGGAGTGCAGTGGTACAACCTCGGCTCACTACAACCTCTGCCTCCCGGGTTCAAGCCATTCTCCTGCCACAGCCTCCCGAGTAGCTGGGACTACAGGCACACGCCACCACACCCAGCTAATTTTTGTATTTTTAGTAGTGATGGGGTTTTGCCATGTTGGTCGGGCTGGTCTCAAACTCCTGACCTCGAGTGATCTGTCCACCTCAGCCTCCCAAAGTGCTGGGATTATAGGCATGAGCCACCGCACCCAGCTTGTATTTTCATTTGAAAACACATCTATGAGGTGCTCCAAATCTACCCATTGCCCCTCCTAACCGGCATCACCTAGCCCCAAACCAGACACCTGTGGGGCAGGGGCCTCTGCAGAGCTCTCTGACGCTAGGAGCCCCTCAGACACCACTAAGGACCTCCACGCAACTGACAATGTGGCGTCCCCCAGTGGGAACCTGAGTTGAGTTCAATTTCTTCAGATGAATAAAGGGGGCCTTAGAGTTGAAGGAGCAGAGCCAGAGCTGGGCCTGAGGCTTTCAGGGAAATTCACCACCCTGAACGCCTTCTGCACCCATCACTCCAAAACCTCCTCTCCAGAATGCCCCAACCTGCCCATCCCGGTCAGAGTCCTGCCCATGGTGCTCCAGGGAGAGCAAGGGAGCTGGGGGGAGCCTTTTCCCAGACATGGCCAAGTGGGCGGAGAAGCAGGAGGAACGGCTAGCACTGTGCCATCAGAAAGGCCTCCGCGATGGCGTGCTGGGCTCCTGGGTCTGCCCTGGCTCAGCCGACCACCTGACAGCTGGCCCCTCACATGCAAAGAAATTCACAGGCTCCAACGCAGGGCAGGGTATCATTTTTAAAGGTTCCTAGGAGGAGCCTCTAGGTTCTCTAAGGACCTTACAGCCCTCGGACCTTTCTGGAACTTGAACCACCAGGAGCCAGGCGGCAAAGGCAGAGGCGCAGTCAGAGGCACCAGGTACCAGGTCTGCAGAGAGCGCAGTGAAGGCCAAAGTTTGACAACAGCTCTGAGAAGCTATCGGCACAAACCGCAAAATTCCATCCACGCTCACCTGTGTAGACGCCAGTGACGATGTCTCCTTCCTCAGGTCGGGGACTATCTGGGACCCAAGGTTCTTCCCCTTGTTCCAGCCGGAAGATCAGATCGGGCTTGGGAATTGGGTATCCTGCCAGGAGAACAGACGGCGGCTGCAGGCGGCTCCCGTGGGCCCTCCCCTGCCCTGCAGCCCGTGCTGTGCCACCGCTCAGTGCCCCTCCACCTCCATCTTCCCAGCACCAGCCCTCCCACACCCCTGCTCTGGAGGGTCCAGGCGGTCCCTTCCCTCTGAACCTTTCCCTGTCCTCCCCTGCCCTCCTCCCACCAAGCCCCCCCAACACCTTCACCTGCAAGATGCCCACAACCCTCCTCCTCCCTCGCCTTCCGCCTCACCCCTGGAGGCTTCAGGGGCCATGCAGCAGACACCAGAGACAGACAGCCTCCACAGATGTGTCACCTGGCTCAGGGTGCTGCCTGGCCAGTGACATCCCCCGCCCCACCCAGGGGCCATGGGGTCCTAGGGCTTCCCTGGGAGGTGGGCTGGGCCCAGCATCCACCTTTGGAAAGACCCTGGGATTTGAAAAGCGCCCCGTCAGACAGCTAAGACCCTGGCAGCCATCACACCAGGCTGCCTCTTGGGGACAAAAGGTCCCGTCCTTACCCAAGGACACGAGAATCCCATAGTTCTCCTGCATGACTTCCTGGTAGAGGCCCCGCTGGTCTGCTTCCAGCCTTTCCCACTCCTCCAGGGAGAAGTACACAGCCACATCTTCAAACGTCACCAGCTCCTGGGGAAACAGAGCCTCAGGTGAGAGGCTGAGGGAGCCCTTTACAAAGAGCCACGGAAGATTGAGGCCACTGAGGCTCTCCAGCATGGGTGTCAGGGGACACAGATGCCCAGATGGCACTGAGGGCTTTCAGGCCTTGCCACAGCCCTGGAAAGCAAGGACCAGATCCCAGCCAGAGAATGGGGACTCAAGCTCAAAGACGGTGAACGACCCAGCTCGTAGGGCAGAGCTGTGGCTCAAGCAGAGGCCAGGAGACAGGGAGCCCCGCCCCCAGTCCCCCTCTTCATGCAGTCTGGCTCAAGCCAGTGCAATGGCCATGTCAGCCATGGAGGGCCCACACCCGAGTGGACAAGCAGCAGCAACTAAACCGAGCGTGGGCACTGGTGCCTGACCTGACTGGGCAGCAGGAACCCAGACCCTGGACATGTGACAGGCACTCCAGGTGAGGGGAGGGCCAGCCTTGGGGGAGAGCCAGGCCTCTGAAGTCGCTGTGCACAGTGCGGTTGAGTGGGTGGCAGCCAAAGCAATCAGGACAACCCAACGCCCAGGAAAGCAGGACCACACCCCCGGGCTTGGGGCTGGACACCCAGCCGCTTCCTGTGGCCACTCCCAGCTCAGGGCCTGGGCCTGGTCCGGGGACTCCAGTGCCATGGCCGCTGCCAACAGACGCCTCCAAACAGCAGGTGCCGAGGCCCCGGGGGAAACCCTGCCCAGGTTACCCAAGCCCCAAACGGAGAGGGCGGCTCACCTGACACCCAGCCGTCAGCAAATCATCCTCGTCCTCATCCTCCTCCTCCTCTTCCTCCTCCTCCAGGTCCTCATCCCTAGGAGTGGCTGGAGCCCGGGAGGCCTGCAGGCCTGTGGGGAGAGATCTCTTAGGGCCAGCTGCCCTGAGCCCCCAGCCTGCAGGGCCAGGAGCCCTGGCAACACCCTCATTGCAAAGCTGGGTTTCAGCTCCACCCTGTCGGCCCAAGAGCCCTCCTGGCTTGACCAGGTCCCTGGCCTGGCCCACCTCAGCCCCCTTCATCTCCTCCCCAAGGCTGGCTGCTTTTCTTACCCTTTTCCTGAAGAACTGGGGACTTGGCATCACCACCACGGCTAAGTCGCTCCTGGGTCCCCAACGCCGGACACTCCTCCTCTGCCAGCACCTCCTTCACATCCTCCTCCTCCACGTCCGCCTCCACCTCCACCTCGGCCACCGCCTCCACCTGCGCATCCTGCACTACCTCTGCCACACCCTCCTCCTCCTCCTCCACCACTATCTCCTCCTCCTCTTCTTCCACCTCCTGCACCTCTTCCCCCTTTTCCTCCTCCTCCTCCTCTTCTTCCTGGTCAGGGTCGCACTCTGACCCGTCCTCTGCCCGCTCCAGCTGGGCAGCTGGGGAGTCGGGAGTCGTGTGGAGCGCCGCCATCCTCCCTGGGAGCGAGCCTCCACGTGGCCTGAAATGCAGATGGACGCCAGTGACGGGCTGCTCTCAGCACACCACACGGTCCCCTCACAGGGTCTCCCGCAGCCTGGCGGGGGCGCAGGGAGCAGGATTTACTCCTCCTGTTATGTAGTTGAAGGCAATGGAGATGAGGGAGGACCGGGCCTTCCCACGATCTTACCCTGCACCATCAAGACATTCTGTACCCAGAAAGGCTGCCCCAATGGCCCCTCCGCGTGACCCCTGGGATGCCAGTCTCAGCTCCTTTTCACCAAGAACTACGTGCCTGGTGTGAACTGCTGCTCTTTCCTGGAGTAAATCAGGCATTTATCCCAGTCTTTATCCACAAGGAAGCATCACACAGCCCGAGGGTGGCCCATGTTTAGCCAGAAGGAAAAGCCCACCTGATACACAGGACAAAGAGACGCTTACCTGGTCCTCAACACACATGAACCAGGCCAGCAGGGAACGCCAAGAGGTCTCAGCACAGACAGGATGCAGGCACTTGCAAGGCACAACGGGGCTAGGAGGAGAGACAGGTGCCAGGAAGCCGGCAGGTCAGGCTTCTTCCTGCAGGACATGGGAGAGTGGGGGCTGTGAGCCAGCATCACCCTCATGTGCCCTCAGCCCTCGCTCTGTGAAAAGCGCAGTGCATGGTGGACACACGGCTCATCGCCAGACCATCAGGAGGACAGGAAATGCCTGTGACATTTCAAGTTTGGGGATCAGAGACTCTTGAGGGCTGACTTACCAAAGCCCTAGAGGCTACAGCGTCCTACTCTCTCACTGACATCAGTAACAGCTCAGCCCAGAAGCTCAGGGGAGAGGCAGCCACACTGACACAGGGTCCAGGGTCCAGGGCCATGGACACAGCAGGATGGGAGCTGCTGGCCCTGGGACCCCTCGCCCCTCCCCACTGCGTGTCCTTCACTAGCCCCTGTGGGGTCCCAAGGGCACGGCAGAGTCATAGCGTTGATGAGTCCATTTCTGTGGCTCCTTTCTGGGTATAAACCTGAGACCGGGCCCATTACCCAGGACACACACCATCAGTGTCTCTGGCCTGAACAGGGCCATTTCCAAAGCAAGCCAAGCCCAGAATCCAGGGGGAGAGGCCATGAGCCCCAGAAGCATCCTGGAATGTCAGGCCACTTGGCCACACAGAGCACTGGGCCCACCCTAGCTCATCCAGCTCGAGCAGTGGACAGTGTCTGCCACAGAACTCCTAAAACAAGACTGAGTGGCCTTCACGAGAACAGTCCAGACCACCACGCCTGGTGTTCTTACGGACACAGGAGAAAGCTGCTCCGTGATTAGCTCTCCCTCCATAACCCATCACTTCTCTATCAATTAGCGCAGCTGTGTTAGGCCATTTCTGCATTTCTGTGAAGGAATACCTGAGGCTGAGTAAGTGGCAAAGAAAAAAGGTTTCATTCACTCACAGTTCAACAGGCTGCACCAACATGGCGCCGGCATCTGTTTCTGGGGAGGGCCTCAGGAAGCTTCCACTCGTGGAGGGAGGCAAAGGGGCAGCAAGAGAGAGGGAGGAAGCCCCACTCTTTTAAAACAACCAGATCTCTTGTGAACTGAGAACTCCCTTATCACCAAGGGGACGGTGCTAGACCATTCATGAGGGATCCGCCTCCATGGGCCAATCCCCTCCCACCAGGCCCACCTCCAACACTGGAAATCACCTCCCAGCAGGCCCGCCTCCAGCACTGGAAATCATGCTTCAGCGTGAGACTGGAAGGGGACTGATGGAGCCTGGATGTTTGTCCCCGCCCAGATCTCACGCTGAACCGTAATCCCCAATGCTGGAGGCGGGGCCTGGTGGGAGGTGACTGGATCATGGGGGTGGGTCCCTCCTGAATCTTGGGCCATCCCCTTGGAGACAGTGAGTAATGAGTTCACAGGACATCTGGTCGTCTTTAAAAGTGTGTGGCGCCTCCCCACTCACTCTCTCTTGCTTGTTCCTGTTTTCGCCATGTGACATACCTACTCCCCCTCACCGTCCACCATGATTAAAGGCTTCCTGAGGCTCCCTAGAAGCCAGGCAGATGCCAGCACCATGCTTCCTGTACAGCCTGCAGAACCATGCGCCAGTCTCACCTCTTCTTTATAAATGACCCAGTCTCAGGTATTTCTTTACAGCAATGCGAGAACAGCCTGACACCTGGACAAACACCCAAACCATAGCAGCCGCGCGTACTCATTTCCTGAACTGCTTTGAGCAGTTGCTTTAAAATCCACACTTTAATAGCCAGGAAGCTCTGAGCATTCACACAGGCTCACCCAAGTCAAAGGCTGGGACACACAGGCATCCAGAAGCCACCTCTGTCCCGAAGGTCACACGTGCCCCCTGACTGGCTCCAGCCCCCTTTCTAGTTTCAGAATCACTAACCCCCAAAGACTCAAGTCACAGAACTACGCCTGGGAGCGCCACCCCAACCTCCAGCCTCTCCCAGAAGCCAACCTTCTCAGTGTCCACAGCTCTTTGGCGTGTGAAGATGCCCAAAGTGTCGAAATCCACGTGCTGCGTGTTATGCTAGCCACCTCCAGGAGGACACGGCCCTGCCCAGCACTCAGGGCGCTGGGTACACGCAGCAACGGTTTCCCAACTGCCACCCACTTGAGGCCCAGAGGAGGGCTTTTCTCTTTCAAGCCTCAGGCCGCAGATTCAGGCTGGGCCTAGGTGCCATGCCAAGCTCAGTAGAGCTGTCTCCTGCCTGGCCACCACCTGAAGCAGCAACTTTAAACTCCCAGAGCCAGGCCGCCATATATGAGGACACAACAGAAGAACACTTCACAGCTTTGGAATAAAGTGGCTGCATGTTCATCTCATCTCAGGCCGTGTGTGTGTTATTCCCCATCCCCAGAACTCTCTTCCCCTTTTCCTGGGTGGTCTTCTGAGGCAGCCCCCTGGGCCCCAGTGGGTGACACAGTTCCCTGTAATTCTTCCCTCACAGCACTCACCACATCTTAAAAATACACTTATGAGACTGTCTTATCATCTCTCTCCCTGAGTACAGCCAGCTCCTGGGCGGCAGAAGCTCCCTTTGCTCATGTCTGAATACCCCTCACACCAGCACTTAAGAAGCATTCAAATACTTACTAAAAGAATGTCTAAAGTCGCCAGCCAATGTGATGGACACAGGATTTTTCAAACTCAGCATTTTGGCCCTACTGTCCTGTTCCAGAACAGACTGACCACTGCTGGGGGTAGGGGGTTGGGGGGACCCTTGGAATTGGAACTCACCCCAGAAGCAGTGGAGAGTCTCTGCCTCCAAAGACGACACTGAGTTCTTTCTCCCAAGAAGTCCACCCACGGATGACCAGAGAAGGTGGAGGACCAGCTCCTACAGAGGTCAGAAGCACAGCCAGACATCGTCCCCAACCCAAGATTCAGAACATAATGGTTTGAAAAACGGACCTCAGCAGTCCGGGCAGAGTTTAGATTCCAGCAACTCCCCCTGGGTTATCTCTGCCTCCCCCAGGCCTGCACTCTTGCCCTCTTCTTGCCAGCCTGCCAGTCCACTGTAAACACTGCTCACTTCTCCCTCGGCATCCAACTCTGGGTCAGAGGCCACAGGGGGTCTCATCAGCATCAATCCCAAACCAGAGGCCACAGGGAGCTTCACCAACGTCATCCCAAACCCTCATTTCTCAAACTCCCCACCTCAGGTGATCCACCCGCCTCGACCTCACAAAGTGCTGGGATTACAGGCGTGAGCCACCTCACCCGGCCCCAAACCCTCATTTCTACTAGGGCCCTGCACTCTAGGATACGGTGCTGCAGCCAACATTTAGAATGGGAGGTGACAAGGTATCTCCCAAGAGGAGAAGGGAGCGAGGCAAGGGCAGGAAGAAGAGGCAAAGCTTGAAAGTTGATAGAAACTCCTCACAAAAGCTCCAAAGCCAGGGAAACCCAACTCAGAGAGCGGGAGATGTGGGGGTGTGCTTGTGTCTAGCCCCCTTCATTCCCTCTGGGTGGCCCCCGCTGCCCTCAGAGCCCTTCGGGTCTTCATGCCCTCCTGAAGGACTTCCTTCCCCGACCACCACAGTCCTCACTGTCTGTCCTCGGATTCTGGATCCCCCTACTTTCCTGGGTTTGCTCCTGGTGCAGGTTATTTCCACGGGGGCCATCTCAGGTTCCCCAGGGTAGCCCCCTCACCACCCCACCCGGCCCCCAGACCTGCCCACACTTGTTGAACCAAACCAAGCACCGAGGTCTCCCCACACAAGCAGAGCTGGGGGCCTGATCCTCCTGGTACCTGCACTTCCTCTTGCCCATCGGGTCCTCGACCAAAGCCCAGCCCCTTTCCTACCTCTGCTGCCACGCGGGACAGCCCAGACCCCATCCAATCCCAGGGATGGGTGTCCCTACCTACCTGCCGGCAGCAGAAGACAGCCGAGCAGCCCACCGGGGCTCCTTCTGCAGATGAGGGAAAGCCCGGATAAGGCCCCCAAGGTCACAAAGCGGGCTCCTGGGGCGACGGGCCGAGCGCCTCCCGCCCCCCAGGGGGCGTCCGGAGCCGCCTCCTCCTGCAGAGACCTAGACGATGACAGCCCCTCCTGGATGGGTGTGTCCTGGGGGCGGCCGCGGCCCAGCCCCTGCCGCTGCGGCCGAGAAGGCGTGGGCGGGCACCCCGAGGTGTCACGCGTGGCCTCCCGGGCCTGCCCCCTCCGCCTCCTGCCCGGACCGGCCCCGGGGGTCGGCAACGCGCAGGCCCGGACGGGGGTCCGGGAGGCGGGGGCGCTGCCGCGGAAGTCCCTACCCGCGTTCCGCTCCGACTCTGCAGGCCCCGGCCCCGCCGCCTCCCCGCGGCCTCCCCGCGCCGGGCGTCGAGGGCCAGCCCGGCCCCGCCGCCGCCGCCGCCCCCGAGCGCAAGCCCGGCCCGCCCGCACCTGCCGCCCGCGCCGCCGCCCACCGGCCCCGCGAGACCCACTCACCGCGCGGGCCGGGCTGGCCGAGCCACGGGCCGGACACCGGGGCCGGGGCCTGCGGGCCGGCGGCGGACCCCGCGCTACACAAAGTGACGGCCCGGGAGCTGCGCGACGGCGGCGCGTGGGCACCGGAAGTACCGCCGGCCGGCCCCGCCCCGCCCGCGCCCGCGGGGGGAGGAACTTCCGGTCACGCGGGGGCAGCGGCGCGGAGCGGGGAAGCGCGGGTTGCGGGGGTTTGCCCAGCTGGGCCTCGGGCCGGGGCGAGGACGGGGCATGCGGGGAGGGGACGGGAGCGCCCTCGACACTCGTGGGGCGCCCACAACCTCGCCCCGCTCCTGGACACCCTGGCCAGGTCTCGGAGGTGACCCCGAGGTCCCGCCGCTGCGACCACCGCCTTCCCCGAACCCCAGCCCGGCCTCGTTCATCGGGGCGCCCGCTGAGGACCAGGCCCCGCGCTGGGCCCCCTCCGCCAGTCCACGGAGCCTGCCCGGGACCCCAGGATGGTGGAGGGAGGAGGCGACCCCTGTGGTGGGGAGGGGGCCAGGTGTCCACGCCTCCACCAGATCCCCGGGCCCGCGCGGGGTGAACGTCTTGTGGGTGGGGAGGGAGGAGGGACGGGCGGGGTGAACGTCTTATGGGTGGACTGTGGCGGTTGAGTGCAGGAGGAGACTGGGGTTGTGGAGCCCGCACTTGGAGGGACATGGGGTCACGGGCAGGGAAGCGATGTCCAGGCAGAGGGCATGGCCAGTGTGGGGGCAGAAGTGACAGGCGACCCCAGGAACCCAGGGAGGGGTCGGTGAGCTCAGCGGCCACCCCCAGACCCCCACCCACAAGCCTGTCTGCACCTGCTCCCAAGAGGTGCAGCTGGGGTGTCAGGATGAGCTCTGGCATTGGTGGAGTCCAGGGTCTGTCTTCCGCCTGGAATGGTGTGGCCTGGGCCCCTTCCCCAGCTCCCAGCCCGCCTGCACCACTGTTCTTGGTGCTTTTCTGTGGGGACCCCAGGCCTGACTGGGCAAGAGATAGAGGAGGACTCGGCCAGGCACGGTGTCTGTAATCCTAGCACTTTGGGAGGTCTTGGCGGGCGGATCACGAGGTCAGGAGTTCGAGACTAGCTTGGCTAACATGGTGGGTGAAACCCCATCTCTACTAAAAATACAAAAATTAGCCGGCCGTGGTAGCGCACCCCTGTAGTCCCAGCTGCTTGGGAGGCTGAGGCAGGAGAATCGTTTGAAGCCGGGAGGCAGAGGGTGCAGTGAGCCGAGATCACACCACTGCACGCCAGCCTGGGCGACAAGGTGAGACTCTGTCTCAAAATAATAATAAGATAGAGGAGGACTCAAACCTTAGTCCCACAGAGGGGTGCAGCCCCAACCCCTTGAATCAGACCCTCACAGTGATGTCGCTTGGCTCTTGGTGTCTTAAAATGTCTTAAAGTTAATAACATTTTAAAATAAGGAGTCCCATTCTTGTTTAAAAAATAAAATTGAAAAATCAGGTTCTAATGCGGGGTCTCACACCTATAAATTAAGCACTCTGGGGGGCCGAGGCGGGTCACACCTGTAATCCCAGCACTTTGGGAAAACAAGGTGGGAGGATTGCTTGAGCCCAGGAGGTTGAGGCTGCAGTGAGCTATGATAGCACCACTCCACTCCAGCCTGGGCAACAGATTGAAACCCTGTCTCTAATAATAAATAAAATCTGAAAAATCAGAAGTTCTGGCAACACAAGGCCCCTGGTTTGCAGGGCACCAGCCAGTAGGGCCTGAGAAGTAACCAGCTTCTGTGGGTGGGACTGAGCGTGGCCATGGTCCTCAGTGCCCACCACTCCCTGTCCCTTTCCTCCAGGCCCACATCTGAATGACACTGCCTGACTCTCCTGTGGGTATCTTTTAGAACCCCTAATCCCTAGATTAGACCCTTCCCCACCCTACCTGATCCGTCAGGTTCAGTAGGAAGGTGCAATTGCCCCCAGGCACTCCCAGGAAGGGCTCTGACTGTAGGACAATTAACAATTGACCAAAAGCAGTGTCACCAGGTGATGTGGTTTGGCTGTGTCCCCACTGAAATCTCGTCTTGAATTGTAGTTCTCATGATCCCCACATGTTGTGGAAGGGACCCGGTGGGAGGTAATTAAATCATGGGGGCAGTTCGCCTCATGCTGTTCTCATGTTAGTGAGTTCTCATGAGATCTGATGGTTTTGTAAGGGGCTTTTCCCCTTTGCTCCACACTTCTCCTTCCTGCCATCATGTGAAGAAGGAAGTGTTTGCTTCCCCTTCCACCATGATTGTAAATTTCCTGAGGCCTCCCCAGTCATGCGGAACTGTGAGTCAGTTTTTGGTGGTGGTGGTGGTTGGTGGTGGTTGGTGGTGGTGGTGGTGGTTTGTTTTGTTTTTGTTTTTTTCTTGAGATGGAGTCTCGCACTCTGTTGCCCAAGCTGGAGTGCAGTGGCACAATCTCTGCTCACTGCAACGTCAACCTCCCAGGTTCAAGTGATTCTCCTGCCTCAGCCTCCCAAGTAGCTGGGATTACAGGTGTGCACTACCACGCCTGGCTAATTTTTGTATTTTTAGTTGAGATGGGGTTTCACCGTGTTGGTCAGGCTGGTCTCGAACTCCTGACCTCGTGATCCGCCCGCCTCGGCCTCCCAAAGTGCTGGGATTACAGGCAAGAGCCACTGTGAGTTAAACCTCTTTCCTTTTATAAGTTTCCCGGTCTTGGGCAGTTCTTTACAGCAGCATGAAAATGGACTAATACACCAGGTAAAGGGAAGCAGCTGGAATGTGAAGGCACCAGGCCTTTGCCACCCTTAGCCCTGCAGGAGCAGGAAAGGGCAGGATGTTGTCAAGCCTGGAGGGAGGTGGAGATATAAAGATGGGGACACTGTGGGCACTGTGATTATAGAGGGACAGTGTGGCAAGGAGAGAGTACCCCAACCCTGCCCTCCTGCACCCTGTCACTTCCCAGTGCTGCCCGTTGCCCAAAACCACCTGTAATGTGGACAGCAAGGGACCCCAGAAGAGGAGTGTGTATAATAGAGTCAGCAGCTCCATCCCGGCCTTAGATCCCTCCACCCTGTCAGGCAGGGACCCCGAATCACCCCAGCATCTCCTCAGATCTCCTCTTGGCCTGTCCTCACCTGATACCTAATCCAAGACTCAATTTCTTCCTCTCCCTCGTCCACAGATAATTTTCCTTTTCCTTTTCCTTTTCCTTTCCTTTCTTTCCTTCTTTCTTTCCCTTCCTTCCTTTCTTCCTTCCCTTTTCTTCCTTTCCCTTTCCTTTTTAGGAAAGGAAAGGGCGTGAGCCACCTCACCGGGCCCTACGAGTGAGTTTTGCTTCTTGCTCCAACAGCACTGCTGAGGGGCTGAGGAGACGGAGAGGAGACGAAGGAAGCTGGTGGGACTTATGTGTCCTTGGCCTTAGGGAGATGCTAGACCAGGCCTGGGCCACCTGAGGATGCCTCTGACCTGGGGACAATTGGTTGTCATAAACTGTAGTTTAGTTGGACCTTCTTGTCACTCACTACTGAACTCAGTCTTGATAGATTTCCCTAGACTCATTTGAAGAAGGAAGTAATTAAAAAGCAGGCCAGGATTGGCCCATGCCTGTAGTCCCAGCACTTTGGAAGGCTGAGGCAGGAGGAAAGCTTAAGGCCAGGAGTTTGAGAGCAGCCTGGGCAACATAGCAAGACCCTGTCGCTACACAACATTTTTAAAAATTAGCTGGGTGCAGTGGCTCACGCCTGGAATCCCAGCACTTTGGGAGGCCGAAGCAGGAAGATAGCTTGAGCCCAGGAGTTCAAGACCAGCCTGGGCAACATAGTGAAACCTTGACTCTACTAAAAATTTAAAAATTAGTTGGGTGTGGTGGTGCATGCCTGTAGTCCCAGCTACTCAGGAGGCTGTGGTGAGAGGATTGCTTGAGCCCAAGAGGTTGAGGCTGCAATGAACTATGTTCACACCACTGCACTCCAGCCTGGGTGACAGAGGAAAACTCTGTCTCAAAAATAAAATAAAATAGGCCAGGCACGGTGGCTCATGCCTGTAATCCCAGCACTTTGGGAGGCTGAGGCAGATGGATCACGAGATCAGGAGATCGAGACCATCCTGGCTAACACGGTGAAAACCCGTCTGTACTGAAAATACAAAAAATTAGCCGGGCATGGTGGTGGGCACCTGGAGTCCCAGCTACTGGGGAGGCTGAGGCAGGAGAATGGCGTGAACCTGGGAGGCGGAGCTTGCAGTGAGCCGAGATTGTGCCATTGCACTCCAGCCTGGGCGACACAGCAAAATTCTGTCTCAAAAAAATAATAATAAAATAAAATAAAATAGCTGGGTGCAGTGGCTCACACCTGTAATCCCAGCACTTTGGGAGGCCGAGGCAGGTGGATCACCTAAGGTCAGGAGTTCAAGTCCAGCCTAGCTAACATGGTGAAACCCTGTTGCTACTAAAAATACAAAAATTAGGGGCCAGGCACAGTGGCTCACACCTGTAATCCCAGCACTTGGGGAGGCCAAGGTGGGCGGATCATCTGAGGTCAGGATTTCAAGACCAGCCTGGCCAACATGGAGAAACCCTGTCTCTACTAAAAATATAAAATTAGCCAGGTGTGGTGGCACACACCTGTAATCCCAGCTACTCGGGAGGCTGAGGCAGGAGAATCGCTTGAACCCGGGAGGCAGAGGTTGCAGTGAGCCGAGATTGTGTCATTACACTCCAGCCTGAGTGACAGAGTGAGACTCCATCTCAAAAATTAAATAATGTGGGGCGCAGTAGCTCATGCCTGTAATCCCAGCACTTTGGGAGGCCAAGGCCGGTGGATCACCTGAGGTCAGGAGTTGAAAACCAGCCTGACCAACATGGTGAAACCCCGTCTCTACTAAAAAAAAAATACAAAAATTTAGCTGGGCGTGGTGGTGGGTGCCTGTAATCCCAGCTACTCAGGAGACTGAGGCAGGAGAATCGCTTGAACCCGGGAGGCGGAGGTTGCAGTGAGCCGAGATCGCGCCCCTGCACTCCAGTATGGGCGACAGAGTGAGACTCCGTCTCAAAAAAAAAAAAAAGTAAATCATACCCTTTTTGCACTAGTACAATTCCATGTCAGTCATCTATCTATGAGCAGTTGGTGGGGTTGGGGCTGGGGGAATATCCAAGCATACTCATGAAACAGTTCCTGGGGTGTCATCTGCCTGGCTCCTGCCCATCCTCCACGGTGGGTGCTGGCAGTGAGGAGGGTGCCAGCCCACCCAGTGATTGGCATGAAGCTTGTTCTATGCTTCAGCCTTCGTGTGTCTCACTGGCAGGGACACAGGGTATGTGAAAAGTTAACAGGCATCTGGGGCATTTGGAATTCTGTGAGGCCGAGAGCATCTCCGTTCAAGTACATGGGCCTGCCCCGTATCTGCACAGACCCACCTGCAGGGACTGAACATTGACTGGGCAGAGCTCCCCTTCACTCGGCTCTCGGGACTTCCTCAGCTGTCTCTTCCTGCAGGAAGCCCTCCTGGGCTCCTCCTGAGCTCTCACACCAGGGGCTGGCAGGGAGCCTGGCACAGAAGGATGCTGATGGATGCCCCCACGGAGCCTCTGTGTGCCTGGAGTGGGCTGAAGGCAGTAGTGCTGCTATTAAAACCATAGGTGAGGCTGGGAGCGGTGACTCATGTTTCGTGTTAGTCGGTTCTCCTATTGCTATAAAGAACTGCCAGAGACTAGGTAATTTAAGAAAAGAGGTTTCACTGGCTCATGTCTCTGCAGCCTATACAGAAAGCATGGCTGGGGAGGCCTCAGGAAACGTACAGTCATGGCAAAAGGTGAAGGGGGAGCCAGCACTTCAAATGGTGGCAGCAGGAGGAATGAGAGAGAAGGGAGGGGTGCCACACACTTGTAAACAACTAGATCTCACAAGAACTCACTGTCGTGGTGACAGCTCCAGGGGGAATGGTATCAAACCATGAGAAATTGCCCCCATAATCCAATCATCTCCCACCAGGCCCCACCTCTAACACTGGGGATTACAGTTGAACTTGAGAGGCCAGGAATGGTGGCTCAGGCCTGTAATCTCGGTACTTTGGGAGGCCAAAGTGGGTGGATCACCTGAGGTCAGGAGTTTGAGTCCAGCCTGGCGAACCTGGTGAAACCCCGTCTCTACTAAAAATACAAAAATTAGCTAGGAGTGGTGGCGAGTGCCTATAATCCCCGCTACTCAGGAGGCTGAGGCAGGAGAATCTCTTGAACCCAGGAGGTGGAGGTTGCAGTGAGCTGAGATCACACCATTGCACTCCAGCCTGGGTGACAGAGGGAGACTCAGTCTCCAAAAATAAATAAATAACAATTGAACATGAGATTTGGGTGGGGACACAGATCCAAACCATATTATTCCTGTAATCCCAGCACTTTGGGAAGCCAAGGTGGGAGGATCGATCACTTGAGCCCAGGAGTTCGAGAACAGCCTGAGCAACATAGTGAGACTTCGTCTCTACAAAAAGTAGAAAAAATTAGCCAGGTATGGTGGTGCGAGCCTGTAGTTCCAGCTACTCGGGAGGGTGAGCCTGCAGTGAGCTATGATGGTGCCACTGCACTCTAGCCTGAGCGACAGACTGAGACCCTGTCTCAAGAAAAAAAAGAAAAAGAAAACAAAGCTGGACAGTAGTTAAAACGGTAAAAAACAGATTTTATTCAGGAACTATTGCAATAGGGAAAAGAGACCTCAGTATAGAACTGGGCTCAATTCTGAATACAGCAGGGACAAGTGGAGACTTCCAGCCTAGGAGCAGGTTGGAGGGGAGTGGGTGGGTGGAAAAATACGAAGGAGTGGGAGGTTGTGGTTGAACTGACTCCCAGGATCCTGGCTGAAGGCAGGCAAGAGTGATCAGAGGGCACCTGGCAGGTGGTGGGAGAGGAGGGATTTGATCAGATACCAAGGGTGGAGATTCTGGCTAAACTGACTTGACAGGATTTTTGCTACAGCTGGGCAATGCAGAGACGGGCACAGACACTCAAAGGTCAAGGCTGAGTGGAGAAGAGGCTCCGGGGAGGCTGAAGGCCGCTCAAGGAAATAGAAAGACTGTGTTTCCAGCCCTGCATGCCTCCTCATCGGCAGTTGAGACCCCACTGCTGCCTGCTCCTTCCCATTCCATTGCGGGGACCTGGACTTGATCTAGCCCTGTCTGGTGGACACACTTTTGTAGGTGCCAGGAGGGAGGAATCTGCTCCTCCTTTCTGCCCCCGACAGCCCCCAGCCCCAGTGGCCACTCACTCCCAGCATGCCTTGCAGCTGCCTGAGTGGGAGACTGTGGTGGACTCGGAGCTGGGGCAGGGAGGACAAGCTTCTTCTGGAAGGGCAATGGGCAGAGGGTGACCTGGTCTTTCACGGTGGTGTCAAGGACCATAGAGCCAGGCCACATTCTCCCCACGTTAACTTTCCCAAAGGGATCAGTTTTCTGCTGAACAATCATTCCCATTTACTGGGAATTATTGGGCAGTGCCTCATGCCTGTAATCCCAGCACTTTGTGGGGGGCTGAGGCGAGAGGATTGATTGAGCCCAGGAGTTTGAGACCAGTCTGGGCAACATAGCAAGACCTCGCCTCTACAAAAAATTTAAAAATTAGAGGTCGGGGCCGGGCGTGGTGGCTCACGCCTGTAATCCCAGCACTTTGGGAGGCCAAGGTGGGCAGATCACGAGGTCAGGAGATCGAGACCATCCTGGCTAACACGGTGAAACCCCGTCTCTACTAAAAATACAAAAAATTAGCTGGGCATGGTGGCGGGCGCCTGTAGTCCCAGCTACTCGGGAGGCTGAGGCAGGAGAATGGCGTGAACCTGGGAGGCGGAGCTTGCAGTGAGCCGAGATTGCGCCACTGTACTCCAGCCTGGGTGACAGAGTGAGACTCCGTCTCAAAAAAAAAAAAAAAAAAAAAAAAATTAGAGGTCGGGCTCAGTGGCTCACGCCTGTAATCTCAGTACTTTGGGAGGCTGAAGCAGGCGGATCACCTGAGGTCGGGAGTTCAAGACCAGCCTGACCAACATGGAGAAACCCCGTCTCTACTAAAAATGCAAAATGAGCCGGGATGAGGTGGCAGGAGCCTTTAATCCCAGCTACTCGGGAGGCTGAGGCAGGAGAGTCACTTGAACCCAGGAGAGGGAGGTTGCGGTGAGCTGAGATCGCACCATTGCACTCCAGCCTGGGCAACAAGAGCAAAACTGTGTCTCAAAAAAAGCAAATGAATAAAATAAAAATAAAAATAAAAATAAAAATAAATTAGCTGGGCATGGTGGTGCACACCTGTAGTCCCAGCTACTCAGGAGGCAGAGACAGGAAGATCACTTGAGCTTGAGCCCAAGTTCAAGGCTGCAGTGAGCTATGACTGCACCACTGCATTCCAGCCTGGGCGACAGAGTCAGACCCTGTCTCAAAAAAAAAAAAAGAAAAAATTCCAGTTACCAGAGCTTAACTCTGTCACCTTGAAGTCTTGTCATCTCTCACCTGGTTCCCTTAAACAGCCTTCGGATGGCTTCCTGCTGTCCATCGGGACCACATGCCACACCCCATCCACCTTGGCAAGTCATAACCTTCCCCAGCACCTGACGCCTTTCATAGCCACCATGGACCCCCCACCAGGGCAAGAAATTCCAGCCACAGGACCACTCAGACCCCTGGATTTGCCCCCAGCTCCCACCTCAGGCTCTTGCTCAAGACAAATGTCCCCTACCACCACTGCATCCCCCTCTCTGGTCACCTTTCAGGCTGGGCTGAAATACCACCTGTCCCCATGCAGGCCGGGGAACTCCTCTTTCTGTCATCCCTTGATTATTGGTGTGTGACTCTCAGGCTGCACCTCATGGTTGGGACTTGTGGGGGGGCCTTGCCCTACTCCAGGCCTGATGCCATGAGCTGAAGGCCCTGGATGCCATGATAGCCAGCGGCACGGTGCAGGAGCTCAAGCTGAGGCTAAAGTGAGGGGCTGCCTTTCTGGTGCTCCAGCCCACCTCTGTTAGCCACCTCCAGTGCCCTCCAGGGAGGGAAAGCTGCCCACTAACAGGCCAGTGGCTGGCTGGGCTGAGCAGCAATGTCCATGTGGGTATCTGTTTTTCTTGTTCTTGCTGTTTCCTGCTGTCTCGGGGTGCACAGGCCCAGGCAGGCCATGTCCCTGGGGCAGGCTGCCAATCACCTCTCCTCTTTCCTCCTGCTCACATAAGCAGCAGGATGGCAGGTGGACCAGCCGCTGACATAGGCCCGCTTGTCCTCCCTCTTTCCCTAGGCTGCCTCCTGTTGGCAGAAGGCCAGGAGCCCTTCATGGGGGAGGTGTGGGGGGCATCCTCTGTTTTCAGGGTTTTGTTTCATTTGTTTGTTTGTTTTGAGACAGAGTCTTGCTCAGTCGCCAGGCAGGAGTGCAGTGGTGCGATCTCGGCTCACTACAACCTCCGCCTCTGGGGTTCAAGTGATTCCCCTGCCTCAGCCTCCCAAGCAGCTGGGACTACACGCACGCACCACCACCCCTGGCTAATTATTTTTGTATTTTAGTAGAGACGGAGTTTCACCATGTTGGCCAGGATGGTCTCGATCTCCTGACCTCGTGATCTGCCTGCCTCGGCCTCACAGAGTGCTGGGATTACAGGCGTGAGCCACCGCGCCTGGCCAGAATTGAACCCAGTTCTATCAGTTCTATACTAAGGTCTCTTTTCCCTATTGTCTCTGTTTGTTTTTGAGATGGAGTCTTGCTCTGTCGTCCAGGCTGGAGTGCAGTGGCACGATCTCAGCTCACTGCAACCTCTGCCTCCCGGGTTCAAGCAATTCTCCTGCCTCAGCCTCCCGAGTAGCTGGGATTACAGGTGCCCGCCACCACACCCAGCTAATTTTTGTATTTTTAGTAGAGATGGGGTTTTGCCATGTTGGCCAGGCTGGTCTCGAACTCCTGAACTCAAGTGATCCTCCCACCTCACCCTCCCAAAGTGTTGGGATTACAGGCATGAGCCACTGCACCCAGCCTGTTTTGAGTTTTTGATGAAGTGGGATTGGGTTCCTTTGTCTGATGTTCCTCGTGTTTCCAGCCCACCAGGTGCCCCGTGGGGAGGCAGGCGATTGGCAGAACTTATTGTATCTCGAACCCCATCCACCATGTCAAAAAGGGGCATCAGCCCAGGGGCGGTTCCTGGTCTGTGTAATCCCAGCACCTGTAATCCCAGCACTTTGGGAGGCTGAGGTGGGAGAACTGCTTGAGCCCAGGAATTTGAGATCAGCCTGGACAACATGACAAGACCCCGTCTCTACAAAAAATAATAAAAGTAAGCCAGGCATGGTGGTGTGTGCCTGTAGTCTGAGCTGCTCAGGAGGCTGAGATGGGAGGATCCCTTGAGCCATGGAGTTGGAGGCTGCAGTAAGCTATGATTGTAGCTGCACTCCAACCTGGGCAACAGAGTGAGACCCTGTCTCAAAAAAAAAAAAAAAAAAGGCAGCCAAAGGTAACCACCACTCACCCCCAACAAACAGGTCCCTATTGCCACCTGATGGGGGAGTGGCCCCAGCCCAGACTCCATTTGCCAGAACTACACCATGGGTCTCAGGGCAGGCTGCTGGGCAGCAGACTTCAACACACGGATTTCTGAGTGAGTGATGCATTAAGGCCATGCTCTCAGAGGGTGCTGGAGTAAGAGAAGCGGGTCAAGGAAGGAGAGGAAACCAAGCAGAGATGCAGCCCCCAGCAAAATCCTGTGAGGCCGGGCATGGTGGTTCACGCCTCTAATCCCAGTGCTTTGGGAGGCCGAGGCAGGAGGACTGCTTGATTCCAGGAGTTCGAGACCAACCTGGGCAACATAGTGAGACCCCCATGTCTACAAAAAAATTTCAAAAATTAGCCAGGTGTGGCTGGGCATGGAGGCTTACGCCTGTAACCCCAGCACTTTGGGAGGCCAAGGCGGGTGGATCACCTGAGGTCAGGAGTTCAAGGCCAGCCTGGGCAACATGGTGAAACCCCCATCTCTACTAAAAATACAAAAATTAGCTGGGTGCAGTGGCGCCTGCCTGTAATCCCAGCTACTAAGGAGGCTGAGGCAGGAGAATCACGAACCTCGGAGGCGGAGATTGCAGTGAGCCGAGATTGAGCCACTGCACTCCAGCCTGGGTGACAGAGCGAGACTCCATCTCAAAAAAAAAAAAAAAATTAGCCAGATGTAGCAGCACACCTGTAGTCCCAGCTACTCAGGAGGCTGAGGCAGGAGGATTGCTAGAGCCCAGGAGATTGAGGCTGCAGTGAGCCGTGATCATGCCATTGTACTCTAGCCTGGGCAACAGAGCAAGACCCTGTGTGTATATATATATATATGCAAGGGATGCTTTGATTGGATCCCACAGGCAAACTCGAGCATGAGTCACGCCTCAGAGCCGCCCTGAACAAAAACAGGAGAACTCAGGCTGCACTCTCCTCCTGTGCCTGTCTTAATGGTTCCAGGGTCATCCTGGGGAAGGTAATTCTCAGGTGCATCAAGGGGCTCCATCCAGCAAGGCTGGGCGCGGTGGCTCACGCCTGTAATCCCAGCACTTTGGGAGGCTGAGGTGGATGGATTACTTGAGGTCAGGAGTTTGACACCAGCCTGGCCAACATGGCAAAAGCCCTGTCTCTACTAAAAGTAATACAAAAATTAGCCGGGCATGGTGGTGCATGCCTGTAATCCCAGCTACTCGGGAGGGTGAGGCACGAGAATCACTTGAACCCAGGAGGTGGAGGTTGCAGTGAGCCAAGATTGTGCCACTGCACTCCAGCCTGGTCAACACAGAGAGACTAGTGTCTCTCAATGAATGAATGAATGAATGAATGAATGAAGACTCTCAGGGCTGGGAGGAGACTCCAGGCCTCACGATGCTCCTCCAAGTGGCTGTGCAGCAGGGCGAGCTCAGCACCATCACTCCAGGCTGCAGCTGGCCTGAATTTTTGGGGGGTGGAGGGGGAAATGGTCTCGCTGTTTCCCAGACTGGAGTGCAGTGGTATTATTTTTTAGTAGAGATGGGGTTTTGTTATGTTGCCCAGGCTGGTCTCAAACTCCTGACCTCTAGTGATCCCCCCACCTCAGACTCCCAGAGTGCTGGGATTACAGGTGTGAGCCACTACCAAGTTGGGCTGAATTGATACAAAGGTTGTCCTTACTAGATCCCAAAGCTGGCCTTCTCAAGCATCCACCCTCTGGTACCTGACCCTCCCATGAGGTTCTCACCGAGTAAGTCCATTACCCAGCCAAGGGCCTCAGGCTGGAAGGCTGGTCTGGGGTGAGGAGGATTGGGTAATGGGCCTGAACAGCATGCTCCTTGCTCGAGAGCAACCAGAAACATTTTCCTTGAAATGAACCTCAACAGCCTGGGCGACACAGTGAGACCCCCTCTCTAAAAACTAATTAAAATTTAGCCAGACATGGCCAGGTGCAGGGGCTCATACCTGTAATCCCAGGACTTTGGGAGGCTGAGGCGGGCAGATCACAAGGTCAGGAGTTCAAGACCAGCCTGGCCAACATGGTGAAACCCCATCTCTACTAAAAATACAAAAAATTAGCCGGACGTAGTGGCGGGTGCCTGTAATCTCAGCTACTCAGGAGGCTGAGGCAGGAGAATCGCTTGAACCCAGGAGGCGGAGGTTGCAGTGAGCAGAGATCATGCTACTGCACTCCAGCCTGGGCAACAATGTGAGACTCCATCTCAAAAAAAAAAAAAAAAAAAAAAAATTAGCCAGACATTGTGGCATGCACCTGTAGTCCCACCTACTCAGGAGGCTGAGGTAGGAGAATTGCTTGAGCCCAGGAGTTTCAGGTTGCAGTGATCAAACCACTGCATTCTAGCCTGGGCAACAGAGCAAGAACCTCTTTCAAAAAAAGAAAGAAAAAAAGGAATGAATCTTTGGCCAGGCACAGTGGCTACACCTGTACTCCCTGCAGTTTGCGAGGCTGAGGTGGAAGGATTGCTTGAGCCTGGGAGTTTGAGACCAGCCCAGGCAACATTAAAAAAAAAAGAAAGAAAAGAAACAGAAAGAAGAAAGGAAAGGAAGGGAAGGGTAAAGAGGAAAGAAAGGGGAAAAGGGGGACGGGGAAAGGAAGGGAAGGGAAGGAAAAAAGAAAGAAAGAAAAGAAAGGAAGCCCTATGGAAGACACAAAATCCAGAGGTGAAAACACCAAGACAAGGACATTGTATTTCTGCATTTTAATTTATTTTTCGTTTCTGTTTCTCACTTACCAACACATGTGTAAAATGTAGCAGGTGTGTTAGTAAAGGAGAAGCAGCTGGGGGGAGAGGGGCAGGAATTAAGCAGCCACATGTGAAGAGTCAGGTCAAGCAGGAAGTGACTGGGGGCAGAGGTGGCGGGCAGCCTCCTCCCTGCCCCACCTTCCCACAAGGCACCAGCAACTGCTGCAGCTCACAACCCCTG
Organism: Homo sapiens; assembly: GCF_000001405.40. Lineage (NCBI taxonomy): Eukaryota > Metazoa > Chordata > Mammalia > Primates > Hominidae > Homo > Homo sapiens. The sequence goes on along the minus strand of NC_000007.14, from coordinate 6,624,049 downwards.
CCCCAGACGACTTGGTGAACGTGGTAAAGAGCATTGCTCCCAAACGTCGTCTCAGATATTCTTTCCCCAGCCCCAGCAATGGCACAGTGTCTGCTCAGGCAGCCCTCCAAACCTCCACAGCCTGGTGCGGGAGAAATCTGCCCTGGTCTCCCCGGGCCGGCCCCTGGGTAGCATCTGAGAAGCATGAAGCTGGTGGAGTCCAGGGGGGCCACAGTGGGGCTACCCCGGAGCTCCTTCTGGGGGACCCTCCTTCCAGACCTTGGAGAGCTCTCCCAGAAGGCCCTCTGCTTCAGCCACAGGCTCTTATTCCAGAGGACATTAATGCGGGCTGGGGGGACTGGGGGACACAGCAGCAGAGGCCAAGAAGCTGCCTCCGATGCCCGCCGGAGCCCCTGGTTCCCTGGAGGGAAGGTTTTACCTTCCACCCGGAGCAGGACTTCCTGGCTTGGATTTGCACATCGACCCGGTGAGCGCTCTGACCCTGTGTTGATGAACACAGGCGTTTTCATCAGAATTATACCCACCCTGATGAATTTTCATCTTGGAAAGTATTTTCAAGGCAAATGCCTCTGAGGACGATTCGATGCCTTGGTCAGTTTCTACATAGTGCAAACAAGTTTGCTTCCTCCCCGAATTTCTCCTTGCGATCATTTTCACCAGGATCGAAGATTTTCCACGTGTGTCTCACCACGTCTTGATTCCCTGGTGGGTGTCCAGTCCTCGGCCAGTGTCATTAATCGTCTCGCCACTGGGGGTTTTTCCTCGTTCGTAGTAAGTCCAGTTTTCCCGGAGGGAAAACCTTTGGCAGACCCCTCAAAGGGCAGACAAACGTGTCCCGTGTGCTGTTTCAGCCCCGGTCCACTTCTCTTTTGGCGGATGGATTTTTCTGGCGGTGAAATCTGTGAACCTGGTATTTTCTCAGGGAATCCGGAAGATGATGATGATGATGATGGTGGAAGCCTTTTACTCCAGGGATATTCCAGGACGCCTCCAGCGCCCATGAACCCGGGTCAAGGAGCTTTTCAGGTGGAGGCGGGTGGGGGGTCCCCTCCCGGCCAGGCAGCCCCGATCACGGCCCTCACAGCGCCTTGTCTGCGGGCGCAGTGGCTGTAGCGGCCTGCTCCGCGCGGGCTGGGCCACCGAGGGCCGCCGGCCGCGAGGCGCGCAGCAGGCCGAGGCCCCTGGAGCGGCCCGCGCCGTGCAGCTGGCGCTCGTGGCGGCGGATCTGCACCTTGTGTCGGAAGCGCTCGCCACAGTCCTCGCACACGTAGGGCCGCTCGCCCGAGTGCGTGCGCCGGTGGCGCAGCAGGTTGGAGGAGACGCTGAAGCGCTTGCCACAGTCCCCGCAGGCGTAGGGTCGCTCCCCGGTGTGCGTGCGCTGGTGCTGCACGAGCGCCGAGCTCTCGCTGAAGCGCTTGGCGCAGTAGGAGCAGGCGTAGGGTTTCTCGCCCGTGTGGATGCGTTGGTGCGTCACCAGATTCGAGTGCTGCGAGAAGCCCTTGCCGCACTCGCCGCAGCGGTGTGGCCGCTCACCCGTGTGCGTGGCCTGGTGGCGCACCAGGTCCGTGCTGCGGCTGAAGCCCTTGCCGCACTCCCCGCAGATGGTCGGCCGGTCCCGAGCGCGCCGCCGCCGCCGCTGCCGTGCAGGGGTCAACGCCGCGCTGCCTGCCGGGCCCGGGATGGCCACCACGGCCGGCGCTGCCACGGCGGGCAGCACCATGAGCTCCTGCACCACCACGTAGCCCGGGGGAGCCACCACGACCGCGGCCGGAGCCCCCGGGACCGCCGCTCCGCCGCCCCCTGCGGCTGGCACCAGTTCCAGCTGCAGCTCCGGCTGCACGGGGGTCAGCTCCAGCTGCACCTCCTGCTGCTGGGCGCCTAGCTCCACCGGGGTCAGCTCCAGCTGCACCTCCTGCTGCTCCAGCTGCTGCTGCTGCTGCTCCAGCTGTTGCTCCAGCTGCTGCAGCTCCTCCTGCAGTTTGAGCTGCAGCTGCCGCTGCTCCTGCTGCCGTTCCAGCTCCTGCTGCCGCTCCAACTCCTGCCGCTGCTGCTCCAGCTCCTGCTCTGACCCCAGGTCCACCGGCATGAGCTCCAGCTCCACCTCTTCCTCCTCCTCGGGCTCCAGGGGAGGAGGCTGCAGTTGTTGCTGCTGCAATTGTTCCTGCTGCTGTTGCAACAGCTGCTGTTGCTGCTGCTGCTGTAACTGTTCCTGCTGCTGCAGCAGTAGCTGCTGCTGTAACTGTGCCTGCTGCTGTTCCAGCAGCTGCTGTTGTAACTGTGCCTGCTGCTGCTGCAACAGTTGCTGCTGTAACTGTCCCTGCTGCTGCAGCAATAGTAGCTGCTGCTGCTGCTGTAACTGTTCCTGCTGCTGTTGAAACTGTTGCTGCTGTAACTGTTCCTGCTGTTGTAGCAGCTGCTGCTGCTGTAACTGTTCCTGCTGTTGCTGTAACAGCTGTTGCTCTTGCACTTGCTGCTGTAGCTGTTCCTGCTGCTGCAATACCTGTTGCTCTTGTGCTTGCTGCGTCTGTAACTGCTCCTGCTGCTGCTGCAACCGCTGTTGCTCTTGCACTTGCTGTGGCTGTAACTGTTGCTGCTGGTGCATTAGCTGCAGTTCTGGTTTCAGTTCCTGATGGTGCACGGATTGGTGTTTTTCCTGTTGTAGTTGAGATAGCTGTTGTTGCCCATCTTGCTGCGGCTGCTGTTGCAGTTCTAGGTGTGGCTGCGGCTGTTGCAGCTGCTCGTGTTGCGGCTGTTGCTGCGGCTCGGGCTGCTGTTCTAACTGCTGCAGTTGCAACTCTCGTTGTCCCGGCCGGGTTTCCTCAGCGATTTCACTGGCCCCCACTGGGGCCGAGACTGCTGGCCGCTGTGGACTGCTGTTCCTCTCCTGAGGCTCTTCCTCCTCCTGACTCTCGCTCCCACCGCTGCCACCTGTGGAAGAAATGGCAGGAAGCCAAGAGAGAAAGATCTACAGGAAGCTCTCTGGTGCAGACCCCAGGACCTGCCCCTTACCCTGCCCTCAAAGATACACTAACACGCTCTTAGCAGGAGCCCGAAAGTGCTGGATCGAGTAACAATAGCAGCCCAGCAGAAACTGAAATGCTGCAGGGGCAGGGGTGGCTTGGAAATGTGCCCAGGTGGCCGGGCACAGTGGCTCACGCCTGTAATCCCAGCACTTTGAGAGGCCGAGGTGGGCAGATTGCCAGAGCTCAGGAGTTCGAAACCAGCCTGGGCAACATGGCGAAAGCCTGTCTCTACTAAAAATACAAAAAATTAGCTGCCAGGTGCCTGTAGTCCCAGCTACTAAGGAGGCTGAGGCAGGAGAATCACTTGAACTCAGGAGGTGGAGGATGCAGTGAGCCGAGATCACACCACTGTGCTCCAGCCTGGGTGACAGAGGGAGAGTCCATCTCAAAAGAGAGAGAGAGAGAAAGAGAGAGAGAGAAAGAAAGGAAGAAGGGAAGAAAGGGAAGGAAGGGAAGGAAGGAAGGTAGGTGGCCAAGGGACTGCTGGTGACCTCCCTCTGGACCCCAGCTCCCTGATCCCTCCTTGGAGCTTCCCTTTACACAGGCCCCATGCTCTGATCTCGGCACTGGCACTAGCAGGGATGCTGGGGGCTCCCTGACCATCCTGAGAAGTCTCTTGCGCTTAATCACCCTCCAGTAGAAACCACTGAACTGGCTGTCCCAACGGCCAAGCCATCAACCCCATGCTGAACTCCGACCTTACAGCCACACCTTAAATAAATGAAATTATCCTTCTCTGTAAATAATAAAGAATTTATATAAAGCTGCCCGGAGGTGTTACCACAAGTAGTTTCCCAAAATCACCAAAGTGTCAGAGAGACCACTAGGTTTCAGACAGGAAGTTCTCAGTTCAGAACCTAACTCTACCAGTCGGCAGGTATACAACCTCCTGCAGGCTCACAGTCCTGTCTACAAAATAGCTCAGTGATACCCACACCATCTGCTTAAACAGTACAACAAGGAGAGCCCTGGCATAGTACCTGGAGCCTGGTAGGTGCTTGAAAATTCCCTCTCTCTGAAGGTTAGGATTGGTTTGCAAAGTAACAAAAAAATACCAAGGAGACTGGGACTGTTTGAGATTGTCATTCAGGAATACAAAGGACTAACTAGGCTGGGCGTGGTGGCTCATGCTTGTAATCGCAACACTTTGGGAGGCATAAACCTGGGAGGCCCTGCAAAAACAGCACCACTCCGTTACTACGCTTCTCTTTCCGCACCGTGTACACCATGAGATTCTCGTTTTGAGTATTACTATTGTGCTACTGGAAAATCCCAATCCTTCTTTCTACATGTGACTTGAGGAGGCTTTCTCCGTTCCCAACTCTGATTTCAACATCTCTTCTCCCTATAACATCATATGTTTTCCATTTTGTAATGGAAGACAATGCTTTGATTTATAAAAGTTTGCTTTCTGGCCATTTTTCCAAGAATATATTGATTTAATAAAACCAAGGGATGGCCGGGCGCGGTGGCTCACGCCTATAATCCCAGCACTTTGGGAGGCCGAGGCAGATGGATCACGAGGTCAGGAGATTGAGACCATCCTGGCCAACATGACGAAATCCTATCTCTACTAAAATACAAAAAATTAGTCGGGCGTGGTGGTGTGCGCCTGTAGTCCCATCTACTCGGGAGGCTGAGGCTGGGGAATCACTTGAACCTGAAAGGCAGAGGTTGCAGTGAGCTGAGATCACGCCAGTGCACTCCAGCCCAGCGACAGAGCAAGACTCCTTATCAAAAAAACAAACAAACAAACAAACAAACAAAAACAACAACCCAAGGGACATAGTGAAACCCTGTCTCTACTAAAAATACAAAAATTAGCCGGGCATGGTGGCAGGCACCTATAGTCCCAGCTACTCGGGAGGCTGCAGCAGGAGAACTGCTTGAACCCAGGAGGTGGAGGTTGCAGTGAGTCAAGATTGAGCCACCGCAATCCAGCCTGGGCAACAGAGTGAGACTCTGTCTCAAAAAAAAAAAAAAAAAAAAAAAAATCCACCAAGGGAGATCTGTATGCATATAATTTCCTCTAGTAAAATATTCCTAATAACCTTTGGTTAGGCTAACAGATCCGTGAGCGTGCTTTTCATAGACACTGACATTGGCTGGGGGGAAGCACATGGTAGAAGACAGGGTGAAAACTGTCCCCCCAGCAAGTCCAATGTCTCATGGACCCTCCTTTCTCCCACCTCTTCTGGGAGGAATGAGACAGATCATGCCTCTGTGTTGAGTCTCCTCTTTTCTGGCACAGTCTTGACCACAGGCCACTCTGACTCCCTGGGGCAGCAATTTCAGTTTTTGTTTGTTTGTTTGTTTTAAACAGGATCTCACTCTTGTCACCCAGGCTGGAGTGTAGTGGCGCAATCTCAGCTCACTGTAGCCTCAACCTCTCAAGCTCAAGCGATCCTCCCATCTCAGCCTCTCAAGTGGCTGGGACTATAGGTACACAACACCACGCCTAGCTAATTTTTTAAACTTTTTGTAGAGATGGGGTTTTGCCATGTTTCACAGGCTGGTCTCGAACTCCTGAGCTCAAGCGATCCACCTGCCTCGGTTTCCCAAAGTGCTGGGATTACAGGTGTGAGCCATTGTGCCTGACCTCAGCATTTTTAACAAAGGCATTTTAGTGAACATCTAGTCCAGTGTTGTCTGACGTGTATACCCTCCCAAAGTTTTGTCAGGTAAATTTACAAGTCAGAAGGGTCTTCTTTTCCTCTTCTTCTTTTTTTTGAGACGGACTCTCACTCTGTCACCAAGGCTGGAGTGCAGTGGCATGATCCTGGCTCACTGCAACCTCTGCCTCCTGGGTTCAAGTGATTCTTCTGCCTCAGCCTCCCGAGTAGCTGAGATTACAGGTGCCCACCACACCCAGCTCATTTTTGTATTTGTAGTAAAGACAGTGTTTCACCATGTTGGCCAGGCTGGTCTCAAACTCCTGGCCTCAACTGATCTGCCCGCCTCGGCCTCCCAAAGTGCTGGGATTACAGGAATGAGCCATCATGCTCGGTCAGAACGGTCCTTCTTGACTCCACACATCCCCATCCCACCCCCTCCAATTCCCTTGGTCCTTTTCAAGCTCTGTCCCGCCCTGCCCCAGGCCCTCACTCAGCACCCTTAAAGCACAGAATGGAAACTGGCTCTCATGAGTGTGGCCACCAGAGAAGGTTTGCCCAGAGTGGGTCCCAGAGGAAGAGGTCTTGGAAGGTTCTGCAGTACCACATCTGCCCCTGGGCATCAGGTAGAGAAAAACAGATGCAAGCAGAGGTCAAGCTAAAGTGGAAAAGGTTACGAGGCCACAGGGGAGAAGAAGCCAGGGAGCCAACATCTGGGGCAGGAGGGGCAGAGGAAGAGAGCCTATTAGTACCTGAATCGGATCCGGGAAATTGAGTGGAAATTGACTCAGGAGCTGGGGCCAGGTGGGAGGATGGTGGAGGCCCTCTGGCTGCCAGGAAACACAGCAATGAGTTCCAGCCAGCAGCGCGTGTGAGTGTTAAGTCCAGTCAGCACCCATGTGGGGAGCGGGGAGCCCCTCACCAGCCTGGCCTCAGCCTGCCTGACACAGCCACCTTGGAAAATCTCAAGGGAGAGCTGCTGGTGTTACTCAATGCAGCTGAGGTTGGCTGGTGTGAGTCTGTGCAGGCTGCCCGCCACCCTTGAGCCTCTTTCTGCCACAGCAGGCAGGCATGAGGCTCTGTCAAGGGATCCCCCGAGGCCCTCACCTGAGAGGGTGTCAGGCCCTGGGCCCCCATCCTCAAGACATTGAAGTTCCAGCACGAAGGTCTCGGTGGCTGGCCCCACTTCCATCCTGGCGGTCAGACCCCGATTCCCGGGAGTCGGCTGTGCTGAAAGGAAGGAAGCAGTTTAGCCAGGCTGGAGTGCTTTGACCCCCGCCAGGTGCCCACAGGCCCCCAAAGGCCCTCCACCTCTGCCTCGGGCCACCCAGAGCGGTCAGCTCCATACCTGCTGCAACTATAGGACTGTCCCCCGCAACGGGGAACGGGGAGTGCCGGCGGCCTGGAGGCTCAGGACTGGGGAGTTGGCAGACAGCACCAGAGGCTGTCACCTGCATAGAGGCAGGACTGCCTCTCCTGACTTTTCACAGCGGGATGGAGAGTGGGGTAGCCCCACAGAGACACAACTGTGGGTATCAGCCCTTCACAAGGGAGGAAAGCTAGAGTCACCAAAGGGACATTCAGGGCGGGGAGCTCTGGGGCCAAAGAGAGACTGTCCATCAACATCCTCCCTGCCTCCTTCAATTCTTTTTTTATTAAATACTTTTTTTTTTTTTTCTTGATACGGATTCTCACTCTGTCACCCAGGCTGGAGTGCAGTGGTGCGATCTGGACTCACTGCAACCTCCGTCTCCCCAGTTCAAGCGATTCTCCTGCCTCCGCCTCCTGAGTAGCTGGGGCTACAGGTGCGTGCCATCACCCCCAGCTAATTTTTATGTTTTTTTATATTGTAGATGATGTTGCCCAAGGCTGGTCTCGAACTCCTGGCCTCAGGCGATCCTCCTGCCTCGGCCTCCTAAAGTGTTGGGATTATAGGAGTGAGCCACTGCGCCTGGCGCCCTTCCATTCTATTGCCTTCCTGGCCTGCTCTGAGAAGGCCGCCAGCAGGCCACGTGTGTCAGCTGCCACCCCAGCTCCCGGGCAAGGCAGGTGTCCAGAGCACTGTCACCCACGGCCTGGCCCTGTGCCCAGGCGCTCCTGAGAGTCCACCCTGGCCCGTGCAGAGCTGGCCCCTCTCCCCTAAACAGGCCGACTCGTGCCATCCAGTCCAAACTCTCTCAAGGGACGCGTCCCCGGTTGCCCAGCGCCAACGACCCCCTGGGCCTCACCTGGTGGAGCATTTCCTGCTCCCGGGCAGCCTCTGCGCTAGGGAGGTGTGGTCAGCAGAGGCTGCGAGGTGAAGGCCACGGCGTGCAGCCGGCTCCTTCCGGAGGCGCCTCCATCCAGAAAGAGCCAGGAGGCGCAGGGCCACCCCGGGGGCTTTCTGGGCACTCCGGAGGGTCCACGCCCTCTGGGCTGCCGAGGTCGCCCTGGGCCAAGGGAAGGGGCTGAGAGGAGCGGCCGAGCAGAAGTTGGTGGAGACTCTCCGGCGGGGGCTGGGGCGGGAGGCAGGGCCCCGAATCCCGCGCGGGGCTCAGGGCCGGCCCCCCGGGACCATCGCGGGCAGCGGGATCCAGGCCGGCGCCCGGGGTCGGCACCACGGGGTGGCCCCGCCTGGGGTCGGCGGCGGCCAGGCGACGCGGGTCCTCGGGGGCTACAGGTGCCCGGAGCCTGCGGGCGGCCTGGGCCGGGCCGCGCGGGGGCCGGGGCGGGGGCGGGGCGGGCGCCGCGGCAAGGCCGGGTCCCCCTGGGCTCGCCCGCCCGCCCGGGAGTGCGTCCGTGCGGGCCGCTGGCCGGGCCGGGGGCGGGGGCGCGGGGGCCGGCACAGGAAGTCCCCCCGGCATCCGCATCCTGTCCCCCGCCCCTGCCCGCCCGCCGCGCCCCCGCGCCCCGGCCCCCGCCGCCGCCGCCGCCGTCGCCGCCGCCGCTCTAGGCAGCCGCAGCTCGGTGGGCTTAACCATTCCCGGCCCGGCCACTCACCCGGCCCGGGGGACACGATGCGGCGGCCCCTGGGGCGTCCCGGGCTGGCCGGTGCCGAGCGCAGCGCGCGCTGTGCCGCATCCCTGCTGCGCGTGTCCTCGCGCCACGGGGTTGGCGACTGTCACTGCCTGGGTGTCTGGGTGGGGGGTACCCAACCCGATCCCTGCCACCCCCTAGAGGGCAGGCGTGGCCTCGGGGCGCCCCTGCCGCGGTGCAAATTGTGGCTAATTAGCACACAATTCGATGGCACTCGGAGAGGGAGTAGGCGCCATCCGGGCCCGGCCCGAGCGGGCCCTGGAGAGGCCACCCCGGTCCGCACCGTGGAGCCCTCCTCCTAGACCCCGGGGCTGGGGAGGGCAGGCCAGTAGGGAGTGTGTGCCTCCCTCCCCCGATCAGGGACTGTGACCTGCATAGATCAAATGAGGCCACCGTGGAGAACTGGCAGAGCTGGAATCCTCCCGCCCAGCGCCCCTGCGGCCTTTCGCTGACCACAAGGCTGGTGGTCAGGCCTCCCACCTCCCTCACCCTCTCCTCTCCTCTTTCCCTACTTGGCAAGTGGATTCCTGCCTGGGTCAGGGGTCTTCTCCAAGGGAGGCCTTCCCTAACCCCGTCTTAATGTTGCACCACCTAACTTTCCTGTTCTCGGTGCACAAACCTCTCTAACCTGGAGAATTCAAATTCAAATTGGGATGCTCAAATTCTTTAGAAAAAACCAAAGATCTGGGGGCAGGGCATGGTACTTCACGCCTGTAAACCCAGCATTTCGGGAGGATCACTTGAGGCTGGTAGTTTGAGACCAGCCTAGCCAACATAGCAAGACCCCATCTCTACAAAAGAGGTTTTTAAAAAATTAGCTGGGCTACTGAAAAGTAGCCTGTAATCCCAACTACTTTGGAGGCCAAGGTGGGTGGACCACTTGAGCCCGGGAGGAGGTCGAGGCTGCAGTGAACTATGATCGCGCCACTGCACCCCAGCCTGGGTGATAGAGTGAGACCCTGTCTCCATCTAAAAACAAGCAAACATGCTGGGCGCGGTGGCTCACGCCTATAATCCCAGCACTTTGGGAGGCCGAGGCGGGCAGATCACCTGAGGTCTGGAGTTGGAGACCAGCCTGGCCAACATGGAGAAACTCCATCTCTACTAAAGATACAAAATTGGCCGGGCATGGTGGCACATGCCTGTAACGCCAGCTACTCTGGAGGCTGAGGCAGGAGAATCGCTTGAATCTGGGAGGTGCTCCTGGGGTGCAGCAGGAATGCCCCCCTGGTGGGGGACAAGAGCCCTCAGGGTTCACAGCCCCCTCCCTTCCTCCTGTCCCTGGGCTCACACTGCTGTGGCACAGGTGGCCACCTTGTCCTGTTTTTGGAATCTCTCTGGCCCCCACAGGCACTGGAGTTTCAGGCTTCCTTTCTGGCCCTTGCCTGAAAAGCCTGCACTCTGGTGGCTTCTGCCCCAGGCTAGAAAAAGTGCAGCAAGAGCCTGGCTTTGGAGACAGAGTCATCTAGGGTCATGGGACCTTTTGCAGCCAGGTAACTGCAGGCAAATGACTGCCTTGCGTCTGTGAAGTGGAGATGACAGCCTGCTAGGCAGGATAAGGACGAGCAGATAAGGTGAGGAGGATATGGGCAGGAGTTTAAGATCAGAGCAGGTGTGCACCTGCCTCTTCTAGCCTCCTGCAAACCCTCATGCCCTGAGGAGCCCCTCCCTCCTCAGGTCTTTATCCTCTCCCTCCACTGGCTTCTTTCTGACAGGATTTACACATCCTCAGGGCTCTCCCATCTTAAAAACATGCTACCCGGGCCAGGCGCAGTGGCTTATGCTTGTAATCCCAGCACTTTGGGAGGCCAAGGCAGGAGAATCGTGAGAGCCCTGGCTTTGGAGGCTGCAGTGAGGCATGATCATGCCACTGCACTCCAGCCTTGGCGACAGAGCAAGACTGTCTGCTGGCCGGGCACGGTGGCTCACGCCTGTAATCCTAGCATTTTGGGAGGCTAAGGTGGGCAGATCATGAGGTCAAGAGATAGAGACCATCCTTGCCGACATGGTGAAACCCTGTCTCTAATAAAAATACAAAAAAAAATATATATATATATATATATATATAGTTTGGCGTGGTGGCGCATGCTGTAGTCCCAGCTACTCAGGAGGCTGAGGCAGGAAAATCACTTGAACCCAGGAGGCAGAGGTTGCAGTGAGCCGAGATCACGCCACTGCACTCCAGCCTGGCGACAGTGTGAGACTCCGTCTCAAAAAAAAAAAAAAAAAAAAGACTGTCTGTAAAACATAAAAGAGCTACCCACTTCTCTCTCCTGCCCTTGACAGCCAAACTTCCTTTGCCATATCCCCATCTGCCCATCCCTCCTTCTCCTCTCTGACCTGGCCTCACTGCAGCCAGACAACTCCCCGTGACGTCACCAGCAATGTCCACGTCACTAAACCCTCATCATATTTGGCCTCTGGGCAGCACTGGACACTTCTGCCATGCTGTCCAGGGAGAAACACCTCGGTTCACCTTCCTCTTGGCCCCTTCTCTGACACCTTGCAGGCTCTGCTCCCCTCCCCTAGGCTCGTTGCTCACCTGTGCCACCAGAGAGGGGTCCCACCCAGTCCACACACAGTTCCTCCCACTGAGCTTTTTGTGGTTTGTTTTTGAGACAGGGTCTCACTCCCATTGCCCAGGCTAGAGTGCAGTGGCACAATCACAGCTCACTGCAGCCTCAACTTCCCAGGCTCAGGTGATCCTCCCATCTCAGCCTCCCAAGTAGCTAGGACTACAGGGATGCACCACCACACCAGGCTAATTTTTTTTGTTGAGACGAGGTCTCCCTATGTTGCCCAGCCTTGTCTTGAACTCCTGGCCTCAAGCAATCCTCCCACCCCAGCCTCCCAAAGTGCTAGGATTAACAGGCATGAGCCACTGCACCCAGCTATTTTATTTATTTATTTATTTAGAGATGGAGTCTTGCTCTGTCACCCAGGCTGGAGTGCAGTGGCGTGATCTCAGCTCACTGCAACCTCTGCCTCCCAGGCTCAAGTGACTCTCCTCCCTTAGCCTCCCGAGTAGCTGGGAACTACAGGTATGTGCCACCACGCCTGGCTAATTTTTGTATTTTTAGTAGAGACGGGGTTTCACCATGTTGGCCAGGCTGGTCTCAAACACCTGACCTCAAGTCATCCACCCGCCTCAGCCTCCCAAAGTGCTTGGATTACAGGCGTAAGCCAGCATGCCCGGCCTGGGCTAGAATCTTTTTTTTTTAGATGGAGTTTCACTCGTTTCCCGGGGGGAGTACAATGGCTTGATCTCGGCTCACCACAACCGCCACCTCCCAGGTTCAAGTGATTCTCCTGTCTCGGCCTCCTGAGTAGCTGGGATTACAGGCACAAGCTACCACACATGGCTAATTTTTGTATTTTTAGTAGAGACAGGGTATCACCATGTTGGCCAGGCTGGTCTCGAACTCCTGACCTCAAGTGATCCACCTGCTTTGGCCTCCCAAAGTGCGGGGATTACAGGCATAAGCCAGCATGCCCGGCCCCAGCTAGAATCTTTTAGTAAGCCTTCCCACATCCTCCTTTGGAGCTATAAATACCTCCCAGCTCAACTTTCCACCTAGCCAATCTGGTCAGGAAGGTATTTGCTTCACTGTTTCCCAGGGGCGTTTCTTCAGGGGCTTCCTCCCTGCAGACCCACACTGGGCAGGCTGCTGTCAGAGCTGCTGCCCACTGTCAACCTGGGACCCCCCCCTCCACCGCCGTCCTTCCGGGATTTGCCTTTGTTATCCTCATACTAATCCCTGTTCTCACACCATGTCTGTCTCTTTCTTATTTTTTGAGTCAAGATCTTGCTCTGTTACCCAGGCTGGAGTGCAGTCGTGCCATCATGGCTCACTGCAGCCTTGAACTCCTGGGTTCAAGTGATCTTCCTGTCTCAGCTTTTCCTTTTTTTTTTTTTACAGAGTCTTGCTCTGTTGCCCAGACTGGAGTGCAGTGGTGCAATCTCAGCTCAGTGCAACCTCCACCTCCCAGGTTCAAGTAATTCTCCTGCCTCACCCTCCTGAATAGCTGGGATTACAGGTGCCTGCCACCACACCCAGCTAATTTTTGTATTTTTAGTAGAGATGGGATTTTGCCATGTTGACCAGGCTGGTCTTGAACTCCTGACCCCGTGATCCACCTGCCTCGGCCTCCCAAAGTGCTGGGATTACAGGTGTGAGCCACTGTGCCCAGCCCTGTCTCAGCTATAGATTATAGATTGGCAATTGTTTCCCCTCAGAATGTTAAAGACACTTTTTTTTTTTCCAAGACAGAGTCTCACTCTGTCTCCTAGGCTGGAGTGCCGTGGTGCAACTAACAGTTTCATTGTCTTCTAGCTTCCAGAGTTGCTAGTAGAGAAGTCCAGTGCCATTTTGATTATTGATCCTTTGCGCCTGAGAAGAAAAGCTGGTGGGCCAGTAGCAGGTGCCTTGAAAGGGAGTGGAATAAGACAGACTTAGAGCTGCTCCCAGACGGCAGCTGTGGGGCTGCAGGAAGTTTGTCTCCTCCTGGAGATGATGGAAAAGATTTGGATTCTGTTCTGGGGAGGAGCAGCAGACTAGGGAGAAACACCAAGATTAATGCTGCAGTGAGCATCGATGATGCTGCCCTTCATTTTAATAGAGCACGTTCTCAAGAGTCCTTCCCTAGAAATGCTTGCATTCTCTGAATAGAATAAAAAGGAAAATAAAAATAATACAATTTTAAAAAACGGAAAGCATGCATTGGCAGTGGTCTAGTGTGCAAATGTCGGTTGTCACTCTTCAGGTCAAACACCCAATAAATGCCATCAACCGTGCCAGGACAGGGAAGTGTGTTGCATGAAAATAATCAGCCAGGAACGGTGGCTCACGCCTGTAATCCCAGCACTTTGGGAGGCCGAGGCAGGTGGATCACAAGGTCAAGAGATCGAGACCATCCTGGCCAACATAGTGAAACCCTGTCTCTACTAAAAATACAAAAATTAGCTGGACGTGGTGGCAGGTGCCTATAGTCCCAGCTACTTGGTAGGCTGAGGCAGGAGAATCACTTGAACCCAGCAGGTGGAGGCTGCAGTGAGCCAAGATGACACTACTGCACACCAGCCTGGTGACAGAGTGAGACTCTGTGTCAAAACAACAAGCAATTGGGGTTCAAGTGATTCTCCTGCCTCAGCCTCCTGAGTAGCTGGGACTACAGGTGCACATCATCCCACCTGGCTAATTTTTGTATTTTCAGTAGAGACGGGGTTTCACCATGTTGGCCAGGCTGGTCTTGAACTCCTGACCTCAGGTGATCTGCCCACCTCGGCCTTCCACAGTGCTGGGATTACAGGCATGAGCCACTGCGCCCAGCCAATTTTCTCTTTTTTGAAACAGAATTTCACTGTCACCCAGGCTGGCATGCAGTGGCACAACCTTGGCTCACTGCAGCCTCTGCCTCCTGGGTTCAAGCGATTCTCCTGCCCCAGCCTCCCGAGTACCTGGGATTTTACAGGCGCACACCACCACGTCCAGCTAATTTTTGTATTTTTAGTAGAGATGGAATTTCACCATGTTGCTAAGGCTGTTCTCGAACTCCTGGCCGCAAGTGATCCGCCCACCTTGGCCTCCCAAAGTGCTGGGATTACAAGCGTGAGCCACTGCGCCCGGCCCCAGGAGGTTCAATTTCTTCCCTGCAAGGTAAGCTCCATCTTTCAGTGCTCCATGTTTGCTGTCTCTCACTTCAGGCTAGGAGAGCCAGTGACATGGTTCCTGATCTTTCCTTCCTCCTGAAGTCAGTTAAGGGAGGACTCCAAGCAGACACCTTCCCTTTTCAGTAGGAAAAAGATCCCCGACGGCTGTTTTGTACCTGAGAGAAGAAATGTGACCCAAAGCAAATAGACCTGAAGCAGGCTGGGCGCAGTGGCTCACGCCTGTAATCCCAGCACTTTGGGAAGTCGAGACTGGTGGATCACCTGAGGTCAGGAGTTCGAGACCAGCCTGGCCAACATGGTGAAATCCTGTCTCTACTAAAAATACAAAAATTAGCCAGGCGCGGTGAAGGGCGCCTGTAATCCCAGCTACTTGGGAGTCTGAGGCAGGAGAATCGCTTGAACCTGGGATGTGGAGGTTGCAGTGAGCTGAGATCACATCACTGCACTCCAGCCTGGATGACAGAGTGAAATCCTGTCTTAAAAAAAAAAAAAGACCTGGAGCACTCTATGCCTGCTGACCTCAGCTGCCTGGCTCAGCTGGGAACATAGGTGTCCAAGCTGTTTCCGTCAAAAGAAATGACTAAAAACTACGACGATCATAAGACATTGGGAAGGAGGCCAGGTGCAGTGGCTTACACCTGTAATCCCAGCACTTTGAGAGGCCAAGGTGGGCGGATCGCTTGAGCTCAAGTGTTCAAAACCAGCCTGGGCAACCTAGCAAGACCCCATCTCTAAAAAATACAAAACATTAGCCGGGCGTTGTGGCGTGCACCTGTAGTTCCAGCTACTGGGGAGGCTGAGGTGCCACAATCAATTGAACCCGGAAGGCGGAGGTCGCAGTGAGCCGAGACCATGCCACTGCACTCCAGCCTGGGCAATAGAGTGAGACTCTGTCTAAATAAAAAAAAAAAAAAAAAAAAAAAAAAAGAGATTGCTAAGAAAATACCGCAGTTGGAAGCAATATTTATGAAGCTGTTAAAAATACATTCCATAAAGTCTACATGACTGTTTAGAAAAATTTATTTGAACATATGAAAGGAAATTTAGACACCCCCAATAAAACTGAGAAGTTCCTTTCCGAGGTGAGGGGAATTCCTGACAGCCTCCCTGAGCAGTGCTGCACATAAGCTTGTGGTCACTACGCAGCCTGGGCTCAGCTCACGGGGCTGCAGAAGGAGCCCACTTTTTCTGGCGGGGACACATCGTCTTCACGAGGAAAGAGGCCAGACACACGGGCTTGCACCCGTGGCTCCTGCCGTCACACTCCTCGCCACACAGGCTGTGTCTGAAATGCGCAGAGAACAGAGGCTCCCAGGATCGGCATCTTTTAAAAATGCACGCAGCAGGCTCTCGGCAGAGGCTGGACTCTTCCCTCCACCATCCAATCTGCATGTCAAAGAATGCGACCGGGTGGGAAGCACCTGGACTCCGTGACACCAAGACGGTTCTGCCGGCGGGGAGGGGCTGCCCGACCCCTTCCCCGAGGTTCTCTTCTGGGAGTCCGGCCACCCCTTCCATCTCGAAAGGCTTCGTCCAGCGAGAGCGCAGAAGGCACACACGGGCCAGCCTAGCGGATGGGCCTGAAGGGAAAGGTCACGCCGGAGATGAAGGTGTGGCCGGGATGCGTGGGCAGGGCGGGGTGGGCGGCGGGGTGGGCCGGGACAGCCCCGTAGCCCAGCGGGGGCGTGTGGATGTGGGGGTAGAACCCCGGGGGGAGCGCGGCGTGAGGCGACTGCTGCACGGGACCCGAGATCACCAGCTGGAGGAGGCTGCGAACACAAGCATAAGCGTCAGCGCGGGCGGGCTCCGGGGACTCCGCAGGTGCGCACG
This sequence comes from Homo sapiens, assembly GCF_000001405.40. NCBI lineage: Eukaryota > Metazoa > Chordata > Mammalia > Primates > Hominidae > Homo > Homo sapiens. Next base: position 6,607,898 of record NC_000007.14, on the reverse strand, counting down.
GTAGGCTGACCCCGTCCCCCCGCACCCCGCCCAGGAGAGGCACCGACACAGGCACGGACCACCCGGGGGTCCAGGCGGTGGACACGGAGAAGCAGTGGCAGAGCCAGGACCCCACAGGCGAGGATGCGTGGGAGTGGGCTCTGCACGGGGCCTGTGGCCCACGGAGCTCCGGCCGTAGCACTCCCGGGCGCGCAGCCCACACAGGTGGCCTCCACGTCAGCCTCTGCGGCTCTCTGCTGCGCTGGGACACACAGAACAGCTGGCCACAGTCTCCTCAGAGCCGAGAATGACCGCGCCCTACCTGAATTCCAAGCAGAAGCCCCAGGAAGCTGGCCTTGCAAACGACCCCGAAATTCAGAGTCCTGAAATTCAGAATGAGTCCGGTGCGGCCCCCTCGGGGACGGCCCAGGCCTGGACCCAGCCGTTACAGACCTCCGGGACCCACCCACCTCCCACCCCGCCCCGCGCAGCCTCAGCTTCAGATGCCCCCACTCTTGGGCACCCACCCCGCCCAGCACCCAGCACCGGGGCTCCGAGAACAGCTGCAAGCACGGTCTCCCCATCCGCCACCGCGCTCCCACCAAGGCCTCCGGGCCCCAGAGGCCTGGACCTCCCGTCCTGGTGGTACAGCACAACCACGGCCCGCACTTCCTGGAATCCTCCTCCCAGCAAATTCAACGTGGCTTTCCAACGCTGGGTCCCTTCCCAGACTCCTGAAAGAGTTTCTCACGGCCCTTGCCTTCTAACCACGCCCTCCCCAGGATGATCCCCCAACCCCCCAGAACTCCCTGGCTTGGCTCATCACCCCCAGCTCCCCCAGCCGAGGCGAGGGCTGCCCCGCTCTGTGTCAGCCGGAAACGACCAACTCCCCATGGGTTCTCCCCAGTCAGAACCTCTCTTGGCCGGGTCTGGTGGCTCACGCCTGTAATGCCAGCACTTTTGGAGGCCGACTGCTTGACGCCAGGAGTTCAAGACCAGACGGAGCAATACAGTGAGACCCTATCTCCACAGAAAATAAACTAAAAATTAGCTGGGCGTGGTGGTGCACACCTTTAGTCCCAGCTACTCAGGAGGCTGGGGCAGGAGGATTGCTTGAGTTCAGAAGTTCAAGGCTGCAGTGAGCCATGAGCCATGATTGTGCCACTGCACTCCAGCCTGGGAGCCAGTGTGAGTCCCTGTCTCAAAGAAAAAAAAAAAAAAAAAGGCCCTCTGGGGCCCTTCCCAGCTTCAGGTCCCAGGCCTCCTCCCTACCCTGCCTTCCCCTTGCTTCCCCCATCGGAAGCTTCTGCTGCAGACAGAGGGGCTCTGCCCGCCCCTCTCCTGACCTGCCCCAGGATCTTGCTCCGGCTGGGTCCTGTGTCTGCAGCGCCTGCACTGGTCTCTCCTAACACCAAGGCCAGCCTGCCGGGTTCTACTCACACCCCGTCACTTAGCCAAGGCTCCGTCCCTGCATATTATCCTAACTGGGTCCCACAACAACCCGTTTTCCCAGCCACGGCCCTGCCTGCTCTCTGTCTACTCCCCCATACTCCATCAAGGGGCTGGTCTGTCACAGACTGAACCCCCAAGCTCCCCAGTACAAAGGCTTGGGCCCAGGGCCCCCAGGAGGGGCTGAGGCAGTAAACAGAGGGTATGTGGAGGGCTGGTGCATTCGGTGCCCAAAGTTCTTCTGAGCCCCCTTTCTTTCTGTTACTACTATTAAATAACCCTGGGTAAGTAACTTAGCAAGAGATTAACGAACCCAAGGAGGAGGTACTGCAGAGTACTGCAGAGGCCAAATTTCGGTCATGTGATGATTTGAACCTGTACACACCCTGCCGGAGATAGAAAGCACTTCAAGAAGTTTCCAGTCTATTTGGAAACACGGTGAACACAGAGACTGTCACAAATCTAAGAGGTAGGCCAGGCGTGGTGGCTCACACCTGTAATCCCAGCACTTTTGGATGCCGAGGAAGGCAGATCACCTGAGGTCAGGAGTTCGAGGCCAGCCTGGCCAACATGGCGAAAACCCGTCTCTATTAAAAATACAAAAATTAGCTGGGCGTGGTGGCAGTTGTCTGTAATCCCAGCTATCCGGGAGGCTGAGGCAGGAGAATCGCTTGAACCCGGGAGGCAGAGGTTGCAGTGAGCCGAGATCACACCACGGCACTCCAGCCTGGGTGACAGAGCGAGACTCTGTCTCAAAAAAGAAAAGAAAAGAAATGTAGGAGGTATTCCAGGCGACCCCCTGTCCTTCCCCAACAGCAGTGCCAGGCCTGCCCCGGGAGGTCAGGGCTCCCCAAATCTGCGTCAGGAGAGGCGGCCACCAGCTCCTTGGAAGGGATGGAGTCAAGAGTCTCCAGGGCAGGACCAGCAGGGGACTGCTGATTAGTTCTGGGGGGCTCTAATGTGGACCCCTGGTTATAAGACTCGGATGATACACAGGATTTGTATCCTGCTGTCTTTTTAATTCCCTGAAGAAAACATTAAAATGTTAAATAAAAGCGGTGGACAAAGAAGGGAACTATCACAAAGGGATTCCTGCAGGAGGGGAAAGGTGCCAGCTGATACCAACAATGTTCTTCGATGCTGTGGAAACTTCTAGAACCCAGACCAAAAAAAGGAAAAAGAGGCCAGGTACAGTGGCTCATGCCTGTAATCCCAGCACTCTGGGAGGCCGAGACAGGCAGATCACTTGAGGTCAGGAGTTCGAGACCAGCCTGGCCAACATGGCGAAACCCTGTCTCTACTAAAAATACAAAAATTAGGCGTGGTGGCAGGCACCTGTAGTCCCAGCTACTCAGGAGGTTGAGGCAGGAGAATCGCTTGAATCCAGGACGCGGAGGTTGCAGTGAGCTGATATCAGACCACTGCACTCTAGCCTGGGTGACACAATGAGACTCTGTCTCAAAAAAACAAAACAAAAAAAACAAAGAGAAAAAGAAAAAGAGGAGAGGAAGAGTGTGGGCCCCTGGGAGAGGTGGCCCTCTGATCTGTCTGTGCTGCTGTCATGACACCTCACGCAGGACAGTCTTATCCCAGAGACTGTTCCCTTCCGCCCCCTCAGGCTTTGTACCCATCCAGACATCTGCCCCGGCTCCTCCCTTGCAGAACCTGGCAGAGTGAGTGTGGCACGGATGGGAGTCCCCAACCCCCACACAAGGATGCGGTTCCTCTGCAGGCTGTGGACCAGCATCCGGCTGAACCCTGGACTCGAGTTATGCATGTTTCTGTCTCAGCCTGCGAGCGCTGCCCAGCGCTCTGCTGCTGGACCTGACACGGCCACTGGGCCAGGCTGAGGCTGTGTGCACCCCCAGGGCTGCCGAGCCACTCACTGACCCTCTGTCCACACTGCTCACCAACACCTGCCCTGGAAGCCTGCTTCTCCTTGCTAAAGACCAGTGTGAGGGCTCTGAAGGAAGAACATTACTAACCCCACCAAGCTCACTTTGTCATTTCTATAAACCCTGTCCATGTGCACAGGGGTTCTGCTTTCCACTATCAACATTTCCTCCCCAGCAGTCAGTTACTATTTGTAGCAGATGCATAATGTTCCATCCTCCTGAGGTATCACAGCTCATTTACTAAGTATCACCCCGCTGTAGGACAGGTTGTTTCCAGTTCTTTGCTAGTTAGTAACTGCATCGGTATGAAACATTTTTTGTGCATACAAAAATCAGCCTGCTGTGGTGGCGCACACCTGTAGTCCCAGCTACTTGGGAGGCTGAGGTGGGAGGATGGCTTGAGCCCAGGACGCAGAGGCTTGCAGTGAGCCGAGATCGTGCCACTGCACTCCAGCCTCTGCAACAAAGCAAGACTGTCTCAAAAAGAAAAAAAGCAGCTGACACTTTTTAGATATTCACTACAGGCCAAGTACTAGTTTAAGTGCATTCTGTGTTTTCACTTTTTCTTTTTTTTTTTAAGAGACAGGGTCTTGCTCTGTTGCCCAGGTAGTACAGTTGCGACCACAACTCAGTGCAGCCTCAAACTCCTGGGCTCAAACAATCCTTGTGTCAGCCGCCCGAATGAATAGCTGGGATTACAGATGCACGCCACCATATTTGGCCAATTTTTTTTTTTGAAACGGAGTTTTGCTCTTATTGCCCAGGCTGGAACGCAATGGTGCGGTCTTGGCTCACTACAACTTCTGCTTCCTGGGTTCAAGCAATTGTCCTGCCTCAGCCTCCCAAGTAGCTGGGATTACAGGCACCCGCCACCATGCCTGGCTAACTTTTGTATTTTTAGTAGAGATGGGGTTTCACCATGTTGGCCAAGTTGGACTCAAACTCCTGACCTCAGGTGATCCGCCCACCTTGGCCTCCCGAAGTGCTGGGATTACAGTTGTGAGCCGTGCCCAGCCTTTTTGTTTTTGTGAGACAGAGTCTGGCTCTGTCACCCAGGATGGAGTGCAGTGGCACGACCTCAGCTCACTGCAAACTCCGCCTCCTAGGTTCAAGTGGTTCTCCAGCCTCAGCCTCCCAAGTAGCTGTGATTACAGGTGCATGCCACCACACCTGGCTAATTTTGTATTTTTAGTAGAGATGGGGTTTCACCATGTTGGCCAGGCTGGTCTCAAACTCCTGACCACAAGTGATCCACCTGCCTCGTTCTCCCAAAGTGCTGGGATTACAGGTATGAGCCACCACATCTGGCCTTTTTATTTTTTATTTTTGACAGAGTTTCACTCTGTTGCCCAAGCTGGAGTGCAGTGCCATGCTCTTGGCTCACTGAAACCTCCACCTTCCGGGTTCAAGTGATTCTCCTGCCTCAGCCGCCCGAGTAGCCGGGATTACAGGTGCGCACCACCACGCCCGGCTAATTTTTGTATTTTAAGTAGAGACGGGGTTTCACCATGTTGACCAAGCTGGTCTCGAACTCCTGACCTCAGGTGATCCACCTGCCTCAGCTTCCCAAAGTGCTGGGATTACAGGCGTGAGCCACCACACCCCAGCCCTGGCCTGTTTTCACTCATTTAATCCTCACAAAAATCTTACGGTGAGAAGCTGGGGTAGGCAAGAGGGACATGAGGCAGGTCCCATGGTTTTCTTGATTTTACACATGAGGACTTCAGGCAGAAGGCAGGGAAGCTGACCAAGGACATATGGACTTTTGGAAGTGGCAAGGCCCGGATTCTCTCCAGAATCTGACCACAGTTCCCACTTTTCACCTGATGACTGCGTTTGTGGAGGTCTCCACGTGGCAAGGAGTAGGATGAGAAATTCACAAACACCACTGGGTCTCATCCTCACTACCGTCCTGTGAGTCAGGGAACAGTATCACCCCCATTTTACAACGGGGTAAGCTGAGGCATAGAGACAGGTCAAGAGACTTCCCAAGTGTCACAGCCAATCCCAGACAGGGCCGCGCCCAGAACCCAGGTCCGTGCCGCCTGATGGCCAAGCGCTGGCAGCTAGCCTAACAAACGTACAGTGCTGTAGGGCTGTGGCTCTGCGAGACTTCCCAAAGGGCTGTGCAGTTCACAGTGCCACCAACAGAGGGCCCCCTGCGCCACACCCACCACTCAACAGGTGCACCTTCACTAGGGAGCTTTCGGTGATACAGGGACTGGCCTCTCTCACAGACTACCAGCAAGATGACCATTTTTCAGGTTTACTTTCTACTTGAGTTCCATTCACGTGCGTTTTCTGATGCTCCACTTATCATCATGTGCTTACTGGGCTCTCCCCAAAGAACCCAGGACAAAGGGGCTCGCCCTGTCTTGCCTCCCTCCACCCTGCTCCAGCAAGCTGGCCCAGCTAGGAGTCCTGAGGATACTTACTTATTATGGGGCAGCCTGGAGCACAAGGTTCTCAGGTCATCTGCAATTAAGGAGATACAAGATTAATGAACATACTGGAGACAACACGGTGAAATACACACTGACGTTCTTTGCAAGGATGCTAGCAAGACAGCAAGAGCGCCTCATACTACATTTCCCTAGTGTCATTTAGAAACTGAGTTCTAGCCGGGCGCAGTGGCTCACGCCTGTATTCCCAGCACTTTGGGAGGCTGAGGCGGGTGGATCACCCGAGGTCAGGAGTTTGAGACCAGCCTGACCAACATGGTGAAACCCCATCTCTACTAAAAATACAAAAATCAGTCAGGAGTGGTGGTGGGCACCTGTAGTCCCAGCTACTCAGGCGGCTGAGGCAGGAGAACTGCTTGAACCTGGGAGAGGGAGGTTGCAGTAAGCCGAGATCACACCACTGCACTCCAGACTGGGCAACAGAGTGAGACCCTGTCTCGAAAAAAAAAAAAAGAAAGAAAAAAGAAGAATCTGAGTTCTCCTTGTCTTCAATTTTTGCTTTAAAAAACCCGTCCCCTGGCTGGGTGCAGTGGCTCACGCCTGTAATCCCAGCATTTTGGGAGGCTGAGGCGGGCGGATCACTTGAGGTCAGGAGTTTGAAACCATCCTGGCCGACATGGTGAAACCCCGTCTCTACTAAAAATACAAAAATTAGCCAGACGTGCTGACACATACCTGTAATCCCAGCTACTTGGGAGGCTGAGGCGGTAGAATCACTAGAACCCGGGAGGCAGAGGTTGCAATGAGCCGAGATCGCACCACTGCACTCCAGCCTGGGCAAAGAAGCGAGACTCCACCTCAAAAAAAAAATAAATGAATAAAAATAAATTATGCCTCAATAAAAAAGGACAAGGACAGGCAGAGTGGTAATCCTAGCACTTTTGGGAGGCTGAGGCAGGAAGATCACTTGAGCCCAAGAGTTTGAAACCAGCCTGGACAAGATGGTGAGACCCTGACTCTACAAAAATCTTTTTAAAAAATTAGCTGGGTGTGGTGGTACACACTTGTAGTCCCAGCTACTCTGTGGCTGAGGGAGGAGGATTGCCTGAGCTCAGGAGCTGGAGACTGTGGCGAGCTACGATCGTGCCACTGCACTCCAGCTTGGGCAACAGAGTGAGAAACCCTGTCTCATAAAAATAAATAAAGAGAAATAAAAATAAAAAAGGACACAGAAAAAGAAACGGCACGGTGGCTCATGCCTGTAATCCCAGCACTTTGGATGGTAGAGGTGGCACCAGGTGACCATCCTGGCCAACATAGTGCAACTGTCTCTACTAAAAATACAAAAATTAGCCAGGCGTGGTGGCGCATGCCTGTAGTCCCAGCTCTTCGGGAGGCTGATGCACGATGATTGCTTAAACCCAGGAGATGGAGGTTGCACTGAGTTGAGATCGTGCCACTGCACTACAGTCTGGACAACAGCGTGAGACTCCGTCGCAATAAATAAATAAATAAAAATAAGATAAAATAAAAAAGAAAAAGGGTTCCTTGGAAGGAAAGCTATCTAGGCTCTCAAGGAGTCCCCAGTCCTGGGCGACACTGAGACCTCCCATCTGTGGGATGTTAGGACCCTGACGGGGTGAGCAGGGAGGGTGGAATGCAGGGGGCACGGCTGGGGCACCTTCCTCCCCTGTGTTCACTAGGAGGAAAAGAAGTCCTAAATGAAGCAAAAACAGTGTCTGTCCAGGAGCCCCTCCTTCCTTCTGCAGGGCGGCGGTGTCCCCGCACCAGGAGGCCTGGGCCAGGGAGGCACCCACCTCTCGTGCACAGCAGAGCTCCTGAGGCCATGGCCACCTGCAGAGCCTGCGCCAGCCGGTCCAGCGAGAGCTCAATCTCCTGGGAGGCGTTGAGGGGGTTCAGTTCATCCGCCAACCTGTTGATCTCCTCTACCAGCGGGACCATGTGGTCGAAGAGGATCAGCCCCAGGCGCCCATACAGATTCTTCTCGGTCAGGTGCAGCTGCAGCGTCATGAGCACTTGCAGGACGCTGAGGTGGAGTTTTGAGTACAAGAGGTGGGAGTCTCTGTCCATCCCCACGCCCGGGTCCTTTGTGACCTTGTTGCTGACATGGCCATTGGATAAGGGGGGCTTCTTTTTCCTTTTATAAGCCAGGGGTGCCTTCACGCACCAGCGGATCAATCCAACGAGCGGGGTGAGCTCTAAGAATCCTATTGGCAGATTGGCCGCAATCGGAGTATTTAAAAAAGTGATGAGAATCAACCTTGGGTCCTCAAAAATCCAGGTGACAATCATTTCAAGCAAGTCCATAGGTGGAATGAGGTCATCTGCAAACAAAGACCATTAGGTCAGGAGCACTCTTGGCCTCGAGGACAGGGGCGGGAAGTGGAGAGAGGGAAGCCTGACCCCAAGGCCCATGGCACTGCCCACCTGATGGTCTGGATCACGCCTCCTGGCTTAGCTATTTTCTGTCCCCTTTCCTAGAACATCCACACCAGGGGGACTGGGAGTCTCATCTCAGTCACTGTCACATCCCAGTGCCCAGGACCCTGGAGCAAGGGAGAGGCTGCAGAAATACTTAAGTCTACAATTCCCTGGAACTCCAACATGCTTTGGAGAAATTGCCTCCTGCATGTTAATTTAGATAAAATTCCACGGTTTTTCTATCCCACACTGCCACACGTCACCCCTTCCCTGAGTACGTGTCCTCCCGGTGCTCAGTGTCTCCTGTATGGGGCAGTGACAGCAATGGTGGCCTTCAGGGAGCAGCTCAGAGTCCTGTCAGTGATCTGGCTGCTGCCAAGGGCCGTCCCAACCCCAAACTTGGAACCCTCATCTAAGCAACCCTCAGAGATGTGATCCCTGAGACCTGGCAGGCTCTGTGGCCCAGACAGAGAAGAACAGATGGTGACACTTAGTCTGGGCTTCCTATGAGCCCGGCACAGGTCTCAACGCTTTACACAGACGAACTCGTTTAATCCTCCCTCCACCCCAGCAATTAGTCTCATACAAAGGACAAAGAAACTGAGGGACAGTCATGTCAAGTGATTTCCCCAGGACTCGTCGAAAGTATATGGCCCAGGCTCACACCTGCAATCCCAGCACTTTGGGAGGCCAAGGTGGGAGGATCACTTGAGTTCAGGAGTTCGAAACCAGCCCTGGAAACATAGTGAGACCCAGTCTCTACAAAAATTCTTAAAAGTTAGCCGGCAGTGGTGGTGCACACCTATATTCCCAGCTATTCAGGAGGCTGAGGTAGGAGGATCACTTGATACTGGGAGGTGAAGGTTGCAGTCAGCTGTGGCTGTCCCACTGTACAACAGCCTGAGCAACAGAGTGAGATCCTGCCTCAGGAAAAAAAAAAAAAATACACACACACACACACACACACACACACACACACACACACACACACACACAAAGCATACAGCCCAGATCTGACCTCAGCAGCCTGGCTTTTAATCAGGAGGCTATACTGTGCATGCGGGGCTTGGTGTGCAATGCCCTTAGGCTGCCTGTGTGCACAGGAGGGCGTCCTCAGCCCCCTCTCTCTGGGGCTGTGCCCACCATCTGAGATGATTCCTGCCAACTGTTGGAGTATGAACCGCCCTGCCCACCTACTGCAGTGAGACGATGGCTACAGCGGGGAGCAGCTGCTGTCCTGTGTGCCTTTTTTTTTTTTTTTTTGAGATGGAGTCCCACTCTGTTGTCCAGGCTGGAGTGCAGTGGCGTGATCTCAGCTCACTGCAAACTCTGCATCCCGGGTTCAAGCGATTCTCCTGTCTCAGCATCCCGAGTAGCTGGGACTATAGGCGCCTGCCACCACACTGGCTAATTTTTGTATTTTTAGTAGAGATGGGGTTTCGCCATGTTGGCCAGGCTGGTCTCCAACTCCTGACTGCAGGTGATCCGCCCACCTCGGCCTCCCAAAGTGCTGGTATTACAGGAGTGAGCCACCCGTCCCGGCCACGTGTGCAGCCTCTTGATTCCACAGAGATGTTTCTGTTTGGGCAACACCAGGTCATACCCACCTCTCCAGTGTATCCCCGCCCCCTCAGATCTGAGCTGACGCATCTCTACCAGCCTGTAGAAAATGTGTGCGTGTGCACACTTGTGCAGGTGTGCCCTCATCATACACGTTGGCATGTTCGCTTCATGAGTCCTCAGTCTCTAGGATCCCAGTTAGGGTCTCTAGAGTCCCACGTTCTCAGCTCCATCCAGGAAAGGGGGGATATAATTATGTGGGTATCTTCCTTTTTGTGCTTTGAAGACACGGGCTCCCCAAGAATGCTCTCCTGTTACCAGAAGTGCCCAACAGCGGTTTCAGTCACCATTCGGATGGTGACTTCCAGGGCCACTGCTGTGTGGCAGTGACTTGAGAAATCACCAACATCTCAACGGACATACTGGCTTAAGAGAAAAACAGTTTCAGATCTGCTGTGCTGTGTCAGTGGCATTCCCTGAATATTCTTTCCTGTTCCATATGCTAACTCATCCCTTCCCCATGGTAAGGCCAGTTTCTGTTTTTGTTGGCCTGGAATAACCAATGACTTAAAAGGTAGGTCGGGTGTGGTGGCTCATGCCTGTAATCCCAGCACTCTGGGAGGCTGAGGCAGGGAGATCACTTAAAGTCAGGAGTTTGAGACCAGCCTGGCCAAGAGGGTGAAACCCTGACTCCACGAAAAATACAAAAATTAGCCAGGCGTGGTGGCGCATGCCTATAGCCCCAGCTACTCAGGAGGCTGAAGCAGGAGACTCGCTTAAACCTGGGACATGGAGGTTGCAATGAACCGAGATCACACCACTGCACTCCAGCCTAGGTGACAGAGTGAGACTCCATCTCAAAAAAAAAAAAACCAAAAAGCCAACTATGATACCATAGCTGGGTTCAGTGAAATCTTTCCTATTGGAAGATGAAAGACCTGAATACCACTCCCACCTGTTAACAGCAATTAGGAAGCCTTTGGAGGAGAGAGAAGGGAAATCCCACTGCAGCAGCGTGGCCCTGCTCCCCAACACCTGCCTCCCATTCCACGAGGAAACTGCTAGGAAAAGAAGAGTATGAAATTAGCATATGCAGCTGGCACAGTGGCTCACGCCTGTAATGCCAGCATTTTTGGGAGGCCGAGGCGGGTGGATCACGAGGTCAGGTGATCGAGACCATCCTGGCTAACACGGTGAAACCCCATCTCTACTAAAAATACAAAAAATTAGCCGGGTGTGGTAGCGGGCGCCTGTAGTCCCAGCTACAGGCTGAGGCAGGAGAATCGCTTGAATCTGGCAGGCGGAGCTTGCAGTTGAGTCGAGATCGCACCACTGCACTCCAGCCTGGGCGACAGAGCGAGACTCTGTCTCCAAAAACAAACAACAAGAAAGAAAGAAATTAGCGTACGAATATGCACGCGCTTGCATGTTCACAATATTTCCACACAAACTTTCTCAAGAGAGTTACAAAACCTAACAACAAGAAAAAAGGTGGCCGGGCACAGTGGCTCACACCTGTAATCTCAGCACTTTGGGAGACTGAGCCAGGTGGATCATCTGAGGTCAGGAGTTCAAGACCAACCTGGCCAACATGGTGAAACCCCATCTCTACTAAAAATACAAAAAGTAGCCGGGTGTGGTGGCGCACACCTACAATCCCAGCTACTCGGGAGGCTGAGGAAAGAGAATCTCTTGAACCCAGGAGGCAGAGGTTGTGGTGAGCCAAGATCATGCCACTGCACTCCAGCCTGGACAGCAGAGTGAGATTCCGTCTCAAAAAAAAAAAAAAAAAAAAGGGTGACAGATAAAAGAAGGCTCGGCTGGGCGCAGTGGCTCACGCCTGTAATCCCAGCACTTTGGGAGGCCGAGATGGGTGGATCAGGAGGTCAGGAGTTCGAGACCAGCCTGGCCAATATGGTGAAACCCCATCTCTACTAAAAATACAAAAATTAGTCAGACATGGTGGTGCGCGCCTGTAGTCCCAGCTAGCTACTCAGGAGGCTGAGGCACGAGAATTGTTTAAACCCAGGTGGCGGAGGTTGCAGTGAGCCAAGATCATGCCACTGCATTCTAGCCTGGGCGACAGAGGGAGACTCTGTCTCAAAAAAAGAAAAAAAAAAAGAAGGCTCAAAAATAGTCAGGAGGCTGGTGGGAGACCAATACTGGACTGAATAAAAATGACAGATGCTGTTGAAGGCTTTCAAAGTGCTGGTATGGCTATCAGACCAGGAAGAGAAAGAGACTATTTGTCAGCCCTGTGAGCAGCAACAGCCAAGGGCAGAGGAGGAGGAATCAGAAACAGCAGCAGAAAAGCAGGTTTTGTCAGCCAGGCCTGGTAGTGTGTGCCTACAGTCCCAGCAACCTGGAAGGCTGGGGTGGGAGTATCACTTGAGCCTAAGAGTTTTGAGGCTACAGTGACCTATGACTGCACCACCGTATTCCAGCAGCCTGTGCAACAGAGCAAGATTCTATATCCAAAAAAGTAAAAAAAATTAAAGAAAGTATGGGGATGATAAGAAATCAAGTCATATGTCCAGGGAGTGGGTCACATCTCACAGACACTAGAGCTTGCTTTCTGGGCTGCCTGCCACTTGGACCATTGCACCTCAGGCAAATGGGTATCACTAATAGTTCCCTCTTAGCAAACTGCACACGTCCAGGTGGTCCACACCTTTAGCTTTTAACCTAAATTAAAAACACACATTTCAGGCTGGGTGCAATGGCTCACACCTGTAATGCCGACACTTTAGGAGGCCGAGGTGGGAGGACTGCTTGAGTCCAGGAGTTCAAAACCACACTGGGCAACACAGTGAAACTCCATCTCTACAAAAAATATAAAAAATCAGCCAGACATGGTGTTGCAAACCTGTGGTCCCGACTACTCAGGAGGCTGAGGGAGAATTGCTTGAGCTCAGGGTTCAAGACCAACCTGGACAACATGGCGAAACCCTGTCTCTATAAAAAATACAAAAATTAGCCAGGCGTGGTGGCATGCACCTGTAGTCACAACTACTCGAGAGGCTGAGGCAGGAGAAACACTTGAGCCTTGGGGGCAGAGACTGCAGTGAGCTGGGATCACGCCTCTGCACTCCAGCCAGGGTGACAGAGTGAAACCCTGTCTCAAAAAATAAAAAATAAAAACTCAGCTGGGCACGGTGGTGCACACCTATAATCCTAGCAGTTTGGGAGGCCGAGGCGGGTGGATCACTTGAGATCAGGGGTTTGAGATCGGCCTGGCCAACACATTAAAACCCCATCTCTACTAAAAACGCACAAAAAAATTAGCCAGGAGTAGTGGCGCATGCCTGCTATAGTCCTAGCTACTCGGGAGGCTGAGGCAGGAGAACTGCTTGAACCTGGGAGGGGGAGGTTACAGTGAGCTGAGATAACACCACTGCACTCCAGCCTGGGCAACAGACTCCATCTCAAAAAATAATAAAAATAAAAATATACATTTCAGAGACAAAACAGCCAAAGCATTCACTGGACACTTCACCTGGGTATTCAGTGGAAAATAAAACTAGCCATTGACTGAAGCTTCTTCCATAGAAATAACCTGTTTAAAGTTTACCTGATGACAGGTCATAGAGCGCGGTAACGGAGGTGATGAACTGGCAGCAGAATCTCGGGCTGGCACTGAATATCTGCTTCAGCGTCTGAATGGATCCCGGCACCAAACAGCAGTAGTCATCTACAAGGGCCTTGGCTAACCTCACACAGTAAACCACGGGCGTCCGCTGGAAAGAAGCCACACAGTCCACTTAACTACAGATGTCGTGAGTGAGTAGACCAGCAACTATGCACACACAGTGACCACCTCCAGAAATGGCAGAACCACTTCCAAGACAAAAAAAAGATGTTAATGGGGCCGAGTGTGGTGGCTCATATCTGTAATCCCAACACTTTGAGAGGCCGAGGCGGGTGATCACCTGAGGTCAGGAGTTCGAGACCAGCCTGGCCAGCATGGTGAAACTCGTCTCTACTAAAAATACAAAATTAACTGGGAATGGTGGGGCATGCCTGTAATCCCAGCTACTTGGAAGGCTGAGGCAGGAGAATCACTTACACCTGGGAAGCAGAGGTTGCAGTAAGCCAAGATCACACCACTGCACTCCAGCGTGGGCAACAAAAGCAAAACTTCATCTCAAAAAAAAAAAAAAAAAAAAAAAAGTTAAAGGCTTACACTGAAGCAGGGGTGGGCAATCTGAAGCTCACTGACCAGGCTGGGCACGGCGGCTCATGCCTGTCATCCCAACACTTTGGGAGGCCGAGGCGGGAGGATCACTTGAGCCCAGCAGTTCCAGATGAGCCTGGGCAACACAGCAAGAACCCATCTCTATAAAAAATAGAAAAAATTAGCCAGATATGGTGGCACATACCTGTAGTCCCAGCTACTCAGGAGGCCGAGGCGGAAGGATGGCTTGGGCCTAGGAAGGTTGAGTCTGCAGTGAGCCCCGTGGTCACACCACTGCACTCCAGCATGAGCAACAGAGCAAGACCGTCTCAAAAAAAAAAAAAAAAACAGAAAAACACCACCTGACTGGGTGTGGTGGCTCATCCCTGTAATCCCAGCATTTTGGGAGGCCGAGGCAGGCGGATCACAAGGTCAGGAGATCGAGACCATCCTGGCTAACACAGTGAAACCCCGTCTCTACTAAAAATACAAAAAAATTGGCCGGCACCACTGATGGTGGGCGCCTGTAGTCCCAGCTACTCGAGAGGCTGAGGCAGGAGACTAGGGTGAACCTGGGAGGCAGAGCTTGCAGTGAGCCGAGATCGCGCCACTGCACTCCAGCTTGGGCGACAGAGAAAGACTCTGCCTCAAAAAAAAAAAAAAAAAAACCACCGCACAGACCAAATTTGTCCCACCACCCGTTTTTGTTAACAAAATTTCACTGAGACGTGATCGCGCTTATTCGTTTGCTTACTGCCTAAAGCTGTTCTTGCACTAGAAGGAAAGAGGTGAGTAGCTGTGAAAGAGACTACAGGACCCGCAAAGCCGAAGACAGTTCACTATCTCGCCCTCTACATAAAACATCTGCCAGCTCTTGCTTTACAGTTTACTTAGGAAACATCATTTCTGCCTTCAGGTGAGGAAATGACAACTTCTGTACCCTACAGGATCCCAGGTGAGATGCCACAGGTAAAAATTAACAGCTGCTATCACATTGAAGAGATTCAGGAGAGTCAGTGAACTGCCACATGATGAAAATGTGTGTTTACAGCAGTACTTGCTAAATTTCTCTTAAAATCTTATTCTTAAGCTGGGCGCAGTGGCTCATGCTTATAATCCCGGCACTTTGGGAGGCTGAGGCAGGAGGATCGCTTGACCTCAGGAGTTCGTGACCAGTCTGGGCAACATGGTGAAACCCTGTCTCTACAAAAAAATACAAAAACTAACCAGGCATGGTGGTGTGCGCCTGTGGTCCCAGCTACTTGGAGGGCTGAGGTAGGAGGATCACTTGAGCCCAGGAGGCAAAGGCTGTAGTGAGCTAAGATTGCACCACTGCACTCCACCCTGGGTGACAGACTGAAACCCTGTCAGAAAAAAAAAAAGAAAAAGAAAAAAAAACACACCCTAATTTAAAAAAAAAGTTTTTTTTTTGAGACTGAGTCTCACTCTGTAACCCAGGCTGGAGTGCAGTGACACAATCTCGGCTCACGGCAACCTCCGCCTCCCATATTCACACGATTCTCCTGCCTCAGCCTCCCAAGTAGCTGGGACCACAGGCGCGTGCTACCACGCCTGGCTAATTTCTGTATTTTCAGTAGAGACAGGGTTTCACCATGTTGGCCAGGCTGGTCTCAAACTCCTGACCTCAAGTGATCTGCCCCCCTTCGGCCTCCCAAAGTGCTGGGATTACAGGAGTGAACCACTAAGCATGGCCAAAAAAAATAATTTAAACAAACAAACAAAAAACACTCCAGAAATCTAATTAAATGAGAATTCCGAACAGCAAAATCATCTTCAGAGACTCTCAGGGGAGACTCTTTTTTTTTTGAGACGGAGTCTTGCTCTGTCACCCAGGCTGGAGTGCAATGGCACCATCTCAGCTCACTGCAACCTCTGCCTCCCGGGTTCATGTGATTCTCCTGCCTCAGCCTCCTGAGTAGCTGGGGTTACAGGTATGCAACACCATGCCCGGCTAATTTTGTATTTTTAGTAGAGACATGATTTCGCCATGTTGGTCAGGCTGGTCTTGAACCCCTGACCTCAAGTGATCCGCCCACCTCAGCTTCCCAAAGTGCTGGGATTACAGGCATGAGCCACCGCACCCGGCCGAGGGTCTCTCTTGAGCAGTACCTGAAGCCAGGAGGCAGCACACTCCAACACCGGGATTCGACACACAGCCACCGCCATGGAGACCAGTTTTCCCAACAAGCTCATCCGGCTGTCATCGGCTTTGTTCCCTTGAGGGCTGAAAAGGGATGAAAAAATAATCTGCCGAACAGAGTCCTTGGTTTGCTCCTGGAAATAATTGCACATGATTTCAAGAAGTTGAAGCTCCTGAAGGGAATTCAGTCTCTGCAAAAGAAATCCCGGAAAAGCGTTAAGAAATGTGGCTGTAACGTACTTATTAACTCATACATTAAGAAAACAGGAAATAGACTGGGCGCGGTGGCTCATGCCTGTAATCCCAGCACTTTGGGAGGCCAAGGTGGGCGAATCACGAGGTCAAGAGTTCGAGACCAGCCTGGCCAACATGGTGAAACCCCATCTCTACTAAAAATACAACAATTAGCCGGCATGGTGGCGCGCACCTGTAATCCCAGCTACTCGGGAGGCTTAGGCAGGAATCTCGCTTGAACCTGGGAGGCGGAGGTTGCAGTGAGCCGAGATCGCACCACTGCACTCCAGCCTGGTGACAGAGTGAGACTCCGTCTCAAAAAAAAAAAAAAAAAGAAAAACAGGAAATAACAGTATTTTCCCGTAGAACTTTTCGCCCTTCGTAAAGTTCCCGTAGAACTTTTCGCCCTTCGTAAAGCTCAGGTCTCAGGGAGATCTTTGCTGTTGATCTTAGAAAAAAGTCATATAGGCCAGGCGTTGTGGCTCACGCCTGTAATTCCAACACTTTGGAGGCCAAGGAGAGAGAATCTTGAGCCCAGGAGTTTGAGACCAGCCTGGGTAACACAGGGAGGCCCCATCTCTACAAAACATTCAAAAATTAGCTGGGCATGGTGGTGCACGCCTGGAGTCCCAGCTACTCAGAAGGATGAGGCGGGAGGATTACTTGAGCCCAGGAGTTCAAGGTTGTAGTGAGCTGTGATTGCACCACTGCACTCCTGCCTGGGCAACGTAGTGAAACCTTGTCTCGAAAAAAAAAAAGGCAGAGAAAGAAAAAAAAAAGAAAAAGATGTAAGAAGAAAGCCATACAGATCATTATACATCCTCCTGGAGGGTTCAGGATGAGCCTTTCGGTAACAGCCCAACAGACCTCTAGGGAGCGGGCAGTCGCCAGTTTGTCCCTTTAACACCAAGACTCGGCTGTCACACGCCCCGCAGACTGGACAGGCAGCTGAGCAACACTGCAGGACCCGGAGAAGGGTTTGGGGGCTGCTGCAGGAGCGAGGCCGAGCGCGAGCGCGGGGATCCTGGACATGGGGCGCCCGCGGCTTGACACAGCCCTGCATCGCTGGGGAAAAGGCCCGCCCGCCCGCCTGCGGGGCCCGGGAACCCGACCGTCTCAGGCCGCACCTTGGGCTGCGCGCTGCGCTCCTTGGGCACCTGGAACACGAACTCCTCCAGCAGCTCCACGGGGCCCTTGTCCACGATGGGCAGCGGCGCGCTCTGCAGCTGGCTGCTGAAGTAGATGTCCAGGTGGTACAACACCTCCTTGGCGGCGCTCAGCGCATCGCGGCGCAGCAGCGAGTGGCGGATGTCGCTCATGGTGCGGCCGCCGCGGCCCCCGCGCCGAGCGCGTCTCACTTCCGCCCGGGGCCCGGGACTGCGCCGCTACCCGTGGAAACAAAGAGGCGCGACCCGGGCCTGGGCTGCGGCACCCGCCCGCTTGCCCGCCTGCCGCCGCCTGCTCCCTGCCTGCTCAGGGGGCCATCGCTGCTGCCGCCGGCCAGCAGGCGCCCGAAGGTCCGACTGCGGCGCCGCCAGGAGCCGCCGGGAGCTGCCGCCGCGCAGCCGAACAGCGGCCGAATGCCGGGCACGGAGACGGCGGCCCGCAGGGGCCAAGCGCAGGCCGCGGCCTAGGCGCGCTCTCCGGAGGGCGCCCCCTGGCGGCGCGAGCGGTGAGGGGCGCGCCGCGGTCCCAGGTGGACCCCGCCCCCGGAGCCCGCCCAACCGCCGGTGCAGGCCCGCTCCGTCCTTGCCCAGGCTCCCTCGCGGGCTGTGCGTCGCGTTCAGAGCTGCCGCTGGTTGATTTCACGGTGCTTTCCACCAGCAAGAATTGGGGGTGGTGCCGGGCTTTGGCTTCGGCCAGCGGACTTGGGTTCCCTGGCCGCCCCAGCTACCCGTCTTCACGTTTCCATCTGTTCTCAGCTGGGGGGTACGGGGGAAGATGGCTGGAAGGCCCCCTGCCCCTGACTCCCACTTCCCAGCCTCTCTGACTGCGGGCTCCTTGGCCTAGCAAGGTGCAGAACACCTGCCACCTGCACCTGAGAGCCCTCCCACTCCAAAGACCTTCCGCACCAAGACCTCGTTTCTGGCAGTCATGTCTCCTCTGAAATAGGTGGCAGTTCACTTTCACAATTTTTAAACTGGTGAGAAAGGACTTGAATGTGGCTAGAGGAGGGCAGGCCGGAGGCCACACATGCAGGAAGGTGCCTGATGTACAAGCCCATACTGGCCGGAAGGCAGGCCTGGGTGAGGACACTCTGTTGTTGAGATGAAAATCCCCTGGGGGAGAGAGGAGAATAGAGGGGGCATAAAAGAGAGCACAGCCAGGCACAACGCGCAGGCGCTGAGTCAATGAGACCCTCCTGCACATCACACAGGTCAGAGACACGGCCGCAAGCCCCTCCTGTCCACATGCCCAGAGTTTAGAGACACCAAGGTCTCAGCATCACCTAGAACCTCTGAGAAGTCATCTCTTGATCCCCTTGACACCAGGACTTCAGAGATGCCCGGTTTCAAAAGAAGACAAGCAAGGGGGATTCCTCAGTCAACACCCATTTTCCCCTCTCTCCCTTGCCCACCGAAAGTGATTTATAAGCACAGCAGAAATCAAAACAAACAAGCCATGCTTGGAAAACGAGGATCCACATGTGTAAATAAACGGGAACTACAGCTCAAAGGCAGTCATACACTTGTCATTCTTGTTTCTTCCTCTCATGACATGGAAAGGCAGGTAGAAAGATCTCTTGAAGGTTGCTCCGAAGCCCATGGGAGTGAATGTTCCGGTGGACTTGGGGCTCTGCTGACGGAGGCCAGGCCACAAGGGGACAACGCTGGCACCAGGCCCAGTCACCTCTGTACCACTCGTTAGTAGTCTGGTTGGTGGCCGCCAGATACAGGACAAACAACAGGTAGCCACCCAGGAGGAAGCTCAGAACCACGACAAAGCCCAGCATGAAGACAATCCGTGGAAAAGTCAGGAACAGGTACTAGGAGCAGAGAAAAGGTAGTGCTTTAGGCAGCTGGACTGTGACATCCATGAGAGTGAACACTGGCCAACCCTGGGCCTGCCACAGCCACCAGCGCTGCTTCCTCAGCCCACCTACTTGTGTCCAGATGTGACAAACTGAACATAAACAGCACTGAGAAGCAGCCCAGAATAATCCCAGTACATACAAGAGTTTCCTGTGGGATGAATGAAGTGTTCACACTGAAGGAAAAGGGAAAGTTTACTTAGGAAATGTGCTATTCCAGTTAGCTATTTATAAAATAAATGCAGACTTCATTCATCAATATAAAATCCAGATGGACAAAAGAGATCAATGTCTTTCTTAAAACAATACAACCCCAAAAATAGATGTACAAGGATATTCGTTGTATCATTGATTTTATCAGCCCCTCTTCCGAAGTTTTTTTCCTTTTCTTAATAAATAGAAACAGGGGCCGGGCGCAATGGCTCACGCCTATAATCCCAGCATTTTGGGAGGCCGAGGCGGGCAGATCACTTGAGGTCAGGAGTTTGACACCAGCCTGGCCAACATGGTGAAACCCTTCTCTACTAAAAATACAAAAGTTAGCCGGGTGTGGTGGCACAAGCCTGTAATCCCAGCTACTCAAGAGGCTGAGGCAGAAGAATTGCTTCAACCCGGGCGGTGAAGGTTACAGTGAGCTGAGATTGTGCAACTGCACTCCAGCCTAGGCGACAGAGCAAGACTCCATCTAAAAATAAATAAATAAATAAATAAATCAATAGAAACAGGGTCTTGCTATGTTGCCCAGGCTGCTTTCAAACTCCTGGCCTTGAGTGATCCTCCTGCCTTGACCTCCCAAATTGTTGGGATTACAGGCGTGAGCCACTGTGCCTGGCCAAGAAACAAGTTAAATGTCCATCCGTCAGGAAGGGTAAACTCTGGGATGGTCACACAATGGGAAAACGAGGAGCCATGAAAAATGATGTCAATTTCTATGTACTGATTGTGAAAAGACTTAATATATTGACTAATGAGAAAGGCAAGATGTAAGGATTACACTGTCATCTTGTTTGGGTAAAAACAAAACTGACTCCGTAAATGGTATATGACCATAGGAACTGCGCTGCTTAAAGTTTTGTAAGTTATTTTTGTAATAAGCAAAATGAAGAATTTAGAAAGTTTAATATTTTTGAAAGTCACAAGAAAAGAGAACATTTAACAAAACTCCTGATGGAGGAGACTTTCTTGTTGAAGTTACAAAGAAAAGAAATTTGATGAGAAAGAATGTCTGAACTTTTCTATACCAAAAAACCCCAAAAAACCCAAAACCCCATTCCCAAGATCCAAAAGATCCACAAACAAAAAAACAGTATAACAAAAGATTAACCGTCATTATTATATAAAGACCTCAAATCAAAAGTGATTCTGGGCCAGTCATGGTGGCTCACACCTGTAATCCCAGCACTTTGGGAGGCCAAGGTGGGAGCATTTGAGCCCAGGAGGTCCAGGTCATAGTGAGCTGTGATGGTACCACTGCACTCCAGCCTAGGTGACAGAGTGAGACTCTGTCTCAAAAAAAAAAAAAAGTTACCATATGACCCAGCAGTGCCACTTCTAGGTGGAATGTACCCAAGAGAAATATAAACATAAAACATAAAAACATAAACATAAAACATGTTTTATAAACATAAAAACCTATGTCCACACAAAAAACTTGTACATGAATGTTCACAGCAGTATTACTCAAAAATAGCCAAAAGTGAAAACACCAAAATGTCCATCAACTGATGAACAAATAATTAAAATTCAGTCTATCCATACAGCGGAATACTATTCAGCCATAAAAAAGAATGAAGTAAGGCCGGGCACGGGGTTTCATGCCTGTAATCCCAGCACTTTGGGAGGCCGAGGCGGGTGGATCACTTGAGGTCAGGAGTTCAAGACCAGCCTGGCCAACATGGTAAAACCCCTTCTCTGCTAAAATTACAAAAATTAGCCAGGCGTGGTGGCTCATGCCTGTAATCCCAGCTACACGGGAGACTGAGGCAGGAGAATTGCTTGAACCTGAGAGGCAGAGGTTGCAGTGAGCCAAGATCACACCATTGCACTCCAGCCTGGGCAACAAGAGCGAGACTCCATCCCAAATAAACAAAAGGAATGAAGTAGATTCGTGCTACATGAATTAACCCTGAAAACCTTGTGCCACAAGAAAGAAGCCAGTGGAAAAGACCATATATTGCATGATTCCATTTATATGAAGTGTCCAGAAAAGGCCTATCCCGAAAGACAGAAAGTAGATTAGTGATTACCTGGGTCTGGGGGAGGAGGGAATGGGGAGTGTTTCCTTTTGGGGATGATGAAATGTTCTGAAATTAGATAGTAGTGAGGGCTGAACAAGTCTGTGAATATACTTATACCACTGTGGGATACTTTAAAGGGTGAATTTTATGATATGTGAATTTTTTTTTTTTTTGAGATGGAGTTTCTCTCTTTCGCTCTTGTTGCCCAGGCTGGAGTGCAATGGCACGATCTTGGCTCACTGCAACCTCCGCCTCCCAGGTTCAAGTGATTCTCCTGCCTCGGCCTCCCGAGTAGCTGGGACTACAGATGCTGGCCACCATGCCTGGCTAACTTTTTTGTATTTTTAGTAGAGACGAGGTTTTACCACATTGGCCAGGCTGGTCTTGAACTCCTGACCTCAGGTGATCCACCCACCTTGGCCTCCCAAAGTGCTGGGATTACAGCTGTGAGCCACCATGCCTGGCCCAATATGTGAATTTTATATCAGTTTAGAAAAAGGAAAAACTTCACGTTTGTTTGTTAGTTTCTGAGACAGGGTCTTGCTCTGTCACCCAGGCTGGAGTGCAGTGGTGCAATCTCAGCTCACTGCAACCTCTCCCTCCCGGGTTCAAGCAATTTTTGTGCCTCAGCCTCCCAAGTAGCTAGAACAATGGGCATGTGCCACCACACCCAGCTAATTTTTTTGTATTTTAGTAGAGATGGGGTTTCACCATGTTGCCCAGGCTGGTCTCAAGCTCCTGAGCTCAGGCAATCTGCTTGTCTTAGCTTCTCAAAGTGCTAGGATTACAGGCATGAGCCACTGCACCCGGCCCTGGCTCATTTTTGTATTTTTTGTAGAGACAAGGTCTCTACAGGAGACCAGTTATTCAATCATCAGTTGATGGACATTTGGGTGTTGCCCAGGCTGGTCCTGAACTCCTAGCCTCATGCGATCCTCCCACCTCGGCCTCCAAAAGTGCTGGGATTATAGGCGTGAGCCACCACACCCCACCTAACTTCATGCTTTTACTGGAAAAATAAATGTCTTTTTTGCGATTCTGAAACTTGAAGTCAGAAACCTACAGCATAATTACCTGAATAAGAAAGACCGTGTCCATAACATGGAGGTGTCCAAGGTCATCGATGTAAGTCTCCTGGTATAAATCTGACATCACCACCAAGTGGACCAGAAAAGTGGTGCTCACAATGGCGACGGTGGCAGCCGAGGCCGTCAAGGTCAAGACGTAGATGAGGAAGTACCTGATGTTCCAGGCCCCGATGCAGTTGTTCACCCAAACACAGTGATGGTCGAAACGGTGCACACACCAGTTACACACACCTGCACAGAAACAAGGGGGCACGTGCTGGGATGGTGCTTGACGAGACAAGGACACCGCACACCTGCTGAGATTTTCATAATCTGTCCACTGGATGTGTCATCAGAGGAAAATGGCAGCTGCTTAGTTCCAAACTAAGCTTTTGGAACTGTGGTGTCCAGTACAGGAGCAACCAGCCAAATGTGGGTATTGAGCACTTGCAATCTGACTACAAGACAAATCTGAGGTGGTGGCGGCATGCACCCATGGTCCCAGCTACTCAGAGGCTAGGCGGGAGGATCACTTGAGCACAGGAGGTCAACGCTGCAGTGAGCTATGATCACGTCACAGCACTCCAGCCTGGGTAATGGAGTGAGACCCTATCTCAAAAAACAAACCAAAAAACAGAGAGGACATTTTGTCAATACTGACAAATTTACAGTTGTCTTTTTACTACAATACTCCTTTGAATTCAGTGTGAATATGGAGGCAACACAAGAGTTAGTTAATTTACTTGACTTGGATAGACATAGTTTTAAAACTGGTGTTCCTGCTTTAAAGTCAATTCTTCTGATTAAGATGAATCATTATGTCAATGTAGACATGGATGGTGAAGGAAAATTATTTTTTTGGTACCGAATTCAGATATTGGAAAACTTTTAAGAATATCTGGATATAGCTTGCACATGTAAGCCTACTTTTTCAACTGTACATTTTATTAAATCTAAATACACAAGCATTTCCACATGAAAATTTAGTGTCCAAATCAAGATGTGCTATAAATGTAAGATACACACCAGATTTCAAAGGCTTAGTATGAAAAAAAGAATATAAACTATCTCATGAAGAATTTTTTACATTGATTACATGTTAAAATGATATTTTACATATGTAGGTTAAATAACATCCTGATTAAAACTGTCTCCAAGCACAGCCACATTTTGAAAAACATTTTTAAAAACTTTCTATTCATGGCCTTTTTTTTTTTTTCTGAGACAGGGTCTTGCTCTGTTGCTGAGGCTGGAGTGCAGTGGTTTAATCATAGCTTACTGCAGCCTCGATCTCCTGGGCTCAAGTGATCCTCCCGCCTCAGCCTCCTGAGTAGCCAGGACTACATCTTTTGTATTTTTTGTAGAGGTGGGGTTTCCCCATGGTGCCCAAGCTGGTCTTGAACTCCTAGGCTCAAGAGATCTGCCTGCCTCCCAAAGTACTGGAATTCCTGGCATGAACCGCTGCGCCCAGCCACATTCTATTTTTGTTAGACAGCACGGGTCTAGAATCTTGGGCCCTCCCCAGAAGACTAGGCTTTGTAGGACTGAAATCTGCAAACACAACATCCGCAGAAACAACTTGTGGGGAGCATGTCCTGCCACGTGGCGAGGGAAGGGCTGTTATGCCCAGAGATGAGGACTGTCTACTACACAGGAACACAAGACCTGACCCTCACTCATCTGAAAGAAACCATTATCTCAACTCTACAAGTAGTGGCCACACCATATCTGGGGGTGAACTGGCTCTGCTTTCGGATTCAGGAAACATTCCCTCACAGACGAAGCCCACACATGTGCTGTTGGAGGTGCCGCTGGAGTCACGAGAGCCACACTCACTGCAGTGCTTGGATCGAGCTGGTTTCCTTAAATCACAAGTAGAGCACCTCACGTTCTTTGGAAACATCACTTCATCAAATTCATAAACATGAAGAAATAATAATTCATTTGCTTTTGTTATAATGCCTGGGAAAAGTAAGGACATATGTCAGTTTCGTGCAATACTTTGGACTGGATAGTCACAAAACCCGTCCTGATAAAACACAACTGAAACTGCTATCTTTAATATCGTAAGTAATTCTTTTTTTTTTTTTGAGACAGTCTTACTTTGTCATCCAGGCTGGAATGCAGTGGCATGATCTTGGCTCACTGCAACCTCTGCCTCTCAGGTTCAGGTGATTCTCCCACGTAAGCCTCCTGAGTAGTAGCTGGGATTACAGGCGTGCTAATGCACGCGTGGCTAATTTTTGTATTTTTTTTGTTAATACAGATGGGGTTTCACCATTTTGGCCAGGCTGGTCTGGAACTCCGGACCTCAGGTGATCCTCCCACCTAGACCTCCCAAACAGGCTGAGATTGTGTGAGCCACCGCGCCCAGCCACGCAATTCATTTTTAATAATGGCTTTATTGAGATATAACACACAAACCTAATTCACTCATTTAAAGTGTACAATTCTGCCAGTGCGGTGGCTCACGCCTGTAGTCTCAGCACTTTGGGAGGCTGAGGTGGGTGGATCACGAGGTCAGGAGTTCGAGACCAGCCTGGACAACATGGCGAAACCCCATCTCTACTAAAAATACAAAAATCAGCTGGGTGTGGTGGCGCACGCCTGTAGTCCTAGCTACTCGGGAGTCTGAGGCAAGAGAATCCCTTGAACCCGGGAGGCGGAGGTTGCAGCGAGCTGAGATCGCCTCACTGCACTGCAGCCTGGGCGACAAAGCGTGACTCCGTCTTAAGAAACAAAAAAAGGAACAGTACCATACCGATCACATGCTCTATATATGACAAAACGAAGTGAAAGCATTAAAAAGATAAACTAAAAATTTTAAGTGGTTTTAAATAACCCATGGGTTGAAGAAGAAAAAAAAAATTAGAAAACACTCAAAACTGAAAGGTAATGAAAATGCTACACATCAAATCTTTTACAAAGTCCTCAGGGGGGGCCTCTCCTTGTTTGCAGCACTATTAGTAAGACAGTGGAGCTGTCACCATGCTGTATGCTAAGAGCCTCAACTTACCAGGATTGGTTCCACAAGTCAGGGTGAAAAAAAACAGGTTTACACCTAGCAGCAGATAGGGCAGAAGAAGGTAATGCAAGGACAACTCCAGCTCCTGACAGTAGCCAAATACTTCCCAGGTGTACTCAGTATAAACCATCCCTTGCAAGACCAGGTGCAGGACAATGAAGGTGTGGTTTCTGAAAGAAAACAGGCATGGCTTGTTCATGGGGGTTTCTTCTTGAAGAAATTGTATGATACTAAAGAAAGTAACCAACGGCCAACCACTTCCTTTGGGCTTGAGATAATAGTAAGAATTACATAGAAAACTATGTGAAACATTTTGCATGTATTTAACAGAAATTCACAATCTGTAAATATCGCTTTTTAAAAGTAGGCAAGTTAAAACCTCCATCTCAAAAGGCAGATTAACTACGAGTAGAGGCTCCCAACTCAGGACTCGTGATTCTTTCCGGCCTTCTTTCCCTCACCATGCTGGAAACCACAAGGAGCTTCCTGAAGCTAGAGGATCTCAACAATTAATAATCAAAGCAGAAAAGAGGAGAATATTTAAACTCTGAAAGAGAAATACCTCGTATGGAAAAGGTAATGAAGCAATCCATGCACGGCTCTCTGAAGACATTCTGGAATTATACAGGAAAATATCTGAAACAAAAGGAAAGAGAAAGACTCAATTTCATTTCTCACTTCCTCCACTCCCAAACAAATCAGACACTCCACATACAGCTGGCAATCTGGGTGATAGTAAGTTTTGTTTCCCTATATGGGTGAAGAAGTGATTTAGCAGAGAATAAAGAGGGGAATTCTTTCTACTGGTCTTTCCTTTCACGCCAACTCCATTTCTAGTCTGATTCTGACGAAGGCACCTGTCAGTGTCTTCAGGGAAAGAGAGGTGAGCAGAGGGGATGGGTCGGGGAATGTCAATGTGAAGGCCGCTCCTTCCCCAGCCTGGGTTCAATCCCAGGTTCCAGCATCCACACCCAGATCACTGGGCATTGGCCCAGGTCCCTCCCAACTCAATGCCTTCCCATAGGCTGCTTGCCCCGTTTTGCTCACTTTGATCCCTGAAGGAGGGGGGCCAGCCAATGCTGAGCTTTCTGCTGGCCCCCAGAGTCACCCATTAAGTGCCCCAGGCGGACCCTGCTCACATCCATGCCCAATCACAGGCATCTAATCCAGAGGAAAACAGCAACCTCTTCTCTCAAAGCACCACCGCAAGAGGACTTTCAGCAGGAACACAAAACCCACACAGACAGAGGCTGTGGAATATCCCACAACTGCCATCAACGAACTAAATCCATCAATGATGTTAAGTGGCATCTTTTTTGTTGTTGTTGAGACAGGGTCTCACTCTGTAGTCCAGGCTGGAGTGCAGTGGCGTGATCATAGCTCATGGCAACTTCAGACTCCTGGCTCAAGGGATCCTCCTGCCTCAGCTTCCTGAGTAGCGGGATTACAGGTGTGAGGCACTGCACCCGGCCTGGCATCTCTTTTTTGTCCTGTAGCAAAACCTGTGAGTCTCTTAGACTAACACAGTATTCAAATTCCAGTGCCATCCAAGGATCATCCTTACCTGTGCTCCTCCCCTGGCCAGGCCTTTCAAGCTATGGGTTTTCGAGCAGACGCAGATAAGAACAAGACCCATCAGCACCGAAGCCAGGTAGAACAAGAAGAGGACCAGAAAGTC
Source organism: Homo sapiens (assembly GCF_000001405.40). Classification (NCBI taxonomy): domain Eukaryota; kingdom Metazoa; phylum Chordata; class Mammalia; order Primates; family Hominidae; genus Homo; species Homo sapiens. Next base: position 6,580,564 of record NC_000007.14, on the reverse strand, counting down.
CATCCTGCAGCTACAAAGGAACAGAAAGAGTGTGACTATCTGCTACTGAAAGGTTTCTTCCATGGCACACATTCTCAGACATCAACTCCCAAATGGCTACCAAAACAGAATTCATCTAGACTTTAATGACATCTCAAAGCAAAAAGCAGAAAGACAAACAGAACAGAATTCACCAATTCTTAGGCACACATAACAGAGGCCTGCTGCCTCTCAGTGGGGCCTCCAAAATGGTCCTGAGCTCCCTCAATCAAGATAAAAATTCTGGGCCAGGTGCAGTGGCTCATGCCTGTAATCCCAGCACTCTGGGAAGCAGAGGTGGGTGGATCGCTTGAGCTCAGGAGTTCGAGACCAGCCTGGGCAACATAGTGAGGCCCTGTCTCAATTTAATAAAATAAAAAATAAAAAAAGAAAGATAAACTTTTTTTTTTTGAGACAGAGTTTCACTCTTGTTACCCAGGTTGCAGTGCGGTGGCGTGATCTTGGCTCACTGCAACCTCCGCCTCCCAGGTTCAAGCAATTCTCCTGCCTCAGCCTCCTGAGTAGCTGGGATTATAGGCACGCACCCCATGCCTGGCTAATTTTTGTATTTTTAGTAGAGATGAGGTTTCACCATGTTGGCCAGGCTGGTCTCGAACTCTTGAACTCAGGTGATCCACCTGCCTCGGCCTCCCAAAGTGCTGGGAGTACAGGCGTGAGCCACTGCACCTGCCCAAGATAAAAACTTTGAATCTAACACCCTAAGACTGTGGCCTGCCTTTGAAGCATCTCCAACTTGCAAATCCAAAATAAACCAAGAAAGAACATGCATCCTCCTTCCTTGCCCCCAGGCATGAATCATTCTTTTACTTCCTTAAATATTCACAAAGATACAAGATGTGTCCCCAAAGAATCTGCTGACAATGCCTTGAGAACAAGCATCTCCTAGAGGCAGTCAGGAGCCCTGCACCCAGAATCAGGCATCCTGTCCTAAGAAGCATCCCTCCAGGACACTGGCCACAACCATCAGGAATTACCCTCTGGAACCAGAGTCAACACACAGGCCTGCGTTAAAATACTGGATACTGAGGCCGAGCGTGGTGGCTCATGCCTGTAATCCCAACACTTTGGCATGTCGAGGCAGGCGGATCACGAGGTCAGGAGTTCGAGACCAGTCTGGCCAACATGGTGTAATCCCCATCTATACTAAAAACACAAAAATTAACCGGGCGTGGTGGCACATGCCTGTAATCCCAGCGACTCAGGGGGTGGAGGCAGGAGAATCTCTTGAACCCAGGAAGCGGAGGTTGCAGTGAGCCGAGATCGCGCCACTGCACTCCAGCCTGGGCAACAGAGCGAGACTCCGTTTCAAAAAAAAAAAAAGAAAAGACACTGGATACTGGAACTCTTTTCCATAGTGTAGCGGTTTAAGAAAAAAAAAGAAGAAAAAAAAGGTACTGGAATTGGCCGGCCGTAGTGGCTCGTGCCTGTACTCCCAGCACTTTGGAAGGCTGAGGTGGGAGGATCACTTGAACCCAGGAGTTCAAGACCAGCCTGGGCAACAAAGCGAGACCCCCATCTCTACAAAAAATACAAAAATTAGCCAAGTGTGGTTGCGCATGCCTGTGGAGGCTGAGGCGGGAGGATTGCTTGAGCACAGGAGTTCAAGCCTGGGCGACAGCATGAGACCCTGTCTCAAAAACAAACCAAAAAAGATACCGGAACTGGTCACTTTTGACCTTAGCAGATAAGATTCTGGGCTGTAATGCCAAGTGAGATAACCAAACAAGAAGCTATTCATGACATGATAGGTGAGAGTAAACAAACAGCAGCAATTCTCACGGGGTGATTCAGGGTACCCAGCCTACATTTCTCTTGGTTGGGTAATTTTCAGCCGGCAGCTCTGGCATTCCTCTTCCCAACATTCACAGATAATTCAAACAGCAGCTCCTCTTGGGCAGCAGTGTGTGCCTGGCATGACCAGTAGCTGCCGGACATGGTTCTTCCAGGAGCCTGGATCTGGCTGCAGAGACAGATCAATTCAACACCCACATAAGACGACAAGAGTTGCAGTCAAAGGCAGAATACCTGTGGAAAAGGATTTGGAAGTAGGGGATTTTCAGCACCCCCAGCATGAATGGGTAAGACTTTGGGAGAAATGGCCCAGACTAAGTTGCTTAGGCCTGCTCCCAAATCTTTGGGAGGCCCAGGCAGGAGGATAGCTTGAGGTTAAGAGTTCGAGACCAGCCTGGGCAACACAGTGAGATCACTGTCCCTACATAAAAATTTAAAAATCAGTGGGGCGTGGTGGCCCGCGCCTGTGGTCCCAGCTACTTGGGAGGCTGAGGTGGAAGGATGGCTTGAGCCCAGGAGGTCGAGGCTGCAGTGAGCTGTGATCGTGCCACTGCCTTCCAGCCTGGGCCATAGAGCTGGACCCCATCTCTAAAAACAATAAAAGAGGCCGGGCGCGGTGGCTCACGCCTATAATCCCAGCACTTTGGGAGGCCGAGGCGGGTAGAACACCTGAGGTCAGGAGTTCGAGACCAGCCTGACCAACATGGTGAAATCCGTCTCTACTAAATACAAAAAAAATTAGCTGGGCGTGATGGCGCATGCCTGTAATCCAAGCTACTGGGGAGGCTGAGGCAGAATTGCTTGAATCCGGGAGGCGGAGGGTGCAGTAAGCCGAGATCGCGCCACTGCACTACAGCCTGGGAAACAAGAGCGAAACCCCGTCTCAAAATACAATAATAATAAAGACTTTGTGAGAAACAGCTAGTTGGGAAGAAATAAGCCAAGTCGGTAGCCTTGGGTCTCTCCCCGCCACTCCCCATTAGGGCCTCCCGAAGCCACCCCCATCCAAGGCACCTCCTGGGCGGGCCTGGTCGGAGATTTCCCTGGGGGCTGGAGCCCTGGTAGGGGGACGTGGAGTGCAGCAGGCTCGGAGGGGACACCGGGGCCGCCCCGGACTCGGGCGAGGTGGGGGTGGGACGGCGGCCCTACACACAAGGGGAAAGGGAGGGTCAGAGGAGGAGACTGACGGTCCTGGGACAGCCCAAGCTTCCCACAGCCCCGCGGAGGCGGCCTTACCGCCAGCCGCTGGGCTCCGGCGCCTCCCGGGCGCGATACGAGACTTCCTGCGGGCTCGTGACATCAGCACGGCGCCCCTGAGGGGCTGACTTCCGGCGGAAGTGTGCGAGGGCCGCCGCGGGTTGCGGGGCTGGAGTAACAGTGACCTCCCCGGCGCCCTCGCAGCCAGCCTGGGGACCTCCGTGGCCGGGTGTAACCGCTGGGAAGTGCGATTTTATTTTATTTTATTTTATTTTATTTTATTTTATTTTATTTTATTTTATTTTATTTTATTTATTTTATTTTATTTATTTTATTTTATTTATTTTATTTTATTTATTTTATTTTATTTATTTTATTTTATTTTATTTTATTTTATTTTATTTTATTTTATTTATTTTATTTTATGTATTACCTATTTTCTTATTTACTTATGTATTCGTTCATTCATTCAGAAACAGCCTCGCTCTGTCGCCCAAGCCGGAGTGCAATGGCGCTATCCTAGCACACTACAACCTCCAACTCCTGGGCTCAAGCAATGCCTCCTGCCTCAGCCTCCCAAGTAGCTGGGACCACAGGTGCATGCCACCACACCCGCCTAATTTTTTTTTTTTTTTTTTTTTTTTTGTAGAGACGGGTGTCTCACTATGTTGCCCAAGCTGATCTCGAACTCCCGGGCTCAAGTGATCCTCCCACCTCGGCCTCCCAGAGTGTTGAGATTACAGGCGTGAGTCCCTGCACTGGGCTGGAAGTGGGATTTTAGAGCAGTATTGCCAGGAGACTTACAGGAGGACCGACCTGGGCCTGGTGGGGGCGATCATTCTGGGGCTGTGACAGGGACTAAGCTGCCCTGCGGCCTGCACAGAGACCAGTCATGTCCCTGCTCAGAGCCCAGCAGGGGGATCCAGGTGGCCCAGGGCAGTCACACTTAGGGGGCTCTCAGACTATGTCTGTGTGGTGGACAGAGTTTGCTTTCAGCCACCCACACTGTTGAGATCTAGCAGAACATTTCCAGCATCTTCCGTTGCAGAAGCGGGCAGAAAGCACAATGTGTACCCATCAGTCAGATTCCGCTCCATGTGTGTCCTTGCTCCTGATGACAAGGACATGTTGCTCTGTACAGCCCTAAATATCCTCGGGGCAGTGACAAATACTTGACCACAAACGTTGAGGATAAAAGGGAAGGGTGTTTGATGCTAGGCAGGCTTGGGGTAACAAGAGCTGCTTCCAAACATAGCCCTGAGAAGGCCCTGTGGGGTGTCCTTTGCTCTGACCATCTCTGAATCAGCTGAGGCCAGGGTCTATTCCTGATGCCTCTGAAGACCTGAGCCAGGCCTGTCCTCCTTTGAGGGGAAATGTCTGATCTCCAAACACTGGCCTTAAAGCTCTTCTCTTTTCCTGTCTCTTTGCTACCTACGTCAGCTTCTTGATGCGTTTTCTTTTCCTTTTTATGAAACTCCTTACCAACAGGATGCCTTCTCCTGTGTACATTGTATCCAAGGTCTTCATAAATTTATGGACCCAGAATTGAAAAACCAAGGCTCATACCTATAATTCCAGCACTTCAGGAGGCCGAGGTGGGAGGATCGCTTGAGCCCAGGAGTTTGGGAACAGTCTGGGCAACATATGGAGACCTTGTCTCTACAAAAAATTTAAAAATTAGCCGGGTGTGCTGGCATGCACATGTGGTCCCAGCTACTTAGGAAGCTGAGGTGGGAGGATTGTTTGAGCCCAGGAGGTCAAGGCTGCAGTGCGTTAGGATCACACCACTGCATTCCAGCCTGGACCACAAAACAAGACCCTGGTTCAGAAAAAAAAAAAAAAAAAGATTAATCTCTCAGCACTTGGTCAGTTCCTGAAACCTAGGCATGTTTGATTTTTTGCCTCTTTAAAACATCCAAGCGCAAACCTTGACACCTGCATTTTATAAATAGCATAAGAGAAAACAGACTACTTAAGCTTAAAACCAAAAATTCAAGTGTGATCAAAAGGATTGCCTTGCTTGTGATGCATGGAGCAAAGAATTCCTCTTTGGAGTGTTGCTAAACGCTCCTGTCAGCTCCTGAAACTGGACCTGCAGTATCAGTTTTTTACCTGCTGTGAGATCAGTTGACAGGATCAACCAGCTTTACACCACGATCTCTTGTCCCCAAGGGAATGATGGATGCTATACTTTGGAAATGGGATACAGGACTTCGTAGCTACGCTTGCAAAAGGCATATCACACATGATGCTTGTTTACAATCAGTGATTTATTGACCATGAGGAATTTTGCCATGGAGAAATTAAGAAGAAGGAAAGGAACATAAAAGTATTTTTGAACCATGCATAGTGGCTTATACCGGTAATCCCAACACTTTGGGAGGCTGAGGAGGGCTGATCCCTTGAGACCAGGAGTTTAAGACAAGGCTGAGCAACCTAGTGAGACCTCACCGCTACAAAAAAGTTTTCAATTAGTTAGGTGTGGTGGTGTACACCTGTAGTCTCAGCTACTTGGGGAGGCTGAGGCAGGATGAGGCAGGAAGATTGCTTGAGTCCAGGAATTTGAGACTGCAGTGAACCATGACTGTGCCACTGTATTTCAGCTTGGGCAATAGAGCAAGACCCTGTCTCAAAAAAAAAAAAAAAGAAAAGAAAAGAAAAAAAAAAGGACTGGATCTGTGTTGGCTTACTGTTATATCAGTAGCAACTATTTTAGCACCTAGCTCATAGTAGATGCCCAATAAAAATGTATCAACTGAATGAATGAAAGAAAATGATAACTTATATCAGAAGGAAATCTACATCCTTGATATCACTCAAAAAAAATTCCTGTGGCCAGTAGGTGGGGCCACAGTTGTCACTATTAGCTGGCTTGGAGCATACATTATGGGTGCCCAGTTTACACCCAAATTTCCACTTTGCCTTTGCTACTGTAATTGCTGCCCCGTGCCTTTTTTTTTTTTTTTCTTTTTTTTGAGACAGTCTCGCTCTGTTGCCCAGGCTGGAGTGCAGTGGCGGGATCTCAGCTCACTGCAACCTCTGCCTCCTGGGTTCAAGTGATTCTCCTGCCTCAGCCTCCCGAGTATCTGAGACTGCAGGCATGCGCCACCACACTCAGCTAATTTTTGTATTTTTAGTAAAGACAGGGTTTCGTCGTGTTGGCCAGACTAGCCTTGAACACCTGACCTCAGGTGATCCACCTGCCTCAGCCTCACAAAGTGCTGGGATTACAGGTGTGAGCCACCACGCCCAGCCCTCAAAGTAGATTAAACAACAAAAGAGACATCTTGGTCCCTGCCATTGGAATGTCCAGAAATGATGCTGGCTTCAGGAATGACTTGAACCCGCAGCCCAATGGCATGATCAAGAATCAATGTTCTTTTTATCCCTCACTCTGACTGGAAGATCAGCTTCATCTGAAGACCAGCTTTCCTCCTGATGATGGGATGGCCACCAGCCATAGCTGGGGCTTCATGCATCCACACCCACATCCAGTGAAGGGAGAGTGGGGAGGTCTCCCTCCAGGCCCAAGTAGGAGTACTGACATTCAGTGTGATTAAGCTGGCTTGGGTCATAGACTCACCCCTGAACCATGATGCCACCAGGAAAATGGAATGTGGCCTTTGTCTTGGGTAAAACAAGGCCTCCTGCTGAAGCTACAGAGGATCAGTTTCCCCCAAAGCACATGAGTTGCTCAGGTGAGGGGCTGGATTCTGGAAGGATGTGTGGGCCCTACTGGGAAGGTACATGGATGCTGGCCAGGTAGGCAATCAATCAGTGGACATCTAATAAGTGATATCTGGAATGATGCAAGGAATGTGTCAAAAATGTCTCTTCAAATTAAGATTCTACCCAGGGCCGGGCATGGTGGCTTATGCCTGTAATCCCAGCACTTTGGGAGGCCGAGGAGGGCAGATCACGAGGTCAGGAGATCGAGACCATCCTGGCTAACACGGTGAAACCCCGTCTCTACTAAAAACATAAAAAAAAATTAGCCGGGCGAGGTGGTGGGCGCCTGTAGTCCCAGCTACTGGGGAGGCTGAGGCAGGAGAATGGCGTGAACCTGGGAGGCGGAGCTTGCAGTGAGCTGAGATCAAGCCACTGCACTCCAGCCTGGGCGACAGAGCGAGACTCTGTCTCAAAAAAAAAAAAATTCAACCCAGGGCCGGGTGCGGTGGCTCATGCCTGTAATCCCAGCACTTTTGGAGACCTAGGCGGGTGGATCACCTGAGGTCCAGAGTCCGAGACCACCCTGGCCAACATGGAGAAACCCCGTCTCTACTGAAAACACAAAACATTAGCTGGGTGTGGTGGTGGGTGCTTGTAATCCCAGCTACTCGGGAGGCTGAGGCAGGAGCACCGCTTGAACCCGGGAGGCAGAGGTTGCAGTGAGCAGAGATCACGCCACTGCACTCCAGCCTGGGCAACAGAGTGAGACTCCGTCTCAAAAAAAAAAAAAAAATTCAACCCCCGATGAATGAAGGTGCAAGAGTGAGAACATGAGATGCTTGGGGCATGGTAGGAACTTTTGATGCGTGTCCTTCATTTCCCAGACTCAAAGGCAAATCTATTAATACAATTCCTTCCTGGCAGCAATCTCCGGGTGCAGATTCAAGGGAACGTGTTTGCAAAGGAAGGAGAAGGAAATTTTAGCCACAAAGCTGCAGTTACAGTTGTGCAAGGTCACTCAGAATGGATGCAATTCCTTAGGAAGAGCAAGAGTGTATAAGGAGAGAAGAGGCTGAGGCTCTCCAACTTCCTGGGACCAGCAGAAAAAGAGGAGCTGGCAAAGAAAGCCAAGGGAGGATGTCCACAGGAGTAGGAGGAGGCTGGGCACTTTGGGTCATGCCTGTAATCCCAGCACTTTAGGAGGCTGAGGCTGGAGGATCGCTTGGGGCCAAAAGTTTGAGACCAGCCTGAACAACATAGCGAGACCCCATCTCTACAAAAAATTTAAAAATTAGCCAGGCATGGTGGTGCACAGCTGTAGTCTCAGCTGCTCAGGAGACCGAGGTGGGAGGATCGCTTGAGCCCAGGAGGTCAAGCCTGCGGTGAGCTATTATTTCACCACTGCACTGTAGCCTGGGCAATAGGACAAGACTTCGCATCTTTAAAAAAAATGTTTTTCTTTTTGTTTTTGTTTTTTGACACGGAGTCTCGCTCTGTCGCCCAGGCTGGAGTGCAGTGGCGCCATCTCGGCTCACTGCAACCTCTGCCTCCCAGGTTCACGCCATTCTCCTGCCTCAGTCTCCCCAGTAGCTGGGACTACAGGCGCCCACCACCACACCCGGCTAATTTTTTGTACTTTTAGTAGAGACAGGGTTTCACCATGTTAGCCAGGATGGTCTCGATCTCCTGACCTTGTGATCCCCCCGCCTCAGCCTCCCAAAGTGCTGGGATTACAGATGTGAGCCACCGCGCCCGGCCAAAAAAAAATGTTTTTAAATAAACAAAACAAAGCAAAAGAAGTGGGAGGAGAGTCAGGGAAGAGGGGGTAACATGGAAGCCAAAGAGGACGTGCACTACAATCCCCCAGGGAGGCTCTAAGGGTGAGGCCAATGGAAGGAACCTGGAATGAGCCTCCCACAGACTGTGAAATGTCCCCAGGGAATGGCTCTAGTGATCACCGTAGCCCCCCGGGTTCTGATAATTCCTCTGGCCCAGCAAGCCACCAGGGCAGCTCCTCTCCAGAGCTGGCTGGAGATGCTACGTCACTGGATGGAGGCCTCCAGAATAAGGCCTTGGAAGCCGTGCTGCCTGAGACTGCAGTGTCAGAAGGGTTTCTGAACACGAGCTGGAAGCAAGAGGACCAGAGGGAGAGGCATCTGGAATACATAGTGTTGGGTGGTTGTTGCACACACAGACACGGTGAGCTTGCTCATTGCAGTAGCTGGCATGCCTCACCCTGACTGTCACTCTCTCATGATACTCCCAAGAGTGGGTGGAGACTGAAACTGCCTTTGCAAATATGACAGTGAGCGAAATCTGACCTGACTCCATCCTACTTCTAACCTCCAAGCTGCCCTTGGTCATTCCTGGATATCGGCCAAGATAACTATGGGAGGAATTTCGTTTAACTTTTTTTTTTAATTTTTTTTTTTTTTGAGACTGGGTCTCACTTTGTTACCCAAGTTGGATTGCAGTGGCCAGATCATGGCTTACTGCAGCCTCCAACTCTTGGCCTCAAGCAATCCTCCAGCCTCAGCCTCCTGAGTAGCTGGGACTACAGGGAAGTGCCATCATGCATGGATATTTTTTAATTTTTGTAGAGATGGGGTACCTCTATGTTGCTCAGGTTGGTCTCGAACTCCTGGGCTCTGGCGATCCTCCTGCCTCAGCCTCTCAAAGTGCTGGGATTATAGGTGTAAACCAGCTTAGTTCAATTTTTTTTTTTTTTTTTGAGACGGAGTCTCACTCTGTCACCCAGGCTGGAGTCAGTGGCGCGATCTTGGCTCACTGCAACCTCTGCCTCCTGGGTTCAAGCGATTCTCCTGCCTCAGCCTCCCAAGTAGCTGGGACTACAGGTGTGTGCCACCACACCCAGCTAATTTTTTTTTTGTATTTTTAGTAAAGATGGGGTTTCACCATATTGGCCAGGCTGGTCTTGAACTCCTGACCTCGTGATCTGCCCGCCTTGGCATCCCAAAGTGCTGGGATTACAGGTGTGAGCCACCTCACCCAGCCCTAAGTTTAACTTTAAAAAAATGATAAAAGCCCCTTCCCAACAACTAGCCCCTCCTTGTTCATGGACTAAACCACCTTTGTAAAACTAATAAACAACCAAAGATTAGGCTTGTGTGAGGAATATGAACTCTGCTAAAGTGGAGGCCAACTTCAATGACAACCAGCCATTGTTCCAGAAGTCAAAAGATTCATAACCTTCCCAGTTGCTCCTATAGATAACATCACTACTGGAAAACCTAAGATTGGTGTTCAAGGTATCTTTTAGATCCTGTATTGTAATGGACCAGCTGGTGCCACTGTGACTGGTAAAAGGGCTCAGCTGGTCACATGATCCCACCCAGGGACCGGCCCAGCTCAAGAAGATAGCTCCGGGCTGGGCGCAGTGGCTCACGCCTGTAATCCCAGCACTTTGGGAGGCCGAGGAGGGCGGATCACGAGGTCAGGAGATGGAGACCATCCTGGCTAACATGCTGAAACCGCGTCTCTACTAAAAATACAAAAAATTAGCCGGGCGTAGTGGCGGGAACCTGTAATCCCAGCTACTCGGGAGGCTGAGGCAGGAGAATGGCATGAACCTGGGAGGCAGAGCTTGCAGTGAGCCAAGATTATGCCACTGCACTCCAGCCTGGGCGACAGAGCAAGACTCCGTCTCAAAAAAAAAAAAAAAAGAAGGTAGCTCCAGCCCCCTAGGATTTCATCCCCAGTGCAAACAATGAGGATTCCCCATTCCCTAGCCCCCACTCACCAAATTATTCTTACAAAACCCTAGTCTCTGAATTTTCCAGGAGACTGATTTGAGTGATAAACTCCAGTCCTTCCACGTGGCTAGCCTTGCATTAATTAAGCTTTCTTTACTGCAATACCGTTGTCTCAGTAAATTGGCTCTATCTGTGCAGCTGAAAGAAGAGCCAGTCAGGCGATTAGACCATCAAGGGGGAGCATATACAGCTGACCCCAAAGTCATGTTGTCAAATGCATCCTCCTTTGTGTCTCTGAAACCATCACTGCAAAATTATAACTGAGAAAATTATGACAGTCAAAGAAATCAGACCTAACCAATTTTACGCTGTCCTTGTTCATCCTGGGCATAGGCTGAACTAACTTTGGGAAGTAATTCAGTTCATGGTTTGACTCTGAAACAAAACTGATAACAGCCCTTTCCCGAAAAGACCCCCTTCTTTCCTGGGGACCAGTCTGACTTTGCAGGACTAACAGATTAGCTACAAGATTAGAAATGACAGTTTAGGGGCTGTGCAGCCTCTGGCTCCAAGAGTCTGAACCTCCCCAGATTGCTCCTGGGGGTAACATTACTTTTATAAAACCTAAGGTCAGTGCTTGAGCTATTTTGCAGGCCCTGCACTGGATGGATCAGCTGACACCATCCAGACGAGTCATCGGGCTCCACCAGTTCTGCCATCCTACCCGGGAACAGAAGACAGCAAGAAAACCTCACTTCGACCTCCCATGATTCCATCTCCAACCTGACCAATCAGCACTGCCCACAAGCCCCTACCCGCCAAGTTATCTGTAAAAACTCTGTGGCTCACGCCTGTAATCCCAGCACTTTGGGAGGCCGAGGCGGGGGGATCACAAGGTCCGGAGATCGAGACCATCCTGGCTAACACAGTGAAACCCCGTCTCTACTAAAAATACAAAAAAGTAGCCGGGCGCGGTGGTGGGCGCCTGTAGTCCCGGCTACTCAGGAGGCTGAGGCGGGAGAATGGCATGAACCCGGGAGGCGGAGCTTGCAGTGAGCTGAGATCGCACCATTGCTCTCCAGCCTGGGCGACAGAGCGAGACTCTGTCTCAGACAAATAAATAAATAAATAAACAAACAAACAAATAAATAAATAAATAAAATAAAACTTTGTAATCTCAGCACTTTGGGAGGCTGAGGCAGGCGGATCATGGGATCAGGAGTTCAAGACCAGCCTGACCAACATGGTGAAGCCCTGTCTCTACTAAAAATACAAAAATTAGCTGGGCAGAGTGGCGCGTGCCTGTAATCCCAGCTACTCAGGAGGCTGAGGCAGGAGAATCGCTTGAACCCAGGAGATGGAGGTTGCAGTAGCCGATATCACGCCATTGCACTCCAGCCTGAGTGACAGAGCAAGATTCCATCTCAAAAAAAAGAAAAAACCAACTCTGATCCCCAAATGCTCGGGGAGACTGATTTGAGTAATAATAAAACTCCGGTCTCCCGCACAGCTGGCTCTGCATAAATTACTCTTTCTCCATTGCAATTCCCCTGTCTTGATAAGTCGGCTCTGTCTAGGCAGCGGGCAAGGTGACCCCTTGGGTGGTTACATCTCCGTAACTGGACTTAGTGTGGCTGCTGTGACCCACGTTCCAATGGGACAGCAAACCTGTCTCTCCTACCCTGCTTTTTTTTTTTTTTGAGACAGAGTCTCGCTCTGTCGCCCAGACTGGAGTGCAATGGCGCAATCTCTGCTTCCTGGGTTCAAGCAATTCTCATGCCTCAGCCTCCCAAGTAGCTGAGATTACAGGCACACGCCACCATGCCCAGCTAATTTTTTTGTTTTTACTAGAGACAGGGTCTCATCACGTTGGCCAGGCTGGTCTCAAACTCCTGACCTCAAATGATCCACCTGCCTTGGCCTCCCAAAGTGCTGGGATTACAGGCGGGAGCCACTGTGCCTGGCCTGCCCGCCTTCTTGAGTCTCCCCTCTTTGCCCATGGCTCAGACTTTTACTGCTCTTGGGTATGAAAAAAATGAGTTCTTGTGCAAGCAGTCCCACTCTATGGTTTATGGTGTAAAACAGAAGCTTTTGCAATATTTTTTTTCCCTTCCAAAATCCCCAACTTTGACACCAAAAATATTTTTTTTAAGTTTGTGTAGGAGGTATAGGGACAAAAAGGTAGCTCTTTTGAAGCTCAATCTCCCGTCACCTTCCCCCCACACACTCACAGACCCAGCTAATTCTAGCATGACTGTTGAGGGGAAGAGCAGCAGGTAGAAGGAACAGGAAGGGCAACTTCAAAGCGTGGTCCACTACATTTATTTATTTATTTTTATAATTTATGTTTTTGAGATGGAGTCTTGCTTCTTTGCCCAGGCTGGAGTGCAATTGGAGCGATTTCAGTTCACTGTAACCTCTGCCTCCTAAGTTCAAGCAGTTCTCCTGCCTCAGCCTCCCCAGTAGCTGGGATGACAGGCACATGCCACCATGCCTGGCTAATTTTTGTATTTTTAGTAGAGACGGGGTTTCACCATGTTGGCCAGGCTGGCCTTGAACTCCTGACCGCAGGTGATCCGCCCACCTCGGCCTCCCAAAGTGCTGGGATTACAGACGTGAGCCACCACGCCCGCTATTTATTTATGTTTATATTTATTTTATTTTATTTTTACTTATTTATTTATTTTTGAAACAGTCTTGCTCTGTCGCCCAGGCTGGAGTGCAGTGGCATGATCTTGGCTCACTGGAACTTCTGTCTCCTGGGTTCAATCGATTCTCCTGCCTCAGCCTCTGGAGTAGCTGGGACTACAGGCACATGCAACCACGCTTGACTCATTTTTGTATTTTTAGTAGAGACAGGGTTTCACCATGTTGGCCAGGCTGGTCTCAAACTCCTGACCTCAAGTGATCCGCCCACCTCAGCTTCCCAAAGTGCTGGGATTACAAGCGTGAGCCACCATGCCTGGCCATGCCTGGCCAATTTATCCATTTAAATTTAAATTTTAAATTTTAGAGACAGGATCTTGCTCTGTTGCCCAGACGGGTCTCCAACTTATGGCCTCAAGTGATCCTCCCTCGTCGGCATCCCAAAATGCGGGGATTACAGGCGCCACTGTGCCTGGCCCACTACATTGATTTCTATCAGCCTGACTTATTCTAGGCAGGACTGGAGATGGCTTACATAGGCTCGCAAAAACAAGGTAAAATAACTTTAAAGAGGCTGAGCACAGTGGCTCATGCCTGTAATCCCAGCACTTTGGGAGGTCAAGGTGTGAGGATCACTCGAGGCCAGAAGTTCGAGTCCAGCCTCGGTAACAAGAAAATATGAAAACTAGCCAGTCTTGATGGTACACTCCTGAGTCCCAGCCACTCAGGAGGCTAAGGTGGGAGGATCGCTTGAGCCCAGGAATTTGAAGCTGCAGTGAACCATGATCATGTCACTTCACTCCAGCCTGGGCAACAAAGCGAGACCCTGCCTCAAATAAATACATACATACGTAACTTTAAAGAGATTAGACTCATGGCCAGGCACAGTGGCTCATGCCTGTAACCCCAGTACTTTGGGAGGCCTAGGCGGGTGGATCACTTGAGGTCGGGAGTTTGAGATCAGCCTGACCAATATGGTGAAACCCCATCTCTACTAAAAATATAAAAATTAGCTGGGTGTGGCACATGTCTGTTATCTCAGCTACTTGGGAGGCTGAGGCAGGAGAATCACTTGAACCCAGGAGGCGGAGGTTGCAGTAGCCGAGATTGCGCCATTGCACTGCAGCCTGGGTGACAGAGCGAGACCCTGCCTCAAATAAATACATACATACATAACTTTAAAGAGATTAGAAGGGGGGCCAGGCGCAGTGGCTCACGCCTGTAATCCCAGTACTTTCAGAGGCTGAGCCGGGTGGATCACTTGAAGTCGGGAGTTTGAGACCAGCCTGACCAACATGGTGAACCCCCATCTCTACTAAAAATACAAAAATTAGCTGGGCGTGGTGGCACATGCCTGTAATCTCTGCTACTAGGGAGGCTGAGGCAGGAGAATTGCTTGAACCCATGAGGTGGAGGTTGCCATGACCTGGGATCGCGCCACTGCACTCCAGCCTGGGCGACAGAGCAAGACTCTGAAAAAAAAAAAGAGATTAGAAGGGGAAACAAGAAGAAGAGGATGTAAACATAAGACAAGGTGAAGCCAGGTATACCCATGGGCTGTTCTTACTTTGAAGTGGAAGTGACTGGGCTCAGAGAGGCTCCCACAGACACCAGGGCTCACAGACCAGCATACTGGACTTTGATGTGGTCACTGATGAAACTTCATTATGTAAAGCCACTGAGATTGGAGGTTGTTACAGTAGCTGGTATTAACGGTGCTAATACACTATGCTGGTTATTGGTGAAAGCCATGGCATAGCTCAGGGCTAACCATCAAGCCTGCCTTCAAAATGCCGTTACATTGGCTGGGCGCAGTGGCTCATGCCTATAATCCCAGCACTTTGGGAGGCTGAGGCAGGTGGATCACCTGAGGTCAGGAGTTTGAGACCAGCCTGGCCAATGTGGCAAAACCTCATCTCTACTAAAAATACAAAAATTAGCTGAGCATGGTGGCGGGCATCTGTAATCCCAGCACTTTGGGAGGCTGAGGTGGGAGGATTGCTTGATCCCAGGAGTTTGAGACCAGCCTGAGCAACATAGCAAAACCTTCTCTACAAGTAATAAAAAAATCAGTCGGGGCCAGGTACAGTGGCTCACATCTGTAATCCCAGCACTTTGAAAGGCTGAGGCGGGTGGATCACCTGAGGTCAGGAGTTCCAGACCAGCCTGGCGATCATGGTGAAACCCCATCTCTACTAAAAATAAAAAATTAGCTAGGTGTGGTGGTGGGCACCTGTAATCCCAGCTACTCAGGAGGCTGAGGCAGGAGAATCGCTTGAACCTGGGAGGCAGAGGTTGCAGTGAGCCAAGATCGCGCCACTGCACTCCAGCCTGGGCAAGAGAACGAGATTCTGTCTAAAAAAGAAAAAAATAAAATGCCGTTACATCACTGGTCAACTTCAGCTCTCAGTCACTGTGGTGGACAATCATCTGGGCCAACCCCCAATCCTGCAAGCTGTCACCCGTCCTTTTTTCTTTTGTCGCCTGAGATTTTGAGGACATAGCGCAGAAACACGGAGGCTTTAGATAAGAGTGTGTGACTGCAGGATACAAATCTCCTGTTTGGCCCAGGTGAGATGGCTCACTCCTATAATCCCAGCACTGTGGGAGGCTGAGGCAGGAGGATCGTTTGAGCCCAGGAGTTTGAGACCAACCTGAGCAACATATCAAGACCCCTTCTCTAGAAGTAATAAAAAATCAGTCAGTCGTGGTACGTGCCTGTGGTCCTAGCTGCTCTGGAGGCTGACGCAGGAGGACGGCTTGAGCCTGGGAGGTCGAGGCTGAAGTGAGCCATGATAATCACACCACTGCACTCCAGCCTGGGTGGAGTGCAAGATTGCGACTCAAAAAAATAAAAAAAATCCTCTGTTTGGACCCTGTCTCCTCAGTCCAGAAAGGCTGGATGTGTCAGCGTGGACTTGGCAGGAAGAGAGCGAGGCGCCAGCCAATTTTAAACGGGTGTCTGGGTTTTCCCACTCATTCCCTGTCTGCCCTCCTTTGCTGTCCTTGGCCAAAGCCTACCCAGGCTCTCAACACATCCAGAATGAAGAGCCCTTTAGCCATATTCTGATAAAATTTCACTGTGGCCGTACATTCATTTGCTGGGGCTACCTTAACAAAATACTACAGACCGGATGGCTTCAACAATAGACATTTATTTTCTTGTGGTTCTGGAGGCTGGAAGTCTGAGATCAAGGTGTTGGCAGGGCTGGTTCCTCCTGAGGCCTCACTCCTTGGCTTGTGGATGGCCGCCTTCATGCTGTGTCTTCACATGGTCTACCTTCTGTGCTTGTTCATGTCCAAATTTCCTCTTCTTATTTTTATATATTTATGTTTTTTAGAGACAGAGCCTCTCTCTGTCACCCAGGCTGGAGTGCAGTGGCATGATTATGGCTCACTGCCGCCTCCACTTCCTGGGTTCAAGCAATTCTCCCACCTCAGCTTCCTGAGTAGCTGGGACTACAGGCATGCACCAATATGTCAGGCTAATTCTTAAATTTTTTGTAGAGATGGGATCTTGCTATGTTGACCAGGCTGGGCTCAAGCCATCCTCCTGCCTTGGCCTCCCACAAAATTTAGTCTTCTTATAAGGACATCAGTCAGATTGGATTAGGATCCACCCTAATGACCCCATTTTAACTTAATTACCTGTTTAAAAGTCCTATTTCTAGGCCGGGCGCACTCCAGCCTGGGCAACAGAGTGAGACTGTGTATCTAAAAACAAACAGAAAAGAATTTGAACTTGTTTCCAAAATGCACACACAGAAACTCTTTAAACTCAACAATTAAAACAATTTTATTTATTTATTTATTTATTTATTTATTTTTTGAGACAGGGTTTTACTCTTCACCCAGGCTGGAATATAGTGGCAAGATCATGGCTCACTGCAGTCTTGACCTCCTGGGCTCAAGTGATGCTCGCATCTCAGCCTCCTGAGTAGCAGGGATTACAGGTGTGCACCACCATACCTAGCTAATTTTTTGTAGAGATGGGGATTCGCCATGCTGCCCAGACAGGTCTTGAATTCCTGGGCTCAAGCAATCTGCTAGCCTCGGCCTCCCAAAATGCTGGGATTACAGGTGTGAGCCACCGTGCCTGGCCAAAACAATTTTTTCTAAAAGACAAAATATGTGAATAGGTACATCATCAAAGAAGAAATACAGGTAGCAAATAAGGATATGAAAAGATGCTCAACATCATTTGACATTAGGAAAAGGCAAATTAAAACATCCCACTTGTAATCCCAGCAGTTTTTTTTTTTTTTTGAGATGGAGTCTCACTCTGTTGCCCAGGCTGGAGTGCAGTGGTGTGATCTTGGCTCACTGCAAGCTCTGCCTCCGAGGTTCACGCCATTCTCCTGCCTCAGCCTCCCCAGTAGCTGGGACTACAGGTGCCTGCCACCACGCCTGGCTAATTTTTTTTTGTATTTTTAGTAGAGAAGGGGTTTCACCATGTTAGCCAGGATGGTCTCGATCTCCTGACCTCGTGATCCACCCACCTTGGCCTCCCAAAGTGCTGGGATTACAGGCATGAGCCACTGCACCCGGCCTATCCCAGCACTTTGGGAGGCCAAGGCAGGAGGATTACTTGAACTCAGGAGTTCAAAACCAGCCTGGGCAACATAGAGAGACCCTGTCTCTATAAAGAGAGGAAAAAACGGCATGGCGGCTCACACCCGTAATCCCAGCACTGTGGGAGGCTTAGTGGGGTGGATCACCTGAGGTGAGGAGTTCGAGACCAGCCTGGCCAACATGGCGAAATCCCATCTCTACTAAAACTACAAACATTAGCTGGGCGTGGTGGCATGTGCCTGTAGTCCCAGCTACTCAGGAGGCTGAGGCTGGAGAATTGCTTGAACCCGGGAGGCGGAGGTTGTGGTGAGCCCAAGATAGAGCCACTGCACTCCAGCCTGGACAATGCAGAGAGACCCCATCTCAAAAAAAAAAAAAAGAGAGGAAAAGAAAAAAAGTAAAAACAAAAATCAATGAGCATCAAGGAGATACACCACAACATACCTATTAGAATGACTAAAATCCCTCCCACCCAACCCCCCGAAAGCCTAACAATATCCATTGCCTATAGACACATGGAGTGGCTTGTGGGGATGCAAAGTGATCCAACCCCTTTGGAGACAGTTTGTCAGTCCCTTACAGAGCTAAACATAGACTTACCATATGATCTGGCAGTCATGATCCTAGGTGTTTACCCAACTGATTTGAAAACTTATGTCTAGGCAAAAGTCTGTATGTAAATGTTTATAGCAGAGTCATTCCTCATTGCTAAAAGCTGGAAGCAACCAACATGTTCCTCAGTAAGTGAATGTACACCTAAAACTATAGCACAAAAAGCTTATTTTGAAAAACTGCAACACTGGGAAACATAATTGAGTTGTCAGAAAAGCATAATACTAGTGATTATAATAATAATCAGAAAATAATGCTTACCTTTTGCCACATGGGGGCCTGTCTTGGAGATTTCTTTTCTTTTTTTTTTTTTTCCTTTGAGACAGAGTTTCACTCTTGTTGCCCAGGCTGGAGTGTAATGGCACAATATCGGCTCACCGCAACTTCCACCTCCCGGGTTCAAGCAATTCTCTTGCCTCAGCCTCCTGAGTAGCTGGGATTACAGGCATGTACCAACATACCCGGCTAATTTTGTATTTTTTAGTAGAGATGGGGTTTCTCCATGTTGGTCAGGCTGGTCTCGAACTCCCGATTTCAGGTGATCCGCCTGCCTCAGCCTCCCAAAGTTCTGGGATTACAGGCGTGAGCCACCGCGCCCAGCTGGAGATTTCAAGACTCCTGGGTTGGACGGGCATGGTGGCTCATGCCTGTAATCCCAGCACTTTGAGAGGCCGAGGCAGACTGATCACAAGGTCAGGAGTTCAAGACCAGCCTGGCCAATATGGTGAAACCCTCTCTCTACTAAAAATACAAAAATTAGCTGGGCGTGGTGGTGGGCACCTGCAATCCCAGCTACTCGGGAGGCTGAGGCTTGATCCCGGGAGGTGAAGGTTGCAGTGAGCCGAGACTGGGCAAAAGAGTGAGACTCTGTCTCAAAAAAAAAAAAAAAAAAAAAAAAGATTCCTGGATTGATTGGAGTGGCTCATGCCTGTAATTCCAGCCTTTTGGGAGGCTGAGGTGGGAGGATCACTTGAGCCCAGGAGTTCGAGACCAACCTGAGCAACACAGCGATTCCTCATCTCTATAAAAATAATAACAACAACAATAATAATAAATTAACCCGGCATGATGATGCTCACCTGTAGTCCTAGCTGCTCGGGAGGCTGGGGTGGGAGGATCCCTTTAGCCTTGGAGTTGGAGGCTGCAGTGAGCTATGACTATGCCACTGTACCCCAGCTTGGGAGACACGGCTAGACCCTCTTTTTTTTTGAGACGGCATCTTGCTCTGTCTCCAGGCTGGTGTGAAGTGGTGCCATTTCAGCTCACTGCAACCTCCACCTCCCTGGTTCAAGCGATTCTTCTGCCTCAGCCTCCCAAGTAGTTGGGACTACAGGTGCGTGCCACCACGCCCAGCTAATTTTTGTATTTTTTTTTAGCAGAGACAGGGTTTCACTGTGTTGGCCAGGATGGTCTCAATCTCTTGACCTCGTGATCCGCCCACCTCAGCCTCCCAAAGTGGTGGGATTACAGGCGTGAGTCACCGTGCCTGGCCCTTTTTTTTAGCAGAGTCTCGCTCTGTCTCCCAGGCTAGAATGCCATGGCGTGATCTCGGCTCACTGCAACCACCACCTCCCGGGTTCAAGCGATTCCCCTGCCTCAGCCTCCCAAGTAGCTGGGATTACTGGCACTCGCCACTATGCCTGGCTAATTTTTTGTATTTTAGTAGAGATGGCATTTCACCATGTTTGCCAGGCTGGTCTCGAGCTCCTGACCTCAGGTGGTCCACCCTCCTCAACCTCCCAAAGTGTTGGGATCACAGGCGTGAGCCACCACGCCTGACCAGAGATCCTGTCTCTTAAAAAAAAAAAAGCAAAACACAAAAAACGTCAGTCTTCATGGCTCACGCCTATAATCCCAGCACTTTGGGAAGCTGAGGCAGGAGGATCGCTTCAGCCCAGGAGTTCAAGACCAGCCTAGGCAACATAGGGACACCCCGCTTTACAAAAAAAAAAAAATTACTTAGGGCAGCCTGGGGAGGGGAATGTACTTCTGTTAGAGGAATGGGGCCGCAGTGTAGATTTTATTAATGTCTTCATTCATTTCACAAATATTTATTAAGCATCTGTGACTCGACAAACATTATTCTGGGTCCCACAGATACAGCAATAAACAAAAGGGAAATACCTGCCCTCCTAGTGTTTGTATTCTCATGGGTGGAGAGGACAATAAACAGGATGAATCCATAGGACCCCTGGGGACATGTCAGATGGTGATGCACCTCCTCCATTCTCCTCCCTGAAATTAGGGGAGGGGAGCAGAGGAGGGCTGGGGAGGCTCATGGAACAGGAGACATCTGCACCGAGACTGGGAGGGGGTAAGTGGAGGCATGCAGACACGTGGGAGAAATGGTCCAGGCAGAGGAAAGAGCTTGTGCAAAGGTCCTGAGTGGGAGCTCAATGTTTGGCCTGGGCAAGGAGTGACTGGGCAAGGGGTCCTGTAGCAGGGAGAAAAGTCAGAGAGGTGCAAGGACCTGACTGGGTGGGGTCCTGCAGGCTGTGTGAGGACTTAAGTGATGGGGAGCAATTTGAGCATATGAGCTGGGTGCAGTAGCTCACTTCTGTAATCCCAACACTTAGGGAGGCAGAGGTGGGAGGACCGCTTGAGTCCAGGAGTTCGAAACCAGCCTGGGCAGCAGAGCAAGATATTTTCCTCCACAAAAACAAACAAGCAAATAAACAACAACAAACAAATAAACAAACAAACAAAAACAAGTTTGAGGCCGGGCGCAGTGGCTCAAGCCTGTAATCCCAGCACTTTGAGAGGTCGAGGCGGGCAGATCACTTGAGGTCTGGACTTCAAGACCAGCCTGGCCAACATGGTGAAACCCCGTCTCTACTAAAAATACAAAAATTAACAGGGATTGGTGGTGGGTACCTGTAATCGCAGCTACTCCGGAGGCTGAGGCAGGAGAATCGCTTGAACCCAGGAGGTGGAGGTTGCAGTGAACCAAGACTGCACCCCAGCCTGGGCGACAGAGCAAGACTGCCTAAAAACAAAACAAAACAAAAATAAAAACAAAAAACCAACAACAAGTTTGAGCTGAGGAACTACAGGATCTGACTTTCCTTTTTTTGGCGGGGGGTGGGGGGCCTGTGGTTACATCTTGTTCAGGCTGGTCTCAAACCCTGGGCACAAAAGATCCTCCACCTCCGCCTCCCAAAGTACTGAGATAACCACCTCCGCCTCCCAAAGTACTGGGATAACAGGCAAGAGCCACCGGGCCCCGCCTGACTTTCCTAACAGCTCCTTCTGGGTGCTATGTTGACAATAGACTGCAGGGGGCAAGGGAAGATCAGGGAGGAAGTGGTGGAACCATTCCAAGAGACAAATGATGGCATCTTGGACCAGGGTGGTGGCCTGGAAAGTGGAGAGAAGAGGGTGAGTTCTGGTTCTAATTTTATTTTATTTTTTTACTTTTTATTTTATTTTAGAGAAAAGGCAACGCTGTAGTAGGCCACAAGGAGCTACTCTTTTCGCTCTCTTTTTTTTTTTTTTTTTGAGACAGGGTCTCACTCCATCACCCAGGCTGGAATGCAGTGGCGTGATCTCGGCTCACTGCAATCTTAACCTCCTGGGCTCAAGTGATCCTCCTGCTTCAGCCTCCTTAGTAACTGAGGCTACAGGCACCACCACACCCAGCTATTTTTTTTTTTTTTTTTGGTAGAGATGGGTCTCATTATGTTGCCTAGGTCACCATAATTGAGCTTGAGCTGGGATGTTTTCCAGAAATGCTTTACCCAAAGAGGCTCTCCAGGTTAGTGTATGTGTGTGTGTGTGTGTGTGTGTGTGTGTGTGTGTGTGTGTAATAGATTTCTCTATATGTTTTCTTGTTTTCTCGTTTGAGACGGAATCTCGCTCTGTCACCAGGGTTGAGTGCAATGGCACGATCTTGGCTCACCGCAACCTCCGCCTCCCAGGTTCAAGCGATTCTCCTGCCTCAGCCTCCCTAGTAGCTGGGATTACAGGCATGCGCCACCATGCCCGGCTAATTTTGTATTTTTAGTAGCGACGGGGTTTCACCATGTTGACCAGGCTGGTCTCAAATGCCTCGCCTCAAGCAATCCACCCGCCTCGGCCTCCCAAAGTGTTGGGATTACAATCATCAGCCACCGTGCCCAGCTGTAACTTTTACATATATTTTTTGTAGATAAGGGGTCTCCCTATGTTGCCAAGGCTGTTTCCAAACTCCTGGCCTCAAGTGATCCACCTGCCTTGGCCTCCCAAAGTGCTGGGACTACACTGTGCACCACGCTTGGCTAATTTTTATTTTTATTTTTTGTAGAGATGAGGTCTCGCTATGTTGCCCAGGCTGGTCTTGAACTCCTAGGTTCAAGTGATTCTCCCACCTCAGCCTCCCAAAGCGCTGGGATTCTAGGTGTGAGCCACTGTGCCTGGCCCCCAAAGCATTTTTGCTATCCTGGGTCTCCCCTTCTGCCAATTTTCTCAGCCTGTCGGGCTCCCACTGCGGCATTCTCTGTGGAACTGGATTCCCACGCCCTTTTGGGTCTCACAGTCCCCTCCAGCATCACTGTTCCCTCTGAACTAAGTGATACACCCCACCCCAAAGCAACACCCCTGAATCCTCTCGACCTACCTGCCATGCTCTGGGACCTCGTGCATGGGCCAGGCCCCAGCCGTGGCTCACCCCCAACCAGGAGTAAGCAGAACGGGCCAGCAGGCTTGGGCCCTGGCCAAGCCATCCAGCCATCCTGCTGGTCCACCTGGTAACTGGGGCCTTCTCAGGTTACCCAGGGGATCACTTTGCCGTAGAAACTCCAGCTGTCACTGCGGGCACATCGGTAACTGATGCCAAGGCCCTGAGCAGCAGAGGGCCGGCCACAAGCGAGTGTCCTTGGGCGTCCCGGGAGCACTGTGCTCTGAACTCCGTGGTCATTGCAGTCATCAGCGAGAAAGGTGAGCGGACCTGGGCTGGGGGCACCGCACCCACTCATCTGAGATCAGGGGCCCAGAGATGCCTCTTTCTCGTGCTCTGAGCTAGCCCAGTGATCCCCATTCAGAGCCTGCACTCTTGCTTCCAGGGAAGGTGAAGGAAAAGACAGTGGGCCAGGCTGGGGGCTCTGATGGGGGAAGAGAGGGCTTGGGCCAGTCTGCAGGACTGGGGATACATCGGAGGGCTTGCCAGGGTTCAGGAGCCCTGGAGAGTCAGTACTGCGGGCTGACCCAACCAAACTGGGTGTGGAGGTGTTAGAAGTTCCCTGCTTCGGCCTCTGATGGGCGGCCCTGCCACCCATCACAGGTGTGGGGACCGGAACAGATGTGCATGGGGACGTGGGAATTGTGTCTCAGCCCCTAATTCGGTTTCCAACCAGTCCTTCCTTTTTTTTTGAGAAAGAGTCTCGCTCTGTCACCCAGGCTGGAGTGCAGTGTCACAATCTCTGCTCACTGCAAACTCCGCCTCCCTGGTTCAAGCAATTCTCCCACCTCAGCCTTCCGAGTAGCTGGGATTACAGGCGTGCACCAGCACGCCCGGCTAACTTTTGTATTTTCAGTAGGGACGGGGTTTCACCATGTTGGCTAGGGTGGTCTCGAACGCTTGACCTCCGAAGCGATCTGCCCGCCTTGGCCTCTGAAAGTGCTGGGATTATAGGCATGAGCCACCATTCCCGGCCAGCCCTTCCTTGATAATGGGGAGCGGAGTCTCCTCTCATGGTTGACTTGAGGCCCCTCCAGGACGGCATGATGCCCAAACCCCACCTAGGCACAGGGGACCACGGGAGCCCAATGCTTTGCCACCAAGTGACAGAGGAAGTGTCCCTGAGGCTCCATGCCTAGGGGCCAGCACCACAGCCTGGCAGCTGGGGATGAGGACTCCCGGGATGTGTTTGGATCTGATCCCGCCAGCCTCAGGGTGTGACAACCTCTTTCCCACCTAGTGCAAGGAGTTCTCTCACTGGGCCCTCTGGTGGCCAGGTGACACCAGTTCTCATTGGGTGTCACTCAAGGAAAGTTCCTTCTAGTCCATCATAGATAGGTCTCTTCCTCGTCCCCAGTCCCCAACTCTGCAGCTTCCTGGAAGTATTCCCCAGGCCTCCTGGGAGAGGCTGGTTCTGCAAAGAAGACGGCCATAGGCAGATCTCCACACAGCTGCAGGGGGCTGAGCGGTACCCAAGCCCAGGGCCTTGCAAAACCAGCCCTCAGAGGTTCTTCCAAGCCAGCTCAGGAAGCCTTCACACACTGACCAGAACGACACTGACCACACCACATACTGCCTACGGTTTCAGAGGCCGCCATGGGCTCCCATAAGAAATCCCTGCTATAAAGAGAAACACACACCAGGCTGAGGCAGGAGGATCACTTGAGGCCAGGAGTTCAAGAACAGTCTGGGAAACATAGCGAGACCCGGTCTCTATTTTAAAAAATGGGCCGGGTGCAGTGGCTCACGCCTGTAATCGCAGCACTTTGGGAGGCCGAGGCAGGTGGATCATTTGAGGTCAGGAGTTCAAGACCAGCCTGACCAACATGGTGAAACCCCATCTCTACTACAAATACAAAAATTAGCTGGGCAGTAGTGGCACACACCTGTAATCCCAGCCACTCGGGAGGCTGAGGCAGGAGAATCACTTGAGTCTGGGAGGCAGAGGTTGCGGTGAGCCAGTCTGGGTGACAGAGTGAGACCGTC
Organism: Homo sapiens; assembly: GCF_000001405.40. Taxonomy (NCBI): domain Eukaryota; kingdom Metazoa; phylum Chordata; class Mammalia; order Primates; family Hominidae; genus Homo; species Homo sapiens. The sequence goes on along the minus strand of NC_000007.14, from coordinate 6,555,685 downwards.
TCAAAAAAAAAAAAAAAGAAAAAAATTTTTATTTTTGTTTTTTGTTTTTTTGAGACAGAGTCTCACTCTGTTGCCCAGGCTGGAGTGCAGTGGTACGATCTTGGCTCACTGCAACCTCCACCTCACAGCTTCAAGAGATTCTCCTGCCCCAGCCTACCAAGTAGCTGGGATTACAGGCGCCCGCTACCATGTCCAGCTAATTTTTGTATTTGTAGTAGAGACAGGGTTTCACCATGTTGGCCAGGCTTGTCTCGAGCTCCTGACCTCAGGTGATCCACCCACCTTGGCCTCCCAAAGTGCTGGGATTACAGGCCCGAGCCACCACTACCGTCCTTAAAAAAAAGTTTTTAAAAATAAAACAGATTAAAAAAAAAGACACACAGAGATTGTTCCATCCAGCATAGTCCATCTTCACCTTTCCACTGGAGACGGATCTCCAGTCCCTCGCCAGCCCAATTGGCCTCTTTTGGAGGACAGAGCCACTTCCTCCCTGAGCCCATGCAAGAGCTAGGAGCCCAGAGACCTGAAATCAGCCATACCATCCTTCCCCGAGGAGGCCAAGAAGGAGAGTCTTACCTCCTCAAAGATTTGCTCAAAGGGCAAATCCCCTCTCACCAAACATCAACAGGAAATGAGATGAAACTTTCTTTTTTTTTTTTTTTGAGACGGCGTCTCGCTCTGTCACCCAGACTGGAGTGCAGTGGTGCAATTGATCTTGGCTCACTGCAACCTCTGCCTCCCAGGTTCAAGTGATTCTCCTGCCTCAGCCTTCCGAGTAGCTGGAACTACAGGAGCATGCCAGCACGCCCAGCTAATTTTTTTATTTTTTGTATTCTTAGTAGAGACGCGGTTTCACCATGTTAGCCAGGATGGTCTCGATCTCCTGACCTCGTGAGCTTGTGATCCGCCCGCCTCGGCCTCCCAAAGTGCTGGGATTACAGGCGTGAGCCACCGTGCCCGGCCGAGATGCAACTTTCATATGAGAGCTCTTCCTGTTTCCTCTTTACTTAGAGGTTTCTAGCACTGAGTGTCCCACTAGTTGCAAGTGATTGCATCTGAACTCTAAACAGCCTTAAATTTTTTTAAATGTATTTATTTATTTACTTATTCATTTGTTTGTCTATTTTTGAGACAGGGTCTCACTCTACTTCCCAGGCTGGAGTGTGGTGGCACCATCATGGCTCACTGCAGCCTCAGACTCCTGGGTTCAGGCAATCCTCCCACCTCAGCCTCCTGAGTCGCTAGGACTACAGGTGTGTACCATCATGCTCAGCTAATTTTTTTTTTTAAGACAGGGTCTGGCTTATGCCTGCAATCCCAGCACTGTCGGAGGCTGAGGCGGGTGAATCACCTGAGGCCAGGAGTTTGAGACCAGCCTGGCCAACATGGCAAAACCCTGTCTCTACAAAAAAAATACAAAAATTAGCCATGCATGGTGGTGTACACTTGCAATTCTAGCTACTCGGGAGGCTGAGGCAGGAGAATTGCTTAAACCTGGGAGGTGGAGGTTGCAGTGAGCTAAGATCGAGCCACTGCACTCCAGTGTGGGTGACAGAGCGAAACTCCGTCTCAAAAAAAAAAAAAAAAAAAGGCAGGGTCTTGTTCTGTTGTCCAGGCTGTCTTGAACTCCTGGGCTCAAGTGATCCTCCTGTCTCAGTCTTCCAAAGCACTGAGATTACAGGCGTGAGCCACCTCATCCAGCCAAACAGGCTTTAAAAAACAACAACCAAAAAGAGGAATTTATGAGCCTGTGTTACTGAGAAGTCCTTCTGTCAAATGTAAGTTGGGTGCATTTCAGGCACAGCTGGATCCAGGAGTTCGGATGATGTCATAAGAACTGATCCTCCACAGGGTGGCAACATGGCTGCCAGCAGCCCCAAACCTTTGACGTCCATACAGCCAACGGACCCACAGAAAGACCGTTCTCTCTCAGGACCAAAGTATCAACTCTGCAGGGGCTCCAAAAAGCCCTCTGTAGGACACAAAGGCTGAGATACAGTGATTGGCCAGCCTGGTCAATGCTCACCCTGGCCACCAGGGCCAGTACATAAATGTTTGTTCCCCAAATCCTAGGGCATAGGAAAGAGGACATCAACCCACTCCACCTCCTACAACACGAGTGAGGGGAAGCCAGTGAGGGCATCCTCAAGCCAGGCAGGAGACGTCTGGACAGAGGTTTGAGGCTTTGCCTGAGGTGTGTGTGGAGGCTCTGTGGAGACAGCCTTGGATGGGGCCTGAGGGTGACCTGGCACTGCCATTCCCCAGCTGGGTGACCTTGGGTTAGGGCCCTCTCCTGTCTCAAAGTGCAGACACGCCACATGCTGGGTCTGAGGAGGTTTCTTTCTTTCTTTTTTTTTTTTTTGAGATGGAGTCTCGCTCTGTCGCCCAGGCTGGATGGAGTGGAGTGCAGTAGTGCAATCTCGGCTCACTGTAAGCTCCGCCTCCCGGGTTCATGCCATTCTCCTGCCTCAGCCTCCCGAGTAGCTGGGACTACAAGCACCCGCCACCATCCTGGCTAATTTTTTTTGTAGTTTTAGTAGAGACGGGGTTTCACCATGTTAACCAGAATGGTCTCGATCTCCTGACCTCGTGAGCCGCCCGCCTCTGCCTCGCAAAGTGCTGGGATTACAGGCGTGAGCCACCGCACCCGGCCTCTGAGGAGGTTTCTAAAGTCTCCCCCAGGCTGGGTGCAGTGGCTCACATGTGTAATCCCAGCACTTTGGGAGGCTGAAGAAGGAGGATCGCTTGAGCCCAGAAGTTTGAGACCTGTCTGGGCAACATAGTGAGACCCCATTTCTATAAAAATTTTTTTTTAATTAGCTGGGCATGGTAGTATGCGCCTGTGATCCCAGCTACTCAGGAGGCTGAGGCAGGAGGATGACTTCAGCTTGGAAGGTCAAGGCTGCAGTGAGATATGATGGTGTTCCTGCATTCCAGACTGGGTGACAGAGTGAGACTTTGCCTCTAAAAAATAAAGCCCAAGAGGCTGGGCACGGTGGCTCACGCCTGTAATCACAGCACTTTGGGAGGCCAAGGCAGGTGGATCACCTGAGGTCAGGAGTTGGAGACCAGCCTGGCCAATATGGTGAAACCCTGTCTCTACTAAAAATACAAAAAGTAGCCGCGCATGGTGGTGGACACCTGTAATCCCAGCTATTCGGGAGGCTGAGGCAGGAGAATCGCTTGAACCCAGGAGTCAGAGGTTGCAGTGAGCCGAGATCACACCACTGCACTCCAGCCTGGGTGACAGAACAAGACTCTGTCTCAAAAATAAAATAAAATAAAATAAATGCCCAAAGATATGAATGGTCTCTGAGGGACCATTCTGCTCCAACATTCTGGACTTCCGTAAGTTTGTGATTCATGCCAGATCCCGAAAGGGAATTTTGGTAGATGGAGAGGGGTAAGAAGAGGGATTAAAGTGTAGGGAGTGAGGAGGGCCCATGGAAGCCAAGTGTACATGTAAGACAGTAAAACAGACCTGTGGAAGCAGGAGGGGCCCATGGAAAAGGATGTGGCCGCATTGGTTAAAAATCCAAGGCACTCAAAAGAAGACTTTAAGGAAGGGCCATTTTTCTTTTACACCCCCTCCCCAATTTTGTTTTTAGTAAAAACAAACAAACAAACAAACAAAAAACAAAAAAACAAGCCAGGCATGATGGTTCATGCCTGTAATCCTAGCACTTTGAGAGGCCAAGCAGGCAGATCACCTGAGGCCAGGAGTTCAAGACCAGCCTGGGTAACATAGTGAAACCCTGTCTCTACTAAAAATACAACAATTAGGCAAGCCAGGCACGGTGGCTCACGCCTGTAATCCCAGCATTTTGGGAGGCCAAGGCAGGCAGATCACCTAAGGTCAGGAGTTCGAGACCAGCCTGACCAACATGGAGAAACCCCGTCTCTACTAAAAATACAAAATTAGCCAGGCTTGGTGGCACATGCCTGTAATCCCAGCTTCTCAGGAGGCTGAGGCAGGAGAATCATTTGAACCCAGTAAGCGGAGGTTGCGGTGAGCTGAGATCACGCCATTGCACTCCAGCCTGGGCAACAAGAGCGAAACTCTGTCTTAAAAAAACAAAAACAAAACAAAACAAAAAAACATAGATGGAAGGGAATTGAGACAAAGACGGAGTCAGAGGGAGGAGGCAGAGATAAGTAGAGGCCTTCAGTGGCCCTGGGCCTTTGAGTGGCTTTGGAGCCATGGACAGAGCAGCAAGGAAATCCCTGTTCTGTCTCCAGTTCTAGGTGCATGGCCACCACTGCCACGCCGGCCACGAACCAGGGCTGGCCAGAGGACTTTGGCTTCCGGCTAGGTGGCTCTGGCCCCTGCTTCGTCCTGGAGGTGGCCAAGGGGAGCAGCGCGCATGCCGGAGGACTGCGGCCAGGAGACCAGATCCTGGAGGTGGAGGGGCTGGCGGTGGGCGGTCTGAGCCGCGAGCGCCTCGTGCGCCTGGCACGGCGCTGCCCACGTGTGCCGCCCAGTCTGGGCGTGCTCCCGGCTCCCGACGGTGGCCCCGGCCCAGGATCCGGCCCCGCGGCCCCGACCACAGTCTTGCGGGCCCCGCGGTGCGGCCGCGGCCTAGCTCTGGGCCGTGAGCTGCTTCGCCTGGCCGGCCGCAAGCGCCCGGACGCGGTGCACCGAGAGCGCAGGCGCAAGGCCCAAGAGTTCAGCCGCAAGGTAAGGCGCGGGGGTGGGAGGTGGGGGCGGGAAGGAGGGGGCTCATAATGTGGGCAGGGAGTGGGCCGGGCGCCGCTCTCCCAGGGCCAGAGGTAAGGAAACTTCTGGGGTCAGATTTAACAGAAATATGGGAATGCTCAACTTCAAAACCTTGCAAACAATTTTGCATTTTTTTTTTTTGAGACAGAGTCTCGCTCTGTCACCCAAGCTGGAGTGCAGTGGCCAGGTCTTGGCTCAGTACAACCTCTGCCTCCCAAGTTCAAGTGATTCTCCTGCCTCAGTCTTCCAGTAATTGAGATTACAGGCGTTTGCCACCACACCCAGCTAATTTTTTTTTTTTTTTTTTTTTTGGTATTTTTAGTAGAGACGGGGTTTCACCATGTTGGTCAGTCTGGTCTCAAACTCCTGACCTCAAGTGATCTGCCCACCTCTGCCTCCCAAAGTGCTGGGATTACAGGCATGAGCCACTGCGCCCGGCCTAATTTTGCAATTTTTATTCACTTGTGTTTCTTTTTTATTAAGGTACTATAGGTGTAAAGTGCATTAAGTGTGCAGCTCAATAAATTTTCCATATACATGCACCCTTGAATAACCACCCTCTTGATCAATATATAAAATAATAGGATATAGATAAAAATATAATGTAGACTATAGAATAATTGACACCAGAATGTTCCCACGTGCCCCTTTCTCTGTCTATCCTCCCCATTAGAACTTAACTGCAGGCCAGGTGCTAGATGTAATCCTAGCATTTTAGGAGACCAAGGTGGGAGGATCACTTGAGACCCTGAGTTCAAGGCCAGCCTGGGCAACGTAATGAGACACCATCTCTACAAAAAAAATCAAAAACTAGCTTGGCATGGTGGTGCATGCCTTATAGTCCCAGATACTCAGGAGACTGAGGCAGGAAGATCGCTTCAGCCTGGGAGTTTGAGGCTGCAGTGAGCCATGACTGCACCACTGCATTCCAGCCTGGGTAACGGAGTGAGACCGCATCTCTAAAATAAAAAGATAAAATAAAAAGAGCCACAGATATCGCTTCTTGGCCCTTCATCTAAGATCAAGTGTAAAAGAGCCAGTGGGGTGAGGTGGCTCACGCCTGTAATCCCAGCACTTTGGGAGGCTGAGGAGGGCTGATGACTTGAACTCAGGAGTTTGAGACCAGCCTGGGCAATGTGGTGAAATCCCATCACTATCAAAAATATAAAAAAAAAAAAAACCAGCCAGGTGTGGTGGCGCGCGCCTGTGGTGCCAGATACTCAAGGGTGTTGAGGTGGGAGGATTACTTGAGCTTGGGAGACGGAGGTTGCAGTGAGCTGAGATCATGCTACTGCACTGCAGCCTGAGTGACAGAGTGAGACTCCATTCCCCTCCCCGCCATTCCCCACCTCCAAAAAAATGTAAAAGAATTCCGCCTGTTCTAAGCCCCCACAAAACCAGGATTAGACCTGCCCTTGCACAGCGGCCTGGCTGGCTTGTTGGCTGCAGGAGGCCCTAGTTTGGCTTCACCAATCTGCCAAAGGCATTTCCTCTTGACTTTGGCACAAACCAGGCTGTGATAGACTGCAGGTGGAATATTAGCGTGGTCCTGAAGATTAAGAATGAGGAGCCTGGAATGGATCAGACCTCTAGCCACAAGAAGAACCCAAGGCCTGAGTCACCTGCAGGAAGTAGGGTGTGGCCACAAGCCAAGATGGAGGCACCATTTAGAGACCCAGGGCTGGGATGGAAAGAGGGAGGATAGAGTCGGTCTCAGGCCTGAATCCCAAGCAACCCCTGATTTGCAGGAACCTGCCATTTACTGGACAGATCCAGGCAATTCCAAGAAACCTGGGACGTGACATGGTTATAAAAGAAGAAGCTGCCTAGTATGGTTACAGCTACCCCAGGCCACTGACTAGGTCCCAGTACAGCAACCTCCCATGCCATTCACCTTCACTCCTGTCCTCCAGGGCTTTCAGATGGGGTCCTAAGGCCTTTATTTCACTAATACTTGAATGGAACAAAAAGTGATCCTGTGTGCGACTAGGAAATAGTCCGGAGCCAAGACACTCAGTCCCTACCCCTGCCTGGCTATCGGACCCCTGTGGACATGAAGCCTGGAAACTCAGTATTTGCTTGGCGGCTGGGACACTTAAGCTCATAGACTTTTTTTTTTTTTTTTTTGAGGCAGAGTCTCGCTCTGTCACCCAGGCTGGAGTGCAGTGGTGTGATCTCGGCTCACTGCAACCTCCACCTCCTGGGTTCAAGTGATTCTCCTGCCTCAGCCTCCCGCGTAGCTGGGATTACAGGCGTACCCCACCATGGCCAGCTATTTTTTTTTTCTGTATTCTTAGTAGAGATGGGGTTTCACCATATTGGTCAGGCTGGTCTTGAACTCCTGACCTCGTGATCCATCTGCTGCGGCCTCCCAGAGTGCTGGGATTACAGGCGTGAGCCACCGCATCTGGCCAACTTTTTTTACATTATTTTGATTTTTAATTTTTGTGGGTACCTAATACGTGTATATATTTATGGGGTATCTGAGATACTCTAATACAGGCATGCAATGTGAAATAAGCATGTCATGGAGAATGGGGTACCCATCCCCTCAAGCATTTATCTTTTGAGTTATAAACAATCCATCTACACCGTTTAAGTTTGTATTTATTTTTTTTGGAGCCAGAGTCTCGCTCTGTTGCCCAGGGAATACAGTGGTACGATCTCGGCTCACTGCAACCTCCGCCTCCCGGGTTTAAGCAATTCTCCTGGCTCAGCCTCCCAAGGAGCTGGGATTACAGGCCCCCACCACCATGCCTGGCTAATTTTTGTATTTATAGTAGAGACACGGTTTCACTATGTTGTCCAGGCTGGTCTTGAACTCCTGACCTCAGGAGATCTGCCTACCTCGGCCTTCCAAAAGTGCTGGAATTACAGGTGTGAGCTACTGCACCTGGCCTAAGTTATTTTAAAATGGACAATTAAGTTATTATTGGCTATAGTCACCCTGTTGTGTTATCAAGCTCACAGACTTTTCCTCCGTGGAAGGGAATCTGCTCAGTTCTGCCCCAGCAGCACTTGGCCATGGGGTTTGGGAGGTCAGGGAGCCTGGAAACTTTGTCGGAGTTTGACTATTGCAGAAATGCCTCCCAGCCCACTGCCCAGGCATCAGGTCCCCACCCACTCTGGCCTCCTTCAGTGCCCAAGCTTGGTCCAGTCCTAACCCCTTCCAAATTAACCCCCTCAGGAGTGTCTCCTCCATCATGTACCCTAGCCTGATCCCCTGAATGGGCTTTTCTGACCCTGAGTAGACCAGCCTCTGTGGCCAGATACACACACTCGCATACACACAGGACTCAACTCCAGCTTCCCTACATCACCAAAGTCCAGATCTTCCAAAGCTGTGACTTTCTTCCTGTACCCACAACAGGCTCTGCTGCTATAACAAACAAACCCAACATTTTTTATTGTTGTTGTTTTTGAGACAGGGTCTAGCTCTGTTGCCCAGATTGGAGTGCAGTGGTACAATCATAGCTCACTACAGCCTCCAACTCCTGGGCTCAAGTGATCCTCCTGCCTCAGCCTCTCTAGTAGCTGGGACCACAGGTGTGCACCACCACACCTGGCTGATTAAGAAAAAAAAAAAAGACTGGGGAGATGAGGTCTTGCTATGTTGCCCAGGCTAGTCTCAAACTCCTGGCCTCAAGCAATTCTCCTGCCTCAGCCTCCCAAAGTGCTGGGATTATAGGTGTGAGCCACTGTGCCTGACCCAAAATCAACAACTTAGTGCGTTTGCACTACAGAAGTTTACTTTTCACCCACAGAGTCCTCTAGGGGGTCAGTAGACTTTCTAGGGTGGCTTGATGTCCATACGAGGTCTCAGCATTTCAGACTCCTCCATCTCTATGTGAAGCTTCAGGGTTCCCTATGGAAGAGGAAGAGAGCTTGGAAAATTGTGCATCTCCTCTTAGAACAGCACCTGTCCTCAATGCTCATTGGGCAGAACTAGGTACACTGCTCCTCCCTAAGGATGCTGGGAAATGTAGTCTAATGTGTGTCCAGGAAAGAGGGAAGACCTAGAAATATTGGTGAGTGCGAGTAATGCCTGCTACAATCCCAGATCACCTGCCATGGAGCCAAAGGTCTATCCCAGACTCCATCTAATCCCTGCAGAGTTGGAAGGGGGCACGTTCAGAGCTCCAAACAGGGCAGGATGCAAGAGAAGACCTGCCCAGGAGCAGGGCTGGGCAGCAACCCGCTGAGGGTAGAATCCGACAGGCTGCCCAGGCCAGCTGCAGTGTGTTTTCTGGCAAGGAGGAACGGGGAAGTGGAGGATTTTGGTTAGGGCTCGCTGGGCACCCACAAAAGCTGAGAGTGAATCTCCAAAAATGACTTCCTCTGGAAGATGAAGGGCCTCCGTGGAGCCCAGTTGGTTTTCTATCTTTTTTTTTTTTTTTTTGAGACAGAGTTTCGCTCTTGTTGCCCAGGCTGGAGTGCAATGGCGTGATCTTGGCTCACTGCAACCTCCGCCTCCTGGGTTCAAGCAATTCTCCTGCCTCAGCCTCCCAAGAAGCTGGGATTACAGGCATGTACCACCACGCCCGGCTAATTTTGTATTTTTTTTAGTAGAGACAGGCCAGGCTTGGTGGCTTGGCTGGGCACGGTGGCTCACACCTGTAATCCCAGCACTTTGGGAGGCCGAGGCAGGCAGGTCACCTGAGGTCAGGAGTTCAAGTAGAGATGGGGTTTCACCATGTTGGTCAAGCTAGTCGCAAACTCCTGACCTCAGGTGATCCACCTGCCTCTGCCTTCCAAAGTGCTGGGATTACAGGCATGAGCCACTGCGCCAGACTGGTTGGTTTTCAATCACCAGCCCTCCAGTTCTCGCCTGCGCTTTCTGCCTGCCCCAGTTTTTCCTCCTTGAAGTGGCTGATATTTAATAGAAAATCCATTAGTGTCCCGTGATGATACCTCATGCTTAGATGTAGGCTGAGAACATCTGGGTAATAACTGACACCGAAACCGCACTGTAGCACGGGCCCCAGGAGGGAGGAACTATTTTTTCCTCTTTCTTACATAAAACATCTCTGCAGCCAGCCATGTTCTCCTTTGAATTGAGGTTGCTGCTGACTTTGATTTCCAAACTGGCAACCTTCCCCAGCACGGCGCGTGCGTGGGGAGGGGGCGGCTGGTGCTGCCAGCCTGGCCCACTCACAGGGAGGGAAACAGTGGTGAGCTGGGGCCTGCAGGAAGTGCAATGCAAGGCTGCTTTTTGATTCAGTCCCATCCACATTCTCTGAGTGCCTAATATGTGCCAGGCGCTGTGCTTGGGGCTGGACAAGCATGAGACCCCGGATCATCACACCTGGGTGGGGGAGACAGACGGTTACACAGACTCATGGTGCATCTGTGCTAGGATTCAGACGTGTACAGAACGTGGCCTCTGACTGGAAACCCTCGAAGCTTCCCGCTACTTCTCCTCCCCTTTTGGAATCATCTAGAAAGCGGGTGGATATACAGTTCCAGAGTTCAAGAGCGAGCTCTCGGCTGAAGATCGAGGTCTGAGAGTCACTGTCTGGGGTTCTTCGCCAGAGCTGGGTCGTGGAGAGCCTCAAGTGCAATAGTGAACTGCAGTGGCAAAGGGCAGTGGTACAGAAACAGCACGTGTAGACGGCTCCAGACTACAGAAGGGAGGAGAATGAGCAGCTTTCAGGATCAAAGGAGGATTGTCTTTTATTTATTTATTTATGGAGACAGGGTCTTGATCTGTCACCCAGGCTGGAGCTCAGTGGTGTGATCATGGCTTACTGCAGCCTTGATTTCCCGGGCACAAGAGATCCTCCTACCTCGGCCTCCCAAGTATCTGGTAGCTGGGAATACAAGCGTGCACCACCATATCTGGCTAACTTTTTACTTTTTCTTTTCTTTCTTTTTTTTCTTTTGAGATGGAGTCTGTCTCTGTCACCCAGGCTGGAGTGCAGTGGCGCGATCTCGGCTTACTGCAAGCTCCGCCTCCCGGGTTCACACCATTCTCCTGCCTCAGCCTCCCGAGTAGCTGGGACTACAGGCGCCCGCCATCACGCCCACCTGGCTAATTTTTTTTCTATTTTTAGTAGAGACGGGGTTTCACCGTGTCAGTTGGGATGGTCTCGATCTCCTGACCTTGTGATCCGCCTGCCTCGGCCTCCCAAAGTGCTGGGATTACAGGCATGAGCCACCGCGCCCGGCTGTCTTTCATTTTTTAGAGACAGGGTCTGGTTATGTTGCCCAGGCTGGTCTCCAACTCCTGGCCTCAAGTGATCCTCCCGCCTTGTCCTCCCAAAGCTCTGGGATTATAGGCATGAGCTGCTGTGCCCAGCTTGTTATTTATTTATTTATAGCCTGAGAGAGACTTGAACATTTATATAAGCTGCAGGGAATGGAGAAGTAGATATACTGAAAACCATGCAGGCCGGGCACAGTGGCTCACACCTGTAAACCCAGCACATTGGGAGGCTGAGGCGGGTGGATCACCTGAGGTCAGGAGCTCGAGACTGCCTGGCCAACATGGAGAAACCCTGTCTCTACTAAAAACACAAAACATTAGCTGGTTGTGGTGGCGGGTGCCTGTAATCCCAGCTACTCAGGAGGGTGAGGCAGGAGCGTCGCTTGAACCCGGGAGGCAGAGGTTGCAATGAGCCGAGATCATGCCATTGCACTCCAGCCTGGGCAATAAGAGTGACACTCCATCTCAAAAAAAACAGAAAGAAAAAAGAAAAAGAAAACCATGCATTTACCAGTCATTGATCATGGGCCTATGATGTGCAGGACAGGGGAAACAGCCATGAACAACACAGGCAAGGAGCCTGACTTCACACACCTAACATTACTGCAGGGAAAGAGACAGTAAGCAAGTGGATTAATCAATACACAAGCTATTAAAGATCATGACAGGCCAGGCACGATGGCTCAGACGTGTAATTCCAACACTTTGGGAGGCCGAGGTGGGAGGATCACCTGAGGTCAGGAGTTTGAGACCAGCCTGGCCAACATGGTGAAACCCCATCTCTACAAAAATTACCAAAATGAGCCGGGCGTGGTGGCATTTGCCTATAATCCCAGCTACTTGGGAGGCTGAGTCAGGAGAACTGCTTGAACTCAGGAGGTGGAGGTTGCAGTGAGCCAAGATCCCACCACTGCACAGAGCGACAGAGTGAGCGACAGAGTGAGACTTTCTCTCAAATAATAATAATAATAATAAAATTAAATTAAATTAGCCAAGCACAGTGGCGTGCACCTGTGATCCTGGCTACTCGGAAGGCAGAGGTGGGAGGATCGCTTGAACACAGGAGTTCAAGGCCACAGGGAGCTATGATTGCACCACTGCACTCCAGCCTGGGCAACAGAGCAAGACCCTGACTCCAGAAAAAAAAAGATGATGATGAATAAAGTGGAGGCATAAATAGGGTGAGGTGAGAGTGACGCAACCCACTTTGACAGGGTGGCCAGGAAAGGCTGCCTGATGAGATGATCTTTGAGCTGAAAGCTGAATGACAAGTAGGTGGCAGGAAGAAAGGGGTGGAGACTGGGAATGGTGAGGTGTCTGTGGCCTGGTGATTTGGCCTTGACTACAAAGGGGGCTTTTTTTTTTTTTGAGACAGAGCCTCGCTCTGTCACCAGGCTGGAGTGCAGTGGCACGATCTTGGCTCACTGCAACCTCCGCCTCCCAGGCTCAAGCAATTCTCCTGCCTCAGCCTCCCGAGTAACTGGGATTACAGGCGTTTGCCATCAGATGCTCAGCTAATTTTTGTATTTGTAGTAGAGATGGGGTTTCACCATGTTGGCCAGGCTGGTCTCGAACTCCTAACTTCAGATGATCCACCCACCTTCGCCTCCCAAAGTGCTGGGATGACAGCCGTGAGCCACCGCACCCGGCCGGAAGTGGGCCTCTTCAACCTCTGAGAGCAGAGGATGGAAGGGAAGGATGCGGAGTCTGTTGAGAAGTTTGGAGGTGGATGAGGGTGAGAGAGGCGGGGCCTGACAGCCCCAGTTCAGGCTGAAGTTGCACCCACAAGTCCTCGAGAGAGGGAGACGTGAACGACTCATGGACTCACTCAGCCGCCCAGCCTTGCTTCAGGGTCAGCTCCAGCTGTCAGTGCCCAGAGACAACCAGACCCTCAGCCAACAAGGGAAGGGTCTCATGGAGTATGTGCTTTCAGTGGCTAAACTGTATGACATGTGGGCAATTCGATGGTTTTTAATATATTCACAGGATTGTAACACCCATCACTACCATCCATTTTCAAACAATTTCATCACTCTAACAAGAAATTCTGCACTCCTTAGCCATCACTCCCTATTTCATGGTTTTATTTTCTTATTTATTTATTGAAATGGGGTCTTGATCTGTTGCCCAGACTGTATAGTGCAGTGGCACAATCTTGGCTCACTGCAGCCTCAACTTCCTGAGCTCAAGTGATCCTCTCACTTCAGCCTCACAAGTAGCTGAGACTACAGGCATGCACCACCACATCTGGCTAATTTAAAAAAAATTTGTTTGTAGAAATGGGGTCATGCTATGTTGCCCAGGATGGTCTTGAATTCCTGGTCTCAAACAATCCTCCTGCCTCGATCTCCCTAAGCACTGGGATTACAGGTGTGAACCATTGCCCCCAGCCCTGCCAGGATCTTGCCTCCCACCTACTTTGGGATTTTCTTTTTTCTTTTTTTTTTTTTTTTTTTTGAGATGGAGTTTTTGCTCTTGTTGCCTAGGCTGGAGTACAATGGCAAGATCTCGACTCACTGCAACCTCCGACTCCTGGGTTCAAGCGATTCTCCTGCCTCAGCCTCCCGAGTAGCTGGGATGAATAAAGGCACCCACCACCACGTCTGGCTAATTTTTGTATTTTTAGTAGAGACGGGGTTTCACCATGTTGGCCAGGCTGGTCTCAAACACCTGACCTCAGATGATCCGCCCCCCTTGGCCTCCCAAAGTGCTGGGATTACAGGTGTGAGCCACCGCGCCTGGCTGAGATTTTCCTCTTTGTTTTTGGCCTAGATAGCCAAGAAACTACAAATATCTCCCACATGGATGTACTGCAATTATTTAGCCCCCACTGTCAGATATTTATATTGCTGCCAACGTCTTAGTGTTAGAAATAATACACAGGTGAACCACCTCACTCATACATCATCGTGCATGTGTCTTGTCAGGATGTGTGTAAGATAAATTCCTACATGTGAGATCATTGGGTAGAAGGATGGGCTTTGGACACACTTAACAACCTGCCTTCCAGAAACGTGACCATTTGCATGCTCATTTCCAACATGACCATTTGCATGCTCATTTCCAATGTGCCCATTTGCACACTCGTTTCCAACGTGTGCATTTGCACGCTCGTTTCCACCATGTCTATTTGCATGCTCCTTTCCAACGTGATCATTTGCACACGTTTCCAACGTGTCCATTTGCACGCTCATTTCCAATGGCCACACACTCCTGTGTGCAGATGTGCCTTGATTAGTATCAGCTGGTTTGTGGACAAAGACAAAAGTTTGGAGAGAGAACTGAGGGAGTCAAAATTCAGGGCCAAGCTGACGTGCCAGGACTTTTTTTGTGGAGTCAGAATGTTCTGTGTGGGATCTCTCAGCGCACAGTATGGAAGGGAGTGTAGTATTATAATAATAGTAACTAGCAATTACTGAATGTGTGGTGTGGTTTTAAGCTTTTATATTAATTCCTTTGATCTTTACGATATTTATTAGAACAGCTCTCTTTGGGTTTGAATCCTGACCCTTCACTTTCACCCCGTGACGCCGTCACCTCTACCAGCCTCAGTTTCCTTACATGGAAAATGAAGATGCTGGCCAAGAGAGGTGGCTCACACCTGTAATCCCAGCACCTTGGGAGGCCGTGGTGGAAGGATCACTTGAACCCAAAAGTTTGAGATCAGCCTGGGCAATATAGCAAGACTCCATCTCTATAGAAAAAAAAAATTTAATTAGCCAGTTCTCTTTAAGTAGATGAGGGATTATAAAAAAACAGATTAGCCAAGCATGTAGGCACATACTTGTGGTCCCAGCTACTCGGGAGGCTAAAGAGGGAGGATCACTTGAGCCCAGGAGGTGGAAGCTGCAGTAAGTTATAATCACACCACTGCACTCCAGCCTAGACAACAGAGTGAGATGATACCTCTCAAAAATTAAATTAAAATAAATTGGCTGTGTGCGGTGGTTGACACCTGTAATCCCAGCACTTTGGGAGCCCAAGGTGGGTGGGTCACCTGAGGCCAGGAGTTTGAGACCAGCCTGGCCAACATGGTAAAACCCCATCTCTACTAAAAAAAAAAAAAAAAAAAAAAATTAGCCAGGTGTGGTCACAGGTGCCTGTAATCCCAGCTACTTGGGAGGCTGAGGCAGGAGAATCTCTTGAACTTGGGAGGCGGAGGTTGCAGTGAATCAAGATTGAGCCACCGCACCCCAGCCTGGGTGGCAGAGTGAGACTCTGTCACAAAAAATAAATAAATAAATAACAATAAATTAAAAATTAAATTAAAATAAATAAATAAAATGAAGATACTAACCATGCGACCAGGCCCTCTTCGCAGGGCAGATACATGGTTAGAAATGGCATGATATGGCCGGCCGCGGTGGCTCACGCTTGTAATCCCAGCACCTTGGGAGGCCGAGGCGGGCGGATCACCTGAGGTTGGGAGTTCAAAACTAGCCTGACCAACATGGAGAAACCCTGTCTGTACTAAAAATACAAAATCAGCCGGGCGTGGTGGCGCATGCCTGTAATCCCAGCTACTCAGGAGGCTGAGGCAGGAGAATCGCTTGAACCTGGGAGATGGAGGTTCTAGTGTGCCAAGATTGCACCACTGCACTGCAGCCTGGTAACAAACTGAAACTCCGTCTCAAAAAGAAAGGAAGGGAAGGGAGGGGAGGGGAGGGGAGGGGAGGGGAAGGGAAGAAGGAAGGGAGGAAGGAAGAAAGGAAGGAAGAGAGAAAGAGAAAGGAAGGAAGGAAGGGGCATGATATGGGCATAGCACTCAGGTGGTACGCCCACGTCAGCCATCCCGTGTAGGTAAACTGAGGGAGGAAAGGAAGGAGGAGAGCAGTTCTCCAGGGTTCCACTCTGGATCCCTTTTGGTCATTCACAGGACTCCTCCTTGCAGGTGGATGAAATCTTGGGGGACCAGCCAACTGCCAAGGAGCAGGTGTTCGCTGCACTGAAGCAGTTTGCAGCTGAGCAGCGGGTGGATGATCTGGTGTGGACTCTCACCCTGGCGCTGCCCCGAGAGGCCTGCGGGCCACTCCTGGACAACCTCAGGTACTGCGGGCAGGGGGCAGGATAGACAGGCAGGGTGGGTCTCACTTAGAGCCATCATTCCCTCACAACCACCCCAGGCACCCCTTCCAGCCCAGGTGGGAGATAATAGATGGTAGCCTGCTCTTGAACAGCATCGCAACATAACTGCAAGCCCCAAACAAGGGTAGGCCAATGACCCTGAGAAGGCAGCTGTTGGCTCTGCCAGATGCCAGGGTACCACCTTGAGTGATGGGAGAAGGGCCAGGACAGACCTCAGAAAGGATCCACCTTCTGATCCAAAGTCACCACCTTGGCCAGGCATGGTGGCTGCTGCCTGTAATCCACGTGCTTTGGGAGGCTGAGGTGGGAGAACCGCTTGAGGCCAGGAGTTGAAGACCAGCCCACGCAACATAGAAAGACCCCATGTCTATAAAATATAAAAATTAACTGGGTGTGGTGGTGCATGCTTGTAGTCCCAGCTACTTGGGAGGCTGAGGCTGGAGGATTGCTTGAACCCAGGAGGGTGGGGCTGCAGTGAGCTATGATTGTGCCACTGCACTCCAGCCTGGATGACAGAGCAAGACACTGTCTCAAAAAAAAAAAAAGGTCACAGTCTGCCCTGCTCCACCCCAAAACCTAGATTGTAAAAATCTCCAACAGGATACCAGACACTTCCAATTCTTTATTGAGACAGGATAATGGCACAATGTGAGGGCAGGGAAGCCCAGGACTGTGCCATGTGGGGCTCCAGTACCCCCTCGACCTCCACCCTACAAACCATGTGTGCTCTTGGCCCTTTGATTTCCTTTCTTTCCTTTCTTCTCTCTCTCTCTCTTTCTCTCTTTCTTTCATCTTCCTTTCTTTTCAGACAGAGTCTCACTCTATCGCCCAGGCTGGAGTGCAGTGGCGTGATCTCGGCTCACTGCAACCTCTGCCTCCCCGGTTCAAGCAATTCTCCTGCCTCAACCTCCCGAGTAGTTGAGACTACAGGTGCCACTACGCCCAGCTAATTTTCATATTTTTAGTAAAGATGGGGTGTCACCATGTTGGCCAGGCTGGTCTCCAACTCCTGACCTCAAGTGATCCACCCACCTCGGCCTCCCAAAGTGTGTGGATTACAGACGTGAGCCACTGTACCCGGCCTGATTACTTTTCTTGTTTTGTTTTGTTTTGAGACAGGGTCTCGCTCTGTCGCCCAGGCAGGAGGGCAGTGCCATGATCTTGGCTCACTGCAGCCTCCAACTCCTGACCTCAAGTGATTCACCCACCTCAGCTTCCCAAAGTGTGTGGATTATAGGCGTGAGCCACTGTACCCGGCCTGATTACTTTTCTTGTTTTGTTTTGTTTTGTTTTGTTTTGTTTTGTTTTGTTTTGAGACAGGGTCTCGCTCTGTCACCCAGGCAGGAGGGTAGTGCCATGATCTTGGCTCACTGCAGCCTCCAACTCCTGGGCTCAAGTGATCCTCCTGCCACAGCCTCCTGAGTAGCTGGGACTTCAGGTGCGTGCCACCATGCCCAGCTAATTTTTGTATTTTTTTAGAGATGAGGTTTCGCCATGTTGTCCAGGCTGGCCTCAAACTCCTGAGCTCAGTCAATCGCCCACCATGGCCTCCCAAAGTGCTGGAGTTACAGGCATGAGCCACGGTGCCCGACCCTTTGGTGATGATGATGAATGTGTGCCAAGGACCTCAGCAGACACTAGAGGAACACTCTTTCACTGAATCACCCAAGAGCTGTTATTAACCCCATTTCCCAGAGACAGACTGAGGCTCGGAGAGGTTAAGAGGCTGGCCTGAAGCCACACAGCAAATTGGTAGCAGTCACAGGACCACGAGCAGGGTCAGCAGTGCACTTTCTGCTCTTCCGCTCTGTTTTGCTCGAAGCTTTTTTGAATCGGAGTCTCGCTCTGTCATCCAGGCTGGAGTGCAGTGGCATGATCTTGGCTTACTGCAACATCTGCCTCCCGGGTTCAAGTGATTCTCCTGCCTCAGCCTCCCAAGTAGCTGGGTGCCACGATGCCACGCTTGGCTAATTTTTGTATTTTTAGGAAAGACGAGGTCTCAGCCGGGCACAGTGGCTCACACCTGTAATCCCAGCACTTTGGGAGGCCGAGGCGGGCAGATCATGAGATCAGGAGTTCGAGACTAGCCTGGCCAACATAGTGAAACCCCCATCTCTACTAAAAATACAAAAAATTAGCAGGTTGTGGTGGCGGGCGCCTGTAATCCTAGCTACTGGGGAGGCTGAGGCAGGAGAATCACTTGAACCCAGGAGAGGGAGGTTGCGGTGAGCTGAGATCACGACACTGCACTCCAGCCCTGCCAACAGAGCAAGACTCTGTCTCAAAAAAAAAAAAAAAAAAAAAAAAAGGTCTCACCATATTTGCCAGGCTGGTCTCGAACTCCTGACCTAAAATGATCCGCCCGCCTCAGCCTCCCAAAATGCTGGGATTACAGGCGTGAGCCACCGTGCCCGGCCTGCTCTCAGTTTATTTGTCAGAAGAAAAAAAATACTGGTGGGTCCTCACCTGGAGGGACCCAGGAGTCTCCTGACTCCACTTCCATCCTTGGAGGCCCTCCCTGCCTGCCCAGCTTGGACCAAACCCCCTCTGGGCTGGACTGCTGTTCTCCCTCCCCGGATCCCGCCGGGTTTCCCTCCTCACCCAGCCTCCTGGGCCTGCGACTGCTCCTCCATCCCTCCCCTCCCTCTTCCCGGACTCAGCCCGCCCCCTCCCCTTGCTGCCATTCACCCCGCAGCCTGCCCCTCCCTCTGGGCCTGGCCAATGTCAGGGACTGGGCTGGCCACCCTCCCCGCCGCCCCCCCGCCCACCCCAGCCCCGGCGCAGCTCTCGGCTCTGCAGCGGAGCATAGGCGACCACCACCGAAAGAGGCCACCATGAGCTGCCTGGGGTGAGTAAGGGGTGAGCCCCTTGCTAGGAGAATCAGAAGAGGGGAAAAAAGGAAAAAAGTTATTTCTAGAGCCGAATTTGCCGCGGAGATGATGCGCTGGCTCTGAGCGCTTCCTGGGGAGCTGATTGACAGGCAGCCCCCCGTCCCGCCCCTCCCCACCAGGGATGGGCCAGCGGGGCGCAGGCGGCCCAGCTGTCCCCCAGGAAGTTGGCTCGCTCGTCTCCCGGCTGCTGGCAGCCGGGCTCGGCTGGAGGCCCTCTCGGTTCTCCTCTCCCACAGCGCTGCCGGTGTCTGTTCCTGCCCCCTCCCGGGCCAGCCCGCCTGCCCCCCGGGACAGCCCCATGCCCGCCTTTCCCAGCCGCCGCTGGTCCCCAAGCCGCCGGCAGCTGCGGCAGCGGGTCGGGCAGGGCGCGGGAGGGGGAACCCCCTTGGGCGCGCTCGATTTAGAGCCTGGGCAGCGGGAGCCCTGGACACCTGGGGATGCCCAGTCCCCGCAGCTTGAAACGGCAGCCTCTGCTGTAAGCGCGTGTCAAGTGCGCCAGGAAAACTGGGGAGGCTGCTGGAGGAAGGGGCGGCGCCCAGCTGGGCTCCGCAAGGAGAATGTTACCCTGGCAGTAGGGCTTCAGCCACCCCGCACCTCTTCAAACCCCCTACTTCCCAACAACCCCCTCCCCAGGGCTGGCCAGTCACCCATGGCCCCATAGTGTGCTGGCCTCTAGGGTGGCAGCGATCTCTGGGCAGCCCCATCTGGAGAGAGGTCAGAGGGGGCATGGAGAAGCCACAGACGCAGCTGTGATTCCCAGGGTTGGGTGCCAGTTGATGGCTAACTCAGCACAGAGCAACCAGGGCAGGCTTCTTGGAGGAGGCAGCAGGAGGTGGCGGTGCTGTGGCTTAGTGACTGGTGGAGTCTGGTGGTGCGTCCTGTAGATGTGGGAGGACAGTCCCCAAGGAGAGTTCGGATGGGCCAGGTGCTAGCCATACAGGGTGAGGGCAGTGCCGCCCTGGCCTATGGCATCCAACAGCCCCCAGCTGTGAACCACCCAACAGGGAGTAGAGGGGACCACAGAGAGCCACCACTTGGGCCCTAAGACCCCACATTGAGGAGAGACAAGGTTTAATTTTTTTAAGAATTTATAAATAGAGACAGGGTCTCACTATGTTGCCCAGGTTGGCCTGGCCTCAAGAGATCCTCCCATCTCAGCCTCCCAAAGTGCTGGGATTACAGGTGTGAGCCACTGTGCCCCACCAAGAGGTAAGGTTTAAGTGAGAGGTTGAACAGCCAAAGGGTGGTAGGCAAAAAAATATACACGTGTGTGTGTGTCAGAGATCTGCAAGGAGGCCAGGACCCACCCAAATCAGAGAGGTGTGGCCTCACTAAAGGGTGATCCCAGTGGCCAAAATAGAAGGCTTGGGGAGAAGGAGAAGGGAGCAGTGACACCATGAAGCTGGGCCATCTAGCACAGTAGCCACTGGCCACACATGGTTATTTAAAGTTAAATGTGGCTGGGCGTGCTGGCTTATGCCTGTAATTCCAGCACTTTAGGAGGCCGAGGCGGGTGGATCACCTGAGGTCAGGAGTTCGAGACCAGCCTGGCCAACATGGTGAAA
This sequence comes from Homo sapiens, assembly GCF_000001405.40. NCBI lineage: Eukaryota > Metazoa > Chordata > Mammalia > Primates > Hominidae > Homo > Homo sapiens. The sequence goes on along the minus strand of NC_000007.14, from coordinate 6,535,222 downwards.
CCTCGCCTCTACTAAAAATACAACAATTTGCTGGGCAAGGCCCGGCGCGGTGGCTCACACCTGTAATCCCAGCACTTTGGGAGGCCGAGGCGGGTGGATCACCTGAGGTCCGGAGTTTGAGACCAGCCTGACCAACATGGAGAAACCCTGTCACTACTAAAAATACAAAATTAGCTGGGGGTGGTGGCGCATGCCTGTAATCCCAGCTACTCGGGAGGCTGAGGCAGGAGCATCGCTTGAACCTGGGAGGCGGAGATTGCAGTGAGCCGAGATCGTGCCATTGCACTCCAGCCTGGGCAACAGGAGTGAAACTCTATCTCAAAATAAATAAATAAATAAATTAGCTGGGCATGATGGCAGTTGCCAGTAATCCCAGCTACTTTGGGAGGCTGAAGCAGAAGAATCGCTTGAACCCGGGAGGTGGAGGTTGCAGTGAGGTGAGAACAAGCCACTGCACTCCAGCCTCCAGCCTGGGTGACAGAGCCAGACTCTGTTCCAAAAAAAAAAAAGTTAAATGTAATTAATATTTGATAAAATATAAAGTTCAGCTTCTCAGTCTCACTAGCCACATTCCAAGCACACAACAGTGACAGTGACATATGGCTAGCGGCTACCGTACAGGACCAGGCGGATGTAGACCTTGTCCATCGTCACAGAACGTTCCCTTGGACAGCGCTGCTGCTGTAAAGGGTGAGATGGGTCCGTGGTCACCATGTAAGCAGGTGGTCTCCTATTCCTTCACCACAACAGTTAATCCTGCGACTGGGAGGCTAATTTGGGTCTCTCCCCAAAGGGACCCCGGTCTGATGAAGTGAGAAAATGGCTTTCTAATTAGGACAGGCCAGGCAGTTTGGAAAGTGTGACGTGGCCAGGAGGGAACAGGAAAGCAGAGTCAGCTTTGTGGTCCGCTAGCGTTTCAGGAAATATGAGTGGTGGCGTGGGGGGAACGGGGTGTCAGGTCAGGGGCAGGTCATGGTAGAAGCTGGGATTCGGAATCCGGACAGACCCGGCTTGAATACAGGTCCACTCACTGGCAGTGCAATCTCAGGCAGGTTCACTGACATCTACAGTTTGTCTGTAAAACGGGCTTGGTAGTTTCTGGGTGTTCTCAGCAGGGTTCTTGGTAGGAAACCATGTAAATGAACTTGGCCAACTGAAAGCAGGAAAGGTGAGTTGAGAATCTAAGGGTGGCCTGTGAGGGACTATCTGCACCCCGTCACCCTCTTCTGCTTCAGTGCCAAGTGTCATGAACACCATAATATAGAGTTATTGGGACTGGGTGCAGTGGTTCATGCCTGTAAGCCCAGCATTTTAGGAGGCTGAGGTGGGAGGGTTGCTTAAGGCCAGAGTTCAAGACCAGTCCGGGCAGCATAGTGAAACCCCATCTCTACAAAAAATACATATAAAAAATTAGCTGGGTTTGGTGGTTCATGCCTGTAATCCCAACATTTTGGGAGGCTGAGGTAGGAGGATCACTGGAGCCCAGGAGCTTAAGGCCAGCCTAGACAACACAGCAAGACCCCATCTCTTAAAAAAAAAAAAAAAAAAGTTTAAAAATGAGCTGGGGGCAGTGGTGCCTGCCTGTAATCCTAGCGATTTTGGAGGCTGAAACAGAAGGATTGCTTAAGGCCAGGAGTTGAAGACCAGCCTAGGCAACAGAGCGAGACCCCATGTTTACACACAAAAAAATTAAAAAATTAGCCAGGCATAGTGGTACATGCCTGTAGTCCTAGCTATTTGGGAGGCTGAGGTGGGAGGATCACTTAAGCCCAGGAATTTGAGGCTGCAGTGATTCATGATCATGCCATTGCACTCCAGCCTGGGTGACAGAGTGAGACTCTGTCTCTAAAAATAAATAAGAGAGATATTGGCAGAATTCTATGAGACGTGTAGATAGAAGCACCAGGCATAAAATATGTGCTCAATTAGTATTGGCTTCTCTTAGGGAAGCTCTCGTTCCCAAGAGCAGGTGTCTCAAGTAGGGCACTGCTGACATTTAGGAGCTGATATTTCTGTGTTGTCAGGGGCTGTCCTGCACATTAGAGGATGTTTAGCAGTATCCCAGGCCTCTACCCCCTAGATGCCAGTAGCACAACCCCTGTCAGTTGTCATTTTGTAACAAACAAAATGCCAAGTGACTGCCAAATATCCCCTGGGTGGACAAAAATCACGACTGGTTGAGAAGTACAGCTCTGGAGGAAACTTAAGCAGTGCCTTTTGCTGGAGCAGACACTTCAGGGAAGTCCGGCTGTTGCCTGTCCCCTGGTGATCACCTAGTGACTGGGTGACCACCTCATGCTGCCCTGGGTCACCTGGCCACAGGCATGAGCAGCTGGCCCCACTGTGCCCACGGAGACCTGGCTCTGAGGTAGCGTGCCTGGATTTGACCCTGGGCGTCTGCTCCCTGGTTGCATCTCCTGTGCTCACAGCACGGTGGATGGTTTTCAGAGCCTTTGGCCATGTGTGGTTCTGGATTCTGGGCCACTGCAGCTGGCACAATACAACCAGGAATGGCTCCAATCATAATGGGATGGCTGGGGCCCCACAGACGACAGAGAGCTGTGCTGGCTGGGAGGCTTGTCAGCTGCTTCTCTCCCTTGCAGGGCTGAGGACAGGGCTTGGGGAGGGCACGGCATGAGTGGGCACTGGCTCCAGTTTCTGGCTGCTTCCAGGAAGAAGTACAGCCACGGGGGGTCACAGCAAAGTGATGGTCTTGCAAGGGCCAGGAATGGGGGGCTGCAGTGTATTGGGGAGCAGTGCGTGGACAGTACCAGAGACCGATGATCGGACCAGAGGGTCCTCCCTGTGCTGCCTGCAGGTACCCACAGGCTGCCCCATGGGAGCTGTCCCTCTGAGTGAGACAGAGGGAAAGTCCCCGGGGCATCTTGCCTCTCCTGTTCCCGCCTGTCTTTGGAGAGGGCTTCATGCTGATGTTCTGGTTGGGGGTGCCCCTGAAGAGCCCCTCCCCAGGATGTGCCTTGAACTGGTTACCCCAACTCTCATTTGTTCCTCAGGCCTGATTCTGGGCCTCTCCAGAGGCAGTCGGGACTCCTTGAGACATGACACGCAAGCAGGCACGCTGGGGTCCCCTCCTGCTGCTGTTCAGGGGATGGCAGGCCCAGAGCCTCCAGGGATGAGTCCAGACCTCCTTTCCTGTGGCCTCCCTCTCCTCCCCTTTAATGTTCCTCCCCTCTTCTCTCCTGGCAGAGCAAGAGGCGCAGCTCTGGGAGGCCCTCTACTCGCTCCCTCCCCACTCACCTGGGTGTTGTCGCAGCCTGGGCGTCCTGTCCTCACTCGCACTGACTCCCCAGGCCTCAGACACTCCACCTCCTCTGTGTTTTGGAATTCGGCTTCTTGTCCCATCCCAACACCCCCCTCTGGGTCACCTCCCAGCATCAGCCCTCTCCTGGTGTGCCAAAACCTTTGGAGTCCTTCCACCTCTCCTGGAACCATGAAACCCTCCCACGGCTCCTTCCTCTTCCCAGAGTGGGGTCTCAGCTGCTGACCACGGCATTCAAAGCCTCCCTATCCAGCCTCTTCTCGGCCACAGCCGATAATTAGCCAGGCATGATGGTATATGCCTGTAGTCCCAGCTACTTGGGAGGCTGAGGTGGGTCCCTCCCGACCCCGGGGAGGGTAAACAGGGCTTCTTCTAGCCGGCCGACTCCTGCTGAGCCCTGGAGGCCCAGCGTAAAGGGCATCCCCTCCGGAAAATATTGCATGTTCTACCAAAGGCCGTCGGGGCTTCCTCTGAACTGCGGGGACTCGCCACTGTGTGGGGGTCCGGGGCGCAGTAGCTGGAGAGGACGCAGGCGAGGATCCTGGGAAGGGAATAACGGAGAGAGCCAAGGGGAGTGAGCGCGGCGGCTTCAAACCGCCGCCAGTTTCCGCTGCACCCCAGAGCGACCAAAAGGGTCCCAGCAGGGCAGAGGCGGGGCTACCTGGAGGGGGCGGGGCCACCAAAAGGGGCCAGGGCGGGGCTGCGGGCCGGGACGGCTCGGGAGGGGCCGCGCGCGCTCGCAGGGCAGAGGTGCGTGGAGTCGCGGCGCGCTCGCTCCATTCCTGGGCTCGGCTACCCCCTGCCCTTCGGCACCTGCCGCGCCGCGGTCCCCGGCTCCAGATGGGGAAGGACCAGGGCTTCTCTCGGCACTTTCGGTAGCTTCCCCATCGCGTCCCGCGCCTCCGGGAACCGTGCGCCCTCTGCGCCACGGATCCGCCTCGGGCTGGTCTGAAAGCGGGTGGGGCTGGAGCGTGGAGGGGCTTCCCTGCCCTGGGTGGGCACCCTCCGAGCCTGGGCGGAGCCCGAGGCCCAGGGAGGTTGGAAATAAACTCGGTGGGTACCGGGGCGGCGAGGTCTAAGCGTTGGGCGCTCAGAACCCGTGCGTGGCCCTAAAGAGTCGGTGTTGGGATAAAAGGCTGGGATTGAAAGCCCACTTTCCTTCCTACAATTGGGCTGGTCGAGGGGACAGGACAGAGGGCCGAGACTGAGGTTGGGTGCTCTTGTGAAAATCGGGGGCATCTCGTCCTGAGTTTGGGGGGCACGACCTCTCCACTGCCGTGCTCCCTATACTGAACCAGGGAACCCTTGTCCCCTTGCCACCATTTCGCTGGCTGATGATCAAAGGTGAGATAAAGAAAGCTGGGTGGGGGGCCAGGCGCGGTGGCTCACGCCTGTAATCCCAGCACTTTGGGAGGGCGAGGGGGGTGGGGGGTGCGGATCTTCTGAGGTCAGGAGTTCGAGACCAGCCTGACCAACATGGTGAAACCCCGTCTCTACTAAAAATTTAAAAAGCCAGCCAGGTGTGGTGGTGCATGCCTGTAGCCCCAGATACTCGAGAGGCTGAGGCAGGAGAATCGCTTGAACCTGGGAGGCGGAGGTTGCAGTGAGCCAAGAGTGTACCCCTGCACTCCATCCTGGGCGACAGAGAGTCTCTCTCAAACAAACAAACAAACAACAACAAAAAAGGCCAGGCGCGGTGGCTCACTCCTGTAATCCCAGCACTTTGGGAGGCCGAGGCGGGCGGATCATGAGGTCAGGAAATTGAGACCGTTCTGGCTAAAACGGTGAAACCCTGTCTCAACTAAAAATACAAAAAATTAGCCGGGTGTGAAGGCATGCGCCTGTAGTCCCAGCTACTCGGGAGGCTGAGGCAGGAGAATGGCATGAATCCTGGAGGCGGAGCTTGCAGTGAGCGGAGATCGCACCACTGCACTCCAGCCTGTGTGACAGAGCGAGACTTTGTCTTAAAAAAAAAAAAAAAGAGAGAGAGAGAGAGAGAGAAAGCTGGGTGGGGAGAGAGGACCCTAGGAGGGGGCGGGGTAGGAACTTGGGGTTGGATTTAGACCTGACTCTGGCAGAGAGAACAGAACTGACCCGGTGTGCAAGGTCATTGTGTGGCCCCCAGGAAGAGTCCTGTGGCCTGAGAGAGGCCTGTTGGCATAGCAGGGACTCCAGAGTCCAGAGACAGTGATTGCTGGACTGCCACTCAGGGGGGATAGTGACTGGTGGTAATAGTCACTGTGGCCCCACTGCTCCTGGCTCTGCTGGGTCAGTCGATTTAGGGCAGACCCAGGGCTGGGGACTCTGGGCCAGACTGAGCTGCATGGAGGGCCAGCAGGAGCCAGGTTGGATGTCTGGCTCACCAGGCAGCCTTGGCCTCTGTCTCAGCCCCAAAAACACCAAGTAAGGAAAGGGCTGCCCAACCTTCTTCCATCTGTGCAGTTGGTGACAGCCTGGTTCCCACCTGGGGGACAGGGCCTTTTCTTTTTTTTGAGATGGAGTCTCACTCTTTTGCCCAGGCTGGAGTGCAGTGGTACAATCTCGGCTCACTGCAACCTCTGTCTCCCCGGTTCAAGCAATTCTCGTGCCTCAGCCTCCTGAGTAGCTGGGATTACAGGAGTGCACTACCATGCCCGGCTAAGTTTTGTATTTTTAGTAGAGATGGGGTTTCACCACTTTGGCCAGGCTGGTCTCGAACTCCTGACCTCAGGTAATCTGCCTGCCTCGGCCTCCTAAAGTGCTAGGATTACAGGCTTGAGCCACCGCGCCCGGACGACAGGGCCTTTTCTAGTTGCTGCTGGAAGGTAGAGCTGTGATGTCCTCTTGACCCCTGCCCAGGTTGGACTCAAGGGTTGGGTGCATGGGGTGATGTCTTCAGAGTCTGTGGCTGGAGCCGGAAGTGAGGTGGACAGTCTCAGGTGTGTGTGTCTTCTCTCCTTTGCCTGGACATGAGGCTTGAGGTCTGGGAGGCGCTAGGGAATGTGCAGGCCTGGCAGATGGAGCGGTCAGGCTCTGGAGACCTTAAATGACCATCTGGGGGATGAGGCTGTGTTTCCGGATTTGCAGGAAGCATTGCAGGTGGATGGGAATGGGCACCGGGCAGAGGTGAGCAGGACATTCATCCTGGTTCCTGGTTACCCCCCGGACCATCGAGACCTGGAGCGGAGCTCACTGCGGGGACAGAGCCTCCTCCCTGAGAATCCACACCCACTTCCTCCCACCAGGCAATTTCTTTTGCCTGGCGGGCCTAATTACTCCTACCCACAGAGGTGGAGGGAAGTGTGAGGGCCGCTGGGACACCTCAGAGGGGTTTGTCTTTCAGCTGCAAGGCCACTGATCCCTTCTCCCTTCTCCCCCTCATCTTGCCCTTGGCCCTGGCACCTGGTACAAGGAACAGGGAAGGGGGCCTTGGGATGCAGCCAGGGAGACCTCACAGGCAACCAGACCTTCAGGGGCTCTTGTTAGAGGTCCTGCCACAGTGCTGAGCGCTGAAGTCTGTTCTCTGATGCCAGCTGTGCCACAGGCCAGCTGTGTAACCGTGGAGAGCTACAGGTCCTCTCTGTGCCTCAGAATCCTCTGCCACAGACCGGAGAGTCCATCAGGATGTTAACTGCTGCCATTACTCAGAGATGGGGTTAGGCTGCTGGTGGATCTCCTGTTGACTGAGTCTCTCCTATGTGCTGAGCCCTGGCTAGTCACTGTGGCTCAGGATTGAACTATAGACATAACCCCCGGAAAGCTTCCAAGGCTGGGTGTTGTAGCTCACGCCTGTAATCCCAGCACTTCGAGAAGTGGAGGTGGGAGTATCACTTGAGCCAAGGAGTTTGAGACCAGCCTGGGCAACATAGAGCCTCATCTCTACAAAAAAAATTAAAAAGAAAAAAAAATGCCGGGCACAGTGGCTCACGTCTAATCCCAGGACTTTGGGAGGCCGAGGCGGGCAGATCACCTGAGGTCAGGAGTTCAAGACCAGCCTGGCCAACATGGTGAAACCCCATCTCTACTAAAAATACAAAAATTAGCCGTCGTGGTGGCATGCATCTGTAATCCCAGCTACTCGGGAGGCTGAGGCAGAAGAATTGCTTGAACTGGGGAGGTGGAGGTTCCAATGAGCTGAGATCTCACCATTGTACTCCAGCCTGGGCGACAGAGCAAGACTCTGTCTGAAAAAAAAAAAAAAAATTAGCCTGGTGGCATGTGCCTGTAGTCCTAGCTACAAGGGAGGCTGAGGCAGGAGGATCCCTTGAGACCAGGAGTTCCAGGTTACAATGAGCTATGATCGTGCTATGATCGTGCCACTGTACTGTAGTCTGGGAGACAGAGCAAGACCCTCTCTCAAGAGAACGAGAGAGACAGAGAAAGAGAGAGAGTTTCTAGCCCTGCAGCGGAGACCCACGGGCCTTCCCCCTGCCTCTCACTTCCAAGGTAACTACTTTGAGAGCAGGAGCCACAGTCCCTTTAGCTTTGAACGCCAGTTCCTGGCTGGCACAGATAGCAGGGGCTCCCTGAATACATGTAGGATTAAGTTGAAAGGAGGCCAGTGTTGGGTACGGAGCCTCATTTAGCTAAGGAAGCAAAGGAGTGGACCTGGGCAAGAGCCTGGGCAAGAGCTTAGAGATAGGACTGAAGGTGGCAGAAACGGGGTTCCTGCCAGATATCTGAGTGGGCAGCTGCAGATGGGCCTGGACAGAGAAGCAAGCAGGAAGACTGGAGGCGTGGTGAGGGGCTCGTGGGTTCCAGTTTCCTCCAGCAGAGCCATCTAGAGACGAGGTGGGAGACAGTGGGTGGTGGGGATCCCTGGCTCAGGGCTTGGCCTGGCGGGTGCAGAGGGAGTGGGGGGAGAGGACAGAGGCAGGAGGAGGAACGGGTCCGTGGACTGGCTTTGAGGGGCTCGGGCCCTGCAGTGGCCAGAGTCATGGAGGACGGTCCGAACGGGCCATTCCCGAGGTGAAGCGAGCAGGACGCCAAGTCCTAGCTGGGGGCGCAAATCCGAGCAGCGAGGGGGAGACTGGGGTGCTACCGGCTGCTCATCCCGATCCCCCCAGCCCTCCGCCACTCCTAGGAAGAGGTGGGAGAGCCTAGGGCGGCGCCCGCGAGGACGCGCCTTCGGGCCGCGGTTTGCAGAGATCCGGGGTCCGGGAACGCGCCCCGACTCCGCCGTCCTCGCCGGCAGGATCTTCATCCCCAAGAAGCACCGGGCGCGCTTCGACGAGGTGGTGTCTCAGGGCCTCCTGGGCAAGCTGTGCCGCGCACGCCGGGCCCAGGGCGCGCAGCGACTGCGCCGGAGCCGCAGCGAGGAGCGGCCGGAGCGCCTCCTGGTGTCCACGCGCGCCAGCGCCCCGCCGCGCCGCCCCGATGAGCCGCCCCCGCGCAGGGCCTCCTTGCTGGTGGGCGGCCTCGCCGGCCCCGGGGGCGCGCGCAGGTACGCGGGGCTCACAGGCACTGGCAGCGGGCGCCTCCCTGCGGGTGGGCTCGGGACCGAGACCCGGGGAGAGGGCGTAGGGGCGGGGCTGGGCATCTGGGGTGCATAGGGGGCCGGAGAGGTTAAGGGGAGAGGGACACGGGACATCTCCAACCTCTGCGCCCCAGGGCCCCCTCTCCATCATGCTGCTCGCCCCTTCTTTTTCCCCCAGGACTGTCCGAGTCTACAAAGGCAACAAGAGCTTCGGCTTCACACTTCGCGGCCACGGGCCTGTCTGGATCGAGTCTGTCCTGCCTGGTGAGGGGTGGGCCGGTTGCCCTAAGAGTCCCTAAGGCCCAGGATGGGGTGAAGGGCCCCGTGGTGGCTCTGCCGGGTCATTGTACCCCATGTAGGCTCCTGCTCAGCAACCCCTCCACGTCAGGTACCATCCTTGTGTAGACCGTGTCCCCAGAGTGTCCCAGAGCCAGCAGATCTGAATCCCATTCCTACCTAAGATGCTTGAGGCCAGAGCCTTCTGCCTGAGTTGGGGCACCCCACCCCTGCCCCTCTAAATTCAGCATCCCCCCAAGCCAAGGGAACCAGGTTCTGCATCCAGACCTTTCCTGTGTCCACAGGGAGGGCCGGGGCACTGTCTAGGACTCTGGGGCAGCCAGGACTGAGCTGCTGCCTACCCAGGCTGTGCCCCCAGCAACACGAGCTTCATGGAGTGCCCACGCTGAACTGGGTTCTTGCCTGGCAGGCCAGACTCAGACAGCCAAAAGGGCCTCAGGGCCTCTGCCTGCTGTCTAACACCTGCTGAATATGGACTTCGCTCTCCTCCCACCCTGCTTGCTCCTTCTTGTTCCTGAAATCATGGCATCTTTTTATTTATTTTATTTTATTTTAATGAGATAGTGTCTCGCTCTGTCACCCAGGCTGGAGTGCAGTGGTGCAATCTTGGCTCATTGCAACCTCCATCTCCGAGGCTCAAGTGTAGCTGAGCCTCCAGAGCCTCCTCAGCCTCCAGAGTAGCTGGGACCACAGGCGCACGCCACCATGCCTAGCTAATTTTTTGTATTTCTGGTAGAGCTGGGGTTTTGCCATATTGCCTAGGTTGGTCTTGAACTCCTGAGCTCAAGTAATCCTCCCGCCTTGGCCTCCCAAAGCGCTGGGAGTACAGGCGTGAGCCATCACACCTGGCCTATTTTTAAAATTTTATTTAATTTAATTTTTTGAGACAGAGTTTTGCTCTTGTTGACCAGGCTGGAGTGCAATGGCATGATCTCAGCCCACTGCAGCCTCTGCCTCCCAGGTGCAAGCGATTCTCCTGCCTCAGCCTCCTGAGTAGCTGAGATTACAGGCGCCTGCCACCACACCCAGCTAATTTTTTTATATTTTTAGTAGAGATGGGGCTTCGTCATGTTGGCCAGGCTGGTCTTGAACTCCTGGCCTCGGGTGATCCACCCGTCTTGGCCTCCTAAAGTTCTGGAATTACAGGCAAGAGCACCACACTCGGCCTATTTTATTTTATTTTAAGAGATGAGGTTGGCCGGGGCAGCATTTTAGGAGGCCAAGGCAGGTGGATCACGAGGTCAGGAGATCGAGACCATCCTGGCTAACATGGTGAAACCCGTCTCTACTAAAAATACAGAAAAAAATTAGCCAGGTGTGGTGGCAGGTGCCTGTAGTCCCAGCTACTCGGGAGGCTGAGGCAGGAGAATGGCGTGAGCCCGGGAGGCGGAGCTTGCAGTGAGCTGAGATCATGCCATTGCACTCCAGCCTGGGCGACAGAGTGAGACTCCATCTCAAAAAAAACAAACGAGAGATGAGGTCTCCCTCTGTCACCCAGGCTGGAGTGCAGTGGCATGATCATGGCCCACTGTAGCCTCCAACTCCTGGGCTTAAGGGATCCTCCTGCCTCAGCCTCCTAAATGTTGGGATTACAGGCGTGAGCCACCATGCCCAACCATGGCATCTTGAAGAAGGCAGAACCTCTGCAGTGCAAGAATCCCTTTCTTCCTGCCCCTCCAGTGGGGCAGGGGTGTGTGTGTGCACTCATATTCATTGTGGAAGGTGTTTGTAGGGCAGAAGTGTCTCCTAGAGCTGAATTGAATTCTCCCTCCCTGTAACCATCTGCTCAGAACTGGGTCACCTGCTCTGTCCTGCATCCGTCCCCTCCCAGCACCTAAGTGTAATGCTCCTGGTTACACATCTCCATTGGTGGCCATGCCAATGCATTCTTTCCACACTCTGTGTGTCATCACATCTCCAGTGTATGGATCTGTGAGCTGGGCATCGTCTGATCCTGTAGTCCCAGCCCGGGACTGATCCCATGCCTTTCCTGTCATAGGAAGCCAAATGGATGCTTAGATGGACGCTTTTACAAAGGGGGAAACTGAGGCCAGTAGTCCCAGCCCTGGAAGAGCACTTCAGTGTCAGTGCATCATCCTTACAGGCTTCAGGCTGTTCTGAGACTTAATCCTGAGAAGTGGCATGTTCAGGTTCTTCCCCGATTTGGGCATCACTAACTTGTTGACACCATATTGTAAGCAAAAGGCCCAAAGCTGCTCTCTGGAGAGCTTCCTCTAGAAGTGATTAATCTCTCCTCTGTGGATGTGGCTGTTCCAACCATGCCACCACCACCATCTCCATCTCCCAGTCTCTCCCACATGTGTAGCCAGAGATACCTGGCCTAGGGCCTTGTTAGAATCCAGGTGTGGCTGGGTGCAGTGGCTCACACTTGTAATCCCAGCACTTTGGGAGGCCGAGGCAGGAAGATCACTTGAGCCCAGGAGTTTGAGACCAGTCTGAGCAATAGTGAGGCACATGCCTGTAGTCCCAGCTACTCTGGAGGCTGGGGTGGGAGGATCACTTGAGCCCAGAAGTTCGAGGCTGTAGTGAGCTATGATCATGCCACTGCACTCCAGCCTGGGTGACAGAGCAAGACCCTGTCTCAAAAAAAGAAAAAAAAATCCAGGTCTGCTGTTCTTCCCAACCCAACCTTCAAGCCAGTGATCCCATGCCTTTCCTGTCATAGGAAGCCAAATGGATGCTTAGATGGAAGCTTTTACAGATGGGGAAACTGAGGCCTGGAGAGGCTCTGGTAAATTAAGGACCAGAAACTGGGATCTCCTGACTCCTGGCCCAGTGCTCTTTGATCCCCTGCGACAACCTCTCTAGCTGTCCCACCATTCCAGGCAGGCCAGATTGGATTCGCCACCACCATCACTCTCTCCTTTTTGGTCCAGGGAAAGGACTTCCCCCATCTCGCCTCTCCCGGGAAGTCTTCCCTAATTGTTCCCTCTCTTCTCTGGACAGTTTCCACTTCCCCCAGAGAGAACTTCTCGCAATCTGAGAGTATATTTTATTTAGCCATTGATCATTTTCCCTACTTTCCAAATTACATTTAGAATGATGACTCATAAAAGAGGCAGAAAGAGGACTACGTGGTGGCTCACACCTGTAATCCCAGCACTTTGGGAGACTGAGGCAGGAGGATCATTTGAGGCCAGGAGTTTGAGACCAGCCTGGGCAACATGGTGAAACTTCGTCTCTACAAAAAATACAAAAATTGGGTGGCCGGGCATGGTAGCTCATGTCTGTAATCCCAGCATTTTGGGAGGCCAAGGCGGGCGGATCACTTGAGCAGGAGTTCGAGACTAGCCTGGGCAATATGGCGAAACCTCATCTCTACTAAACACACGCTAACACACACACACACACACACACACACATATTAGCCAGGCATGGTGGCTGTAGTCCCACCTATTCAGGAGGCTGAGGTGGGAGAATAGCTTGAACCCAGGAGGCAGAGGTTGCAGTGAGCCGAGATCACACCACTGCACTCCAGCCTGGGTGATAGAGCGAGACTCCATCTCAAAAAAAAAAATTAGCCCGGAGTGGTGGTGCGTGCCTATGGTCCCAGCTACTCAGAGCCTGAGGTGGGAAGACTGCTTGAGCCTAGGAGGTTGAGGCTGCAGTGATCTGTGATCACACCTCTGCACTTCAGCAAGACCCTGTCTCTAAAATTAAAAAAAAAAAATACAGAAAATAATTCTCCTGAAGCAAAGAGGAATCCCAGACCCTGACAGGACCTTTCTGTGTGGGGCTAAGAACAGTGTATGGAGCAGGGACTCAAGAAGTACTGATGCTGCCTGAGTCCTGCCCTCCAGACCTCCCTCTTCTCCAGCACTGGGGGTCCATGCTGTACCCCTGCTAGGGGATCACTCCCGTGGTCCTTAGATCCTTAGAGCAGCTGAGATCAGAGACGTGCAGAGTCTATTACAGGGGTCTGCTGACCTGATTTGACTCTCCTCTGCCACCCATGCCTATGGGGCTCTGTATTTTTTTTCTTGGTAGAGATGGGGTCTCGCTATGTTGCCCAAGCTGGTCTCGAACTCCTGGGCTCAAGCGATCCTCCTGCCTTGGCCTCCCAAAGTGCTGAGGTTACAGGTGTGAGCCACCATGCCCGGCAAGCTATGGGTCTCTGAGTCTCCATTTCTCGCCTGTAAAACAGGATAGCATCCTGCTCTCAAAGTGGTACCCTGCCCAGCTGACCGGCACACCCTCTCTTCTTGCTTCCAGGGAGCCCAGCTGACAATGCTGCCCTCAAGTCAGGTGACCGGATCCTCTTCCTCAATGGACTGGACATGAGGTCAGAGGCTATTGGGGACACCAGGGGTTGGTGAGGAGCTGCCCCCACCCCCTGCAAGACTCCTGCCTCTTGGGGCACCCAGGCTGTGATCACAATCTCCTCTCACCATTTGGTCCCCAGGGTCTGTCCCTCTTCCAATGGGAACTCTTGAATCTAACCCTCCTCCTCGCCAGTCGCCAACTCTAGCCAGGACCTCAGTTCATCCTTCCAACCAGAAAATACTCCAGCTCCATGCTGGGGACACAGAGTCACACAGAGGTGGTCTTGCTGTGTGACCTCTGTGGGCAGGACAGGGAGGTCTGGCTGGTGGCCGTGGACAGGGCTCACCCCAGTCAGGCCCTCCTGGGCCATCTCTGCTTGGCAGGAACTGCTCCCACGACAAGGTGGTGTCCATGCTGCAGGGCAGTGGTGCCATGCCCACGCTGGTGGTGGAGGAAGGGCTCGTCCCATTTGCCAGTGGTGAGACCCCCATGGACACTTGGCTTCCTTGGCCCCCAGAGACCCTGCCCAGGCTGCTATATGTGAGAGTCACAGTGCGGAGGACTCAGCTCTTCCCCTAAACCTGCAGCTTGCCTCCCCGGGGCTGCCTCCTAAGTGGTGCTATAGAACCCCAGTGAGGCTGGGCATGGTGGCTCATGCCTGGAATCCCAGCACTTTGGGAGGCCAAGGTGGGAGGATCGCTTGAGGCCAGGAGTTTGAGACCAGTCTGAGCAACATGGCACAACTCTGTCTCTACTAAAAATACAAAAACTAGCTGGGCGTGATGGCACGTGCCTGTAGTCCCAGCTACTTGGGAGGCTGAGGCAAGAGAATCACTTGAACCCAGGAAGCGGAGGTTGCAGTGAGCCGAGATCACGCCATTGCACTCCCGCCTGGGCAACAGAGCAAGACTCTGTCTCAAAACAAACAAACAAAAAACCCTAGTGTATAGCCTTAGGGACCCTTCCCAGGGCTGACTCCCTCTATCCTTGGCCCCGGTGTCGGGCCACAGGCATGCCTTCCCATGCATGGCACTGGACAGCCACACCCCAGCTCAGGAGGTCTCCTGACCTCAAAAGCCAGGGAGACTACACCTGGCCTGGGGACTCTGAGTCACTCATGCCTCTCCCGCCTGTGGTCCCAGCAGACTCCGATTCTCTGGACTCACCCAACCCGTCGTCGGCGCTCACCTCCCTGCAGTGGGTGGCGGAGATCCTGCCGTCCAGCATCCGGGTCCAAGGGAGGACCTTCAGCCAGCAGCTGGAGCACCTACTCACACCTCCTGAGCGCTATGGGGTCTGCCGGGCCCTCGAGAGCTTCTTCCAGCACAGGTGGCCGGGCCAAAGCCGCGGTGGGGCCCTGCCCTGGGTGGGCCCTAAGTCCTGCCTAGACTCACATCCCAGTCTCCCTGCCTGAACCTCCTCAGTCCCGTTCTCCTGGGGGATGCTCAGGAAGGTGGCTGCTGGTATCAGGGGCCCCAGGGTGGTGGGCAATTGAGCTGCCCTGGAACAATCTCTGACTCTGACACCTCCTAGTCACGTGACCTTGGGCGAGTCTCAGCCTTCTCTGTGAAGTGAGGCAGACAGGAACCACCTGCAACATTCTATTTTTTTTTTTTGAGATGGAGTCTCGCTCTATCACCCAGCTGGAGTGCAATGATGAGATCTTGGCTCACTGCAGCCTCCGCCTCCTGGGTTCAAGCGATTCTTCTGCCTCAGCCTCCGAGTAGCTGGGATTACAGGTGCCCACCACCACACCCGGCTAATTTTTTTGTATTTTTACTAGAGACAGGGTTTTACTAGAGACAGGGTTTCACTATGTTGGTCAGGCTGGTCTCAAACTCCTGACCTCGTGATCTGCCCGCCTCGGCCTCCCAAAGTGCTGGGATTACAGGCGTGAGCCACCGTGCCTTGGCCCACCTGCAGCATTCTTGATGGGACCTTCACCAGAGCCCCACCTGTGGGCACTTGTCATGGGCTAGGCCCTTCGGGGTAGGGTTGGTGTCTTTCTTTTTGGACCTCAGCTGCAGCCAGCTGCATTTATCACACTCCTCGGTCCATGGGGTCATTATTATGGTCTCTGCAAAGCCTGTCACTTGTCCATACCTTTTTGTTTTGTTTGAAGGGTTTTTTATTTTTGTTTTTGTTTTTTGAGATGGTGTTTCACTCTCGTTGCCCAGGCTGGAGTGCAGTGGTGCGATCTCGGCTCACCGCAACCCCCACCTCCCGGACTCAAGCGATTCTCCTGCCTCAGCCTCCCAAGTAGCTGGGATTACAGGCATATGCCACCACGCCTGGCTAATTTTGTACTTTTAGTAGAGATAGGGTTTCTCCATGTTGGTCAGGCTGGTCTCAAACTCCCGACCTCAGGTGATCCACCTGCTTCAGCCTCCCAAAGTGCTGGGATTACAGGCATGAGTCACCGCACCTGGCCTGGTTTGGTTTTGTTTTTTAAAAAAGATGGGGAGGTCTCACTATGTTACCCAGGCTGGTCTCGAACTCTTGGGCTCAAGTGATCGTCCCAAAGTGCTGCGGTTACAGGCATGAGCCACTGTACTTGGCTCTAAAGAGTCTTAAGATGTAATTCACATACTATACAATTTGCCATTTAATTATACAATTCAGTGGTTTTTAGTATATTCACAAATACGTGCAAACATCACCACGGTCCATTTTAAAACTTCATCACATCAAAAAGAAACCCAGGCCAGACACCTATAATCCCAGCACTTTGGGAGGCTGAGGCAGGAGGATCGCTTGAGCCCAGGAGTTCAAAACCAGTCTGGGCAACAGAGCAAGAAGCCATCTCTACAAAAAGAAAAAATTAGCTGGGCATGGTGGTGCGCACCTGTAGTTCCAGCTACTTGGGAGGCTGAGGCAGGAGAATCACTTGAACCCAGGAGGCAGAGATTGCAGTGAGCCAAGATCACACCACTGCTCTCCAGCCTGGGTGACAAAATGAGACTTCGTCTCAAAAAAAAACAAAAAAACAAAAAAAAACTGTGCTTGATATCATGTTTTGTGTCTAACTTATTCACCAATTACTATGTGTTTAGCTCTGTCCAATGTATATTTCATACATTGATTATAACTAAAGCCAAATTCCTTTAGATCACAGTGATGCCCAACTTTTTATTTTTGCTAGTTTCTTTTTTTTAATTTTTATTTTTTGTTTGAGATGGAGTCTTACTCTGTCATCAGGCTGGAGTACAGTGGCGTGCTCTCGGCTCACTGCAACCTCCCCCTCCTGGGTTCAAGCGATTCTCCTGCCTCAGCCTCCCGAGTAGCTGGGACTACAGGCACTCTCCACCACGCCCAGCTAATTTTTGTATTTTTAGTAGAAACAGGGTTTCACCATGTTGGCCAGGATGGTCTTGATCTCTTGACCTCGTGATCTGCCCACTTCAGCCTCCCAAAGTGCTGGGATTACAGGTGTGAGCCACGACACCCGGCCTATTTTTGCTACTTTCTTAGCCATAAAAGTGACATCCTGTTATTTTTATTTGATTTTCTTCTATTACTAATTATTTTAAGCATCTTTTAATATGCTTGTGAACTTTTTCTGGGATTTTTCTCTATAAATTACTGTTCATACCCTTTGTCCATTTTTGTTTTCTTGGACTTTTTGTCCTTGTTGACTGGCATGAAGTTTCTTGTATATTTTATTTTATTTATTTTCTGAGACAGGGTCTCACTCTGTCACCCAAGCTGGAGTGCAGTGGTGCAAACACAGCTCACTGCAGCCTCGAACTCCCAGGCTGAAGTGATCCTTGTGCCTCTGCCCCCCAGGTAGTTGGGACTACAGGCACTCGCCTACCATGCCCAGCTAATTTTTTTTTTTTTTTTAGTAGAGACAGGGTTTTGCCATGTTGCTGGTCTTGAACTCCTGGGCTCAAAAGATTTGCCCATTTTAGCCTTCCAAAGTGCTGGGATTACAGGTGTGAGCCACTGCTCCCAGCCCCTTGTATATTTTATTTTATTTATTTATTTATTTATTTATTTATTTTGAAGCAGAGTTTTGCTCTGTCGCCCAGGCTGGAGTTCAGTGGCATGATCTTGGCTCACTTCAACCTCTGCCTTCCCGGTTCAAGTGTGTCTCCTGCCTCAGCCTCCTGAGTAGCTGGGATTACAGGCGCCCACCACCATGCCTGGCTAATTTTTGTACTTTTAGTAGAGATGGGGTTTCACCATGTTGGCCAGGCTGGTCTCGAACTCCTGACTCAGGTGATCCCCCTGCCTCAGCCTGCCAAAGTGCTGGGATGACTTGTGAGCCACGACGGCTGGACACCTTTGTATATTTTAGATGCTGATTTCTCCTTGATTTTGAACATTGTAAATTTCTCTCCCATTTGTTACTTCTGTTATTAGGTCTGTTGTGTCTAATATGAATGTGTCTAAGTTGGGCTTCCTTGAATAGATAACCTTGATTTTGCATAATCAAACTCACCACATTTTTGGTCTTATAGTTTTGTGTAGGGTCCAGCCCTACAGGGCCTGTGGGTTTTTCTCTTCGTGTGCGGAGATGAGAGATCGTAGAAATAAAGACACAAGACGGCTGGGCGCGGTGGCTCATGCCTGTAATCCCAGCACCTTGGGAGGCTGAGATGGGCAGATCACGAGGTCAGGAGATCGAGACCATCCTGGCTAACATGGTGAAACCCCGTCTCTACTAAAAATACAAAAAAAAAATAGCCGGGCGTGGTGGCAGGCGCCTGTAGTCCCAGCTACTCGGGAGGCTGAGGCAGGAGAATGGTGTGAACCTGGGAGGCGGAGCTTGCAGTGAGACGAGATTGTGCCACTGCACTCCAGCCTGGGTGACAGAGCCAGACTGTCTCAAAAAAAAAAAAAAGAAAGAAAGACACAAGACAAAGAGATAGAAGAAAAGACAGCTGGGCCCGGGGGACCACTACCACCAAGACGCGGAGACCAGTAGTGGCCCCGAATGCCTGGCCGTGCTGTTATTTATTGTGTACAAGGCAAAGGGGCAGGGTATGGAGTGAGAGTCATCTCCAATGATAGGTAAGGTCATGTGAGTCACGTGTCCGCCAGACAGGGGGCCCTTCCCTATTTGGTAGCTGAGGCGGAGAGAAAGAGGGGACAGCTTACGTAATTATTTCTTCTATGCATTTTAAAGACTTTAGTACTTTCACTAATTCTGCTGCTGCTATCTAGAAGGTGGAGCCGAGTGCACAGGGCAGAACATGAATGCGGACCAGGAGCGTGACCACTGAAGCACAGCATCACAGGGACAGCGTTAGGCCTCTGGGTGGCTGCGGGCGGGCAAGCAGTGGTGGAGCAGAGTCTTCTTTAACTCCACCAGGAAAGGGAGACTCCCTTTCCCGGTCTGCTAAGCAACGGGTGCCTTCCCAGGCACTGGCGTTACCAGTAGACCAGGGAGCCCTCTAGTGGCCCTGTCCAGGCATAACGGAGGGCTCACACTCTTGTCTTTTGGTCACTTCTCACCGTGTCCCTTCAGCTCCTATCTCTGTATGGCCTGGTTTCTCCTAGGTTATAATTGTAGGACAAAGATTATTATAATATTGGAATAAACAGTAATGCTACAAACTAATTATTAATAATATTCATATACATATCTATAATCTATTTCTAGTATAACTATTCTTATTCTATGTATTTTCTTTATTATATTGGAACAGCTTGTGCCCTCGGTCTCTTGCCTTGGCATCTGGGTGGCTTGCCGCCCACAGTTTTGGCTTTTGAAATTTTAAGCTCTTCCCTGCTTCTAGGTCAAAAGATATTCTCCTACTTTATTTTTATTTATTTATTTATTTATTTTTTATTATTATTATTTTGAGACGGGGTCTTGCTCTGTCACCCAGGCTGGAGTGCAATGGCGCGATCTCAGCTCACTGCAACCTCCACCTCCCGGGTTCAAGCGATTCTGCTGCCTCAGCCTCCCGAGTAGCTGGGATTACAGGCACACACCACCACGCCTGGCTGATTTTTGTATTTTTAGTAGAGAGGGGGTTTCACCACGTTGGCCAGACTGGTCTCGAACTCCTGAGCTCGTGATCCACCCACCTCAGCCTCCCAAAGTGCTAGGATTACAGGCGTGAGCCACCACCCCCAGCCTATTTTTATTTTTGTTTATTTATTTATTTTTTTGAGACAGAGTCTCGCTCTGTGGCCCAGGATGGAGTGTAGTGGCGCAATCTTGGCTCGGTGCAACCTCCGCCTCCCCGAGCTCAGGCGAGGCGATTCTCCTGCCTCAGCCTCCTGAGTAGCTGGGATTACAGGTGCACACCAACATGCCTACCACATTTTTGTATTTTTTTGTAGAAACAGGGTTTACCATGTTGGCTAAGCTGATCTTGAGCTCCCGACCTCAGATGATTCGCCTGCCTCAGCCTCCCAAAGTGCTGGGATTATAGGCATGAGCCACCATGCCTGGCCTGCTCTATATGTTTTTTGGTTTTTTGGGTTTTTTTGAGACAGAGTCTTGCTCTGTCACCCAGGCTGGAGTGCAGTGGCGCAATCTCAGCTCACTACAACCTCCGCCTCCCAGTCTAAGCGATTCTCCTACTTCAGCCTCCTGAGTAGCTGGGACTGAGGGTACATGCCACCACGCCCAGCTAATTTTTGTATTTTTAGTAGAGAGGGGGTTTCACTATGTTGGCCAGACTGGTCTTGAACTCCCGATCTGAGGTGATCCAACCGCCTCGGCCTCCCACAGTGCTGGGATTACAGGCGTGAGCCGCCACGCCAGGCCTGCTCTGTGTGTTTTAATCTTCACAACAGCTCTATGAGGTAGATGCTATTTTTATCCCCATTTTACAAATGAGGAAACTGAGGCACAGAGAGGGTAAGTCACTTGAGAAAGGTCACTTAGCTGGTAAGTGGCAGAGCTGAGATTGGAGTCTGGCTACCCTATCCCTGGAGCCTGCCTTCCTGCCCACTTCTCTCTCTCTCTCTTTTTCTTTTCTTTTTTTTTTTTTTTGAGTTGGAGTCTCACTCTGTCTCCCAGGCTGGAGTGCAGTGACACGATCTCAGCTCACTGCAACCTCCACTTCCCAGGCTCAAGCAATTCTCCTGCCTCAGCCTCCCGAGTAGCTGGGATTACAGGTGTGCACCACCACACCTGACTAATTTTTATACTTTCAGTAGAGACGGCCTTTCACCATGTTGGCTGGGCTGGTCTCGAACTCCTGACCTCAAATGATCCACCTGCCTCGGCCTCTCAAAGTGCTGGGATTACAGGCGTGAGCCACTGTGCCCGGCCCCCACTTCTGTCTTTGAAGGGTAGGGATAGGGCATGAGGGCAGACGCTGTGGCTTGGAAGTGCCGTCTTGTCTACCCCCACTCTGTGCATCATGGTAAGCCCGTGAGTATTGAGCCTCACATTCCTGCACCTTCCCCCAGGAACATCGACACCCTCATCGTTGACGTCTACCCTGTGCTGGACACCCCTGCCAAGCAGGTCCTGTGGCAGTTCATCTACCAGCTGCTGACCTATGAGGAGCAGGAGCTCTGTCAGGAGAAAATCGCATGCTTCCTGGGCTACACGGCCATGACAGGTAAGCGTCCTCTCCCCTGCCACTTCCCTGCCTGCAGCTGCTGACTGTCCAGCTCACCAGGTGAACAGACAGACACCTGTTCTCACATGTGAAGGTGTTTGTTTGCTTGTTTGTTTGTTTTGAAATGGAGTCTCACTCTTGTGCCCCAGGCTGGAGTGCAATGGCACGATCTTGGCTCACTGCAACCTCCGCCTCCCAAGTTCAAGCGATTCTCCTGCGTCAGCCTCCCGAGTAGCTGGGACTAAAGGCGCATGTCACTACGCCCAGCTATTCTTTTGTGTTTTTAGTAGAGAAGAGGTTTCACCATGTTAACCATGATGGTCTCTATCTCCTGACCTCATGATCCACCCACCTCGGCCTCCCAAAGCACTGGGATTACAGGTGTGAGCCACCACGCCCAGCCTTTTTTTTTTTTTTTTTTTTTTTTGAGACGGAGTCTTGCTCTGTCGCCCAGGCTGGAGTGTCGTGGTGCCATCATGGCTCACCGCAGCCTCAACCTCCTGGGCTCAAGTGATCCTCCCACTCCGGCCTCCCAAAGCACAGGGATTACAGGTGTGAGCCACTGCATCTGGCCTCACCTATGAGGTCTTACAGCCGATTTGGGCCCCTCCCACATAGAAGTGTCCACAGCCATGCACGTACACACCCAATACACCAGGGCTAGGCCCACACGTGGCCCCACGGACGCGCCTTCCCAGCGTGACCTTTATGCAGCATATACAACATAACCTGAGACTTTAGACACTGCACCTAACCACCTGCAGTCTCAGTTTTTGCACCCACAAAATGGAAGTGGTCTCAGTGGCTGCGCTCTGTACTCTGAGAAGTGGAACTTGTGAGAAGGAACTCGTGTAAGGCTGGACGTGGTGGCTCACACCTATAATCCCAGCATTTTAGGAGACTGAGGTGGAAGCATCACTTGAGCTCAGGAGCTCAAGATTAGCCTGGGCAACATAGCAAGAGCCTGTCTCTACCAAAAAAAAAAAAAGTTTTAATTTAGCCAGGTGTGATGCACACCTGTAGTCCCGGCTACTTAGGAGGCTGAGGTGGGAAGATGGCTTGAGTGCAGGAGATCAAGGCTGCAGTGAGCTATGATCAAGCTACTGCCTCCAGAAAAAAAAAAAGGAAAGAAAAAAAGAAAAAAGAAAGAAACTCACGTGGTTGCCAGACATGCCAACACCACCACCAGGATCATGAGCACACGACCACATCCCACCTGGCTGGTGGGCTCCCAGTGTACTCTTTCTTGCACACACACAGGCCTGCAGTGCCATGTGTGGCTGCCACCTGTCTGTTCAGCGTGCCCTCCGAATGCCCACAAACCCCTGCACTCAGCATGCAGGTCATGTGGATGGAAGGTGTGCCGAAGCCTGTGTTCTACCCTGTTCTAGGCATCCTGCACCTGCTATGAAAGCCGCTGCAGGTGCAGTGGTTCACTCTTGTAATCCCAGCACTTTGGTAGGCTGAGGTGGGTGGATCACTTGAGGTCAGGAGTTCCAAGTCCAGCTTGGGCAACACAACAAGACCCCCATATATTCAAAATATTTAAAAATCAGCCAGGGGTGGCCGTGCGCGGTGACTCACGTCTGTAATCCCAGCACTTTGTGGAGCTGAGGCAGGCCAATCACGTGAGGTCAGGAGTTCGAGACAAGCCTGGCCAACATGGGGAAACCTCATCTGTACTAAAAATACAAAAATAAGCCAGGTGTGGTGGTACGCAGTTGTAATTCCAACTACTCGGGAGGCTGAGGCAGGAGAATTGCTTGAACCTGGGAGACGGAGGTTGCAGTGAGCTGAGATCGCACCACTACACTCCAACCTGGGCAACACGGTGAGACTCCATCTCAAAGAAAAAAAAAATAAAAAATTAGCCAGGCGTGGTGGTATGCACCTGTAGTCCCAGCTACTTGGGAGGATGAGGTGGGAGGAGCACTTGAGCTCAGGAGTTGGAGACCAGCCTGGGCAACATAGCAAAAAAATTTGAAATTAGCTGGGTGTGGTGGCACACACCTGTAATCCCAGCTGCAGGGGAGGCTCAGGCAGGAGGATCTGTTGAGCCTGGGATTCAAGGCTGCACTGAGCCTTGATTGCACTCCAGCCTGGGGGACAGAGTGAGACCTGTCACAAAAAAAAAAAAAAAAAAGAAGAAAAGAAAAAAAGGCAGGTGTGGTGGCTCACATCTGTAATCCCAGCACTTTCAGAGGCTGAGGCAGGTGGATCACCTGAGGTTAGGAGTTGAAGACCAGCCTGTCCAATATGGTGAAACCCCATCTCTGCTTAAAAAAAAAAAATACAAAAATTTAGCCAGGCATGGTGGTGCATGCCTGTGGTCCCAGCTACTTGGGAAGCTGAGGCTCGAGAATCATTTGAACCTGGGAGGTGGAGGTTGCAGTGAGCTGAGATTGTGCCACTGCACTCCAACCTGGATGAGAAAGCCAGACTCTGAATAAATAAAGAGAGAAAGAGAGAAAGAGACAGAGAGAGAGAAAAGAGAGAAAGAGAGAAAGTGAGAGAAGGAAGAGAAGGAAGGAAAGGAAAGGAAGGAAAGGGAAGGGGCCGCTGCAGAGTTGCTGGTCCTTGTGTGCCCATGAGCTGCAGTCCCAGGGACCCACAATTTGCTAGGGTTTTAGCGAGAAGCTCAGGATCCATGCTGGACCACACATGCCTTACATATCTGCGTAGGCTCAAAAAACTTCTATTTTGGCCGGGAGCAGTGGCTCACACCTGTAATCCCAGCACTTTGGGAGGCCGAGGCAGGCGGATCACCTGAGGTCAGGAACTTGAGACCAGCCTAGCCCACATGTTGAAACCATATCTCTACTAAAAATACAAAAATTAGCCAGGCATGGTGACGGACACCTGTAATCCCAGCTACTTGGGAGGCTGAGGCAGGAGAATCGCTTGAACCTGGGAGGTGGAGGTTGCAGTGAGCTGAGATTGCACCACTGCACTCCCACCTGGGCAACAAGAGCAAAACTCAGTCTCAAAAAAAAAACACTTCTATTTTGCCCATAATCCTCTCTGGGCAGCAGTGACTTGGCCTGGGGCAAGCACAGGGCGTTGAGACTCTGGAAGCTGTTGTCATGAGATCTCTGCTAGGCCCCTGAGTTCAGGCTAGCTGCATTCTGGTGCTGCATTCTGGTGCTGCTCCTGGCACCTGGTTTCTTGCCCTGGGGCTTCCCCTCAAGAGCTGTTCTGGAGGCAAGCAGGGCAGGCCCCGTAGCTTGGGGTCTGCATATTGGTGCAGATGACATCTGCCCTCCCCTCCCTGTTTTGGAGGTCCCTTGTCTGGCTGAGAGGGCAAGAGGGCCCCATGTTCCCTGCATGTCCCACAGCAGAGCCGGAGCCTGAGCTGGACCTGGAGTCCGAGCCCACGCCTGAGCCCCAGCCGCGGAGCTCCCTGCGGGCTTCCTCCATGTGCCGCCGCAGCCTCCGGTCCCAGGGCCTGGAGGCCGGCCTCAGCTGCGGTAAGGCTGGTGTCAGGGGGAGGGTATGAATGGAGCTCAGTTTTCCCACCTGCAAAATGGGCTTGGTGAGGTGGGGAATCCCAGGGAATGGGGCTAAGCAGGGCTCAGGATTGGCCCTCCTGGGTCTGCGGGGCATGTTGGTTCTGGGCCGGGGCCTGAGCCGTAGAGCTCAGATACGGTAATGACATTATTCCCCGGTAGGTCCCAGCGAGTGCCCTGAGATGCCTCTTCCCCTGATCCCAGGCGAGCGCCAGGCAGGCGACGGCACGTCCCTCCCTGAGACCCCCAACCCCAAGATGGTGAGACCTTCTCTGCCCTCCACGTGGGGTCAGTAGGGGGCAGGGAATGGACGGTCCATAGGACTGGGCCCAGGAGACCCAGGCCAAGGCGTCCCTGTGCTGCTTCAGGCTGGGGCATATCCCTGCCTCCCGGCCCACCCAGGCCTGGACCACATTAGGGCTACGAGGGGAAGCAGAATGGGCTGGACTCTCCCCCGTCTCCCTCCAGATGTCAGCCGTCTATGCAGAGCTTGAGTCTCGACTGAACAGCAGCTTCAAAGGGAAGATGGGGACCGTGTCCAAATCCCGGGCTTCCCCTCCAGGCCCCAGCCCAGCAGTCACCACAGGTAGGGCTCCAGCCTCTGTCATCTACTGTCTGGGTGTTTCCCTCCACCCCAGGCTCAGCCCTGGAGCTGCTTCTCTGCTCCATCAGGGTCAGGGTTGTCCCAGTCCCTCCCATGGCCCTGTGACCCTCACCTCAGCTGTGGATCAAGAAAGTAGCCTGGGTACCGTGGGTCGTGCCTGTAATCCCAGCACTTTGGGAGGCCGAGGCAGGAGGATCAATGGAGCCCAGGAGTTTGAGACCAGCCTGGCAACATAGTGAGGCCCCATCTCTAACAAAAAAAATACAAAATTAGCTGGGCATGGTTGCATATGCCTGTAGTCCCAACTCCTCAAGAGGCTGAGGCGGGAGGATCACTTGAGCCCAGGAGTTCAAGGCTGCAGTGAGCTATTTCGAACCACTGCACTCTAGCCTATAAGCAACAGAGTAAGACCCTGTCTTAAAAAAGAAAAAGAAAGAAGGCAGATGCCTGATTCTGAGGAAGTCCCCGAGTTAGCAAGTGGTTATTGGATAAATGATCAAGTGCAACGCGTTGTACCAGCGTTGGCACAGCTGGGAAGACAGTTGCTCTGCAGCTCAGAAGGCAGGAGCCCTGGGAGGCCCTCCTGTGATCTCAGGGCTTGCTGGGTGCGCGAGACGCTCCATGACTGTGGCTCTGGGCCCTAGAGAAACCCCTCCACCCTTTGAGTTAATGGTGTTCAGTGGCTCCCAGCTGGGACCCCTGGTGACCATTCCAAGGTGAGCTGGCGTCCAGCCTGTCCTGAGGCCGAGCAGTGCTCCTGCTCACCAGATCTGGCCTTTAGTCATGCTTGGAAGGCAGGGCCGCTCAAGGTCTTCCTGCACTGTGCCCAGAGAGGGAAAGGAGAGTGGCCTGGGACACAGAGCCAGTCTGTCCTAGGACCCTCTCTCCAGCTTGCACCTGGAACCTCGGTGCTGGCTGAAGAGGAATCCTCATACTCCATCCCTCCTCCAGGGCCCAGGACCCTGTCCGGCGTCTCATGGCCCAGCGAGCGACTCTTGCCCTCCCCCTGCTACCACCCGCTGTGTTCGGGGGGTCTGGCCTCCCCCAGCAGCTCTGAGTCCCACCCCTACGCCAGCCTGGACAGCAGCAGGGCACCCTCCCCACAGCCAGGCCCCGGGCCCATCTGCCCCGACAGCCCCCCAAGCCCGGACCCCACCCGCCCGCCCAGCCGCAGGAAGCTCTTCACCTTCTCCCACCCTGTGCGAAGCCGCGATACTGACCGCTTCCTGGACGTGCTGAGCGAGCAGCTGGGCCCCCGGGTCACCATCGTGGATGATTTCCTGACCCCGGAGAACGACTACGAGGAGGTGGGCACGCAAGCAGGTGTGGAGGGAGGCGGGTGAGGCGAGGTGTGGCGGTCTGCAAGGCAACAGTGTTCCTGGGCTCCCGCAAGGGGCCTGCTGCCCTTGGGATCTTCCCCAGGCTATCCCACTCCCTAGCTCAAGCTATCCCACCCCTTGCCCCAGGTTACCCTATCTCCTGTTCAAGGTTATCATGCTCCTTGACTGAGGCTAGCCCATATTCCCTGTCGCAGGTTAGCCCATTCCTTAGCTCAGGCTATCCCACTCACAGCCTGAGGCTAACCCGTGACAGGGTCCTGTCCTTATTCCAGGCTATCCCCCTCACAGCCTGAGGCTTACCCATGAGAGGGTCCTATCCTTAGCCCAGGCTATCCCCCTCACAGCCTGAGGTTAACCTGTGAGACAGTCCTATCCTTAGCCCAGGTGTCCCTCACAGCCTGAGGCTAACCCGTGAGATGGCCCTGTCCTTGTCCCAGGCTATCCCATGATCCTTCACTTTGCACCTGCTCTAGTCTCTCTGGGCCCAGCCTCACCCTCCCCTTGCCTCTCTCCCCACCACCAGATGAGCTTCCATGATGACCAGGGCAGCTTCGTAACCAATGAGCGGAGCAGCGCCAGCGACTGCATCAGCAGCAGTGAAGAAGGCAGCTCCCTGACCTACTCCTCCATCTCTGACCACATCCCCCCACCCCCGCTCAGCCCCCCACCACCGCCACCCCTGCCTTTCCATGACGCTAAGCCCAGCTCCCGCAGCTCTGATGGTTCCCGGGGCCCTGCTCAGGCGCTGGCCAAGCCCCTCACCCAACTCAGCCACCCAGTCCCTCCACCACCCCCACCGCCCCTGCCCCCACCCGTGCCCTGTGCACCCCCCATGCTGTCCCGGGGCCTGGGCCACCGGCGCAGTGAGACCAGCCACATGAGCGTCAAGCGCTTGCGGTGGGAACAGGTGGAGAACTCAGAAGGCACCATCTGGGGTCAGGTAGGTGACCTGGGACCCAGCAGCGCTCTGTACTGGGGGAGGATGGCTTGGGCAGCAGCACTGAAGGAAAACCCATCGGCCAGGCATCTTCCAACATCATCCTCCCTACCCCAAGCAGAGGATGAGTAGAGGCCCAGCCCAAGAACGTCCCCACGCTTGGGGGCCACTGCAGGCATTGAAGCCAATCTGTGTCCCTCAGCCAAAGACACACACTGGGGACACCTGGAAATGCCACCCTACCCATCCTTGAAACCTATCACTTTTGAGGCCAGACAAGTTCTCTTAAACCTTTAAAAGAGCAGCTGGTTCAAACTCCTGCACACCAGCCTTCACCCTTTCACTTTGATGCTTGAAGTTCCTCCCTCACAACACTGGCAGTGTATGCTTGAACACCTTCAGTGGTGGGGAACTCACTACCTGTCAAGGTCTTCCTTTCCTCACTGGACGATTTTAACCATCCTTTGTCTTGCTCTGAAATCTTGTCTCCCCAGGATTCCCATGCCCTGTTTTCTTTCTGGCCCTTAAAATCGGGCAGAGCAATCTTATCCACAGACCAACCAATCTGCAAGATGAACAAGGTTCACCCCACCCCTTTTTTTTTTTTTCAGATCATTCTCTTAGAACATGGTTTCCAACCCCCACTCCAGTGTCCATGTCCCTGTCAAAGAGACATTCCCAGATGGAACCCCCAATGGGGCTTGACCAGCTCAGAGGAGAGAACAGGGTTCTCAGCTCCTTTGACTGGGACATCATACTCCTTTTAATATGGCAGGGGCTCCTTCCAGCTCCCAGGGCTGCCCCGTCCCAGTGCTCATGATCACCATCATCCTCAACTCCATCTTCTTGGGATCAATAGCTCACTCTCACATGTAGTCACACTGGGCAGAGGCATGCTTGTGATTTTTCCCCACTGCCATCTCCTGGGTCCCAATTCTGTCTCCTGCTTTCTCAGCCCACATCTCCAGGGACCCTTTCCAAGTTGCTAATAAAGATGCCCATTGAGGCCAGGCTTGGTGGTTCACGCCTGTAATCCCAGCACTTTGGGAGGCTGAGGCGGGAGGACTGCTTGAGCCTAAGAGTTCAAGACAAGTCTGGGCAACATAGTGAGATCTTGTCTCTACAAAAAAATCAAAAAGTTAGCCAGACCTGGTGGTGCATGCCTGTGGTCCCAGCTACTCGGGAGGCTGAAGAGGGAGAATCACTTGATTCCCACAGGTGGAGGTTGCAGTGAGCCAAGATGGCACCACTGCACTCCAGCCTGGGGTACAGAGTGAGACCCTATCTAAAAAAAAAAAAAAAAAAATACCTCAGTGAGACAAGGGCACAAATAAGGACCTCCTGGGTCCCCTGGAGACCTCACTCCTGCCAGCCTTGGACCGATCTTCAAGTATTGCTCCACAGCGTGGTTCTTCCATTGGTTACCAAAGGTGGACACAGGGACACAGGTCACACATGTGGCCAAACCCAAATCCATCCTCAGTGTCCCTGCCCTGCAGCCATGTTCTAAGACTTCATTCCCCTGCCTGCCCTCCCTTTGGGTTCTCTCCCTTTGGCAGCCACCCCGTCCGCACTCCCTGCCCCAGCCCCAGGCTGTTACCTCTCATCTATGCCATTCATCACAGCCACGTGTCCAGCGTCTGGCCCCTAGGCTGTCACAGTTGCAGTTCTCTCAGCACCAGCTCACTCTGCCCAGGGCAGCCCTGGTGAACTCACCGCTCTCCAAGGAGACCTGATGACAGAGCCAGACCCCTGAGCCACCTCCGGTAGCCCCTTACTTGGCTCTAGCCTCTTCACAGCTCCTTCATGCCCCCGCTGCAGTCCCACCTTGCTGGCTTCTGCACGAGTAGTGTTCCAAGTCTTGAGTCTCGATTGACCCCAGGAGGCGCTGGCTCAGCACCCGGTGACTCGGATGATCTGGCTTCTCCTGCAGTCTCCTCCTGCTCCGGGCTTTATCCCAGCACCTGATGGGTGCTTTTGCTCGGGAAGCCCCTATGGCAGCCCTCAGAGGGTGGGAAGTGGGAGGCCAGTCCAGCTGCTGCTGCTCCTCCTACTCTGAACCTCCCATCCTCCCTCGCAGCTCGGGGAAGACTCTGACTACGATAAGCTGAGTGACATGGTGAAATACCTCGACCTGGAGCTCCACTTCGGCACCCAGAAACCTGCTAGTGAGTGGCCTGATGGCCTTGGGGGAACCCCAGATACCACACCATCTGTGGCAGCCCCAGGCTTAGCATCTCCCAGGGCTGCACTGACTACTATTTAACCTGATGCGTCCTCAAGCCTTCAGTCCCTGAGTTATTTAATAGCTGGCATTTAGGCCGGGCACAGTGGCTCACGCCTGTCATCCCAGCACTTTGGGAGGCTGAGGTGGGTGGATCGCCTGAGCTCAGGGGTTCGAGACCAGCCTGGGCAACGTGGCGAAACCCTTGTCTCTACCGAAAATACAAAAAATTAGCCAGGCACATGGAGGATGTCTGTGGTCCCAGCTACTTGGGAGGCTGAGTTGGGAGGATCGATTGAGCCTCGGAGGTGGAGGTTGCAGTGAGCCGCGATCACACCACTGCACTCCGACCTGGTAACCTGGGTGACACAGTGAGACCCCGTCTAAAAAAAAAAAAAAAAAAAAAGCTGGCATTTACTGTGCAGTGATCAAACACCAGGGACTCTCATTTCTAAATCCCATGGCAACTCTGTGATGTACATAATGTGATCACCCCCCACTTCCTAATGAGGAAGCACAGAGAGGTCAGGTAATTTGCTCAGTCACACCGTAGACAGGAGGCATCCACAAATACATCTTCCAGGCTCTCTTGCCCTCACCCCTTCCTGGGTATCTCCCTGTCGTTGATGGGTGGAACAGGCGGTCCCAGGATGGAACAGAAAGACCTGGCTTCCTGCAGCACGGGGAGTGCACAGGACACGGGGCGGGGGAGGTTACACACAGGACCTGAAGGTCCCCGACCTGAGGAATGAAGGGACTATGGACGTGTAGCTGATTAAGTCGAGGTCGTGCTTAGGGGGATAGTGGCTGTTGGCTGTGACCACGCCACCCCTGGGCCTTCCCACTGCAGCCTCAGCCTAGCCGCCTCCGTAAACTGTCAGTTTCTTTTCCAGAACCGGTGCCGGGGCCGGAGCCCTTCCGGAAGAAGGAGGTGGTGGAGATCCTGTCCCATAAGAAGGCCTACAACACCTGTGAGGGTCCGGGGAACCCCAGGGGGTGTAGGGGGCAGGCGGCGGCCCTTTCTCTGGGCCTCAGACCTGCCCAGGTGGATGACAGAGATTAGGCGGTGGGGACCCGGCCTCCTGTCGCTCAGCGCGGTGAAGGCCCCCTCCCAGGCCCCATAGCCAGCCAGATCCCATCTGGGCGCGGGTGCTGGCCCCACCCTCACTGTCTAATCAACTTCCCGGTTCTGGCCCCGCCTCCAGCCTCATTCCCTCTCTCCTTCGCAGGCCCCGCCCTAGTCCCTGGCCCGACCCCCATAGACCCCACCCAGCTTCTCAATCTAGCGTCTCGAGAACCCCGTCCTCACCCTTAAATCGGTCGCTGAAAGACCGTCTCTATTTCAGGGCCCGCCCCTGCCCCGGCCCCCTACGGCACCCCTCGCAGGCCCCGCCCTTGTTCCTTGTCCCCTCCATTCGGTCTCCTCCCTGTAGCCGAAGCCCACCTGGAAGCTTCGCCCTCTCCCTGCTGGGCCCCGCCCTCTCCCCCCGCTCGAACTCAACCAGCAGCCCCGCTCAGTTTCCTTGCTCCTACCCGCCAGGCTCCTCACAGTAGCCCCGGCCAATCCCAAAGCCCCGCCCTCTTTCCACCCGGGCCCCGCCTCAGTTTAGCCTCATAGACCCCGCCCTGTTCATTGACCCCCACCCCTCTAGAGTTCCTCCAGTAGCCCAGTCCCCGCCCCAGCTCTGCCTCACAGGTCTACCTGCTTCCCTTGTCCCCTGCCCCTTCAGATTCCCCGCTGTATCCTGGGCCAACCTGGAAGCCCCGCCCCCTTCCTGCCAGGCCCCACCCTCTCCCGGCCCCTGCTCACCGAGCGGCCCCGCCCCCTTTCCTTTTTTCTTCCCCTTAGCCCAGGCCAATATTGAAGCGCCGTCCTCTCCCCATTCGGGAGCCGCCTCAGCTCAGCCTCTTGTCCCCGTCCGCGTTTCTTGTCCTTCCAGCCTCAAGGCCCCGTCCTCTCCCCTAGGCCCCGCCCCGTGTCCGCCCTCTCCCCGCCTCTGCCCTGCCCTCTCCGTCTTGGGTCCCATCCGGCCCCGCTCCGGCCCCGCCCAGCTCACCGCCCCGCCCCGCCCGCAGCCATCCTCTTGGCACACCTGAAGCTGAGCCCCGCGGAGCTGCGCCAGGTGCTGATGAGCATGGAGCC
Source organism: Homo sapiens (assembly GCF_000001405.40). Lineage (NCBI taxonomy): Eukaryota > Metazoa > Chordata > Mammalia > Primates > Hominidae > Homo > Homo sapiens. The sequence continues at coordinate 6,503,620 of NC_000007.14, read as the reverse complement.
CCGGCGCCTGGAGCCCGCACATCTCGCGCAGCTGCTGCTCTTCGCGCCCGACGCCGACGAGGAGCAGCGCTACCAGGCCTTCCGCGAGGCGCCCGGCCGCCTCAGCGAGCCGGACCAGTTCGTCCTGCAGGTGCCGCGACCACAACCCCGCCCCGAGGCCTCGGCCGGCTCCACAGGGGCTGTCGCTGTGGCCAGGGCTGCTGGGGTCCCGCGCGCCTTCGGGGGCCGCCATTGCGCCCAAGCCTCTGAGTCCCAGTTTAACACCTTTAATGGCCGGGTCCTATCAGGGGTCCAAGGTACATGGGAGGCGGGCTCCCCCAGGGATCGTGCTTATTCTTCCTACCGGAATATCGGGCCGAAGCAGCCAGCAGATCCCCCCCTCCCACCCCAAAGCCTGCGGTGGGGCAGAGGGTCCCAGGAAGGGGATGGGTGAATCCTGGCTCTGCCTTCGAGGCAGATGCTGTCAGTTCCCGAATACAAGACACGCCTGCGCAGCCTCCACTTCCAGGCCACCCTCCAGGAGAAGACAGAGGAGATCCGAGGCAGCCTTGAATGCTTGCGCCAGGCCTCCCTGGAGCTCAAAAACAGTCGGAAGCTCGCCAAGATCCTGGAGGTCAGTGGGCGTACCCTTCCTGGCACCCTATCTGCTTCTCTGCCTCCTGGGGCTTCCAGCCTGGAGGCCCATCCAGACAGCAGGGTGGATGGGTGGTGGGGTGAGGACAGGACCTACCCACCTTCTTGTCCACAGTTTGTGTTGGCCATGGGCAACTATCTCAACGATGGACAGCCCAAAACCAACAAGACTACGGGCTTCAAGATCAACTTTCTGACAGAGGTGAGGGGACCTGCCGGCAGCAATCGACTGGTTTGCTCTACCAGCAAGGCGCTAACGCCAGGCCTAGCTCAGTTGTGGCAGAGGGCAGAAGAGGACATCGTGACCAAGGAGGGCTCTCCTCCTAGCAGGAAAAGGGCCACATTGAAGCCAGGATGTGACTGCAGCAAAGGGTGGGGTGGGGTGGGGTGGGGTGGGGGAACACACTCCCAGGATCTGGAAAAATGGAGTGAGGGAAGAGAGTTGGAAAGAGAGTGTCAAAGGCTGGGGATTGGGCTGGGTGTGGTGGCTCATGCCTGTAATCCCGGCACTTTGGAGGCCAAGGTGAGAGGATCACTTGAGGCCAGGAGTTGGAGACTAGCCTGGACAACATAGCTAGACCCCAGTTCTACAAAAATAATTAGCTAGGCATGTCACAGGCCTGTAGTCCAAGCTACTTGGGAGACTGAGGTGGAAGGATCGCTTGAGCCTAGGAGTTTGAGGCTGCAGTGAGTTATGATGGAGCCACTGCACTCCAGCCTGGGCAACAGAGCAAGACCCTGCTATTAAAAAAAAAGTGGGGGCGCCAAGAATTCATCATTGATGCCACAGTAGTCCAGGAGAAGCTGGGCCCATGTGACCCCATCTGATGGGGTCCTTGACGGGAATGTATATTGGGGGTCACTTGCAGCTGAACTCCACCAAGACAGTGGATGGGAAGTCCACCTTCCTGCACATCCTTGCCAAATCGCTGAGCCAGCACTTCCCTGAACTCCTGGGCTTTGCTCAGGACCTGCCCACCGTGCCCCTGGCTGCCAAAGGTATGCTGGGTGGGTGGATGGGGAGGCAGAGGCATGCTGTCCTGGGCTGGGAGAGTGGCCCCATGCAGCCCCTGTCCTCTTCCCTACAGTGAACCAACGGGCCCTGACCAGTGACCTGGCTGACCTCCATGGCACTATCAGCGAGATACAGGATGCCTGCCAGAGCATTTCCCCCTCTAGCGAGGACAAGTTTGCAATGGTCATGTCGGCATCCTCTGAGCAGCCTGTTCCTGCACCAGGCTGGATCCTGGGGTGGTTGGGTAGAGCTGGCTGTGGCTCCAGTGGCCGCTGGAGACCTCGACTTCCAGCAGAGATTCTGGACACAGGTTGCTGTGCACCCAGGGGTCCTGGAAGAGGCTCTATCCTGGGTTGTTGATTGATTGATTGATTGATTGAGGCAGGGTCTCACTCTGTCACCCAGGCTATGCCTGGCTAATTTTTGTATTTTTAGTAGAGACAAGGTTTTGCCATGTTGCCCAGGCTGGTCTAAAACTCCTGGGCTCGAGTGATCTGCCTGCCTCAGCCTCCCAGAGTGCTAGAATTACAGGTGTGAGCCACAACACCAGGTCCCATCCTGGATTATAAATTTATTTATTTATTTATTTATTTGTTTGTTTGTTTAATTTTATTTATTTTTTGAGACAGAGCCTTGCTCTGTTGCCCAGGCTGGAGTGCAGTTGCACGATCTTGGCTCACTGCAGCCTCCGCCTCCCAGGTTCAAGCTATTCTCCTGCCTCAGCCTCCCAAGTAGCTGGGATTACAGGCACCCACCACCACACCTGGCTTATTTTTGTATTTTTAGTATAGACATGGGTTCACTATGTTTTCCAGGCTGGTCTTGCACTCCTGACCTCAGGTGATCTACCTGCCTCTGCCTCTCAAAGTGCTGGGATTATAGGCCTGAGCCACTGTGCTTAGCCCTGGGTCATTTATAATCCAAGTGCTTATGCCAAGTCTGTGTGAAACTGAAGCCAGAGCTCTTTTGAGTGCCCCAAAGCCACTGTACCATCTGTCCTCTGGGGCAGTGGAGCCCAGAGCTAAGTGTCAAAATTACAAGGAGCAGCCTGTCAGGCCCTACCAGCCAAAGGCAGTCAGGAGGGTGGGACATTCCCACTGAGCCTCCAAACAGGGCCTGGCCAGTGGGTGACAGAGGCCCAGATGGGAAGACAGGAAAGAAGGGCATGTGGCAGTTCTCGCTGCTCCCCCTCTCTGGCTCCAACACCCCTTGGCAGGGAACACAGGGTTTTCCCTAATGCTGAAGCTAGGTAAGGGGGAGAGCTCTGGGGGCTGTGCCTGTGGCCAGGGCAGTAGGTGGTGAAAGCCCCTGTCACATTCCTCTGACTGCAGCACATGGGGCCTGGTGCGGGTGAGTGTCTGAGTAGGAATTTGATGTCAGATCTACCCCTGCCCTTTCCTCTCAGGCAGGAGATCTGCAGAGAATCACTAAGCAAACTCTACAGCTTGGGCAAGGTGCTTTTCACCCCCATCTTTCACCCACTTCACACCCGGATTTTTGTTTTGTTTTGAGACGGAGTCTCGCTCTGTTGCCCAGGCTGGAGTGCAATGGTGCGATCTCGGCTCACTGCAACCTCTACCTCCTGGGTTCAAGCAATTCTTCTGCCTCAGCCTCCCGAGTAGCTGGGATTACAGGTGCCCACCACCACAACCGGCTAATTTTTTGTATTTTTTAGTAGAGATGGGGTTTCACTATGTTAGTCAGGCTGGTCTCAAACTCCTGACCTCATGATCCACCTGCCTCGGCCTCCCAAAGTGCTGGGATTACAGGTGTGAGCCACTGTGCCCGGCCCACCCAGATGTTTTGCAGATGTGAAAACTGAGGCTGTTTAGGTAAGGGTTAGTCCACTCTAGCATCCCTCAGTCCAGGGGTATTGGCGGCTTCCTTGGGCTTGGAGGTCCCCAGAGAGAAGATGGATGGTCACATTCAAGGGTAGCCTCTGGGCCAGGTGCAGTGGCTCATGCCTGTAATCCCAGCACTTTGGGAGGTCAAGGCTGAGAGATTGCTTGAGGCCAGGAGTTTGAGACCAGCCTGGGCAACATAGGGGGACCGCGTCTCTACAGAATAATTTGAAAATGAGTCTGGCATAGTGGTGCATGCCTGTAGTCCCAGCTACTCAGGAGGCTGAGGCTAGAGGATCACTTGAGCCTAGGAGTTCAAGGTTACAGTGAGGTATGATCACACCACTGCACTGTAGCCAGGTGACAGAGTGAGACCCTGTCTCAAAAATAAAATGAAGGCAGTCCAGGCGCTGTGGCTCACGCCTGTAATCCCAGCACTTTGGGAGGCCAAGGAGGGCAGATCACCTGAGGTCAGGAGTTTGGGACCAGCCTGGCCAACATGGTGAAACCCTGTCTCTACTAGACATACAAAAATTAGCCAGGTATGGTGCCATGTGCCTGTAATCCCAGCTACTCAGAAGGCTGAGGCAGGAGAATCACTTGGACCCAGGAGGCGGAGATTGCAGTAAGCCGAGATCATGCCATTGCACTCCAGTCTGGGCAACAGAGCGAGACTCTGTCTCAAAATTAATTAATTAATTAATTAAAGGCAGCCTCTGCAAAGGAAATTGACCTGGCACATCAGACAGGCATAGGCCCAAATCCTGGCTCATTTCCTTACCTGCTGTGGGACTATGGGCAAGTCAGTTACCCTCTGTGAGCCCAGTTTTCTCATCAGGAAAAAGAGGGGTCATGAGAACCTCTACCACAGTGGTCATTAATTGATGTGACCCTGGTGGGTTCAACCGTGGCTCAGGCACCACAGTGCTTGCTGTGTGATCTTGGGCTAGTTGCTAAAGTCCTGTGTGCTTTAATTTGTTCACATGTAAAATAGAGATAATCTACCTCATAGAGGTGTTAAACGATGATTCAACAAGCTTGGAACAAAGCTCGGCACCATTTTAAGTGCTGAAAAAATGATAGCGATTCAGCCACTGAATCTTTTTGCAAGACTGACCATGTATCAGATGCTATTCTAAGCCCTGGAGGTGCAAGGAGGGAGCGAGCTTTCACTTAGGCAGTAGGAAATGAACTTATGAACAATTTCAGATCATGACAAATGCTCTAGAAAACAGAGTAAGGCCTAAGGCCAGGTGCAGTGGCTCACACCTGTAATCCCAGCACTTTGGGAGGCCAAAGTGGGAGGATCACTTGAGCCCAGGAGTTTGAGACCACCCTAGGCAACATACACCCCATCTCTATTTTAAAAATCAAAAAATTAGCTGGGTATGGTGGTGTAAACCTCTGGTCCCAGCTGCTCGGGAGGCTGAGGTGGGAGGATCACTTGAGCCTGGGAGGTAGAGGCTGGAATGATCTGTGAGCTGTGATCACACCACTGCACTCCAGGCTGAGCGACAGAATAAGACCCTGTCTCAAAAAAAAAAAAAAAAAAAAAAAAAGTAAGGCCTAGAGAGTGACAGAGGGGCCTACTGTAAATGAGTGGTTGGGGAAGAAGGTGGCAGTGGAAGCCTCTGATCAGAGACCCAGGGCCTGGCCCTGCAGAGAGAACAGGGGTGAATGGCCTGAGGCTGCACTGGCTGTGGCCAGTTCCAGGATGAGTTCAGTGGCCAGTGGGACTAGAGTCCCTGAACAGGGCCTGGTTCCCTGTTGGACACAGGGCCTGGCCCTTGGAAGGACTCAGGCCAACCGGGAATAGGGCTGCTAGGGACCTGTCTGTCGGGCCACCACCTGAGACCCTGGGGGCACAAGCGGGCTGGCTGTTTCCTTAACTGAGGCCTGTCAGTCCTTCCTGGAGACGGCCCAGCCAGCACTTCGGGCGCTCGACGGGCTGCAGCGCGAGGCCATGGAGGAGCTGGGCAAGGCGCTGGCCTTCTTTGGGGAGGATTCCAAGGCCACCACCTCTGAGGCTTTCTTCGGCATCTTTGCAGAGTTCATGAGCAAATTCGAGGTGAGCCTCGCTGGAGCCCTGAGGGGCCCTTTTGGAGAGGTGGGGGCCAGAGGCCAAATGAAGGGATCCTCCATGAAGCCAGGGCTGGGAAAGGGGCTCCAGTGAGCGACATGTCCCCCTAACCCCCTGATGGGCTGTCTAGTGTGGGAAGAGACAGGGAAGGCGTCACAGGTTCCTGGGACCACTGACCACCCTACCTCTGTGTTCCCCCTCCCCAGCGAGCGCTGAGTGACCTGCAGGCCGGGGAGGGCCTGCGCAGCTCCGGGATGGTTTCACCCCTGGCCTGGTGACAGTGGCCACACCGCGTCCTCTGCGGCCTGAGCAGGGAGATGGAGGCCGAGAGGGCAGCCCAGACACTGCCGAGGTCCGGGGCCACTGTGCCCCGGGCTCTGAGCACACCGCCAGCCTCTCCTGCAGCTACCTCAGCCGCCGAGCTGTGGTCGGGCCCTCCTCTGCCAGCCCTTGTTCCTACCCCCAGGCCCAGAGCCAGATGCTGTAGGAGCAGGTGCTGAGTGTGCCTGCACATGGAGGACCGTGCTCTGTCGGCTTCTTGGGCCCACTTCCCACTTCGCTCCCAGGCTGTCAGGGGGGCCTGGAGGGTGGATTACAAAGTGGCCACATTCCTGGGACATGTGGACCTTTTTTCTGATCCTGCTCCTAGTGGGTCCCTGTGAGGGGGCCGACACCCTTGAGCACGACCCTGCAGGCAGGCGCGAGACGCGAGAGGGCAGAAAGCCGGATGTAGAGGGGCCCTGGGGATGTGCACGCCCAGCCTGGGCCTTGGAAGCTGGCTTCAGGGACACAGGAAGAGAGAAGCCTGGGAGAGACGCAGGGAAGGAAGGACTGGAGAAGGAAGACCCCCTATGTCAGACTGCGGAATTGAGGTTTCATGCAGTGGACAAACCCAAACCTGTGTAGAGGTGGCCCAATTGGAAGTGGGGAGCCTGGGAGTGGAATAGGTGTGGTCAAGGTAGAGCAGACAGAATGGGGAGGTGTTGAGGCAGGAGGTGAGCAGGATCTGGTGGCCAACTGCCAGACTTCTCACCTGGACGGATGGTGATGTTCCCTGGAGCAAGTCATGAGACCGGGGCAGGTGTGGGGGCAGATGACACAATCTGGGATGTGTTTGGGACCCAAATGGTCATTTTACATGTGCCTAGGCATATAGCAGGAGTTACCTGGATACCAGGAGCAGGAGCAGGTGGCGTGGTGGGCAGGGAGGGAGGGTGTGTGAACTGTTTCACCTTTTTTAAAATTCTCTGATTGACAGATCCTTGGATCAGACAGCTTCCCTCGTTGCACTTTTTTTTTTTTTTTTTTTTGGAAAAGTCTGAAATGGGCTTTAATCCTGTCTCATGGATTCTTTTTCTCCCACTGCAATCAAATGGCTTACATTGCACCTGGGCAGTACTGGGAACCTGTTCAGTTCTTCCCAGTCTCCCCTAGGCCCCTCTTGGAAGCCACCTTTGTTTTTTTGTTCCTTGCACACAAGCACCATACAAAAACATCAAAACCAAAATATATACTGCAAGGGGGATGTGGCTAGTGGGGTACATTTCACCCTAGCAGCTCAAGCAGAATTGTTTCCAAAAGTTCCCAGTGCCTGTGTCTCTGGGAAACATGTCAGGAGGTCAGTTAAAACCTCTGCAGGCAGGGCGTGGGGGCTCACGCCTGTAATTCCAACACTTCGGGAGGCTGAGGCAGGTGGATCACCTGAGGCCAGAAGTTCAAGACCAGCCTGGCCAACATAGTGAAGCCATATCTCTACTAAAAATACACAAAATTAGCCGGGCGTGGTGGCACGCGCTTGTATTCACAGCTACTTGGGAGGCTGAGGCAGAAGAATTGCTTGAACCTGGGGGTCGGAGGTTGCAGTGAGCCAAGATCCTGCCACTGCACTCCAGCCTGAGCGACAGAGTGAGACTCCATTTGAAAAAAAAAAAAAAAACCCTGCATAAGATCTGTAGAGATAATAGACTCCAACAGGCGTGATTTCCAGGCCTGGTTAGCCCACATGGCATTTTCCTGCAAGTTAGAAACACATGTCCCTTCCAGGAGACCTAACCTCTTGATTGCACAGTGTGGCAGGCCAAGCACCAGCTAGGTTTTCTCCCTAGCATGCCTTTTATTGGTTGTTTGCTACAACAACGCTGCATAACAAACTGTCCCAAAACTCACTGGCTTCAAACAGCAATCACTTACTGCTCACAAGTCTCTGGGTCCCAGTTCTGATCTGAGCTAGGCTCTGCATCTTCAGTCAGCTATGAGTCAGCTAGGCAGCTTTGGTAATCATACCAAGCAATCTCATGTCTGGGGCCTTTGGCTGGAAAAGCTGGGATAGCCCTGTGGGGTCTCTCATTTTGCACCCAAATAGCCAGGATTTTTTTCATGAGGGGACTGGGGGTCAAAGAAGGTGAACAACCAAAGGCACAGAAGATGGCTTGAGGCTGAGGCTCAGAGCTGGTACACCGTGCCTTCTGCCACAATCTGCTGTCCATCCAAATGACAAGGCCAGCCCTGATTCTAGGGGAAGGGAAACAGGCTCTGCTAGGAGATATCGCAAAGCCACTCCACACAGGGTGAGGATTCAGGGACAGATGGAGAATCAGGAGCATTTTTGCAATTAATCTACTGGATGACCTCTTGGCCAGGGGTGCAGATCCCAGCCTCCTTAAAATCCCCAATGGCACTGGTGCTGCCTGGACCCAGCACAGATCTGGTTCCCCATCCCCATGTACTCACCAGGTGGCATGCTTCTGTGTCTTACCTGGTCACCCATGAATTACCTGACTTCTATCCAGATACTTAGTCCAGTCTGGGCACAGTGGCTCATGCCTGTAATCCCAGCACTTTGGGAGGCCGAGGTAGGTGGATTACTTGAGGTCAGGAGTTTGAGACCAGCCTGGCCAACATGGTGAAACCCTGTCTCTACTAAAAATACAAAAATTAGCCAAGTGTGGTGGCAGGCGCCTGTAATCCCAGCTACTCGGGAGGCTGAGGCACAAGAATCTATTGAACCTGGGAGGCAGAGGTTGCAGTGTGCCAAGATTGCGCCTCTGAACTCCAGCCCTGGTGACAGAGGGAGACTCTGTCTCAAAAAATAATAATAATAATACATAAATAAATGAAATAGATACTTAGTCCGGTGGGCAGTGTGGTCTGCCTGCCTGGCAACCAGTCTCGCCCTTCTGCTGGGAAAGGATTCCTGTTTCTCGTTTCAGAAATTATCTCTCCCCTACTCCCAGGGCCTGGAGCTGGAGTGATTGGATAAAGATGATCTTGTGACTCTGGCTGTGTGGCTCAGAGTCAGTCCAAGCCTCCGGCTGGCACTGTTTGAAAAAGAGATTCCCTTTGCTCTGGAATTTCTGGGTGTATAGAAGGTAGGAGTCAGGAGGGGCTGCCAAGACCACCATATGAAGGGCACCTGCCTGGATATAAAGCTAGCACAGGAGAAAAAACGGGGAGAAGATCACCATATACATCCCACTGTCCCTGGATCCAGCCATACCTGAAGCACACACTGGCCTTGTCAGTCTTCAAGACAACAGATTCTCCTTACATTTAAAAGAATTTTAAATGTATTTAAATTCCCTGGCTTAGGCTGGTTTGAATGGTTGCTATTACTTACAACCCTGAAAGGGTTAACTAACAGACCCATTAACAGATGCTGATAGATGTTCAGTACTCAGTGAGTGCTCTTCCTTCCTGCACTCATTGGCCAATGCCTTTTTTTTTTTTTTTTTTGAGACAGAGTCTCACTCTGTCGCCCAGGCTGGAGTGCAGTGGCACAATCTCTCAGCTCACTGCAAGCTCTGCCTCCCGGGTTCATGCCATTCTCCTGCCTCAGCCTCCCGAGTAGCTAGGACTACAGGCACCCGCCACCACGTCCAACTAATTTTTTGTATTTTTTAGTAGAGACAGGGTTTCACTGTGTTAGCCAGGATGGTCTCAATCTTCTGACCTCGTGATCCACCCTCCTCGGCCTTCCAGAGTGCTGGGATTACAGGTGTGAGCCACTGCGCCTGGCCTGCTTTTTATATTTTATATATTTTTATTATCATTATTATTTTGAGACAGGGTCTTGTTCTGTCGCCCAGGCTGGAGTACAGTGGGATAATCTCGGCTCACCGCAACCTCTGCCTCTCGGGTTCAAGCGATTCTCCTGCCTCAGCCTCCTGAGTAGCTGGGACTACAGGCATGTGCCACCACGCCCGGCTAATTTTTGTATTTTTAGTAGAGATGGGGTTTCAACATGTTGGCCAGGCTGGTCTCAAACTGCTGACCTCGTGATCCGCCTGCCTCAGCCTCCCAAAGTGCTGGGATTGCAGACGTGAGCCACTGCGCCAGGCCGGCCAGTGCTTTTTAATTGCCTACTGTGTGCCAGGTGCGTTGCTAGGTACCAGCATCTTAGAAGGCAGCCTCTCTGAGTCTGGTTACCTGGGGTTATGTTTTATGGTGGTTCTACCCCAGAGTCAGTGCAAAGCCCTGTATGTGACTCAATATCTGTACCATATCCACCCAGACCCCCTAGTTCCTCACCAAATGACAAGGTGTGAATGCAGGCACTTATGCCTCAGGAATTCATTTATCTCCAATAATACTAACAAAATAACGTAGCCTCACGATACACCACCTTTCCAGATAGTAATATCCGTGAGTGGTTCGTTAGTGTGCTCAGTGTTTTTACGGATTTCATTTCATTTTACTTTCACAAAAACCCAAGGTGGATTTCATTACCTCTTTTTTGCAAGTAAAACTCTGAAACTTAGGAAGGTTATGTGACTTGCTGGATCTAAAACCCAAGTCTGTCTAAATCCAAAAGCCCCATCCTCTGAGTGAAAATAGCTGCCATACACACACACACACACACACACACACACACACACACACACACACACACACACACACACACACACACGTATCAGCACTCTAAGGGCCACAGATGCTGGGGGTTTCAACATAAAACCCTTACTTCTTTTCTCTCTTCCTGTTCCGTCTATTCGTTTGCTAGGGCTGCTATGATAAAAATACCATAGATTGGGCAGCTTAAACGAAAAAATGTGTTTTCCCACAGTTTTGGGGGCTGGAAGTCCAAGATCAAAGTGTCAGCAGGTTGGGTCTCTCCTGAGGCTGTTCTCCTTGGCTTGCAGACAAGCTTTCTCCCTGTGTCCTCACTCGGTCTTTTCTCCCCGGCATTTCTTCCTTCTCCTTCTCTGTCTCCGTCTCCCTCTCCATCTCCGTCTCTGTCTCCTCCTCCTCCTCCTTCCTCCCTCCTCCTCCTTCCTCCTCTATCCTCCTTCTTTCTTTCTTCTTCTTCTTCTTTTTTTTTTAAGATGGAGTCTTGCTCTGTCACCCAGGCTGGAGTGCAGTGGCGCGATCTCAGCTTACTGCAACCTCCACCTCCTGGGTTCAAGTGATTCTCCTGCCTCAGCCTCCCAAGTAGCTGGGATTACAGGCACACACTGCCAAACCTGGCTAATTTTTGTATTTTTAGTACAGACAGGGTTTCACTATGTTGGCCAGGCTGGTGTCAAACGCCTGACCTCAGGCCTGCCTCTGCCTCCCAAAATGCTGGGATTACAGGTGTGAGCCACTGCACTCTGCCTCTTCTTTTTTTCATAAAGACAAGGTCTTGCTCTATCACCCAGGCTGGAGTGCAGTGGTACAATCATGGCTCATGCAGTAAACACCAAGTAATGCAGACATATGGAGGATTGCTCGTGGGTTCAAGCAATCCTCCCACTTCAGCCTGCTGAGTAGCTGGGACCACAGGCATGTAACACCATGCTTGGCTAATTTTTTTTTAATTTTGTAGATATGGGGTCTTGCTATGTTGTCCAGGCTTCTGCCTCTTCGATTAAGGAAACCAGTCCTATTGGATTAAGCCCCCTCCCCATGTGGCCTCATTTAACCTTAATTACCTTTCTCCAAATACACTCACATTCTGAGATACTGGGCGTTAGGACTTCCACATACGAATTTGGTGGTGGAGGGAGAGCGATACAATTCAGTCCATAACACCCTCCTTTCAGGTGCCAAAGATATAATAGTCCTTAGTCTCAAGGAGGCCTCAAAGATTTTTGTATGAGTTGATGATGCTTCACAGAGAAAAGATTCTATCAAGCAGAGGCTGCACTGAGGCTCATGCCTGTAATCCCAGTACTTTGGGAGGTCAAGGAGGGTGGATCACTGGAGGTCAGGAGTTTGAGACCAGCCTGGCCAACACAAAGAAACCCTGTCTCTACTAAAAATAGAAAAAATTAGCCAGGCGTGGTGGTGGGGGACTGTAATCCCAGCTACTCAGGAGGCTGAGGCAGGATAATTGCTTGAACCCGGGAGGCAGAGGTTAGAATGAGCTGAGCTCGTGCAGTTGCACTCAAGCCTGGGCGACAGAATAAGATTCCATCTCAAAAAAAAGAAAAAAAAAGATTCTATCAGACAGGATTCTCCCACCCCATGCCTCTTCTACAAAGTTGTATGCATCGGCTCCCATCCTCATCACAGGGCATCCAGGCCTCCCTCCCCACTCCTCCAATTCAGAGTGAATTCCCTGTCTATGCTGGGCACCTGCCTTCCCAAGCTCTCACTCCATCAGTGACCACAAATCACTATCAACTAGCTCTTTCCCCTTCACTGGTAAATAAACCCTTCCCACCGCTGTCCACGCAGCATGCTGGACAGTTCTAGACCTCGGCGGCTGCTACCCTCTCCTTCCCCTTTTCTTTTCTTTTTTTTAATTGAGATGGAGTCTTGCTCTGTCGCCCAGACTGGAGTGCAGTGGTGCGATCTCGACCCACTGCCTCGGCTTCCCAAAGTGCTGGGATTACAGGTATGAGCCACCGCACCTGGCTTACCCAGGTTCTTAAGAGATAGTTTTACTGGGTGCTATGGTTTGGATGTTTGTACCATCCAAACCTCATGTTGAAATTTGATTCCACCTTTTCCAACTGGGGCTTTGCAGGATGGCTTCTGCAAAGAAGGGTGGCGAGAAGAAAGGTCGTTCCGCCATTAGTGAGGCGGTTACCCCAGAATACACCAGCGCATGGGTGGAGTGGGCTTCAAGAAGTGCCCCTCGGGCACACAGAGAGATCCAGAAATTCGCCATGAAGGAGATGGGGACTCCAAATTTGCACATTGATGTGAGGCTCAACAAAGCTCTCTGGGCCAAAGGAATAAGGAATGTCCCATACCATATCCATATGAAGTTGCCCAGAAAACTTAATGAGGATGAAGATTCACCAGACAAGCTCTATGCTTTGGTTCCTACATATACCTGTTACCACTTTCACAAATCTATAGACAGGCAATGTGGAAGAGAGCTAACCACTGATGGTTCAATACATTAAGTAAAATTATTTTTAAAAAAGAAATTTAGGCCGGGTGCGGTGGCTCATGCCTGTAATCCAGCACACTGGGAGGCCAAAGTGGGCGGATCATTTGAGGTCAAGCATTCAAGACCAGCCTGACCAACATGGTGAAACCCCGTCTCTACTAAAAATACAAAAAAAATTTAGCTGGGTGTGATGGTGTGTGCCTATAATCCCAGCAAAAAGTGAAAATAAAATAAAAAATAAAAACAAGACAAAAATATAAGAAGTTTTCTTTTTTCTTTTGGGTAAAGACTATTAATTGGTATGTAATGGATTGTATCTACCTTCCTATATAAAAGGGTGTTCTGTATTTTTTTGTTTTTTAGACAGTCTCACTTTGTTGCCCAGGCTGGAGTGCAGTGGTATGATCTTGACTCACTGCAACCTCTGCCTCCTGGGTTCAAGTGATTTTCCTACCTCAGCCTCCCGAGTAGCTGGGATTACAAGTGTGCGCCACCATGCCCAGTTAATTTTTGTATTTTTAGTGGAGACAGGGTTTCACCATGTTGGCAAGGCTGGTCTTGAACTCCTGACCTCAGGTGATCCACCCACCTTGGCCTCCCAAAGTGCTGGGATTACAGGCATGAGCCACTGTGCCTGGCCTGGTGTTTTGCCTTTGAAATCACTTTGATGGACTGCCAGTGATGCTCATCACAGTCTAGTCTGATGCTGATTCATTAATAAAACTATTTCATTCTTTTCTACATTTGGAGCAGAAGTTTTACTGGGTTAGCAGGAGATATTATTTTCATTATTTTTTCCCCAACAGTTACAGTGAAGACATCAGCCAAGGCTGCATTCATCTGAAGGCTTGACTGGGGCTGGAGTCTTCCTTCCAGGATGGTTTAATCATTTGTCTGTTGGCAGAAGGCCCCCTTCTGGCTGCTAATAAGAAGACTGTTTCTTACCACGTGGATTTTTACAGATGGCTGCTTTGGTGTCCTCATGAGCAGACAGCTAGCTTTCCCCAGAGGGAGTGGTTTGACAGAGAGGGGAGGAAGCTGCAACACCTTTTAGACCTAGTCTCAGAAGTGACAAGCTGGCATCTCTATCATATTCTTTTTATTAGAAGTCAGTCAGCCAGGTGTGGTGACTCACACCTGTAATCCCAACACTTTGGGAGGCTGAGGTGGGTGGATCACGAGGCCAGGAGTTCGAGACCAGCCTGACCAATATGGCAAAACCTCACCTCTACTAAAAATACAAAAATTAGCTGGATGTGGTGGCACACACCTGTAATCCTAGCTACTTGGGAGGCTGAGGCAGGAGAATTGCTTGAACCCAGGAGGAGGTTGCAGTGAGCTGAGAGCACGCCACTGCACTCCACCCTGGGAAACAGAGCGAGACTCCGTCTCAAACAAAATAAAAGAAGTGAGTCACTGGGGCTGGGCACAGTAGCTCACGCCTGTAATCCCAGCACTTTGGGAGGCCGAGGTGAGTGTATCACTTGAGGTCAGGAGTTCGAGACCAGCCTGGCCAACATGGTGAAACCCTGTCTCTACTAAAAATACAAAAAAATTAGCTGGCTGTGGTGGCACACGCCTGTAATCCCAGCTACTCAGGAGGCTGAGGCAGGAGAATCACTTGAACCTGGGAGGCGGAAGTTGCAGTGAGCCGAGATCATGCCACTGCACTCCAGCCTGGTGACAGAGTGAGATTCCATCTCAAAAAAATAAAAAAATAAAAAAGTGAGTCACAGGCCATGTGTAGTTGGCCAACTGGACAACACATGCCTGTTGTCCTGGCTTCTCAGGAGGCTGAGGTGGGAGGATCACTTGAACCCAGGAGGCTGAGGCTGCAGTGAGCTATAATCAAGCCACTGTACTCTAGTCTGGGTGATGGACCAAGACCCTCTCTCAAAAGAATAAAAAGTCACTAAGCCCATCCCATATTGTAGGGAAGGAGAATTAAGCTGCCTCTCAAGGGAAGTGTCATATCCAAAAGCACTGAACTATTTACATACAAGGAGTGCTAACAATCTGGTTAACTAGTATTACAGGCTGGGTGCAGTGGCTCATGCCTGTAATCCCAGCATTTTGGGAGGCTGAGGCGGGTGGATCACGAGGTCAGGAGATTGAGACCATCCTGGCTAACACGGTGAAACCCTGTCTCTACTTAAAATACAAAAAATTAGCCGGGTGGTGGTGGGCGCCTGCAGTCCCAGCTACTTGGGAGGCTGAGACAGGAGAATGGCGTGAACCCGGGAGGCAGAGCTTGCAGTGAGCAGAGATTGCGCCACTGCACTCCAGCCTGGGCAACAGAGCGAGACTCCGTCTCAAAACAAAACAAAACAAAACTAGTATTACAAATCCAAAAAGTATCACACGTTAGTCCCTGCACAAGAAAACTACAAGTACCCTGAAATCTTGCAGCTCTTCTGTGAAAGAAATGTGAGAGTTTCCCAAATGTGACAGTGGCCCTAAAAATTTCCAGGGTAGTACCCAAAACAAGTAGAGAAGATAAAGGAAATGTTTCCACAGTATCAAAAAATTTTTTTTCAATCAACAATGCTAGAGAAAAGACAATTTTTCTATTCTCACTATAGGAAACATGAAGGGGCAATCAAAGAGTGTACGGTGACAAAAATGTAAGAAAAAGCCAAGCACAGTGGTGTGCACCTGTAATCCCAGCACTTTGGGAGGCTGAGGCAGGAGGATCACTTGAGGCCAGAAGTTCGAGGCTGCAGTAAGCCATGATTGCACCACTGCACTTCAGCCTGGGCAACAGAGGAAGACCGTGTCTCGATGTAACATCAACAACAACAACCAAAAATATATATACACACACTCACATATATATGCATATATATTATATATGTGATACACATATATATGTATATACGCATGTGCATATATGCATATATAAGGATGTGCATATATGCATATATGTGCATAGACATACATGCATATAAATGTGTATGCATATATGCGCATATATGTATATATGTGTATACATCTGTAGAGAAAAGACTATTACAGAAGTGCGTGAGGTAGTTAATCAATAAAAGTATTATTTTCTGAATTTTGTGTTCTTCATTATCTGTGAGAAGAGCTGACTTCTAGTACAACAGTGCAGTTTCCCAGCGTACAGTGCTCTGAAGGGCCAACACTCAAGGTTTAATGTTTTGCAGTCACCATCCTGAAAATTTCAGCTTTGGATTTGTGTTTTGTGAAGCCCAGATGAGACAATGGAGCACGCAATAGAGACTGGAAGCCTGGGCACACACATGGTTCCACCTCTTGCCTCCCCAGGATGGGTTCTCTGAGCAGAGAACCAGTCTAGCAGCCTGGTCTCCCCATTTCTGCCCTTGCCCAGTGACCACTGCTGCCCTCTGTTCAGCTGGGGGCCTGGGCGTGGGTGCAGAGTGCGTCGGGCCAGGTAACAGTGGGTAAGACCAGACTCATATGCCCTGTGCCTCTTTGGGCAGGCCATGGTGGTGGCTGCTCACTGTGGGTGGTGCCCTGGTGCATTTGGTGGGCAATTCAGCAGAGGTAAGTCTCACCCCCACTCCTGATCCAGGTACCTAGCGGGTTCCTTGCATGAAGGTTGCAATACCCTTGAAGGTTGCCTTCTGCCAGGTCTTGGGGTGGTGTTGCATAGAAAGGGGTGATGTCTGACTCAACCTCCCTGCACTGGCCGGTCACTTGGCAGGAGAGGAAAGCAGCACCTGTCAAGCCCAAATGCATATCGCCTCCGCGTTCAATGTAGATGCTCATGTGCACCAGGGGAGCACGTGACTGTCTACACTGGCCCATCTAGCATCCCTATGCCCAAGGTGTGCGCTCAGCCAGCTCTGTGCCTGATGGACCCCCACCCCTTCCTTCCAACCTTCCTGTGTCTGGCCTATGCCTATCTCCTCTGGCCAGCCCCAGGCACACTCCGTGGACAAGCCATGAACTACGAATCATGTACTTTCTTGGATTTTTCATCTCAGTTAAATGATCTGATATTTGCATTCAAAATCGACATTGCCGGTCTGGGCATGATGGCTTAAGCCTGTAATCCCAGCACTTTGGGAGCCCGAGGCAGGAGGATCACTTGAGGCCAGAAGTTCGAGGCTGCAGTGAGCCATGAACGCGCCACTGCACTCCCGCCTGGGCAACAGAGCAAGACTCCATCTCTAAATAAAATAAAGACAAATGGGAAAGTTCATGGTCATTATTAAAATTTTCTAATTCTTCTTTACTTAGAATGACGTTAAATAGCAAACAAGAAATACCGCAAGTCGAGAAAGAGACTGCAAAAGGAAAAAGCTTTATCTTTTAGGATTTTAACAACACTTTCCCGCATTGCGGTTTTTTTTGTTGTTGTTGTTGTTTTTTTTTTTTAAGACGGAGTATCGCTCTGTCGCCAGGCTGGAGCGAAGTGGTGCAATCTTGGCTCACTGCAACCACTGCCTCCTGGGTTCAAGCAATTCTCCTGCTTCAGCCTCCTGAGTAGCTGGGACTACATGCGCGCGCCACCATGCCCAGCTAATTTTTGTATTTTTAGTAGAGATGGAGTTTCACCATGTTGGCCAGGATGGTCGGGATGTTTTTGTTTTTTTTTTTTTTCTTTTGAGACGGAGTCTCGCTTTGTAGCCCAGGCTGGAGTGCAGTGGCACGATGTCGGCTCACTGCAAGCTCCGCCTCCCGGGTTCACGCCATTCTCCTGCCTCAGCCTTAGGAGTAGCTGGGACTACAGGCGTCCGCCACAACGCCCGGCTAATTTTTTTTGTATTTTTAGTGGAGACGGGGTTTCACCGTGCTAGCCAGGATGGTCTCGATTTCCTGACCTCGTGATCTACCCGCCTCAGCCTCCCAAAGTGCTGGGATTACAGGTGTGAGCCACCGCGCCCAGCTGTTCTGGATCTCTTAACCTGTTGATCCGCGAGCCTTGACCTGCCAAAAGTGCCGGGATTACAGGCGTGAGCCAAGGCAGCTGGCCAGCTTTTTTTTTTTTTTTTTTTTTTTTTTTTTTTGAGACAGGGTCTCACTCTGTTGCCTAGGCTGGAGTGCAGTGGTGGAATCTCCGCTCAATGCAACCTTTGGCCCCTGGGCCCAAGCAATCCTCCCACTTCAGCCTCCTGAGTAGCTGGGAGCACAGGTGCGCATCACCATGCCTGGCTATTTTTCTTTCTTTTTTTCTTTTTTTTTTTTTTTTTGTATTTTTAGCAGAGACAGGGTCTTGCCATATTGCCCAGGCTGGTTTTGAACTCCTGAGCTTAAGCGATCCTCCCTCCTCGGCCTCCGAAAGTGTTGGGACTACAGGCATGAGCCACCGCACCAGGTCCTCGCCCCCGCCCTGCTTTTTGAACTGCGAACTGTGCGTTTTTGTTTTGCACTCCGTCCCGCAAATTATGTAGCAGATCCTGTTTGTCAGCTTTTTTTGTTTGCAATTTCTTGTGACGTCCCCATCCCGTAGAAATATTCAAGTTTCTTTTTTTTCTTTTTTTTTTTTTTTTTTTTTTTTGAGATGGAGTCTTGCTCTGTCGCCAGGCTGGAGTGCAGTGGCACCATCTCAGCTCACTGCAACCTTCTCCTCCCAGGTTCAAGCGATTCTCCCTGCCTCAGCCTCCCGAGTAGCTGGGATTACAGGTGCGTGCCACCACGCCCGGCTAATTTTTGTATTTTCAGTAGAGACGGGGTTTCACCACGTTGGCCAGCATGCTGTCGATCTCTTGACCTCGTGATCCTCCCGTCTCGTACTCCTTAAGTGCTGGGATTACAGGGATGAGCCACCGCGCCCGGTCAGACGTTCACTTTTCTACCTAATTTTGGATTCTCTTTCTTAAAGACAGTCCCCAGAATGGTAAAATCTTCAGACCCCTACATAAACTGCATCTTCCACCTCCACCTTCAATGTTGACCTTATCTTGAGTGAGGCAATCAGAAATCAATTTTTTTCCTCTTGTACTTTTTTTTGTTTTGTTTTGTTTTGTTTTGTTTGAGACAGGGTCTCACTCAGTCGTCCAGGCTGGAATACAGTGGTACAATCATGGTTCACCGCAGCCTCGATGTCCTGGGCTCAAGCAATCCTCCTGCCTTAGCCTTTAAAATAGCTGGTACTACAGGCACCCACCATCAGGCCTGGCTAATTTTTTAAAAAATTTTTGTAGAGACGGGGGGTGGAGGAACTCTCATTAGGTTGCCCAGGCTGGTCTCGAACTCCTAGGCTCAAAGGATCCTCCTGTTTCGGCCTCTCAAACTGCTAGAATTTCAGGCATGAGCCACCGCACCCGGCCTTCTCTTACACTTTTTCATACAATAGGCCTGTAGAGCTCTTTTGATATGTGGGAGGAAAGAAAAGATCCCCAGGGAGTGTTATTTCAAAAAAGTAAAGGAAACTGCTGGCACCCGAGGAGAAGCCGGAAACCCGGCAGGGAAAATTTGGCAGAGTCCGGGGTCTTCTTGCAAGGGAGTCCCTGCGAGCTGACCTGCTGAGCCTGCGCTGGGGCGCGCCCCCTTTAAGGGGCGGGGCCTGGCCCCGCTCTCCCAGGGTGCCCCGCGCGCGCGCGCGCCGGCAGTTCGGCCACGTCCCTGGCCACGTCGCGGGCGATCTCGCCATCTTCGCCGCTTCCTCTCAGGGGCCGCCGCCTCCTGAGCCGCCCAGCCCCGGGGCCGCCGCGCTGCGCCGACCGCCACCGCCGCCGCCGCCATGAACATTTTCCGGCTGACTGGGGACCTGTCCCACCTGGCGGCCATCGTCATCCTGCTGCTGAAGATCTGGAAGACGCGCTCCTGCGCCGGTGAGCGGCGGGGGAAGGCCCGGAGAGGCTCGGGCGTGGGGGCCGGGTCTCGCCGAGGACCCGCCGACCTCGGCCACCCCACGGCTCGCGGGGCCTGCGCCGGCCCGACACACCCCCTCGGCCGGCCTAACGGGTGCCCGGACCCGGGGGGCAGCGGCCTGCGGGCCCTCGGGGTGGGCTCCGGGCCGGGTGTCGCAGCGCGGGACCCCGCTCTGCAGTCGGTCCCCGCGTGAACTTGAGCTGTCGGAGCGCACCCGGCTGCGCGGGGCCCTGCTGTGTCTGAAAAGTTGGCGTGGGACGGGGGGTCCGACAGGCGTGGCCCCTCTCTGGGCTTGAATGGGGGCGCTTCTCCGGCCGGGATCTCCCGTGGGGGTCCCGGGGTTGCAGGAAACCCGCGAATCAATGGGACGGGCGGGAGGAGGATGGGCAGGATCGTGGCCGGCTGCGCCTGACGTGGCAGCCCAGCCAGCTCGGGAGGTGGGGCGGGCGCCGGGAGAGGTCACTCGGCTCCCCACCCTGCCCGTGCAAGACCGGGCTCTAGGTGTGGTGTAGTGGGGTCGGGTCAGACCTGTCCTTAAGTGTTGTGTGGGCATCACCCAAGCCCTTGGGTCCAGGATCACACCGCTGGGGAGGGGCTTGCCGAGAGGTCGTCAGTGATTTTCTTGGCGTAATTAATGCTGCTTTGGGAAACGATCTGGTTTTTAAGTGCCTCCATCTAATAATGGGTTCTCTTAAAACTGCGGCGCCCGGGGACCGCCGAGGCCTCCTATGGGCTCCTGCAATTCGTTGCTCCACGTCACCAGTGAGCTGGCTGGTTCCCTGATCAAGAGTACAGATTTCATGCAGGCACTGCTAGGCGGCAGTGAAACGAGTCTTTCCCAGATAATAGTTTTGGACTTTTACATTTCGTTAATTTTAAAGGTATAATAATTGAGAGTTTTTAACTTATTTTTTTTTTTTTGGAGGCAGGGTCTCGCTCTGTCACCCAGGCTTGAGTGCAGTGTGTGATCACTGCTCACTGCAGCCTCTACCTCCCCTGGCTCAGGTAATCCTCCTGCCTCAGACTCCTGAATAGCTGGGACTCCATGCGTGCACCACCATGCCTGGCTAACTTTTTTTTTTTTTTTTTTTTTTGCTATTTTTTGTAGACACAAGGTTTCACCATGTTGCCCAGGCTTTAACTTTCTTAAAAATCCCTTAAACTTATTTTTGATGCTCGGCAAAATAATTTTTGTTGAACTCAAGAACTTAATTTTTTCAGAGGCAGTAAAAGATGATCCTGAATTATCTGGGTGCAGAGACTCTATTTACCTGATTTATTTCTAAAAATTTTGGCGTCTAAAGTCACACTTACATCTCTGAATCTGCTGTCTGCAGGCCTCGCCTGTCTCCTTGGAACATAACTGAGATCCGGGAAGTAAGCAAAACCAAAAAGACCTTTGAACAGTTAAGATGGGTGTTACAAAGTCCATGTGCCAGTGTGTTTGACTTGGAGGTTATCTCTCAGTTGATACATAGTTCTGAGAGGTTCAACTGTATGATTTCCAGTGACAGCAAATAACTGCTGCAGTTTGGGTAAGTGATGTTTAGGCACTTGCTGTATATCAAGTAGTCAGCCGAGTGCTTTATATGGCTTATCCCAGGTAGTCATTAAAATAACCTTAGGAGGGCCGGCCGCGATGGCTCATGCCTGTAATCACAGCACTTTGGGAGGCCGAGGCAGGTGGATCACCTGAGGTCAGGAGTTCAAGACCAGCCTCAACATGGAGAAACCCCGTCTCTACTAAAAATACAAAATTAGCCGGGCGTGGTGGTGCATGCCTGTAATCCCAGCTACTCGGTAGGCTGAGGCAGGAGAATTGCTTGAACCTGGGAGGCGGAGATTGCGGTGAGCTGAGATCGCGCCATTGCACTCCAGCCTGGGCAACGAGAGCGAAACCGTCTCTAAATAAATAAATAAATAAATAAATAAATAAATAAATAAATAAATAAATAAACGACCTTAGGAGGTAGGTGCTATTGTTCCCATTCTGTGGAGGTGGGATCTGAGTCTTAGGGAGTGGAATAAATTAGTGATAGAGCCAGGATTGAAGCACAATTAGTAACTCAAAGGATTGGATAGATGAATGTCTAAGGGAGCCTAAATAAACATTTGATACCAAACCACGATGTTTAGATCCTTTTTTGTTACACTCAGATGATGTTAGTTTTTTTGTTTGTTTGTTTGTTTGTTTGTTTAAAACAGTGGGACCGATGTCTCACTCTGTCCCCCAGGCTGGAGTGCAATGGCTGTGTCACGGCTCACTACAGCCCCAAACTCCTGGGCTCAAGCGATCCTCCCTCCTCAGCCTCCTGAGTTGCTGGGTACAGGTGTGAGCCACAGTGCCCGGCGATGTTACTTTTAATCTTTAGTTTTGCTTCAAAATCTTTGTGTGAGTCTCTTCATTTTCTTCCATATGTTTTTCAGAATCCCCTCCTCTGGCAAATCATTAAGCCTTGAAGTGTGCTGTCTCCTAAACTTTTATCCAAACTAAGATATTTGGGAGAATTTAGTGCAACTTCAGAATAATGATTTTTTTTTCTTTCTTTTTTTTTTTTTTTGAGATGAACTTTTGATCTTGTGTCCCAGGCTGGAGCGCAATGGTGTGATCTCGGCTCACTGCAACCTCTGCCTCCCGGGTTCAAGCGATTCTCCTCAGCCTCCTGATTAGCTGGGACTACAGGCGCTTGCCACCACGCTCGGCTAATTTTTGTATTTTTAGTAGAGACAGAGTTTCACCATGTTGGCCAGGCTGGTCTCGGTCTCCTGACCTCATGATCCGCCCGCTTCGGCCTCACAAAGTGCTGGGATTACAGGCGTAAGCCACTGCGCCTGGCCGTTTGTTTTTTACTATTCACTGTTTTCATTTGAGAGATTCAGGAGCATATAAGGAAAATATGAAATACTTCAGCTAAAATGCTAACGAAGGAAGTGAAATAGATGAGTTAACTTCGTGTGTGTGTGTTTGCCAAGTATTCCCGGGACATTATTAAATTGTTCTTGTTCTCAGACTTAGGATGATTTCTGTCCTGGTTTGTGTGTTTTCCTGATTTTAAGTAAATCACCCAGATCATTTATTCAGAATTAAATGCTAACTTTGACAAGCTGCTTTATTTTTCCATACTAAATTATAAAAGTTGTTTAGAGTCTTTTGAAAGAGTAAGAATTTGATATGAGTTTCTCAAATGACTGGAATAGGAGAAACGTGCATCCAGATTGTGTTTCTCATTTTGAAAATACTCATACCAAGGTTCATTTTTAGGATTTTAGCACTGATTTTGAAAATGCTGTTTTAGTCTCGGAACCATGGTGCTTTTTACCCCATAAGGATCAGGGATGAGGCTGACTCGTGTGGAAGCTGGAGATTCTGTGTTCCTCATAGGCAGATTCCAGAACAGCTGCCTTTAAGGACCGTTTTAAAGTGGGGGCAGTGAGTTGATCATGTTTGAGGCTGCATTCTCTTGTGGCTGTATCTGCTGTTGTCATTACAGAAGGGTGTCAACATGGAATGTGAGTTTCTCCTATTCTGAATTATCATTGCAGCTCGATCCACGGTATGCTCAAGTTGTCACTTTATTTTTGTCCTAAACACTGACCTACATAACCTCGGAAGAACAAGCGGTGGTTTTAGATGAAGGGCTTCCTATTCAAATTTTCCTGTAGGCCAATGGTTATTAGTGCTGTATCTACTGTAGTGCTGTGTCTATTAGTAGTGTGTATTACTGTAGCTAGTTATCAGTAGTGTGTATCTACTGTAGCTAGAGGAGTCTTTCTGAGATCCACGACCCCGGGCCTTCCCCCTCTAGTCTGTCTCCTTCCCTCCTTCCCCTGTTGCTTAGATTGTTGTTAGCTGTTATGTAGGTTGTAAACTTTTCATCCTACCAAACCCCATACTGGATCTTATGGTGTCCATACATTTCAGATATGGGACAGTTGATATTTTTGGAGTAATATAGTGGGTAAGATGTGGAGTACTCCAAGAAGCTTTTGCTTCACATATGCAGCTCCCTCTGTAGCTGTTTGGCCTGTGCTCTTTTGAGTGCCAGTCTCTGAGTAATCATTACTCTCATTTATTGACCACCCACTATGTGCAAGGCACTGGCACACAATTCAGAGCAGCAGCTTGTAGCTATTAAAAGTTTTTGTTCTTGGCTGGGCGTGGTGGCTCACGCCTGTAATCCTAGGACTTTGGGAGGCCAAGGCGGGCGGATCTTGAGGGCAGGAGATCCAGACCATCCTGGCTAACACGGTGAAACCCCATCTCTATTAAAAATACAAAAAAATTAGCCGGGCATGGTGGCGGGCGGCTGTAGTCCCAGCTACTTGGGAGGCTGAGGCAGGAGAATGGCATGAACCCGAGAGGTGGAGCTTGCAGCGAGCCGAGACTGTGCACTGCACTCCAACCTGGGTGACAGAGGGAGACTCCGTCTCAAAAAATCAAACAAACAAACAAAAAAAAAGTTTTTGTTCTTGGCCGGTCTTAGTGGCTCATGCCTGTAATTCCAGCACTTTAGGAGGCCAAGGTGGGTGGATCACTTGAGCACAGGAGTTCAAAACCAGCTTGGGCAGCATGGTGAAACCCTGTCTCTACCAAAAATACAAAAGTTAGCCAGCCGTGGTGGTGCGCTGTGGTCCCAGCTACTCAGAAGGCTGAGTGGGGAGGATTACTGGAGCCCAGGAAGTCGAGGTTGCAGCGAGCCGTGATCACACCATTGCACTTCAGCTTGGGTGACAGAGTGAGACTGTCTCAAAAACAAAAGACAAACAAAAGAGAGAAAAGTTTCTATTCTCAAGAAAGCTGCAATGTAGTTGAAATGATAGGAAAATGTACAAAAGATGGCCGAGCACGGTGGCTTACACCTGTAATTCCAGCACTTTGGGAGGCCGAGGTAGGTGGATCACCTGAGTCAGGAGTTCAAGACCAGCTTGGCCAATATGGTGAAACCCATCTCTACTAAAATTACAAAAAAGTTACCCGGGCGTGGTGGCAGGCACCTGTAGTCCCAGCCACTAGGGAGGCTGAGGCAGGAGAATTGCTTGAACCCAGGAGGCAGAGGTTGCAGTGAGCCGAGATCGCACCACTGCACTCCAGCCTGGGCGACAAGAATGAAACTCTTGTCTCAAAAAAATAAAAATAAAAAATAAATATTAAACTTTGCTGATGGACATAGAAGATGACCTGCATGTATGTTCATACTACGGTCCTGGAGAGCACCCAGGAAGGCTGGTGAGGAAGCAAGATGACATCTCTCCAAATTGATTTCTTAATTCAGAATAGTATCAAAGCTAAAGACAATAAACTGAGTGAAATAATCTGTAATATACCTAAGTGACAAAAGGTTAATATCTATAATAAAGTACTCCTACAAATAAAAACCCAGCTGAAAAATGGGCAAAGTTGGCAATTCACTGAAGAATAACGAAAGACCAATGAAGCATGAAAGGATGCTTAGTCTTGCTAGGAGTTAGGAATTTGAATATGAAAATAGCAGTGCGGCCAGGTGTGGTGGCAGCGCTTTGGGAGGTCAAAGCTAAAGGATCACTTGAGGCCAGGAGCTTGAGACCAGCCTGGGCAACATAGTGAAACCCTGTCTCTACAAAAAAAATGAAAAATTAGCTGGGCGTGGTGGCGTGCACCTGTGTCTTAGCTACTCAGGTGGCTAAGGAGGGAGAATCGCTTAAGCCCCAGGCTGCAGCGAGCTGTGATCATGCCATTATACCCTGGGTTGGGCAACTGAGTGAGGTTCTGTCTCAAAAAAAAAACCGGGGGGCGGGCAAGCAAAGAAAAAAGAACAGCAGTACATACCACTGGGTAGGAAAATGTTGGCAAGGATGTGAAGAAAGGGTCTTTGCATTTCGTGTTAGTAGATACGTAAATTGGCATAGCCTTTCTAGGAGAAATTTGACAATATCAAATTTTAAAATGTTCATGTCTTATTTTTGGTTTATGTGTTTTAATTTGCATTATTTGGGGTTACGGATTAAAATTTTTTAATTGATACATTATGATTGGATCTATTTATGGGGTACAGTTTGATGTTTCAATACATGTGTATGTTGTATAGTCTAATCTGGGTAGTTATTTCCGTCACCTCATGTGTTTATCATTTCTTCATTCGAAAACTTCTAACTATTTTGTAATATATAATACCTCATTGGGAAGATTGCTTGAGCCTAGGAGGTCAAGGCTGGAAGCTATGATTGCACCAGTCTACTCCAGCCTGGGCTACAGAGAGAGACCCCATCTCGAAAACAAAACAGAAAACAAAAGACATTTAACCTGGCCCAGTAGGATAAGACAAGAATGATGTTGTTTAATGACTGATTTCCATTTAACAAGTTGTACTCCTTAATATAGATGTTTGGTGTATTTGGTAAGGGGATATCAGTTTCAGAAACATTTACAAAAGTGAGTATTCTGGGAGATCTTATTACCTGGTAACCTTAGCATGCTTTGATCTCAAAGTGGAGAGAAGCCGACTAGGAGCTGCTCTGGTTTAATAGCAGGTATTCTACTCCCAACCCCTCCAGGAGATTCTTGCCCCACCCCCTTCTGTCTTCAGCTAGGATTCCCATTTTCCTATGAAGACAGGACAGTTTTGTTGTTTTAAAGGAAGAAGCTGCTACTTCCTAATCAGGATCTCAGGCTGGGGAAGAACAGTGTGGGACCACGTTAGCATCCGCAGATTTCCAGCAAGGCTGTCCTGCGTGGACGCTACTCCATGGACCGGCTTCAAACCACACACTGCCCTGTGCGCACCTGGGGCTCTCTCACCCTCTAGCTAGTAGTTAATTAGGGCAGAGCCCTATTTACAGTCACAGAGACACAGTATGACCTGGACATTCTTCAGAAGTGTTCTCCCAAAATACCACAAAATGAGAATTTGACCCCATGACATGAAGATAAAATGAATCCCATTTTCTTTTGTCCATTTATTCATTCAGCAAATATTTTCTGAGTCCTGCTGTGTGTCAGGGCCCAGTGTCCCATGCAGGGAATACAAGATGGAATAAGGCATGACCCCAGCCTTTAAAGATCTTGGTACTGAGTGAGGTTTTTGGGGAGAGGAGAGGCAGGAACCACATCATCACAGTGTATTTTTATAAGTACTGTAATTGGAGCTAGGGCAGCAGCTGGCATGAAGCAGTTCCCCTTATGTGCTTGCTGAATGAATCAACAGTCCTGAGGGAGGGTATCTTCAGAGATGACATCCCAGAGGAGGTGGGATATGAGCTGGGTCCCCACGGGGGCTGGTAAAGACAATATGATGGTCCCTGGTTTTCAGTATAGGAATGCTGGGAATGAGGACACAATTTCAAATCTGCCTGGCTTCCAAAGTTCTGTTAGAGTAAAACCCTTTCCCACAAAATTCACCTACTTGTATCCTGTATGTTTATATTTAAAATATTGGAAAGAACCATATAGGAAATAAGCTGGAAATTGATTTCTCAAGGCTTCAACAAACACCAGGTATGGTCTGACTGCTCCCTGTTCTTTCTTCTTCCCCCTCTGAAACCTCCCGGTTTCTTGGTTAGCAGCAGCCTTGTCATTTCCCCTTTGGAACATTGGTCTCTGTAGGAAGAAATCAGTTATCCGTTACGGGGAAAAGACTAAGAGCAGATTCACTGTCCGTGTCTCCTCCTTTGGCCCTTTGGTTTCTATTGATGGATCTGGAAGGGTGGCATCAACATTTTTTTCCATTTCTATTTAGATGTGTATGTGAATAGGCTGAGACTACAGTTATTCATCTGAGAAAGTAACATTCTTACATTCAGGTTTTCAGTTTCAGCAAGCTGCAAAATGATTGTTCATAAAATATTGAAAAACAACATGTAATACAAATATTAGCCAGGTGTGGTGGTGCACCCACCTGTAGTCCCAGCTACTCAGGAGGCTGAGGTGGGAGGATCACCTCAGCCCAGGGAGGTCAAAGGTGCAGTGGGCTGTACTTGTGCCACCGCACTCCAGCCTGGGCAACAGAGTGAGACCCAGTCTCAAAAAAAGAAAAGAAAAATAATGTGCTTTTCACGTTCCAGAGGAGTGTTGTGAATGATTTGGGTGAAGTGACTTTTCTGTTAAATTCATACTTACTAAAATGTGTAGTGGTGTGAAGTATGCATTATAGATGAGGGTGGGTGGGTTCTGACATTTAGTCAGCCTTCAGTTTCTTTAATGCATTTGCTCAGTCTCCAGCATCTGAAACCCATAGTTTGCGTCCTTTGTCACATAAATATTTGGCCAAATATAGATGTCAGAAAAGCTGTGTGCACACCACATAAATGTCCAGCCTTCCTGGCTGAGTGTGGCTGTGCCATGCAGTGCTCTGGAGGTGGGTTGGTGGTTGGAAGTGGAAACACAGTTTCAAGGCTTTAAAAAAGACAGCTGCTTTTGAAGACCAGCTGTAGTTGTGGGTTCATACCTTCATGTTGTCCTAGCATTCAGGAACATTTTTATACAAATACAATGGAATTTCTATTTTATTGTAATTAATTTATTTTTTGAGACAGGGTCTTGCTCTGTCACCCAGGCTAGAGTGCAGGGATGTGACCACAGCTCACTCAGCCTCAGCCTCCTGGAGTCACGCAATCCTCCCACCTCAACCTCCCATGTAGCTGGGACCACAGGTGTGTGCCACCTTGCCTGGCTATCACTTTTCTATTTTTCGTAGAGATGGAGTCTGGTCTCAAACTCCTGGGCTCAAGCGATTCTCCCGCCTTAGCCCCCCTATATGTGGAGATTATAGGCATGACCACTATGCCTAACTGAGAGGGAAGCTTTAAAAATCTTAACATATCCAAGTAATTGCCGCTCTTAGCAAAGAAGTCACCATGGGATGCGATGCCATTATTCCAGCGGGAGTTCCTGCCCAACTCTTACCTGAGTCGGTGCTTCTCATCTACTCCTCATCCCCCTTAATGACAGTAGACTCCATCTCCGTTCTCAAAAGATTTCTCACCATGGAGATACTGTTTTACCATACAAAGAAGGGACCAGGCGACATGGCTCATACCTGTAATGCCAACGCTTTGGGAAGCTGGGCCCAGGAGTTCAAGACCAGTGTGGGCAACATGGTGAACAAAAAATTTGTTTAAAAATTAGCTGGGTGTGGTAGTTCACACCTCTAGTCCCACCTACTCTGGAGGCCGAGGTGGGAAGATTGCTGAAGCCCAGGAGGTCAAGGCTACAGTGAGCTTGATCGTGCCTCTGCACTCCAGCCTGGGCAGCAGAGGGAGACCCTGTCTCAGGGGAAAACAAAAAAGAAAAATCTGAATGTAAGAGACAAGTTATAACACTAAATGACAGCAGAATTATTGAGAAATTTGTTCCTACTTAAGGTGATATATTTGAGAAGTAAAAGGTTCGTTTGAATGATACACATCCTGGCATAATAAAGCCCCTTTCCTGTGGTCGCCCTTTATAGTGAGACAGAAAAGCCTGTTAGAGCCTCCCAAAAGGAGCATGTTTGGGAATGGGAAGGGATAGAAAAACTACAACTGCTCTTGTTCATTCAGAGCCATCCCTAGACCTGGGCCTTGACCCCACGCACCCCTCCTTCCCTGTCTGCACTCCCTGCACAGTGTGATCCACAGGAATCCCAAAGCTCTTCAGGCCCTTCTAATACTTCCCTTCTGTTTCTCTAGGTATTTCTGGGAAAAGCCAGCTTCTGTTTGCACTGGTCTTCACAACTCGTTACCTGGATCTTTTTACTTCATTTATTTCATTGTATAACACATCTATGAAGGTATGGTATGCCATCCACAGGAATGTATTTCATCTACAGTGCACAGGTCTATGGACACTTAATTTATGTCAGCTGTGTATTTTTAATTAAAATGCTCCAAAAATAATGTCTTAATATGCTGTTCTTGACTTTAAAACTTTCAGACCACCTTGTATATATAACTGGGACTAAACGAGCTATCAGTAAGCATACATTTTTGGTTTCAAAACAGTAGTTAATTAAAATACTTTGAAGTTAGAACTTTTTTATTTTAGGTTCCTTAAGTATGATAAATCTAAAGCTCTTGATAACTCTGTAAGTAAGAGCGGTAACTATTATATTTTCAAGCCGTGGGAAATTACAGAGTCCCCAGAGAAATCCAGCAAGTTGGTACATAACAAGGAACGAAAGCAGGACTCCTAGTTGCAGTGTCTCATTTCGCTGCTGTGTGAGGAACTGTCTATAGGCTTCTATCTTTTTTCTTTGCCACTGAGTCAGTTTTACTTAAACTGTTGTGTGTGTGTCATTTTTATTACATTTGCCGTGCTTAAATGATCTCTATACCATCATTTACTTAGTAACGTATTTTTTTAAACCTTTCAACTTGTCCTAATTATTAGTATCTATAACACCTTTGTTGTCTTTCTTATATTTTTTCTAATTCACATTAAAACTAGTGTATAACTATTAAAATACAAAATGTTTGCACACCACCTAACACTTTGTGTAGCACTGGTGGCACACACCCCACACTGGGGGAAGTTGTGGACTACGTGAGCTTCAGTTCTTTCGCACAGTGTTGAATTCATGCTTGTGAACACCTACAGAGCTGGGAACTGAGGATGCGGCAGAAAATAAGCAGAAGTCTCTAGGCTGGTGTGGGAGAGTACACAGATCATGGCAGTACAAATGACTGCGATTTATGATGGGTGCCACAAAGGAAAAGTATAAGAGTTGCGAACCTATGGATATAAAAAACATGAAACAGGCCCAGTAGCTCCCGCCTGTAATCCCAGCACTTTGGGAGGCCAAGGTGGGTGGATTGCTTGAGCCAAGGAATCCGAGACCAGCCTGAGCAACATAGTTAGACCCCTGTCTCTAAAAAAAAAAAAAAAAAAAAAATACAAAAATTAGCCAGGCATGGTGGCATACTCCTGTAGTCCCAACTACTCAGGAGGGTAAGGTGGTAGGATCGCTTGAGCCCTGGAGGTTGAAGCTGCAGTGAGCCGTAATTGCACCACTGCCCTCCAGCCTGGCAGCCTGGGTGACAGAGCAGGATCCTGTCTGAAAAAAAAAAAAAAAAAAAAGAACAGGGGCTCTCAGGATATGTAATAGGAGTCTGATTTCTTTCTTTCTTTCCTTCTTTCTACAAATACTGAGCACCTGTGCACCAGGCACTATTCTAGGCCATTTGGTTATTAGCATACCCAAGGAAGTAATATTTCAACTGAATCCTATTGGTATGGCACCTAAACAACCTCCCCCCAACATTTTGTGTTCAAGAGCATTTTCATAAGCACTGTTGAAAGGAGACAAAGCAGTATGTGAGTCTGGTCTTTACTAAAAAGCAAATTTGAGTCACTTATAATGGATTCTTCATTACCAAATGATGGGAACCTAGTATTCAGGAAATAATGAGCTTACTTAAAAATGGTT
The DNA here is from genome assembly GCF_000001405.40 of Homo sapiens. Taxonomy (NCBI): domain Eukaryota; kingdom Metazoa; phylum Chordata; class Mammalia; order Primates; family Hominidae; genus Homo; species Homo sapiens. Next base: position 6,472,548 of record NC_000007.14, on the reverse strand, counting down.
AGGTCCCCACTTGTCTAGGCAAGTTAAAACTGCAGGCATTAGAGGTGTGTGAGCAAGAATCCTCTCTCCCCCTCAGGATGCCCAGGTTTCAGAGGAATCCATGCTTGCTTGGTTGTAGTTTCTAAGCACGATGTCCTGAAAGTCTGGCGTGAGACCCGAGGTGCTCGTGTCTTTTTACTTTAACTTCTGTGTGCTGGTGAGAGGAGAGAAGCAGCTGTTCTTCTCCAGGTGCTGCTAAGGCCTTAGTGGAAATAACGCCCATCAAGTTTTTATTAATGTTGAGCTGGCCACAGTCTAGGTCCTGGTGAGAGGCCTCTCTGCTGTGAGCCTTGGCTAGATGCGCTGAGGGGGCTCAGTGCATGTGTAGATGGATGTGTGTCTTGTTTATGCATGTAGATTTTGTTTTGTATTTATTCACATACATGGTGAGGAGATCGAGACCATCCTGGCCAACATGGTGAAACCCCATCTCTACTAAAAATTAGCTGGGTGTGGCGGCATGCGCCTGTAATCTCAGCTACTGGGGAGGCTGAGGCAGGAGAATTGCTTGAACCCGGGAAGCGGAGGTTGCAGTGAGCCGAGATTGCTCCACTGCACTCCAGCCTGGTGACAGAGCAAGGCTCCGTTTCAAAAAAAAAAAAAAAGTTAAACTTACACTTAACATATGACCCAGCAGTCCCACCCCTAAGTACATACCCAAGAGAAGTGAAAACTTACATTCACACAAACACTTGTACGCAAATGTTCACAGCAGCTTTATCCACTGTCCTCCCAAATTAGAAACCACCTGTCCTTCAACTGGTGAGTGAATAAACAAACTGGTGCATCCATACAATGGACCACCAATGGACGCAGCTATAAAAAGGAACAAATTATTAACACTAGGCCCTCACTTAATGTCATTGGTAGGTTCTTGAAGTGAAACAACACACACTGCAACTTGAAGTGAAACAACATACACTGAAGCCAGTTTTACCATAGGCTAATTGACATGAGTAAGAGTTAAGTTCCTACAGCATATTTCCGGTCCCCAAAACACCACCAGACTTTTAAATAAAGACCCAAAACAGGCCGGGTGCTGTGGCTCACGCCTGTAATCCCAGCACTTTGGGAAGCCGAGGCAGGCAGATCACCTGAGGTCAAGAGTTCGAGACCAGCCTGACCAACATGGAAACCCCGTCTCTACTACAAATATAAAAATTAGCTGGGCATGGTGGCAGGCGCTTGTAATCCCAGCTACTTGGGAGGTTGAGGCAGGAGAATCGCTTGAACCTGGGAGGCGGAGGTTGCAGTGAGCCGAGATTGTGCCACTGCACTCCAGCCTGGGCGACAGAGCGAGACTCCATCTCAAAAAAAAAAAAAAAAAAAAAAACCGAAACAAATGTGAGCTATACATTTATTTATTTATTTATTTATTTATTTTTTATTTTTTTTGAGACAGAGTCAGTCTGTCACCCAGGCTGGAGTGCAGTGGCGAGATCTCGGCACACTGCAAGCTCCGCCTCCTGGGTTCACACCATTCTCCTGCCTCAGCCTCCTGAGTAGCTGGAACTATAGGCACCCGCCACCACGCCCGGCTAATTTTTTGTATTTTTTTTAGTAGAGATAGGGTTTCACCATGTTAGCCAGGATGGTCTCGATCTCCTGACCTCATGATCCGCCTGCCTCGGCCTCCCAGAGTGCTAGGATTACAGGCGTGAGCCACCATGCCCAGCCAACATGAGCTATACATTTAAGAAAGATTAATAAAAGCAACATAATTATTTATCCAGTTTTTGGTGAATCCGTGCATGATGGTGGTCATAGTGGTGGCGGATTAAATCAAGAAGTATATGTTTACAAACAAAAATTATAAGGAGTACCTCCTACTACCATAAAGTTCAAAAACAAACAATAACAAATATAGCAGGCTCACTGAGTGCTTTTGTACTACATTGTTTATTGTGGTACATATGTATAATTATTGTATACTACTTTATGAATTATTTTACCATAGTTTGTATTCATTTTCCAACCCACTTACTTCATTTCAGGGTCCCAGGTGGCCAGAGCCTATCCCAGCAGCTCAGGTTCAAGGCGCGAACTTTCCCCCAACTGCATAGGATGCCATTCCATCACAGGGCGCGCTCACCCACACCCACTCACACTAGGACAGTTCACACATGCCAGTTCACCTAACTGGCATCGTTGAGATGTAAGAGGAAACCAGAGTATCTCTGGTGGGAGATTCTCCAAGAGTATCTCTTGGAGAAGACCCACGTGGACTCGGGGAGAGCATGCAAACGCCATGGATGGCGGCCCCAGCCGGGAACCAGTTTCTTTTCTCATCAGTGTTACAACCAAAGGATGTTATTGGCAGACCTGCTATACACACAATAAGTTTGGTTGCCTCTCAGATGCATTAGGCTAACTGAAATTGGACCCAGAAGGCAACATACTATGTGACTCCATTTATGTGGCTTTCTAGAAAAGGCAAAACTATGGACAGAGAACATAAGTGTGATTGCACTGCAGGAGGTGAAGGAAGCCTGGGGGAGTTTGACTGCGAAGCGGCAGCATGGCAGAATTTTGGGGATGATGGAACTATTCTGTGTCCTAATTTTGGTGGTGGTTATGCCTCAGAACTGAACACCTCCAAAAAAGAGAATTTTACTATATTTAAGTTTTAAAATTCCAAAAACAAAGCTAAGGAAAAAAATCTTGCCTTTCCAAATACATGGGTGATTAAAAAAGCTGGGGGGTGCTGGAACAGTGGCAAGGTATTGACACCTGGTGTTTTTTCTTTTATTTGTAGGTTATCTACCTTGCCTGCTCCTATGCCACAGTGTACCTGATCTACCTGAAATTTAAGGCAACCTACGATGGAAATCATGATACCTTCCGAGTGGAGTTTCTGGTGGTCCCTGTGGGAGGCCTCTCATTTTTAGTTAATCACGATTTCTCTCCTCTTGAGGTTAGTTTAAAAGGTTACTTAGGGCCAGGCATGGTGGCTCATGCCTGTAATCCCAGCATTTTGGGAGGCCGAGGCGGAGTTCAGCCTCCACTTTGGGTGGATCATGAGGTCAGGAGTTCGAGACCAGCCTGGCCAACATGGTGCAACACCGTCTCTACTAAAAATACAAAAAATTAGCTGGGTGTGGTGGCACGCACCTGTAATCTCAGTTACTCAGAAGGCTGAGGCAGGAGAATCACTTGAACCCAGGAGGCGGAGGCTGCAGTGAGCCGAGATCACGCCATTGTACTCCAGCCTGGGTGACAGAGCAAGACTGTCTCGAGGGAAAAGAAAAAAGAGGTTATGGCTGGGCGTAGTGGCTCACGCCTGTAATTCCAGCACTTTGGGAGGCCAAGGTGGGCACATCACGAGGTCAGGAGATCGAGACTATACTGGCTAACATGGTGAAACCCCGTCTGTACTAAAAAATAAAAAAAATTAGCTGGGCATGGTGGCGGGCACCTGTAGTCCCAGCTACTGGGGAGGCTGAGGCAGGAGAATGGCGTGAACCCGGGAGGTGGAGCTTGCAGTGAGCTGAGATTGTGCCACTACACTCCAGCCTGGGCGAGAGAGTAAGACTCCGTCTCTCAAAAAAAAAAAAGAGGTTATTTAGGTCTGGGCCTGGTGGCTCACCACACCTGTAATCACAGCATTTTGGGAGGCCGAGGTGGGCAGATCACTTGAGGTCAGAGGTTCAGGCATTCAGCCTGGCCAACATGGTGAAACCCTGTCTCTATTAGAAATACAAAAACTGGCCATGCGCAGTGGCTCACGCCTGTAATCCCAGCACTTTGGGAGGCTGAGGCAGGTGGGACACGAAGTCAAGGGATTGAGACCATCCAGCTAACACGGTGAAACCCCGTCTCTACTAAAAATACAAAAAACTAGCTGGGCGTGGTGGCGGGCGCCTGTAGTCCCAGTTACTTGGGAGGCTGAGGCAGGAGAATGGCGTGAACCTGGGAGGCGGAGCTTGCAGTGAGCCAAGATCGCGCTACTGCACTCCAGCCTTGGCGACAGAGCGAGACGCTGTCTCAAAAAAAAAGAAGAAAGAAAATCAAAAATTAGCTGGGTGTGGTATCGCACGCCTGTAATCCCAGCTACTCAGGAGGCTGAGGCAGGAGAACCACTTAAACCTGGAGGCGGAAGTTGCAGTGAGCCGAGATCGAGCCACTGCACTCCAGCCTTAGCGACAGAGCAAGACTCCATCTAAAGAAAAAAAGTTAATTTCATGGTCATGTCTGGTTATCTAGAATGGACCTATTTGCATGTTTGCAGATCGTGTAGGTTTTCATGGAGTTTTTTGTTTTTATTTTCTGGTTTGGCAAACTCTAGTGCAATGTTCATGACTGGTGTAAAAAAATCGTAGATGAGAATTAAGCACCCACATATTTAGGTGTCTGCTGACAGTTTACTGTCTGATTCATTTGAAATAGAAACTTGAAACTGTATTTCATTATCTTGACTTCAGTGGTACCAAACACAGAGCCCTGCCTGTCCCAGTGTGGGAAGAACAAGGTCTCCCTCCTGTAGCCCACATTTTGTTTGCTTTTCATGTACAGATGTGCACTGATGTCGTGTCTGTGACCCTGCTTAGCAGCACTCTGCACCTCTTGCCTTTAGGAAAGCTGGTTTGTGGTGCCCCTAGTACTGTGCAGTGAGCTGATCTGCTCCTGAGTGCCTCTTCTTTCCCTGCTGAACAGGCAAACGGTGCTGCTTCACATCCTGGGGCCGATCAAGTCACTGTGCTACCCTGGGTGTCTGATGGGTGCTGGGAGTGCCTGGACTTTTCTTTTTTTTTGAGACAGAGTCTCGCTGTCACCCAGGCTGGAGTGCAGTGGCATGATCTCGGCTCACTGCAACCTCCGCCTCCTGGGTTCAAGCGATTCTCCTGCCTCAGCCTCCCGAGTAGGTGGGATTACAGGCACCCACCATCATGCCTGGCTAATTTTTGTATTTTTAGTAGAGACCGGGTTTCACCATGTTTTCCAGGCTGGTCTTGAATTCCTGATCTCAGGTGATCTGCCTGTCTCGGCTTCCCAAAGTGCTGGGATTACAGGCATGAGCCACCACACCCAGCCATGCCTGGACTTTTAAAATACTCAAGGACCCTCTGAAAGTCCTTCTATCATCATCGTGAATAAAGTCATACGCTGGGCAGAGAATTTCCATAATTACAGTTGTGACTTCTACCCCTTTGATTTAACCACACCAGAAAGCTTAAGGAATAAGAAAAATAGTGAAAATATTTCAGTAGTTTGGCAAGATCAGTCAGTGAGGAAAAACAGCAGTGAGGAAGTGGAAGGAGCTTATCAATTATCAGTATTGTCAATCCTGGCGGAAAGCAGGGTTGATTTGGTATCCCAGATCTGGAGCAGGACAAGCTTGTCCAGGAGAAACCTCTGTATGTAGATTCATAGAAAATTGAAGAGGGAAGAATAAACCTGGAGAGACAAGGTGATGAAAATTCAAAGAGGTAGAGGTGTCCAGGTTACCCAGCTTGTCACACTGGCAGTGCCTTGCCTCTTAAAGGTTGCTTAAGTTTCTGTGATTTATGCCAGGAGTCCTCAACCCCTGGGCCACTGACTGGTACTGGTTCATAGCCTGTTAGGAACCAGGCCACCCAGGAGGAGATGAGCCGTGGGTGAGCAAGTGAAGCTTCATTGTATTTATAGCTGCTCCCCATCACTCACATTACTGCCCAAGCTCCACCTCCTGTCAGATAACTGGCAGCATTCAATTCTCATAGGAGCATGAGCCCTATTGTGAACTGTGCATCTGAGGGATCTAGGTTGCATGCTCCTTATGAAAATCTAATGCCTGATGATCTGTCACTGTCTCCCATCACCCCCAGATAGGACCATCTAGTTGCAGGAAAACAAGCTCAGGGCTCCTACTGATTCTGCATTATGACGAGTTGTATAATTATTTCATTGTATATTATAGTAATAACAGAAGTAAAGTGCACAATGATTGCAATGTGCTTGAATCATCCCGAAACCATCCATCCACCCTGCTGGTCTGTGGAAAAATTGTCTTCTATGAAACCGATCACTGGTGTCAAAAAGGCTGGGACCACTGGGTTATGCAGTTGCCAAGCTGTTGTTCTATTTTGGGCCGACATGCCCCACTCCCCACTCATCTTAGGCTGCTTTGTGGTAAAGAAAGCAAGAGTGTTTCCTCTGAGCTCCTGGTGGGCAGTGGGTCGTGATGGAAGCTTGCCATTTCTCTTCCAGATCCTCTGGACCTTCTCCATCTACCTGGAGTCCGTGGCTATCCTTCCGCAGCTATTTATGATCAGCAAGACTGGGGAGGCCGAGACCATCACCACCCACTACCTGTTCTTCCTGGGCCTCTATCGTGCTTTGTATCTTGTCAACTGGATCTGGCGCTTCTACTTTGAGGGCTTCTTTGACCTCATTGCTGTGGTGGCCGGCGTAGTCCAGACCATCCTATACTGTGACTTCTTCTACTTGTACATTACAAAAGGTATGTTGGGTGCGACCTGCGTTGTTTCTAGAGTGACGTGTTCTTTTAGGAGTGCCCTTGCCCAGCACTCTTCTAATCTGGCACTCTCTCATAAACTGGCTCCAGAGAAACACTTTCATGATTGGCCAATAACATTCTGGATCAGGATGTTGTCTTTTTAAATATAAGAACCCTTTTTCTTTTGCAATAGCTTTTCCTAAAGTGACACATTTTCACTGTAAAAGATTCATCTGGTGTTTCAGTGAACATTAACACCAGATACCTCTCTATGCATACACAGACACATGACTTAAACTGTACATTGCTGTTCTATACACTGCTTTTATCCCCTCACATTTTTCATGTCACTAGAAATCTACATAATTTTCAGTAGCCACAGAGTGTTTCATTATGTGCATGTACCATAATTTATTTACCCAGCCCCCATTCATGGGTGGTCAGGCCGTTACTGGTTTGCTGTTAAAATCCAGTCATTAAATCAGCATCCTTGTGTATATGTGTTTTTGCATTTGTATGAACATAGGACGTGTGAACTTTACAAATATTTGATGAAAGCTATCATCCTTGTTCAGAAAAAAAAAAACATTTATGCCAGGTGCAGTGGCTCACGCCTGTAATCGAGCACTTTGGGAGGCCGAGGCGGGCGGATCATGAGGTCAGGAGATCGAGACCATCCTGGCTAACACGTGAAACCCCGTCTCTACTAAAAATACAAAAAACTTAGCCAGGCGTGGTGGTGGGCGCCTGTAGTCCCAGTTACTCGGGAGGCTGAGGCAGGAGAATGGTGTGAACCTGGGAGGCGGAGCTTGCAGTGAGCCCAGATCGCGCCACTGCACTCCAGCCTGGGTGACAGTGCGAGACTCTCTCTCTCAAAAAAAAAAAAAAAAAAGATATTTACGCAAATGCACCCAAATGCATGTATATAGTTTTGAGGGGTTCAGGAGCCCCTGAAACCCAACCACAGATCCCAGGCTAAAAATCCAGCTATACAATAAAATTCCTAATGGTGGAATTGCTAGGTAAAAAGCATATATAGGTCGGGTGCGATGGCTCACGCCTATAATCTCAGCACTTTGGGAGGCCGAGATGGGTGGATCGTCTGAGGTCAGGAGTTCAAGACTAGCCTGACCAACATGGCGAAACCCCATCTCTACTAAAAATACAAAATTAGCCGGGTGTGGTGGCACATGGCCTGTAATCCCAGCTACTTGGGGGGCTGAGGCAGGAAAATCTCTTGAACCCGGGAGGCAGAGGTTGCAGTGAGCTGATATCACGCCATTGCACTCCAGCCTAGGGAACAAGAGCAAAACTCTGTCTCAAAAAAAAAAAAAAAAAAGAAAAAAAAGAGCATATATGTCTTATCTCTTTCCTTTTGTTTTTTTTGAGACCGAGTCTCTCTCACCCAGGCTAGAATGCAGTGGCTTGCTCTCAGCTCACTGCAACCTCTGCCTCCCAAGTTCAAGCGAGTCTGCTGTCTCAGCCTCCCGAGTAGCTGAGATTACAGTCGCGCACTACCATGCCTGGCTAATTTTGTTTTGTTTTGTTTTGTTTTGAGACTGAGTCTTGCTCTGTCACACAGGCTGGAGTGCAGTGGCGCAATCTCGGCTCACTGCAACCTCCACCTTGCAGCTTCAAGTGATTCTCGTGCCTTGACCACCCTAGTAACTGGGATTACAGGTGCGCACCACCACGCCCGGCTAATTTTTGTATTTTTAATAGAGACGGGGTTTCACCTTGTTGGCCAGGCTGGTCTTGAACTCCCAACCTCGTGATCCGCACACCTCAGCCTCCCAAAGTATTGGGATTACAGGCGTGAGCCACCACGCCTAGCTTTTTTTTTTTTTTTTTTTTTTTTTTTTTTTTTTTTTTTTTTGAGACAGAGTTTTGCTCTTGTTGCCCAGGCTGGAGTGCAATGGTACAATCTTGGCTCACCGCAACCTCCACCTCCTGTGTTCAAGCGATTCTCCTGCCTCAGCCTCCTGAGTAGCTGGGATTACAGGCATGCACCACCACGCCCAGCTAATTTTTGTATTTTTAGTAGAGATGGAGTTTCTCTATGTTGGTCAGGCTGGTCTCGAACTCCCGACCTCAGGTGATCCTCCTGCCTCAGCCTCCCCAAGTGCTGGGATTACAAGCATGAGCCACTGTGCCCAGCCTAATTTTTGTATTTTTATTAGAGATGGTGTTTCACCATGTTGGCTAGGCTGGTCTTGAACTCCTGACCTCAGGAGATCCGCCCACCTCTGCCTCCCACAGTGCCGGAAGTATAGGCGTGAGCTACCTCACCCTGCCATCCTTTGTGTTTTTTTTTTTTTTTATCTTTTTAAAGAGACAGGGTCTCACTCTGTTACTCAGGCTGCAAGAATGCAGTGGTGTGATCCTTCCTCACTGCAGTCCCAAACTCCTGGGCTCAAGTGATCCTCCCTGCTCATCCTCCTGAGTAGCTGGGACTACAGGTGCATGCCACCACACCTGGTTCTTTTTAAAATTTTTTTTTTATAGAGATGGGGTCGCTCTCACTTTTTTTGCCCAGGCTGGTCTTGAACTCCTAGCTTCAAGGGATCCTCCCACCCTGGCCTGCCAAAGTACTGGGATTACAGGCATGAGCCACTGCATCCGGCCTTTATGTTATAGTACCCAGAATTTCATAGGCCTCCCTACATAAGCTATATTTTACTATATATTGATTAGGGTGAAAGTCATAATAACAAAAAGCCACTATGAATTTAGTGGCACTTTCAATCAAATTTGTATTTTTAAAATACAATTGCTTATTTCCTATACCTTACTATGTAGAATCTTGTGTGTGGGAGACTTCTAGGAATGGGAAGAAGGAAGCTAAGTTTGTCAATATCAGTAACCTTTTGTTTTCTTTTCTTCTCTTTGAAATTCTAGTACTCAAGGGAAAGAAGCTCAGTTTGCCAGCATAAGTGCCAAAGACCATCACCAGCATCTGTCCTTCAGGGTGCTCGGACAGAATTCTTACCACAGCAAAGGCATAAGATGCTTGATACGGAAAATCAGAAACTTAACTCTTTTGTTGCAGATAGTCATCAGTGGCTCTGTAAAAACGCAGAGGAAAAGAGCCAGAAGGTTTCTGTTTAATGCATCTTGCCTTATCTTTTTTTATTACTGTGTACAAAGATTTTTTTACACAAAGAAACTTAATGCTGTATTAATAAATTCAGTGTGTAGCTTCAATTGGGATAGTTCCAAAAGTGAAGATTTTGTGAGGAATAAGTGCAAATTTTTTTTTTATTTTAAAAAATTCTTTGAAACTCTTAAGTCTTTGTGTCTGCAATGAAATTGTACTCCTTGACAGTTGATAGATTATATATTCTTCCATCCCTCAAACTTGCATTCCACTATATTTATTTTTTGGCAAAAGATGAGCTGTATTTGTTTGAAATCTGAGACACTATGTTCAATTGGATGTATCTGTTCAAATTTATTCCCACGTGACGTGGAAGTCCTTCGTTGGATGTCACAACACTACATTTAAGGTTGGTAAGGATGACTTGGAGGTCCATGGTTTTCATTACCAACATTTTAAGATTCTGAATGTCGATGGAGTCTCACTGAAGAGTCACCAAAGGTGCCTGCCCTCCTCCCCTGCTGGGAAGTGTCAGTTGGAGACTGTCCCAAGGGTGCTGAAGAATCCAGTGGCAGGGGTTCTGGCTGCTTTCCATCTGAGTGTGGGATGGGAGGGGTGTTCATGATCATTTGGATATAGCAATCTACTCTGAGAAATGGAACACAAGGAGTTACCTATCACTTTCACTTATAATTCCAAAAGATGACTACAACCATGTCCATGCTCAGATTCAAACAGTTTTCCATATCACTTTTGGGTGGTAAGATGATTTAATTACAGTTTTTTTTTTAATTGGCAGCACCACTAACCATTCCTTACATTCTTTTTTGTATGTGTGGTTTTCTTTTTATTTAACCCGCAGCCGACATCGTAGTTTCTTGTTTTGTTTTGTTTTACAGAGCTGTTGCATGACTTATGTTACCATCCTAAAAAACACTATATTAAACATGGAATAAATTGTCTTTTTATGAATTAGGCTTTTTGAACATCCTGTGTTGGGATTTTTTTGTTTTTCAATTGGCAACAAAAGCTCTGTAGGGCTGCAGACATTTAAAGTTCACATAATCATCTGTAAGACATTATGTATTTTGTGGAAATACTAGAATTTTTTTCCTGATTTTGCCATTATATGGATTTGCTATTTTTTGATTAATGCAAAAGTATATGACTTTGTTTTTTATGTGATACACCATAAATATTAAAGTGTTGAATACTAACAGTGCTGACTACAAGAAGGATGTAGTATTTTGGCTTTCTGCATTACAACGTCTTCTGGAGGAAGGGAGCAGGATGGGTTTCATTTGTATCTAGTGTGTGTCTTAACATCTTTCTAAATCGGCAGTGTAACTGCATAGTTTAACTTCCTGTCTGTCTCCCTCATTTTACTCTTCCCTCCTTGTCTTATGTTTTGGCTTTTGTGTATCAGAGCATCTTTCTTTGCAGCATCCTAGTCTTGCTTCAGTTTCTGTGGTCTCTTTTCATCCTGCTTGAAGATTCGGAGTGTGGAAGGAGGCTAGGAAGTCTGGTGCAGTAGGTGAGCAGACCTCTTGCTGCCCAGCCCAGGGTGGGTGGGGCGCACACCTGTCTTTGTGCATGCAAATCTGATACACCTGGCGCATCCTCTGGAGAGCACAACGCATGGAAAGGTCTGGAAGCTCTGTGTAGCCATTCCTTCTGCAGTCATCCTACCCAAGTAAAAGTAACCTTGGCTATGTTACCACCGTTTTGGTCACCCAGGAGGACATCTTAGCAAGGGTGCCTGCGAGGGAGTGTGGGACTGGGCCTCATCCTCGCCGGCGTTGGAAACCAAGGCCTTGTATGCCACGCCTTATGAAGCACTGTTTCACAGTTACTTTCACTTCCCGAATAAAGGTTACCAGGTAATTAATATTTTTATTGAGGTGTTTGTGTGTTTTTCAATGTAAGCATCATGAGAAATAAAGCAAAGTTCAGATATTTGCCCAGTAATGGATATAGGAAAAGCTGCTTTCCAGCCAGGCCTGGTGGCTCATGCCTATAATCACAGTACTTTGGGAGGCTAAGGCAGGAGGATCACTTAAGGCCAGGAGTTTCAGACCAGCCTGGGCAACCTAGCAAGACCACATCTCATTTAAAAAACTAGTAAAAATGAAAACTTAAAAATAATAAAGGCTTCTATCCATTGGCTCCTTAACAGAGAGAGACCAATCTATTCCCCTGTCCAGTTCAATCACAAAGAAACTTTGAAGAAGTTTCCCTGTTGCCTTATGCCCTGGCTAAGAGAAGAGCAGGTGGAGAAGTGGTTTTAATGGAGATCATAGTGATTTATGGGAACCCTTAAGTAAGAAAAGCACATGCTTTGGGCCCAGGCATGTGTTGAGGCTTGGTTCCCTCACTTGTACTCCCTGGCCCTGGACTTCACGTGAGCCTCGTTGCCTCCAGTTACATAGGTAAACTGCCAGGGATTTCTGTGTGGTTTAAATGAGCTGCTGTTGGCAAAGCTCGTGGCTGGAGCTTGGTACATATACAGTAATCATATTTGCCCTCCTAACTTTCTGCTTACTTTGTGACATCTGTTTGAAAAGCTGGTTGGAAACTGGTTCTGGCAGGAGTCCCTCTGACTCGTTTGATATGGGTCAGTTTTGCCAGAAGGTTCACAACCCTCCTTAGGCGCAGCGGCTCACACCTGTAATCCCAGCACTTTGGGAGGCTGAGGCGGGCGGATCTCTTGAGGTCAGGAGTTTCAGACCATTCTGGCCAACATGGTAAAGCCCCCACTTCCACTAAAAATAAAAAAATAAGCCGGGTGTGGTGGCACACACCTGTAATTTCAGCTACTTGGGAGCCTGAGGCACAGGCATCGCTTGAACCTGGGAGGCAGAGGTTGGAGCTGCTGAGATCATGCCACTGCACCCCAGCCTGGGAAACAGAGTGAGACTCCATCTCAAAAAAAAGAAAGAGCCAGGCATGGTGGCTCACACCTATAATCCCAGCACTTTGGGAGGCGGAGGCGGGTGGATCAGGAGGTCAGGACATCGAGACCAACGTGGCTAACACGGTGAAACCCCGTCTCTACTAAAAATACAAAAAAATTAGCCGGGCGTGGTGGCGGACTCCTGTAGTCCCAGATACTAGGGAGGCTGAGGCAGGAGAATGGCATGAACCTGGGAGGCGCAGCTTGCAATGAGCCAAGATCGCGCCACTGCACTCCAGCCTGGGCGGCAGAGCAAGACTCCGTCTCAAAAAAAAAAAAAAAAAAAAGAAAGAAATTGACTCCTTGGTACCTTCCAAAAGCAGCCACCCATCTGAGGCTAGCTTGATTGGATCTGCGTGGGTGTTTTCTGTGTGCCTCTGTCCTCGTACCACCCAGCCATCCTCACAACTATCTGGGTTAACTGGAATCTGTAGCCTGGAATCTGCTGGAAGTGCTGTGGGTGTTTCTCCAGTTTTGAAACAATTCCTTTTGTCCCTGCACTTTAAAAGCCATTTGCAGCGTAACATAGTACATATCCTTTTAAGCAATGACAAGGGTACTTTTTTATAATACTAAAATAAAATGCTCTGCCTAGTTTCATCTTGGGCACTTAAAAGGTGAGAGTCACCTGGCGTGGTGGCTGACGCCTGTAATCCCAACACTTTGGGAGGCTGAGGTGGGCGGATCACTTGGGGTCAGGAGTTCAAGACTAGCCTGGCCAACATGGTGAAACCTCGTCTGTACTAAAAATACAAAAATTAGCTAGGCGTGGTGGTGCACACCTGTAATCCCAGGTATTTGGGAGGCTGAGGCAGAGGAATCCCTGGAACTCAGGAGGCAGAGGTTGCAGTGAGCCGAGATCATGCCACTGCACTCCAGCCTGGGCTGGAGTCAAGACTCAGTCTCAAAAACAAAAAAAAAAACAAAAAAACTGCCAAGAAAGGCTATGAAGAATACTCTGTAATTTGCAAATTATGAAACTGACTGAAAGAACAAGCAAAGAAGAATATTAAGGGTATTTTATTTTTCCCCAAAATTCATGATGGGATAAATATGGCAGGATGTTATTCTGTGTTAAATCTACACAGTGGGCCCTTAGGTGTCAGGCATCTTCTATGTATCTGAAATATTTCCATCATTTCAAAAAAGTCATTGTGAGTCACTTTTGTAAGAGCTGTGCTTTGATCTCGATAGTTCATCTGGGAAATAAGAGTTTCTTAAAGATTTTTTTTTTTTTTTTTAAGACAGAGTCTCACTCTGTGGCCCAGGCTGGAGTGCAGTGGTGGGATCTTGGCTCATTGCAACCTCCGCCTCCCGGGTTCAAGTGATTCTCCTGCCTCAGCCTCCTGAGTAGCTGGGACTACAGGCGCATACCACCACGCGAGGCTAATTTTTTTTTTTTTTTTTTTTTTTTTTTTTTTTTTTTTTTTTTTGAGACGGAGTCTCGCTCTGTCGCCCAGGCTGGAGTGCAGTGGCGGGATCTCGGCTCACTGCAAGCTCCGCCTCCCGGGTTCACGCCATTCTCCTGCCTCAGCCTCCCAAGTAGCTGGGACTACAGGCGCCCGCCACTACGCCCAGCTAATTTTTTTGTATTTTTAGTAGAGACGGGGTTTCACCGTTTTAGCCAGGATGGTCTCGATCTCCTGACCTCATGATCCGCCTGCCTCGGCCTCTCAAAGTGCTGGGATTACAGGTGTGAGCCATCGGGCCCAGCCGAAATTTTACTTCTTAAAAAAATTTGTGGGCTGGGCGCAGTGGGTCACACCTTTAATCCCTACACTTTGAGAGGCTGAAGTGGGTGGATCACTTGAGGCCAGGAGTTCCAGACCAGCCTGAAACTGGACATGGTGAAACCCCGTCTCTACTAAAAATACAAAAATTAGCCAGGCATGGTGGCATACGTCTGTAATCCCAGCTACTCAGGAGGCTGAGGCATGAGAATCGCTTGAACCCAGGAGATGGAGGTTGCAGTAAGTGGAGATTGCACCACTGCACTCCAGCCTGGGCTACAGAGGGAGACTCTGTCTGAAAAAAAAAAAGAAAAAGAAAAAGAAGCAAAAAATTGTGGCTCATGCCTGTAATCCTAGCACGTTGGGAGGCTTGAGGCCAGGAGTTCAAGACTAGCCTGGGCCACATGGCAAAACCCAGTCTCTACTAAAAATGCAAAAAAATTAGCCAGATGTGGTGGCACGTGCCTATAGTCTGAGCTACTCAGGTGGCTGAGGTGGGAGGATCGCTTGAGCCTGGGAGGTGGAGGTTGCAGCGAGCCAAGATCACACCACTGTACTCCAGCCTGCAGAACAGAATGAAACACTGTCTCAAAAATAAAATAAAATAAAATAAAATTTGTATACTACCAGTTTCCCAAAAGAGATTTCTTTGAAATTAAATTGTTTTGTAGGGTTTTGTTATTGTTTGTAACATTAAGTTCACAATACCTTTACTTATACTAACAAAAGTTTATGTAGAAACATTATCTTATTGCTAAGTACAAATCCTGTTTTTAAAAGAACTATTACTTTTAAGAATTTGGCAGGCATGAGGTGGGGCATGGTGGCTCATGCCTGTAATCCCAGCACTTTGCGAGGCCGAAGCGGACGGATCACCAGAGATCAGGAGTTTGAGACCAGTCTGTCCAACATGGTGAAACCCCATCTCTACTAAAAATACAAAAAAAAAAAAATTAGCTGGGTATGGTGGTGCGTGCCTGTAATCCCAGCTACTCGGGAGGCTGAGGTCGGAGAATCGTTTGAACCCGGAAGGCAGAAGTTGCAGTGAGCTGCGATCGCACCACTGCACTCCAGCCTGGGTGACAGAGTGAGACTCTGTCTCAAAAAAAAAAAAAAAAAAAAAAGGATTTGGCAGGCATGGTAGCTCATGCCTGTAATCCTAGCACTTTGGTTTGGGAGGACGAGGTGGGTGGATCGCTTGAACTCAGGAATTTGACCAGCCTGGGCAACGTGGCAAAACCCGTCTCTACAAAAAATACAAAAATTAGTCAGGTGTTGTGCTGTGCACCTATAGTCCCAGCTACTTAGGAGACTGAAGCAGGAGGATCACTTGAACCTTGGGAAGTCGAGGCTACAGTGAGCTGAGAGTGGGCCACTGTGTTCCAGTGTGGATGACAAAGTAAGACCCTGTCTAAAAAAAGAAAAAGAAAAAAAAAAGTCGAGGCCAGGAGCAATGGCTCACGCCTGTAATCCCAGCACTTTGGGAGGCCAAGGCGGGCAGATTACAAGGTCTGGAGTTCGAGACCAGCCTGGCCAACATAGTGAAAACCTGTCTCTACTAAAAATACAAAAAATAAGCCGGGTATGGTGACACACGCCTGTAGTCCCACCTACTCGGGAGGCTGAGGCAAGAGAATCACTTGAACCCAGGAGGCAGAGGTTGCAGTGAGCCGAGATCCACCACTGCATTCCAGCCTGGGCAACAGAACGAGACTCCGTCCTCCCCGCCCCCCCAAAAATAAATAAATAAATAAATGTAAATATATAAATAAATATATGTGTGTGTATATATATATATATATATATATATATATATATATATATACACACGATCATAGGCACAACCTACTACTGAATTAATGGTGGCTCAGCGTTTTGGTTATATATTTGCATGCCACACATACGTATCACGATATGTTTGTGTGTATGTAATTACGGAGAGATTAGGCAAAGTTGAACAAGCATCATTTGAAAATAAACTTTGTTTTCATGCATACATAAAATTAGAGAACTTGTTTTACCTCACCCTTAAGTTTTAAATAGTTTATTTATTTTATTTATTTTTTTCAGACGGAGTCTTGCTCTGTCGCCCAGGCTGAAGGGCAGTGGTGGGATCTCGGCTCACTGCAACCTCCGCCTCCCAGGTTCAAGTGATTCTCGTGCCTCAGCCTTCCAAGTAGCTGGGATTACAGGTGCCCAAAACCATGCCTGGCTAAGTTTTTTGTATTTTTAGTAGAGATGGGGTTTCCTCATGTTGGCCAGGCTGGTCTCGAACTCCTGACCTCAAATGATCCGCCTGCCTCAGCCTCCCAAAGTACTGTGATTACAGGCGTGAGCCACTGCACCTGGCCCAGTCTTGGGTACTTTAAAGAAACTCCTAGATGGCATATTTCATCCATAGATACTACATTCTAGTCCTAGTTGATAAAGACTTTTTATCACACCAACAAAGTTAGTACTTCTTTTTTTTTGAGATGCAGTCTCGCTCTGTCGCCCAGGCTGGAGTGCAGTGGCACATCTCGGCTCACTGCAAGCTCCGCCTCCCGGGTTCACGCCATTCTTCTGCATCAGCCTCCCGAGTAGCTGGGACTACAGGCGCCCCCCCAGCAAGCCCGGCTAATTTTTTCTATTTTTTTTAGTAGAGATGGGGTTTCACCGTGCTAGCCAGGGTTGTCTTGATCTCCTGACCTCGTGATCTGCCCGCCTCGGCCTCCCAAAGTGCTGGGATTACAGGCGTGAGCCACCGTCCCTGGCTAGTAATTCTTAAATATCATCTAACAGTCTATGTTCAAATTTTCCTGTCTCAAAAACATCTTTTTATCTCTGATCAATGGTGTCCAGCAAAAAAAAAAAAAAAAAACCAAAAACATATTTTTTATGGTTTGTCAATTTGAAGCACATCCAAAGCCTGCACGTAGCAGAAGCAGATTATCACTTTTTTTCTTTCTTTCCTTCTTTTTTTTTTTTTTTTTTTTTTTTGGAGGGAGGGTCTCTCTCTGTTGCCCAGGCTAGGGGGCAGTGGTGCCATCATAGCTCACTGCAGTCTTTAACTCCTTTAACTCCTGGGCTCAAGCAATCCTCCCACCACAGCCTTCTGAGTACTTAGGACTACAGGCCCATGCCAAGACACCTGGCCAATTCTTAAATTTCTTGTAGAGACGGAGGTCTCACTATGTTACCCAGGCTGGTCTCCAACTCCCGGGCTCAAGTGATCCTCCCGCCTCAGCCTCCCAAAATGCTGGGATTACAGGTGTGAGTCACCATGCTCAGCCTGGCCCACTTTTATAACTAAAGGCTTAAAACTCACCAGCAACAGCCACGCTTTTAGAGTATATAGTAGTGCGTGCTGTGGTGGTATTTAGTAACTAACCCATCAAAAAAACTAATATATGCACATATATACATACTTTTTTTTTTTTTTTGAGTTGGAGTCTCAGTCTGTCGCCAGGCTGGAGTGCAGGGCGCGATCTCGGCTCACTGCAACCTCTGCCTCCCAGGGTCAGCGACCTCCCTGCCTCAGCCTCCTGAGTAGCTGGGACTACGGGTGCGCACCACCACGCCCAGCTAATTTTTGTATTTTTAGTAGAGACGGGGTTTCACCATGTTGGCCGGGATGGTCTGGATCTTTTGACCTTGTGCCCTATCCGCCTCGGCCTCCCAAATTGCTGGGATTACAGGCGTGAGCCACCGTGCCCGGCCCATACACATACATTTATTGTACATTTTACTGATTCAAAGAATGTTGTGTTGGAGATCCCCCAAACCACCTTCAAGTTGAGTGATTTTTTTTTTTTTTTTTTTTTTGAGACAGAGTCTCTCTCTGTCACCCAGGCTGGAGTGCAACTGCAATCTCGGCTCACTGCAACCTCTACCTCCTGGGTTCAAGGGATTTTCCTGCCTCAGCCTCCCAAGTACCTGGGATTACAGGTGCATGGCAGCACGCCTGGCTAATTTTTATATTTTTAGTATCACCATGTTGCTCAGGCTGGTCTCAAACTCCCGACTTCAAGTGATCTACCTGCCTCGGCCTCCCAAAATGCTGGGATCACAGAAGTGAGCTACTGAGCCCGGCCATGTTCTATGATTTGCTAGAAGCACTCAGGCTCAGAAAGGCTGTCATACTTATGGTTGTAGCTTATTACAGTGAATGGATATGGATTCAAATCAGCAAAGGAAAAGGTGCATAGGGCAGTGTCTGGGAGACGCCAGGCATAAGCTTCCTTTCACAGTGGAGTCATATATATATCCTTAATTTGCCCAGCAACAATGTGTGACAACATGCATAAAGTATGTCCAACTAGGGAAGCTTCCCTGAGCCTGGGTGTCCAAGGGATTTTATTAGGCTCGGTCATGTAGGCATGGAGCATCCGTGTGACTCACCTTACCTACTCAGTCTCCAGCCACCCACCCAGAGGTTAACCTAATACAGCATGGCGCAAGGCTGCCACCACCAACCCACTGTTAGCATAAACTACTAGATGTTGCCCAAGGCCTGAGATATACAAATACACTCCTATCAAGTAGAATATTCCAAGGGCTCAGAAGTTATGTTTTAGGAGCTGGTCAAGAGCCAATCCTTTCTTTAGAATGTGCATACCCCAGACCTGTTGTGATAACACTGTGCTGCATAGATGTGTAGCAGATAATTTATTACACAAATAATAATGATGACATATAATACTCTTTACTATAATTCCAGATTTCCAGATAGCCTGTCACAGATGCTTTTTTTTTTTTTTTTTTTGGAGACAGTCTTGCACTGTCGCCCAGGCTGGAGTGCAGTGGCACGATCTCAGCTCACTGCAACCTCTGACTCCCAGGCTCAAGTGATTCTCCTGCCTCAGCCCCCCGAGTAGCTGGGACTACAGGTGCCTGTGCCACCATGCCCGGCTAATTTTTGTATTTTAGTAGAGATAGGGTTTCACCATGTTGGCTAGGCTGGTTTCGAACACCTGACCTCAAGTGATCTGTCCACCTCCCAGAGTGCTGGGATTACAGGTGTGAGCCACCGCACCTGGTCAATGCCCAGAATTTTCATCAGCCCAGTGAAATACCCTTGTCTAAAAATGTATTTGTTCACAGACCTTGCAAGCTTGTATTTTAATTTTATTATTATTAGTTTCATTTATTCTGAAACTTTTGGTACAGATCTTGCAATGTTTTTACTTTTTCTTTTAAGAGACAGGGTCTCGCTATGTTGCCCAGGCTGGTCTCAGCCTCAAGCCAGCTTGCCACCTGGCTGATGTTGCAATGTTAACATTAATTTCCTGGTACTGTTCTCTGACTTCCATCTTCTCCTTCCCAAGCCCTGCCATACCGCTCCAGCCCCACCCCTGCCTCTCATTCCTTCTACTTACTCTTTTTTTTTTTTTTTTTTGAGACAAAGTCTTACTCTGTCGCCCAGGCTGGAGTGCAGTGGCGTGATCTCAGCTCACTGCAACCTCTGCCTCCCAGGTTCAAGTGATTCTCCTGCCCCAGCCTCCTGAGCAGCTGGGATTACAGGCACGTGCCACCACGCCCACCTAATTTTTGTATTTTCAGTAGAGATAGAGTTTCACCATGTTGGCCAGGCTGTTCTCGAACTCCTGACCTCAAGTGATCCGCCTGCCTCGGCCTCCCAAAAGTGCTGGAATTACAGGCGTCAGCCACCGTGCCTGGCCCCACTTACTCTACACATAATCAGTTATTCATTCATTGAGAATTTAAGAATGCCTAGAATGTGCTCTATTACATTCATAGGAGTGAATAAGATGGACAAGGTGCCTCTGCTCGTGAAACTTACACTTTTAAGGGAGGAGGTAAGAGATAATAAACATGATGTAATGTCAGGGGCTCATTATGTGCCATGAAGGAAACTAAAGCAGCGTAAGGAACAGAGCCTGACAGTTTTGCTGTTTTAGCTAAGGTGGTCAGGGAAGGCCTCTTTGATGCAGTGACACTTGAGCTGAGGCCTGAATGAAGTGAGAGATAGAAATGAGGCAGGAGCGGGGCACCATGGCTCACACCTGTAATCCCAGCACCTTGGGAGGCCGAGGTGGGCGGATCACTTGAGGTCTGGGGTTCAAGACCAGCCTGGGCAACATGGCGAAACCCTGTCTCTACTAAAAATACAAAAATCGGGCCGGCCACGGTGGTTTATGCCTGTAATCCCAGCACTTTGGGAGCCCGAGGCAGGTGGATCACGAGGTCAAGAGATCGAAACCGTCTTGGCCAACATGGTGAAATCCGTCTCTGCTAAAAATACAAAAATTAGCCGGGCGTGGTGGCCCATGCCTGTAGTCCCAGCTACTAGGGAGGCTGAGGCAGAAGAATCGCTTGAACCCAGGAGGCGGGGGTTGCAGTGAGCCGAGATCGCGCCCTACACTCCAGCCTGGCGACAGAGCGAGACTCCGTCTCAAAAAAAACAAAAAAAACAAAAACAAAAAAAGAGGCAGGAGAGGCTGGGTGCGGTGGCTCACGCCTGTAATCCCAGTACTTTGGGAAGCTGAGGTGGGCGGATCACTTGAGGTCAGGAGTTCGAGACCAGCCAAGGCCAACATGGCAAAACCCTGTCTCTACTAAAAATACAAAAATTAGCTGTGCATGGTGGCATATGCCTATAATCCCAGCTACTCAGAATGCTGAGGCAGGAGAATCGCTTGAACTCAGAAGGCTGAGGTTGCAGAACTCAGATCGCGCCATGGCATTCCCACCTAGGCCACAGAACAAGACTCCATCTCAAAAAAAAAAAAAAAGGAAATGAGGCAGGAGAATCAGGAATGAGGGTAATCAATGGTTAACAAGGGTTAAGGCATAAGCAAAAGATCAGCAGGTGCAGCCAGTTCTGGGCAAGATAAGGCAGCATAGAGGCCACATCTGCACTTCTGTGATAACAAGACAGAAGTTTCCACTTCAGCCATGAGTGTTAACCACATTCTTTCTGCTTAATGAAGACCCTAATTGAGGGGTCTCTTGAGCTGTGTGGTCTCTTGAACTTCGTGTCAATCAATCTGTGCTTTTTACGCCATTTGTTTGTCTTTTGTTGATTTGTTTTTTGTTGTTGTCGTTGTTGCTTTGTGGGGTTTTTGTTGCAATTTTTATTTATTTATTATTTTTGAGATGGAGTTTTGCTCTTGTTGCCCAGGCTGGAGTGCAGTGGTGTGATTTTGGGTCACTGCAACCTCCATCTCCCGGGTTCAAGCAATTCTCCTGCCTCAGCCTCCCGAGTAGCTGGGATTACAGGCATGTGCCACCACATCCAGCTAATTTTTAGGAGAGACGGGGTTTCGCCATGTTGGCCAGGCTGGTCTTGAACTCCTGACTTCAAGTGATCCTCCTGCCTCAGCCTCCCAAAGTGTTGGGATTACAGGCATGAGCCACCGTGCCTGGCCTAGTTTTTGTATTTTCAGTAGAGACAGGGTTTCGCCATGTTGGCCAGGCTGGTCTTGAACCCCTGACCTCAGGTGATCCACCCGCCTCGGCCTCCCCAAAGTGCTGAGATTATAGGGGTGAGTCACCGTGCCCGGCCTTGTGTTGCAATTCTCGGTTCAACGCGCAAGCCCCTGACCAACTCACAGCCAAGACTTTCCATCCAGTAACAGAAAACCTGCAGGAGGACTCTTCCTGGCAGAGGAAACACAGAATGTAGAACCCCTGGAGCAAAAATGACCCTGATGTCTTTTCAGAGGGGGAAAAGGCGGCAGGCAGTGGGGTGGGTGATAGAGGCAAATAGTAACCAGGGAGACAGATAAATGAGCCCTTACAAACTTTTGATGTGTGACTACCAGGGAAAGGCCTTTGCCAGGGGCTGGAGTGTAATTTTTTTTTTTTTTTTGAGACGGAGTCTTGCTCTGTTGCCAGGCTAGAGTGCAGGGCGCGATCTTGGCTCACTGCAACCTCCGCCTCCCAGGTTCAAGCGATTCCCCTGCCTCAGCCTCCGGAGTAGCTGGAATTACAGGCATGTGCCACCACATCCAGCTAATTTTTAGGAGAGACGGGGTTTCGCCATGTTGGCCAGGCTGGTCTTGAACTCCTGACTTCAGGTGATCCTCCTGCCTCAGCCTCCCAAAGTGTTGGGATTACAGGCATGAGCCACCGTGCCTGGCCTAGTTTTTGTATTTTCAGTAGAGACAGGGTTTCGCCGTGTTGGCCAGGCTGGTCTTGAACCCCTGACCTCAGGTGATCCACCCGCCTCGGCCTCCCCAAAGTGCTGAGATTACAGGCGTGAGTCACCGTGCCCGGCCTTGTGTTGCAATTCTCGGTTCAACACGCAAGCCCCTGACCAACTCACAGCCAAGACTTTCCATCCAGTAACAGAAAACCTGCAGGGGGGCTATTCCTGGCAGAGGAAACACAGAATGTAGAACCCCTGGAGCAAAAATGACCCTGATGTCTTTTCAGAGGGGGAAAAGGCGGCAGGCAGTGGGGTGGGTGATAGAGGCAAATAGTAACCAGGGAGACAGATAAATGAGCCCTTACAAACTTTTGATGTGTGACTACCAGGGAAAGGCCTTTGCCAGGGGCTGGAGTGTAATTTTTTTTTTTTTTTTGAGACGGAGTCTTGCTCTGTTGCCAGGCTAGAGTGCAGGGCGCGATCTTGGCTCACTGCAACCTCTGCCTCCCAGGTTCAAGCGATTCCCCTGCCTCAGCCTCCCAAGTAGCCAGGACTACAGGTGCGTGCCACCACACTTGGCTAACTTTTTTTTTAAATTTTAGTAGAGACGAGGTTTCACCATGTTGGCTAAGATGGTCTCGATCTCCTCCTGACCTCGTGATTCGCCCACCTTAGCCTCCCAAAGTGTTGGGATTACAGGCGTGAGGCACCGCGCCTGGCCTGCAATGTAATTTTATGCACAAAGTGCAGCCTTGCAAAGTCCCAGGCAGGGTGCAGGCTTTATCTGAAGGTTCACAAAGTCACCCTGGCTGCTGAAGAGGGCACAGCAGAATGAGAAAGCACAGTGGGGTGATGAGCCCAGGCAGGAGATGAAGGTGGCTCAGACCAGGGTGGGGCAGTGGGGGTACTGAAAAGCGCTCAGACTCCACCCCGCCAGCTGCAGGGTGGTTTCAGACCCTGAACTCGAGGGGTTCCTAACACGGGCTCCTTACAGCAAGGGGCACAGATGGAAGCAATGTTGTCCCATGCTTGCAAGTCTCACAGAACGGGATATGAGTCCCACACCTGCCATTGACAGCCTGGGTCTCTAGGCTAGCTAATTCCTCCAGGCCTGAAGCGTCCCTCCTTATAAAATGAAAATTTCGGTCAGGTGTAGTGGCTCACGCCTGTAATACCAGCACTTTGGGAGGCTGCGGCGGGAGGATGGTTTGAGGCCAGGAGTTCAAGACCGGCCTGGGCAACAGAGTGAGACTCCGGTCTCTACAAAAAATAGGAAAATTTATGGAGAAACCCCATCTCTACTAAAAATACAAAATTAGCTGGGCATGGTGACACATGCCTGTAATCCCAGCTACTCAGGAGGCTGAGGCAGGAGAATCGCTTGAACCCAGGAGATGGAGGTTGTGGTGAACCAAGATCGCGCCATTGCACTCCAGCCTGGGGCAACAAGAGCAAAACTATGTCTCTAAATAAATAAATAAATAAATAAATAAATAAATAAAAATAAATTAGCCGGGAGTGTGGCACGTGCCTTTGGTCTCAGCTACTCAGGAGGTTGAGGTGGGAGAGTCGCTGGAATCCAGGAATTCAAGGCGGCATTCAGGAGTTCAAGGCTGCAGTGAGTCATGATTGCGCCACTGCACTCCACCCTGAACGACAGAGCCATACGCTGCCTTAAACAAACAGACAAACAGGGCCGGGCGCAGTGGTTCACGCCTGTAATCCTAGCACTTTGAGAGGCCCAGGCGGGCGGATCACTTGAGGTCAGGGGTTCGAGACCAGCCTGGCCAACATGGTGAAACTTCGTCTCTACTAAAAATACAAAAATTAGCCGTGGTGGCGCGCTCCTGTAATCACAGCTACACCGGAGCCTGAGACAGGTGAATCGCTTGAGCCCGGGAGGCGGAGGATGCAGTGAGCCGAGATCACACCCACTGCACTCCAGCCTGGGAACAGAGCGAGACTCCGTCACCAAAAAAAAAAAAAAAAAAAAAAAAAAAAAAAAAAAAAAAAGGAAAAGGAAATATCACCAGAACGGATATCACTGCACTCTTCACGAAAAAGAAAAAGAAAATACCAGAACGGATTTCACCGACCGGCAGACCTGCAATCGACTCAGCCAGCGCCTTCCGGATCAGCGTTTCTGCGCAGGCGCAGACAGCTCCGGCGGAAGAGGCGGTGTAGGGCTCAGTGCGCTTGCGCCGATCTCGGCCTCAGCGTGAGCATGCGCAGGTCCCCGCCCTCGCTGCGTTTGCGCTTGAGCGCCGATAATTTGGTGGCGGCGTCCGGAGGGTGCTGGTTTGTTCTCGGTGAACGGCGCGCGGGGTCTCTCCTGAGTGCGAGCTACGGGACCTTCGCCATGCCGGGGATGGTACTCTTCGGCCGGCGCTGGGCCATCGCCAGCGACGACTTGGTCTTCCCAGGGTTCTTCGAGCTGGTCGTGCGAGTGCTGTGGTAAGGACGGCGGCTACGGGGGCGGTGGAGCCCACCGGAGAGGGAGCGGGGGGCGAGCTGTCCCTTGAGACGGTGACAGAAGTGGCTTCCCAAGCACTGTCGCGGTCCCAGCGCTGGCCACGCATCCTCTTATCGAGTTCTCACCACTGCCCGAAGAGGTGGGCAGTGGTGCTGTGTCCATTTGACGGATGACAAACCGAAGCCCCCAGAGTGTGTGGGCTGACCCCGGGGGACAAACAGGGGGTTTCGAAGTCCGCGCAGCAGGACGCGAGCACCCCTTTGTGTGCAGCGCCGAGACCTGGCCCTGGGGTGCCACGAGGGTGTTACCGCCGGCAAAAGCCTTGGCCTCGAGTTCTCCTTTCTTGAGGCGGGAGCAGCCACTTGTGCCCTTCCTTCCCTTTGTACGGGGCACTTGAATCTGCAACACGAAGGATAGGAAAAAATACCGAGCCGGTTGTGGCTGCATTTCGTGAGAAGCAGACAGGCTCAACATACAACGCTGTTGTCTTTCAAAGTGTGGAATCAGTGGGAAGTGGCATTGGTACCTGAAGTCTGTTCCCAGAGGATCTGTGCAGGGAATGAATCATTGTTATGCAAAAGTAGATTCTTGGCTGGGCGCCATGGCTCACGCCTGTTATCTCAGCACATTGAGAGGCTGAGACGGGAGGATTGCTTGAGGGCAGGAGTTTGAGACCAACCTGGGCAACATAGTGAGACCCCTTTTCTTTTTATTTTTTTGAGACAGGGTCTCACTCTGCTACCCAGGCGGGAGTGCAGTGGTGCGATCACCACTCACTGCAGCCTCAACCTCCTGGGCTCAAGCGATCTTCCCACTTCACTCTTCCAAGTAGCTGGGACCACAGACTCGTGCCACCACGCCCAGCTAACTTTTTCTATTTTTTGTAGAGATGGAGTCTCACCGTGTTGCCCAGGCTAGTGTCCAACTCTTGTGCTCAAGTGATCCTCCTGCCTTGGCCTCCCAAAGTGCTAGGATTACAGACGTGAGCCGCCGTGCCGGGCCTAGATCTTTTATTGTTGGCAATTATATTCCAGGCCAGGTGCAGTGATTCATGCCTGTAATCCCAGCACTTTGGGAGGCCAAGGCAGGAAGATCACTTGAAGCCAGGAGTTCAAGACCAGTCTGGGCAACATAGCAAGACCCTGTCTCTACAAAAAGAAAATTATATTCCAAAGTGAACCTTGCCTTGTTTTGGAAAATATTAACTCCTTTTATTTCTTTTTTTTTTTTTTTTTTTTTTTTTTTTTTTTTGAGACGGAGTCTCATATCGTTGCCCAGGCTGGAGTGCAGTGACACGATCTCGGCTCACTGCCACCTCCACGTCCCAGGTTCAAGCAATTCTCCTGTCTCAGCCTCTCGAGTAGCTGGGACTACAGGTGCGCACCACTACGCCCAGCTATTTTTTTTTTTTTTTTTGTATTTTTCGTAGAGACAGGGTTTCACCATGTTGATCAGGATGGTCTCGATCTCCTGACCTTGTGATCCGCCCACCTCACCCTCCCAAAGTGCTGTGATTACAGGTGTGAGCCACCGCGCCCTGTCCCCTTTTATTTCTTTGTATCATGTTCTACACAGCAGCTCCTTGGATTTCATTTCTGACCCTTCCCTTTTTTTTTTTTGCCAGGTGGATTGGCATTCTGACGTTGTATCTCATGCACAGAGGAAAGCTGGACTGTGCTGGTGGAGCCTTGCTCAGCAGTTACTTGATCGTCCTCATGATTCTCCTGGCAGTTGTCATATGTACTGTGTCAGCCATCATGTGTGTCAGCATGAGAGGTAAAAAGTAGCCTTTTCTATTTGATACCTATTTTTTTATAGCTTTATTGAGATATAATTCACATACCATACAATTCACTTCTGTAAACTTTCCAATTCAACAGTTTTTAATATAATCACAGAGTTGTGCAGCCATCACCATCATCAAGTTTATACCATTTTCTTCACTCCTGAAAGAAATCCTGTACCAGGCGGGACACAGTGGCTCACACCTGTAATCCCAGCACTTTGGGAAGCCGAGGTGGGTGGATCACTTGAGGCCAGGAGCATGAGACTAGCCTGGCCAACACAGTGGAACCCCATCTCTACGTCTCTACTAAAAATAGAGAAAATTATGTTGGTGCATGCTTGTAATCCCAGCTGCTAGGGAGCTGAGATCATGCCACCGTACTCCAGCCTGAGTGACAGAGTGGAGACTCTGTCACAAAACGGAAAGAAAGAGATCCCATACCCATTAGCAGTCACTCCTCATTTTCCCCAAACTCTCCCAACCCTAAGCATTCACTAATTTGCTTTCTGTCTGTGTACATTTGCCTATTGTGGACATCATATAAGTGGAATTTATTCACTGTGTGGCCTTTTGGTCTGGTTTCTTAAGCTTAGCATAATGTCTTCAAGATTCATCGATGTTTTAGCATGTATCAGTACTTCATTTTGATGGCTGAATAAGAGCATCGAATGAATGGACCACATTTTATTTATCCCTTTGCCATTTGGTAGGCATTTGGATTGTTTCCATTTTTCACCTATTACGAATAGTGCAGCTATGAACATTCGCATACAAGTGTTTATACAGACATGTTTTCATTTCTCTTGAGTGTGTACCTAGGAGTGAATTGCTGGATCATGTGTTAATGCTCTGTGAAACCTTTTGAGGAACTGCCAGACTTTTCCAAGCAGCTGTACCATTTTACATTCCCACCAGCAGTGTATAAGGGTTCTAATTGCCCAACGCTCTTATTATATGACTTGTTAATTATAGCCATCCTAGTGAATGTGAAGTGGTAGCTCATGATTTTGTTTTGTTGTGTTTTGTTTTGTTTTTTTGAGACGGAGTCACACTCTGTCACCCAGGCTGGAGTGCCATGGCGCAATCTCGGCTCACTGTAACCTCTGCCTCCCGGGTTCAAGTGATTCTCCTGCCTCAGCCTCCCGAATAGCTGGGGCCACAGGCCATTTGTTTTTTGTCTCATGGCTTTGAGGAACATTTCTTTGGTGACTAATGATGTTGAGCATCCTTTCATTTGCTTATTGCTCATTTGTGTATCATTTTTGCGGAAATGTCTGTTCAGATCTTTTGCCCAATTTTAGACTAGGCTATTGATCCTTTTATTTTTTATTTTTATTTTTTGAGATAGAGTCTCCCTCCGCTGCGCAGGCTGGAGTGCAGTGGCGTGCTCTCTGCTCACTGCAGCCTCCGTCTCCTGGGTTCAAGTGATTCTTGTGCCTCAGCCTCCCATGTAGCTGGGATTACAGGCACCCGCTACCACGCCTGGCTAATTTTTGTATTTTTAGTAGAGATGCGGTTTTACCATGTTGGTCAGGCTTGTCTCGATCTCCTGACCTCACGTGATCCACCCGCTTCGACCTCCCAAAGTGCTAGGATTACAAGTGTGAGTCACCGCGCCTGGTCCCTTTTATTTTTACATTGTGAGGGTTACAACTATTTTGTTGTTGTTAGAGACAGTGTCTTGCTCTGTTGCCCAGGCTAGAGGGCAGTGGCGCAATCATAGCTCACTGCAGCCTCAAATACCTGGGCTCAAGCAATCCTCTCTTCTCAACCCCCAAGTAGCTGGAAGTACAGGCACGTGCCACCATACCTGGCTAATTTTTTTTATTTTTATTTTTTGTAGAGACAGGGTCTTGCTATATAGCTTAGACTGATCTTGAACTCCTGGGCTCAGGTGATCCTCTCGTCTCGGTCTCCCAAAATGCTAGGATTACAGGGGTGAACCACCGCGTCTGATCACCTATTCTTCATATTTTTTATATGTGTTACAGTTTTCTGTAGATAACCATTTATCTGAGAATGTCTCCAGAAGTGTTGGAAACCTTCCCTGTTGGATTCCTCTGCTTCATAGGATGATGTGAGCACTGTGGTGACTAATAAAGGAATGCATTCTTAGAAATGATTCATTGGTCAGAGGCAGGGCTGTGTGACATGCCACCATCCGCCATGTTTTAGTCCTTTGTCACTGCTTGAATTGGGATGGACGAGGTATGCATATCAGATATATGCTGGTGGTGAGGTGCACTGGGAGGCGCTGGTGATACAGTGAGTGACGGCATCAAGATCTTGACAGTTTGGAATAAAGGACTGAAATGTAAAAGGTGTTAGCTCATAGGAGCAATGTAGAGGGTAGAAATGTTAGCAGCAACATCTTTCATGAGAAAAAGACCTTAGGGTTTGGGATGACCAGCAAGAGTGGCATGTGCCTGATTACCACAGTAACATAGAAAACAGAGCTCTGTGTATTTTATTTTACTTTTTTCTTTTGAGACAGAGTTTTGCCCTTGTTGCCCAGGGCTGGACTGCAATGGCGTAATCTCAGCTCACTGCAACCAACCTCTGCCTCCCAGATTCAAACAATTCTGCCTCAGCCTCCCAACTAGCTGAGATTACAGGCACGTGCCACCACACCCAGCTAATTTTTTTGTATTTTTAGTAGAGACAGTTTCTTTTTTTTTTTTTTTTTTTTTTTTAGTAGAGACAAAGTTTTTTGTTTGTTTTGTTTTGTTTTTTTTGTTTTTTGTTTTTTTTTTCCGGATGGAGTCTCGCTCTTTCACCCAGGCTGGACTGCAGTGGCACTATCTCTATCTCGGCTCACTGTAAGCTCCGCCTCCCGGGTTCACGCCATTCTCCTGCCTCAGCCTCCCAAGTAGCTGGGACTACAGGCGCCCGCCACCGTGCCTGGCTATTTTTTTTTTTTTTTTTGTATTTTTAGAAGAGACGGGGTTTCACTGTGTTAGCCAGGATGGTCTCCATCTCTTGACCTCGTGATCCGCCCGCCTCAGCCTCCCAAAGTGCTGGGATTATAGGCGTGAGCCACTGCACCTGGTCTAGTAGAGACAAAGTTGAACCATGTTGGCCAGGCTGGTCTCGAACTCCTGACCTTAGCTGATCCACCCACCTCATCCTCCCAAAGTGCTGGTATTACAGGTGTGAGCCACTGCACCCAGCTAGCTCTGTGTATTTTAGTATGCCTCTAGAAACATCCACGCAAGGAGGCTGGATTGATGGAGGCTCCACGTTTGTGTTGGCCCCCAAATGTAGGCTGTCATTGGTGCCAGATGCTTAAGGAAAGAAAGAAACCATGTGTACAGTGTGGCTTCAGCGCTGGGAAGCTTCTTATTGAAGGTGAAGTATTGAGACTGGTGTCATTTCAGATACAGCATTATCTAACTTATTTGCCCTTTTTTGTTCATCTCACATTCTGGTTAGACCACTGAGTTTGTGGCTGTAATAGCAGGGTCAGAGTGGAAGCAGTCGGTGTACTTTTTTTTTTCCTTACATGTTTGTTTGTGTTGAGATATTTTTGGTGTTGGGACGTCTTTACCTCCCTGTGAGGGATGCTCATATTCACTCCGTTCCCTCTTCCTAGACACTCGTACAATGCTTGCATCATCATGTACTTGTGGTCAGAGCTCAGAAGTCATCTGTGGGTTGTCGGAGTGTTCTGGGTTGTCTATCCCACAGCCTCCTCCAAACAGAACCCCGTTTTGTTTTGCCCCCATCCCACACATACCAAGTATGCGTCAGAGAAGCAGACCCTAGGCCGGGCTCACGTATTGGTGATTGGTTCAGGAATGGACACGTGACCCAGTTTGGCCCAGTGAGAGTCAGGGAGAGTTTGGTGGAAGGTTCTGGGGAAGTGCTTCCTTGCCCCTCTAGGAAGGATCCAAAAGCCATTTATCGTCGCTCTCCTGGCTGAAGCTGTGTCTCCACTCACAGCGCAGGGCAAGCTGACATACAGGGCAGGGGAGAGCTGGGAGAAGCACAAGGAGATGGAGGCTTGTCTCGGTCAGGGCAGCCCCGATGCCGTCTTGCTTCTGCACTCAGTCGCTCGAGTCATTGTGGCCCTTCCTGCTTTTCAGCCAGTTTGAGTTGAATTTTCTGTAACTTGTGGGTAGAGATATCCCAGCCAAACTGAAAACAGTATTTTATAAAAACATGTTCGTTTAATTGTCAGTTTGTTGCACATAACATTATATGCCTTATTAAAAATATGTATTGAAGGCCAGGCGCGGTGGCTTACACCTGTAATTCCAGCACTCTGGGAGGCTGAGGCGGGTGCATCATGAGGTCAGGAGATCAAGACCATCCTGACTAACACGGTGAAACCCCGTCTCTTCTAAAAATACAAAAAATTAGCTGGGCGTGGTGGCGGGCCCCTGTAGTCACACCTACTCGGGAGGCTGAGGCAGGAGAATCGCTTGAACTCGGGAGGCGGAGGTTGCAGTGAGCCGAGATCGCGCCATTGCACTCCAGCCTGGACGACAGAGTGAGACTCTGTCTCAAAAAAAAAAAAAAGAAAAAAATGTTTGTTTAATTGTCAGTTTGTGGCCGGGCGCGGTGGCTCACGCCTGTAATCCCAGCACTTTGGGAGGCCGAGGCGGGCGAATCATGAGGTGAGGAGATTGAGACCATCCTGGCTAACATGGTGAAACCCCGTCTCTACTAAAAAGTACAAAAAATTAGCCAGGCGTGGTGGCAGCTGCCTGTAGTCCCAGCTACTTGGGAGGCTGAGCCAGGAGAATGGCATGAACCTGGGAGGCGGAGCTTGCAGTGAGCCGAGATCGCGCCACTGCACTCCAGCTTGGGCGACAGAGCGAGACTCCATCTCAAAAAAAAAAAAAAAATTGTCAGTTTGTTACACATAACGTCATATGCCTTATTAAAAATATGTATCGAAAGCTGGGAGCGGTGGCTCATGCCTGTAACCCCAGCACTTTCACAAGAGGGAAACTCCGTCCCCCCCTCAAAAAAAAAACAAAGAAAAAACCAATGGTCAGTAGGAAAATGGGCAAAGAACATGAACATGTAAAGGAAATATAAATGATTGATTGACTGATGGATTGATTTTGAGATGGAATTTTGCTCTGTTGCCCAGGCTGGAGTGCAGTGGTGGGATCTCAGCTCACTGCAACCTCCGCCTCCCAGGTTCAAGCAGTTCTCCTGGCTCAGCCTCCCAATTAACTGGGATTACAGGCACACACTACTATGCCTGTCTAATTTTGTGTTTTTTTGTAGAAACCATGTTGGCCAGGCTGGTCTCGAACTTCCCGCCATGGCCTCCCAAAGTGTTGGGATTACAGGCATGAGCTACTGCACCCGGCCGACATAGCTAACTTCTGTTGTCCCTTTTGTTTCGTAAATCAAGTCCCAGTAGCCTGTCATCTGAGCTGAAAGAATGCTTCTTTAGCTTTTGGCTGATACTCCTCTCTGAAAGGAACATCACAAGATGTGGAGGGAACATTTGGAGCAGGTGGAATTCAGTCCTCTCCATCCAGAAGACTGATCCTCTTCTTCTGTAGCTCAATTGAGGAAAACTTTTTTTTTTTTTTTGGAGACGGAGTTTCGCTTTTGAGTCCCCAGGATGGAGTGCAATGGCATGATCTCGGCTCACCGCAACCTCCGCCTTCTGGGTTCAAGTGATTCTCCTGCCTCAGCCTCCCAAGTAGCTGGGATTACAGGCATGCACCACCACACCTGGCTAATTTTATATTTTTAGTAGAGATGGGGTTTCTCCATGTTGGTCAGGCTGGTCTTGAACTCCAGGTGATCTGCCGCCTCAGCCTCCCAAAGTGCTGGGGATTACAAGCCTGAGCCACTGCACCCGGCATTTGAGGAAAACTTTGATACTGTGGTAGTTTCTTTTTCTTTCTTTTTTTTTTTTTTTTGAGACAGAGTCTTTCTCCATCACCCAGGCTGGAGTGCAGTGGCGTGATCTTAGCTCACTGCATCCTCTACCTCTTGGGTTCGACCGATTCTCCTGCCTCAGCCTCCCGAGTAGCTGGGATTACAGGCGCCCACCACCATGCCTGGCTAATTTTTGTATTTTTAGTAGAGATGGGTTTTTGCCATGTTGGCCAGGCTGGTCTCGAACTCCTGACCTCAGGTGATCCACCCGCCTTGCCCTCCCAAATTGCTCGGATTATAGGTATGAGCCACCGCACCCGGCCTAGTTTCTATTTTTAATTTGAAAACCTCCCAAATGAAATCCCACTGTTGCACCTTGTGGGAGGTTTGATTGGAGATGGTCCACCCTTATGACTACCATGTTTTGACAGAAGAACCCTTTTGACATACAAAGTCTGCCTTGTGCCATGTGTGGCTTTGATTGTGGGATGCCTCCTTGTATCTCCTCTGTGTTTGTATCCCAAGAGCTCATTGCTAAGCTGGGTCAGAGAAGATTGCAGCATTGGCTATAGGAGTTGAGTGTACTGATTCTGGGACCTAGGCCTTCCTTTCATTGCTCTTCCATAAGTGGCTGTGTCTGATGATGGATGATAGGGTTACTTAACCAAGACAGTGGTGAGGACATTACATTTAGGAATGCAGCTGTGCTTGTCGGTTATGGGGCCAGCGACCTTAGGAAGCCTGCTGCGGCAGCCAGGTCCATACTAGCATCTGTTTTTCTTAAGGAAAAATAAAAGGGAAAGTTTTTCTTTTTTTTTTTTTCTTTTTTTTTCTTTTTGAGATAGAGTCTCACTCTGTCGCCCAGGCTGGAGTGCAGTGTCACAGTCTTGGCTTACTGCAACCTCCGCATCCTGGGTTCAAGCAATTCTCTTGCCTCAGCTTCCTGAGTAGCTGGGACTACATGAGCACACCACCATGCCTGGCTAATTTTTTATATTTTAGTAGAGATGAGGTTTCACCATGTCAGCCAGGCTGGTCTCAAACTCCTGAGCTCAGACAGTCCATCCACCTTGGCCTCCCCTGAGCTCAGACAGTCCATCCACCTCGGCCTCCCAAAGTGTTAGGATTACAGGCGTGAGCCACCGCACCCGGCCAGAAATTTTTTCTAGGCAGGCAAAACCGTGTAAAGGAGATTTTCTCAGTACCATCATCATCATCATCATCATCATTATCTTTTTTAAAAAATAATCAGAGATGAGGTCTCTCTGTGTTCCCCAGCGTGGTCTCGAACTCCTGGGCTCAAGCAATCCTCCTGCCTTGGCCACCCAATGTGCTGGGATCAATATCTTATTTTCTGGAACCTTAATCAGAGCAACTCCATCTCTTGATTCCTTGTCTGTGTATTTCATTAATGCAGTATCAGCAGTTGTCATCACAGTTGGAGTTTCAAGTCCAGGTGCTGCTGACATTAGGATGTGTCTGTTTTTAGAATCCCAGCCCTCCAGGAAGCAGTGTGTATGCAGATACTGTTTCCTGTTTCTCTGGGGTGTTTGGCTATTGTTATAACAAGCTCCAAATATAGGACTGTGTTTTTTTTTTTCCACATACCTGCACCCTTTCCCCCTCAGAGAGGTTAGTGTTACAATTATTTAGCTTATAAAATTTTGTCTTTGTGCCAAAAATGAGGCTGTTAGTGCCTAATATTTTATTTATTTATTTATTTTTGCATTTTAAAAATTATTTTTATACTTTAAGTTCTATGGTACATGTGCACAACATGCAGGTTTGTTACATATGTGTACATGTGCCATGTTGGTGTGCTGCACCCGTTACTCGTCATTTACATTAGGTATATCTCCTAATGCTATCCCTCCCTCCTCCCCCACCCAACTACAGGCCCCGGTGTGTGATGTTCCCCACCCTGTGTCCAAGTGTTCTCATTGTTCAGTTCCCACCTATGAGTGAAAACATGCGGTGTTTGGTTTTCTGTCCTTGCGATAGTTTGCTCAGAATGATGGTTTCCAGCTTCATCCATGTCCCTACAAAGGACATGAACTCATCCTTCTTTATGTTAGTGCCTAATATTTTAAAATGTAACTATTTCAGTCATTCTAACAGAAGATAATTTTTTGAATTTAAAAGCTATTTCCTGGTAGGGTGCTGTGGCTCATGCCTGTAATCCCAGCACTTTGCGAGGCAAAGGCGGGCAGATCACTTGAGGTCAGGAGTTCAAGACCAGCCTGGCCAACATGGTGAAACCCAGTCTCTACTAAAAATACAAAAATTAGCCAGGTGTAATGCCTCTAATCCCAGCTACTAGGGAGGCTGAGGCAGGAGAATCACTTGAACCTGGGAGGCGGAGGTTGTGGTAAGCTGAGATCACACTACTGCACTCCAGCCTGGGCGACAGAGTGAGACTCCATCTAAAAAAACAAAAACAAAAATTAACCAAAAAACGCCCACAAAAAAACAACTGTCTATGGGACTATGAGGCCTATTTCAGCGTGGTGGTGTGCACCTGTAGTCCTAGCTACCAGAGAGGCTGAGGTGGGTGGATCACTTGAGCCTGAGAGGTGGAGGCTGCAGTGAGTCATGATTGTGCCACCACACTCCAGCCTGGGCAAGAGAGTGAGACCTTGTCTCCAAAAAGAATGGTAGCTATTACGCTCTCTGAGCTTCAGTTTGCTTGCTCATACGTAAAATGAGATAATGACTAACCCAGTCATTGTGGGGATTACAGAACTACGCACATAAAGTGTTTTAGGTTGGTGTCTAGAACAATGTAGGTCTCAAAGGGACGTGGAGCTTGTTTTCATGGCTGTTAGAACTTGGGTGACCATATATCCCTGTTTGCCTGGGACAGTTCTGTTTTGTGCCTGTTGTCTCAGCATAATTATTACTATTATTATTATTATTATTATTATTATTATTATTATTTTGAGACGGAGTCTTGCTCTGTCACCCAGACTAGAGTGCAGTGGCGCAATCTCAGCTCACTGCAACCTCCGCCTCCTGGGTTCAAGCGATTCTCCTGTCTCAGCCTCCCTCGCAAGTAGCTAGGATTACAGACGCCCGCCACCACGCCTCGCTAATTTTTTAATTTTTAGTAGAGATGAGGTTTCACCATGTTGGCCAGGCTGGTCTCGAACTCCTGACCTCAGGTGATCTACCTGCCTTGGCCTCCTCCCAAAGTGCTGGGAGTACAGGTGTGAGTCACCGTGCCCGGCCCCAGCATAATTATTAATAGTCCCCTTTTTTCCTCTCAGAAGTATACCAGTTTGGGCCATGATTATATTGTCACCCCAGTGAGAACCCAGAAGTGTTTTTAATCCCTGCTAAATCTTAAAAAAGAGCCCAGGACTTCTTGTCACGTTTCCCATCCTCATTTTCTCACTTGCTGTCTGACTTAGGTGCTGATTACCAATTATAAGTAGAAAAAGTCAGGAGGCGGGTGTGCACAGTACAAATGTATGCTCTGCAAAAGCTGTATTTTTGCAAAAAGGAAGCTCTTCATCTCTGAGGAAGCAACTGAGCAGTCGGAACGTTTTTTGTATTTCAGGAACGATTTGTAACCCTGGACCGCGGAAGTCTATGTCTAAGCTGCTTTACATCCGCCTGGCGCTGTTTTTTCCAGAGATGGTCTGGGCCTCTCTGGGGGCTGCCTGGGTGGCAGATGGTGTTCAGTGCGACAGGACAGTTGTAAACGGCATCATCGCAACCGTCGTGGTCAGGTGACATCTCCCTTCTTCTCTTTGAGTTTCAGTGGATTTGAGGCATAGGTGAACAAACCCTTCTAACATGACAGAGAGTCCAGCGTCCCTCGGACTTCCTCAAATAGTTAGAAATTGGAGTTAGTTTCTGCGTAACTCATGAAAATTTAGAGACACTGTTTGTCCATGAAATACAACTCGTCTTTCGTTATGCACGTATTGATGTAGATTTCTTTCCTTACTGGTTCTTTATTTTCTACATTCCCTTCTGTCTCTCTCTCTTTTTTTTTTTTCTTTTTTTCTTAAAGTCTTTTATTCCTAACCCTTCTCTTATAAGAATTCGGAAGAAAACCAAAGACCAAAACCAGAGCAAAAACTAAAACTAAAGGTATGAAAAGAGATACGGTGTCCAGAAGTGGGACAGGGAATAATATTCTAGAACAATAAGGTTTTCGTGTTTTCTAGGCTAAAAATCTTAGAGATGATCCAGTCCCGCCCCCTTAACACCCTCTGTTCTAAATAAGGAATCAGACCTGGGCTGTTGCTGCGTTTCTCGAGTCACACCGCCAGGGGGCAGCAGAGCCCCTTCGGGAGGGGCATTTCCCGGTTGCGTGTGCTCCTCAATCCGGCGTCTTGCAGTGTGAAATATTTAAACATATAGATGAGAGGCCTATCAGAGTACTCTGTGATACCTTCATGAGAAGAGCCCTGAGGCACCGAAGGGGAAGGGCGTATGTCATGGTCCCAGGGCCATATGGAGAAGAAGTGCCCGCTGCATCCGGGCGCAGGCTGCAACTCTGCCCAGCGGACACCTCCCTGTTCCTTCTGTGGCCTTTACTGTTAGGGCAGGGCCTGGGTTAACCACTGATTCATAAGGAACTTTTTTTTTTTTTTCTTTGAGACGGAGTCTCCCTCTGTCGCCCGGCTGGAGTGCAGTGGCGCCTCCTCGGCTCACTGCAATCTCCGACTCTCTGGTTCAAGCGATTCTCCTGCCTCAGCCTCCTCAGAAGCTGGGACTACAGGCACGTGCCACCACACCCAGCTAATTTTTGTGTTTTTAGTAGAGACGGGGTTTCACTATGTTGGCCAGGCTGGTCTCGATCTCCTGACCTCGTGATCTGCCGGCCTCGGCCTCCCAAAGTGCTGGGATTACAGGTGTGAGCCACCATGCCCAGCCTCATAAGGAACTTTCTAGAAGAAAGTTGCTTGCCTCAGGCAGGTTCCAGGAGAGCTGCATCTTCCTCGGTAACAGAACCCTCCGTGGTAGAGACTCAGAAACTGAACCTGGAGGAGGGACCCCGGACATCTGCGTCTGGGCTGGGGCCCGCAGTCACCGAGCCTTTTCCTCTCTCTGTCTTGCAGTTGGATCATCATCGCTGCCACAGTGGTTTCCATTATCATTGTCTTTGACCCTCTTGGGGGGAAAATGGCTCCATATTCCTCTGCCGGCCCCAGCCACCTGGATAGTCATGATTCAAGCCAGTTACTTAATGGCCTCAAGACAGCAGCTACAAGCGTGTGGGAAACCAGAATCAAGCTCTTGTGCTGTTGCATTGGGAAAGACGACCATACTCGGGTTGCTTTTTCGAGTACGGCAGAGCTTTTCTCAACCTACTTTTCAGTAAGCCGAGGGGATCTGGTTTGGTCTGTTTCTTCTGTTTCAGTAAATGCTTCTGATGGAGCCGGTCCCTCTGTTCCCATAAAACCGCGTTTGAGAACCTGGTGTCTTTGGGTGTGTGGGGGGTGGCCGGAGACCCTCTGTCTGTGATGAGCCCTCCAGGGAGCAGTTAACTGCAAGAGCCACACCTTCTCAGACCCTGTGTCCCAATAGGACATGTCTTCGTATTGACACCCACTCACTACCCTGTCAAAATGCTGGATTAGCCTGTAAGGAACCACATAACGGACGCTGTACCCTTTGAGAATAATTTGCAGCTGCTGTTGAGCAGATACCAAGCACAGGCAGTGGCATGAATCGAGGTTGGAATCAGATAGTGAGTGACTTCTTACCACTTTGTATCATGATGGAAATGATCGACGATGCTACTTTTGGAAGACAGTTTGAATAGATGATTGCAGCACAGAAGGGAGCGTCATTCTAGAGCGAGTTCTTCCGCAATTTGAAAATGCTTGTTTTTTTTTTTTCACATGCAGCGTGTCATCTTTTTATATGACATTCTCTGCTAAATGCTGTTAAATTCCATACTGAGATGAGGTAAGGGAGGAAGAGTTCTCTGCTTATCCTGCACACCTGCCAGTCTCTCTTCCCACCTCTGTGCTATCCGACTTGGCACCATTCAGGGCTGGTCCTGGAGCCTGACACCAAGTCATAGCAGCAGCCTCCGTAGAGGGAAGAGGGAAGCGTGTCCCCTCAGTAACTTAAAGAAGTGCTTAAACCTAGTCTTAAGATATCTGGAAGAGGGAAGAAGAGAAGCTGGTTATTTCTAGAGGATGTCGTAATCTACATCACAGGCAGAACTGATGGCTCAGTGGCTGAGTGGCCAGTATATTGTCTTTTTTTTTTTTTTTTTGAGACAAGGTCTCGTTTTGTCACCCGGGCTGGAGTGCAGTGGCGCCATCTTGGCACAACCTCCACCTCCTGTGTTCGAGAGATTCTCCTGCCTCAGCGTACTGAGTAGCTAGAGTACTACAATAGCTGGGATGACAGGCACCTGCCACCACGCCCAGCTAATTTTTGTATTTATAGTAGAGACAGGGTTTCACCATGTTGGCCAGGCTGGTCTCGAACTTCTGACCTCAGGTGATCCGCCCACCTCGGCCTCCCAAAGTGCTGGGATTACAGGCGTGAGTCATCGCACCTGGCAGTATATTGTCCATTCTTACGGGCTACAAGTACCCGGAGGTGATTGAGAATTCCTAATTCCTCCATTTCCTGGAGAAAAAGGACATGTCAGGCCTAAGAAGACTCACTCTCTGTTGCTTTCCCAGCTTGGGGTCCTTTATGAGGCTTGCCATACCCTGTGAGTATGAGTTTAGTCTCATAAATCTCTACCATCCACTGTGTTTCAACAAAACCTTCCCAGCATCTTGAGAAATGAGAGTATAAACGTGGGCTAAAATGGTGCATTGCTACAAAAACGGACAATTTATCCATTGATTTCTCCACTTTACAAAATATTTGAAGTAGATTAAAAATAGTTGAGTCACATGAAGTGAAATTTTAAGACAGACGAATAGCATTTTTATATTCTCCAGTGGACTTGTCTGAGGGCAGGATGTGAAAACATATTCAGGTCACATAGAGAAGCACTCCTGCCAGGAGCAGTCTTTTTAACATACCTCTGTGTCTAGAAATGTCTGTGTGTGCGTGAATGCCTATCAACTATAGAAGACTGGATTTTAGGGAACCCGGGGGTGGTGCCTGCTGGGTTTTATGACAGGCCATTGTGGTTTCCCACCCAGGACACAGATCTGGTGCCCAGCGACATTGCGGCGGGCCTCGCCCTGCTTCATCAGCAACAGGACAATATCAGGAACAACCAAGAGCCTGCCCAGGTGGTCTGCCATGCCCCAGGGAGCTCCCAGGTGAGCCTGGCTTCATGGAGTGTCCAGTTCTGACACTTACACCTTTTGGTGGGTCTTCAGAATCATACAGCTAACCTATAGCAATTTCTTCCTCCCTTCCTTCATTCCCCTTTCCCCTCCCTCCCCTCCCCCTCCTCCCCTTCCCTCCCCTCTCCCACCTTTTTTTTTTTTTTTTTTAAGACGGAGTCTCGCTCTGTCGCCCAGGCTGGAGTGCAGTGGCACAATCGCGGCTTACTGCAAGTTCTGCCTCCCAGGTTCACACCATTCTCCTGCCCCAGCCTCCTGAGTAGCTGGGACTACAGGCGCCTGCCACCACACCTGGCTAATTTTTTTTCTTATTTTTAGTAGAGACGGGGTTTCACCGTGTTAGCCAGGATGGTCTCCATCTCTTCACCTCATGATCTGCCCACCTCAGCCTCCCAAAGTGCTGGGATTACAGGCGTGAGCCACCGTGCCCAGCCTCCCCTCCCCTTTTTTTCTTTTTCTTTTTATGAGATGGAGTTTTGCTCTTGTTGCTCGGGCTGGAGTGCAATGACACAATTGGCTCACCACAACTTCCACCTCCCGGGTGATTCTCCTGCCTCAGCCTCCTGAGTAGCTGGGATTACAGGCGCATACCATCACACTCAGCTAATTTTTTGTATTTTTAGTAGAGATGGGGTTTTGCCATGTTGGCCAGGCTGGTCTCAAACTCATGACCTCAGGTAATCTGCCTGCCTCGGCTTCCCAGAGTGCTGGGATTACAGGCATGAGCCACCACACCGGGCCTATTTTTCATTTTTTTAACTTTTATTTTAGGTTCAGGGGTACATGAGCAGGGTTGTTACACCGGTAAACTCATGTCACGAAGGTTTGTTGTACAGATTATTTTGTCACCCAGGTACTAAGCCTAGGACCCTACAGCAGTTTCATTAGCAGCAGGGTTGGAATCTGATTGGCGGCTTCCACTGGTTGTATTGCATCACCTGTCAGGTGAGGCATCTTCGTTATCAACTGGAGTTCAGGTAGTGGGAACCCATTCCTGGCCACTTTATCATCCATCATATCTTTATTTTTTATTTTATTTTTTGAGACAGAGTCTCTGTCACCCAGGCTGGAGTGCAATGGCATGATCTTGGCTCACTGCACCCTCTGTCTCCTGACTTCAAGCAATTCTCCTGCCTCAGCCTCCACAGTAGCTGGGACTACAGGCGTGCACCACCATGCCCAGCTAATTTTTGTATTTTTAGCAGAGACGGGGTTTCACCGTGTTGGCCAGGCTGTTCTCAAACTCTTAGCCTCAAGTGATTTGCCGGCCTTGGCCCCCCAAAGTGCTGGGATTACAGGCGTGAGCCACTGCATCCGGCCACATTTATCATATCTTTGAAGGCTTATGTTTTAGGAAATTTGCTGTTCAATTCTATGCATTAGAACAATTCCTCCTGGGATGGGGACTGCGATTCTCCCTGGGTGTGTTTGCTTTCTTCTCTGGGGCTGGGGGCAGAAGCAGTTCAGCTTTGCTTGGTGATAATTTTCCTGCCACAGGTTGTTATGTTTTTGAGAAAGAAAATTGCACGTAGACGGTATGTATCTTCGCTGCTCCGGGTTAAGCCACTCAGTTCTTGACAGCTCGTGTGTGGCAGTGGCATGGAAATGTACTAGTTTCAGGCATCTAGATAGGAAGCGCCGGCTCATTTCAGCAAAAACAGCAGAGAAGTCATTGGAGTGTTTTTTACTGTTAACTTCCCCGTGCTTGCTGTGTTCCTATAAAATGAGGAGTCAGGCTGGGCGTGGTGGCTCACGCCTGGCTTCCCAGCACTTTGGGAGGCCAAGGCAGGTTGATCACCTGAGGTCGGGAGTTCGAGACCAGCCTGGCCAACATGGTGAAACCCCGTCTCTACTAAAAATACAAAAATTAGCCGGGTGTGGTGGCGGGTGCCTGTAGTCTCAACGACTTGAGAGGCTGAGGCAGGGGAATTGCTTGAACCTGGGAGGCGGAGGTAGCAGTGAGCTGACATTGTGCCACTGCACTCCAGCCTGGTGACAGAGCGAGACTCTAAAAAAAAAAAAAAATGAGGAGTCCATGTCATCCTTATTGAAGGAGCAGTTTTGCCTGTGGGCGTCTGAGAGTTCTATTCAACGAAGGAGCAGGAAGAGTCAGGAATGAGTTCAGGTTTCAGGTCTCAGTGTGTTGATCCTCTGTGTCAGGAGTTCCCTTAATAAACAGTAGTTTTTGTCCTTCTCTTGTAGGAAGCTGATCTGGATGCAGAATTAGAAAACTGCCATCATTACATGCAGTTTGCAGCAGCGGCCTATGGGTGGCCCCTCTACATCTACAGAAACCCCCTCACGGGGCTGTGCAGGATTGGTGGTGACTGGTGGGTTGGCACAGTCTGAGCCTCCATAGCCATATTTCCCTTAAAAAAAAAAGCTATTTTGAGATATTTCAAAAATTTGAAAGAACAGTGCAAAGAACTCCCATGAATCCTTTACCTAGAGTCACCAGCTGTGACTCATCTGGTCACATGCGCTGTATCTCTCTCTCTCTCTCTCTCCCTCCCTCCCTCCCCCCTGCATATATATATATA
Source organism: Homo sapiens (assembly GCF_000001405.40). NCBI lineage: Eukaryota > Metazoa > Chordata > Mammalia > Primates > Hominidae > Homo > Homo sapiens. The sequence goes on along the minus strand of NC_000007.14, from coordinate 6,430,269 downwards.
TATATATATATATATATATGCACATGTATTTTTTTTCCCCGAACCATTTTATTTTTCTCTTTTTGAGACAGAGTTTCACCCTTGCTGCCCAGGCTGGAGTGCAGTGGCGTGATCTCAGCTCACCACAACCTCCGTCTCCCAGGCTCAAGCGGTGCTACTGGCTCAGCCTCCTGAGTAGTTGGAATTACAGGTGCCCGCCACCATGCCCGGCTAATTTTCATTTTTTGAGATGGAGTTTCACTCTGTTGCCCAGGCTGGAGTGCAGTGGCACAATCTCGGCTCACTGCAAGCTCCGCCTCCCTGGTTCACGCCATTCTCCTGCCTCAGCCTCCCGAGTAACTGGGACTACAGGCGCCCGCCACCACTGCTGGCTAATTTTTTGTATTTTTAGTAGAGATGGGGTTTCACCGTGTTAGCCAGGATGGTCTCGATCTCCTGACCTCGTGATCCGTCTGCCTCGGCCTCCCAAAGTGCTGGGATTACAAACATGAGCCACCACGCCCGGCCACACCCGGCTAATTTTCTATTTTTAGTAGAGACGGGGTTTCACTATGTTGGCCAGGCTGGTCTGGAACTCCTGACCTTGTGGTTCACCTGCCTCACCCTCCCAAAGTACTGAGATTACAGGCGTCAGCCACCAGGCCCGGTCTCAGGTAATTTTTGTATGTTTAGTAGAGACAGGATTTCCCCATGTTGACCGGGCTGGTCTCAAACTCCTGACCTCAAGTGATCTGCCTGCCTCAGCCTCCCAGAGTTCTGGGATTACAAGGTGTGAGCCACTGTGCCCAGCCCCAGTAATACCCTTTTTAGCAATTTTTTTCTCCAATCCAGGATGATGCGTTACATCTAGTTGCTGTGTCTCTTTGGTCTCCTTCAAGTTTTAAGTTTCTCAGCCGTTCTTTCCTTTCATGATATTGACATTTTGAAGAGGACAGTGCAGATATTTTGTAGAAGGGCCTTCAATTTGCATTTGTGTGATGGTTTCCCCATGATTAGATTTATGTTTTGCATTTTTGGCGGGAATGGTCCATGACAACCATCCTTCCTAGTGTATCATATCAGGGGATACATGATGCCAGTTTGTCCCATTTCTGGTTATATTAACATTGATTGCTTGGCTGAGGTGGTGACTGCCAGCCTTGAGACCATTTAAATATCTTGTCCCAGGCCGGGCGTGGTGGCTCAGACCTGTAATCCCAGCATTTTGGGAGGTCGAGGCCAGCGGATCACTTGAGCTCAGGAGTTTGAGACCAGCCTGGGCAACCTGGCAAAACTCCATCTCACTAAAAATATAAAAATTAGCTGGGTGTAACAGTGTGTACCTGTAGTCCCAGGTGCTTGGGAGGCTGAGGCAGGAGAAACACTTGAGCCCAGGAGGCTGAGGTTGCAGTGAGCTGGGGTTGCACCACTGTACTCCAGCCTGAGTGACAGAGCAAGACGCTGTCTTAAAAAATAAATTAAATAAATATATATGTCTATATCCCACCAGGTGCAGTGGCTCATGCCTATAATCCCAGCACTTTGGGAGGCCAAGGCGGGCTGATCACCTGAGGTCAGGAGTTCAAGACCATCCTGACCAACACGGTGACACCCCGTCTCTACTAAAAATACAGAAATTAGCTGGACATGGTTGCACACACCTGTAATCACAGCTACTCGGGAGGTTGAGGCAGGAGAATCGCTTGAACCAGGGAGTTGGAGGTTGCAGTGAGTGGAGATCACACCATTGCCCTGCAGCCTAAGCAACAGAGCAAGATTCTGTCTCAAAAAGAAAAAAAAAAAAGAAACCAAAACAAAACAAAAAACAAGTAAGTAAATGTCCTATCCCTCTCTGAATTCTCATCTGGCAGTACAGCATCCATTGATTCTTGTCTGAATCACTTATTACCAGGATGGTGGCAAAATCATGATTTTTCTTTTTCTTTCTTTCTTTCTTTTTTTTTTTTTTTTTTTTGAGACAGAGTCTCAGGATCCTGGCTCACTGCAACCTCCATCTCCCAGGTTCAAGTGATTCTCCTGCCTCAGCCTCCCGAGTAGCTGGGATTACAGGCCTGCACCACCATACTCGGCTAGTTTTTTGTAATTTTAATAGAGACAGGTTTTCGCTGTGTTGGCCAGGCTGGTCGAACTCCTGACCTCAGGTGATCCACTCGCCTTGGCCTCCCAAAGTGGTTGGATTACAGGCATGAGCCACCGCACCTGGCCAAAATTGTGATTTTTCTAAATTCATCATTTCTTCTACATTAATTGTCATTCTCCTATAAAAAAGAGCTTTTTATCCCTACATCTTACTGTCAATATGGATTTATAGATTCTTAAATTATTCAGTGGGTTGTAATTATGACTGTTTATTTTGTATTAAGTACAGTGTTTATTTGATGCTCAAAATGTTCCAGATTTTGTCCTGCAGACTGGCTCCAGTGTTCTTTTCATATGACCCCATCATGTTCTGAGCACTTCCTAACCTCTGGATTTTGCTTTTTCTTTTTTTGGGACTGTTGCCCAGGCTAGAGTATAGTGGTATCATCACGGCTTACTGTAACACCATACCCTCAACCTCCTGGGCTCAAGTGATTCACCTGCCTCGGTCTCCCAAAGTCCTGGGATTACAGGTGTAAGCCACCACGCCTATGTATTTATTTTAAAGATCATGAGATTTTACTAATATCTTTTTTTTGTTTGTCTTTTAAGAGACGGGGTTCTCTCACCTCAGCCTCCCAAGTAGCTGGGACTACAGGCATGCACTGCCAGACCCAGATAATTTTTAAAAATGTTTTAAATTAATAAATTTCTTTTTAGAGACAGTTTTGCTTTGTGGCCCAGGCTGGTCTCCAACACTTGAGCGATCCTCCCGCCTCAGCCTCCCAAAGTGCTGGCATCATGGGTGTCAGTCTCCTGGCCCTGATATCTTTTAATTCTAGTCCAAAGCCACAGAGTTTCTCTTTGCTTCTCCACATCATGTCTGCAAAGAGAAGCTTGGCTCCCAGCAACATCAGCGTGAGTTACCCATGCTCAGTCCCCTATTACTAAGAAAATAGTTTCAGAATTGCTATACCCAGTTCCACTACAAAAAGGGCATCTGCTAAGTACAGTTTGCGATGTGTTTGTAGTTTTTTTAGTTTTTATTTTTATTTATTTTAATTTAATTTAATTGTATTTTTTGAGACGGAGTCTCACTCTGTCACCTAGGCTGGAGTGCAGTGGCGCGATCTCAGTTCACTGCAACCTCTGCCTCCCAGTTGCAAGCAAGTCTCCTGCCTCAGCGTCCCGAGTAGCTGGGATTACAGGCGCCTGCCACCACACCTGGCTGAGTTTTGTATTTTTAGTAGAGGTGGGGTTCCAGCACGTTGGCCAGACTGGTCTCGAACTCCTGACTTCAGGTGATCCACCTGCCTCGATCTCCCAGAGTGCCGGATTACAGGCATCAGCCACCACGCCCGGCCTCTTTTTGTTTTTTAAACGTAGAGCACAGTACTCAAAAGTTACTTCTATGATTTCTTGTTTATTTTCTACGGAGTTGGCTGTGCTGTTCATTTGGACAGGTTTGCTTTACCTGCTTCTGTTGGCATTCAGTTTTAGGGACTTGCCCATCCTTGTTGATGAATTTTTTGAATATAGAAATCATTAACATGATGCCAGAAGTCAGAACTCTATCCAAGAAGTGTACACAGAGAGGTATTATCTTTAATAAGCCATTCCGGGCCCAGTGCAGTGGCTCACGCTTATAATCCCAGCACTTTGGGAGGCCAAGACGGGCAGTTCGCCTGAGGTCAGGAGTTTAAAACCATCCTGGCCAACATGGCGAAACTCTATCTGTACTGAAAATACAAAAACTAGCCGGGCATGGAGGTGCACGCATGTAATCCCAGCTACTCAGGAGGCTGAGGCAGGGGAATCGCCTGAACCTGGGAGGCGGAGGTTGCGGTGACCTGAGATTGTACCACGGTACTCCAGCCTGGGTGACAGAGTGAGGCTCCATCTCAATCAGTCAGTCGATCAAATTAAGTTTTAAAAAGCCATTCCATGTCAGCCAGGCTAAGTCCTGAGAATTGTCCGCTCTGGTCCTCGCGTCTCTGGGAACATGTGGCAGTGAGGATGGACGTTCCTTGCCAAGTGGCTCTGTTCGGCATAGTAACGTCTTTGTCCTCTTTTTAGCTGCAGAAGCAGAACCACAGACTATGACTTGGTCGGAGGCGATCAGCTCAACTGTCACTTCGGCTCCATCCTGCACACCACAGGGCTGCAGTACAGGGACTTCATCCACGTCAGCTTCCATGACAAGGTGTGGACGCTGCAGACAGCGGCTCTTCACTTCTTTTGGGTCCTGGAGCTGTTAGAGATTCTGATGGAAGTTATGAATTATTCTTCCCGTAATTCATAGACACACAAACACACTTCTAAGTCCTGTGTACTATTTCAGAGGGGCCACAGACTCTGGGGGAGCCACACAGATGCCCTGGTGCAGGTTCAGAACCCAGGTTTCACATAAGATAGAGACGTCTTCATCAGAGATAGCGCGCTGTGTTTCTTACCTCGCCCTTCTGTTGAGGAGTGAAATCCCTCAGTATTAATGCCGCATGGCCTTCTGGGATTCGTATCGTCGTCCTGGGTTGTGAGTGCCATCAGTAGTGTAGTGTAGCAGGTCTGGCACTCTGGGGGGGTCACTGTCACCTTGGGAGAAGCTGCAAAAGCCAGCTGTGGGCCGGGCACAGTGGCTCACGCCTGTAATCCCAGCACTTTGAGAGGCCGAGGCGGGTGGATCATAAGGTCAGGAGTTCGAGACCAGCCTGGCCAATATGGTGAAACCCCATCTCTACTAAAAATACAAAAATTAGCTGGGCGTGGTGGCAGGCGCCTGTAGTCTCTGCTGGTCGGGAGGCTGAGGCATGAGAATCACTTGAATCCGGGAGGCGGAGGTTACAGTGAGTTGAGATTGCGCCATTGCACTCCAGCCTAGGTGACAGAGCAAGATGCCATCTCAAAAAAAAAAGCCAGCTGTGCATGGCTGCAGTGCTGCGTGTTCAGTGTCGCTCGCTGTCTCTCCAGGTGATTCTCATAGGCACCGCAGCGGGAGGCCTGCTGGCGCAGATCGGCGGCTCTCCCACTTTGCTGCCCAGTAGAACCTCTTGAGGAGCTTTTAACACTGCTGAGGTCCAGGCCGCACCCTGGGCCAGTTCAATCCGAATCTCTGGGGAGGTCAGAGAGAGGCTAAGAAAACAAAGATCCTTTTTCATGTAGAGCAGCATGGTTTATGAAGGCCAGTCCCTGCCAGAGTGGGTCCCACTGTGTAGTGAGCGTGAGTGGAGAGGCGGTGTCCCCTCCTCTCTGTGCCGCAGGACTTGGGCTGTCATTGCAGACACTGCAGGGCTCCGACTTTGCGTGCTGGTGCGTGTGTTCACTGTTTAGGCCCCATGCTTGTTTCTTGCTCCTGCAGGTTTACGAGCTGCCGTTTTTAGTGGCTCTGGATCACAGGAAAGAGTCTGTTGTGGTCGCTGTGAGGGGGACCATGTCTCTGCAGGTAACGTTGGAACCTGACTTTCCAGCCCTGGGAGTGGGTGCGGGAGCGGGAGCCCACAGCTGCTCGGCTGGGGAAATCCGTCAGTAACCGCATGAGACACAGGGGAAAATGGTGAGGACAGAAAATGAGGATGTGAGCCTGGGGTTGGGAAATACTCCCTTTGCAAAAAGGGATGAAGCTGTTTCATCTTCACTGAGAACTGTCAGCAGCAGAGCGGCCAGCAGGTTGGCCCCCCCGCCACAGGAGCTCCCAGAGGGCACCTGCTTGACCCCTCCCTGCCTAACTTCCCTGAGCCCAGCCAGGCCCCACACCCGGGAGCCCTCCCGGGGAATTTCTGCACCAGAGCCAGATGGCGGCAGTGAGTCAGTCTTGCTGCAGAGAGTCACGCCCCTGGCCACCAGCCCCGCTGGAGGCTCCCGGTTTGGATCCTCACAGGCCCTCGTGGCCTGCCGTTCTCCAGGTGAGGTCAGGACTGCCGACATCCATCCCCAGCCCATGGCCCCTCTTCTGTCTTCCTCAGTCCATACTCCTGGGCCCCTTGGAGATGCCAGGTGACGCTTTCCTTGTCAAAGCTTTCTTCTCTCCATTCCGGTTTCCTCCTGGCCACTCCTCAGTCTCACTTCCCGTTCTTCTCTGCTGACCCAGAAAATGAGTTGAGACTCCAGAGCCTGTGTGCTCAGCCCTCTTCTGCTCCTGACTGGCTCTGGGGTAGCCCCCCTAAGTCCAGGGCCAGGACCCCAAACTTGCATCTTCAGGAGCCATCTGTGGGTCTCCCGGGAGGCACCAGAGAAGCCACACTTCCCACAGGGCTGCTCCTCCCGGGGGGCGCCCTGTTCACGTCAGCTCTGCCATCGTCCCCCCATTGCCCATTTAAGAAGCAGTGGCGCCTGTAATCCCAGCACTTTGGGAGGCCAAGGTGGGTGGATCACAAGGTCAAGAGATCGACACCATCCTGTCCAACATGGTGAAACCCCGTCTCTACTAAAAATACAGAAAATTAGCCAGGCATGGTGGTGGGCTCCTGTAGTCCCAGCTACTCAGGAGGCTGAGGCAGGAGAATCACTTGAACCCGGGAGGCGGAGGTTGCAGTGAGTCGAGATTGCACCACTGCACTCCAGCCTGGAGACAGAGTGAGACCCTGTCTCAGAAAAAAAAAAAAAATTAGCCGGGCATGGTGGCGGGAACCTGTAATCCCAGATACTCAGGAGGCTGAGGCAGGAGAATTGCTTGAACCCGGGAGGTGGAGGTTACAGTGAGCTGAGATTGCGCCATTGCACTCCAGCGTGGCGACAGATCGAGACTCTGTCTCAAAAGAAGCAGTGGCGTCGTCTGTGGTTTCTGTGCGCCCTGTCTGCTGTGTGTGAACTTCCTGCCCCAGCCTATGTGGCCCTCTCTCCATTTCCAGCGCCATGGCCCCGCTTTTGGCCCCAGTCCTCTAGCTTCCCATCTCCGTCCTTGTCTAGTCTCATCTCCCCAGTCTGTTTGATTGTTTGTTTGTTTCTAAGACAGGGTCTTGCTCTGTTGCCCAGGGTGGAGTACGATGGTACAGTCAGCTCACTGCAGCCTCCACCTCTTGGGCTCAAGTGATCCTCCTGCCTCAGCCTCTCAAGTAGCTGGGAATACAGGCATGTGCCACTACACCCAGCTAATTTTTTCTATTTTTGTAGAGACAGGATCTCACTATGTTGCCCAGGCTGGTCTTGGACTCCTGGGCTGTAGCCATCCACTCACCTCAGCGTCTGTCCATTGTCCTGTCCACCAAGGACTCACTCTAGAACACGGATCGGATCTTACCGTCCTGCTCAGATACCTCCAGTGGCTTCCCATTGCCTTTATGGATTTATCTTTAAATGTTCTTTTTTTAATTCCAACTTTTATTTTAGATTCAGAGGGTACATGTGCAGATTTGTAGCTGGGTATACTGTGTGACGCTGAGGTTTGGGGTACTGTTGATCCCGTCTCCCAGGTACTGAGCATAGTACCCAGTGGTTAGGTTTTCATTCCTTCCCCTGCCCTCCTCTAGTAGCCCCAGTGTCTATTGTCCCCTCTTTGTGTCCATGAATACCCAATGTTGAGCTTCCACCGTCGCATCAGACCATGCGGTGTTTGCTTTTCTCTGTCTGCGTTAATTCGCTGAGGATGATGGCCCGCAGCTGCATCCGTTGCTGCAGAGGATGTGTTTTTGCGCTTTTCTATGCTTGGGCCCACTGTCTTTAACATCAAGTTTGTGTTTCTTATCACAGCTCTGGGTGCTTTACCCAGCAGCCTCCCCCATGCCCACTCCGCAGCCTGGACGCTGCTGCCGGGGCCTCCAGCCCAGCAGCACAGCACTCGCCTGTGGACCTTTTCAAATATGGCTGGTGTGGAGCCGTGCCCAGGGCCCCAGCCAGCGGGTCCTGCTGCCCCTGTTGGGAGGACGCCGCCTGTCCTCTCTGCTTTCACAACAACCTCTTCCTTCGGGTCTGGCTGTGGCGTCACCTCCTCCAGGGAGCTGCCCCTGCGCCTGGGCTGTGCCCCATCCTCTGACTCGGCACTGCCTGGCCCTTGCTGTGGTGCTAGTCTAGGCCTCCTCCTCTCCACGGTTTCACCTGTTACGGGGCTCCTGAGGACGGGAACCAGGCTTTGTTCAGAACCCTGGCACAGGTTCTGTGCCACGGGGTCCTTAGAATACGTGTGTGTGATGGGGAAGGCGCAGGGCGTGTCTTAGGCACACTCCATGGTCCCCTCCACCCTTCACGCCTGGCCCAGAGCTGGTCGTGCCATCAGGGCCCTCAGGAGCCACCGCTGGGTTTCCCTCTTTAGTTTAGGGTTCAGTCCCAGGACCGAACTAGGAGATGGTGCCATCCCCGCCATCCTCCACAGAAGTGTCAGGAGCAGGGACCACCTGTCATTCTCCCACCCTGCCCATCACAGGCTGACGGCCGCTTCTGCAACGCCCTTTTTACAGGATGTCCTTACGGACCTGTCAGCGGAGAGTGAGGTGCTGGACGTGGAGTGTGAGGTGCAGGACCGCCTGGCACACAAGGTATGAGCGCGGACTCGTGTGTCTTGCCTGTGAATGCTGACCACACAGAAGATGGGTGCCTCGGGTCAGGGACTGCACAGAGCCCGCGCTGCCTGCGCCTCCCGCGCTGCCTGCGCCTCCCGCGCTGCCTGCGCCTCCCGCGCTGCCTGCGCCTCCCGCGCTGCCTGCGCCTCCCGCGCTGCCTGCGCCTCCCGCGCTGCCTGCGCCTCCCGCGCTGCCTGCGCCTCCCGCGCTGCCTGCGCCTCCCGCGCTGCCTGCGCCTCCCGCGCTGCCTGCGCCTCCCGCGCTGCCTGCGCCTCCCGCGCTGCCTGCGCCTCCCGCGCTGCCTGCGCCTCCCGCGCTGCCTGCGCCTCCCGCGCTGCCTGCGCCTCCCGCGCTGCCTGCGCCTCCCGCGCTGCCTGCGCCTCCCGCGCTGCCTGATTCTCACAGCAGCCCTGGGAGGCTGTGGGATTTCGTTTGTTCTAAGAGAGAGAAGCCTGTTCAGAGAGAGCGAGTGCCTTGCCCAAAGTCGCGTGGCTACTGGAATAAGTAGCAGGTTGGGCATTTGAGCCCAGCTCTGTGGCTTTTCCTTCTCTCTGTGTGTGTTTTCTGAGAGGCAGTCTCCCTGTGTTGCCCAGGCTGGTCTTGACCTCCTGGGCTCAAGTAATCCTCCTGCCTCAGCCTCCCAGAGTATTGGGATTACGGGCGTGAGCCACCACACCCAGCCTCTGAATTCATTCAGGTAGTACATTCTCATGGTGAAGAACAGCTTCATCAAAGCTCAGAGCAGCAGAGAGTGCGCACCAGGGTCTCAGGAGGCAGGCCCACCCCACGGGCGCTCTGCCGGGTCATTCACATATTCTCTGTGCAGATGGCAGATGGCACGGTGCCAGGCTTACAGTTTCATGCTCACTGTGCTATGGGTGTGAGGCTGCCTCAGCTCCTCCCGAAGGAATGAAAACCCCCTGCCCAGAGTAGAGGGGTAGGGGTTTCTAGTTTTGGGGGCTTCCTGTAACTGGTGAGATATTCCTGACACACATTGGTCAGTTTCACTGTTCGTTGGTCGTTAGTGTATAGTTCCGGGCATCCAGTGCGTTCACAGTGCCGTGAACCCGTGTCCAGTCCCACACCCCTAACACAAGCTCTGAACCCATCACCACTCACTTCCGCTTCCTCCCTTCCACGGCCTCTGGGAACCTCTGTTCTACTTTGTCTCTATAAGTCGTCTCTTCTGGGAACCCCACAGAAGTGGAATCGTACAGGATTTGTCCTTTTGTCAGTGGCCTGTTTCTTTTCTTTTTTTTTTTTGAGATGGAGTCTTGCTCTGTCGTCCAGGCTGGAGTGCAGTGGTGCCATCTCAGCTCACTGCAACCTCTGCCTCCCAGGTTCAAGCAATTCTCCTGTCTCAGCCTCCCAAGTAACTGGGACTACAGGCGCACGTCACCACACCCAGCTGATTTTTGTATTTTTAGTAGAGACGGGGTTTCACCATGTTGGCCAGGCTGGTCTCTATCTCTTGACCTCGTGATCCACCCACCTCAGCCTCCCAAATTGCTAGGATTACAGGCATAAGCCACCGCACCTGGACTGTTTTTGTTTCTGAGACAGGGTCTTGTTCTGTCACCCAGGCTTGAGTGCAGTGGTGTGATCATAGCTCACTGCAGCCTCCATCTCCCAGGTTCAAGTGATCTTCCCACCTCAGCCTCCCAAGTAGCTGGGATTACAGGCGTGTGCCACCATGCCTGGCTAATTTTCTACTTTTTATTTTGTAGAGATGGGGTCTCTCTGTGTTGCCCAGACTGGTCTTGAATCTCCTGGGCTCAAGCAGTCCTCTTGCCTCAGTCTCCCAAAGTGCTGGGATTGCAGGCGTGAGCCACCACGCCTGGCCCTTTGCTGTCTTTTTTGTATGCCAGTTCACAAAAGACTCCAGTTTGCCCATTACTGTGTGAGGAAAGGAGGAACTGTAAGCCTTAGTACAGAGATGCCCCAGAAACCCGTCAGGGGCCAGGGGGCTTGGCCTGGGTGGATCTGCTCAGGCAAAGGCTTTATGTGACCACAAGCTGAGGATCCGCGGCTTGGCTGGCAGCTGAGGCCCCCAAGTGCTGGGTTCATATTTTAGTGACAGTTCATCCCTTGGGTCGGGAAGGCTGCCGCTCAGGGCCTGTCCTGTCCTCTTGGCTTCATTTGTGCCAAATCACGCTGAGTTTGGCTCTGACGCTGTCCACGGTAATTGGACTCCAAACCTGTGTGGCCGAAAGGGCTTTGGCATTTGTTGTTGGATGTGCGCCGGGGAGGCTCGCCAGCAGCAGCTTAGTCCACGTCCTGCTGGGCTCTGCCTGCCCAGCACCAGCCACAGGGTAGGTGCCCAGTGAGTGTGGCCTGGAGTTGACTGCATCCCGCCGTCGCAGGAGAGAGAAAGGGCATCTGGTAATTTGTTAAGAAGTGCTGTCAGGGCCGGGTGCAGTGGCTCACACCTGTAATCCCAGCACTTTGAGGTCAGGAGTTTGAGACCAGCCTGGCCAACACGGTAAAACCCCATCTCTACTGAAAATACAAAAATTAGCCGGGTGTGGTGGTGAGTGCCTGTAATTCCAGCTACTCAGGTGGCTGAGGCAGGAGAATCGCTTGAACCTGAGACTCCGTCTCAAAAAAAAAAAAAAAAAAAAGGAAGTGCCATCTGAATGCACACAGAGTGTTGAAGCCTTTTTAAAAATTTTCTTATATGATGGCTGGGTTCAGCATTCTACTTGTAGAATTATTTAATTCTTAGAAACTTGTAGTTGCAGCCAGGTGCGGTGGCTCACGCCTGTAATCCCAGCACTTTGGGAGGCCGAGGCGGGTGGATCACGAGGTCAGGAGATGGAGACCATCCTGGCTAACACGGTGAAACCCCGTCTCTACTAAAAATACAAAAAATTAGCCGGGCGTGGTGGCGGGCGCCTGTAGTCCCAGCTAGTCAGGAGGCTGAGGCAGGAGAATGGCGTGAACCCGGGAGGTGGAGCTTGCAGTGAGCCGAGATCGAGCCACTGAACTCCAGCCTGGGCGACAAAGCGAGACTCTGTCTCAAAAAAAAAAAACAAAAAAAGAAACTTGTAGTTGGATTAGAGATGATCAAAAACCATCTCCCATCTTCTGTGGGATTTCCTCCACCCCGTCCTATTAGAATCGAAGCTGCACGGGACAGGGGCCAGGCCCGCTTTTCTCCGAGCCCAGCACAGGAGCACACTGAGGAAGCATTTTGAAGATATTTTTGATTGACAGGGTCATTTCTTCCCTGGCACTGCTTTTCTTTTTTAAAAATTTTTTTAGGGCTTAACTGCGTGTAGGGAATGGCTTTATTTTTTTTCTTTTATTTATTATTTTTATGATGATTATTTTTCAGAAAGAGTCTCACTGTGCCACCCAGGCTGGAGTGCAGTGGTGCAATCATAGTTCACTGTAACCTTGAACTCCTGGGCTCAAGTGATCCTCCTGCCTCAGCCTCCCAAAGTGTTGGAATTACAGGCATGAGCCACCTGCTTAATTTTCAAGAAGCCTGTTTCAGAGGACAGATGTATATGTTAGAAAATTTTAAATTTTTGCTGGGCACAGTGGCTCACACCTGTAATCCCAGCACTTTGGGAGGCTGAGGCGGGTGGATCACGAGGTCAGGAGTTCGAGACTAGCCTGGCCAACATGGTGAAACCCTGTCTCTACTAAAAATACAAAAATTAGCTGGGTGTGATGGCGCATGCCTGTAATCCCAGTTACTCAGGAGGCTGAGGCAGGAGAATTGCTTGAACCCAGGAGGCAGAGGTTGCAGTGAGCCGAGATCGCCCCATTGCACTCCATCCTGGGCAACAGAGCGAGACTGTCATTCATTCATTCATTCATTCATAAATAAATAAATAAAATTTTATTTACTTTTTGAAGTTAAAGCCAAACCTGACCACCCTAAAACTCACTTCTGATGGTTTAGTTTTACCTTTGCAGGAACAGTGGATGCTTATCAGTGTCTTTGATTCAGAACTTCGTGGATTCTGTAGTTGTTTTAGAGAAATGGGGTCTTGCTATGTGGCCCAGGCTGGTCTCAACCTCATGCGTTCAAGTGATCCTCCTGCCTCAGCCTCCCAAATAGCTCAGATTGTAGGTGTGAGCCACTTGGCACAGCGGTAGAACTTTATGTTTAAATGTTATGTAAAAAGTCTAAATCTGACCAGCCGTAGGAACTTGGCTGAAGTAAATTGTGATATGTTCACACAGCACAAAACGGTGTAGCTACAGAAAAAGCCACAGAAATGTATCTGTGGAAAGATGTTTGGTTGTTTTGGGTTTTTTGTTTGTCTGTTTGTTTTTTGAGACAGGGTCTCACTCTGCTGCCCAGTGGTGCGACGATAACTCACTGCAGCCTGAACTTCATGTGTTCCAGCGACCCTCCCACCTCAGCCTCCCGAGTAGCTGGACTATAGGCGCTCGCCACCAAGCCCCGTTAATTTTTTTTTTTTTAGTAGAGTCAGGATCCAGGCTGGTCTTGTATTTTTATTTTAGTAGAGACTATGTCGCCCAGGCTGGTCTTGAACTCCTGGGCTCAAGTGTCCTCCTGCCTTGGCCTCCCTAAGTGCTGGGATTACAAGCGTGCGCCACCACACCTGGCACCTGCTTCACGTCAGGCGCTGTGCAAGGTGCCAGGAGCACAGCCATGCACGATGGACGTGGCTGCTGATTCTGCAGTCTCAGATCCCAGGAGAGACTCACACATCAGTGCACAGCGTCATCCCATCTTTGAGTCTCTGCTGGGCCTGCCTTGTCTGAGGATTAACGGCCACCTTCTTTGTCTGTGTTTTTAGGGTATTTCTCAAGCTGCCAGATACGTTTACCAACGACTCATCAACGACGGGATTTTGAGCCAAGCCTTCAGCATTGCTCCTGTGAGATCTTAGTTAACGTTTCTTTCCTTGTCCTCTTTGGAGCTGTTGTTTTTACCCTTCACCTCATTCTGCTGTCTGTCCTCTAGGAGTACCGGCTGGTCATAGTGGGCCACAGCCTCGGGGGCGGGGCGGCCGCCCTGCTGGCCACCATGCTCAGAGCCGCCTACCCGCAGGTCAGGTGCTACGCCTTCTCCCCACCCCGGGGGCTGTGGAGGTGAGCCTTTGTTTTCCTGCTCTAACAGCTTGCTACTTACAAGTCATGTGGTCAAGACTCATCTTTTTTTTCTTTTATTTTCCTGAGATGAAGTCTTGCTCTGTCGCCCAGGCTGGAGTGCAGTGGCGTGATCTCGGCTCACTGCAAGCTCCACCTCCCAGGTTCAGGCGGTTCTTCTGCCTCAGCCTCCCGAGTTGCTGGGACTACAGACACCCGCCAGCATGCCGGCTAATTTTTGTATTTTTAGTAGTGGTGGGGTTTCACCATGTTGGCCAGGCTGGTCTTGATCTCCTGACCTCAAGTGATCTGCCCGCCTCGGCCTCCCAAAGTGCAGGGATTACAGGCGTGAGCCACCGCACCCAGCTGAGGTTTGTGTTTTGAAGCGCTATTTCACAGAAGAAAGTCTGTCTAGCCTTTCTTAGACCTATGTGACCATACCTGTAATTTCCTCAATGATTTAATTCTAAGAGTCTTTTTTCAAACAGACTTTATTTTTTAGAGCAGTTTTAGGCTGACAGCAAAACTGAGCAGCAGATTGTAGGGATCTCTCATACCCTCCCTCCCCACAAGCAAGCACAACCTCCCCCATTCTCACAGCCCTGGCAGAGGGGTCCGGTTGTTGACATCCATGCGCCTGGTAGGCACATCGCCCAGAGCCCGTAGTATGCTGAGCACTCCCTCCGCCCTCTCGGGGGGCATATGCCCTGGGTGGGGACACATGCATAATGCACATGTTTAAAGACATTTTTATGAGTTTGAAAATTACTTTTTTTTTTTTTTTTGAGACGGAGTCTTGCTCTGTCGCCCAGGCTGGAGTGCAGTGGCGTGATCTCGGCTCACTGCAACCTCCGTCTCCCAGCTTCAAGCGATTCTCCTGCCTCAGCCTCCCGAGTAGCTGGGACTACAGGCGCCCGCCACCACACCCGGCTAATTTTTTGTATTTTTTTAGTAGAGACGGGTTTCACCGTGTTAGCCAGGATGGTCTCGATCTCCTGTCTTCTGACCTCATGATCCGCCACCTTGGCCTCCCAAAATGGTGGGATTACAGGCATGAGCCACCACGCCTGGCTGAAAAGTTTATATTTTTTTTTGCTGATTCCAGCATACTGACTGTTCTGTGTAACCTTTTGCCATGATTATAAAGGAAAATTATACCACTTTATTTCATTAAAATGAAATAAAGGCCAGGCGTGGTGGCTCATGCCTGTAATCCCGGCCCTTTGGGATGATTAAAAAGTATGTACGTAAAGAACAAAAAGAGCTTTTCTTCGCACACTTGGTTTCTTTGACATATAGTTCACACAGGAAAAAACAGGAGAATGTATAAGTGCTTAAATCTTTCCCTCAATAAAGAAGTGTTCAGAATAATGAATTGTTGCCTAGCAGTCTACAGAGGCAGACATTAATTTTTTAAAACTTAAATTTCAGTCGTCTGTTTTCTTGCTGTCTTTTTTTTTTTTTTAATTGACACAGAGTGTCACTCAGTCTCCCCAGCTGGAGTGCAGCAGCACAGTCATGGCTTGCTGTAGCCTCTGCCTCCTGTGCTCAGGTGATCTTCCGGCCTCAGCCTCCCAAGTAGCTGGGACCATAGGCGCACACCACCACATCCAGCTAATTTTTGTAAGGAACAGGGTCTTGCTATGTTGCCCAGGCTGGTCTTGAACTCCTGGGCTCAAGTGATCCTCCTGCCTCACCCTCCCAAAGTGCTAGGATTAAAGGTGTTGAGCACTGTGCCTGGCCTCATTTTCTTGCTTTCTCAAGAATATTCTCAAGTTTTGGGCTTGAAATGAGCAAGTATTTTTTTTTTCCATCGTCCATATCTGGAATCAACCGTTTCTCCAAGGAATATTGGTTCCTTTTAGCAGGAAATGGTATTTCTGAACTGAAATCGGGGCACTGGTAGTTCTCATTACCACAGGGCTGGTCATAATTTCCAGGCCTTTTCATTGGAAAGAGGTAGGAAAGGCTTTTGTTACACCAAAGAGAAAATGTAACTGTAGTGTATAGTGATACTTAAACATCAGGAGGCTGGGCATGTTGGGTCACACCTGTAACCCCAGCGCTTTGGGAGGCTGAGGCAGGAGGATCACTTGAGCCCAGGAGATCGAGACCAGCCTGGGCAACATAGACCCGGTTCCTTACAAAAATTAGCTGGACGTGGTGACGTGTGCCTGTGGTCCCAGCTACCCGGGAGGCTGAGGCAGTAGGATTGCCTGAACCCAGGATGAAGAGGTTGCCGTGAGCCGAGATCGTGCCACTGCACTCCAGTCTGGGTGACAGAGCTACACTCCGTCTCAAAAGAAAAAAAAAAAAAATTGGCCGGGTGTGGTGGCTCACACCTGTAATCCCAGCACTTTGGGAGGCCAAGGCCGGCAGATCATGAGGTCAGGAGATCAAGACCATCCTGGCTAACACGGTGAAACCCTATCTCTACTAAAAATACAAAAAATTAGCTGGGCGTGGTGGTGGGCGCCTGTAGTCCCAGCTGCTTGGGAGGCTGAGGCAGGAGAATGGCGTGAACCTGGGAGATGGAGGTTGCAGTGAGCTGAGATTGTGCCGCTGCACTCCAGCCTGGGAGACAGAGCGAGACTCCATCTCAAAAACAAAAAAGTCCTTTCTGTCACCCCAGAGGTAGAATGTGGTGGTTTTGACTGGTGTTTCCATTATGTCCATGGCTGGAAGGAAGCGTGTCTGTGTTCCTCTCCTCCTGTTGATGAAAGCCTGCACCTTTTCCCTGCTCTTCTGTCTCTGGTCGTGGCTGTTCACTTTCACCGCATGTCCTGAGATGACCCCGCAGTGGCACACACAGTCCTCCTCCTTCTCCCAGCTGTGCGGGACGCACTATTATGTGACTCGTTGTTGGGAGCTGAAGGCAGTTCTGTGGATGGGTGTTTGGAGGCTCCAGCCTCTGCCGGTGCAGGTTCTGCCGCAGTGAATCGCCTGTTGCCTCTGCCCCTTCATTTTTGCTGGGGCATCTTTTTTTTTTTTTTTTCTTTTGAGATGGAGTCTCGCTCTGTCGCCCAGGCTGGAGTGCAGTGGCGCGATCTCAGTTCACTGCCAGCTCCGCCTCCCGGGTTCATGCCATTCTCCTACCTCAGCCTCCTGAGTAGCTGGGACTACAGGCGCCCACCACCACGCCTGGCTAATTTTTTGTATTTTTAGTAGAGACGGGCTTTTACCGTGTTAGCCAGGATGGTTTCAATCTCCTGACCTTGTGATCCGCCTGCCTCGGCCTCCCAAAGTGCTGGGATTACAGGCGTGAGCCACTGCACCCGGCCTCCAGTGCATCTTTGATGGAGTCTTCCAAGCGCGGTTTCTGGGTCAAAGGACAGATCCATGTGCTTGGTCCGCCTTGGTGTCCAGTTTGCGGTTTTAGCTGCGGGGCGTCTCTGTTGAACACATATTGTGGCTTTAGTAGGATCTGGCCAGTGAGTTGCCATAACTGACGTTTCCCCTACCCTCCCTTTAGAGAAGAGAGAACAGAGCTGAGGCCTGGGAACCTAACCCCTCAGTGTTACTGATTTCTTTCATGGAAGCCCTTGTGGGCAGTGTCATCGTAAAGCTAACATCCTCTCTCTGTTTGGAATTTCAGCAAAGCTCTGCAGGAATATTCTCAGAGCTTCATCGTGTCACTCGTCCTGGGGAAGGATGTGATTCCCAGGTAAGCCCACCTGGTGCTGTGCCCAGGGCTGGGGGGTTGGGAGTGCCAGGTCCCAGCCTCAGTGTGCCCCTTTGCTAAACAGGCTCAGTGTGACCAACTTGGAAGATCTGAAGAGAAGAATCTTGCGAGTGGTCGCGCACTGCAATAAACCCAAGGTAAGCGGGTGCCTTGTTGAGAGGGTCAGCAGGACACGGGGCCTGTCCCTGAGATCCTGTGGAGAGCCGGGAGGAATTGCACCCTCAGTGCAGGGCACTCTATGCTGTTGCTGGAAGTTCTCCTTCCACCATCTGATCAGATTCTGGGCTAGGACTCTGTGATGTCTAAGAAAGCAAATGGCTGCAGCAAGTGCGGGAAATGTCACAGGGAGGAAACAGGATCTGGGCTGGGAGCAGTGGTGTATGCCTGGAATCCCAGCACCTCAGGAGGCCAAGGCAGGAGGATCCCTTGAGGCCAACCTGGGCAACACAACAAGACCCTGTCTCTATTCTAAAAAAAAAAAAAGAAAAGAAAATACTCTGGAGGAACTGTTTGATTTTGCTTTCTGACAAACTTCTTAGTCCTGTCTTGTGACTAACAGTTTGTTAATGCCTTTTGGCTTTGTTGTCCGAAAGCTTAGAAAGCAAGGCTGCCAAATAGACCTTAAGAGGTACAGGCACATTTATCTACACTGTGGATATCATGCAGTTATTAAAATGGTGATATATGTCCACGTCAAGGGTTTTTTAACATGGTGGTAGAAATTTATGTCTGCTGGCCAGGCGCGGTGGGTCACGCTTGTAATCCCAGCCCTTTGGGAGGCTAAGGCAGGCAGATCACCTGAGTCAGGAGATCGAGACCAGAGTGGTCGACATGGCAAAACCCCGTCTCTAGTAAAAATACAAAAATGAGCCAGGGGTGGTGGTGAGTGCCTGTAATCCCAGCTACTTGGTAGGCTGAGGCAGAAGAATCGCTTGAACCCAGGAGGCCGAGGTTGCATAAGCCAAGATCGCACTCCAGCCTGTTGGATAGAGTGAGGCTCTGTCTCCAAAAAGAAGAAATTTCTGTCTGCCGATAAAGATAGATATCCATTGAAAAGTTCAAAAGAAAAAAAACTTAAAAATTATTCTTAAGAGATATGACTCATGGCAGAGAGTGGGGACAAGGAGATACAGATATATGAATTTTGACAAAAATTTGAAAATACGTATGCCAAGGGTGGTTTTGTTTAGTGTCGGTAGAGATGATTTTTACTTGTTTAATCCCTTTGTTTTCTGACCTTTCTCATGGTTTTGTTCCTAATCAGAAAGAAGAAACGCAATTTAAATTTTTCTCCTTACCAATTACCTCCCCCAGTTTTTTCTTTTTTGAGACAGGGTCTCGCTTTGTCACCCAGGCTGGAGTGCAGTGGCGCAGTCTCGGCACATTGCAGCCTCCCAAGTTCAACTGATCCTCCCACCTCAGCCTCCTGAGTAGCTGGGGCTACACTACAGGCATGCGCCAACACACCTGGCTAATTTTTGTATTTTTTGTAGAGACAGGGTCTTACCATGTTGCCCAGGCTGGTCTCAAACTTCGGGGCTGAAGCAATCTGCTTGCCTTGACCTCCCAAAGTGCTGGGATTACAGGTGTGAGCCACTGCTGTGCCCAGCCTAAAATTTTTTTTAGAAATTAGTATCTAGGGCGGGCCCGGTGGCTCACGCCTGTAATCCCAGCACTTTGGGAGGCTGAGGTGGGTGGATCACCTGAGGTCGGGAGTTCGAGACCAGCCTGACTAACATGGAGAAACCCCGTCTCTACTAAAAATACAAAAAATTAGGCCGGGCGCGGTGGCTCACGCCTGTAATCCCAGCACTTTGGGAGGCCAAGGCGGGTGGATCACGAGGTCAGGAGATAGAGACCACGGTGAAACCCCGTCTCTATTAAAAATACAAAAAATTAGCCGGGTGCGGTGGCGGGTGCCTGTAGTCCCAGCTACTCTGGTGGCTGAGGCAGGAGAATGGCGTGAACCCGGGAGGCGGAGCTTGCAGAGAGCCAAGATTGTGCCACTGCACTCCAGCCTGGGCAACAGAGTGAGACTCCGTCTCAAAAAAAAAAAAAAAAAAAAAATACAAAAAATTAGCCGGGCATGGTGGCAGGAGCCTGTAAGCCGAGCTACTCAGTAGGCTGAGGTAGGAGAATCGCTTGAATTCGGGAGGCAGATTGTGGAGCCAAGATCACGCCATTGCGCTCCAGCCCATAGAAATTAATATCTAATGCCTTTCAGGGAAGGAAGGGTAAAGCTGATTTCCAGAATTGCCGGAAAATAATTAAGGGAAATATCCCTCACAGTCTGTATGGCTTAGTTTTTAATATTGCTCCACGTGTGATGGTTTTACTGCCCAAGAGAGAGCCCACACTCATGATCTGTGACTAGGCATAGAGCCTTGTCCTGAGCCGAGGTGGCTGCCACCCAGCACAGCTCGCCGGTGCATCTTTGCTGGAGTCTTCCAAGCGGGGTTTCTGGGTCAAAGGGCAGATTCCTGTGCCTGGTCCGCCTTGGTGTTTCGGGAGGTCTCGGGTGACAGAGGGTGAGTGACAGCATTCTACTGATTGGGTCTCGCCCTCAGTACAAGATCTTGCTGCACGGTTTGTGGTACGAACTGTTTGGAGGAAACCCCAACAACTTGCCCACGGAGCTGGACGGGGGCGACCAGGAAGTCCTGACACAGCCTCTTCTGGGGGAGCAGAGCCTACTGACGCGCTGGTCCCCGGCCTACAGCTTCTCCAGCGACTCCCCACTGGACTCTTCTCCCAAGTACCCCCCTCTCTACCCTCCCGGCAGGATCATCCACCTGCAGGAGGAGGGCGCCTCGGGGCGGTGAGTGCGGCGTGGTGGGTGTGGTGGGCAGGCAGGAGCAGCGCGGGGTCAGCCCTGGGGCCGCGTGGGAGCTGTCTCTCCTTTTCTGCTTCAGGTTTGGCTGCTGCTCTGCTGCTCACTATAGCGCCAAGTGGTCACACGAAGCGGAATTCAGCAAAATACTCATAGGTCCGAAGATGCTCACCGACCACATGCCAGACATCCTGATGCGGGCCTTGGACAGCGTGGTCTCCGACAGAGCGGCCTGCGTCTCCTGTCCAGCACAAGGGGTCTCCAGTGTGGACGTGGCCTGACCAGGGCCACTGGAAACTGTCCCAGGAACGATGGACTCACGCTTTTGTCCTTAAACTGACTTACCATCCGAGGAGTTCCCATGACGCCAAAACAGCGAATGTCCATCAACAGGAATCGGATGGGAACAGAATTCCATGGTCTCAATGACTTAAGTTTATGGGAAGTCATTGTGGCCATAATGGTAGCAGAAGTAGTGAGCACGCTCAGGTGATAGGACGACTCCTGAGACCCAGCGACCGTGGAGACAGCCTCGGGAAGCCCTGGCCCGTGGATGGATCCCTTGGCTGTCTGAGGACTGCTCCAGAAGTGCGGGAATCCAGGGCCCACCCAGAAGACCGTGAACAGTTCCTTAGCCTCCCACCCCCAAGGCAGCTCTTTTCATCCAACTCAGTTTACAGGCGTGGTTTGTTTTTCAAACTGGGCTTCCTGGATGTACAAATGGAACTGTGGTGAGGGTGCGGGCTGGGGTTTTCTCCTGGGCGTCACCAAGGGCAGCCCTGGGCTCTGGCTGGGGATGAAGACGAAACCCGATCGGGAAAGTAAGTGGAGCCCCCGGCCCCGCCGAGCCACAGCCCCCCAACTGCCTATTCCCACTGCCCAGTTGTTTGTCCACATCAGGAGTTGCTGATTGAATTCTTGCTACTCTTCTGGCTCTGGGGTCGGCCAGTGGATTCAGGAGTTGAAACAATAAAGCGCGCGTCACCATAGTGCTTGTGTGTACAGCTGCGTGCTCTCTTATTGGGGATTTCCAGGTAGCGCTACTATACTGGGTGGTTGTAGAGCAATGATGTTTCCACGTTTTTTTTAAACCCTGGGGTTCTGGCTACAGATGGAAGATTGCCCAAGCACTGATTTCACCCCCTCTCCCACCGGAAGCCCAACAGAATGACAGGAGGGAGATTTCTCCAAAAAAGCAGAGACCCACAGGATGGGAAAAGACACTCCAACAACAGTCAGAGGACGCACAGTACAGAACCTTAAGGGGGAAGGAAAGACATGAACTGACCCCAGCTTACAAGACCCTGGGCAGCTGTGAAGTGGGAGTGATGCAGACACGCCCAGCTAAAGAGCAGGTATGCTGGAAAGCGGGAAGAAACCTGGCCTGTCGTTTGCTCTGAGGTGGAAGGTGGGGCCTGGGCACAAGCAGTTGAGGGAAGGAGACTGTGCCCCTCCTGGCTCCCAAGTCTTCAAGGAGAAGATTCTCCCGGGAAATCTGACCTCAGAAGACACCTCCTTGGGGCCTCTCTGCTGTCACAGCCATGCCACCTTAGAGCTTTGTAAAGCCTGCAAAGGGCTCTTTAAAAACTTCAAGCCAGGCGCAGTGGCTCACACCTGTAATCCCAGCACTTTGGGAGGCTGAGGCAGGCGGACACTTGAGCCCAGGGGTTCACAGCTGCAGTGAGCTGCGGTCATGCCACTGCACTCCAGCCTGGGTGACAGAGTAAGACCCTGTCTCACAGAAATAAGTCTAACTTGAATTGAAATGCTGTAGCAGGCTGAGCGCAGTGGCTCTTGCCTGTAATCCCAGCACTTTGGGGAGGACAAAGTGGGCGGATCACCTGAGGTCAGGAGTTCGAGACCAGCCTGGCCAACATGGTGAAACCCGTCTCTACTAAAAATACAAAAATTAGCCAGGTGTGGTGGTGTGCACCTATAGCCCCAGCTATTCAGGAGACTGAGGCAGGAGAATCGCTTGAACCTGGGAGGCGGAGGTTGCGGTGAGCTGAGATCATGCCACTGCACTCCAGCCTGGGCAACAGAGCGAGACTCCGCCTCAAAAAAATAAATAAATAAATAAATAAATACATAGCCAGGCGTGGTGGCAGGTACCTGTAATCCCAGCTACTCGGGAGGTGAGGCAGGAGAATGGCTTGAGCCCAGGAGGCAGAGGCTGCAGTGAGCCGAGATCGTGCCACTGCGTTCCAGCTTGGGCGACAGAGCAAGACTGTCTCAAAAAAAAAAAAAAAAAAAAAAAAAAAAAAAAAAAAAAAACAGTAGCAGCGTCCAACTGCTACAAGCTTTGTTTCTAAACCCAATTCCTGCACTCACCTAGTGTCAGAAAGGTACAAGATGGACTCGCTACATGGTGTGACCCTCCTAGGGAACTGCTTCCAACTTCAACTTTTAAGCATGAGCCAAGGACTCCTGACACTAGAGGAACAAGACACCAAAAGAAACATGATGTGGACAGAAGCCTCCTAATGACCCATGCTATGGCTTGGGACTCAGAGAAAGCGCTGTGACTCAGAACTGACCCTGAAGGCCCACAGTGGGGAGAGTGGAAAAGAGCTCCTGAAGATGAAAAGCATCAGACAAAATCAAAAGCTCAAAGATAACAAACCAGGAAAAGAAAAAGGTTACGAGGACACTCCAGGTCTGACATCTGAGTTTGAAAGTCACGAGTTTCCAAGACGGAAAGAGGCCATCAAGCGCACAGCACGGTGGATAAAAGAAACCCTAGGATGTGGAAGAGAAAAGGACAATCTCACAAGAAAAAAATACATCCCAACAGAAATGGCTAAGAAAAATCATGGAAGAACTGCCCTCAGAATTCTGAAGGGACTAGGTGCAGTGGCTCAGGCCTGTAATCATTCCATTTTGGGAGGCCAAAGTGGGAGGATTGCTTGAGCTCAAGACAAGTGTGGGCAACACAGCAAGACCCCATCTCTTAAAAAAAAAAAAAAAAAATTTTTGAGATGGGCGTCTCACTATTGCCACCCAGGCTGGAGCACAGTGGCACGATCTTGGCTCACTGCAACCTCGTCTCCCAGGTTCAAGCAATTCTCCTGCCTCAGGCTCCTAAGTAGCTGGGATTACAGGCGTGCACCACCACGCCTGGCTGATTCTTGTATTTTTAGTAGAGACGGTCTCACCATGTTGGCCAGGCTGCTCTCGAACCCCTGACCTCAAATGATCTGTCCACCTTGGCCTCCCAAAGTGCTGGGATTACAGGCATGAGCCACTGCGCCTGGCCAAAAATAAATTTTTTTAACCGAAGGGAGGCTGGGTGCAGTGGGCCAAGCCTGTAGTCCCAGCTACTTGAGAGCCTGCAGTGGGAGGATCACTTGAGCCCAGGAGTTTGAGTCTAAGCCTGGTCAACATAGCAAGAGCCTGTCTCAAAAGAAGAAATCTGCAGCCTAAGCAACATAGTCAGATCCCATCTCTACAAAACAAAATTAGCTGGGCATGGTGGTGCACACCTGTAGTCCCTATTACTCAGGATGCTGAGCAGGACTGCTTGAGCCCAGGTTGTTGAGGCCACAGTAAGCTGAGATCATGCTACTGCACTCCAGCATGGGTAACAAAGTGAGACCCTGTCCCAAAAATATAACTTAAAAGGGATGTTCACACCAACCTAGAATTTTAGGCCCAGCCAGAAGTAATGTACAACAGTTGTTTTCAAAGATGCAGGGGCTCAAAAATAAGAGTGATGCCTTACTTAACGATGGGTATACATTCTGAGAAACACGCGGGTGATTTCATTGTTAATGTCAGCCTACTACACACCTGGGTCAAAGGTAGGGCCTGTTCATTGCTCCCAGGCTACTCACCTGCACAGCCTGTTACTATACTGAATGCAACAGGAGTTCTAACAGTGGTATTTGCGTATCTGTACACAGAAAAGGTACAGTAAAAATAAGGTGCAGTCACACACTATCATACATGCAATACACTGTTGACTAAAATGTCATTACATAGTGCATGACTACGTACTTCCAACTCTCTCAAGGGATTTCTTGGAGAAACCATTCAGGATGAAGTAAATCAAAAAAGGGAATGTGGATGCAGGAAATGAAGACCAGCACCTAAGAGAGGTGCAGATCAGATGACTCCAGGAAAATGGGTATTGGCAAAATAACAACACATCTGAATATCTTGAGAGGTTTAGACAATAGATGAAAGTTCACAGCTGAGGCCGCGCACAGTGGCTTATACCTGTAATCCCAGCACTTTGGGAGGCTGAGGTGGAATGGTGGCTTCAGGCCAGGAGTTCAAGACCAGCCTAGGCAACACAGGGAGACCCCCCCCCCCCAACTCTACTAAACATTTTAAAAATTAGCCGGGCATGGTTGCACACACCTGTGGTCCCAGCTACTCAGGAGGCTAGGGCAGGAGGATCACTTGAGCCTAGGAGCTGTGATGGCACCACTGCACTCCAACCTGGGTGACAGAGCAAGACCCTTCCTTAAAAAAAAAAAAAAAAAAAGTTCACAATTGAATTCAGTACATAGGAAAGTAAGCAAAGTACTAATTATCCCAAAGAAAACCAGAAGTTCTGCAGGAAACACAGTTTTGTTGCTACATGGCAAGGCCAGTGAGTAGTTTATGTAGTAGTGATCATGCCGGCACTAAACTGAGTCCACCAAAACCATCAGATTGAGGGGATGAGAAAGGTTTTGGGTGGAGAGGGCTACAAGCGGGAAAGCAAGCCTCTCATCGTCCATGCTGGGAATGTCGATGAGAATGGCTGAACTCAGAAGTTACACTGGAACAAAAAGCCTAATTTAGACACAGCAGGTAAAATACCAAAAATCAGGTAAGCAAACAAAGTATTCCTTCTGGAGAGGCTACGAAGGGGGAAGTGTTTTTCTTTAGAAACCACTAAAACTTTTACTTTTAAAAACTGCATATTGACAGGTATGGTGGCTCACACCTGGAGTCCCAGCACTTTGGGAGGTCGAGGCTGGTGGCTCACACCTGGAGTCCCAGCACTTTGGGAGGTCGAGGCTGGTGGATTGCTTGAGCTCAGGAGTTCAAGACCAGCCTGGCCAACATGGCAAAACCCTACAAAAAATACACACAAAATTAGCTGGGTGTGGTGGTGCGCACCTGTGGTCCCAGCTACTCCAGAGGCTGAAGTGGGAGGATGGCTTGAGTGCAGGAGGCATAGGTTGCAGCGAGCCAAGATCACGCCACTGCACTCCAGCCTGTGAGACAGAGCCAGATCTTATCTCAAAAAACAAAATCTGCATTATTTATATCTGTTTAAAAAAAAAATACTCAGCTGGAGGCGGTGGCTCACGCTTTTAATCCCAGCACTCTGGGAGGCCGAGCAGATCACCTAAGGTTGGGAGTTCAAGACCAGCCTGGCCATGGTGAAACTATGGTGAAAAAATACAAAAAATTAGCCAGGCGTGGGGGGAGGCACCTGTAATCCCAGCTACTCGGGAGTCTGAGGCAGGAGAATCGCTTGAACCCGAGAGGCAGAGATTGCAGTGAGCCGAGATCACACCATTGCACTCCCAGCCTGGGCAACAAGAGCAAAACTCCATCTTAAAAAAAAAACAAAAACTCAAAAACAATCTTCAAAGCAATAAAAAGGAATATTAAGAAAACGAATTCTAACATGAACCTTTATGTAGTACAAGTTCAGGCTCTTGCATTTTTTTTTTGGGTAGGTCTCTTTCTTGTCCAGGCTGGTCTAGAACTCCTGGGCTTAAGCGCTCCTCCTGTGTCAGCCTCCCAAAGCGTCGGGCTTAGAGGCGTAAGCCACGCACTCAGCCTCTGGAAAGGATCTTAAGGGCATGTGGTTCACCAACCTCTACTCTTCCAGGGCCAGTCTAGGGTCCCAACATCTCCATCTTCAGCCCCTAGCTCTGGGCCAGGATGTGCACACACACCCCGATAGGCGCTTCTCCCTCAGAGCTTCGCCACTGTTCGACAGGTCCAAACATGAATGTCACCTCCACTCCTGCCGTATTTGGGCTCACCCAGTTCTCCCCTGGAGGTGGCACTCCCTGTCCCTCCTGTGTGGAGACACGCATTGAAAATGACTGTCTCCAACAACCCAGGACTTTAAAGCAAGGCAAACAAACACACACCAGGAACTTGTTCATCAAGTCTCAAAAACACCAGTATTACCAGTCGTATGATTCAAGGATTTATTAAGTCATACATGCAAAACATAATGCTAATTGCATTAGCAAAAGATCAATGTAAAAACACTCCACAATTCTGCAACTGTCAATTTAAAAAATTCTGTTGTAGTGGCTGAAGGGTCCCACGCTGTATTCTCGCCAGTGAGTTAAGTTGTACAGAACATCGTCAGCACTAGCACAGTTTACAGAACCTCACAGACCCAAAGGAACATCAATAGGCAAAGCGACTACAGGAGGCGTGTGTCCGCGTGGGCGAGGTAAAGAGGGTCAGTATTGGTCAAGTGACAGTGTCGGTAATCTGGCAAGACAGTGATGTTAAGAAGGTTCATAGTTTAAGAATTATCTAAAATATTTTAAAAACTATAAAGCTGCAACACATGATTTTTACACCTAGTTACTAGAAAACTAAGGAAAGCACTTATTAGCTCTGAATAAAGTAACATGGAAAGCACTTTTACTAATCGACAAAAAAACCTTCTAATGCATTATCAGAAAGATTTTATAATACAAGGAGGCATATTGCTCAGTCAGAAGGGGTTCTATAAGAAAAGCACTTACTAAGTTAGCGACTAACAGAACAACCAGTTTAAAGATGAATTAAATGCCCAATTTGGGGAGGCATGGCAGGTGTAAGAGAAAGGAAAAGCTTAAGAAAACATTTCCTGATAATACCAACCTTTCTTTCATCATCTACTGCATTTGACAGAAATTAACCTTTTAGAGTTTTTACCCGTGACACTTTCATTCCTTGTACAATGTAGTGTAAATCTCCACTTCGTATTTTGTCAAAATACTGTCTTTGTCCTTTGATCACACACACCCCACCCGGCACACCCACAGCTAAACAGAATTCTTCATTAGAGGAAATAGCAGTTCTGTTCAAAATCTCCGCAAAAGCTGGTCAGAAAACTCGCTATGAAATCACAAAGACTGATCCAAAGAGCTGAGCTGCTACGCTCACTCCATTACAGTACAATGTTATGTCGGGAACACGTGCTGCTAACTCACTGGTGAGTTCAATGGCAACGCTTCATTCGGGAGGCTGTTCTGCTTTACGCATCTGAGAACTACATAGGAGAGCAAGTGTCTGCACCTCCTAACTGCAGAAGCTACCGTCTTCTCAAAGACGAAGGTCTTTGCAAAGTTCAGTGCTCGGTGTTCTCGGCACAACAATGCAGTGTAGTTCAGAAGGTATTTTGGCAACTCTTAATCTGAACAAGAATGGGGGGGGCGCTTTTGAAAAATAAGGCTTTAAGAAGGCTTGTCATTTTAGGGCTAAATTTTAATAGAATGTGAGTCTGAACTCTTACATTTAGAACAAACAAAACCTTAAAATTACTGATTGGTTCAAAAAATGGTTTTATGGAAAAATTAATCTGTAACAAAAAGTTGGCATTGAGTGCGAAGGCTCCACCGTTGTTTTTTTTTTTTGTTTTTTTTTTTTGTTTTTTTTTGAGCAAAGCGTACAAAGGTTCCAAGGGACAGGACCAAGAACGAGGGGCTGAGACATTTACAACAGCAGGCATTTTCTCTTCCTCTTCTTCACGGGAGGCGGGCAGAGGACTGCTCGGATCGCTTCGTCAAACACTGTCTTGAGGCCTCGCTGTGTGAGCGCCGAGCACTCCAGGTATTTTACAGCACCTACAGGAAACACGACCACACGGCAATGTACACTCGACCCCACTCTCTTCTGATCACACCACCAGCGGGAGGCAGCTCCTGGGGCCCGGGCGCCTTCTGCCGGCTCCCAGCCCTGCTTCCACCTTCCAACGCTGACGTTAAGACCCACAGGGCCTTGCCAGCTGGTTCCCCAAGAGTACACCAGGCCCTGAGTGGGAGACACACACCCTCCTTTCCCAGACTGGACTCCAGTCTCTGTCACTACAATAAAAGAGGTACAAGGAGGAGGAAAAACACAGGATTCCATACCAATCTCCTTAGCCATGGCTAGACCCTGCGGATAGGTGATGGGAGTCAGCTTCTTCTCCTTCAGTTTCTCGATCGTGTCTTTATCATCCCTAAGATCAAGTTTAGTTCCCACTAGGATGATGGGAGTGTTGGGACAGTGGTGCCGCACCTCAGGATACCACTAGATGTGAAGAAGGAACAGAGGTTGTGACACGCTCCTTTACAGATGTCCTTCACCTAAATCACACCCAGCCGGCGGCACTCATGCCAGACACCTAACCTCAGGCAAGGCCTCCCCACGGAGGCTTCAGGTGGTTCCCACCTTCAATTCAAGCCTTGAGCCATAAGGAACATCTCAGGTGTTCCATTAGCAAGCTAGGACTCCCGGATCATGGCTGGACAGAACCACGACCGGACAGAACGGGCTCTACAACCGCAGGGGAAGGGGGGAAGGGAAGAGAAACAAAAGGAAGGGAGTTCCTCCCAAAGCAAATAGATCACTTTGTTTTTGGTAAAACAATTTCTTAGGGTCATCTGAGAAAATTCATCATCTGTTCAGAAATGAGAATAAACTACCTAGCCCAAGGTCTCAGGTCTGCCGCTATTATCTCCACTGAAAATGCCCCTACTGAAGGGCCTCACTTGTCATTTTCACTAAGAAGTTTGTGAAAGAGACTGGAGTAGAAAGAAATGGTCGTTATTTTTATTAGACCAATTCTGAGTGCCTCATTATTTTAATGAGACCCAGGAAACTTCTGAACCAGAACCTGAAGCTTTAAAAATCCACGTATTAGGCCGGGCATAGTGGCTCACACCTGAAATCCCAGCACTCTGGGAGTCTGCGGCGGGTGGATCACTTGAGGCCAGGGGTTCGAGACCAGCCTGGCAAACATGGTGAAACCCCGTCTCTACTAAAAGTACAAAAATTAGCCAGGTGTGTTGGCGGGCACCTGTAATCCCAGCTACTAAGGAGGCTGAGGCAGGAGAATTGCTTGAACCGGGAGGGGGAGGTTGCAGTGACCCAAGATTGTGCCACTGCACTCCAGCTTGGATGACAGTGCAAGATTCTGTCTCAGCCGGGCACGGTGGCCCACGCCTGTAATCCCAGCACTTTGGGAGGCCGAGACGCGCGGATCACCTGAGGTCGGGAGTTCGAGACCAGCCTGACTGACGTGGAGAAACCACATTTCTACTAAAAATACAAAATTAGCCGGGCGTGGTGGTGCATGCCTGTAATCCCAGTTACTCGGGAGGCTGAGGCATGAGAATCACTTGAACCCAGGAGGCGGAAGTTGCAGTGAGCCAAGATTGCGTCACTGCACTCCAGCCTGGGCAACAAGAGTGAAACTCCATCTCAAAAACAAAAACAAAAACAAAAAAAAAGACTCTCTCAAAAATAAATAAATAAAATAAACTGCTGATGGGCCAGATGCAGTGGCTCACAGCTATAATCCCACCACTTTGGGAGGCTGAAGCTGAAAGATCACTTCAACCCAGGAGTTTGAGACAAGCCAGGGTCTACAAAACCAGCCATACAAAAATTCTTTTAAGATTAGCCACGCATGGTGGTGCACATTTATGGTCCCAGCAACTCAGGAGGCTGGGGCAGGAGAACTGTTTGAGCCCAGGAGTTCAAGGCTACAGTGAGCTCTGATGTCACCACTACAACTCCAGCCTGGACACAACAGAGTGAGACCTCCGTCTCAAAAGAAAAAAAAAAACCCAATCATGTACTTAAGTAGCAAATTGCTAAAACCAATTTAAATAACTAAAAATTCCTAGGCTAAGTGATATTTTAAAGTATTTATTTCTGAGAGGATCATTCTATAACTTACATACACATTTTAAATCCCCACCTACCTTTGCACGGACATTTTCAAATGATGCAGGACTCACAAGGGAAAAGCAAATTAAGAACACATCCTACAAAAAGGAAACACAGGGAAACATTTAGACAACAACCTTAGAATGAAGCATGCACTTTGCTTTCTACATGTTGCTGGGAAGGACTTGTTGGACGCAGAGCGTGTCTACCAGTGGTGTGGTCAGACGCTTCCTGATCCACCCTTTCAGTTTGTCAGAGGGCTCCCAAACCAAACCCAGCATGTCAAGCCACCAGTTACTTATGAAAATGGGGAGCATGAAGGGAGAATGATGCTGGAAGCTCTTCAAGGATCAGGAGGATCAGACCAGACCCTCAGGAGGCTTCCTTTACGCCTAACTATCTAAAATGAAAAAATCAAGTATAAAGGTATGATTCCAATATTTCTGTAAAATCTGGTTTAGAGTACAAACAGTTTTAGATGGTCACTGGTTCCAATTAAACTGCTTCTTCAGGAGCTGCCTGTCACAGCTCCCAGCACCAAGCGGGGGCTCCAATATTTGCTACTTGAGCCCTTCCCTCCACAAGGAAGGAGGACTTAGTGTGTAAGTGGCACCTTCACAGCTGACAACCACCCTCACGCTGCCCTAGAGTCAGCACAGCCAGGGCCTCAGGAGAACTCGCTCCCGGGGCAGCTGTGGCTGACGCAGAGGCGCAAAGGGTGGGTGCAGAGGACAGAGTAGAGGGTGCTTCGGGGCACACGCCAAACATCTGCATGCTTCATCCATTCTGTATTTTGTGTCAAACCAAATTCAAATATTCACCTGTATTTAAAAATGCCCAAGAATTCTAAAATGCTAGATTTCTAAAATATTCTCCTGGAAAAAGGCAATTATGCTACTTTATGAAATGCACACAATTCCCAAGCTACACTTTCAACCCTCCAGCTGATACCTTGTACCTGAAAGGGAAAGAAACATCCCACACAACAGCTTTTTATAACTGGCATTTGAAGAATGCTGGCGCATGCACAAGCTCGTCCAAGAATCACCGCGGCACCCAGCACACCATCTCAAGCACGGTGGGGTTAGCTCAGCAGCACTGCACAGCCACGCCCAGACAGCCCCACCACACGGGACACCCAAGCGGAGAAAGAAGGCCCCGGCAACAAGGTTAGTCCTGCTCCGGCTCGGCTCACAGCCAGGTGGGCTTCCGGGAGGAGTCTCCATATCTGCATCTCCAACCAGCCAGGAGAGGGGCCCTCTCACTGTCCCCTCCTTTCACTTGGGAGGAGAAGATCACAGTTCACAAACTGCTTTAATTCAAGCCGGTGGGTAAACTATCACACTCTAATGAAGTTTATTTCATCAAGCAAAACCCCAACCTTGAGTGAATTAAATATAAAACACTCAAGGAGCTTGAGGCTTAATAAAAAATCCTAGGAAAACGAAGTGAAATGAGAGAACAGAGAAAGCTTGAAACTGAAGTGGACTGAAAGTTTTACATACGGCAATCGGCTTGTCTTTGCCCCGGGAGGTTATATCCTTACCGTACGTTTCTCCAACCTAGTAATGCATGAGAACTTGGTTTGAGTTTAGTACAGACTGAGGACAACAAAAATCAATATAACCTCTTATCGATTCTTTATTAGAATTTTGTCTTAACCCTCCGGAGAGATCCAAAAGCATACAATAGATTCTAACATATCTTCGATGACAAATGCCACTGAAACACTCCACGCTACCTGGTCAAAAGCAGGCGTTAAGTTCAACGATGGTGAAGACAGAGGTCAGGGAGATCCTGAGGGGGGGCAACAACGTGCTCCTCCTCCCATGGCAGCACCCACCAGAATCTACAACAGCTGGCACAGCCGGAGATGTTCTGCACTGTCCCTTACCGCAAAGGCAGGCGGGAGCCACGGGCACTTTCAAGTGCTCCATCCGAGTTCTCAGACACAGCCTAGTTGAAGCCACAGCATACAGGAAAAGGACCCGTCTGTAAATGATGCCTGCCAAAGGGCTCTCCCAGAACATAGCCGGGCCTCAGGGTTTTAATGCTGCCAGAACATTCCAAGTCTCCTATGCAGAAATGTTCCTATCTTCCACCTAGTTCTGGGAGACTGGTTTGAATGTACAGACTTGCATTATCAAAATCAGCACTGTTGCTGACACTAAGACCTCCAATTCTGGGCTACTTTGTAGGTCTGGGGGAAGCCACCCCTTAAGGACAAGCGTTTTTGAGACGGAGTCTTGCTCTGTTGCCCAGGCTGGAGTGCAATGGTGAGATCTCAGCTCACTGCAACCTCTGCCTCCTGGGTTCAAGCGATTCTCCTGCCTTAGCCTCCCAAGTAGCTGGGACTACAGGCACACACCACCACGCCCAGCTAATTTTTTGTATTTTTAGTAGAGACCAGGTTTCACCATGTTGGCCAGGCTGGTCTCAAACTCTTGACCTCAGGTGCTCCACCCACCTTGGCTTCCCAACGTGCTGGGATTACAGGCATGAGCCACCACTTTCAGCCATGGACAAATTTTAGAAGTGACACTTCCAGTGTTTATCACAATGCTGTCAATTCATTTCTTTGTTCCAATAAAAACTGACAAACTCGCTCTTCCAACATAGAACCCTGGAACTCTTTTAAGAAAAGCGCTCACGCCTCTAATCCCAACACCTTGGGAGGCCGAGGCAGGTGGATCACGAGGTCAGGAGTTCAAGGCCAACCTGGCCAAGATGGTGAAACCCTGTGTCTACTAAAAATACAAAAAATTAGCCGGGCATGGTGGCAGGCACCTGTAATCCCAGCTACTCGGGAGGCTGAGGCAGAGAACTGCTTGAACCCGGGAGGTGGAGGTTGCAGTGAGGCGAGATTGTGACACTGCACTCCAGTCTGGGTGACAGAGCGAGACCCTGTCTCAAAATGAGAAAATTATTTTAATTTCATCTCACTCAAGCTTTTCTTTTTTTCTTTTTTTTCTTTTTTTTTTTTGAGACAGAGTCTCGCTCTGTCGCCCAGGCTGGAGTGCAGTGGCGCGATCTCGGCTCACTGCAAGCTCCACCTCCCGGGTTCACGCCATTCTCCTGCCTCAGCATCCCCAGTAGCTGGGACTACAGGTATCCGCCACTGCGCCCAGCTAAATTTTTTGTATTTTTAGTAGAGACGGGGTTTCTTTTCTTTTTTTTTTTTTTTTTTGTTTTTGAGAGGGAGTCTCGCTCTGTCGCCCAGGCTGGAGTGCAGTGGCACGATCTTGGCTCACTGCAAGCTCCGCCTCCCAGGTTCACACCATTCTCCCTGCCTCAGCCTCCCGAGTAGCTGGGACCACAGGTGCCCGCCACCACGCCCGGCTAATTTTTTGTATTTTTAGTAGAGACGAGGTTTCAACGTGTTAGCCAGGATGGTCTCGATCTCCTGACCTCGTGATCCGCCCACCTCGGCCTCCCAAAGTGCTGGGATTACAGGCGTGAGCCACCGTGCCAGGCCACTCAAGCTTTCCTGACTTAACATTCAAAGAGCACATTAGTTTCCACAGCTATCTGGGTTTCATCTATGGGCTACTGTTGAAGATTTGTCCTCCCAAGGACTTCATATGGTGCCAAATCTTTACCATGGGAGAGGATCATCGAGAACCAGTTACAAAAATGCAGCTTCCAAAGAGCCTCTGATCGTATCTGTGGCATGCTTTCGATTTTTAAGAGCCTCTTTTTTGATGGAGAAGAGACACACACGACAGGAGCGAGCAGTTCCACTTTCCACCCGGCGTTCGTGCTATGCCATCTGCCTGTTCCTTCCTTGTTCCTTCTTCGTCCCCAGCTAAATATAGCTTCCCAAAACCCTGTCTAGTGCTTCTGGTACTCACTTCCTAGCATCCCCTCCTCCCGGCCGTCGCTGTCCTGACGCTTCACATACAGAGGCTGTGCTGGCTGACCCTGGCTGGGAGGCTCTATTTCTTCCCCGTCCTCGTAACACTCAAGAGGACCTGAGAGGGCACCACCGGTGTCTCTCCAGGGTCTCTCAGTTTCCTTCCTCACAGGTCACTTGTGTGTTCTGGAGCCTCAGGCTGTCTCCGGTCACCGGCCTATGTTTCCAGTCAACCTGAGCACTGCTTTCCCCTTTCTGACTAACCCAGACTCCCGCGTGCCTGTTACACACGTGGTGCCTTCAACGCCTTTGTTACTCCTGCATCACACACCACTCCCTCCTCGGTGGTAAGTGTAGCCAGGGCTGCTCTTCCCACAGCCTCCTGCCCACTGGTGGAACCATCCACAACAGATGGGTCCACTTTCCATGGAGTAAGACAGGGCGGGCATCTGGACAGCTGAGATCTCACTACAAAAAAGTAGTGTTGTTTCTACTTCGTTTTATTCTCTTCCAAATGCTATCCACCTGGATTTTACTTTCAAGTTTGGAATTTTAAAACACACAGACATTCTGGCCAGGCGCAGTGGCTCACGCCTGTAATCCTGTAAAAGGGTCAGGCAGCCCTGACGTATGAGAACCAGCCTGGCACTCGCAGCTTCGCCCTGGTGGAGGTGTTACTATTGAATAGAATAATCTCGCAGAACACTAACATCAGAGAAGGTCACCTGTGTGACTGTGCTGAAATAGGACCAAAAGTAAGTAAACTTTAAAAAAAACAACTCATAATCGTTTCTAAGTAGTGACAAATCCAAGATCATCATACAAACCACAAAAATCACCAAATATCCCCTGCTCCCGGCCAGTAAGAGTGAGGGCCGAATTCCCACAGTCCCCAGGTGCGTGTTTCCCTCGCGGCGAAGAGTAACAACTCTAGTTCTGCGGAACCACATGTGTGTGCCTGGTGCTCTCTGGCTGCACTTGTAACAGCCAACCTCACAAAAGCTGAGGCCTTTTGAAACTCAAAACTGCCAAGCTGAACACCACAGTTTTTCTTTTTATCTACCATCACAGGAGTCTAGCCCACCACTTTAAAACCTCTAGCACTGGCCAGGCGTAGTGGCTCACGCCTGTAATCCCAGCACTTTGGGAGGCAGAGGCAGGCGGATCACCTGAGGTCAGGAGTTGGAGACCAGCCTGACCAAAGTGGAGAAACCCCCGTCTCTACTAAAAATACAAAATTTGTAATCCCAGCACTTGGGGAGGCCAAGGCGGGCGGATCACAAGCTCAGGAGATCAAGACCATCCTGGCTAACATGGTGAAACCCCGTCTCTACTAAAAATATAAAAAATTAGTCAGGTGTGGTGGCGGGCGCCTGTAGTCCCAGCTACTTGGGAGGCTGAGGCAGGAGAATGGCGTGAACCCAGGAGGTGAAGCTTGCAGTGAGCCAAGATCGCACCATTGCACTCCAGCCTGGGCGACAGAGCAAGACTCCGTCTCAAAAAAAATAAAATACAAAACAAAATTAGCCAGGCATGGTAGCACATGCCTGTAGTCCCAGCTACTTGAGAGACTAGGGCGGGAAAGTCACTTGAACCTGGGAAGCGGAGGTTGCAGTGAGCCAAGATCACACCATTGCACTCCAGCCTGGGCAACAAGAGCGAAACTCTGTCTCAAACAACAACAACAACAACAACAACTTTTAGCCTAGAGAGAAAATGAAACAACTGGCATGACGCACTGGGGTCCTGGCTGACCCCAACATGGAGGCTCAGCATCTCAGCGAACCCGCTGCACAGCCTGAGTCTCAGGACACACACAGGGCTCAGGACTCGCTGTGACACTGACAGGTCACTTAGGCTCCCACTCACACCACCAATGCTGGTACAAGCAGGCAAATAAATACAGGTGATCTACACAAGGGAAGATGCTGGACTTGAGCGTTACTCTGACAAGACTTGATTCTGTGCATAGCAACTGAAGATGAGTATGCAGAACTTAGCAAAGATTTTCAAGAGAAAATAATGTAAGGATTACGTAATTCGGGAAATAAAAACCTGAAGGGCAATTTCAACTAAGAATGGCGACTACCTGCTCACCATCTTTTGGAGAACGAAGAAGAAATGAATGGTCTGAACAGACTTAGCCCGACAGAGCTGCCCAATAGAGAGGATGCCAATGTTAAATGACCACAAGAAATGTAACATCTCTTTTTAGGACACCCTAGATAAGAAATCTTCCAACTGGTCCTTCAGGAGAGTGTCTAAGCAGTCTTGGATGAGCTACATCAACAGGTCTGCAGACCACAGAGCCAGCAATCAGGGACCACATTCCATGTAGTACAAAATTTAGAGGTTTCCCCTTTATCAACAAGAGACCCAGGTGCCAGCATGTTACTACCAGATCCAGTTCTTCTTAGGACAGTGTGGCTCAAAGGGATGAGACCTTCCAGACACTGGTATCTGAGCATCTGTGGCCTGCCCCTGAGTTGTCAAGATAATTTCCTTATCTCTGAAGGAGTCCAGACAGGAATGCTTCCACTGCTGGGTGGGTGCTCGCCCCTCTTGCTCCTTAAGCGCCCGGCTCACCCCCTTGCTAGCACAGGGTGTCTTACACAGTTTATGGGACTTTTCTGTGAACTACCTGAGGGCAAGAACCATGTCCCACTCCCTCCTTGCTCCTCAAATATTTTATAGGAAAGCAGTCCACAGTCTCACACAGAGGAAACATGAAGTTTAAGTTCTAGCCCTATGAGGACAACACCTACTTTGATACCAGGCGTCACACTCTACAGCTTTGTTCAAGCTGAGGAGAGTTCTCTTTCCTTATCTGTGTGTTCCTCAGAACACAAAGTGGGACTCCTGCCAAGTCACCCTTGACTTACTGTGAGGCCTTCCTTAGAGAGGCCTCACCCTGCCCGGTACCCCCTGAGTCACAGCAGGGTGGCTCTTGTTTCTCAGAATGACACCACACCCTTCCACATGTGTCCAGTGGGCTGAAGTCTCCTACTCTACCAGCCAGTATGTTTTTAAATCCATTTACAATCTGAATTATTAAACATCCACTGGGTATAGAAGAGTTTCCTAAGATACTGAAGAATTTGAATTGTCTGGGGATTATAGACTGATTTTTAATACAGCAGACTTAACCACTAAGTTATTTCACCCATATTACCCCCTACAACGAAGTACTGGTTGAATCAATCACAGGCTGCCTCATCATCAATCAGGGCTCAAAGCCAGCCTTTCTCTAGGATGTCTTCCTGACCTCAACCCAACCCCAACCCCAATCCCTCCGGCCAACCCAGGTGTGCTGAGCACCACACAACTTCCACTCATTTGGGCACAACGTGGAAAGCAGCACTCTTTAGGCCGACCCACCCGCACACTGAGGAACAGGAGAATTCTGACAGCGGCTGGCCCCACAGTGTGTGCTATGTGCCCAGGACTGTTATGCGTGCGTGACACGTACTCATCTCACCCTACAAGGAAACAGGCAAAGACTGGAGAGAGGATGAAGCCTGCCTGAAGTCACAGAGCTAGGACATGCACACAGGTTATCAACCCAAGGAATCTCAAGCATATTTAACTTTTGCTTCCAAAGATACTTTTAAAAATGAAGAACAAACATGTAACAAGATAAGCAAATGATACACAAGTAAAACCGCTGCTTAAAGAAAAGTAACTTTTAATGACAACAATGTCTTCTAAGTACCCATTTTCACCAGCTACTGCTCTAATTAGCTTTGGTAAATAAATCACTTAGTTGTCTGATACAGAAGCAAAAGTAAACTTTTTTTTCTGATTAGACACAGTGGATACATTTTACAAAACCAAAACTTCAATCTACATTGAATAAATTTAGGTTCTATTGTATGGTTCACAAAATCCATACAAATTATGTATTTTGTGGGAAAAAATGTATTAAACCTGTGAGATTAGTTACTAACTTGGTTTAAAGAAACCTGAATCTTAACTGCCTAATTTGATTCTGTGGTACAAAAATGTCACACAGCAAACCTGCCTTCAAACTAATTGGTGTTAAAAACTGGTTTGCAAAAACAAAAAGTAGCTCTTTCATACGGTTATTCTAAAGCTAAATGGAAGACTGTAAAATGCCCAACAATGGAACAGCTGGTAACGCTCAAAACACAAAACCCCTGGGCTTGCATCTAGGGGGATGTTTACATGGAACCAATCCCACCCTGTTTGCTATTTACTCAATACCCAAATGATGGCAATATAAGCAAGTCCATAGGTAACATGCACTAATTAAGCGCTCGAGAATTATATACTCTAAAAGACACATTAAAAGTCAGCTGCAATCCTTACTGTTTGCGGATAGGATAGGGGGCGTAATCTGTCATAATCTTCTTGTCCAGCTGTATCCCATAAGCCCAGATTCACCGGTTTTCCATCTACCATAACATTGGCAGAATAATTGTCAAAGCTGTAGAATGGAATGAAAATGGTTAGTCACAGGTGTAGAAGCTAAGTCACTGTCCCAGCCATCCTAGAGAAGGTGTGCCAAGAAAAAGGCTGGGGACGGGCCTGGAGGCTGCCACACCAGCAAATGTCCCTGCAGGCACAAGGAGGAAGGCGGCACGGGCAAAACTTGCGGGAAACAAACCAAACCCAACCCAAAACTTAAGAGAAATGAAAGAAACAAACAACAAGCTATTTAAGTGAAACAAATCACCGTCAGAAATAAAAACATTTTACTTTAAACAAAGTTTAAGACTTTTATCCCCAGAAGAAATAAGGGTACAATTAGCCCCGCTTTCAAATCCTACTTGTTGGGTTTTTCATGTACTTATGTTGCTCATTTTCAGCAAGAGAGCTAGCTGGCCACTAGAGCTACCCTCTGCAGGGTTTCCAGAAGGCCTGAGTGTAGAGCAGTCACACAAAATACACCTGACTTAACAAGCCTCCCAATAACATTTTCAAAGTGAGTGTTAACTGATGATACAAATGTTTAAATTCATGTGAAGTTGCTACACAAATTAGTCAGGAGAGATAACCCAGCAAAGCCTATAGGCTGACAGAGGGAAATCAGACTGATGTTAAAAATTGCTACTGGTCAGCAGAAACCAAGCTTTAGAAGAAAATAGTGTTTCCTCTGCACAGGAAGGCAAAAAAGAAAAAAAAAAAAAGGAAAAATATAATAAAAAGCAGAGGCTGGGCACGGTGGCTCACGCCTGTAATCCCAGCACTTTGGGAGGCCGAGGTGGGCGGATCACCTGAGGTCAAGAGTTCGAGACCAGCCTGGCCAACATGACGAAACTTTGTGTCTACTAAAAATGCAAAAATTAGCCAGGGCGTGGTGACAGGCACCTGTAGTCCCAGCTACTTGGGAGGCTGAGGCAAGAGAATCGCTTGAACCCGGGAAGCAGAGGTTGCAGTGGGCCAAGTTGCGCCACTGCACTCCGGCCTGGGCAACAAGTGCGAAACTCGGTCTCAAGAAAAAAGAAGAAGAAGAAAGAAAAGGTGTGATGGTGATGGACATGTTAATTATATTTCCATAAGAAAAAAATTATTGGATAAATAGTATTGTGACTTTTTTTCCCCATAAGGGAAAAAGAATCAGGTCCTTGCCTCATTCTATACCAAAAATAAGTCCTAAATGAATTAAAGATAAAAATTTTAGCCACAAAAATCCTAGAAAAAAATACTAGAGCATACTTTTGCATTATTTAAGTAGGAAAGGCCTTTCTAAGTACAACATACAATTCTGAGGGAGAGGTGGTATTATCATTATTATTATTATTTTTTTTTTGAGACAGAATCTCACTGTCACCCAGGCTGGAGTGCAGTGGTGCGATCTCGGCTCACTGCAACCTCCACCTCCTGGGTTCAAGTGATTCTCCTGCCTCAGCCTCCTGAGGAGCTGGGATTACAGGTGCACGCCACCATGCCCGGTTAATTTTTGTATTTTTAGTAGAGATGGGGTTTCACCATGTTGATCAGGCTGGTCTTGATCTCCTGACCTCATAATGCGCCCACCTCAGCTTCCCAAAGTGCTGGAATTACAGGTGTGAGCCACCGTGCCCGGGTAAGGTGGTATTATTTACATTAAATGCTAAATTTCTATATGGCAGAAGACACCATAATGAAGTACAAAGACAAATGACAGACTGAGGATTATTTACAAAACGTTCCATCAGGCTACGTGCAGTGGAGCATGCTACTCAATAGGCTGAGGTGGAAGGACCAGTACTTCAAGTCCGGCCTGGGCAATACTGCAAGACCCCATCTCAAAAAAAAAAAAAAAAAAAAAGGGAGGGAGGGAGGGAGCAAGGGAGGGAGGGGAAAAGAAAGGAGAAGGAAGGAGGGAAGGAGGGAAGGAGTAGGAGAGGAGGGAAGGAGGGAGAGAGGGAGGGAGAGGAGGAGGGAGGGAAGAAAGGAAGGGAGGAAGGGAGGGAGAGAGGGAGGGAGGGAAGGAAGGAAGGAAATGTTCCATCAGTAAGAAAAAATTTCAGTAGAAAAATACAAAAGATTTAAACAGACAATTCACAAGAGACTAAAAATGTACAGTAAACATTCAAAAGAGCCAGGTGTGGTGGCTCACGCCTGTAATCCCAACACTTCGGGAGACCAAGGTGGAGAATCACCTGAGGCCAGGTCTTCAAGACCAGCCTGGGCAATATAGCAAAACATAGCTCTACAAAAACACATATTTTTTTTTTCTTTTTTGGAGACAATGTCTTGTTCTGTTGCCCAGGCTGGAGTGCAGAGGCACAATCTTGGCTCACTGCAACCTCCACCTCCCAGGTTCAAGCAATCCTCCTGCCTCAGCCTCCCGAATAGCTGGGATTATAGTCATGTGCCACCATGCCCAGCTAATTTTTGTATTTTTAGTAGAGACAGGGTTTCACCATCTTGGCCAAGTTGGTCTCAAACTCCTTACCTCAGTGATCCGCCCAGCTCAGCCTCCCCAAGTGCTGGGATTACAGGCGTGAGCAAACTTTTTTAATTAAAAAAAAAAAAAATTCAAAAGATTTTAACCACATCTGTGATTGGAAATGAAAACGGTTAGATAACTTCAACCCACGTTAATGGCAGTGTGTACTAAGAGGCCACTTAAGTCAAGGCCAGCAAAGTGACAGCTTTATAGACAGCAATTTGGTAGTTATCTACCAAAAAATAATTTTTTAATTTTTTTTTTTTTTTGGGAGACAGAGTCTCACTCTGTTACCCAGGCTGAAGTGCAGTGGCACAATCTTGGCTCACTGCAACCTCTGCTTCCCGGGTTCAAGCAATTCTCATGCCTCAGCCTCCTGAGTAGCTGGGACTACAGGAGTGCACCACCACACCCGGCTAACTACTGTATTTTTAGCAGAGGTGGGGGTTTTAACATGTTGGCCAGGTTGGTCTCGAACTCCTGACCTCAAGTGATCCTTCCGTCTTGGCCTCCCAAAGTGCTGGGATTACAGGCGTGAGCAATCACGCCCAGCTGTATCTACCAAAATTTAAAACATCCATTGTCTTTTGATTTGGCACGATTTTGCTTCTAATAATCTATCAAGTGTACACAAAGACATAAGGGACAACACTGAACCCAGCAATGTTTGTTAACACCAAGAGTCCAAGTGACCAGTGGGTTAAATCAGTTATAGTACTTCAAAATCATTAATCATTAATGATTAAACCTTTATCTACATATGTAGATAAGGAAAATCTCCCCCATAAATTTAGGACAACAGGGACAGCATGATTCCACTTACAGTAAAAAATGGGTGCCGTGGCTCACGCCTGTAATCCCAGCACTTTGGGAGGCTGAAGTGGGCAGATCACCTGAGGTCAGGAGTTTGAGACCAACCTGGCCAACATGGTGAAACCCGTCTCTACTAAAGAAACAAAAATTAGCCAGGTGTGGTGGTGTATGCCTGTAATCACAGCTACCTGGGAGGCTGAGGCAGAGAATCACTTGAACCCAGGAGGCAGACGCTGCAGTGAGCTGAGATCGCATCACAGCACTCCATCCTGGGCAAGAGAGAGAGACTAACTCCAAAAAAAAAAAAAAAAAAGGAAAACAACAACAACAACAACAAAAACATGGGTACGACACTTCAGAGAGCACCTGGGTGTGTGTTGTGCCTGAGGAGGTGAACACAGGTGGGGAGGAGGCGACACCTCCCCAGCCTGCACAGGGAGGACTCACAGCAGCTGCAGGATGGTGCATTATGAGGCTCAGCTACGTGCGCTCCCGGGTAACCCATCACCAGAGCAGCACTTTCCTGTCTCCACCCAATTCTGCTGCCTATAGGGAGTAAGCAATTCAATAGCCAATTCCAC
This sequence comes from Homo sapiens, assembly GCF_000001405.40. NCBI lineage: Eukaryota > Metazoa > Chordata > Mammalia > Primates > Hominidae > Homo > Homo sapiens. Next base: position 6,388,078 of record NC_000007.14, on the reverse strand, counting down.
CCTCCCATTCCCCCTTCAACACACACACCCAAGTTTCAATTCCAAAGCCCTACACCTCAATGCGGACATGTAACCAACTGATGACTTATCAGAAAAGGCCAATTAAAACGTAATGGAATCTTTCCCTTTCCAGTTCCCAGAAAGCCAGTGTATCTGAAACTCGTGCACTGACAAGGACTGTTTCTGATCAGACTTTTGGTCAGAGTTCTTGTGTCCAACTATGGTTTTCTTTAACATCATCCAGTCTCTGTACCTCACAGACAGTTAAAGTTTGCTTTCTGGATGTCTAAAAATCAACTAGCAAAGTTGTGAAAAGTTTATATTACCCTAAGTTTCTTTTTTTTTTTTCTTTTGAGATGGAGTTTCGCTCTCATTGCCCAGGCTGGAGTGCAGTGGCGTGATCTTGGCTCACTGCAACCTCCGCCTCCACGGTTCGAGTGATTCTCCTGCCTCAGCCTCCCAAGTATGTGGGATTACAGGCACCCGCCACCACACCTGGCTAATTTTTTGTATTTTTAGTAGAGATGGGGTTTCATCACGTTGACCATGCTGGTCTCGAACTCCTGACCCTCAGTTGATCCACCCGCCTCAGTCTCCCAAAGTGCTGAGATCACCACCCCCAGCCCTATTTTTTAAAAGCCTAATATACCTTATAATTAGGTTTCAGTGAATGTTTAAGAAAAAATTAGTATCTGTTCATATGAGGATTAAAGATGGCTTTACAGCAAAACAAATGGTCAAAGAAATGTGAAACCCGTAACACAAACAGGTTAATTCCCAATTTAAGATACTTACACAGTAGGGATATATTCTCCAGGAAATGCATTGGTTGTGTAACTGATCAGTAGGCAAGTTTTACCTACAGCTCTAAAGAGAAAGAGAAAAAAGGTTGCTTAGTCAACATGAATGTAATCTTAGCTTTCACTATTAAGTTAAAATAATTTCTAGAGAAAAAAAATCAAGGCATATACATCACATACTTAGCATTAAAGAAAATGTTTTCTATAACCCTTTATCACCACATACACATTGGTACCCTGAAATTTAAAGTAAACAAACTAGAATTTCTCAGAAAGATAGAGTCAGGAGCCATCACATTCTGTTTAGGTACCCGGTGTTAGCATTAATAGTCAAGAAACAGTTGTCACCTAGCTACAAGACTCAAGAGAAACAAGATTTTAAAACTTCACGTCTCTTCTGTGAACATCTGTAGAGCCTCTCATCAAGAATCTTAAGTTTGATCCTGAAGATATTTTCTTTTTTTCTTTTTTTTCTTTTTTTTTTTTTTTTGAGACCGAGTCTCGTGCTGTCGCCCCAGCTGGAGTGCAGTGCAGAGGCACCATCTTGGCTCACTGCAACCTCTGCCTCCCAGGTTCAAGCGATTCTCCTGCCTCAGCCTCCCAAGTAGCTGGGATTACAGCTGTCCACCACCACGCCTGGATAATTTTTTTGTATTTTTAGTAGAGATGGGTTTTCGCCATGTTGGCCAGGCTGGTCTCGAACTCCTGACCTCAAGTGATCCGCCCACCTGGACCTCCCAAAGTGCTGGGATTACAGGCTGGAGCCACCACACCCAGCCTAAAGGTATTTTAATTAACACTAATATACAAACACAGCCTTCCTCTTTAAGTAACTTATTCTGCTGCCTTAAGTGGGACAGCTCAAAATCCCACCACATCCCTACAGCCTCCCCTATGGCAATCAGCAATGACTGTTCTCTTGAGAGAAAGTGCTTAGTCAATAAACTACCACACGTAACTGCCATCACATTGATTCAGCTGTATTTAAATGCCACCTCCCCCAGCCCCAATCCTCACACAGCACCATAAGTCTATAAGCAGGGACTATCACAATACATCCCAGACATTTAATTAACAGCTCAGAGACGATGGGAGTTAAACTTGCCAAACAGAGAAGTGTGTAGAAATACTTCAGAGAAAGGAGCACCACCTGCACAACTGGCAATGGGTAGAGACTAATCCTAATATTACCAGTGTGCCGCCAGGCAGAAGAGTGGTGGCTGAAAGTCTCCCAACCACCTGGAATGTTTTTCAAGAGGCTATCACCTAATAACTAAGGTCACCACATCATTAGCAAAACATAAAGGTCTCCAATTTTTACAGCATTGACAAGGCAAGCTTAAGGGCTTACATGAGAATTCAAGTCTCTGGCATCCTGAGGGTTCAGTTAGCCAAGTGCTCTCCTTAATGAGCCCTTCTCTCTGCTGTGCTGTCAGTTTACCAAGGTCACAATGACACATCAGCATCATAATTTTAAGATTTTTGTCGTTCAATCTCAACTACTATAAATTAGAATTCACCATAAAGTTAAGCGCTTTTCCATTTTCCCTCACACTCAAGGCAGATTACAGGCCCAGCCAGTCTTGCCAATATTCATTCACTCATGACATTATTGAGGGCTTAACAAAAGTTGGAACTCCCCATTCCAAAGACTTTAGAGAGTCAAACATTACATCACCAGGAAGTAGCTTCCAACTCCTAAAGGCTTTCTAAACAGAAATGACTCATTGGACATACATTTCGTTAAAAGCTTAGAATGTGAAAATAAACCTGTATGAGCAGGAGCCTAAGCTTTGGAGTCAGAAGCCCAGATTTGAGACCCAGGGCCAATTCTAGCACGTACTGGCTGTATTTTTTGGCAAGTTTCAACTTCCTCATGCCTTTTTTTTTCACCTGCAAAATTAATGCAGAACTACCAGCTCCATCCCCAAACTACTGTGAGCATTAATTCAATTTCAATTTATATCAACCGTGTGCTACACCAGAAGCACACTAGGTGCTAAAGATGTATCAATGAACAAGACCTCATGAAGTAAGTGCAGTTGTTAAATTTAAAAATTAAGAATGCAATCATCACATGAAATTATGCGTGTGATAACTGTCATTATTAAAGCAGCTCTGGAAATGTACAGCAAAAGAGCTAACATTTCTAGAGCTGAAAAAAATATTTTTAGGCCAGGCATGGTGGCTCATGCCTGTAATCCTAGCACTTTGGGAGGCTGAGGTGGGTGGATCGCTTGAGCCCAGGAGTTCAAGACCAGCTGGGCCAACATGGAGAAACCCGTTCTCTACTAAAAATACAAAAATTAGGTGGGTGTGGCGGTGTGCAGCAGTAGTCTCAGCTACTTGGGGGGCTGAGGCACGAGGATCACTTGAACCCAGGAGGGAGGTCAAGGCTGCAGTGAAACAAGATTGCACCAGTGCATCCAGTCTGAGGGACAAAGTGAGACCCTGTCTCAAAAAAATAAATTTTTTTAAATTAAAAAATAAAAGCCTGGTGCAGTGGCTTAGGCCTGTAATCCCAGCACAGGAGGCTATAATCCCAGCACAGGGGCCTGAGGTGGGAGGATCGCTGAGCCCAGGAGTTCAAGACCAGCCTGGGCAACATAGGGAGACCTTGTTTCCACAAAAAATTCAAAAATAAGTGGTGGCTCTTGCCTGTAGTCCCAGCTACTCAGGAGGCTGAAGCAAGAGGATCCCTTCAGCCCAGGAATTCAGGGCAGCAGTGAGCTGTGATCACACCACTCCACCCAGCCTAGGTGACAAAGCACGATCCCATCTCAACAATAAAAAAATAAGTGGGCAGTGGCATAGGGAAATACGTTACCTCTTCTTGTTAAGGACATGGGGACTAGATCCTACTTGGAAAGTCACAGGTTTTAAATTGCCCAGAAAGCACTGGATTTTAGAAGAAGCCTCCAACTGCAGTGTGGCAGGAAGCCTGAGGACGCCAGGGACTCAGTCAAGGCAGACACACATGGAAGCTGTTGCTACAGTCCAGGAGCCATCCATGGTGGCCTGGACCAAGAATGGGGACTGGACAGTGAACATAAGTGGGCTGTTTCCTGGACTGCTTGAACTTGGAGGCAGATCAAGCATCGCTTACCCATGGTTTGGATGTGGCAGCTGAGGAAGAAAGTGGAGCCTAAGGCTCTAAGGGACCTTTTTAAAAATGATAAAGGTTGGCTGGGCTCGGTGGCTCACACATGTAATCCCAGCACTTTGGGAGGCCAAGGCGGGCGGATCACCTGAGGTCAGGAATTCGAGAAGAGCCTGACCAACATGGAGAAACCCCTCTCTACTAAAAATACAAAATTAGCCGGGCGTGCATGCCTGTAATCCCAGCTACTCGGGAGGCTGAAGCAGGAGAGTCGCTTGAACCCGGGAGGCGGAAGTTGCAGTGAGCCGAGATTGCGCCATTGCACTCCAGCCTGGGCAACAAGAGCAAAACTCCGTCTCAAAAAAAAAAAAAAAAAAAAAAAAAAAAAAAAAAAGATAAAGGTTGTGTAAAAACCTTAACAATAGTTGCCACTCAGTGTCAAGGATAAGCTGCTATGAAGGTTTTGACTGTTATGATAAAATGTCATTATCACTTCTTTTACTATTCTGTCCTAAGTCTCTATGTATATGAGGAACAAAACTACTAATATAAAGGCAACCAGCTGTGTCTAAAATCCTCTAAACTTCCTTTCCTGAATGACATCTTTAGCTGAGAAAGGCTCAACCGGGAAGAAATTCAAGGTACTGGCATAATCTGATACTGACTGAAATTTTATTACCAATCACTATTTGTTACAAATCTATGTCTTATAAGAATATGATTATTAAACTACAGAATTCTTAAAGTGCAACCTTATATTTAAGCTTAGTGCAATCAAAAGATAAAATCGACTCCTCTTTAAGTCTTCTGATTAAAACTTTTACTTAATTTATTCAAATAGGTAAAAGAAAAAGGTTATTCCACTCCTATTAGTGTATATTCATTCCTTGTCCACGCTGCGCTTCCACAAACCAAGTCAACATCTGCACTGGGCAATGTGACAGCCTTTCCATGGCCTTTCCCTCATGAAGAATGGAAGCCGTATTTGGCCACAAGTCTTGACTGATACTGCTGGAGAATTTCTGGTAGTTACTACTTCTTTGGAATTTCTAACTTTATATAATTAACTGCTCAGTTCAACCTCTTTTCAATCATCGAGCAATGTCATCACTCTAGGAAACGAACATGAGTCGGCTGGAAGAAAGTTCATGCCATTTCTACATTGGATTTCCCCCTAGCTCATGATGCTACAATTTTTTTTAACCTATCTGTGCTTCCCCTGCCCTGTCCTGTAGAAATAACCACAATGAAAGCAAATAACTTATGTTGCTATTATGTTCTTCATTTTTCCATTAAGAGAACTTTAAGACGGAGTCTTGGCTCTGTCTTCCAGGCTGGAGCCCAATGGTGCAATCCTGGCTTACCACAACCTCTGCCTGCTGGGTTCGAACAATTCTCCTGCCTCAGCCTCCCAAGTAGCTGGGACTACACGTAAGCACCACCACATCCAGCTAATTTTTTTTTGTTGTTGTATTTTCAGTAGAGACAGGGTTTTGCCATGTTGGCCAGACTGGTCTCGAATTCCTGACCTCAGGAGATCCACCCCATCGGCCTCCCAAAGTGCTGGGGTTACAGGCGTGAGCCACCACGCCCAGCCAAGAGAACTTTTTACTTACTTTTTGAGGAGAGTAGGGTAAACTTTAGTGTTACTTCCTGAAATCTATAAACCAAAACTTAAAAGCACAATCAACAAATCTAGAAACGCTAGGAATTTCCTCACGTTAAAAAAATAAAAGATCCAAGAAGCTCAAAAAATAACAACTTTCTGCACTGCCTTCTTTTAAAGACACGTTGATCTCAGGACAGAAAAGCCAAACTCTTCCAATGACAATTACAATTGCAAACCAAAATACAGAGCATATATTGCTGTCTAAAAGTGAGTAGATCTTGGCCAGGCGCAGTGGCTCTTCCCTGTAATCCCAGCAAGAGGCCAAGGCGGGTGGATCACTTCAGGCCAGGAGTTCGAGACCAGACTGACCAACACAGCGAAACTGCATCTCTATTAAAAATACAAAAAATTAGCTGAGTGTGGTGGCAGGCGCCTGTAATCCCAGCTACTCAGGAGGCTGAGGCAGAAGTATCGCTTGAGGCCACGGGGTAGAGGTTGCAGTGAGCTGAGATCGCATCACTGCACTCCAGCCTGAGCAACAGAGCGAGACTCTCTGACTCAAAAAACAAAAAAAAGTATGTAGATCTTAAGGACAAGGCAGTAGAATTTAGTAACTGTCAAATATATATTCCTACTTATTGAATAAATTAAAGACCTCGCATGAAGGTCCTCGATTTACACTGACAAACAAGGTATGGGGATTCTGTAACGGTAGGCCTTATATATAACTGCGTTAACTATGCAGATAAAATCTGTCCAGAAAAATACACCACTAGAGTAGTGCAGTGCTAAATAAACACAAAACCCAATCTAAAATTATGATGTTCTACTACCAATATCTGACTTCACAATCAATGTAAAGAAAGCTAGCCATAAGCCAGGCACGGTGGCTCATGCCTGTAATCCTAGCACTTTAGGAGGGCAAGGTGGGCGGACTGTCTGACCTTAGGAGTTCAAGACCAGCCTGGGCAGCACAGTGAAACCCCGTCTCTACTAAAATACAAAAGAAATTAGCTGGGTGTGGTGGCACACGCCTGTAATCTCAGCTACTCAGGAGGCTGAGGCAGGAGAATTGCTTGAACCTGGGAGGCAGAGGTTGCAGTGAGCTGATTTCGTGCCACTGCACTCCAGCCTGGCGACAGAGCAAGACTCTGTTTCTACCAAAAAAAAAAAAAAAAAGCCAGCAATTATTACCACTAGAAGCTTCAAAAAATTAAGATAGTGCATAAAGTTTCTCACTTAGGCTGAAGACACTATGTACAACTGAGCTGAAGTCTGAATCCACCCTTCCAGAATCAAGGCTAACCCTGGTGTAGTTGATACAAGCCAGCTGAACACACAAGAGTTCAAAAATAAGAATTTATATGTAACTGCACACAGTCCCTATTCTTTTTCAAAATCAGGCCGGGCATGGTGGCTGACGCCTGTAATCCCATCACTTTGGGAGGCCGAGGCAGGTGGATCACCTGAGGTCAGGAGTTCCAGACCAGCCTGGCCAAGATGGTGAAACCTGTCTCAACTAAGAATACAAAAATTAGCCAGGCATGGTGGTGGGTGCCTGTAAGCCCAGCTACTCAGGAGGCTGAGGCAGGAGAATCGCCTGAACCTGGGATGCGGAGATTGCAGTGAGCAGAGATCATGCCATTGCACTCCAGCCTGGGCAACAGAGCAAGACTCCACCTCAAAAAGAGCAAAACAAAACAAAACAAAAAACAAAATCAACTCCTCTATAAATCCTCTTAAAAGGTTCCCTCTGATAACAGGAAGACATGATAAAGCAAATACAGCAAAATGAACAAGTAGAGCAAAATACTGTCATAGAATCCAGGCCATGGGTATGTGCATGTTGACTGTACAATGCTTTCCACTAGTCTGTTTGAAATTTTTCATATTAAGACATTGCAGGAAAATATTCCTACTGATCACATGCAATCCTGCCTTGGTGGCAAAGACTCTTGACAAAAACATCTCCTTTCAAGGAAGACTACAATTTTAAGAGCTACGTAGTGATGGAGATGTGAAAAAGTAGGCAGTACTAAGGTATCAGATGACTAATGCAAAAAGACAGAAAGTTATAAAGGGTGAATTTAAGGTTTCTAAAAATGGCTTCCTGATGCTCCTCCCACTTAGCCCAACTCCAAACTTTTACTGTAACTATCATTTGAAATTAAAACACACACACACACACACATTATGTATAATTTTTTTGGCTTATCAAGAAAAAAAACCACATTATGTATAAAATCATCAACAAAGATCAGAGCCATATACTACACCTACATTTGGAGGCCAGTGCAGAATTCAAATACCTTTACCACAGGTCAAAAATATGAAACCCCATGCCTTGAGAGGAAAACACACAAAACAGCTGAAAAGCTTAAACAAATTCATGGTTCACGCCACCACCGTTCAACAGAAGTAAAGAATAAATGTAAAGAATGTTCCTGTAAGGATGATGTCACGGAAGGCATTTTTCACATTCAGCTAAGAAACTCCTGGACAGTAATGTATGTCCAAGTCAGACATTGGGCTAGACAGGCCACTAGCCCAATCTGGACTCCACTTTGTATAAAGAGTGAAACAGAGAGGGCTTCAAGTCATTCGTTCCCATTCCTTTAATCAACCAACACCAAAACAACACTATTAAAATAGTTGTGGCCGGGCGCAGTGGCTCGGGCCTGTAATTCCATCACTTTGGGAGGCCAAAGCAGGAGAACTGCTTGAACCCAGGAGGCAGAGGTTGCCATGAGCCCATATCATGCCACTGCACCCCGGCCTGGGTGACAGAGCGAGACTCCATCTCAAAAAATAGTAATAAGCAATAAAAAAATAAAAAATAAAATAATAAAACTGTTGTTTAGGCCAGGGACGATGGCTCACGCCCATAATCCCAGCACTTTGGGAGGCCAAGGCGGGCAGATCGCCTAAGGTCAGGAGTTCGAAACCAACCTGGTCAACATGGTGAAACCCTGTCTCTATTAAAAATACAAAAAATTGCCAGGCGTAGTGGCTCATGCCTGTAATCCCAGTACTTTTTGAGAGGCTAAGGCAGGTGGATAACCTGAGGTCAGGCGTTTGAGACCAACCTGGCTAACAAGGAGAAACCTCGTCTCTATTAAAAATACGAAATTAGTCAGTGTGGTGGAGCGTGACTGTAATCCCACCTACTCGACAAGCTGAGGCAGGAGAATCGCTTGAACCCAGGAGGAGGAGGTTGCAGTGAGCCGAGATCGCACCACTGCACTCCAACCTTTGCAAAAAGGGCGAAAACTCCTTCTCAAAAAAAAAAAAAAAAAAAAAATTACCTCGGCATGGTAGCAGGCACGTGTAGTTCCAGCTACTTGGGAGGCTGACGCAGGAGAATCACTTGAACCCAGGAGGTGGAGGCTGCAGTGAGCCAATATAAAATAAAAACAAATAAATAATAAAAGTTGTTTATAAATACCTGAATGTAAGATGCTGTCTTTTTTTTCCTTTTTGAGACGGAGTCTCACTCTGTTACCCAGGCTGGAGTGCAGTGGCACGATATTGGCTCACTGCAACTTCCACCTCCCTTGATTCAAACAATTCCCCTGCCTCAGCCTCCCGAGTAGCTAGGATTACAGGCGCCCCCCACCATCCTTGGCTAATTTTTTTGTATTTTTAGTAGAGACAGGGTTTCACCATATTGGCCAGACTGGTCTCGAACTCCTGACTTCAGGCAATCCGCCTGCCTTGGCCTCCCAAAGTTCTGGGATTACAGGCATGAGCCATCGCGCCCGGGTGATGCTGTCTTACCTAGGAAAAGCTGAGAGAAAATCTTGGGGCAAAGGTCCACTAAGTGAAAGTTAAAAGGTGGGGCAGCAGTAAGGTGGAGGAAAAAAAAATTATAGACCCCATGCTCAGAAAGGACTATCTTAGAATAAAAGAGTATCAACCCTATGTAATATTTCTTGGCCAATCTCAATTAAATTGCTATTCAGGAAATCTAGAATTTTCTAACATGCTTTGCAAATTATTTCTGACTTTTTTTCTTTTTTTTTCAAGACAGAGCCTTGCTCTTGTCGCCCAGGCTGGAGTGCAGTGACACAATCTCAGCTCACTGCAACTTCCGCCTTCCGGGTTCAAGTGATTCTCCTGCCTCAGCATCCTGAGTAGCTGGGATTACAGGCGCCCACCACCACGCCCGGCTAATTTTTGTACTTTTAGTAGAGACAGGGTTTTGCCATGTTGGCCAGGCTGGTCTCGAGCTCCTGACCTCAGGTGATCCGCCTGCCTCGGCCTCCCAAAGTGCTGAGATTACAGGCATGAGCCACCGCACCTGGCAGACATATTTTCATACGGGTGTATTATCAGTCTCTATCAGTCAGGGTCCCAGAAGGAAAAAACTCATCCCAGAAGATTGAAATAGAGATTTTCATGAAGGAATTATTTACACAGCCCTGTATGCAGAGTTAAGGAGCAAACAAGATGGCAAGGCATCCAATTCTAGAAATGATAAGACAGAACCATCCCTAGGGATGATGAGACAAGGAGCAGGAGTTTCCTTAAGAGCCCAGTGTAAGCAGAGGCACAGGAGGGCAGGATGGAGGGACGTACAGCCTGAAAGGACACTGCCATGGTCCAGGCAAAGGGTCAAAGCAGGAACAGATGAAGATGTATCTCCTTTAAAAACAAACAAACAAAAAAAGACAGTTTCCCTCTGTCACCCAAGCTGGAGTGCAATGGTACAATCTTGGCTCACTGCAACCTCCACCTCCCAAGTTCAAGCGATTCTCCTGCCTCAACCTCCTGAATAGCTAGGATTACAGGCGTGCCCAGCTAATTTTTCTATTTTTAGTAGAGACGAGGTTTCGCCATATTGGCCAGACTGGTCTCAAACTCCTGACCTCAGGTGAACCGCCCACCTCGGCCTCCCAAAGTGCTGGGATTACAGGCTTGAGCTACCGTGCCCGGCCAAAGACGTATCTCTAATAGTTTTTGTTTTTGCTTTTTTGAGACAAGGTCTCACTCTGTCGCACGGGCTGGAGTGCAATGGCACAATCTCAGCTCACTACAACCTCCACCTCCTGGGTTTCAAGCGATCCTCCCACCTTAGCCTCCCGAGTAGCTGGGACTACAGGCACATGTGTCTACACCTAGCTAATTTTTGTATTTTTAGCAGAGACAGGGTCTCGCCATGTTGCCCAGGCTGGTCTTGAACTCCTAAGCTCTAGTGATCCACCCACCTTGGCCTCCCAAAATGCTGGGTTACAGGTGTGAGCCACCTGACCTGGCCAGGTACATTTCACTTCTAATATCACTTAGCTGTAGTCAACATCAATACTAAACATAGTATTAAAAAATAACTGTGCTTGTTCAAATGCTCATAACTAATTAAAAAAAAAAAACAGACTGAAAACTCAAGGCCACAGACTTTTAAGCCTAATACTCCCTCACAGAGTCTCAGTAGTAGAAACCGCAATAACAGTACCTGGCATTTACTAAGCATTCAGCAAGGGGCACCTGCGAGGTAGTTAATAACCAACATCTTGTTTAGTCTTGTTGACCTCCCATTGAACCGCCTCTCTTGGGAGGTGGGGGATGTGCTTAGGGTTACCCCATGTAAGCGGTGGGGTGGGGATTTGAAGGGACGGTCCAGATTCCATGACATTCAACAAGTTATTTGACTAGATAAAACAGCCAATTCAAACAGCAGAGGTCCACAATCGGTTAGTATTAAATAAACGTATCTGCTATGCTTATGTTTTAGTTTTAGAAATTTTCAAATAATTATCAGCAATATGACTTAAAAAAAAAAAAAAAAAAAAACAGGCCGAGGCGGGCGGATCACTTGAGGGTCAGGAGTTTGAGACCAGCCTCACCAACATGGTGAAACTCCGTCTCCACCAAAAAAATACAAAAAAAAAAAAAAAAAACAAATTAGCTGGGCATGGTGGCTTGCGCCTGTAATCCCAGCTACTTGGGAGACTAAGGCACGAGAATCGCTTGAACCCGGGAGGCAGAGGTTGCAGGAGCAGAGATCGCGCCATTGCACTCCAGCCTGGGCGACAGAGTGAGACCCCGTCTCAAAAAAAAAAAAAAGAAAAGAAAAAAAAAAAAAATTGGGCCGGGCGCCGTGGCTTACGCCTGTAATCCCAACACTCTGGGAGACCCAGGCGGGTGGATCACCTGAGGTCAGGAATTCGAGACCAGCCAGGCCAACATGGTGAAACCCCGTCTCTACTAAAAAATACAAAAATTAGCCGGACACGGTGGCGCGTGCCTGTAATCCCAGCTACTAAGGACACTGAGGCAGGAGGATCGCTTGAACCTGGGAGGCGGAGGTTGTAGTGAGCCGAAATCGTGCCACTGCACTCCAGCCTGGGCAACAGAGTGAAACTCCGTCTCAAAAAAAAAAAAAAAAAAAAAAAAGCCTGAATAGCCTACATACTCTAATACTCCTTCACACTTCCAAGACAAATCCGACAGATGGGCATCTTACAAAAATCAGCTGTCTAATTATCCTTCTTGCATCTGAATTGCAAGAACCAAAATCTGTCCTAATGATAAGTTTGAAGAATATCAATCCAGTTAACCGTGATGCCAGAACTTTCCTTGGACTTTACTGCAACATGTACCAGTTGCATTGAGTTTGATTAAACTGGTAGTAATTCTTCCTCGCTAACACTAACCTATACAAGCAACGCTGAGACGCGCGATTTTGCTCGGGTTACACTGAGATTCTTGTTTCTATGGGAGAAAAAAACTGCATAAGACAAGTTTTGTCTTCCTCTAGGGCCTGTAACCATCACGGACAATCATGAAAAGCAATGCCTGGAGTCACAGGGGGCCAGTTCTGCTACATCCCATACCTAACGCGTTAAGCAAAGAACAGTTTTTTTGTCAATGACCACACCACGTTGTTTAAAAAAAAAAAAGAAAGAAAGAAAAGAAAAAACAGTCCCCCATTACAGCCGGCTCCTCCCAGCCAGCATCTTCAAAACTTTCTCCACGGAAAGGGCGAAAACAATTTTAAGAATCCTAACAGTGGCAGAAGTGTAAGTCAAAAAACCTGTCGAAAATAAGTTGAGAGGCCGGGCGCGGTGTCACCCCAGCGCTTTTGGAGGCTGAGAGGCAGGAGAATCACTTGAGCGCAGGAATTCGAGACCAGCCTGGACAACACAGTGAGACCCCATTTCTACAAAAAACTTTTAAAGATTAGCCAGGCGTGGTGGCACACGCCTGTAATCCCAGCATTTTGGAGGCTGGGATGGGAGGATTGCTTGAACCCAGGAGTTCGAGACCGGCCTGGGCAACACAGCGAGACCCCGTCTATGAAAAAAAAATTTTTTTAAAGAAAAGTTTGGGGGCACCAAAGCGGCCCGTACAATCAAGCATGCATCAAATATGATCGACTTGACCGCCGCGTTCCCAACCCAATTCTCAAAAGGGGATCGAGAGGTTCATGCAAAAAAAATAAAGGGTCCCTTTTTGGAAAAATGGTCAAAATCTCCAAGAGCGCTTGCTCTACGAGCGCTCCCGAGGAGGGCGGCGGGCGGCGTCCGGGAAGAAAGCCGGAGGGTGGAGTTCACTTTTCCCTCTAGCCGGCGAGCGGCGAGGCCCTCCTCCATCGAGAGCCGGAACCAGGCACGCGCCGCCCGGGCCGTCAGGGTCCGGTGGGGGCGCCCGCCCGCGGCCCCCGCCCCGCGACACAGGCCCAGGCCCACCGCCTACGCGAGACCGCGGCGGACGCCGGCCTGCCTGGGCCCCAGTCCGGGCCCAACCCCCCTCCGCGCCCGATCCCGCGGCCTCCAGCCCGGCCCCGGCCGCGCACTCACCCGTCTCCCACCACCACACACTTGATGGCCTGCATCAGGGCCGCTCGCTGGGCCGCGGCGGCGGCGGCAGGGCGCTGAGATAGGAAGCGGCGGGCTCGGGGCGCGGCGGACGGGCGCGCGGCTTGCGGGCGGCGGGGCGCTGGGTGCCGGGGCCGCTGTCCACGCCGCCTCGCCCTCCGCGGACTGGAAGCCGATGCCCGGCAGCGGCCACCACCCAAAGCTGAGGAAAACTGCAGAGAAACAGGAAATGGCCGCTCCACTCACATCCGGCCTCCCCTCCCCCGCGCCGGCGCCGCCGCTCCCAGGTTCCGGGCGGGGCCGCTCCCGCCCGCGCCGCTCCCGCCCGCGCCGCTCCCGGAGTTTCTCTGGACTTCGGGAATGCTCGGAAGCGCTCGGGCCCACTCGGCTCCGGCCGCGGGGCGTGGCAGCCGCCATCTTGGCGCGCTAAAGCGGCCTGGGCGTGGCCGGGCCTGCAGGTCCCTTCCCTGGGACTCAGGGCTTTAAGAGGAACCTGTCAGCTCGGCGCGGTGGCTCACGTCCGTAATCCCAACACTTTGGGAGGCTGAGGCGGGCGGATCACCTGAGGTCACGAGTTCAAGACCAGCCTGGCCAACATGGTGAAACACTGTCTCTAATAAAAATACAAAAAATTAACGGGGCGTGGTGGTGGGCGCCTGTAATCCCAGCTACTCAGGAGGCTGAGGCAGGTGAATCACTTCAACCCGGGAGGCAGTGGTTGCAGTGAGCCGAGATCCTGCTATTGCACTCCAGCCTGGGCGACAAGAGCGAAACTCCGTCTCAAAAAAAAAAACAAAAACAAAAACGAGGAACCTGTCAGACAGGGCGCGGTGGCTCAAGCCTGTAAACCCAGCACTTTGGGAGGCCGAGGAGGGCGGATCACAAGGTCAAGAGATCGAGACCATCCTGGCCAACATGGTGAAACCCCGTCTCTACTAAAAATACAAAAATTAGATTAGCAGGGCGTGGAGGCGCGCGCCTGTAGTTCCAGCTACTCAGGAGCCTGAGGCAGGAGAATCTCTTGAACCTGGGAGGCGGTGGTTTCAGTGAGCCCAGATGGCGCCACTGCACTCCAGCCTGGAGTCAGAGCGAGACCCCGTCTCAAAAAAAAAAAAAAAAAAGAGGAACCTGTGGTGGCTGGGCGCAGTGGCTCACGTCTGTCATCCCAGCACTTTGGTTGGGCGGCCCAGGTGGGTGGATCACAAGTTCAGGAGTTTGAGACCAGCCTCACCAACATGGTGAAACCCCATCTCTACTAAAAAAATACAAAAGTTAGCTGGATGTGGTGGCAGGCGCCTGTAATCCCAGCTACTAGGGCGGCTGAGACAGGAGACTCGCTTGAACCGAGGACACGGAGGTTGCAGTGAGCTGAGATTGCGCCACTGCACTCCAGCCTAGGAGACAGAGTGAGACTCCGTCTTAAAAAAAAAAAAAAAAAGGAACCTGTGGTTGCAGGAGCCATGTTCCTTGTCACTAACTCCTGCTTGAGGCCATTGGAGGGCATTGACTCCCCCTGTTTCATTATCTTTATGTGATAACTATCTGCAATGACATTAGGTCCTTTTAGAAAATTCGGAATCTAAAACTATAAGGAAGAATAAAATCATACACCATACGTTTACTCAGCAATAACCATGTCCATTCAGCCAAAAAAAATGTGTTGCCGGCCAGGTGTGGTGGCTCACACCTGTAATCCCAGCACGTTGTGAAGCCAAGGTGGGTGGATCACCTGAGGTCAGGAGTTCTAGATCAGCCTGGCCAACATGGCGAATCCCCATTTCTACTAAAAATACAAAAAATTAACCGGACATGGAGGTGGATGCCTGTAGTCCCAGCTACCCGGGAGGCTGAGGCACGAGAATCGCTTGTACCGGGGAGGTGGAGGTGGCATTGAGCCGAAATCTGGCCACTGCACTCCAGCCTGGGCGACACAGCAAAAAAAAAAAAAAAAAAAAAAAAAGTGTTGCATGTTCTCCTCTGTCGCATATGCATTTTCTGTTACTTGTTTTTAATGTATTTAGTGCTATGCCTCGTGCTTTGTACCAGGTTCTGGAGATAATGGCCATTAGACGGTGAAAGTGCAAATATTTTGGTATATTTCCTCTTAGTTATCTTTTGATATGCATAATGAACGTTTTGTAAGCAAAATCAAGAAATCATACAGAGTCGGTGTGACTTTTTTTTCTTTTTTATAAAATAGAGGCAGGATCTCACTATGTCGCCCAGTCTGGTCCCGAACTCCTGGGCTCTAGCGATCCTCCCACCTCAGCCTCCCAAGTTGCTGGGACTACAGGCAGGTGCCACCATACCTGGCTAATTTTTCTATTTTTGGTAGAAATGGAGTTTCCCCATGTTGCCCAGTCTGCTATTGGAACTTTTTTTTTTTTTTTTGTACTACTGCACTCCACCCTCCAGTCTGGGCGACAGAGCGAGACTCCATCTCCAAAAATAAAAATAAATATGCCAGGCACGGTGGTTAATTCCTGTAATCACAGCACTTTGGAAGGCTGAGGTGGGAGGATTGCTTGAAGCCGGGAGTTAAAGACCAGATTGGGCAACACAGCAAGACCCCCATCTCTATAAAAATTAGCCAGGCATGGTAGCATGCACCTGTTGTCCCAGCCACTTGGGAGGCCAAAGCAGGAGGATCTCCTGAGCCCAGAAGGTCGAAGCTGTAGTGAGTTGTGATCGAGCTACTGCATTCCAGCCTGGGTGACAGGGACACCCTGTCTCAAAAAAAATTAAGTTAATTAAATTAATGTACAACCCACATATGAAAATCAGTTAATTTAAAACTGAGTGAGAACAGTTGTCCAAGTTTAGGCTTGAGTATCTGCTTGGAATGTTCCCCATGGCAACAAATGATCCACAAAGTTAAATTTTTTAAAATTGTGGGGTTTTTTGAGACAGGGTCTGCCTTTGTCACCCAGGCTGGAGTGTAGTGGCATAATCACAGCTCACTGCAACCTCTATCTCCTGGGCTCGGGGATCCTCCCGAGTAGCTGGGACCACAGGTGCACCTTACCACACAAGGATAATTTTTGTATGTAATTTTGTATATTTTTTGCTATGTTGCCCAGGCTGGTCTTCAACTTCTGGGCTCCAGTGATCTGCCGGCCTCAGCTTCCCAAACTGCTGAGATTACAGGCATGAGCCACTGTGTGCAGCTTAAATTACAATTAATAAATGCGGCTGGGCACGGTGGCTCACACCTGTAATCCCAGCACTTTGGGAGGCTGAGGAGGGTGGATCACTAGGGTCAGGAGTTCAAGACCAGCCTGGCCAACATGGTGAAACCCCCGTCTCTTCTAAAAATACAAAAATTAGATGGGTGTGGTGGTGGGTGCCTGTAATCTCAGCTACTTAGGAGGCTGAGGCAGGAGAATTGCTAGAACCTGGGACGTGGAGATTGCAGTGAGCCAACATCGTGCCATCCAGCCTGGGCGACAAGAGCAAAACTCCATCTCAAAAAAAAAATTCATCAACTCAAATAATACTCGATTAGACCACGTGTGTTTCTTTTCTTCTTCTTCTTCTTCTTTTTTTTTTTTAAGATGGAGGTTCACTATGTCACCCAAGCTGGAGTGGAGTGGCTCGATCTCAGCTCACTGCAACTCCCAAGTAGCTGGGATTACAGTCATGCACCACCACACCCAGGTAATTTTTGTATTTTTAGTAGAGACAGGGTTTCACCATGTTGGCCAGGCTGGTCTCGAGCCGCTAACCTCAAGTGATCTGCCAACCTCGGGCCTCCCAAAGTGCTGGGATTACAGGTGTGAGCCATCGCCCCTGGCAACCATGTGTGTTTCTAAATGTGTTATGCTAAGGATGCAATCATACACCCTGCCTAGGTCCTCCACTCAAGGCCATTCATTCATTCCACTCCACTGGCTGCCTAGATGTTAGAATGTGAAATGAACGAAAGAGATCCCTGCTATTCTGCATTCTAAAACCTACATTCTAGTGGGGCAGACACATAATGGGCAATGAACATATAGTATTCATTTCCAGGTTAAGATGACAGATTGGATGTAAGTGTCTAATTTCACTTCTACCCAACATTCCACTAGAACTCCAGAAAGGGGACTTTTGAAAAAAAAGGCAGAAACCTAGAAGAGAGGGAATAAGAAAGAAGGAATGTGTGGACAGAATGGTTGTAACTGACTTAGCCACCTACACTGGCAGTGGGAAGGGCAGGTCAACACCAGACCTAGGCTGGGCCCAGTGGCTCATGCCTGTTATCCCAGCACTTTGGGAGGCCAAGGCGGGCGGATCACCTGAAGTCAGGAGTTCGAGACCAGCGTGTTCAACATGGTGAAACCCCATCTCTACTAAAAATACAAAAATTAGCTGGGTGTCGTGGCAGGCGCCTGTAATCCCAGCTACTTGGGAGGCTGAGGCAGGAGAATCGCTTGAACCCAGGAGGCGGAGGTTGCAGTGAGCTAAGATCGTGCCATTGCACTACAGCCTGGGCGACAAGAGCGAAACTCCATCTCAAAAAAAAAAAAAACAGATTTACTTCAAAGAATCACTTAAGAGCTGGGATTGATGGCACCCTGGCCTTATGGAACTGGGAGTAAGGGGAGAGTAGGATAAGGAAGACGGGATGAAAGCTGAGAAGCAGCAGGAGACCTGCATGGCCACCTGTTATGCACTCCGCAAGGAGGCTGCCCTCACCTTCACTTAGAAAAGACATGATTCCCCTCTAGAGAGAATGAAACAGAGGGTATTCGGCCTTAGGACCAGGCATAGGGCCTGGAAAACAAAACATAAAAACAGAGATTTAGTAGGCTGAAGCTTGAGCCTCCCCAATCCCTTCCTTCGTGGTTCCATGCTGATGGTTTCCCACTGGGGAGGAGGGTGGAGGGTGGGATCTGTCCAGGGCAGGAGGAAAAAAACAAACAGATATCAACATGGGGCCAGGCGCCATGGCTCACATCTGTAATCTCAGCAATTTGGGAGGTCGAGGCAGGAGGATTGCTTGAGTCCAGGCATTTGAAACCAGCTTGGGCAACATAGCAAGACCCATCTCTGGAAAAAAAATATTTTTTTTATTTATAGAAATAATATCTATTTTATTTATATAAATATATGTTATTCATATATATATATATATTTTTTTTTTGAGGTGGAGTCTCACTCTGTCACCCAGGATGGAGTGCAGTGGTGTGTTCTCGGCACGCTGCAACTTCCACCTCCCGCGATCAAGCGATTCTTCTGCCTCAGCCTCCTGAGTAGCTGGGATTACAGGCACCCGCCACCATGCCTGGCTAATTTTTGTATTTTTAGTAGAGATGGGTTTTCACCAAGTTGGCCAGGCTAGTCTCGTACTCCAGACCTCAGGTGATCCACCTGCCTCGGCCTCCCAAAGTCCTGGGATTACAGGCATGAGCCACTGCACTTGGCCTATATTATATTTATATATAAATATGTATTTATATATATATTTTAGGTAACGATAAGATATATATTATATATATTTAGACCCATATATATACATATTTTTTTTTTTTTGAGACAGAGTCTCACTTTGTCACCCATGCTGGAGTACAGTGGCATGATCTCGGCTCACTGCAACCACTGCCTCACAGGTTCAAGCGATTCTTCTTCCTCAGCCTCCTGAGTAGCTGGGACTACAGGTACACGCCACCATACCCGGCTAATTTTTGTATTTGTCAGTAGAGATGGGGTTTCACCATATTGACCAAGCTAGTCTCAAACTGCAGACCTCGTGATCTGCCCGCTTCGGCCTCCCAAAGTGCTGAGATTACCGGCATGCCCGGCCAGTAAATGGTTATTTTTAAGGCTAGAAATAAGATAATATTATTCATCCATGAATAAGAAGGGAGTTCTACTTAAAAAGGAAGCATTAGAAAGTTTTTTGTGTTTTTTTATTTGTGGAAATTAAAAGCAACTTAGCAGAAATTAAAAATACTCAGTTGAAAAGCTGGGACTGGGTGGGTGGGCGCGATGGCTCACGCCTGTAATCCCAGCACTTTGGGAGGCCGAGGTGGGTGGATCACCTGAGGTCAAGAGTTCGAGGCCAGCCTGGCCAACATGGTGAAACCCCGTTTCTATTAAAAATACAAAATTAGCCGAGCGTGGTGGTACATGCCTGTAACCCCACCTACTGTGGAGGCTGAGGCAGGAGAATCGCTTGAACCCAGGAGGCAGAGCTTGCAGTAAGCCGAGATCACACCATTGCACTCCAGCCTGGGCGACAAGAGTGAGACTCCATCTGAAATAATAATAATAATTAGCTGGGCGTGGTGGTGTGCACCTGTAATCCCATCTATTCGGGAGGCTGAGGCACGACAAGAATCACTTGAACCTGGGAGGCAGAGGTTGCAGTGAGCCGAGATAGAGCCACTGCACTCCAGCCTGGGCGATAGGGTGAGACTCAGTCTCAAAAAAAACAAAAAAATGCATCCTATAATAGAAAAAGAAAGAACAAAGAACAAGCAAAGGAGGAAAACAATCATGAAAATATTGAAAGGAAATTTCCCAGACCTTAATGACAACAGTTTACGGATGGAAAGTCCAACCCAGTGAGTGAAATAGTCCCAACCTAGAGTGCATCACTGGGAAACTTGAGAATAGCAACAGATAAGATCCTACAAGCTTCCAAAGAGAAAACACATGGCTTAAGGAAACAGGAAATAGAATGGTTTGGGGTTTCCCAGCAGTTACAAGGGTGTGGCAATGCCTTCAAAAAAATTCTATAGGAAAAAAGTTTTCACACAAGAATTCTGCTCATAGTCAAAAACTATTGATCAACTAGGCTGATAAAATAAGAACATTTTCAGGCAAGTTCTCAAAAAAGTTTTACCTCCCACACACCACATCCCAGAAAGCTGCTGGAACATATGTTGCTTCAGTAGGAGGAAATAAACCAAAAGAAAGAAGCTACAACAGGCAGAAATGGGAGATACCACAAAGCCGAAGAGAGAAGGGGCCTCCCAGGTCATGGGGTCTGTTGTATGACCAGCCCGTATCGGAGCAGGGAGACTGTGGCCATAAACCCGCACAGGGTCTATAACTGGGTCAATTTCCACCAGTGTGAACAGCCAGGAATAGTTACAAGACAAACCACTTTTGTTAACCAGCTCCCCTGTGATGACAATGCATGGAGGTGATAACAACGAGAAGTATATTCTTTTGTTTGTTTGTTTGTTTGTTTGTTGTTTTTTGAGACGGAGTCTCTCTCTGTCGCCCAGGCTGGAGTGCAGTGGCGCGATCTCGGCTCACTGCAAGCTCCGCCTCCCGGGTTCACTCCATTCTCCTGCCTCAGCCTCCCGAGTAGCTGGGACTACAGGTGCCTGCCACCACGCCTGGCTAATTTTTTGTATTTTTAGTACAGACGGGGTTTCACCATGTTAGCCAGGATGGTCTCTATCTCCTGACCTCATGATCTGCCCACCTCAGCCTCCCAAAGTGCTGGGATTACAGGCGTGAGCCACCTTGCACGGCCAAGAAGTGTATTCTTGGTGCCTCTGCCTCTCCTTTCTCTTGATTTTGTTTTTGTTTTGACACAGAATCTTGCTGTGTCACCCAGACTGGAGTACAATGGCACCATCTGAGCTCACTGCAACCTCCGTCTCCTGGGCTCAAACGATTCTCCTGCCTCAGCCTCCCGAGTAGCTGGGATTACAGGCACCTGCCACTAGGCTCAGCTAATTTTTGTATTTTTAGTAGAGACAGGGTTTCTCTATGTTGGCCAGGTTGGTCTTGAACCCCTGACCCCAGGTGATCCATCCACCTCGGTCTCCCAAAGTGCTGGGATTACAGGCATGAGCCACCACGCCCGGCCCTAACATTTTATTATACAAGTTTTTTTTTTTTTTTTTTGAGATGGAGTCCCTCTGTCGTTCAGGCTGAAGTGCAGTGGAGCAATCACCACACACTGCAATCTCTGTCTCCTGGGGTCGAGCAATTCTCCTGCCTCAGCCTCCTGAGTAACTGGGATTACAGGTGTGCACCACTACACCTGGCTAACTATCCTTTTTTTTTTTTTTTTTTTTTTGAGACAGAGGTTTGCTCTGTCCCAGGCTGGAGTGTAAGTGGTGCAATCTCGGCTCACTGCAAGCTCTGCCTCCCAGGTTCATGCCATTCTCCTGCCTCAGCCTCCTGAGTAGCTGGGACTACAGGCGCCCGCCACCAAGCCCGGCTAATTTTTTTTTTTTTTTTTGAGATGGAGTCTCACTCTGTCGCCCAGGCTGGAGTGCAGTGGCACGATCTTGGCTCACTGCAAGCTCCGTCTCCTGGATTCATGCCATTCTCCTGCCTCAGCCTCCTGAGTGGCTGGGACTACAGGCGCCCGCCACCATGCCCAGCTAATTTTTTGTATTTTTAGTAGAGACGGGGTTTAACCGTGTTAGCTAGGATGGTCTCCATCTCCTGACCTCGTGATCCACCCGCCTGGGCCTCCCAAAGTGCTGGGATTACAGGTGTGAGGCACTGTGCCCGGCCTTTTTCTTCTTTTCTTTTTTTTTTTTTTGAGATGGAATTTCACTCTGTCACCCAAGGCTGTAGTGCAGTGGTGCGATCTCGGCTCACTGCAACCTCCGCCTCCCAGGTTCAAGCCTCAGTCTCTCTAGTAGCTGGGATTACAGGCACAGGCCACCATGCCTGGCTAATTTTTGTATTTTTAGTAGCAACGGGGCTTCACCATGTCGGCCAGGCTGGTCTCGAACTTTTGATCTCAAGTGATCCACCCACCTCGCCCTTTCAAAGTGCTGGGTTTATAGGCATGAGCCACTGTACCCGGCCTACAAATTTTCAAATGCACCGAAAAGTTGAAAGAAATATACAGCGAACAGCCGTATGTCAACCCAAATTCTGCAATAAACATTTTATTACACTTGGTTTACCATGTATCTGTTTATCCATTCAACAATTCACATTGTTTTTAAATTCAATTCAAAAGAAGTTACAGAAATCAGTGCATGTTACCCTTCAACACTTCAGAATGCACTTTTTTTTTTTTAGAAACTGATGTTTATTTTCCATCAACCTATTTCCACGTTGCTTAAGAGCCCGTGCAAGAACACCTTAAGGCCATTCAGTTGTTGCTGTTACCCATTCAGCAGCCTGAGCAGTGGGAGCTGCAGACCAGTCTTCCGTGGCAGGATGACTGCTCCAGTCTTCAGCAGGGAACTGCTGGATAGGCACAGAGGGCACCTGCATGCCGTAAGACCAGTCTGCAACCTCAGGTTGAGTAGCGGTGAATACAGGAGCTGGAGCTGTCCATTCACCCTGAAATTCCTCTTTGGTCACAGCCTTTTCAGCAGCAGACAGGTTTTTAATTTTATTTTTATTTATCTATTTATTTTTCTGAGATGGAGTCTCGCTCTGTCGCCCAGGCTGGAGTGCAGTGGCGCGATCTCAGCTCACTGCAACCTCCACCTCCTGGGTTCAAGAGATCCTCCTGTCTTAGCCTCCTGTGTAACTGGGACTACAGGCACGCACCACCATGCCTGGCTAATTTTATTTTGTATTTTTAATAGAGACGGGGTTTCACCATGTTAGCCAGGCTGGTCTCGAACTCCTGACCTTGTGATCCACCCACCTGCGCCTCCAAAAGTGCTGAGAGGGCCGGGCAGGGTGGCTCACTCCTGTAATCCCAGCACTTCAGGAGGCCGAGGCGGTTGGGTCACGAGGTCAGGAGATCGAGACCATCCTGGCTAACATGGTGAAACCCCCATCTCTACTAAAAATACAAAAAATTAGCCAGGCGTGGTGGCGGGCGCCTGTAGTCCCAGCTACTCGGGAGGCTGAGGCAGGAGAATGGCGTGAACCCAGGAGGCGGAGCTTGCAGTGAGCCGAGATCGCAACACTGCACTCCAGCCTGGGTGACAGAGAGAGACTCCAAAAAAAAAAAAAAAAAAAGACAGATGATAAATTATATTAACACACTATGAGAATTAGCCAGGGGTGGTGGTGTGCACTTGTAGTCCCAGCTATTTGGGACTCCATCGCTTGAGCCCGGGAGTTTGACTGCAGTGATCCAAGATCTTGCCACTGCATTCCAGCCTGGGTGATAGAGTGAGACCTTGTCTCTAAATAAAGTGCTGGGATTACAGGTGTGAGCCACCATGCCCGGCCAATTAACATTCAATATTTGTTGATAGTTCCTTCTCTTCTTTTATTTATTTATTTAGAGACAAGGTCTCTATCACTCAGGCTGCAATGCAGTGGCAAGATCTTGGATCACTGCAGTCAACCTCCTGGGCTCAAGCGATGGAGTCCCTAATAGCTGGGACTACAAGTGCACACCACCACCCCTGGCTAATTCTCATAGTGTGTTAATATAATTTATCATCCTTCTTTTTACCTTCTTTTTTTTGTTTTTAGAGTCTCACTCTGTCACCCAGGCTGGAGTGCAGTGGAACCATCATAGCTCACTGTAGCCTCAACCTCCTGGGCTCAACAGATCCTCCTGCCTCAGCCTCCTGTGTAGCCGGGAACACAGGCATGTGCCACCACACCCAGCTAACTTTTTTGTAGAGACAGGATCTTGCTATGTTGCCCAGGCTGGTCTTGAACTCCTGGACTCAAGCGATCCTCCGGCCTTAGCCTTCCAAAAAGTACTGGGATTACAGGTGTGAGCCACTGTGCCCACCCTAATTTGCCATCTTAATGAAAAGAATAAAAACTCCAAGGAAGGTTCTGGATCCCTTCAAATACAAGTGTCTGATGGCCCAAAGAAAATGACTGTTTTCTCTTAATTATGTAAACCTTGCTGACATTTTGCACTGGAAGCATGGTATAGTGGAAGGCACACTGGGATAGAAGCCCAGGAACTGCCGACTACTGCTGCCAACCTGGCCCCAGGTTAATCACCAATGGGCTCTGTGACATCGTTAAGTCATTAAGCCTTTTTTCCTCATTGCTCATCTGTACAATGAGGAGAATGAACTTTGTGTTCTCCATTCTACAAGTCCGCAAGTCCACTAAGTGCTGTAAAGATGTGGAGGAACAAGATAGTACTTTTTTTTTTTTTTTTTGAGACGGAGTCTCACTCTGTCGCCAGGCTGCAGTGCAGTGGTGCAATCTTGGCTCACTACAACCTCTGCCCCTGGGGTTCAAGCGATTCTCCTGCCTCAGCCTCCCAAGTAGCTGGGATCACAGGCATTACACCTGGCTAATTTTTGTATTTTTAGTAGAGATAGTGTTTCACCATGTTGGCCAGGATGGTCTTGATCTCTTGACCTCATGATCTGCCTGCCTTGGCCTCCCAAAGTGCTGGGATTACAGGTGTGAGCCACTGTGCCCGGCCTGATTTTTTTAAAAATTAAAGTCATTTAATTTAAATGACTTTAAATAAATAATTTACTTTAAATGATTGTTTAACAATGTGCACATTGTTAAAACATCAGCTAGTACAGAAGAGCTCATACTTTAGACCTCAAAAAAAAAAAACAACTTTATTTTTTGTTTTGTTTTGTTTTTGAGATGGAGTTTCGCTCTTGTTGCCCAGGCTGGAGTGCAATGGCGCAGTCTTGGCTCACTGCAACTTCTGCCTCCTGGGTTCAAGTGATTCTCCTGCCTCAGCCTTCCAGATAGCCGAGATTACAGGCATTCTGACCTTAAGTGATCCGCCCACCTCAGCCTCCCAAAGTGCTGTGATTACAGGTGTGAGCCATTACGCCCGGCTTTTTTTTTTTTTTTTTGAGACAGAGTTTCACTCTTGTCACCCAGGCTAGAGTGCAATGACCCGATCTTGGCTCACTGCAGCCTCTGCCTCCCAAGTTCAAGCGATTCTTGTGTCTCAGCCTCCTGAGTAGCTGGGGTTACAGGCACCCATCACCATGTCTGGCTAATTTTTGTATTTTTAGTAGAGACAGGGTTTCACCATGTTGCCCAGGCTGGTCTTAAACTCCTGACCTCAACTGATCTGCCAGTCTCTGCCTCCCAAAGTGCTGGGATTACAGGCGTGAGCCCGTCACCCAGCGAGTTATTTGTTTTTTTTTTTTAATTAAAGTCATTTAGTTTAAATGACTTTATTTACTTTAAATACTTGTTTAACGTAGTGTACATTTTTAAAACCTCAGCTAGCACAGAAGAACTCATACTAAAGACCTTAAAAAAAACTTCGGGTTTTTTGTTTTTTGTTTTTTGTTTTTTTTTTGAGACAGGGTCTTCCTCCGTAACCCACGCTGGCATGCAGTGGTGCAATCATAGCTCACTGCAGCCTTGAATTCCTGGGCTCAGCCGATTCTCCCGCCTCAGCCTCCTGAGTAGCTAGAACGACAGGCATGCACCACTACATCTGGCTAATATTTTTATTTTTATTTTATTTATTTATTTTAATTAATTCATTCATTTTTTTGAGATGGAGTCTCTCTCTGTCACACAGGCTGGAGTGCAGTGGCACGATCTCAGCTCATGCAAGCTCTGCCTCCTGGGTTCACGCCACTCTCCTGCCTTGGCCTCCGGAGTAGCTAGGACTACAGGCGCCTGTCACCACGCCCAGCTAATTTTTTGCATTTTTAGTAGAGATGAGGTTTCACCGTGTTAGCCAGGATGGCCTCGATCTCCTGACCTCCTGACCCACCTGCCTCGGCCTCCCAAATTGCTGGGATTACAGGTGTGAGCCACCACGCCCAGCCTGTTTATTTTTTTAGACGGAGTTTCGCTCTTGTTGTCCAAGCTGGAGTGGAATGGCGCTATCTCGGTTCACCGCAACCTCTGCCTCCTGGGTTCAAGCGATTCTCCTGCCTCAGCCTCCCGAGTAGCTGGGATTACAGGCACACACCACCATGCCCGGATAATTTTTTGCATTTTCAGTAGAAATGGGGTTTCATCATGTTAGCCAGGCCGGTCTTGAACTCCTGACCTCAAGTGATCCGCCCGTCTCGGCCTCCCAAAGTGCTGGGATTACAGGCGTGAGCCACTGTGCCCGGCCAATATTTTTATTTTTTGTAGAGACAGGGTCTCACTATATTGCCCATGCTGGACTCAAATTCCTGGCCTCAGTGATCCTCCAGTGTTGGCCTCCCAACGTGCTAGCACTACAGGCGTGAGCCACAGAGATTTGCCAATGATTTGGTAATAAATAAAAAATTTTCAAACAGCCCAACACAGTGGCTCACGCCTGTAATCCCAGCACTTTTGGAGGCCAACTCTGGAGGATCACTTGAGGTCAGAAGTTCAAGACCAGCCTGGGCAACATAGCAAGACCTCATCTCTACCCTAAATTAAAAAATTAGCCATCCATAGTGGCGTGTGCCTGTGGTCCCAGCTACTTGGGAGGCTGAGGAGGGAGGATCACTTGAGCCCAGGACGTTGAGGCTGCAGTGAGGTATGATTGCACCACTGCACTCCAGCCTGGGGGACAGAGTGAGACCCTGTCTCAGAAAAAAAAAAAAAAAAAAAGCAAAAAAAAAAACTAGCTTATATTCTTATTGCTTGATCAATTGTTTCTTTTGTTCTTCTTTTTCCTCACCCTGTCTTATAGGCTGATTGTTTGATCAATTGTACACATTATCTCTTGTCTTTTGGCTGTGATACATCAGAATTTAGCTCACTGATACCAGCATTCCCCTCATTGTGGTATATCTCTCTATTTTAGTTCTCCTCTTGGTTACCAATGAAACTTTAAATAACATGCGATTCCTGTCTTCTTAGCTCCTCCCACTATTTCCTGGATCCTCTTATGTAAGATGATGATAACTCCATAGGTCCAGCTGGGCCAGCAGGGCCTGGGCCTGGCCCATCACAGAGCAAGCAATGCAGAGTTCATCAAGTTTGTGCTCTTAGGCCGGGCACGGTGGCTCACACCTGTAATCCCAGCACTTTTGGAGGCCTAGGTGGGCGGATCACTTGAGGTCAGGAGTTCAAGGCCAGCCTGGCCAACATGGTGAAAACACATCTCTACTAAAAATAAAAAATTAGCTGTGCGTGGTGGTGCATGCCTATAATCCTAGCTACTCAGGAGGCTGAGCAGGAGAATTGCTTGAACTCAGGAGGCCGAAGTTGCAATAAGCCAAGATCACGCCACTGCACCTCAGCCTGGGCAACGGAGCAAAACTCCATCTCAAAAAAAAAAAAAAAAAACAAAAGCCAAGAATACTAGGTAGCTCACAGAATAAAAAACAAAGGAAAAGTTGAGTAACCAGAACTCAGAAAAGATAGAATTCAGGGCCACTCAGAGACCCTCAAGAATCTTATTTTGGGGGCACTGACATCACCTTCGTCAGGAACACCTTTAGGTCTAGGCAAAACTGAAAGCTGTATTTCTTCTGCATTCCTGCACTTGTTAATATAATACATAATGAATATTTCAGGATAAATACAGCTTTGATTAATAAGAATCTGTTTATAATCTGGCCAGGCACAGTGGCTCACGCCTGTAATCCCAGCACTTTAGGAGGCTGAGGCAGGTGGATCACCTGAGGTCAGGAGTTCAAGACCAGCCTGACCAAGATGGTGAAACCCTGTCTCTACTAAAAATACAAAAAAATTAGCTGCGTGTGGTGGCAGGCTCCTGTAATCCCAACTACTCAGGAGGCTGAGGCAGAAGAATCGCTTGAACCCAGGAGGTGGAGGTTGCAGTGAGCTGAGATCATGCCGTTGTACTCCAGCCTGGGCAACAAGAGTGAAACTCTGTCTCAAAATAAAATAATAATAATAATAATAATAATAATAATAATAATAATCTGCCTAGGGGTCCCTGTGCCAGTCCACCCAGGTTTTCATTCCTGATGACTCGAGGAGTCTTGGTTGGTTGGATTTGTTCACCTGCCCACCTGTTGCGGAAAAGAGAAGGACCTAGTGACTCACAGTCCACCCCACCCAAACCATATGGAATAGGGTAGAGGAAGTCCCCCAAAGAGAATGGGAAGCTGTGGCTGGACAGACAGAAACAAGAGATATCCACTGTATTTATGATGACTAGGTTTAGTGCACATGACAGAGACCTACAGTGGCAATAATTTAAACAAAATTAAAGCTTTTTTTCTCTTGCAGGTAAAAATCCAGAGGTAAGTCATCCAGGCTGGTACATAGCTCTTCTCCATGAAGCCTGGTGCCCCAACCCCTTCTTCATGGGCCAAGATGGAGCTCTAGTCAGCACATCTAAGTCCCAAGAACAGGATGGAGAAACAGAGCTAGAAGAGGACAAAGAGGCTAGGTGCGGTGGCTCACACCTTTAATCCCAGCACTTTGGGAGGCCAAGGTGGGAGGATCATGAGGTCAGGAGATAGAGACCATCTTGGCCAACATGGTAAAACCCCGTCTCTACTAAAAATACAAGAAATTAGCCAGGCATAGTGGTGCATGCCTGTAGTCCCAGCTACTTGAGAGGCTGAGGCAGGGGAATTGCTTGAACCTAGGAGGCGGAGATTGCAGTTAGCCGAGATCCTGCCACTGCACTCCAGGCTGACAACAGAGTGAGACTCCATCTCATAAAAAAAAAAAAAAAAAAAAAAAAGTGGGGACAAAGAGAGGGTGCTAAGTGTTTTCTTCTGGATGATTCTAGGAAGCCATTGTGCTTCTTCTCACATCCCATTGGCCAGACATAGTCACATGACCATTCCAAGCTGCAGTGCAGGCTGGGAAATAGAGGCTCTGCTAAAAATTCTACTATCACTAAAGAAGAGAAGAGTGGGTCTTAGAGGACAATGGTCAGGTCCTGCCGTATCTACCATGTACATCTGGTGGATCTCACGACTCACACGCATATATCTTCCCATACATTTAATATTTTTAAATGCTCCTACCCCACCATAATTCAATCATTCTAATGTCACACAAAACCAATAACACACTTCCTCCTCAAAAGAGACAACTAGAGTCACACACAGGTACTGTAATAGCTCCAAGTCCAGGAACTCTGGGAAACATCCTTTCTTCAGTCTCACCTCAATATTTTGCAATCTGTGGACGAAACAGAAGTCTTTTTTCTTTTTCTTTTTCTTTTTTTTTTTTTTTGACAGAGTCTTGCTCTGTCACCCAGGCTGGAGTGCAGTGGCTCGATCTCTGCTCACTGCAACCTCTGCCTCCCGGGTTCAAGCAATTCTCCTGCCTCAGCCTCCTGAGTAGCTGGGACTACAGGCATGTGCCACCATGCCCAGCTAATTTTTTGTATTTTTAGTAGAGACAGGGTTTTACCATGTTGGCTAGGCTTGTCTTGAGCTCCTGACTGCGGGTAATCCACCCACCTCGGCCTCCCAAAGTGCTGGGATTATAGTCTTGAGCCATTGCTCCCGGCTCCAATAGAAGTTTAATCAGCACCTGCTCACCCTGTATATGATAATGAGAAAACGGACAGAAAATCTTCTTACATTTATTTTTAATTTTCATAATCTTTATTACAGATGGGGTCTTGTCATGTTGCCCAGGCTGGTCTCAAACTCCTGGTCTCAAGCGCCCCTCCCGCCTCAGCCTCCCAAAGTACTGGGACTACAGGTGTAAGTGACTGCACCCAGTTTAGAAACATTTTTAAATAATAGTATGACCCAGGCCAGGCATGGTGGCTCACGCTTGTAATCCCAGCACTTTGGGAGGCCGAGGCAGGCAGATCACGAGGTCAGGAGATTGACACCATCCTGGCTAACACGGCGAAACCCCGTCTCTACTAAAAATACAAAAAATTAGCCGGGCGTGGTGGCAGGCGCCTGTAGTCCCAGCTACTGGGGAGACTGAGGCAGGAGAATGGTGTGAATCCAGGAGGCGGAGTTTGCAGTGAGCCGAGATCGTGCCACTTCACTCCAGCTTGGGTGATAGAGTGAGACTCCGTCTCAAAAAAAAATAAATAAAAAATAAAAATAAATAAATAAATTATGGACAATTTCAAATGTATGCAAAAATGGACAGAATAGTAGTGAATCTCCATGTATATGTCATCTGATTTAACAATTATCAATTTATGGGTAATCTTGGGTCATCTGTACCCACTCTCCTACATTGTCATTACTTGGAAGTAAGTTCCATATATCATACAGAACAGCTATAAACATTTCAATATGTATTTCTTTTTTGGGACGGAGTCTCGCTCTTTCGCCAGGCTGGAGTGCAGTGGCGCTATCTTGGCTCGCTGCAACCTCCGCCTCCCGGGTTCAAGCGATTCTCCTGCCTCAGCCTCCCGAGTAGTTGGGACTACAGGCATGTGCCATCGCGTCCAGCTAATTTTTGTATTTTTAGTAGAGACGGAGTTTCATTCTGTTGGCCACGATGGTCTCAATCTCCTGACCTCATGATTTGCCAGCCTCGGCCTCCCAAAGTACTAGGATTACAGGCAGGTGCCTGGCTTCAGTATGTATTTCTAAAAGAGAAACTATTTTTACAAACTTAACTGTAATTCCATTATTGCACCAAAAAAAAAAAAAAAATTATTCCAGGCCAGGGGCGGTGGCTCACGCCTGTAATCCCAGCATTCTGGGAGGCCAAGGTGGGCAGATCACGAGGTCAAGAGATCGAGACCATCCTGGCCAAATGGTGAAACCCCGTCTCTATTAAAAATACAAAAATTAGCTGGGCGTGGTGGTGTGTGCCTGTAATCCCAGCTACTTGGGACGCTGAGGCAGGAGAACTGCTTGAATCCAGGATGCGGAGGTTGCAGTGAGCCAAGATCGTGCCACTGCCCTCCAGCCTGGTAACACAGCGAGAGACTTCGTCTCAAAAATAAATAAATAAATAAATAAATAAATAAATAAATAAAATTCCGTAAAATCATCAAATTCCAATTTTTGCCAATTCTCCTCCCTGCTTTTATTCACAGTTGACTTTCCTTTGTTTTGTTTTGAGACAAGATTTTGTTCTGTCACCCAGGCTGGAGTGCAATGGCACAATCTCAGCTCACTGCAACCTCCACCTCCCAGGTTCAAGTGATTCTCCTGCCTCAGCCTCCTGAGTAGCTGGGATTACAGGCGCTCGCCACCACGCCCAGCTAACTTTTGTATTTTTAGTAGAGATGGGGTTTCACCATGTTGGTCAGGCTCATCTCAAACTCCTGACCTCAGGTGATCTCCCCACCTCGGCCTCCCAAACTGCTGGGATTACAGGCATGAGCCATCGCGGCCAGCCTAATTGTTTTTTTTCTTTTTGGTAGAGACGGGGTTTTGCCACGTAGTCTAGGCTGATCTCAAACTCCTGGGCTCAGTTGATCCTCTCACTTCAGCCTCCCAAAGTGCTGGGATTATAGGTGTGAGCCACCACACCCAGCCTACAGTTAACTTTTTAAAAATAAAGTCCATACGATGGACTTGGCAGATACATTTCTCAAGCCTTCCTCTCTTTTTAAAATTACATCTCAAGTCTTTTTAAATTCATGGGTTCCCTTCCACTCTTTCTCTTCCCTTTTTTTTTTTTTTTTTTTTTTTTTTTTTTTTTTTTTTTTTGAGACAGAGTCTCGCTCTGTCGCCCAGGCTGGAGTGCAGTGGCGTGATCTCGCCTCACTGCAAGCTCCGCCTCCCGGGTTCATGCCGTTCTCCTGCCTCAGCCTCCCGAGTAGCTGGGACTACAGGCACCCGCCACCACACCCAGCTAATCTTTTTTTTTGTATTTTTAGTACAGACGGGGTTTCACCGTGTTAACCAGGATGGTCTCGATTTCCTGACCTCGCAATCCGCCCGCCTTGGCCTCCCAAAGTGCTGGGATTACAGGCATGAGCCACCACGCCTGGCCAGAAAAATGTATTCTTGTTAACTACCCGCTTACCTTGAAGTACAGCCCACAGTTCATACAGGTAAAGCAGGATATAATTGCTTCATCCTTTCATTTACTAGTTTACAAAAATGGGTGTCTCTCCAAGCATTTTCCAAAGGTTTCCCACGAGATTGTTTTTGCTTTGTGTAATTGAGTACTGCATTGGGTTGAATAGGGTCCTCGAAAAATTCATATCCACCCAGAACCTAAGAATGTGGCCTTATTTGGAAATGAGAGTCTTTGCTGAGGTAACTGGCTACGATGAGGTCACTCTGGAGTAGGGAGAGCCCTAAATCCAAGGCTGATTTTCACAAGAGGAGAGTTGGGGTACGGCAGCTAACGCCTGTAATCCTAACATCAAGGCAGGAGAATTGCTTGAGGCCAGGAGATTGAGACCAGCCTGGGCAACATGGTGAGACCCCCCCCCTCTACAAAAAATAAAATAAAAAATTACCTGAGGCCAGGCACAATGGCTCATGTCTGTAATCCCAGCACTTTGGGAGGTCAAGGCGGGTGGATCACCTGAGATCAGGAGTTCAACAGCAGCCTGGCCAACATGGTGAAACCCTGTCTGTACTAAAAATACAAAAATTAGCCAGGTGGCGTGACATGCGCCTGTAATCCCAGCTACTCTGAAGGCTGAGGCAGGAGAATTGCTTGCAGAGGTTGTAGTGAGCCGAGATGATGCTACTGCACTCCAGCCTGGACAACAGAACAAGACCCTTTCTCAAAAATAAATAAATAAAAATTAAAATAATAAAAAAAAAACAGTTACCTAGGTGTGGTAGCATGCACCTGTGGTGTGGTCCCAGCTATTCAGGAGGCTGAGGTGGGAGGATTGCTTGAACCTGGGAGGTCAAGGCTGTAGTGATAGTGGGCTATGATAGTGCCACTGTACTCCAGCCTTGGTGACACAACGAGACCCTGTCTCAAGAAAAAATAAATAAATAAAAACTAAATAAATTGGGCTGGGCACAGTGGCTCACGCCTGTTAATCCCAGCACTTTGGGAGGCCAAGGCGGGTGGATTACCTGAGGTCAGGAGTTCGAGATCAGCCTGGCCAACATGACGAAACTCCATCTCTACTAAAAATACAAAAATTAACTGGGCATGATGGCACATACATGTCTGTAATCCCAGTTACTCGGGAGGCTGAGGCAGGAGAATTGCTTGAACCCGGGAGGCGGAGGTTGCAGTAAGAAGACATCACGCCACTGCACTCTAGCCTGGGTGACAGAGCAAGACTCCATCTCAAGAAAGAAAAAAAAAAAAATTAGCTGGGTGCAGTGGCTCACGCCTGTAATCCCAACACTTTGGGAGGCCAAGGCAGGCGGATCACCTGAAGTCAGAAGTTTGAGACCAGCCTGGCCAATATGATGAAACCCCGTCTCTACTAAAAATACAAAAATTAGCTGGGCATGGTGGCATGAGCCTGTAATCCCAGCTACTTGGGAGGCTGAGACAGGAGA
Organism: Homo sapiens; assembly: GCF_000001405.40. Classification (NCBI taxonomy): domain Eukaryota; kingdom Metazoa; phylum Chordata; class Mammalia; order Primates; family Hominidae; genus Homo; species Homo sapiens. Next base: position 6,354,635 of record NC_000007.14, on the reverse strand, counting down.
ATCTCTTGAACCCGGGAGGCAGAGGTTGCAGTGAACTGAGATCAGGCCATTGCACTCCAGCCGGGCAACAAGAGCAAAACTCAGTCTGAAAAAAAAAAATTACAGTTTTAATGTTTCTTCAAATAGTTCTTCTTTTTGTGTGGTTATATCACTAACTGGATATACAGATTTCACTTGTTTCATTTTGCTTTCAGGTTTTATGTATTTTTTAGAAATTTAATTTTGTTTTACCACTGTGGAAAATATTTACATGGTTCCAAAGTCCAATTCTAAAAACCAAGATATATGCTGGGAAGTATAACTTTTTTTTTTTTTTTGAGACAGAGTCTTGCTCTGTCACCTAGGCTAGAGTGCAGTGGCAAGATCTCCGCCCACAGCAACCTCCACCTCCCGGGTTCAAGCAATTCTTGTGCCTCAGCCTCCCAAGTAGCTGGGATTACAGGCGCGTACCACTACGCCTGGTTAATTTTTGTATTTTTAGTAGAGACAGGGTTTTGCCATGTTGGCCAGGCTGATCTCCATCTCCTGACCCCAAGTGATCTACCCGCCTCATCCTCCCAAAGTGCTGGGATTACAGGCATAAGCCACCTCACCTGGCCAAACCACTTTAAAATAAATTTATGGTATATCCTTTCATTTAAAGAACAAATAAAAACACATGTGTGTTTGTGTATATTTGCATATATGTATAGTATATAACATTTATGTATGTATATGTGTTTGTGTACATCTATATACACATATATATATGTGTATATCCTTCAATTTCTTTTTCTTTTTCTTTTTTTTTTTTTTTTTGAGGTGGGGGTCTCACTCTGTCACCCAGGCTGGAGTGCAGTGGCATGATCTTGGCTCATTGCAACCTCCACCTCCTGGGCTCAAGCAATCCTCCCACCTCAGCTTCCCAAACAGCTGGGACTACAGGTGTGTGCCACCACATCTGGCTAATTTTTGTATTTTTTTGTAGAGATGGTATTTCACCATACTGCCCAGGCTGGTCGCAAACCATCAGGCTGAAGCGATCCTACTGCCTTGGCCTCTCAAAGTGCTGGGATTACAGGTGTGAACCACCACACCTGGCTCCCTCGCTCCCTCCCTCCCACCTCTTTCTTTCCTTTCTTCCCGCCCTCCCTCCCTTCCTTCCTTCCTCCCTCCCTTTCTCTCTTTCTTTCTTTCTTGATGGAGTTTCGCTCTTGTTGCCCAGGCTGGAGTGCAATGACGCAATCTCAGCCACCACCACTGCGCCTGGCCTAAACTTGCATTCTTCTAAGGACGTGAGGGATCTAACCATGAAAATAGCTACCATTTAGGCCAGGCGCGGTGGCTCACACCTGTAATCCCAGCACTTTGGGAGGTCAAGGCGGGAGGATCACTTGAGCCCAGGGGTTTGAGACCAGCCTGGGCAACCTAGCAAATCCCCGTCTCCACAAAAACAAACACAAAAACAAAATCAGCAGCTGGGTGTAGTAGTGTGCATCCATAATCTCAGCTACTTGGGAGGCTGTGCTGGGAGGATCGCTTGAGCCTAAGAGGTTGAGGCTACAGTGAGCTGAGACCTGCCACTGCACTCCAACCTGGGCAACAGAGCCAGATCCTGTCTCAAAAAAAAAAAAAAGAAATGAGGCAGGAGAGGCTGGGCGCGGTGGCTTACTCCTGTAATCCCAGCACTTTGGGAGGCTGAGGTGGGCAGATCACTTGAGGTCAGGAGTTCAATACCAGCATGGCCAACATGGTGAAACCCCATCTCTACTAAAAATACAAAAATTAGCTGGGCGTGGTGGTGGGCGCCTGTAATCCCAGCTACTTGGGAGGCTGAGGCAGGAGAATCACTTGAACTTGGGAGGTGGAGGTTGCAGTGAGCCTAGATTTCACCACAGCACTCCAGCCTGGGCAACAGAGCCAGGCTCTGTCTCAAAAAAAAAAAAAAAAAAAAAAAAGAAAGAAAGAAAAAGAAAAAAAAAAGGAAAGAAAAGATAAAGAAAATAGCTACCACCACTTTCTCGGTGTCCTCTATCTGCCTGGGACTGTGCTAAATGCCGTGTATACCTGATCTCATTTATTTCTCATAAATACCCAGTAGGATGGCTGTCCTTATCCTCATTTTACAGAACCAGGTCACAGGGCACCAAGAAATTGCTAAATGTGAAACCTGACTTCTCTGTGCTTTCCTCACCACCAGATCATGCTGAAAAGAAAAAAGGCTTGGCTGGGCTCAGTGGCTCATGCTTGTAATCCCAGAAATTTGGGAAGCTGAGGCAGGCAGATCACTTGAGGTCAAGAGTTTGAGAGCAGCCTGGCTAACCCATGGTGAAACCCCATCTCTACTAAAAATACAAAAATTAGTGGGGTGTGGGGGTGCTTGCCTGTAATCTCAGCTACTCAAGAGGCTGAGGCAGGCGAATTGCTTGAACCTAGGAGGCAGAGGTTGCAGTGAGCCGAGATAGTGCCATTGCACTCCAGCATGGGTGACAGAACGAGACTCTATCTCAAAAAAAAAAAAAGAAAAAAAAAGCCTTGACTATTTCTCTCACCTGAGACACAATTTTCATAGCAGGGTGAAGATTGTAGGCAAAGGACATGGATCCTGTTGATCAATCATTTTATTTTTATATTTATTTATTTATTTACAGACGGAGTCTCACTCTGTTGCCCAGACTGCAGTGCAATGGCGTGATCTTGGCTCACTGCAATCTCTGCCTCCCAGGTTCAAATGATTCTCCTGCCTCAGCCTCTTGAGTAGCTGGGATTACAGGTGCCTGTAATCCCAGCTACTCAGGAGGCTGAATCACTTGAACCCAGGAGGTGGAGGTTGCAGTGAGCCGAGATCGTGCCACTGCACTCCAGCCTGGGTGACAGAATGAGACTCTGTCTCAAAAAACAAAAATATTATTTTTAATAATGATAATTATTGAAGGCCATGGTCTTTCAAAGTGTTGGGATTACAGGCATGAGCCACTGTGTTTGGCTCACACTGATTTATAATTAGTTCTGTCTGTGTTTGTTTCTCAAACCATAATGAGGAAAATGTATTCCCAAAGATGCTCAGTGACACTGGGCTGAGCTGAATGCTAGGTCAGGAACCTAGGCTGATTTCCCAGCCGGCACTGTAGTTTGGAACAATTAACCCAGATATACCTCAAATATTGTTAGCTTTCCCATGTGTCTCTTTGACCTCTCATTGCATCTCATTACAACAGGCTTCTTACCTTGCCCAGTTTAGCGTTGTGGTAATTTTGCTTGCCATTGTTTACAGCAACCGAATGGCTTGTTAAAATAACTCTCTGCCTAGGTAGAAGGATGGCTTGAGGTCAGGGATTCCAGACCAGCCTGGGCAACATAGTGAGAGCCTATCTCTACCAATAATAATAATAATAATAATAATAATAATAATAATAATAATAATTAATAAATAAATAAAATAAAATAAAAATAAATTAGCCGAGCATGAGGCAGGCGTGGTGGCTCACGCCTGTAAACGCAGCACTTTGGGAGGCTAAGGCAGGCGGATCACCTGAGGCTGGGAGTTCAAGACCAGCCTGACCAACATGGAGAAACCCCATCTCTACTAAAAGATACAAAATTAACCGGGCGTGGTGGTGCATGCCTGTAATCCCAGCTACTCAGCAGGCTGAGGCAGGAGAATTGCTTGAACCCAGTAGGTGGAGGTTGTGGTGAGCCAAGATTGCATCATGGCACTCCAGCCTGGGCAACAAGAGTGAAACTCCGTCCCCCGAAAAAAAAAAAAAAATTAGCCGAGCATGGTGGCGCATATCTGTAGTCCCAGCTATTCAGAAGGCTGTGGCAGGAGAATGGCTTGAGCGAGGGAGGTTCAGGGTGCAGTGAGCTGTGATCATGCCACTGCACTCCAGACTGGGCAAAATAGCAAGACCTCTCATCTTGAAATAAAATTTTTAAATGCCTCCCTGCCACAATGGCATTTAGAGACAATAAAAATGAGTAACCAGGGAGGATATGTATGCATGTGTGTATGATTCTGGGTGTGTGTGTGTGTGTGTGTCTGTACATATACATATACCTATCTCTCTCTTTATATATAATCACATGTTACCTCAGCCCATCTGGTCTTTCCACATAGTTCAAATAAACAGGACTGACAAACTTCCACCAGTGAAAATCTCTACAAGCCTAAGAATAAATTTAGCTGATCTTCAAGCCTGTTTACACATTACCAGATTGATTCTGTGTTTTCTGGCAAATGTTCCACTGAAGACTCTACCCTTTAAAATGTTTAAATTATTTGCCTAGATACTGCATAAAGACATTTTCATTCTACTTTTTATCAAGAGGATAGCTTGAAAAACAACAATTCTGCAGCATGTGCACTGCGGTGCTCAAGGAGGGCATGCAATGTGCACTGAAAGGAAAAAATAGCTTCCAAAAAAAGGAAGTGAGCTTTTTAATGTCAATGATAAATGTGGCAAAATATAATGCTGCAAAAATAAGGGAAACTAAAGGTTTTTTTTTTTTTTTTTTTTTGAGACAGGTTCTCACTCTGTTTTCCAGACTGGAGTACACTGGTGTGATCATACCACATTGCAGCCTTGAACTCCTGGGCTCAAGGATTCCTCTCACCTCAGCCTCCCAAGTAGCTGGGACCACAGGCGTGCACCACCATGCCCGGCTAGTTTTTTTCACTTTTTGTAGAGACAGGATTTTGCTATGTTGCCCAGGCTGGTCTTGAACTCCTGGGCTCAAAGGATGGACCTGCCTTGGCCTCCCAAATGCTGGGATTACAGGAGTCGGGCACCGCAACTGGCCTATTTTATTTGATTTATTTAAAAAATGCTAATCCCAGCACTTTGGGAGGCCGAGGTGGGCAGATCACCTGAGGTCAGGAGTTCGAGACCAGCCTGGCCAAAATGGTGAAAACCCCTGTCTACTAAAAATACAAAAATTAGCTGGGCATGGTGACGTGCACCTGTAATCCCAGCTACTCAGGAGGCTGAGCCTGGGGAATCACTTGAACTCGGGAGGCGGAGGTTGCAGGAGGCGAGATCATGCCATTGCACTCCAGCCTGGGCAACAAGAGCGAAACTCCATCTCAAATAAAAAGAAAAAAAAAGATTTAGTACTGCAACCTTTTTTTTTTTTTTTTTTTTTTTGAGACGGAGTCTTGCTCTGTCGCCCAGGCTGGAGTGCAGTGGCTCGATCTCGGCTCACTGCAAGCTCCGCCTCCTGAGTTCACGCCATTCTCCCGCCTCAGCCTCCCGAGTAGCTGGGACTACAGGCGCCCGCCACTACGCCTGGCTGATGTTTTGTATTTTTAGTAGAGACGGGGTTTCGCCGTGTTAGCCAGGATGGTCTCGATCTGCTGACCTCGTGATCCGCCCGCCTCGGCCTCCCAAAGTGCTGGGATTACAGGCATGAGCCACCGCGCTTGGCCTACTGCAACCATTTTTAAATGTATAGTTCAGCGGCGTTAAATACATTCACTTTGTCTGCAACCGTCGCTACCGTCCATCGCCTCCCTTTGTCTTCATTTTCAGACTCACCAGTAGGGGGCGGACGGAGACAGCGCATCAGCCTCGACCCCCACGCCTCCTCTCCCGCGCATGCGCGTCTTACCTGCCAAAAAGAAAGGTGGCAAGGGCGTGTCCAGGGGCGGGGCCTGTGGGCCGCGCAGGCGCGTGGCTGGCTTTGTGACGTCAGGCTGCGCGGCCAGGCTGGTACAGGCGGCTGCTCGCGGAGGCACTTCTCCGAGCGTGACGTGCGGACTCCGCTCCACTGCGGCCCGCCCGCCCGCCGGTCTAGCCGCCGCCTCCTTCGCTCCCTGAGCACGCCAGGCGAGGGTCAGCTGCCGGGGCGACGCGGCGCGGAGAGGGCGGGCGGGGGGGCTGTGGGAGCGCCGGTCTCTATATGGCGGCGGCTCTGTCGGGCCTGGCTGTCCGGCTCTCGCGCTCGGCCGCCGCCCGCTCCTATGGGGTCTTCTGCAAGGGGCTGACTCGCACGCTGCTCATCTTCTTCGACCTGGCCTGGCGGCTGCGTATCAACTTCCCCTACCTCTACATCGTGGCTTCCATGATGCTCAACGTCCGCCTGCAGGTGGGTGAGCCGTGCCTGCCCGGCCCCCGGCCCTCCCCGAGCGCCCGCCTCGCCCGCGGGATGCAGACGCCACGGCAGCTGCCACTGCCTAGAAGCTGAGTGTATGTCAAGCACCGTGCATTTTCCCGTGCGACCCTACTTTGGGGAGATCCACTGAGGTGGTCCTTATCCCCGTTCTGCAAACGCGGCACTGGGGGTCAGGTTAAGCGACTTGCCTTGGGGAAGGTCCCGCAGCTCGGGAGGTGGGGTCCGAGACTGCATGGGCTGGAAAGGTGTTGAAGAGGACCTTTATTAAATGTTGGGTGAATTTTCTAGTTCCCAAACTTTGCAACCCCCCCCCTTATTTTTAATTGTAAAGACGGGTCTCGGCCGGGCGCGGTGGCTTACTCCTGTAATGCACTTTGGGAGGCTGAGGCGGGCGGATTACCTGAGGTCAGGAGTTCGAGACCAGCCTGACCAACACGGAGAAACCCCGTCTCTACTAAAAATACAGAATTAGCCGGGCGTGGTGGCGCGTGCCTGTAATCCCAGCTACTCGGGAGGCTGAGGCGGCAGAATCGCTGGAACCTGGGAGGCGCAGGTTGCGGTGAGCCGAGATCGCTCCATTGCGCTCCAGCCTGGGCAGCAAGAGGGAAACTCCATCTCAATAATAATAATAATAATAATAATAATAATAATAATAATAATAAAGGGGTCTCGTTATGTTGCCCAGGCTGGTCTCGAACTCCTGGCCTCAAGAGATCCTCCCATCTTGGCCTCCCAGTGCTGGGATTATAGGCATGAGCCACCACATCTGGCCTGCATAGACGTTTTATGTTATCCTTGAAGCTAAAAATGGATTGGAAGTTAACAGCGTTTTGATAAATGTACCGTATTTTGGCCAGAGGTGGAACTGAGTTGTGAGGGTGAAGACCAGGGAAAATAAAGTGGAAGACGTGGAAGCACAAAACGTCTCAGAGGCCTGGAACCATTCAGCTGATCTTAGAGTATGCTCACACCCCAGCACCCTGGAGACCGCCTTTGCTGTAAAAAATTGGTATCTCTTTTTTTTTTTTCCCTGAGACAGAGTCTTACTCTTGCCCAAGCTGGAGTGCGGTGGCGCCATCTCAGCTCACTGCAACCTCTGCCTCCCGAGTTCAAGCGATTCTCCTGACTCAGCCTCCTGAGTAGCTGGGACTACAGGTGCCCGCCACCACGCCAGGCTAATTTTTGTATTTTTAAGTAGAGTTGGGTTTTCACCATGTTGGCCAGGCTGGTCTCAAAATCCTGACTTCAAGTGATCTGCCCGCCTCGACCTCCCAAAGTGCTGGGATTATAGGCGTCAGCCACAGCGCCCAGCCAAGAGACTGATATTTCTACATCCCTTGAATTCCAGTTGCCTTTTTCTTTCTTTTATATTTTCCTTTTTGGTAGAGACAGGGTCTTCCCATGTTGCCAAGGCTGGTCTTGAACTTCTGGCCTCAAGTGATCCTCCTGCCTTGCCCTCCCAAAGCACTAGGATTACAGTCAGAACCCAGTGAGCCCAGCCTCAGATGACTTTTTCTAGTGGAAGGAAAGGTTGTCAACTCGAGAATTCTTTCTCAAAGAAAGCTGGCCAAGTCCTGAGCCCCTCTTGCATTCCATTTGCATACCTCTGTGCTGAAGGAGGGACCCTCCTTTGGGGAGTTTACAGTTGGACGGTCCTTGGGTTGCTCCCTGGCGTGCAGAATGAACCAGTCTGAGCAGTAGAACCACCACACTGCAGGTGCCGTCCCTTTCTAACGTCGGTTTGGCCATATCAAAGTATGATTGTCCCAGTAGCAGGTCTTCAGGTGGCTGGTGCCTGACACAGGTGATGGTAATTAACATGAAACCTAACACCGGCTGTTGATCCAAATTGAGTTAAGATGGCTGGGCACAGTAGCTCACTCCTGTAAGTAATCCCAACACTTTGGGAGGCCAAGGTGTCTGCGTCGCTTAAGCTCAGGAGTTTGAGACCACCCTGGGCTACAGGGTGAAACCCTGTCTCTACTAAAATACAAAAAATTAGCTGGGCGTGGTGGCCGGGCAGTGGTGGCGTGCACCTGTAGTCCCAGCTGCTTGTGGGGCTGAGGTGGGAGGATCGCTTGAGCCTGGGAGGCAGACGTTGCAGTGAGCCGAGATTGTGCCACTGCACTCCAGCCTGGGCGACAGTAAGATTCTGTCTCAAGTAAGTAAATGAGTTGAGATTAACTGGCCTCTTTATTTTGAGGTCCAAATTGAGGTACTGTCATGTGATCAAGGGCTTGTAGCATTCTGAAATTATACCTGATTAGAGGGGTCAAAACCTCCACCAGGTGGCTTGAATTGAGTGAAGGGTGCTCCTGTGTCAGTTCAGGGGACTGGTAAACGAGAAGGCCTGAGCCCTCCCCAGTTACCACCTTCGAAAATAGGGGCCCAGTATTTGCCGTATCTAGTCAGCACCAAGAGAAATCAGAAGTCAAGATTTTTAGATTTCCAATCCGGATTTTTAAAAAACAAACTTTGGCTGGGCATGGTGTCTCATGCCTGTAATCCCAGTATATTGGGAGGCTGAAGCAGGCGGATCACTTGAGGTCAGGAGTTTAAGACCAGCCTGGACAATATGGCAAAACCCCATCTCTACTAAAAATACAAAAATTAGGCAGGTGTGATGGTGCACGCCTGTAATCCCAGCTACATGGTAGGCTGAGGCAGGAGAATCACTTGAACCCAGGAGATGGAGGTTGCAGTGAGCCAAGATCACCCTACTGCACTCCAGCCTGGGAAACACAGCGAGACTCTGTCTCAAAAAAATAATAATAATAACCACCACCAAAAAAACAGATTTTAAAAAAAGAAACTTTGAGGGCAAAACAAAAAGTGTCTACAGGCTGTATTTGGCTCCTGTACTCCCCTTTTTGTCTAGAGTAACGTAATTTGCAGTCATTTGTAAAAATCACAAGAATGGCTATAAGAGAAAACCTGCTACATGATGCTGTTTTGGTGAAAATTGGTATGCTCTTTACCATTGAAACAGTTACCTTTTTCATATATCTGCTTCTCTATTTATAACCACCTCTCTAGTCTACCCTACTGTATCCACTCGCCTGGACTATTGTAGTATCTGCCATCTCCACCAAGCAATCAGAGGCAACTTCTAAAAAACAAATCAGATCGAGGGCTGGGTGTGGTGGCTCATGCCTATAATCCCAGCACTTTGGGAGACTGAGGTGGGAGGATCACTTGAGCCCAGGAGTTCCAGACCAGCCTGGGCAACACAGCAAGACCCCAGTCTGTACAAAAAATAAATTAGCCGGGTGTCGTGGTGCGTGCCTGTAATCCCAGCTACTTGGGAGGCAGAGGTGGGAGGATCGCTTGAGCCAAGGAGGCCGAAGATGCAGTGAGCCGTGATCATGATGCTGCACACCAGCCTGGGCAACAGAGTGAGACTCTGTCTCTAAAATTAAACAACAACAAGAAAAACACATAACCTCCCATAAATCTGATCATGTCATTTCTAAAAGAAAGCTAAACTCTGGCCGGGCGCAGTGGCCGGGCGTGGTGGGATTTACGCCTGTAAATCCCAGCACTTTGAGAGGCTGAGGCAGGCAGATCACCTGAGGTCAGGAGTTTGAGACCAGCATGGCCAACATGGTGAAACCCCATCTCTACTAAAATACAAAAATTAGCCGGGCATGGCGGCATGCGCCTGTCATCCCAGCTACTTGGGAGGCTGAGGCAGGAGAATTACTTGAACCCTGGGAGGTGGAGGTTACAGTGAGCCAAGTTCGTGCCATTGCACTCCAGCCTGGGCAACACAGTGAGACTCCGTCTCCAAAAAAATAATAATAAAATTTAAAAAAAAGAATTGAGTGGGCCAGGTGCCGTGACTCAACCCTGTAATCCCAGCACTTTGGGAGTCCAAGGTGGGAGGATCACTTGAACTGAGGAGTTTGAGACCAGCCTGGGCAACAGGGCGAAACTCCGTCTCTACAAAAAATACAAAAATTAGCTGGGCGTGGTGGTGCATGCCTATAGTCCCAGCTACTTGGGAGACTGAGGTGGATCACTTGAGGCCAGAAGGTCGAGGAGGCAGTGAGCTATAATTGTACCACTGTACTCCAGGCTGGGCAACAGAGCAAGACCCCGTCTGTAAAAAAAGACACAAGTGTGAAGATTGTAGGCTTGGGCTTGACCAAGTGCAACAAGCAGCCATGTCACATCATGGGGGTGGGGAGTGGGGTGTCTGTCTTCTTGGCCTTGATATTTACCTCTGCTACTTTAAACTCCCCTGCAGGTTTTAGAGTTTTTGTTCATTTGTGAAAAAACACTAACTTACCTGATTTGAAGGTTTAATTTTTGTGGCTTTCTGGTAAAGGGAGGTACAACAGGAAATAGAATCTGAAGGAATAAGGGGGACAGCCCCACGCCTTTTTTTTTTTTTTCTTGTTCTTCAGAACATGCTTTACCCTCGCTTGAGGCCAGGAGCTTGAGAAGCCTGGGCAACATAGTGAGACACCATCACTACAAAACATTAAAAGTTAGTTGAATGTAGTGGTGCATGCCTGTAGTCCCAGCTACTTGGGAGGCTGAGGTGGGAGGATCACCTGTGCCTGGGAGTTCAAGGCTACAGTAAGCTATGATCCCACCACTGCTCTCCAGCATGGGTGACAGAGTGAGACTAAAAAGAAAAAGCCATACCCATCCTCTTCATTGCAGGAATGTTAGAATCTGTTTCATGAGTAATAAGGCCTAAGGAACTCCATTTTCCAAATTTGTTTAGGGAGCCCCTCCTCCCTAGATCTCTAGTTTGTAGGGCAGTGAGGCATTTTAAGGAGGTTAATACCTCTTTAGGATGAAAGATGATTAAATGAGAAAATGATGCAGACAGTTGTATACTGAGAATGGTTATGATTTTAAAATACTATTTGCAAGCAAGCCTTAATCTCCTGGAGTTCTTAGCATCCTTCTTATTTATACAGAATCTGAAATACAAGGCAGTTAAATGGAATCAATACCAAATACTAAATTTAGTAAAAGCAAGATTAAAAATGGTACTGTGAATCTGCTATAATTTAACAAGTCATGCCTACAACTTTTCAGTTATATGGCCTGTGGGAAGAACGAAGTGTTTCTTAGTCCTAGATCATATATATATATATATATATATATATATATATATATATATATATATATGAAATTATTATTATTTTTTTGAGACGGAGTTTCACTCTTGTGGCTCAGGCTGGAGTGCAGTGGTGTGATTTTGGATCACTGCAACCTCCGCTTCCCAGGTTCAAGCGATTCTCCTGCCTCAGCCTCCTGAGTAGCTGGGATTACAGGTGCCTGGTACCACGCCCAGCTAATTATTGTATTTTTAGTAGAGACGGGGCTTCACCATGTTGGCCAGGCTGGTCTTGAACTCCTGACCTCAGGGGATCCACCCTCCTCGGCCTCCCAAGGTGCTGGGATTACAGGTGTAAGCCACTGCACCTGGCCAATTTTTTCTTTTCTTTTCTCTTCCTCTTTCTTTCTTTCTTTTTTCTTTTTTTTTTTTGAGAAAGCGTCTTCCTCTGTCATCCAGGCTGGAGTGCAGTGGTGCGATCATAGCTCACTACAGCCTCCAGCTCCTGGACTCAAGCCATCCTCCCACTTCAGCCTTCTGAGTAGCTGGGGCTACAGGCATGTGCCACCATGCCTGGTTGATTTTTTCATTTTGTTTCTAGATGGGGTCTCACTATGTTGCCCAGGGTGGTCTCGAACTCCTGGCCTCAACTAATCCTCCTGCCTCAGCCTCCCAAAGTGCTGAGATTACAAGTGTGAGCCATCATACCTGGCCCTGCTTAGTCTTTTGTTTTTGTCTTTTATGTCTTTCTATGTTGGACTTTTGGGTTGCTTTCACTTTTTGGCTATTGTGAATAATGTTACTACGAACATTTGCATGTAAGCTTTGTGTGGACATCGGTTTTTATTTCTCTTGGGTGTATACTTAGAGCAGAATTGCTGGATCATATGTAACTCCTCTAACCATTTCAAAAAGATCACTTTTTTTTTTGAGACAGAGTCTCGCTTTGTCACCCAGGCTGCAGTGCAATGGTGTGATCTTGGCTCACTGCAACTTCTGACTTCTGGGTTCAAGTGATTCTCCTGCCTCCCGAGTAGCTGGGATTACAGGTGCCTACCACCATGCCCAGCTAATGTTTGTATTTTTAGTAGAGTCGGGGTTTTGCCATGTTAGCTGGGCTGGTCTCCAGCTCCTGGGCTCAAGAGATCCACCTGCCTCGGCCTCCCAGAGTGCTGGGATTACAGGTGTGAGCCACCGCACCCAGCCTAGACACTGTTTCTATAAGACAGAAAGAGAGAGAGAGAAAGAGAAAGTAAGAAACAAAGAAAAAGAAAGAAAAAAGAAAGGAAAGAAAATGAAGCTTTAAGAAGAGACTGTCTGCTTGGTATACCAACCTAATACCAGCACCTAGAACAGCACCTGGCACCTGGCGTAGGGTAGGTTCTTAATGAGTGATTGCTCATTGAATGTGTGGCAGAAAATCTTTAGAATCTTGAATCAAAGGTTTTCAGCACTTGCAATTTTTTTTTTGAGATGGAGTCTTGTTCTTGTCGCCCAGGCTGGAGTGCAATGGTATGATCTTGGCTCACTGCAGCCTCCACTTCTCGGGTTCAAGTGATTCTCCTGCCTCAGCCTCCCAAGCAGCTGGGATTACAGGTGCCCACCACCATGCCTGGGTAATGTTTGTATTTTTAGTAGAGACAGAGTTTCACCGTGATGGCCAGGCTGGTCTTGAACCCCTGACCTCAGGTGATCTACCCACCTTGGCCTCCCAAAGTGCTGGGATTACAGGGGTGAGCCACTGCACCTGGCGCGCACTCATAATTTTTTTTTTTTTTTTTGACAGAGTCTTGCTCTGTGGCCCAGGCTAGAGTGCGGTGGCGCGATCTCAGCTCACTGCAAGCTCCACCTCCTGGGTTCACGCCATTCCCCTGCCTCAGCCTCCCGAGTAGCTGGGACTACAGGCTCCCACCACTACACCTGGCTAATTTAAAAAAAATTTTTTTTTAGTAGAGGCAGGGTTTCACCACGTTAGCCAGGATGACAGTGCTCATAATAATAATAATAATTATTATTATTATTTTTTTGAGACAGAGTCTTGCTCTGTCACCCAGGCTGGAGTACAGTGGCGCGATCTCCGCTCACTGCAAGCTCCGCCTCCCGGTTCACACCATTCTCCTGCCTCAGCCTCCCGAGTAGCTGGGACTACAGGCGCCCGCCACCAGGCCCAGCCAATTTTTTGTATTTTCGTAGAGATGGGGTTTCACCGTGTTAGCCAGGATGGTCTCAATCTCCTGACCTCCTGATCTACCCTCCTTGGCCTCCCAAAGTGCTGGGATTTCAGGGGTGAGCCACTGTGCCTGGCCAGCACTCATTTTTTTTTTTGGGACAGAGTCTTGCTGTGTCGCCCAGGCTGGAGTGCAGTGGCACGATCTCAGCTCACTGCAAGCTGCACCTCCTGGGTTCATGCCATTCCCCTGCCTCAGCCTCCCGAGTAGCTGGGACTGTAGGTTCCCACCACCACACCTGGCTAATTTTTTGAATTTTTTTTTTTTTTTTTTTTAGTAGAGACAGGGTTTCACCATGTTAGGCAGGATGACAGCTTTCATAATTTTTTTTTTTTTTTTTTTGAGATGGAGTCTCACTCTGTCGCCCAGGCTGGAGTGCAGTGGCGCCATCTCGGCTCACTGCCAGCTCCGCCTCCCGGGTTCACGCCATTCTCCTGCCTCAGCCTCCCGAGTAGCTGGGACTATAGGTGCCCACCACCACGCCCGGCTAATTTTTTGTATTTTTAGTAGAGACAGGGTTTTACCGTGTTAGCCAGGATGGTCTCGATCTCCTGACCTCGTGATCCGCCCGCCTCGGCCTCCCAAAGTGCTGGGAATAATCCCACCATGCCCAGCCAGCACTCATAATTTTTTAAGTCATTGTCAACCTGCCCTCCTTCGAGTCTGTTATCCTGAATTCCCTCCCTGGCAATGTTGGGGAAGCTGTGGGTGGTCTGTATTTGCCCTTCAGCCAACTCCAGGTGCAGCACGGCCTCCGTGCTTCAGCCGACTCCAGGTATGGCACGGCCTCTGCCCTTCTACTGAAGTGTACTTACCCATGTTGGGGCTGTGTCTGTACACACATGCAGTGGTCGCTTCTCCGTCCTCCACCGCACCAACCCTCTCAGCAGCGTTTTGTCCTTCCCTGAAACACTTTTGGTCATGATGATGATAGTAGCTGCTGTTGATTCTGATCGACAGCAGCTGGGATGCCCTTAGGATGCTAGTCAGAGAAGAGTAGTCAGAGAAGATTCTGGCTGCTTCTCATACATCGAATCTTCACAGAATCCTGGGAGGGGCCGGGCGCGGTAGCTCATGCCTGTAATCCCAGCACTTTGGGAGGCCGAGGCGGGCGGATCACCTGAGGTCAGGAGTTTGAGACCAGCCTGGTCAACATGGAGAAACCCCATCTCTACTAAAAATACAAAAATTAGCTGGGTGTGGTGGTGCATGCCTGTAATCCCAGCTACTCAGGAGGCTGAGGCAGGAGAAGTGCTTGAACCCAGGAGGTGGAGGTTGCAGTGAGCTGAGATCATGCAGCTGCACTCCAGCCTGGGCGGCAGAGTGAGACTCATGCTCCCTGCGGAAAGTCAGTTGCCTGACGCCGAGCTGGCACCCGGCCTCTGCACACTCTCCTCTCCTTGTGATCGCACCTGTGAGCATCCAGGGGACCGGGAGGGGGAGACAGGGCAGTGGTTAAGAGAGGGGTACGGCTGGGCACAGTGGCTCTTGCCTGTAATCCCAGCACTTTGGGAGGCTGAGGTGGGTGGATCATGAGGTCAGGAGATCGAGACCATGGTGAAACCCTGTCTCTACTAAAAATACAAAACATTACCCAGGCGTGGTGGCGGGCGCCTGTAGTCCCAGCTACTCCGGAGGCTGAGGCAGCGGAATGGCGTGAACCTGGGAGGCGGAGCTTGCAGTGAGCTGAGATTGCTCCACTGCACTCCAGCCTGGGCGACAGAGCGAGACTCCGTCTCAAAAAAAAAAACAAAAAAAGGGGTACACAGCTGGTTTTATAGGGGCAGATGATTTATTTTTTATGGAGATGGGGTCTTGCTATGTTGCCTAGACTGGTCTCAAACTCCTAGGCTCAAACGATCCTCCCACCTCGACCTCCTGAGTAGCTGGGACCACAGGTGTGTGCACCACACCCAGCTAATTTTTTAATTTTTTGTAGAGATGGGGGTCTTGCTGTGTTGCTCAGGCTGGTCTCCGGCTCCTAGGCTCAAGTGATCTCCCCACCTCGGCCTCCCAAAGTACTGGGATTACAGGTGTGAGCCACCACACCTGGCCATCAGGTGTGATTTAGACGTGCCAAGTGGCGAGTAGCAGGAACTCAGTGATGTTAGTGTGTTCCTTGTGATCATGATTCAGCCTAATTTAGAAGTGCTGTGGTCATTGCTGTTTCTCCTCCTCTAGGCTGTGTGGAAATCCGGGGGTTTGTTTCTGCTACCTCCAGTCTGATCATTTGGGCCATGAGCACAGTGAGTTAAGGTGTGCTAGCGTTCACACCTGAGGGGTGTGGAGCTGGCCCATCTGGGAGCGTGTGTGAGCTCTCCTTGCGTGCGGCAGTCCCTCAAGGCCCACCGCGGCCCTGCTGGTTTTAGCTGTGTCTTCTCCCCTTTGGGACTAGCCTTGCCAGACCTCTTTCAGAAACATTGGGGCCAAGATATTTTTAGTTTACAAAGCAACAGCACCGTCATGCCCTGGAGGCCAGGAATAGCTTGGGTTAGGGAAGGTGAGGGTACAGGCACTCATGAGGGCAACAGCTAAGTAGGTCAGGCCATTGTTGTCCGGCAGGTCAGCTGGGCAGGGATCTGCGAGGAAGGTGACCGCTCCTGTTGTGGTGAGGATCGGGTATACCTGGACAGCCTCGTTTCCCCTGGCACGGCGCCCCTGTGACCTCCCTGGCTTTGTGTTCAGCTTTTGTCATCTTTGGTGGGAGGCAGAGGGAGGTATAGGCTGCAAGATTTACCCTCTGGAACCCAGGGCTACACTTTATTTTTCCTGAACCATGCTTTCTTGAAGACTCCTTCCATCATTCTGGTGGTCTCAGCTTTGGTAGCTACCTTTGTTTGTAATACCATCATTTACACTGTTTTTTAAATTTTGTAGGATTAACATGGCATGAGGAGGCCAAAAAGAGCTGATTTTGTATACACTTAGGCATATTTTATCTGGTACAATATATCTCTAGCATACTGAGAAAAAACTATGAAAAAACTCATAAATGACTTAAATATGCCTAGAAATTATTTAGAAGTTATTTGTGGCCCTCAGAATACAGGTAATATGTATAACAGTCTAATACCAGAAGAGGTTAGTTGAGGGCTGTGAGCCAAAATGTTTTTGATAACCTGTTGAAGTCTTTTTGTGGCTGGGCATAGTGGCTCACGCCTGTAATCGCAGTGCTTTGGGAGGCTGAGGCAGGTGGATCACCTGAGGTCAGGAGTTCGAGAGCAGCCTGGCCAACATGGTGAAACCATGTCTCTACTGAAAATACAAAAATTAGCTGGGCGTGGCAGCTGGTGCCTGTAGTACCAGCTACTTGGGAGGGTGAGGCAGGAGAATTGCTTGAACCTGGGAGGCGGAGGTTGCAGTGAGCCAAGATTGCACCACTGCACTCCAGCCTGGGTGACAGAGCAAGACTCTGTCTCAAAATAAATAAATAAATAAATAAATAATGTATTGAAATCTTTTTGATGAGAGAATTAAATAGTTTATTACTGAATACTAAAGTACTAGAAGAACTTCAGGGGACAATTTATTCTATCATGATTGAATACATGTTTACCTTATTAAATGAATTTTTTTATGTTTCTGAGTTATAAAATAAGTGATTACTAATGGTACCTTATACTGCGTTAGTTTGCTAAGGAAATGAAAAAAAATAATGGTACTGTATTTAAAGTACTTTAACACAATTCTAGAAATGTTTCACCTTTCTGAACAATGCTAAATCCTTGTACAAGGACTTACTAAAAATGGTTAGAAACTTAATTTTTCTGAGCACTGTCCCATATTATATGACCTGTTTTTCTTGAGAATTAAAATACTGGGCGGGCGCAGTGGCTCACGCCTGTAATCCCAACACTTTGGGAGGCTGAGGCGGGTAGATCACCTGAGGTCAGGAGTTAGAGACCAGCCTGGCCATCATGGTAAAACCCCATATCTACTCAAAATACAAAATTAATGGGCTGGCAAGGCTAGTCCCAAAGGGGAGAAGACACAGCTAAAACCAGCCAGGGCCATGGTGGCATACACCTGTAGTCTCAGCTACTTGGGAGGCTGAAACAGGAGAGTCGCTTGAGTGCGGGAAGCAGAGGCTGCAGTGAGCTGAGATTGCGCCACTGCACTCCAGCCTGGGCGAGACAGAGAGAGACTCTTGTCTCAAAAAAAAAAAAAGAATTAAAATACCTATTTCAACATATATTGAAATATATTTAGGAATCCTTCCGTTTAAGGATAATGTTCATACTTAGCACATTTTCATCAGCAAAATAAATGTAAGGTTTGAAAGAATATGGCCAGCCATGGTGGCTCACGCCTGTAATTCCAGCACTTTGGGAGGCTGAGGTGGGCGGATCACTTGAGCCCAGGAGTTCAAGACCAGCCTAGGACATGGCAAAACATTGTCTCTACACAAAATACAAAAAATTAGCTGGATGTGGTGGCACACACCTGTGGTTCCAGCTGCTTGGGAGGCTAAGGTGAGGTGATGACCCAACCTTGAGGAAGTCGAGGCTGCAGTGAGCCGTGACTGTGCCATTGCACTCCAGCTTTTTTTTTTTTTTTTGGACAAAGTCTTGCTCGCTCTCTCAGGCTGGAGTACAGTGGTGCCATCTTGGCTCACGGCAGCCTCTGCTTCCTGGGCTCAAGTGATTCTCGTGTCTCAGCCTCCTGACTAATAGCTGGGATTATAGGCATGTGCAACCATACCCAGCTAATTTTTGTATTTTTAGTAGAGATAGGGTTTCCCTGTGTTGGCCAGGCTGGTCTCAAACTCCTGACCTCAAGAGATCTGCCTGCCATGGCCTCCCAAAGTGTTGGGATTACAGGCATGAGCCACCGTGCCTGGCCTGTATTCTTTTATGTGGTTCATATATATACAGTTTTTTCTTTTCTTTTTTGAGTCACAGTCTTGCTCTAATTGCGCAGGCTGGAGTATAGTGGTGTGATCACAGCTTACTGCAGCCTTGAGCTTCTAGGCTCAAGCAGTCCTCTCCTACCTCAGCCTCTCAAGTGACTGGGACTACAGGTGTGCACCACCACCCCCAGCTAATCTTTTAATTTTTTTTTTTTTTTTGAGGCAAAATCTCACTCTGTTGCCCAGGCTGGAGTGCAGTGGTGCTATCTTGGCTTACTGTAACCTCCGCCTCCCAGGTTCAAACGATTGTCCTGCCTCAGCCTCCTGAGTAGCTGAGACCACAGGTGTGCACCACCATGCCCCATTAATTTTTGTATTTTTAGTAGAGACGGGGTTTCACCGTGTAGACCAGGCTGATCTCGAACTCCTGTCCTCAAGTGATCCATCCGTCTTGGCCTCCCAGAGTGCTGGGATTACAGGTGTGAGCCACTGCTCCCGGCCACTCTTTTAAAATTTTTTTGTAGAGACAGGGTCTTGCTGTGTTGCCCAGGCTGGTCTCACACCCCTGGGCTCAAGCCATCCTTCTGTCTGTGCCTCCCAAAGTGTTGGGATGACAGGGCTGAGCCACTGCACCTGGCCTGGTTCAAATATATTTTAGTGAATTATATAGAATAATGGTCACAATTCTATCAGTAAAAACTTTTCAGCATGTCCCACAAGATATATATAAGTATTCATAAAGTGTATATTTTGCTCACTCAGAATATGATACATATTATAAAACATAGAAAATGTTAAAAGGGAGAAGAAAGAAGAATGAACTAAACCAAGACATTTTAATATTTTCTCACATATTAACGGCTAGGCTGGGCACGGAGGCTCACACCTGTAGTCCCAACACTTTGGGAGGCTGAGGCGGGCAGATCACCTGAGGTCAGGACATCAAGACCAGCCTGGCAACATAGCGAAACACCATCTCTACTAAAAATACAAAAACTAAAATTAGCCAGGCGTGGTGGCGGGCGCTTGTAATCACAGCTACTCAGGAGGTTGAGGCAGGAGAATCACTTGAACCCAGGAGGCAGAGGTTGTAGTGAGCCGAGATTGTGCCATTGCCCTCCAGCCTGGGCAACAAGAGCGAGACTCCATTTAAAAAAAAAAAATAGCTGGGCATGGTGGTGGGTTCCTGTAATCCCAGCAACTTGGGAGGCTGATGCAGGAGAATCGCTTGAACCTAGGAGGCAGAGGTTGCAGTGAGCTAAGATTGCACCACTACGGTCCAGCCTGGGTGACAGAGTGAGACTCTGTCTCAAAAAATAACCACTGGCTGGGTGCGGTGGCTCACACCTGTAATCCCACCACTTTGGGAGGCCAAGGCGGGTGGATCACCTGAGGTCGGGAGTTTGAGACCAGCCTGACCAACATGAAGAAACCCGTCTCTATTAAAAATACAAAATTGGCCAGGCGTGGTGGCACATGCCTATAATCCCAGCTACTCAGGAGGCTGAGGCAGGAGAATCACTTGAACCCAGGAGGTGGAGGTTGCAGTGAGTCGAGATCGTGCCATTGTACTCCAGCCTGGGTAACGAGTGAAACTCCATTTCAAAATAACTAACTAACTATCCAGGCTGGGCGTGGTGGCTCACGCCTGTAATCCTAGCACTTTGGGAGGCCAAGGCAGGTGGACTGCCTGAGCTCAGGAGTTTGAGACCAGCCTGGGCAACTCGTGGAACCCCATCTCTACCAAAATATAAAAAATTAGCCGGGCGTGGCGGTGTGCACCTGTAGTCCCAGCTACTCAGGAGGCTTAGGCAGGAGAATTGTTGAACCCAGGAGGCAGAGTTTGCAGTAAGCTGTGATCCTGCCACTGCACTTCAGTCTGGGTGACAGAGTGAGACTCCATCTTTTCTTTTTTTGAGACAGAGCCTCTGGGACTCAAGCTGTTCTCCTGCCTCACCCTCCCGAGTAGCAGGGACTACAGGCATGCTCCACCATGCCCAGCTAATTTTTGTATTTTTAGTAGAGATGGGGTTTTACCATGTTGTTCAGGCTGGTCTTGAACTCCTGACCTCAGGTGATCCACCCAGCTAGGCCTCCCCAAGTGCTGGGATTACAGGCGTGAGCCACTGCGCCCAGCCAGTCAACAACTTTAAAAAAATACTTTAGCTGGGTACAGTGGTACACACCTGTAATCCCAGCTACTCAGGAGGCTGATGTGGGAGGAGCACTTAAGAGACCAGGAGTTCGGCTGGGTGCGGTGGCTCACGCTTGTAATCCCAGCACTTTGGGAGGCCAAGGTGGGCGGATCACGAGGTCAGGAGATAGATTCCATCCTGGCTAACATGGTGAAACCCCATCTCTACTAAAAATACGAAAAATTAGCCGGGCGTGGTGGCGGGTGCCTGTAGTCCCAGCTACTTGGGAGGCTGAGGCAGGAGAATGGCGTGAACCCGGGAGGTGGAGCTTTTAGTGAGCTGAGATGGCGCCACTGCACTCCAGCCTGGGCAAAAAAAGAGCAAGACTCTGTCTCAAAAAAAAAAAAAAAAAAAAAGAGGCCAGGAGTTCGAGACCATTCTAGGCAACATGGGGAGACCCTGTCTCTATTAAAAAAAAAAAAAAGACACTTGTTCTTCAAGTCACCTACTTGGATCTCTTCGAAGTGCACTTTCCTTTCTCACTCTAGAGCTTTGTAATAAACTTCTGTTCCTGCTCTGAAAAAAAAAAAATTTGCCAGGTGTGGTGGTGCCTGCCTGTAATCCCAGTGACACAGGAGGCTGAATTAGGAGGATTGCTTGAGCCCAGAAGTTACAGGCTGCAGTGAGCTGTGATCACGCCATTGTCCTCCAGCCTGGGAGGCAGAGTGAGACCTCGTCTCAAAAACAGCAACAACAACAATATGAAACTTTAGTCTGTCCCTCCTTATGATCACAGCCTTCTTTCTTTCTTTTTCCTGCTCTGTGGAACAGCCTCCTAACTAGTGTGTCTATTCTGAACCATTTGCAGTCTGTCCATCACAGTGTAGCCAGAATAATTTATCTGAAATGCAAATCCAGCCATCCTGTCCTTGCTGAAGCTTCTCGGCTGGCTCCAATCACCGGCTCCCTGTGACATGGCCCGAGGTCTCTTTCTCTAAACTCTCCCTGCTTTCTCCTTCAGCCTCTAATAATAACTGCATCCTTCATTTTCTCCCCAGTGTTTTTTTGTTTTTTGTTTTTTTTTTTTTGATTTTTTTATTTGGGATGGAGTCTTGCTCTGTCGCCAGGCTGGAGTGCAGTGGTGGGATCTCGGCTCACTGCAACCTCTGCCTCCCGGGTTCACGCAATTCTCTCGCTTCAGCCTCCCTGGTAGCTGGGATTACAGGCACCCGCCAGCACGTCTGGCTGTTTTCTATTTTTGATAGAGACAGGGTTTCACCATGTTGACCATGCTTGTCTCGAACTCCTGACCTCATGATTTGTCCGCCTTGGCCTCCCAAAGTGCTGGGATTACAGGCATGAGCCACTGCGCCTGGCCAAAATTTATAACAAATCTTAATGCGGTTATACATCCATTTAGCATTAAGAGTCTCCTAGTTCCATAAGATTAGAGAAACAGCAGTTTCCTACCTGCCATTTCTCCATCCCCGTCAGCCACTTTCAGCTGTAGCTGATCCTTTCAGTGTTGCTGCTCTTTAATTTTAATTTTTATTTTTTGAGACAGGGTCTGACTCCATTGCCCAGGTCAGAGGGCAGAGTGACTCGATCTCAGCTCACTGTGACCTCTGCCTCCCAGGCTCAAGCAATCCTCCCACATCAGCCTCCTGAGAATCTGGGACTATAGCTGCTGAGTTTATAAGCATGAGCCACCACGCCTGGCTGAGGGTGGTGGTGTTTTTTAAGTGAACACATCATGTGTCAAAATTACATTTAACGTGTCAATTAATAAGGGAACTAATATGATGTTACAACCAGTTTAAAGGAAAATTCAGACAACACTCAAAAGTGAGTTTACAGATAGATGCAAAGCTGGTCAGTATCCATAGGGCAGTAATCAGTACATTCCATGAGACTAATTTAATTAGTTTAATTAAACTAATTAGACTATTTTCTTTGGACAGGAACTTTTTTGCCTTACTCTTAAGGTTTTGGGCAAATGACAGAGTTGTAAAGCAGCTCAGAGACAATGAAGGTGCTGGTCCCTATAAAATTACATAACCTGAAGGATGCACTAGGTAGCATGCCCAGTCATGTTATTTTTTGTTCATTTCAAAGCCTTTTCGCAATTTTTTTTTTTTTTTTTCCGTGAGATGGAGTCTAGCTGTCGCCCAGGCTGGAGTGCAGTGGCATGATCTCGGCTCACAGCTACTTCCACCTCCTGGGTTCAAGCGATTCTCCCACCTCAGCCTCCCAACTAGCTGGGATTACAGACACCTGCCATCACACCTGGCTAATTTCACCTGGCCAACATGGCGAACCCTCATCTCTACTAAAAATACAAAAAATGAATTAGCTGGGCATGGTGGCAGGCACCTGTAATCCCAGCTACTCAAAAGGCTAAGGCAGGAGAATCGCTCGAACCTGAGAGGTAGTGGTTGCAGTGAGCCGAGATCGTGCCATTGCACTCCAGCCTAGGCAAAAAGAGCGAAACGCCATCTCAAAAAAAAAAAAAAAAAAAGCCTCTATTATTTGCTAATTTGAGGGTGGGGAACTAAGCCCACGAAATGTTCTCCACTAGGCCGGGCGTGGTGGCTCACGCCTGTAATCCCAGTACTTTGGGAGGCCAAGGCGAGTGGATCATGAGGTCAGGAGATGGAGACCATCCCAGCTAACTTGGTGAAACCTTGTCTCTATTAAAAATACAAAAAATTAGCGGGCTTGGTGGCATGCAACTGGTCGCCCAGCGTGGGCGACAGAGCAAGACTCTGTCTCAAAAAAACAAAAACCTTAATACGGCTGGGCATGGTGGCTCACACCTGTAATCCCAGCACTTTGGGACGCTGAGGTGGGTGGATCACCTGAGGTCAGGAGTTCAAAACCAGCCTTACCAATATGGTGAAACCCTGTACTGGAGACTGTCATAAAGATCTCAGTGTTTGTTAGGAAATATTTGGTGGGTGTAGATGCTCTTAAGACCCATGTGTCTTCATTTTAGAACTTTAATTTGATTCCCTTTCCTAGGTTCATATTGAGATCCATTGAAGGCCCTCCCAGACTGACGAAGGCGTGACCTCAGGCCCACCGCATCCAAGAACACGAAGCATGAGGGACAGAAGAGGGCCCCTCGGCACCTGCCTGGCACAAGTGCAGCAGGCCGGAGGAGGTGACTCGGACAAACTATCATGCAGCCTTAAGAAAAGAATGCCGGAGGGCCCTTGGCCTGCAGATGCACCCTCCTGGATGAATAAGCCTGTGGTTGATGGAAATTCACAAAGTGAGGCATTATCACTGGAAATGAGAAAGGATCCGAGCGGGGCTGGCCTCTGGCTTCACAGTGGCGGCCCAGTGCTTCCATATGTGAGAGAATCAGTAAGAAGAAATCCAGCCTCAGCAGCCACTCCGAGCACAGCCGTGGGTTTGTTCCCTGCTCCAACAGAGTGTTTTGCTCGGGTGTCCTGCAGTGGTGTTGAAGCTCTGGGGCGGCGAGACTGGCTGGGAGGAGGGCCCAGGGCCACTGACGGCCACAGAGGACAGTGCCCCAAAGGAGAGCCTCGGGTGTCACGACTGCCACGCCATCAAAAAGTGCCGGAAATGGGAAGTTTTCAGGATGACCCACCAAGTGCTTTTCCCAAGGGTCTGGGCTCTGAGTTGGAACCCGCTTGCCTGCACTCCATCCTGTCTGCAACGCTGCACGTGTATCCCGAAGTGCTCCTGAGTGAGGAGACAAAACGCATTTTCCTTGACCGTTTAAAGCCCATGTTTTCAAAGCAAACAATAGAATTCAAGAAAATGCTTAAAAGCACCTCAGATGGTCTGCAGATAACACTGGGGTTACTGGCTCTGCAACCTTTTGAATTAGCAAATACATTATGCCATAGTTAAGGTACAAGCAGAACAATACCAATAGATTAATTTTAAGAGTTGTCTTAGAATGATTTCTTTCGCATTAAGTCTGGATGCAAACTGTGCAGCCCTTAGGTTCCTGCTGTAGTTTTGTACGACCTGGCAGACTTAAAGTAAATTGAGTTTAAATTCAAAGCCAGTTGATGCGGAAGGAACTTTTTTGGCATGTGTTAAATTGTGCTTTAAAAGACATATAAAGAATTGGGAAACATTTCAGGAGACGATCATAGCCTGTATAAATACCAGATTAGAACATACGGATTTACCATGAAGTTCTGTCTTCAACATCCATTCTAAAGGGCTACTGTCCCAAATCCTGTGTGTCCTTTTGACTTGTCTGATCACCCAATGGAAGTGGATACTTGTAAAGTCTACACCACTGTACTTGGCGTTAAATCTTGCTGAATTCGTGGTAAGCTGTTACCATGTCTACATTTTGTAGAATGATTTTGGTCTGCAGCAAAATTCGATTTCACTTCTCATACCCCTTTCCTTCCACTTGAAATGCAATTTAGACAGAGGCCCTGTGGTGAAAGTTGCAATATTAAGTTTACCTTTAGAAGATCCCTTCTCAAACTCAGAACCCTAGCAGTGTTACCTTAAACAAAAATGAGCTCGAGAAAAAAGTAGCTCAGTTACAGAGAAGCAAATCGAGTTATTTCCCACATAAAAAGTTTCCCAGATTCTAAGAATTGCAGTATCCTGTACCCTAAAATTTTTCAAGGTGACTCCTGTTGTCGTCTGTTGATAACTTTAATAAAGGTCATTTAAGGACATAAGTTTTTAAAGACTCCCAAAGTGAAACTTAAACATTTTCGGGATTATCGATTGCATATATCAGTTTATGCTGTGTGCTGAATTACTATGCCATGTGCTATTTTAGTGTTTGGGGAAAATGAAAAATAAAATTTGTTCTTTAGCTTAATAAATATGTCTTATTTTATATGTGTGGTCTTGGTTCTTCTTGTGTTTTTATTAATGCCGTCGTCGTCCTGATAGTTTTTATTATTTGAGACAGGGTCTTGCTCTGTCGCTCAGGCTGGAGTGCAGTGGAGTGATCATAGCTTACTATAAACTTGAACTCCTGGGCTCTAGCAATCCTCCCACCTCAGCCTCCTAAGTTGCCAGGACAACAGTTGCATGCCACTGTGGACAGCTAATTTTTTTTTTTTTTTTTTTTTTTTTTGAGACGGGGTTTCACTCTTGTTGCCCAGGCTGGAGTGGAATGGCCTGATCTCAGCTCACTGCAACCTCCACCTCCGGGGTTCAAGTAATTCTCCTGCCTCAGCCTCCCGAGTAACTGGGATTACAGGCATGCGCCTCCACGCCCGGCTAATTTTGTATTTTTAGTAGAGACGGGGTTTCTCCATGTTGGTCAGGCTGGTCTCGAACTCTTGACCTCAGGTGATCCGCCTGCCTCGGCCTCCCAAAGTGGTAGGATTACAGGCGTGAGCCACCGCGCCCAGCCTTTTTTTTTTTTAAACATCGAGGTAGGTTGCCGATGCACAAGATGAGAAGCAGAGCTTGAAAAACAATATAAGGCTAGACCTGAACTCAACTCTCTGCTCCCAAGAAACAATGAAGTCCTGCCTTGTGATCCTTTCGGTTGGTGCTCAGAGTCCCAAAGAAAAAGTCCTTACAAGGCAATCCATCTCCATCTAATCTAAGTGACACTGCCTTGGTGGCGCATTTAAAACCCTGCTGAACAGCCATGCCCTTTTGGTGTCACTGTGATTGCAAAATGAGATGAAGACAGTTTTAAGTGTTTTAAAATAGAGACTGTTTTCTTGCCAAGCACTCCTTTTACTTCTCTCTTTTTTTTTTTTTTTTTTTTTTGAGACAGAGTCTCGCTCTGTTGCTCAGGCTGGAGTGCAGTGGCGCGGTCTCCGCTCATTGCAAGCTCGGCCTCCCGGGTTCACGCCGTTTTGCCTCAGCCTCTCGAGTAGCTGGGACTACAGGCACCCGCCACCATGCCCGGCTATTTTTTTTTTTTTTTGTATTTTTAGTAAAGATGGGGTTTCACCGTGTTAGCCAGGATGGTCTCAATCTCCTGACCTCGTGATCTGCCCGCATCAGCCTCCCAAAGTGCTGGGATTACAGGCGTGAGCCACCGCTCCTGGCCTTTTTTTTTTTTTTTGAGATGGAGTTTTGCTCTTGTTACCCAGGCTGGAGTGCAATGATGCGATCTCGGCTCACTGCAACCTCTGCCTCCCGGGTTCAAGCGATTCCCCTGTCTCAGCCTCCCGAATAGGTGGAATTACAGGCATACAGCACCATGCCTGGCTAATTTTGTATTTTTAGTAGAGACGGGGTTTCTCCACGTTGACCAGGCTGGTCTCGAACTCTCTACCTCAGGTGATCTGCCCACCTTGGCCTCCCAAAAGTGCTGGGATTACAGGCATAAGCCACCGCGCCTGGCCTTCCTTTTTTTAAAAAACGAAGTTTACTCCTTTGGGGTTGAACTTTCCATGCCCCACCAACTGTTTTATTTCCTTTGTTTTGTAGGTTGCAAGTATACAAATGTTCAACCAATTGCAAAAAGTACAGAATTCCCTATTAAGCATCCAGTGATATATTAATAAATTTTTACAGTTTTTTTTTTTTTTTTTTTTTTTTTTTTTTTTTGTAGAGACAAGGTCTCACTATGTTGCTTAGGCTGGTCTTGACTCCTGGCCTCAAGCAATCCTCCTGCCTCAGCTCCCAAAGTGCTAAGATTACAGGCATGAGCCACCACGCCCAGGCTGACATGCTTTCATATTGTGACATTAAAATATGGTGTGCATGCCGGGGGTTGTGGCTCACGCCTGTAGTCCCAGCACTTTGGGAGGCTGAGGTGGGTGGATCATCTGAGGTCGGGAGTTTGAGACAAGCCTGACCAACGTGGCGACACCCTGTCTGTAATAAAAATACAAAAATTAGCCGGGGCGTGGTGGTGGATGCCTATAATCCCAGCTACTTGGGAGGCTGAGGCAAGAGAATCACTCGAACCCGGGAGGCAAAGGTTGCAGTGAGCCGAGATTGTGCCATTGCTCTCCAGCCTGGGCAACAAGAGCAAAACTCTGTCTCAAAAACAAAACAAAACAAATCCTGCACTTTACATGCATTTTTTTCTTTCTTTTCTTTTTTTTTTTTTTTGAGACGGAATCTTCTTGCTCTGTTGCCCAGGCTGGAGTGCACACGTGGCGTGATCTTGGCTCACCGCAGCCTCTGCCTTTTGGGTTCAAGCAATTATCCTGCCTCAGCCTCCCAAGTAGCTGGGATTACAGGCGTATGCCATCACTCCCAGCTAATTTTTGTATTTTTAGTAGAGACGGGGTTTCACCATGTTGGCCAGGATGGTCTTGATCTCTTGACCTCATGATCCGCCCACCTCGGGCTCCCAAAATGCTGGGATTACAGGCGTTAGCCACCGTGCCTGGCTGAAAAAAATTTTAATACATTTACCTGAACAGTATGTATGAACTCAGAGATGGAAACTGCCAGTGAGTGGTAGAAGTTTTGAAACACACCCTGTTCAGTGGATAATATATTCAACATAAAAACTCAAAAGGAGAAGCCTAAGATTTGATTCTTATTAAATGAGTTTAATGGCTGCTCCTACTTGGCTCTCCTTTGTTTCCAGCATGTTCTCTCTCTTTTCTCCAAACATTTTATGTTTATTGAAACTTGATGGCTGGGCTTGGTGGCTCATGCCTGTAATCCCAGGACTTTGGGAGGCCTAGGCAGGAGGATTGCTTGAGTCCAGGAGTTGGAGACCAGCCTGGACAACATAGCAAGAACCCCATTTCTACAAAAAATTAAAAAATTAGCTGGGCATGGTGGCGCATGCCAATCATCCCAGCTACACAGACAGCTGAGGCAGGAGGATCGCTTGAGCCCAGGAGCTTGAGGCTGCAGTGAACTATGATCACACCACTGCACTCCAGCCTGGGTGACAGAGACTCAGTCTCAGGAAAATAAAAAATAATAAAAAATTAAAAACCATCATTAATCAGATAAATTTAAAAAAACATCTGACGGCTGGGCGCAGTGGTGCATGCCTGTAACCCCAGCACTTTGGGAGGCCGAGGTGGGTGGATCACCTGAAGTCAGGAGTTTGAGACCAGTGAAACCCCGTCTCTACTAAAAATGCAAAATTAGCCAGGTGTGGTGGTGCACGCTTGTAATTCCAGCCACTCAGGAGGCTGAGGCAGGAGAATCGCTTGAACTCAGAAGGCGGAGGTTGCAGTGAGCCGAGATCGTGCCATTGCACTCTAGCCTGGGCAATAGAGCAAGACTCTGTCTCAAAAAAAAAAAAAAAAAAAATCTGACTACTTTCATTTGCCCTTTAAGCCCTACAAACCATTCATTGAGAGCTGTAGTCTGTATGAGAAACATTTGGAATAGATTTTCAAAGGTGCTTGCTTAGGAATGGTAAACTTCGTAGGATAATTTTTTTTCTGCAATCAGTAGTCTTGCTTTATCAAGGTATATCAAGACTTTTAACAAAGTGTTTTGGTTGAGTTGGGGGGGCATGTTCCAGGTGGCCTGTTGTGTCTGAGAAGTCCTTGAGTGTGATGCTTTCTTATTTTTATTGCATTTTGTTTTGTTTATTTTATTTTAGACAGGGTCTCGCTCTGTCACCCAGGCTGGAGTGCAGTGGCACAATCTCGGCTCACCGCAACCTCCGCCTCTCGGGTTCAAGGAATTCTCGTGCCTCAGCCTCTTGAGTAGCTGGGATTACAGGCGCCCCACCATGCCCAGTTAATTTTTGTATTTTTAGTAGAGACGGGGTTTCGCCATATTAACCAGGCTGGTCTTGAATTCCTGACATCAAGTGATCCATCTGCCTTGGCCACCCAAAGTGCTGGGATTAGAGGTGTGAGCCACCTCACTCGGATGTATATATATATACTATTTTTATATCGAGATGGGGGTCTTGATATGTTGCCCGGGTTCCTGCTGCCTCAGCCTCCTAAAGTGCTGGGATTACAGGCATGAGTGCCACTCTGCCTGGCTTGCTTTTAGTTGTTTTTAAGGCAGTGGATTCAACCTGTTTTGTTTTTCCTTGTTTGCCTCCTAAGAGTTCTGATTCTGGGTGGTGCATAACTGGCTCACACCTGGAATCCCAGCACTTTGGGAGGCAGAGGCAGGTGGATTACTTGAGCTCAGGAGTTCTAGGCCAGCCTGGGCAACATAGCAAGACCATCTCTACAAAAATACAAAAAATTAGCTGGATGTGGTGGCGCGCATCTGTAGTTCCAGCTACTCAGGAGACTGAGGAAGGATCACTTGGGCCTGGGAGATTGAGGCCGCGGTGAACTGTGATTGCCCCCACTACACTCCTGCCTGGGTGACAGGAAGAGATCCTATGTCAAAAACACCCCCAAAAACCCCACAAAGAGTTCTGATTATGCTCTAAGAAAAAAAAGATCAGTAATTGGAAGATTACTAAGTAGGCTCTGTTTTTGTTGTTGTTGTTGTTTTTCTGAGGCAGAGTCTCGCTCTGTCGCCCAGGCTGGAGTGCATGGCACAATCCCAGCTCACTGCAACCCCTGCATCCTGGGTTCAAGTGATTTTCCTGCCTCAGCCTCCTGAGTATCTGGGATTACAGGCGCCCGCCACCGTGCACAGCTAATTTTTGTATTTTTAGTAGAGACAGGTTTTCACCATGTTGGTCAGGCTGGTCTTGAATTCCTGACCTCGTGATCTGCTCGCCTCAGCCTCCCAAAGTGCTGGGATTTCAGGCACAAGTCACCGCACCCGGCCCTGTTTCTGTTTTTCAGAAAGGGTCTTGCTCCATTGCCCAGGTTGGAGTGCAGTGGTGCAATCATAGCTCACTGCAGCCTCCACCTCCTGGGTTCAAGTGATCCCCCTACCTCAGCCTCCTGAGTAGCTGGTACTACAGATATACACTGCCACACCCGGGTAATTTTTTAATTTTTTGTAGGAACGGGGTCTCACTGTGTTGCCCAGTCTGGTCTCCAACTCCTGAGCTCAAGCAATCTGCCTGCCTCAGCCTCCCAAAGTGCTGGGATTACAGGTGTCAGCCACCACACCCAGCCAGAAAGCAGTATTTCTTTTCACACTCCCATATTCCAAGACTTATGACTCATGCTTGTTCAGGAAAACCTATTATGTGAGGGTGAGCTGAGAAAAGAGGGGAGTTTGGTTGATTTTAAATGCAGGTGCTTTGTTCCGTGTCTTAATTCATCTGGAAATTGAGAATGCGGCCGTAGGAGAACAGTGCTTTTTAGCTTTGTGTTGTGATGCCTTTGGGAAAGTGGGAGGAGTAGGTTAAGTCACAGGCAGATTCATTGTTAAACAAATGTTCATGGTTTCCTACTGCACGGTGTAAAAGCAAGGTTTGGCAAATACGTGAATTTAAAAATGTTTAAGCATTTGGAATTTCCATTAAAATCAGCTTCTCCTGGCTGGGGAGGGTGGCCCATGCCTGTAGTCCCAGCATTTTGGGAGGCTGAGGCAGGAGGATCACTTGAGGCTAGGAGTTCCAGACCAGCCAGAGGAACATAGGGAGACCCCCATCTCTTAATTATAATTAACTAACTTATTCATTTATTTATTTATGAGACAGAGTTTCACTCTTGTCGCCCAAGCTGGAGTGCAGTGGCATAATCTCAGCTCACTGCAACCTCTGCCTCCTGGGTTCAAGAGATTCTCCTGCCTCAGCCTCCTGAGTAGCTGGGATGACAGGCATGTGCCACCACACCTGGCTAATTTTTTCATATTTTTAATAGAGATGGGGTTTCACCATGTTGGCCAGGTTGGTCTTGAACTCCTGACATCAAGTGATCCGCCCGCCTCGGCCTCCCAAAGTGCTGGGATTACAGGTGTGAGCCACTGTGCCCGGCCTAATAATGCTTATTTTTGAAGTGATACGGGCATATATATTTATATATATTGTGTTTAAGTTGGCAGATGAGGTCATGTGTCATTGGAGGATGCCAAGTAATCACTTAGTTTAAGTGACCTTTATTCTGGGCAAATTTTAAGCTAGAATGCGAAAGTCTCACCTCCCTCTGAAGGTGAAAGACTGAAGCAGGCTGCACTGGATGGAACGCTGATGCCGGATAGACTGTTTTGTGAATCTCATGGTAATTTATGTGGCTGCATAATAATTTGGGAGGAGTGGATGAGGTTGGGAAGAAAGCCCCGGGGCTGTGCCCGTGAGGTTCGCGTTGACCACAAGAGGGAGCCATGTGTTCACCTAGGGAGTGTGCTGTTTTGGGATGTTTTTATGGTTATTTTGTTTAGCCAAATTCTTAAGCAAAAATTAACATAAAAACGTCAGACTTAGTTTAGTATGGGTTGTTAACGCAAGTGTGTGTAATGTATCAAACCTTACAACAAGATCGTAACTATTTCCTTTTTTAAATTTAAAATTTTTTTGTAGAGATAAGTTCTCACTATGTTGTCCAGACTGGTCCCCAAATAACAGGCTCAAGCAATCCTTCCACCTTGGCATCCCAAAGTGCTGGGATTACAAGTGTGAACAACTGTACCCAACCCAGCTGCAGCTCTTTATTTATTTGTTCACTTAATTTATTTTGAGACGGAGCTTCACTCTTGTTGCCCAGGCTGAAGTGCAATGGCACGATCTCGGCTCACTGCAACCTCTGCCTCCCAGGTTCAAGCAAAATTCTCCTGCCTCAGCCTCCCGAGTAGCTGGGATTACAGGTGCCCACCACCACGCCTGGCTAATTTTTAGTAGAGATGGGGTTTCACCATGTTGGCCAGGCTGGTCTCGAACTCTTGACCTCAAGTGATCCGCCTGACTCGGCCTCCCAAAGTGCTGGGATTTCAGGCATGAGCCACTGCACCCGGCCCAGCTGCAGCTCTTTAATTCAATACCCATAGGTGGTGCTTAAAGAAAGAAGATAAATGTGATAGAAAAGTAAAATGTATTTTTGTGTTTATTTTTTATTTTGGTGCATGGCTTTCAGTAAGAAACCACATTTTCACACTGCACCAACACGAACAGTAGTTTTAGGGCCAGGTGTGGTGGCTCACGCCTGTAATCCCAACACTTTGGGAGGACAAGGTGGGAGGACTACTTGAGGCCAGGCATTCCAGATCAGCCTGGGCAACACAGTGAGACCCCATGTCTACCAAAAAAATAAATAAAATGATATAAAATAAGATAAAAATTTAAAAGAGCAGTAGTTTTCTTCAGAGTGGGCTGGTCAGAATTTTCACTTCTGCCAAGGATGTTCACAGGCTCCCAATGTTGGGAGCTTTTCTGGGCCCTTTCAGGTGGATGGGGCAGGGGCAGGGAGGACCTGTGCTGATTTGCGGGCCCACAGTGCGTTCCTCCTCAGCCTGTTCCTTTGCATGAGAGCCTCTTAGATGCCCTTACAGGGAAATCTGTGACACAGAACAAGTCCATTATGGCTGAGCATGGTGGCTCATGCTGGTAATCCCAACACCTTGGGAGGCCAAGGTGAGAGGATTGCTTGAACCTGGGAGGCTGAGGCTGCAATGAGCCGTGATCATGCCACTGCCCTCCATCCTGCAAGGGAGAGCGAGACCCTATCTCAAGAAAAAAAAAAAGTCAATTTTTTACTATAGAAATCACAACTTTAAATTTCTTTTGTGGCTTGTAGTGAAACATGCTTAAAATGTTGGAATCTACTAAAAAAGATTGAGAACTGCTATTGTATTATTCTATAACATCAATAAATGATTGCTCTTTCTTTTCTTTTATTTATTTAATTTTTTTGAGATGGAGTCTCGCTCTGTTGCCCAGGCTGGGGTGCAGTGGCGAGATCCGGCTCACCACAACCTCCGCCTCCCAGGTTCACGCCTTTCTCCTGCCTAAGCCTCCCGAGTGGCTGGGATTACAGGCGCCCACCACCGCACCCAGCTAATTTTTTGTTATTTTTAGTAGAGACGGGGATTCACCATGTGCAGGATGGTCTCGATCTCTTGACCTCGTGATCTGCCTGCCTCGGCCTCACAAAGTGCTGGGATAACAGGCGTGAGCCACCGTGCCTGGCTAATTTTTGTATTTTTAGTAGAGATGGGGGTTTCACCATGTTGGAACAGACTGGTCTTGAACTGCTGACCTCAGGTGATCCTCCGGCCTCGGCCTCCCAAAGAGCTGGGATTACAGGCATGAGCCACTGCGTCTGGCCAGGTATAAGTATATTATAAAATCATATCTTTCTGTTATAAAAGCTCATATCTTTATGCACATAGTTCTCTCCCATATTCACTATTCTTCTAATATATGTTATTAAGAGATAAACTGACAATAGTGGCATAATTCCTAAGAATATTTCATCTGCAGTCAGGCAACTGATGATCTTAACAGCTAATAGCAGCTATTCATTGAGCTCCCACCTCTAGGTGTGAACAGGTGGTGAAGCTGCTGGGTGTAATATTATCTCATCTTCAGAACAGTCCTGAAAAGCAGTCGTTTTCATTTTCCTGCTGAAGACATGGAGGTGAGGTCACTGCTCAGAACTGGCAGAGCTGGGAGTTGCTTGTTTGTTTTTTGAGACAGGGTCTCACTCTGTCACCCAGGTTGGAGTGCAGTGGCACCAACATTGCTCATTGCAGCCTCAAACTCCTGGGCTCAAGTGATCCTCCTGCCTCAGCCTCCTGAGTGGCTGGAACTACAGGCTTTTGCCACCATGCCTGGCTAATTTTTAATGTTTTTGGCAGAGATGGGAGTGTCTCACCATGTTGCCCAGGCTGGTCTCAACCTCTTGGTTGGCCTCAAGTGATCCTCTCACCTCGGCTTCCCAAAGTGCTGAGATTACAGGCATGAACCATCACACTCAGCTTACTGTCTTTTATTTATTATTGTTATTATTTTTTGAGACAGAGTTTTTCCTCTTGTCACCCAGGCTGGAGTGCAGTGGTGCGATCTTGGCTTGCTGCAACCTCCGCCTCCTGGGTTTAAGTGATTCTCCTGCCTCAGCCTCCTGAGTAGCTGGGACTACAGACGTGCACCACCGCACTCGGCTAATTTTTGTATTTTTAGTAGACATGGGGTTTCACCATGTTGGGCAGGATGGTCTCGATCTCCTGATCTCATGATCCGCCTGCCTCAGCCTCCCAAAGTTCTGGGATTACAGGCATGGGCCACCGTGCCTGGCACCACTGTCTTTCATTATTATTATTATCATTATTATTTATTTATTTATTTATTTATTTACTTTTTTGAGATGGAGTCTTACTCTGTCACCCAGGCTGGTGTGCAGTGGTGCGATCTTGGCTCACTGCAACTTCCACCTCCTGGGTTCAGGCGATTCTCCTGCCTCAGCGTTCCAAGTAGCTGGGATTATAGGCACGCACCACCATGCCCGGCTAATTTTTGTATTTTTAGTAGAGACGTGGGTTTCCACCATGTTGGCCTGGCTGGTCTCGAACTCCTGACCTCAAATGAGCCACCTTCCTCAGCCTCCCAAAGTGCTGGGATCAGGCGTGAGCCATTGTGCCTGGCTGCTAATTTATTTATTTATTTATTTATTTTTTTTTTTTTTGAGATGTAGTCTCACTCTGTTGCCCAGGCTGGAGTGCAGTGGTGCGATCTCGGCTTACTGCAAGCTCCGTCTCCCAGGTTCACACTATTCTCCTGCCTCAGCCTCCTGAGTAGCTGGGACTACAGGTGCCCGCCACCATGCCTGGCTAACTTTTTTTTTTTTGTATTTTTAGTAGAAACGGGGTTTCACCGTGTTAGCCAGGATGGTTTCGATCTCCTGATCTCGTGATCCGCCCGCCTTGGCCTCCCAAAGTGCTGGGATTACAGGCGTGAGCCACTGCGCCTAGCCGCCTGGCTGCTAATTTTTAATAAATAAAATTTGAAATTCAGTTCCCCACTTACACCAGTCACATTTCAAGTGCTCAATAGCTATATGCAGCCAGTGACTACTGTATTAGTACGCATAAAGTACAATTCCCTCATCACAGAAGGTTCTATTGGACAGCCTCTTAGCCCTTGTAGACATACTCAGGACAACTTTGCCTCTTCAGGAAAAGATCTGGCTTTAATACATCAGAGTATGTGATTTTTTTGTCTTACTTTTAACCACCCCCTATCAATATAAGAGGACACTATTTTCTCAAATTGATGGAAAAAAAAAGATTGTGAGTCTGCCGATGATTTTCTGTAAGCTTTTGTTCTCCAAAAAGGGACTGTCTTTGCCTATTTTTATCTTGTTTACAAGGTATTTCTTAGTTCTCGTTGAGTAAAAGATGTAAGAATTCAGCACAGTGCCAGGTACCTAGTCGGTTTCCCATGAATGGCAGCATCACTTTGCCTTGATTTTATATTATTTTGTATATTTTAAAATGTAGACTAGGGGTGGTGGCTCACACCTGTAATCTTAGCACTATGGGAGGCTGAGGCAGGAGGATTGCTTGAGCCCAGGAGTTCAAAGCTGCAGTGAGCTATGATTGCACCAGTGCACTCCAGCCTGGGTGACGGAACAAGACCCTGTCTCTAAAATAAATAAATAAATAAATAAATAAATAAATAAATGCTTAATCTTTTGCATTTTAAGTACTTTATTGCACAATAGCAATTGATTTCAATGTCTCATTGTCTCGAACCTTTTGAAAAACTTCTTTTTCGGCTGGGCCCAGTGGTTCACGCCTGTAGTCCCAACACTTTGGGAGGCCGAGGCAGGTGGATCACCTGAGGTCAGGAGTTCGAAACCAACCTTGCCAACATGGTGAAACTCTCTTTCTACTAAAAATACAAAAATTAGCCTGGCGTGGTGGCAGGCGCCTGTAATCCCAGCTGCTTGGGAGGCTGAGGCAGGAGAATCGCTTGAACCCGGGAGGCGGAGGTTGCAATGAGCCGAGATCGCTCCATTGCACTCCAGCCTGGGCAACAAGAGGGAAACTGTTTCAAAAAAAGAGAAAAAGGAAAGATAAGAAAAACTTCACTTTTGGCTGGGCGCGGTGGCTCATGCCTGTAATCCCAGCACTTTGGGAAGCTGAGGTGGGAGGACTGCATGAACCAGCGAAGCTGATGCTGTAGTGAGCCGCGTTCGTGTCACTACACTCCAGCTTGGGTGACAGAGTAAGTCCCTGTCTCAAAAAAACAGAACAAAGAAAAACTTCAATTTCTCTTACACTGCAGCCTGAGCGTGTGACTTGTAGAAGAGTGCACTTACCCTTTAGCACACTCCAGAGGAAATACATACTCAGGTTTAAAGCTTGACCTTGGCTCTGGTAACGGGACAGTTCATCGAACAAGGGGTGATTCATGAGAACATCCTGTACCGCCCCCTCTCCCTCTAGAGCCACTGGGGGCCTCAAAACGTGAGAGCGGAACCGCTCGAGGAATGGAGGCAGGTTTTGCAAGCGTCTGTCTCCCTGGAACGGCAGGCTTACTGAGGAGTCTCTGGGCTCCTTCCAGCTCCAGGCTGGACTTGGCCTCCCCCTTACTGCCTCCAACGTTACCTCTTTTCCCAAAAATAGGATTTGGAACTTATTCCCCAAGTGACATAATACATCTTACAGTCATGGGCAGGAAGTGGCTGTTTTCCTGCCAGGCCTGTGAGGTCCCCTGGAGATGAGCTGGGAAGGGTACTCCTCGTCCTGCTTCACAATAGAACTTCAACGCCTTCATTTTAAGGCGATTTTCTTCCATTTGGAAGCGCAGCGTGCTTTTCCACACTATGCAGCGAAAGAGGTTAGATTGGCTGGATTTGGACGCTCTTGGGTGTTTCTGCTTCATAAACAAAGCATGCTTGAATATTAATAATGATGCCCTCCAACATGGCGAGATCCCGTCTCCACGGAAAATATAAAAATTAGCCGGGCGTGGCGGCTCATGTCTGTAATCCCAGCACTTTGGGAGGCCGAGGTGGACGGATCACGAGGTCAGGAGATGGAGACCATCCTGGCTAACAGGGTGAAACCCCGTCTCCACTAAAAATACAAAAAATTAGCCAGGCATGGTGGTGGCACCTGTAGTCCCAGCTACTCGGGAGGCTGAGGCAGGAGAATGGCGTGAACCCAGGAGGCGGAGGTTGCAGTGAGCCGAGATTGCGCCACTGCACTCCAGCCTGGGCGGCAGAGCAAGACCGTGTCTCTAAAAAATAAATAAAATATTATTTATTAATTTTACAATAAAATAATTATATTTTATATATTATATAAAATAAATTTATATTTTATAATAAATAAAATATTTTAATGTCTAAAATGTTATATATTAATATATAAAACATTATTTTATTTATTAAACATATAAATATTTTTTATTTATTAAAAATAAATAAAATATCATTTATGTTTTAGACAGGGTCGTCGTCTGGCACCCAGGCTGGAGTGCAGTGGTGCAATCACAGTTCACTGAAGCCTCGACCTCCCAGGCTCAAGGGATCCTCCTGCCTCAGCCTCCCGAGTACCCAGGACCACAGGCATGCGCCACCACGCCTGGCTTTATTGTAAGTTCTAGTGTAGGCACAACGCCGGTTACTTAAGATGACAAATGGGGAAAATCCACATTAATTGGGTTTGCTATTAAGTGGGTGTGTTGATGGCCGGGCACAGTGGCTCATGCTGGTAACCCCAGCACTTTGGGAGGCCGAGGTGGGCAGATCACTAGGTCAAGAGATCGAGACCATCCTGGCCAACACAGTGAAACCCCGTCTCTACTAAAAATACAAAAATTAGCTGGGTGTGGTGGTGTGCATCTGTAATCCCAGCTACTCAGGAGGCTGAGGCAGGAGAATTGCTTGAACCTGGGAGGTGGAGGGTGCAGTGAGCCAAGATCATGCCACTGCACTCCAGCCTGGCAACAGAGCGAGACTCCATCTAAAAAAACAAAAAACAAAACAACAAAAAAAAAGAATTGTCCTCCTCCCGCAACTGAAAACACTGCCCAGGCGAGACTTCCTGACGTTGACATCATGCATCTTAGCACTTTCCTACCCAAGGCTGTAAAAAGCTCTGTTGCACTTTGGCAACGATAGGAATAAGTCTCTGCATCAGCTTTGATCCTGGCTCCAGAGCAAACTAAGCCAAGAACTGAGAATCTGTTGGCTCTGGCTTATTTTGTTTTATTTTATTTATTTTTTTGAGGCAGGGTCGATTTTGGCCCACTGCAACTTCTGCCTCCTGGGCTCAAGCAGTTCTCCTACCTCAGACTCTTGAGTAGCTGGGATTACAGGCACATGGCACCACACCCAGCTAATTTTTGTGTTTTTTGTAGAGACAGGGTTTCATGATGTTACCCAGGCTGGTCTCGAACTCCTGAGCTCAAGAGATCCTCCTGGCTCAGCCTCCCAAAGTGCTGGGATTACAGGTGTGAGCTGCCACACCCGGCTGGGTCTGGCTTCTTATACTGGGCCTTGCCCAGGTTTTGTTATCTGTTTGGAAGTTATTTTTAGCCCTCCGGAACAGTTTTGAGACAAATCGTTTCGGTGCTTATGCAGCATTATTTTTTTTAACCGATCATGACTATTTTCAACTCAGTAGAAGTTCTAAGGCAGAAACATTTCCTTTTTAAGGCCGTGTTTCTCTGGCAGTCCTAAAGACTAATCCAAAAGATTAGCAAAAGTAACCGCTTGTTAAACAGCTCAAATCTGGTAAATACAGGAGATATGCTTCTGTTCAGGGAACCTCTCAGGGTGAGAGAAGAAAGGAAGAAAAAGAGAAGATTTCTATGGATGTCTATGAACAGTGAATTCCTTAACGGAACCAAAATTTGTCTTTTTTAACTGGAAAACTTACATTCATTGATGATAAATAGTATATATCTGAGCCAAAACTGTGTTGCCCAAAATTTAAGTTACATTAAGAAATAGTCGGCCAAGGCCGGGCGCGGTGGCTGACACCTGTAATCCCAGCACTTTGGGAGGCTGAGGCGGGCATATCACGAGGTCAGGAGATCGAGACCATCCTGGCTAACACGGTGAAACCCCGTCTCTACTAACGATACAAAAAAAAAAAAAATTAGCCAGGCGTGGTGGTGGGCGCCTGTAGTACCAGCTACTAGCGAGGCTGAGGTGGGAGAATGACATGAACCTGGGAGGCAGAGCTTGCAGTGAGCCAAGATTGTGCCACTGCACTCCAACCTGGGTGACAGAGCGAGACTCCATCTCGGAAAAAAAAAGAAATAGTCGGCCAGGCACAGTGGCTCACACCTGTAATCCCAGCACTTTGGGAGGCCGAGGCTGACAAATCACGAGGTCAGGAGTTCGAGACCAGCCCGGCCAACATGGTGAAACCCCATCTCTACTAAAATACATAAATTAGCCGGGTGTGGTGGCGGGCGCCTGTAGTCCCAGCTACTTGGGAGGCTGAGGCAGGAGAATCACTTGAACCCCGGAGGCGGAGGTTGCAGTGAGCTGAGATCGCACCATTGCCCTCCAGCCTGGTGACGGAGAGAGACTACGTCTCAAAAAAGAAAAAAAAATAGTCCTCTAACTTTTTGAGTCAGCTCTGTACATCTGCTGGTCGCTCAGTGGGTCTGATCCAGTTCTGTGTCTTTGGGAATAATCTGGCCACAGGGCTGTCCCCACTGTTTTAGCGGGGCAGTGTCAACCTCCCTCAACCCCAGCGGCCATAGGTCCAGAGTTAGGCTTTGTCTTTTTTTTTTTTTTTTTGAGACGGAGTCTCGCTCTGTCGCCCAGGCTGGAGTGCAGTGGCGCGGTCTCGGCTCACTGCAAGCTCCGCCTCTCAGGTTCACGCCATTCTCCTGCCTCAGCCTCCCGAGTAGCTGGGACTACAGGCGCCCGCCACCACGCCCTGCTATAGGCTTTGTCTTCAAAGCAAACAGAGTATTTCCTTTTGGGAAGCGCATGAAGCTGCTTTTTTACTTAGAAAACAAACCCACCCTTCCAAACATGCACAGTGAAATAAGCCAGGCATAAAAGGACAAATATTGTAGGATTCCACTTACATGAGGTTCCTAGAAGAGACAGCTCCGGAGAGACAGTAAGTAGAACGATGGCTGCCAGGGGCTAGGAGAAGGGGGAGAGGGGAGCGAGTGTTTAGCGGGGACACAGTTTCTGTTTGAGAAGATGAAAATGTCCTGGAGATGGATGGGGACGATGGTGGCTGCACAACAATGTCATTGTGCTTAATGCCACTGAACTGTGCACTTAAAAAGGGTTAAGATGGGACGGGCGCAGTGGCTTGTGCCTGTGATCCCAGCACTTTGGGAAGCCTAGGTGGGCGGATCACTTGAGGCCAGGAGTTCAAGACCAGCCTGGCCAACATGGTGAAACCCCATCTGTACTAAACATACAGAAAACTAGTTGGGCGTGTTGGCGCGTGCCTGTAATCCTAGCTGCTAGGGAGGCTAAGGTGGGAGAATCTCTTGAACCCTGGAGGCGGAGGTTGTAGTGAGCCGAGATCGCACCACTGCACTCCAGCCTGGGCGGCATAGTGAAATTCCATCTCAAAAAAAAAAAAAAAAAAAAACCAAAAAAAAAAAAAAACAAAAAAAAAACGGAAAGAAAAGAAAAGGGGGTTAAGATGGTAAATATTATGTTATGTGTGTTTTACCGCAGTGAAAACTATTTACACACGCAGACCCCATTAGCCAATGTGATGCTTCAGGAGGAGGTCTTGGGAATCATTTAGACCTAGACCAGGGTTTGAATCCCACCTCCACCACTTCTTGCTTATGACCCTGGCAAGGGACTTAACCTTTCTGACCTTCATCTGCTTTCTTTGTAAAATAGCGTTGGCCTGGCGCAGTGGCTCACACCTGTGATCCCAGCACTTTGGGAGGCTGGGGCAGGAGGATGGCTTGAACCCAGAAAGTCAAGGCTGCAGTGAGCCGCGATCACGCCACTGCACTCCAGCCTGCGTGGCAGAGTGAAACTCTGTCTCAAAAACAAATACAAAAATATAAATAAATAAATAAATAAACAAATTTAAAAATAAATAAAATAACTCAAGTGGCATTTTAAGTAGTTGTCAGGTCTCATAGCAGGCCTAAAAGTTACTGTCCAAATAAATGCAGTGATCTGGCCAGGTGCGGTGGCTCACACCTGTAATCCTAGCACTTTGGGAGGCTGAGGTGAGACGATCACTTGAGGTCGGGAGTTCAAGACCAGCCTGGCCAATATGGCAAAACCCTGTCTCTACTAAAAATACAAAAATTAGTCGGGGTGTGGTGGCATGTGCCTGTAATCTCAGCTACCCAGGAGACTGAGGCAGGAGAATTGGCCCAGTGCGGTGTCTCATGCCTGTAATCCCAGCACTTTGGGAGGCCGAGGCGGGTGGATCACAAGGTCAGGAGATTGAGACCATCCTGGCTAACACAGTGAAACCCTGTCTCTACTAAAAATACAAAAAAAATTAGCCAGGTGTGGTGGCGGGCGCCTGTAGTCCCAGCTACTCGGAAGGCTGAGGCAGGAGAATGACGTGAACCTGGGAGGCGGAGCTTGCAGTGAGTTGAGATCGCACCACTGCACTCCAGCCTGGGCGACAGAGCAAGACTCCGTCTCAAAAAAAAGGAAAAATGCAGTGATCTTCTGTAGGCCCATTTATGGTGATCTGGGGCCCTCAGCACCATGGTTAGTACTTTTTTTTTCTAGCTAGCAGCCTGGTAAAAATTAACATTAAATACTGATTTTTGCTGGGCACTGTGGCTCAGACCTGGAACCCAGCACTTTGGGAGACCAAGACAGGAGGATTGCTTGAGGCCAGGAGTTCGAGACCAGCCTGGGCAACATGCAGAGACCACTGCTCCCCATCTCTTCCAAAAAAAAAAAAAAAAAAACCACCACAGGAGGCTGAGGCAGGAGAATGGGCATGAACCCGGGAGGTGGAGCTTGCAGTGAGCCGAGATGGCACCACTGCACTCCAGCCTGGGCAACAGAGCGAGGCTCCATTCCAAAAAAACAAAACAACAACAACAAAAAAACCCAAAACAACAAAACAAAGTTAATTTTCAGCCTCGTGGTTGCTAATCTCACATGCTTGTGTGCCTTTTTTTTTTTGAGACAGGGTTTTACTCCTGTTGCCTAGGCTAGAATGAAATGGTGAGGTCTCGGCTCACTGAAACCTTCGCCTCCTGGGTTCAAGTGATCCTCCTGCCTCATTCTCCCAAAGTGCTGGGATTACAGACATGAGCCACTGCACCCAGCCTGTGTTTTTTTGTTTTTTTGTGTTGTTTTGTTTTGAGACAGGGTCTTGCTTTGTCACCCAGACTGGAGTGCAGTGGTACGATCATAGCTCACTGCAACTTGAACTGCGCTCAGGCAATCCTTCTGCCTCAGCCTCCCAAGTACCTGGGACTATAGTTTCATGCCATTATGCCCAGGTAATTACTATTTTTTTGTTTTTTTTTGGAGAGACAGGGTCTTGCTCTGTTGCCCAGTCTGGACTTGAACTCTTGAGCTCAAGCAATCCTTCAACCTCAGTCCCCCAAAGTGTTGAGATTGCAGGCGTGAGCCACCACATCTGGCCACATTTACCATTTTAAAGTAAACAATTCCAGTGGCATTTAATATACTTTGTGCAAATACTACCTCTATCTAGTTCCAAAACATCACCCCAAAAAGAAACCTGTACCCATTAAGCAATTGCTCCCCATTTCACCCACCCCTAACTGGCAACCACCAATCTATATTATTTTTCTATGGATTTCTTTCCTTTTTATTTTTATTTTTTTTCTGAGTCTGCTTGCCAGGGAATATGGATTTCTTTTCTTTTTTTTTTTTTTTTTTTTTTTGAGACGGAGTCTGGCTGTGTCGCCCAGGCTGGGGTGCAGTGGTGCGATCTCTGCTCACTGCAAGCTCCGCCTCCCGGGTTCACGCCATTCTCCTGCCTCAGCCTCCCGAGTAGCTGGGACTACAAGTAGCTGGGACTACAGGTGCCTGCCAACATGCCCGGCTAATTTTTTTGTATTTTTAGTAGAGATGGGGTTTCACTGTGTTAGCCAGGATGGTCTCGATCTCCTGATCTCATGATCTGCCTGCCTTAGCCTCCCAAAGTGCTGGGATTACAGGCGTGAGCCACTGCACCTGGCCGGATTTCTTTTATTTTCTTTTGAGATGAGGTCTCACTGCTCCCCAGGCTGGACTGAAGTGGTGCAGTCACAGCTCACTGCAGCCTCAACCTCCTAGACTCAAGAGATCCTCCTGCCTCTCAAAGTGCTGGGACTACAGGTGTGTGCCACTGCATCTAGCTTCTATGGCTTTTCTTATTTTGAATTTTTTTTTTTTTTTTTGAGACGGAGTCTCGCTTTGTTGCCCAGGCTGGAGTGCAGTGGCGCAATCTTGGCTGACTGC
This sequence comes from Homo sapiens, assembly GCF_000001405.40. Lineage (NCBI taxonomy): Eukaryota > Metazoa > Chordata > Mammalia > Primates > Hominidae > Homo > Homo sapiens. Next base: position 6,311,139 of record NC_000007.14, on the reverse strand, counting down.
AAGCTCCGCCTCCTGGGTTCATGCCATTCTCCTGCCTCAGCCTTCCGAGTAGCTGGGACTACAGGTGCCCGCCACCACGCCTGGCTAATTTTTTGTATTTTTAGTAGAGATGGGGTTTCACCGTGTTAGCCAGGATGGTCTCGATCTCCTGACCTCATGATCCACCCACCTCGGCCTCCCAAAGTGCTAGGATTACAGGCTTGAGCCACCGCGCCTGGCCTTGAATATTTCATATAAATAAAATCATACAATATGTGAGCCTTTTGTGTCTGGCTTCTTTCACTTAGCATAACGTGTTTGAGGCTCATCAGTGTTGTAGCATGAATCAGTGCTTCATCCCTTTTTATGGCTGAGTAATATTCCATTGAATAGACATACTATAATGTTTAACCATTCCTCTGTACATGGACATGGGATATTTCTGGCAGACTAATGAGCCCAATTGGCCCTTGGAACTGATGGAATAATGGCAGATGTGATAACTGAAATGCCCTGACAACTTACAACATTTTCTTCTTTATGTCCAGAGCAGTTGTTACACATGAAATTAGACGAATGAAAATTAAGTTCACTGAAGTTCCTAGATCTAGCGTTTGTAAATTATCACCCCTTGGGGACTGTTATCCTCATAGGATTCATTTTGTATTTGACATTTGGAAGACTTTGTGCTCTTTTAACAACAGAAAATTACATAAGGTCATTGTCACTTTCGTCGACTCCCTAGTGTTTTTATTCCAAACCATGCAAAATGTTTGTTTTATTTGGAGCGTTCCCTAACTTCGGTTGTATAAACTGTATCAGTAGCTCTCAAGCTTGACTGGTGATAAAAATCACTGGAAAAACTTAACAGAAGTACAGATGGCCAAGTGTAATCCCCCAATCTGCAAAGATGCAGATTCTCCTAGGGTCCCAGCATCTATTCAGGCACCCCAGTTTATGGACTACACTTTGTGAAACAGTGGCGTACACAGATGTCTTGAATTATCTAATAAATTTATCAGATTGGGCCAGGCACGGTGGCTCACGCCTGTAATCCCAGCACTTTGGGAGACCGAGGCGGGGGGATCACTTGAGGTCAGGGGTTCAAAATCAGCCTGGCCAACATGGCCAACAACTCTCTCTCTACTAAAAACACAAAAAAATGGCTGGGCGTGGTGCACACACCTGTAGTCCCAGCTACTCGGGTGGCTGAGGCAGGAGAATGGCTTGACCCTGGGAGGCAGAGGTTGCAATGAGCCGAGATCGCACCACTGCACTCCAGCCTGGGCAACAGAGAGAGACTCTGTCTTAAATAAAATAAAATAAATTTATCAGATCACACGATAGAACTTTAATTAATTACTTAATTGATTAATTTTTGAGGCAGAGTCTAGCTCTGTCGCCCAGGCTGGAGTGCAATGATGTGATCTCGGCTCACTGCAACCTCCACCTCCCGGGTTCTAGCAATTCTCCTGCCTCAGCCTCCCGAGTAGCTGGGATTACAGGTGCCTCCCACCACGCCTGGCTACTTTTTTGTATTTTTAGTAGAGATGCGATTTCACCATGTTGGTCAGGCTAATCTTGAACTCCTGACCTCAGGTGATCCACCCACCTCAGCCTCCCAAAGTGCTGGGATTACAGGCGTGAGCCACCCCGCGCCTGGTCGGAACTTTATTTTTGACATAACAAATTGAAAGATATATTGAAAATAATTCAATAAAATTCCAAAGAACATCATAAAATATATGTATGTTAAAATGGAAGAAAGGTTTTAAAAATGTTGATGAAATAGATTTTCTAAATCCTGAGGAAATTTATATCTGCTCCCATATATTTTCTTTTAATTGTAAGCAAAAATACATAACATGAAATTTATTGTCTTAAACATTTTTATGCGTACAGTTCGGTGGAGTTAAGTATATTCACATTGTGGTGCAACCAATCTCCAGAATTTTGAATAAGTTGCAAAATGGAACTCTCTATCCATTAAACGATTCAGGCCAGGCGCGGTGGCTCACGCCTGCAATCCCAGCACTTTGGGAGGCCAAGGCGGGCAGATTACCTGAGATCAGGAGTTCCAGACCAGCCTGGCCAACATGGTGAAACCCCGTCTCTACCTAAAATACAAAAAAATTCACCGGGCATGGTGGTGCGTGCCTGTAATCCCAGCTACTCGGGAGGCTGAGGCAGGAGAACCACTTGAACCCAGGAGGCAGAGGTTGCAGTGAGCCAAGATCGGGCCACTGCACTCCAGCCTGGGTGACAGAGTGAGACTCGATCTCAAAATACAAAAACAAAAACAATTCACCATTCTTTCTCCTCTTGACTCCTGGTAACCACCATTCTACTTTCTGTTTCTATGAATTTGACTACTCTAGGGACCTCATACAAATGGAATCACACAGTATTTGTCTTTTCTGTGACTGGCATATGTGAACAAAAGTTTCCTGAAAAGGAATTTGGAGAAAAGAGATTTTATTCCAGTGAGCAGTTTGCCCAGTTTCCTTTTAAAGGTTGATTAATATTCTATTGTATGGGTTCCCAGAGGCTCTAACCTGTAATCCCAGCATTTTGGGAGGCTGAGGCAGGAGGATCGCTTGAGCCCAGGAGTTTGAGACTAGCCCTGGCAACATAGCAAGACCCCATCCCTATTTTAAAAAAAATTAAATAAAAAGCAGCAGCAGCCAAGACAACTTCCAAGTTTAACAGAGCTCATGCTTTTAACTGAGAAATTAGCAATGTGGACTAATGACTTATTACGTTTTCATAAAGTTCTCTTTTTTTTTTTTTTTTTTTTTGAGACAAAGTCTCACTCTGTCACCCAGGCTGGTCTTGAACTCCTGACCTCAAGTGATCCACCTGCCTTGCCCTCCCAAAGTGCTGGGATTACAGGCCTGAGCCACCGCCTGGTGTTTCCTTAACGGCCTGTAACTTCCTAAAGTTTTCTTCATGGCCTGTAACTTCCTAACCCCTAGTTTCATTCTAGGAGTCTCCTGTTGCTGGTGTAAATTAAACAGCAGGGAAAAGCAACTTCAGGTTTCAAGCTACCTTAAATCCTGAAAACAGAACTCTGTGTCTGCTACTTTCTTGAAATTGATCTGATGTTCTGCACAAAAGCTCCTGGCTGCCCTTCTGACTCAGACTGAAAATCAAAGTCCTAACAATGCCTCCTGGCCCCTGCTTCCTCCATGCCCTGTTCTCTGACCTCTCCTGCCTCCCTTCTGACTGCGGCCACACCAGCCTCTGGGCGTTTCTGGAAGCCCAGTCGAGAGCTGCGGGCTGAGAGCTTTGCCCTGCAGCACCTTCTTTGGGCTATTTTTCCCCAGAAGCCCATATGGCCCACTTCCTCCCTGCCTTTTTTTTTTTTTTTTTAAAGACGGGGTCTTGCTCTGTACCCAGGCTGGAGTGCAGTGGTGTGATCACACAGCTCACTGCAGCCTCAACCTTCCCAGGCTCAGGTAATCCTCCCATGCCAGCCTCCCAAGTAGCTGCCTCCCTGCCTTTACATCTTTGCTTCTTTAAAAAAAAACAAAAACAAAACAAAACGTTTTTTAACGTTTTAGCACAGTAGTATGATTTCCCAGTTTACACATATTTACAATAAAAAAGTTGGGATAAATATTTCAGCCATGTAAGGCATTGCTCCTGAATATCTAGAATATTCTTCCTTCATTCTGGATAATAGAAGCGTATGAATTACATAATCCTCTTTGCATAAATATTATTCACAATGGCACAATGATTTAGAACACAATTCTATCTTTAAAGAGCAGGTTTTGGCTGGGCGCGGTGGCTCATGCCTGTAATCCCAGCACTTTGGGAGGCCGAGGTGGGCGGATCAAGAGGTCAGGAGATCGAGACCATCCTGGCTAACGCGGTGAAACCCCGTCTCTACTAAAAACACAAAAAATTAGCCGGGCGTGGTGGCGGGCGCCTGTAGTCTCAGCTACTGGGGAGGCTGAGGCAGGAGAATGGTGTGAGCCCGGGAGGCGGAGCTTGCAGTGAGCGGAAATCGCGCCACTGCACTCCAGCCTGGGCGACAGAGTGAGACTCCGACTCAAAAAAAAAAAAAAAGTGCAGGTTTTAAAATCCTCTTTTTAATTGAGTGTGAATAAAAGTATGAAAAGGATTCTGACTGCCTGGGCTAAAATGGTAATCTTGCTCAGATTATCATTAAAAATTTTTTTTTTAATATGATAAGAGCTGTGGAAAAAGATCTCAGCCCTTATTGTCTTTAAAAAAATTTTATCATATACATCATGTAAAATTTCCCATTGTAACCATTTTTTAAGCAACCAGTTCAGTGTCATTAAATACATGCACATGGTGCAACCATCATCACCATCGAGAACATTTTTTCACCTTGCAAAACAGTAACTCTGACCCCATTAAACCCTCATTCCCCATTCCCCCTCCCCCAGAGCCTGGCATCTACCATTCTACTTTCCCTGTCTATGAATTTGACTACTCTAGTGACCTCATATAAGTGGAATCATATAAAGCATGTATGAGGTGACTCACATAAGTGGCATCTAGTATTTGTCCTTTGTCTTCCAGGCTTGTCCGTGTTGCAGCAGGTGTCAGAATTTCTACCCTGTTAAGGTTGAATAATATTCCATTGTATGGATGGACCACATTTTGTTAATCCATTCATCCGTTATGGACACTTGGGCTGGTTCCACCTTTTGGCTCTTGTGAATATGCCTGTGTATTAGTTCATTCTTATACTGCTAATAAAGACATACCTGAGACTGGGTAATTTATAAAGAATTAATAAAGGTTTAATGGACTCACAGTTTCACATGGCTGGGGAGCTCTCACAATCATGGTGGAAGGCGAAGCAGGAGCAAAGGCACATCTTACATGGCAGCAGGCCAAGAGGGTATGTGCAGGGGAACTCCCCTTTATAAAACCATCAGGTCTCATTTGAGGTCAGGAGTTCAAGACCAGCCTCACCAACATGGCAAAACCCTGTCTCTACTAAAAATACAAAAATTAGCTGGGTGGCCAGGAGTGGTGCCTCACACCTGTAATCCCAGCACTTTGGGAGGCCGAGGTGGGCGGATCACAAGGTCAGGAGATTGAGACCATTCTGGCTGACATGGTGAAACCCCATCTCTACCTAAAAAAATACAAAAAATTAGCCGGGCGTGGTGGCAGGCACCTGTAGTCCCAGCTACTCGGGAGGCTGAGGCAGGAGAATGGCGTGAACCTGGGAGGCGGAGCTAGCAGTGAGCTGAGATTGTGCCACTGCACTCCAGCCTGGGCGACAGAGTGAGATGCCGTCTCCAAAAAACACACAAACAAAAAAAATTAGCTGGGCATAGCGGCACGTGCCTGTAATCCCAGCTACTCAGGAGGTTGAGGCAGGAGAATCGCTTGAACCCAGAAGATGGAGGTTACAGTGAGCAGAAATCATGCTACTGCACTCCAGCCTGGGTGACAGCAAGACTCTGTCTCAAAAAAAGCAAAAAGCAAAAAACAAAAAACACCAACATTTAGGGACATGGAAGTCATTGTAATGAAATACTTTAGCTCACTTTATCCCAGCACACCCCCAAGATCCTCCCTGGAAAAAAAGGGTAAAGAATGTGATAATACTCAAGAGTGTTTGATGTATTTGGAAACAGAAAAGTAGGATGTTTACTTGGGAAACGTAAATATTTGGAGTCTACCCATCTAGGAAAAATCATACATGAACCCTTTCAGGCACTGAGAATTCCAGATATAAAGATTAAAAATGATATATTTAATTGCAACATTTGCTACTTAAACATTTGGCAGCCAGGTTTGTTAGCTCACGCCTGTAATCCCAGAACTTTGGGAGGATGAGATAGGAGGATTGCTTGAGGCCAGAAGTTCAAGACCAGGCTGGACAGCATAGCGAGACCTCGTCTCTACTTAAAAAAAAAAAATAGGCCAGGCATAGTGGCTCACACCTGTAATCCCAGCACTTTGGGAGACCAAGGTGGGTGGTTCATCTGAGGTTTGGAGTTCGAGACTAGCCTGATCAAGATGGAGAAACCCCATCTCTACTAAAAATACAAAATTAGCTGGGTGTGGTGGTGCATGCCTATAATCTCGGCTACTTGAGAGGCTGAGGCAGAAGAATCTCTTGAACCCGGGAGGCAGAGGTTGTGGTGAACCGAGATCTCGCCATTGCACTCCAGCCTGGGCAACAAGAGTAAAACTCCATCTCAAAAAAAAAAAAAGGCCGGGCACAGTGGCTCACGCCTGTAATCCCAGCACTTTGGGAGGCTGAGGTGGGCAGATCACCTGACGTCAGGAGTTCGAGACCAGCCTGGCCAACATAGCAAAACCCTGGCTCTACTAAAAATACAAAAATTAGCTGGGCGTGGTGGAAGGCACCTGTAATCCCAGCTACTTGGAAGGCTGAGGCAGGAGAATCGCTTGAGCCCAGGAGCCGGAGGTTGCAGTGAGCAGAGATCGAGCCACTGCACTCCAGCCTGGGCAACAAAGCAAGACTCCGTTTCAAAAAAAAAAAAAAGAATAGCCAAGCAAGGTGGCATGTGCCTGTAGTCCCAGCTACTCAAGAGGCTGAGATGAGAGGATCATTTGAGTCCAGGAGGTCGAGGCTGCAGTGAGCCGTGATAGTGCCACTGCACTCCAGCCTGAGTGACAGAGTGAGACCCTGTCTCTAAAAAAATAAATAAATAAAAATGTGGCAGGGCACTGTGGCTCACGCCTGTGATCCCAGCACTTTGGGAGGCCAAGGTGGGTGGATCACCTAAAGTCAGGAGTTCAAGACCAGCCTGGGCAACATAGTGAAAGCCCATCTCTACTAAAAATACAAAAATTATCTGGGTGTGGTGGCGGGCGCCTGTAATCCTAGCTACTTGGGAGGCAGAGGCAGGAGAATCACTTTAGCCTGGGAGGTGGAGGTTGCAGTGAGTGGAGATCACACCATTGCACTCCAGCCTGGGCGACAGAGCGAGACTCCGTCTCAAAAAAAAGAAAAAAAAGTAAATAAAAAAATTTAAAAAAAATGTAATGCTTGCTTTTTGGCAAATACATTTTAAAGGTTGTTGCTCTTCAGAGGTTGTTTTTAACTGACCATTTGGAATATGAAACTCCAAGAGGAGCCCCTATAAATCTCATCTGTTTCAGAAATTCAAATGGGAGAACTTTGTTCTTTGTTATTTACATGATATGTGGCTAAGATCACTTTGGAAAATGTAGTAAAACTTCATAATAAACTGAACAAATAAAGAAAGCCTTTTCTAACTGGGAAACTGGAAATAACTTCTTTTTTTTTTTTTTTGATATGGAGTCTGGCTCTATTGCCCAGGCTGGAGTGCAGTGGCATGATCTTGGCTCACTGCAACCTCTACCTTCCAGGTTCAAGTGATTCTCCTGCCTCAGCCTCCCGAGTAACTGGGATTATAGGCGCCCACCACCATGCCTGGCTAATTTTTGTATTTTTGTATTTTTTGTGTTTTTTTTTTTTGAGATAGAGTCTCGCTCTGTCACCCAGGCTGGAGTGCAGTGGTGCGATCTCCGCTCACTGTAAGCTCCGCCTCCCTGGTTCAAGCCATTCTCCTGCCTCAGCCTCCCGAGTAGCTGGGACTACAGGCACCCGCCACCATGCCTGGCTATTTTTTTTGTATTTTTAGTAGCGATGGGGTTTCACCGTGTTAGCCAGTATGGTCTTGGTCTCCCAATCTCATGCCACCCTCCTCAGCCTCCCAAAGTGCTGGGATTACAGGCGTGAGCCACCATGCCGGCCTAATTTTAGTATTTTTAGTAGAGAGGGGTTTCTCCATGTTGGCCAGGGTGGTTTCGAACTCCTGACCTCAGGTGAACCGTCCGCCTTGGCCTCCCAAAGTGCTGGGATTACAGGCGTGAGTCACTGCGCCTGGCTGGAAATAACTTCTTAAATTGTCTTTTAACCATTAAGTTTTGCCTCGAATGTGGCTACTTGCCACTGTCACTTTTTTTTTTAATTTTTTTTTTAGAGCTAAGGTCTCTTGAATAAAGCTGAAAATTCTTATGTTGAAAGGTACTTCCTTCTGTTATTTTATCACCTTCCTGGTTTTGTCTAATCTCAGCGAGATTACAGTCATATTTCTTGTTCTTTTTAAGGTGCATTTAACAATTTCAAGCACAGAGTCTTTGTTCTGTGGTCTTGATGTTTTGTGTACTCCCGGACATATTTTGGGACTCTTTAAACAGAAGAATGTTTGCTTTAAATATTCTTAATGTCTTTAAACCTACTTTGTCATATTCAGCTTCTAAAATTTTCATGTGTGCTGATGAGATATTTTATTTAGAGTGTTTTGTTTTAATTAAGCCCATCTTAAGAGACATTCAATTTTTGCCAAGAATCTGCTTTCTCTCTTACAAACCAGTTATATTTGTAACATTCATAAACTAAGTTATTAGCAAAGGCGAAATTTTAGCTGCACCCCGGCTATGTCTTGCAGATTCATGGCGGAATTAAAGAGAGTAAGGGCAGGCTAAAACAAAACACGATGACAAATCAGGATGCTATAAACATGCATGACCTTTATTTTCAATATTTTCTTAAATGCGGTTTTTCCTTTTTTTTTTTTTTTTTGGAGACGGGGCTCACTCCGTTGCCCAGGTTGGAGTGCAGTGGTGCGATCTTAGCTCTCTGCAACCCCTGCCTCCTGGGCTCAAGCCATTCTTCTGCCTCAGCCTCCCGAGTAGCTGAGACTACAGGCATGTGCCACCGCACCCGGCTAATATTTGTATTTTTAGTAGAGACGGGGTTTTGCCATGTTGCCCAGACTGTAAATACTGTTTTTAAAAAATTGTTTCAGAGAACAATTTCTCATCTCTGAAAAGATCGCTAAGGGAGGTTGCTATATTTGAAAGCATTGTGTTTTATTTTTTCACTTGCATCCTTCAACTATGGAGAAAGGCTACAGTGGAAACTGCAATTCTTCCTTTGTTCAACCAGTCTGCATTTAAAAACTAAAGTTTATTTTTTTGACTATTAGAATGTATGTCCACATAGCAGAATATATAGAAAGTTCAGGAAAATAGAGGCAGGAAAATTAAAGTCATTTTACCAAAAGTAACCAATGTTATTATTTCGGTCTGTTTTGTTGGAAATATTGTACATGTAACCCTTTTCTTTTTATTATTGTCTTGTATTATTATCTTTTTTTTTTTCCTGAGACAGAGTCTCACTCTGTCACCCAGGCTGGAGTGTGGTGGCACGATCATGGCTCCCTGCGCCCTCAATCTCCTGGGCTCAAGCGATCCTCTTGCCTCAGCTTCGTATGTAGCTGGGACCACAGGTGTGCACCACCATGCCTGGCTAATTTTTAAAATTTTTTGTAGAGACAGGGTCTCACTTTGTTGCCCAGGCTGGTCTCGAACTCCTGGGCTCAAGCTATCCTCCTGCCTTGGCCTCCCAAAGTATTGGGCTTACACGCATGAGCCATAGCACCTGGCCCATATATACATTCTTTTATCCTGCTTTTTTTCTTTCTTTCTTTTTTTTTCCTCAGCCTCCCATATAGCTGGAATTACAGGAATGCACCACCATGCCCTGCTAATTTTGTACTTTTAGTAGAGACAGGGTTTTCTGCCTCAGCCTCCCAAATAGCTGGGATTACAGGCACGCACCACCACACCCTGCTAATTTTGTATTTTTAGTAGAGATGGGGTTTCACCATGTTGGTCAGGCTGGTCTCAAACTCCTGACCTCAGGTGATTCACCCGTCTCAGCCTTCCAAAGTGCTGGGACTGCAGGCGTGAACCACTGTGCCCGGCCTCTTTTTTTTCGAGACAGAGTCTTGCTCTGTCGCCCAGGCTGGAGTGCAGTGGCACGATCTCGGCTCACGGCAAGCTCTGCCTCCTGGGGTTCATGCCATTCTCCTGCCTCAGCCTCCTGAGTAGCTGGGACTACAGGCGCCCACCACCACGCCCAGCTAATTTTTTTAGTAGAGACGGGGTTTCAGTGTGTTAGCCAGGATGGTCTCCATCTCTTGACCTCATGATCCGCCAGCCTCAGCCTCCCAAAGTGCTGGGATTACAGGCGTGAGCCACCGCGCCTGGCTTTTTTTTTTTTTTTTCTTAAGAGAGGGTCCTTCTTTGTCGCCCAGGCTGGAGTGCAGTTATGTAATCATAGCTCACTGCAGCCTTGACCTCCCAGGCTCAAGTGATCCTCTCATCTCACCCTTCCCAGTAGCTGAGACCACTGCCATATGCCACCATGCCTGGGTAGTTCTTTTGTTTTGTTTTGTTTTGTTAGGTTTTTTTTTTTGAGATGGAGTCTCGCTCTGTCACCCAGGCTGGAGTGCAATGGCGTGATCTTGGCTCACTGCAACCTCCACTTCCCAGGTTCAAACAATTCTCCTGCCTCAACCTCCCGAAGAGCGGAGATTATAGGTGCCCACCACCACACCTGGCTAATTTTTTTGTATTTTTAGTAGAGACAGGTTTTCACCATGTTGGCCAGGCTGGTCTCGTACTCCTGATCTCAGGTGATCCACACGCCTCAGCCTCCCAAAGTGCTGGGATTATGGGTGTGAGCCACCATGCCCAGCCTATTTTATATGTTATTTTACATCTTTTGAGATAGTCTCACTGTGTTGCGCAGGCTGGAGTGCAGTGGCGCAATCTCGGCTCATTGCAACCTCTGCCTCTGGGGTTCAAGCAATTCTCCTGCCTCAGCCTCCAGAGTAGCTAGGATTATAGGTGTGTGCCACCATGCGTGGCTAATTTCCGTATTTTTAGTAGAGACAGAGTTTCACCATCTTGGTTAGGCTGGTCTCAAACCACTGACCTCAAGTGATCTGCCCACCTCAGCCTCCCAAAGTGCTTGGATTACAGGCATGAGCCACCGCACCTGGCCCTATTATAGATATTTTATATAAGTGGAATTGTATAATGTGTAGCTTTCTGCCTCTGGCTTCTTTCACTCAGCAGAATGTTTTCGAGCTTTATCTGCGTGGTAGCACGTGTCAGTACTTCTTTCCTTTCTATGGCTGAGAAATATTCTATGGTTTGTATACCTCAGTTTGTTTATCTGTTTGTCCATTTATGGACATTTGCGAAGTTTCCACCTTTTGACTATTGTGAATAATGCTGCTTTAAACTTGTGTGTATGTGTGTTCGTCTGAGCACCTGTTTCCTGCTCTTTTGGGTATGTACCTAGGAGTGGAATTGCTGGGTTGTACGGTAATTCTATGTTTAACTTTCTGAGGAACTGCCAGATCGTGTTTCATAGCAACTGCCCCATTTTACAATCCCTTCAGCAACATATGAGGCCTCCACATCCTCTCATGGGGATCATCTCTCTCTCTCTCTCTCTTTTTTTTTTTTGGAGACAGTGTCTCACTCTGTTACCCAGGCTGGCATGCACTGGCATGATCAGGGCTCACTGCAGCCTTGACCTCCTGGGATCAAGTCATCCTCCTGCCTCAGCCTCCCAAATAGCTGACACTACAGGTGCACACCATTTAATAATTAAAAAAAAAAAACACTAGTCTGATATGGCGGCACATGCCTGTAGGCCTACCTATTTGGGAGGCTGAGGTGAGAGGAACACTTGAGGACGGGATTTGGAAGCCTAAGTGAACTATGATCTTAATTTTTTAAAAATTAGCTTAGCCACATTCAGCTAATTTTAATTTTTTTTTGTAGAGACAGGGTGTCACGACGTTGCCCAGGCTGGTCTCGAACTCCTGGGGTCAAGTGATTCTCCCACCTTGACCTCCCAAGTGCTGGGATTACAGGAGTGACTCATCGGGCCCAGTTTTTAAAAATTTATTTTATTTTTTTGAGATGGAGTTTCGCTCTTGTTGCCCAGGCTGGAATGCAATGGTGCAATCTCGGCTCACCACAACCTCCACATCCCGGGTTCAAGCGATTCCTCTGCCTCAGCCTCCTGAGTAGCTGGGATTACAGGCATGTGCCACCATGCCTGACTAATTTTGTATTTTTAGTAGAGAAGGGTTTCTTCATCTTGGTCAGGCTGGTCTCGAATTCCTAACCTCAGGTGATCTGCCCACGTTGGCCTCCCAAAGTGCTGGGATTACAGGTGTGAGCCACCGTGCCCGGTCTTTTATTTTTTATTTTTTAAAGAGATAGAGCATGTTTAACTAGGTAACAAACCTGCCACATCCTGCACACGTATCCCAGAACTTAAAATAAAATAAAATAAAATAAAATAAAAAGATAGAGAGACTCTCACTCTTAAAAAATGGCCGGGCGCAGTGGCTCACACCTGTAATCCCAGCACTTTGGGAGGCCGAGGCTGGTGGATCACGAGGTCAGGAGATCGAGACCATCCTGGCTGACACGGTGAAACCCCGTCTCTACTAAAAATACAAAAAATTAGCTGGGCATGGTGGCGGGCACCTGTAGTCCCAGCTACTTGGGAGGCTGAGGCAGGAGAATGGCGTGAATCTGGGAGGCGGAGCTTGCAGTGAGCTGAGATGGAGCCTGGATGACAGAGTGAGACTCCGTCCCAAAATAAAATAAAATAAAATAAAAATAAAAGCTGGGGGCCAGGTGCGGTGGCTCACGCCTGTAATCCCAGCACTTTGGGAGGCCGAGGCGGGTGAATCACGAGGTCAGGAGATCGAGACCATCCTGGCCAACACAATGAAACCCCGTCTCTATTAAAAATACAAAAAAATTAGCCGGGCTTGGTGGCGGGCGCCTGTAGTCCCAGCTACTTGGGAGGCTGAGGCAGGAGAATGGCGGGAATCCCAGAGGCGGAGCTTGCAGTGAGCGAAGATCACACCACTGCACTCCAGCCTGGGCGAGAGAGTGAGACTCCATCTCCAAAAATAAATAAATAAATAAATAAATAAATAAATAAATAAAATGAAATAAATAAAAGCTGGGGTGTAGGGGTGTGATCTCGGCTCACTGCAACCTCTGCCTCTTGAGTTCATGTGATTCTCCCGCCTCAGCCTCCTGAGTAGCTGGGATTACAGGTGTGCACCACCACTCCTGCTAATTTTTGTATTTTTAGTAGAGACAGGGTTTCACCATGTTGGACAGGCTGGTCTCGAACTCCTGACGTCAAGTGACCCACCTGCCTTGTCCTCCCAAAATACGGGGATTACAGGCGTGAGCCACTGTTCCCGGCCTTTTTTGTTTGTTTGGTATTGAGACAGGGTCTTGCCCTGTCGCCCAGGTGTAGTGTAGTGGGGCCATCATAGCTCACTGCAGCCTCCAGCTTCCAGGCTCAAGCAATCCTCCTGCCTCAGCCTCCTGAGTAGCTGGGACTGTAGGTGTACACCACACCTGGCTAATTTTTGTATTTTTAGTAGAGATGGGGTTTCACACTCTTGGTGAGGCTGGTCTCGAACTCCTGACCTCAAGTGATTCGCCTGCTTTGGTCTCCCAAAGTGCTGGGATTACAGGCATCAGCCACTGTGCCTGGTTGCAAACGACATTACCAACTTGTTCCTGTGCACTATGGTGCCCACTCCATTCAGGGGGCTGGTGGTTTGGCGGTTAACATCAGAAGAGGGTAGGCATCACACTTTATCATCTTTCCGTGTCTTCAGTCTTTTGTGGTGTTTCTTGACCTGAGACTCACAGCCTCATCTTCACTCCTTGTCTTGGGTTTTCTAGGAGACACTTTGTTTTGATCCTCTGGGACAGGCAAATGCAATGTCTAGAATAAATGTATGTGTTATTAAATTTCACCCCTAAATGAATAATTCTTGCTGAGATGCACAGAGTGCAATGTGAGGAAGTAACATGAGCCTCAGAATCCACAGAATCTCAGACCTACATGGCAGGATTGGAAAATCTTCCAGCAATCGAAATTAAGCTACTAATCATGTCCTCTCCATAGAACTTTTTTTTTTTTTTTTGAGACAGTCTTGCTCAGTCACCCACTGGAGTGCAGTGGTGCGATCTCAGCTCATTGCAACCTCCGCCTCCCAAGTTCAAGCAATTCTCCTGCCTCAGCCTCCTGAGTAGCTGAGATTACAGGTACCCACCACCACACCCGGCTAATTTTTGTATTTTTAGTAGAGATGAGGTTTCACCATCTTGGCCAGGCTGGTCTTGAACTCCTGACCTCAAGTGATCTGCCCAACTCAACCTCCCAAAGTTCTGGGATTATAGGTGTGAGCCACTTCGCCCAGCCTTCTTTTTTTTTTTTTTTTTTTTTTTTTGAGACAGGGTCTCACTCTGTTGCCCAGGCTAGAGTGCAGTGGTGTGATCTTAGCTCACTGCAGCCTCCAACTCTTGGTCTCAAGTGATCCTCTCACCCTGGCCTCCTGAATATCTAGGACTACTGGCATGAGCCACCGTATCAGGCTAGGTTTTCTTTGTTGTTGTTTTTTTGAGATGGAGTCTCGCTCTGTTGCCCAGGCTGGAGTGCGGTGGCGCCATCTTGGCACCCTACAAGCACTGCCTCCCGGGTTCATGCCATTCTCCTGCCTCAGCCTGCTGAGTAGCTGGGACTACAGGTGCCTGCCACAACGCCTGGCTAATTTTTTGTATTTTTTAGTAGAGACGGGGTTTCACCATGTTAGCCAGGATGGTCTCGATCTCCTGACCTCGTGATCCGCCAGCCTCGGCCCCCCAAAGTGCTGGGATTATAGGTGTGAGCCACCACCCCCAGCCCAGGCTAGGTTTTTAAAACTTATTATTGTAGAGATGGAGTCTTGCTATGTTGCCCAGGCTGGTCTTGAACTCCTGGCCTCAAGTGATCCACCTGCCTTAGCCTCCCAAAGTGCTGGGATTATAGGCATGAGCCACCATTCCCTGCCCGAAGTTCAGTTTGATATCATGGCCAAGTCTCTTCCACCCCAGCCCCTTCCCTGGCTCTGGAATTTCCACCAGAAGATGGGCTTGTGCCGTTTCATCTTCAGAATCTGCAACACATCCGCTCCGCATCAGGCAGGTGACTTAGTGGGCAGCTCCCCTTGACTTCTGGCTGTGGGAGATTCAGATAAAGTCCAAGTAGCAGGCCGGGCGTGGTGGGCCACACCTGTAATCCCTGCACTTTGGGAGGCCAAGGTGGGTGGATCACTTGAGGCCAGGAGTTCAAGACCAGCCTGGCCAGCATGGCGAAACCCCATCTCTACTAAAAATACAAAAATTAGCCAGGTGTGGTGGTGCATGCTTGTGGTCCCAGCTACTCAGGAGGCTGAGGCAGAAGAATTGCTTGAGCTCGGGAGGCAGAGGTTGCAGTGAGCCGAGATCGTGGCACTGCACTGCACTGCAGCCTGGGCAATAGTGTGAGACTCTGTCACAAACAAAACAAAACAAAACAAAACAAAAAACAAATGAAAAACAAAGTCCAAGTCCAAGTAGCAAGAGGACTTTCAGTGAAACCATCTTTCCTCGGTCTTCCCTCTCTTTCCATAATCTGGTTACTAGAGATTAATTTTTCCTTTTTTTTTTTTTTTTTGAGATGGAGTTTTTGCTCTGTCGCCAGTATGGAGCGTGCGATATCGGTTCACTGCAACCTCTGCCTCCCGGGTTCAAGTGATTCTCCTGCCTCAGCCTCCCAAGTAGCTGGAACTACAGGGACCCGCCACCATGCCCAGCTAATTTTTGTATTTTTAGTAGAGACAGGGTTTCACCATGTTGGCCAGGATGGTCTCAATCTATTGACCTCGTGATCTGCCCGCTTTGGCCTCCCAAAGTGCTAGGATTACACGTGTGAGCCACTGCGCCCAGCCGTAATTTTTCCTTTTAATTCTCGGTAGTACTGTGGCTGTTTTCTGGAGCAGGCCAAAGCACATTTCACCTTTTTCCATTTTCTTTCATTCTCATCACAAAAATCCCTCCAGGCTAAGACTCCTTCTCAGAAACCTGGCAATTAGAAGAGGAAGCCTGTCTACTCCTAACACTTCATTTGTAGCCCCATTATAAATAATTAACCTGAAGTTATGCTCAGAAAACAAATAGATGGGGTGCAATTGGCAGGGCTGCATAGAAGATTTTTCTCATGGGTTTTTACCCCATTCACAAAATCCGGGAAGCGGATACAGCCCTTTCCATTAGCAGAAATGAGCTGTCTGCTCTTGAACACTTAGAGAGGAAACCACAGTGGAGCCACTTTTCTTATGCACTTAAACTTGAGATCTGCCCATGGAGTCGTTGTCTGAGGCTCTGGACAGCATTTCCTCCTACCAGGATCTCACAGGCCCCCTAAGGACAGGGCTTGGCTGCAGCTGCCACCGTACGCACTGATTCTGATCCCCTGCCAAGTCAGTCTTGTCCCTGGGGATGACAGTGGTGAGTAGATTCAGAAGGGGTTGTGGTCACCTCAACTCAGATTCAGTCCTTGGCTAAAATAGGGTAAAGACGAGGCTGATATTGTTGTTGTTTTTGTTTTTTTGAGACGGACTCTCTCTCTGTCCACTCAGGCTGGAGTGCAGTCGCGCCATCTCGGCTCACTGCAACCTCTGCTTCCCAGATTGGAGCAATTCTCCTGCCTCAGCC
This sequence comes from Homo sapiens, assembly GCF_000001405.40. Taxonomy (NCBI): domain Eukaryota; kingdom Metazoa; phylum Chordata; class Mammalia; order Primates; family Hominidae; genus Homo; species Homo sapiens. Next base: position 6,294,738 of record NC_000007.14, on the reverse strand, counting down.
TCCCAAGTAGCTCAGATTACAGGCACCCGCCACCATGCCCGGCTAATTTTTGTGTTTTTTAGTAGAGACGGGGTTTCACCATATTGGCCAGGCTGGTCTCAAACTCCTGACCTGAAATGATCTGCCCGCCTCGGCCTCCAAAAGTGCTGGGATTGTGAAAATTTTTGAAATACAGGTGAAATTCACACAACATGATATTAACCATTGTATTAGTCCGTTTTCATGCTGCTGATAAAGACATACCCGAGACTGTGTAATTTATAAAGAAAAAGAGGTTTAGGCTGGGTGCGGTGGTTCACTTCTGTAATCCCAGTACTTTGGGAGGCCGAGGCAGGTGGATCACCTGAGGTCAGGAGTTCGAGACCAGCCTGGCCAACATGGTGAAACCCTGTCTCTACTAAAAATACAACAACTAGCCGGGCATGGTGGCAGGCGCTTGTAATTGCAGCTACTCGGGGTGCTGAGGCAGGAGAATCGCTTGAACCCGGGAGGCAGAGGTTGCAGTGAACCAAGATCATGCCACTGCACTGCAGCCTGGGAGACAAAAGTGAGACCGTCTCAAAAAATAAAAGAAAAGAAAAAGAGGTTTAGTGGACTTACAGTTCCATGTGGCTGGGGAGGCCTCACAATCATGGTGGAAAGTGAGGGAAGAACAAAGGCAAGTCTTACATAGCAGCAGGCAAAGAGAGAAACTGAGAGCCAAGTGAAAGGGGTTTCCCCTTCTAGAACCATCAGATCTCGTGAGACATACCATGAGAACAGCATGGGGGAAACCACCCCCATGATTCAGTTATCTCCCACCGGGTCTCTCACACAACACATGGGAATTATGGGAGCTACAATTCAAGATGAGATTTGGGGCCGAGTGCAGTGGCTCACACCTGTAATCCCAGCACTTTGGGAGGCCGAGGCAGGCGGATCACCTGAGGTCAGGAGTTCGAGACCAACCTGGCCAACATGGTGAAACACCATCTCTACTAAAAATACAAAAATTAGGTGGGTGTGGTGTCAGGTTCCTGTCATCCCAGCTACTCGCGAGAACTGCTTGAACTCGGGAGGCGGAGGTTGCATGAGCCAAGATCATGCCACTGCCCTCCAGCCTGGGCGACAAGAGCGAGAATTCATCTCAAAAAAAGAAAAAAAAAAAAAAAGATGAGATTTGTGTGGGAACACAGCCAAACCATATCAACCATTTTAGTCACAAAAGGACTAATGCTATACGATCCCAGTTATATGAGGTCCCTAGAGCAGTAAAATTCATAGAGATAGAAGGTATGGTGGTTGTAGGGGGCTGGGAGGAAGGAGAATGGGGAGTGTTTGACGGGTGCAGAGTTTCAGATTGGGAAGATAAGGAAGTTCTGGAGATGGATGGTGGTGATGGTTGCACAACACTGTGAATGTGCTTAGTGCCACTCAACTGGTCGCTTACAAGTGGTTAAAATGGTAAAATGTACACATATTTTATCACAATAAAATATATATGTTATATATTTTGTCACATAAAATATATATGGCTGGGTGTGGTGGGTGGCTCATGCCTGTAATCCTAGCACTTTGGGAAGTCGAGGCAGGCAAATTAGTTGAACCTAGGAGTTCGAGACCAACTTGGGTAACATGGTGAAACCCTGTCTCTACAAAAAAATACAAAAATTGGCCAGAGTGGTGGCATGTGTCTGCAGTCCCAGCTATTCGGGAGGCTTAAGTGGGAGGATCGCTTGAGCCTGGGAGGCAGAGTTTTCAGTGAGCCAAGATTGTGCCATTGCACTCCAGCCTGGGAGACAGAGTGAGACCCTGTCTCAAAAAAAAAAAAAAAAGAAAAGAAAAAGAAAAGGGTCAGGCACAGTGGCTCACACCTGTAATCCCTGCACTTTGGGAGGCCTAGGCGGGTGCATTACCTGAGATCAGGAGTTTGAGACCAGACTGGCCAACATGGCAAAACCCCATCTCTACTAAAAATACAAAAATTAGCTGGGCGTGGTGGCACATGCCTGTAATCCCAGCTCCTTGGGAGACCGAGGTGGGAGAATCGCTTGAACCTGGGAGGCGGAGGTTGCAGTGAGCGGAGATCTTGCCACTGCACTCCAGCCTGGGTGACAGAGTGAGACTCCATCTCAAAAACAAAAACAAAAACAAAGCAAACAAACAAAAAATATATATATGTGTGTGTGTGTGTGTGTGTGTATGTTTTATATATGCAAAACATTAATAATAACCATTTCAAAATATACAGTTCAGTGGCATTTAGTGCATTCCCACTGTTCTGCCACCACCTCTTCTATCTAGTATCAATATATATACGTGTATATATGTATATTTAATTTTTTTTTTTGAGATGGAGTCTCCCTCTGTCACCCAGGCTGGAGTGCAATAGTGCCATCTCGGCTCACTGCAACCACTGCCTCCTGGATTCAAGCAATTCTTCTGCCTCTGCCTCCTGAGTAGCTGAGATTACAGACACGTGCCACCAAGCCCGGCTAATTTAGTAGAGACGGGGGTCTCACCATGTTGGTCAGGCTGGTCTCGAACTCCTGACCTTGTGATCCACCCGCCTCGGCCTCCCAAAGTGCGGGGATTACAGGCATGAGCCACCGCGCCCGGCCTGTATATTTAAGTTTTTAGTAGAGACAAGATCTCACTATATTGCCCAGGCTGCTCTCGAACTCCTGGCCTCAAGTGATTCTCTCACCTTGGCCTCCCAAAGTGCTGGGGTTGCAGGCTGTAGCCACTGTGCCCGGCTGTTCCAAAATGTTTTAACATCATGAAAAGGAAACCTCATTCCCATTAAGCAGTTTCTCATCGTTCTACTCCCACCCCAGCCCCTGGCAACCATCAATTTGCTTTCTGTCTCTATGGATTTACTTATTCTAGATATTTCCTATAAATGGAATCATACAATATGTGGTCTTTGTGTTTGGCTTCTTCTACTTAGCCTCATGTTTTTGGGCCAGGCATGGTGGCTCATTCCCATAATCCCAGCACTTTCACAGGCTGAGGCAGGAAGATCAGTGGAGGTCAGGAGTCTGAGACCAGCCTGGGCAATATAGCAAGACCCCATCTCTATTGAAGATAATGTTGCTGGCCGGGAGCGGTGGCTTACGCCTGTAATCCCAGCACTTTGGGAGGCCGAGGTGGGTGGATCACAAAGTTAAGGGATTGAGACCGTCCTGACCAACATGGTAAAACCCTGTCTCTACTAAAAATAAAAATTAGCTGGGCCTGGTGGTGCAGCACCTGTGGTCCCAGCTACTCGGGAGGCTGAGGCAGGAGAATCACTTGAACCCAGGAGGTGGAGGTTGCAGTAAGCCGAGATCACGCCACTGAACTCCAGCCTGGCAACACAGCGAGACTTCGTCTAAAAAAAAAAAAAAAAAAAAAAAGATAATGTTTCTGAAATTCATTCACATTGTTTCATGCATCAGCTCTTCCTTCCCTCTTTTTTGTTTGAGACAGGGTCTCACTCTGTCACCTAGGGTAGAGTGCAGTGGCATGATCACAACTCTGGCCAACCTCAACCTCCTGGGCTCGAGTGATTCTCCCACCTCAGCTCCCTGAGTAGCTGGGACCACAGGTGCGTGACACTATGCCTGGCTATATTTTATTTTATTTTTTATAAATGCGGTCTTGCTATGTTGTCCAGGCTGGTCTTGAACTCCTGGGGTCATGTGATTCTCCTACCTGGGCCTCCCAAAGCGCTGGGATTACAGGTGTGAGCCCCCTCACCCAGCCGCTTCCTTCCTTTTGGTGGCCGAGTAGTATTCCACTGTGTGGATTTATTACCATTTGTTTCTCCATCTGTGGATGGACATACGGCCTGTTCCCACCTTTTGGTTATTGTGAACAGTGCTGCTGTGAGTATTCACATACAAGGATTTGTTTGGGTGCCTCTGCTGGGAACATTTTTGGCTGCTTTTTGCTCTCAGTTTCTTTCTGGCCTTGCCAAGAGGGCTCCCAGATCCCCTTCCTCACTTGTGGCCAGGTTGGTCCTGCTGGGGCCTCCTACAGCTTGTGAGACAATTGGTGCTTCTTGGAGAACCTGCTGGGTGACGTGTCTCAGAGGGTCACAGCACTCGGCGGCCACCCAGCAATTAGAAAGCTGCCTTGTCATGCTCTCTGGAGAGAGTACCTGAGTATGTGGCCTGGCAGTTCTGTCTGTCGGTTTTCTGGAAGCAACCAGGAGCTGTCCCAGCCTCTGTGGGGCAGGTACAGCAAGAATCCACCTCCCCGAGTCACCACTTGGAGAGCCTTCAAGTCTGTGGACATCCTGTCCCATTTCAACTTTAGTGTTAACAGGATGTGTCAGACATGACACTGAAATGGGAGGGGAGGACAGTGAGGCCGAAACTCTGCCCAGCAAGGGTTACCACGGGAGGCTCCGGGAATGGTTACTGAGGCCTGAACACGTCTGGTGGACACAGTGAGCTTCCAGCAAAGGACAATGGGCTTTTAGGCGCCAATAGCACTAGAAATAATGAGACATGGAATTTCTCTGCTGTGTGGTTTCATACCTTTTTAATTTATTGAGGTGAAATTCACATGAAATTAACCATTTTAAAGTGAGCAATTCAAGGCTTGGCATGGTGGCTCACACCTATAATCCCAACACTTTGGGAGGCTGAGGCAGGAGGATCACTTGAGCCCAGGAGTTCAAGACCAGCTTGGGCAGCATAGTGAGATCCTGTCTCTCCAAAAAATACATATATGTAAAAACATTAACTGGGCACGGTGGTGCGCACATGTAGTCCCAGCTACTCCGGAGGCTAAGGTGGGAGGATTGCTTGAGCCCAGGAGGTTGAGGCTGCAGTGAGCTGTGATCACACCACTGCACTCCAGCCTAGGAGACAGAACCAGACTCTATAAAAAAAAAAAATAGTTATGTAATATTGCTGTACTTATTAAATGATGAAGATTGTGATGGTGATGGTGATGGGGGTATCGATGGAAGTGCCAGGCAAAATCCAAGCCCCAGTAGCTGACTTTTTTTTTTTTTTTTGAGACAGAATCTCACTCTGTCGCCCAGGCTGGAGTTCAGTGGCGCAATCTCGGCTCACTGCAAGCTCTGCCTCCCGGGTTTATGCCATTCTCCTGCCTCAGCCTCCTGAGTAGCTGGGACTACAGATGCCCGCCACCACGCCTGGCTAATTTTTTGTATTTTTAGTAGAGATGGCGTTTCACCACGTTAGCCAGGATGGTCTCGATCTCCTGAGCTTGTGATCCACCTGCCTCAGCCTCCCAAAGTCCTGGGATTACAGGCGTGAGCCACAGCACCCAGCCCCCAGTAGTACACTTCTTATCCTAAATCCAGGAGAGAAAATGATGCAGGATAGTGAATAACAAGAGAGAGACATCTGGAAGAGTTTGCCTTCATTCAGGAGAAGCCAAGAGAACTGAAAGCCTTTTCAGGAATTAGGACATTCAGCTGGGTGCGGTGGCGCACACCTGTAATCCCAGCACTTTGGGAGGCTGAGGCAGGAGAATTGCTTGAGCCCAGGAGTTGGAGACCAGCCTGGGCAACATAGCGAGACCCTGTCTGTACAAAAAATAAGAAAAAAAATCCCAGCTACTTAGGAGACTGAGGTGGGACAATCACTGGAACCCAGGAGTTCAAGACCAGCCTGGACAACATAGTGAGACCCCCATCTCTACACAAAAATTTTGTTAGGCCGGGCGCAGTGGCTCATGTCTGTAATGCCAGCACTTTGGGAGGCCGAGGCAGGTGGATCACAAGGTCAAGAGATTGAGAACAAACTGGCTAATGCAGTGAAACCCCGTCTCTATTAAAAATACAAAAATTAGCTGGGTGTGGTGGTGCACACCTGTAGTCCCAGCTACTCAGGAGGCTGAGGTAGGAGAATCACTTGCACCCAGGAGTGGAGGTTGCAGTGAGCCGAGATCACGACACTGCACTCCAGCCTGGTGACAGAACAAGACTCCATCTCAAAAAAAAAAAAAAATCTAATAGCCAAGTTTTGGGTCACATGCCTGTAGTCCCAGATACTCAGGAGGCTGAGGTGGGAGGATTGCTTGAGCTCAGCAGTTGGAGGCTGCAGTGAGCTATGACTGAACCACTGCACTCCAGCCTGGGCAACAGAGTGAGACCCTGTCAAAGAAGGAAGGAAGAGCAAAAGGGAGGGAGGGAGGAAGGAAGGAAGGAAGGAGATAGAGAAAGAAGGAAGGAAGGAGAGAAAGAAGGAAAGAGAGAAAGAAAGGAAAGAAAGGAAGGAAGGAAAAGAAAGGAAGGAAGGAAGGGAGGGAGGAAGGAAAGAAGGAAGAAAAGGGGAGGAGGGAGGGAAGAAGGAAAGAAGGAAGGAAGGAGAGAGAGAAAGAAGGAAGGAAGGAGAGAAAGAAGGAAGGAAGGAGGGAAAGGAAGGAAGGAAGGAGGGAAAGGAAGGAAGGAAAGGAAGGAAGGAGGAAAAAGAGGAAGGAAGGAAGGGAGGGAGGAAGGAAGGAAGGGAGGAAGGAAAAGGAGACATTAGGCCGGGCATGGAAGTTCATGCCTGTCATCCCAGCACTTTGGGAGACTGAGGTGGGCGGATCACTTGAGGTCAGGAGTTCGAGACCAGCCTGGCCAACATGGTGAAACCCTATCTCTACAAAAAATACAAAAATTAGCATGGAGCGGTGGCACACGCCTGTAAACCCAGCTACTCAGGAGGCTAAGGTAGGAGAATCGCTTGAAACTGGGAGGCAGAGATTGCAATGAGCCAAAATTGTGCCACTGCACTCCAGCCTGGGCGACAGAGGGAGATTCTTTTTTTTATTTTTTAGCTTTTTTTTTCATTTTATTATTATTATACTTTAACTTTTAGGGTACATGTGCACAATGTGCAGGTTTGTTACATATGTATACATGTGCCATGTTGGTGTGCTGCACCCATTAAGTCGTCATTTAGCATTAGGTATATCTCCTAATGCTATCCCTCCTCCCGCCCCGCACCCCACAACAGTCCCCGGTGTGTGATGTTCCCCTTCCTGTGTCCATGTGTTCTCATTGTTCAATTCCCACCTATGAGTGAGAACATGCGGTGTTTGGTTTTTTGTCCTTGCGATAGTTTGCTGAGAATGATGGTTTCCAGTTTCATCCATGTCCCTACAAAGGACATGAACTCATCATTTTTTATGGCTGCATAGTATTCCATGGTGTATATGTGCCACATTTTCTTAATCCAGTCTATCATTGTTGGACATTTAGGTTGCTTCCAAGTCTTTGCTATGGTGAATAGTGCAGCTATAAACATACGTGTGCATGTGTCTTTATAGCAGCATGATTTATAGTCCTTTGGGTATATAGCCAGTAATGGGATGGCTGGGTCAAATGGTATTTCTAGTTCTAGATCCTTGAGGAATCGCCACACTGACTTCCACAATGGTTGAACTAGTTTACAGTCCCACCAACAGTGTAAAAGTGTTCCTATTTCTCCACATCCTCTCCAGCACCTGTTGTTTCCTGACTTTTTAATGATCACCATTCTAACTGTTGTGAGATGGTATCTCATTGTGGTTTTGATTTGCATTTCTCTGATGGCCAGTGATGGTGAGCATTTTTTCATGTGTTTTTTGGCTGCATAAATGTCTTCTTTTGAGAAGTGTCTGTTCATATCCTTTGCACACTTTTTCATGGGGTTGTTTGTTTTTTTCTTGTACATTTGTTTGAGTTCATTGTAGATTCTGGATATTAGCCCTTTGTCAGATGAGTAGGTTGCAAAAATTTTCTCCCATTCTGTAGGTTGCCTGTTCACTCTGATGGTAGTTTCTTTTGCTGTGCAGAAGCTCTTTAGTTTAAGAGATTTTGTCTTTAAAAAAAAAAAAAAGAAAGAAAAAGAAAAAAAGAAATTAAAGCACTCTCTCCCTGTGACCCACCTGCCCACCTGCTCAGGCAGGGTGTCTCCCTGCCAAGGTCCAGTAGGTCTCATTTCTAGCCTCCTTTGAACTTGGCAGTGTGGAGGGGTTAGAAGGGCCGTGACTAAGCTTCCAGCCAGCTGACTGGCCATCTTCTGATGAGCAGGCGGGCGCCGAGGGGAGACTGTGCCCTGGGCAGTGCATTTGTGTGGCGGCGCCAGAATGGGATTTTTGTTTGCTTGTTTTCCAGCTCCTTTTTTACACACAGCAAAATGTTGCATGCTTGAGGTTGTGTCTCCTGTTTCCTTTTGTAGAAGACAATCCTTCACTTCCCAGATGGAATCAATCTGGGATGTATTTTCTCTGTGAGCCAGCCGTGTGCACAGTTCCGGGATGGTGGAGACTGTCTTCTCTGGGCGTCCTTAGCAAAAGACTCCACTTACCAGAGACCACCAAAGAGACAGAATCAAACAATATTAGGGTCCTAGGGCTGCTGTAACAATGACTGCAGATCGGGGTCTTAAAAGCAACAGAAGTTGTCCAGGCGTGGTGGCTCACGCCTGTAATCCCAGCACTGTGGGAGGCTGAGGCAGGAGGATAGCTTAAGGCCAGGATTTCGAGACCAGCCTGGGTAACGTGGTGAAACACCGTCTCTACTAAAAATACCAAAAAAAAAAAAAAAAAAAAGCTGGACGTGGTAGTGCACGGCTGTAATCCCAGGCTGAGGCAGGAAAATTGCTTGAACTCGGGAGGCGGAGGTTGCAGTGAGCCAAGATCGTGCCACTGCACTCCATCCTGGGTGACAAGAGCGAAACTGTGTCTCAAAAAATAAACAAACAAACAAAAAACAATAATTAGCCATATGTGGTGGCACCCACCTGTGCTCCCAGCTACTCGGGAGGCTGGAGGTGGGAGGATTGCTTGAGCTCACTTGAAGGCTGCAGTGAGCTATGATCGCAGCACTGCACTCCAGTGTGGGCAACAGAGTGAGACTCTGTCTAAAAAAAAAAAAAAAAAAAAAAAAAAAAAAAGTAAAAAAAAGGGGAGGATCCTTCTAGGCCTCTCTTCCAGCTTCTGGTGGCTCCCGGCAATCCTTAGTATTCCGTAGATGGTAGCTGCATTGCTGCCATGTCTGCCTCCATTGTCACACACTTCCTTGTGTGTGTCTTCTCTCTTTTTTTTTTGGAGACGGAGTCTCACTCTGTCACCCAGGCTGGAGTGCAGTGGCGCGATCTCGGCTCACTGCAACCTCCGCCTCCCAGGTTCAAGTGATTCTCCTGCCTCAGCCTCCCAAATAGCTGGGACTACAGGCGTGTGCCACCACACCCGGCTAATTTTTTGTATTTTAGTACAGACGAGGTTTCACCATGTTGGCCAAGCTGGTCTCGAACTCCTGACCTCAAGTGATCCCCCCACCTCGGCCTCACGAAGTGCTGGGATTACAGGCGTGAGCCACTGTGCCCAGCTCTACCTCTCTTTTAAGCAATACTGCATTTCGTTTGTTGTTGAGGTTCAATCATCTTTATTCCCTCGAGGCCTTTCCCAGTTAATGCCAGCCAACCCTAGGTAGCCCCTGTGAAGTTGGGGCTTCTAGGAGGCAGTTAGAAGTGGGGGAGCTCATTCAGGGCTGCGTGGTGAGGGAGCTGCACAACAGGGGAAACTTCTAGTACAGATGGGACGTCAGGAAAAGACAGGAAGGAAGGGCCTCTGCTGTAGTGCAGCTCTCAGCGTCTCGCCAGCTCCATGGGGGCCCAGAGTAGAAGCTGCCAGGGGAGGAGCCCCAGGATGCCCTTGTCCCCTGCTGTCCACCCAGTTTCCCCGCTGGGTGACATCTCATGTAACTGTAGTAAAATATCAAAACCAGGAGTTCGACATTGGCATAAAGGGTGTATGTGGTTCTGTGTCATCGTATCACACAGGTAGATCCATCCATGCGATCATCGCCGCAATCAGGATACAGATCTGGGCCAGGCTCGATGACTCATGCTTGTAATTCCAGCACTTTGGGAGGCGGAAGTGGGCGGATCACTTGAGGCCAGGAGTTCAAGACCAGCCTGGGCAACAGCCGTTCAACAACAACAACAACAACAAACTTAACAAACTAGCTGGGTGTGGTAGCTCGCGCCTGTATTCCCAGCTACTCACTCGGGAGGCTGAGGTGGGAGGATCACTTGAGCCCGGGAGGTCGAGGCTGCAGTCAGCTGTGATTGTGCCACTGCACCAGCCTGGGCAACAGAGTGAGACACTGTCTCCCACTTCCTGAAAAATGATACAGATCTGTTCCATGATCTCAAATGCCAGAGAGCCTCCTGCTTCCCTGCTGCAGTCACACCACTCTCCTCCCCCACGAACATACCAACCCTTGTCAATCACTAATCTGTTTTCCATCTTTACAATGTTGTCATTTTGAAAATGTTACATAAATGAATTCCTATAGTATGTGATCTTTTGAGATTGGCTTTTATCGCTCAATGTAATGCCCTTGAGATGCGTCCAAACTGATGCTCATATTGTTTGTTCATATTTTTATTGTTGAGTAGTATTCCATGGTATGGACGTACCAGTTTAATTTTTTACTTATTGTAGGACACCTTGGTTGTTTCCTGTTTTTGGTTATTACGAATAAATTGCTGTGAGTATTCATGTCTGTGGTTTTGCTGGGACATAACTTTTTTGATTGTTTGTTTTGAGACAATGAAATCACTCCGTTGCCTAGGCTGCAGTGCAGTGGCAGGATCACGGCTCACTGCGGCCTCCACCTCCTGGGCTCAAGTGATCCTACTGCCTTAGCCTCCCGAGTAGCTGGAACTGCAGGCTCATGCCACCACGTCCAGCTAATTTTTGTATTCTTTGTAGAAATGGGGTCTTGCTGTGTTACCAAGGCTGGTCTCAAACTCCTGGGCTCAAAGGATCCGCTCACCCCAGCCTCCTAAAGCGCTGGGACTACAGGCATGACCCACCATGCCCAGCCGAACATAACTTTTTTTTTTTTTGAGACAGAATCTTGTTCTGTCTCCCAGGCTGGAGTGCAGTGGCGCAACCTTGAGGGCTCACTGCAATCTCCGCCTCCCAGGTTCCAGAGATTCTCCTGCCTCAGCCTCCTGAGTAGCTGGGATCACAGGCGCCCACCACCATGCCAGGCTAATGTTTTGTATTTTTAGTACAGATGGGGTTTCACCATGTTGGCCAGGCTTGTCTCAAGCTCCTGACCTCAAGTGATCTGCCCGCCTCGGCCTCCCAAATTGCTGGAATTACAGGCATGAGCCACCACGCCCAACCCTGGATTCTTTTTTTTCCTGCTAAGTTTTAGAGTTCTTTATACATTCTAGGAATGAGTAAGCTTTCAGATATGCAACACATTTCTCCCTGCAAATATTGGAAATATTTTTGCAATTATTTTCTCCCTTTGTGGCTTTTTTTTTTATCCTTTTAATTGGGTCCTTCACAGAGTATAAGTTTTAAATTTTGATGAAGTTCAGTTTATTGATGTTTTTTCTTTTATGGATCATGTGTTTTTGTTGTTGTTGTTGAGACAGACTCTGGCTCTTTTTCCCAGGCTGGAGTGCAGTGGTGTGATCTCGACTCGCTGCAACCTCTGCCTCCCAGGCTCAAGCCATCCTCCCAACTTAGCCTCCTGAGTAGCTGGAACTACAGGCATGTGCACCACCATGACTGGCTAATTTTTGTGTTTTTGGTAGAGACAGGGTTTCTTCATGTTGCCCAGGCTGGTCTCAAACCCCTAAGCTCAAGCAATCTGCCTGCCTTGGCCTCCTGAACTGTTGGGATTACAGGCGTGAGCCACCATGCCCGGCTGGATTGTGCTTTTCAAAGTGTCATGTCTGGCCGGGTGCGGTGGCTCATGCCTGTAATCCCAGCACTTTGGGAGGCCGAGGTGGGCGGATCACGAGGTCAGGAGACTGAGAGCATCCTGGCTAACACGGTGAAACCCCGTCTCTACTAAACATACAAAAAAAAAAAAAATAGCTGGGCGTGGTGGCAGATGTCTGTAGTCCCAGCTACTTGGGAGGGTGAGGCAGGAGAATGGCATGAACCTAGGAGGCGGAGCTTGCAGTGAGCCAAGATCACACCACTGCACTCCAGCCTGGGCGAGAGAGTGAGACTCTGTCTCAAAAAAAAAAAAAAAGAAAGAAAGAAAGTGTCATATCTAAAAACTTTTCACTAAGCTGTAAGTCCCAAAGATTTTCTCCTGTTGCCTTCTAAAAGCATGGTTTTCACACTTGGCATTTAAATCTATGATTCTTTTTTTTTTTTTTTTGAGATGGAGTCTCGCTCTGTCACCCAGGCTGGAGTGCAGTGGTGCGATCTCGGCTCACTGCAATCTCCACCTCCCAGGTTCAAGCAATTCTCCTGTCTCAGCCTCCTGAGTAGCTGGGATTACAGGCACCCACCGCCATGCCTGGCTAATTTTTGTATTTTTAGTAGAGATGGGGGTTTCACCATATTGGTCAGGCTGGTCTCGAACTCCTGACCTCAGGTGATCCACCCACCTCGGCCTGCCAAAGTGCTGGGATTACAGGAGTGAACCACTGCACCCAACCCTATGATTCATTTTGAGTTAATATTTGTATAAGTTAATTTTTGTCAGGTTTCTTTTTTTTTTCAATTTTATTGGCTATTCTTACATTGCTATACTTTTTTTTGGCCTATAAATATCCAATTGCTCCAGCACCATTTGTTGAAAGACTATCCTTCCTCCATTGAATGGCTGTTAGTCTGTTGTCAAAAAATCGTTTGTCTGTAATCCTAGCACACGCCTGTAATCCCAGCACTTTGGAAGGCTGAGGTGGGCAGATTGCATGAGCCCAGGAGTTCAAGACCAGTGTGGGCAACATAGCGAGACCCTGTCTCCACAAAAAATACAAAAATTATCCAGGCATGGTGGTGTGCGCCTATAGTCCCAGCTACTTGGGAGGCTGAGGTGGGAGGATGGCTTGAGCCTGGGAGGTGGAGGTTGCAGTGAGCCAAGATCATGCCATTGCATTCCATCCTGGGTGACACAGCCAGATCGTGTCTCAAAAAAAAATCAGGTGGCTGTACTTGTGTGAGGTTACTCCTGCCTACTGTATTCCATTCACCTGTGTATCTGTCTTTCAGCCAATACCACATGGTCTTCATTACTAGAGCTACGTAGTAAGTCTTGAAATTGGGTACAGTGATTTCTCCTACTTTTTCTTTTTCCAAATTGTTTGAGCTATTTTATTTTATTTATTTATTTATTTTTGAGACAAAGTCTCAATCTGTTGCCCAGGCAGGAGTGCGGTGGCACAATCTTGGCTCACTGCAACCTCCACCTCCTGGGTTCAAGCGATTCTCCTACCTCAGCCACCAGAGTAGCTGGGACTACAGGCATACGCCACCACGCCCAGCTGATTTTTATACTTTTAGTAGAGACAGGGTTTCACCATGTTGGCCAGGCTAGTCTCGAACTCCTGACCTCAAGTGATCCACCCACCTTGGCCTCCCAAAGTGCTGGAATTACAGGCGTGAGCCACTGTGCCCAGCCTGTTTGAGCTATTTTAGTTCCTTTGTCTTTCTATGTAAGTTTTAGAATAATCTTGGCTATATTTACTAAACATCTTGCTGGAATTTTGATAGGAATTGCTTTAAACCTGTATCTCAATTTGGGGAGAATTGGTATCTTTACTATGTTGAGTATTCTAATCCACGAACACAACATGCCTCCCTGTTTATTTGGATCTAGTTTGAGTTCTTCTATTTCAGTGTTTTGTCATTTTCAACATACAAATCCTGTACATGTTTTGTTAAATTTACACTCACGTGTTTTATTTATTTATTTATTTTTTGAGACGGAGTTTCGTTCTTGTTGCAAAGGCTGGAGTGCAATGGTGCGATCTCGGCTCACCGCAACCTCTGCCTCTCAGGTTCAAGCGATTCTCCTGCCTCAGCCTCCCGAGTAGCTGGGACTACAGGCATGTGCCACCACTCCCGGCTAATTTTGTATTTTTAATAGAGACAGGGTTTCTCCATGTTGGTCAGGCTGGTCTTGAACTCCCAACCTCAGGTGATTCGCCTACCTTGGCCTCCCAAAGTGCTGGGATTACAGGCGTGAGCCACTGGGTCCAGTCTTCACGTGTGTGTTTTTTTTTTTTCCAAGAAATTGTACATTGCATTTTGTTTCAAATTTTAGAGTCCACATTTTCATTGCTAGTACATATTAATAGAAATACAATTGATTTATATATATTAATCTCATATCCTGTAACCTTGCTGAATTCACTTATGAGTTCTAGGAGGTTTTTGTAGATTGTTTGGAATTTTCTTTTCTTTCTTTTCTTTTTTTTTTTTTTGAGACGGTCTCACTCTGTTGCCCAGGCTAGAGAGCAGTGGCATGATCTTGGCTCACTGCAACCTCTGCCTCCCGGGTTCATGTGATTCTCCTGCCTCAGCCTCCCCAGTAACTGGGATTACAGGTGCCCGCCACCACGCCCAGTTAATTTTTGTATTTTTAGTAGAGACAAGGTTTCACCATGTTGACCAGGCTGGTCTTCAAACTGAGCTCAAGTGATCCTCCCGCCTCGGCCCCCCAGTGTGCTGGGATTACAGCATGAGGCACCACACCCAGCTGGAATTTTCTGTGTAGACATTTTTTCTATATAGACCTATTTTTTTTTTTTAGGCGGGGTCTCACTCTGTTGCCCAGGCTGGAGTGCAGTAGTGGCGTGATCACAGCTCACTGCAGGCTCAAACTCCTGGACTCAACCAATCCTCCCACCCCAGTCTCCCAAGTAGCCGGGACTGGAAGTGCATGACACCACACCTAGCTAATTTTTAAGTCTTTTGTAGAGACAGGGTCTCACTATGTTGCCCAGGCTGGTCTCTTTTTAAATTTTTCTAAGTAAAGGAGAGTTGGCCCCTATAAGGGTGTCGTAAATGTCTCCGGGGCCCTCATAGTGATTCCAGGTGCTGAGTTCTGACATGTCCTTCACTGAAGGTCATTGACTGCCTGGGCACGGTGGCTCATGCCTGTCATCCTAGAACTTCAGGAAGCTGGTATGGGAGGATCGCCTCAGCTCAGAAGTTTGAGCTCACTCTGGGCAACATACTGAGACCTTGTGTCTACAAACAATTTTTGAAAATTAGCCAGGCGTGGTGGTGTGTGCCTCTCAGCTCCTCAGGAGGCTGAGGTGGGAGGATTGCTTGAGCCGAGGAGGCTGAGGCTGCAGTGAGCCATGATTACACTATTGCCCTCCAGCTTGGGCCTGACACCCTGTTTCAAAAATAAATAAATAAATACAAATTAAAAAGTCATTGACTGCTGTCTTCTGTTGAATCCCCAGGGCCTATGTGGTGGAGAGGCTAAGAAACAGGTTTTGTTTTGTTTGTAGCAACAAGGTCTCACTCTGTTACCCAGCCTGACCTTGACCTCCTAGCCTCGAGCAATCCTCAACCTCTCAAAGTGCTGGGATTACAGACATGCACCACCATGCCTGTCCAGAAGCAGGTTGCTGAATGAAGAAACTAACATCAAAAAATGAGGCTTGGAGTCCCCAGATTCCCTTATGAAAATGCACACACGTGTCTGTAGCCCTAAGAACCCAGTTATTTGGCAGACTGATGAGGTATGCAGTGGAGACACCTGAGCAGGGACCACGGACCATGGCAGGGGTGAGTTCCAGAAGGCAAACTTGGAGGGAGAGACAGCAACGAGAAGGTGGCGGTGGAAGGAGGGAGCCCTCACTGAAACTCAGCTTTGCCTCCCAGCTTGGCAGACAGATTCCTTCTGGCTTGTGAATCAGAAGGCGGGAAAAATTCCTACTTCTGTGGATAACAATGACGAGTATTTATTGAGTGCTTATTGTGTGCTACACACTGTATATGACAGCATCCGGTTCTCACAGTAAGTGTATGGGCCGGGGTTGTTGTTGGTTCCATTTCACAGAAATTTCACAGGAACTAGGGCACAGAGAGGTGAAGCAACTTGCCCAAGGTCACACAGCCAAGAAACAAAAGTGCCTGGGCCATCTGATTTTAGAGCCTAGGTAGTACCTTGTGATATATCATGGCTGGGACCCAGTGACAATTACGGGTCATTACTCGGTGTAATGACCAGAACTCATGGATGGCTTTTGCTGTCCTACAAGCCAAATTGCAGTATCACATTGGTGTGGGTGCTGTTAGGCCCTCCAGATCACAATGCCCTGTGACTGGTGTTGGGACGCTTGATTGCTGGTAGGAGCACACTTTCTTTTTTGAGACGGAGTCTCACTCTGTCTCCCAGGCTGGAGTGCAGTGACATGATCTCAGCTCACTGCAACCTCCGCCTCTCGGGTTCAAGCGATTCTCCTGCCTCAGCCTCCTGAGCAGCTGGGATTACAGGTGCGCATCACCACACCCAGCTAATTTTCGTATTTTTAGTAGAGGTGGGGTTTCACTATGTTGGGTCAAGCTCATCTGAACTCCTGATCTCGTGATCTGCCCGCCTCGGCCTCCCGAAGTGCTGGGATTACAGGCGGGAGCCACTGCGCCCGGCCTAGGAGCACATTTTCTATTCCAAGGACCATGATCGCAGACACAGATGTGCTACATCTTGTTGGTTGTCATTTTCACCCTTTTTCTTTTTAATTGCCTGTCCAATAGTACACTCTGCACCCCAGGATGGATTCTCTTGATGATTTTAAGCTGCACGCTGCAGACTCTGACCAACTTAATTTTTTAAATTAATTTTTTTTGTTGTTTTTAGTAGGTCAGGGACATACTATAGAAATGAAGAACCAGGCCAGGCTCAGTGGCTCATGCCTGCAATCCCAGCACTTTGGGAGGCCGAGGTAGGAGGATCGCTTGAGCCCAGGAGTTCGGGACCAACCTGGGCAACACAGTGAAAATCTACAAAAATAAATAAATAAATAAAAAATTAGCTGGGTGTGGTGGTGCTCGCCTGTGGTCCCAGTTTTCCAGGAGGCTGAGGTGGGAGGGTTGTTTGAGGCCAGGAGTTTGAGGCTGCAGTGAGCTGTGATTGCACCACTGCACTCCAGCCTGGGCAACAGAGCGAGACCCTATCTCAAAAAAATAAGAAGTAGATAAAAATAACCGTTTTTAGTAGTATAGAAGACACCTTGTATATAATAACTCTTAGTATTGAGGCTGCTTTGAGTGGATATAATGTTTTTCTGCCAATGACAAATAGCTCAAACTGTGGTCAAATTATTTGTTCCAAGTTTACCACAGAGAAATCTGACTACCTTTGTTCTTACAAAAATGCAAGTCACTAATCAATCTAAAAGGAATTAAGCTGCCCTTGGTAATGTGAGGCCAGGGAACTGATGTCAATTGTGTGGATTATTCTGGGGATAGAAGAAGAAGGCCAAGGTGGACTGCATTGAACGGCTGGAACGAGAGACAGAGTATTGTGAAGGCTGGAATGTCTGGGCTTTTGAAAATTTAATAAGGATGTGACTTGACTCTTGGACCCCTGTCATTTGCCTGAGCAGAACGGAGTATGTTAATTTGCACGAGATCATCTCCATTCCAATGAGATGTTTTCTTTCCTTAATGAAATTAGGTTGCAGAAAGCATTCCTTTTCTTTCCTACCTGTGAGCTGACAGTGAGCTGGCCACAGTGCGTGTCTTCTCCGGACTGTGACAGATCCCCGATGTAACAGATTACTTGAGTCCCCATCTGCTGACAGTCACATTTGTGCCTGCATTTCTTAACTGTTATTAGGGGAGATGAGAGCTGCTCCAGGCAGGGTCTGGAGTAGCTCTAGCCTGGGTAGCTCGGGAAGCCTCTTTATGGCCAAGCATCAAGAAACCGTCCTTGGCAGGGTTTTGGCTCTTGTGACCCTCAGCGCTGGGAGAGGACACTTCTGTCCGATTTCGCAGACTTTCACTTGGAGGATGGATGAATGTACAAAGAAGTCCTCTGACCTTTCCGGAATGTTCACATTCTTGATTTCTTAAACTATTTCTGCAGTGGTCAAAAGGCTGATAAATGGGTTTCAACATGTTTTCAAAATGTTTCCCATTTTTGATGGCCCTGTTCATCCAGCAGTGGTAACAAATATTGTTGTTTTCGCTTTTTTGACATGGCCACACCCTGCAGCAGACAGCAGAGACAGAATAAATACAGACTACAGTCTCTGTCCTGAAGGAGTTTTTTGTTTTTTGTTTTGTTTTGAGATAGGGTCTCACTCTGTTGCCCACGTTGAAGTGCGGTGTTGCGATCCCGGCTCACTGTAGCCTCAACCTCTGGGCTTAGTCTCCTGAATAGCTGGGACTACAAGTGTGCACCACTGCACCCGGCTAATATATATATATACATTTTGAGACAGGGTCTGGCTCTGTCACCCAGAGTGGAGTGCAGTGGTGCGATCTCGACTCACTGCAACCTCTGCCGTCCAGACTCAAGCGATCCTCCTACCTCAGCCTCCCCAGTAGCTGGGACTACAGGCTTGTGTCACCATGCCCAGCTAATTATACTTTGTACTTTTTGTAGAGATAGGGTTTTGCTGTGTTGCCCAGGCTGATCTTGAACTCCTGAGCTCAAAGGATCCACCTGTTTTGTCCTCCCAAAGTGCTGGGATTACAGGTGTGATTTATTTTTTATTTTATTTTTTTTGTACAGACATGGTTCGCTATGTTGCCCAGGCTGGTCCTGAACTCCTGGGCGCAAGCGATCCTCCTGCCTTGGCATCTGAAAGTGCTGGGATTACAGGCATGAGCCACCGCCCAGCCCTGAAGCAGTTTTAAGTCTGCAAAGCCAATTCACATGAAATAGCAAATACTATGAGAAAGTCTACAGAGTCAGATGTCAAAATTACAATTTTTTTTTTTTTTTTTTGAGACGGAGTCTCGCTCCTGTCGCCCATGCTGGAGTGCAGTGGCGTGATCTCGGCTCACTGCAACCTCTGCCTCCTGGGTTCAAGTGATTTTCCTGCCTCAGCTTCCTGAATAGCTGGGGTTACAGGCGCCCGCCACCGTGCCTGGCTAATTTTTGTAGTTTAGTAGAGACAGGGTTTCACCATGTTGGCCAGGCTGATCTCGAACTCCTGACCTCAAGTGATCTGCCTGCCTCGGCCTCCCAAACTGCTAGGATTATAGGCATGAGCCATCGTGCCTGGCCATGCCCGGCTAATTTTTTATATTTTTGGTAGAGATGGGGTTTCATCATGTTGGCCAGGCTGGTCTTGAACTCTTGACCTCATGATCTGCCCGCCTCAGCCTCCCAAAGTGCTGGGATTACAGGTATGAGCCACTGCGCCCCGCCCCTAAAGCAGTTTTAAGGCTGCAAAGCCAATTCACACGAAACAGCAAATACTATGAGAAAGTCTACAGAGTCAGATATCAAAATTACAATTACATAATTATTTGCTTAATGGCTGTATTCCTTCTAGGCCATCCGTTCCATAAGCCTGGGGACTGGGCCGGGTGCGGTGGTTTACGCCTATAATCCCAGCACTTTGGGAGGCTGAGATGGGTGGATCACGAGGTCAGGAGATCGAGACCATCCTGGCTAATATGGTGAAACCCCGTCTCTACTAAAAATACAAAAAATTATCTGGGCATGGTGGCGGGCGCCTGTAGTCCTAGCTACTCGGGAGGCTGAGGCAGGAGAATGGCTAGAACCCGGGAGGCAGAGCTTGCAGTGAGCCAAGATAGCGCCACTACACTCCAGCCTGGGCGACAGAGTGAGACTCTGTGTCAAAAAACAAAAACAAAAACAAAAACAAAAACAAAAACAAAACCTGGGGACTGAATTTACCTTTTTCATCATTTTCCCAGCACCTAGAACAGTGTCTGGAATACAGGAGGTGCCTAAATATTTATCATCTGACCAAATGATTGCAATGATTTAATAATTGGGTTTAATACTTGTTATTCTGCAGCAATGCCTGCTGCATGAATTATTTTCCTCACAAATTCACTTATAAAACTTTCAACATCTGAGCAAACCACTCATAAACTATGCATAAAGTGAGTGCCTATCTTAGTGAGTAACTAAAATACTTAAAGTTCCTATATGTAGAGATAATACGTATGTAAGCAGATTAGATCATTGCTATCTTGGTGGGATTTGAGAGATGCTGGAAAGCACTTCTTTTTGAAAATATGTAATTTTTCCATTAGATATTAATTCCTTCGAGTTGTGAAGATTTTGAAGTCTTCCAATTTCCCCATTAAAGCACAGAAATGACACCCAAAGCCTTTATCCCCCCCAACATTTTTGCAGAATTTGTTGAAATGCAAGCCCAGGCTAAACCATGGGGATAATGTAATATCCTCCTTATATAACTGGGCTGTGCTTTAGTCTGATGAAAATTAGATTAGATGGAGATCAGAGAAGCCACTTTCAGATTAAAACTCTGAGAAAAGCACCTGTGGATCACATTCTAAGACACCTAAAGAATTAAGATTGACATGAAAAAGCATTTATAATTGATAGTATCTTTGAGTTCAAAGCTCTGCATATCTCATTATCAAGTTCAAAGTAATGCTGTCATTTTTTCTCAGTAACGATGCTCTTATCTCCAAGATGACAAAGCTGACGGGAACAAGATCAGGAAGCCGAGTCTGGGGGTTGGGAGTTGAACCCTACATCTCCTGACTCCCAGACCCCTTTTCTGGTGCCTCTTTGTCACTCAAGCTGTCAAACACCTTTGCACGCAGCAGTGTCCCTTGGCTGGGTGTGGTGGCTCATGCCTGTAATCCCAGCACTTCGGGAGGTCAAGGTGGGAGGATCGCTTGAGTCCAGAAGTTTGAGACAAGCATGGGCAAACATGGCAAGATCTCGTCTCTAAAAAAGAATACAAAAATTAACCGATGCATGGTGGCATGTACCTATGGTCCCAGCTATTTGGGAGGCTGAAGTGTGAGGATCACTCGAGACACTGCATGCCAGACTGGGCAATAGAGCGAGACCCTGTCTCAAAAAAAAAGTGTCCCTCGTGGGTTTGGTTGCATGAGAATGCTTGGTGTTCAATTCTTGAGGTTATTAGAAGATTGAACTTTGAAATCATCCCGCAACCTTGAACCAAAAGGTGAAATTGTCCACTTTGATAGATGACAACGGAAGGATCCTTTGGTTCAATGGACAGCTTGTAAATATAAAACAGTTGCTGGAAAATTATATTAGAGATGAGCTATCTCCTCCATTACAATGTTTGCTTTTCTTTAATGCGATTGAGTTCCAACAGAAAGGCTTGGGAGGGGCCACAAGCAATGCTTCAGGAGTTACTGGAAGAGAGATATGGGGAGTGAGAGAGGAGATCCATCGATGTGGAGCAGGGGCCAGGGGAGGCCTTCTGCCCAGGAGGCCTGTGCTGAGGACCCTGGCTGTGCCCAAGGGAAACTGAATTCAGAGCTCCTCCTGCATCATAAATCCAGGACAGCTGGCAGCTCTCCAAGGAAGACTGGCGCTAAACTCCAAGGGCATCAGCCGCCAGATTGGCCAACCCCTACAATGCCCTTTGAGAGCTGAGCCCCAGGTGTGTTGAATCGGGATTCCGTTCCAACCTCATGACCACATTCATTTACAAGCCCTGCATTTTGTTAATTTAAAAATGCACTCACCAGGAGGGAAGGAGGAGAGGCTCCATTAAATATAAGACAGCTGAAAGGCTGGAATTCTTCTGACATGCATGTCTTAGGAAGGAGAAGGCCTGACCTTGTTCTTTTTTTTTTTGAGACAGGGTCTCACTCTGTCACCCAGACTGGAGTGCAGTGGTGCAATAATAACTCACTGCAGCCTCTACCTACTGGGCTCAAGTGACGTGACCTCCCACCTCAGCCTCCCCAGTAGCTGGAACTACAGGCACATGCCACCATGCCTGGGTCGCTATGTTATCGGGGCTGGTCTCCAACTTTTGTTCTCCAGCGATCCTCCCACCTCAGCCTCTCAAAGTATTGGAATACAGGTGTGAGCCACCGAGCCTGGCCAGGCCTGACTTCTGAATGCATTCGTTTCTTGATCTTTTACCCCGAGTGCACGTGCAAGTTGCACCCCTGGCCACTGGGTTTTGCAGAGTGTGGCGTTCCAGTGTCCGGGGCCCCACGCCCGTCCGCAGGCTACTGGAATGCTGAGGGCGAGGAGGCTTCGCTCCACGCACACCGGATCGGCCTGCACTTCAGGGGCCAGGTCTACAGCCTTCCCCAGCGCAGACGCCGCCGGCCCGGCCGGTTCCCGAGGGCGGGGCTGCGCGGCCTCACGCCCCGCCCACCGCGGGCAGAGGCGGGGCATGGGTCACGTGACGGCACGCCGACCAGCGAGGCCCCGCCCGGCGGGAGGAGGCCCGGCCGCGACCCGGGCCGCGCGCTGAGGAGCCGCCCGGTCGCCTGCGCGCTCCCTCCGGCGGCGTCCCCAGCCCGCGGCCCCTCTGCTGCCGGCCCCCGGCTCGCCGGCTGCGGGAGTGGCCTCAAGATGGATGAAGACGGCGGCGGCGAGGGTGGTGGCGGTGAGTGTCGGAGGTGTGGTGGGCTCGCCGGCGGCCTGGGGTCGGGGGCCGGGGGCTGGGGGTCGAGGGCGCGGCGCTGGGCCGGGGTTCGCCGGAGGAGACGGGGTCGGGGGCAGCGGCAGCGGCGTCCGCTGGAGGCCTGAGGCACGCCGGGCCAGGGCCGAGGCTGGGTCTCCGGGGGCCGAGGGAGGGGGCGGGCCGGGGTCGCCGTTCGGCGCTGGCGAGGGTCTGGGTACCAGGCCGGGGCTGCCGCGGGCTGGGGTCGCCCCGGAGTCTCGGGCCGGGGTTTGGGTGTCGCTCCTCTGGGGCGGGGGACCTTGCGGGGCGACCTTCCCCGCATCTTGTCGCCAAGGGCGTTCATGCCCTCCGGAGCCCGGCGTTTCGGACGCCCCCTTTCAGCTCAGGTGGGCGGAAGCGGCTGAGCCGGTGGGAAACCGGGAGGGGAAAGTTTTGCACTGGAGGCTCCTCGAGTGTACAGGACGGGAGGGCAGGGGAAACGGTTGGAAAGCGTGACAGTCTGCTTGGCTTTGGGTCAGAAACGGTCGCTGGATTTGCTCGAACGGGGAGGGGGCCAGCTGGAGTTCAGTTCAGGGTAGACGTTTTAGGAAACGGCAGACGCGACAGATTGAGCAAAAAACTCCGTGGAGCCGAGGGTGGGAGACACGAGCTGCACCCAGCACAGAGGCAAGACCGGAGAGCCAGGTGTGCCCGGAGCCAGGTGTGCTCCCGAGTGGGTCGGGTCGATGCGCGTCGTGGCCCAGGTGGTCTGTGTCTGACGTTCGGTTTCCTCTTGCTGGAGGAATCGTGTTTGTTGGAAATTATTTAGTGGAATACAAATGACTGCTGGGTCATGCTGGGAATTAGATTTTAAAAACAGAGGAACGTGCCTCTGTATGGAGTGGGTGTTCGCTTTGGAAAGCAAAGGGTTAATGCCCGTGTTTTTACAGGAACAGCCGAAGTTGAGGTTCTCTAGACTTTTTTTTTTTTTCCTGAAGATCTCCTTTGAGCTGACAGAGAAATCATCAGAATCATCAGAACCCCATGTAATAAGGGAGCAGTTTAGAGAAATCTTAATTACAGGCTGCCGGTGCAGCTGCCTGTAAGAATCAGCAGTATTGAATGCTTCAGGATGAAGTGGTTCATCATCAAGGTGCCTTCCAGAATTCAAGTGCTGCTCAGAGGGAGATGTTTTTTTGCTGAAAGACGCGATGCAGCCAGGATGGTGGGAAGTTGGCACCCGTCATGGCATTTGGCGAGTTCAGTTCTTATAGTTGAAGCTAGGGGTAGCACTGTGGCACCGAGTGGGTGTGTTGATGGGAGCGCTGTGGAACGAAGGCGCCCAGTTGCGAACCCTCCTACAGTCAGGCTGTCTGGAGCCATGAGATCCTAAGGAATGGGTTCCCGGTGGATGTCGTGTTTCCTGCCTGTCACAATTTGGGCATAGCTGTTTTCCCTTGTTAGAAAAGAAAGACAACTGTAATATGCAGACGTTGGACATTAGCGTCAAGGCAGCTAGCTGGCTTGGCAGTTTTGTTTGTAAGGTGCTTTGGGCTCTGTGAGTAAAGAAATGTAGACTTGAAGATTAAAGCAGGAATAAAGAGGAAAAGAGGAGGCTTTAATGTGCTCCAGCAATTTGCAGGTCTTGAGTACTATAACAAAGGATGATATGAAGTATCAAAAGTCTTAAAATTGTCCTTGGGTTGTTAGTATCTCTTCTGGGAATATATCACAGGGAAGCAACCTTGAAATAAACCCCTCACGTATAAAGATGTGTATTATGCTGTTTAAAATAGCAAAAAATTGGAAACAGCAACGCCAACAGCAGGGGCATGGTGAGGTAAATTATGGGAAGTTTATTGAAGTATTTTACAACCATTAAAATAAGCAGTTTTATACATCATGGTTTAAACAACATAAACATTGGTGACATTATGGATTATTTTATTTTCTTTTTATATTTTCCAGGTTTCTGGAATAAGTGTGTATTTCAGATTGGAAAAAAACCATCAAAGACGTGAATGTTTTAAGTGTATCATTTAATTCATCTCACTGGAACATTCAACAATGAAGATTTATTTATTGATTGCCCATCAAAATGCTAGCCAGCATGTTAGGTGCTGGAAAATAACTTTTAACCTTTATTGATTTAGTTTATGACTAGCTTTCTCCCTTGCTTTGTGACAGACACTTAAAAATATTTTTGGCAATATTAGGATATTTATTTTTGAAACAGGTGAAAAGCAAAGTTTTGAAATATGAGTGATATTGTAATTATTGTATAAACTTTATGTGCTTACATTTAACTCTTGGCTGTTGTAAGTTTTGAAGTTAACATACCTCTTTACAGTTAATACCTTTTAGATTTTTAAATGCTTTAAAATTCATGTTTAAAAAAATAAAGTTGAGCTCTTTTAAAGAAAACCGTTTCAGCTGCCAGCAGATTATAAAGCATAACATTTTTTGGTATATTTTTAGAGTGTAGTACATAATGTTGAACTGTATCTGGGGGAGTCAGTTAAAGCTTGTTTAAAAGATAGGGTAAATAATCTATTCAAACAGTAGTTATGGTAGAAGCCAAAGATAATTGAAAAGGTCTTTTTTTTGTTAATGGTCAGGTTAAAAGACTTGAAAAATTGATTCCTACTTGCTATTTTTATAAGTTAATTTAGCTTTTTGTCCACTGTATTGTTCTTTCAATGCAAGATAAGGAGAGAGAGGATGGTGGCATGAATGGCTGGAAGGCAGTTACAAGAGGAGCGAGTGGGGGGCACAAGATTACAAGAACACATTGTTCCTTACAGTGTGTGCAGAGTGTAGTTAAGTCGTTTTTAATTCCTATGGGACTTTGTTGCCTTTCAGTTTTTCGAGAACAGTTCTTGAGCTAATTGGAGGGTAGCTGGCTAGTTTGGCTCATTGGGATTGTCTTCGTGTCCTGTTTGGGCATTTGTCTGATTGATGGTCCTGAATGGACCATCCCTGGCAGATGAGGTGAATTAACTATAATTGGCATTCTTCTCTCTGACCCCTTCACTCCCTGATCAATGTAGGTGTCTGTGCTTCAGGTGAAGAGATGCTGAGCCTTGTTCATAATAAAATACATGCAAATTAAGACTAGATTGAGCTCCCACCTTTCACCTTCAGACAGGTGATAACCCCCAAGTATACAAAGTCTGTTTCAAGTTTGAAATATTTGAACGGCAAGGTCGTTTCAAACATTTACGGGTAAGAGTGTAAAGTAGCCACAGGCAGGGTCAGCCCATGTCCTGTTGGCTCAGATCCGTTTCTTGCCCTTTCCCTGCAGGGACTCACCCCTGCAGGCAACATTTCCCAGGCCCTTGGTCAGCTGGCTTCCGGCTGGGATTGGCCACTGGGAGCCACTGGCAGGAGGAATGGCAGGAAGAAGGACAAAAACAGGTTATTTCCCTTAGGCCTGCCTCAGGGAGTGTCTCTGGCAGGTACCTTGTCTCCTTTTGGCTCCAGCTCCTGCCCCTTGGTCCTAGCCTTTGAGTCTTGGAAATACCTCCTCCCTTTTACCCTCTATTTGAGAAGTGGTAACAGCAGCTTGCTCTTGATAATCTTTGTATTATCATTTCCTGTTTGGCTTTTCAGTTTTTCCATCACCCCTGTCACTAATTCCTTATATTAAATTCCCTCTATATCAGATTCTTAAAGGGATGGTTTCTCTGGATGTCTCTGTTTCTCTGGGTGGACCCTGATAGATACAGGTGCTTTAGGCAGTAGCTTTAAAAATTACAGGCGTGTAAATCCTTTGACCCAGCAATCCAGTTCTAGGAATTTAACCTGCAGATATATTTGTACACGTGTGAGATAACATAGGTACAAGATTATTTATTGCCTTGAGTGTCCATCAGCAAGCAAGAGACTTATCAGATAAATCCATGCCCAGATGGTTAATGAGGTTGTAAAGTTGTAGAAAGGAACGAGGAAGCTCTTTTCTTAGTTGACATGGAGAGATCTCCAAAATATCTTAAGTTACAAGAGCAGGCCGGGCGCGGCGGCTCTCACCTATAATCCTAGCACTTTGGGAGGCCGAGGCGGGTGGATCATTTGAGGTCAGGAATTCAAGACCAGCCTGGGCAGCATGGTGAAACTCCGTTTCTACTAAAAAAATACAAAAATTAGCCGGGAGTGGTGGTGCGTGCCTGTAATCTCAGCTACGCGGGAGGCTGAGGCAGGAGAATCGCTTGAGCCTGGGAGGTGCAGGTTGCGGTGAGTGAGATTGCGCCACTGCATTCCAGTCTGGGCAACAGAGTGAGACCCTGTCTCAAAAAAACAAAACAAAATTACAAGAGCAAAGTGTAGGAAAGTGTGCATTGCGTGCTCCCATTCTTGTGTTTTGAAAGAGGAGGTAATGGCTGATGCATGCAGATTCCCTGGAAGGTGAAAGGAGGAACCAATAACAATGGTTACCTGATTGGGGAAGATGATGGGAACTGAGTGGATGGGGAATATAGGTGGGAAGGAAACTTTTCACTATGCGCCTTTTTATTTTTTGAAATTCAAAAAAGTTTGAATAATCTGTCTTCACTTTTTCTAAAATTGGAAAGCAGTTTCATAGAAAAATAGTATGATGGTAAGAAAATACCCATTTTACACCTTTTTTGAGGGAATTTTTATAGATTAAAAAATACAGCTGGGCGCAATGGCTCACGCCTGTAATCCCAGCACTTTGGGAGGCCAAGGCGGGTAGATCATGAGGTCAGGAGTTCGAGACCAGTCTGGCCAATGTGGTGAAACCCCGTCTCTACTAAAAATACAAAAATTAGCCGGGCATAGTGATGCGCACCTGTAGTCCCAGCTGCTCGAGAGGCTGAGGCAGGAGAATTGCTTGAACCCTGGAGGCAGAGGTTGCAATGAGCCGAGATAGCGCCACTGCCTGGCGACAGAGTGAGACTCGGTCTCAAAACAAACAAACAAAATATTCTGGGAAGACCGCAACAAAAAGATAATGTGATATGCAATGTAAGGTTATAAAATGTTACCTATTTTTCATTCTGTAGTAAGTTAACTACTGTATTTTTGAGAGTTTAAAAAGTGGATGCTTTTAGATTATGCTTAGAGTATATTCTTTTGTAGTCATTTACTCAAATGTTGATGGTGTCTCTACCAAATACCAGGTTCTATGCATGGCACAAGAGCTATTAGTGCCTGTGTCATGCCGTTTTTGCATTGCTATAAAGAAGTACCTGAGCCTGGGTTATATATAAAGGAAAGAGGTTTCATGGACTCATGGTTGTGCAGGCTGTAGCTGTACAGGCATGGTGCCAGCATCTGCTCGGCTCCTGGGGAGGCCTCAGGGAGCTTTTTACTCATAATGGAAGGTGAAGCAGGATCAGGCACATCACATGGCTAGAGCAGGAGCAAGAGGGAAGAGATGCCACGCCCTTAAACGACCAGATCTCAGGAGTCCTCACTCACTATTGCAAGGGCAGCACTGAGCCATGAGGGATCTGCCTCCATGATCCTGTCGCCTCCCCTCCAAGTCCTGCCTCCAGCATTGGGGATTACAGTTCAACATGAGATTTGGGCGGGGCATATATCCAAACTGTATCAGTGCCTAACAGTGGTGAATACGGCAGATAAATTTCCCACGTTCATGGAGCTCATGTTTAGATGGAGAGACAGACAAAAGAGGTAAACAGCTATATATAAAATAATCATGTATTATGCTAGATGTGTTAAAGGAAATCAACAAGAGGTTGAGGAAGAGAAAGTGTGGGATGGGAGAGGTGTAGGGAAAGCCCGTGGCCAGGGAAGGCCTCTGAGGAAATGCCCTTCGAGGTGCAATCTATAGGGGTAGTGGACCAGACAGAAGGGAAGGCATGGAGCTGGCAAGAGCTGAGTATTCTAGAGAATTAAAAGCAGCTTTGTGTGGCTTGAACAGACAGTGAAGCGGGAGAGATAGACTGGGGCCATGTCAGGCTTTCAGTAGCTAAGGAATGCAGATTTTATTCTAAGTACATGAAGCCGCTGAAAGATTTTTAAACGGGGAAATCTCATTTGATTTACATTTCAATAATTTTAGCTAATATTTACTTGATGCTGTATGTCCTGTGTACTTTCTGCGTCTTAATTTATTGACTCTTCATCATATTGCTATTTTCAGATTGGAAAATGGAGGCATAGGGAAGCTAAGTAATTGGTCTGAAATTTCACAGCTAGCAGGTGATGGAGCTGTGATTGGAACCCAAGCCTTCCATTTCAGAATCCGTATTCTCAACCACTGCCCCCTGCTTTTTAAAGAAGCATATTCTTGACTCCTGAGTGGAGAGTGGTTTGGAGGAGAAGGGAGGACTTGGGAGAAGGGAGGTGTTGCAGTGGTTCAGGTGAGAGTTACGGGGCTTGGTGGGTTAGGGTGGTAGTGGGAAATATGGAGGGAAGGATATATATAAAACACATCTGTATAAAACATACAGAAAAGTACAAAGAATAATGAAACCAGCACTCTTGTTCCCACTACTCAGAATTGACATAATAGCTGTCAATGTTCTGTTGCATTTTTTAGGTCCGTTTTTTAAAAAATAAAGCATTACTGGTAAGTCTCTCCATCTCAGTATATTGTGGTGTTCTTCCAGTTGCTCAGGCCAAAATTTTGGTGCCATCTTTCACTTCTTTTGCCTTAAGCCTTCTCATGGTTCTCCCATTGTCATCCTTGTTCACACTGCAGCCAGGGCGATTCCCTTTGACACGCAGGTCATGTCACTCCTCTCTGAAAGTTTGCTCTTTCCTCGGTTTATTGAGAATCCTATTCTCAGACCACCTTACCATGGCCATGGCCCACACGCTGTAGTTTAGGGGCTGCAAGTTCTTCTTCTTCTTTTTTTTTTTTTTTTTGAAATGGAGTCTTGCTCTGTCACCTGGGCTGGAGTGCAGTGGAGCGATCTCGGCTCACTGCAACATCCGCTTCCTGGGCTCAAGTGATTCTCCTGCCTCAGCCTCCTGAGTAGCTGGGACTACAGGCGCGTGCCACCATGCCCGGCTAATTTTTTGTAATTTTTTTTTTTTAATAGATACGGGTTTCACCATATTGGCCAGGCTGGTCTTGAACTCCTGACCTCGTGATCTGCCTGCCTTGGCCTCCCAAAGTGCTGGGATTACAGGCATGAGCCACCACGCCCAGCCAAGCTTTTTTTTCATAAAAGGGCCGGATAGTAAACCTCATAGGCTTTGTGGGCCACATATGATCTCTGTCACAAGTCTTTTTTTTTTTCATAACCTTTTCAATATGTAAAAAACATTCTGACCTTGGGGACTGCCCTTGACTACTACTCTAGTCCCCTGCTATCTCTTTGACATTGTCTGTTGCTCCTCTCCCGTTTCCTCCCTGACTCTGCTCTGTCTCATTGGTCTCCTTGCCAAGCACACTCCTGCCTCAGTGCCTGTGCACTTGCTGCCCCTGTAGTGGTTTCCTCTTAGATACCTGCATGTGGTGTATCCTTGCTTCATTCAAGTTTGTGCTCAAATGTTTCCTTATCACAGAAGTCTTCCTTGACCAACCTATCTAAAATCACATTCATTGTTACTGTCAGCTCTATTTTTCTCCCTTAGCACATGTCACGCCTTACCTATTACATATTTGTTTCTTTTCTCTTACAATGTGAGTTCTGTGAAAGTAAGAATATTTTCTGCTTTTATCCAGTTATATCTCCAAGATCTAGAACAGTGCTTGGTACATAGTAGCCTTTCAGTAAATATTTGTTAATAAATACTGAATAAAGTTGAAGTCACTTGTGTCTAGCAATCCCTGGTCCTTTTGCTCTTTGCTTTCAATGTTTCTTAGAGGCAGCCATTATGAATTCGATATGGGGCCCTCTGGTGTATGGTGTTTTTGTTAGTTTTTTGAGATGGAGTCTCACTCTGTCACCCAGGCTGGAGTGCAGTGGTGTGATCGCAGCTCACTGCAATCTCCATCTCCTGGGTGCAAGCGATTCTTCTGCCTCAGCCTTCCGAGTAGCTGGGATTACAGGCAGGCGCCACCACACCCAGCTAATTTTTGTAATTTTACTAGAGACAGTGTCTCACCTTGTTGGCTAGGCTGCTCTCGAACTCCTGACCGCAAATGATCCACCCGCTTTGGCCTCCCAAAGTGCTTGGATTGCAGGCATGAGCCACCGTGCCCAGCCTGGTATATATTTCATACTTCAACAGATGTGCGTGTGCCTCTGTAAGCAATGTACAGGTCTCCTTTTTGTTTTTTTTTCTTTTGAGACGGAGTTTTGCCCTTGTTGCCCAGGCTGGAGTGCAATGGAGCCATCTTGGCTCACTGCAACCTCCGCTTCCTGGATTCAAGCGATTCTTCTGCCTCACCCTCCTGAGTAGCTGGGATTACAGGTGCCCGCCATCATGCCCAGCTAATTTTTGCATTTTTAGTAGCGATGGGGTTTCACCATGTTGGCCAGGCTGGTCTTGAACTTCTGACCTCAGATGATCTGCCGGCCTCAGCCTCCCAAAGTGCTGGGATTACAGGTGTGAGCAACCGCACCCGGCCCTAATTGGTTTTAAAAAGATTATAAAGCCGAGATCACACTGTATGTAATCTTCTGCAGCTTGCATTAGAGATTATCCTTGTGATTATATATAGACCTTGTTTAATTTAACTGCGATCACGTTTTGTCTATCTTGTCCTGTGTTGAACTTTTTTTTTTTTTTTCCTGAAGTTAGTGTCCTCACTCTGTTTCCCAGGCTGGAGTGCAGTGGTGTGATCTTGGCTCATTGAAACCTCTACCTCCCAGGTTCAAGCGATTCTTCTGCCTTAACCACTTGAGTGGCTGGGATTACAGGCTTGCAACACCATGCCCTGGTAAATTTTTAGTATTTTTAGTAGAGACAGGTTTTTGCTACGTTGGCCAGGCTGGTCTTGAACTCCTGACCTCAAGTGATCCGCCTGCCTCGGCCTTCCAAATTCTGGGATTACAGGTGTGAGCCACCGGGCCTAGCCCTGTGTTCAACTTTTTAATGTCAATGTTACACTGGTGGTGTTACAAACGGTACTGAGGTGAGCTCCCTAGTCTTCTCTCCCCTCACAAATGTGAGTTTATCTAGAGTATATTTCTAGAATTGCAGTTGTGAGTTATAGGCATGCTTCAGTTTTAATAGATAACAGATTGCTTTCTCATTAGGGGCTTGTGAGTAGTGTGATTTCCCAGCATTCTAATCAGCACACAGTGTTTGCCTTACTTTTAAATATTTACCTATCTCATGGGTAAGAAATGATGTATTGCTTTAATTTGTGTTGCTTTATAGTGACAAAATATATATTTTAAAAGCTGTTATATTAGGTTCAGGGGTACATGTGAAGGTTTCTCGTAAGTGAGCTCTTGTTATGGGATGGAATGTATTTTGGAGAATCAGATGGACATACTGTCAGCTTGGAGAAGGTTAGAGGTATAGAAACTGTAGGAATCAAATATGACTTTAGGTTTCTGGCTTGGTAGTGGTGTTGCTTAATGAACAGGGGAAAAAACTATTGTGAGGGTTCATTTTTTTTTTTGGTCAAAAATGCCTTTACTTTGCCTCCACTTAAACACAATTTTTTTATTAGAGTCGCGCTCTGTTGCCCAGGCTGGAGAGCAGTGACGCCATCATAGCTCACTGCAGCCTTGAACTCCTGGGCTCAAGCAGTCCTCCTGCCTCAGCCTCCCGAGTAGCTAGGACTACAGGCATGTGCCACTGTGCTAAGCTTGCCTCTGTTTTTGAAGGATAGTTTCATCAGGATTATAGTTGGAGGCTTTCAAGTTAATTTATTGCAGTTTTTAATTTTTTGTAAAGATGGGAGGTCTCACTATGTTGCTCAGGCTGGTGTTGAACTACTGGCCTCAAGTGATCCAAAGTGTTGGGATTACAGGCATCAGCCATTGAGCCTGGCCTTCCTACAGTGTTTTGAAGGGGTAGTTTTACTGCTTTCTGGCTTCCACTGATTCTGTGGAGAAGTCAGCTGCATCAGTCTTATTGTCACTCTTTTCCAGTTAGTGTGTTTTTTCTTCCCTTTAGGCTGCTTTTAAGATGTTCTCTTTGGGTTTGGTTTTCAGCTGTTATGTGGTGTGTCCAGATGTGGTTTTCCTCAAGTGTATCCTGCTTGGGATTAGTTGTTCTTTTTCTTCTCTTTGGCAGTGCTGTGACAAAGCTTGATCTTAAATTAGATTTACAGAATTCTTGTTCATTATCTCTTCATTGATTGCTTCTGCTGCATTTCCTGTCTCATCTCCTTCCAGGACTGTAATTACCTGTGCATTAAACATGCCCTCTGTGTCGTGTCCTGTATGTCTTAGATTCTTTTCTGTGTCCTTTATCCCTTTGCCTCTCCATCGTTCACTCTGTATCTTCTTCTGACTTATATTCCATTGTAGTAATCCTTTCTTCAGCTGTAATTGCTGTTGAACTCGTTTATTGAGTTCCTAATTTCCATTATTGTCTTTTCCAGTTTTCTTGATTTTTTTTAAAGATTCCAATTTTCTGCTGGCATTTTTTATCTTGTCAACTGCTTTATTGTATGAATCAGAGTTATTTTAAAGTCTGTGTCTGATAACTCCGATATTTGGATGCCTTGTAAGTGTGTTCTGTTGTCTGTTTTATCCTTGGTTTTCAGTCATGTGATCTTGATTCTAGATATGCCTGTTGAGCTTTAATTAAATTCTGGACAATGTATGTGAAAAATTATAGAGATAATTCAAGACCCTGCCTGTTGGCTTCATTTGAGGATTTGGCAGGCAGTTAAAGTAAGGGAATATCACTTTGCCCTTTTTTTTTTTTTTTTTTTTTTTTTTGAGACAGGGTCTCACTCTGTCGCCTAAGCTGAAGCACAGTCAGGCTCAAATGATCCTATGATCCTCCTACCTCAGCCTCCCAAGTAGCTGGGACTACAGGCACATGCCACCATGCCCAGCTAATTATTTTTTATTTTTGTAGAGCCAGGGTCCCACTATGTTTCCCAGACTGGTCTTGAACTCCTGGCCTCAAATGATCTGCCTGCCTCAGCCTCCAAAGGTGCTGGGATTACAGGCCTGAGCCACCTCACCTGGCCGGAATATCACTTTAAAATTATGAGGCATGGTCTATTCTGGTTTACCCTTCTTCTAGGTTATAGCCTTTAGTGGTTCCCACTGAAAGCTTGGGTTGCTTCCCAGGGCCTCTTCTACTTGGCAGCCCCTGAACTCTAATTTTTGTCCCCTCAGTCCCCTAAGACTGGTGGCTATTCTGCTGACCTTCTTGGATTCTCAGTCACTTGTTTCTGTTTGGTATTTTGGCTTCCCAGCTTCTGCTGTGAATTGGCGAATCCCTCAAGGAGAAAAGGGGCCCCGGTGATTGGGCTCACTTTTCTGCACTCCCCTTTTCCCTCTGGAATCCTGGCCTCCAGAGTCCTCACTGCATGGGTAGCTCTCTGATGCCTTCAAACAGTTGTTTCTAATAATTTGTTCAGTTTTTTAAGTTGTTCTTGGCAGAAATGTTGGTCTGCAGTGAGCTAGTCAGCTTTACTGGAAGCAGACTCTCAGGAATTCAATTTTGCTATTTAAAATGGACTTGTTAGTGAGATATCCTGGTGGAGATGGTAGGTAGGCAGTTGGCTGTGTCAGTCTGCTGCTCAGAAGACTAATTTGGGTAGGAGATAAACATTGGGGAGATTTTAATTCATGCGGGTGGAAGAGCTCACATAGGAAAGAGAGTTGAGAGAGGAGAAAAATCCTAGGACTGAGGACAGCACAGCAAAGGGGACTGGGAGGGTAACCAGTGAGGCCTAGGAAGCCTTGAAGATTGTGTGGCATTGCAGAAGAGAGAAGGAGTGATCGATCAGCTGTGTTGAATGCACTTAGAGACGGCCTAAAATGGGGATGGGGACATGTCTACTGGACTTGGTGATGTTAAAGAAAAACAATTTGGGGAGAGGCAGGGAGCTAGCTAGACTGGAGTGGGCTAAGGAGCTAGTGGGGGAAGGTGTGTCTTTGCTGAAGGAAAGGCACGTGCCATGGGCCTTAATTGGAAATGTGGCATGTTATGAGAATAGAGGGGAAGCCTGAGTGGCTGGAGCTCAGTGAGGGAAGGGTATGTTTGTTTTGCAGTGAAATACTTCTCAAGGAAGTTTTCACAGGAGACCAATAATCATTTCTATCAGGCATGTTAGAATAATAATGCTGTTTGCATTTTCACACTCTTAGTATAAGTAACTTTGGGAGAGGTAGATATAGTTTTAAGAAATTATTGGCAGATCCTTTAAAAAGCGGGTTTGTCAGCTTGTAATATGAGACTGTTGAAACTTTTGAAATGAAATGAAATTTTAAAAGTAGGTTTTGTCAAAGTACCCTAAAAGCTGCTTAAGATATATAAAATATTGGCTGGGCGCGGTGGCACACGCCTGTAATCCCAGCACTTTGGGAGGCCGAGGAGGGTGGATCACCTGAGGTTGGGAGTTCCACACCAGCCTGACCACATGGAGAAACCCTGTTTCTACTAAAAATACAAAATTAGCCTGGTGTGGTGGTGCATGCCTGCAATCCCAGCTACTTAGGAGGCTGAGGCAGGAGAATCACTTGAACCTGGGAGGCGGAGGTTGTGGTGAGCCGAGATCACGCCATTGCTCTCCAGCCTGGGCAACAAGAGCGAAAATCCGTCTTAAAAAAAAAAAAAAATATATATATATATATATATTATATATATATATATATATATATATATATTATATATATATAATATATATATATATAATATATATATATATTATATATATGTATGTAAAATATTTTGAGTTTGTGGGGAAAATAGTAAATCATTTAAATGAGAGTAGAAAATACATGACTCTCCATCCTGTTTTTGAAGTTAACCCAACATAAACTTTTTATAGTTAATGTCAGGTACCCAATTAACATAGAATAGACATGAGATTCTGTAGTGCTTTATAATTTGGCTGGAGCCAATACAGCAAGCATTTATTTCGGATAAATATCTTTTCACTATTATGTAAATATTGGAAGAGACTCGCCTGAGTCAATTTCAGTTGGCCAAGAAGATATTTTGATTTACTTTCCTCGAGTAAATTTACTCTTTGAGCTGACTTGGTTTTTAGTAAGTCACCAGGAACACTGTTCAAATAGGAGAGAATAAAAGTTCCTGCTTTAAACTCTCAACAGGGCTATTGTTAATTACTGTAGTCTTCTTTTGAAAAACTTATGTCTGTAATTAATAAAATCAGCAATTTGCTGTAAAACAAAGCATTTGGATGATGATCAGAAAGTATTTCCCAATATCTAGGTAATTAGTGATTTTTTTCCCCCAAGTTTTCATCCAGATGTTTGGCAATGTGCAGACACAGGCTTACTGCAACTTTATAATTCACTTTCATGAGAACATATAATATTCTCCGTTTATTTTGGACATCAGAGTTTCCTTTTTCTCTGGACAGATACGTATGAAACACATGCTCTTTGAGTGGAGTTTGTGGTCCTCTGAGAATTCTCTGAAGGAGGAAATGGGTTGACCTATTTGGTTGCTATGAAGTAAAAACAATCTTGTTTTCATTTTTTAGTGAACATCTGGGTTGCATTTATTATTTCACATTCTGGAGATTCTGTAAAACCACAATTTGATAATATGAGGGTTCATCAAAGCGGTAATTATTGAGCTATTTTTATAGTTGATTCAAGAATTAGGGTGGCTGATAGACTTTAAACAATATTTTTTCGTTTCTATAAAATGTAACTTAAATAACAACTCTTGATTTGAAACCATAAAATGGGATGTAGATATTTGGGGGACAGAAGAAGGATTGAACAACCAGTTTATTTCTCTGTTGCCTGTTGCCTTGTAGCTTGTCGTCATTGTTACAGCCATATTTGACTCTGTGTAGAAGACATTGTTGATGCCCTATTGCAAATCCACCCTTCTTTGCTTCCTTGCCCACAGAACCATGAATTGTTTACATATTTACCCATCAGGGAAGAGGACTTTATCACCACAAAGGGCTATATCTTAAATAGTCTTAGCAGGTGGGATAATCCCTCTTTCCTTATCCATAAGTGGAGGAGAGGTGAAAGTGTCACCCAAGTCTGGCCAGTATGCAGGGCAGTTTGCAGGGGGATGTCTGCAAGAAGTTTCTTCCTTCACAAATAAATATATGAGGAGTTGCGTTTCTTTTCTTTTCTTTTTTTTTTTTGAGACTGTGTCTTGCTCTGTCTCCTATGCCAGAGTGCAGTGGCATGATCATGGCTCTTTGCGGTCTCAACCTCCTTGGCTCCAGTGATCCCCCCACCTCAGCCTCTCAAGTAGCTAGGCCCTCACCACCACGCTGCGCTAATTTAAAAGTATTTTTTGGAAAAAAAAGAAAAAGCAAACCAAAGAAACAAAAAATATTTTTTGTAGAGACAAGATCTTGCTACGTTGCTCAGGCTGGTCCTAAACTCCTGGCCTCAAGTGATCCTCCCAGGAGTGAGCCACCGTGCCCAGCCCTGTTGCATTTCTTATGCTAGACTTTGTTGGACCTGGATGAGTAGCCAGCTTGCATTCACAATGGCTCTTAATTAAGCCTGTCCATTTCCAAGCCCACACCCTGAGGATGACCAGCGGGATTCTAGATGGTGCTGTTGCTGAATTTCACCCACCCAGGAACCTCCCTACCTCCACACTTCCTGTCATGTGGGACAGTAAATACCCCTCTTGTTTAAATGATTGAACAGCAGTGTACTGTAACTTGGAGCTCAAGGCATCTGGTGTGATACTGGCTGTAGCAGCAGGTAGGTTTCATTCTGTCATTCATTCAGTAAGGATCTCCTCGCCATAGAGTGCGAAGAGAAAAACACCTTTTCTCTGCCATAAATATTCATTAACCATATAAATATTACTTTAAGAACTTGGCTAGGTTATATTTTCTTTTTGAGACTAACACTTTCTCCCCTTTTAATAAAACAAAATACGTTTTCGTATTCTTAGAAATACATTGTTTCATTTGGCAAATCTTTATGTGTATTTTAACGTGTACATTTAGAAGTATGCAGTAATCAAAGGTGGCATTGGCAATTTAATATTCTGTTAGAAGACAGGACTTCCTTTTAGTTCTTTACAGAGAGGAAATAAAATAATCAAGAATGTCCTTTTCCAAGTTTCAGTAATTAGATTAAAATTTTTTTGAGTTGAGAAAGGATCAGACAAATGAATTCAGTTTTGTTTGTGTTAGAGTATGGGAAAATTGAAGAATTTTAGTGTCTTTTGAATGTTTGGCCTGTTCACATGATGAGGCTGTATTTCCCAGGCGTGGGAAGATGAGTGATTGTAGACTTTGATTCAGTATATGACCACACTTCTGAGAGCATGACACATTTCGAGAATAAATGATGCCTTTCATTGCCTTATGTAAAAAAAAATCTTCACGTTGGATAAGTCTTCTTCTAAAATGTTGCGTTTTCTCGGGAATCACAGGGTGTCTGTTATGGACTATGTTCCTGAAATTTAGTTCAAAGTAGTGGTTAAACTGTATACTAGTCAGATGGTTACTAGGATGTTTCAGTTTTCACAAAAGAAAGTCAAATGCCTTCTTTCCTTCCTTTTTGTGGTCAGACTGGTCTTGAAGTCTGCTAGCTCTTGCTCGCCACACGTTGTCCCGCCAGCTTCACTCTTGATGACAGCTCTCAGAGGGAGCAGAGTCCACATGGATGTGGTGTGTCCTGCCCTCCCTTGGCTCCCCCAGTAGTTGCTCTGCCTGACAAGTGCCCAGTAATTTGGCTGGACATGCAGAACATGACTTTTTAATTTTTTTCATCTGGAAAGAACATAAGCTATTTCCCCTGGGTTCTGCTGCTGTTAGTACTTGGACATTTGTTTTAGGATTTAAGTCTCTATTACCTTCCCACTGCTTCCACCGCTCCCCACTTTTTCCTTCTCAGGAGAGGAGTCTGGGGGCTTCTCTCTTTGCATGTCTTCCTGTCAAGTATTACCTATTATGATTCTGGTGAAGAGCGGACTGTCTTGCATCTAAAGGTAATGAAGACCATCTACTTCAGAAGTCTTGTTAAGTTCTGCGCTAAAACATTTATCTCCCATTTCTGTTATACCTGTAAAGGGGAGCAAAGAATTTGTGTCTTCAGAGAGAAGTCCACTATCCTAGTCCTTTCAGCCCCCTTGAGGTTTGGTGCAGGCCTGCCTGGGAGTTCCACAAATGGGAGTGTGCTCTAGGGCCCCCTGCCTGAACCAGTGGCCAGTGACTCCCTTTGGAGAGAATATCCCGGCAGAAGTTCTCGAGTCTCAGGACTTGCTGTAGGCGGTTTTATCTTGGTTTCAGCCATCACGAAATGTAGTTGATTGGATCAGTGACTGGGAATTTCAAGAACAGATTTTACAGGAGTGCTGTTTCCTTAGAGTTGTAAAGTTATTGACAGGGCCATTTCAACTTTGGTTAAACAGATTAAAGGTTGGCCGGGCGCAATGGCTCATGCCTGTAATCCCAGCACTTTGGGAGGCCGAGGTGGGTGGATCACGAGGTCAGGAGATCGAGACCATCCTGGCTAACACAGTGAAACCCTGTCTCTACTAAAAATACAAAAAATTAGCTGGGCGTAGTGGCGGGCACCTGTAGTCCCAGCTACTCAGGAGGCTGAGGCAGGAGAATCGCGTTAACCTGGAAGGCGGAGCTTGTAGTGAGCAGAGATCGCGCCACTGCACTTCAGCCTGGGTGACAGAGGGAGATTCCATCTCAAAAAAAAAAAAAAAAAAAAAAACAGATTAAAGGTCAAACTTGGGTAGTCACACTAACCTGAGCGTCTCCCCCACATAGGGAGTCTGTAAGTCCTTAATTTCATAAGAGACTTGAAGTAGAAGCTGTTTTCTCCTGATGTCCCCAACATATCCCTCCCTCCCTATCTTGATGAGGTGCTGGACCCCCAGGACTACTGCAGTGCTGTGGTGGGGGCCTTTCTGGTCCTCAGCCCAGCTTCTTCACGGCCGACTCTGTTGGGATGCATCATGCTGGAGATAACTATGTAGCCATTCCTTCCTAAATAGTCTTAGTCCTGTGGGATTGGAGAGGCCCTCTTTTCCCTTGGGGTCTCTAGGAATTAGGATTTCAGAACTTTTCCCTGTTTGCTATATCAGGTCAGCCATTGAGGATATTTCGGGTAATTCCCCTTGTTCAAGGCAGAATATTGTCATCTATAATGTTAATGGTTCTGAGAATTTGTATTCATACTTTCTGTATGCTTACATAAGTTTGTTTAAACATTTGAGCCTGATTGGTGTTGACAAATATTTGGTATTGACATATTTTTAAGTAAATATCTGCAGCTCTGTCATTTCTAGCCTTGTGATTTTGTGTAAGTTACTTAATCTCCCTAAGCTGTTAAAAAACCGAAGTGAAATTATTTATATGAAGAATTTATCAAAAATCTCGACGATTGTAATAGTAGGCATTCAAAACTGTTAGTCATCAGTGTGTTAAGCCTCTGGCCTGCCTGTCTTTACATACTGAGTAGAGTGAGTTGGAAGAATTGTTTTATTTGGGCTGAGGAATAACTGATGATTGGCAATATGATTATTATATCTTTTCTTCCCAACTTTGTATTTTGAAAATGTTCAAATCTACAGAAAAGTTGAAGGAATGGTACGATGAATCCTATATGTCTTTCACCTAAATTCACCAGCTGCTAACATTTGGCCACATTTGCTTGTCTGTCTTTGTATTACAATTTGTGTGTGTGTGACTGAACCCATTTGAAAGCAAGATACAAACATGGGCAGGTGCGATGGCTCACGCCTATAATCCCAGCACTTTGGGAGGCCAAGGTGCGCAGATTGTTTGAGGTCAGGAGTTCGAGACCAGCCTGGCCAACATGGTGAAAGCCTGTCTCTACTAAAAATACAAAAAATTAGCCGAGCATTGTGGTATGCGCCTGTAATCCCAGCTTCTTGGGAGGCTGAGGCATGAGAATAGCTTGAGCCTGGGAGGCGGAGGTTGCAGTGAGCTGAGATCACGCCACTGCACTCCAGCCTAGACGACAGAACGAGACTCCGTCTCAAAAAGTTACAAACATCATAACGCTTTTCAAAGAAATACTTTAGCACTCGTCTTCTAAGGACATTCTCCTACATAACTACAGCCGTTATCATTCTTAAGATAACTAACAGTCATTCCATAATATTGTTCCAAAATAGTACACATTCTGCTTTCCCCAGTTGTTACCAAAATGTTTTTATAGCTTTCTTTTTTTTTTAAACCTATCTAGGCTCTAATTAAGATTTACACCTTCTATTTAGTTATCTTTTATCAGTCTTATTTTTGTTGTTGTTTGTTTGTTTTTGAGGTGGAGTCTTGCTCTGTGGCCAGGGCTGGAGTGCAGTGGTGCGATCTCTCAGCTCACTTCAACCTCCGTCTCCCGGGTTCACGTGATTCTCCTGCCTCACCCTCCTGAGTAGTTGGGATTATAGGTGCCTGCCACTGCACCTGGCCTCCTTTCTTTATTTTTTATTTTATTTATTTATTTTTATTTTTGAGACAGAGTCTCACTCTGTCACCCAGGCTGGAGTGCAGTGGCATGATCTTGGCTCACTGCAACCGCTGCCTCCCGGGTTCAAGTGATTCTCCTGCCTCACCCTCCCGAGTAGTTGGGATTACAGGTGCCTGCCACTGCACCTGGCCTCTTTTGTTTATTTATTTATTTTTATTTTTGAGACAGCATCTCACTCTGTCACCCAGGCTGGAGTGCAGTCTCATGATCTCGGCTCACTGCAACTTCCGCCTCCCGGGTTCAAGTGATTCTCCTGCCTCAACCTCCCCAGTAGCTGGGACTACAGGTGCCTACTACCACGCCCGGCTAATTTTTGTATTTTTAGTAGAGATAGGGTTTCATCAAATTGGCCAGGCTGGTCTCAAACTCCTGACCTTGTGATCTGCCCGCCTTGGCCTCCCAAAGTGTTGGGATTACAGGCGTGAGCCACCGTGCCCGGCTGTTTTTAATTTTAAAATGTGTTTTGGTGGCTGGGTGCGATGGATCAGGCTGGTAATTTCAGCACTTTGAGAGGCCGAGGCAGGCGGATCACTTGAGGCCAGGAGTTCAAGACCAGCCTGGCCAACATGGTGAAACCCTATCTCTACTAAAAATACAAAAAAATTAACTGGGCATGGTGCTGCATACCTGAAATCTCAAGCTGAGGCACGAGAATTGCTTGAACCCAGGAGGCAGAGGTTGCAGTGAGCCAAGGTTCTGCCAGTGCACTCCAGCCTGGGTGAACACAGTATGACTCTGTCTCAAAAAAAAAAAAAAAAAATTGTTTTCGTGACACCTTTTTGAAGAGTCCAGGCTTATTGTCTAATATCATTATTTGCATCCTATAGACTAGATTGCATGTGTAAGCAGAATTGATAAGTGCTTCAGTTTCTTTAATTTTTTAATTGTAAATATGTTAAAAATCATTTTGATTCAAGGTAAAAGTGACATTCATTTTTCTTGTTCTTTGGTAAGTGTGGATTAAGTTGGTAACCAGAAGGAGTTACGGAGTGGTTCAGATGTCAGTGGAATGTGTGTGTGGGTAAATTTGGAACAAGCATCCACAGTGGTTTCTCAGACTCACACCCATCCGGAGGTAGTTATCTGGCTTAACATAGTGAGGATTTTATTTTAATATTTGGCCATGGTTTTATAAAGAAATGAACTTAACAATTGGAAAATTTAGTAAGACAAACTATATTTACATAATTTTCAAGAGATACTTTTGCTGTCAGATCCTTGGATGAAGACTAAACCTTAAATCTCTCAGGAATGCATCTTTTTCTTCTTCCCTCCCTCAACACTTTCCTATTGATTTAAAAAAAGAGCTTTAACTGCAGCTGAGACTAATACAGGATCCAGCTGTAGCTTTTTTGTTGTTGTTCATGTATCCGGTGATGGGCACAGCAAACTCATTGTATGAAAAGCCAATAAAGGAAAGGGCAGGGTGGGAAAAAAAATGACACTCCTCTAAAAGTATTCAAGAAATAGCAACAGGGTCTCGGAGTCTCCCTTTCAGATGACTGATTTAAATTCCATTCTAAAGTATTAATTTTGTTCGTGACTAGTCTAGAAGGCATTTTAATTTTCCCTTTTAATTATGTACACGCCACGTAACCAGAGAGTATATGTGAGGCTGACACATTATTTTCCTTGGAGGCAGAAAATAGTAAAGCATGAGAACCCAGAGAACTAAACGCTCCTCTTGTAAAATAGGGCAAAGATTCTTCAAAATACTGTTCATGTTCATGCTGGTATAGAGATAGCAAGGATCTGTGAAAGAAAGCCAGTTTCTCTTAAATTTGTTCAGTAGTACTCAAATTTATGCATTTACCATACAGCAAATAAATTCAGAATCAGTAGTTCAATCAAACTACATTCCACATTTGCCTATCTGTTTCAGTGTAATTTCTATAAAAGATTTGCATCTTCTGCTCTGTCTTAACAGGACCAGGTCCATATCACCATCCTGTAGCTGAAAATGAATTATGTTTTAAAGTGGTTTTTATGATCAATGTAATGATCATAAGACTAGTGATTTTCACATACTTATCTCAAGCATTTTGTTTTTCTTTTTTCACATTAAGGGGGTCAGATTTCTCATATTTCTTGTAATTGTAGCCAGACGTCCTGTTTGGGGACTATTAAATACCAATGGTGCCTGTGAAGAACTCATGCGATTCTGTGGTAACCATCTGAGTTATTCTTTGTAGATTTGATTTTATGGACAGGCCTCTTTGAAGTCCTGTACTCTATTTTTAGAAGCTCTTTTTTACGTTTCCGTGGTTCAGGGCATCAGTCATAAACATATTTATTATTCAGCACAAAAATGTTGTTCAGTGTCTTAAGGCTGTTTAAACTTTACGGAAATAATAAACCAGTGGCACTTCAGTGGATGTAATATATGAGCACTACTGAACAAATTTAAGGGCGGAGAATTTTGCGGTCCTTCACAGA
This sequence comes from Homo sapiens, assembly GCF_000001405.40. NCBI lineage: Eukaryota > Metazoa > Chordata > Mammalia > Primates > Hominidae > Homo > Homo sapiens. The sequence goes on along the minus strand of NC_000007.14, from coordinate 6,251,540 downwards.
TTGCTGCTCTGTCTGCGCCGCCATGAACGGTATTTTGAAGAATCCTTTCCTATTTTACACTGAGAGGGTTCCGTCTCCATGCTTCTCACACGTTTTGATTTTCTGCCTCCCACTGAAAGAAACGCTTTTGTAGCCCTTCAAGAAACTTCCTACATGTCTCCCCTCCTTCTCTCCTGCCTCATTATTACTCCTTTAAAGAAAAAAAAAAAAAAGAATAGTCTGATAGCTTTCTTTTCAGATTTATTTTATTTTATTTATTTTTTTTGAGACGGTGTTTCGCTCTTGTTGCCCAGGCTGGAGTGCAATGGCGTGATCTCGGCTCACTGCAACCTCCGCCACCTGGATTCACGCGATTCTCCTGCTTCAACTTCTGAAGTAGCTGAGACTACAGGCGCCCGCCACCACGTCCAGCTAATTTTTCTATTTTTAGTGGAGATGGGGTTTTACCATGTTGGCCAGGCTGGTCTTGAACTCCTGACCTCAGTCCACCCGCCTTGGCCTCCCAAAGTGCTGGGATTACAGGCGTGAGCCACTGAGCCCGGCTCTTCTCAGATTTATGTATGATTGGTTTGCTGCTCTGTGTTGTAGCAGAGACCCTGTGCTCTGAAGTAATTTCTGATCCAGTGAAATATTACAGGAGCGAGGGACTGTGCACCTTCAGTGTATTTGGTAATAAAGCACCTATTCTCTTTTTAGAAATCACTATAATCCACATGCCATTATAGTCATCCTTTTAAATTACACAATTGAATGGCTTTTAGTATATTCATAAAGTTGTGCGACCATCAGCACTATCTAATTTTAGAACATTTTTATCACTTCAAAAAGAACCTGGGCCCCATTAGCTGTCATCCCCTCCTCTGCAACCCCTGGCAGTCATTCATTGACTTTTTGTTTCCATGGACATGTCACGTAAATGGAATCATAGAATATGTGGTCTTCTGTGTTTGGCATTTTTCACTCAGCAGGTTCATCCATGTTGTGGCATGAGTCATTTTCCCAGGTTCATCCGTGTTGCAGCTCGATTCAGTGTCAGTGTCTGTGCTTCTCCTGTGGGTGGAACTGAGACTTGGATTGGTTTTAGTGTTGGGAGTGGTCAGAGAGGTTTTGCTCACCTCTGTCACATGGTTGAATCTGTGGCTGTGTGCTATCTTGAAGGTTTTTAGGTTTGCTTGTGTTTTCTTCCTATTGAAAAGGTTGAAGTTTATTTTAACCCGTATTATTTGAAGGACCACATCAAATCCTTGCTATTGAAATCCTTTAGTTGATAATCTTATGAACAGTTGCATCTGGAGTAGAATCATGTTGTCTGTAGAAAGTTTTTACTCTCTCTGAAGACCAATAGTGGGTTCAAGAAACAGAATTCCCCAAGGGAGCCATACTGAAATCTGTTAACAGAAGCGTGAAGAGTCTACTTCTCGGGGATTCCAGTGTGATCCCAGTGGTGGACATAGGACAACAAATTTCCATCCCCTGTTCACCCCAAAATCTCGACAAATGACAGGGAAGAGACTGGGATGGGGGGCAAGTGGGGAGAAGTTGGTCAAAGCGTACAGTCTTGCATTTGTAAGATGAATAAATTCTGGAGACCTCATGTACAGCCCTGTGACTACAGTTAGAGATAACGTATTGTATGCTTGAAATTTGCAGAGTGATTTTAAGTATTCTCACTACACAAGCACAAGGTAACTATGTGAGGCGAGAGGTATGTTAATCTTCCTGACTGTGGTCATCATTTCACAGTGTCTCCTTAATCAAGACATCGAGATGTACACCTTGAATATATCCAATTTTTAGTTGTCAATTGTATCTCAACGTAGGTGGGGAAAAAAGAGCCTGGGAAGGGACCTTTTGCAAAGGATAGAGTGTAACACACTTTTGGAAGGAAACTACAAATGGGAAACCTATAAGCAGATAAAACAGAAGGAGGGTTTAGAGTAAGCAGGAGCAGCTTCTGGGCAGCCCCTCACGGGGCTGTGCTCAGACTAGTTAGTGTTTGGATTTTGGGTTCTGTTGGTGATCGTGGAAATTGTGCTGCAAATAAGGAGAATTCAAAGGCCCTCCGAAGCCACTGTGCTGGGAGGGTTTTCTACACTCTTCTCTGTCCTTTCCTGTTCCTCTTGTTTTGAGGAGTCTACAGCATTTTACCCATAAGCAAATTTTCTTTACAGAGATTGGATTCCTTGCCTGGGGAGAATTGGAACTCAATGGGTGTGTACCAACACCCCAAGTAAAGCTTTTTAACATTTTTGTTTGTTTGTTTTGTTTATGCGGCTTCTCCAGTAAAGGGCCCTATCTTTTTCATCCCCAAGAGAAGCCCTCCAGTGGACAAGCTGTGCTCACAAACACAGAACATAGTGAACCTTCCCATTTGAAAGGGAAATCGAGTGAGAAAAGTTACCTACACGCAACACCAAAGGAAGACATAGCTAGCTTCATCGCATTTTTAAATGTGTACAAACAGCAAGGACCTCCAGATGGATGAAAAAACCCAACAGCGTGAAAGAGAAAATTTAAAATAAAATTTCTATAGAAACAGAGAAAGCTGACATCAAAAGAATTCAGAAGATAGAACACTGAAAAATGGTCATTGGCAACTTCCAGGAAGATGTGACTTGGGCACTAGGCTTTGTCTCACTTCTTACCTCCCCTCCCTTGAATCACCAGATCCCCATGGAAGTGATTGAGAAAAAGAGAGATGAAAAGCTGAATCAGAATAGATAGTGGGATCAGGGTGAAGAAATACCAGGGCCTGACTCATCACTCTGTTTCCTTAGAACTCAGTGCAGGGTTGTGAGGAACATATGGAGATGTGGTGTTGGCTGTGCTAATTTGGGAGAGCAGAGAGCGAGGGAGGCCTGATGACCCTGAGTGGCCACGGGCAGCCGGGGTGGGCTTGTGCAGCAGCGATATTGATGAGCAGCTGAACTGGGAGGCCAGAGGACACACGCGGCTTCAACACGCTCAAAACTGCTAGAGCTTCTCCTGGGCGCCACAGTCCTCCTTCCTGGTGCATTGGGTGGCATCCCACCCATCTGGAGTGGAAGCCAGGTCTAGACAGGGAGAGTTAGATGCAGAAACTAGAAAACAAAAGCAACACGATAGGCTCAGAGAAGGAGGCTCCCAGAGCTGACGTTCCCTTGAAGATGGACCACATCTCTGAATAGGCAGTGCAGTTTATATATGCATCCTCCAGCCTATAAACTTAGAGTTAGAAAACAGCAACAATAAAAACCCACCAACGTTTAGCAGCATTCTGAGGAGGAGGTCCAGCTATTCTTTTTTTTTTTTTTGGCTGGGGGGGGGTTGGGGGAGGATGGGTCTAAATACTATTGTTCAGAAATAAAGAATAAAGCAACATGTTTCCAAAAGAAAATAGGAGGGGGATATAATTTTTGAGGCAGAGGAATAGTATAATTTAGAAAATAGTAATTATAGAAATGAGAAGTAAATTTCAGATTGAATCTACTTTGTGCTGTTCTTAATAAACTTCAAGAAACACAAATAAGTGGTTGAAAGATGAGATAAAGCAACAGGCCAAGCTGAAAACTAGGGCAGAGAGAGTTATAAAATGAGGCTGGGCACTAAGCTTATGCCTGTATTCCCAGCGCTTTGGGAGGCTGAGATGGGGGGATCACTGGAGCCCAGGAGTTTAAGACCAGGAGTTCGAGACCAGCCTGGGAACCATGGTAAGCCCTCCGTCTCTACAAAAAACAAGAAAAATTTGGCCAGGTGTGGTGGTACACGCTGCACCTGTGGTCCCAGCTACTCAGAGGCTAAGGTGGGAGGATCGCTTGAGCCCAGAAGTTGTCAAGACTGCAGTGAGCTGTGATTGTAGCACTGCACTCCAGCCTGGGCGACAGACCCTGTCTCAAAAATAAATAAATAAAAATTATAAAGTGAAATGAAAGAGCTGAAAGAAACTGTAATGACAGTAAAAGCATTTGCAGAATTTTAAACTCCCTTACGATTCATGAAGAGCAAAAGTTTACAATGTAGAAAGTTAAATTATTGCTGTGATCTGAATAAATGTTGTTCGTAAAGAAGATACCAAAACAAATAGAACAGAAACAATAATCAGATTCAATGGGAAAAAGTATCTTTGAGCTGAAAAAAAACGAGCTGTTTCTGTATATTCAAAGAGCTCATTCTGCCTTAGATAAAATTAGTGGGAAGAGCAAGAAAGAGCAAGAGAGTACCCTGCAAACAGCCAGTCAGAACCTGGGGAGAGGGTTACTTACAACGAAATCGGGATGGTTTTAGACTTTTCTATAACATTGCCAGAAAATAGTGTCGTGGAGCTGAGGCTAAGTTTTAAGGGAAAAAAGGTTGTAACTAAGAATTAAATAGTCACACTAATTGTTGTTAATTTGTGAAGGCAGCAGAAAGATGTTCTCTGAAGATACAGAAGTTGGAGCTAGCACACTGCCTTCAGTGGGAGCTCACCCTGCCTTTGGACTTAGGAGTTATGTGAGCCAGTACCTTTCCTTACTGTTTAAGGCCATCAGCTTTTTTCTACTACCTGTACCTGAAATTTTTCTGTATGCCTTCTGTAAATTTTTCTTAAACAAAACTTGTTCATGGATATATTCTAACCAACTAAAAGATTGTTTGAATAACTCAAGAATGCGGAACTTGTGGTGTTAAAAAAAATACTGACATTGAATTGAAATCATGTAAACATAAATTTAAGTCTAAATTATAAACTTGATTACAGATGTTACAAATGAAAAGTCAAATATTGTAAATACTGAAAGAGAAGATATGTAATGGAAAGAGAAAAATCCCAGTTATTCAGTAACAATGCCAACAATAATAAATCTGGGTCAGATTCACTAGTAGAAACTGAGAAGTAGGTGGGGGTGGGGCAGGGACTGTTAGGAGAAAGTAAAAGCCCAGCCTTTATTTTTTACTGTTTTATTTTTGTTTTTGATAATTAGAAAAATACAGGTAGTGGTATGGTTTTAAAAAAAAATTAAAGATAATCACTAGAAAATTCAAAGTAGGATGTTCACATTCCACGTCACACATCTACATGTGTGAGGATATATGCATTCCTCGCTGGAGGAGGGAAAACAAAAGATAAATTTGATCACAGGATAAGGTCATGTCACGCAAAAATTCTATGGTATTTGGTTTTGTAAATTGGCTTTTAAAACTTACTTAGAATTTTGGTCTGGCATGGTAGCTCGTGGCTATAATCCCACGGTTTTGGGAGTTGAGGCGGGAGGAACACTTGAGGCAGGAGTTCGCCACCAGCCTGGGGAGCAAAGTGAGACCCCTGTCTCTTTTAAAAAAAAAAAAAAAATTATCCAGGTGTTGTGGCATGCTACTCAGGAGGCTGAGGCAGGACGATTACTTGAGCTCAAGAGTTTGAGGCCGCAGTGAGCTGTGATCATGTCTCTGCGTTCCAGTCTGGGTGACAGAGCAAGACTGTCTCAAAAAAGTTAAAAAAAAAAATTAAAAATTATTTAGAGGATAATTACCTATTTTGCCCTGTGTTTTAGAAAATCTTTAAGAAGCAAGTACCTTTTTTGGGGAGAGGGTTAATGGGAGATAATCCATTTTGTGAAATGTATTTGTTTAGAAATTTAGATCATTTGTGATTCCTCCCCAAACTCGGTCTCAAAAAAAATAAAAAAGAGTTTCACTCTTGCTGCCCAGGCTGTAGCGCAGTGGCACGATCTCGGCTCATTGCAACCTTGACCTCCTAAGTTCAGGTGATTCTCCTGCCTCAGCTTCCTGAGTAGCTGGGATTACAGGCGTGCACTACCATGGCTGGCTACTTTTGTACTTTTAGTAGAGACGGGGTTTCACCATGTTGGTCAGGCTGGTCTCCAAGTCCTGATCTCAGGTGATCCGCCTGCCTCGGCCTCCCGAAGTGCTGGAATTACAGGCGTGAGCTGCCATGCCCGGCCCCCAAACTCTTTTGAGGTAATTCTGGACAAACCTTTGTGAAGGTCTTGGAGGTAGAAACGCTTGGGTGGTGGCTGGAGATGAGTGAAAGTAGGGAAGAAGCCTGCTCCCGCTGGACACATTCTCTCTAGGGTGCACCTTCTCCCAGGGTCACGAAGGCTGGGATGAAAAAGAAAGTAGAGAGCAGTGTGAGCTTCCCCATCAGAGTATCAGCAGTCAGTGGAGGAGGAGCCAGAATTTGTGGGGCCTGAAACTCTCTAATTCTGAGGGCCCTCTTTCAGAAAAAGAATACAAATTTAGGTATCAAAATGAAAATTTAGAATGAAAAAGAAGTCACTAGTTGTACATTTTGAAAAGCTAAAACTACAAACAACTCAAAACCTAGAACCATATAACACAGTTCTTTCTTTGGCACACAACCTTACACTTTCCCCCTGCATTTTTGGTTACCTATTCTAATCTCTTCACGTAGCAATTTTGTAACATTTTATGTAAAAAGACTAGAAGGCCGGGCGCGGTGGCTCATGCCTGTAATCCCAGCACTTTGGAAGGCCGGGGCGGGTGGATCATGAGGTCAGGAGATTGAGACCATCCTGCCTGACACGGGAAACCATGTCTCTACTAAAAATACAAAAAAAAAAAAAAAAAAAAAAAAAAAAAAAAAAAAAATTAGCCGGGCGTGGTGGCGGGTGACTGTAGTCCCAGCTACTCGGGAGGCTGAGGCAGGAGAATGGCGTGAACCCGGGAGGCAGAGGTTGCAGTGAGCCGAGATTGCACCACCGCACTCCAGCCTGGGTGACAGAGCAAGAATCTGTCTCAAAAAAATAAAATAAAAGACTAGACTAAAGATAATCCAGTCTTTCCTCCAGGATGACTGAAAACATTTAAGAAACTTTCTTTCAAGGTTTTGACCATTAAAGTTTTAAGTTTCCATTTTAAAACAATAATTTAGCCTAGGAAATGTAGTGAGACCCCATCTTTACAAAAAAATTAAAAGCTGGGTGTGATGGTGTATACTGGTAGTCCCAGCTACTCAGGAGGCTGAGGCAGGAGGATCGCTTGAGTCCAGGTGGTTGAGGCTGCAGTGAGCCATGATTGTGCCACTGCTCTCCAGCATGGGTGACGAAGACCCTGTCTCAAACAAAACAAAAATAATTTTTCGGACATTTTGAAGCATCTTCTGGTCTTTTTCCTTTCAGTTTGTTTTTGGATTCTACTAGGGTACTTCAGAATACACAGAATAAAGCATTCTAAAAGCAATTAGTCTGTAATTAATGCACATGCAAAAGCAGTTGAAATAAATTCATTAAAAATTGCCACGAAGTTGAGTTACGTCATTCAATCCTGACTCTAGATGAATAGGTTTAGGAGTTTTGTCATCTGAAAACCTGTTTTTTTCCCCCCAGGCTGTTTTGTTGCTTTGGTAACATTCTTTTCTGCCATTTCTTCTGTGAAGTCTGAAAGTGTCCGACTTTGACAGGACAAAATGCATCAGATACATAAGATGCAATTCTGTATGTTGGGCTGCATAGAACATGCAACTTCAACACAGGCTTACTTACTATTTTAGTACCAGTACAGGTTTAAAACCTGTAAATACAGGAATTCTAATAAATTCTTCAAAATGTCAAAAAATGATGTATTTATAACTTACTTTGAACAGTCAAGTATATTCCTAACAGGAGAGAATTTCCATTTTGATGAGACAACAATGACAATGAAATCTTTTTAAAAATTCACTTCTCTGGTGATTGGAAAGTTTTCTCCTAGATTATCTCTGACTCCATACGATTCAAACCTCATTTCTTCTCCATTATCCTCACACTCCTGGTGTTAGTTACTTTAAGACATAGTCATATTAAAATACCACCTCTGACCCTACAGTTTTCATCAATTCATTGGGTAAGTTGATATAGGGCCGGAAGGAATATTCTAGGAAGTCATTTGTCCATTTGGAATGGCTGGCTGTAATTTAATTATACGCAGAAGAAGCTGAAAGCCACCTAAGTAAATTCCACTAAACCCAAACCAAATGTATTTCCAACTGAACCTCCCCTTATGGATTCCCAAAATACCCATCCCCTTAAGATGCCACCTGCCAGAAGAAGTGTGGTGAAGTGGAAAAAACTCTTAACCAACAGAGCTTTCTGGAGGTTCAAGTGTGCTTAACTTCACCATGTTATTACATTGCTTCCCCACCCCCATCCTGCCCCATCCCACCCATGCTTTGACCCAAAGCATGTGCTCGGTTAGCTTTGTTGTCACTGACCGCTGCTGGGGGTCAGGTGGTAGAGCCAGACCTGGCCAGTCACAGGTGTCGGCTGCCTTTTCACAGACCTGCTCCTCTATGCACAGAGACACAGGCCCAGCCCGCTGGGCTCTTCTCATCTTACCAAGGGCAGTTTGCGCTCTTATGCCTGGAGGTGAGAAGCCCTAATTTTTGCACTCAATGTCTATTAACTTTTCAGGCCAGACTTAGGGCAGAGAGTTGCTGGCTTGACAAGTTTTGGGGAAGAAATACCATTTTTAGAGCACCTGCAATTAATCATGAGACTAGGTGTGCATCTATTGACCACAGTCACCTTGGGAGGCACAAGTTTTACCTCCTAGAGAACTGAAGGGGCATGTCCCAGGACACCCATGGCAAGCTGTGAAACTTGCATTGTGGAACCCAGGTCTCCCTCACCTGGTTCTTTTTTTGTTCCCAGGCCTCTGTGCAGCCTCACGATTGGTGACCCTTGGTCCATTCTGGGGTCCCAGCACAGGGACTGCCTAGAGGGTGGCAGTGGGGTCTGGGAGGAGTATGGGAGGCACTGGGTAGGATGGTGTTGAATGTAGTATGACAGGGAATTCCTGTGACTCAGAGCATCTGGCTCCAATCTTGAGCTCATCCCCCTTTAGGCCTTCACTTGTTGAAAATGTAAATGATCCTGGACCTACATAGAGTCCCTTAAGAAGGCCCCTCTTCACGCCTGTAATCCCAGCACTTTTGGAGGCCGAGGCGGGCGGATCACAAGATCAGGAGTTTGAGACCAGCCTGGCCAATATGGTGAAACCCCATCTCTACTAAAAACACAAAAATTAGCCGGGTGTGGTGACGAGTGCCTGTAGTCCCAGCTACTCAGGAGGCTGAGGGAGGAGAATCGCTTGAACCTGGGAGGCGGAGGTTGCAGTGAGCCAAGATCGTGCCACTGCACTCCAGCCTGGGCAACAGAGTGAGACTCCGTCTTAAAAAAAAAAAAAAAAAAATGCCAGGCGCGGTGGCTCATGTCTGTAATCCCAGCACTTTGGGAGGCCGAGGCGGGTGGATCATGACGTCAGGAGATGGAGACCATCCTGGCCAACGCGGTGAAACCCCATCTCTACTAAAAATACAAAAAATTAGGTGGGCGTAGTGGTGGGCGCCTGTAGTCCCAGCTACTCGGGAGGCTGAGACAGGAGAATGGTGTGAACCTGGGAGGTGGAGCTTGCAGTGAGCCGAGATTGTACCACTGCACTCCAGCCTGGGTGACAGAGCGAGACTCCATCTCAAAAAACAAACAAAGAAAAAACCCCTCTGCCCTGTTCCCTTCCTTTGTGTAAAGGTGTGTTTATTGTGTTACAGTGGTATATGCAAGCATGAATGAGACTATTCTGTCCCCTGTCCTACCTCTTAGAAATAATTATTAGTTTCTTCTTTATGCATTTAATGTTTATTTATGCAATTATAATAAAAATGTAAATTCTTATCACTGCCTCCTGTTACACCTCACCTTTTTCATGTAATATCTGGAGATCATTTCGCTACACAGAGCCTTTTCGCACCTTATTTTTTTAAAACTGATAGCTGTCATAATTGAGCTTTTCCTGTACTCTAGGCCTTGTTCTAGCCCTTTCTTTCCCTCCCCACTGCAACCCCACCACTTTTTTTAAACAGCTCTATAGTATTCCATTGTGCTAATGGATCGGTTTATTTATCCAGTACCTTATTGATGGGCACTTGGATTGTTTCTAATCTTTCGCTATTATGTTGTAGAGAATGTGAATATGCCGTTTTTTACACATTTATCTGAGAGAGAAATTTTCAGAAGTGGGATTCTTATGCTAAAAGGAAAATGTGTTTAAAATGTTGTTAGATGTTATCAGACTTCCCTCCACACTCACTGTTTTTTACACCCATCAACAATGTGTGAGATTGCCTGGTTCCCCACAGTTTTGTCAACAGGTAGTCTGTCAAACTTTCGGATTTTTGCCAGTCTGATGGGTCAGAAATGGTATTTCCGTTTAGTTTGCATTTGCTCTTCTCTGGTTATATGCCCATTTATCTGTTGGGTTGTTAGTCTTTTTCAAATTCTCGAAGGTCTTTGCATAGTAGGGGATTAGTTCCCATGGATTGCAAATGTTATCTTCCACTTCACCATTTCTCTTTTGACTCCTTGGGTTTACTTGGGTTTTGGTTTTGTTTTTGTCGTGCAGAAGATCATGTGTGTGTTTAATGCAACCAAATGTATTTCTTTTTTTTTTTGAGATGAGTCTCACTCTGTCGCCCAGGCTGGAGTGCAGTGGCACAATCTCGGCTCACTGCAACCTCCGCCTCCCAGGTTCAAGCGATTCTCCAGCCTCAGCCTCCTGAGTCACTGGGATTACAGGCACATGCCACCATGCCCAACTAATTTTTGCTTTTTTTTTTTTTCAGCAGAGACGGGGTTTCACCATGTTGGTCAGGCTAGTCTTGAACTTCTGACCTCGTGATCCACCCGCCTTGGCCTTCCAAAGTGCTGGGATTACAGGCGCGAGCTACTGCGCCTGGCCTCCTTTTTTTCTTTTTTCACACCTAAATTATGAGTCACACTTAGAATGGAAGGCCATTCTAAGATTATAAAAGAATTTGCCGATGTTATCTGTTTTCTTCCTGTACTTCTGTGTTCATGTTCTACATTTAAATCTTTGAATTGTTTGGAGTTTATTCTGATGTGTGGCGTGAGGTATAGATACAGCTTCAACTTTCTTTCCCCAAAAGGCTGCATTGTCCCAACACCAGTTATTAAAAAGTTCATCTTTACCTTGCCACTTTTATCATATATTAAAGTACCATCTGAGTCTTTCTGGATTTACTATTCTGTTCCATTCTGTCTATTCAGATGCCAGCATGACATGGTTTTACTTATTGAGACCATGGTATTTTAGTATCAGTTAGGGTTAATCTCCTCCCCTCCCCACCTCATTTTTCTTTATTTTCAGAGTTTTCCTGGTTATTCTTGCTTGCTTGTTTTTCCTTGTGATCTTTAGAATCTGCTCATCAACAGAAAAGAAACAGCTTCTGATCTCATTCTTTTTTTTTTTTTTTTTTTTTGAGATGGAGTCTCCCAGGCTGGAGTACAATGGCACGATCTCAGCTCACTGCAACCTCCACATCCCAGGCTGAAGCAATTCTGCCTCAGCCTTCTGAGTAGCTGGGAGTACAGGTGCCTGCCACCACACCTGGCTCATTTTTGTGTTTTTAGTAGAGACGAGGTTTCACTGTGTTGGCCAGGCTGGTCTCGAACTCCTGACCTCACGCGATCCACCTGCCTTGGCCTCCCAAAGTGCTGGGATTATAGGCGTGAGCCACTGCACCCAGCCTCTAATTTCATTCTGATTGCATTAAATATATAAATTAACTTAGAAAATGTATCTTTATGATGTTGCAGTTTCTGATTACGTTAAATTTATGAATTAGAAAGTATATCCTTATGACATTGCAGTTTTCTTTCCAAGAACATGATATGCCTTATTTGTTCAAGTCTGTTACCATTCAAGTGTGTTAGTTTTCCTTCTACTTACATATGTTTTATGCATTTATTATTAAATTTATTTGGATATTTGGTATTTTATTGCTATCATAAATGAAGTATTCTTTTCTACTTTAGTGTCTAACTAGTTATTTGAATTTATGAAAGCTATTGATTTCTCTATATTAATTTTATATCTCATTTGCTTAGCAAATTATCTTACTGTTTTTAGAAACGTTTTTCATTTGCTTCTCTTGGATTTTTCCACTTACACAGTCATTTCTTTAGCAAGTGATGGTTTTATCTCCTCTTTTCTAATTTTTCTTCTGATTTTAGTCTCTTGTCCAATTGCATTGGCCAATGCATTCTGTTTTGAAAATGTTCACTTGGACCCTCCATATGGAGATGTAGGTTTGGAGCTTAGGAGAGATAGTAGGGCTAGACATCAACTTTGGAAGTCATTGTCTTAAAGATGGTGGTTGAAACTCTGGGAACTTATATGTTGGCTAAAGGGGAGAGGTCAGAGCTGGGGATGGAGACGGGGCAGTGGTGGGCAGAGACTAGGAAGGAAGGGCTGCGTCTTCTCTTCTCTTTCTCTCTTCCATTTCCCTCTTCTCTCCTCTCCCCTCCCCTCTCAACAAATATAAAGGTTGTCTTGATGAAGTATAAAGGTTGCCCTGTTGCCCAGGCTGGAGTAAAGTGGTGCGATCATAGCCTCACTGCAGCCTCCAACTCCTGGCTCAAGTGATCCTCCCACCTCAGCCTCCTGAGTAGTTGGGACTACAGGCATGTACCACCATGCTTGGCTAATTTTTGTATTTTTTGTAGAGATGGGGTTTTGCCATGTTGGCCAGGCTGGTCTTGAGCTCCTGGCCTCAAGCAATCAGCACGTCTTGGTCTCCCAAAGTGCTGGAATTACAGGTGCTAACCAGTGTGCTTGGCTTTTTTTTATTATTATTATTATTTTTAACCTGGAGTTCTGATTTCCAATCTTTTCCCCTTTTAAATAGACTTTATTTTTGGAGCAGATTTAGGTTCACAGCAAGAATGAGCAGAAAATAAAGAGCTCCCATATACTCCCTGCCCCCACGTGCACACAGCCTTCCCCGGCTGTCGACACCCTTCACCACAGTGGTCCATTTGTTACAGTCGATGAACCTACATTGACATGTCATTGTCACTTGGAGTTTTCATTAGGATTCACTTTTGGTTATGGTACATTCTATAGGTTTGGGCAAATGTTTAATGATGTAATGATGAGTACCCACCGTTATAGTATCATCCAGAACAGTTTCACTGAAGGGCTTTCTTTTTACATTTACTTTTGCTTACTCAATATGCCTGCCTGTTTGTATAGGTTATTGACATTATCTGTAATGTATTTACTAAGCATACAGCTTAGTGTACTTTACTAAGCATAGTACTTTCATTAGTCTTTATTGAACTTCATCTTGTTTGTTAGCCATCATTTCTTTAATCTTTCAATACTTATTTCTCTGTCCTTTTGTTCTTTTTAGAGGAGGAGTAAATCATTTCCTTTAGTAGAAATTGTTTAAACCTGTAGGGAGGAATTGTGCTTCAAGGTTGTTTCTTTTGATTATAAATGAATGAATTAAATGTATACTAAGATTCACAATTAAAAAAATATTGAAGTGAATTTAAAAAGCAATGCAAAAGCTCACATCTAACTCTTAAAATAGTAGTAGTTCATTCTTATTCTGGTTGGAGTAAGTTCTGTGGTCATTTTCCTGGATTTCAATAATAACCTCTAAGGAGACTTGATGAAGTATACAGATTGTCTAGGATATTTAAAATGCATTTTCTTCTATAAATTAGAATGTTACAATGAGTGGGGACCCTGGTATCTTTACCTATAGCTGACTCTATACTCATTGCGTAACATCTCAGCCAAACTGATTTGCAGGCCAGATTCTAGCATTATAGGATGATACTTGCACACGTGTTCCTCAGCCTTGGGTTTGCCACTCCTGCTATCCTTGGAAGTTGGCTGACTTTTGAGACTTACAGGAAGAGAGTAAACATACATTTACAAGTAGTAGTCAAGTTTCTGTGTATTGCTTGGACATATACGTGGAACCTTCTAATTGGCAATAATACTTTTGGAAATAAACATTGCATGTGTGGTTTTTTTTTGTTGTTATTTTTTAGATAGAGTCTTGCTCTGTCGCCCAGGCTGGAGTGCAGTGGCGCGATCTGGGCTCACTGCAACCTTCTGCCCCCCGGGTTCAAGTGATTTTCCTGCCTCAGCCTCCTGAGTAGCTGGGATAACAGGCGCGTGCCACCATGCCTGGCTAATTTTTGTATTTTTCGTAGAGACGGGGTTTCACCATGTTGGTCAGACTGGTCTCAAACTCCTGACCTGGAGATCCGCCCGCCTCGGCCTCCCAAAGTGCTGGGATTACAGGTGTGAGCCACCACACCGGGCTGCATGTGTTTTTAATAGAAATCAGATGGGATGGGAAAAGGTGGGTGCTTCCTTCTTTGTAACTAATTTCGTCAGTGTAGTAGATTTATTTTCTCAGCCTTTTATCAGTGGGATGTGAGCTGTCCTCTGAAAACTAACATAGCTCAGACTGTTCCCCAGGCAACTGTGTTCCCTGCGGCAGTGTTGTTGCACTTGTACCTCCAGTGCCTATCAGACCAACAGTTCTAGTCTAAAAGTGGATTGAGAAGACAGTTTGTGTAGAACTCGCTCTGGGAGAGCTGAAGCAACGCCTGCCGAGGCGGGAGCTGCTCTGGTTCTAAGTGCTGTCTCCTTTGATCAGGAATTCTTTGAGCTGCTTCTCCAGCAAGTACTCCTCTGCTTTGACATGAGCCTTCTGTGAGCCGTTGTGAAAAGAAATGCATTTCACCAAAACTCGGAAGCTGATCTAGGCCTACTGACCATGAGAGTCTTTGTAGAACATTAATTGGGAAATTTGTAAATTTTGAAAATCTCTTTGAAACACTACTTCATATGTAACAGGTACACTGTCAGAAAAATGGAGACTTGGCCGGGCGCAGTGGCTCACGCCTGTAATCGCAGCACTTTGGGAGACTGAGGCGGGTGGATCACTTGAGGTCAGGAGTTCAAGACCAGCCTAGCCAACATGGTGAAACTTTGTCTCTACTAAAAATACAAAAAATTAGCTGGGTGTGGTGGCATGCGCCTGTAATCCCAGTTACTCAGGAGGCTGAGGCAGGAGGAGAATTGCTTGAACCCAGAAGGTGGAGGTTTCAGTGAGCTGAGATCATGCCACTATACTCCAGCCTGGGCGACAGAGCGAGAATTTGCCTAAAAAACAAAAACAACAACAATAAAAAAGAGGGGTGGTGGACTTAATCATAAGAAATAGTTATTTGCAGGCCAGGCGCAGTGGCTTATACCTGTAATTCCAGTGCTTTTGGAGGCCAAGTTGGGAGGATTCCTTGAGCCCAGGAGTTCAAGACCAGCCTGGGCAACATAGCAAGACCCTGTCTGTACAAAAAGTAAAAAAAAAAAAAAAAAAAGTCAGGCGTAGTGTGCGCCTGTAGTCCCAGCTACTCAGGAGGCTGAGGTGGGAGGATTGTTTGAGCCCAGAAGGTCAAAGCTGCAGTGAAGCAAGATTGTGCCACTGTACTCCAGCCTGGGCAACAAAGCAAGACTCTGTCTCACAAAAAAAATAAGGGGGGGGTTATTTTCTGTTAATATATCCTATATATTAACATTTCTAAAACCCTTGTCTGTGTCTGCATGATACAGTTTAAGATTCCGCAGCTGTCTTCATCCTTTCGGATGTAATCCTAGAGTAGTTAAGTATCAGGTAGTCAGGTTTGCTGAAGCTCTTAATTGTTGGAGGGGATATGCATGTGTGACTTCGTGAATTGGCTAGGCTGGTTTCATTTTTAAGCAATAGCCAATCCTAGGTGAAGAAATGTGAATATAAACATTTCAAAATAATTTCTTTACAGCAATAGATTGGAGCTACTGCCCTGTACTGATTCAACTTACTCGTCGTTTTGTTTTGTTTTGTTTTTATAGCGGGAGACTTTTCTTCTTTTGGTAGTATAGAGTTGTGGGAAGAGAATAGAAAACTCCACATTTGAGTGGGGTTTCTGTCTCTAATGGCTTTATAATTTGCTTGATTTCCAAGACTAGAAAAAATTGTAAATGAGCAGCAAGATACTACCAGCTGTTGTATTGCTTTACTCACATGTGACATGTTGTATTTTTTATTTCAGTGTAGTATCTAACGACTCCCGTGTATAAGAAAGAACCCGTGGTAGGTTTCTGAGAAGTACGGAGTTAGGCAGGACCTAGGGGCCGCTCTTAGGGAGCTTCGTGAGGATGCTGTGGAAATAACTGGCTGAGATGTGGTGCATGATCTAGCAAGCACTAAGCAGTTTTTTTTTTTTTTTTTTTGAGATAGAGTCTCCCTCTGTCTCCCAGGTTGGAGTGCAGTGGTGCAATCTTGGCTGACTGCACCCTCAGCCAGGTTCAAGCGATTCTCTTGCCTCAGCCTCCTGAGTAGCTAGGATTACAGGCATGTGCCACCACACCCAGATAATTTTTGTATTTTTAGTAGAGACATCGGTTTCACCACTTTGGCCAGGCTGTTCTTGAACTCGTGACCTCAAATGATGTGCTCGCCTTGGCATCCCAGAGTGCTGAGATTACAGGCGTGAGCCACTACGCCTGGCCCACTAAGCAGTTCTTACTGCGTGGATCAGGGCAGGTGCTGGGAAAGGTGGTCATCGAGCCTTAAAGGATAAGTGACAGGCATTCTGTGAGGAGGAAATATACATGCGCATGGCAAAGGAGCATGATGCTCTTGGGGAGTGAGTGGTGGGTGTGAGTAAGGTTTTGGTGGGATATGAAATTGGGAACATCATTTAGGACCAGATGCAAGGCACTGAAGTGAGGGATCAGAGGCTCTCATTTTCTTGCTGAGTAGCTGGGGAAGAACCATTGATAACTGAATGACCTTCTTTACCAACTTGGGCCACGTCTCATATTCTTATTATTATTTTCAACAAATTACTCAAGCTCTCTTATTACCAATTAGCAGGAAGTCCAGTGTCTCCTTCAGGGTGACTTTTCTTGACCAAGAATTGTCCTGTAGAACTCCAAGGGTTGATCTTGTTCAAAGGGGTTAGCCCTGCCACGCGGTGGGAGAGCTGGAGGGCCCTAGAGCTACAGCTCTCCCAGTTTGCACTCGTGCACCCAGTTCTTACTCACTAAGTACAGCTGCTCAACAGGTCACCGGGTCCCCAGGGGCTTCCAGTCACAGGTGTGGGATGTCCCGAGACCAGCCCTCTTCATGAGCATCCAGGCCTTGGTGTTGAGCCTGAGTCACCCTCCCATGGTGACTTCCTCTATGGGGCTTTTGATGTTCTTGCCTGCAGCAAACCTCAGTTGGGGACATCAGTAAATCGTGTTCCTTTTGAACTTCTATTGGGAAGGAATGAGGGCCTCTCCTTTTCCTCCAATAGGCTCTGTGGCTCAGATGCAGAATTAGCCAGTGAGTTTTCAATTCTTGGGAAGGCAGTCCTTGGTCAGAACCCAGAAGATACTTCTCTTCTTTTTCCAGGGCAGTGGGTGCCTCCTTCACTGATCTTTGGATAACTAAGAGAGGGCCACTCCAGAACTCTCCCTTGTTAACAGGGATCTCCAGTGGCCTCTAACACATGGGAAGGTCCCCCTCACAAGACTCCTGCTGCACTTGATAAAGGTTACTGGATAGTTGATCAGTTCTGCGATTTAGAAAGATAATGATATGATGTTGTAATGGATTGAATATTAATGTACTCCAAAACTCCTGTTAAAATCCTCGCCCTGAGGTGATGGTACTAGGAGGTGGGCCTGATGGTACTAGGAGGTGGTTCTTTGTAGGTGATTAGCTCATGAATGAGATCCTTGTACAAGAGGCCTCAGACAGCTGCCTTGCCCCTTCCACCAAGTGAGGACACAGAGAAAAGGCAGCTGTGCAAGAACCAGAGAGCAGCCCTCACCACACACTGAATCCGCCGGCACCTGGATCTTGGACTCCCCACCCTCCAGAACTTGTAAGAAATTGATTCCTGTTTACAAGCCACCCAGTCTTTCGCATTTTGTTATAGCAGCCCAAACTGACCAAGACAGTTAGAAAGATGGGACTGGTGGTAAGGCCCTGAAACAGGGTAGACGCTGGGACTGAGATGAAGAGACACATTTACTGAATTTTTTTTTTTTTTTTTTTTGAGATGGAGTCTCGCTCTGTCACCCAGGCTGGAGTGCAGTGGCGCGATCTCGGCTCACTGCAACCTCTGCCTCCTGGGTTCAAGCGATTCTCCTGCCTCAGCCTCTCGAGTAGCTGGGACTACAGGTGCCCACCACCACGCCCAGCTAATTTTTTGTAGTTTTAATAGAAATGGGGTTTCATTGTGTTAGCCAGGATGGTCTCGATCTCCTCACCTCGTGATCTGCCCTCCTCGGCCTCCCAAAGTCATTTACTGTTTTAAACAAAACAAAAACTAGTTACAAAGGTAGAATTGGCAGGATTTGGTGACCTCTTAGATATGGGTCAAAGCTAAAGCTTGTCTAACTTGATAGTAAAGACTTGAAGGCGTGGAGTAGGAGAAACAGTGTGTAGAGGATAAGGTAATTAATTCCTTTTTGGACACACTGATATATCTGCAGTCCTATTGGAGATGTCTAGCTGGCATTGAGTATACTGGTGTGCTGAAAACCTAGGTGATCACTAAAGTTGAGAAAGCAACTTCAGAGAACATTTAGAATGAGGAAGGTAGACAACTGGAATGCAGCCTGGGGAGCTGTAGTATTTAAGGAGCTTGGGAAGAAAGAGGAATCCTGTGATACCAGGAGGCTGAGAGAGAATGGACTGTAGAAGTAAGAGAGTAGAAGTGGTAGAGTGGTTTCAACTGAGCCAAGGGGCAGAGGGCTGCAGGGAGGTAGGAGGTGGGGGTCAGGAGTACCAAATACCATGGCTAAGAGGCTGGCACCCGAAGTGGATGTAAACTCAGGGCTCCTAGTTGCAAATCACAAAAAATGACTCTGGCTAATTTAAGTGTATAAGGAAATCATTGGAAGGGTGTGGGGGAAGTTACAGAACCTACAGGAAGTACAGAGAGCCACGCCCAGAAAACTGACCGTAGACGAGGGAAGCGGGACAGTCAGAACCACAGCCGCAGCCGAGACCACACAGTCTGGCTGAGGTTGCCCAGTGGCTGCTGCTGCAGCCACCACTGCTACAGTCCTGGCTGTTGCTGGCACTGGCAAAATGATTTCCAAATTGTCTGTTTCTTGTCACACTCTTTTTGGTCTGAGCCCTGGGCAGAAGTTTGGGCTTCTGCGATTGGCCAGGTTCACAACAGGAGGCTGCAGGGAGAACCAGGACCTGGCTCTTTTGCTTCTGTGATGGCAAGTGGTCCATCATTACAGGCCATGTGGTCCACCTGTCACGATAGCCTTAGAAGGAGCAGGGGAATAGCAGTTGGGAGAAGAATAAATGGAGAATAGGAAGTGGGAGTGCCGGGTAGAGCATCTCCAAGGCCAGCAGTCAGACTCAGAGCTTGCTTAATCTAAGAGTGTGTCCCGGGGTGCTTCTTGTAGTTGCAACTCTTAAGGCCTCCTTGAATCTGGCTGTGGTACTCCCAAGATTGGAGAACCAATTAGCCTGCTGGTTTGTTTCAATAACCAGAATTGTGCATATGTCTGGAATGAGTTTAAGGGTGGTTATGCTTATCAAGGATTGGGGATTGGCAATGGGTCTAGTGGAAGGGTAAAAGGTAAGACAGCCATTCAAAAAAAGGTGCATCTTGGTGCTGAACTGGGAGGGAAGCAAAGTCTTGAGGGTGCAGAGAGATCAGGAAAAGAGGCAAGTTTAAAACTCAGATGCAAACGGGGGCAAGAAAGCAGAACAGGTAAATTGTTGCAGGTTATGGCCAGAGAATAATTTCTCTGGAGATCAGGCTCGTTGGAGAGCCTGTTCCGACAGTGAAGATTCAGGTGGTGTTAGCAGGGTGCCTTGTGGCCCGGGTCCCGATGCCTTTAAACCATTATTTGAGCTCCTGCCCTTTGGTTTGATCATGTGCTCACATGACAATTTTCCAATTATAAATGGGATCCCCACTTGGGGGATAATAATCATGTTAATATCTAGGATTCTCTTACCTGTGATAAGTTTTTATTTGTTTCTATGAATTGATCAATCAGCATTGAGAGAATGCAGTAAACTATATGGCCAAAGACTCATATTTGTTTGGTAGCTGTTATTTCTTATTGTTAATTTATACATGGGCACACTGGTTTGATACATACATTTCTCCAGTGTGCTGAATGTGTGTGTGTACCTGAGAGGTGGATCTGTTCCTGGCACGTAAAGCAGTCCTGGAGATGAGCACTGCTGGGTGAGGCTGCCTGGGAGACACCCCGGCCTCACCACCCTGCAAAGACTGAGACGCTGTCTTGACATCATCTGAGCTGTGAGCAGGCTCTGCCCTCCTGCAGGGCTCTTTGGAGTCTTCGTGCTCACTCTGTTTCCTTTGCCCAGGAGGCTCTTCTCCCAGTCCCCACTCTTGGTCTGGCCAACTCCTCTTCCTCCTCCAAGTCCCTTTTCTCTTTTCTCTCGTAGAGTTTATCAGTGTTTTGAAATAATACATTTGAGTGTTAAGTGCTGCGTTCCCTACTAACTAAACAGAAAGCGTGAGGAGGGCAGAAGCCCTCTGCCCGTCCCCACTCATGCATCATCCGACTGCAGACAGTTGTCTGGAGAGAGCAGGCAGGCAGTAGTGTTTGATGAAGTCTAAGGCGTGGGTTAGTACAGGTGAGAGGGGAAAGGCCTGGGTAACTCAGGGAGCCGAGTGGCTGGGGTGACTGTGGGGAAAGTGAAGGCACAGTAGGAAGTCTGTGAGAACAGCTCTGTGTGGAGCCACAAAATCACTGATTTCAAGATGAAAGTGGCCTTATTGACTTTTTTCCTGAGATTGTGTAAGTACAGGCTCTTAAAAAAATTATAGAAAATTACAAAGAAGAAAATAAACATTACCTATAATCCTACCGTTATCAACCTTTTGGTTTGTATAACTTTTTTCAAAATACGGGATTTTATGTACTTAGAGTGTTGTACCCATTTTTTTTCATTTACTATGTTGTAGACTTGTTTTCATGTAGTAAAGGTTTACCTTGTCATTACATGGCTGCATTGGATCCTTCTCATGTAGTAAAGGTTTACATTGTCATTATGTGGCTGCATTGGATCCGTGGCATGAAACTTGCTGTGTCTAGTATTGTGGACGCTTAGGTCTCTTACATTTTTTTCACCGTGTAAACCCCACTGTGATGATTATTCTTCCTGTTGTAATTTCAGTCCCCTAAGACACAGAATTTTAAGTCTGGTGGCTAATAGAGTAAGCAGAATGATAATTAGGATTCCAGGTTTTTATTTTTGACTAGTTTTGTTTCTTTGGGATTTGCATTAGTTATTCTATACAGCTTAAGTTCCCTTTTCCCTGCGGTAGAACGGGAATAGGTATCTTAACTGTAGGTGCCTGAGACTCTGCTTTATGGAGATATACTCCTTGTAAGTTTCCAGCTGAGGCACCAATGTTAATAGTGGTTAATATAATCAGAACAATAATAGCAACAATAATAACGGCCACATGCATCACTTTCCATTCGGACTGAGTTTGTTTGGTGGTCTCACAACCATCCTTGAGTTGAGATGGGTTTTTTTATTTTATGTTTATTTTTATTTATTTTTGACATGTAGTCTCACTCTGTCGCCCAGGCTGGAGTGCAGTGGCATAATCTCTGGCTTATTGCAACCTCCACCTCCCAGGATCAAGCGATTCTCCTACCTCAGCCTCCTGAGTAGCTGGGATTACAGGTGTGCACCACCACACCCGGCTGACTTTGTATTTTTAGTGGAGACAGGTTTTCACCATGTTGGCTAGGCTGGTCTCGAACTCCAGACCTCAAGCTATCACTCACCTTACCTTTCCAAAGTGTTGGGATTACGGGCATGAGCCACCCAGCCCAGCCTGAGATAGATAATTCCATTTTTTTTTTTTTTTCTTTTGAGACAGGGTCTCTTTCTGTTGCCCAGGCTGGAGTGCAGTGGTGTGATCTCAGCTCATGGCAAACTCCGCCTCCCGGGTTCAAGTGTCTCTCTTGCCTCAGCTTCCTCTGTAGCTGGGATGACAGGCACCTCCCACCATGCCCGGCTAATTTTTTTTTTTTTTTTTTTCAGTAGAGACGGGGTTTCACTATGTTGGCCAGGCTGGTCTTGAGCTCCTGACCTCAGGTGATCCACCCACCTTGGCCTCCCAAAGTGCTGGGATTACAGGCGTGAACCACTGCGCCCAGCCCTGAGATATGTTCTATGAGCCCTACTCGACCGCTGGGAAAACTGAGGCTTAAGCAGATTAGATAACTTGCACAGGCTTGTAAGGGTGCAGTTGGGCGGTGGACCACTGTTGCTTGTTCCTGGAGTCTGCCGCAGCAAGCACGCTTTCTTCATTCTGTGTGTCTCATAGGAAAATGAGCACACCTGATATCAGTGAAGTATAATTTCTTTATAAGTTTAAAGAGACTGTTTTTAAACTAGAAACAAATGTTTTGTCATTATTTAGACATATGTAAAATTAGGTGTTAATTGTTTTTCTTTGGCTATAGAGGAGTAGCAGATGAAGAGAAGCAAGTAAGGAGAGGCTGGCATTCTGGCCAACTTTGATAACGACATAGTTCCTCTTTAGGTCCTCTACACTTTATTTGGCTAATTCAGGTTTTACTTCTGTTCCACTGTTTTATTCTGTTGCTAGACAGCTGTTAAACATCTGTTCCCTCTGCTCAGAGGGGGTGTGGTTATCTTCATATGTCTACACAGTGGCTTTCTGTATCCTGTTCGTATGTGCCCTAGGAGCCTTCAGAATAAAGGGGCTCGGACAGCGATTGCACAGTGTCTTATGTTTTCCTTGTCACTGCATCCTCAATAACTCACTAATTACCAATAAAAATGTCTAACAAAATTAGATATTTTTCCCACCAGAGGAATAAAGGAAAAGAAGATAAGATTAAGTGGAAGGAAGAAATCTATTTAAAAAGGGGCGGATTTTTACATTCTTAAAAACACAGCCGTGTTCTTGAGTGTGAGGGAATCCTTTTGTGGATCTGGTCTGTGGGAGGGGTTGATAGAAAGTGTGGGAGGACCCTGCTCAGAGCGGGAGGCAGCCCGGATTTCCAGAAGCGAAATGTTAAAGTTGAGCATGGTTTGGATGCAGATAAGAAGTTCTTTTGCTTCCTCTACTTGTGTTAAAACTGTTCATTTTTTATTTTTAAGGTCATCTGGGGGGAGTTTCTTTGCTTCCAGCCTGGATCTCTCAGTGTGGCCTGACCCCTGAATCCTACCCTCCCACACAACTTGAGAACTTGATTCTTTTCTCACAAAGACTTCTTTCCAACCCCTCCCCTCCCCCTAGAAGACTCCATATTTGGAGCTGAGTATTTTGAACAGGGCCCTGGCCAGAGGGCATGTTACATATGTTGTTCTGTCCCATGTACATGGAAAAGCATAAGCTTTAAAGCAAATGTATATAAAAAATGGAAAAGGTCCCTCTAAGCCAGGGACACATGATTTTCTGTTATGAATGTGCTGTACTTATATGATCATTCTCTTTAACTTGCCTCTTTGAAACTGGAAAAAAGGTGAGCAGAAATGGCTGGAGGTAATGAAAGGGAATAGAGAATCAAGGAAATAATTTCTTTGACCATTCTTTTGTGAGCCTTGGGTTAGCAGAGTTAAATACTTAAATAAGAACATAAAATAAGGGAAAGCTTCACATTTCCACATTCATTATTAAATACTTTTTAAATAGGAGAATGAGTCAGAGTGAACCCTAGCAATTATCTCGTTGTTGTTGAAATCTAGCCCACCTACCACATTTTCATAATTAAACACAGGCCTGAGGCAAACATCAGGTTCTCATTCTCCAGAAAGTGAGCACTTGTATACCCTGGTTCAGCCGAGGTCCAGTAAGGTTACTTGTTCACATTCACTGTGGAATTCTCTGCTTGGGAAACCATCATGTTCAGGAACATTCTCAATAAAGTTTATGAGATATCGTATTGGCCTGGAACATGCACAGAGAATTTGACAACCCGTTTGGGTGGAGGAATACAAACTTCGTAATTATTGAAAACATAGTTGTTGTAAATGCTTCCCTTTGGTTTGCTTACTTGGGCCCCAACCAGAGGTTTTCCAGCCTTGGCAAAGCTGCCTAAAGCCTTTTGTGTAGAGTAAGGGCCCTGATAGTGGCATCCTCGTTTTGATTCTGTCTGTAGTGGGAACGCTTCCAAGTCTGATGCTTGTTGTAGGTTTCTGCCAGAGGTCCTTCACTTAGGTTAAGACATCTTCTATTCTTAGTTTAATGATTTTTTTTAAATCAGGAAGGGCTGTTGAATTTTATCAAATGCTATTTTTCCATCTATTGAGATGAACATATGTTTTTCATTATGAGCCTTTCAGTACTATTTGACTTTTTTTTTTAAACCATTTGCACTTATTATATCCACTGACTTGAGGCTTAAAATTCCTTCAAAATGCTAACTTTACAACCATCTTCTGCATGTGTTTTTCTTTGAATATAATTTTTCCATCAATCTGTTCCTATCTGCTTTCTTTTTTTGTAGTGATTTCAGCATCTCTGGGCTGTTGGTGATTTTTTATTCTTTAAAAAGCCTCTTCTATCATTTCATGGGTTTGTCAAGAGAGCGGGCACACCATGTGCCAGCCCTTTCCACTTTTTTTTTTTTTTTTTTAGACAGAGTCTTGCTCTGTTGCCCAGGCTGGAGTGCAGTGGCGCGATCTCAGCTCACTGCAAGCTCCGCCTCCCGGGTTCACACCGTTCTTCTGCCTCAGCCTCCTGAGTAGCTGGGACTACAGGTGCCCGCCACCACGCCTGGCTAATTTTTTGTATTTTTAGTAGAGACGGGGTTTCACCGTGTTAGCCAGGATGGTCTCGATCTCCTGACCTCGTGATCCGCCCACCTTGGCCTCCCAAAGTGCTAGGATTACAGGCATGAGCCACCGCGCCCGGCCCCCTTTCCTCTTAAACCAGTCTCTAGGACTTTAAAAATGCCATCCTTCCTTGCTCAGGTTCTGCTGCATAGGAACCTTCAAGTTCTTACAGCCTTTGAGATGTTGTGTTGCTTTACTTTGAGATGCTGACTGAGAGTCAGAGTTGGGAATACAAATACTCACAACACGGGTTGAAATGTTGGGAAGTAACTTAACTAAAAAGTTAATCAGGGCATTAGCCATGGAGTGGCTGGAAGAATCCTCACTGGGGCTTCAGCCAAGACTGCCAGCTTCACCTTCTTTCCTGGACTGTGAGATAAAAAGCAGATGGATTCTACTCCAGCTTGCCTGCCTCGCCCTAAAATAGCACTCTCCCACCTCCCCACCCTCATCTAAACATTAAATTCCTCAAGTGTTCCACCTTTTAGATGTTTGTGAATGGGAAATGGAATGCCAGATGTTCTACAGCTGTATCCAATCTGCAGAAGACAGAGATGTGGTTCAGGCTTCCCAGCAAGGAATGAGGAAGTATCTCCAGTGCTTTCTAATCAAAGCATTGCAGGGAATATTGTTTGTGGGTGTGGATGTGTGTGTACAGGAGGACGTCTGGATCTTTAGGGAGACCTCTCAGAGCCCTTCAGTTTTAAAAGGAAGCCAATCACAGATGCATTGCTTTTTATTTTTAATTTTTTTAAAAAACACATTCCTTGATGTAGGGTTTGCTAAGCTAGGGACATGGGTTTATGTTCTCGGCCACCTAGGGATGAATGTTTCACATTGGGTTCTCTTTGTTTAAAGACAAAAATTTTTTTGTTTGTTTTTAAAAAAATTTCAGGCTGTGTGTGGTGGCTCACACCTGTAATCCCAGCACTTTGGAAGGCTGAGGCGTTGTGGTCTTGAGCTCCCAAGGTCAGGAGTTCAAGACCAGTCTGGCCAACATGGTGAAACCCCTTCTCTACTAAAAATACAAAAATTAGCTGGGTGTGGTGACACACGCCTGTAATCTCAGCTACTCAGGAGCCTGAGGCAGGAGAACCGCTTGAACCCAGGAGGCGGAGGTTGCAGTGAGCTGAGATTGCACCTTTGCACTGCAGCCTGGGCGACAAGAGTGGAACTCCATTTCCAAAAAAAAAAAAAAATTCTTCAAAAAAATATATATTTTCAGGCCATGCTCGGTGGCTCATACCTGTAATCCCAGCACTTTGAGAGGCCAAGGTGGGTGGATCACCTGAGGTCGGGTGTTCGAGACCAGCCTGACCAACATGGAGAAACCCTGACTCTACTAAAAAACACAAAAAATTAGCCTAGCATGGTGGTTCATGCCTGTAATCCCAACTACTTGGGAGGCTGAGGCAGGTGAATCGCTTGAACCCGGGAGGTAGAGGTTGTGGTGAGCCGAGATCGTGCCATTGCACTCCAGCCTGGGCAACAAGAGTGAAACTCTGTCTCAAAAAAAAAAAAAAAATTTTTTTTCCTTCATCTTAATGTAGGCTCTATCTTAACAGTTTATCCCATACCTTGACCTTTGTATCCAGAACAATTTCTATGCACAATTCATTGGATATGTGATAGTAAATATTTACATGTCTTTGGACAATATGATATATATAATATTGTACTGTCTTAATTTCAGGCTTTATTAATAATAGACATTCAATAATGATAGATTAATAATTTGTTTATAATTTGTTTTGGAATTACAGCCATCACCTGATCTAATTTTAGAACATTTCTTCACCCCTAACAGATCCCTCACTCCTGTTTGCAGTCAGTCCTTACCCCAGCGCCAGCCACTGGCTAATGTGGTTTCTGTCTCTATAGATTTGCCCTTTCTGATATTTAACATAAATAGAATCAAGCAGTATGTGGTCTTTTGCATCTGACTTCCTTTACTTCACATAACGTTTTCAGGTTTCATGTATGTTATAACATATCCATAGTTTATTCTTATCTGAATATCCCAGTGTCAGGAAATACTACAAGTGTTATCCATTCATCCATTGATGGACATTTGGTTTGTTTCCACCTTCTGGCTATTGTAAATCATGCTGCTATGAACATTCGTGTACACATACTTGTTTGGATACCTGTTTTCAGCTCTTTGGGTATATACGTAGAAGTAGAATTACTAGTGGTTCTATGTTTAATTTTCTGGGGAGCCACTAAATTGTATTCCACAGCGACAAAAATGGAACCATTTTCCATTCACGCCAGCAATGTATGATGGTTAAATTTCCTTACATCCTTGCCAACACTTGTTAGTATGTTTTTTAAAGTATAGCCATCCTAGTTTTAGCTCTTATGCTAGGTCATTCACTCATTTTGAGTTAATTTTTGTATATGGCATAAGGTAGGGGTCTAGACCCTCATTCTTTTGCATGCGGATGTCCAGTTGTCCCAGCACCATTTGTTGAAGAGACTTGTTTTAAATACTTTTAATAATATATGGTTTTGTTTTTAGGCTCTATAGTCGGTTCCATCAATCTTTTTTTTTTTTTTTTTTTACCTATTTTTGCAGCAGTGTCACACTTTGTTAATAGCGCTTCAGGGACTGTGTACATATTCCATGTATACCTACTGACTCAAGGCTCTTAATAGCATTCAGGTCATCTTTGTCTTTGTTTAAGAAGCAGAATTAACCAGGCATGGTGGTGGATACCTGTAGTCCCAGCTACTCAGGAGGCTGAGGCAGGGGGATCGCTTGAGTCCAAGAGTTTGAGTCCACCTTCTCATTTGCTTTTTTTCTGTGTGAAGACGTGTTTTTGCTTTTTGTGCAATGGAAAAATATGTGAATAGGATAACAGTTGTGAATCAGTAAGGATTATATATGTGGAAGCAGAAAAGACAGTATTAGCATCATTCATAGGGTTGTATGATTTGACTGCTGTAGTTGTGTACATGATCTGTCTTGCAATTCTGGAGAATTAATCTGGGCATAAATACTGCATCTCCATTTTTTTTTTTTTTTTTTTTTTTTTTTTTTAGTATTTATTGATCATTCTTGGGTGTTTCTCAGAGAGGGGGATGTGGCAGGGTCATAGGATAATAGTGGAGAGAAGGTCAGCAGATAAACACGTGAACAAAAGTCTCTAGTTTTCCTAGGCAGAGGTCCCTTCGGCCTTCAGCAGTGTTTGTGTCCCTGGGTACTTGAGATTAGGGAGTGGTGATGACTCTTAACGAGCATGCTGCCTTCTAGCATCTGTGTAACAAAGCACATCTTGCACTGCTCTTAATCCATTTAACCCTGAGTTGACACAGCACATGTTTCAGAGAGCACGGGGTTGGGGGTAAGGTTATAGATTAACAGCATCCCAAGGCAGAATAATTTTTCTTAGTACAGAACAAAATGATGTCTCCTATGTCAACTTCTTTCTACACAGACACAGTAACAATCTGATCTCTCTTTCTTTTCCCCACATTTCCCCCTTTTCTTTTCGACAAAACCGCCATCGTCATCATGGCCCGTTCTTGATGGTCACTGTCTCTTCAGAGCTGTTGGGTACACTTCCCAGACGGGGCGGCCTGGCAGAGGCGCTCCTCACTTCCCAGACGGGGCGGCCTGGCACAGGCGCTCCTCAGTTCCCAGATGGGGCGGCCGGGCCGAGGCGCTCCTCACCTCCCAGATGGGGCGGCCGGGCAGAGGCGCCCCCCACCTCCCAGACGGGGCGGCCGGGCAGAGGCGCTCCTCGCCTCCCAGACGAAGGGCAGCCAGGCAGAGGCGCTTCTCACATGCCAGACCGCATCTGCATTTAAGAGGAGAAGTGAAGCATCCTTATTCATTTTTATTTGCTTCAAATAATGAAGGAAAAAATTACCTGTCAGTAAAGGCTGCCAGCAAGTGTTTAGTTCACTTTACATTTATTAATTATTGATTGATTGACTATTATGAGCAGGCCAACTGGAGTGTTGTTTGAAACTGCCTTTTAAAATGTTCTTTTGTCATATTAGCTGTTTTGTCAAATAAGAGTTAACCGTCACCTGAAAATGTGGAACACTTTATAATAATGTATAATGGTTATATAAAATTGGTTCAGTTTTTTTTTTGCTTTTTTGGGTTTTGTTTTTTTTTTTTTGAAACGGAGTCTCACTCTGTTGCCCAGGCTGGAGTGCAGTGGCGCGATCTCAGCTCACCGCAACCTCTGCCTCCCTGGTTCATGCCATTCTCCCACCTCAGCCTCCCGAGTAGCTGGGACTACAGGTGCCCGCCACCACGCCCGGCTAATGTTTTTATATTTTTAGTAGAGACGGGGTTTCACTGTATTAACCAGGATGGTCTCCATCTCCTGAACTTGTGATCCACCCATCTTGGCCTCCCCGAGTGCTGGGATTACAGGCACCCAGCCAAAATTGATTCAGTTTTAAGACTCAGCAGTTGAGAGTAACATTTGCCTGGGATTCTTCTCTGTATGTTAAAATGTTAATGACTCCTCTCTTCAGCAGGTGTCATCACTGTGACAGGGATATGGGGGGGAACACGAGGCACTTGCCTTGAGAACAGAGACAGAGTTAGGCATTATCGACAGGTGCTCATTTGGTATCACATTTTAAAATGACTAAGCCCTAATCTTCCTTCCGTGATGTCCCTTGACATCTCTGCCTTTGGAAGTCTGGCTGCTTTTTCATTAGCACCTTGATCACATCTCACTCAGAGGCTGTGAAGGGCACCCTGGCAGGAGGGACCAAAGCTCTTTGCCACATACTCTGCTCTGTCCTGCTGCTTTTCCCTGGAATGGCTGCCAGGACCTGTATGACTGGAGGTCAGATGTGTAAGTCCTTCTGTCTGGTCACGAGGGTATAGGAAACATCTGGTTTTTCCTTACCTTATGCAATATAAAGACTGTTTTTTAGTTTTTTTTGTTTTTGTTTTTTTGACAGCGTCTTGCTCTGTTACCCATGCTGGAGTGCAGTGGCACCATCATAGCTCACTGCAGCCTCGGATTCTAGGCTTCAAATGATCCTCCCACTTCAGCCTTCCCAGTAGCTGGGACCACAGACACGCCTCACTATGTCTGGCTAATTTCCTTTTTATTTTTTGTAGAGCTGTCCTCCCACCTCACTCTCCCTGAGTATTGAGGTTACAGGCGTGAGCCACCATGCCTGGCCTAATTTTTTTTTAACTTCATTTTGAACTAATTTGTAGATTCACAGAAAGTTGCAAAGATAACAGTACATAAAGGTTCCACTTGCCCTTCACTCATTTCCTCACACTGGTTACATCTTATGTAACTGCAATACAGTATCAAAATCAGGAAGCTGACATTGGTATGAGGTGTTTGTATAGTTTTGTGTCATCACCCATGCGTAGATTGATGTAGCCACCGCTGCAATCAAGATACAGAACTGTTCCATCACCACAAAGTTATCAGGCTCCCTCCTACTACCCCAGTTGTCTTCTCCTCAACCACCCTAAACCCCAAACAATGACTAATCCATTTTCCACCTCTGAGATGTTATCATTTTGAAATGTCACATACATCAAATTATATAATATGTAACCTTTTCAGACTGGGGTTGTTTCTGGGTTTTTAAAAATTCAGCTTAATGCCCTTACAATCCAACCAGGCTGTTGTGTGTATCAATAGTTCATTCACTTTTATTGCTAGATAATATTCCATGGTATGGATATATATCACAGTTTATTTCTCCATCCACCTATTGTAGAACTTTGGTTGTTTCCAGTCTTAGGATATTACGAGTAAAGTTGCTGTGAACATTCATGTTCAGGTTTTTGTGTGGGCATACATTTTAATTTCTCTGGAATAAATAAATTTCTCAGGTGATATTGCTGGATCACATGGTAAGTGTATGTTTAGTTTTTTTTTTGGAGAAGGGGTCTCACTCTGTCGCCTAGGCTGGAGTGCAGTGGCGCGATCTCGACTTACTTCAACCTTTGCCTCCCGTGTTCAAGCAATTCTCCTGCCACTGCCTCCCAATTGGCTGGGACTACAGGTGCCCGCCACCACGCCTGGCTAATTTTTTGTATTTTAGTAGAGATGGGGTTTCACCGTGTTGCCCAGGCTGGTCTCGAACTCCTGAGCTCAGGCATTCCACCTGCCTCGGCCTCCCAAAGTGCTGGGATTACAGGTGTGAGCCACCGCGCCCGGCTGTGTATGTTTAGTTTTATAAGAAAATGCCAAATTGTTTTCCGGAGGGCTATAACATTTTATGTTCCCACCAGCAATGTATGAAAGATCCAGATTGTCCACATCTTTGCCAGCCTTTGGTTTTTTTTTTTTTTTTTTTTTGAGACAGGATGTTTCGAGACTTTCTCCCAGTCTGTAGCTTCTCTTCATCCTTTTAATGCTTTGCAGAGCAAAAGTTTTTAATTTTGATGTCCAATTTATTATTTTTTTCTTTTATGGATTCTCAGTCACGTTTGTGGATTCTCAGTCATTACTAAGCCTTCGCTCTCAAAGATTTTTCTCATGTTTTCTTTTAAAGTTTTATAGTTTTACATTTAAACTTATGGTCTACTTTGAGTTAATTTTGTATAAAATATGAGGTTTAGGTCAAGTTTCATTCTTTTGCCTATGAATAGCCAATTGCTGCAGCAATATTTATTGAAAAGAATATCTGTTCTGCATTGGACCGCTTTTACACCTTTGTCAAAAATCACTTGGCTAGGCCAGGCGCGGTGGCTCACCCCTGTAATCCCAGCACTTTGGGAGGCCGAGGCGGGCAGATCACTTGAGGTCAGGAGTTTGAGACCAGACTGTGGTCTCAAACATGGTGAAACCCCGTCTCTACCAAAAAAAAAATACAAAAATTAGCTGGGTGTGGTGGTGCATGCCTGTAGTCCCAGTCACTTGGCTCTGAGTGTGGGCTCTTCTGAGTTCTCTCTTCTGTTCCATTCATCTGTGTGTCTATCCCTCTGCCAACACCACAGTCTTGAATAATATAGTTATGTAAGCCTTGAAATTGAGGAGAATAATTCCTCCAATTTGTCTTTTTTTCAAAATTGTTCCAGCTATTCTGATTCCTTTGACTTGCCATTATAAATTTGAGAATGGTCTTTGCTATCTCTTAAAAAAAAACTTACTGGAAATTTGATAGGAATGAGTCTTTTTCATTCCAAGCTAGTGGAGTTTCTACTTTTTGAACATCCTCAAAAACCTTGTGGGTCTCCTCTGTATTTCACAGGGATTTCACAGGGGACAAGAGGGCCCTCCATAGATCTTACCTGTGCGGTTCTGTTTCTATTCCTGGCTTTTGCTGAGAGGGTTGAGGGGATTCATGAGTGACAGGCTTAAATCTCTTCAAAGAGCTTTCTGTGTGAATGGATACTCTCACCTTTTAATTCTTCCAGCATACTAGCAAAACATTGGCCAGCCACACCCTTGTCTTTCCTTAGAGCACTTTTTCCTGCCAGTGAATCTCCTAATTTTATTGTCTTTTGCAATCCATGCAGGCTCAGAATTTCCCAAATTAAGCCCTGGTTCCTTTTTGCATAATAGTTTCTCTTAATTTCTCTCTTCTGCATTTTACTATAAGCGCAAGAAGAAACCAGGTTGCACCTTTAACACTCTGCTTGGAAAATGCCTCAATTAAATATCCAAGTTCATCACTTACACGTTCTGCTTTTCACACAGTTGTAGGAGATAATTCAGCTATGTTTTCTGCTAGTATATAATAGTTTCCAAAAAGAGGTGGCTCATTTCTTTGAGTCCTACCAGCAGTACATTTAATGTCCATTTTTCTACCAACGGTGTGCTTATGAAGATGTAGGTATTCTCTAAGATGATACAGACTTTCTGTACTCTGCTCCTCACTTCTCCTGAGTCCTCAGTGGCAGTTTTTTTTTTTTTTTTTTTTTTTTGAGACGGAGTCTCTCCCCGTTGCCAGCCTGGAGTACAGTGGCACAGTGTCGGCTCACTGCAACCTCCGCCTCCCGGGTTCAAGCGATTCTCCTGCCTCAGCCTCCCAAGTAGCTGGGACTACAGGTGTGCGCCACCACGCCCAGCTAATTTCTGTATTTTTAGTAGAGATGGAGTTTCGCCATGTTGGCCAGGATGGTCTCGATCTCCTGACCTCGTGACCTGCCCGCCTCGGCCTCCCAAAGTGCTAGGATTACAGACATGAGCCACCGTGCCTGGCAAGTGGCACAGTTTTTAACATCCACATTTCTGTGATCTGTTTAAGGCAATCTAGGCTTTCTGTATCGTCATCTTCAAAATTATTCCAGCCTCTGTCCCTTACAATTTGAAAGCTGGTTCCACATTTTTAGGTATTTGTTATAGCTGCACCCTAGTTCTGTATTTGTTTCCCGAGGCTGTTGTAATAAGTTACCACACATTTTGTGCCTTAAAATAGCACACATTTATTCTTGTACTGTTCTAGAAGTAAGAAGTCTGAAATCAGCTTCACTGGGCCAAAATGAAGGTGTCCAATGGGCCGTGCTCCATCTGGAGGAGAGAATGCATTTTCTTCCCTTTCCCAGCATCTAGAGCTGCATTTCCTTGTCCATGACCCCTCTCTCCATCTTCAAACCCAGCAGCCTGGCATCCTGCTTCAGTCATCACGTTGCCTTCTTCTGTGTCACATCTCCTGTGCTTTCTTCTTATATGGACATTTTTTATTGCATTTAGATCCCCTGGATAATCCAGGATAATCATCTCCATTGAAGATGCTTTTTCTTTTCTTTTTGAGATAGGGTCTGGCTCTGTTGCCCAGGCTGGAGTGTGGTGTGATCTCGGCTCACTGCAACCTCCCACCTCCCCGGCTCAAGTCTCCCACCTCAGCCTCCTGAATAGCTGGAACTACAGGTGCACACCACCATACCTGGCTAATTTTTGTATTTTTCATAGAGATGAGGTTTTGTCATGTTGCCCAGGCTGGACTTGAACTCCAGAGCTCAAGTGATCTGCCCACCTCGGCCTTCCAAAGTGTTGGGATTACAGGCATGAGCCACCATGCCTCGCTCTCCATCTATTTTTTTTTTAATCTAAAATTCTTAATTCTATTTGCAGAGTTCCTTTTGTCATGTAAGTTAACATTCACAAGTTCTAGAGATTAGGACCTGGATATCTTTGGGGGTCAATGATTCAGCCTACTACAATTTTCTGTGGGGTCTTGAAAAACATGAATATTATGCTGTTGGTGGGAGTGTTCTATAATCTTTCTGAGACTTTGTTGGTTGATGGTGGTGGTGAGTTCTTCTCTATACTTGCTGATTCTTTGGTTCATTAATTATTAACAAGAGAGAAAGGCATTGAATTCTCTGACTATAATTGTTGATATCTCTCAGCTCTGTTGTTGCTGGAATCACATATTTTGCAGCTTTGTTTGGTGCATATACATTTAGAATTGCTATGTCTTTTTGATGGATCATTATATAGTATCTGTCTCTGGTAGTTTTCTTTGCTCTGAAGTTTACTGTAGCTGTTTTATTAATATAGCCACACCTGCTTTCTTTTTATTAATGTTTGCATGATATCTTTTTCATCCTTTTACTTCAGCCAATATATTCGAATATAAAATACGTGTATTTGAAGTGAGTTTTTTGTAGACAGCATCTAGGTGGGTCATGTATAATTTTTAAATTCTACTCTGCCAATCTTTTAATATTTAACATTTATATTTAGACCTTTTACATTTAAGATGATTATTGGCCAGGAGCAGTGGTTCATGCCCGTAATCTTGGCACTTTGGGAGGCCGAGGCTGGTGGGATCACCTGAGGTTAGGAGTTCGAGACCAGCCTGGCCAACATGGTGAAACCCTGTCTCTACTAAAAATAGAAAAATTAGCTGGGTGTGGTGGCACACGCCTGTAATCCCAGCTACTTGGGAGGCTGAGGCAGGAGAATCACTTGAACCTGGGAGGCAGAGGTTGCAGTGAGCGGAGATAATGCCACTGCACTCCAGCCTGGGTGATAGAGTGAGACTCAGTCACACCAAAAAAAAAAAGTCATTATCGATTATATTAGGGCTTAAGTCTGCCATTTCTTTTTTTTTTTTTTTTCCTGTTCAGCTTTTTGTTTTCTTTTTCCTGTGAGTTACTTGAAGATTTTTTAGAATTCCAGTTTGACATATGTGTGTGTATGTATGTGTATGTGTGTATATACACATACACACATTTTTTTGAGATGGGGTCTCACCCTGTCACCCAGATTGGAGTGCAGTAGTGTGATCTTGGCTGACTGCAACCTCTGCCTCCCAGGCTCAAGTAATCCTCCCACCTCAGCCTCCTGTGTAGCTGGGACCATAGGTGTGCGTCACCACACCCGGCTAATTTTTTGATTTTTTTTGTAGAGATGGGGTCTTGCGGTGTTGACAAGGCTGGTCTCAAACTCCTGAGCTCAGGTAATCCACCCACCTCAGCCTCCCAAAGTGCTAGCATTACAGGTATGAGCCACTGCACCTGGCCTCTATGTTTTTGATTGAGTATATCTCTTTGTATAGCTTTTTAAATGGTTGCTCTAGGTGTATGTTTGCATATATGTATATATGTATGTATAATAAGTAATATATATTTTTATATAATTACCATCTACTGGGGGTGTCACTTTACCAGTTCAAATGAAATGTAGAACCCTTACCTCCCTCTGTGTCCCTCACTGTCTCCAATTTGTAATCTTACATATTTCTTCCATATATATTGAGAACTACATCAGATGGTGTTAGTTTTTGCCTCAACCGTGAAACGTGATTGAGAAAACCCAAGAGGAGAAGGAAAGTTTTTTATACTTACACATATTTTTACTGTTTCTTTTGTTATTGTTTTCTAATATTTCAAGATGACTTCTTTGATCATTTCCCTTCTAGTTAGAGAACTCCCGCTAGCCATTCTTTTAGGGTAGGTCTACTGGTGACAAGTTGTTTTCGTTTTCCTTTATTTAAGAATGTCTCAATTTCCCTTTCATTCCCAAAGGATAACTTCACCAGATATAGAATTCAGGGTTGACAGTTCTTTCTTCACTTGAAGAATGTTTTGCTACTTCCTCTGGCCATTGTGGTTTTGATGAGAAGCCCATTGTCATTTGAATTATCTTTCTCCTCTATAGGTAAGGTGTTATTTTCCCTGGTTGGTTTCAAACATTTTTCTCTTTCAGAAGAATGTGTATCATGTGTCTTGGCATAGGTCTCTGGGTTTATCCTGTTTCAAGTTTGTTTAGCCTCTTGAATTCATAGGCTTATGTTTTTTGCCAAGTTTGAGAAGAAGTTTTCACCTATTAAAAAATGTTTTTCTAGCCCACCCTTTTTGTCCTTATTTGTCTTTTTTTTTTTTTTTTTTGAGATGGAGACTTGCTCTGTCGCCCAGGCTGGAGTGCGGTGGCGCGATCTCGGCTCACTGCAAGCTCCGCCTCCTGGGTTCACGCCATTCTCCTGCCTCAGCCTCCCGACTAGCTGGGACTACAGGTGCCCACCACCACACCCGGCTAATTTTTTGTATTTTTAGTAGAGATGGGGTTTCACTGTGTTAGCCAGGATGGTCTTGATCTCCTGACCTCGTGATCCGCCCGCCTCGGCATCCCAAAGTTCTGGGATTACAGGCGTGAGCCACCGCACCTGGCCTGTCCTCATTTGTCTTTAGGGAAATTATCTGTACGTTTTGGGACTATCAAGTGCCCCTGAACCGTGGAGCATCTTCTGCTCTTGGGTCACTAGAGCAGGGGGAATAATCAGGAAGAACTTTCTGGTGTTACTCAGCTGCGATTTTCCTTGTCAACTCTCATGTGCTCCATGTTGTGGAGTGGCGTTTTAAAATCCAACCAGTACTCTTTCAGAACACTTGAAGTAACAGAATTCTCAGAGGAAGAGAGGGCATCCTATCCCATTTTCTTCACACACAAATAACTCTGTAGTTTTGTGTAAGGTGGGTTCTGTTTAAATTTTTGTCTTTTTAAAAATTTACCAAAATAACCTTACTCTTTTTTTTCAAGCCAATCAAAATCAAGATAAGAAAATACTATTGTCTCTATACTAAGAGTATGACTAGGCAGCTCTTTGCCTGTGGTTGCGAGGAGCCACAGCCTTTCACAGAGCGAATATTCGCTTTGGCATCAGTTTTTATCATAGTTGGTACTTTGATATTACCGTGGGAAATCTTGTCAATCGCATGTGTCCTTTAGGTTAGATGAGAAGGAAACAACACATCTTACAGGCTCTACTTGTCTCTTGAACTAGCAAGTTATTTTTGCTTATTAAAAATTTTGTTTTGTATGGTTTGGTGAGAGTATGCTCAGTTTGTTTTGTTCTGAGGTCATTCCTAGGCCAGGTGGAATGTGGCCCTCTTAGGTACCAGCTCTCATAGTGGGGAACTCCAGGGCTGAAAATGACACTTCTCTTTGGAAAAAGCACCAGTTTGTATGGTTTTGAAGAGCCAGATGCTGTAGGTTATTTAGGAATACTTAGTAATATTTGAAGAGAAAATAAAAGTAGTAATTTTTAAAGCATTCCTTATACACAAAATTAAGGGAAAATGCCATTAAAATCATTTAGAAATCTGTAGAGTTCTCTAATAGTCAAGGCTTTTAAAATTTATTTCTTATGTTTTGAATTTTCAAAATACTTTTCAACATTTTAGTATGAAAAATTTCAAGTACACAAAAACGTTGAAAGGCTATACAGTGGCTTAGGTGTAAACCCCCCACCTAGGCTCCACGATTAACCTTTCACTGTGTGTGCTTTATCACATGGCCGTTTATCCGTCTCTCATCGATCCATCCATCCATCTTACTTTTTAGACATTTCAGAGCTGGAGGTGTCAGTGTACTTTAACTTTTGGACCTGTTTTTCTCTTATTTGTGTGGTCCAAGATGGGCCCTATAAAAACTTTGAATCAAAATATGTCTTCTGAGAAGCTCTAGTTCCTCTTACAAGGTCAGGGGAGTCTGTGACACTGCTTTCCCTGCACTCCATGAGCCTTCCTAAAAGGATGCTGAGAATAACTCCTGTGCTCTGATGCGTTATGTGGCTGAGAAGCACTGAAACTTCATGGAGCCAAGTTCTCCTGGTGGGCAGAGAGAACATCCAGACAGAATGGGCTGTCTTCTGGGCTGGGCCCCTGTGATGGGTTCCTGCCTTGCTGGCTTCCAAGGAACAGTGTTAATCTTCTGCTTGGGTGTAATCTTGAATTAACTGAGGAATCTAGGAAAGTGCATGAGATTGTGTCTTCAGACACCCGAAGAGAGCACCAAAGCTGTGAGATAGTCACACTTAGGAACTGTGCTTCCCTAGACCATTGGTTCTCAAGGCCCCTGGGGGTTGAAGGCCAAGGAGATTAAATTTTTCAAATTGGGTAATTAAAGACAACGGCAAAACAAAACCAAACAAACAAACAAACAAAAAACCATGGGGACACTTTACTGGGATTGAGATTGTATTGCAAAGAATGGAATCAGAGCCGTCGTTGTTGTAGATAGGCACCAACGTTATTAAAGCCCTCTTGACTTTAAGATTGACACAAAATTGTGGAAATCTTCCTAAAATGGTGTTGGAGGTTCCTCCTTTCCCCAAACTCTTTTCTATACCATGCAACAACGGATAGTGCTGGGATATATTTTCAGGAATTCACGAAGACCGTGAAAATGAATGAAATAGCTCTTTTAATTGCAAAGAGCTAATAAACATACATCTCATCTCTGGAGCACCTTTTGTGAAAAGCCTGTGTTCTGAGTAGTCTGATAATTCAGCAGATATCTCTGAGTTCCCACTATGTGCTAGTCACGGTTCTTGGTGCTGGGAATTTAATAATGAACCAGACAAGGAAGAACCCTGTCCTTGGGAGTTGACATTCTTATAGGAGGAGACATAAACTAAACAATAAGTCAGCGGGATGCTACTAATAGTATTAATACATGGCACTTCTAGGTGCAGTAGTTACTGTTATCCCTATTAAAGATGAGATGACTGTGTGGAAAATTGGAAACCTTGTGCACTGTTGGTGGGAACGTAAAATGGTGCAGCTGCTGTAGAAAACAGTGTGGAGATTCCTCCAAAAATTAGAAATCGCACTGCCCCAGTGCCCTTCACAATGGGCAAGAGCTGAAGCCATCAGAGTGTTCATGGCCAGATGAATGGATAAGCAAAATGTGGTCTCTCCATACAATGGAATATTACTCAGCCTTACAAAGGAAGGAAGGCTGGTCCGAAGGTAGTGAGTTATATCGATTGTTCAGTTACAGGTCTAACTCCTTATTCTACTCTTTCCTCCCTTCTCACTACTGCATTTGACTAATCTTTAAAAAAAAATTGAAAATGTTTTTAAAAAAGGAAACTCTGTCACATGCCACAACATGGGTGAACCTTGAGAACTTTTTTTTTATATTTATGCCAGGTGAAATAAGCCAGTCACAAGACACATACTGTGTGATTCTACTTATGTGAGGTACCTGAGTAGTTGAATTCATAGAGACAAAGTAGAATGGTGGGTGCCTGGGGATGGGGAAAGGGAGAATTGGGGAGTTAGTATTTAATGGGTACAGAGTTTTACAAGATGAAAAAGTTCTAGAGATGGATAGTGATGATGGTTGCAAAACAGTGTGAATATACTTAACAGTACTGAACTGGACACGTAAGAAAAAATGGATGCCAGGCCTGGTGGCACATGCGTGTAGCCATTACTTGGGAGGCAAAGGCAGAATGACTGCATGAGCCCTGGAGTTCAAGACTGCTGAGTCATTATTGACCACCATACTCCAGTGTGGGAAACATCGGGAGACCTTGCTTCAAAAAAAATGGTTGAAATTGAACTCATGGAGATAGAGAGTAGAAGGATGGTTACCAGAGGCTGGGAAGGGTAAAGGGGAGATAAGGATGGTTAATGGGCACAAAAAATTAGTTAGAAAGAATGAATAAGACCCTAGTATTTTTTATTTATTTATTTATTTATTTTTGAGACAGCGTCTCACTCTGTCGCCCAGGCTGGAGTGCAGTGGCACAATCTCAGCTCACTGCAACCTTCACCTCCTGGGTTCAAGTGATTGTTGTGCCTCAGCCTCCTGAGTAGCTGGGATGACAAGTGCAAGCCACCACACCTGACTAATTTTTGTATTTTTAGTAGAGACATTTTGGCCAGGCTTGTCTCAAACTCTGGGCCACAGTGGTCCACCCGCCTCAGCCTCCCAAAGTGCTAGGATTACAGGCATGAGCCACCGTGCCCAGCCAAGACCTAATATTTGATAGCACAACAGGGTAACTATAGTCAATAATAATTTAATTGTACATTTAAAAATAAAAGAATATATTTAGGCCAGGCACCGTGGCTTACTCCTGTAATCCCAGCACTTTGGGATTTGAACTCCTGAGCTCAGATGATCCTTCTGCCTCAATCTCCTAAGAGTCTAGGACTATAGGTGTGCACCACTGTGCCCAGCTGTGTTATGCGTTTTACCACAATTAAAAATTTTAAAGTTTTTGAAATGAGAAAAGCAAAGCACAGGTGTCCGGTCTTGCACAGCTAATGAAGTGGTAGAGCCAGGAGTCAGGCTCCGCAGTGTGGCTCCACAAAACGTGCATTCAGCCATCATTCTGTTCTGCTTCCAAAACACTCTGGGTAAAAAGTGCTATGAAAGAAATACAACAGCCATGTCTGATAGAAAGCGATTGTGCAGGGAGCTGAGAGTCTGTCCTTTAGACAGGGTGATCAGGGAGGGCCTGCTTTGAGCAAGGGAGCTGGAGGGAGCTGGAGCCAGCCAGGTGCTCAGGAGAGTGGTTCACAGGAGGGGATGGTGCCCCAGTGGCAGATGGGGTCGGATCAGGGAGGGCACTATAGGCTCAGGTGAGGAACTCGGATTTTGTTCTGAACCCAGCGGGAAGTCATATGTGTTTTAAGCAGGGAAGAGACATGATTTGATTTATATTTTCATGAGTACTGCCAAAACTTCACTTGGAAAGGAAATTGAGAAAAAATTCCGGAATATCGATTTCTCCATTTTGTGATCAAATATCAAATAGAATACTTCAGGTTTTACAAAAGATTAATCCTCACCCTGCTTTTTGGTGCTGTTTGAAGCATTTTAAGTGTAACAACTCTTATCAGTGAAGGCAATATGCCCAACTGTTTTCTTGGAAGACACTTAGTTAAAGATGCTGAGGAGGAAAAAATACTGCTTTCCTAAGCCTGGCACCACTACTCAAGATGATGTGTGAAGTTGTGTCAGAATCCATCAGAGTTAATGAAATGGTTTGGAAAAAAATGACTGACAAGCACTGGGGGTTTCTTTTGGGGACACCAGCAGCATGAACTCTGTCTTAGATTTCACGCATTTTTAGCCAAAGTTCCACCTATGGATATAGGAAATTAGTTATAAAAATGTTTTTATCTTCCCAACTTAAGTTCTCAAGGCCAAAGATTTTGAAAAAACTTCAATGAAAAGGATAAATCTAATCTTAAATTTTAGGTGACGTCTCCTTGACATGGTAGTTGAAAACTCATTTGAAATTTGATAAGGAATCTTCTTTCATATTCTGTCGCATCTTCAAGAGGACTTGTTGGGAGTTTGGGTTGATTAAATTGTCAGAGATGACTTTCACAAAGTTGTCTTAGAGAATTATTTGGTAGCTTTGGATGTCATTATCCCTACTTTAAAAATGTTATTAATAGACTTTAGTTTTTAGAACTAATTTAGATTTACATAAAAATCGAGCTGACAGTATAGAGTTCCCATCTGCTCACCGCCTCCCAGCACATAGTTTTTCTGTTATTAACATCTTACATTAGTGTGGTGCATTTCTTACAATGGATAAACCAATATTGATACCTTGTTACTAACTGAAGTTTATGGTTTACAATAGCATTTCCTTTTGGGGTCCTTGGGGTCCTGACAGGTGCATAATGACATGGATCCACCATTACCGTATCATACAGAAGAGTTTCACCAACCAGGAGTCCCCTGTGCTCAGCTATTCATCCCTGTCCGTGTCCCCCTGAACCCCTGGCAACCACTGATCCTTCTGTTGTCTCAGTAGCATTGCCTTTTCCAGAATGCCATCTAGTTGAAATTGTACAATATGTAGCCTTTTCATATTGGCTTCTTTCACTTAGCCATATACAGTTAAAGTTCCTTTATGTCTTTTCAAGGCTTGAGAGCTGATCTCTTACTATCACTGAATAATATTTCATTGTCTGGATGCATCATAGTTTATCGAGTCACCTATTGAGGGACATCTTGGTTGCTTCAGTTTTTGGCAATTATAAATAAAGCTGCTATAAATATTTATGGCAGATTTTCATGTGGACATAGTTTCCAACTCAGTTGGGTAAATTCCAAGGAGGGCAGTTGCTGGATCGTATTGTAAGGCTGTTGAGCTTGGAGAGAAACTGCCAAACTGTCTTCCAAAGTGTCCTCAAATGGTTTTTAGTCACGTGCATTTGTGAAGCTGCTCCCCCGCACCGCCAACGACAGCTTCTGGCTGTGAAAGAAACTTTATTCAGGTTTGATCTCAGAAGTTGTTTATTTTACTCTGTTTTTCAGTTAGCTAGGGTAGAAAGTCTCAATGTCTATTACTAGTTTTTCATGACTGAGGTCAACATATTCATCGTTCAAGATCTTACAATATTTTTTGTTTTGATTTGTTTTGAGATGCAGTATTTAATTTGAAATTTCTAGTAATATTCAAGAAGAGAGTTTGATTAGCTTGAGATAGTAGTAGTATCCCATTTACAAATGAGGAAACTGAGGCATAGAGCGGTTAGGTAAAAGACGCTGTGCCTAAAGGCGCAGAGCTAGTAAGTGGCAGAGAGAACATTTGAGACAAGTCCAGCTGCAAGATTGACTGTGTCACATTGCCTCTCTATCTGTTGCATTCATGATTTAAGGACTTATCTATTCAGTGCTGTATTTTAGCAGTGCTTCTCAAATTTCCCTGTTCAACAAAGTCATTTGGGAAGCTTGTTAAAATTCAGAGCCCTGGGCTTCATACCCAGAGGTTCTGATTTGGTAGGTTTGGGATAGGGTCTAGGAACTCTATTTTAGACAATTACCTCCAAGTGTTTCTGATGGAGAAGATCTTTAGACCATGTTATAAAAAACTGCTACAGAAAATGAACTCTAGGCCAGGCGTGGTGACCCACACCTGTAATCCCAACACCTTGGGAGGCTGAGGAGGGAGGATCGCTTCAGACCAGCCTGGGCAGCATAGCAAGACCCCATCTCTACAAAAATAAAAAATAGTTGGATATGATAGCAGGCTCCTGTAGTCCCAGATACTTGGGAGGCTGAGGCAGGGTGATTGCCTGAGTCCAGGAGTTGGAGGCTGTGGTGAACTATGATTGGGCCATTGCCCCCCAACCTGGGTGACAGTGAGATCCTGCCGCACCTCTCAAAAAAAAGAAAAGAAAATGAGCTAGAATGAATGATTGGAATGAAGTACTTTTGCCAAGGTTCCCAAGGAGCTGGCTATGTCCTTGGCCCTTAGGTTTAGTTTTGCTGTATGGAACTGGGGAATAAACTGTCCTTGACTACTGCATTTGGTAAGACACATGCCACTACAGTGATTCTTCCATTGCTTGTAGAGCAGCAATTGTGGGTTGGCATGTTTGTTGTCAAGAGGATGTTTATATATGAGTCCAAAAGGCTGATTTGGGTAGGGTTGTAACACCATGTTTGTTAGTTTTACATGTAACACCATGTAAATACAAAGCAGTTATTTAAAAATCTTGCAATGACTGCCCTGATTGCTAGTTTATTGCTAAGTTTATCTGTCGTCTTTGTAGTGTACAAAAATTCTTACCTACCTTATCCAGTGATAGATGTGTATACCTACACTTGATCTTAGCCAAAAGTCTGAGAAGCAATAGATAGATATATATACCTAAGGTAGAAGGAGTCTTGGAAGAATAAGAACAGTAGTGCTCAAAAGTATCATCCTATAGAACAGTTATTAATCGTTTTTTTTATCTGCTTCTAACACCTTTCCCCCCACCCCCCCAAGACAGGGTCTGGCTCTGTCACCCAGGCTGCAGTGCAGTGGCATGATCTCGGCTCATTGCAACCTCCGCTTTCTGGGTTTAAGCCATCCTCCCACCTCAGCCTCCCAAGTAGCTGGGATTACAGGCATATACCACTGCACCCAGGTAATTTTTGTATTTGTTGTGGAGATGGAGTTTCACCATGTTGCCCAGGCTGGTCTTGAACATCTGAACTCAAGCAGTCTGCCTGCCTCGACCTCCCAAAGTGCTGGGATTACAGGTATGAGTCACTGCGCCCAGCCTTTTTTTGTTTTGTTTTTTGAGATGGAGTCTCGCTCTGTCACCCAGGCTGGAGTGCAGTGGTGTGATCATAGCTCACTGTGGCCTATATTGCCCAGGCTGGTCTCAAACTCCTGGTCTCAAGTGATCCAACCCCCTTGGCTTCCCAAAGTACTGGGATTACAGGTGTGTGCCACTCCACCTGACTCAAACATCAAGTTTGAATTAAATGCTATTCCATTAAAAAGTAGGCATTCTTTATAGCTGTATATCACTGATTCTAAGATGCACATTTTAGGTCGGGCGTGGCAGCTCACGCCTGTAGTCCCAGCACTTTGGGAGGCTGAGGCAAGTGGATCACGAGGTCAGGAGATAGAGACCATCCTGGCTAACACGGTGAAGCCCTGTCTCTACTAAAAATACAGAAAATTAGCTGGGCTTGGTGGCAGGTGCCTGTAGTCCCAGGTACTCGGGAGGCTGAGGCAGGAGAATGGCGTGAACCCAGGAGGTGGAGCTTGCAGTGAGCCAAGATCGCGCCACTGCACTCCAGCCTGGGCGACGGAGTGAGACTCCGTCTCAAAAAAAAAAAAAAAAAAAAAAAAAAGTTGCACATTTTAATTTCTGTGAAATTGGAATGTTTCTTATGGTATGGCATCTTAAAGTTTGTAGTATTGGTGTTTTTTCTTTTAAACAGGACATAAAAATAATGGTTTACTTAAAATTG
Source organism: Homo sapiens (assembly GCF_000001405.40). Taxonomy (NCBI): domain Eukaryota; kingdom Metazoa; phylum Chordata; class Mammalia; order Primates; family Hominidae; genus Homo; species Homo sapiens. The sequence goes on along the minus strand of NC_000007.14, from coordinate 6,206,966 downwards.
ATGGGTTTTAGATTTTATGAAGCATTTATTCTGTAGTTAGTAGTCTCTCTAAAACGAAAAAAATCGTCTCCCCCGTTGTCCCTTAAAACGCTGCTGGGATTTGACCTTTACTTGATGCTTTGTATCTTAGAGCCACAGGATATAAGGTAGAGGTGGCAGTGAGGCCACCTGACTCATGTTTGTACCTTAGACTGGATTGTCCTGAAGTCATCCTAGGGCAGTTAGCATTGGTTCTGTTAGTGTTTGGCATGTTCTTAGAATGCTATTTCAGTGTCTTTTTCAGGAAATTCTTCCCTTCTTCTGTTAAGGATTAAAAGGGATCAGTTTTTCAGACATAGGCTTTTAAGGGCAATAAGTAAAGCGCCCAAATGTTGAGCGTACCTAGAACTCAAGCTATTTTCCATGTAGTCATGTACACACACCCTTGTGCATCTACTGCCTAAATTGAAATAGCCATGTGCAACATCACAGGAGGCTCTGATATGCCCTTCTTCAGGCAGTACTTTCTGCCTCCCCAGATTACCCACTGTTTTGATTCCTATCAACACAAATTAGTTTTGTCTGTTCTTGACCTGCTCTGGATGTTTTCTGTAAATGGAATCACAATATGTGGTCTTCTGTGGCTGGCTCATTTCACCTAGCATCGTGTTCTCAGTTCATCTGTGTTGTAGCATGTGCCAGTACTTCATTTTGATGGCTGAATCACATTCCATTGTACATATAGACCATATATTTTTAAATCCATTCATCTGTTGATGGACATTTAGGTTGTTTGGGCTATTTGTGAATAGTGTTGCTATGAACATTCATGTACAGGTTTTTGTGTGGACATATGTTTTTACTTTTTGGGGTATATAACTAGAGTGGAATTGCTGGAATGCAAACTGTTTTAACTTTTTGAAGAACTGCCAAACTGTTTTTCTAAGTGGCTTTACTTGATTTTATTTTAATAATTGATTTCTGTATTATTTTCTGTTTTGGGTTTAAGCAGTTGTTTCTCTAATTTTTAAAGGTGAGTGCTTAGTTTATCATTTTTCAACAAAATTATTTTCTAAAATAAGCTTTTTTTTTTTTTTTTTTTTTTTTTTTTTAAGAGATAGGACCTTGCTCTGTCACCCAGGTTAGAGTGCAGTGGCCCGATCATAGCTCACTGCAGCCTCAAATTGCTGGGCTCAAGCTATCCTGTCTCAGCCTCCCAAATAGATAGGATTACAGGTATGTACCACCACACCTGGCTAATGTGTTTTGGCTTTTTTCAGACAGGGCCTTGCTATATTGCCCACGCTGTGGTAGCATCTTAAGTTGTTATTTTCTAAGTTGTTCTAGCTTTAGTACACAAGTAATATTTTCACATTATCTTTCTCTTCTTTTCTTGTTTTTTATTTGTTTGTTGGAGACGGAGTCTCATTCTTTTGCCCAGGCTGGAGTGCAGTAGTGAGATCTCGGCTCAGTGCGACTTCTACCTCCTGGGTTCAAGGGGTTCTCCTGCCTCAGCCTCCCGAGTAGCTGGGATTACAGGCGTGCACTGCCATGCCTGGCTAATTTTTTGTATTTTTAGTAGAGATGGGGTTTTACCATGTTGGCCAGCCTGATCTCAAACTCCTGACCTCAGGTGATCTGCCCACCTTGGACTCCCAAAGTTCCGGATTACAGGTGTGAGCCACCGTGCCTGGCCTTTGTTGGTATTTTCTAATTTACATTACGTTGTTATCTTTGACCAATGATTTATTTAGAATTGTGTTTCTTAATTTAATTTCCAAACAAATGGGTTTTCCTGGTCACTGTTTTTTGTTTTTGCTTTTTTGAGAGAGTATTGCTTTGTCACCCAGGCTGGAGTGCAGTGGCATGATCATGGCTCACTGCAGCCTTGGCCGTCCAGGCTCAGGTGATTCTCCTACCTCAGCCCCCAAGTAGCTGGGACTACAGGTGTGCACCACCATACCTGGCTAATTTTTGTATTTTTAATAGAGACAGGGTCTTCGCCATGTTGCCCAAACTGGCCTTGAACTCCTGGGCTCAAGTGATCCACCCACCTCAGCCTCCCAAAGCTCTGGAATTACAGGCGTGAGCCACCGCACTCATCCTCTAGTCACTGTTTTGCAATTGATTTTTAACTTGATTGTTTTGTGTTCAGAGAATGTGGTCTTTATGACAACAGTAGTTTGTTATAGTTCGATACAGGAAACATAGAGCACTCTAAGTATTTTGAGCAGGAAGGAATGATTTGATTGGGGAGCCATGGGTTGGCTAAAGGAGTGGGCCCTGGCTTGGCTCTCCAAAATCGAGTCACCAGAGGAATTCTCGCCTGCTAGGCAACTCCTGCAACCATGGAGGTCCGTGCATATCCTCAGCCGTGATGGGGTCCACAGAACCTGAATCAGGAGGCCACAGTGCTGGAATGAACTCTCAATTCCTAGGAATCTAGAGAACGAACACTAGATAGAAAGCTGTTGCAGAAAATCCTCACCTTTCACATCTTTGTGGGCCAGCTGAGCAGCAGCCTGTGTAAAAGGGCAGGACGAGGACTTCTGCTTCACTGCTCTCTTTTGAATCCTGTACACTGCCTCTGTTTGGCAGAATAAGAGGATCTGGAGATGTAATTTTGAGCTTTCTAAACTCTGCTTTACTTGAAGGCACCTCCAGAGATTGAGCAAAGCACCTTCATCTCCACTACACCAATCCTTTGAAATTTATTTTCTTTTTTCACATGTGCTTGAATGTATATTGCACACCTGTTGGGTGCCATGATCCCACTGAGTTTGTCTGTATCAATTGTAAGATGCGTCGTTAGCTTATGTTCCATTAAGAAGAAAAAAGCTGGCACCTAAACCAGGGGCAATGAATCCTTCTCACTTAGAATCTTTATTTATACTGTCTGATTTTTTTTCAACTTAATATTGGTTTCTTTTTTTTTTTTCTATTGTGAACATATATAAAAAGTGAAATATGAAGCTGAGTGCGGTGGCTAACGCCTGTAATCCCAGCACTTTGGGAGGCTGAGGCGGGTGGATCACGAGGTCAGGAGATCAAGACCATCCTGGCTAACACAGTGAAACCCTGTCTCTACTAAAAATAAAAAAATTAGCCGGGCATGGTGGCAGGCGCCTGTAGTCCCAGCTACTCGGGAGGCTGAGACAGGAGAATGGTGTGAACCCAGGAGGCGGAGCTTGCAGTGAGCCGAGATTGGGCCATTGCATTCCAGCCTGGGCGACAGAGCGAGACTCTGTCTCCAAAAAAAAAAAAGGTGGAATATGAGTACAGTAAGTTGGTCAAGGTATTCCTGAAGCTTATTTACAGATTCCAACTCCTGAATCAGTTGTCTACTCAGAATAGTTGATATTTATGTTTTTCTACACAGTGCTGTCACCATCGAAGGCATTAGTGACACAGCAGTTCTTAAAGAGTGCTCCTATATTGTCTCCCGGATTTTTTTCTAATGTTTTGCAGAATTTTCTGCTGAGACTTTGTTGATCTTACCAGAAAGTATCAATGAATAATCTGTGGCAATGACTAGACTCATAATCCTTCATCAGATTATTCTTAAATTTTGTTTTTTTGCATGAAACGTTAAGGAGTAGCAGTTGTTTAGTTTTGCCTCTAGCAATAGTCAGATTCACAGCTATGGAGGCAATGATATGTAAATGTCACAATTCACTTCAAATATGTTAAAATGTGAAAAAAAAGCACATCTTATAATCAGTGAAGTATATTATGTCCATTAAATCAAGCTTGCTATTGTGTTGGTAAGATCTTCAACATTTTTTTTTTTTTGCCTTTGGGAAAAATTTTATTTTTACATGTACATCTGTCAATTTTTGCTTTATATATTTTGAGACTATTTTGTTAGATGCATATAAATTCTGACTTTGTGAATAACTGAACAAAATATCATTATCTAGTGACTCATAGCTTTAGTCTATTTTTCTTAAAGTTTTTTTGCCTATTTTTTCTTATAGCGGTACCAACTTTTTGGTAAGAATTTGTCTGGTATGTCACTTTCTACCCTTTTACCAACTTTTATGTATTCGTATGTTTTAAATATGCCTCTTTTAAAGAGCATTTAGTGGGATGTTTTTTGTTCTGGTTTTTAAGTCCAAGTTTTAAAACTTTACTCCTTTTTTTCACTTATGTTCATTGTAAATGTATCAGTTACTTCTTACTGCATAACAAACTTCTTCAAAGGAATTGGTTTAAAACAGCAATGGCCTGGCTGGGCACGGTGGCTCACGCCTGTAATCCCAGCACTTTGGGAGGCCAAGGCGGGCGGATCACCTCAGGTCGGGAGTTTGAGATGAGCCTAACATGGAGAAACCCCTTTTCTACTAAAAAAACAAAATTAGTTGGGCGTGGCGGCGCATGCCTGTAATCCCAGCCACTCAGGAGGCTGAGGCAGGAGAATCGATTGAACCCAGGAGGCGGAGGTTGCGGTGAGCTGAGATTCGCACCACTGCACTCCAGCCTGGGCAACAAGAGCGAAACCCTGTCTCAAAAAAAAAAAAAAAAAAAAAACTAGCAATGGCCTGTTGTCTCACCATCCAAATTTCCAAGTTGGCTGGCGGTTCACGTGCTGCTCTTGTCTGGGTTCACCCACGTTGTCATATTCAGCTGGAAGGCCAGCCGGGGGCTGAGCCCGTCCCAGATGACTTCACTTACGCGTTCGTCTGGGGCCTTGGCTGAGGTGCTGCAGCAGCTGGGACCTCAGGGACTCTTCCGTGTGGTTTCTTTACACAATGGATTTCATTTTCAAGGTTGCTGGCCCAGGGCATGGTGGTCTCAGGTTCCAGGACAGGGGAGGGACAAGACCTTGAGGCCTGGGTGCTGGGCCCTGCCCACTGTCAAATCTGCCATCTTCTCTTGGTCAAAGGAAGTCCCAAAGCCAGTCCAGAGAAAACACTGGGAAATAGACTTCCCTTCTTGAGAGGAGGAACCTCAAAATACCATGGCTGTGTTTTTCTGTCTACCATGGTAAAGATCAGTATATTTGGATTTTTTTTCCTGCACCCAATATTTTGCATTTTGTATTTCTAACAGTTGTTCTGTGTTTCTCTTTCTCTTTCCTTGCCTTTTTTTGGATTATTTTTTCTCATTCCAGTTTTAATTTCCCTTTCCCAATTTGGGCATTTTGAGCTCCATTCCTTTCCTGCTTACCCTAGAAATTTTAGTATGCCTTCTTAACTTGACAAGTCTAAAGTTAATCATCTATCCGCTCCGCCTTCGAACCCTAAGAACTTGAGAGCAAATTACTTCCCTTCTTATTTACATGCTGTTGTTGTTGAGCATTTTAGTTCTGTTCTTACTCTATGAGATGTTGTTATCTTACACAGTCAGGTTTTTTTAAGATTTACTTATGGAAACCAGTGCTCATCATTTTCTCTTGATGCTCACACCTCCTGTACTGGATCCCTTCTCTTGATTGAACTTATTTAAGAATTTCTGTTAGTGATAATGGTGCACCAGTGGCCAACTCCAGTTTGTGTCTGAAAATGTCACCTTTCACCTAATCCAAAGAAGGCTGGGTAAGGAACCAGTGTCCTGGAACAGTGAAGATCACCACATGGAGATTGAGGAGAAATGACAAGAAAGAAGGTTCCAAGGAGGTGGCGAGAATCGGACCCTTGGAGCCTCTGCGGCTTTCCTGCCTGCCCCTGCAGCTCAGTGCAGCATCCTGGCTAGCTGCGGCATGCCACTCACCTGGCCCTTTCCGTTGTTGCTAACACGTGACTGCCCTGTTACCCACCTGGATGTCATAGTTTGAATGCTGCTTTATCACCCACTGAGGTCACCCGACTGTCGAGTGGTGAGGAGAGGCAGAGCGCAGCCCCTGGCAGCTCAGAGCCTGCCCTTTTGTTCTGCGTGTCATCATACTGCTTCAGTAGTCTCCAGAAACTCATGCTCATTTAACAGTTGAGCCAGGCAAGGTGGCTCATACCTACAATCCCAGCACTTTGGGAGGCCGAAGTAGAGGATTACTTGAGCCCAGGAGTTTGAGACTAGCCTGGACAACAACATAGTGAGACCCTGTCTCTACAAAAACAATTTGAAAGTTAGCTGGGCATGGTGGTACGTGCCTGTGGTCCCAGCTATTCAGGAGGCTGAGGCGGGAGGATCACCTGAGTTTGGGACGCTGAGGCTGCAGTGAGCTGTGATTGTGCCATTGCAGTCCAGACTGAGTGACAGAGCAAGATCCTTTCTCAAAATAACCAGTTTAAATTGCTGGATATAACAGTGTTATGAGATAGGTGTTATTTCTGTGTGTGTTAAACCACGGCTCCATGTAGAGTTTCCATGTAGTGGATTAACTGGGACTAGTGCTCAAAGCCCATGCTTTGCCAGTGTTCTGTTTCCTGCAGAATCGGCCAGTCTCTGAACTGACCAAAAATCTAAAAAGCTCCATATCACAACAAAAATTAGTATTGATTAGTAATAAAGGTAAACTTAAGGGTAAGAGAATCAATTTCAATTAGGACTAGGTAGCCAGAAATACACAGTTGTGAGTTAAATGACCAAATTTTTGTTCAGGGTACGTATTATCACATTTGACTTACAGTGACTAAAACATAGTGAGGGTTCTGGCCACAGTTCATAACTGTGAAACTCCATCTTTCTCCAGGAGAAGTCATAGGACTGCGAGTGAACTCCGTGGAAGATCTCATATGTTTGCATATACATGTATATAAAATGTGTCAGGGTGTCACTATTTATAGCAGTAAACTAGAAAGCTGCAGCTTCTTGGTAGATTGGAATCTGTTAGATAACTAGATTAATAATATAACTTGAAAGTTAGAAAGTACTGAATCAACTTGGAGATACCACTTGCTTATTTTTTAATATGAGTATCTGTGACAATCTCCCATTTTTCCTTGATTCTGAGATACAAATTATACATTTTAAACTGCCTGAAATTAAGCATACATCTTACAATTGATGGGCTCTTAGATTTTATTAAAGATGGTAAATAAGGGAATGATTCTGAATTTCTTAATATTATTGCACACTTTGTTAGTGGTTGGTTTAGGATTTATATATACACCTTTCATTTCTCAGTCTACCATCAAATGATGTTAACCATTTCACATGTGGGATAAGCAGCTTATAACGTGTGCTTTCCTTTCTCCCTCCCAACCTTTGTTCTGTTTTATATTTGTTATTAACCCAATACATGTCGTATTATTTCTGCTTTGAACACTAACAGTAAATCTTTTAAAGAGGTATCTGTCATGAAGGGAAAGTATTCACTCACATAGTTATCATTTACAAGACTTTCATTGTTTTGCATCGGTAACAAATTTTTATCTGGTATCTTTTCTTTCCCCCTGCATGAAGGACTGCTTTAACATTTCTTGTAGTGCAGATGTGCTAGTGGCAAATTAGTTTAAGTTTTTATATCTGAAAATGTCTTTGTTTCATCTTTATTTTTGAAAGAGATTTTGCAGGGTGTAGAATTTTGTTATTTTGTTTGCTTGTTTTTTTATTGTTTATTTTTTAGAGATAGGTTCTTGCTATGTTGCCCAGGCCAGCCTCAACTCTTGGGCTCCAGATCCTCCTGCTACAGACTCCCCAGTGGCTGGGACTACAGGCACATAACCACTGTGCCTGGCTGTTTTTCTACCCCCATCATTTCAGGCAACAGGATAAATCCAGTCCCTGTTACTCCATTGTGGCTGGAAGCAGAAGGTCCACACTTAAGTACTTTAAATTCCTACAAACCTGAACCTAAAATATAGACCTCAACAACTGTGAGTCTCTGTGATTTTGCAGATCTAAGTTTGTGGAAGGCTAGTGCCTGAGAAAGGCAAGGATTTTGGCTGAATGATGTGAATTTGCTCCTGATTCTTATGTAAAGCTTCACTGGCAGCACCCTTTTACTAAAATGGAGGATTTCCTGCCTTCTTTCCACATTGTTTTTTCCTTGTGGAAACATTTATATTTGCTATCAAGAATTAGAGTAAGAATGTTGAAACCGTATGTGCTGCACAGACTCATTCTCTTTTAGAGCCTGATGCATTGTTAGAAATAAACCAGTGTGTCCAACCTCCTCCATCAGACGAGAACTGAGTCTGAAGGACCCTTTCCTAGCGTGTCTGGAATGTCAGGATTTTATAGGGAAGCTCGTGGTGGGTGCATTCAACCAGCTTTAGAGATTTCATGCCAGACCAGTGATTTCCAGTTAACCTGCCCTTTTTTTTTTTTTTAGCAGCTTTATTGAGGTTGGAGGGGAAGTTTTCATTGTATGCCTTTTTATATGTTTGTGTATGTGTAACCATATCCATATATTACTTTATCCATTCAAAAATAAACCGCTAGATTTCTTGGGAGGAAAAAACCACTTGACCTTTGTTTCTTCTTACCTAACAGAGTCCAAGTAACAAAACATACATGATGTCAATAAGTGAATCCAAGCCTTAGATAACTTTGATTGAAGGCTGGTTTGTTGCTGTGGAAAAGATCTGGATAATTAAGGACACCTTCTCTGAACATTGCTTATCTTCCCATTTTTAGTATGGCGGTCACATGTGTGAAATTGTCTGTGTATCAGCAGATTCTGTGACTGCAAAGTTATTTTGGATGCAGAGGGATACTGATAGAACGTCACTAAACAGCTGGTCTAACAGCTAGGTGTTGGTATTTGCTATACAATCTGGGTGTCCAAAGACACAATAGGACAGCAAGGTACTTAGAAGCTCCGCAGAGACTGGTTCAGAAATACTTTATCACATACTCCTATGCCTTTTATTTATTCCTTTTCATGTGTCAAGGATAATTCTGTTACTTCCTAGTAATGCTTTCCCCAAATATCCTGAGTGATATTGCTACAGATGTTACTAGCCACTTAATACCTGAAAGTTTTTTTTTTCCTTTTTTTTTTTTTTTTCTTAAGAGTGTCTCACTCTGTTACTCAGGTTGGAGTGCAGTAGCACAGTCATAGCTCGCTGCATCCTCAAACTCAAGGGCTCAAGCGATCCCCCCACTTCAGCCTCTTGAGTACCCGGGACTGTGGGCATGCGTGACATGTCTGGCTAATTTCTTTTCTGTTTTTTGTAGAGACAGAGTTTCTTTGTGTTGCCCAGGCTAGTCTCAAACTCCTGGCCTCAAGCAATCTTCTGGCTTTGGCTTCCCAAAGTACTGGGATTACAGGCTTGAGCCATTACACCTGGCCAAATACGTGAAACTTAAATTTTTTTTTAACATGAAAAATTCAAACTCTTAGACTGTAAAATGGATAATGGATCAAATAGATTTAATAATTGTTATAATTTTGCTCAATTCTTTTTTTTCCCTCTTTGAGGCAGAGTTCCACTCTTGTTGCCCAGGCTGGAGGGCAATGGCATGATCTTGGCTCACTGCAATCTCCCCCTCTTGGGTTCAAGCATTTCTCCTGCTTCACCCTCCCAGGTAGCTGGGATTTCAGGCACCCACCATTACATCTGGCTAATTTTTGTATTTTTAGTAGAGACGGGATTTCATCATATTGGCCAGGCTGGTCTGGAGCTGCTGACCTTAGGTGATCCGCCCACTTCGGCCTTCCAAAGTGCTGAGATTACAGGTGTGAGCCACTGTGCTCAGCCTCAATTCTTTTTTTGCTAAAGTATTTCGAAGTATAGACATAATAGCATTATATCCCTATATACTATGACATGAATCTCTAGAAAATAAAGACATTTCTCTACACAGCCACCATGTCTTTGTCCCACTGTACAAAATTTTCTTTTAGACGTGGAAATTCTGATTGCAGTACTGGTAAAGTAAACGGCTAGTGCTTATTCAACTCCTTAGGGCCTTAAGGGGGTAGGAAAAGATAGGTATTACTGAAAGATAAAAATCAAGGAAATCCTTTGATTCCGATTAAAAGGTATTTTAGGATCTTTAGAGTTAAATCATTCTGGTGTTTAGATTCACTTTGTACGTCTTCACTCTGTGTTAACAACCAACCCTGCTCATCTTTAGGGTAGGAGGAGAGAAACTGTAGATAGACTTTCTTAAAAAGGAAACAGAAATGTATGCCGATGCTTGAATTAAAGCTCTCCCCTTGCAGGCTCTTATTTTTCTATATCTGCACAGGAGAGCTCAGCAGAAGAAAATTCTTTTCGTAAATGTTGTTGACAGACTTGATTTGAATCTTCAGGTACATTTACTTTTTAGTAACAGGATAGTGTCAGTCAGCTGGTTACTATTAGATATACTTTTTGCCATATTGAAATAAGATGCGGCTGGGCGCGGTGGCTCACGCCTGTAATCCCAGCACTTTGAGAGGCTGAGGTGGGTGGATCACCTGAGGTCAGGAGTTTGAGACCAGCCTGGCCAACACGGTGAAACCCCGTCTCTACTAAAAACATAGAAAATTAGCTGGGCATGGTGGTGCGTGCCTATAATCCCAGCTACTTGTGAGGCTGGGGCAGGAGAATCACTTGAATGTGGGAGGTGAAGGTTGCAGTGAGCTGAGATTGTGCCATTGCACTCCAGCCTGGGCAACAAAAATGAAATTCCGTCTCAAAAAAAAAAAAAAAAAAAAGAAAAAAAGAAAAAAGATGCTCCCTCAGATGCGTAAGAGTAATAGTTTTGAAGATTTGAGAACTGCCTGCTTGCTTCTTTATTTTATTTGATCTCTCTGGGCATTCGATGTTGGTTTTCTGCCTGTTGAAATTCTTTATTGGCTTTCATTCTTTCCTACTTCTCACGTTATCTCTTGATCTCGATTTCTTTGTGTTTCTTCTCCTTCAACGCTAAGTGTGGTGCGCATTCATTCCACTCGTGCTCTTTAGCCGATCACAGTAAAATGTCAGGTGGAGCTAGGCTGAGCCAAGGAGAATAGAGCATAGACTTTATGGGCTTCTCAGAAGGAAGACTTCTCACTCTTGAGAGAGACATAGGACTAAGGAAGCATGTAGTTTCAGTTGCTGGGGGAAGCCTAGAGCGAGAAAGAGACAGACTTTAGGATGAAACTGACACATTGGAAGGCAGGATGAACAGACTGGGTTACCGATGACATCGTTGAGCTACCAGACCACCCAATAGCATGTTGCATGACTTTGGATCTCCTTGAGCTTATTCTACGTGGACTTTGATGAGCACCTTGGAGGTGTATATTCATGTCATTCATCAAATTTGGGACATTTCAGCCATTATTTCTTCAAATATTTTTTCTTTTTCTCCTGGGAAAGAATCATTAGACTTTCCCTGGCTTTGGTTTCCTCATTTATAAAACGAGGATAATAATGGCTGCTCTTAGTTATTTGGGGGGTTTAATGGAGATGACCTGTTAGTTGATCAGTAAATTGTAGTTCCTTCCTCATTCATTGCTTGACATAGAGGATTGCTTAAGAAAACAGCAGTGTGAATACAAAAAATTAGCCGGGCGTGATGGCAGGCACCTGTAATCCCAGCTACTTGGGAGGCTGAGGCAGGAGAATTGCTTGAACCTGGGAGGTGGAGGTTGCAGTGAGCCCAGATCGTGCCATTGTACTCCAGCCTGGGTGAGAGAGTGAGACGCCGTCTCAAAAAAATAAAAAAGAAAAAGAAAACCACAGTGTGGAATTTATCGACACTTAGATCTAATACAGGAAGCAGGAAATTAAAAATTTTATGTTAATTGTATTATTTGTATCTTTGTGAAGCATATTTTATTTTTTTCTGTTTGAGACAAAAGTTTACTAAGAAAGACCTGAAGAAAATAGTGTCTTTTTGCAAAATTTTTTTGCTTTGCCATGTTTACTTTATCATAAGCTGAACATTGTGTTCTTAATTTATATCGTAATGAAAACATTTAACTGATTAGGGATCACAGTACCTACAGTACCCTTGAAAATATTAATAAATTTGTTCTCTTTTTTTAGGCATAACCATTGCCATCCAAAAGTTATTTTCTGTGATGAACAGCTTTTTGGTTTCAGATGACCATTGGCTTATTTAGGAAGAAGATATGGCCTACTTTTTCTCTTTTCATTTGTCTCTTTCTTTTTTCTTTTTTTAAAATTATTTATTTATTTATTTTTTGAGATGGAGTTTTGCTCTTGTGGCTCAGGCTGGAGTGCAATGACGCGATCTCGGCTCACTGCAACTTCCACCTCCTGGGTTCAAGTGATTCTCCCGCCTCAGCCTCCCGAGTAGCTGGGACTATAGGCGCCCGCCACGGCACCCAGCTAATTTTTGTATTTTTAGTAGAGATGCGGTTTCACCATGTTAGCCAGGATGCTCTCGATCTCTTGACGTCATGATCCGCCTGCCTTGGCCTCCCAAAGTGCTGGGATTACAGGCGTGAGCCACGTGCCCGGCCTATTTACTTTTTTAATCTACACAATGGGCTTCTTTGATGTTATTGGTACATATCTTCTGTTGCAGTGCACAGAAATTTTTCTGATATACCTGGGAGTAAAATTGCTGGGTCATAGCAGATGCACTTCTTTGATATTAATAGACAAATTGTTTTCCAAAGTTCTCTCGATGACAGGTCACAGTCTGGTGAGATTGAAATGCATGTGTTGTTTTCAAGGTTTTTTTGTTTTTTGTTTTTGTTTATTTTTAAAGAGATGGGAGTCTCGCTCTGTCACCCAGGCTGGGATGCAGTGGCTGGTCACTGCAACCTGGAACCCCTGAGCTCAAGCGATCCTCCCACCTCAGCCTCCTGAGTACCTGGGACTACGGATGCGTGCCATCACGCCTGGCTTTTTCCCCAAGGTTTTATATTTTATCAGTTGTACACGTATTAAAGAGTCAACTGTAATGTTTGTAATGGGGGCAAGCATTGCCTTGCCTTGTCACTTTCTTGTCCCCAAGGTGTAACCACTTTTATCCCTTTTTGCTTTTTTGTGTCTGTTTCGGTATCTGTTTTGCATGTCAGAGGCTTACCTCCAGTTTGGGAAGGAAGAAGTAAAAAGTGTATTAGAAGCTCTGAGTGCAGCAGAAGGCCGTGTTGACTGTTTCTCTGTAGGGTGATGTGGGTGTACTGGTTGTTGGTGTCTGCCCCTCAGATCATTATCTTTAGAGCTGAAGCCTGTGGGATGCTTCAGAGAAGACGCTTGTCCCAGCCTCTGTCCAGGGTGGTGGGAGAGGAGTAAATGGCCCGTGGCCTGCAGTCGGGGAGCCCAGTGGAGAAGGCGGCTTGGTGATGAGTATGTTTGCTTTTATCTCTCACCCCTGTTTTTAGTAGGGTGCCCTTGCCCTCAAACGTGTTAGAAGTGCCCTAGTCTCTCTGTTTTGTTCTCTAAAGATAAATAAGCAGTCTTCCGTGGCGTGGGAGAGAAGAGGCAGGCATCCAGTGGCATTTCAAAGAGCCTTTCAACCAGTTCTCCTTATTTTAGTTGACCCTCCTTCACAGCCCCCTCCAGAGTTACGTAGTGAAGCCAGAGCCTAAGCCTTGTGGGGATTCTCTCACGTAAATTAGGTTACTTGGTCTACGCCACTGTGGGCTTCAAAGTTTGCTTTTCCATGTGGATTAAATCAGCTGTGGCTAGTCCAGTTTGGCTTCAAGCTCATAAAAATGTGGCGGTTCTTTCTGTTTCCATTCTCTTTGTTGTGACAGGTTTTGAGTTTTTTAAATTGCTAATTATGATTACTACAGTTTTAGTGGATGTCTCCTTTTTTTTTTTTTTTTTGAGACGGGAGTCTTGCTCTGTCGCCCAGGCTAGAGTGCAGTGGCACGATCTTGGCTCAGTGCAACCTAATGGAGGTCTCTTGTTGGGATTTTAATTTGTATTTCCTTGACTATTAAGAGAGTTGACATCCTTTTATCAGCCCATTCATATTAATTTTTTGGTCTTGTGCCTATGCAAGTCATTTGCCCAATTTCCTTTTTTCTTTTGAGACGGACTCTCGCTCTGTCACCCAGGCTAGAGTGCAGTGGTGGGATCTCGGCTCACTGCAACCTTTGCTTTCCTGTTTCAAGCGATTCTCCTGCCTCAGCCTCCCCAGTAACTGGGATTACAGGCGCCCACCACTACACCCAGCTAATTTTTTGTATTTTTAGTAGAGACGGGGTTTCACTATGTTGGCCAGACTGGTCCAGAACTCCTGACCTCAGGTGATCCACCTGTCTCTGCCTCCCAAAGTGCTGGGCTTACAGGCATGAGCCACTGTGTCTGGCCCCATTTGCCCATTTTCTAAGCACGGAGTTGTTATGTCTTTTAAAAATTGACTTGTGGGCCAGGTGTGGTGGCTCAGGCCTGTAATCTCAGCATTTTGGGAGGCCAAGACGGGTGGATCACTTGAGGTCAGGAGTTCAAGACCAGCCTGGCCAACATGGTGAAACCCCGTCTCTACTAAAAATACAAAAAATTAGCCGAGCGTGGTGGTGCACGCCTATAATCCCAGCTACTCGGGAGGCTGAGGCAGGAGAATCACTTGAACTCAGGAGGTGGAGGTTGCAGTGAGCTGAGATCGTGCCACCGCACTCCAGCCTGGCGACAGAGCGAGACTCTGTCTCAAAAAAAAAAAAAAAAAAAAATTGACTTGTGGCTGGGCACAGTGGCTCACATCTGTAATCCCTGTGCTTTAGGAGGCCAAGGTAGGAGTTTTGCTTCAGGCCAGGTGTTCAAGGCCAGCCTGGGCAACATAGCAAGACCCTGTCTTTAAATTTAAAAAAAAAAAAATTAGCCAGACATGGTGGCGCATGTCTGTAATCCTAGCTACTTGGGAGGCTGAGGTGGGAGGATTGCTTGAGCCCAGGAGTTCAAGGCTACAGTGAGCCATTGCAGCATTTCACTGCAGTGAGATCCTGGCCAGCAGAGTGAGATCCTGTCTCTACAAAAAACAATAATATAATTTGTAGGAGTTACATATTTTGAATCCGAATTCTTTGGCAGTTTCTGGCTCAGCTCTTCTTCACTCTGTGGTGTGGAACTTTTGGAGAATAAAGTTTTTATTTATTAATTTTTTTTTGAGACACAGATTCTGTGTTGCCCAGACTGGAGTGCAGTGGCACAGTCAGCCTCACAGTCATGATCATAGCTCACTGCAGCCTCAAACTCCTGGGCTGAAGTGATCCTCCCACCTCAGGCTCCCAAAGTGACTGGGCCCACAGGCATGCACCACCATGCCTGGCTATTTTTCATTTTCTTTAGTTCAGATGGGGGTCCCACTGTATTGCCCAGGCTGGTCTCGAACTCCTGGCCTCAAGTGATCCTCCCACCTTGGCCTCCCAAAGTGCTTGGATACAGGCATGAGCCACCTTGCCTGGCCTAGTTTCTTAACTTTGATATAATTAAATGTATTAATATTTTCCTTTGTGATTTATATTTTGTCTATCTTGTTTAAGAAGTCCTTCCCTGGCTGAGTGCAGTGAACCCAGGAGACGGAGGATGCAGTGAGACAAGATTGTGCCACTGCACTCCAGCCAGGGTGACAGAGTCAGATTCTGTCTCAAAAAAAAAAAAAAAAAAAAAAGTCCTTCCCTACCCTGAAATTATAAAAAAAATTCTCCTGTATTTACTTCTAAAAATTGTGTAGCGTTTCCCCTTCACATTTATACTTTTAATCCACTTGTAATTGATTGAAAATATGTGTGATTGATAACATACAATCTGCTTTTATTTTTTCCATATAAATAACTGTTTTCACACATATTTATTGAAGAGTCCAGTCTGTTTTTGAGCTGAGTGTCAGCTCTGCTGTGAATCATATTTTCGTCGGCCTGTGGTCTTTTCCTGGGCGCTGTCTATGTTGATTTATTTATTTATTTATTTTAATTTTTGTAGAGAAAGGATCTCACCATCTTGCTCAGGCTGGTCTTGAACTCCTGGGCTCAAGCGATCCTCCTGCCTCAGTGTCCCAAAGTGCTGGGATTAGAGACGTGAGCCACCGTGCCTGAATTTAGCCTTCTTTCATAGTCATCATTTTATTTGTGAGACTCATCCATATTGATAGACTTAGCTCATTCTTTTTAATTTTTTTTTTTTCCCGAAACAGAATCTCCCTCTGTTGCCCAGGCTGGAGTGCAGTGATGTGATTTTGCCTCACTGCAGCCTCCGCCTCCTGGGTTCAAGCAGTTCTCCTGCCTCAGCCTCCCGAGTAGCTGAGATTACAGGCATGCGTCACCACACCCAGCTGATTTTTGTATTTTTAATAGAGATGGGGTTTCACCGTGTTGGCCAGGCTGGTCTCAAACTCCTGACCTCAAGTGATCCACCCACCTCAGCCTCCTAAAGTGCTGGGATTACAGGCATGAGCCACCGTGCCTGGCCTGAAAAAATATTTTTGTTGGATGGGATTCTATTTTATGAATGTACCGCAATTTATTCGTGTTCTTACTGATGAATATTTAGGCTGTTTTCTGGTTATAAAGAGCGCTCCTATGAGTGTCTCAGATACAGTCTCAATGGGAGCATTTCTTTAGGATAAATACCTGCGTATGGAATTGCTGGGTGGCAGCATGTACCCACCTCAACCTTGCTGGATGTTGCCAATGTGTTCTCCAAAGTAGTTAATTATTTTTTTCTTCTTTCAGTGCCTGAAGACCTCTCATTAGAAGAGAGAGAAGAACTTCTAGACATTCGTCGAAGAAAAAAGGAACTTATTGATGACATTGAGGTAAAAAAAAAAAAAAAAAACCAAAAATCCAAAACTCTGTTTTTTGCTTTTGAGTAAAATAGTAAAAGAGTAGCCTCACAAAAATGTAAAAAAAAAAAAAAACCCAAAAACAAAAAATAACAAAAAAAAAAGATGTTTAGTGTGTGCATATAAGAACTACACAAAGAGACAGAGTGAAAAGTTATCAAGTTGGGAAAGCAAAGACTCCACACAGGCAGTGAGACCCCGGGTAGAAATCAAGACATCGTAGAACTGAGGTCAGCAGTAGCCAGCTCGCAAACCCAGGGCCACAGGCAGCGTATCATCTAAAGCAGCAGCAAGCCACGAGCGCATTGCTCTGTCAAATTGTGCACTGAGACCCTCTTTCGTTAACTAATATGTTTTTTTGTTTGTTTTTTTCTTTTTGCTTTTTTGAGACAGAGTCTCGCTCTGTTGCCCAGGCTGGAGTGCAGTGGCACAATCTGGGCTCACTGCATCCTTTGCCTCCTGGGTTCACGCCATTCTCCTGCCTCAGTCTCCTGAGTATCTGAGATTACAGGCACCCACCACCACACCCAGCTAATTTTTTGTATTTTTAGTAGAGACAGGGTTTCACTGTGTTAGGCAGATTGGTCTTGATCTCCTGACCTCGTGATCCGCTCACCTCAGCCTCCCAAAGTGCTGGGATCACAGACGTGAGCCACTGCGCCCAGCCACCAATATGTTAATGTTCTAGCACCTAGAACATTGCCTGTTCCATTTTTGGCTCTCAGATGCCCTTTGAGTGAATATGTGGGCATGTATTGGGTTCCAGCTGTGTACCAAGTGCCTACCAGGTGGTAGGAGTAGGATGACACATTAGGCCGGGCACAGCGGCTCACACCTGTTATCCCAGCACTTTGGGAGGCCAAGGCAGGAGGATCTCTTGAGCCCAGGAGTTCAAGACCAGCCTGGGCAACATGGTCAAACCCCATCTCTACAAAAAATGCACGCCACCATGCCCAGCTAAGTTTTGTACCTGTAGTCCCAGATACTCGGGAGGCTGAGGTGGGAGGATCACCTGAGCCCAAGAAGCTGAGGCTACAGTGAACTGTGATTGTGCCAGTGTACTGCGGACTGGGCAACAGAGCAAGACCCTGTCTAAAAAAAAGAAAAAGTAAAGACAAATAAAAACACAGGCACACAAACATGGGCTCTTCCACACTTGTGTACTTTACTCAGAGGATGGGGTAGAGGGCGGTCCCACAGGAGAAGCATGTGAATAAAGCCACCGTCTCGGCGTGGGAGAGCCTGTGATTGTTACAGAAGTGATTCAGAGGGCCGGCCCTGGCTCCTTCCGTTTGGGGCTTCCTTGGGAAAGTCAATCAGACATGGAGGTCTTCTTTGAGAAGCTTTCTAGTCATTGTCATTGCCAAAATAAATGTGGCTTCACAGGCCACGGCAAGGACAGGCCTTGTCCCAGACAATAGCTCCTTTCTAGGAGTTTGCGTTTTAAGTCCGAGTGTCTTGGCATATAATAGGGTCCTGAATAAAAATGTCTTTGTATTTGAAAGGTAATTCATGGAAATTTTTCTTCTAAGGTTACCCTTCATTCTTGGGAAAATCAGATAACCCAGAATTGGTCTCTGGTTGAAGAATAAGGATGTATATTATTTGGACCTTAGTAATCAGCCTGCTGGATAAATGTGGAATCGTAATCTAGCTCTAACTACTTCATTTTATCAGTGAGCACACTGAGGCCCAGGGAAGTTGGAGGCTTCCAGAGGTCAGTCTCATTAGTAGGGGTCACATCAAGGGAAAGGGGGTCTGTCCCCTTGGATGCATTTGGCTTCTCTGAGTGCCCTGAGTCAGTTCTGTTCACCCCCGGGCTCTGTCCATGGTGCTTCATCTCATTCAAGGTGATACAAGTGATCCTGAGACCACTGACCTAAACACACCTGAGCTTCAGCCTGAGACCACCGATCTAAACACACCCGAGCCTCAGCTTCTCCCTGGGAACACAGGCAGTGTTGAAGGAGGAGGCAGGTGACAACTGTTTGCATGGCAGGGCTGAATAGTGCAGTTAAGCGAACTGAGGACTCATGGCTTTCCTTTTGCTGGGCTTTTTTTTTTTGTTTTTTTGTTTTTTTTAAAAAAAGAGACCAAGTCTTGCTCTGTCACCCAGACTGGAGTACAGTGGTGTGATCATGGCTCACTGCAGCCTCAAACTCGTGGGTTCATGCAGTCCTCCCTCCTCAGCCTCTCTAGTAGCTAGGACTACAGGCATGTACCACCACACTCAGCTAATTTTTCTGTTTTTCTTTTTTGTAGCAATGAGGCCTTGCTACATTGCCCAGGCTGTTCTCAAACTCCTGATCTCAAGCGATCCCTCTGCTTCAACCTCCCAAAATGCTGGGATTACAGGCATGAGCCACTGCTCCTGGCTTGGTTTTATCTTTTCACAGCTGTGATATTCCCCCCCCAGTGTGCTTGCCTGATTTTATATACAAATACCCTAGGATCTGCAGAGTGGACCCCTCTGAACCTGGTATCTGATGAAAAGTGAGCAAAGAATTTTGTGTTCTCCTAAGTTGTGGTGGCTTTGACTATGAAGCTCTAGCTGTATTGATAATAGTATTGGTTTTTCCATCCCTGTGATGCTCCGGTGAGACCGCAGGGAAGCTTGTCACAAGAGAACTAAAATTTCTGAGTCTCAGGGGAGGAAGGTTAAGACCCACTCCCCACCTCGAAATTCTTCTTTTTTGACAGAGGCTGAAATATGAAATTGCAGAGGTGATGACAGAGATCGACAATCTAACTTCCGTAGAGGAGAGGTAACAATTTGTGGCTACACCTTTAAGCTATTTACTCTTTTCTTTCTACCTCCATCCTGTAGTCAAACTTGCAGAAAGTGGGGTGAGAGTGGTTGGGATGTGGGGAGCCTGTGGAGTTGTTAATTCCTCTCCTCTCCCCCTACTCTGCGTGGAGGGGTCCAGGGGTGTTTCCCTGGATGTTACCTCCCATTGCCTCCTCTGTAAGTCATCATCTGCCTTTATAGGTTCAGGCATAAGCACAGGCACTTCAGGGTTGACCCGCACAGAAATTACCTGCCTGCGTCATAAGGAACTGTGCTTTATTAAAATCACTGGTTTGCATCATTAGCTTTTTCTGAAGTGTCTCAAGTTATCAAATGTGAACAGCAATGGTGGCTGCACCACCCCTGCCGCCACTGCGGAGACTGGGGGCCCCTCCGTGAGGGCCTGTGCTTCGCTTCCTTGAGCCCGTTGTTGCGGGGGAAAGTACACTGGAGGGCCGTGACTGGGCTGCATTGTGAAAACAGCATGAGTGATTTTTAAATTATTTCACACCAATAGCAAAACGACTCAGAGGAACAAACAGATAGCCATGGGAAGAAAGAAATTCAACATGGATCCCAAAAAGGTAAGAGAATGCTCTCCCTTTTCTGGCCTGCAGGAGATGGACTAATTGATTTGAACTGCCGTTTCCCTTTTGGACAGAGGTCAGAGGTGGTCCGCCCTGTCACCTCATAAAAGACTGGGAGTTGAAGGCACATTTTTATCAAAAAGGGGCTTTTCGCGAGTGGGGTGAAGCAGAAGTGCCTTGTAGGGCTGGTGCCCTGGGCAGAAAGGCCTTTCTTTCAGAGTGAGCTGCTGGGTGAGGAAGCAGCCTCACAGGCACGGCTTGGACGACTCAGCACAGGCCGGGCTTGGCTCCAGGCAGTGCCCTTGCTGTCGAGGCTCATATTCGCATCTTCCCGCTTGACCTGGGTCAGGGAATCACGTGACTAGGAAGGAGCAGGGGTGGGAGTGGAACCCTGGTGTCCAGAGGTTACGGACTTTATAATCTGGGTGGGTTAAGTGGTTCACATAAGAGGACTTTATTCCTCCATTCACCTTAAAAAGCAGGTGTCTGTGAAAAAACAAGGGATCCTCCACATTTAAGCCAGCATCTTTCTCTTTCCTCAAGTTGGATTTTCTAGGGAGACACTCGAAAACCGTGAAACCTGAAACATGTAGCTGCTTGTTTTTGAGACCGAGCTAAGGGATTTGGCAGAATCTGTGAAGCTTTTTGGGGGACATTTTGGTTTTGAGAAAGAAGGGTAGACCTGAGTCTTCAGGGTTGAGGAGAGGAACGGCGTGTCCACGGGAAGGTCTCGCTGCAGAGCTGGTTCACGCCACTCCTGTGGTCTTCAGTCGGTCTGCACTTTTTTTTTTTTTTTTTTTTTTGAGATAGAGTCTTGCTCTGTCACCCAGGCTGGAGTGCAGTGGCACGATCTTGGCTCACTGCAAGCTCCGCCTCCCGGGTTCACGCCATTCTCCTGCCTCAGCCTCCCGGGTAGCTGAGACTACAGGCGCCCGCCACCACGCCCGGCTAATTTTTTGTATTTTTAGTAGAGATGGGGTTTCACTGTGTTAGCCAGGATGGTCTTGATCTCCTGACCTCATGATCCGCCCGCCTCGGCCTCCCAAAGTGCTGGGATTATGTGCGTGAGCCACCGTGCCTGGCCCAGTCGGTCTGTACTTCTAACGTTCCCCTTGCTTTTCTGGCATTGAGCCTCTGTGCTAATGAGTTAATTATTTGTTCCTTCGATAAATATCTGATTGCAGAATTCCATTGTACAAGGTCTAAGATCTGTAAACTCACATAAGTGCAGGTGCAGTTGCAGGTGATATTTACAGAAGTGCATGTCGTTATTTCCTGCTCACGGTTTGCAGGTCTGGGACTGCAGGTATGCGCCACTGCACCCAGATAATTTTTTTTTTTTTTTTTGAGACAGAGTCTAACTCTGTTGCCCAGGCTGGAGTGCAGTGGTGCGATCTCGGCCCACCGCAAGCTCCACCTCCCGGGTTCACACCATTCTCCTGCCTCAGCCTCCCGAGTAGCTGGGACTACAGGTGCCTGCCACCATGCCCGGCTAATTTTTTGTATTTTTTTTTAGTAGAGACGGGGTTTCACTGTGTTAGCTAGGATGGTCTCGATCTCCTGACCTTGTGATCTGCCCACCTTGGCCTCCCAAAGTGCTGGGATTACAGGCGTGAGCCCAGTGCACCCGGCCCAGTTTCACCACGTTGGCCAGGCTGGTCTCGAACTCCTGACCTCAGGTGATCTGCCCACCTCAGCCTCCCAAAAGTGCTGGGATTACAGGCATGAGCCACTGCGCCAGGCCATGTCTGGATTTTCTTAAGGCCCAGCACATCTGCACCCAGAGGAGGGTTTTTGTTTAATGCATACACTCTAGCCACTGTGAAAACTTTCCTGTTGCTTTCTGGTTCTCTGCTTATGGGGCATAAATCATCTCCAAGATGGAATGAAAATTGTCAATTTTGTGAATTTGGAAATGATTTGATATTTTGGGTAACAGCTTTTCTTTAAGGAGTTGGAACTGTGGAGTTAGATTTATCAGCAGATGTAATAAGCATTGGAAGCATCTCAGGTTCTTTATGAAAGTGGATGTGCTCAGAACTGGGTCTTATGTTTTAAGGGGACCCAAGTAGTGCAGCACAGGGCAGCACACCAGTAAGTTCATGGATAAATTCTAATCTCATGAAATACATACAAATAAATACTTATTTTTTAAAGGGATGCTACTGAGTCCTGGTGCGGTGGCTTACGCGTATAATCCCAGCACTTTAGGAGGCCCAGTTGGGCAGATCACCTGAGGTCAGGAGTTTGAGACCAGCCTGGCCAACATGGTGAAACTCCATCTCTACTAAAAATACAAAATTAGCTGGGCGTGGTGGTGGGTGCCTGTAGTCCCAGCTACTCGGGAGGCTGAGGCGCGAGAATCGCTTGAACCTGGGAGTCAGGTTGCAGTGAGCTGAGATTGCATCACTGCACTCCAGTCTGGGCGACAAGAGTAAGAGGCTGTCTCTCAAAATAAGTAAATAAATAAAGTGATGCCACTACTGTGCATCAGGTTTCAGCTTCATGAGCGTAAACTTTTCTTCATGCCTATGAAGCCCTCTCTGTCAGGCTCTTGACTGTCTTCCTGTTTTATATATACCGTGTGTCAGATTTATAATAAGGGCCAACAAAACTACAAGTTTTGTAGACTTGAATATAGCACTTGTCAGTCCACTTGAGCCTTCCTAACACAATACCACAGAGGGGGCCAGGCGCGGTGGCTCACGCCTGTAATCCCAGCACTTTGGGAGGCTGAGGCGGGTGGATCATGAGGTCAGGAGATTGAGACCATCCTGGCTAACACAGTGAAACCCCGTTTCTACTGAAAATACAAAAAATTAGCCGGGTGTGGTGACGGGCGCCTGTAGTCCCAGCTACTCGGGAGGCTGAGGCAGGAGAATGGCGTGAACCCGGGAGGTGGAGCTTGCAGTAAGCCGAGATTCCGCCCCTGCACTCCAGCCTGGGCGACAGAGCGAGACTCTATCTCAAAAAAAAAAAAAAAAAAAAAAAAAAAAAGCCACAGAGGGGGTGCGTAAACAATGGAAATGTATTTTCTTACAGTTCTGGAGGCTGGAAGTCCGAGATGAGGGTGCCAGCATGATTGGTGTCTGGTGAGGGCTCTCTTCCTGGCTTGCTAGTAGCCGCCTTCTTGCTGTATCCTCACATGCTGGGGAGTAAGGAGAACTTACTCACTCTAGGGTGATGTTCTTATAAGGGCACAAATCCCATGAGGCCAGGACCTCATGTAACACTGATTACCTCCAAAAGACCCCGTCTCCAGATAGCATCACAGTGGGGGTTTGGGCTTCAACATATGAATTGTGGGGGGGACACGGACATTTCGTTCACAGCTGCAAAGGATGATCTCACATGCTTCAGACACAACTCAAAATTATATCTACCTCCCCATGCCCCTATTAAACCTGTAACACTATGAAGCATGAAGACATTGTCAGAGCAAATAAATTCCTTCCAGCTAGGATGGTGTTTTCTAAGTCTCAGAGTGATGACACTTTAAACAGGGAGCTTTGGTTTGTTGAGGTGCATTATTTCTAGAAGTAGTACTTGAGTTCATTAATGAGTAAGAGGGAAGGTTTGATTAGATCAAGGAAGCTGAAAACACTCTGCAGCCTCTCCTTTATTCCTGATTTCCTAGAAATGCCTTAAATAAAATATATAAATCTATATGACAAGCAGGGGTCCACTCAGTGGACTAGAAATTGAGGAATCCCTGGAAGAAGATAAATGGGATCAGCTGGAGAAGGAAACACTCCCCACAGCACATACAAGAAAGAACTGCCGGGGGCGGCAAGAGCAGCTTCAGAGTTCCCCGAGTGCAGAGGAGGTACATTCAGGGAACAGGACTGTGGGAGGGACGTCGAGACTGGTCACGCTCTCCTGACCTTGTGTCTAGCAGTGATTGTGTCTCCAGGTGGGAAAAGCAAGAGGGAGCACTTAGTCCGTGAAAACAGGCAGCGTCCTCGGTGGGTGGCAGCACCAACAAGGAGAAATACCCACTCCCAGAGACCAGCCGTTGGCTGCCTGACCTGCTCCTCTTCCAGATCACTGGAGGCAGCTGCAGCAAAAACCAGAAGCAAGTAGCATTCTGTTAGGCCAACAGTGACCCTAAAATACAAAGACAAACACCCACCAAGCACCACCAAGCGTTTGAGGAAACCAGCACCATGAAAGAGACATGAAACCCAACAAACAGAAGAACTAAGGCTGGAGGAAACAGACTTAATGGAAACAATAGAGGCGGGGAGGGCGGCTCATGCCTATAATCCTGACGTCTTAGAAGGTCTAGGTGGGAGGATCACTTGAGCTCAGGAGTTCAAAACCAGCCTAACATAGTGAGACCCTCATCTCTATAAACAGTTTTTTTAAAAAAATAAGCCAGGCATGGTGGTATGCACCTGTAGTCCCAGCTACTTGAGAGGCTAAGGTGGGAGGATCACTTGAGCCCAGGAGTTTGAGGCTACAATGAAATGTGATTGCACCACTGCATTCTAGCCTGGGTGACAGTAAGACTTTGTCTCTTAAATCCTTTATCAAGCCAGATGTGGTGGCATGTGCCTGTAGTCCAACTACTGGGAGGCTAAGGCAGAAGGATTGCTTCAGCCCAGGAGTTTGAGGCTGCGGTGAGCTGTGATTACACCACTGCACTCTAGCCTGGGCAACAGAATGAGACCCTGTCTCTTAAAAAAGAAGCAGGAGGCTGGGTGCGGTGGCTCACGCCTGTAATCCGAGCACTTTGGGAGGCCGGGGTGGGTGGATTGCCTGAGGTTAGAAGTTCAAGAGCAGCTTGGCTAACATGGTGAAACCCCATCTCTACTAAAAATAGAAAAAAATTAGCTGGGTATGGTAGCAGGCACCTGTAATCTCAGCTACTCGGGAGGCTGAGGCAGGAGAATCACTTGAACCCAGGAGGTGGAGGTTGCAGTGAGCCTAGATTGCACTAATGCACTCCAGCCTGGGCGATAAGAGCAAAACTCTGTCTCAAAAAAAACAAAACAAAATAAAAACAGAAGAAGCAAAAAAACAATAGGAGGAAACTTTTTATAGTAGGATATTTGTGTATATTATAAATATCATCAAAGAGATACGATAGGATGTTTCTTATCCATGATATAAAAATGGGGGATTGTGAAAAAGAACCTTGGAAATGAAAACTAGGAGTGTGTGTCACATCATCACTTGAGCATATGGAGAAGACGTGGCTGAAGAGTGGACGTGTGCTAGAACAGAGTTTAAGAATTCTTTATTCAGTTTTGCAGAGACCTACAAGAAAACATGCACGGTGGGTCCAGCAGCCCAAATTTCATGTAATAGAAGTCACAGAAGGAGAGAATGGAAAGTGGAGGAGAGGAAATATTTCAAAGAAATCTTGGAATATTTTAGAACTAAGAAAAATCCTTAGATTCAAAGGCCCCACCAAATGCCAAGCAGGATAAAAATTGAAAAGACTTATACACATAGACGTGTCAAGTAAAATGTTGTAAAACTCATGGATAGAGGAATTCATTAAATTTCCCAGGAAGGAAAGATCAGATTACCTAAGAAGAAATGAGGAGCACAGCAAGCTTGTCAGGGATGCTGGATCAAAGACAGGAGGGGAGCAGTGCCTGCCAAGGCCTGAGGAAACATGATTTAAAACCCCAAATTCTGTCTGTCCTGTCACTCACAAGAGAAGGTGAGGAAACACATGTTCAGACACACAAGGGCTTCTCTGATGTCTAGGAATTGTGTAATTGGAGCGTGACACCTCAAAACAAGAAATGACTACATAGGATAAAAAAGGAAAGGCATGCAAAGAAACAAGCAAAACTTTGAATGTCAAAGTGAGAAATTTATTGTTTAAAAGATTTTTTTTAAGTCCAAATTTATGTCAGTATTTAAGTAGCAAGGGGGAAAGGAAGGAAGGAAGGAACAGCTAAGGTTTTCTAGATGTTGATAGATAAAAATAAGTTTAAATACTTGTCAAAATTTTAAGAGTAATCACTGAAGAGAAATAGGATTTTTAAATTATTAACAAACATTGAATAAAGAAAGTTTGATCCATTCAACACAAGGCTGGAAAGGCCTGTGAAATAGAAAGTACCAAATAAGGGGTCAGGAGTAAGTGCTAACTAATCAGTGCTCACCGTAGATTTGATTGGGCTAAAGTAATGACAAGACAGACACTTGGGTATTAATAAAATAATATAAAATAAAATCCAGCTTTGGATTGAGACCCACACCTAGAAGAGAAACAGAAAAAGATAGAGTAGGTGTAGTGGGTCAAATGGTGCCACCGCCCCCATTTCTGCTGTTTGACTTTTAAATGGTATTTTAAAATAGTAAACATTTCTAATAATGTTAGAACACTCACTTTCTTTTATGAGTATTTACCTAGTGTATTAGTATTCTAGGGCTGCCATGACAAATGACCAGCAACGGGGTGGTTTAAAACAAGAGAAATCTATTCTCGCTCAGTTCAGGAGGCCAGAAGTCCGAGATCGGGGTGTGGGCAGGATTGCTGCTTAGACTGAGGGAGAATCCCTTCCAGCCTCGCTCCTGGCGGCTGCCACCCTCCTGGTCTCCACAGCCGTGGGCACCTCACTGTGGTCTCTGCCTCCATTGTCTTGTGGCCTTCTCTGCACCTTCTCCTCTCTGTCTCATAGGACAAGTGTGATTGAACGCAGAGCTTCTGTGTCCTCCTCCTCTGCTTGTCTCTTTGTCACCTGCCAGATAGCATTCTCCAAGAAATGTCAGTGTTTTGTGTGTTCTGAATTTTAGGGCAGGCCTTGAGCATCCAGAGGAAGGCATGGGAGCCTCATGCCCAGGCCCATTCAGTTCCCTGGGCTTCAGCTGACAGTGGCAGGGGCCTTCACCATGCAGGGTCAGGCCCCCAGCCCTGTAGCCCCAGAGATGACAGGACAACTAGTGATCCCTCAGGGTGTCCTGTCTCTCCTCCCACCTGCAGCTGATGGCCTCACCTGGCTTCTCCACCGGCCTCACTTGTTTTCCTCACTTAGAGCCAATAGCAAAGCCCCAGCACTGTCTTTCCTGCCCTAGGCTCTGTTTTCAGGGAACTTGGGCTGCATTAGGCCTCTCGAAGGACCAGACCTGCATTGCTACTGTGTGTGTGTGTGTGTGTGTGTGGTTTGTGTGTGTGTGGTTGTGTGTGGGTGTGTGTGGTGTGTGTGGTGTGTGTGGGTGTGTGTGGTGTGTCTGTGGTGTGGTGTATGTGGTGTGCGTGTGTGGTGTGTGTGTGGTGTGTGTGGTGGGTGTGTGTGGTAGGTGGTGTGTGTGGGGTGTGTGTGGTGGGGGTGTGGGGTGTGTGTGGTGGGTGTGTGTGTGTGGTGTGTGGGGTGTGTGTGGGGTGTGTGTGTGGGGGGGTGTGTGTGGTGTGTGTGTGGGGTGTGTGTGGGGTGTGGGGTGTGTGAGGTGTATGTGGGGGGTGTGTGTGTGTGGTGTGTGGTGTGTGTGTGTGTGTCTGTCTTGTAATTTAGATGGTGCCCCTGTGGGTACCATCACCAGATACATATGAGAATTGATTTAGGATTGTTAGACTCACTGATTTTTCTGGAGAATAACATTAAAACATGGTGCACAAATTCTAAATGTACAGCTTGAAGAATCTTTATAAATTAATACACTCACATAACTGCAACCCAGAACAAGCCGCAGTTGTAGAATATTACAGGGCACCTTTCTGATGCCTCATCCTAGGGAATTCACTCCCCAGGGTAACCAGTCCTTAATCACCATAAGTTTTGCCTTTTTAAAACCTTCTGTGAATGGAACTGAAATACTCTTCCGTGTCGTCTTTTGCTCCATATCATGTCTGTGAGATTCATTCTTGTGAGTGTTCATTCCATTTCATGGCTGTAGAGTCTTCCATCATGTGATTATGCCAGAATGTACTGATCGGTTCTCTTACTGACTGTTTTCAGTTTTTGGAAATAAGGCTGCTGTGGACGTTCGTGTGTTTAAAAAAAATAGGAAATTTCTGGATGGACCGTGAGGGTATGAGGCAGCCCTGGTCTTGGGTACTGAGAGTCTTAGCTGGATAAAGCCTCTCTGAATTTGTAGAAATGGCCTCCTGGCAAATTGATTTCTGAATTCCCTATTCCCTTGCCACCCTTGCCAACACATATTTTGAAACTGGCTGCAAGGCTGTGTTAGAGGTAAACATTTCTATTAATAGGTTCCTGGGACTTCTCATGAGACAGTGCTCAGCTGATTCAGGCCAGGGGCAGCCCATTGCCTTTGAGATTGTCAGCTGTGCCGCAGCCCTCAGAGTGGGCATGAGCTTTGACTGGATGAGCTTGGTGGCACAGCATGTCAGTATGTTTTTGGCATCAGGTAATAGAAAATCCAACAAAATGTATCTTACACAGGGCGAGGTTTATCTTCTCACACAGCTGTGTAGCAGTAGGTGGCTCCCAAGTGGCAAGAAGGCGGTCCCTGTACACATCTCAGGGTTTCCCATGTGAGATGGCCACTGTGGCTCTGGTCATCACATAAGTGTTCAAGGCAGAAAGGAGGAGGAAGAGCAGTGCTGGCTCATGGGCTCCTTTTTACCAGGAAATCAAAAACTTTCCCTCCAGGCTTGCCTTTCTGTCTGGCCAGATCTGGGTCACAAGGTCATTTCTAGTGCCAAAGGCAGCCAGGAAACTCCCTCTCTAGTGAAGGGGGTGGCAGGGAGCGGGGACCAGCACCACCCGCTTGCTGCGTCCCTGGGAGTGGGGCCAGGTTGGCCAACCGGCAGTGGCCACCACCCACAAAGTTTTCCTCGCAGACACAGAATAAACTATCTTTCTAAGCTTGGGAAATCTAATATTACTGTTACTCCTGCCTTTATAATTTCTAATAACCACCTGTAATGGTTTGTTCAATAACCCATTTGTCTGTCTTTTAACTTGTTAAACTGAACAGGAGGAATGAACGTGCGTTTCTTTGGTGGATAAAATGTAGTATGGATTTGGGAAAATCAGATTGTGCAGTTGTATGGGTGTCTCTGGTATTATTTTTGCTGTGTCCATACCAGTAAAATCCTGACACTAAGTGTATTTCTGTCTTTGAAAAATGAGTTTGAGTGACACTCCTAACCAGTGCTTCCATTTTAATGTTCTTCAGGGAATTCAGTTTCTAATAGAAAATGACCTGCTACAGAGTTCCCCAGAAGACGTCGCCCAGTTCCTTTATAAAGGAGAAGGCCTAAATAAGACCGTCATTGGGGACTACCTGGGTGAAAGGTGAGTTAGAGGAGGATGCAAAGCCCTACCTGGGGCCACTCAGCCCTGCAGCTTGACCTAGGCTCACGCTCCACTTTCGGGGCCATCACAGCCTAAAGGCATGATAGAGCCACGGGCTGTGGGCATCCACATGCCCGTCTCAATACCAAGCGAGCCCAGTGCAACCGGTTCCTCTCCCGTGTCCATGGGAGGAGAGAGGCATTACCGTATTATGGGATCCTGGGACTCCTCTGGAATCCTGTTTTTCAGGGAGCCACAACAGAACTGACAATGCTGCTGCCCCTTTCTCCTTGTCTTGGAAAGCATCTTAATCGTCTTCTGTTTTGCCCAGAAATAAGCCTGATTTCTCAGTGGTTTTCTTTCTCCTGTTACTTGCAGTATGAATAAAGGTGGAAAGTGAATTTTTTTAATGGAAAGCAGCAGGTCAGATTTACTTTCTGACTGCGACTGGCTTAGCAGAGGTTAGGGCAGGACTGCTGAGGCAGCACATGCCCTGAGTATGGCAAACAGACTTTTGTCAAAGACCAGAAGAAAGTGTTTTTAAACAAAAGCCCAGTAGTTCCTAAAGTTGGGCGGTTTTGGTTTTTAGCTTTTTTAAAAAAAATATTTGATCGAAAGTGGAAAGTGGAATACTTCCCGACTCATTCTCTGAGGCCAGCACTACCTGATACCCAAACCAAAGACACCGCTAGAAAATGGCAGACCCTATCCTTATGACTGTAATATATAGTAAGCAATAGGTAAAAAGGATTGTGCACCAAGGGGGACTTACCCCATGCATGCAAGGTTAGTTCAACATACAAGTCAATTAAAGTAATGTATCTTTCACATAAAGGACAAAACCCACATGATCTTCTCAACAAATACAGGAAAAGCATTTGACAGAACTCAAAACTCCTTCACGATAAAAACACTTAAAAAGCTAAGACAGGCATGGAACTTCTTCAACATGATGGAGGGTACCTATAAAAAACCCCACTTTAACATCATACTTAATGATGAAAGACTGCTCTCCTGCTAAGATCAGGAACGAGACAAGGAGGTCTGCTCTTAGTACTGCTGTTCAGCCCGGTGCTGGCACGCCTTGCCAGGACAGTTAGACAAGAACATAAAGACATCCAAATTGGAAAGGAAGAAATTAAATTCTATTTGCAGATGATGCAATCATATATATAGAATATCCTAAGGAATCATTAAAAACTATTAGAAGTAATACATTCAGTAAGGTTGCATGATATACAATTAATATACAAAACTCAATTGGCCAGGCGTGGTGCCTCATGCCTGTAATCCCAGCGCTTTGGGAGGCCGAGGTGGGCAGATCACAAGGTCAGGAGATCGAGACCATCCTGGCTAACATGGTGAAACCTCACCTCTACTAAAAACACAAAAAATTGGCTGGGTGTGGTGGTGGGCGCCTGTATTCTCAGCTATGCAAGAGGCTGAGGCAGGAGAATGACGTGAACCTGGGAGGTGGAGCTTGCAGTGAGCCAAGATGGTGCCACTGCACTCCAGCCTGGGCTACAGAGTGAGACTCTGGCTCAAAAAAAAAAAAAAAAAAAAAAAAATCAATTGTATTTCTATACAATAGCAATGAGTAAACTGAAACAGATATTAAGTAAACAGCTCCATTTATAATAGCATTAAAAGGAATAAGATACTTAGGATAAATTTAACAAAAAAGCAACATTTTTACTCCAAAAACCACAAAACATTGTTGAAAAAAATGAAAAGACCTAAATAAATGGAAAAGCATCCCATGTTCGTGGATTGGAGGGCTTACTATTGCTAAGATGCCAATATTCCAACACTGATCTACAGATTTATTGTACTTCTTATTGAAATCCCAGCTGACTTCTTTGCAGAAGTTGCACATCCTAAAATTACTATGGAAAATTCAAGGGACCCAAAATAACCACAGCAGTCTAAAAAAGAACAAAGTTGCAGAACTCACATTTCCTGATTACAAAATAAAGTGGCCAGGCACGGTGACTCACTCTGTAATCCCAGCATTTTGGGAGGCTGAGACGGGCAGATCACCTGAGGTCAGGAGTTTAAGACCAGCCTGGCCAACATGGTGAAACCCCATGTCTACAAAAATAGAAAAATTAGCCAGACATGATGGCAGGTGTCTATAATCCCAGCCACTCGGGAGGCTGAGGCAGGAGAATCGCTTGAACCCAGGAGGCAGAGGCTGCAGTTTGTCAAAATCATGTTATTGGACTCCA
This sequence comes from Homo sapiens, assembly GCF_000001405.40. Lineage (NCBI taxonomy): Eukaryota > Metazoa > Chordata > Mammalia > Primates > Hominidae > Homo > Homo sapiens. The sequence goes on along the minus strand of NC_000007.14, from coordinate 6,175,594 downwards.
GCCTGGGTAACAGAGTGAGACTCTCTCAAAAAAAAAAAAAAAAAAAAAAGACTAAAGTGTATAGTCAAGACATTGTAAGACTGGCATAAGGATACACATACATAAATGATGGAACAGCATTCAGAATCCAGAAATAAACCCTCACATTAATGTCAAATAATTTTTCAACCAGGTACCAAGACAATTTCAGTGGGGGGAAGAATAGCCTTTTCAACAAATGGTGCTGGGTAAAAGTAGGTAGACTCTACTTCATCAGAATATTGTGCTTCAGAAGACATCAAGAAATTGAAGGCTGGCCGGGCATGGTGGTGTTCATAGCTAATCATCAGTTACAGATTCCTTGGTTCCTTCCCCACTCCCACTGCTTCACTTGACTAGCCTGAAAAAAAGGTAAAAAGACAACCCACAGGCCATCCTGGGTAACATAGTGAGCCCTGCCTCTACAAAAAATAGAAATAAATCAGTATTACTTGCAAATATCTTCATATATTTCTCCTTATATAATCTAGATGTAAGTCCTTAGCAGATTATAAGGACCAGTTATCATACTGATTCAGTCCTTGTAATCTCCTAAGGACTTCTATCTAGATTATATAAAGAACTCTTCCAAATAAGAGTAAAAATAACAAAAATTACTCAGTTATAAACTGGCAAAGGATCTGAATAGACGTTACACAAGTGGCCAATAAGCACAGGAAAAAATGCTCAATTGATCATCAAGGAGATGCAGATTGAAACCACAAGGAGAGGCTGGGCGTGGCGGCTCAGGCCTGTAATCCCAGCACTTTGGGAGGCCGAGGTGGGTGGATCACGAGGTTAGGAGATCTAGACCATCCTGGCTAACACGGTGAAACCCCGTCTCTACTAAAAATACAAAAAATTAGCCAGGCGTGCTGGCGGGTGCCTGTAGTCCCAGCTACTCGGGAGGCTGAGACAGGAGTATCGCTTGAACCCAGGAGGTGGAGGTTGCAGTGGGCCAAGAATGTGCCACTGCACTCCAGCCTGGGCAGCAGAGCGAGACTCTGTCTGGAAAAAAAAAAAAAAAAAAAAAAAAACCCACAAGGAGATACCATTTCACACCCATTAGGCTGGCCGTAATAAAAAAGACACATAACAAATGCCAGCAAGGCTGCAGGGAAGTCAAACCCTTATTCATTGCTGATAAGATATAAAATGATGCAGGCAGGTGCCGTGGCTCACACCTGTAATCCCAGCACTTTGGGAGGCTGAGGTGGGCGGATCACCTGAGGTCGGGAGTTCGAGACCAGCCTGACCAACATGGAGAAACCCCATCTCTACTAAAAATACAAAAGTTAGCCGGGCATGGTGGCGCATGCCTGTAATCCCAGCTACTTAGGAGGCTGAGGCAGGAGAGTCGCTTCGAACCCAGGAGGCAGAGATTTCGGTGAGTTGAGATCACGCCATTGTATTCCAGTCTGGGCCACAAGAGTGAAATTCTGGCTCAAAAAAAAAAAGGATATAAAATGATACTTTGGAAATCTCTCTGGCAGTTACTCAAAATGTAAAACATAAACTTTAACATGGAACCCAGTAATTCCACTCTTAGGTATTTACTCAATAGAAATAAAAATGTGGCCAGGTGTGGGGGCTCATGCCTGTAATCCCAGCACTTTGGGAGGCCCAGGGAGGTGTGGGAGGACCACTTGAGCCCAGGAGTTGCAGACCAGCCTGGGTAACATGGCCAGCCCTGCCTCTACAAAAAATACAAATGTTTTAAAAAAGCATGGCCATGCAGAAACTTGTGCATGAACGTTCATAGCCACATTATTCATCAGCCGCATCTTTTAAAATGATTGCGATAATGTACATTAGGTTTGAAACTTACTTCTTTTTTTCCCAGGGATGAATTTAATATTAAAGTTCTTCAAGCCTTTGTTGAACTCCATGAGTTTGCTGATCTCAACCTTGTACAAGCCTTAAGGTAAGTATGATCATTTGCTGGGTGTAGAGTGGATGGGGAAGGCCAGAGGACCACTGCCTGGGCAGCAGTGGCGGTGAATTGACTCCAGGTAACTTGGTGCCACACGAGTCTCACAGATGCTGGCTCCTTTTCCGGATGATCCAGCTAATGCTGTGTGACACTGAGCAGCCCTAGACAGGAATTGGGGCACACGCTTAAGATAAGGGCCGTGCTTTCCTCACTGTGGCCGCTGATGCTCCTTCCATTCCGTTTCCTTTTATTTGTAATGGTGTATGGCAGTAGTCGAGTGCCTTGTTCCCAAGCTCTGTATGGCGTGGCGTTGGTGCTCCATGGGGTTACTTCCTTCCACACTTGACCCAAAGCACCAAACGCATGGATACCTGAGTGTGCCAGAGAGGATGTAGGTGTCTCGCCATTTTGGTGTCTGGGACACACTCCCTGGATGCCCCCTTGAGCTGCCCTTCCTGCACGTTGTCTTCCTCCTGCTCTGCAAGCAGGAAGTTGTCTCGCTTCCTTCCTTGGTGCCCTGGCTGAGTCGCGTGGGCTCTTCATCTGTTCTGGGCCTTGACCCTGAGCCAGCACTCAGCAGCATCCGGGGGAGAGGAGGCAGGGCTTCTGGTGGGAGTCGCCTCAGCCGGCCCTTGGACTAAGAAAATCAGGCCGCACCTCGTCATCTTCTCAAATCTTCGGCTTCATACCTTGTTCTCGTTTACGTGGACTGTTTGCTCATGGCCTTACCTCAACTGCAGACTGCAATGTTGGCAGCGTTTTTGTGGGACCCTCGTGATGTTGTGCTCACAGCGCAGCCTGGGGCTGAACAGTGCGCTGAGAGTTCGCAACATATAAGAATCCTGCAGCCGCAGTTCAGGCTTATCAGATTGCGTTTCTGGAAGCTGTACATCCAGAGAAGGGTGCAGGCCTGGTGAGTCTGGGAGGGGTGTCTGGTGCGGCCCTTGCAGCTGTGACTCCATTTCTTTCAGTCCATCAGTCTCTGGCGAGAGCCGGAGAGGTTCCTATTAATTCCCACAGCCGTGGGAGCCTGGCATAGCCCCGTAGAGGGCCTGATGGAGGCACAGGATGGGCGGGAATACAGGCAGGTCCTGTGGCCTGAGGAGCTGCCCTGAGGATGTTAGCTTTTGTCCTGAGGGGCACGGCAAGCCTGTGTGGGGCAGAGGCATGCGGGCTGACTCGAGACGCATCACTGCTGTGGGGTGGGCAGGTGCATGCTTTGCTGGTGAATGTGGGGCAGAGAGGGAGTGAGGGGTGGAGGAGGGGTGGTTGTGTTGAGTCTGAAGGCTGCTGGTGCAGGCCTGGCGGAGAAGAAGGGGCCTGGTAGAGAGTGGGGCCAGACGTGGCTGGAATCCTGGGAAGAGAGAGCAGAGGAAGGACCCTGGGGAGCTGCCCTGTGTGAGGGACGTGCAGAGGAAGAGGAGCCCCGCGGGGCCAGGCTGCATCCTCCCCCGATGGCTGGTGGGATCAGTATTTTAAAAAGCCCAGAGACTTAATTGGAGCCTCAAGGTCTAACTCGGTCTTGATCCTTGTGCTAAATCCACGGCAGCATCAGACGTTGCTGAATAGCTGGTGCGGGAGGCTGCAGCTGGCCATGGGGACTGCAGCCCCTGCCTCCGGGGCTCACTCCTGGGCGGGCAGACGGTGGCTAAGGCAGACAGGTAGCAGGGGTGGTGCCACGCAGCCAAGGAACGCAAGGAAGGGAAGCAGTGAGCGGGGGCGGGGCGGGTTGTTGGGCTGGGGGTTCCAATTACAGGCAGGGCAGCCAGGGAGACCTCAGCCAGAGGGGATGCCTGAGGGTGGGAGTGTCTGCTGGGCCTGGTCTCTGAGGCAGGCATGTGTCTGCCCAGCAAGGCAGCAGCAGCTTCTGACCGCAGCGCCCAGTGCTGTAGGTGGGGCTTTGGATACCGTCCTGTGGGCTATGGCTCTGCCTTATGTGTGGGAGTTCTGAAAGGAGGACCGGCTGGTGGCAGCTCGGGACAGGCAGGGCTCTGGTGATCACCTGGCAGCAGCAGGAGATGGTGGCAATGGGGACAGAGAAGTGCCAGGATCCTGGATATTTACTTTTTAGGCAGAGACAACCGGCCTCGCTGCTGAATTGGTTGTAGTTACAAAAAGATGAGCCATCAGTAAGCGTGTCTCGAGTTATGGAACGGAAGGAGACTGTCCTGGGTCTTCTCCTTTCTGTCTCTGCGCCCCCAAGCCCCTGCCAGAGCTGTACCCCAGGCTCGGGAGGAAAACGTCCTTCCTGAGCTGGGCAGAAGCCGCCCTTGGCCGTGAGGCGGTGTTGGTTCTGATGCGGCTTCCCATGGCTTTGGTGTCTCCACAGGCAGTTCTTATGGAGCTTCAGGCTGCCCGGGGAGGCGCAGAAGATTGATCGCATGATGGAGGCTTTCGCTTCTCGCTACTGCCTGTGCAACCCCGGGGTCTTCCAGTCCACAGGTCAGTGCAGAGCCCACAGCCTGGCCCCTTGCCAGGCACAGCCTCCAGCTCTGGAGGGGGCGGCCCCTGTGGGCACAGCCCAGCGTGTGTTCCTGGGGACCTGCCTTCCCTGAGCGAGGACGACCTGTGGGCCGGGCACCTCTTGCAGGCGGGCCCCCAGCACGCGGGGTCCCACTGTCCACTGGAGGTTCTGGCTGAGCCCAGCACCCCGGACTCGTTGCAGACACGTGCTACGTGCTGTCATTCGCCATCATCATGCTCAACACCAGCCTCCACAACCACAACGTGCGTGACAAGCCCACGGCAGAACGGTTCATCGCCATGAACCGCGGCATCAACGAGGGCGGGGACCTCCCTGAGGAGCTGCTGAGGGTGAGCTCCCCGGCCCGCGGCCGCTGCCGTCTGCAGGATCTCTTCGCTGTGAGCGGCCGCAGCGCCCGCGGCTCTAGACACGCCTCCCAAGCCTCCTTGCCGCCCTGGTCCCGCTGAGCTTTCTGCCCGGCCAGCCATTTTCCTCCGAGTCTCTGAACTGGCTGCTGTTTTCCCTCCTTGCAGAATTTGTATGAGAGCATTAAGAACGAGCCATTTAAGATCCCGGAGGACGACGGGAACGACCTGACCCACACCTTCTTCAACCCCGACCGCGAGGGCTGGCTCCTGAAGCTGGGTGAGCCGCCGGCCCAGCGGGACCCGGGCGTGACCCCTCTGCCCATGGCAGCAGCCCCTCGGGTTCCTCCCAGGCTCATCGTAGGAATGCCCCCCACCGCAGGCAGAGACGTTAAAAAGAAACGCGGTTAAGCCAGAGCCCGCTCTCGGTAGCTGCATGGCCACGGCTGCTTCTCCGAGCCGGGGCCTCAGAGCCATGCCCGCGGCAGAGAGTAGCGCCCAGGCTGCACGGCCCGTCCCAGAAAACTGCTGAGTTAGCATCCAGATCCAGCCAGGGCAGCTTCCTGCACGAGAAGCAAGCGCATTATCTCCACAGAGCCTGTGTGCCTCTCTCGGTTTGGTGTGGCTGTGATTTTTGACGCGTGGTTTAAATGTGCCTTCTTGTTGTTTTCCTTCTGCCTGTGGCTCCCACCTTTCTGTTCTGTGACGGGCTGTCCCTGCTTGTCCTGCTTTAGGAGGTAGGTACCCAGTGGCTCCCCGCCCCCTCAGCGGCTCATTCCTCTCGCTCTCCCCACGTTGGTCTGTGTGAGCTCCGCTGTGTGGCTGCCATTCATCCGATCCATCTGTGGACTTGCTGGGGCTGCGCCGTGCACGGTGTGGTGAATGCTACACCCACCCCCAGGGGCGGGGCTGAGAGTGGCTGGGACCTGGAGCACATGGGGATGCTGTGTGGGAACCAACTTGCCCCCCACCCTGTGTCTCTAGGGGTCCGCAGCAGTAGAGAAGCAGACAGCCAGCCCTGTCCCTGCGGCGTCACCCTCCACCCCATACTAACCCAGCAGCGCATGGAGAGATTTCGGGAGTGCTCTAAAGGCCTTTGGAGCAATTTAGGGCAATTACGGGCAGTTTTAGAAATGCTGAGGGGTTGTTTTGCCTGCGGGGCGGGGATGGTTGCCTTATGCCCACAGTGAAGCGGGCGAGATGCGGTAGCTGGGTTCACGCAAGCCTTTCTGAGAGCAGGCGGCCGCTGGGCAGCACGTGAGACATGGAGTGGAGCATCCTGGTGATTTTTTAAAAATTTTATCAGCCGGGTGCAGTGGCTCATGTGTGTAATCCTAGTGCTTTGGGAGGCTGAGGTGGGAGGATTGCTTAGGCCAGGAGCTTCAGACCACCTGGGCAATATAGTGAAACCCCATCTTTACAAAAAATTAGCCTGGCGTGATGGTGTGTGCCTGTAGTCCCAGCTACTAGGGAGGCTGAGGCAGGAGGATGGCCTGAGCCCAGGAGGTTGAGGCTCCAATGAACCATGACTGTGCCACTGCTCTCCCACCTCGGCGACAGAGTGAGACCTCGTCTCAAAAAAATAAACATCAAGGAAGGGTGAGACACGGTGTGACGGGCACAGGCCTCCTCAGCTGGTGGAAAGGGTGTGAGTCCCACAGGTCTGCCATTCCCATTAGGGTCTTTGACCTTGGCCATTGCTCTTTGACTTTTTTCTGGCTGTACCGAGGTTTAGGGGAGTTGTAGATATTTGCCTGAAAACCTAGTACCATGGTCTTTGGCTCGGGTGCCTGAGAGACCCGATTCAAATCACATTGTGCGAGTGTTCTAGAGTGAGGGCCGGTGGGGGGGAATGTAACCGGAAATGCCGGCAGGCACTCTGGGGCCGGGATAAGTGGGATGTTCGTTTGATTAGATGCCTCCCTTCTGGTTCCTGCGTTGCCCACCAGTGTCCCCTCGAGGGACAGTGACGCCATCAGCCTGCCTGGCAGCCAATGTGACCCCTGCCACCAGGGAAAGGTCGGCTCTAGAGACGTAAGTGTGTGAATGAAATGAAGGCACAGCAGAGCTCGTGTTGTCTAACCTGTTTTCTGGTTGGGCAGATAAACAGGCCATGAAATGAGTGCACACAGTGCTCACGGGAACCAAGAGCTGGCTGGGCGCCGGGTGCCAAGCGCAGGGGCCCTGGAGGGGCTGGTCCAGCTGGCGTGGCCTCAGTGTGGTGGGCGGCCCGGTGAGCACCTGCTGCTCTAGGGGCTGGCTTCCTTGTCCTCTCCCAGCACCCTGTATGTCTGCTGTGTTCTCAGAAACAAAGTTCGAGACCAAAGGCTGGCGAGCCAGGGCCCTGGCTGGAGGCAGACGAGATGGGTGCAGGATCTAGAACGTGCTTCCAGGCGTGTGCTCAGCGGGGAGTGCGGCCTGGCTTGGTTGCATTCTTATTGTAGATTTGCTTTTAGAACAGGTGGTCTTAAAAAGGCCTGGATGCTTTGCCAGAGCGTAGGAGCCCTGCTGTGTACACAGGCGTGGCTTACGATTGTTGGTAACTTAAGACTTCGAGTCTTGAATCAATCACCAGAAAAAAAAAAAAAAAAAAAATCCTAGGAGGTGGCCCAATCCGAGCTGCCATACAGAAAGTGTGTGCATGTGGACCTGTGTGTGCACGTACGCGCCTGCCTGCTAACGGCAATGAAGACAGAAACTTACAGAGAGAAAGTGGCTCCCATCTGCAGGTTCCAGAAGCCAGGCTCTTGTCTGCAGGCGAGAATGCTGTGTGGTGTGGCCAGAAACAAGTGTGAGCAGAGCCTGCTCGGCTCTGAGACCAAGCTTATCACCCCTTCCCTGGGCCTGCAGTCCTGGTCTGCAACGACCCCCTGGCCCTGAGGACTGGACAGGGATGGGGCTCTGCATGGGAGGTGTGAGCGGGGGACCCAAGGTGGAGCTGAGAGGCCACCTGGCAGACCCCTCCCAGGCGGGGCCAGGTGTGTGGGCTAGTGGAACATACAGGTCCTTTGCTGTCCACCATGCTGGGAGCGTGGAGGAAGAGAGCAGGCGCTGGACAGAAACACACAACCTGGGGGCTCCTGGATGAGCTCCCCAAGAACTGGAGACTCAGATAACAGGGCAGGGAGAAAGGCCACAGCTGGGGAGCCAGGAAGGGCAGCCCCTGCTGCCGCCCAAGGAGTTGGGTTTAAAGCTGAGTGCAGTGGGACCCTTTGGGGGGCTTCAAGCCGGAGGGGCATGATTGCCACGTTTTTGAAAAGATGCCTTTGGCCGCTGTTTGGGGGATGGCAGCTGGCACCAGTGCAGCTGGAGCGGGGCCTGCTCTGGAGTCTCTGGAGGGAAGCAGAGGCGACCGTGACAGTGACGGATGTCAGGGTAGTGGAGTTGCTGTCAGCTGATTCTGCCACAGCAGTTCAAGCTGGAGCAAGTGCCTGGAAGGAATCAGCACTGTCCTCCTGTCCCTAGGGTCTCGGGGACATAGAACACCTCTCACTGCTCACTGGAGGACTGTGGGACAAGGCAGGTTGCCCCCAGGGTCTCCTGCCCTCCCCTGTGGACTTGGGCCTCCCTGGTGTGCTGCAGTGGAGGTGGGGAAGGTGAAGGCCAAGGGCTTGCAGAGAGCATGGAGCCCGCGGTGAGACAGGGACACGAGGGCAACAAGGACTTTGGGCCTTGCTGTGGGCCTGGCTGGGTCTTAAAGGGGACCAGTGAGGCGGTGCCACAGTTGGGGCAGAGGGTTCCAGTGACGGAGCAGCTTGCAGGGGTTCGGGGAGTGGAAGCCCCGCCAGGGCTCAGGAGAGATGTTGGGGGCAGGGTCTGAGGGCTGGGGAGATGCAGCAGAGAGCTTGGGGGCAGATTTGCCCAGACCAGGGTCTAGACAGACCCTTTAACAGGTAGGCTGGTGGGACACTGATGAGACTGGGGCCTGTGGGGAGAGGAGGAACAGCTGGAGGCTGGGCTCCTGTTCCAGGCTGGCGGTGGCAACCGCATTGCAGGCTGCCTTAGGCATCAAAGGAGGACGGCAGCACTGAGTGAGGCAGGGGCCAGAGGGTCCCAGAGGGACTGCAGAGACCCGCTTCCGGCCTCCAGTTCCGCTGAGCCAGGCTTCCTCCCACCTGCAGCTGGTTCCTCCTCACCCAGGGTCTCTGCAAACCAGGCCCCAACAGGGAAAGCCCCCTGTGTCCTGGTGATCCATCCACAGAGCCCTTCGCACACAGTCTTGCCTCCAGGCCTCAGCGCCCGTGCTGGCCCCCACTTAGGGAGGGAGGGCTACTCCCCTGCCGGCCTGTCACAGAGAAAGCCGGGTGAGCTCCGCAGCGCTGGAGAGGCATGGGGCAGAGAGGGCCTAGTACCCCAGGGAGCACTTGAGTTCATTGTCACCAGCGTGTATTTCTTTGAATTATTTAAAAAACAAACACCGGCAAGGCTATAGCAGCTGAAGTCAGTTTGTCTCTGCTCAGTGTTTAAGGATCAGAGATTTCCTTCCCTTAGGGAGAGGAGGGCAGGTACAGATGGGGGTACGTGCGTGTGCACGTGTGCTCCAGATCTTGTTACAAAATTAATTCAGTCTCACGATTCCTTGGGCCCAGGGGTGACTGATTTTGATGGATCCCAGGGCTGCCCAAGGGCCTCTGTAATGCGATAACCACCTGACATGGTGGGGTCAGGTCCTGGACAGAGCCAGGCGCGCAGTCCTGACTTCATCACACTGCCATCTCATGTGGGAAAATGACGCCATCCATCCCACTAACTCTCCCAGGAAGCGAATTGTAGCGCGGTTGTGTCATCAAGGGGCCCATCAGTGCCGTGGAGGGGGCGCCGGTGTGGGCGGGGTGGGTGCATGTGGGGCCCTGCGGTGGGAACGCTGAAGGACACCTGAACCCAAGCCTGGCGCCTGGTGGCCTTTCTGAAAACGCAGTGGTCTGTGCAGGTCCAGGGCCCCCTCTTGGACCCGCGGGCTCCCTGTGCACGGAGCGCAGACTCACGGGGCCCTTCTGCTTCTAGGAGGGCGTGTGAAGACCTGGAAGCGCCGGTGGTTCATCCTGACCGATAACTGCCTCTATTACTTTGAATACACAACAGTAAGTAAGGGCCAGGCCTCCTTGCCGCCTCCCAGCAGTCCCGGAGCTGCCCTGGGGCCGAGGGACCCTCAGGCTGGTGACCCACAGTGAGCCCCGCCGTGTACTTTCCTCTTGTAGGATAAGGAGCCCAGGGGAATCATCCCGTTGGAAAACCTCAGCATCAGGGAGGTGGAGGACCCCCGGAAACCCGTAAGCTCTTCCTCCTGAACCTTCTCTCCTGCCAGCCACCTGGGAGCCATCCTCACTGCCTGCAGGGAACCTGCCCCAAGCCCCCCTGACCGCCTCCCCTCTCTCTTTCTCCACCAGAACTGTTTTGAGCTCTACAATCCCAGCCACAAAGGGCAGGTCATCAAGGCCTGTAAGACTGAGGCCGACGGCCGCGTGGTAGAGGGGAACCATGTGGTGTACCGGATCTCAGCCCCGAGCCCGGAGGAGAAGGAGGAGTGGATGAAATCCATCAAGTGAGTGGGGCCTCGGGGGCGGGGCCAGGCCCGTCTTCTCGTGCCGGTTGGAGGGCGGGGGATGGTCTGGAACATGGATGCTTCCGTGTGCAAGAGTGGACCTTCTGTCTCCAGAAACCCCAGAGGGCCGGGCTGCCAAAGCCGACGTTCAGATCTGAGCCTGCGGTCCTGTCTGAGGGGCCTCTGGGGCTGGTGGGAAAGGGGAGGTCTGTGTGTCACCCACGACCTAACCTGTGTGTTTTCCTTTTTTCACCAGAGCCAGTATCAGCAGAGATCCCTTCTATGACATGTTGGCAACGAGGAAACGAAGGATTGCCAATAAAAAATAGCTTTCCTGGCTAAAAGACCCAGGTAAAAGACCCAACCCCAGCAGAAAGACACCGCGGGCGGCCCCTCCGCGGAAGGCGTGGCAGGGAGGCAGTCGCCCTGCGGTGCAAGCTGCTGCTCCAGAGCATACCGTGGCCCAGGTGGTATCCCCAAGGCCTCGTGCCGTGGCTGGGGTCCTGGGAGGTGGTCGCCCTGCAGTGCAAGCTGCTGCTCCAGAGCGTACCGTGGCCCAGACTGATCCTCGAGGCCTCCTGCCGTGGCTGGGGTCATGGTCGGCTGCGCATGTCCAGAAGCATTTCCTTCCTGCGACCATCCCGGCGCCCCTAGGGGGAGAAGCCAGGACAGCAGCTTCCGCTGTCTCCACAGCAGACACGGGACGGATTCCACAGACGGGAGCCTCATTCGTACCATGCCAAACGCATTCACTCGGGGCAGTATTAACCGTTCTAGAAAGCCACTGTTTTATAGCAAAACAGGAAAGGAAAAGCTACCAGTTTTTTATTCAGAATTTTTCTCAGATATATAGGATTATAGCTTTTATATGCCTTTTTATATTCTGAAATTATAACAAAAGATACTTTCTAACAGTAGTATTTTTAGAATGGCAGCTATAAAGTTAACTCCTGGACACAAGTATATACTGTGCACTGAAAAAATATCCATCTACACAGCACCCAAGGGGAGGGCTGGGGGCACCGGCACGGGGGCAGCGTGCAGCCCTGCCCTGTCAGGCTGTCAGACAAGCCCCGGGGGGCAGCAGGTGGGCTCGGGACGGGCTGGGGGAGGGACGGCCATGGCACTTGGGGGCTCCAGGGTGACTCCCATGAGGCCTCCCTTCAACCAGGCTTTTTGGCCCCACAAATACTTTAAGCAAATCATTAAAATTATAACAGTTAATGGTTTGGGGGTGTTTAGGCTGTAACTGCTAACTCCTAGGAAACAGCCTTTTCCCTGGACACAGATGGTCCATACGCTGAGCCACGTGAAACTGCTGATGTTTTGTTTAGATGCACACACATGGCAGCGTTTCATACAGGTCAGCAGGTTAGACCGGCTTTTGACCATATTCATCGCTATTTAAAACCTGTGGCAAAATGAACGCTTATTTTACAGACTTTCTAATTTGACCAGATTTCTTAATGAATAGACACAGAATTAACTAAAAACAGTCTCACCCCATGTAGTGCGCCGTGTCCTGAGAGAGGTGCCCTCCCTACGAGGAGGGAAGAACAGGCCCTGGGGTGCAGAGGCCCGGCACGTAGAGAACCCAGATAGACGCCGGTGGTGGAACTGGTCAAACTCCACGCCCGCCTGGGAGGTTGTCAGGTTGCTGTGGATGTAAGGATAGGAGGTGCCCAGTGCTCCGCTCAAGGAAGGCTGGATCTGGGCCCCACCTACAGAGAGGGCTCAGGGCTGGACCGGGGGCATTGTGTGCTTGGGCCGACCCGGGCCGGTGGCAGACGCTGTTCTCTGTCGGGAGATTTGCGTCCCCAGGACCCTGTTACACAGTGGGCTGTTGGGTTGGTGGCTGGCTTTTCCTCTATGGACTTCCTCTTCCTGCCCCACCTGCATAGGCACACACACCTTGAATCTGCACCCTCTGGAGGGCATCTGTACTCCTGTGCAAAATGCCCAGTCCAGAGACAAAACCTCAGACTTTGTGCACCTAGGTTTCCTTCTCAGCAGCGGAGACTGTTCTTTGAGTTGCCTTGAAGTGGAGGCCGAGCGGCTGCGGGCCCTTCGCCTCCCTGCGGCTGACCTTGATGTAGCTTTAAGTCACACTAGACTGCAGAGGGGTCCGAGGCCAGAAACCCCTGTCCTGCATCAGACTTTCATTCCCACGTTCTTAGGCTTTGTTACTGATACCTCAAATCGGAAGTTTTAGTTCTGAGAAAGGCAAGTCAGCGTTCTTGAAATGCCTGACTGGTAGATATGCAACTCTGGCCTCCAGTCTTCCATGAAAATAAATGCTGCCTGGACCCCCACCCAGACCACACACTGACGGCCGGCTCCGGCGGTGCCCACCCCTCAGGCTGGCCCGGCACCCAAGACTGGCCACAGCCAGCTCTGTCAGCATGTTGTGCTCGGACAAGCTGTTTCCTTCTTCTGACCAACCCAGGTGTGACCTGGGGATGCAGAGCTTTCTGTTTTGGGTGTTGGGAGAAGCAGCAGGAAGGAGTCGCCAGATGATCAAGCTCCCCCTTTGCTGTCATCTGTGAATGAGCTTCGCCAGGTGGTGGGCACCTGGGAGCCATGCAGAGGCTGTGGTGCTGAGTTAGACTCCAGGTACTTTGTGGTCAAAGGAAATCGCCTAGCTCCAGGCTGTGTTAGGACAGTATTAGCATGAAGGCTGTGCGACCATCATGCCTGCTGATCCTTGAGGCAGGCCTGGTCCAGAAAACTCTGGGTCAGTGACTGCGCAGGGCCAGCCGCTACCAGGACGGCCCTGAAACAGGACACATCTGTTTTTTGTCCCTCACCCTGGGCAGGCCGCGTCACAATCACAGTCCTCCTCCTCCCCACCCTGACGTCTGAGCGCAGGGCTTGAATTGTTAGTCCCAACTCTGGCCAAAGATACTTTTTTCCAGAGACAGAGGCCAGGAGGCAGTGAGGGGAGCCCCGCGGGGAGGCGGCGGCGACTGCCACAGCCCTTCCAGCCTGTCTTGCTGGCCGCCCTGGTTCATATTTGAGTTTAATTGTACTGACCCTGGACCCAGATAAGCAGCAACTTTGTGTCTTTGGGGTCACAGAACATTTTGGGGCAGTTTAATGTGGTACCAAACTGAAAATAGGAGCTATTTATAGATGGAGCAGCACTTAGTGCTTCATAGAAAGCAATGCCTATTTTTAAAGTTACAAACGCAGATATCTACATAGATATGCTTTGCTGAGAAGTTAGGTCTGTGGTAGACCAGAAACCACAAATTGACTTTTTTTCTTAGAAAATATTTCTATTTGCGGTAAATATAGTAATATGTAAATAATGTACATCTGTTGATTTCTGGAGTGTCTGTTATTCAATGATGTATATACTCCCACAGCTCGCATGAAGGAACAGCCTCTATTGATACTTGGTTGTAAAGTGAAGTAAGATTGGAGGGTGGATGGCTGTCAGAGCTCTTGCAGATACTGTGTTCACTAAATAAAAATCACATGTATTGTTAAAACAAGCCTAAGACTTGGTTCTTTAAAACAGATATTGTTGGGTCCAGCAAACACCCCTCCAATTTTCCTTTGCCCGTCCGAGGTGGGATGGCCTGGCCGAAGGTGCCGACTTCGGCAGGAGCACTTACTTGAAGGTTTTAAGAAAGTGAATTCAGATGATGACAGGAAGGAGTCTGGAAGCAAATGGGGAAAACAACAGTAAAAAGACGCCAAGTGTGTGATTTGCTGCCATTTATATACTATAGAAATTTTACATGCTGTATATTTACAGTGGGGCAAGTGCTTTTTTAATCTTTAGAAAAACAAAGATCAAACTTTAAACATCTCTGAACAACACAAACTGTATAAACCATACAGATTATTCAGATACAAACTGTATTAAATACAGTTTTCCCCACTCCATCTCCTGATGCAGGACCAGTGAATTATAAGTGTATCACAGTTTGATAGCATATCCATATTAAAAATAAAATCACAGTATGATTGTGTCTGTAACTAGAAACTCGAAGGGACCAAGCAGACAACGGAGACTCCAGTATCAGTGAAGACAAGAGACGCTGTATCAAAAAGTGTTGTGTAATAGAAACATACTGTCGGCTTTACAAATCATGTCTGGGTTATACATTCATAATGTAAATACTCATCATAACTGGGAAATTGATTGATTGGAACAGTTCCACAAAGTTCAAAAACAGAACTTGTCTATAAAATACATCTTCAAATCTTGAATACAACTAAAATAAGCAAATTAGTTTCTAGTATCAGACATTACAGAAAACAGACTGCTCTCCAAAGTCTAGGTGAGAGCTTGTGAGTTTTTAAATAAGTCTTTAAATTAAATATACACACTGTCAGTTTGTACTTTTGACAATTCCATGGTCTCCCGGTTGGTCTTGCACCAGATGTCTAACTTGGAGGAACATTACATGAAATACAAGTAATCGACCTGAGTCTGTAATTAAGCAGCATTTGAGATGTTCTATTCCAGGGCATTATTTCAATGGGATTTATATACACGGTATTTTACAATGGTCAGCAGTGGTAGAAAGTGTTCGTCCATTCGGAATAAGGGTAATTAAGAAAAGGTAAAAACTAAAAAAAAAGTTCTCCATGGTAAAATCTGTACAGTATTTACTAAAGAAGCACCACGCAGATTGGAACAGAGTTATTGTCTATCTTTATAATTTAAGCTGGGCTGGGGATGGCTTCTGTTGAACGCGTTGAATCTGAAAGACAAGAGGCGCAGGGTTAGTGAGTTGGAGGCAGGCGGCGGCGTGTAGGGCTTATTCCCGGACGCCCTGCCAGCTGCTCCCGAAGGCTGGGGAAGCTCTTCCTTGAGGAGATCACTCTGCCTTCTCTGCCTTCCTGAGTGGAAATGAGGGAACTGGCGGTGCGGGCAGCTCAGCCAGGGAGGCGCCATCTGCTGGGCCCGGCCACCACCCGCCCCAGATGCCTCCTCCACCTCCATCCTCACAGCCCCTCACTCAGGAAGTTTAGCTCCTTAATTAGGGTTGGGCCTCTCCCTTGAGGACACATTGATAAAGCCTGTTAATTAACGGCCAATTAATCCACAGACTCTTCACTTGGCAATTCATTTTAAATTCCTCTTGCTGACTACATGTGACAGACACATTTGGACAAAGTTTCCTTTCAAGGGAAAAATGGTTCACTGTCCCCTCTAGCTCCACAAGGGTCAGGTATAAAACCAGTGACTCTCCCAGGACCGCTGTGTGAAGTGATCCAACAAAGCCCCACAGCTCCGAGGTCCTGATCTGCCGCCCGGCCCTGGGCCACCTTCCTATGGTTTTGTACGGTGGCTGCTGGGGGGGTGCTGGCTCCAGCTCAGTGCCACCTCGGGGCGCAGACAGCAGCACAGGGGACGGGACGGACGAGGGAGCAAGGCTCCGCTCTCCTGAGTGAGGTGCCTGTGCTGGGGACCGGGCCTCTCCCTTCCCAGATGTTTATCAAAGGCCCGTGGGCTCTGCCGCTGTGAGCCGGGTTGGCTTTTCCCAAGTGAGGCACAAGGGAACAGGGCGACTCTGCCTGCGTGAAGGATGCGGGTCTTCCCCAGCCAGTAATGCAAACGTGATGAGGTGGAGGGTCTAGGTCTGTCCCCAAGCGCGTGGCCTGGGTCTGGGCTGGCTGGGAACCTGCCGGGGCCTCTCCATGGCTCTGCCAACTCCTATGAGCCCAGCCCCCAGGCAGAGCCGCAGAATTAAAACTCCTCTGCCTGCGTCCCCTCAGCGCCACCACAAACAATGAGGAAACAGACAGGAAAACAGCTTACCATAACTAGTGAATTTTTTGTTTTGAGGCTGAGTTTTCAATCACCTAGAAAGCAAAGGTCAGGAAAGAGATTTTAATGATGGTTGCAAAATCGCCAGGGCCTCTGCTGTGTGTGTGCGTTAAGTGGCTATGGTCAGAGTCACTGCGGTTCCCTGTGAGCGCCTGAGGCCACTCCCCAGTGAGGTGAGCAGGGATGTCCCAGCGCTCAGCGGCTGCTCCCAGGGTTTTACTGATGTCAAAGGGTTTACGTGATGACTGAGGGCTCCATCCAACCCACACGCAGCCTGATGTTAGAACAGATATCAGGCCCAAGAACTGAACTGGGCGGAACAGAGCCAGAGGAGGAGTTTGAAAGAGAAAGACAAGGGGCCGAAGTCCAGGGTAGAGGGGGACCCGCAGGACCACAGGACGCTGGGTGAGGCGGGGCCGGGCAGCGGCCTTCTCAGAAGGACAAGAAAGGCTCCTCAGTCTGCTCGCAGCAGAAGCGCCAGCTGCAAACCCTGTCATCGGTGCAGTGGGACGGGGACGGAAACACAGGGCCACCACACAGACAACGCCTGACCACAGCACCCGAGACACGAGGCAAACAAGATCACGTTCAACCTCCCTCCCGCTGGACCAGCTGCCTCGGGGGCCATCACTGTCTCCCAGTAGCCCCAGCTGGAAGCCCATGATCCTGGGAGCCTGCACCACACTCAGAATGAGCCCATCCACTGCATCCTCGGATCCTCGGGTACCAAGCAGCCCTCACGAATCTCCTTCCCCGATTCGCTGAAATGGGAACGCAAAACCAATTCTGAAATGTCCAGAACGTCTACAAGGCCCGCAGGCAACCCGTCCTCACCGGCAGTGCTGGTGCCTGTCCTCATCTCCGGCTGTTTCCCCAGCACTCCATGGGCAAATGTCCCCCATGGGGCTCACCCCGCAACCCCCAGCTCTCTCTCACACACTCTAAGGACCGTTTACCCCTCAATCAACAATGCATGCTGGCTCTGGGCTGCTGGGAGGGACAGGCCTTCCCCAGAACACACAGCTCCACCTAACCCACAACTCAGCCGAGAAGCAAAAGGCCTCAGGGCAGCCCTGAAGATTCGTCAAAAGCCCCTGGGAGGAGGGGATGCGCTTCACACGTGAACACAAACAATGGGCGTCCAGGCAGGGGTGACAAACCCTTTCTGTCAAGGGGCAATAATAAACATTTTCCGCTTTGCGAGCCACACGGTCCCTGCCCTGCCGCAGCCACTCACCTCTGCCAGGCAGTGACAGCGAAGCCGCCAGACAGCGTGGGAACGCACCTGGCTGCGCCCCAATCAAGCCACAGACACTGAGGTCTGAATTTCACATCATTTTCATGTGAAACGCATTGTTCTTTGGGATTATTTCCAACCACTTAAAAAGGTTAAAACCATTCTTAACTCCAAGTTCATACAAAGTCTGGTGACTGGCCGAAGTTGGCCCCAGGGCTGCAGTTTGCCAGCCTCCGCTCTAGGTCCACTGACTCGAGTGACATCCGCTTCTAACAGGCTCACAGCTCCTCTCGAGGGTGAGCGGTCACCGGACACCAACGGGAGAGGAAGTGGGGGGCTGCCTCAAGTGCAGTAAGAGCACAGCGTGTGGCCACAGGACGGAGACACAGCCCCACAGGGCAGAAGAGAATCCAGGACACCTGGCAGGGGCAGCCAGCGCTCTGCCACATGGAGGCCTCTGCAGTGTCACTCAAGCAGAGGCTGGTGCCCACGCTTCTAAGGAACCAAGCGAGCAAATCAGTACCGAGCATCAGGGTGCACTCAGAATGCTACAGGTTTAAGGATTCGGGAGAGTAACGTATACGCTGCAAAAGTATTTCTATCAAAAATGCTTTAAAACCAAGAGTTCTCGAGACCATCCTGGCTAACACGGTGAAACACCGTCTCTACTAAAAACACAAAATTTAGCCGGGCGTGGTGGCGGGCGCCTGTAGTCCCGGCTACTCAGGAGGCTGAGGCAGGAGAACAGCATGAACCTGGGAGGCAGAGGTTGCAGTGAGCTGAGATCGCCGCCACTGCACTCCAGCCTGGGCAATAGAGCAAGACTCCGTCTCAAAAAATAAAATAAATAAAATAAAATAAAATAAAACCAAACCAAACCAAGAGTTCTGGTCCTTTGCAAGGCAAAGTCAGATGCCTAGAGCTGTACGTTCCAGGGCTTTGGTGACACAGGTAGTGCTGCCCTCAGTCCTGTGTCACTTAGGCCTTCAATAAACGCTAAGGGCTTAACTGTGCAACGGAACCACACTGCAGGGATGAGCACTGAGGCCAGACCAGGCAGGGCAGGGGTGCTCTGAGTAACTGTGCCCTTTGATGCCACCTGAGGTTTTCTTTCTACATGTTAATCACCTTTGCAAAGAAAATGTATTAAGAAATAGTTTCTATCTTCCTAATTCCAAGTATCTCCTCTTACCCTGGCCATACTCAAAGAGACGACACCTGTCATCCCTGCTTTCCATCCGTAAGTGTTTCGTTTTCTCACGGAAAGGTCCGACGCCTTCCAGAGGCGGGCCACCAGAGAGAGGAAAGCCACCCTGGGCTCTCCGGAACTGGGCGACAGTCTCCAAGCTGGTGACCCTGGGTAAGTGCAGTTCTGAATCTTTAACAAAGTCCTCTGATTTTCTTGAATGTCTCTTCTTTTTCTTCTTCTTTTTTTTGTGTCTGTGGAGGTCAGCGTCAGAGCACGCTGCTGAGAGGTCTGAGTCCTGCTGATGCCTGCAGAAGGAAAAGCCAGAATTCAAAACCCTAAAACACAAAACCACCAGCAGCAGACCCTGGAGCTTGGCCTTTCCACCCATTCACCGAGAACATTCACTGTGCAGACACGCACAATTCTTATCTAATTAGCCACGTAGGCCAGGTATGGTGGCGCACACCTGTAGTCCCAGCTACTCGGGAGGCTGAAGCAGGAGGATCACTTGAGCCCAGGAGATTGAGGCTGCAGTGAGCTACGACTGCAACACCGCACTCCAGCCTGGGCAACAGAGCAAGACCCTGTCTCAAAAATTTAACAAGTTTGCCTTCACTGTAATGACTGTTTCAGTCCAGGGCCATAAATTCACCAACTTTAGCTCCATCCTGAACAGTCCCATCTCTGCTTCAGCTTTCTCAGGAACTAAGGCTGTTGGACAAACACTGCAGGGAGGATTCTGCTAACTTTTCCCGAAACCAGTAGTTACTTGAAGGGAAAGGAAATACTAAGCCTCCTTCCCTCCCATGTGCCTGAGACACCTGGCAGCAATATTATTTTTCCCTCCAATAACCACTGCCTATTTTCCATATGGCTTTTGGTAATCTTTCCCAGGGTTTCAGTTTCAAGAGATGTCAACTAAAATTACTAATTCTGCTCCTGCTCATCCATCTCATCATGGATACGTCATTTTCAAGACAATCACCAACCAATTTAGCTTTTTAAAAATACAAAAACAGGCCAGGTGAGGTGGCTCATGCCTGTGATCCCAGTGCTTTGGGATCGCTTGAGTCTAGGGGTTTGAGAACAGCGTGCGCGGCATAGTGAGATCCTGTCTTTACAAAAATAAAAAATTAGCTGAGGATGGTAGCACACGCCTGCAGTCCCGGCTACTCCAGAGGCTGAGGGCTGAAGCAGAAATATCATTTGAGCCCAGGAGGTCAAGGCTGCAGTGAGTTATGATGGCATCACTGCACTCCAGCCTGGGTGACAGAGCAACACCCTGTCTCTTAAAAAATACAGAAGCAAATTTCCCAATTGGATTTCAAGTTGAAAAATGGAGACAAAAACAAAGGCCGAGGAAACGAAGGTGTCTCCGATGCCTACGCTGGGCAGGCGGGCAGGCACAGGAAAAGTGTGCCTCCTGTTGTCTGCCTCCCTCACAGCCACTGAATTTCAGGAAAATATAACAGATATGAAAACATAACTACATCTGACAAGTAAGAATATTAACACCAATTCTAAGGTCAAAGACTCCCAATTGTTCATTGATGGAACACTGCATGCTTACTCCTGGAAGAGTTATAAAGCATTCACCAAAAATGGCACTATCATTTTGAAAAAGAAGGTTGTTAGGCATTTAACGACACCATGAAGAATAAAGATACAGCTTCAAAGCAGGGCAAATTTTTACAAATCTGTAAAAATAGTGAACTCTCAAAACCCACAGAAATGAAAGACACAAATCAGACGGATACAACTGTGGCCTGGCTGGTCACTTGTTCCTGAGTCGAGTGAGAAGGGACAGGCCCCACTGCTGACAGCAGCGCCAGCGCCTCGGGGAGCACAAGGCCCCAGGCTCACCTGGAGTCGCGGTCTCGGTGTTTGTCTTTGGATTTCTTTTTCTTCTTTGATTTTTTGTGCTTCTTTGCTTTAGGCTCTTCTAGAGGATCCTTCTGTTCGCTCCTCCGGGCTTTCTTTTCAACATGACTGTCACTGTTCTCCACACTGTCGTGTCTCCGTTTCCGGGACTTTCCATTTTCGTGTTCGTGAAACCGATCAGAGAGGTTACAGTTGTCTCCGGCTACAAGTGCAGTTCTGTCGTGGGAGAAGCGGTCGGGGTGCGGGGCGAGGGCGTGGGGCGCGCCTGCGCGGGGGCTGCTGGGGCGGTGCCGCTCCCTCTCCCGGGCCGGCTCGCAGCCCCTACGGCCCCGGTTGTGGTCCTTGTGCGGCCGCTCGTGCAGCCCGGCCCGCTCGTGCTCGCGGCCGCCGTGGAAGGGCTTCCAGTCCCGGGCAGCGTACAGGGCGTACCTGTCATGGTAGTACCGGCACCTGTCCCAGCGCGGCCTGTCGGGGTAGAACTTCTCCCGGCCCCAGCCACGCTCGCCCTCGGTGTAGTGGTGTCTGACCCAGTCCAGCTCCACCCCGCTCCGGTGTCGGGAGTGGTGGTGACTGCACCTGCCCAGAGAGCGGCGCTCGCCAGGGCTGAGCCTGTCGCCGTGGCCGGGGTGGTGCTCCGGGGCGTGGCGGTCCTGGCGGTCGCGCTCCCGGGGGCAGGTGCGGCGCCGCCGGTGACGGTGGCCCTCAGTCTTGCTCCTGCTCTCTCTGGCGGGCTCCCCGCTGGACGAGCGCTCTCTCCGGCTGCGGTAGTGGCCTCGGTCCACCTTTCTGAGGCTGCCGATTTTCTCCTTCGCTGGGGAAGGGCCTGGGGCTTTCGGCGCCGCGGCGTCCTCGACCCTCTCGCCGGGGCTAGGCTCAGCGTCCCCTTCCGGGTGACCGGCCGGGGCCATGTCCAGCACAGGAGCTGGCGGCCGCTCTGCGGCCTCGGGTGCGCCCAAGCTCTGGGATGGGTCCTGAGCGTCCCGGGCGTGGTCCCCGCTGGGGTGAACAAGGAGTGGCTGCTCGCAGGGCTCCTCCGACCGCGCAGGCGGAGCCGGACTCAACCCTTCCGGGGCTTCCGCCAACGCCGAGTCCCGCGGGCCCTCCGCGATCATCCCCTTTGCGTCCTGGGACAACGGGCTCGCATCGCCTGTTAAGCTCCCGGGATCACACAGGTCAGGGGGTGCTGTGTCCCCCACGATGTCCTCGCCGGCGCTGGGCGGAGGCTCCTCGGGGGCGACGGCCATGGCCTCCCAGGCGCCTTCTTTGGTAGCGGGGGTGCCGGGATCGCGGGGCGGCGGAGCCTTCTTGGTGCTGCTGAGGCCGGCGGCCGCATCTGGCTCCTCCAGGGATTCGGCGGCGGGGCTGCCAGGCTGAGGCTCGGCGTCGCGGTCCTCGGGAGGGCCCCTCTCTGCTCCAGGTGCACTGCAGCCCCCAAACAAACAAACACGCCCGTTAGCGTGGGCTTGACAGGCTCATGTCATTGCATTACAAGGACAAATACTTCAAAACGTTCATTTGCTATTTCGTCTCTTTATTTTATTATTATTATACTTTAAGTTTCAGGCTACATGTGCACAATGTGCAGGTTAGTTACATATGTATACGTGTGCCATGCTGGTGTGCTGCACCCATTAACTCGTCATTTAGCAGCTATTTCGTCTCTTTAAATACATCTCGCCGAAGCCCAATATTAGGCTAGTACTACTATCTCTGGAAACTCCCAATTTTCTCTTTCCCTTATTAAATAAAAATAAAATGTTATATCATCAAGCCCAGCTCCTAGCCTATTTTTCAAAACAATAATCCTAGAGTTCTAGGCTCTTCCTGTTTCTGGATATCCCTCTAGTTCTTCCAATTCCTCTATTTTTTTTTTTTGTTTTGTTTCATTTTGTTTTGTTTTTTTGAAGGACAGAGTCCCACTCTGTTGCCCAGGCTGGAGCGCAGTGGTGTGATCTCAGCTCCCTGCAACCTCCATCTCCTGGGTGCAAGCGATTCTCCTGACCCAGCTTCCCGGGTAGCTGGGATTACAGGTGCCCACCACCATGCCCAGCTGATATTTGTGTTTTTAGTAGAGATGGGGTTTCACTATACCTTGGCCAAGCTGGTCTCGAACTCCTGACCTCAGGTGATCCGCCCGCCTCAGCCTCCCAAAGTGCTGGGATTACAGGCGTGAGCCACCGCGCCTGGCCGCAATTCCTCTAGTTCTTCCTAATAACTAAGACTAAAGAAAAAAAGTCCAGTGATGACAGGGCCTCCTCCTTTCCTCTCGACTCCCTTTCTCTGATTTCTCTTGGACCCTCAAAGGTAGAGGGGCCACCTCCAAACACAGCCAGCAGCTCCTCCAATTACTGACAAATTATGAGGAATCAGAGGCTTTAGCAAAACGTTCTGTAGTAAATTAACTTTGTCCTTTGATTCCCGCAGAGCTTTCGATATATCCTCGGGGTTAATAATGAAAGCTGCTGTGGCCTGGGCTTGTCTGCACAGCCACCTACCTCACCCTCACGCTACCTGGCCTAGGTGAGGCCAGAGTCCCCTGGCCGAGGGAGCGAGTGTCCAAGCTGGCCTATCCTTAGGTTGGGAATGAGTGTTCCCTGCCCACAGGGTTCGCCCCATTCCGGTTTAATATCTACGCCCTCCTAACAGAGGGCCTCAGTGAGGGCACTCCCACCCGCCGGGGGCCATTCTGGGGTTGCCACAGTGATGGGAGCCCCGCCAGCATGAACAGCACCCCCACAGGTGAGTGCCAACAACCGTGCGGGTAAAAACTACGGGTGTGTCACTGGCACGGTTTTCACTGACACTGACGTTTCCAGGAAGGCACCCAGTATATAAATCTAGAGTCGCTCATGCTGTGATTTGATCAGAACTTCACCAGAAGTTGTTCGCCATGAGAACACGACTTCCTGATGATGAACCCGCGCCTGGCACCGAGTATGGTGACATCCGGCCGCACTCTGAGCTGTCACTCACAGCCAACCTGTGCAGAGATGCAAGCACCGCCTGCACAGCCTCTCGCCACGGGGCCGTCCTGCTGCTGCTTTGCGAGGTGAAGCCACTGACGCTGCATGACAAATTCCCTTCCTCTCACTCCTGACCAACGTTACATTCACATTCTTCACTAACATGACATGATTTTTTTTTTAAATTGTGGGGCAGGTTTTATTATCTATAATTTCAGAATCCTTGAAGGGCCTTTACAAAGTACAGTCATGTACCTCATACATACGGTCAACAACAGACCACATATGATGGCGGTCCATAAGATCACAACATAGCTGAAAACTCCCGTCACTGTAACAGTCCAAGGGCAACGCGTGCCTCGTGAGTGTGGTGATGCTGGTGTAAACAAACCCACTGCACTGCCAGTCCCATGGAAGTCTAGCACATACGATTAGTACATAATACATGACAATGGCAATAAACGACTCTGCTGGCCGGGCACGGTGGCTCACGTCTGGAATCCCAGCCCTTTGGGAGGCCACAGCGGGTGGATGAGTTGAGGTCAGGAGTTTGAGACCAGCCTGACCAACATGGTAAAACCCTGTCTCTACTAAAAATACAAAAAAAAAATTAGCTGGGTGGGGTGGCGCATGCCTGTAGTCCCAGCTACTCAGGAGGCTGAGTCAGGAGAATTGCTTGAACTTGGGAGGCGGAGGCTGCAGTGAGCTGAGATCGCACCACTGTACTCCAGCCTGGTGACACAGCGAGACTCCGTCTCAAACAAAAAAACAAACAAAAAAAGAAGTTATTTTTGTACAGCTGTATGTTTGTGTTTTAAGCTAAGTGTTATTACAAAAGAGTCAAACAGTTTAAAATTAAAAGTCTATAAAGTAAAAAAGTTACAGTAAGCTAAGGTGTGTTTACTATTGAAGAAATCAATTTTTTTAACAAATTGAGTGCGGCTGAAGTGTGCAGTGTTTCCAGAGTCTACAGTAGTGTACCGTCCCAGGCCTCCACATTCACTCAGCACTCACTCACTGGCTCACCCAGAGCACCCTCCAGTCCTGCCAGCTCCATTCATGGTAAGTGCCCTGTGCAGGTGTGCCAGTTTTCCTCTTATACCATATTTTTACTGTCCCTTTTCTATGTTTAGATACACAAATACCACTGTATTACAGCTGCCTACGGGATCCAGTGCAGTCACAGGCTGTGCAGGTTTGTGGCCTAGGAGCCGCAGGACACACCATCTAGGTCTGTGTGACACACTGTGGTGCTGGCATGACAACCACATCCCCAAACGATGCATTTCTCAGAAGGCATCCCTGTTGTGGACGGACGGATGTCTGTATGTGCTTCTTCACAGGACTGAGAGCCCTGGCCTAGACCCTCAGCACACCCTCACATCATCATTTCTCATGAGAAAGATGAAATGAGATGGCACTTGAAGGCGTGCCAGTAACACCGCTAACCAGAGAGAGGTGGCCACGCAGGAGGAGAAATAGCATGGTGAGTACATCAAGTTTCCGTGGACTCAGTCCTGTATGCCACATTTTTTCTTTACTCTTCTAAAAGGCAAGTTAATAAATCCTATACATTATAATTCAAATCATTCTAGGATTCAAAATGTTCATTATAAAATTTCTACAGCATTCAAATACTGACACATCTGGAGGCTACTGGATTTCCTACTATGCTGCCACACGTGCCTCAGATGTACTCTTACGTTACCTCATTTCATCCGTCGAGCCTTTCAGTTTGTTGCTAAGCCTGAAGGTCTCTAAGATTTTGTCTTCTGGGAGAGACAGCAAAGGAGCAGGCATCAACTGCAATAAAAACAAAAATATTTCAGCTTCAGTCGCCAGCTCCATGCCTCCTGAAATCCAGCCAAGGGAACCGCCACAAACGAGGCTGAAGACCCTGACGTGCACTCACCTTTCCAGGAAGACCGTTTGCCTTAGCAAAGGGATTTTCTGAGTGCAGGGCAGGCTGGCCTTGGCAGCTGGCACCATCAGGCGCTAGGCCGTTTTCTTTCGGGTCACTGTCGCTGTCTGCACTATTAGCACCGTTTAGGGTCATGGGTTCTTGAAGCTCGTGCGGAGTGGCCTCCTCATCTTCGGCATCTTGGCCGGGAGAGTGGGAGCTCACAATCGTACCAATCCCATTCTCCTTGCCCAGCCCCTTTGACTCCTCGTCAGAGTCCTCAGAGGACTCGGCGCCATAGGGCACCAGCACGCTGGAGTTCAGCTTGGATTTGCCATTCATCACGGGCTGGGAGCAGGATTCACTGCGGGGGATCGGTTTTGTTACTTTACTAGAAACTGACATCGTAGATGCGTTCGAGGTAGACTGTACTGCAGAATTGGTAATGGTAGAAGAGGGAACGGGCTTGGTAGGGTTCTCCAAAGAATTACTATGAAGGTTAGGTTGAGACTGACACTGGCGAACAGGCAACTTGTTGTGAATACTGATTGTAATTTTTTGTTTCTTAGGATGTTCTGGGATCACTGAGGACCTATTAACTGACCAGTTTTGGACAGAAGCTGAAGCATTAACAGGACTAGCCCTGTTGACACTGGAATTCCCGTTAGGACTCGACATGGAACTGCTTGGCGTGTCTTTCAATGGTCCAGTCCCATTTAAGTGAGGTGGATTCTGGAAGTAAGCAGAGCGCACCTGGTCAGAGCTCCAGAAACATGGTCACACAAACAGAACCCATTTTGGCTGATGGGTCCTTCCCATTTTGCTTTTTTTTTTTTTCAGGACTAACAAGTTTCATACACCTGGAAATGTTCTCTGTTTTTCTCAATCC
This sequence comes from Homo sapiens, assembly GCF_000001405.40. Lineage (NCBI taxonomy): Eukaryota > Metazoa > Chordata > Mammalia > Primates > Hominidae > Homo > Homo sapiens. Next base: position 6,149,425 of record NC_000007.14, on the reverse strand, counting down.
CTCCTACCCGCGCATACTTTCCACAGGCCCTAGTTTTCTGGCAATAAATCAACAAACAGGACATACATGTTTCACAGAAAACAATCCTCCGACCAAACTCGTTCTGTCCCAGATCTGATCGAAATCAGCAGGACCTGTGGCATGGAGTCACACACTTGCTACCTGGTTGGGTTTCCTGGGAGCTCGCTGATGCAGAGTGCCAGGAAGGAGGAATCACCCTCGCCTCGGAGCAAAGGAGACGGTCACGTGGGCGGAGAGTAGGGGCTGCTTCAGCCGCCACTCACTCAGCCATGACCCCACCACTGCCCCACAACGTCTCCACATTCTCCTCACGCAGTGAGACTCGCTGCAGGTTCCCCCATGGCTGCTGCACCCCCGTGGAGGCGCAGGCGTGAAAGTCAGTTAACAGATCACGTGTGGCCTTCCCAGCGTCTCCTCACATACCTGAATTAGCTGCCATCCTAACACTGGAAAGCTTCATGGTAAAAACAAAAACAGGCTTTGGAAAAGCAATGCCAACCACCCCTTCCTACAGGGCACATGCCCTCCTGTTTGCCAGAGTCCTGATGTCACTCTGGAGCAGAGCCCAAAAGGGGAGCCCGCTGGGCATTTGATGTGTGACTCTGTTATACCTCAAATATACTGCCTGATGTCCATAAAATAAAGCATGCAGCTAGACCGTGTGTGTGATCATCCAAAACAAACTCAAGTCGAAAAGCTGTGAAGATGCCACAGCTCAGATGAGGCCCCCACTCTAGAATCCTGTGTTCCTTGTGACACTAGCTCACTACTGTTCGCCCCGACAGGACCAACAGGGAGTAAAATCAAACCCAGGGGGAGAGCAGACAGAAACACCACACCCCTGAAACGACTAAATGGACCTAACAAACGTGTTCTTGTAAACAGATCGCTTTCCTGCAATCCGACAGGAATTAAAGAATCTCCAAGTGTTTAACCCTTTGAGAAGAATGGAAGTCCAGAGGGGACCTAAAATTTAAAGGTGCTGACACCCAGGCTTTCCTCTTTCCTCCCCATTGGTGAGGTTTGCTGTATATTTTGGGGTTTTTGTTTTTTTGGGGGGTTATTTTGGAGACGGGGTCTCACTCTGTTGCCCAGGCTGGAGTGCAGTGGTGCAATCTCAGCTCACTGCAACCTCTGCCTCCTGGGCTCAAGTGATCCTCCTGCCTCAGCCTCCTGAGCAGCTGGGACCACAGCACACACCACCATACCCGGCTGATACTTGTATTTTTTGTGGAGACGGGGTTTCACCCTGGTACCCAGGGTGGTCTCAAACAACTGAGCTCAAATGATCCACCTGTCTCGGCCTCCCAAAGTGCTGGGATTACAAGCTTGAGCCACTGCGCTCGGCCGTTTTCTGTATATTTGAAATACTGTGTAAGAGGGTTTGATTAAACTGTGAGAAGAAATTCAGATGTATTTGAGGACACAGCAACCACTACAATTCAACTTGAGAGTTTGAAGTTACATTTTAAAAATTAACATAAAAATGTTCTTCTCCCTAAGGACTGTTACCTTTATCATGTGAGAGGGAAGCTGTGGTCCGATAAAGCCTGGCGCAGCCTGTTTGTTGGTGACAACCCGCTGACTGATGACGGGGCGGGGAGAGGACTGGCCGGGGCTATGGGTGGGATGAGTAAGTTCACCTCCATTTTTCACATCATGGGACCTGGAAACAAGGAGAGCGATACTTAGGGTGACACAGGACACCTCCTTAGGAGAGATTCATTTACAAAGTCAACAGCATTTAACCCCTCAGGCGGAAACCTGATGAAAAAAATAGCATGTTTATGCTACACAGTATGGAGCTATACACATCCCCTCCTTCAGGCTAATGTCAGGCACTCAGATCAGGAGACAACAAGGATAACTGGGTAAATGACGTTCTTTAAACTGTGTTTTCTGAAGATGCTGTTTCATCTGAAAGGTATTTCTTTTCTGTTTATTTATATTTTCCTTTTTTTGAGACAGGGTCTTGCTGCGTCGCCCAGGCTGGACTGCAGAGGAACAGCCATTGCTCACTGTGGCCTTGCCCTCCTGCCTCAGCCTCCTGAGTAGCTGGGACCACAGACATGCACCACCACGCCTGGCTCATTTTTTTATTTTCTGTAGAAATGGGGTCTCGCTTTGTTGCCCAGGCTTATATTTTTCTAATTATAAATATATGCCACTGTGGAAAATCTAGTGTCCAAAAAAGTTAGAAACAAAATCCTACCCCTCAACTTGGCCTGAGGCCTCCTCTGATCATCATCTGTGCTTCAGCCCAACTGCCGAAATCCAATGCCAGTGTTTAATATTTCAATGTGCAGACATGAGCATTCTGCCAGTTGGACATTTGAGAATATTCTTGATTTTCAGCTATCAAACATTTTTTCCAAAAATGGAGCGAGTGAGTGAGTGAAAAGCGTATGCAGCCACAACAGGACAGAGCTGGGTGCGGGTGCTGGCCTTGGCCTGGAAGGCAACTGACCTGTGCTCCAGGTTGGGAGGTGCTGGCTGTGACCACGCCAGGTGCTCAGAGGTCCCTTCCTGAGGTCTCCACTCATTGTCCTGTGGCTCCTGGCCCACTCCATTACTGCCCGCAGCAGAAGCCCACCCTTGTCAGCCACCACCTCTCCCTGCAGCTGCACCTTCAGTGCTCATGGCCACAGAGTGCGATGCGGAGCAAACTCATCATCCCGCTCAGACACTACCTTTCTTACTCTCCAGGCACATGGCAGAGTTGATGGTTTTTGGTTTTTTTTTGAGACAGTCTTGCTCTGTCACTCAGGCTGGAATGCAGTGGCTCAATCATGGCTTACTGCAGCCTCGGCCTCCCCAGGCTCAGGTAATCCTCCCACCTCAACTTTCGGAGCAGATAAGACCACAGGCCCACAACACCACACCTGGCTAATTTTTTCGTATTTTGTAGACATGTGGTCTCACTATGTTGCCCAGGCTGGTCGGTCTCGAACTCCTGGGCTCAAGTGATCCTTCCATCTTGGCCGCCCAAAGTGCTAGGATTATAGGCGTGAGGCACCATGCCCAGGCTAGAGTTGATCTTTAAGCTGCTGGGTTTTTTTTTTTTTTTAAAACACTGAATATTGAATTCAAACATGTTGATAAGACAAGAAGAAATGACATACCAGAAAATCTGGCAATTTGTTTTCATGACAATACCTGATATAAAAGAGCACATAGGCTTGTTGGCTGAGTACCGATCTAATATCACTGGTAGATACAATGGAGTCATTCATTTGATACCAGAGGCCATTGCTAGCCTATAAATGAGAGCCAATAAAAGAGAGAGATTAGATTTAATTAAACATGGAACATAGTCAAGAGAAATATTTCTTTCTTTTTTTTTGAGATGGAGTCTCACTCTGTCACCCAGGCTGGAGTGCAGTGGCGTGATCTTGCAATCTCCACCTCCTGGGTTCAAGCGATTCTCCTGCCTCAGCCTCCGGAGCTGCTGGGATTACTGGCAGGTGCCACCACACGCAGATAATTTTTGTATTTTTAATAGAGGCGGGGTTTCACCCTGTTGGCCAGGTTGGTCTTGAACTCCTGACCTCAAGTGATCCCCCAGCCTCAGTCTCCCAAAGTGTAGGGATTACAGGAGTAAGCCACTGCGCCCGGCCAAGAGAAATATTTTTACCTCGGGTATTCACATTTTAACTGTAAAAGTTCCACCTCTCCCTACCCCAAGAATGCTACTGCTGTCTTATAGCATGTATGTAACAATAGTTAATAGCAAATCTGCACAGCTTACTTTTATGTAGCAGAAGTAATGGCCAGCATGGCAATTAAAACCAGTGTGGACCAGCACTGCATACAAGACGTAGACAATTGGCTCTCCGTTGGGTTGAGACATATATGGCCGAATATCAAGATACTCAGGGTATTTCACATCCTAGAAGGAAATGGAAACAGGAGAAACATTTCCGAGGGCACAGATCATTCCACATATTCAGGTAGAGGGTACTTAGAGCTTCCTAGGAGGGGAGACCCACAGAACACCTGAGCCCTGTGATATTCTAGCAAAAACCTAATGCATTTAAAAAACCTAGTGCATTTAGCCATCTTTTTTTTTTTTTTGAGATGGCGTGCCACTCTATCACCCAGGCTGGAGTGCAGTGACACGATCTCAGCTCACTGGAAGCTCCGCCTCCCGGGTTCAAGTGATTGTCCTGCCTCAGCCTCCCGAGTAGCCGGGATTACAGGTGCGCCACCACGCCCAGCTAATTTTTGTATTTTTAGTAGAGACAGGGGTTTCACCATCTTGGCTAGGCTGGTCTTGAACGCCTGACCTCGTGATCCACCCAGCTTGGCCTCCCAAAGTGCTAGAATTATAGGCATGAGCCACTGCACCTGGCCTAGCCACCTTTCAAAGGGCATGGTTAACCGGGAGGATAGCGGAATCTAAGTGTATTTAAGGCCATCCTGCTGCATTTATTATTTTCTTTTAACAAGTCAGGATCTATATTAAGTGAATTCTTCAAACCCATCAAAGGACAGACTAACAAAATGACAACTCTGAACATAATTTTTTTTTTTTTGAGACAGAATCTGACTCTGTTGCCCAGGCTGGAGTGCAGTGGCACAATCTCGGCTCACTGCAACCTCTGCCTCCTAGGTTCAAGCGATTCTCCTGCCTCAGCCTCCCGAGTAGCTAGGATTACAAGTGCCTGCCACCACACCCAGCTAATTTTAGTATTTTTAGTAGAAACAGGGCTTTGCCACGTTCGCCAGAGTGGTCTCAAACTCCCGGCTTGAAGTGATATGCCCAACTAGGCCTTCTAAAGTGCTGGGATTACGGGCGTGAGCCACCACACTCGGCCGATTATTTAATTTTAATAATTCAGGAATGGATCGTTTATTTCTCTTGCATGCTATTTAGTTTTTGACCACTTTCAATCTTCAGAAAGTGGGAAGAAAATGGGAAAATTCAGTGTACTACCAATCAGAAAACAAACAAACAAGACAAAATGAACTTTGGTGAAAACTGGCAAAGTCTAGCAGGAAGTCCTCTTTGGATTTCAGATTATACAGGCTCTCCCTGTATCCCCTCACAACCACGGGTACCAACAAAACAGACAATGAAGCCCAAATGTAGGTAATAGTTAGCAATTTTGTCATGAGAAAGTCGAGTCCTTAATCCTTAATAGCTACAGACACGTTAAGCTTCGAAAGGCTCGACATAAAACATGATTAATGACATCATCCACATACCTTAGCAATTTTTCCACCGGTAAAATTTGCAAAACGTTTCAGAGAAAGTGTAAGAACATTAGAGGATCTATGGATAGTGAACCTCTTTGAAGCTGGAACCATCTTTTTACACCTTGAAACAAACAGAAACAAAAGTATAAGAAGACGAATATATACACACAATTTGTGGTATTTTGGTCTTTCTTGTTACTATTCTCAAACATTACATATTAAGGTTCCAAAAAGGACACTGGATGAGAACCACCAGCCTTCAACCAACAGTGAAAATATTAACATTAAAAATACAGGGGGAAACTGCTTAATTAGCATGAAAGGAAAGGAAGTTAGGACAATTCTGAAAAACCAAGCCACGCAAGCCACCAATAATGTTAAAATTAGGTTAACACAACTTCCTCTCAATTCAAAAGAAACTGAAAAACGAACATGTTCAGACTGGTATAATTATGTGAAAATATGTCTTAAATTCATCTAATTTAAAAATAATAATAATTATTATATGAAAAGAGAGCCCTAACCAGAAACAAAAGGAATAAAAATAAATATTAGAAATGTCTGTGGAATTTAAAACAAAGGCAAAATCCCTCTGGTCTTGAAGATTTGACAATAAAAAAATTACTTCTATTACCTGACCACAAAGTGGAAATCTACTTAAAAACATACAAAAGAGCTTTCTTAAAATAGGCACTCTTGACTTCATGTGGAAACATATTAATGAATGATCAAAATTAGAGTTTTTCAGCAAATGCTATCCCAAACCCTGGGAACCCACCCTAAGAGAGAAGGAGCCTCCCTATCCCAGAAGAAAGTGACTCCCCACCCGACGGCAGCCCTCTTATCATAAGAAAGTCAATGAAAATGCTATTTGGCAGACAGTGCGTGCCCAGCCACACCTGAAGCAGCACTACCATGGGGTGCAAAGACAATTTTACCTCTCTCCTCCCACCGAATCTGCCCAATAATGTCATGCCCCAGGCTTTCACAGGCACAGAGCTGCGCATCTTGCAGAAACACACACATCAAGACACTCCGGGCTCTCGCCTTTGGACGACAGGGACGCAGTGTCTTCCCAGAGGGTATCAGAAACTCAAGCAACCTAGACACACCAAACTCTCTCAAACCAAGCCTGCCGGCCATCCCCACTGGAGAAGCCGGCATCAAGAATCAAGTCACCACCCAACGTACTTGCTGCACTTGTACGAGTTTTCTCCATCAAGCTGTTCCGGCTTCACAAACTGCTCCAATGCCTTGTTGACACTCTGAGCAGCCTGGGAAGAGAAGAGGCACAAACACCACATCACCGCACACCGTCACTTGTGTTTGGGTCTTGCCCTGCCACCCAGGCTGGAGTGCAGTGGCACAATCACAGCTCACTGCAGCCTCGACCTCCTGGGCTCAAGCAATCCTCTCACCTCAGCCTCCCGAGCAGCTAAACCACAGGCATGGCCACCATGCCCAGCTAAATTTTTCATTTTTTTGTAGAGACAGGGGTCTCACTATATTCCCCCAGGCTGGTCTCAAACTCCTGGGCTCAAGCGATCCTCCCACCTCGACCTCCCAAACTGTTAGGATTACAGGTATGAGCTGTCATGCCCAGCCGTGCCCCTTATTTTTTAAAAGAAGGAACAGAAGACTCAAAGATATAACAGCAAATGAAAATTTTTATGTAAAAAGAAAATTTTCCGGGCGGGCGTGGTGGCTCACGCCTGTAATCCCAGCACGTTGGGAGGCCAAGGCAGGCAGATCATGAGGTCAGGAGATCCAGACCATCCTGGCTAACATGGTAAAACCCCGTCTCTACTAAAAATACAAAAAATTAGCAGGGCACAGTGGCACGCGCCTGTAGTCCCAGCTACTTGGGAGGTTGAGGCAGAAGAATCGCCTGAACCCAGGAGGTGGAGGTTGCAGTGAGCCGAGATCGAGCCACTGCACTCTAGCCTGGGTGACAGAGCAGGACTCCGTCTCAAAAAAAAAAAAAGAAAAAAGAAACAAAATTTTCATTTAGTAGTATGATGTTCACTTTTATAAATCTACATACCAAATTATATCCTCTCCCATTTAAAAATGAGCAGAATTAAAGTGAACAAAAATATAGAGGATGCTCACTGCAGCAATACATAAAACTGGAAGCAAACCAAATATCCACCAGCAAGGAATTCGGCACAGGAATTACAGTCTATCCATTCACTGCACCACACACTGCCCAGAGAGCACGCTCACACAGAAAGGTCTCAACAGAATTACACGGAACAGTGAGTGGCCAGACAGACATCAGACACAATCTCATTTATATAAAAAGTGAACAATACATTCTGGAGCAGTACATATCAAACTGTTAAAAATAATGCATTCAAAAGGAAAGGATTTTACATATATCTGCAACGTTACTCATTTTTATCATAAGCATGTATTACATCTGTAATCAGAAAAATGCAAGCTCAAAAACAACAAAAAAATTAGGAATTCAGAAAATGCAAGAGGCAGGCTGGGCACAGTCGCTGTAGTCCCAGCTACTAGGGAGGCTGAGACAGGGGAAATGCTTGAACCCTGGAGGTGGAGGATGCAGTGAGCTGATATTGCGCCACTGCACTCCAGCCTGGGCAATGGAGCAAGACTCCATCTCAAAAAAAAAAAATAATAATAACCAACTGTACTTGGCTAATATAGAAAATCTAGTTTTATTAAGATATTAAATGAAAATTCAGGCCGGGCGCGGTGGCTCACGCCTGTAATCCCAGCACTTTGGGAGGTGGGCAGATCACGAGGTCAAGAGTTCAAGACCATCCTGGCCGATAGGTGAAACCCCATCTCTACTAAAAATACAAAAATTAGCTGGGCATGGTGGCACATGCACCTATAGTCCCACCTACTCGGGAGGCTGAGGCAGAAGAATTGCTTGAACTCGGGAGGTGGAGGTTGCAGTGAGCCGAGATCACGCCACTGCATGCCAGCCTGGGTGACAGAGTGCAATTCCATCTCAAAAAAAAAAAAAAAAAAAGAAAAGAAAAAGAAAATTCAAAGAGTAATAAAAAAACTTTAAAAGCTTTTTTATGATGCTTACTACAAAGCTTGAATAATTCCTCCAAATGAAATCTTAGCATATTGAATTTTTCAATTTATATTCTCTAACAAGTAGTCTAAATTATAAATGAACTACAGTTACATAAAATGACTTATTTTAAAAATGTAATTACTCCCATAATTATGAAATTTACCTTTATCTCCAATGTTATATCAAGATATGGATCAAAAGTATCTGAAACGCCCTTGCAATTTAAACATTTGACTGAAATAAAAATAAAATGCAAAAGATGAGCAAAGTATAATCATTACAGCAACATCAACTACTGAAATGACAAAATACAATTTTGAAATTTAAAATTTTTTAACTGTAATTTTTCTATCAATTGAACAAAAAAAGTTTTAAATTAATACTACTCATAATATGGGTGAAAAGTGTAATGAATTTGGCCCCTCATATACTATTGATTAGAATCAAAACTGGTATACCCTCTTAGAAGACAACCTGACAGAATTAAAATTTACAATACACACTCCCTGTGATCCAGAAATTCTAATACTAAGAATTCATCCTACATATACATTTTTACCCAGACATAAAGCATGTGTGCACGGATGCTCCATGAACAACAACAAAACACAAACAACCTAAATCCCATCGATAGGGGACTAAAATAAATGGAACACTACTCCAACTGTCGAAGGCTGTTAGGCCTGTGTGCTGAAATGTAAAAGACTGCTAATACGAAGAGACAAATGGAAGCAGTGCACACAGTATGCTCCCAGTTTATTCATGCACAGGAAACTACCAGGAGGATTTACTACAACCTGGCACCGAGGCTGCCTCTGGGTAAAAGGAATGAGAATCTGGGCTGGAGAGAAGCACTTTTCCTTCCTTCCTAGTAGGACTAACCCTGTCCTACTATTACCATTTTTTAACCACATGTGTGTATCATTTTATCAACTTATAAGCAAAAGCTTACCTCTAGATCTTAGGTATCCTCCAAATATCTGACAAACAAGAGTGGTGGCCTGGGTGTGTCTGTCTAATCTGAAAAACGTTGAACAGTGACATGAGAGAAGAGCTTTGCAAAAACTCCAGATGCTGTGACCAGATTTCAAACACATGGGAGCTCACAAAAGATCAAGAATTCAAACAGGACAGCCATGGAAAATAAAAGGATGGCACGTGTGGCAGCCCAAGAGCATCCCTTCCTGGCCAGAACACAGGGAGGTCTGGGAGTGGCGGGAGGAGACGCAGAGCTGTGGGAGCTGTGTCTGTCAGGAAGGGACTCGGGAAGCAAGGCAGGAGTCTGGTCCTGAAGCAGGAAGATGGCAGCCTCCGGGCACTGCGGCCTGTGTGGGAGGAAAGGGAGCGGAGGCGGAAAAGGCAGAGAGTCTTCCTCCGACCCAAGTATGTCATCACCCGGACAATGAAGTCCTAGACAGGGCGGTGCCAGGGCAGGGAGAATGCAGAGGGAGATCTACCAGGTGTCTCAGACAGCACCAAGCGGCTTGGGATGCATTATCTGTCCCCTCGTTCTTCCTCTTGAGTCTGCATTTAGATTTTAAGGAACTAGCTACAAGAATCAGTAACTGATTGGGGTGGGGGTTCAGGAAATAAACACAGGCTGGAGGGCAGCAGAGAAAAGAAAATGTCAGGCACAACTAGAAAGGAGAAGCAGCTAGTTTGAGATCTGCAGACGTCTGCTGATAATGAGAAATTAAATAGCTGCAAGACCAATGTTTATTTCCTGACATCTATGATTGAGCCAACTCAAACTGTTACGTAAGACACACGTGTAAATTTCAACCATTTTAAAATAATGCACATCACCTAAGGAAGAGGCAGAGCAAAGCCAAAAGGTAAAGTGAACACTGTTCTGTGTGCTTCCAACAAAAAAGGTGAAAATGAATTCTGATAAGAATAAACTACAACCAGAGATCCCCAATGAAGACATGGCTGGCGCTCTGTTGTACTTACTTATTGCTGCCATTCAAGCATGCTTTCTGCATAGCATCAACAGTGTATTGAAGGAATTCATGGGCATCTTCTTGGTTTCCAAAACGGAAGTGCCTAGCTATACCTGTAAAATTTCGGTAAAGACAAGGCTTTATCATTACACGTAATAAGCCTAAGTTGTACCCCCCAAAATATATCTTATAATAATATGTTGGTTGGAAAACTCCCAAATACTTACTTTATGAGGAAATAGCACTAACATAAGCCACTAATATAAGCTATAAGCAGGATCAGGCCCTTTAGACTAGAATCCCCAACCGTTTGGGCACCAGGGACTGGTTTCACGGAAGACCATTTTTCCACAGACCAGAAGAGGGGGTTGGGATGAAATTGTTCCAGCTCAGATCATCAGGCATGAGATTCTCCTAAGGAGCATGGAACCTGGATCCCATGCACACACAGTTCACAATAGGGTTGGCGCTGCTATGAGAATCTAATGCTGCCATTGATCTGACAGGAGGCGGAGCTCAGGTGGGGATGCTCACCTGCTGCTCACCTCCTGCTGTGCAGCCCAGTTCCTAACAGGCCACATTGGGTACCAGTCTACGGCCCAGGGGTTAGGGACCCCTGCTTTACACCATTAAAAGTCCACAGCAGCTAGAGTTTCTGAGAGTCTAGAGAGTAGCTACAGAGTGACTCATGTTTCTAGCAAGTTAATAAAGTTACACTTGAATAAACTGGCTGTTTTGTCTCAAGTTTGTCCAAAATGCTATGCTGGTGATTTTAAATTGGTGCTACATCTCTATAATACAGAATCCATTCAAAATATAAATCTCCCAACCTATCTAATTCTATCCCAATGACCTACAGAAGAAATTATATTTGCAGGTGCACAGAAACATTTCAGTCCTGTTTCTAATTGATTAAACAGCTAAAAGACCAAATTATTTTTTAAATTACAATAAAAAATTAACACAAAAGTATAAGCAATATCACACTAAAACATATATACTGAATTTTACATGTGTATGAATGTATAAAAATGTTCTAGCTTAAATCACATGAAACTGCCAACACTCCACCAGTTTAGACCTACAAACGTGACAACTTCATGACTGAACCATGTGTGTATCAGTGGATACACACACACACAGAGCAATGACATTTTCTTAAAAGACTAGGTTTAAAAATGTTAGTCATGTCTGCTATATAAATATGTATAAAAATAAATATATGTGGTCGGGCGTGGTGGCTCACACCTGTAATTCCAACACTTTGGGAGGCAGAGGCGGGTGGATCATGAGGTCAGGATATCGAGGCCATCCTGGCTAACATGGTGAAACCCCATCTCTACTAAAAATACAAAAATTAGCCAGGGGTAGTGGCAAGCACCTGTAGTCCCAGCTACTCAGGAGGCTGACGCAGGAGAAATCGCTGGAATCCGAGAGGCGGAGGTTGCAGTGAGCCAAGACTGCACCACTGCACTCCAGCCTAGGCGACAGAGTGAGACTCCATCTCAAAAATAAATGAATAAAAACAAATAAATACATGTATAAATAGCCAGGCATGGTGGCTCACGTCTGTAATCTCTGCACTTTGGGAGGCCAAGACGGGTGGATCACCTGAGGTCAGGAGTTCAAGGCCAGCCTGGCCAACATGGTGAAACCCCGTCTCTACTAAAACTACAAAATTAGCCAGGTGTGGTGGTACACGTCTGTAATCCCAGCTACTTGGGAGGCTGAGGCAGAAGAATCACTTGAACCTGAGAGGCAGAGGTTGTAGTGAGCCAAGATCGTGCCACTGCACTCCAGGCTTGGGGACAGAGCGAGACTCCATCTCAAATGAATGGATGAATGAATGCATGCATGCATGTGTAAACAATCCAAACCTGCCTGGCTAAATTTTGCCAGGCTTCAACAATATTTCAAAGGTTTTTGGCTTGTCTGTTGTGGTCTATCAATAATGCCAAGGGCCAATATAAGACCTCTTTAATCTTCAGTGGCTTTCTAGGCAAAAAGATTACAGTTTGTTACTGTATAATTACACATCCCTATAATTACCCAGTTAGATGCCAGATTAAGAGTTATAGTTTTGTTTGTATGCATTTTTTATTCCAACTCAATTAACAAGATGCAAAAGTTTACTGCAAAAACACACAGAATGTAAGAAAATTTCATGCACTTACCCATTTAAAATTCAAAAATTAAATAGAAAAAAGTAAAATTTATCCACCAATTTGCTAAGCTCTGAGTATATATTCTTTTAAGACTGTAATTAAGTTGGGCATAGTGGTGCACATCTGTAATCCCAGCTACTCAACTGGGGCAAGAGGATCACTTGAGCCAGGAGTTCAAGACTAGCCTGGGCAAAACAGTGAGACACAGTCTCACTTGAAAAAAAAAAAAAAGAAGAACCGAAAAAAGAGAATTAACCTTATTTATTTCTTATTTTATTTTTACTGCTGCTTGCAGAGCAGGGCTAATCCACAGGCAGTGTGTCCAGAGTAGCCTAATTAACTTTATTTTGACAATTTCTGTCACTGCGTATAGTAAAGTATTCATTCACCAAACTGAAACTAATTAAAAACTGTTTACAAAAACCTGTGAGACAATATCAGAATTAGTATTACTCAGCATAGAAATCCAAGTTTCAGAGCAAAGACACTATAAAACTTACCAATTATTTTAACATATTGATTTTTAATAGTTTAAAATTTGTTATATTAAATTGAATAGTCTTTAATATATTGTCATCTTTTGCTTTAAAGTTTCAAAATGTGTTTATATAGCAAATGTTTTACTAAAAATTTGTTATCAAAGACATAGCCACGTACGACAAAATGTATTTGTTTTCTAATACATGACGGGTTCGGTTTTTTTCACCAGTTGGACATTAAGAATAACTAGGTAATAGGCCAGGCATGGTGGCTCACGCCTGTAATCCCAGCACTTTGGGAGGCGGAGGCAGGTGGATCAACTGAGGTCAGGAGTTTGAGACCAGCCTGACCAACATGGAGAAACCCCATCTGTACTAAAAGTACAAAATTAGCCTGGCATAGTGGTACACGCCTGTGATCTCAGCTACTCGAGAGGCTGAGACAGGACAATCGTTTGAACCTGGGAGGTGGAAGCTGCAGTGAGCCGAAATAGCGCCACTACATTCCAGCCTAGGCGACAGAGCAAGACTCTGTCTCGAAAAAAAAAAAAAAAAAAAGTATAACTAGGTAATAAATACAAATATAAAACTACAATAGTTAATACTTACGCCGCATCTCATTGATGACAAACATTGGTTTAATAACGTCCCCAGGATTACTGAGTGCCTGGGTAATATGTGCTTGCATTGTACACATCATACAAAAGCCTTCTGCATGACCTGAAAGATAGATGATAATCCTCCAAATTAGCAAAATACAACCATATACACACATCAAGGCTAATTACAAATCAGGGGCACACACCTGAAATGAAATAATAGCTGCTATATGCATGCCTTGAGCTATCTACTTTTATGCATTTTCATTTACTTTTTTTTGTTCTTTTTTTTTTTTTTTTTTTTTTTTTTGAGATGGAGTCTCACTCTGTCACCCAGGCTGGAGTGCAGTGGTGTGACCCTGGCTCACTGCAACCTCGGCCTCCCCGGGTCCAAGCCATTTGCCTGCCTCAGCCTCCCAAGTAGCTGGGACTACTACATGCGCCACCATGCCTGGCTAATTTTTTTTTGTATTTTTAGTAGAGATGGGGTTTCACCATGTTAGCCAGGCTGGCCTCGAAATCCTGACCTCAGGCAATCCACCCACCTTGGCCTCCCAAAGTGCTGGGATTATAGGTGTAAGCCACCACCCCAGCCTCATTTACTTTTCTAACAAACCTAAGTGATAAGTATATATTAGCTCTCTTTCACAAGAAAGGAAAAAAGCTCAGAGAGTTTAAAAGTTTGCCCAATGTCAAAGAGTTATTATGGGACAGACACATAATTGGATTCAAATCATACTCTTTCAAATTTGAAAGCCAGTGCTCCTAGCTACTCTCTATACAGGAAAAGCAAGGTTTTTCCCCTCACACCACTATTTATCTCAAACACTAAAAGAAAGTCTCCCACAGCAGGGATGAGACATCACTGTGGAAGCCAGGCGCCATGGCTCATGCCTATCATCTCAGCACTCTGGGAAGCTGAGGTGGGTGCATCTCTTGGGGCCAAGAGTTTGAGACTAGCCTGGGCAACATGGTCAAACCCTGTCTCTACAAAAAATAAAAAGAAAATTAGCCCAGTGTGGTGGCACAAGCCTGTAATCTCAGCTACCCAGGAGGCCGAGGCAGGAGGATCACCTGATCCCAGGGAGGCTGAGGCTGCAGTAAGCTGTGATCACACCACTGCACTACAGCCTGGGCAACAGAGCGAGACCCTGTCTCAAAAAAACAAAGAAAGAAAAGAAAAAAGAAAATAATCTCTGTGTAAATACTCTGGCGTTGCTGGCCACAGATGGTGGTCTCTATGGCATATCTTTTTTGACAACTTTCTAAAAATGTAAAAATCATTCTTAGCGCATGCTAAGTGATGCTGCAGCATCTAGTGGGGAGAAGCCAGGGATGCCGCTCAACAGCCTCGAATGCACCGGACAGCCCCTCCCAGCAAAGAGTCACCCAAAGTGTTGGCAGCACCGAGGCTGAGGAGCTGCCTGACTAAAGGCTACCCAGACGCACCTAATAACGCTTAAAACAAAAGGATCAAGCTATTCCCAATTAACTCTGTCTTGCAATAAAGCTCAAAAATATTTTTTAAAGAAATACAAAAATCCCAGCACCCAATAACATAAAATTCATTCTGTCTGGCATCCAATCAAACAGTACAAGGCACGCAAAGATGCAGAAATGACCGGTAACAAGGAGAAAATAAACAGAAAAAGACCCAGAAATAACACAGAAAATATAATCAGAAGACAATAACTTTAAAAAGGATATTACAAATATATTCCTATGTTCAAGGAAATGAAAAATGGAAGAATACATTAAGAAGAAACATGGTGGCTGAGCCTGGTGGCTCATACCTGTAATCCCAGCACTTTGGGAAGCTAAGGAGGGCAGATCACGAGGTCAGGAGATCGAGACGATCCTGGCTAACACAGTGAAACCCCGTCTCTACTAAAGATACAAAAAAATTAGCTGGGCGTGGTGGTGGGCACCTGTAGTCCCAGCTACTCGGGAGGCTGAGGCAAGAGAATGGCGTGAACCCAGGAAGCAGAGCTTGCAGTGAGCTGAGATGGCACCACTGCACTCCAGCCTGGGCGACAGAGCAAGACGCTGTCTCAAAAAAAAAAAAAAAAAGAAGAAGAAACATGGAAATAGATGCAAATCTGCTTATACACATGAAGAGTACAATCTCTGGGATGAAAAATGCACCAGGTGCGGTGGCTTACGCCTGTCATCCCAGTGCTTCGGGAGGCTGAGGCAGGCGGACCACTTGAGCCCAGGAGTTTGACACCAGCCTGGGCAACACAGAAAAACCCCATCTCTACTAAAAATACAAAAATTAGCCAGGTGTGGTGGCACGTGCTTGTAGTCTCAGCTACTCCAGAGGCTGATGTGGGATGGGAGGACCACCTGAGCCCAGCAGTTGGAGGCTGCAGTAAGCTATGATAGCACCACTGCACTCCAGCCTGGGTGACAGAGTAAGATCCTGTCTCAAAAAAATAAAAACAAACAACAATAACAAAAACACCAGATGTAATTAATAACAGATTAGACACCACAGAAGAAAAGATTAGTGAACTTGAAGATATTCATTATGGGTAGAAAATATCCATAATAAAACACAGAGAGAGAAAATCTCAAAATAACAACAACAACACAGCATACCAGTAAGCTATGGGACAATTTTAAGTTGCCCCTGATATACATCATTAGAGTCTGAAGGTAAAAGGACAGCATAAATATTTCAAGAAATAACAATTATCTACAAACGAAAAGCACAAAGGAGGTTTTTGGGAAGAGGCATGGTTTCGTACCCTGACTGAGCTGTCAGTTCACATGAGTCTATATTAATATTCAAAAGATCTTACACCAAAAAAGTTATTAAGTTTTCAAAAGTCACTGAAAGTTGTCCAAATTTGACAGAAATAATACATGTACAGATCTAAGAACCTCAACAAATTCCAGGAGTAGAAACATGAAGAAAACTACACAAAGGACCCCTACTTACAACCAGTGATAAAAATCTTAAAAGCACTGGAGATAAAAACAGTGCTGGGCCGGGCGCAGTGGCTCACGCCTGTAATCCCAGCACTTTGGGAGACCAAGATGGGCAGATCACAAGGTAGAAGATCGAGACCATCCTGGCTAACACGGTGAAACCCCGTCTCTACTAAAAATACAAAAAAATTAGCCGGGTGTGGTGGCACGCACCTGTGGTCCCAGCTACTCAGGAGGCTGAGGCAGGAGAATGGCGTGAACCCGGGAGGCGGAGGTTGCAGTGAGCCGAGATCTCGACGCTGCACTCCAGCCTGGGCAACAGAGCAAAACTCCGTCTCAAAAAACAAACAAACAAACAAAACATTACATAGGCTGGCTTGGTGGCTCATGCCTGTAATCCCAGCATTCTGTGAGGCTGAGGCGGGTAGATCACTTGAGGTCAGGAGTTTGAGACCAGCCTGGCTAACATGGTGAAACCCTGTCTCTACTAAAAATCCAAAAAATTACCTGGGCATGGTGGTGTGCGCCTGTAACCCCAGCTACTCAGGAGGCTGAGACAGGAGAATCACTTGAACCTGGGAGGCAGAGGTTGCAGTGAGCTGAGATCGCAACACTGCACTCCAGCCTGGGCCACGGAGTGAAACTCAGTCTCAAAAAAACACAAGAAACAAAACAAAAACAAAAGCAAAAAATCATTATGTATATAGGAACAAAGGTAAAAACGACAACAGACTTCTTATCAGGCACAGCACAGGCCAGAAGACAGTGGAATAATATCTTTCAAGTATTAAAAGAAAAAGAACGGGCCAGGTGTGGTGGCTGCCCTGTAATCTCAGCACTTTGGGAAGCCAAGGCGGGTGGATCGCTTGAGCCTAGGAGTTCGAGACCAGCCTGGCCAAAATGGCCAAAATCCTGTCTCTACAAAAAATTAGCCAGGCATGGTGGTGAACGCCTGTAGTCCCAGCTATTCAGGAAGTTGAGGTGGGAGGATTACTTGAGCCCAAGAGGTTGAGGCTGCAATGAGCTATAATCACACCACTGCACTCTAGCCTGGGTGAGAGTGACAGCCTGTCTCAAAAAAGACAAATAATGTTAACATAGAATTCTACACCCCATGAGAATATCATTCAAAAACAAACATGAGACTTGCACTTCTGGGAGACGGAATAGAGGTAGTTTTCTATTCCTCCTGCCAAGTACAACAAATCCTGACCATTGTGTATAAAATGAACCTTAAAAGGCTGTGAAAGGTAGAAAGAGAAAGAGACATGCTACGGACCTCAAGACCCAAGGAAGACATGGTGGTGAGTTTCCTGGGGTTTCTTTGTGCTTCTTCTAGTCCAGACTTAGAGCTAAAGTCAGCAACCTGGAAGCCCCAACAACTGCAGGCAACCAAGCCCAGCAAAATCCCGCTCCCACTCTCTCCAGCCAAAGGATGAGGAAGGGGCAGCCTCGTGTGACAGAAACCTTTAGAAATCATTGCTCTACTTCAGCTTCTGTGTGTATTTTTTTCTGTATATTATGATGTTTGTTTTTGTTTGGTTTGTTTTTTTTGAGACAGCATCTCACTCTGTCACCCAGGCTGGAGTGCAGTGGCGGGATCACGGCTCACTGCAGCCTCTACCTCCCAAGGCTCAGGTGATCTCCCCACCCGTCTCTCGAGTAGCTGGGATTACAGGCATGCACCACCATACCCGGCTAATGTTTGTATTTCAGTAGAGACAGGGTTTCACCATGTTGGCCAGGCTGGTCTCGGACTCCTGGGCTCAAGTGATCCACCCTCCTCTGCCTCCCAAACTGCTGGAATTGTAAGAATTATTATGATGTTTTGACATCCTAAAGATCTTTCTGGCTGGGGAGAGGCTGCCCCTCAGGCTAGCCAATTCTTAGAGGTAGCAAAGGGCTCAGCGTTCGTGCAAGCCTTTGCTATACACACTAACCAATCCAG
Organism: Homo sapiens; assembly: GCF_000001405.40. Classification (NCBI taxonomy): domain Eukaryota; kingdom Metazoa; phylum Chordata; class Mammalia; order Primates; family Hominidae; genus Homo; species Homo sapiens. The sequence continues at coordinate 6,131,079 of NC_000007.14, read as the reverse complement.
AGCCCTTCCTTCTCCATCCACCTGCCTGTGCACCCCAGGAGGCAAAACTCCTCTGCCCTAATCATCTCAGGGCCAGGTGCCAGGCAACTCTGGACCACACCTGTGGCTCAGAGCCCACAAAAATTATTCAAACCAGCCAATCCCAAATTCTTCCCCCTGCCCTACCCTGCTTTTCCCACGGAAACCTCAACGAAGGCTCTGGCCAATAATGCCTTCCCCTTGCTCCTGTCTTCTGCTTCCTCACCACATGGCCCTGCATGGTGTGCCCTGTGAGCATAAAATCTTTGTCTTCCTGAGCCTCTCTTGTGTCTCCTCTTGTGGCTGCCCCTGAGCAACCATCTCATAAAAGAATACAAAAGACATTAAAACATCACAGAAGAACTATGGCCTCACCTCCACCCACACCAGAAAAGGCAAGTAAACAGCCTTGACTTACACTCAACAGGCTGTAGCAAGGCACCCTAACCCATACTGGGTTAACGGTGGAGAAGGCTGACTAGGAGCTGGGACTTGCAACCATACTGGATGAACAAACCCTGTCCCACCCCACGTTGTGACAATCATGTGGGGAGCCCAGATTTCCACCCACCCAGTAGTAAAAAGCCACCTCTAAACTCTGCCACCACTATGGCCTCCCCAGCCCCCGGTGAGGGTCAGAGGCAGGACTGTCACCATCACTCAGTGGTAACAAAACCACTCCCACTGCAGTGTCCGTGGAGACCATGTGGGGAGCAGGAACTTCCACTTCCACCCAGCAGGGACAACGATCCCCAATTCCCACCTGGGGTGCCAACGGAGGCTGAGTGGGGAATGTGGGCTTCTACTCCATCTGACATCACTTCCTCTGCCAGAGCAGTGTCAGAGCAAGTTGGCTAAAACAAAGGTTAGATAAGACTCAGTGTCTTATAAGATAACACCAAAATATCCATGGCCAGGCGCGGGGGCTCATGCCTACAATTCTAGCACTTTCGGAGGTCGACGCAAGAGGACTGCTTGAGCCCAGGAGGTGGGAGCTGCAGTGAGCCATGATTACACCACTGCACTCCAGCCTGGACAACAAAGTAAGACCCTGACTCAAAAAACAAAATTGTTTTAAAATCCAGCTTTCAACTGAAAATCACTCATCATACTGAGAACTAAGAATTTCTCAAACAAAAATTATAACATTGTCTGATATGGTTCTAAATGTATATAAAAGAAACCTTTTTTTTTTTTTTTTGAGACAGAGTCTCACTCTGTCACCCAGGCTGGAGTACAATGGCATGATCTTGGCTCACTGAAACCTCTGCCTCCTGGGTTCAAGTGATTCTCTTGCCTCAGCCTCCCAAGTAGCTAGGATTAGAGGTGTGCACCACCACACCTGGCTAATTTTTGTATTTTTAGTAGAGACAGGGTTTCACCATGTTGGCCAGGCTGGTCTTGAATCCCTGACCTCAGGTAATCCGCCCGCCTCGGCCTCCCAAAGTGCTGGGATTACAGGCATGAGCCACCGCGCCTCGTCCTTTTTTTTTTTTTTTTTTCCTGAGGCAGAGCCTCACTTTGTCACCCAGCCTGGAGTGCAGTAGCACAATCTTGGCTCACCACAACTTCCACCTCCTGGATTCAAACAATTCTCCTTCCTCAGCCTCCCGAATAGCTGGGATTACAGGCGCCCGCCACCATGCCTGGCTAATCTTTTGTATTTTTAGTAGAGATGGGGTTTCGCCATGTTGGCCAGGCTGGTCTCAAACTCCTGACCTCAGGTGATCCACCTGCCTCGGCTTCCCAAAATGCTGGGATTACAGGCATGAGCCACCACGCCTGGCCTAGAAGAAACATTTTATAACAATTATAACTAGTGGAGAGTAAAGGACATAGGGAAGTAATGTTTCTATACGTCCCTCAAACTAGTAAAATGACAATACCAGTAAACCGTGGTAAAAGTTATGTGTGTGTAAATGTGGTCCCTAAAAGTGACCACTAAAAAGGCTACAGGCCCAGTGGCACACGCCTGTAATCCCAGCATTGTGTGAGCCTGAGGTGGGCGGATGGCCTGAGCCCAGGAGTTTGAGACCAGCCTGGGCAACATGGTGAAACCCTGTCTCTACAAAAATTAGCCAGGCATGGTCGCGCACAGCTGTAGTCCAAGCCACTTGCGGGGCTGAGGCAGGAGGATCATTTGAGGTTGGGAGACTGAGGCTGTAGTGAGCTGAGATGGTGCAACCACACTCCAGCCTAGGTGACAGAGAGACCCTGTCCACGACCCACCCCCAAAAAAGAAAGAAAGACTCAAGTAAAGCAAAATGATGTAATTTTGAAAAACACTTTCAAGTATTCAAATAACCCACAGAGAAGCAAGAAAACACAGACATATAAAAAAGAACAGAACAAAAAACAAAACATTAAATGGCAGAATAAGCCTTAAGTCTTAAAATATCAATAATCACCTTAAAAGTCAATGTTCTAAATAAATGAGGGTGAAGGACACCCAGCCTAGAGCAGCAGAGAGTTAAAAGACACAGACTCACAAAATGGATTGAACAGCACAACCCAACGATACGCTGTTTACAGAAAAACTCACTTCAAATGTAATGACACAGGCAGGCTGAAAGTAAAAGGATAAAAAAGATATGTCATGCAAGCATTAATCAAAACAAAGCAGGGAAAAAATTTTATCTGGGCATGGTGGTGCATGCCTGTGGTCCCAACTGCTCCAAAGGCTGAGATGGAGGATTCCTAGAGCCCAGGAGTTGGAGGGTGCAGTGAGCCATGATCGCACCACTGCACTCCAGACCAGGTGACAGAGTGAGACCTCATCTCAAGGAGGAAAAAAAAAAAAAAAAAGCAGGGCCAGGCACAGTGGCTCACACCTGTAATTCCAACACTTTCAGAGGCCAAGGCAGGAGGATCACTTGAGGCTAGGAGTTCGAGACCAGCCTGGGTAACACAGCGAGACCAAATCTCTACAAAAGTAAAAATAAAAAAATTAGCTGGTCATGGTGGGACACGCCTGTAGTCCAAAGCTAGCAGGAAGGCTGAGGCAGGAGGATAGCTTGAGACCAAAATTTTGATGATGTAGGATTTTGAGGATTTTGAGGATGCAGTGAGCTATGATCACACCAATGCACAAAGCCTGGGTCACAGAACAAGATTCTGTCTCAAAAACAAAGAAACCAACAACAACAAAAAAAGCAGGAATGGTTACATTAATAAAGAGTAAAGCAGACTTCAGGGACATAGTAAAGATGTTAATCCCCCCAAATTAAGACACAAGTTTAGTGTACTTCCTATCAAAATCCCAGCAAAATATTTTATATAGATTATTTTATAATTTGTAACGAAAAGCAATGTAACTAGAATAGCCGAAACTATTGTGAAGAATAAAGTGGAAGGAATCATTCTAACCGATGACAAGACTTACTACATAACTACAGTAACAAGGACTTGTGTAGAGTGGTGGACACATACATCATCACAACAGAACAGAAACCTGGAGACAGACACACAAATATGCCCAAATAATTTTTTTTAATTACAAAGATACAAAAGCAATTCAACAAAGACAGCTTCTTCAAGAAAATGACGCTGGAGCAAATGACATCCAGACAAAAAAACTCAGCTCAAATCTCAGTTTCTAAAAAAAAAAACTCAAAATGGATCACAGACTTAAATGTAACACATTAAACAATACAACTTACAGGAAAAAATTAACATAGGAAAAAATCTGCAGGATCAAGAGCTAGGCAAAGAGATATTAAACTTGACACTAAAAGCACAATCCACTAAAGGCTGACCAATTGAACTTCACCAAAATTAAAAACCTCTGTCTGTAAAACAACCACTAAGTGGATGAAGACATGCTACAGATGGGGAGAAAACATTTGGAAACCACATATCCTCAAAACTTGACAGTACAACAACAAAGAACATGATAGAAAATGAGGGAAAGATACAGGCACGTTTCACCAAAGAACACAAACAGATGGCAAATAAGCACATGAAAAGATGTTCAATACCTTTAAGCATTAGGGAAATGCAAATGAAAGCCACACTGAGTTACCACTACACACCTATCAGTACAGGTAAAATGAACACTAGTGACAACAGCAAATGTTGGCAAAGATGCAAGGAAGCTGGAACTCTCATATATTGCTTTGGCAGTTTCTTATAAAATCAAATATGCAACTACCATATAACCCAGCATTTGCAGTCCTGGGCATTTATCCCAGAGAAATGAAGACATGCTGACAAAAAGAGCTATATACACTCACGTTTATAGCAGCTCCACTCACCATATCCCAAAACTAGTAACAACCTGGATGTTTACCGCAGCTCCACTCACAATCCCCCAAAACCAGAAACAACCCGGATGTGTTTACTGCAGCTCTACTCACGATATCCCAAAACTAGAAACAACCTAGATGTGTTTACCGCAGCTCCACTCACGATATCCCAAAACTAGAAACAACCGGATATCCTTTAATGGAAAAGTAGTTAAAGAAACTGTGGCGTTATCAGGCCGGCACAGTGGCTCATGCCTGTAATCCCAGCACTTTGGGAGGCTGAGGCGGGCAGATCACGAGGTCAGGAGATAGAGACCATCCTGGCTAACACGGTGAAACCCGTCTCTACTAAAAATACAAAAAAAATTAGCCAGGCGTGGTGGTGGGCACCTGTAGTCCCAGCTACTCGGGAGGCTGAGGCAGGAGAATGGCGTGAAGCCAGGAGGCGAAGCCTGCAGTGAGCTGAGATCGTGCCACTGCACTCCAGCCTGGACAACAGAGCAAGACTTCCTCTCAAAAAAAAAAAAAAGAAACTGTGGCGTATCCATACCATGAAATACTACCTACCAATGAAAGAATTATTAATACATGCAACGACCTGGATCAATCTTGAGAGAATTATGCTAGGTGAAAAAGCCAATTCCAAAAGGTTACATACTATATAATTCACGTAACACTGTTGAAATGACAAAATCATAGAAATGGAGAATCAGTGGTCACCAGAGGTTAAGGGGAAGGCAGGGACACAAGTGGGCTTGGAAAGGGAAACATGCTGGGTTCTGTAGGTGATGGAAATGCTCTGTATCTTGACTATATCAATGTCACTACTGTGCTTGTGATATTCCATTACAGTGTTATCACTGGGGGAGGTTCAGTAAGGGTACATGGGATTTCTCTATATTATTTCTTACAAGTGCATGTGAATCTAGTTACCACAAATAAAAAGTTGAGTTTTTTAAAAAAAGCAAAATAAAGACATTTCAAACCAAAAAAAAAACAAAAACTAAAATCAACAACAAAGTAAAATAAACAACCCCTGAGCATCAAAAAACAAAACAAAACAAAAGTAAGGAAAAATACCAAATGGAAATCTGAATACATAAAAAGGAATGAAAAGCAGTGAAAACAGTAAACAAGTAGGTAAACAGAAATGATTTCTTAAAAGCTTTAAACTATCTAAAACAAAACTTTTAAAATGAATTTAAAGAAAAAAATAATACAACAACGCATGACAACAATAGCACAAAGATGGGAAAGGAAAGATGGAGTATATTACCAAAATGTTCTTATACTTCACGAGAAGCAGAATATTGTTGTGTTTTGTTTTGTGACAGAGTTTCGCTCTTGTTGCCTAGGCTGGAGTGCAGTGGTGTGTTCTTGGCTCACTGCAACCCCCGCTTCCAAGGTTCAAGCGATTCTCCCACCTCAGTCTCCGAAGTAGCTGAGATTACAGGCATCTGCCACCATGTCAGGCTAATTTTTTGTATTTTTAGTAGAGACAAAGTTTCACCATATTGACCAGGCTGGTCTCAAACTCCCATCCTCAGGTGATCCTCCAGCCTCAGCCTCTCAAAGTGCTGGGATTACAGGCATGAGCCACTGCATCCTGCCTGTTTTTTTTTTTTTTTTTTTTTGTTGAGACAGAGTCTCGCTCTGTTGCCCAGGCTGGAGTGCAGTGGTGCAATCTCGGCTCACTGAAACCTCCAACTCCCGGGATCAAGCGATTCTCCTGCCTCAGCCTCCTGAATAACTGGAATTACAAGCATGAGCCACCACACCCGGCTAATTTTTGTATTTTCAGTAGAGACGGGGTTTTGCTATATTGGCCAGGCTGGTCTCGAATTCCTGACCACAAGTGATCTGCCCACCTCAGCCTCCCAAAGTGCTGAGACTACAGGCATGAGCCACTGGCACCGGCCTGAGAAGTGGAATGTTATTTGAAGGTAAACTGATACGTTAAAGATATAACCTAAAGTAACCACCATGAAAAAAAATATCAAAAATATGCCAATGAAGCAGATTAAATAAAATCATATATCAATCCAAAAGAAGGCAGGAAAAAGATTTTAAAAGACAACCAAGAATAAATGGGACAAATAGGAAAAAAAATAGCAAGATGGTAGATTTAAACCCATTCATACCAATAATCTCATTAAATGTAAAAGGTATAATGCCTCAAAATAAAAGGCAGAGGCTACTATTGGATAAAAAGCAAGATCAAATTAATAAGCTATTTATAAGAAATCCACTTTAAAGCTGGGCACGGGGGCTCACTCCTGTAATCCCAGCACTTTGGGAGGCCGAGGCAGGCAGATCACGAGGTCAGGAGTTTGAGACCAGCCTGGCCAATATGGTGAAACCCCATCTCTACTAAAAATACAAAAATTAGCCGGGTGTGGTGGTGCACCCGTAGTCCCAGCTACATGGGAGGCTGAGGCAGAAGAATCACTTGAACCTGGGAAGTGAAGGTTGCAGTGAGCCGAGATCGCGCCACTGCACTCCAGCCTGGGTGACAGAGCGAGAATCCGTCTCAAAAAAAGAAAAAAGGGAATCTACTTTAAATATACAGACAAAAATAAGTTAAAGATAAAAAGATGGAAAAAATATATCATGCTAACATGAATCATAAGAAAACTGGAGTGGGCTGGGCATGGTAGCTCACGCCTGTAATCCCAGCACTTAGGGAGACTGAGGCAGGCAGATGACCTGAGGTTAAGATTTCAAGACCAGCCTGGCCAACATGGTGAAACCCCATCACTACTAAAAATACAAAAGTTAGCCGGGCACGGCGGCGCATGTCTGTAATCCCAGCTACTTAGGAGACCGAGGCAGGAGGCAGAGTTGAACCCAGGAGGCAGAGTTTCCAGTGAGCCAAGATCATGCCAGTGCACTCCAGCATAGGTGACAAAGTGAGACTCCACCTCAAAAAAAAAGAGAAACGATACGAAAAAGAAAACTGGAGTGGCTTTTTTTTTTTTTTTTTTTGAGACAGGGTCTCCTTTCGTTGCCCTGGTTGGAGTACAGTGGCATAATCCTTCAACTCCCTGGCTCAAGTGATTCTCCTACCTCGGCCTCCCGAGTAGCTAAGACTATAGAAGAACACCACCACGCCTAGCTAATTTTTTAATATTTTATTTTTATTTATTTTTTATTTTTTGAGATGGAGTCTCGCTGTCGCCCAGGCTGGAGTGCAGTGGCGCGATCTCGGCTCACTGCAGGCTCTGCCTCCCGGGGTTTATGCCATTCTCCTGCCTCAGCCTCCCGAGTAGCTGGGACTACAGGCGCCCGCCACCTCGCCTGGCTAATATTTGTATTTTTAGTAGAGACGGGGTTTCACCGTGTTAGCCAGGATGGTCTCGATCTCCTGAGCTCGTGATCTGCTCGCCTTGGCCTCCCAAAGTGCTGGGATTACAGGCGTGAGCCACCGCACCCAGCCCAATTTTTTAATATTTTATATTATACAGAGAGGGTCTCACTATGTAGCTCAGGCTGGTCTAGAACTCCTAGCTTAACCCATCCTCCTGCCTCAGCCTCCCAAAGTGTTGGGATTACAGGCATGAGCCATCATGCCCAGCTTGGGGTGGCTAAATTTATCTCAGATGAAGTAGATTTCAGAGCAAAGAATATTATTTGGGATGAAGAGGGTCATTTCATAAATGGTAACGAAATGAGTTCATCAAGAGGGCATAACAGGCCAGGTGCAGTGGCTCAGACCTATAATCCCAGCACTTTGGGAGGCCGAGGCAGGTGGATCACCTGAGGTCAGGAGTTTGAGACCAGCCTAGCCAACACGGGCGAAACCCCATCACTACTAAAAAATACAAAAATCAGTCAGGTGTGGTGGCGCATGCCTGTAATCCCAGCTGCTCAGGAGGCTGAGGTATGAGAATCACTTGAACTTGAAAGGTGGAGGCTGCGGCGAACCAAGATCATACCACTGCACTCTAGCCTGGGCGCCAGCAGTTCAAGACAACTGTCTTGAAGCCAGGAGTTTGAGATGAGCCTGAGCAACTTAGTGAGACCCTATCTCTATTTAAAAAAAAAATTAGGCTGGACACAGTGACTCACGCCTGTAATCCCAGCACTTTGGGAGGCTGAGGCGGGTGGATCACAAGGCCAGGAGATAAGAGACCATCCTGGCCAACATGTTGAAACCCCATCTCTACTAAAAATATAAAAATTAGCTGGGTGTGGTGGCATGTGCCTGTAATCCCAGCTACTCAGGAGGCCGAGGCAGGAGAATCGCTTGAACCCATGAGGCGCAGGTTGCAGTTGAGCCGAGATCACACTACTGCACTCCAGCGTGGCAACAGAGCAAGACTCTGTCTCAAAACAAACAAACAAACAAACAAAAAAACAAAACAAAACAAAAGGCATGGTGGTGCATGTCTGTAGTCTCAGCTACTTGGGAAGGTGAGGTGGGAAGATCACTTGAACCCAGAAGGTTGAGGGTGCAGTGAGCTATGATGACACCACTGCACTCCAGCCTAGGCAACAGAGTGAGTGAGACCCTGTCTTTAAAAAAAAAAAAAAAAAAACTGACACATGACATATCAACATATCTGGGATACAACTAAAGTACCACTCATAGGGAAATTTATAGCATTTGACACTTACATTGGAAAAGAAGAAAGATCTCAAATCAAATGACCTAAGACTCCACCTTAAGACACTGGAACAGAGCACATTAAATCCAAAGTAAGCAGAAGAAATGGAATAATGACAATAACAACAAACATCAATAAAACACAAAACTGTAATGAAACAGAAAACTGTAACAATGAAACCAAGAGCTCGTTCTTTGAGAAGATCAGTAACATTAAAAAACTTCTGGTCAGATTGATCAAACGAAAAAGGAGACAGAAAGCTGGGTATGGTGGTATAATCCTAGCACTTTTGGAGGCCAAGCGGGGAGGATCATTTGAAGCCAGGAGTTCAAGACTACCCTGGGCAACATAGTGAGACCTCGTCTCTACAAAAATAATTTAAAAATTAGCTGTGTGTGGTGATGCACACCTCTAGCTACTCAGGAAGCTGAGGTGGGAGCACTGCTTGAGCCCAGGAGGTGGAGGCTGCAGTGAGGTATGATCTTGCCACTGTACTCCAGCCTGGGCAAAAGAGCAAGATCCTGTCTTCTAAAAACAAAACAAAGAAAAGAAGAATGTAGTTTAAAACCTGCCCATGAGAAACTGCAAGGTCCAGATGGCTTCACTGCTGAAATCTAGCAAACATTTAAAGAAGAAATAACATCAATTCTGTACAAACTCTTCCAGGAAACAGATGCGAAGAAAACATATCCCAACACATGCCATGATGCCAACATTACCCTAATGCCAAAACAAGAAAAAAAAAAGGCATTATAAGAAACTATAGGCTAATAATACTTACGAAGACAAAACTGTTTTACAATTTTAGCAAATCAAAGCCAGTAATACATAGAATAATGCATCATGACCAAGTGTGAGTCATCTCAGGAATGCAAGGTTGGTTTAACATTCAAGCATCAAACAACTCAACCTGGTAAAAGGCATCTATGAAAAACCTACAACACCATACTTAATGGTAAAAGACTGAATGCTTTTCCTCTAAGGCTGAGAAAGAGACATGGATTTTTACTCTTATCACCTCTATTTAACAATGTAATGGAGGTCTCTTTACTAGAAAAAAACAGCAAGAAAAATTAATAAAGAACCTACACAGACTGGAAATGGAGAAGTAAAATTATCTTTATTCACGTATCACATAGTTGCGTCTATAAAATCTTAAGGGATCTTAAAAAAAAAAACCTACTAGAATTAATAAGTGACTTAAGGTTCCAAGATATAAGATCAAAATCTGAAAAATGTATTTCTATATGCTAGCAATAAACAATCAGTAAGTTGAAATTTTAAAAATAAAATACCCTTTGTAATAGTTAATGAAAATATTTATTCCAGCCGGGTGCAGTGGCTCACCCCTGTAATCCCAGCACTTTGGGAGGCCGAGGCAGGTGGATCATTTGAGGCCAGGAGTTCGAGACCAGCTTGGCCAACAGGGTGAAACCCCATCTCTACTAAAAATACAAAAATTAGCCGGGCATGATGGTGGGCACCTGTAATCTCAGCTACCCATGAGGCTGAAGCAGAAGAATTGCTTGAACCCAGAAGGCAGAGGGTGCAGTGAGCCGAGATTGTGCCACTGCACTCCAGCCTGGGCAACGAGAAACTAAAGATGGCCTAGGCCAGGCATAGTGGCTCATGCCTGAAATCCCAACACTTTGAAAGGCTGAGGCAAGAGGCTGGGCACAGTGTCTCATGCCTGTAATCCCAGCACTTTGGGAGGCCGAGTCGGGCAGATCACTTGAGGTCAGGAGTTTGAGACCAGCCTGGCCAACACTGTGAAACCCCATCTCTACTAAAAATACAAAAATTAGCTAGAAGTGATGGTGCGTGCCTGTAATCCCAGTTACCTGGGAGGCTGAGGCAGGAGAATCACTTAAACCGAAGAGGTGGAGGTTACAGTGAGTGGAGATAGTGGCACTGCACTCTACCTGGAGTGACAGAGCAAATAAAAAGGGCCGGGCGCAGTGGCTCACGCCTGTAATCCCAACACTCTGAGAGGCCGAGGCAGGCAGATCATGAGGTCAGGAGATCAAGACCATCCTGGCTAACACAGTGAAACCCCATCTCTACTAAAAATACAAAAAAATTAGCCGGCGTGGTGGCAGGCACCTGTAGTCCCAACCACTCAGGAAGCTGAGGCAGAAGAATGGCGTGAACCCGGGGGCGTAGGTTGCAGTGAGCCGAGACAGCGCCACTGCACTCCAGCCCGGGCGGCAGAGCGAGACTCCGTCTCAAAAAACAAAAACAAAAACAAAAAAAGGCTGAGGCAAGAGAACCGCTTAAGCGTAGGAGTTCAAGACCAGCCTGGGCAACATGGTGAGACTGTCTCTACAAAAAAACAAAAAATTAGCTAGGTGTTGTAGCACATGCCTGTAGTCCTGGCTATTCATGAGGCTGAGGCAAGGGGATCCCTTGAGCCAAGGAGGTCAAGGCTGCAGTGAGCTCTGACTGTGCACCACTGTACTCTAGCCTGGGCAACAGAGCAAGAATGTCACTAAAAAAAAACAAAACAACAACAACAACAAAAAACAAGGCCTAAATGAATAGGTATACCTTGCTTGTGAGTCAGAAAATAATACTGTTTAGGTGTCAATTCACATCAAATTGATTTAAATATTCAGCACAGTCCCAATCAAAATACCAGGAAGATTATTTGTAGAAATTCACAAAGTGATTCTAAAATTCATTTGAAAATACAAATGGCCAAGCAACCATGAAGAGCCAGAACAACTTTTTTATTTTGGTTGACGTAAGATCTCACTCTGCTGCCCAGGCTGCAGCGTACCTGCACAATAATGGCTCACTGCAGTCACCACCTCCTGAGCTGAAGCGAGCCTCTCACCTCAGTCTCCCAAGTAGCCAGGACTAGCGCTTGCCGCCACACCCAGAGAATTTTTTTTATTTTTTGTAAAGACGAGGTCTCACAATGTTGCCCAGGCTACAGCATAACTCGGAGAAAGAACAAAGTTGGAGGACTTACCTGGTTCCAAAACTTTTTTTTTGAGACAGCATCTCACTCTATCACTCAGGCTGTAATACAGTGGTGCAATCATAGCTCACGGCAGCCTCAAACTCCCAGGCTCAAGCAATCCTCCTGCCTCAGCCTCCGAAGTAACTAGGACTATAGGCATGAGTTCCCAGATGCAGCTAATTTTTTTTTTTTTTGGAGAGACAGGGTCTTGACATGTTGCCCAGGCTGGTCTCAAACTCCTGGGTTCAAACAGTCCTCCTGCCTCAGCCTCCCAAAACACTGAGATTACAGACATGAGCCACTGCAGTTGGCCACAAAACTTTAAAATATATAGTAATCAAAACATTGTGTTACGGTGTCAAGACAAACAAGTGATCAGTACAACATAATAGAGTCCAGAAATAGATCGTATTGATATGGCTTACTGATTTTTTTTCTTCTGTCTAAAGTGCTTCAATCACCTGATTTTTGATAAAGGTGCAAAGACAATTTAGTGACAAAAGGATTATGTTTCCAACAAATGGTGCTAGAACAACCGAACATCCATATGCAAAAAAATAAACTTGCTCCATCTTCACATCACAAACAAAAATTAACTCAAAATGGACCACTGACCCAAAAACAAAAGCTAAAACTTTAAGACTTCTAGAAGAAAGTATAGGAAAAATATTTGTGACCTGTAGGTAGGCAAAGTTTTTTTTTTTTCTTGTCTTTTCTTTTTTCCTTGAGACATGGTCTTACTGTCACCCAGACTGGAATAAAGTGGCACAATCATGGCTCACTGCAGCCTCAACCTCCTGGGCTCATGTGATCCTCCCACCTCAGTCTCCCAAGTAGCTGGGACTATAGGCGCACACCGCCAAGCCCAGATAATTTTTGTATTTTTTATAGAGACAGGGTTTCACCATGTTGCCCAAACTGGTCTCAAACTACTGAACTCAAGTGAGCCACCCGCCTCAGCCTCCCAAAACACATGAACCACCACACCTGGCCTAATTTTTGATTTTTTTTATATATAGAGATGAGTTCTCCCTACGTTGCCCAGGCTAGTCTTGAAATCCTGGGCTCAAGTGATCTACCTGCCTCGTTCTCCCAAAGTGCTGGGATTACAGGCATGAGCCACATACCCAGCCAAGATTTCTTAAAACACCTACAGCACAACGAATAAAAAGAAAAAAAAAGAAATGAAATTTCCCAAAACAAAAAATGCACTCTTTAAAAGACACTGAAAAGAATCAAAAGACAAATCCCAGCCTACATAATAAAAGACTTATATCGAGGATATATAAAGAACTCTCTAAGCTCAACAATAAGAAAACTACCAGTTTTCAAACGGGCAAAAGATTTCAACAGGCATTTTAGCAAAGGAAATATACGGATGGCAAATAACCACATGAAAAGATGTTCAAAACAAAAACAAAACAAAAAAGAAAAGAGGTTCAGCATTATTCATTATGAAAGTACAAATTAAAACCACAACAAAATACTACCACACTACACACCTATGGAGATGGCTAAAACTGAAGAAGACTGACCCCACCAAGTATTGGGAAGGATGTGGAGCAAATGGAAGATTCATTCACCAGTGGTGGGACTATAAAACACTGCAATCCCTTCTGGAAAGTCTGGAAGTCTCTTAAAATGTTAAAGTACACACCCACCCCAGGACCAAGCCATTTTACTCCTAGATATTTACCTAAGAGAAATGAAAACATGTCCTAACAAAGGCTTGTTTGCTAATGTTCATAGCAGCTTAATTTGTAACGGCACAAAGTGAAAAATGACCCAGATGCCCATCAATAGACAAATGGAGAAACAAATTGTGATCTAGCCATAAAATGGAATCCTACTCAACAATACGATCAAGTGATGCTACATGGCACAAATGGAATAATGTTGACAGGATTATGCTGAGTGAAAGAAGCGAGATAATATGAGAATATATACTGTACAATTCCACATAAGCAACACTCTAGAAAATCTAAACTAATTCATCTATAGTGACGGAAAGCAGATCAGTGGTTGCCGGGCAGGAGGGTGGGGAAAGGATGGAAAGGGTGATTTCAAAGGGGCATCGGGGAACTTTTGAGGGTGATGAACATGTTCATTATCTTAATCTTGATGCTAGTTCCACGGGTGTATACAAATGTCAAAATGCATCAAATTATGTATTTTAAATATGTGTAATTTGGTATATATCAATTATACTTCAGTAAAGCTGGGAAAAGAGAGAGAGAAAGAGAGGGAGGAAGGGAGGGAGGGAGGAAGCAAGCACAAAAACTACCAGTAGCATAAAAGATAGGCACCTAATTCTGGACATCGGGAGCTTCTGAATTTTGTCTTGGTCCTCTCTCTTGCTGTCCAGGTGCTAGTGCTGGGTTTTCATCCACACCCTACTTTCATTAAGCGCAAAAGTGATAGGAAAGCTGTCTGTGGGGAATGAATTATGGACTGAGAAAGGGAGAAAATGAGGGCAAACAGAACGTTAATTCTGGCATAACAAACACCCCTAGGTAGGTGGTGAGATTCTAGGTGATTTTTCTTTGGTTTCTTTAAGTTTTTCTGTACTTTCCAAATTCTTTACAAGCATTACTTGGCTCTTTGGAGGGAAAAAAAAATCAGTTTTAAAAGAACCAATTTAAATTCTCCATTAAGTAAAGAACTATTCAAAAAGAAACCAAGGATTTTTTTTTTTAAATCCTAGTAACTAATAGCCCCAGAACATACACACATGAATCTGAGCCATTAATTTAGATCAAAGAACAGGGAGACTGCATTTATAAAGAATGAAGGATATTTACAACATATGGAGAAGGCCAAAACCTCAAAAACGGATGTTCCAAATTCTGAAGGTTGATAGTCAACCACTGAGTTGGCTTCCATCTAATTAAAGACATTTTAATAAGCTTTAACTGATTTCCTGCCATGTAGGTTGAAGATGAAGTTCTCAAATGCTAAAGGGAAAGTCTAGTCTGAATTCCAGGAGGTTGCGGGCAGTGACAAGAGAGTCCCTCTCCTCTAAGGCTTATAAGCATGTAAATGATTGAGCCTTCCAACATGATATAAATGCCAGGAGAGGCAGGATTTCTTAACCTCGCCTGTCCCAAGTTGCTGGCATCAGACGTTTTTTTTTTTTTTTTTTGAGACAGGGTCTCTTTCTGTTGTCTAGGCTGAAGTACAGCAGTGCGATCACAGCTCACTGCAGTCTCAACCTTCCAGACTCAGGTGACCTTCCTGTCTCACCCTCCTGAGTATGCTGGGACTAGAGGTGTGTGCTGCCATGCTAGACTAATTTTTATTTTTATTTTTAGTAGAGATGGGGTCTTACTATGTTGTCCAGGTTGGTCTCCAACTCTTGGGCTCGAGTGATCCTTTCTCCTCGGTCTCTCAAAGTGCTGGGATTACAGGTGTGAGCCCAGCTAATGTCAGATATTTCTGTCACATTTTTTTAGTAAGTGTAGAAAACCAACAAGGAGTTCAGAAATGCCAAAAGCTGATAAAATGTTTCTTTTTAAATACCTTCACAGGTCTAATTAGGTGCAAAATGTTTTTCATGCAACCTGAATCCCAATCCTGAGTCCTCCTCCTTGGTTTCTAAAAGAATAAACCAACTTCTTAGTAATCATAGCACTCTTGGATTAATTCTTCACTTTCATTTCAGAGGAAAAAATGAAAGTAGGTTAGCGCACTACAATACTACAAACACAACACGGAACACTTACATGTTTTGGAGTGTTCATGTGATAGCATGTAATTGGCAAGAGGTGGTGTGTAGGTTAAACACTGCAGTGCTGCATTGGCAAAACAGGTATTGCCCAAATTCTGGAGCCCAGCTCCAACTCTATGAGTTTGTTGCCACTTAAGACAAATCTTCTCAGATGGGAAAAGAACTTTCTGTGGAGGAGCGATGCCATCACCTAGGGCTAGAAAAATAAACAAGAAAGAGTCAGAAACCAAGCTTTGCATACTGAAGCTAAATAAATAGTAACACCTGGTCAAACCTCAATCTTTACAAGATCCGAAATCTCATGACCAGCCTACCTGAAATACAGGGGGAAGAGGGACATTTTAAAAGACAGAAACCAGAACATGAGAAATTTTCAATGATCTGGTTTCTCCAGTAAACAAACTGCAAGGACAGAAAGGGGAGAGGGTTACAGATTTAAAGAAACTTGAGAGAAATATCTACCAAATGCAAAGTGTAGACTTCATTTGGATGCTGCTCTGAACAACTGCTTAAAAAAATATATATATAGGGCCGGGCACAGTGGCTCACGCCTATAATCCCAGCACTTTGGGAGGCTGAGGCAGGCGGATTATGAGGTCAGGAGATCGAGACCATCCTGGCTAACAAGGTGAAACCCCGTCTCTACTAAAAATACAAAAAATTAGCCAGGCGCGGTGACGGGCACCTGTAGTCCTAGCTACTAGGGAGGCTAAGACAGGAGAATGGCGTGAACCCGGGAGGCAGAGCTTGCAGTGAGCTGAGATAGTGCCACTGCACTCCAGCCTGGGAGACAGAGCGAGAGACTCCGTCTCAAAAAAAAAAAAAAAAAAAAAAAAAAAATATATATATATATATATATATACACACACACATACATATATACACACACACGTATTTTATGTATATATATTTTATATATACATAAAACAACAACCAGAGAAATATGAACACTGAATGACTGTTTCATGTAAATACATTTTTGATTTTTAGAAAAAACTCTTTAGATGTATACACTAAAATACAAGTGAAAGATGAAGTATTGGATTTGAGATAATGTCGTGGGGAGATAAGGAGGTGCTGGTATCACTGCCCGTAAGTTGATAAATGTCAAAGTTGGTTGACGGCTACATGAGAGTTCATTATAATTACTCTTTTATATCCACTTTGAACATTTAAAAAATAAATAATACAATCAATAGAAAAAATGAGATACATTTGATTCCTTGTAACATCTGCCATGGATGCTAATTCATTGCCACCATCACTGCCGTCCTTACCATCTCATGTAGGGAGCCCTTACTAGGCCAAATGGCTGCAATTCTAATGGCTGGTGCTGATGTCATTCCCATTTTACCACTAAGGAAGCAGGTTTTGAACTCAGGCTATCAGGTACCACTGTACACACTTGTGAGGAGACTACCTATGACCTAAAAATTTTGAAGATTATCAACAGATTACTAATAACTAAGTATGATAATGGAACTCAAGATGAAGCTCAAGAAACAACTTATTTAGGAAAGCTGAAAATCATCAATGGCAAGACTAATTTTTCAAAGGCTTTGGCAGTCCCCCAGTGCTCTAACAGAAGGCTGAGATTGGGTCGGGCACAGTGGCTCATGCCTGTAATCCCAGCACTTTGGGAGGCCGAGGCGGGCGGATCACAAGGTCAGGAGATCGAGACTATTCAGGCTAACACAGTGAAACCCTGTCTCTACTAAAAATACAAAAAATTAGCCAGGTGTGGTGGCAGGCACCTGTAGTCCCAGCTACTCAGGAGGCTGAGGCAGGAGAATGGTGTGAACCCGGGAGGCGGAGGTTGCAGTGAGCCGAGATTGCAACACTGCTCTCCAGCCTGGGCGACAGAGAGAGACTTCGTCTCAAAAAAAAAACAAAAACAAAAACAAAAAAAACCAAAAGGCTGAGATGCCATGTAGAATCATTCTCCATCTGAAGAGACTTATTAGTGGTTATTTAGGCAGGCGTAGGCAGGCTACAGCTTGGTGGGGAAAGGAGAGCAAAATTAGGACAAAAGAAAGGATTCTGTGGAGAATGAGATGAGAGCCCCAGAAAAGGGGAGAGTGGGGAGATGTGAGTTCAGTCCTAAGAAGAGAGAGAAGCCCCAGCAACATGACAGGAGGTTGAAGGCCGTGGAGAAAGAGGTCCTGTGGGAAAGTCCTGCTGGAGAGAAGCCAAAGGACTTTCCACCTCCATGTGCAACATTCGATTAGGTTGTGTTTCATGATATAAACTTCCCCTACCCAAAACACCTTCAGCAAGCCAAACTGCAACACCCACCCCCACATCACAATATGAAACTTACTGTTGTCCGGGTGCAGTGGCCTACACCTGTAATCCCAGCACTCTGGGAGGCCGAGGCGGGTGGATTATAAGTTTGAAACCAGCCTGGCCAGCATGGTGAAACCCCGTCTCTACTAAAAATACAAAAATGTAGCTGGGCATGGTGGCGCGCACCTGTAGTCCCAGCTACTCGGGAGGCTGAGGCAGGAGAATTGCTTGAACCCAGCAGGCAGAGATTGCAGTGAGCCGAGATCGCGCCACTGCATTCCAGAATGGGCGACAGAGCGAGACTCTGTCTCAAAAAAAAAAAAAAAAAAAAAGAAACTTACTAAAGGACTCAAAAACAACATGGCGATCAAACTACTCGAAGCCAGGGGGTGTCCAATCTTTTGGCTTCCCTGGGCCACACTGGAAGACAAATTGTCTTGGGCCACACGTAAAATACACTAACACTAACACTAACGACAGCTAATGAGCTTAAAAAAAAATCTCAAAAAAACTCAATGTTTTAAGAAAGTTTACGGATTTGTGTTGGGCTGCATTCAAAGCTGTCTGGGCTGCATGCTCTAAGCCAAACAACAATCTAACTAGGAAATTCTATTGTATTTCAAATCTTCATGTCCTCAAATGCAAAAGTCTTGAAGTACCAACTTAAAGTGTTACTGTCTCATTTATCTGGATGAGTTTTAACGAATGTAACCACATTTGTATCATTATAACAAATGTAACATTTGTGTTACATGCTCTCTTTTTTTTTTCTTTTTTCTTTTTGAGACAGAGTCTCACTCTGTTGCCCAGGCTGAAATGCAATGGTGCGATCTTGGGCTCACTGCAACCTCTGCCTCCCAGGTTCATGCGATTCTCCTGCCTCAGCCTCCCAAGTAGCTGGGATTATAGGCACACACCACCATGCCCAGCTAATTTTTGTATTTTTAGTGGAGATGGGGTTTCACCATATTAGCCAGACTGGTCTCAAACTCCTGACCTCAGGTGATCCACCTGCCTTGGCCTCCCAAAGTGCTGGGATAACAGGTGGAGCCACCATGCCTAGCCTATCTGCTCTCTTTCAAAGAGCTTTATTACTACGAATGATTTTTAACTGCCAGGAAAAAAACAAAAACAAAAACAAAAAAAACTGGGTAAAGCTCATTTGTCAAAAGACAACCATTTTACAAAACACCTTTAAATTTGTAAAAGTCATCTACTTAGGAAACTAGAATAACTACTGGTTAACAAGTTATTATAATGCTTGCCCATCTCAATTCTCACCAAGATAAAGTTTATTCTTAAAAAAAACTGGAATAAAAGGGCCTGGCGTGGTGGTTCATGCCTGTAATCCCAGCACTTCAGGACGCTGAGGTGGGTGGATCATGAGGTCAGAAGATCGAGACCATCCTGGCTAACATGGTGAACCCCCGTCTCTACTAAAAATACAAAAAAAAAAAAAAAAATTAGCCGGGCTTGGTGGCAGGCGCCTGTAGTCCCAGCTACTCTGGAGGCTGAGGCAGGAAAATGTCCTGAACCCGGGAGGCAGAGCTTGCAGTGAGTCAAGATCGCGCCACTGCACTCCAGCCTGGGTGACAGAGCGAGACTCCGTCTCAAAAAAAAAAAAAAAAATTGGAATAAAAGAAACTAATAATATTCTAGCAACTAAAAACAATCTACCCTGTTGTCAGTCAATGACGAACAAGTAACAGGAAAACAAAGCCCATCAAGTAATACAACTCTGCTGGCCACTCAGGTGGCCTCACGCCTTGCAAAATAAGCCCCTCTCTGAAACCACCAAGCCCCAGCAGCATTTACACAGGAGTTTCTGGCGGTAATTCTCTCTTTTGAAAAACAGTACCTTGATCCTTTTGTGGTGATGGTTTTGATTTATCAGGTACAGATGAACTCGAATAAACTACAGCACCAGGTACTGGTCCTAAAGAAAGTGTGTGATTTGACACATCATTCAATGAAGACACAGCACCCCAGCTGGCAGAACCTGCATCCATGTCTCCAGGTGAGACTGCCTCGGAGCTGCCAGGCTGATTCTGATAGGCTGATGGGTCTGAAGATTCAGAAGCTTTGTCAACTATGGTCATTGTTCAACTCTGCAAAAGATGAAAAGTATGTATTTGTTTCATCAGGTGAGAAAAGCAATCTCCTTACCCTACCGTTAGATCTTGGAAGATCATTCCAGCCATTTTAAAGTGATTTTCAAACACATCACTCAAATATAAAAACAATAGTACTTTCTAACATTTCTGTAATAATCCCCTTGGGACATTTAGCATCATGATAATCTGAATGTCAACAATCTTTATTTTAAAATCTTCAGTGAAGTATTTGATTAAAAGAACTTCTCATTTTCATTTCATGCCCCCTAAAAGTCTGGCATTTCAGTTTATAATTGGACATTTCAATTCTCAGTTCTGTTTATTTACTAAGTACCTATATTTTCCTTCTATACTGCTTAAAACTAGAAAAATTATACACAGTAATACATTTGACTACATCTTCAATTTGAGTATAATTCCTCAGAGAAAAGCATCAACTACACAGAAAAAATCTAGACTTAATTTTGTGCTTAAAGTGCAAATGGCACCAAGTGAAATACATTATATTTTTTAAAATTATAATTATAGAGATCTCACCTTTAAAACCATTTTTCTGAAGAGGCTCATTTATATGGAATGTATGACTTTTTAAATAAAACCCGTAAGCCATTACTGATATCAAACTCAAACACAAATATCTGTTATGAAAGGACTTGATTATAATTTTCTTTCTGAGTCCTATTTTAAAATATTAGGGCTACCACTAATTGAGCATTTTCTATGTACTGGGCATTGCATCAACTGCTGGACATACATTAACTTAATTTTTATAAAGAACGTATGAGAGATCAGACAGAATCCCCAGGGCCTATAAAATGAAGCAACCAGTCAGCAACTGGGACTGAGAGCCAGGTCCAGCGTTCCCAGCCAGGCTTCCTTCTGGTTATGCCACCCTGTCAACAGAAGGCTTTTAGGGATATTTCTAAAATCGCCCAACAGTAGCCACATCTAGACATGCCACTCCTATGTAGAAAACCTTTCAGGAGGCCGGGCGCGGTGGCTCATGCCTATAATTGCAGCACCTTGGGAGGCCAAGGTGGGCAGATCGCTTGAGGTCAGGAGTTTGAGACCAGCCTGGCCAACATGGTGAGACCCTGTCTCTACGAAAAACAAAAATTACCCAGGCATGGTGGTGCACACCTGTAATCCCAGCATTTTGGGAGGCCGAGGCAGGTGAATCACCTGAGGTCAGGCGTTTGAGACCAGTCTGGCCAACATAGTGAAACCTCATCTCTACTAAAAATACAAAAATTAGCCGGGCGTGGTGGCACGTACCTGTAATCTCAACTACTTGGGAGGCTGAGTCAGGAAAATCGCTTGAACCTGGGAGACAGAAGTTGCAGAGAGCCAAAACCGTGCCACTGATATCCAGCCTTGGTGACAGAGCAAGATTAAGTCTCAAAAAAAAAAAAAAAAAAGGCCGGGCGGGGCGCAGTGGCTCACACCCCTGTAATCCCAGCACTTTGGGAGGCCAAAGTGGGTGGATCACTTGAGTCCAGGAGTTCGAGACCAGCCTGGCCAACATGGGGAAACCCCATCTCTACTAAAAATAAAAAAATTAACCAGGCATGGTGGCGCACGCCTGTATTCCCAGCTACTTGGGAGGCTGAGGCAAGGAAAATTGCTTGAACCTGGAAGGCAGAGATTGCAGTGAGCCGAGATCATGCCACTGCACTCCAGACTGACATAGAGAGACTCTGCCTCAAGAAAAGAAAGAAAGAAAAGGAAAGGAAGAAAGAACACCTTTCAGGAGTGGCCCAACTGCCCACAGCACAACATCTTAATGTCTGGACTTCACATTGTCTGACCTAATAACCTCGCCAAACACCCTCTCCGTCACGTTCCCACCATGCTGAAGTCTTGTTTTTTTTTCTTTTGTCCCTGCTGTCTCTGGGCTCTGCACATGCTGTTCTTTTCTCCGACTCTTTTCCAACCTTCCACCTCCAGCCAGTTCACACTTCCACTTCTCAGTTTAGACTTTACTTTCTCTGGGACACTTTCCTTGACATCACCATTCCCCCAAGACGGGGTTAGAAACCCCTCCTCAAGGCCCCCACAGCACCCTGTGCTGATTTCTACGGTACTGTGCTGGCATCTACTCCACAGCTGTTTTACTTGCTGTTCTCTACCATGTTCTTATTCACATCCTCTGACCTGGTGTAGAGAAAGCTTTCCATACATGTGGAGAACAACTTAATGAACAAAGTCTGGGAACAGAAAACAACTAGCGTTTGCTTTTAGCACCAGCTTGTGCTGAATGATTAACATACAGTATATCATTTGATCCTTAAAAAACTCTGGAGTAGAAATGGCCTTAAAAAATTTTTTTTTTAATATTGAGGCTGGGCGCAGTGGCTCACGCCTGTAATCCCAGCACTTTGGGAGGCCAAGGCGGGTGGATCACGAGGTCAGGAGATTGAGACCATCCTGACCAACATGGTGAAACCCTGTCTCTACTGAAAATACAAAAATTAGCTGGGCATGGTGGTGCGTGTCTGTAATCCCAGCTACTCGGGAAGCTGAGGTAGGAGAATCGCTTGAACCCGGGAGGTGGAGGTTGCAGTGAGCTGAGATCGCGCCACTGCACTCCAGCCTGGCGACAGAGCGAGACTCTGTCTTTAAAAGAAAAGGATACTGTAAAAGTACAAAAAAGTACTACCCATGCTATGAAGTAGGGATAATAAAATACCCATGTACTTTCCAAACTGGCTGCTCACAATAACTTTCTGGGGTTTTTCTTTTTTGTAGAGACAGGGTCTCACTACGTTGCCCAGGCTGGTCTTGAACTCCTGGCCTCAAACGATCCTCCTGCCTCTGCCTCCCAAAATGCTGGAATTACAGGCATGAGCCACAGAACCTGGCCAAATTTGTTTTTTAAAAGCATCAATTTTGTTACTTGTAATTTTTTTGTTTGTTTGTTTTGTTATGTTTTGAGACAAAGTCTAGCTCTGCCACCCAGGCTGGAATGCAATGGCGCTGTCACAGCTCACTGCAACCTTCTCCACCTCCTGGCTTCAAGTGATTCTCTTGCCTCAGCCTCCAGGGTAGCTGGGACTACAGGTGCGTGCCACCACACCCGGCTAATTTTTGTATTTTTAGTGGAGCCGGGTTTCACTATGTTGGCCAGGCTGGTGTAATTTTTAACTAGGGTAAGATTATCACCCAAAAAAATACAATCTTAAAGTTTCTGAACTCAAGTAGAAATAGAAAAGATGTTTGTCAATTTCAATGAACTAAGAAAACTGAATTGAAAATTTAAATCAATCAAAGGTAGCTGACCCTCAATCAGGAAGAAAGCTTGAGCCTTATCCTCCAAATACAGTTTACATTTTTCCTCATCTAATAGTTAAAAGAAATTATGAAACAGTGTGGGGACAGAAGAAAAAAATGCAGGAAAAAAAGAAAGAAGAGGCCGGGCGCAGGTGCTCACACCTGTAATCCCAGCACTTTGGGAGGACGAGGCGGGCAGATCACCTGAAATCAGGAGTTCAAGACCAGCCTGACCAACATGGAGAAATCCCGTCTCTACTAAAAATACAAAATTAGCCAGGCGTGGTGGCGCATGCCTGTAATCCCAGCTACTCGGGAGGCTGAGGCAGGAGAATCCCTTGAACCCAGGAGGCAGAGGTTGTGGTGAGCCGAGATCGCGCCATTGCCCTCCAGCCTGGGCAGTAAGAGTGAAACTCCGTCTCAAAAAAAAAAAAAAAAAGAAAAGGAAGAAGAAAGCCCAAATAGAGTTGTAAGAAATATAAGAAAAGGTTAATCCAGCCTTATTTACAGTAACACTAAACAGCAACAAAAACCTTAATTTTCAGGGGATAAACATACCTTCAGAACAATCACTAACAAATGACCAAATAAAACCATTTTATTTGCTCCAATTACCTTTTAAAAGGGACAAAAGCCTCTTAAGTGAAAAAAAATTTAACGAAAGCACAATTCAAGTCATCATTAACCATACAGCATTGTAACTGTGGAAAAACCAACCAAAGCTATCCATTCGCCTTCATTTGTATATTCAGCCAATGAAGTCTTGACCTAAAACCATCAGGCATCAAACTAAACTCCATCTGCTACACACATAACCTTTCTTGAAGCTAAACAATGTTATGTAGGACTTAAGATTCATATACTTGCATGTTCCTCACTTTCAGTAAAGCTTCTAAATATTACTGTTACAAATATCAGAACTTGTAAGCAACAGCTTCTGATGATATATAAAAGTTACAAGAGCATTAAAACAACAACCTACAGGTGGGGCATGGTGGACCAAGCCTGTAATCCCAACACTTTGGGAGGCCAAGGCAGCAGGATGGCTTGAGCCCAGGAGTTGCAGACCAGCCTGGGCAACAGTGAGACCCTGTCTCTTTAAGAAAAAAAAAAAAAATTAGCTGGGTGTGGTGGCATGTGCCTGTAGTCCTACCTACTTAGGAGGCTGAGGTGGGAGGACTGCTGGAGCTCAGGAGATTGAGGCTACAGTGAGCTACAACTGCGCCACTGCACTCCAGCCTAGGCAGCAGAGGGAGATCTTGCCTCAAAAAAACAACATGAACATGAATCGAGGTTGGATCTGTGTGGAGGAATGAGACTTCACAAGTGTTTCCTTTGCTTTAAATACTAGTCTTACTCAAAGCTTTAAAATTCCCAGTCTCTTATATGGTATGTCTCCCTTGTTATCAAATGCTAGAATGCATTATTCTTTCTTCATTTGTGGAGTTTCACTATTTAGACACTGTGGCACTCTGCATACATTGAGGTAATAATATTAGCACGTTTAAAGAGAAACTGTTACGCTCTGCTTCTTCGTAAACAATGTAATCCACGTTCTCATAGCATTTCCGTTATAAGAGAAAACACACACGCTTTAAAAAGACAAAACCTTCGTCTTAATTATACTTAAGTAAACCAAACGACTGGCCTTAAACTTTATAAACCAAATACTTACTGTAGACTTGATTCAAAGATACAGAAGAGAAAGTGAAACTGACCCTAATTTAAAACAAATAAGTGAAACTGATCATTCATATCCCCTAGGCAATTTGAATGAGTGACAAAGTAAAAAGAATTAGGTTTAAAATGTACAACTCTTCGAAACGTTTTGAGAGGCCACCAAAACGAGAACCTAGGATTCTGTGGTTACCTTGAAAAGGAGGCGTTAACTAGTTTCTCAAACAGTTTTGCTGTCAGGGTATTGACTTTACATAACCAACATGTTTTCCCATAAACAAGTGACCCCACGGCCTCCTAAGAGTCATTAACAAAAGTCATCTCCACTGCATGCATGTGAGAGGGGTTAAAGTCCTAGATGGGAAAACTTGTTCCGTCCAATTTTCATTTCCAACATCTGCAACGGATCCCCCGTTCCAGGTAAGCTGGCTCTTCCTGCCCCGAAAATAAAAAACGCTAGAGAGGCACACATGCTTTTGGGGACGCGCCACCCGGCTTCTCCTCTCCCTTCGGGGTGGCCGCTCCGCCCGGCGTGGGCACCTCGGACTCTCCACGGAGCAGCCAGGTGGCTAGGCCTGGGGAGGGGGCGCCCAAGGTGGGAAAACTTTGCCTCTGTTAGGGATGCAGTGGGGGCGGGGAGGCCGGCCCGGGGCTCTGAGGGGGCTCCGGGGCGGGAGGTGGCAGCCACGCGGGGGGCGGCGGGCGGGCCGGGGACGCCGGACTCCGCGGTCAGCGGCCAGCACACGCCCACCCCGGCCGCCCCGAGCCTCCCGCCTGCCTGCCCGGCCCCCAGGCCGAAGGGGCGGGCTGGGGCCGGGTGGGGGTGGGAGCGCAGTGTCCATGGCAACCAGGGGGGCCCGGCCTCGCCGCGCAGCCCGGCTACCCCGGTGCCCGCCCGCCGCGGCCGCCGCCCCCTCCCCAGCGGCCTGGCCCGGGCGGGCGGTGGCGCCGCAGCCCCCAGAGCGGCGGGGTCCCGGGCGGCCCGCGGCTGTGTAGGGGGAGGCGGGCGAGGGGCCGCACCAGCCCCCGGCGGGCCGCGCCGGCTGAGGGGCGGCCGAGCCAGCGGCGGCCCAGGCGAGCGGGCCGCTGCGCGGGCCCCATGCCGGCCTGCGGCGGGCGGGAAGGAGGCGGGAGCTTACCTGACCCGGCTCGGCGCTCGCTCCATCCCCCTCGGCCGCCGCCGCCGCCGCCGCACACAGCCCAGCCGCCCGGCGGGGGACAATGACGTGCCTCCATCCGGGCACCGCCGCCGCCGCCTCCGGGTCAGCGCCGCGCCCGCCGCGCCCCTCCGGGCCGCCGGGGGGCGCGCCAGGGCCGCGCCCGAACGCGCCGCCGCCCAGGGGCCGTCGCACAAGAAGCGCGGCGCGCAGCTAACAAGCACGGCGAGTGTGGGAGGGGTCGTCGCCCAAGAGCCGTGGGCGAAGGCAGACGTCGCGCGTCACCAGAGCGCCGGTCGGGCCGGCAGAGGGAGCGCGCTGATTGGCTGGGCTGGTCGCGCGTCTGCGCGCCGGCGAAAGGGCTCCTTCCGCCCTGTGCTTCCCTGGGCAGAGCCAGACGGCGCGCGGCGGGCGTAGGACTTTGGGCTTTCGCCTCGTCCTGCGCTTGACCCCAGATGCGTTTCCAGAAGCGGGGCACCTGGGGACGCAGGAGTCTGGGATCCCCGTCCCCCGAAAACGGACTTGGCTCCGAGAAATCCTCCGCTTCGTGGGCTTCGCCCTCTGCAACTACCTTGCGCCTCCCTTGGCCTAGCGGACGCAGCCTTTATTTTTTGTTTCTTAGAAACAAGGTCTGGGCCGGGCGCGGTGGCTCACGCCTTAATCCCAGCATTCTGGGAGGCCGAGGCGGGCGGATCACGAGGTCAGGAGTTCGAGACTAGCCTGGCCAGCATGGTGAAACCCTGTCTCTACTAAAGATACAAAAAATTAGCCGGGCGTGGTGGCGCGCGCCTGTAGTCCCAGCTACTCGGGAAGCTGAGGCAGGAGAATTGCTTGAACCCGGGAGGCGGAGGTTGCAGTGAGCCGAGATCGCGCCTCTGCACTGCAGCCCTCCAGCCTGGGCGACAGAGCGAGAGTCTGTCTCAAAAAAGAAAAGAAAAGAAACAGGGTCTGTAGCCCAGGCTGGAGTGCAATTTCACGACCTAACTCACTGCAGCTGCGACCTCCCGGGCTCAAGCGATGTTCCTGTCTTAGCCTCCCTAGCAGCTGGGGCTACGGACGCGCGCTACCACGCCCACTTAATTTTAGGGTTTTTGTTTGTTTGTTTTTGGTGTGGAGTTTTGTTTTGTAGGGACAGAGGTCTTACTGTTGCCCGGGCAGGTCTAAGATTCCTGGGCTCAAGCAGCTCCCCCTCCGTGGCTTCCCAAAGTGTTGGGATTACAGGCGTGAGCCGCTGCACCCGACTAATTTTTTAAGTTTTGTTTTTTTTTTTTTTTTTGTAGAGACGGGGGTCTCGCTATGTTGCCCAGGCTGGTTTCCAACTTCTGAGATCAAGCGATTGTCCCACCTCAGCCTCCCAAAGCGCTGGGATTACACTCCGGAGCCACCGCCCAAGACCTGATGCAGCCTTCAAGTCCGCCTGACCCCACCGGTGCGCCACTGTCCATCAGACTCACACACTGAGTTACAGAAAGGGATTTTCTTTTTCTTTTTTTTTTTTGAGACGGAGTTTGCTCTTATGGCCCAGGCTGGAGTGCAATGGTGTCATCTCGGCTCACTGCAACCTGTGCCTCCTGCCTCAGCCTCCTAAGTACCTGGGATTACAGATGCCCGCCACCACGCCCGGCTAATTTTTTGTATTTTGTAGAGACAGAGTTTCACCATGTTGGTCAGGCTGGTCTCGAACTCCTGACCTCAGGTGTGGAATTTTAAACCTGGCTCTGAAGGGGATAGACCCCTGTTCACCCCGTCCAGATTTTATCTCAAATCCTAGCATTGTACAGGCTTAGGAGACAACTGGACCAGTTCTTGCTCCAGAGTGCCAGATCCACACATCCAATCATTTATTGGCTGTCTCCACCTCGAGGCCTAACAGAGCTAGTTCATCTCTGCATCTCCCCTCCACCATGAGCCTGCTTCTCCCTGCACTGATTAAGGACCTGGTATTCTGTGCTCACCAGACCTTTCCTCTCTCACTGCCTCTTTCCCTCCCCTGGTGATCTAACCCTTTACACCAACTCATGTTTACCTGGCCTCCCCAGCGGCTGCTGTCCTGACCCTCCCTGAGTCAGCCTTTCTTCGCTCAACAATTCCATCTCAACAGTCTCTTCTCTGTTGCTGCACTCCCCACCCTACAGTGGCTTGGGTGGTCTTCCAAAAACCGTCAGATCACTTGACTCCCCCACTCTGAGCATTCTATGGCTCACAGCAAAGTCTAAATTCCTTAGCTAGGTATCAGAAACTCCAAGTTCCCTTTCCTCTTTTATGTGTTTCAACCATAACACACTCCTCAATTCCAGTACCCAGCCCTACCCCACTACTACATCTGCTTGTAGAAAGCCCACCCATGCTGCCTCTTCTGCGCAGCCCACAGTGTGTCCCCACAGGCACAGCCCACCACACCTGGCTAATCTTTATTTTTTTAGAGACGGGCTCGCTATGTTGCCCAGGTTGGTTGTGAACCCCTGGCCTCAAGGGATCCTCTGCTTGGACCTCCCAAAGTGCTGGGATTACAGGCATGAGCCACCACACCAACCCAGCTTCATTTTCCATTTCACGCTGTTGACAAACTGGTCCCTCCAGGCTGCCCCTTAAATCTTAGTAGAATCTGGGCGTGGTGGCTCACGCCTGTAATCCCAGCACTTTGGGAAGCCGAGGCGGGCAGATCACAAGATCAGGAGTTCGAGACCAGCCTGGCCAATATGCTGAAACTCTGTCTCTACTAAAAATACAAAAATCAGTTGGCTGTGGTGATGGCACCTGTAATCCCAGCTACTGGGAGGCTGAGGCAGGAGAATCGCTTGAACCTGGGAGGCAGAGGTTGCAGTGAGCCGAGATCGCGACACTGCACTCTAGCCTGGGCAACAGAGTGAGATTCCGTCTGTCTCAAAAAAAAAAAAAAAAAAAATCTTAGGAGACTACCTGAGCAACTTAAATAGAAAAGGTATTTTTTGTGAATTAAGGTGGAATGTCACCCTGTCTCCTAGAACAGTCTCGGCTCACTGCAACCTCCACCTCCCAGGTTCAAGCAATTCTTCTGCCTCAGGGACTACAAGCACACACCACTGTACCCGGCTAATTTTTTTTTTTTTTGTAGTTTTAGTAGAGATGGGGTTTCACCATGTTGGTCAGGCTGGACTCGAACTCCTGGCCTCAAGTGATCTGCCCACCTCAGCCTCCCAAAGTGCTGGGATTGCAGGCGTGAGCCACTGCGCCCAGTCAGAAAAGGAGTTCTTTTTAAATCATCTCTTGGCGTTGTCTACCCAGAACAGGCTCTAAGGTTGGAGGGGATGGGGGGTTACACCTCCCCCTCTACCTTGCCCCATGCCATCAAAGCAAACATAGAGACCCTTTTCCTCTAAGGAGCTAGCACCACTTACTCTAGCAAACTGGCAACATTAATGGAGAAGTCACAAAGCATATGAAGACATCCCTGCCTACAAACAGCTGGGGCCTTGGCTGAGATGATAAACTGGCCCCAAAACCTTGTTCTCCTCCAGATCAGAGTGTAATCCAGAGTGAATGCTGCCTGGAGAAGTCACTTTTCCTCTGTTCTTATAAGCTCTGTGACCTACAGAAATTACTTAACCTGTTTCCTTTATTGAAATGGTTTTTATGCAAGACGCAAACTGATTCCAAGTGCCCCACCCTCAAGTCCGAAGGCTCACAGGATCATGGAACAATAGGTGTCAGGAAGGGGTGAATTTTATTTTCTGAGGACCTCCAGACTTAGGGAGCCTGCAGTGGGCACTGTTAATGCCCCACCCAGGTCCTCCTTACTGGCGGATGCTTCCATCCCTTGTCTGCTGCTGTGGTGTTCGCTGCTTATAACTCACAGCTGCCTCTTCTCCTGAGGCTGTTCTTAGCTGAAGGGGAGACTCATCTCCCACTGAGACAATATTGTTGCTCCACTCCTTTCACTGCCCTTTCCTTTCATTACCTTCCTCCCTAGAGCGCTCCCCTCAAGGCCAAATTGTACCTAAATCTTGTGCGCCTAAATTCTGTCTCAAGCCTCACTTCTAGATATCCTGGTTTAAGACAGTGGGTACCAGCCAGGCTCAGTGGCACACACCTATAGTCCCAGCCCTTTGGGAGGCCAAGGCAAGCAGATCACTTGAGGTCAGGAGTTCAAGACCAGCGTGACCAACATGGTGAAACCCCATCTCTTCTAAAAATACAAAAAATTAGCTGAGTGTGGTAGCGCGCGCCTATAATCCCAGCTACTCAGGAGGCTGAGGCAGGAGAATTGCTGGAACCTGGGAGGTGGGCTTGCACCACTGCACTACAGCCTGGGGCAACAGAGCGAGACTCCCGTCTCAAAAAAAAAAAAAAAAAGACAGTGGATACCAAGAATAGTCCCTAAGAAACAGAGTGTAAAAATGTCCAGGTGCCAGGCACAGTGGCTCCCGCCTGTAATCCCAGCACTTTGAGAGGCTGAGATGAGCAGATAACCTGAGGTCAGGAGTTCGAGACAAGCCTGGCCAACATGGTGAAACCCCGTCTCTACTAAAAATACAAAAATTAGCCGGGCATGGTTGCAAGCACCTGTAATCCCAGCTACTTGGGAGGCTGAGGCAAGAGAATCGCTTGAACCCAGGAGGCGGAGGTTGAAATGAGCTGAGGCCATACCATTGCACTCCAGCCTGGGCAACAAGAGCGAAACTCCGTATTAAAAAACCATAAAATAAATAAATAAATAAATCTCCAGGCAATGGATGGGACACTCACAGCTGGGCAACAGTATCAGGCGCCCATCTAGGGGGACTAGTTAGGGCTGGATATGAGTAGAAGGGGATGTGTTGGCTTATTCAATCTCTCTGGTTTTTGAGGATATAGGAGAAGTAGTCATTAGAACTGTGAAATTGGGCCAGGTGCGGTGACTCACACCTGTAATCCCAGCACTTTAGGAGGCTGAGGCCGGAAGATCGCTTGAGGCCAGGAGTTCAAGACCAGCCTGGGCAACATAGTGAGCCCCAGTCTCTACCAATAATAATAATAATAATAATAATAATAGACTTGTGAAATTTGGTAGTAATAGAATTTTTTTTTTTTTTTGAGAGGGAGTCTCGTTCTGTCACCCAGGCTGGACTGCAGTGGTGTGATCTTGGCTAACTGCAACCTCCACCTCCCAGGTTTAAGTGATTCTCCTGCCTCCGCCTCCCAGGTAGCTGGGATTATAGGCACCCACCACAATGCCCAGATAATTTTTGTATTTTTAGTAGAGATGGGGTTTCACCATATTGGCAAGGCTGCTCTTGAAATCCTGACCTCAAATGATCTCCCTGCCTTGGCCTCCCAAAATGCTGGGATTACAGGCATGAGCCACTGTGCCCGGATGGTAATAACAGATCCTTTAAAGAGGGAAAATTGGGGCAGGTGCGGTGGCTCACACCTGTAATCCTAACACTCTGGGAGGCTGAGGCAGGTGGATCACCTGAGGTCAGGAGTTTGAGACCCGCCTGCCCAACATACTGAACCCCATCTCTACTAAAAATACAAAAATTGGCCAGGCACAGTGGCTCACGCCTGTAATCCCAGCACTTTGGGAGGCCGAGGCGGGCAGATCATGAGGTCAGGAGATTGAGACAATCCTGGCTAACACTGTGAAACCCCATCTGTACTAAAAATACAAAAAATTAGCCGGGCATGGTGGCGGGTGCCTGTAGTCCCAGCTACTGGGGAGGCTAAGGCAGGAGAATCTCTTGAACCTGGGAGGCCTAGGTTGCAATGAGCTGAGATCGCGCCACTGCACTCCAGCCTGGGCAACAGAACGAGACTCCGTCTCAAAAAAAAAAAAAAAAAAAAAGAGAGGGAACAATGGGGCTCCAGGCAATTAGTCAGTAATATAAAGTGAGAAAGCCAGAGAGCAGAGCCTCCTCAGCAGTCTGTCATCTATAATCAGAGGGCAGACAGTCCTGAAAACCAGGCAGAGGACTTAACCTAAAAGGAGCAGAACATTAGAAAAGGTTGAATTTTCAGCTACTATCAGTCTCTAACACCAAAGTCAGGACTCTAATAAGGAAGGAGTGAGACCCTGAGACAAAGGACAGGACTCTAATGTCCGTAGAACTTCAAGCTCCTCTGAACTCTTTGTTCAAGAATGGTACCACCAACCCGAAGACTATGCAGACACCTCAAATGAGGTAGGTACCCTACAAGACAATGCATTCTTGGCAGGGCATGGTGGCTCATGCCTGTAATCCCAGCACTCTGAGAGGCCGAGGCAGACAGACCACTTGAAATCAGGAGTTCAAGACCAGCCTGGCCAACATGGTGAAACCCCGTCTCTACTAAAAAATACAAAAATTAGCCAGGTGTGGTGGTGCACATCCCAGCTACTCAGGAGGCTGAGGCAGGAGAATCGTTTGAACCGGGGAGGCGGAGGTTGCAGTGAGCTGAGATCATGCCACTGCATTCCAGCCTGGGCGACAGTTAAGAGTGAGACTCTGTCTCAAGAAAAACAAAAAACAAGAAAACAATGCATTCTTTCTGTTCCTGTATCCCCCTGGCCACCAGATAAATCACCAAGATCAGATACCATCACGCCTGCTAAGGGAGGAGTGGAATCAAAAATTGAAGGAACTGCAAGACCAGGCTAATACACACCAGCAGAAACTGAAAATAAGCCCGGGAATGGATACTACGGGGCCTAGATCAAGGGGTGAGGGGTGAGGGCTGGGGAGCAGATAAGAGAGAGTTTATAGATATGTGGGCACTTTCCTTTAATACAGATCTCACACTTTGTCAAGGATGCTGGGTGGGCAGGTTCTGATACATCATGGGACTGGTATTTGACAATAGAAATAAGCTACATGGGCTGGGCGCGGTGGCTCACGCCTGTAATCCCAGCACTTTGGGAGGCCAAGGTGGAAGGATCACGAGTTCAGAAGATCAAGACCATCCTGGCCAACATGGTGAAACCCGTCTCTACTAAAAATACAAAACTTAGCTGTGGGGTAGTGGTGTGTGCCTGTAATCCCAGCTACTCAGGAGGCTGAGGCAGGAGAATCGCTTAAACCAGGGAGTTGAAGTTTGCAGTGAGGCAAGATTGTGTCACAGCACTCCAGCCTGGCAACAGAGTGAGACTCCATCTCAAAAAAAAAAAAAAAAGAAAAGAAAGAAAAAGAAGGCCGGGCGCGGTGGCTCACGCCTGTAGTCCCAGCACTTTGGGAGGCCGAGGCGGGCGGATCACGAGGTCAGGAGATCGAGACCATCCTTGCTAACATGGTAAAACCCCGCCTCTACTAAAAATGCAAAAAATTAGCGGGGCATGGTGGCGGCCGCCTGTAGTCACAGCAACTCGGGAGGCTGAGGCAGGAGAATGGCATGATCCCGGAAGGCGGAGTTTGCAGTGAGCTGAGATTGTGCCACTGCACTCCAGCCTGGGTGACAGAGCAAGACTCTGTCTCGAAAAAAAAAAAGAAAAGAAAAAGAAATAACCCACATGGCTGGGCGCAGTGGCTTATGCTTGTAATCACAACACTTTGGGAGACTGAACTGGGAGGATCACTTGAGGCCAGGAATTGGAGGCTGCGGTGAGCTATGATCATGCAACGGCACACTTCAGCCTGTGCTCTGTCTTCAGGGCAACAGTGCATGAGCCTGTCTCCAAAAAAAAAAAAAAAAAAAAAGGACCCACAGGGACCTAATTTTAGATGCCATGAATTCCATGGCAGATACTGGAGGAAGCGAGTGCTACTCTCAGGGAAGAGGACATGCTAAAATGCATGCTACCAGCTGGTGACATTCCATCACAAGGCCTGGAAAACACCGTTTTACCAGGACCACGGAGGGCAGAGACAGCATCAGCTGTGTTGGAAAAGTGGTACCCCGAGGTGGCTGTCATGTATAAGCCAGGGCTAATAACAGGAGATGCTGTTACAGAACTGGGCTGTCTGGTAGCAAAGAGGATGATAGCAGCCCGTCTCTACTAAACATACAAAATTAGCCAGGCATGGTGGCATGTGCCTGTAGTCACAGCTACTTGGGAGGCTGAGGCAAGAGAATCACTTGAACCCGGGAGCCAAGATCATGCCACAGCACTCCAGCATGGATGACAGAGGAAGACTGTCTCAAAAAAAAAAAGAAAAGAAAGAAAGAAAGAAAATGATGGCATCCTGGAGTGTCAGAGACTGGGTAGCAGTGCTTACGCAGCAGAAGGTGGGCATGATTGGTACAGTGAGCAGCAAGCCAGAGTAGCAGATGGGAGGCACTGACTTGCAGGGATCCAAGGCAATGGCTAATAAAACACAGGGCAAGACAGGCTGTCAACAAAAGCACAGTATATATCATTGTAAGCAGACAAGGAGGATCTCCAGGGATTATAGGAACTTGGGATTAATCTCCAGGGATTAATCAACTTGTGCAATCAGCCTGTTTCACAGCCTCCTGCTCTGCACCTGTTCTTCCCCAAACCTTGGATGGAATGCAGTCACCTTGTTAGTTTAAACCAGCTCCTGACAGACCCCAACAACGTACAGATGAACCTGAGTGAACTCTCTGCATGACCATGCTAAAGTATCCATCCCGTGAGAAGTTATAGCTTCATTCCCATCACATGCAACCTATGGGCTGGCAGGATGACTCACTGCATCTGCACCATTGGGATCCCTCCTCTCCATGCAATGATGCACCCATCTCCCCTCTCCATCACCCCATAAAACCCTACTGTCACTTTCCCTTGGGGAGACTCTGCTTTGGAGAATACTCCCAGTGTTCTTACTGGCACCAAGTAATAAGCTGGTCTCGAACTGCTGGCCTCAAGTGATCTGCCCACCACAGCCTCCCAAAGTGCTGGGATTACAGGCGTGAGCCACCACGCCTGGCCAGGTATACCTATATGTCTATAATAACCTGGTTGTGTAGAAGACTGAGGTTAGCTGTCTCAGTGGAAAAACACGAACATCTGCCCAGATTCCCCCACCTGAGCCAGTTCTCAATTCCAAAACATGCATCCAGGCTGGGTGAGGTGGCTCAGACCTGGAATCCCAATGCTTGGGAAGCTGGGGCAGATGGATGATTTGAGTCTAGGAATTCGAGACCAACCTGAGCACAGTAAGACTCTGTCTCTACAAAAAAATAAATTAAAAAAAAAAGCCAAGTATGGTGGCACCTGTGGTCCCAGTTACTCAGGAGGCTGAGGCAGGAGGATTGCTTGAGCCTGGGAGGTGTAGACTGCAGTGAGATGTGACCACACCACTGCAGCCCGGGTAACAGTGAGACCCTGTCTCAAAAACAAAAATCGAAATACCCATCCAGTAAAGGAGAAGCCAGATCCCATGCAAGTGTACACAGTAGGGATTTTCCAAGTCCTGCCCCAAAGAGACCTCTGGCCATTTTTTTTGTTTTTTAGACGGAGTCTTGCACTGTTGCCCAGGCTGGAGTGCAGTGGCGCAATCTCAGCTCATTGCAACCTCCGCCTCCCAGGTTCAAGTGATTCTCCTGCCTCAGCTTCCCAAGTAGCTGGGATTACAGGTGCCTGCCACCACGCCCAGCTAATTTTTTGTATTTTTAGTAGACACGGGGTTTCACTATGTTGGCGAGGCTGGTCTCAAACTCCTGACTTCGTGATCTGCCTGCCTCAACCTGCCAAAGTGCTGGGATTACAGGCGTGAGCCACCACACCCGGCCCCTCTGGCCATTTAATTTACTCCGTAATTATATGCTGGGGAATAGGGGTCTGCTCAGATATTTCCAGGCTTTTGCTTACAGAGTCCAAGTTAACGCAGCTCTAAAGCACCCTCAGGGTTCCCTTATTGCTAAGGGATCAAGTTAATACCTTTGGTCCTGACCCAC
Organism: Homo sapiens; assembly: GCF_000001405.40. Classification (NCBI taxonomy): domain Eukaryota; kingdom Metazoa; phylum Chordata; class Mammalia; order Primates; family Hominidae; genus Homo; species Homo sapiens. Next base: position 6,095,222 of record NC_000007.14, on the reverse strand, counting down.
ATCCCTCACTGGGTTCACTGAGCCCACAGTGGTCAATTCCCTGGTTCCCAAATGTGATACTCAAATAGTCATACTTAGCAACTGGTTCCTTGACTTACAGCATTAAGAGCTATTGTAGCACAGAAAGCCAAGTGGGGCTGGGCACGGTGGCTCACACCTATAATGCCAGCACTTTGGGAGGCCCAGACGGGCAGATCCCTTGAGGTTAGGAGTTCAAGACCAGCCTGGCCAACATGGCGAAACTCCATCTCTACTAAAAATACAAAAATTAGCCAGATGTGGTGGCAAGCACCTGTAATCCCAGCTACTCAGGAGGCTGAGGCAGGAGAATCGCTTGAACCTGGGAGGCGGAGGTTGCAATGAGCCGAGATTGCGTCACTGTACTCCAGCCTGGGTGACCAAAAAAAAAAAAAAGCCAAGTGGAACAAGTGGAAGCCCTGAAACTGCCCCCTCTGGCCAAAAGAGTAAGTTGGTGGGGCTGAGGGTGGAGGTTGATGGGAGAAAATCGCAGAGAATAGTGCCATGCTCAGAGGGTTAAAGGATGCAAGGCTGGTGTCTCCATCATCTGCTCATTTAATTTACCAGTCTGACCCCTGCAAAAACTGGATGAACCATCATAGGTGACAATGAACTACTGCAAACATAATCCTCAAGGACTCATCTAGCACCAGCTTAATTCCACCGCTACCCACTCCATCCTTTGGAGTTCTTCTACATCCACAACAGAATGGAGTTGTGTTTAGAATCTCTCAGGCTGGGCTTAGTGGCTCATGCCTGTAATCCCAGCACTTTAGGAGGCCGAGGAAGGAAGATCGCTTGAGGCTAAGAGTTCAAGACCAGCCTGGGCAATATAGGGAGACCCTGACTCTACAAAAAATAAAAAATTAGCCAGGTGCTGGTGCATGCCTGTAGTCCCAGCTACTAAGGAGGCTGAGGTGGGAGGATCGCTTGAGCCCAGGAGGTCAAGGGTCCAGTGAGCTATTATGGCACGATGGCACTCCAGCCTGGGTGACAAAGCAAGACCCTGTCTTAAAAACAACAGGCCGGGCATGGTGGCTCATGCCTGTAATCCCAGCACTTCAGGAGGCTGAGGCAGGTGGATCACGAGGTCAGGAGTTCAAGACCAGACTGACCAACATGGTGAAACCCCGTCTCTACTAAAAATACAAAAAAAATTAGCCGGGTGTGGTGGCACGCACCAGCTACTCAGGAGGCTGAGGAAGGAGAATCACTTCAACCCGGGAGGTGGAGGTTGCAGTGAGCCCACATCGCGCCATGCACTCCAGCCTGGGTGACAGAGTGAGACTCCATCTTAAAAAAACAAAATAACCTTGTAGTTGATCCTCCTTTTTCTGAAACCCTGAGAGCAAACATGAACAAGGTCTTTTAACTCTTATAGATTTTACAACCACTATGAAAAAAACAAAGAAGAAAATATATAAACAGTGAAAAATAGATTGGTCACAAAATACATTCAAAAGAAGTACCTACCATATTTTACCACAAAAAAGTAAAGAAGGGAGGGGGAGAGAAAGAGGGAGAGGAAGAGAAAAAAAGAGAGAAAGGAAGAAAGAGGTAAGGAAAGGAGAGGGGAGGGGTGGGGGAAGGAGGGAAGCAAGGTGAAAGAAAGAAAAAAGAGAAAAGAAAGAGAGAGGCACATGCCTGTAATCCCAGCACTTTGAGAGGCTGAGGCGGGAGAATCGCTTGAGATCAGGAGTTCGAGACCAGCCTGGCCAACATGGTTTTGGTTTCTATCAAAAAATACAAAAGTTACCCGAGCATGGTGGTGCATGCCTGTAGTCCCAGTTACTCGGGAATCTGAGGCATGAGAATCACTTGAACTCGGGAGGTGGAGGTTGCAGTGAGCTGAAATCCTGCCACTGCACTCCAGCCTGGGCAACAGAGTGAGACTTGGTCCCAAGGCAAAAAAAAAGAGAGAGAAGAAAAGAAGGAAGGAGGGAAGAAAGGAAGAAAGGAAGGAGGAAGAGAGGGAGGGAGGGAGGAAGGAAGAAAGGAAGGAAAGGGAAGGAAGGAAGGGAGAGAGGGAGGGAAGGAAGGGAAGGGAGGGAGGGAGAGAGGGAGGGAAAGGAAAGGAAGGAAGAAAGAGTACCTTCCGTTTACTCAGAGTGCTCAGATGACACCAATCAATAGACTTGTCCCAGCAGCCCACACGGAGACTCAGTCACAGAGAGCACTGTTTGGAAACAGACACACTAGATGTAAATTCCAGCTCCAGCTTATATTTATCTGTTAAGTTCTCTGAACCTTACTTCAGACTCTCATGAAATGAAAGGCTGTTTTAATTTATCTTAAGCCAAGTTTATCCTAATGGATGATTAACACCACTTCCCTGCACACCAACATAAGACATTAAAGTGTGAAAGTGTTCAAGGAGGGATATATTTAATCTTCTGAGGACCGGTGTCTCCTAGGAAGGAAATCTGAGACTGTGGCTGGCCAGGTCTTAGACCCAGCTTGTTTTTAGGAGACAGATCCCAAATCTCTCCTTTATGGATTGACAAAATATTAATTTAGAATTAAGAGGGGGTCATTGGAGATGCTGTGCCTACTTTCCAGAGACTATTTTGTTTGGAACCCGGAGCTGTGGGTGTTAATTAGTTATTACACATTGTCATGATGCCTCAAATGAGGAAGGTAATACTTAGTGGATGGGTTTACCCCTGAAGTGGATGCTGTTCAGGAAAAGTTTTACAACAGAAATGGCACTTGAAATAGGTCCTTGAGGCCGGGCGTGGTGGCGCATGCCTGTAATCCCAGAACTTTGAGAGCCCAAGGTGGGCAGATCCCCTGAGGTCAGGAGTTCAAGACCAGCCTGGCCAACATGGTGAAACCCCATCTCTACTAAAAATACAAAAACTAGCTGGGTGTGGTGGGAGGTGCCTATAATCCCAGCTACTCAGGAGGTCTGAGGCAGGTGAATCACTTGAACCCAGGAGGCGGAGGTTGCAGTGAGCTGAGATCACACCACTGCACTCCAGCCTGGGCGACAAAGCGAGAATCTGTCTCAAAAAAAAAAAAAAAAAGAGAAGAAGAAGAAAGAAGAAGAAGAAGAGGAAGAGGAAGAAGAAGAAGAAGAAGGAAGAGGAAGAAGAAGAAGAAGAGGAGGAAGAAGAAGAAGAGGAAGAGGAAGAAGAAGAAGAAGAAGAAAGAAGAAGAAGAAGAAGAAGAAGAAGAAGAAGAAGAAGAAGAAGAAGAAGAAGAAGAAGAAGAAGAAGAAGAAGAAAAAATACGTCCTTGAGGACTAAGTAGGATTTTTTCCAGGCAGATATCGAATAGAAAAAGGATGCCAGCCAGCATTTCAGGAAGAAATGCCGATTGAGAGTGCTGTGGTGCACCCCTGTAGTCCCAGCTATTTGGGAGGCTGTGGTGGGAGGGATCAAGCCCAGTTGGGGCAAAATAGCTAGACACCACCCCACTTTGCACCCCCATCCCCCACTGTCTCCAAAAAAATTTTTTTACCAGACTATTAAATCAGCAACATATATATGTGTGTGTGTGTGTGTGTGTGTGTGTGTGTGTGTATGCTAACATAATGATTAAATATGGTTCCTGTTTTTTTGGCTAATATAAAAAAACAAGAATAAAATTAATATGGGGGTGAGAATGAGAATCAATATAATCAATAGAAACCCAATTATAGTATAATACGGTAGCTGACTAGACGCTATGTATGGCACTGGGCATGGCGGCTCAAGCCTGTTATCTGAGCATTTGGGGAGGCCAAAGTAGGAGAATCGCCTGAGTCTAGGAGTTCAAGACCAGCCTGGGCAACATAGGGAGACCCTGTCTCTACAAAAACTTAAAAAAATTAGGTGGGCATGATGATGCATGCCTGCAGTCTCAGCTACTTGAGGGAGGCGGAGGTGGGAGGATCGCTTGAGACCAGGAGTTTGAGGCTGCAGTGAGCTCTGATCTTGCCATTTCACTCCAGCCTGGGCAACAGAGCAAGACCCTGCCTCAAAAAAGAAAAGAAAAGAGAAGAGAAGAGAAAAGAAAAGTGTGTAAAGTTAGTTAATCTCTATGTACTGACAATATCAACTAAATATAAACAGTGACTCTTACCACAGAAGCTGAAACAAAATAGCAAATCATATGCAATAAACCGAAGTAAGTTGGAGGACTTAATGAAGAACACAATCAAAGGAGGCCAAGGAAGGCTTGCTGCAAGGGGGTTTATAACTCACCACTGAATAGGCGTCATATGTCTTCAAATTAGATTGTAACTGTGATGAAATTGATCCCTAACAAATTCTTCCTGGAACATAAATTGCTGACAGGATAAATACATAATACTTTTTAGTTAAGTTATAAGCGTAAGGTCCTCTCAAGAGGATTACTAATAGAAGTTAGTTATATATATTTTACACTATATATGTTATATACTATATATATAACTATATGTTATATATATTATGTTATATATGTTATATATATAATATATATAGTATATAATATATATATAGTTAGTTTTGTTTTTTTGTTTATTTGAGACAGAGTCTCACTCTGTCGCCCAGGCTAGAGTGCAGTGGCATGATCCCAGCTCACTGCAACCTCCGCCTCCTAGGCTCAAGCAATTCTCCTGCCTCAGTCTCCTGAGTAGCTGGGATTACAGGCATGCACAACCGTGCCCAACTAATTTTTGTATTTTTAGGAGAGATGGGGTTTCACCATGTTAGCCAGGTTGGTCTCAAACTCCTGACCTCAGTTGATCCACCTGCCTTGGCCTCCCAAAGTGCCGGGATTAGAGGTGTGAGCCACTGTGCCTGGCATATATATAAATATAAACCTATATAATATATATAAATATAAACCTATATAATATATATAAAGAAATATATATAAATATATATATAAATATATATATAAAGAAATATATATATATATTTCTTTTTTTTTTTTTTGAGACAGAGTTTCAATATTGTTGCCCAGGCTGGTGTGCAATGGCGTGATCTCGGTTCACTGCAACCTCAGCCTCCTGGGTTCAAGCAATTCTCCTTCCTCAGCCTCCCGAGTAGCTGGGATTACAGGCATGCGCCACCATGCCTGTCTAATTTTGTGTTTTTAGTAGAGGCGGGGGTTTCTCCATGTTGGTCAGACTGGTCTCGAACTCCCGATCTCAGGTGATCTGCCCACCTTGACCTCCCAAAGTGCTGGGATTACAGGCGTGAGCCACTGCGCCTGGCCCTATATATATATCTTTTGAGACAGAGTCTTGCTCTGTCGCCCAGGCTGGAGTGCAGTGAGGTGATCTTGGCTCGCTGCAGCCTCCACCTCCCGGGTTCAAGCCACATTGGCGCCTCCTGCGCCCAGCCACAGCAAGCCATATTTCATCAGACACTTGAGGGATGAGTATCAGAAAGTCAGGTGAAGAGGCTGGGCGCGGTAGCTCACACCTGTAATCCCAGCACTTTGGGAGGCCAAGGTGGGCAGATCACGAGGTCAGGAGTTTGAGAACAGCCTGACCAACATGGTGAAACCCCATCTCTACTAAATACAAAAAAATTAGCCAGGCGTGGTGGTGCATGCCTGTAATCCCAGCTACTCAGGAGGCTGAGGAAGGAGAATTGTTTGAACCCGGGAGGCGAAGGTTGCAGTGAGCCGAGATCGCACCCTTGCACTCCAGCCTGGGAGACAGGGTGAGACTCCATCTCAAAAAAAAAAAAAAGAGAAAGTCAGGTGAAGCAGGGACGGGGTCCAGGGTCAGAAGAGTGTTCTGGGTGGAAGGAACAGAAGCTATATGTATTACGTTTTTAAAATTTTCTGTATTTATGATGCTTTGACATCTTACAAAGCTTGCTGGCCTGAAAGAAACTCCCCCTCCCAGGGGTAGCCAATCCTCAGGACACCAAAGAGCTCAACCAGGAGGATGTCTTTAGTCCCAGCACTTTGGGAGGCCAAGGTGGGTGTATCACCTAAGATCAGGAGTTCAAGATGAACCTGGCCAACATGGTGAAACCCTGTCTCTACTAAAAATACAAAAAAAAAAAAAATTAGCCAGGCGTGGTGTCGGGCGCCTGTAGTCCCAGCTACTCGGGAGGCTGAGGCAGGAGAATGGCGTGAACCTGGGAGGTGGCGGTTGCAGTGAACAGAGATCGCACCACTTCACTCCAGCCTGGGCAACAAAGTGAAACTCCATTTCAAAAAGATAAATATAAATAAATAAATAAATAAATAAATATAGAAAAGAAACCCCAGTGCAGGCTCTGGCTCAGGCTTCTGCCACCTGACCAAACCTGGCACTCCCCTATGGCCCTTCATGGCATTTGGTGAGACCCCTCCCTGGACCTGTGAGTATACCTACATGTTCCTTCCAATCTTGGTTCCCGCCGTCCCCTCCTGCGGGTGCACTGATTGTCCCATACCACGTCCATCATCTCTATGCTTGGAACACTTCAGGCTTCAAGCAGGAGGTCTGAGGAAGAACAGGAGAGAAGGAGAGCAAAATGTCGAACTCACCTTGATGAGTTGGTGGAAAGAGAAAATTATAAATTCTCAGAAGAAATCTTTCTGTTTAGGGAGATTCTAATGGTGAAAGATCGATGATGAGACGCTATCACTGGTGTAGTGACGTCAATCGGGGTTGGCAGGATGAGTTAGCCTCCTAGGAGCAAAGAAGGATTGTCAATAAGAGTAATAAGAGTAGGAGGCCATGCACGGTGGCTCATGCCTGTAATCCCAGCACTTTGGGAGACCAAGGCGGGTGATCACCTGAACTCAGGAGTTCCAGACCAGCCTGGCCAATGTGGTGAAACCCCGTCTCTACTAAAAATATATAAAAATTAGCTGGGCATGGTGGCGGGTGCCTTTAATCCCAGCTACTTGGGAGGCTGAGGCAGGAGAATCTCTTGAACCTGGGAGGCAGAGGTTGCAGTGAGCCGAGATTGCACCACTGCAGTCCAGCCTAGGGTGACAGATCAAGACTCCGTCGCAAAAAGAAAAAAAAAAGTAATGTGAGTAGGGTTTTTAAAATTTTTATGTTTTAGAGACAGGGTCTCACTCTGTTGCCCAGGCTGGAGTGCACTGGAGCAATCATAGCTCAGTACCCGGCTAGTTTTTAAATACTTCGTAGAGACAAAGTCTTGCTATATTGCCCAGGTGGGTCTCGAACTCCTGGCCTCAAGCAATCCTCCTGCCTTGGCCTCCCAAAGTGCTGGCATTACAGGTATGAGCCACCATGCCTGTCCTAGAGTTGATATTAATAGCAGGTAACCGTTGAGAGGTACTATGTCCCAGGTCCCTCTCCTAAATGATTTAGATATGTTAACTCATTTACTGTTTGCAACACGACTACAAAGCAGATAAAATTAGTACTTCCATTTTACAGATTAGAGGTTAAGTATGTTATTCACTGTCTTATAATTAGTATCAAACATATGTTCCTCTGGGGACTGGGGACAGAGGGACTTTCTAGGCAGATGGGACAACATATGCAAAAACGAGAATAAAAGGGAATAAAGGAGGCAAGACGAGGGTATAGCTTATCTCAAATAGTTGTTGGAGAAGATTCACACTCTCGCTGAAAAATATCTCAACTTCGTATAATGAAAGAGAGTTAAAGAAGTGTGAGGCGGGGCAGGGAGCTAATTCCTGTAATCCCAGCACTTTGGGAGGCCGAAGCGGGTGGATTGCTTCAGTCCAGGAGTTCAAGATCAGCCTGGGCAACATGGCAAGACCCCATCTCTACAAAAAATTTTAAAATGAGACAGGCGCAGTGGCATCCACATGTAGTCCCAGCTACTCAGGAGGCTGAGGTGGGAGGATCACTTGTGCCCAGCAGTTTGAGGCTACAGTGAGCTATGATCACACTCCAGTCTGGACAACAGAGTGAGACTTAGTCTCAAAAAAAAAAAAAAAAAAAAAAGAAGCGCTTAGGCCAGGTGCGGTGGCTCACGTCTGTAATCCCAGCACTTTGGTAGGCCAAGGCGGGCAGATCACCTGAGGTCAGGAGTTCCAGACCAGCCTGGCCAACATGGTGAACGCCTTCTCTACTAAAATTACGAAAATTAGCTGGGCGTGATGGCACACCCCTGTTATCCCAGCTACTCGGGAGGCTGAGGCAGGAGAATCGCTTGAACATGGGAGGCAGAGGTTGCAGTGGGCTGAGATCGCACCACTGCACTCCAGCCTGGGTGACAGAGTGACACTCTGTCTCAAAAGAAAAAAAAAAGTGTGGTGGCTGGAGGCGGTGGCTCACATCTGTAATCCCAGCTCTTTGGGAGGCTGAAGCAGGCAAATCACCCGAAGTCAGGAGTTCGAGACAAGCCTGGCCAACATGGTGAAACCCCGTCTCTACTAAAAATACAAAAAATTTAGCCAGGTATGGTGGCAGACGCCTGTAATTCCAGCTACTCGGGAGGCTGAGGTAGGAGAATTGCTTGAACTGGGAGACAGAGGTCACAGTGAGCTGAGACCGCGCCATTGCATTCCAGCCTGGGCGACAAGAGCGAAACTCCATCTCAAAAAGAAAGGAAAGGAAAAAGGAAAAGGAAAAGGAAAGGAAAGGAAAGGGGAAAGGGAAGGGGGAAGGGAAGGGGGAAGGGAAGGAGGAAAGGAAAAGGCTGATGTAGCTCATGCTTGTAATCCCAGAACTTTGGGAGGTTGAGGGGGGTGGATCACCTGAGGTCAGGAGTTTGAAACCAGCATGGCCAACATGGTGAAAACTAGTCTCTACTAAAAATACAAAAATTAGCCCGGCTAGGCTGGGCGCGGTGGCTCACGCCTGTAATCTCAGCATTTTGGGAGGCCGAGGTGGGCGGATCATGATGTCAGGAGATCGAGACCATCCTGGCTAACACGGTGAAATCCTATCTCTATTAAAAATACAAAAAATTAGCCAGGCATGGTGGCAGGCACCTGTAGTCCCAGCTACTCTGGAGGCTGAGGCAGGAGAATGGCGTGAACCCAGGAGGCAGAGCTTGCAGTGAACTGAGATCGCGCCACTACACTCCAGCCTGGGCGACAGAGCGAGACTCTGTCTCAAAAAAAAAAAAAAAAAAAAATTAGCCAGGTGAGGTGGCAGGCTCCTGTAATCCCAGGTACTCGGGAGGCTGAGGCAGGAGAATTGCTTGAACCTGTGAGGCGAAGGTTGCAATGAGCCAAGATCTTGGCATTGCAAACCAACCTGGGTGAGAGTCAGATTCTGTCTCAAAAAAAAAGAAAAAAAAAAAGAGGGTGGTTATCACCAGGGTGGTTTCTCTCATCTCGATGTTGGCAGCCAGTGTCTGTGGTGGCATTGAGGTCTCCTACAAAGAGTGGCTTATGGGGCATTTATAAAAAATATAGACTAATAGGCTGGGCACGGTGGCTCACGCCTGTAATCCCAGCACCTTGGGAGGCCAAGGCGGGCAGATCACAAGGTCAGGAGTTCAAAACCAGCCTGGCCAACATGGTGAGATCCCGTCTCTACTAAAAATACAAAATTTAGCCAGGCATGATGGCACATGCCAGTAGTGCCAGATACTCAGGAAGCTGAGGCAGGAGAATCGCTTGAACTCAAGAGGCAGAGGCTCTGGTGAGCTGAGATTATGCCACTGCACTCCAGCCTGGGCAACGGAGCAAGACTCCATCTCAAAAAAAATATATATATATATATATATATTTGTATATATTACATATATAGTAATAATACCTGTTATTTTGACACTATTATACAGCAGGTCCCTCTTCTATATAATCTATATGAGTTATACATGTTAACTCACTAATTATGTGCAACACTAGGAGGAAGATTTAACTAGATTTCCGTTTTACGAGTTCCAACAACTAAAAGGGGATGGTGGCCGGGCACGGTGGCCCACGCCTAAAATCCCAGGATTTTGGGAGCCCAAAGCTGGTGGATCAGAAGGTCAGGAGATCCAGACCAGCGTGGCCAAAGTGGTGAAACCCCATCTCTACTAAAAACTAAAAAAAAAAAAATTAGTCGGGCATGGTGGTGCGCACCTGTAGTCCCAGCTACTCTGGAGGCTAAGGCAGGAGAATCACTTGAACCCGGGAGGCAGAGGTTGCAGTAAGTGAAGATCATGTCACTGCACTCCAGCCTGGATGACAGAGTGAGAATCTGTCTCAAAATAAATAAATAAATAAATAAATAAATAGGAATGGCTAAAACACAAAAACAAGGCTGGGCACAGTCGTTCATGCCAGGGAGAAAAGTAGGGTGGATCAGTTACACTTAAGAGTCCTTGGCTGGGTGCGGTGGCTCGCACCTGTAATCGCAGCACTCTGAGAGGCCGAGGTGTGTGAATCACCTGAGGTCAGGAGTTCAAGACCAGCTTGACCAACATGGTGAAACCCCATCTATACTAAAAATGTAAACATTAGCCAGGCATGATGGCACACACCTGTAGTTCCAGATACTCAGAAGGCTGAGGCAGGAGACTCACTTGAACCCGGGAGGTGGAGGTTGCAGTGAGCTGAAATTCTGCCACTGCACTCCAGGCTGGGTGACAGAGTGAGACTCCGTCTCAAAAAAAAAAAAAAAAGAGTCCTTGCGATATCAGGTGAGGAGTGTAGCAGGGCGTAAAAGAGACCTGAGAAATATCTGCAACAAACAGCCAGGTGCGATGGCGAATGGTGTAGGCCTTGTGGATCGCAGATGCAACAGCAGATGCCGCAGCGTGGTGATGCGGGCAGCGATGTGGAGTGCCTAGTGGCTAACTCAGCTTAGAAAAATATCCTGGGGCAAGGCTGGACAAAAGAGGGAGACCAAAGGAGAGCCCCTCCCTCAGGCTCAGAGTGATGTCCTTTAGTGTCCGGCAGGTTGAGTCAAGCCTCCTAGGGCAAAAATGAAAACATCAGCGTTAGCAAGACAAAATATTGATACCAACAAGGACTAAAAGTTACTGGAAACCTACAATAGATCAAAACCCTCTTCAGGGCTGGGTGTGGTGGCTCACACCTGTAATCCCAGCACTTTGGGAGGCCAAGGTGGGCAGATCTCCTGAGGTCAAGAGTTCAAGACCAGCCTGGTCAACATGGTGAAACCCTGTCTCTACTAAAAATACAAAAATTAGCTGGGCGTGGTGGCTCATGCCTGTAGTCCCAGCTACTCAGGAGGCTGAGGCAGGAGAATCACTTGAACCCGAGAGGCGGAGGTTGCAGTGAGCCGAGATTGAGCCACTGCACTCCAGCCTGGGTGACAGAGCGAGACTCTGTCTCAAAACAAAACAAAACAAAAACCCTCTTCGTGTGATGTATATACCTTAACTCACGGACGACCTACACAACCAGCTTGGGAGTTAGGTACCCTTAATCACTTTAAGGTTAGAAAAAAGGGGCAGGAGGTTAACTAGGTTAGGGATCAGTACAAATCTATCCTTGCTAGAGACCCCAGAATATGTCCCCTTGGTTTCTAACTTCTCCCCGAACAGCTCTGAATATGCAGATTGAGTAAGGAAGGGGAAAAAAAGAGGAATTTACATGCCCTAAGATGGAGAGTTCCTAAAACAACGTACTGGAAGACAATAAAAACATAAACGCCACATAATACTATGTATTTCCTGTGGGGGCATGTGTGTGTGTGTGTATATATACATATCTCAATATACTATATACTTATATATTCTGGTGTTACATATATTTATTGCGGTTTCTGGGTATATATATGTGTGTGTATATATATGTATACATACATATATATGTATTTAAGGCTAGGTGTGGTGGCTCCTGGCTGTAATCCCAGCACTTTGGGAGGCCGAGGCGGGCAGATTACTTGAGGTCAGGAGTTTGAGACCAGCCTGGTTGACATGGCAAAACCCCATCTTTACTAAAAATACAAAAATTAGCTGGGCATGGTGGCAAGTGCCTGTAATTCCAGCTACTTGAGAGGCTGAGGCAGGAGAATTGCTTGAACCTGGGAGGCAGAGGTTGCAGTGAGCCAAGATAGCACCACTGCACTCCAGCCTGGGCCACAGCGCTAGACTGTATCTAAAATAAATAAATAAATAAATAAATAAATAAATAAATAAATAAATAAATAAGCTGGGTGCGGTGGCTCACGCCTGTAACCCCAGCCCTTTGGGAGGCCAAGGTGGGTGGATCACCTGAGGTCAGGAGTTCGAGACCAGCCTGACCAACATGGTGAAACCCCACCTCTACTAAAAATACAAAAATCAGCCAGGTGTGGTAGCCCGCACCTGTAATTCCATCTACACGGGAGGCTGAGGCAGGACAATCAGCTTGAACCCAGGAGGCAGAGGTTGCAGTGAGCCGAGACTCCATCTCAAAATAAAATAAAATTAAAATAAATAAATATATATATATATGTATCTATATATATTTAATTTAATAGAGACACAGGCGCAGTGGCTCACACCTGTAATCCCAGCACTTTGGGAGGCCAAGGCAGGTAGACTGCCTGAGCTCAGGAGTTCGCAACCAGCCTGGGCAACACAGTGAAACTGCATGTCTACTCAAATACAAAACATTAGCCAGGTGTAGCGGTGTGCACCTGTGGTCCCAGCTACTACGGAGGCTCAGATAGGAGAATTGCTTGAACCTGGGAGGCAGATGTTGCAGTGAGCCAAGATCATGCCACTGCACTCCAGCCTGGGTGACAGAGGGAGACAGTGTCTCAAAAAAAAAAAAAAAAAAAAAAAAACAGAAAGAAAGAAAATAGAGACGCAGTCTCCTTATGTTGCCCTGGCTGGTCTTGAACTCTTGGATTCAAGCCATTCTCCCGCCTTTGCCTCCTGAACTGCTGAGATTACAAGTGTGAGCCACTACACCCAGCCTAAAAATATATTTTATATGTTTAGGTGGATAAATACCCACCCGGGCCGGGCGCGGTGGCTCACGCCTGTAATCCCAGCACTTCGGGAGGCCAAGGCAGGCGGATCACGAGGTCAGGAGATCGAGACCATCCTGGCTAACACAGTGAAACCCCGTCTCTACTAAAAATACAAAAAATTAGCCGGGCCTGGTGGCGGGCACCTGTAGTCCCAGCTACTCGGGAGGCTGAGGCAGGAGAATGGCGTGAACCCGGGAGGCCGAGCTTGCAGTGAGCCGAGATCGCGCCACTGCACTCCAGCCTGGGCGACAAAGCGAGACTCTATCTCAAAAAAAAAAAAAGGATAAATTCGCACCCATAAATATATATTTTCTGCATACATACACGTATATGTATATATAGTATATTTACACATACAAATATGTATACATACATATATATGTAATACAGACAAGTCCCCGCAGAAAATACCTATTATTTGGAACTTATATTTTTATTGTCTCACAGAATATGTTATTTTATGTGTTGTTCTGCAACTTGCATATACAGGTATACTGTATTTTATTTATATTTCTATATATGTTAGTGTTAACGAATATAAAAGTCAGGAAACTCAGCTGGTAAACTCTCAGGAGGGGAGAAAGAACGAGATCAGGTTTCATGGGTCAACACAGACTTTAGGTTTCCTCGTGAACAGCAGGGAGGAGCGGCCCGGAGCGAACCCGCAGTCCACGTAGGCGCAGTCGGCTTTCAGCAGCGCGATCACCCTCTCACCCGACCTCCGCAGGCCGCCGTCCGAAGACTAGCCCACCAGAGAGCATGCGCCATGGGTGCTCCCGCGTGGTAGCCGCCCCTCCTGCCCCGCCTGCCCAGTCGGAAAGGAGAAGGGGCGGGGTCTGCGGCGGGCTCCGCCCCCAAACTGCGGCGCGCGCGTGGGTGGGGCGGGTCTTACGTCTGGAGAAGGGCTACTTCCGGGGTGGACGGCAATGGCTGTGGGCAAGGAGCGAGGCGCGATTGGCTGTCCGGCGGACGAGTTCTGGGGCCCGCGAGCGCAAAGTGGAAGGCGGCGGGGCCGGGGCTGTGGCTGCGCCGCCCGCCATCTACCTCCCCGCGGCGGCCCGGCCCCCGGTATGATGGTGGGGACCGGTGGGGATCTAGGTCGCGGGCCAGGAGGAGGGTGTTGGGGAACGTGTGTCCAGCTCACCTCCGTTAGCCGCTGAACGCTAGCACCGACAGAAGATTCTCTCATCTTAAAGCGGAGGTATACGGGGTGTCGGGGGAAGACACTCCCACCAGACTCAGAGTTACTCTGATCTGAAAGATGACAGTCGCAGCACGTCAGCCAGAATCAAGTCTCCTAGGAGCCTAAACTAAAGGATCAGAGCAAATAATGGTATTAGGTACAAGACTCTCTGAGAGCTTGCCATAAATATGTCAATCGATGTAATCCTCACTACAGCCCTGTAAATTAGGTGGTAAAATATCATTTACAAATAAAAAACTGAGACACAGGGTAATGTGTTTAAAATCAGCGAGCAGTGGCAGAATTCGCTGTAAACATTACACTGCGTATAGATGATACTTTTCCAGATGTTTGAAATGTTGGACACAATTCCCATTCCGCTGGGGGAAATAGCTAGATTTACTGTTATTGAAGAATCCAGTTATGGACTACCATGCTATACTGACATAGGAAGTTCCCCCAAGACGTATTTGGGAGTGGATTTTAAAAGTTACAGAAAAAGAGATATGAGTACTTTTTTTTTTTTTTTTTGAGACAGAGACTCACTCTGTCGCCCAGGCTGGAGTGCAGTGGCGCGATCTCGGCTCTCTGCAATCTGCACCTCCCGGGTTCAAGCGATTGTCCTGCCTCAGGCTCCTGGCAAATTTTTGTATTTTTAGTAGAGACGCGGTTTCACTATGTTGGCCAGACTGGTCTCCAACTGCTGACCTCAAATGATCCACCCACCTTGGCCTCACTCCCAAAGTGCTGGGATTACAGGCGTGAGCCACCGCGCCCAGCCAGTAATTCTTTTTTTTTTTTTTTTAAGTAATTCTTTTACACAAAAACCCCTTAAAACAATACTGTTTTTTTGTGGTATATGCTTATGTAAATGAATAGAAAAAGATGTATACACATTACTATAAAAAGACCTGCAGTATTAATAACATACGCTAAACTGCCAACAGTCAATAGGGGAGGGAAACTTTATCCTATTCATGAAGTTTTTTTTTTTTTTTTTTTTTTTTTTGAGACGGAGTCTCGCTCTCTCGCCCAGGCTGGAGTGCAGTGGCGCGATCTTGGCTCACTGCAAGCTCTGCCTCCCGGATTCATGCCATTCTCCTGGCTCAGCCTCCCGAGTAGCTGGGACTACAGGCGTCCGCCACCAGGCCTGGCTAATTTTTTGTACATTTAGTAGAGACGGGGTTTCACCATGTTGGCCAGGATGGTCTCGATCTCTTGACCTCGTGATCCACCCGCCTTGGCCTCCCAAAGTGCTGGGATTACAGGCATGAGCCACCGCGCCTGGCCTATGAAGTTTTTTTTGGGGGGCGTAGGGGGGTGAAATGTGGTCAGAAAAATGTATATATACATACTGTATCTTCTCTACATAATAAAAATTATCTTTAAAACTTGAGTAAGAATGACAAATTTCACCAAGCATGGTGTCTCAAAAAAAAAAAAAAGAATGACGTTTTGTATAATTTGAGCACCTACTCTGGTATAATGGCTTTTGAATAATTGTAGAAATAAAATCTACCATTAGGGGGTGAGGATTTGAGGGTTATGAGAATAAGAGCATAAACATAAAGCACATTCAGGGAATTCCAAAAGAATTTTTACAGTACTTTAAAACAGTGCAGTATTTCATAATTTAGTCCAAGGCAGCTTAATAACAAACAATGTTAGCTAAAACTGCTCTATATCTATGTTACATAGCTCATATTTAATGAAGAATTAGAGGCACTCAATAATACTAAGTACTATTTATTTATTTATTTATTTATTTATTTTTGAGACAGAGTCTGGCTCTGTCGCCCAGGCTAGAGTGCAGTGGCCCAATCTCGGCTCACTGCAAGCTCCGCCTCCGGGGTTCAAGCGATTCTCCTGCCTCAGCCTCCAGCGTAGCTGGGATTACAGGCACGTGCCACCCCGCCGGGCTAATTTTTTGTATTTTTAGTAGAGATGGGGTTTCACCGTGTTAGCCAGGGTGGTCTCGATCTCCTGACCTTGTGATCCGCCCGCCTTGGCCTCCCAAAGTTCTGGGATTACAGGTATGAGCCCCCGTGCTTGGCCAATACTAAGTACTTTTTAAAATATGGCTCCTGATATTTTCAGTTGAAATATTTTATAAATGTATTCAATGTTGATTACTGTAAAGTGTTTCACTTTAATAAAATTCAAGATATGCCTACATCTTATACCTGACAATTTTGTGACCCTATATAAAAATTGTTACAAACAAAAAACCCTTAGTAACATCTATTTTGTACATTACACTGGGGTGGAGGCTTTAAAACCAAAAGGGATATGCCCAGGGATTGAAATGAGGGCAATTCGCTCTTAATTGACAGGATCTACTAGAAACTGACATTTAAAATATGTTAGTTGACCTAAGGAATACCAAGAGCCAAATTTGGCTTGGGAATCTCTTAGTTATTCACCCTATTTGGAGAAGTAAAGAAGAAAGCAGAAGTAGTTGTGCTCACCTGACAAGTGCCTTCGTATCTGGGACTTACCATCAGACAGTTGGCAAGACCCTGTTAATTGAGGGTTCAAATCCTGATGACATCACAACTGTTGCTTGGTAGCCAGCCAGATCAACAATTTTCACAAGGCCTTGGCTTAAGCTATTTTTTTTTTTTTTTTTTGAGATGGAGTCTTGCTCTGTCTCCCAGGCTGGAGTGCAGTGGCACGATCTTGGCTCACTGCAAGCTCTGCCTCCTGGGTTCATGCCATTCTCCTGCCTCAGCCTCCGGAGTAGCTGGGACTACAGGCACCCGCCACCATGCCCGGCTAATTTTTTGTATTTTAAGTAGAGACAGGGTTTCACCGTGTTAGCCAGGATGGTCTCGATCTCCTGACCTAATGATCTGCCCGCCTCAGCCTCCCAAAGTGCTGGGATTACAGGTGTAAGCCATCGTGCCCGGATGGCTTAGGCTATTTCTTACCACAATAAGATGCTTCAAATAGAGTTTAACATGTATTAATTATTGCAATGTAACAAATTAACTACCCAGAAACATTTCTCCCACAGTTTCTGAAGGTCACGGATCAGAGCAGGGTGGCTTAATGGTTCTGGCTTATTTTTTTTTATTTTTTATTTTTTTTGAAACAGAGTTTTGCTTTTGTTGCCCAGGCTGGAGTGCAATGGCACGATCTCGGCTCACTGCAACCTCTGCCTCCCAGGTTCAAGCAATTCTCCTGCCTCAGCCTCCCAAGTAGCTGGGATTACAGGCGTGTGCCACCGTGCCTGGCTAATTTTTGTATTTTTAAGGGCCAGGCCCGGTGGCTCACGCCCACTTTGGGAGGCTGAGGTGGGTGGATCATGAGGTCAGCAGTTCGAGACCAGCCTGACCAACATGGTAAAACCCTGTCTCTACTAAAAGTACAAAAAAATTAGCTAGGTGTGGTGGCAGGCACCTGTAATCCCAGCAACTTGGTTGGCTGAGGCAGGAGAATCGCTTGAAACCGGAAGGTGGAGGTTGCAGTGAGATGAGATTGCACCACTGCACTCTAGCCTGGGCAGTAAGAGCAAAAAAAATTGCATTTTTAGTACAGACGGAGTTTCACCCTATTGGCCAGGCTGGTCTGGAACTCCTGACCTACAGTGATCTGCCTGCCTTGGCCTCCCGAAGTGCTGGGACTACAGGCGTGAGCCACTGCTCCTGGCCAGTTCGGACTCTTGAGTTTACAGGACATTTCAAGGGCCTACTGGGGATGAAGAATCTTTTCCAAACTCACTTTCTTCTTGGCAGGCTCACTTTCCCACAGTGAGGGCTGGCTAGGGCTACTCACAGCATGGCTTCCTCACCCCAGGGCAACAGATGAAAGAGGGAGAGAGTAAGATGAAAGCCACAGTGTCTTTTGAACTTCTCTGAGAAGTTACATACCATCAATTCTCCGTACATGAATCATCACACAGACCAACCTTAGTACAATGTAAGAGGGAACTTGACAAGGGTATCATTTCCCAAACTCTCCCTCTCATGGATAATTACTATATACAGGGTGCGTAAGAGCTGTGGTCAAAATGAAGGAATTAGAGACACTACACAAACAAGATTAGGCCCTGGTGGCCCGGCACGGTGGCTCATCACGCCTGTAATCCCAGCACTTTGGGAGGCTGAGGTGGGCAGATCACAAGATCAGGAGTTCAAGACCAGCCGGACCAATATGGTGAAACTCCGTCTCTACTAAAAATACAAAAATTAGCTGGGCGTGGTGGCATGTGCCTGTAATCTTAGCTACTCAGGAGGCTGAGGCAGGAGAATTGTTTGAACCTGGGAGCCAGAGGTTGCAGTGAGCTAAGATCGCTCCACTGCACTCCAGCCTGGGCAACAGAGCAAGACTCTGTATCAAGAAAAAAAAAAAATTGCTGGGCACAGTGGCCCATGCCTGTAATCCCAGCACTTTGAGAGACCAAGGCGGGCGGATCATGAGGTCAGGAGATGGAGACCATCCTGGCTAACACGGTGAAACCCCGTCTCTACTAAAAATACAAAAAATTAGACGGGCGTGGTGGCGGGCGCCTGTAGTACCAGCTACTTGGGAGGCTGAAGCAGGAGAATGGCTTGAACCCGGGAGGTGGAGCTTGCAGTGAGCCGAGATCGCGCCACTGCACTCTAGCCTGGGTGACAGAGTGAGACTCCTTCTCAAAAAAAAAAAAAAAAAAAGGCCGTGTGTGGTTGCTGACCTGTAATCCCAGCACTTTAGGAGGCTGGGGCAGGCGGATCATGAGGTCAGGAGTTCGAGACCAGCCTGGCCAATATAGTGAAACCCCATCTCTACTAAAAATACAAAAAATTAGGCAGGCATGGTGGCAGGCGCCTGTAATCCCAGCTACTCAGGAGGCTGAGGCAGGAGAATCGCTTGAACCCGGGAGGCAGAGGTTGCAGTGAGCCGAGATCGTGGATAGTGCCATTGCACTCCAGCCCAGGCAACAATGCAGGACTCTGTCTCAAAACAAACAAACAAAAAAAAATAGAAAAGAAAACATTAGGCCCTGGTGCTATACATGTATACATGTACAATTTCCTTCTTTCTTTTTTTCTTTTTCTTTTCTTTTTTTTTTTTGAGACAGAATCTCGCTCTGTTGCCCAGACTGGAGTGCAGTGGCGCGATCTCGGCTCACTGCAAGCTCCGCCTCCGGGGTTCACGCCATTCTCCGGCCTCACCCTCCCGAGTAGCTGGGACTACAGGCGCCTGCCACCACGCCCGGCTAATTTTTGTATTTTTTAGTAGAGACAGGGTTTCACCTTGTTAACCAGGAGGGTCTCAATCTCCTGACCTCGTGATCTGCCCACCTCGGCCTCCCAAAGTGCTGGGATTACAGGCGTGAGCCACTGCGCCCGGCCTACAATTTCCTTAACATCAGTTGAAGATGATAAAATATATACAACTACAGCTATATCCAAACACGTTATTAGTTACCTTATATGATTTCTGTAGCTATCTGTTTATTGATCCATCCAACTGAAGCAGTATCTTTTAACTCTCTGCTATATAGATAAGAAATGTTGGCTGGGCGCGGTGGCTCACACCTGCAATCCCAGCACTTTGGGAAGCCGAGGCAGGTGGATCATCTGAGGTCAGGAGTTCAAGACCAGCTTGGCCAACATGGTGAAACCCCATCTCTACTAAAAATTTAAAATTAGCCGGGCATGGTGGCACACGCCTGTAATCCCAGGTACTTGTGTGGCTGAGACAGGAGAATCACTTGAACCTGGGAGGCAGAGGCTGCAGTGAGCCGAGGTCGCACTATTGCACTCCAGCCTGGGCAAGACAGAGCAAGACTATGTCTAAAAAAAAATAAAAAAGAAAGAAAAAAGAAGAAAAAGTAATGTTGGCCGGGAGCGGTGGCTCACACCTGGAATCCCAGCAGTACTTTGGGAGGCCAGAGTGGGTGGATCACTTGAGGTCAGGAGTTCGAGACCAGCCTGACCAACGTGGTGAAATCCCGTCTCTACTAAAAATACAAAAATTATCTCGGCATGGTGGAGCACGTCTGTAATCCCAGCTACTTGAGAGGCTGAGGCAGGAGAATTGCATAAACCCAGGAGGCGGAGGTTGCAGTAGTGAGCCAAGATTGCGCCATTGCACCCCAGTCTGGGTGACAGAGCAAGACTCTGTCAAAAAAAAAAAAAGAAAATAAATGTTTATTTCTTTTTATTACTTCCAAACATGAATAGATAGACCATTAATTTTATACTATTATGGTTTACAGCACTTACCTTCTATTGAGTAACCATAATTAAGTATTCTTGAAATCCTGATGATTAAGAAAGGTAGCTAATTGGGGGTTTCCTTTGACATTAGTGACCTCTCTCCTAATTGACAGAACTGACTTGCAAGTCCATGTGGATATTGTGGGGAAGATCTCGAATTAGGGGGTTTGGTGATGAGGGTGGTAGGGAACAGAGTGGGCAAGCAATTTGTGCATAAACACACAGACACAGACACACACAGACATACACACAGGCAAGATACATATATAAAAGTAGATATACACACAGGTAAGATACATATATAGACGTAGATATACACAGACACACACCTACACTGCTTTAGAGAGTTTGTCTTTGCTTCATCATGAGGGAAAAGATACATGGTAGATATGACATAGGTGAAGAAGATGGGTAAGGGCCATCCATGCAGCCAGGCCAACAATGATTCAATCAGTCACTTAGATTTCTGTCCTTCTGGGTGACTCTCTGTCCCTGCTGCAGAGGCTGTGACCTCAAGAACAAGCCCCCCTCCCTAGCACTCCGTCATGAATGCTTAAGTAATGAATCTTACATCTTACTTTTCTGTCCATTCATCAGTGTGATCCCATAGACCACTGTGACAGCTCTTGAAAGCTGTCTCTTTACTTGTGAATTTTTTTTTTTTTTGAGACGGAGTCTCGCTCTGTCACCCAGGCTGGAGTGCAGTGGTGCGATCTCGGCTCACTGCAACCTCCGCCTCCCAGGTTC
This sequence comes from Homo sapiens, assembly GCF_000001405.40. Taxonomy (NCBI): domain Eukaryota; kingdom Metazoa; phylum Chordata; class Mammalia; order Primates; family Hominidae; genus Homo; species Homo sapiens. The sequence continues at coordinate 6,074,278 of NC_000007.14, read as the reverse complement.
ACACCATTCTCCTGCCTCAGCCTCCTGAGCAGCTGGGACTACAGGCGCCCACCACCACGCCCGGCTAATTTTTTGTATTTTTAGTAGAGAAGGGGTTTCACTGTGTTAGCCAGGATGGTCTCGAACTCATGACCTCAGGTGATCCACCCGCCTTGGCCTCCCAAAGTGCTGGGATTACAGGCATGAGCCACCACACCTGGCCATAACATTTCTTATCTATGTAACAGGGAGTTAAAAGATACTATTTTAATTGGATGAATCAACAAGCAGGTTCTTTTTGTTGTTGTGTTTTGTTTTGTTTTGTTTTGTTTTGAGACGTAGTTTTGCTCTTGTTGCCCCGGTTAGAGTGCAATGGCGCTATCTCAGCTCACTGCAACCTCCGCCTCCCTGTTTCAAGCAATTCTTCTGCCTCAGCCTCCTGAGTAGCTGGGATTACAGGCATGTGCCACCACGCTTGGCTAATTTTTTGTATTTTTAGTAGAGAAGGGGTTTCTCCACGTTGGTCAGCTGATCTGGAACTCCCGACCTCAGGTGATACGCCTGCCTCGGCCTCCCAAAGTGGTGGAATTACAGGCATGAGCCACCGCGCCCAGCCACAAACAGGTATTTATGGAAATTATAGGCCATAGGGAAGGAGTCTGTACTTTGCTGTTAGTGCGTTTGAAAGACTGACTCACTGCAAGGCTGATCTCCTGCTTCTACTCGTGCCTTCTTTTTTTTTTTTTGAGATGGAGTCTTGCCCTATTTCTCAGGCTGGAGTGCAGTGGCACGATCTCAGCTCACTGCAAGCTCTGCCTCCTGCGTTCCTGCCATTCTCCTGCCTCATCCTCCTGAATAGCAGGGACTACAGGCGTCCACCACCACACCAGGCTAATTTTTTGTATTTTTTTTTTTAGTAGAGACGGGGTTTCACTGTGTTAGCCAGGATGGTCTTGATCTCCTGACCTGGTGATCCGCCTGCCTCGGCCTCCCAAAGTGCTGGGATTACAGGTGTGAGCCACCGTGTCTGGCCTACTCCTGCCTTCTTTGTTCACTCTTGTCCTCTTTCTTTGAAACACACTAAGCTCATTTCTACCCCAGGGCCCTTGCACTTTCTTTCTGCATGGGTCCAGGAATCAAGTGTTAGAAATGAGAATGGCACCGCTTAGTATTACCCCTAGTGACCCACTGGCCAAATCTTTTTTTTTTTTTTTTTTTTTTTTGAGACGGAGTCTCACTCTGTTGCCCAGGCTGGAGTATAGTGGCACAGTCTCAGCTCACTGCAACCTCCGCCTTCCGGGTTCAAGCAATTCTCCTGCCTCAGCCTCCCTAGCAGCTGGGACTACAGGCGTGTGCCACCACGCCCAGCTAATTTTTGTATTTTTAGTAGAGATGGGGTTTCACCATGCTGGCCAGGCTGGTCTCAAACTCCTGACCTCAGGTGATCTGTCCGCCTTAGCCTCTCAAAGTGCTGGGATTACACTTTGAGCGTGAACCACTGCACACGGCTCACTAGTTAAATCTTTCCTTCCTGTTCCCATAACCTTATGCTCTGCTAGCCTAGAGGTCTTAGTTCCAAAGAGAGCAATGCCTCCACCAGGAGACATGCTATGGTTTGACTATTTGTCCCCTCCAAAACACAAGTTGAAATTTAATCCCCAATGTGGCAGTATTTAGAGGTGGGGCCTTTAAGAGTTGATAGAGTCATGGCCAGGTGCGGTGGCTCATGCCTGTAGTCCCAGCACTTTGGGAGGCTGAGGCAGGTGGATCACGAGGTCAGGAGATCGAGACCATCCTGGCTAACACGGTGAAACCCCATCTGTACTAAAAATACAAAAAATTAGCTGGGCGTAGTGATAGGCGCCTGTAGTCCCAGCTACTTGGGAGGCTGAGGCAGGAGAATGGCGTGAACCCTGGAGGCGGAGCTTGCAGTGAGCTGAGACCATGCCACTGTACTCCAGCCTGGGCGACAGAGCAAGACTCCGTCTCAAAAAAAAAAAAAAAAGAAGGTGATTCAGTCATGAGGGCTCTGCCCTTATGAATGAATTAATCTGTCCTTGGATTAATAAATTAATGGGTTAGGGCCGGGTGCAGTGACTTATGTCTGTAATCCCAGCACTTTGGAAGGCCAAGGTGGGCAGATCTCCCGAGGTTGGGAGTTCAGGAGGAGCCTGATCAACATGGAGAAACCCCGTCTCTACTAAAAATACAAAATTAGCCAGGCTTCGTGGCACATGCCTGTAATCCCAGCTACTTGGGAGGCTGAGGCAGGAGAATCACTTGAACTGGGGAGGCAGAGATTGCCGTCAGCCGAGATCGCGCCATTGCACTCCAGTCTGGGCAACAAGAGTGAAACTCCATCTTAAAATAATAATAATAATAATTAATTAATGGGTTAATGGATTAAGGAGTTATCATGGGAATGGGATTGGTGGCTATAAAGCTGTATAAATAAAAGGAGGAGAGGTGTGAGCTAGCATGCTGAGCCCCCTGGCCATGTGATGTCCTACACCACCTCGGGACTTTGCAGAGTCCTATCAGAAAGAAGGGCCTCACCAGATGCAGCCCTTTGACCTTGGACTTTTCAGCCCCCATAACTGCAAGAAATAATTTCTTTCTTTATAAATTACCCAGTTTCAGGTATTCTGTCATAAGCAACAGAAAATGGACTGACAACAGTGATTTCATTGAACTGACTTTTCAGTGCCACCTGGCCACTTTCAGTTCCTCTTGCCTCTGAATCAACAGGCAAAGAAAGACGTTACTGGGCTGACTTGGGTGATTAATCCTGACTACCAAAGAGAAATTGGACTGCTACTCCACAATGGAGCTAGGAAAGGGTATGTCTGAAATACAGGAGAGCGCTTAGGGTATCTCTTAGTATCAGAATGCCCTATGATTAGAGTCAATGGAAAACTGCAACAACCCAATCTTGGCAGGACTATGAATGGCCCAGGAAAGGAGGTTTGGTTCGCCACACCAGGTGACCCATGGCCAGCTGAGGTGTTTGTTGAGGAGAACGGGAATACGGAATGTGTGGTGGAAGAAGATGGTTATAAACACCAGCTACGACCCATCACCAGTTGCAGAACCGAGAGCTGCAATTGCCGTTGATGTTTCTTTTTGTTTTGTGATGGATGTGTGTGTGTGTGTGTGTGTATCACAAATGTCTTTGTTTTCATTCCCCACTTATCCTCTTATGTAACAAAAGATATATTGACTTTATATCATAGTATTTCAATATTGTTAACCTTATAGCATACTATTTAAGTTATGAGATACCAAGGAGAAGCATAAACATCACCCAAGAAACTTACATCCTCTTCTGGGAAAGAGATTAGTGCGGTTTTCATTGTATACGAGATAGTTGTATCACGTCAAGTGGATAGTTGTATCATGGTTGAAAAAGATGCATATAGTCTGGGTGCAGTGGCTCACACCTATAATCCCAGCACTTTGGGAGGCCAAGACAGGCGGATCACCTGAGGTCAGGAGTTCCAGAGCAGCCTGGCCAAAATGGTGAAACCCCGTTTCTACCAAAAATACAAAAATTATCTGGGCTTGGTGGTGCACAACTGTAGTTCCAGCTACTTGGGAGGCTGAAGCAGGAGAATCATTTGAGCCTGGGAGGTAGGCGCAGGTTGCAGTGAGCCGAGATTGCACCACTGCACTCCGGCCTGGCCAACAGAGCAAGACTCTGTCTCAAAAAACAAACAAACAAAATAAATAAATAAAAATTAAAAATGCGCATGGATGCTGTTGACAAGGGGTGAACTTGCCAAAGTTATTTTTTTTTTCTTTTGAGACAGAGTTTCACTCTTGTTGCCCAGGCTGGAGTGCAAAGGCATGATCTCGGCTCACCGCAACCTCCGCCTCCTGGGTTCAAGCGATTCTCCTGCCTCAGCCTCCCAAGTCGCTGGGATTACAGGCATGTGCCACCATGCCCAGCTAATTTTGTATTTTCAGTAGAGACGGGGTTTCTCCATGTTGGTCAGGCTGATCTCATACTCCCGACCTCAGGTGATTCGCCTGCCTTGGCCTCCCAAAGTGCTGGGATTACAGGTGTGAGCCACCACACCCGGCCTGTGATGGTTAGTTTTATGTGTCAACTTGGGTGGCCCACAATGCCCACATATTTGGTCAAAGATTATTCTGGGAGGGGCATGGTGGCTCATGCTTGTAATCCCAACACTTTGGGAGGCCTAGGTGGATGGATGGTTTAAGCCCAGGAGTTCAAGACGGGCCTGGGCCACATAGTGACACCCTGTCTCTATGAAAACTAAAAAAGTTAACTAGATGTGGGCCAGGCGCAGTGGCCACATTAACATTAAATTGGTGGACTTGATTTCTTTTTTCTTTTTCTTTTTCTTTCTTTTTGTTTTTTTTTTTTAGACGGAGTCTTGCTCTGTAGCCAGGCTAGAGTGCTGTGGCGTGATCTTGGCTCACTGCAACCTCTGACTCCCTGATTCAAGCGATTCTCCTGCCTCAGCCTCCTGAGTAGCTGGGATTACAGGCAAGTGCCACCATGCCTGGCTAATTTTTTTTTTTTTTTTTTTTGAGACGAGTCTCCCTCTGTCGCCCAGGCTAGAATGCAGTGGCGAGATCTCCACTCGCTGCAAGCTCCGCCTCCTGGGTTCACACCATTCTCCTGCCTCAGCCTCCCGAGTAGCTGGGACTACAGGCACCCGCCACCACGCCCGGCTAATTTTTTTGTGTTTTTAGTAGAGACGGGGTTTCACTGTGTTAGCCAGGATGGTCTCCATCTCCTGACGTTGTGATCCGCCCGCCTCGGCCTCCCAAACTGGTGGGATTACAGGCGTAAGCCACCACGCCTGGCCTAGCCCGACTAATTTTTGTATTTTCAGCAGAGACAGAGTTTCACTATGTTGGCCAGGATGGTCTCGGTCTCCTGACCTTGTGATCCACCCACCTTAGACTCTCGAAGTGCTGGGATTACAGGCATGAGCCACCGCACCCGGCCTGTTTTTTTTTGTTTGTTGTTTGTTTTTTGAGATGGAGTCTCCCTCTTGTTGCCCAGGCTGGAGTGCAGTGGCGTGATCTTGGCTCACTGCAAGGGTTCAAGTGATTCTCTGGCCTCAGCCTCCTAAGTAGCTGGGATTACACCATGCCTGGCTAATTTTTGTATTTTTAGTAGTGACAAGGTTTCACCATGTTGGCCAGCCTGGTCTAGAACCCCTGACCTCAGGTGATCTGCCGCCTTGGCCTCCCAAAGTGCTGGGATTACAGGCATGAGACACTGTGCCTGACCTAAGACTTTGAGTAAAGCAGATTGTCTTTATAATGTGGAGTATTGGAGGTTTCATTCAATCAGTTGAAAACTCAGATATGGCAAAAAGACTGACCTGCCCTGAGCAAGAAAGTTTCCGGCAGACAAGTTTCTGACTTAAACTGTAACACTGACTCTTCCTTCTCTGGGTCTCTAGTCTGCCAGTCCACCCTGCAGATTTTGGATTTAGCCTCCATGATCCTATAAGCCAATTTCTTTTCTTTTTCTTTTTCCTTTTTTTTTTTTTTTTTGACATGGAGTTTCACTCATGTTGCCCAGGCTAGAGTGCAATGGCACCATCTCGGCTCACCTCAACCTCCTCCTCCCGGGTTCAAGTGATCTCCTGCCTCAGTCTCCCAGGTAGCTGGGATTACAGGCATGCCCGGCTAATTTTGTATTTTTAGTAGAGACGGGGTTTCTCCATGTTGGTCAGGCTGGTCTTGAACTCCCAGCCTTGGGTGATCTGCCTGCCTTGGCCTCCCAAAGTACTGGGATTATAGGCGTGACCCACTGTGCCCGGCCGAGCTAATTTCTTAAAATAAATTTCTCTCTCCCTTTCTGTTTTTTTTTTTTTTTTTTTTTGAGACAGGGTCTTGCTCTGTCACCCAGGCTAGAGTGCAGTGGCACAATCTCGGCTTACTGCAAACTTCAGCTTCTGGATTCAAGCAATTCTCTTGCCTTAGCCTCCCGAGTAGCCTGAGTAGCTGGGATTACAGGCGTGCACCACCATGCCCAGCTAATTTTTTGTATTTTTAGTAGAGATGGAGTTTTGCTATGTTGGCCAGGCTGGTCTTGAACTCCTGGCCTCCAGTGACCTGCCTGCCTTCGCCTCCTATAGTGCTGGGATTACAGGCGTGAGCCACCACTCCCAGCCAAATAAATTTCTCTAAATATATACACATTCTATTCTCCTAGTTCTCTTTCTGCAGAGAATCCTGACTAATATATTTGCTGTCTTGAAAAAAAAATTGAAACATTTCAAACATATAAAAAGTTACCAAGAATAATGTGAATAAACACCAATGTTTCCACAATCAAATTTAACAACCACTGATGTTAAGCTATATTTGTTTGAGAATTGCTCTCTCTGTCACCCAGGCTGCAGTGCAGTGGCTCTAATCATACCTCACTTCAGCCTGCATCTCCCACACTCACCTGATCCTCTCACCTCAGCCTCCTGAGTAGCTAGGAGTACAGGTACATGCCACAACAACCAGCTAATTAAAAAAAAATTTTTTTTTTAATTTTGTTTTGTAGAGATGGGGGTGTTACTATGTTGCCCAGGCTGGTCTTGAACTCCTTGGCTCAAGCAATCCTCCCCTTTAAGCCTCTCAAACTGCTGGCATTACAGGCATGAGTCAAGGAGAATTTACAGGCAATTTACCTGGAAGAAAATTGCTTTTCTTAAAGAAATAATGGGCCAGGTGCAGTGAATGCCTGTAATCCCAGCACTTTGAGAGGCCAAGGCAGGTGGATCACCTGACATCAGGAGTTCGAGACCAACCTAGCCAAAATGGTGAAACTCTGTCTCTACTAAAAATACAAAAATTAGCAGGGCACAATGACAGGTGCCTGTAATTCCAGCTACTCGAGTGGCTGAGGCAGGAGAATCACTTGAACCGGGAGGCAGAGGTTGCAGTGAGCCGAGATCACACCATTGCACTCCAGCCACAACAAGATTGAAACTCCATCTCAAAAATAAATAAATAAATAAAGTTTACAGATACAGATATATTCCAGTGGTAACCCTTCCTGATCCCACTGTCTTCTCTCCCTCTCCAAATGTAATCACATTTTTCAAGTCAGGTGTCACTCTCATCTTATTTTTACTAGTAATGTATGTGTCCCTAAATAACATACTTTTTTTGGAGATGGAGTCTTGCTCTGTCGCCCAGGCTGGAGTACAGTGGCGCGATCTCAGCTCACTGCAACCTCCATTTCTTGGGTTCAGGCGATTCTTCTGCCTCAGCCTTCTGAGTAGCTGGGACTACAAGCGCACACCGCCACGCCTGGCTAACTTTTTGTATTTTAGTAGAGACAGGGTTTCACTGTTTTGTCCAGGCTGGTCTTGAACTCCTGAGCTCAGGCAATCTGCCCACCTTGGTCTCCCAAGGTGCTAGAATTACAAGCACGAGCCACCATGCCCGGCCAACATATATTTTTTTGTATATACAAAATTTTTTACATACATGATATCATTCTGCACTTTTTGAGGCTGAATTTAGAGCCAAAGTACATGGGTTTAAATTCTGCCTGCCAGAGATCTCTTTTTGGGGCAATGAGAATGGCTAAAATTAGATAGTGGTGATGGTTGTGCAATTCTCTGAGTATGGCCAGGCGGGGTGGCTCACCCCTGTCATCCCAGCACTTTGGGAGGCCGAGGAGGGTGGATCACGAGGTCAGGAGATCGAGACCATCCTGGCTAACATGGTGAAACCCCGTCTCTACTAAAAAATACAAAAAATTAGCCAGGCGTGGTGGCAGGCGCCTGTAGTCCCAGCTACTCAGAAGGCTGAGGCAGGAGAATGGCGTGAACCCGGGAGGTCGAGCTTGCAGTGAGCCGAGATCGCGCCACTGCACTCCAGCCTGGGCGACAGAGCGAGACTCCGTCTCAAAAAAAAAAAAAATTCTCTGAGTATGCTAAAAGTCACTTTAACAGAGTGACTTCTATGGTATGTAAATTATATCTGAATAAAGCTATTATAAAAAGACAGATAACAATGAAAGCTGAGATGTGAAAAAAAATCCTGGATGCACTATGAGTGGCCTGGCCTTGGACAAGTTATTTAAAAAACTTTCTTGGGCCCAGCACGGTGGCTCATGCCCGTAATCCTAGCACTTTGGGAGGCCGAGGCAGGCAGATCACGAGGTCCGGAGTTTGAGACCAGCCTGGCTAACATGGTGAAACCCCATCTCTACTAAAAATACAAAAAATAGCTGAGCATGGTGGCAGGAGCCTGTAATCCCAGCTACTTGGGAGGCTGAGGCAGGAGAATAGCTTGAACCCAGGAGGCAGAGGTTGCAGTGAGCCAAGATCACGTCACTGCACTCCAGCCTGGGCGACAGAGTGAGGCCCTGTCTCAAAACAAAAACAAAAACAAAACAAAAAAACACAAGCTTTTTTTAGGCTGGGCACAGTGGCTTATGCCTGTAATCCCAGCACTCTGGGAGGCCACAGCCAACATGGTGAAACCACGTCTCTACTAAAAATACAAAAATTAAACAGGTGTGGTGACGTGCGCCTGTAGTCCCAGCTACTCGGGAGGCTGAGGCAGGAGAATCGCTTGAATCCAGGAAGCGGAGGTTGCTGTGAGCCAAGATGGTGCCACTGTACTTCAGCCTGGGTGACAGAGCCAGACTCCATGTCAAAAAGGAAAAAAAAAAAGCTTTCTTTGCCTTCCTGTTCTTATCTATAAAATGAGATAATTATAGCATCTAGCTAGTAAGTTTGTTATGAGAATTGAGTGAGTTAACACTTTTTCTTTTTTTTTTTTTTGAGATGGAGTTGCACTCTTGTTGCCCAGGATAGAGTGCAATGGCACGATCTTGGCTCATTGCAACCTCCGCCTCCCAGGTTCATGGCATTCTCCTGCCTCAGCCTCCCGAGTAGCTGGGACTACAGGCGCCCGCCACCACGCCCAGCTAATTTTTTGTATTTTTAGTAGAGACGGGGTTTCACTGTGTTAGCCAGGATGGTCTCGATCTCCTGACCTTGTGATCCACCCGCCTCGGCCTCCCAAAGGGCTGGGATTATAAGCGTGAGTCACCGCGCCTGGCAGGTTTTTTACCAATTTGCTGTTAAAAACAATGTTGCAATAAACAGGCTTATATAATATCCATGGACATACATAAGAGTGTCCAAAGGGAACCTAGAGGGGACTTACTGGATCATGGGTATGCAACATGTTAACATAAAAAATTATGAATTGGGCAGGTGCAGTGGCTCATGCCTTAATCCAAGAACTTTGGGAGGCCAAGGAGGGCAGATCCCTTGAGTTCTGGAGTTTGAGACCAGCCTGGGCAAGATGGCAAAACCTGTCTCTACCAAAAATACAAAAAACTGGCTGGGCATAGTGGCACATGCTAGTGGTCCCAGCTACCTGGGAAGCCAAACTGGGAGGATCACCTGAGCTTGGGAAGTTGACGCTGCAGTGAGCCAAGATGTCGCTACTGCACTCCACCTGGGTGACAAAATGAGACCCCCATCTCAAAAAAAAAAAAAAAATTCCTCCAGGTGTGGTGGCTCACACCTGTAACCTCAGCAGTTTGGGAGGCCGAGGTGGGTGGATCACCTGAGGTCAGGAGTTTGAGACTGGCTTGGCCAACATGGTGAAACCCCATCTCTACTAAAATTACAGAAATTAGCTGGGCGTGGTGGCGGGCGCCTGTGATCTCAGCTACTGGGGAGGCAGAGGCAGAAGAATTGCTTGAACCCGGGAGGTGGAGTTTTCAGTGAGCTGAGATCGTGTCATTGCACTCCAGCCTGGGCGACAACAGTGAGACTCTCTTTAAAAAAAAAAATTATTCATAACACTTGTAACACTTGTTAAACATGGTAGGACTGAACTTATTTAAGGCAGGGTGTGTTAGTCTGTTCATGTGGCTATAAAGATACCTGAGGCGGCCAGGCATGGTGGCTCACGCCTGTAATCCCAGCACTTTGGCAGGCCAAGGTGGGTGGATCACCTGAGGTCAGGAGTTCGAGACCAGACTGGCCAACATGGTGAAACCCCGTCTCTACTAAAACTACAAAACCTAGCTGGGCATGGTGGTGTGTGCCTGTAGTCCCAGCTACTTGGGAGGCTGAGGCAGGAGAATCGCTTGAACCCAGTAGGCAGACGTTGCAGTGAGCCGATATTGTGCCACTGCACTCCAGCGTGGGTGACAGAGCGAGACTCCATCTTAAACAAACAAACAAAAAACCCAAAACCTGATACTGGGTATCTTATAAAGAGAAGAGATTTATTTGGCTCATAGTTCTGCAGGCTGTACAAAAACATAGTGCCAGCATCTGCTTCTGGTGAGACCTCAGGAAGCTCCCACTCATGGCTGAAGGCAAAGTTGGAGCAGGTGTGTCACATGGCCAGAGAAGAAGAAAGGGAGAGAGAAGGGAGGCACCCCTTTTATTTTATTTATTTTTAAATTGTATTTATTTATTTATTTATTTTGAGACAGATCTCCCTCTGTGGCCCAGGCTGGAGTGCAGTGGTGCGATCTCAGCTTACTGCAACCTCTGCCTCCAAGTTTCAAGCGATTCTCCTGCTTCGGCCTCCCAAGTAGCTGGGATTACAGGCAGGTGCCACCACACCCAGCTAATTTTTGTATTTTTAGTTGGGACGGGGTTTCACCATGTTGGCCAGGCTGGTCTTGAGACTCCTGACCTCAGGTGATTCACCAGCCTTGGCCTCCCAAAGTGCTGGGATTATAGGCGTAAGCCATGGCACCCAGCCTATTTTTTTTTTTTTTGAGATGGGGTCTCCCTCTGTCACCCAGGCTGAAGTGCAGTGGCGCGATCTCTGCTCTCTAGAACCTCCACCTCCTGTGTTCAAGCATTATCCTGACTCAGGCTCCTGATTAGCTGGGTCTACAGGTGCACTTTTGGCTAACTTTTGCATTTTTAGTAGAGACTGGGTTTCTCCATGTTGGCCAGGCTGGTCTCAAACTCCTTACCTCAAATGATCTGCCTGCCTCGGCCTCCCAAAGTGCTGGGATTACAGGCATGAGCTGCCATGTCTGGCCTCAGACTTCTTTTTAAACAACCAGATCTGACATGAACTCACAGAGTGAGAACTCACTCATCACCAAGAGGATGCCGCTAAGTCATTCATGAGGGATCCACCCCCATGTCCAACACCTCCCACTAGGCCCCACCTCCAATATTGGGGTTCACAGTTCTTTTTTTTTTTTTTTTGAGATGGAGTTTCCCTCTTGTTGCCCAGGCTGGAGTGCGGTGGCACGATCTCGGCTCACTGCAACCTCCACCACCAGGGTTCAAGCAATTGTCCTGCCTCAGCCTCCCGAGTAGCTGGGATTACAGGCGCCCCCTACCATGCCCAGCTAATTTTTGTATTTTTGGTAGAAATGGGGTTTCACCGTGTTAGCCAGGATGGTCTTGATCTCTTGACCTTGTGATCCTCCTGCCTCGGCCTCCCAAAATGCTGGGATTACAGGCGTGAGCCACCGTGCCCGGCCTCTGTTTTTTTTTTCATTGTAGCATACAGGTGTTAGATATTCACTTGTTTACAATGCCCACCTCCCAATGGTCTGCTCAACTGGAAACAAAGGTATCTATGGGTTCACATTTCAACATGAGACTTGAAGGGGACACACAGGCGAACTATATCAGAGGGGTACTACAATGGCATTTTGTAGTTGGGGAGATGTCGGATTCAACTCCAAATACAACAAGGAAATGTGAGAATCTATAGCCAAAGATGAGGGTGTGTGTTGTCGGGGGTGGTCAGTGCATGGAAAATTACCACGAGGAAATATCAGCGGTTAAGGGGGGATTTCTGGCTAAATCCACCTAATAGGATTCTTGCTGAAAGCAGGCCAGGGTGACAAGACATCACCTGGGGGATGTTAGGCGAGGAGGAACCCAACCAGTTATAGAGGATGATCAGATATTGAGAATGAGGGATTCAGGCTAAAGCGACTTACTAGGATTCTTGCGAGAATTGGACAATATAGAGATGAATATGTGAGCTCTAAAATCAGGGCCTAGTTGAGAAATCAGAGGGGCCTGACTAGAGATAAGTCAAGGAGAGAATCTTAATTGACCATCTGACTTTATTGAACATTGCTAAATTGCTCGTTAGCAACGTACGATTGTTTCTCTTTTTTCGTATCCTCACCAACACTTGGTATGAGAAAGTTTAAATTTGCAAATATATTTTGAAACGATATTTCATCATTTAACTTGCATTTACTTGTAGCTAATGAAACTTGTGCAGCTTTTCTATCTTATTGGTTATTTGGGGTTCCTCTTTGGTTAACTATGTTTAATATTGCAAGCTGATGTGCGATATTGTATTTCTTAAAAAAATTAATTTCGGCCAGGTGCAGTGGCTCATGCCTGTAATCCCAGCACTCTGGGACACTGAGGTGGGTGGATCACGAGGTCAGGGGTTCGAGAGCAGCTGTATAGAGTGTGTTGCTTTTTTTCTCTATGCCTTCAGTAACAATGGGCATTTCCAGTGATGGTCGAACATGGTGAGAACCAGATTAGCATATCAACGTTATTATTATTTGTTTTAAATTATAGAGAGGAGGGCTCACTAAATTGCCCATGCTGGTCTCAAACTCCTGGCCTCAAGCAATCCTCCTGCATCAGCCTCTCAAAGTGCTGGAATTATAGGTGTGAGCCACTGTGCCTGGCCCATGCTAATATTTTTAATGCAAGTAAAGTGCGCCATTGTATGAATGTTCGTCGTTAATTTAGCCGATTATCTTGTCTTACAGTTTTGGCATTATAAGCATTGTTTCAATCATTAGCTTTTAAACTAAGTATTTTTGCTTGTTTTTAACCTTTTTCTTAGGATAAATTTCTGACAGTGGAATTGTTCAAGAAAAAACGTATTCGTATTTGTATTTTATTTTATTTTATTTATTTATTTTTTTGAGACAGAGTCTCGCTCTGTCACCCAGGCTAGAGTGCAGTGGCGCGATCTCGGCTCACTGCCAGCTCCACTTCCCGGGTTCACGCCATTCTCCTGCCTCAGCCTCCGGAGTAGCTGGGACTATAGGCGCCCGCCACCACGCCTGGCTCATTTTTCGTATTTTTAGGAGAGATGGGGGTTTCACCGCGTCAACCAGGATGGTCTCGATCTCCTGACCTCGTGATCCGCCTGCCTCGGCCTCCCAAAGTGCTGGGATTACAGGCGTGAGCCACCGCGCCCGGCCAGTATTTGTATTTGTATATATATATATTTTTACAGTATTTGTATTTTTAAAGCTGCGAATACATACAGACAAAACACTCCTCAGAAGGGGCGTGCTCTTCTAGAACATCAGCAAGGCACAGGAAGGAACATCTCTAATCTCTTTTTTTTTTTTTTTGAGACGGAGTCTTGCTTTGTTGCCCAGGCTGGAGTGCAGTCGCTCAATCTCAGCTCACCGTAAGCTCCGCCTCCTGGGTTTAAGCGATTCTCCTGCTAATTTTTTGTGTTTTTAGTAGAGACGGGGGTTTCACCATGTTGGCCAGGCTGGTTTTGAATTCCTGACCTCAGATGATCCACCTGCCGCGGCCTCCCAAGGTGCTAGTATTACAGAGGTGAGCCATCGCGCCTGGCCCATCTCTAATGTTTGGAATCTAATCTATCTGGAGAACTATACCTTTATTTTTTATTTTTCTTTATTTTCTTTATCTATCTTTACAGTACTTTGAGTTGCTGTTTAAGAGAACTACACCTTTAATTGCCTCTACCAAGCTGAATGCATCCAAGTATGACTGTCTATGGAAAACAAGTTCAAATAGAATTCTTAAACAATACCACTTTTACACATCGTGCTGTGGGTGAGGTCCAAAAGCTGAAAGATTTTTATTCCAGCTGTAGCTGATCCATGAAAATTAAGGATAATTTTTTCTTTTTTTTTTGAGATGGAGTCTTGCTCTGTCACCCAGGCTGGAGTGCAGTGTGCAGAGGCCCGATCTCTGCTCACTGCAACCTCTGTCTCCCGGGTTCAAGCGATTCTCCTGCCTCAGCCTCTCGAGTAGCTGGGATTACAGGAGCGCGCCACCACACCCAACTAATTTTTGTATTTTTAATAGAGACGGGGGTTTCACCATATTGGCCAGGCTGATCTCAAACTCCTGACCTCAGGTGATCCCCCAACCTTGGTCTCCGGAAGTGCTGGGATTATAGGTGTGAGCCACAGCGCCCGGCTTAGGGTGGATTTTTGAATCTGAGGGTTTCAACCCATAGTAGATGGAGTGTGGCCAGGGCGGGGGGTTTTAGTTTGGAAAACGAACCTGCACCTGTATCCCTCAACCTAAATTTTTTTTTTTTTTTTTTTTAAGGAAAACATTTCAGTTGTAAATTCTAAGAGGAATTTCTGTTAGGTTGGATTCACTGCGCGTTTTGGAATGTAGTTGGCATCTCCCGTTTTTTTTTTTTTTTGAGAGTGAGTCTTGCTCTGTCGCCCAGGCTGGAGTACAGTGGCGCAATCTCGGCTCACTGCAAGCTCCGCTTCCCGGGTTCACGCCATTCTCCTGCCTCAGCCTCCCGAGTAGCTGGAACTAACAGGCGCCCGCCACCACGCCTGGCTAATTTTTTGTATTTTTAGTAGAGACGGGGTTTCACCGTGTTAGCCAGGATGGTCTCGATCTCCTGACCTCATGATCCACCGCCTCAGCCTCCCAAAGGTGCTGGGATTACAGGCGTGAGCCACCGCGCCCGGCGGCATCTCCCGTTTTTTTGTGGCATAACAGTTGACCAAAATAGGTTCAGGTCTCCTTGAGACAGGTTTTGAAAATGCTTTTTAAAATTTTTTTCCTGGAAAACAAATGACCAAAGTCATTGCTGTACCCACAAAAGGTAAATATGTTTCGATTAGTCTTTGCAGACACCTGATTCTTACACTGACATTCGAGTCTGGGCGTGAGACGTGAGCGCTAAGACCCTTCTGGGGTAGCTGGGAACTAGGCCAGGGTTCACCTGGGCGCCCCTGAAACCCAGCCGCCGGTAGACGAGCCCACCAGAGCGCATGCGCCGGGGGTACGCCGGGGCCGGACACGCCCAACTCTTCTTGTCTGATAAAGGGCGGAGTCTGCTACAGCCCCGCCCCCAGTGAAGGTGCGCGCGTGGCGGAGGCTGGTTTTCCGTCTGGTGAGGGGTTACTTCCGGGTCGGACGGCGCTAGCTGCAGCATCGGAGTGTGGCAGTGCTGGGCTGGCCGGCGGGCTGGGCTGCGGCCCGCGCGCGGCCGGCGATGCAGGGGGGCAACTCCGGGGTCCGCAAGCGCGAAGAGGAGGGCGACGGGGCTGGGGCTGTGGCTGCGCCGCCGGCCATCGACTTTCCCGCCGAGGGCCCGGACCCCGAATATGACGGTGAGGGATCGGATCGCGGCGTCGCCGCTCTGCTCTCTCTGTCCACCTGCGTTTCTGGGCGGCAAAGGCAGCCCTGAGGTTTGCCTGAGGACCTGGGCGACTTTGGCTGCCTCCAGGGTTGAACCGGCGGCCCAGCCGCGCAGTGCGAGGGGGGGCGGCGGGCGGGCCGTCGGGTAAGGTAAATATTTATTGAAAAGAACGTCTGCCTCTCCCTCCTTTGTTTACATTTCTGTTCCTTGGTTTCCTCTCTGGGGACTGAGGCCTTCGGATGGCTGGGGACATCCCCGAGGCCACCGTCTTGCCCCCATGCCCTGGGTTTTGTCATTGGTTGAGAACGATCTTCTTTCATTACTGCAAGGAGACTTTGCAAACTATACGCTGAATAGTTTGGGTTAAGAGTTGTAATTTGTAGCTCTTCTTGTCTTTTGCTTCATTGGAGCTTTTCTTGTCTTTTGCTTCATTGGAAGGAGAACTAAAGATTTCTTATAGTGAGGCAGCGTGGAAATAAATAAACGTCTTTGGTTTAATAAAAAGGCCCAAGTTTTTTTTTGAAGACAGGCTTGCTGTGTCACCCAGGCTGGAGTGCAGTGGCACAATCATAGCTCATTGCAGCCTCCAACTCCTGGGCTCAAGTGATCCTCCAGCCTTAGCCTCCCGAGTAGCTGGGACCACAGGTGCACACCACTGTGCCCAGCTAATTTTTTAATTTTTTTTTTTTTGCAGAGATGTGGTCTTGCTGTGTTTCCCAGGCTGGTCTCGAACGCCTGGCCTCAAGCGATTCTCCCGCCTCGGCCTTCCAAAATGCTGGGATTATAGATGTGAGCCACCACTCTCAGCCCCCAAGTTTTCTTGAGGCTTTTGTTTACTAGGAGATACGGGGTAGCTAAGTTACTTAGCATAGAGTAAGAGATGCTTAAAACATTGACTCTAACTAGGTGAAAGAGTCCACAATTTTGATGAAAGTGAAATAGAGTCTTTAGTTGCTGCCAGGTGTTTTAGCAATATTAAAAATTAAATTGTGCTATTAAGAATGAATACATTGGCCCAGTGGGGTCACGCCTGTAATCCAGCACTTTGGAAGGCTGAGGTGGGCGGATCACCTGAGGTCAGGAGTTCAACACCAGCCTGGTCATCATGGTGAAACCCCCTCTCTACTAAAAATACAAATTAGCTGGGCGTGGTGGCGGTCGCCTGTAATCCCAGCTACTTTCGAGGCTGAGGCAGGAGAATCGCTTGCTTGAACCCAGGAGGCAGAGGTTGAAGTGAGCCGAGATCGCACCACTGTACTCCAGCCTGGGAGACAGAGGAAAAACAACAACAACAACAACAACATTGATTCAGGTTTTTTTTTTCTTTTTTTTTTTTTTATGGAATGCTTCAGGAATTTGTGTTTCATTCTTGTGCGGGAGCTGTGCTAATCTCTGTGTCGTTCCAGTTTTTAGTATATGTGCTGCTGAAGTGAGCACGATTCAGGGAGATTTTAACTATATGGTAATTCCAATAGAATGACTGCAGAGAATACACTTTGATTTGAAGCATGAAACAAAAAAATGTGTTGCAATTGATTTAAAGCTACAAGTTATTCCTGTAAGAGAAAGCATATGAGAAAAAATAAAGGTGCAAACCGAGTTGAAATGGTTTTGATTGATTCAAATGGAATTAATACATGGAAATGTTGTTGCATTTTTATCCTTAATACTACCTATAATTTTTTTTTTTCTTAAAGAGATGGGGTCGTCCGGGAGGCAGAGGTTGCAGTGAGCTGAGATCGTGCCACTGCACTCCAGCCTGGGCAACAGAGTGAGACTCTGTCTCAAAAAAAAAAAAAAAAAAAAAAAAGAGATGGGGTCTCCTTTTGTTGCCCAGTCTGGTCTCAAACTCCTGGGTTCAACGGATCCTCCTGCCTCAGCTTCCCAAAGTGCTAGGATTGTAGGCGTGAGCCACTGTGCCCAGCCAAGCCTATGATTTTTGACCAGAAAGAGAAACAAAAGCAGAGTGTGGTAGTAATTCCAGTAGGCTATTAACAGAAGAAAATTTTAAAAAACTATTTTTTAATGGACAAATAACTTTTTCCCCACATATAAGGTGGTATATTATAGCTCAGTAATATAGAAAGTGTTATGTCATAGGAAAAGTCCCTGCTGTAAACATGCAAGTGTGTCTTTTCTGTAACATTGTGATAAGGGTTTCTGCAAACTAAAGATAATTTTTGAAGGGAGTGATCTTAGATAAGCTTTTAAAATTTTTCTTTTCCTGGGTTACCGAGAATACTGTTGTGCTGACATATGGCCTTTTCTTCCAAAGAGGCCCAGAATGTCCAGACAGAGTTTATATATATATATATATATATATTTTTTTTTTTTTTTTCCCTTGAGATGGAGTCTCCCTCTGTTGCCCAGGCTGGAGTGCAGTCGCGCGATCTCGGCTCACTGCAACCTCCGCCCCTCCAGGTTTAAGCAGTTCTCTGCCTCAGCCACCGGAGTAGCTGGGATTACAGGCGTCTGCCACCACACCCAGCTAATTTCTTGTATTTTTGGTAGAGACGGGGTTTCACCATCTTGGCCAGGCTGGTCTTGAACTCCTGACCTTGTGATACAGCTGCCTCGGCCTCCCAAAGTGCTGGGATTATAGGCGTGAGCCACCGTACCCGGCCTTTTTTTTTTTTTTTTTTTTGAGACTGAGTCTCACACCGTTGCCCGGGCTGGAGTGCAATGGCTGGATCTCGGCTCACTGCAACCTCCACCTCCTGGGTTCAAGCAATTCTCCTGCCTCAGCCTCCTGAGTAGCTGGGATCACAGGTGCACACCACCACGCTCACCTAATTTTTGTATTTTTAGTAGAGACGGTGTTTCACCGTGTTGGCCAGGCTGGTCCTGAGCTCCTGACCTCAGGTGATCTGCTTGCCTCGGCCTCTCTAAGTGCTGGAATTACAGATGTGAGCCACCACACCCAGCTAGTTTTTTTTTTTTTTTTTTTTTTTTTTGAGACAGAGTTTCACTTTGTTGCCCAGGCTGGAGTGCAATGGCACGATCTCAGCTCATCTCAACCTCTGCCTCCTGGGTTTAAGGGATTCTCCTGCCTCAGCCTCCTGAGTGGCTAGGATTGATTACAGGCATGCGCCACCACGCCTGGCTAATTTTGTTTTTTCGTAGAGACAGGGTTTCTCCATGTTGGCCAGGCTGGTCTCGAACTCCTGACCTTAGGTGATCTGCCTGCCTCGGCCTCTCAAAGTGCTGGGATTACAGGCATGAGCCACTGTGCCCAGCTAGGTTTTTTTTTTTTTTTTTTTACCTGTTTAGTCATGTCTTAAATAAACAGTAAGTGAGAACTTAACGACCTTCAGCCTTAGTGCCAACTCGTCTGTCTGCATGGTCTCATACAGTGCAAAGAGGATGGGGTTCGGGAGTCAGTCTGATCTGCCTTGTTCACTGGTTCCTCAGCCTCTCTGAGATCAGTGTTTTCATCTGTAAAATGAGGATGAACACTTACCTTATATTATTTTTTGAGCATTGAAGGAGATTGTACATGTAGATAAGTAGCACACGCTCATCGAGAAAAGTTTCCATTTTTCCTATCTTTCCCTCTGTCATCTGCCCAACTTCTTTTTTTTTTTTTTTTTTTTTGAGACGGAGTTTCGCTCTTGTTGCCAAGGCTGGAATGCAATGGTTGATCTCGGCTCACCGCAACTTCTGCCTCCCAGGTTCAAGCTATTTTCCTGCCTCAGCCTCCTGAGTAGCTGGGATTACAGGCGCCTGCCACCACTGCCCGGCTAATTTTGTATTTTTAGTAGAGATGGTGTTGCTCCATGTTGGTCAGGCTGGTCTCAAACTCCTGACCTCAGGTGATCCACTGGCCTCAGCCTCCCAAAGTGCTGGGATTACAGGCATGAACAACCGCGCCCGGCCATCCTCTGCCTAACTTCTTTCTTTATGCCTGGGTCTTGGCTGTCTTCTCAAAGGAAGGAAGCCATCCTAGTCCCACTTCCTTGCGTATTGATTTATTTGTACTATTGGACACATCAGAAAACTGTTTCTCCTCTGTCTCACGGCATCTTTCTGCTGATCCTCCAGCTTCCAGGATTCAGCTCCAAATTCACTTCCAGAAAGCCTTTCTTGATTAACCCAACTCAGCATAACTATTCTTTTGGTTTTTATCTGCTTACATTTAAATATTTCATGTTTCATTAATTAGAATATACGGTTTTGTCATTATGAGACAGGTTTACCATTAATTTAAAAATATTTTCCTTTTTAATTTTTAGAATCTGATGTTCCAGCAGAAATCCAGGTGTTAAAAGAACCCCTACAACAGCCAACCTTCCCTTTTGCAGTTGCAAACCAACTCTTGCTGGTTTCTTTGCTGGAGCACTTGAGCCACGTGCATGAACCAAACCCACTTCGTTCAAGACAGGTGTTTAAGCGTAAGTAAGAATAAATGAATCTTGCTAAATAAAGCTTGTAAAGGCTGGGCTCCGTGGTTCATGCCTGTAATCCCAGCACTTTGGGAGGCTGAGGTGGGCGGATCACCCGAGGTCCGGAGATCGAGATCGGTTTGGCTAACATGACGAAACCCCCTCTTTACTCAAAATATGGAAATTAGCCGGGTGTTGTGGCAGGCACCTGTAACCCCAGCTACTCGGGAGGCTGAGGCGGAGAATCAGTTGAACTGGGGAGGTGGAGGTTGCAGTGAGCCGAGATAGCGCCACTGCACTCCAGCCTGGGTGAAAGAGTGAGACTGTCTCAAAAATAAATAAATAAAGCTTGTAAAAATACTGTGTTGCTGTTCTCACTTATTCATGGGAGGTAAAAATTAAAACAATTGAACTAATGGAGATAGAGTAGAATGATGGTTCCCAGAGGCTGGGAGGATAGTGGAGGATGGTTAATGGGTACAAAAATATAGTTAGAATAAATTGGATCTAGTATTTGATAGCACAGCAGAGTGACTACAGTCAACAATAATTTATTGTACATTTAAAAAATAATAAAAAAGATGGCCAGGTGCAGTGGCTCATGCCTGTAATCCCAGCACTTTGGGAGGCCAAGGTGGGTGAATCACTTGAGGTCAGGAGTTTGAGACCAGCCTGACCAACATGGTGAAATCCCATCTCTATTAAAAAAAAAATGCAAAACTACCCAGGCGTAATGGCACATGGCTGTAATCTCAGCTACTTGGGAGGCTGAGGTAGGAGAATTGCTTGAACCCGGGTGGCGGAGGTTGCAGTGAGCCGAGATCACGCCACTGCACTCCAGCCTGGGCAACAAGAGCTAAAGTCCATCTCAAAAAAAAAAAAAAAAAGAATGGGCTGGGCGCGGTGGCTCACGCCTGTAATCCCAGCACTTTGGGAGACTGAGGCAGGTGGATCATGAGGTCAAGAGATCGAGACCATCCTGGCTAACATGGTGAAACCCTGTCTCTACTAAAAATACAAAAATTAGCTGGGCATGGTGGCGGGCACCTGTAATCCCAGCTGTAATTTGGGAGGCTGAGGCTGGAAAATCATTTGAACCTGGGAGGCGGAGGTTGCAGTGAGCTGAGATCGCGCCATTGCACACCAGCCTGGCGACAGAGCAAGACTCAGTCTCAACAAAATAAAAATAACGAAAAGAATATAATTGGATTGTTTGTAACACAAAGAAGGGATAAATGCTTTAGATGATGGATACCCCATTTATCCTGATGTGATTATTACACATCACATGTCTGTATCAAAATATCTCATGTACCCCCATAAATATATACATCTACCATATACTCACAAAAATTAAAAATACAAAATAAAAATATGTTGTTTAATGCTGTGAGTCTGGAAAGCGTCTGGTATACAAAAATTGGAGTGAAATAAATATTAATGATTTCCCTACTTCAATTCAGCTTACATTTTTCTTTGAGTAATTCCTTACAAATATAACTGTGGATCCCATAATTGCATAAAATTGAATAAATGAAATATAGTTCTTTTGCATCTATACTATGATAATGCTCACAATTTTTTTTTTTCTCGAGATGGAGTCTCACTCTGTTGCCCAGGCTGGAGTGCATTGGCGCGATTTCCGCTCACTGCAATCTCCGCCCCCCGGGTTCAAGTGATTCTCCTGCCTCACCCTCCCGAGTAGCTGGGGTAGGCACGTGCCACCATGCCCGGGTAATTTTTGTATTTTTAATAGAGACGGGGTTTCACCATGTTGTTCAGGCTGGTCTCGAACTCCTGACCTGGTGATCCACCCGCCTCGGCCTTCAGTGTGCTTTGATCACTCCTGTGAGTAACCAGTGTGCTCCAGTCTGGGTGACATAGTAAGACTCTGCCTCTAGAGAAAAAAAAAAAAAAGAATAGTTCCAGCCAGAGATTCTGAGGTTCTTTTTTTTTTTTTTTTTTTTTTTACCAAAACAGTCTCAAACTTATAGATACTTTTATGTGGTCTTAAAACTGAATGCGTTTTTAGTTAAAGATACATTATCATTTTGATAAACTTGATGGGACATGAAAAATGGTACAAATATCTGTACATTGTACACCTACTGCTTCTTGAATAAAGCAAATAATACACTCTGCATTCCAAGCAGTGGCATATGTGGTGGGAGGTGGGGTGAACAGAAGGAAGTGTATTCCTTAGGTTCTGAAGCATTGGTGACTGGGAATTATTGTATTAGTCTCATCAAATAGAGAAGCAGATTAGAAAAATACAGTAATCTTGTACATGATTAAAGCAATCCTGTGAATTTTACTGATTTTAAGATAATTTTGAATTCCTTATATACAGCCTCTTTAGATGACTTTTTTTTTTTTTTTTTTTGATAAGGAGTCTTGCTCTGTCGCCCAGGCTGGAGTGCGGTAGTGCGATCTCGGCTCACTGCAACCTCCACCTTCTGGGTTCAAGCGATTCTCTTGCCTCAGCCTCCCAAGTAGCTGGGACTACAGGCACCCACCACCACGCCCGGCTGATTTTTTGTATTTTTAGTAGAGACGGAGTTTCACTGTGTTAGCCAGGATGATCTCGATCTCGTGACCTCATGATCCACTGGCCTTGGCCTCCCAAAGTGCTGGGATTACAGGTGTGAGCCACCATGCCCAGTCTAGATGACTGAAGTTTAAAACAAGGTTATTTAAATAAATGTTTTTGATGTAATCAGTGAGTTGATAATCTAAATGGAGAGTTTTCTATTTCTTTTTTCTTTTTTTTTAGCAACAAATGTGGCTTTCATAACTGTAGAGTTTTTGATGCAGAAAGAATATCCTTGGTGGGGCACGGTGGCTCACGCCTGTAATCCTAGCACTTTGGGAGGCTGAGGTGGGCGGGTCACGAGGTCAGGTGTTCGAGACCAGCCTGGCCAACATGGTGAAACCCCATCTCTACTAAAAATACAAAAATTAGCCAGGTATGTTGGCGGGTGCCTGTAATCCCAGCTACTTGGGAGGGTGAGGCATGAGAATCCCTAGAATCCAGGAGGCGGAGGTTGCAGTGATCTGAGATCGCTCCACTGCCCTCCAATTTGGGCAACAGGGTGAGACTCTGTCTCAAAAAAAAATTAGCCAGGCGTGGTGGTGTGCACCTGTAATCCCAGCTACTCAGGCGACTGAGGCAGGAAAATCGCATGAACCCTGGAGATGGAGGTTGCAGTGAGCCGAGATCGTGCCATTGCACTCCAGCCTGGGCGACAGAGTGAGAGTCTGTCTCAAAAAAAAAAAAAAAAGAAAGAAAAAAAAATGTCCTCATTGGTATCTGTATTTGTTGAATGAGTAGGAGCCAAGGCACCTTTGTGGAAACTTACTTTTTCTAAGGAGCTTGATATTTGGTTTACACACGTGTACCATGGGCTCTTTGTATGTTGGTTAAAGGTATTTCGTGACGATGAATGGTCACTTTTGTTGTAAGTTCTCATCATATGTTTGCCCTCCTGCTCTTATTCTTCTCTTACTGCCTAACAGCAAAGGGTAATGTGTGGAATGTCAGAAGAGTTTGTTTACTCTTTTTTTTGTTTGCCCTTTTTTTAGAAATGGCTTAGTACTTTACTGACTAGTCTTGGTAAACAAGTGACTGTACAGGGTAAGAGAAGTAATTATAGGCCGGGTGCAGTGGCTCATGCCTGTAATCCCAGCACTTAGGGAGGCCAAGGTGGGTGGATCACGAGGTCAGGAGATCGAGACCATCCTGGCTAACACAGTGAAACCCCTTCTCTACTAAATATACAAAAAAATTAGCTGGGCCTGGTGGCAGGCGCCTATAGTCGCAGCTACTCAGGAGGCTGAGGCAGGAGAATGGCATGAACCCGGGAGGCAGAGCTTGCAGTGAGCCGAGATCGCGCCAGTGCACTCTAGCCTGCGTGACAGAGTGAGACTCCATCTCAAAAAAAAAAAAAAAAAAGAGAAGTAATTATAGTTGTGCTTTTCATGAATGAGTGTACTAGTTGTTCCTTCTCTTTTAGAGAATCATTCCCCAAGTTTCTTCGCTTTTTAAAAAAATTTATCTAAGGGCTGGGCCTGGTGGCTCATGCCTGTAATCCTAGCACTTTGGGAGGTGGAGTTGGGCAGATCACTTGAGGCCAGGAGTTCGAGACCAGCCTGGCCAATGTGGCGAAACCCCGTCTTTACTAAAAATAGAAAAATTAGCTGGGCATGGTGGCACACGCCTGTAATCCCAGCTACTTGGGAGGTTGAGGCAGAAGAATCACTTGAACCCGGGAGGTGGAGGTTACAGTGAGCCAAGATAGTTGTCACTGCACTCTCTGTCTCAAAAAAAAATTTCTTTTACGTTATTCTAGAGAACATTCTCCAAGTTTAACGTGTTTATAAATATAGTATTTTTCCTATTGAGGTTTTTGTATATATTGCTATTATTACACGTTATTCTCTGTGTACACTTTAAAATTGCCATTTTATTAAAGATGTTTCTAATAATAGTTTTTCATATTCTTTTTATAGTACTTTGCCAGACGTTTATCAAAATGGGGCTGCTGTCTTCTTTCACTTGTAGTGACGAGTTTAGCTCATTGAGACTACATCACAACAGAGCTATTACTCACTTAATGAGGTCTGCTAAAGAGAGAGTTCGTCAGGTAAGCCCTAAAAAATATACTTTGGGTATGACAAAAATATACTTTAATTTTAAGATAATTATATTTTAAAGCACTGTGAAATTCTGATTATAAAACAAGTTTTTAAAAGTATAAACTCTAGGCCAGGCATGGTGGTGTGGCTCATGCCTTAATCCCAGCACTTTGGGAGGCTGAGATGGATCATTTGAGGCCAGGAGTTCAAGGCTGCAGTGAGCCATGGTTGTGCCACTGCACTCCAGCCTGAGCAGCAGAGTGAGAACCTGCCTGAAAAAAAAAAAAAAAAAGAGAGGAGAGGCAAAGGAGAGGCCACAGATGGACTGGGATCTTGAGACAATTTCAATTTATTTTTGTTTTGTTTTGTTTCGTTTTGAGACAGAGTCTCGCACTGTCATCTGGGCTGGAGTGCAGTGGCGCAATCTTGGCTCATTGCAACCTCTGCCTCCCAGATTCAAGGGATTCTCCTGCCTTAGCCTCCCAAGTAGCTGGGACCACAGGCACCTGCCACCACACCCAACTAATTTTTTGTATTTTCAGTAGAGACAGAGTTTCTTCATGTTGGCCAGGCTGGTCTCGAACTCCTGACCTCGTGATGTGCCTGCCTTGGCCTCCCAAGTGCTGGGATTACAGGCGTGAGCCACCGCGCCCTACCTAATTTATGGTTTTTAGTAAGATGGGAGGTGGTACAGGATTTTGATTAGAGGAGTGACACAATCTGACTTACATTTTAGTGGGGTCACACTGGCTGCTGTGTTGCGAATGGACTGAGGGGGCACGGGCAGAAGCAGGGTGCCAGGTGCCACCATACACGCGAGAGAGGTGGGCAGGCAGGAGGGGTGGGGAGCTCCTGCATGGATTTTGAAGGTGACGTCAGTCTTGTCTGCTTGCTGGTCTGTTCTCAGCTTTGAAGTATTTTCAGTTGTAAACTCTTAAGTAATACTGAAAAAGCCAGTGGTTTTTAAAATATTGTTTATGCATTTGGGGTTGTTAATGTGATATTGAATTTTGATAGGTTCTTTATTCCATGCAAGTTTTCAAAATGCTTTTTAAAAACAATTTTTTAATTGTAGGATCCTTGTGAGGATATTTCTCGTATCCAGAAAATCAGGTATGTGTGAAAAACTTTCTTGATTATGCAGACTATTGAAAAGAAATCAAAATTAAGAAAATACTGATTTGAGGTTAAAACATAATATTGTTAGTATTATTTATGAACATTAAAAACTTTGTTCTCAGCAATTAAGTACTGCTCTGAGACTTGCTTTGCTTCTTATTCCCTCCTCTTTGATCCCCTGCCTCTCGCCACTGAGTGTGGATTCCATGGTCACACTGTTAATTCAGATTCCTGATACCCAGGCTCTGTTAGGGGGACCATTGAATTCTCGCTAGTTTAAATACTAGTTTAAAATCTAACTGGTCTGACCTAAATATTCATCAGCCCATGAATAGATAAGCATGTGGTCTATCCCTGCAATAAAGTGTTATTCAGCTATTAAAAGGAATGAAGTACGGATTCATGCTACAATATGGATGAATCTTGAAAACATCCTAAGTAAAAACAGCCAGTCATAAAAGGCCACATATTGTGTGATTTCATTTCTATGAAATATCCAGAGTAGGTGAATCCATAGAGACGTAAATAGTGGTTTTCAGGGAGTGGGGTAAGGGAAGGATGGGGAGTGAAAGCTAATGGATATAGGGTTTATTTTGGGGGTGATGAAAATATTCTGAAATTAGGTAGCAGTGATGGTTGCACAACTTTATGTACTAAAAACCACTGAATTGTACATTTGAGAGAGGTGAATTTGACAGTATGTGAATTATATCTTGATAAAGCACTCTACATTAAAATAAAAATCTAATTGGTCTACATCATTAAGAAATTTAAGAAGCTGCTTATGGTGGTGCATACCCAGTCCCAGCTACTTGGGAGGCTGAGGCAAGACGACTGCTTGAGCCCAGGAGTCCTGGGCTGTAGTGCACTATGCCAGTCTGGTGTCCACATTAAGTCTGGCATCAGTATGGTGACCTTGATCTCCCAGGAGCAAGGGACCACCAGGTTGCCTAAGGAGGAGTGAACTAGCCCAGGTTGGAAACAGAGCAGGTCAGTACTCTGGTGCTGCTCAGTAGCAGGATCACACCTGTGAATAGCCACTGCAATCTAGCCTGGGCAACACAGCAAGACCCTGTCTTAGAAGAAAAATAAATAAAAAAGAAATTTCAGTAATTTTTTTTTTTTTTTGAGACAGAGTCTTGCTCTGTCACCCAGGCTGGAGTGCAGTGGCATAATCTCGGCTCACTGCAATCTCTGCCTCCTGGGTTCAAGCAATTCTCCTGCATCAGCCTCCGGAGTAGCTGGGATTACAGGCACCCGCCACCACACCCGGCTAATTTTTGAATTATTACTAGAGACGGGGTTTTACCATGTTGGCCAGGCTGGTCTTGAACTCCTGACCTCATGATCTGCCCTCCTCGGCCTCCCAAAGTGCTGGGATTACAGGCGTGAGCCACCATGCCCAGCTGAAATTTCAGTAAATTTATTTCTGAGCTTAGCTAACCAACTGCTGGCTGTTAGTGATTCTTAGGATTTCTGCTGTACAACATCGGTAATAATTTCTACTTGGAATACCCGTTACTGGTAAAACACCTGATTTTGTTTTCTTCATAGGGATGAAAAATTTCATTTTAGCCCATCCTTTCCAAATCAGCACAGCTTAGTGATACATGAGGTTTGTGAGGTTAGTAATCCTGTGAGCATGAGGTATCCTAGAACATTTTGATTCTCTCATGTTTTAATATTGATTGTTTGTATTTAACTTTCAGATCAAGGGAAGTAGCCTTGGAAGCACAAACTTCACGTTACTTAAATGAATTTGAAGAACTTGCCATCTTAGGAAAAGGTGGATACGGAAGAGTATACAAGGTTGTCTTCCACGTACTTGTTTTGACCTACTACCCTAAATAATTGTGTTTTCAGATATTGTTTTCATTATTCTTTTATTTATTTATTTTTTTGAGATGGAGTCTCGCTCTGTCGCCAGGCTGGAGTGCGCGGCGCAATCTCAGCTCACTGCAACCTCTGACTCCCTGGTTCAAGCGATTCTTCTGCCTCAGCCTCCCGAGTAGCTGGGATTACAGGCATGTGCTACTACACCCAGCTAATTTTTGTATTTTTAATAGAGACGGGGTTTCACCGTGTTGGCCAGGATGGTCTTGATCTCCTGACCTCGTGATCCACCCACCTCGGCCTTCCAAAGTGCTGGCATTACAGGCATAAGCCACCGTGCTCGGCCTGTTTTCATTATTATTATATAATGTACTCAAAGGAAAATTCCAAGAAATCTTGTATATTTACTTTTCTTTAACATTTGTCATGTACAGGGAAGTGGGCAGTTTGTAATGTTTTTCTAACCGTGTTGATTGTTTACATGGATTTTGGAAACTTTGAATTTTTGACCTATAGTTAATTTTAATTAAAAAATGTGTTACCAAAAAAAGTTGTACTACTGTGTTTTGAGCTAACATACACCTTTTGCTAACATTCCCGTTCTTCAGCCTAGAGCTTCTTAGGAGCTAGACTTCCAACACTATCTGAAAAGCTCTTAGTCCGGCTGACTTCCCTGAACATAGTAAGGAGACATGTCTTTAGCTATATTTTACCTCTTTGGCTAGTTTGGATTGTCTAAGCTCAGATTAAAAGAACCTCTTTATTCAGTTAAAGTTTAATGACACAATATACTTTGTCTTTTTTTCTACTTTTCAGGTCAGGAATAAATTAGATGGTCAGTATTATGCAATAAAAAAAATCCTGATTAAGGGTGCAACTAAAACAGTTTGCATGAAGGTATGATTTTTAAAAATTACTTATTTTGAATAATTGTGTATTTAGTTCTTTTTGAAAGAGTTATACATGTATATGTGTATATTTGGCAAAAGTAGGCGGTGTGGATTTCCAGTTTACTAGGAATGGGGTTATAGTAAAGTACCAAAATTAAATTATTATTATTTTTTGTTTTGAGATGGAGTTTCACTCTTTTGGCCAGGTTGGAGTAAAGTGGCGTGATCTCGGCTCACTGCAGCCTCCGCCCCGCAGGGTTCAAGGATTCTCCTTCCTCCCAAGTAGCTGGGATTACAGGCATCTGCCACCATGCCTGGCTAATTTATATATATATATATATATAATTTTTAAAATATGTTAACTTCTTAAAATAAATGATCGATATATAATATAGCTAGTTATGAAAAAACAGGAGCCCAGTTCCAGGTCAGTCTTCTCCCTGACATGCTGTGTGGTTCTGGACGAGTTGTCCAGTCCTCTGAGCCACTTCTGTCACCTGCCCTGAAATAGTAGTGACGGTAGTGATTTTACTTACCTTGGAGGACTGGGGTAGGAATCAAAAGAGAGAATGGTGATAAGTGTGCCATAAAAAGTATAAAATGCCCTATAAATATGTTATTTAGTTGCTATAACAATTGCCATTTGTTTCTTAAAAATATTTCCATTATATTGGCCAGGTGCAGTGGCTCACGCCTGTAATCCCAGCACTTTGGGAGGCGAAGGCAGGCAGATCACTTGAGGCCAGGAGTGTGAGACCAGCCTGGCCAACATAGCACAACCCTGTCTCTACTAAAAACACAAAAATTAGCTGGGTGTGGTAGTGCATGCTTGTAATCCCAGCTGCTCGGGAGGCTGAGGCACAGGAATGACTTGAACCCAGCAAAGTGATTGCAGTGAGCCAAGATGGCATCACTTCACTCCAGCCTGGGCAACAGAGTGAGACTCTGTCTCAAAAAAAAAAAAAAAATTTCTATTATTTTAACATAGTGTAGATGCCTTGTACAGAGGAGTTTTCATTACAGATGGTCCTCCATCTTATGATGGGATTATGTCCTGATAAACCCATCATAAATTGAAAATATTGTAAATTGGAGATGCATTTTAATATGCATAACCTACCGAACATTATAGCTTACCCTGCCTACCTTAAATGTGCTTCGAACACTTACATTACTCAATAGTTGGACAGAATCATCTAGCACAAAGCATATTTTATAATAAAATACCATATATCTCATGCACCGCATACTGCAAGCTGGAGAAAAGATCAAAATTCAAAGTATGTCAAAAATTGTGATGTCTTCATACCATTGTAAGTCAGGGGCCATCTGTATTTTGCTCTGGAACAAGAAGTATTGCATAAACATTTAACAAGTTATCAGCAAAAGGCAGATCTACTTCCATTTCTTTTCTAGGTCCTACGGGAAGTGAAGGTGCTGGCAGGTCTTCAGCACCCCAATATTGTTGGCTATCACACCGCGTGGATAGAACATGTTCATGTGATTCAGCCACGAGGTAAGCCGTTTTTGATGGTATGGTAGTTGAAGCGTTGGCAAACTTTAGCCCGTGCACCAAATCTGGCCTGCCTTTGTTTTTGTACATACCACAAGCTGAGAATGGTTTTTACATATTTTTTTTTGAGACGGAGTCTCACTCTGTCGCCCAGGCTGCTCCGCCTCCTGGGTTCACACCATTCTTCTGCCTCAGCCTCCTGAGTAGCTGGGGCTACAGGTGCCCGCCACCACGGCCAGCTAACTTTTTTTTTTGGTATTTTTTAGTAGAGACAGGGTTTCACCGTGTTAGCCAGGATGGTCTCGATCTCCTGACCTCGTGATTCGCCCGCCTCGGCCTCCCAAAGTGCTGAGATTACAGGCATGAGCCACCGCGCCTGGTTGGTTTTTACATTTTTAAATAGTTAAACAAAATCAGAAGATTTTGTGAAAATTATGTGAAATTATTTTTTTCTTTTCTTTTTTTTGAGACAGAGTCTCGCTCTGTCACCCAGGCTGGAGTGTAGTGGCGCGATCTTTGCTCACTGCAACCTCTGCCTCCTGGGCTTAAGTGATTCTTCTGCCTCAGCCTCCCGAGTAGCTGGGATTACAGGTGTGTGCCGCCACGCCTGGCTAATTTTTGTATTTTTAGTACAGACAGGGTTTCACCATGTTGCCCAAGCTAGTCTTGAACTCCTGACCTCAAGTGATCCACCTGCCTCGGCCTCCCAGAGTGCTGGGACTATAGGCATGAGCCTCTGTGCCTGGCCCAAAATTTAAATATCAATAAATAAAATTTATTAGAACACAGGCTCTTCATTTATATATTGTCTATGGCTGCTTTTTAAATTTAAAGTTAGCTGGGGGCAGTGTGGCTCATGGCTGTAATCCCAACACTTTGGGAGGCCGAGGCAGGAGGATCACAAGGTCAGGAGTTCGAGACCAGCCTGGCCAATATGGTGAAACCCCATCTCTAATAAAAATACAAAAATGAGGTGGGCATGGTGGTGAGCACCTGTAGTCCCGGCTACTCGGGAGGCTGAGGCAGCAGAATCACTTGAACCCGGGAGGTGGAGGTTGCAGTGAGCCAAGATCGTGCCAATGCATTCCACCCTGGGCAACAGAGCGAGACTGCCTCAAAAAAAAAATTACATTAAATTTTGTTTTAAAAATAGAGATGAGGAATCTCACTATATTGTGCATGCTGTTCTTAAACACCTGAGCTCAAGTGATCCTCGAGCCTCGGCCTCCCAAAGAGTTGGGATTACAGGCATGAGCCACTGGGCCTATGGCTGCTTTTATACCATAACAGAATTGTTCAGTTACAGCAGAGTCCCAGAGGGCCCTAAAACCTAAAATATTTACTGTCAAGTCCTCTGTGCTGTTTGCTGACCCCTCGTATAGTTGCATGGCTTTGTTTTTACGGTTCCTAACACGTGCCATTTGAATAAACTTTTTGTATTTTGCCAGAAGGTCATGACATTTTTAGACTTGTAGTCTCATTTGACACTATTTGTATATTTTAACTCTGTCTTTGACTACAATTTGAAAAACTGGGCTGTTTGAAGATGATTGTTGTTTGTTTTCATTCAGCAGACAGAGCTGCCATTGAGTTGCCATCTCTGGAAGTGCTCTCCGACCAGGAAGAGGACAGGTATGTCCTTTTACATATTAGGACATTACCTCTTGTCACCTGCATTGGGCTTTTGTTCTTTTTTTTGGCGACAGAGTCTCGCTCTGTCACCCAGACTAGAGTGCAGTGGCACAATCTTGGCTCACTGCAACCTCCGCCTCCTGTGTTGCAGTGATTCTCCTGCCTCAGCTTCCCGAATAGCTGGGACTATAGGTGCCCGCCACCACACCCAGCTAGTTTTTTGTATTTTTAGTAGAGACGGGGTTTCACCGTGTTAGCCAGGGTGGTCTCGATCTCCTGGCCTCGTGATGTGCCCACCTCGGCCTCCCAAAGTGCTGGGATTACAGGCGTGAGCCACTGCACCTGGCCTGCACTGGGCTATCTTTGTCTTTTGCTACAAGGAGCTCAGGAGGAGTGTTTTAGACTTTGCTTATTTCCGTTACAAAATGTTAAATTATTTCTTCCTTTCAGATATTTCCTGTCGGTATTTTTTTTTTTTTTTTGAGATGGAGTCTCGCTCTGTCGCCCAGGTTGGAGTGCAGTGATGTGATCTCAGCTCACTGCAACCTCTGCCTCCCAGGTTTAAGCGATCCTCCTGACTTAGCCTCCCTAGAAGCTGGGATTATAGGCCTGCACCACCATGCCTGGCTAATTTTTGTATTTTTAGCAGAGACGGGGTTTTGCCATGTTGGCCAGGCTGGTCTCAAACTCCTGAACTCAGGTGATCTGCCTGCCTTGGCCTCCCAAAGTGCTGGGATTACAGTTGTGAGCCACTGCACCTGGCCTATTTTTTATTATTTTTGTTGAGACAGGATCTTGCTCTTTTGTCCAGGCTGGAGTGCAGTGGTATGATCACAGCTCATTGCAGCCTCCAACTCCTGGACTCAGGCAATCCTCCCACCTTAGCTGCCTGAGTAGCTGGGACTACAAGCTTGCGCCACCATGTCTGGCTAATTTTTGTATTTTTTGTAGAGATGGGGTTTTGCCATGCTGTTCAGGCTAGTGTTGAACTCCTGGGCTCAAGCAATCCTCCCGCCTTGGTTTACCAAAGTGTTGGGATTATAGGCATGAGCCATTGTGCCAGACCTATACATTGGCTTTTTTTTTTTTTTTTAGATGGAGTCTCACTCTGTTGGCCAGGGTGGAGTGCAGTGGCGCAATCTTGGCTTACTGTAACCTCTTCCTCCCGGGTTCAAGCGATTCTCCTGCCTCAGCCTCCTAAGTAGCTGGGACTATAGGCGCATGCCACCACACCCGGCCAATTTTTGTATTTTTTAGTAGAGATGGCGTTTCACCATATTGGCCAGGCTGGTCTCGAACTTCTGACCTTGTGATCTGTCTGCCTTGGCCTCCCAAAATGCTGGGATTACAGGCATGAGCCACTGCACCCGGCCGACTTTTTTTTTTCTTGGAGACGGAGTCTCACTCACTTTGTCGCCCAGGCTGGAGTACAGTGGCATGATCTCAGCTCACTATAACCTCCATCTCCTGGGTTCGAGTCATTTTCCTGCCTCATCCTCCCCAGTAGCTGCGATTACAGGCGTATGCCACCATACCCGTCTAATTTTTGTGTTTTTAGTTGAGATGGGGTTTTACCATGTTGGGTAAGCTGGTCTCCAACTCCTGACCTTAAGTGATCTGCCCGCCTCAGCCTCCCAAAGTGCTGGGATTACAGGCATGAGCCACTGTGCTCGGCCCATTGACTTTTATGTTTACTATTTTTTTTTTTTTCAGAGAGCAATGTGGTGTTAAAAATGATGAAAGTAGCAGCTCATCCATTATCTTTGCTGAGCCCACCCCAGAAAAAGAAAAACGCTTTGGAGAATCTGACACTGAAAATCAGAATAACAAGTCGGTGAAGTACACCACCAATTTAGTCATAAGAGAATCTGGTGAACTTGAGTCGACCCTGGAGCTCCAGGAAAATGGCTTGGCTGGTTTGTCTGCCAGTTCAATTGTGGAACAGCAGCTGCCACTCAGGCGTAATTCCCACCTAGAGGAGAGTTTCACATCCACCGAAGAATCTTCCGAAGAAAATGTCAACTTTTTGGGTCAGACAGAGGTAGATTACTTTCCCAGACCCTCCTAATTTGGCCAGTATTGGTGACTGTGCAGGTGTGTGGCCTTCTCTCGCCCTCTCTCAGCTCTGGCGCTTCTGCCCTGCGTTCAGTCTCTTGTACTGGCCATGTTCCCCTTGCCATGGGGCCTTTGCGTTTGGTTCTCCCTTCTTCACTTAGTTAACTCCTCCACGTCCTTTTCTGGCCTCCCCGACCTGGCCATTTACAGCTTCAGATCATCTTGAGTGTGTACCCTAGAGTTGGCGGCCTCACTCACACTCTGTTTGTGTTGTATGTTAGCATCATGCTATAAAGATATATTTATGCAAAACGATTTTGCAGCATGACTTTAGGTGAGTCCCAGTAGGATTAGCAGCTCAGTATTCGGGATATTCTTTTTAATTTTAAAATTGGTTTTATGTTAGTTGTAGTTTTCAGGAGGCTCTTGTTGAGGGTCATACTGATACAACCCTCCTTCCATGGCCACGCTGCCACCATGCTTTCCCCAGTATTTTAAGTAGTAATATTAAAAACATGAACATTAGGCCGGGTGTGGTGGCTCACGCCTGTAATCCCGGCAGTTTGGGAGGCCAAGGAGGGCAGATCACCTGAGATCAGGAGTTCGAGACCAGCCTGGCCAACATGGTGAAAGCGCGTCTCTACTAAAAATACAAAAATTAGCCAGGCGCGATGCTGTGCGCCTGTAATCCCAGCTACTCAGGAGGCTGAGGCAGGAGAATCGCTTGAACCCGGGAGGCACCGTACTCCAGCCTGGGCAACTAGAGGAAGACTGTTTCAAAAAAAATAAAAAAATAAAACTAAAAACATGAAAATTGTCAGGGTCTACACATAATCTGTCTTGTTAAGATTATAAAACTGTATATACCATCTACAAAGACACAGCACAGAATTAATTCTTGTCACGGAATATGTGTTTCTGAGCCTGTGTTTTTTTTCTTGAGACAAAGTTTTGCTCTTGTCACCCAGGCTGGAGTACAGTGGCATGATCTCGGCTCACTGAAACCTCTGCCTCCTGGATTCAAGCGATTCTCCTGCCTCAGCCTCCCGAGTAGCTGGAATTACAGGCGCCCACCACCACGCCCAGCTAATTTTTTTGTATTTTTAGTAGAGACAGGGCTTCACCATGTTGGCCAGGCTGGTATCAAAGTCCTGACCTCAGGTGATCCACCTGCCTCGGCCTCCCAAAGTGCTGGGATTACAGGCATGAGCCACTGCATCCTACCAAGCCTGTGCTTTTTTTTTTTTTTTTTTTTTGGAGATGGAGTCTTGCTCTGTCACCCAGGCTGGAGTGCAATGGTGCCATCTCAGCTCACTGCAACCTCCGCCTCCCAGGTTCAAGCGATTCTCCTGCCTCAGCCTCCTGAGTAGTGGGATTACAGGCACGCGCCACTACGCCTGGCTGATTTTTTTGTATTTTTAGTAGAGACGAGGTTTCATCATGTTGTTCAGGCTGGTCTTGAACTCCTGACCTCGTGATCCACCTGCCTTGGCCTTCCAAGATGCTGGGATTACAGGTGTGAGCCACCACGCCTGGCTAAGCCTGTGCTTTTTTATGAAACTTAGAACTTTGAACTCTTTCGCCTGAATCTGGATGACTTGAGTTTGGGGGACTTTTAATCAGAATCATTTCATTTCTCTGTATTTTATTTGGAAAATTTTCTTAGATGCCTAAATCAGATGGTATATACAGTGGGCTACAGTAAGCTTAGTGTTTGCTTAACTTTTTATTGAATAAGTTATTAGTTATGTACAACGTGAAGCCAGACAAAGTATATATACTTTGTAGAAATATATAGAGTAGTAGAATATCATACAGCCATTCTTTGATGCTTTCTCTTAGCTTTAAAAACTGTTTATGTAGCGAGCAGACCAGTTTCAGGACCAGTTTCTCCGGGTCACAGTTGAGAGCTTCTGCCATTGGACCCCTGCCTGACTTCAGCCTGGCCCCCCTTCTGCTGGTATTACAACACCCGGTTTTAATTATCAGTCTCCTTATCTGTCACTTTCATTAGACTTTGGGCTTCTTGGGTGGGCCTGTGTCCTGAGGACACTTCTGTCTTGCAAAGAGAAGTCCACACAGGTTTAATGACTTCCCTAGAGGCCTACTCTCTTGGCCCAGAATAGGCAGATTAATATTTGTTGGCTAAATGAATAATGCGAGTGAATCGTGCAAAGATGGGAGCCATCACTGTGTCCTCTCCTAGGCACAGTACCACCTGATGCTGCACATCCAGATGCAGCTGTGTGAGCTCTCGCTGTGGGATTGGATAGTCGAGAGAAACAAGCGGGGCCGGGAGTATGTGGACGAGTCTGCCTGTGAGTACCATCTGGGTCTGCCGGGCCGGGAAATAGACACAGTCACACCTTCCCCATCTCATGTAGGAGTTGCCTCCAGGTGCTTTTTTTCATTTTTATTTTTTATTTATTTTATTTTTTTGAGACAGAGCTTTGCTCTGTTTGTTGCTCAGGCAGGAGTGCAGTTGTACACCCACTGCTTACTATAGCCTTGGCCTCCCTGGCTCAAGCGATCCTCCCACCTCAGCCTCCTGAGTAGCTGGGACTACAGGTGCATGCCACTATGTCTGGCTGATTTTGAAAAACAAAATTTTGTAGAGACAGGGTCTCATTATCCTGCCCAGGCTGGTCTCCAACTCCTGATCTCAAGCAATCCTCCTGTCCTCTCCTCCCAAAGTGCTGAGATTATAGGCGTGAGCGTCTGCACCTGGCCAGAATGTTTTCTTTATCAATTTTTGTGTTAGTCCTGTAAAACCTCTCCATCCTCTAAATGTATGTCATCATATTAATAGATGAATTAATTTACTTACATTTTTTGGGCCATATGCTGTGTCATTTTTGGAAAGTGAGGCATTCCAGATGATTGAATCATATTCCTGGAGCTAACATATTTTATCTTTTTTCTTATTCCATTATTTGTAATAATATCTTTAATCCACTGTGGGCTAGGATACCAGATTTATTAGCATTAAATCCCAGAATGTCAAGGGTTCAAGGGAACTTAAACTTTATCGACTCTAGTTGCCTGATACCCGAGAATTATTTAAAAAGTCATTAATACAGGGGAGGGCTGTGATTGAAGTTAGAGGTACTTTGTTTCTGGTTGACAAAGTCCATCAACTGTTGGGTGCTGGTTTGTGATGGTTTCTTTGCCAGCTGAGGAAGCCTTCCTGCTTATTTCTAGGTTTTAGACCATTCTGCAGCATTGACTTTGTTGAAAATCTAGATTGTTCTTAAGTGTCAGATGTTAATGTATTTAGAATGACATTAATATTTAGATGCCCATGTAATGAGTAAAAAAATTAGAGAAATAAAACTATTTTTTTTTACTTCAAGGTCCTTATGTTATGGCCAATGTTGCAACAAAAATTTTTCAAGAATTGGTAGAAGGTGTGTTTTACATACATAACATGGGAATTGTGCACCGAGATCTGAAGGTAAGTGGGGGCGATGAAATCATTGAAAGCAGTGGGAGCTTTGTATCAGGGACGACTTGATGTTGGTTGATTAAACTAAATAAGATTACATGTCCTAGTTCATTTGCTTAGGAGGTTATAATTACTGTCAGATAAGTCATTGTTCGATAGATCCAGAGTATGGAAACATTAGGTCGAATTTTTTTTTTTTTTTGAGACAGCATTTCGCTCTGTCACCCACGTTGGAGCGCAGTGGCACGATTACAGCTCACTGCAGCCTCCAACTCCCAGGCTCAAGCGATCCTCCCACCTCAGCCTCCCTAGTAGCTGAGACTACAGGCATGTGCTACCATGCCCAGCTAATTTTTAAATTTTTTTTTGTAGAGATGGAGTTTTACTATGTTGCCCAGGTTGATCTTGAACTCCTGGGCTCAAGTGATCCTCCCATCTTGACCTCCCAAAGTGCTGGGGTTACAGGTGTGAGCCACTGCACTTGGTTATAAGTTGAATTTTAAAGTAGTAATTTTGGGGCATTTGAAAATCCTCTGTGGAGTATAAGTACTTTTTTTCAGGTGCTCTGAGTACTGCTATAATCAGGGGTGCTAAATGTATTTAGTGCTGACAGAAATGCTCATTTATTATTGCAGACTTAGAGGTAAACTCTATTTCTATAATTATTCATCTTAAAGTTTAACAAAATCGGAAGTTTTTTTGCTGTTTTAGAAAAGTCTATAATGACTATTTGATTTTTATCCACAAAAGGCTATCAAGAAAGAGAGAAAATATATTTGTGTCTTTGGCTGAAGAGATTTAAATTAATTTGCTTACTTTTCAGCCCAAAGTTAAATCATGGAAAGGGCATGAAAAAAAAAAAAACCTAGGAACAAAAATGTTAATAGACAAATCACTTTGTATTTTGGAACATGTTCAAGAATCAGTAGTTTGTACATTTGGGATGTCACAGGTGATAGGTGAAGCATTTTCTGGGACATGTCTAGCCAGAAAATGCAGTTTGAGTGGCTGAAAGTCCCTCTGCTGTGAAACTGGGAGGTCTTATTTCAAGAGGTATATGCCAAGTCATAACAGCAGTAGACAGAATTCCATATTGTCACTGGGAGGAATTGCTTCAAGTGCTGTTTGTATTTCTCACCATAAATATTCCTGATGTTTCTTTTGCAGATACCCTGTAGGGATAAAGGTTTTTGCGATTGCTTTATTAGGGTGTCCCTTAAGAGGCGGAATTCTGGTAGCATGATTCCTGCAGGTAGAATTCCTTGGTTATTGGTCATTCTCAGAGGATAAGTGTGATAAAGTAGCCTGGCCAGAAGTGCCGTATCTCTTACATTGCAACTGCGCTGAAGGTACATATAAATTGGAGATTCCCCGTTTCTTGTTAAAATGTTAACATTTGCTTCAAATTCAAGCAGGAGATTGATGATTGCCTCTCTGCCTCCAAAGCATGCCTCATGGATGGCTGTTTGGCCCTTGTAGTCCTGGGCGTTGACTTTGGCTCCGTGAGTGAGTAGCAGACGGATGCAGCTGACCCCCGCCCCGAGGAGTCGGCCTGCTTTGCTTGATGCAGTGCACACTGCAAGCTTCAGGGGCGTGTTCCCCGTGGAAGAGACAGCACAGTTGACGTTTGCTCCATAGGCAATGAGCGTTTCCATCATCTCCTTATTCAGCATGTTTGCGGCCATGTGAAGGGGTGTCATGCTGGCTTCATTAATAGCATTGACATCGGCACCATTTTGGGTCAAAATGGAGAGAACTGGATAGCAACCATATGCTATGGCCAGGTGGAGTGGTGAACGTTTGTTGCTGATTTCCCCTTGAGTGTTCACTTGAGCTCCGTGCGCACACAAGATGCGGAGACATGTGATGCTGCTATTCTGAATGTCTGTCAGGATCCTGTGCGTTCTGTTGCCTGGTTTTGCCCACGTGGTGGAAGTGACTGGCCAGTGCAGTAGCATTAAGTTGAGTGTGGTGAGGCCTGTCGTGTCCCTAGAATGGGTATTGATTACACGTTACACTGAATTCACAGTGGGAACGGCTCTACGTGGACAGTTAATGCTTAAGAAGCCAGTATTTATTTAAAGTAAGACCCTTCAATTACCTTAAGGACGTGTTTCAAAATCTGTATCGCTGGGTAGTTTCTCAGGCTATCCCAGGGTTTTTCGTGGGATGTGGTGGGATGCATCACTACGTGATGGGGCCTAGCTTCATTTTATGTATATATAATTTTTTTTTTTGAAAAATTATTTTCACTTTTATACAATGTTGTGAAGAAGGCCCAGCTTCTTGGAGCAGCCTGTTTTACCTGTGCCGTCCCCGCTAGGGCTGTGTCCCTTCAAGGCTGTATCTTAGTGATTTCTGCAGTCTGGCACCTCACACAGTGCTGGGCTGGGTTACTGGCTTTCTGTGAAATTGTGTGGACTTGAGTGTGATCTGTTATTGCCACAGAAGTGAGCCGTGAAGGCCCGAACTCCCGTTGACTCCTTTCTTAGAGGCTCTGTCTCTGCTCTCCTACCCGACATTTTTCTGCGTGAGTGTGTAGGGAGCAGAAGTGACAGGGGTTGAATCTGAAGACCTGTGGTCATTCCGAAGTTCATTCCCTGCTCCAGGCCAGGTGGAATGGGCATTTTACAACTTGGCCCTCATCTCAGAAGCGCTTTCAAAAATTCCTTTGTTTTGGCAGAGCAAAAGGAAGGTTTATTATGTAAATCTAACTGCTCTGCTGAAATTAGAAAATGATTTTAGTTCACATAGATTTGTTTAGCGTGAGGCCCTAGGCTATGGATATGGTGAAACAGCAGGTGGCCCCTACCTTTGTAGGGCTTATAGTCTAGCAGGGAAGATAGACGTGAAACAGTGAAACAGCTCAGTAAATAGTGGAAGCCGGCAGAGTTCTAGAGAGGTGCAGAAGCCTCACATAGTGCATGCAGTATGCAGGGTAGGAAAGGGTCCCCTAAGGAGAATGGGGCGAGTCTGTGATGGTTGAGATGTGGAAGGGACTTCCAGAGGACTTGCAGAGCTGGGGTGGGGTGCTCAGGGAGAGGCTGGGAGCAAGACAGGTCAGGTGGGTTCTTCTGGAGCATGGTAAGGATTTGGGGCAAGAAGTTCTATTATTATTATTATTTTGAGATGGAGTCTTGCTCTGTCGCCCAGGCTGGAGTGTGGTGGCGTGATTTTGGCTCACTGCAACTGCTGCCTCACGGGTTCAAGCGATTCTCCTGCCTCAGCCTCCCGAGTAGCTGGGACTACAGGCGCCCGCCACCACGCCTGGCTAGTTTTTGTATTTTTAGTAGAGATGAGGTTTCACCAGGCTGGTCTCGAACTCCTGACCTCATGATCCACCCACCTCAGCCTCCCATGGTGCTGGGATTACAGGCGTGAGCCACCGCGCCCGGCCTATACTACTTAATTCTTTCATTCACTCGGATAGTATTACTGAGCACGTGCTAAGTGTCAGGCATTGATTTGGTTGAGGTGCTGGAGATACAGTGGTGCACAAGGTCAACTTCTCTTTCATGCGGCTTACCTTCTAGTGGAGAGTAATAAACAAGAAAATCCATTGTCGGCCAGGCACGGCGGCTCACGCCTGTAATCCCAGCACTTTGGGAGGCTGAGGTGGACGGATCACGAGGTCAGGAGATTGAGACTATCCTGGCTAACATGGTGAAACCCCATCTCTACTAAAAATACAAAAAATTAGCCAGGCGTGGTGGCAGGCGCCTGTAGTCCCAGCTACTTGGGAGGCTGAGGCAGGAGAATGGCGTGAACCCAGGAGAATGGTGCCACTGCACTCCAGCCTGGGCGACAGAGCGAGACTCTGTCTCAAAAAACAAAAACCAAAAATAAAGAAAATCCATTGTCTACCTATATTTTATTTTTCACACCTAACTTTGGTGGTTAAACTTATTGAAGGCCATGGCAAGGACTTTACTGCATTCCTCACAACACCACCATTGAGCTCTTAATCCTCAGAATGTGCATTAATTTGGCAAAATATTTATGATGTTGCATTTTTCTCAGTTTTTCAGAGTATCTCATCTACTCAGTAAAGACATTGGTTCATTCATAAGAACGAACAAGTCCAAACATAAGTGGAAAAAATGTATGAACTGAAAAAAAAATCTATATCAGGTATATCCTCACTTAGAAATGATTGTCAGTGAAGCTGGGTGCTGTGGCTGAGGGCTGTTAATCCCAGCACTTTGGGAGGCCGAGGCAGGTGGATCACTTGAGGCCAGGAGTTCAAGACCAGCCTGGCCAACATGGTGAAACCCTGTCTCTACTAAAAATACAAATGTTAGCTGGGCATGGTGACGCACACCTGTAATCCCAGCTACTCGGGAGGCTGAGGTGGGAGAAGCTCTTGAACCCAGGAAGTAGAGGTTGCAGTGAGGCGAGATTGTGCCATTGCACTCCAGCCTGGGCAACAGAGCGAGACCCCTGCCTCAAAACAAAAAAGAAAAAAAAAGAAATGATTTTCGGTGGAGTTAACTTACCTGACTTCTGGGTCAGCACC
This sequence comes from Homo sapiens, assembly GCF_000001405.40. Lineage (NCBI taxonomy): Eukaryota > Metazoa > Chordata > Mammalia > Primates > Hominidae > Homo > Homo sapiens. Next base: position 6,032,916 of record NC_000007.14, on the reverse strand, counting down.
GTGCCGTAACAGGCAGAGCAGACTCTGGGCCTTGTGGTACTTGGCAGCCAGATGGATGGGGATGATAGACTCTGTCGGCTTTGGAGGGAAAACAAAACACATTACAAGTGGCCCTGTGTAGTTAAAAATACTGTTTGTGTTAGCTTGCCGTTTCAAAGGCAATACATTTATTTAGTGTCTCATTGGCTCACTCTTTTTCTGGTATGTGCATTGAAAGTTTCCTTTCTACTACCTGTTTTAAATGATCAAAATTCAGTGAATTCCATCCTATAAAATCTGTGTTTCACAGAAATGCACATTTACTGAGGCAACAGAAATAACACTCAAAAGCTTTGGAAATTTTTGAAAGTTGATTCTTCAGAAGAGCCTGTGGTGTGATATTAAGGGTACTTGCTATGAAGTCACTTATTCCTTAAATTAACCCACAGGGTGATGGACAAGTAGGTGCTGTGTCGTTGCCAAAGTCGTATTATCAGCAGTAAAACCTGAATCTTCAGGGTTTTCAAATATAACGCAGCATATGTTCTGTCTATGATTAGCAGAGCTGTTTGTGCCAGCTCTTAAAATACACACGTGTAAGTAGTGGTTTCACACCGTGGCTGCAAGATAAGACAGTAGGGTACAAGGGAGGGTGACTTCCTTTTTGAATTTAATTGTAAAAGTAATAATCATTGTATAAAAATTTAGAAAATGAAAATGTATATATTAAAAAGGGAAAAACTATTTTTTGTTTGTTTGTTTGAGATGGAGTCTTGCTCTGTCATCCAGGCTAGAGAGTGCAGTGGTACGATCTTGGCTCACTGCAACCTCTGCCTCCTGGGTTCAAGCAATTCTCCTGCCTCAGCCGTCCGAGTAGCTGAGATTACAGGCTCCTGCCACCAAGCCCGGCTAATTTTTGTATTTTTAGTAGAGACGGGGTTTTGCCCTGCTGGCCAGGCTGGTCTCGAACTCCTGACCTCAGGTGATCCACCCACCTCAGCCTTCCAAAGTGCTGGGATTACAGGCATGAGCTACTGCGTCTGGCCAAAAAAGGGAAAAACTAATTTGACCACATGGAGATCATCACTGTGGGTATGTTTGAGAGATGACATGAATGGTCTTCCAGTCACACAGGGTCTGGTGTTTTCTCATGTTGGTTTGTGTGTGACATGTGTAGGGGAGGCTTTGCAGGCTTTGGGGAGCACTGCAGTGTGTGTGGAGTGAGCTGGAGTCGTGTCTCATTCTCATAAGGGCCGTGAGCTTAGTGGGTTCACCAGCTTTAGATCATGCTTCTTTCTAAGCAGCCTGACTTTTTTCCAGAAGTGACTGAGCAGAAAAGAGGGTACCTGGGTCAGAAGTAATCTGTTGCTGGCGGAGTTGGGCAGAATGGTGATGGGCTGGTTGACAGGGTGATTTCTCAGGAGTACCTCGATCGTAGTGCAGTCTTCTCTCATGATGGCTTCATAGAGTTTCGAGTGAAGTGCTGCAGATGGGCCATCTTCCAGGGACTTGGCACTGTCAACCACCAGGTCTCTGCTTCCTTTCCTGGTTATATTCCCCATGAGAAAAACTTAAGACTTCAGGGGAAAATGTTGTTATGGAATTGGTCAGTTTCAGTCTCTTTGTGATGATTCTTTCAGTTCAGTTCTAGAACTGTTCTAGAATTTGTCGAGAATTGGATCTGTGAAGGCAATCCATCAGTTTGGAACCAAGCGTCCAGACTTTGTTCCTTGATCATAGAATGTCAAATGTCAGCAGTTTTTAGGGTTTTCTACTCTATCATAAAAACATATTCAAGCTATCATCTTACACCTTTATTTCTGATTTCTCTCCAGTTCAAGTGTAGCTGAAACAATGATCAAAGCTAAAACAGAGGAATTTATACATTAAAATACAAAGTTAAAATTATTACTTTTAAAGTAAGAAAACTTTTAACCTTAAGTTATTTTTTAGTTTTTATTATAATAGAATCTTCCCTCTCCCCATTATGGGTTCAGTTTTTCTCCGGCATAGGAATAGTTTGGGAGATGTTTTGGGTCTGTACTCTTTGCTTAAATAAAGCCATTTAGTGTGATCTATTAGTTCCCAACCCTGGCTAATACATATGAGTTATCTGGGAGCTTTTAAAAAATATCAAAGTTGGCTGGGTGCGGTCGCTCATGCCTGTAATCCCAGCACTTTGAGAGGCCAGGGCGGGCAGAACATGAGGTCAAGAGATCAAGACCATACTGGCCAACATGGTGAAACCCTGTCGCTACTAAAAATACAAAAAGTAGCTGGCTGTGGTGGCGTGCGCCTGTAGTCCCAGCTACTCAGGAGGTTGAGGCAGGAGAATTGTTTGAACCTGAGAGGTGGAGGTTACAGTGAGCCGAGATGGCACCACTGCACTCCAGCCTGGCGACACAGCAAGACTCTGTCTTAAAGAAAAAAATCAGTTTTTTCGTAGTGCGAGAAACATGCTCACCCGTCCAAACCCAAAGAGTGAACTTAGAGGCACAAAGAACAGTGAAAGTGAGACTTTTAATAGCCCTCTTGCAAGGTCACGTGTCTGGTAGGCAGGTACACCCAGGGCAGTTACAACAGGTGATTTATCTCCTAGCATGCAAGACCCTACCTCAGTTCCTCACTGGTCAAGGACTACAGGGTTACGATCTTCCCGGACGTCGCCTAAGTTGCATTATCCCCTTAGAAGGTTATACCCTGGTCCCTTTCCCGCTTAAGTTTGGATTTCCCAGTAATGAAACTTTCTTCCCTTTTATGGGCTGACTCCTCTACATCCTGTTCACTTATTGTGATCTTCCAGGTGGATGAGCCATGTGGTTTGTTACATTTGCAGGCTGGCTGCCGGTGCTTAGATTTATCATGCCTTGAAAAAGCCATTTAAAATGTTTTCTCACACATAGAAAATCACGTCTCTGGACTCGACAGGACAGTCGTTTCTTTTCTTTTCTTTTTTTTGAGACAGAGTCTCACTCTGTTTCCCAGGCTGGAGTGCAGTGATGCGATCTCGTCTCACTGCAACCTCTGCCTCCCAGGTTCAAGCAATTCTGCCTCAGCCTCCCGAGTAGCTGGGATTACAGGCATGCACCACCACACCTGGCTAATTTTTGTATTTTTAGTAGAGATGGGGTTTCACCATGTTGGCCAGCCTGGTCTTGAACTCCTGACCTCAGGCGATTTGCCCGCCTCAGCCTCCTAAAGTGCTGAGATTACAGGTGTGAGCCACCGTGCCCGGCCGAGGACAGTCATTTCTAAGAGCTTCTTGGGTAATGATGTGCAGTAAGGGTTGGGAAGCACTTGTGTACAAAGCATGCTCTACATTAATATTCTCCAAATTTAGAATAGCCTTGGGACTTTTAATAATACTGATGCTTGCGTTCACCCGCAGGAGTTCTGATGCAGCTGGCCTGGGGAATGGTTGAATGTTGAGGTTTTTTTTTTTTTGAGACAGGGTTTTGCTCTTGTTGCCCAGGCTGGAGTGCAATGCCACAATCTTGGTTCACTGCAGCCTCTGACTCCTGGGTTCAAGCCATTCTTCTGCCTCAGTCTCCCTAGTAGCAGGGATTACAGGCACGTGCCACCACACCTAATTTTGTATTTTTTAGAGACGGTTTTTCACCATGTTGGCCATGCTTGTCTTGAACTCCTGACCTCAGGTGATCCGCCTGCCTCAGTCTCCCAAAGTGCTGGGATTACAGGCATGAGCCACTGCACCCGGCCAGATGTTGAGATTTTTAAAACTCCTGGATGATTCTGATGTGTAGGCAAATTTGGGAACTATTCCTCAAATATTTAACTTTTGAGGGGCTGCTTGCTCCTGAGTTCCAAACACTTAAAAACATTTACAAGATATTACTATTTGTTTTAAGAAAGCCAAGGAGTTGACTTGTTTTGTTTGTTGATAGCCAAGAAATATTTTTCTTCATGGCCCTGATCAGCAAGTAAAAATAGGAGACTTTGGTCTGGCCTGCACAGACATCCTACAGAAGAACACAGACTGGACCAACAGAAACGGGAAGAGTAAGTTTTTGGTTTTGTTTTGTTTTCTTTGCATAAGCAAAAGACATGGTTGCACATGTTAGTATTTAAAGAGAATCATAAAGATTTAATAGCAAAGGTAAGATAAAGATACAAAGCAACTGTTGTTCTCTTAGGAGCTACACTGCTTCCTCATAGTAAATGTTCTTTAATGTTGACAGCGCTAACTGCAATGTTTAATATGTGGCTTTTGAAATGATAGGAACACCAACACATACGTCCAGAGTGGGTACTTGTCTGTACGCTTCACCCGAACAGTTGGAAGGATCTGAGTATGATGCCAAGGTAGTATTTGTTGCTTTCTGCCCTTTCATTCAACTTATTCTGCAGTCTTAAATAACAATACAGGGTTGGGTGCAGTGGCTCACGCCTGTAATCCCAGCACTTTGGGAGGCCGAGGTGGGTGGATCACCGGAGGTCAGGAGTTCAAGACCAGCCTGGTCAACATGGTGAAACCTGGTCTCTACTAAAAATACAAAAATTATCTGGGTGCGATGGCACATGCCTGTAGTCCCAGCTACTCTGGAGGCTGAGGCATGAGAATCATTTGAATCTGGGAGGCAGAGGTTGCAGTGAGCCGAGGTTGCACCATTGCACTCCATCCTGGATGACAAGAGCAAAACTCCATCTCAAAAAAAAAAAAAACAAACAGTACAATGAAATGCAGAAGCTCTGTCATAGAGATGTTTTTGGAGATAACTGAGTACTGTAGATAATTAACTGGATCAAACTGTCCTAAGAAGAAACCTCACTTTTCAGTAGACTCTGTGTTGCCTACTTTACCATTTCAAAATCCACAGATGTCACAATTTTTTTGTTTGTTCATTTGTTGTTTTTGAGACAGGGTCTTGCTCTGTTGCCCAGGTTGGATTGCAGTGGTGTCATCATAGCTCATGGCAGCCTCCAACTCCTGGGCTCAAGTGATCCTCCCACCTCAGCCTCCCATGTAACTGTGACTTCAAGAGTTGTGCTACCACACCCAGCTAATAAAAAAAATTATTTGTAGAGATGGGTCTTGCTTTGTCCAGGTTGGTCTCAAACTCCTGGCCTCAAATGATTCTCCTCCCTTGGCCTCCCAAAGTGCTGGGATTAAGGCATGAACCTCTGCGCCTGGCCTAAATCGATTTTGAAATGAGCTTTCCCTTTAAAACATCACTGTTCACCTCAGGAAGCTAGAATTCATGGAAGCCTGTTTTCAGCCTTTCTTCTCATTGGTTTTTTTCAAGCTTTGGTAAATAAACACCAAGGGGAAGCCTGCCCCTTGACTCCCCTTGAAATAGAACGAACATGCTGTAAAGTTTGAATCTCCCTTGTTCCTGGAAGAAATGCTAAAATCCATTTTTCAAAACAACAGGCTAGTAAAATTTTCTTCCTTTTGATGGCGCATTGAGCTTTTTAGTGATTAGGAAAGAGCTGTCAGAAAAAATGATGGCTGCCCCTAAAATCTTGTTTAGTGAAGACCTTCCTAAAAAATCTGTTTTTAGGAGTAGTATCACAGATTTTATGCAGTTTGTTAAATGTCACCAAGGACACTTGGTAAGAATGAGTGGAGGCAGAGGTGAGACCGGAGGAGAACCCGCGACCTTCTGTGGCTCCCCCGCAGCTGACACTAGCAGGCGTGAGCTCACATCATTGCCTGGGTCAGGCCTGGATTGTTAAGGGGTGCTGAAGACAGTTGTATGGTCGTGACTGCTGTGGGTGGGGATTATCCCTGCCCTCCACCTGACCATCCATTCTGCGTGCCCACGGATGCCCCTTTTTGAGGTTGTGAAAGTCCCTGTCACTGATGAGCTATCCTGCTCTGTTCCCTTCCTTGTGGGTGACCGTATATCCTCATTCTTAGAAACCCTCTCCTGTTTGGAGGGTGGAACACGGAAATGGAAACGTTCTTCTAACTTTGTATTTCACTACTGAGTTCCCCTTTTTTTCTTTTTCCAGTCAGATATGTACAGCTTGGGTGTGGTCCTGCTAGAGCTCTTTCAGCCGTTTGGAACAGAAATGGAGCGAGCAGAAGTTCTAACAGGTTTAAGAACTGGTCAGTTGCCGGAATCCCTCCGTAAAAGGTGTCCAGTGCAAGCCAAGTATATCCAGCACTTAACGAGAAGGAACTCATCGCAGAGACCATCTGCCATTCAGCTGCTGCAGAGTGAACTTTTCCAAAATTCTGGAAATGTATGTGCTTTTCTTTCTCTTGGTCCTGGAGTGAAGGTGGTTTTTATTGCCTCTCTTGGGGAAGGAAGCGGTTGGGTGGTGCCCCCGGAGGCTGGGGCTGGAAGAGCCAGATGATGGTTCTGGAGGCGGGGCCTGTTTGTTCTCGTCCACTTCCTGGCACTCAGCTGCAGGGTGTGCTGGCAGGACTCACTCCCCTTGGGGTAGCAGCTGTGGCCTCAGCAGGCACAGGAGGTATCTGCTGGTGTTCACAAAGAGGAGCGGAGGGCTGGGGGCCAACCCCACAGCGAAGGCCGGTAGGAAACTTCCTGGGGCCTGGTGGGTGAGACTCCTTCCCGGAAAGGCCGGAGGGGCCCGCAGGGTTTGCACCTTCTCATGGCTAGGCCTTTAGATGTCCAGGTCAAACTCTGACCCTTCACCACCTGCCTGCTGTTCTGGGCTGTCTGTATGTCTGCCGGGGGCTCATCACTGGCAGGGCTGGTGACCCCGGAAGTGGTGGGCGGGTCCCTCGAGGGTGTTTTGGTCACTGGTGAGTTCAGCACTCTATTGGGAATTTCCAGTTGTACATGATCCTGGTACCTCCCCGGGTAGTGCTGAAGAGTGTGCCCGATGGGGTTGCTGCATTCCCTGCGCAGTACACAGTCATTGGACCACCGGGGAGAGGCAGGGGTGGCCTGGCGTGGGGGTCCGGCTGCAGCTGCTGCCCTGGACATGGTCTCTGTACATGTTTTTTTTTTAAATGCTGAGGAAAATATGAAGCTTAAAATAGAATTTGTTCAAATTGTGAATCCTGGCCAGGCGGGGTGGCTCATGCCTGTAATCCCAGGCATGGGATTTTGGGAGGCAGAGGTGGGAGGATTGCCTGATGTTAGGAGTTCAAGACCAGCCCGGCCAACATGGTGAAACCCCATCTACTAAAAGTACAAAAATTAGCCGGGCGTGGTGGTGCACACCTGTAATCCCACCTCCTTGGGAGGCTGAGGCAGGACAGTCACTTGAACTGGGAGGCGGAGGTTGCAGTGAGCTGAGATCACACCACTGTACTCCAGCCTCGGCGAAAGAGCGAGACTCCGTCTCAATATAAATAGTGAACCCTGTTTCAGTGAATAGTCGAGCTTAGACTCATATTTGTGCAAACAAAATATTTAAACCCATTCTCAGAGTTCCCTGACTGTATCAAGCACTAGGTTGAATACCAGTAGCATGCTTATATTCATTGTCCACGTAAGCAGGTTGACTCCCCACCGCCTGTCTACTCTAAGAGTTACAAGCATTGGGCGTGGTGGCTCACGCCTGTAATCCCAGCACTTTGGGAGGCTGAGGCAGGCGGATCATGAGGTCAGGAGTTCAAGACCAGCCTGACCAACATGGTAAAACCCCATCTCTACTAAAAATACAAAAATTAGCCGGTGTGAGCTACCATGCCCAGCCACAGATGTGGTTCTTGAAACCAAGTATAAACATTTATCTTCATATATGAAGGGGATTTTCTGATGCTCAGTTAAGATAGCTATTAGAGACCATAGTTATTTAGTATTTATGGTAAGGATTTCTACTATCTTGCAAAAGTTTTTTGTATAAAATGAAACCTTGGCTGGGTGTGGTGGCTCACACCTGTAATTCCAGCACTTTGGGAGGTCGAGGCGGGTGGGTCACTTGAGGTAAGGAGTTTGAGACCGGCCTGGCCAACATGGCGAAACCTCATCTCTACTAAAAATACAGAAACTAGCTGGGCTTGTATGAGAGCGCCTGTAATCCCAGCTACTTGGGTGGCTGAGGCACGAGAATAGCTTGAACTGGGGAGGCACAGGTTGCAGTGAGCCAAGATCATGCCACTGTACTCCAGCCTGGGCGACAGAGCGAGACTCTGTCTCAAAAAAAAAAAAAAAAAGTTATTTTAATGGAGTTTAAAATATTTTCTCCTTACAGGTTAACCTCACCCTACAGATGAAGATAATAGAGCAAGAAAAAGAAATTGCAGAACTAAAGAAGCAGCTAAACCTCCTTTCTCAAGACAAAGGGGTGAGGGATGACGGAAAGGATGGGGGCGTGGGATGAAAGTGGACTTAACTTTTAAGGTAGTTAACTGGAATGTAAATTTTTAATCTTTATTAGGGTATAGTTGGTACAATGCTTCGTTGTATTTAGTAAGCCTTTACAAGACTTGTTAAAGATGTCAGAGTGCCCCAAGCTGCCGTTCCTTCCCTTCCTGCCCCACAAGCTCCTTTTCCTGAATTTCCTACCTAAATATTAACCATATGCCTAGTCTCTGAAACTAAAAACTTGGACCTCATCCTCAATTATTTTCTCCTTTCAACTCTGTTGACCCTCTGTCTGGTCTTCCTCTAGAAGGTACCGCAGAAATTGATGTGTGCTCCCTGCCCTCGTCACTGCCCAAGCCCGGGCCTGCACATACTCACTGGACTGTTCCAGTTTTGACAGCTGCCAGTCTTCCTGCCCCTTTCACACTGCAGCTGAAGTTCATTACCTGAAGGACGCCTCATCATTTCATTCCTTGGCTCCAAACCTTCTGCTGCCTCTAAGATAAAAGCTCAACTTCTTAACAGTGTACAGTGTGCAACTTCCAACCTTTTTATCTGTTCTCTCCACCTTCAGTTTAGCGTCATTCCAAAACCACACCCTTGCAAAGCTTTGTACTCCGCACCCCAGATGATCTCCAGGCAGCTCAGATCTCTTTCCTGCCTTTGCCCTGCACTGTTCCCCGGTACTTCCTCCTTTATTGTAGCACTCAGCTCCCCAGCCAATCTGTACATCCCTCAGAGGCAGCGATCTGATGAATTGGTTTTTGAATCCCAGAAAGGGTCTGCCATGGAGTTGGCAGTCATCACGGTAGATGGCGTATGATTTTGCTGAATTTTAAATAAAATGAAAACCATAAATTACATGATGCTTTTATTGACACTTGACAACTGGCCTAAATAAAAAGACTCTGACTCTAATACAAGTCCCCTTACTGATAATAGGCATGAAAGAGCACCATTCTTAAAATCTAAACCCTTTAAAATCAGTTACGGCAATTCACTTAAGGAGCTTGAGGGCCGTGTTAAAAGGAGCCAGGTTTTCACAAGACCTCATCCACCTCTGCACATTGGCTGGCACTGTCACACTGCAGCCTCCGATCTGCTGGAGTACAGACCACAGCACCACGTCTGCTACGGTGAGTTCATTCCCAGCGAGCCAAGGGCTCTTCCCAAGAGCAGAGTTCATGGAGCGGAAAACAGCGGCTTTTTCTTTACTGCTTCCCTCTTTTAACTGAAAAATCGCAATATCTACCCAGCTATCTATAAGGGTTGCGTTGACAGCATTATGCTTCTGGCCAAACAGAGAGAACAAGAAACGTGCAATGTTCCCTTCGCCTTCGATGGGGCACATCGTCTGGATGCTGAATTTCATCTGCGTCTTCGGCACTGAAAAGAAAAAACACGCCAGGTAGCATCACCAGAGCAGCCCTGAGGGAAGTACTCGCACAGTGGGGAAGGGGACAGTCACCAAACACCACAGACTGATGACATGGGAAAGGGTGTTTTCAAGAAGAACATCACATTTTCAGTCTGTCTCTAAGATGCTTACTACTGAAAAGGGTTTAAGTGCAAACTATGTTAAAAAAGTAACCAAAGAGTCATTCCTGGTATTTGATTATGACACTTCTGAAGCTAGAAGGGACCTCAGACCACCTGCTCCAATCCCTGCTGCCTAAGGTTTTGGGGGCTGAGGGCTGGAAACCCAGGAGCTGCATCTCCCAGGCTCTTGGCCTCATAATCGCCTTCTGTGAGACTGAGGGCAATTAAGATATGAATGACATGAACTCGCTTATCTCCATATCAACATAAACCAGAAGAGGCATACATCTGTGGGATAGTCAATACATAACATCCTATCTTTATATGGCCATATGAGAAGATAACTTCAGTGTCCCTATGATGGTAAGTTCTTGAATGTGAGGGCAAGATGGCTGTGATAGCCATGACTCCCCGCTTTGCCTGGTTGGACAGAACCCCCTTCCCCAAATGCTCACAGTCCCCCCCTTGAGCTGTGTCTCACTCAGAGACCCTAAATTTTGCAGACGAACAAGGGCATCTTTGCGTTGCTTCATCTCTGCTCCTCCTCTAGAACTATCCCACAGGCTTTCTAGACTTAGAATATCTGACCTGATGCAAATCGCTATGTGGCCAGTATGCCACAGAATGTCCTAAACCCTTGCTGCCTCTTATCAAAACCATGTTGCACATCTCATCATATAGTACAGCTAACCCTTGAACAGTGGGGGGGTTAGGGACACTGACCCCCGACTGCTGTGCAGTCGAAAATCCACATAAAACTTCTGACTCCTTCAAAACTTAAGCACTAATAGCCTACTATTCATGGGAAGCCTTACCCATCACAGTTGATTAACACGTTTTGTATGGTCTGTATATTATATGCTATATTCTTACAATAAACTTGAGAAAATGTTAAGAAAATAATAAGGATGCTGGGCATGGTGGCTCACACCTGTAGTCCCTGCTGCTTGGGAGGCTGAGGTGGGAGGATCACTTGAGCCCAGAAGGTTGAGGCTGTGGTGAGCTATGATCGCACCACTGCACTCCAGCCTGGGAGACAAAGCAAGACCCTGCCTCTTTAAAAGAAAATGATAATGAATTTACTATTCATTAAGTTGAAGTGGATCATCATGAAGGTCTTCATCCCACTGTCCTCATGTCGCTGAGGAAGAGGGGTTGGTCTTGCTGTCTTGGGTGGAAGAGGTGGAGGAGGTAGAAAGGGAGGCAGGAAAGGACGAGAGGCAAGCACGGTGTAACTTTAGGGAAATACATCATAATTTGTCTGACTTTTTGCCTTTTGATTTCTCTAAAAATAGTTGTGTGCAGCATCAACCCTTCCACTGCTTGCTTTAGTTTCAGTGCTTATATCATAGAAGACTCCAGGTCGTAAAAGAAGTCAAAAGCAGCCTTGAATAATCAGAAGCCTTCTCCCAGACTGTCTAATGGAAATCTGTTTTCCAGCCCGGCTTCTCCTAGGTCTTCTTCCTCAACGTCTGGCACTGGTTTGGAAGCACTTCTCTCCATTAAGCTGTCTTATGTTAATTCTTCTGTGCAGTGTCTGTCAGCCCTTGAATTTCTCCAAGATCTATACCCTGAAACTCTTCACCACCCACTTTTGCCCCATCTATGATCTATTTCATGGTTTCCTTGATTGTCGTAAATCCTATGAAGTCACGCACATCTGGACACAGGTTTCTCCAGGAGGAATGTACTGTTTCACCATGATGGCTTTCACAGCTTTTTATACGATGATGGCCTCTTCAATGATGTAATCCTTCCAGACTCTTCAAGATGTTCTAATCAGGGTTCTCTTTTTTTTTTTTTTTTTTTTTGAGATGGAGTCTTGCTCTGTCACCCAGGCTGGAGTGCAGTGGCGCGATCTCACTACAACCTTCACCTCCTGGGTTCAAGCAATTCTCCTGCCTCAGCCTCCAAAGTAGCTGGAATTACAGGCATGCGCCACCATGCCCAGCCAGGGTTCTCTTTCATAGCACTGACAATTTCATAGAGTACTGTGTGTAATGAGCCTGGGGGCAAGTAGACGACTTTGACGCCCTTGGTGTTAACTCGTGGGGCTCTGAGTGCCTGCAGCATTGAAGAACTTTAAAAAGGTGTACCTTACTGGCAAGGTACATCCTGACTTCAAGGACAAGGCATCAATGGAATTAATCCAGAAAAAGCGTTCTTGTCCAGACGTTGTACAACCAAAAGATCAGCAGCTGTGTTTATCTTTTCCCGTTAAGTCTCAGGTGTTAGCAGTTTTATAGGTAAGAGCTCGCCTGATCATAAACACAGCTGCACCTGCACAAAACAGGACAGTTAGCTTAGCCCTGCGTGCCTTCAATCCTGGGGCTCACTTCCCTTCTTTACTTAATAGATGTCCTTTGTGGTTCCCTCCCATGCCCCCAGATTAGGGCAGTTTTGTCTGCATTAAAAACCTGTTGACACAGGTATCCCATCTCCTCCATGATTTTCTTTATGGCATCTGGGAACTTGTCTGCTGCCTCTTGGTTGGCGGAAGCTGCTTCTCCTGTTATCTTGACATTTTTAAAAGCCAAACCTCTTCCTAAAATTATCAAACCATCATTTGCTGGCATTAAACTCTCCAGCTTTAGATCTTTCACCATCCTTTGGCTTCAAGTTGTCATATAATGACTTTGCTTTTTCTAAAATCTTATGAGAGTCTATAGGTATGCCTAACAGTAATCCTGCACCCCACATAAAAGCTGCATTTTCTTTTCTTTTTTTTTGAGACGGAGTCTGGCTCTGTAGCCCAGGCTGGAGTATAGTGGTGTGATCTCGGCTCACGGCAACCTCCACTTCCTGGGTTCAAGCGATTCTCCTGTCTCAGTCTCCTGAGTAGCTGGGATTACAGGTGAAGGTCACCATGCTGAGCTCATTTTTGTGCCTTTAATAGAGATGGGGTTTCGCCATATTGGTCAGGCTGGTCTTGAACTCCTGATCTCAGGTGATCCACCCACCTCAGCCTCCCAAAGTGCTGGGATTACAGGCATGAACCACCACAACCGGCCAAAATCTACATTTTCAATGTGAGATGAATAGGTATTCTGCAAAAAGTGCAAGGTTTTTGCACCTCCTGGTGCAGCTATAGTGACGCCTTCATGAATTTCCCTTTTTTTTTTTTTTTTTGAGATGGAGTCTCGCTCTGTCGCCAGGCTGGAATGCAGTGGTGCGACTTCAGCTGACTGCAACCTCCACCTCCCAGGTTGAAGCGATTTTCCTGCCTCAGGCTTCCAAGTAGCTGGGACTACAGGCACGCACCACCACGCCCAGCTAATTTTTGTATTTTTAGTAGAGATGGGGTTTCACCATGTTGGCCAGGATAATCTTGATCTCTTAACCTCGTGATCTGCCCTCCTCGTTCTCCCAAAGTTCTGGGATTACAGGCGTGAGCCACTGTGCCCGACCAAATTTCCCTTTTTTTAAACAATGGTTCTTACACTGAATTCATTTATCTTGAAGTGGCAGCTGCAGACTTCTGGTACATATCAAGCAATTCACCTTTCTCATGTAATCTCATGACTTTTCTCTGCTTCTTGGGAACATTTTCAGTATCACAAGAGACACTTTGTAAGTGTCCCACAGTGTTAGTCAAGGTTTATGGCAATGCACGATGGAAAAATAGCCAAGAACCTCAAGAGATCTCTTTTTTTTTTTTTTTTTTTGAGACGGAGTCTTGCTGTGTCGCCCAGGCTGGAGTGCGCTGGCGTGATCTCGGCTCACTGCATCCTCTGCCTCCCGGGTTCACACCATTCTCCTGCCTCAGCCTCCCAAGTAGCTGGGACTACAGGCGCCTGCCACCATGCCTGGCTAATTTTTTTTTTTGTATTTTTTAGTAGAGATGGGGTTTCACCGTGTTAGCCAGGATGGTCTCGATATCCTGACCTCGTGATCTGCCCGCCTCGGCCTCCCAAGAGGTCACTTTTGACTGCAACATGCAATTTCCTGGAGAGATGAATTAGCTGCTCACACCGAGATGATTAGCGTCACAGGGTGTCTGAAGCAGATTGAAGCAGACACTCCCCACGCTGGAGGCGGCTGTGAAATTATTCCAGCAGTACAGTCTGTTTGTTCCACAATTAATGTTACGCAGTTGGGATTTCATGCTCATCTTCACGTTTGTTTACATTTCTCTCAACTGCAAGTGGTGCCATGTATTGTGTGTGTGTGTGTGTGTGTGTAAGGTTTGATACATTTTAACTTTTTAAAATAGATTTGTGTATATTTTGTGTATGTAAATAATAGACTAGTATGTAAATATTTTATGCCTCATATCTTTTTCTTGTTTTGATATTTTTCTTTTTTCTTTCTTTTTTGAGATGGAGTCTCGTTCTGTCGCCCAGGCTGGAATACAATGGCGTGATCTTGGCTCACTGCAACCTCCACCTCCTGGGTTCAAGTGATTCTCCTGCCTCCGCCTCCCGAGTAGCTGGGATTACAGGCGCCTGCTACCACACCCGGCTAAGTTTTGTATTTTTAGTAGAGATGGGGTTTCACCATGTTGGTCAGGCTGGTCTTGAACTCCTGACTTTGTGATCTGCCTGCCTTGGCCTCACAAAGTGCTGGGATTACAGGCGTGAGCCCCTGCGCGTGGCCTTGTTTTGATATTTCTAGGCTATGCGGTTTGTCTGCCAGTTTTTTCAGATTGCTGCAAATCTCCAAAAAATTTTCCAAGATAGTTATTGAAAAAAATCCACATGAGGCCCGGGCCTGGTGGCTCACGCCTGTAATCCCAGCACTTTGGGAGGCTGAGGCAGGTGGATCATGAGGTCAGGAGTTTGAGACCAGCCTGACCAATATAGTGAAACCCCGTCTCTACTAAAAATATAAAAAAAATTAGCTGGGCCTGGTGGTGCGCGCCTGTAATCCCAGCTACTCAGGAGAATGAGGCAGGAGAATCGCTTGAACCCAGGAGGTGGAGGTTGCAGTGGGCCAAGATTGTGCCACTGCACTCCAGCCTGGGTGACAGAGCGAGACTCTGTCTCAAAAAAAAAAAAAAAAAAGAAAAAGAAAAAAATCCACATGTAAATGGACTCATGCAGGTGAAACTCATGGTGTTCAAGGGGCAGCTGTGTGTAAGTTGAACTCAGTCCCGTCTACTTACCATTCTTCCAAATTAAAGTGAATCCCAGCTGATAGTCTTGGCGGGGCTGTTTTTTATTCTGTTCTCCAAAGCACTTGAGAAGGTTTTCAGGCACGCTCTTGACCGAGGAGTGCGTGTGCACCGTGGACAGGACCCTGAAGTGCTCACAGAGCAGCCTGTGCAGCACAAGCAGGGAGAGGGGAGGGGAGGCCGGGTTTGCGTTGATCACGATGTCTTTCAGCGCCCCGTAATCCTGGGGAAAGACCAAGACAATGTACGAATAACAGTCATCGGAGAGTGCCACTGTGCCGGGCGCGAGTCTAAGAACCTAACCAGGGTTATCTAACCGACTCCGCCACTTCCATGAAGACGGCACTAGCGTCATCTCCACGTTGCAGCCAGTAACTTATCCAAGGTCACTCGCTCAGGACGGAGTGGAGCTGGGATATGAGCGGACTCCACCCCCTTACCCCCAACAAATAAAAAGTTGACTCTACTGTCAAATAAAACAACATATGAGGAATGACACTTTTTTTTTTTTTTTGAGACAGAGTCTCACTCTGTCACACAGGCTGGAGTACAGTGGATGATCTCTGCTCACTGCAACCTCTGCCTCCACAGGTTCAAGCGATTCTCCTGCCTCAGCTTCCTAAGTGGCTGGGACTACAGGTGCCTGTCACCATGCCCAGCTAATTTTTTTTTTTTTAATTTTTAGTAGAGATGGGGTTTTGCCATGTTGCCCAGGCTGTTCTCGAACTCCTGACCTCAAATGACCTGTCCGTCTTGGCCTCCCAAAATGCTGGGATTACAGATGGGAGCCATGGTGCCTGGCCTAGGAATGACACTTTTATTTGTCCCTTTTAACCTGCAGTTATTCCAGCTACTCAATCTTTCCAACAGCTGACCACGGCCAATTTGTGTTCATTAAGATGTTTCCATGAAGAACCCCTTAAGAAGGGGTGTTGGCCCAAGATATCATTGATGATGAGGGATGGGGAGATGCTAAAATACTAGGCGTTAACTGAAGTGCTCAGACTGACAGCCTTGTTTATTCCCACTGTGTAACCCTCTTCAGTGCCAGTGGCCCACGGGTACAGAAGCCAGGCAATGGTTCGGGGCCACAGTTTGCTCTGGCATGGGGCACTATGAGAGGTCCAGGGGGATGGGCCTGTCATAATCCAAACCCATGCATGACAGCCTTTTTAGATAAAGACTTTCTTATTCTACGCTTTCACTCGTAATAATGAATGCACTGATGTGAACACTCACGGCCAAACTCCTTGGCTTTCTGTACCCCGCCTGCCACTCCTGACCAATATCCCACACGTCGGCCTAGGCAGAATGCCTTGCAGTTCCCTGAACATATTGTATTACTTGACGCTGGGTCTTCTGAGGTATCAAAATTCATCTTGAGCACCACATGCTCTGAGATACCTCCCCAGCACCCTGAGAAATGACTCAGGGTCTTTTCTCAGTCATTTCAGCCGCGCATGCTCGAAAACTCATCTGCTAGGCTCCGGCTCCCTGAGGGCCTGGTTGCACCTCATCTGAGTCCTCAGTGCATGCCAACAAGTACTGAATGAATGAGGGAGCAGAGGAAGGAATACATGAATGCAGAGGTACTGAGGTTACCAAATATCCCAGCCCTGGGTGAGACACCACAATGCTTGCATTTTTTAGGGCTTTAAGTAGTGCTATTCTATCACCCATTCTAGAGGAGGCTATTGATAGGGATTCTTGGGACAAACCCTTTTGCATCCTCAAATAAATATCACATTGTGGTTAACAAACGAGGTGGTCTTTCTTTGCATATCAGATTCTCCCCTAAATTAGCTGAAGCCTGTAAACTTCAATCATGAGAGCTGGCTGATGCAACTTACTTGTAATACAGCAAACTGAGTTCAAGCAAAACGCATTTGAAATATGAGACTGACTGGCCTAAGCAGTACATTTCAAAAGGATGGGTAGGATTTTTGTACTTGGGCAGTCACAGTTCTGAAAGTTGGCCTGTGATCAGAGAGAGTCCGGGCTGCCTCTGCTGAACCTCTGGGGAACACTGAGCAAGCAAGCTGAGATCTGTTCTTCCAGGGCTCAGAAGCTGCTGGACCCATGCCCGGACTGGCAGAGGCTGTAACTCTCTTCCACTCCTTCTCTACCTACAGATCCTCCCTGTCCTCTACGTGCTCTGAGAAGTCAAGAGGAGGCTTTAGAGCTTGTTTTGACTTCACTCCTGCCCTGGGACTCTGTTCTGTGCAAAGGCACACTCATTTAGAGAAGAAAAAAATATGAACATGCTCTTGGCTCTGCCTTTGAAAACCAGAAAGCTAGTTTTGTTTTTGTTTTGAGACGGAGTCTCGCTCTGTCGCCCAGGCTGGAGTGTAGTGGCGCGATCTCCGCTCACCACAAGCTCTGCTGCCCGGGTTCATGCCATTCTCCTGCCTCAGCCTCCCGAGTAGCTGGGACTACAGGTGCCCGCCACCACGCCCGGCGAATTTTTTGTATTTTTAGTAGAAATGGGGTTTCACCACGTTGGCCAGGATGGTCTCGATCTCCTGACCTCATGATCTGCCCGCCTTGGCTTCCCAAAGTGCTGGAATTACAGGCGTGAGCCACCACGCCCGGCCTGAAAGCTAAGGCTTTAATCACAGCAGCACAATTTCCCTGCACTAACCACTCAGTACCTACTAACGTTTCAGCTTTCAAAACGAACCTACCTTCCCAAGCACTGAATTCAAGTCCAGCGCATTGGTGGTTAAAGTCGTGGGCTCATCCGCTTGGATTATGTTGGTTACATCCAAGTCTGCATCTGGTGTTTGAATCATCTTGGAGAGGCCATCAACTGCAGCTTTCAACTCATACAGACGTTTTAAAATATCATCTTGGCGGGACTCAAGAGCTTGCAGAGACAGGTTAGACTCTTCCTAAACAAACCAACAGCCAAATGTTCATTTCCTCTCCCATCAGACCAGTGTTGTTTAAATTTGATCACTTGTCTTACTTTGCCATGCACTCACCAAACCTCCCACCCTTTAAAAGAAGACATTATGGGCTGGGTGTGGTGGCTCACGCCTGTAATCCCAGCACTTCGGGAGGTCCAGGTAGGCAGATCATCTGACGTCAGGAGTTCAAGACCAGCCTGGCCAACATGGTGAAACCCCGTCTCTACTAGAAATACAAAAATTAGCCTGGCATGGTGGCACGCAACTGTAATCCCAGCTACTCGGGAGGGTGAGGCAGGAGAACCACTTGAACCCAGGAGGTGGAGGTTGCAGTGAGCCGAGATGGCACCACTGCACTCCAGCCTGGGTGACAGAGTGAGACTCCATCTCAAAAAATAAAAATAAAAAAAAATAAAAGAAGACATTATGGGATGCAAGTCTGCAAAGCCTTAATTACAAAGTAAAGAAACAAAAAGGAAAAAGACATTAAAATACAGGAGCAGAAACATCTCATTTTCCCCATAGTCCAATAGGTCCCTGCAAATTGATCCCCAAATGCTTAAAACAAGGCCAGGTGCGGTGGCTCATACCTGTAATCCCAGCACTTTGGGAGGCTTGAGGGCAGGTGGATCACCTGATTTCAAGAGTTTGAGACCAGCCTGGCCAACATGGTGAAACCCTGTTTCTACTAAAAATACAAAAATAAGCCAGGTGTGGTAGTGCATGCCTGTAGTCCCAGCTACTCAGGAGGCTGAGGCAGGAGAATCGCTTGAACCCGGGAGGCGGGGGTTGCAGTGAGCCAAGATCGCACCACTGAACTCCAGCCTGGGCGACAGAGCAAGACACCGTCTCAAAAAAAAAAAAAAAAAAAAAAAAAGCTTCAACAAATAAAAGTTGTGGCTAAAAGCCACTCTGAAATTGTATGGTTCCTATTTCAGGTAATTTAGTCTTAACAACAGGGAAGGATAGAAAATGAACACAATTTGTAGTTCTTTGTTCTTAACAAACTAAGAATACTTTGCTTAAATAAGTAGCAATGAGAATGTAACTGAGTAATTTATACAAATAGGGAAAAGGGAACACAGGTTGAAACACTTTATTTTAGCTTGGAAGCACGTCCATGGGGCCAAGTAATCAATTCCACAAATCATTTTCTTGTCTTTTTTTTTTTGTCCTGGAGACAGGGTCTCACTCTATTGCCCAGGCTGGAGTGCAGGGGTGTGATCATGGCCCACTGCAGCCTTGACTTCCTGGGCTCAAGTGATCCTCCTGCCTTAGTCTCCTGAGTGCCTGGGACTACAAGTGTGTGCCACCAAGCCTGGCTAATTTTTAAATTTTTTTGTAGAGACAAAGAACTGCGCTATGTTGCTCAGGCTGGTCTCAAACTCCTGTCCTCAAGCCATCCTCCCACCTCAGGTCCCAAAGTGCTGGGAAGACAGCCGTGAGCCACCACACGTGGCCAGGCCACCATTCTTCACCTAGCCTATTCCACCTCGCACCCATTCTAGTCCACCCCTGCAAACCATCCTTTAAGATGGCAGCTGGAAAGACTTAAAAAGAAACTCAAGGCTGGGCGCGCTGACTGATGCCTATAATCCTAGCACTTTGGGAGGCCGAGAGGGGCAGATCACCTGAGGTCAGGAGTTCGAGACCAGCCTGGCCAACATGGTGAAACCCCGTCTCTACTAAAAGTACAAAAATTAGCCAGGTGTGGTGTGGGTGCCTGTAATACCAGCTATTCAGGAGGCTGAGGCAGGAGAATCGCTTGAACCCGGGAGGCGGAGGTTGCAGTGAGCAGAGATCACACCACTGCACTCCAGCCTAGGCGGCAGAGTGAGACTGTTTCCAAAAAAAAAAAAAAAAAAAAAAAAATCAGATATTGTCAATGTCTCCCCCTTGCTAACCTGCTAGGTGCTTAGGATAAAATGTCAAACATTTAACATGGCTTCACAGACATTTTGTATCATTTGGCCTCTGGCTACCTTACCTCACCCAATTTCGTCCTTTGCCTGTGCTCTAGCCACACTGTCCGAGGAGTTCCTAAACCACCACCCTGGCTCTGACCACAGATCTTCACATGTGCTGTTCCCTCCATCTGCATCACTCTTCCTTCTTCTCTTGTTTGCTTAACTCCTATTTACCTTCGGGCTTAATCAGCACTTTCTCACCTCTCCTAGTCTGCTGCTCTTATTTAAGATCAAACGTCAGAGAAATGTGAAGTCCACTGACTTCCGGGTGGAACAGAGTTCAGTATGCCAATTAAATTATTGAGTGCTGGCTAGGCACAGTGGCTGATACCTGTAATCTCAGCACTTTGGAAGGGCGAGGCGGGTGGATCACTTGAGGTCAGGAGTTCGAGAGGACAACATGATGAAACTCCATTTCTACTGAAACACAAAAATTAGCTGGGCTTGGTGGGGGGCACCTGTAATCCCAGCTACTGGAGAGGCTAAGGCAGGAGAAAATTGCTTGAACCCGGGAGACAGTGGCTGCAGTGAGCTGAGATTGCGACATTGCACTCCAGACTGGGTGACAGAGTGAGACTCTGTCTCAAAAACAAAAAAAACCTCGGTCAGGAATGAAGAATGTCTGAAGTACTGTATGTGTAACGTGGCTTGTGATTTTTAAGCCCTGAGTGCAGCGTGATCTAGTCCTTCGTGATCTGAGTAATAACAAAATGTTCAAGATCTGTTTTATGTCATTCGTGTCTTCTAATGTTGGCCTGTTGTTTTCCTTGCTGAGACTAGACTGTGATGTGGTATACTGTTTTTCTCCATTAGTTTTAATTTATATGTATTTATAAACAGCTTATTCTTCATGTTGCTTTCATTTACCCTGGAGATACTTGATTGCTTTTTTTCTTTTTTTTTTTTTTGAGACAGGGTTTTACTCTGTTGCCCATGCTGGAGTCCAGTGGCAGGATCACAGCTCAATGCAGCCCTGACCTCCTGGGCTCAAGTGATCCTCCCACCTCAGCCTCCTGAGTAGCTGGAACTACAGGCACATGCTACCACACCTGGCTAAGTTTTGTACTTTTTGTAACAATGGGGTTTCACCATGTTGCCCAGATTGGTTTTGAACTCCTAGGTTCAAGTGATCCTCCTGCCTTGGTCTCCCAAAGTGCTGGGATTACAGACGTGGGCCACTGCGCCTGGCCAAGATGTTTTATGGCTAATTATTTGTCCGCATTGTTATCACCTCCTAGAGAAACTGCTAGAAGAGTGAGATTATGTGTCCTCTAAGTTCACAAAAACCCAAAAGAAGTTAGGCAGCAGACTTAAAAACAAATAAAACAGACTCTGCAAAACTTGGCCTTAAATGAAAGGTGACATTCTCCAACCTGGATTGTCTTTTTGGCTTCATGGGACTGTGCAGTTGGAGGGTGACTGGGCCCTGTTTCCACGGCACTCTCTAGGTGCAGGGACCATTGAACTATGTCTGCTATTTCTGTCTTAGCTCTGTACTGAAATAACAGTTGTGTTATTGGGTTTCAAAAGAAAGTCTGTCCCTCCTGATCTAGGCAGAAAGCCATTAAAGAAAACAGAAGGATAACAAGCAGTGGGAAAACAGACCAGAAAAGTTACCGATTCACCCATCTTGTGTCAGAAATGGACAGGCCTGTTTCTCCTGCTGGAAACCTAGGATGTACGTTTGCAATGAGAAAAGAGTGAAAGACTTGAGCAGGTACATTACAAAAGCACAATCACAGCGGCCAGTGAATATGAAAAGGTCCTCAAGTTAGAGAAGTCTGGAGAAATCCAAACTAAAACTACCTTAGGATACCACGCTACACCCACCAGCTTTGGGCAGGGTGCAAACATCAGGAATTCTTC
Organism: Homo sapiens; assembly: GCF_000001405.40. NCBI lineage: Eukaryota > Metazoa > Chordata > Mammalia > Primates > Hominidae > Homo > Homo sapiens. The sequence continues at coordinate 6,011,294 of NC_000007.14, read as the reverse complement.
TACCCTGCTGGTGAGCGGTGAGCGAGCGCATAAACCAGTATAACTTTGGAAAACAATTTAATAGAGTGGAAAGCCAGGCGGGCCGCTGAGCCAGCAGTCCCATTCATTAGTACATACCCCATGCCTGCTCCTCTGTATAAGAGTATTCACTGCAGGACTGTTCATAGCAAGTTAAAATGGAAAACAATCCAGTGTCCCTGAGCAAGCAGGATGGATAAGTATATGGTGGAGAGTCATGCAATAGAACGGTATAGTACAGAGATGATGAATACTTCTGATATTACAATAAAATGACTCCTAAAATAATATCTACGAAAAAGAAGCCAGGGCTGGGACCCAGTGGCTCATGTTTGTAATCCCAGCACTTTGGGAGGCTGGGGTTAGAGGATCGCCTGTGGCCAGGAGATTGAGACCACCTTGGGTCTCCATAACCACCTTTTATGTAGAGATGTGGTAAGACCTCATCTCTACATTAAAAAAAAAAAAACACCCAGACACATCAGACTATACGCTGTATGCTTACCTATATGAAGACTATTGTTTAGGGGCCGGGCACGGTGGCTCACACCTGTAATCCCAACACTTTGGGAGGTCGAGGCGGGTGGATCTCTTGAGGTCAGGAGTTCGAGATCAGCCTGGCCAACATGGTGAAACCCCGTCTCTACCAAAAATAGAAAAATTAGCCGGGTCCAGTGGACAGCGCCTGTAATCTCAGCTACTCAGGAGGCTGAGGCAGAGAATTGCTTCAACCTGGGAGGCAGAGGTTGCAGTGAGCTAAAATCACACCACTGCACTCCAGCCTGGGTGATAGAGTGAGACTCCATCTGAAAAAAACAAAAAAAAAAACAAAAAACCAGACTATATTGTTTAGGGATAAATAGTTGACAAAATAATAGAGACAAGCAAGACATAATTACCATAAAAATCAGGACCTGGGGTTGGGGGTGGAGAGGGAAGGTTTAAGTGGAAAGAATGGAGTGGTGACAATGTGTGTCAACCTGGGCCATGGTGACCCTGGGGTTCGCTTTGTAATTCCTCAAAATGAGCATTTATGTGCTATTCACTTTTCAGAGGGTAGAATCTCTGAACCAAAATGTTTAAGCAACCATATATTAAAAAAAGAAAAAATATGGACAGATTTGTATTTTAATTAAAACATTTAAAAAATAGAGACAAGGGTCTCGCTATGTTGCTGAGAGTGGTCTCAAACTCTTGGGATTCAATTGATCCTCCCGCCTCAGTCTCCCAAAGCGCTGAGACTCCAGGCGTGAACCACCGCGCCCGACCTGGAAAGATACATACATATATATATATATATATTTTTTTTTTTTTTTTTTTTTTTTTTGAGATAGAGTTTAGCTCTTGTTGCCCAGGCTCGAGTGCAATGGCTCGATCTCAGCTCACTGCAAACTCCGCCTCCAGGGTTCAAACGATTCTCCTGCCTCAGCCTCCCGAGTAGCTGGGATTACAGGCGCCTCACCACACCCGGCCAATTTCTGTATTTTTAGTAGAGACGAGGTTTTACCATGTTGGCCAGGCTAGTCTCGAACTCCTGACCTCAGGTGATCCGCCCGCCTCGGCCTCCCAAAGTGCTGGGATTACAGGCGTGAGCCACGGCGCCCGGCCTGGATAAATCTTTTAAAACATAAAAGTCTGAGTGAGTCCCTGGCCGGCCGGCACAGATGCCGGGGTGGGGCCGTGAACCGGTTGGGACGCGCTCGCTCCGGCCTGGGGGGACCCGGGCCAGCAGCCGGTCGCCGCGCGTGCGCACTGGGCGGGGGGCCCCGCGCTCCTACCTGCACGTGGCCAGCGCCCGGCGCTGGGCCGTAGCTCCTGCCGTGCACGTTGGGGAGCCGGTACATGCAGGTGGGAAGCTCCACACGGAGAGGCGCGCCGCCCCCGTGATAGGGCTTTACCTGGTACATCGGCATGGCAGAACCAAAGCAAAAGGGGGTAGCGCGTGCCAAAGGCCAACGCTCAGAAACCGTCAGAGGTCACGACGGAGACCGGCCACCTCCCTTCTGACCCTGCTGCGGGCGTTCGGGAAAACGCAGTCCGGTGTGCTCTGATTGGCCCAGGCTCTTTGACGTCACGAAGTCGACCTTTGACAGAGCCAATAGGCGAAAAGGAGAGACGGGAAGTATTTTTGCCGCCCCGCCCGGAAAGGGTGGAGCACAACGTCGAAAGCAGCCAATGGGAGTTCAGGAGGCGGAGCGCCTGTGGGAGCCCTGGAGGGAACTTTCCCAGTCCCCGAGGCGGATCGGGTGTTGCATCCATGGAGCGAGCTGAGAGCTCGAGGTGAGCGGGGCTCGCAGTCTTCCGGTGTCCCCTCTCGCGCGCCCTCTTTGAGACCCACGGCATTCCAACCTCCCTGGAAATGGGGGGAACATGGCCGAGGCGCGTGGCGAGGCAGCCCCCTGGAGGCCCCGGAGTGGCGACCTCAGTGTTGCAGCGATCTCGTGCCCCTTGGGTGCGCCTTGAGGCCGAGGCAAGCTCCTTCGGGGTCCTGGGCTGCGGGCAAAGGATTCGGCCCTGTGAGGAGTTGGGTTCGGCCTGTCCCAGACAGGCCTTGCCCACATCCCATCACAGGGCCGTGGACTTGAAGCGGGAGCGTGAAATCCCCATAGACTGAATGCATTTCCTTTCTACCTGTTCTCTCTCCCCTTTTATTTTTATTTTTATAGTATTTTATTTTTAATTTTTTTTTGTAGAGACGGGGATTTCGCTGCGTTGCCCAGGCTGGTCTCGAACGCCTGAGCTCAAGCAATCCGCCCGCCTTGGCCCCTCAAAGTGCTGGAATTAAAGGCATGATGCACCGTGCCTGGCCTTTTTAAAAAATTAAGGTTATTTTGGGGACGGTAGAGCGTCCAGACACATCCTTATTTGCATAGCTGCGCAGTTTTTAAAAATGCAATACGTTTCTACCTGTTAGGATGTGTGATTTCTGGCTGGTAAGCTACACCGAATCTTGGCTAGCACATTTGCATTCCATGTCAGATTTGTAAACGCAAATTTGCTCTCTGCATTTAAATATATTAGATATATTTAGGTAACTACATTTAAATGTATTGAGACATTTAAATAAATTTGGGGTCTGTGTCTAAATGCGCTCCCTCCTCAAAATAAATATCTGAAGTGGGCCGAGAGCGGTGACTCACGCCTATAATCCCAGCACTTTGGGAGGCCAAGGCGGGTGGATCATGAAGTCAGGAGTTCATGACCAGCCTGGCCAACATGGTGAAATCCGTTTCTACTAAAAATACAAAAATTAACTGGGCATGATGGCGGGAGCCTGTAATCCTAGCTACTTTGGAGGCTGAGGCAGGAGAATCGCTGGAACCCAGGAGGCGGAGGTTGCAGTGAGCTGAGATCGTGCCACTGCAGTCCGGCCTGGGCAACGCAGCAAGACTCGGTCTCAAAAAAAAAAAAAAAAAAAAATCAGAAGTGGACCTGTAGCCTATAGTGTGCTGCCAAATAAACTTATTTTTAGAGATACTTCTTTCCATTTTCTGTGAGGTCATCTGCAGTTTCACATGGTAGACAGACTTAGGTGAGATTCTTAGCAAGGTGGAATGAAGAGTAAAGAGGTTTGTTTATTTCAGAAGGGTTTATTAAAGGCCTACGATGTGTTAAATGCTGTAGGAAATACCCAGTGATTTCTCTTTCATGGAGGTTTCCTGCCTTCTCTTAACAAGTTATCAATTAAACTGTTTGCTGGAAATTGCTAAGTTAATGAACACACGGGATACATTCTTTGAGCAGACATTGTTTGGGCAGAGGAGGAAGAGGAGAGCGGTTTAGACAGAGACCTGCTTATACACTGTAGTGTCTCAAAGAGCTTGTGATGTTCAGGACAGTTGTTCACTGTGCTACAATATAGGGGATGGCTGGTTGCGGTCCCCTGTAATCCTAGCACTTTGGGAGGCCGAGGCAGGCGGATCACCTGAGGTCAGGAGTTCGAGACCAGCCTGGCCAACATGGTGAAACCCTATCTCTTCTAAAAACACAAAAATTAGCTGGGTGTGATGGTGGGCGCCTGTAATCCCAGCTACTTGGGAGGCTGAGATAGGAGAATCGCTTGAACCTGGGAGGCGGAGGTTGCAGTGAGCTGAGCTCATGCCATTGCCCTCTAGCATAGGCAACGGGGTGAGACTCTGTCTCAAATAATAACAATAATAACAATAATAATAATAATAATAATAATAATGTAGGGGACTTGATGAAGGGAAAGGATTAGAGAGATTCTGAAAAGAAGGTAGTTTTGGCCCCAATGATGACTAAATTTTAACTTTCATATAGTAGGAAGTGGGGCACTAGTAAATTTTTAAGCAGAAAAATTATTTGACCAGATTTGTGATTTCAAAAATAGCTCTGGTGATAGAGTGGAGGATGTATTGGAGCAGGGAATAAGGGGAGATAAAACCTTTATAAAACTCTTAAAGCTAGTACAGCAAGAGCTTTGAGGGTCTTTGCTAAGACAGCAGCTGGCAGCTTCAGTTTGGAGTGGGGTATCAAAGGCAACTGTGTATAAGGAATAGTTATATAACTGGTACCCAATTTCTGAGATGATTTTGACTTAAACATTGTGTATTTCCCAGCATACTGTTGGTTTTTCTAATTATGTTGGGAAATTATGTTACTTTCATTTTTTTTTTTGCTCGTTGCCCAGGCTGGAGTGCAATGCCGCAATCTCAGCTCACTGCAACCTCCGCCTCCTGGATTTAAGCGATTCTCCTGCCTCAGCCTCCTGAGTAGCTAGGATTACAGGTGCCCACCACCATGCCTGGCTAATTTTTTGTATTTTTAGTAAAGACGGGGTTTCACCGTGTTGGCCAGGCTGGTGTCGAACTCCTGACCTCAAGTTATCCACCCATCTCTGCTTCCCAAAGTGCTGGGATTACAGGCATGAGCCACCACAGCCAGCCATGCTTTCACTTTTCAAGAAAGAAGACACCATTGTTGCCAAAGATTTTGGTAATTTGAGAGATACAATGTATGTTTTCTCCATGTGGATCTTAGTATAATTAGATAGTAAGGATCTGTTGAATTTGAAGTATCTATCCAGAAGTATTTTGGGTACATGTTTAAGGATTGTAAAACAGTGTTTCTATTTCTGGATATAATAAATGTATTTGCTAATATAATAAATGAATAGATTAGACCCATAAATTATTTACAGTGTTGAGTCATTTCCCACAGTTAAAATCAGGATGAAAATATATAGCTGAATACTTGATTTGTTTCTTGTAACTGATTTCTCTAGTACAGAACCTGCTAAGGCCATCAAACCTATTGATCGGAAGTCAGTCCATCAGATTTGCTCTGGGCAGGTGGTACTGAGTCTAAGCACTGCGGTAAAGGAGTTAGTAGAAAACAGTCTGGATGCTGGTGCCACTAATATTGGTAAGTTTGGGAGAGTTTTAAGCCACAAGAAATGATCTGTGAATGTTGTTGTAGTTAAGAAACATTTGTTATTGAAATAAGACTATCAAGTGTTGATGTAGTAATAAATTATTATTTTTAAGTTGAAGTTAGCACCTATTATGTGCCTAGTACTTAGCTAGGTAGTAATAATAATAACAGCTTTTATTGTGTTCTTACGGTGTGCCAGGCAGGTGTTATGCTAAGAATTGCACAGAAATATTTAATTTGCAGAACAGCTGGGCGTGGTGTCTCACGCCTATAATCCTAGCCCTTTGAGAGGCCGAGGTGGGGGAATTGCTTGAGGCCAAGAGTTCAAGACCAACCTGGCCAACATGGTGAGACCTTGTCTCTATTGAAAAATAAAGTAGGCCAGGCATAGTGGCTCACGCCTGTAATCCCAGCACTTTGGGAGGCCAAGGCGGGTGGATACCTGAGGTCAGGAGTTCGAGACCAGCCTGTCCAAAGTGGTGAAACTCTGTCTCTACTAAAAATACAAAAATTAGCTGGACCTGGTGGCAGAAGCCTGTAATCCCAGCTACTTGGGACACTGAGGCACGAGAATTGCTTGAAGCCGAGAGACGGAGGTTGCAGTAAGCCGAGATCGTGCCACTGCATGCCAGCCTGGGGACAGAGCAAGATTCCATCTCAAAAACATAAAACAAAATAGGGCTGGAGTAGTGGCTCACATCTGTAATACCAGCACTTTGGGAGGCTGAGGGGGGCTGATCATTTGAGGTCAGGAGTTCTAGACCAGCCTAACCAACATGATGAAACCCTGTCTCTACTAAAAATACAAAAATTAGCCAGATGTGGTGGTGCATGGCTGTAATCTCAGCTCCTCAGGACGCTGAAGGAGGAGAATTGCTTGAACCTGGGAGGTGGAGGCTGCAGTGAGCCAAGATCGTACCACTGCACTCCAGCCTGGGTGACGAGCAAAACTCCATCTCAAAAGAAAAGAAAAGAATAATAAAATAAAAAAAACCAAAGAATTATTAATCTGCAGAATAACTTTATGAGATAGAACTTATTATTCTCTATTTTACAAATGAGGAAATTAGGGGATAGGAAATTTCCTTTTTTTGAGATTATAAAGCTGATAAAATAGGATCCAGGAAGTCTGATTCCAGAACCCATTCTCTTTTTTTTTTTTTTTTTGAGATAGAGTTTTGCTCTTGTTGCCCAGGCTATAGTGCAATGGCACGATCTCGGCTCACTGCAACCTCCACCTCCTGGGTTCAAGTGATTCTCCTGCCTCAGCTTCCTGAGTAGCTGGGATGACAGGCATGCGCCACCAAGCCTGGCTAATTTTGTATTTTTAGTAGAGACAGGGTTTCTCCATGTTGGTCAGGCTGGTCTCGAACTCCTGACCTCAGGTGATCTGCTCGCTTTGGCCTCCCAAAGTGCTGGAATTACAGGCATGAACCACTGCACCCGGTCCCCGTTCTCTTTATTGGGTATGTTAAAATTATTTCTTTCAAAAGAAAAGGATGGTCAAAGTGCAACGCGGTTTACAGCTAATTGATCACCACCAGTTACAGATTTTTTTTGTTCCTTCTCCACTCCAACTGCTTCACTTCACTAGCCTAGGGAAAAAAAAAGAGGAAAGAAAGAAAAAGCTAAACTATTTAGTCTGGGCTAGTAAATAGCCAGAAAGGACTTTATAACAATGAAATATACAAAATGACACTAGTATGTTTAACTAAAGGTATAGTTATGACTCTTAAATTTGCATATGTTATAAATAATGTCAATATAAAAACTGATAGCATGGGTCCGTTTTTAATAAATATGTAAATATTTTAAACTTTCTAGATCTAAAGCTTAAGGACTATGGAGTGGATCTTATTGAAGTTTCAGACAATGGATGTGGGGTAGAAGAAGAAAACTTCGAAGGCTTAAGTAAGTTGACTTTTTCTAATCCTATTATAAAATAATTGGGTCACATGTCTCAGAATTTTGAGTAACACTGTCTTGGGAAATGCAAAAACAGTTTTTTAAAGCCAGTTACTAGATATCATGTATATTTTGTTGTTATAGCACTTGAGATATCTTAGTCCTTACTTTACACTCTCTTTCAGCTCTGAAACATCACACATCTAAGATTCAAGAGTTTGCCGACCTAACTCAGGTTGAAACTTTTGGCTTTCGGGGGGAAGCTCTGAGCTCACTTTGTGCACTGAGGTGATACAATATTTTTATCCACTCACTTGACCCCTTAGAGAAACCTCTCTGAAAATTAATTGGAATCATTATTATTTTCAGTTTTCTATCTCAACATCTCAACTTCTAGCTTCTGAATTCTGTTTTGTCTCGCTGCCAATCTAAGTCATAGTACTTCTGAAATGTGAGCAATAAATGAATGAAATGAAGCAAATAGTATTGTTAAAAAGATGGTTACCCTTATTAAAACAGTAATTCTCAATTTTAACCTAACATGTAGATAATAAATGATAGTTACCATTGGTTTTCATTATCAATTTTTAGGGAAACATTTCACCAAAGCACTATTTAATTATAGCACAGATATGAAATTTTTATAAATAATTATATATATATATATATATCTTTTTTTTTTTTTAGACAGAGTCTCTCTTTGTCACCCAGGCTGGAGTGCAGTGGCACAGTCTCGGCTCACTGCAATCTCTGCCTTCCAGGTTCAAGTGATTCTCGTGCCTGAGCCTCCTGAGGAGCTGGTACTATAGGCATGCACCACCACTCCTGGCTAATTTTTGTATTTTTAGTAGAGATGGGATTTCACCATGTTGCCTAGGCTGGTCTCAAACTCCTGGCCTCAAGTGATCTGCCTGCCTTGGCCTCCCAAAGTGCTGGGATAACAGGCATGAGCCACCACGCTCTGCCCTACATATACATTTTAATTATAATATTTGTTAGATTCTTTAAAAAAAATTTGTTCGAAGAGTAATAACAAAACAAATCTGTGTTTGTGAATAAATAAATCTTAAGATCATTTATGGTTTTGCAGTTCAACCTGAAAAACGAAATCAAAGCTTTTATCAAAGCAAAGCATGTTTAGTGCTCTCTGTCTCACTGTCTTTTAGATGCCAAACCTTAGATTTTATGATGACTCCTCAACCATTTAGATCTTGATTATCTCAGAGGGATCGTCAGCTTTTTAAGAAAATTTTGAGAGAAAAGCAAGTGAAGAAAAGAGTAGTCAGTGCCCAACATCATGGGTCTCTCACTGAACACACCATGCCTGGTATTCTCTCACAGCGATGTCACCATTTCTACCTGCCACGCATCGGCGAAGGTTGGAACTCGACTGATGTTTGATCACAATGGGAAAATTATCCAGAAAACCCCCTACCCCCGCCCCAGAGGGACCACAGTCAGCGTGCAGCAGTTATTTTCCACACTACCTGTGCGCCATAAGGAATTTCAAAGGAATATTAAGAAGGTACAGTAAATTAATCCTGGTTTTCAAGAGTATTGGTTAATGCACATGAGCAAAAGATTTACTAAAGATGTTTATTCTTCAGTTGATTCTCTTCCCATAAATTATTGAGAAATGCTTTATTTGCATTTCTCATTAAAGATTTAACATTAAAGACTTAACTTTAGGATGATTTACTTTTTTCTTTTCATCACATAGTGTTTATTAGGACTGGGCAACACAGTGAGACCCTGTCTCTATGAAAAATTTTAAAAAAAAATTTACTGGGCATGGTGACATGTACCTGTAGTTCCAGCTACTTGGGAGGCTGAAGTGGGAGGATCACTTGAGCCCAGGAACTTGAGGCTGCAGTGAGCTATGATTGCGCCACTGCACTTAAGACTGGGAGACAGAATAAGATCCTGTCTGGAAAAATATATATACATATATATATATTTTTTATTTTTTATTTTTATCTTTTTTTGAGATGGAGTTTCTCTTTGGCGCCCTGGCTGGAGTGCGGTGGCGCGATCTTGGTTCACTGCAACCTCCACCTCCTGAGTTCAAGCGATTCTCCTGCCTCAGCCTTCTGAGTAGCTGCAATTACAGGCGTGTACCACCACAGCTGGCTAATTTTTGTATTTTTAGTAGAGACGGGGTTTCACCATGTTGTCCAGGCTGGCCAGGCTGGTCTCGAATTCCTGACCTCAGGTGATCTGCCCACCTTGGCCTCTCAAAGTGCTGGGATTACAGGCCTGAGCCACCATGCCTGGCCTTATGTACTTATATTTTAATAAGAATATTTCTCGGCCAGGCACAGTGGCTCACACCTGTAATCCCAGCACTTTGGGAGGCTGAGGCGGGTGGATCACGAGGTCAAGAGATCAAAGCCATCCTGGCCAAACTGGTGAAACCCCATCTCTACTAAAAATACAAAAATTAGCTGGGCATGGTGGCATGTGCCTGTAGTCCCAGCTCCTTGGGAGGCTGAGGCAGGAGAATCGCTGGAATCCGGGAGGCAGAGGTTGCGGTGAGCCGAGATCAAGCTATTGCACTCCAGCCTGGGCACAGAGCCAGACCCCATCTCAAAAAAAAAAAAAAAAGAATATTTCTCTTGGTTTTCTGAGAAATGAGCTATTAGAACCCTTATGAATTTGAATGCAAATGAAAATAGCTAAATGTTATATAGTCGTTGTGTTTAAAAAGCAGATTATAGAACTGTCTGTATTATTTGATTACAATTTTGTGAAAACAAAACAACAAGCCTAAATGTGTATAGTATAAAGGCTGGAAGACTCGGCACTTTCATGTTCTCAGCAGTTATCCTTGGATGTGAGATCTCATGCAGTTTTTGCTGTCTTCTTTGTGCCTTCCCATTTTGTATGTGTGTTTTTCATAATCTAAAAAGTTACTTAAACATATGCAGCTAAAAACTTTTTTTACTTGTAAAGCATTTGGTGCTAATTTTAACTTTCTTTTTTTTTAGATGGAGTCTTCTCACTCTGTCGCCCAGGCTGGAGTGCAGTGGTGCGATCTCGGCTCACTGCAACCTCCACCTCCTGGGTTCAAGTGATTCTCCTGCCTCAGCCTCTCGAGTAGCTGGGATTATAGGTGTGCGCCACCACGCCCAGCTAATTTTTGTATTTTTAGTAGAGATGGAGTTTCACCATGTTGGCTAGCCTGGTCTTGCACCCCTGACCTCAAGTGATCCACCTGCCTCAGCCTCCCAAAGTGCTGGGATTACAGGTGTGAGCCACTGCACTTGGCTGCTAATTTTAACTTTATTACATTTTTTCACAAATTTAAATTTTCTAAAGTAGAGAAAACTTACTCTTTTTTTGTATCTTATGGTAAAAAAATTAGTGCCTTAGCAGAATACAGGAATGTAGAACTTCTATTTGTCAGAGATAACTGTTATTTACAGTTTGTATATCTTTTCAGGCTGCTTTTAATTTCATGTGTTTATAACTGTTGGAATAATTTTCAAGATAAATTCATAAGTTAATATAATGAAAGCAAGTAATATAGAATGTACAACATGCAAGTAATACAGAATTGTATGTGGTTGAAAGTTGTATTTTTTTTTTTTTTTTTTTTTTAATTGAGACAGGGTCTTGCTCTCTCACCTAGGCTGGGATGTAGTGGCACAATCTCAGCTTACCGCAGCCATGATCTCCCAGGCTCAATGAATCTTCCCACTTCAGCCTCCCAAGTAGCTGGGACTCCAGGCCCGTGCTACCATGCCCGGCTAATTTTTGTTTTTTTTGTAGAGATGGGTCCTTCTGTGTTGCCCAGGCAGGTCTCGAACTCGTGGGCTCAAGTGATCCTCCCGCCTCAGCCTCCCAAAGTGCTGGGATTACAGGTGTGAACCATCATGCCTGGCCCTATAACTGACTTTTTACTTAGCATATTGTGATTGTCTTTTTTAGTCGGTGCACACTGCCTTATTTGTTGTCATTCTGCTGCGCTATGGCTATACCATAATTAATCAACTCCTCAATGATGCTTGCTTAGGTTGTTTCTGTTTGTTCATAGAGATTGTTTCAGTGAACATTTTTGTGTATCTCTTTGCATACCAAAATGCTTGTGCCAGTGTTTCTATTATACGAAGATACATTTCAAAAGGAGAGATTATAAAATCAAACACAATGTACGTTTCAGTTTTTTAATTTTCATTTTTAGAGATAGGGCCTCACTCTGTCACCGAGGCTGGAGTGCAGTGGTGCAATCATGGCTCACTGCAGCCTTGAACTCCTAGGCTCAAGCGATCCTCCCACCTCAGCCTCCTCAGTAGCTGTGACTACAGGCACATGCCATGACGCCCGGCTAATTTTTTTTTTAAATTTTTTGTAGAGACAGGGTCTTGCTGTGTTGCCCAGGCTGGTCTTGAACTCCTGGTCTCAAGTGATCCTCCTGCCCTCAGCCTCCTGAGTAGCTGGGATTACAGGCTGTACTTTTTAGTTGTTTTACCAGGATGCATGGCACATTGGGAAGTGAGAGGACTGTGACCAGGAGCCAAAAGCTCTGCGTTCCTTTCTGTAGAATATAGGAAGACACCTCTTTACAGATCATTCTGTCAACAGTGCTTCCCTTGATTTGTGCGATGATGTGAGAACCTTGCGTTGGATGTTGTAACTTGAGCTGTGTAATTCCTATAATATTAAAGTAATGTAGAATATTGTGTTTGTGTTTTTTAAACAGGAGTATGCCAAAATGGTCCAGGTCTTACATGCATACTGTATCATTTCAGCAGGCATCCGTGTAAGTTGCACCAATCAGCTTGGACAAGGAAAACGACAGCCTGTGGTATGCACAGGTGGAAGCCCCAGCATAAAGGAAAATATCGGCTCTGTGTTTGGGCAGAAGCAGGTAGTGATGGCCGGTTACTTCAACGCCTCTTATTGCTCTAGTGATTATAGCGGGTTTCCATTGTCCCTTCCAGTAGAATGGAGAATAAAATCTTAGAATTGATTTTTTTTTTTTTTTTGAGAGGGAGTCTCGCACTGCTGCCCAGGCTGGAGTGCAGTGGTGTTGTCTTGGCTCACTGCAACCTCCGCCTCCCAGATTCAAGCAATTCTCCTGCCTCAGCCTCCCGAGTAGTGGGATTACAAGCATGCTCCACTACGCCAGGCTAATTTTTTGTATCTTTAGTAGAGACGGGGTTTCACCGTGTTGGCCAGGCTGGTCTCGAATTCCTGACCTCGTGATCCACCAGCCTCGGCCTCCCAAAGTGCTGGGATTACAGGTGTGAGCCACCAAGCCCGGCCGGTTTTTTTTTTTTTTGAGCTGGAGTCTTGCTCTGTTGCCCAGGTTGGAGTGCAGTGGCGCCATCTTGGCTCACTGCAACCTCTGCCTCCCGCGTTGAAGCAATTCTCCTACCTTAGCCTCCTGAGTAGCTGGGATTACAGGCACATGCCACCAGGCCCAGCTAATTTTTTGTATTTTTAGTAGAGATGGGGTTTCATCTTGTTGGCCAGACTGGCCTCGAACTCCTGACCTCTAGTGATCCGCCTGCCTCGGCCTCCCAAAGTGCTGGGATTACAGACGTGAGCCACTGCGCCCAGATTAAGAATTGATTTTTAAAGTGCCTATCACAAGGCCCGGCGCAGTGGCTCACGTCTGTAATCCCAGCACTTTGGGAGGCTGAGGTGGGCGGATCACGAGGTCAGGAGTTTGAGACCAGCCTGATCAATATGGTGAAACCCCATCTCTACTAAAAATACAAAAATTATCTGTTCGTGGTGGCAGGCACCTGTAATCCCAGCTACTCAGGAGGCTGAGGCAGGAGAGTCGCTGGAACCCGGGAGATGGAGGTTGCAGTGAGCTGAGATTGCACCACTGCACTGCAGCCTGGGCGAGAGAGCAAGACACCATCCCAGGAAAAAAAAAAAAAAAAAAACAAAGTACCTATCACAAAAATTGATGTTTGAGAGCTGAATGTGTTTCATTTTATTCTTCCAGAGACACTCGTATACTGCGTCTTTTCACTCTCTCTCTGAAAAAAATATAAGTTATTGTGGGCAATGTGTGGGTTCTGAATAAGTAGGTACTTGTTTCATCTTTCTTATATCATAAAATCAAAATTGTTGTTCCCACGGCTCACACATGTAATCCCAGCACTCTGGGAGAGGAAACTGTTGGGATTATGTGTTTGAACCACCCGGCCAACAATTTTGAGGTGGGAGAATCGCTTGAGCCCAGGAATTTAAGACCAGCTTGGATAACACGGCAAGATCCCATCTCTACAAAAAAATTAAAAAATTAGCCAGGTGTGGTGGTGTGCACCTGTAGTCCCAGCTACTCACTCGACAGGCTGACGCAGGAGGATTGCTTGAACCCACGAGTTTGACATTGCAGTGAGGTATGATTGAGCCATTGTACTCCAGCCTGGGCAATAGAGGGAGACCCTGTCTCAAAAAACAAAACAAAACAAAAGATTCTTTTAATTTTTTTTGCGCTTGTAATGTCAATAGCTTGACTAAGAAAGAAAACAGATTAAGTCCACTCTGTCTTTATTAGGAAGTAACTGTGAATTTTTTTTTTTTTTTTTCAGTTGCAAAGCCTCATTCCTTTTGTTCAGCTGCCCCCTAGTGACTCCGTGTGTGAAGAGTACGGTTTGAGCTGTTCCGATGCTCTGCATAATCTTTTTTAGTAAGTAGATTGCTGGCAAGAGAACTACAATTGAACATTTTATCCTGAGAGCTTTTTTTTTAAAGATAGTGATTCTAAGGCTAATAGTTTCGTGTCTTTTTTTTTTTTTCTTGAGACGGAGTCTTGCTTTGTTGCCCAGGCTGGAGTGCAATGGTGCTATCTTGGCTCACTGCAACCTCTACCTCCTGAGTTCAAGCAATTCTCCTGCCTCAGCCTCCTGAGTAGCTGGGATTACAGGCACGTGCCACCACACCCGGCTAATTTTGTATTTTTAGTAGAGACGGGGTTTCACCATGTTGGCCAGGCTGGTCTCGAACTCCTGACCTCAGATGATCCGCCCACCTTGGTGTCCCAAAGTGCTGGGATTACAGGCATGAGCCACCACGCCTGGCTAGGGATAATAGTTTTTTATGTCCTTTATAAAACTGTGAGCAATGCTGTGGCTAAGAAAGATGATTTATACAAAGGAGTCAGTTGCTTAATTCAAACCATGTTTTGAGTAAGTGGTATATTTCAGGTGGTTTTCTGTTGAGCAGGTCTTCTTTAAGGCTCTGTTTAGTTAGACTAACTTGTAAATTATTTTATCATTTTAAATGATTTTGACTTTCCTGGCATCTGATGAAGGCAGTTCAGTGTCATTACTTTTCGTATAAGAAAATAGACACTTCCATAAATAGGATTGGTCCTGTAAAGATATCTATCTATCTGTGTGTATATATATATATATATATATATTTTTTTTTTTTTTAGCTTTGAGATGGAGTCTTGCTTTGTTGCCTAGGCTGCAGTGCAGTGCCGTGATCTTGGCTCACTGCAACCTCTGCCTCCCTGCAACCTCTGCCTCCCAGGTTCAAGCGATACTCCTGCCTCAGCCTTCCGAGAAGCTGGGACTACAGGTGTTCACCACCATGCCCGGCTGATTTTTTGTATTTTTAGTGGAGACGGGGTTTCGCCATGTTGCCCAGGCTGGTCTTGAACTCCTGACCTCAGGTGATCCACCCACCTTGGCCTCTCAAGGCTCTGGAATTACAGGCATGAGCCACCACACCCAGCCTAAGATCTGTATTTCTTTTTGTTTGTTTGTTTGTTGCCTTGAGATCTATATTTCTTACTCTTCCTCCACTTGCTTTTGGCTTATGCCTGAAATGGTAAACATGGAGCTTTATGTCTTTATGTGAAGGTGGTGTTCTTCTGGAAATGCCGGTATCCCTGGGGTGGGTCTCATGTGAAGCAAGCGCTTTACCAAGACATGAGATATAAGCGTCCTACCCGGGAGGTTTTGAAAGGGGAGGGAATGTGGGCAAAATTCTGAGCACAAGTGGTTAGACTTCATTGACAAACCAGGGGTGGCAGCACGGAGGTTCTGAGAATGCATTTGAAGCGAGACCCACTTACAGAGGCTGAGGATTTATCAGGAAGGGTAAGGAGAGCTGCAACACATCAGTTTTGGACGCACTGCATCACCTGTGGTGCATTGGTTGACTGTAGGAGCTTTAGAATATTCCAGAAGGTTTGGTTCTTTGATGACTCATCAAGATTTGGAGCACAGATACCCGTGAACTGCAATAGTGATCCTTATCAGCATGTCACCTGGTGTTTTGTTTTCATTTCACTTTAAGAATGTGCCATGTGATCGTATTTCTAATCCCTTTCACTCTGGAATCCTGCCCTTACCATATTAATGTTGAATAGCATCTCAGGTTTCATTTCACAATGCACGCATGGAGTTGGAAGGAGTTCAACAGACAGACAGTTTTTCTTTATCAACCGGCGGCCTTGTGACCCAGCAAAGGTATTTAAAATTTTTTTGTGTTAGTTTGTTCTTTATGCCTTTGACTTTTAATTGATAACTTTTTTCTGATAATAGGCAGTTTACGTGGAGCTCGGGACTTTGAGAAACATGGCTTTAACATTATCTTATTTTGTGCATTTACAGAAGTCTACCGCAGATGGCCCCCAGCTTCAGATGTTTCAACTGAAGACTTTTCTGTCCGGGCGCAGTGGCTCATGCCTGTAATCCCAGCACTTTGGGAGGCCGAGGCGGGTGGATTGCCTGAGGCCAGGAGTTCGAGACCAGCCTGGCCAACATGACAAAACCCCGTCTCTACTAAAATACAAAAAATAACCAGGCATGGTGTTCCACGCCTGTAATCCCAGCTACATGGGAGGCTGAGGCAGGAGGATCACTTGAACCTGGGAGATGGAGCTTGCAGTAAGCCGAGATTATGCCACTGCACTCCAGCCTGGGTGACAGAGCGAGACTGTGTTTCAAAAAAATATATATATATTTTTTTCTACTACTTTACCTTGTTGCAGAAGTTATTTTTTGCAGTAGATACCATACTTCAAGTACCTATTGAACCATTGTTTTTCGGTATAGTATTCAATAAATTACAGAAGATATTCAACATTTTATTATAAAATAGGTTATTTTGCCTATAGACTATGTAAGTATTCTGAGGCAAGGCTGAGATGGGACATTCAGTAGGTTAGGTTATCACAAAGGCATTTTTGACATACAGTATTTTCTTTTCTTTCTTTTTTTTTTTCTGAGACGGAGTCTTGTTTGTCACCCAGGCTGGAGTGCAGTGGCGTGGTCTCGGCTCACTGCAAGCTCCGCCTCCCAGGTTCACGCCATTCTCCTGCCTCAGCCTCCCGAGTAGCTGGGACTACAGGTGCCTGCCACCACGCCTGGTTAATTTTTTTTTGTATTTTTAGTAGAGACGGGGTTTCACCTTGTTAGCCAGGATGGTTTTGATCTCCTGACCTCGTGATCCGCCCACCTCGGCCTCCCAAAGTGCTGGAATTACAGGTGTGAGCCACCGCGCCCAGCAGATACAATATTTTTAACTTATGGGTTTATCAGGACATAACCCTATCATAAGTTAAGGAGCGCATCTATCTGTGTACAGTTTTTTTTGTTGTTGTTTTTTGGGTTTTTTTTTGAGATGGAGTCTCGCCCTGTTGGCCAGTCTGGAGTGCAATGGTGCGATTTTGGCTCACTGCAACCTCCACCTCCCGAGTTCAAGCGATTCTCCTGCCTCAGCCTCCCAAGTAGCTGGGATTACAGGCGCGCGCCACCACGCCCGGCTAAGTTTTTGTGTCTTTAGTAGAGACGGAATTTCACCATGTGGCCAGGATGGTCTTGAAATCCTGACCTCGTGATCTGCCTGCCTTGGCCTCCCGAAGTGCTGGGATTACAGGCGTGAACCACCGCGCCTGGCCTCTGTATAGTTTTTTAAATTGCATATACGTGAGTGTGTTTGTATCTGCATATATACATTATATGTGTTGTGTGTATAGATACATAAATATATAAACACATATTACCAGTATATTTATTATTGTAAAAACTAAAACTATTTGAAGAAACTAAACATTTTATAACATTCTATGTCACCTTTCAGTATAGACTGATTACATGGTTTCTATATTTCCTTTTTTTTTTTTTTTTTTTTTTTTTGAGACAGAGTCTCGCTCTGTCACCCCCAGGCTGGAGTGCAGTGGCATGATCTCTGCTCACTGCAAGCACCGCCTCCCAGGTTCACGCCATTCTCCTGCCCCAGCCTCTCTAGTAGCTAGGACTACAGGCACGCATCACCACACCCGGCTAATTTTTGTATTTTTAGTAGATACGGGGTTTCACCACATTGGCCAGGCTGGTCTCGAACTCCTGACCTCGTGATCCACCCGCCTCTGTCTCCCAAAGTGCTGGGATTACAGGCATGAGCCACCGCGCCCGGCCCATGGTTTCTATATTTTCTATAGATTTCTATATTTTCTCTTCTTTCTATTTTCCTAGGAAAATAAGGGCTCAGATTACTTCTGCCTCAGATTTAAATTGATCATCTTGATATGATGACATGGGTTTTTTGAGTTTGTATCTTAGCAACACATTGTACCTCAGTAATATTTTGTTTTTTTTTCTTTCTTTCTTTTTTTTTTTTTTTTTTTTGAGACGGAGTCTAGCTCTGTCGCCCAGGCTAGAGTGCAGTGACGTGATCTTGGCTCACTGCAAGCTCTCCCTCCCAGGTTCAAGCAATTCTCCTGCCTCAGCCTCTCAAGTAGCTGGGATTATAGGCACATGCTGCCATGCCTGGCTAATTTTTTGTATTTGAGTAGAGATGGGGTTTCACTGTGTTGCCCAGGCTAGTCAAGAACTCCTGAGCTCAGGCAATCCACCTGCCTTGACCTCCCAAAGTGCTGGGATTACAGGCGTGAGCCACCGCTCCCAGCCCCTGTTTTTCAATGATGCTTTAGAGTTTGCTTGTAATCTGCCAGATGTGGTTGAACTTCTAAATTTTTTAACCTATAGTGTGATGGATTCATAATTATTAATTATAACTATTAATAATGTGATATTTTGGTTTATTTCTAATGACATTTTAATGTCATAGATACTTTTCTATGTACATTGAATATGTTTTATGAACATTTAAGCTGCACTTGCATTTCACTAGAATTTCTCATAGAGCAACTTTAAGTTGGAAAAATATTCAGTTTTAGGAATCTATGATTAGAGAAATATCACTTTGAGATTGTGAGGAAACTTTTGGTGATGGATATATTCATTATCTTGATTGTGGGGATAGTTTCACAGGTGTTTGTGTATATGTCAAAACTTATGAAATTGCACACTTTAAATATGTGTAGTTTATTCCATGTTAGTCATATCTCAGTAAAGCTGTTAAAAAAATGTATCCTTAGGCCAGGTGTAGTGGCTTACGCCTATAATCCCAGCACTTTGGGAGGTTGAGGCGGGCGGATCAACTGAGGTCAGGAGTTCGAGACCAGCCTGGCCAACATGGTGAAACCCCATCTCTACTAAAAACACAAAAATTATCTGGTCATGGTGGCGTGTGCCTGTAATCCCAGCTACTCTGGAGGCTGAGTCAGGATAATCACTTGAGCCCCGGAGGCAGAGGTTGCAGTGAGCCAAGATCGTGCCATTACACTCCAGTCTGGGTAACAAGAGCGAGACTCCGTTGAAAAAAAAAAAGAAAAAAAAATCCTGCCTGTAATCCAAGTTACATGTCAGGCTGACACAGGAGGATCACTTGAGCCTGGGAGGTTGAGGCTGCAGTGAGCCATGATTGCTCCACTGCACTCCAGGCTGTGACAAGGCGAGACCTTGACTCAAAAAAAAAAAAAACAAAAAAGTATCCCCTTCTAAGAACATGCTGGTTGGTTAGAATAGAATGTTGTTAGAATGCGGGGGGCTGGGAACATTTGTCATTTATTCTTTTCTACTCCTTGTATTTTGTGCAGGTCTGCAGACTCGTGAATGAGGTCTACCACATGTATAATCGACACCAGTATCCATTTGTTGTTCTTAACATTTCTGTTGATTCAGGTAAGTTCCATTGGCATTTCAGTACAACTAGTGACTAATGCCTCAAAGAATAAAATGAAATTCTACAGCTCTGCTATGACTGGAATGAGATAACAATTTATGGTCATGTAAGTTTTTTGTTTTTGTTTTTTTTTGAGACGGGGTCTTGCTCTGTCACCCAGGCTGGAGTGTGGTGGCGTGATCTCGGCTCACTGCAACCTCTGCCTCCCGGGTTCAAGCGATTCTCCTGACTCAGCCTCCCAAGTAGCTGGGACTACAGGTGCGTGCCACCACACCTGGCTAATTTTTTGTATTTTTAGTAGAGACAGGGTTTCACCGTGTTAGCCAGGATGGTCTCGATCTCCTGACCTCGTGATCTGCCCGTCTTGGCCTCCCAAAGTGCTGGGATTACAGGCATGAGCCACCGTGCCTGGCCCTATAATTTTTTTTTTTTTTAAACAGAGTTCCCGCTTTCTACTTGAGACTATGTTAATTATATTGTTAGGAAAATGTAATTTTTTTTAATGTCAACCAAGGGAGAAAGTAGATGAAATGTTCTTCCTAATTTCATAAATAATTCATTTCATATAGATTTTTTTTTCTGATTGTTAAAATTTTGGTTTATTGTAATTGAGTATTTTTTCTAGATACTTAGAAACACATATGTACATACCTTAAAAAATATCTTCTGTCCTCTCTCTCTTTCTCTCTCTCTCCCCTACTCCCATATTCTTTGGGATGAGAAAATAATTTTGTATACTGCTCTTTATCCTTAGATGTGAATGTTTTCTTTTCCATGTTATTAGAAATTGATCAGAAATGTGGTTTTAATAGGTGAATTATATTCCAATGCATGGTTATAGTTTGGTATTTTAATTTTTAAATTTTTCAAAATTAAATTGTTTTTAGTTTTTGGAAATTATAAATACTTTCCTTATAATTAAATCATTATCTGCATCTTTATTATTAGATATTTTTTGAGACAGAGTCTTGCTCTGTCTCCCAAGCTGGAGTGCAGTGGTGTAATATCAGCTCACTGTAACCTCCGATTCCTGAGTTCAAGCGATTCTCCCGCCTCAGCCTCCTGAGTAGCACGGATTACAGGCACCTGCCACCATGCCTGACTAATTTTTTGTGTTTTTAGTAGAGACGGGGTTTCGCCATGTTGGCCAGGCTGGTCTTGAACTCCTGACCTTAACTTATCTGTTCGTCTCAGCCTCCCAAAGTGCTGGGATTACAGGGTGTGAGCCACTGCACTCAGCCTACATCTTTAATTATTCTGAATATAAATTGCCGGGAGTAGAATTACTGGGTCAGTGAATATGATCATTTTAAGGCTTTTTCTGTATTGTGTTCTAGATGTACCAATTTACACACCTACCTATAATGTACTAGGTATTATAATTGTTAAGCTAAATTCAGTAGGGGATTAAAATATCTTATTTTAGTTTGCATATTTAAAATTATTTTTATGTGTTTATTTGCTTTTCCTTTAACAATTTACCTAATTAAGCCCTTCCGTATTTTGTCTATTCAAAAATTGTCTTTTGCTCATTTATTTGAAAAAGCTGATTTCATAACTTATGAATCTTAACCTGGACACTGTAATGTTTTTAATAGCACTTGTGATAAATACAAGTGAATGAAATAATAGATGGGGAAATTTCTATTGTTAAAAGTGAATTTGGCTGGGCGCGGTGGCTCACGCCTGTAATCCCAGAACTTTGGGAGGCCAAGGCGGGTGGATCACTTGAGGTTGTGAGTTCGAGACCAGCCTGGCCAACACGGTGAAACCCCATCTCTACTAAAAATACAAAAATTAGCCAGTGTGGTGGCACTTGCCTGTAATCCTAGCTACTTCGGAGGCTGAGGCAGGGAGAATCACTTGAACCCAGGAGGCGGAGGTTGCAGTGAGCTGAGATCGCGCCACTGCACTCCAGCCTAGGCGACAGAGTGAGACGCTGTCTGAAAATAATAATTAATAAATAAAATAAAAGTGAATTTAAACATAATAAATATGTTTTCTTTTTTGCCTTAGAATGCGTTGATATCAATGTTACTCCAGATAAAAGGCAAATTTTGCTACAAGAGGAAAAGCTTTTGTTGGCAGTTTTAAAGACCTCTTTGATAGGAATGTTTGATAGTGATGTCAACAAGCTAAATGTCAGTCAGCAGCCACTGCTGGATGTTGAAGGTAAGAAAAATACAGTGTACAAACAGCTTCTAAAGCTTTTAGCTAATGTGTTTCCTTATTTTTTCCAAGTAAACTTTTTTTTGACATGAAAACAAAGTCTCTTATATTATTTTATCATTTTTAATTCTTTTTTGAGACAGGGACTTGCTCTGTCACCCAGGCTGGACTGCAGTGGTGCCATTGTAGCTCACTGCAGCATCACACTCCTGGGCTCAGGCCATCTTCCTGCCTCAGCCTCCCAAGTAGCTGCCTCCAAGTACCTCTAGTTTTTTGTAAACTGTAAACGGATGAAGTCATATAAGATATATGATTAGAAGAAGTCTGCAGTGACTGCATTTTTAACTCCCTTGTCATGTCTGTTTTTTTGAGATGGAGTTTCGCTCTTGTCACCCAGGCTGGAGTGCAATGATGCGATCTCAGCTCACTGCAACCTTGAAGCCTCCCACGTTCAAGAGATTCTCCTGCCTCAGCCTCCTGAGTAGCTGGGATTACAGGCGCCCACCACCACACCTGGCTAATGTTTGTATTGTCATTAGAGATGGGGTTTCTCCATGATGCCCAGGCTGGTCTCAAACTCTTGAGCTCAAGCAGTCCTCTAGCCTTGGCCTCTGAAAATGCTGGGATTTCCTGACTTCTAACAGTAGAATTTAGGCCAGGCGCAGCGGCTCATGCTTGTAATCCCAGTACTTTGGGAGGCCAAGGCGGGCGGCTCACGAGGTCAGGAGATCGAGACTATCTAACACGGTGAAACTCTGTCTCTACTAAAAATACAAAAAATTAGCCGGGCGTGGTGGCGGGCGCCTGTAGTCCCAGCTACTCAGGAGGCTGACTCAGGAGAATGGCGTGAACCCGGGAGGAGGGGCTTGCAGTGAGCCAAGATTGTGCCACTGCACTCCAGCCTGGGTGACAAAGCGAGACTCCGTCTCAAAAAAACAGACAAACAAACAAAAAAAACCCAAAACGGTATAGTTTAATCTGTTTTTAATTTGAAGTTATTCAGTCTGTCCTTTTCTGTGATTTGTTTCTTTCTCTCATTATTTTGTTTGTGAGATTCACCCAAGTCATGTGGCAAAATTCATTTATTCGTTCGCTATACAGTGTTCCATTATAGTCAGATATCATCATTTGTGAATATTTGAATTGTTTCCAGTTTGGGGCTATAATGAAGAATGCTGTCATGAACATCCTCATCCACGTCTTTTTGACGAGCATAGATAGGCACTTCTTTCTTTTTTTTGAGAGGGAGTCTCACTCTGTCGCCCAGGCTGGAGTGCAGTGGAGTGATCTTGGCTCGCTGCAACCCTGCCTTCCAGGTTCAAGTGATTCTCCTGCCTCATTCTCATTCTCCCTAGTAGCTGGGATTATAAGTGCATTCCACTATGCCCTGCTAATTTTTTTTTTGTATTTTTAGTAGAGATGAGGTTTCACCATGTTGGTCAGGCTGGTCTTGAACTCCTGACCTCAAAGGGCTAGGATTACAGGCGTGAGCCACTGTGCCGGCCAATAGGCACTTCTGATAGGAGTAGCTATGCTGGGTTGCAGGTGTGCATACATTCAGATTTAGGAGGTATTCCCAGAGAACTTTTCAAAGCAGCTGTACCAGGTTCATTCCTACCAGAGGTATTCAGGCATTCCTCTTGATCCTGATCTTTGTGAGCATTTGTTGTTTTTTTAATTTTACCATTCTGGTGAGTATATGGCCATATTGCATTGTGTTGTGGTTTTTTTTTTTTTTTTTTTTTTTTTTGAGACAGAGTGTTGCTCTGTCACCCAGGCTGGAGAGCAGTGGTGGCATCTTGGCTCACTGCAACCTCTGCCTCCCGGGCTAAAGGGATTCTCGTGCCTCAGCCTCCCAAGTAGCTGGGATGACAGATATGCCACCACACCCGGCTAATTTTTGTATTTTTAGTAGAAACAGGGTTTTACCATGTTGTCCAGACCAGTCCTGAACTCCTAGCCTCATGTGATCCCCCTGCCTTGGCCTCCTAAAGTGCTGGGATAACAGGCGTAAGCCACCACACCTGGCCCATATTATAGTTTTATTTTGAACATTGAACTGTGTTCATCTGTGTAATTAGCATGTGGATCTCCTCTTTTGTGAAGTATCTGTTCACATAAGCACGTCCTCTCACCATTTCAGGATAGTCCCTGACCCTCTTCTCCGTCCACGTTTGCTTAGGTAACTTAATAAAAATGCATGCAGCGGATTTGGAAAAGCCCATGGTAGAAAAGCAGGATCAATCCCCTTCATTAAGGACTGGAGAAGAAAAAAAAGACGTGTCCATTTCCAGACTGCGAGAGGCCTTTTCTCTTCGTCACACAACAGAGAACAAGCCTCACAGCCCAAAGACTCCAGAACCAAGAAGGAGCCCTCTAGGACAGAAAAGGGGTATGCTGTCTTCTAGCACTTCAGGTGCCATCTCTGACAAAGGCGTCCTGAGACCTCAGAAAGAGGCAGTGAGTTCCAGTCACGGACCCAGTGACCCTACGGACAGAGCGGAGGTGGAGAAGGACTCGGGGCACGGCAGCACTTCCGTGGATTCTGAGGGGTTCAGCATCCCAGACACGGGCAGTCACTGCAGCAGCGAGTATGCGGCCAGCTCCCCAGGGGACAGGGGCTCGCAGGAACATGTGGACTCTCAGGAGAAAGCGCCTAAAACTGACGACTCTTTTTCAGATGTGGACTGCCATTCAAACCAGGAAGATACCGGATGTAAATTTCGAGTTTTGCCTCAGCCAACTAATCTCGCAACCCCAAACACAAAGCGTTTTAAAAAAGAAGAAATTCTTTCCAGTTCTGACATTTGTCAAAAGTTAGTAAATACTCAGGACATGTCAGCCTCTCAGGTTGATGTAGCTGTGAAAATTAATAAGAAAGTTGTGCCCCTGGACTTTTCTATGAGTTCTTTAGCTAAACGAATAAAGCAGTTACATCATGAAGCACAGCAAAGTGAAGGGGAACAGAATTACAGGAAGTTTAGGGCAAAGATTTGTCCTGGAGAAAATCAAGCAGCCGAAGATGAACTAAGAAAAGAGATAAGGTAAAGTTTTAATTTTTTACTTTTTCTCTTTTTATCTAAAATTTTTATTTTTATTTTTTATTTTTTTGAGACAGAGTCTTGCTCTGTTGCGCAGGCTGGAATGCAGTGGCATGATCTTGGCTCACTGCAGCCTCCACCTCCCGGGTTCAAGCGTTTCTCCTGCCTCAGCCTCCTGAGTAGCTGGGATTACAGGTGCACGCCACCATGCCTGGCTAATTTTTATATTTTTGGTGGAAACAGGGTTTCACCATGTTGGCTGGGCTGGTCTCGAACTCCTGACTTCAGGTGATCCAGCCACCTTGGCCTCCCAAAGTGCTGGGATTACAGGTGTGAGCCACCACACCCGGCCAGGTAAAGTTTTTTCTTAAGAGTATTTTGAGGCTAGGTGTGGTGGCTCACACCTGTAATCCCAGTACTTTGGGAGGCCAAGCCAAGGAGGGAGGATCACTTGAGCCCAGGAGTTCAAGACCAGCCTGGACAACATAGGGAGACCTCGTCTCTACAATAAAATTGGCTGGGCGCGGTAGTGCGCAGTTGTAATTCCGGCATCTGCGCCTGGCCAGATCCTGTTCTCTGTGGCAGGACACAGACTCCAAACACATGGAAGACTTGGGTCTTTTAGGCCAGCACCAGCTTTTGAGCAGATTATCTATGTACTGGGAACCAGGGCATATTCAGACAATTCCTGGGAGAGCCTGGGATCGGCGCCAGGGGAGGTGGTATTTGTGCTGGCATCTGGGATGCTTCTGGGATGTTCTTTTCCTTCCCTCCTGTGCGGCAGGAGTTCCTGTGTCATCACTCACTCTGGCAGCTTCTCTCCATCCAGCAGGCTGCGGCCACTCCTGCTCCAAGGAGGTCTGAAACTCAGCCTGAGTGGGTAGGAGCCTCTTACAAGAGTTCCTTTTCTGCTGGGCATGGTGGCTCATGCCTGTAATCCCAGCACTTTGGGAGGCTGAGGTGGGTGGATCACCTGAGGTTGGGAGTTCGAGACCAGGCTGACCAACATGGAGAAACCTTTTCTCTACTAAAAATGCAAAATTAGTGGGATATGGTGGTGCATGCCTGTAATCCCAGCTACTTGGGAGGCTGAGGCAGGAGAATTGCTTGAACCCGGGAGGTGGAGGTTGTGGTGAGCCGAGATTGCACCATTGCACTCCAGCCTGGGCAACAAGAGCGAACTCCATCTCAAAAAAAAAAAAAAGAAAAAGAAAAAAGAAAAAAAGAGTTCCTTTTCTGAGGACTCTCCCTCTTCCCTAGGATAGTAGCATTTTCCATTCCTGTATTTCTTAGCATAGTAGTTAACCACCTTTTACTAGTTTGTGTAATGCCTTATTATACATTTTTCCTCCTCAGGCCTAACATGGTGGTGCACACCTTGTAATTCCAGCACTTTGGGAGGCTGAGGCAGGAGAATCACTTGAGGCTAGGAGTTTGAGACCAGCCTGGGCAATATAATGAGGCCCCATCTCTAAAAAAAAAAAAAAAAAAAAAAAATTAGCTAAGTACATTGCTGTACGCCTGTAGTCCCAGGTACTCAGGGGGCTGAGGCAGGAGGCTCACTTGAGCCCAGGAGTTTGAGGCTGCAGTGAGCTATGATCATGCCATTGCACTCCAGCCTGGGTGACAGAGCAAGACCCTGTCTTAAAAAAAAAAGTCCCTGTTAAAATCACTGGTGTGGTTTTTGTCTCTTGATTGATTGCACTCTGCCTGATCTGGAATTGGTACCAGGAAACAGACCCTCAAAGATAGGATTTGGGGACTGGTTTGGTTATGACTTGGATTTGAGCTCTGTGTGGAGCCCCTCACCATAGGAAATGTGGGCTCAGTAATCCATGCCATGTGGAGGTCTCACAGTTCACCAAACTGTCCCCTGTGGTTGATTGTGATGGTGACGAGCATGGTGGCATGGGACCGGGTCTTCCTGGAGCACTTATAGAAAGAAACAACAATATCAGCTCCTTTGTTTTTTTTTTGAGACAAGAGTCTCACTCTTTCGCCCAGGCTGGAGTGCACTGGCACGATCTCAGCTCACTGCAAGCTCTGCCTCCCGGGTTCAAACGATTCTTCTGCCTTCGTTTCCCAAGTAGCTGGGAGTACAGGTGTCCACCACCATGCCTGGCTAATTTTTTTATTTTTAGTAGAGATGGGGTTTCACCATGTTGGCCAGGCTGGTCTTGAACTCCCAACCTCAAATGATCTGCCCACCTTGTCTTCCCAAAGTGCTGGGATTACATTACAGCTGCTTTCATCCTCAGCTCAGGCCACCAGGTGAGAACCAGAAAACGTCCATGGCTGCTTTAACAGAGCCATTTCTTGTCATCACCGCGCTGATACTGCGGAAAATCCATTTTCACCGGATTTAATTGTGTGGGACTGAGAATGACAGTGTCAATTTCTCGTGTGAAGGTTAGCGGTGGTGTCTGTCTTTTGTCCAGATTGACTAAGTTAGTATTTAATGACATTAGATGTTGAAGCCACCCGCAAAGGACCCAGTGGTGGGCCTGGCAAAGATGAGAAGGATTGATATCCAGCATTGGCAGAAAGGTGCTCTTACACACCATTGGTGGGAGTGTGACTTTTCACAGATTTCCCGTCAAGAAGTACATATGTAGTTCTCCCTCTAGCGTCTGTCTCACGGAAATGCACCCACAGATGAGTAGGTTTATGCACAGAAGTATTTGTTGCAGCTTTGAGTGCGCTATTGAAATTGGAAACAACTGAAATGTCCTTTAGTAGGGGATTTGTCAGACAAATTATGGTACATCCATGCAATGAATTCCTATGTGGCCATTAAAAAGAATGAAGTAGGCCAGGTGCGGTGGCTCACGCCTGTAATCCCAGCACTTTGGGAGGCCGAGGCAGGTGGATCACTTGAGGTCGGGAGTTCAAGACCAGCCTAGCCAACATGGTGAAACCTTGTCTCTACTAAAAATAAAAAAATTAGCCGGGCTTGGCGGTGCATGCCTGTAGT
Organism: Homo sapiens; assembly: GCF_000001405.40. Taxonomy (NCBI): domain Eukaryota; kingdom Metazoa; phylum Chordata; class Mammalia; order Primates; family Hominidae; genus Homo; species Homo sapiens. Next base: position 5,983,787 of record NC_000007.14, on the reverse strand, counting down.
CCCAGCTACTCGGGAGGCTGAGGCAGGAGAATCGCTCGAACCTGGGAGGCGCAGGTTGCAGTGAGCCACGGTCACGCCACTGCAGTCCAGCCTGGGCAACAGAGAGTGAGACTCCGTCTTAAAAGAAAAAAAAAAAGAAAAAATAATGAAGTAGATCTATGTGTACAGGTCTGAAAACTTGTTTCAGATGCATTAAGTGATGACAGAATGGAGAATTAAGATTCCATTTTTGTTTTTTAAAATTAAAAAAAATTATATATGGAGACAAGGGTCTAGAAGGATATATTCCATTTAAATCGTTAATAGTAGCAACTGATGTCTTCTCCGGAGAGTTGGATGAATGAATAATTAATGTTATCTTTAGAAAGTGGGATGGTTAAGCCGAACGCAGTGGCTCACGCCTGTAATCCCAGCACTTTGGGAGGCCAAGGCGGGCAGATCATGAGGTCAGGAGTTCGAGACCAGCCTGACCAACATGGTGGAACTCTGTCTCTACTAAAAATACAAAAATTAGCTGGGCATGGTGGCGCACCTGTAATCCCAGCTACTCAGGAGGCTGAGGCAGAAGAATCACTCGAACCCGGGAGGTGGAGGTTGCAGTGAGCCAAGATTGTGCCATTGCACTGTAGCCTGGGTGACAGAACGAGACTCTGTTTCAAAAAAAAAGAAAGCGGGATGGCTAGGGACTTTATTTTGTTTTTGTATTGTTTGACTTTTTTTTTATTACAGTGTTCTATAACATAATCAGAAAAATAATCTTGTAAAATGTCTGATAATTAACATTTTCTACCTGCAGTAAAACGATGTTTGCAGAAATGGAAATCATTGGTCAGTTTAACCTGGGATTTATAATAACCAAACTGAATGAGGATATCTTCATAGTGGACCAGCATGCCACGGACGAGAAGTATAACTTCGAGATGCTGCAGCAGCACACCGTGCTCCAGGGGCAGAGGCTCATAGCGTGAGTGTGTTTAGTGTTCATTCCCAGACTCCCCCTCAAATTGAAGATCTAATAGAGGCCAAGGCAGGAGGATCACAAGAGGCCAGGAGTTTGAGACCAGCCCGGACAACACAGCAAGACCTTGTATCTACTTTAAAAAAGAAGAGATCTAGGAAGGAGGGGTGTAAAAAATAAAAAATATCTAGTTGGCCAGGCGCGGTGCCTCACACCTGTAATCCCAGCACTTTGGGAGGCCGAGGCAGGCAGATCACCTGAGGTCAGGAGTTGGAGACCAGCCTGGCCAACGTGGTGAAACCCCGCCTCTACTAAAAATACAAAAAGGCCAGGCACGGTGGCTCACGCCTATAATCCCGGCACTTTGGGAGGCCGAGGTGGGCAGATCACTTCAGGTCGGGAGTTCGAGACCAGCCTGACCAACATGGTGAGACCTGTCTCTACTAAAAATACAAAATTAGCCAGGCGTGGTGGCGGGCGCCTGTAGTCCCAGCTACTTGGGAGGCTGAGGCAGGAGAATCGCTTGAACCCGGGAGGCGGAGTTTGCAGCGAGCCGAGTTCGTGCCATCGCACTCCAGCCTGGGCAACAAGAGTGAAACTCCGTCTCAAAAAATAATAATAATGATAAAAAATAAAAATACAAAAAATTAGCTGGGCATGGCAGTGCACGCCTGTAATTCCAGCTACTCAGGAGACTGAGGTAGGAGAATCGCTTGAACCTGGGAGACAGAGGTTGCAGTGAGCCGAGATCGCACCACTGCACTCCAGCCTGGGTGACAGAGCGAGATTCTATCTCAAAAAAAAAAAGAGACCTAATAGTTTATATGTGTGTCTATATGTATATATGTATTTTTCCATAAGTATTCATATAGCAGATTTTTATACTTTTTACATAATAGTGATAGTTACCATTTATTCAGTGCCTAGAATCTGCCAGGCACTGTTGAAATAATGTATGTGTATTAGTTCCTTTAATCCTCAAAAACCTATGGGGTTGTTACTGTTACCATCACCATTCCACAAGCGATAAAACTGAGGCACATGCAGAGAGGTTGAGTAACCTGCCCCAGTTCACGTGGTTAACATGTTCTCTAAGTATCAGGTATTTTTCGCTATTAAAAATGTTGATCACTGGTTAGCCAGAAGATCCTTCTGATGAGGGCAATTGATAGTATGGAGTATTAGTATGCATAGTGTATGGAATGTGTGTGTTCAGAAAGACAGACAGCCTGTGCGCCAGTGTTGATTGACAGTAGAGTAATCAGAAGTCAGATAGTCACTGCAGGTTGGATGCAGGGGCACACGCCTGTAATCCCAGAGCTTTGGGAGGCTGAGGCAGGCAGATCCCTCGAGCTTAGGAGTTTGAGACCAGCCTGGGCATCATGGTGAAACCTTGTCTCTACAACAAATGTAAAAAATTAGTCAGACTTGATGGTGTGTGCCTGTGGTCCCAGCTATTCGGGAGGCTGAGGTGGGAGGATCGTTTGAGCCCAGGAGATTGAGGCTGCCATGATCGTGCCACTGCACAGCTCTCCAGCCTGGGTGACAGAGTGAGACAGTGAGACTCTGTCTCACAAATAAATTAATAAATAAAATAAAATAAAATTTAAAAATTATTTTAAGATAGTCACTGCAGAATTTGGTATTTCTCTCTCCTCGGCCAAACTGGAATGTTTTACCCTGACTACTTCACAAAGGTCAGGTGTGATAGTATCATGTAAAACCAAAGTCTTGTCTTCAGCAAAGTTAGAAGAAGAGGTCATGGATTTTCGTGTGGGAAATTAAACCACGTAGTGAAGTAAACTCAGATCCCAACAAGTAGATCCCACATGGAGAAATGTACCACTGAACCTGTGTAGTTTGCTGAGTACTCTCCTGTGTAGTTTACTGAGTACTCTCCTGTGTAGTTTGCTGAGTACTCTCCTGTGTAGTTTGCTGAGTACTCTCCTGTGGAATGCGTGAATTGTTTTTATTCTCAGTAGGAGGCAATGGTAATAATAGACATTTAGTAAGCTACTTTATATCCCTTCCCTGTTCCTCTTAATAGAGGTTTTTTGTTTTTGTGTTTTTGAGACAGAGTTTCACTCTTTCGCCCATACTGGAGTGCAGTGATGTGATCTCGGCTTACTGCAACCTCTGCCTCTCGGGTTCAAGTGATTCTCCTGCCTCAGCCTCCCGAGTAGCTGGGATTACAGGCACCCGCCACCACACCTGGCTAATTTTTGGATTTTTAATAGATAGGGAGTTTTGCCATGTTTGTCAGGCTGGTCTTGAACTCCTGACCTCAGGTGATCCACCAACCTCAGCCTCCCAAAGTGCTGGGATTACAGGTGTGAGCCACCATGCCCGGCTGAGGTCTTGTATTTTTTAGCCATTCGGCAAAGATAACCTCTCATCTGTGACATTTCAAGTTGGCCCAGGTAATCACAGACCACTTAGGGTCCCAGATGGACCACACTTCAAGATTAAAGGATAAAGACCCAGTTCCACCCTGCCCTGCCAGCCCCTGTGTAGGGTGGCCCTGTTGACCTCTGTAGCTTTTCCCGTTCGTCTTCCCCTTGTTCCCTGTACTCAAGCCTCTCTGGCTGTCTTTCTTTTTCCCTTGGCAGGCCTGATGAATCCCTATGTGGCCACTAAGCAGAATGAAGGATATCTTTATGTGTGGCTCTGCAAACATCAGCGGTCCATCCTGGGGCTTGGCACAGATTGTTGTCCCTGTCTAGAATACTTGTCCTGCACCCTGCACCCACTTCTCCCCCGTTACCTGATTAACTCTCTTATCCCCGGACTCAGCTCAAAGGTCACTTCCTGACCCCAGGGTGAAGTCTCTCTATGACACTGGCTGCTTTTTCTTCCTGACCTTCCTGTCGTTTCTCATCATAATCGACTTGCCTGAGTATTTGCTCAACGTCTTTCTTCCCCGGTAATCTGTTGGCTCCAGGACCAAGCCTGTGTTTGCTCACCAGCTGTCTCCTGCCTTGAGCAGTGTTTGTCTTATCCAGCACTCAGGACCAGATGCAGTGGCTCACACTCGTAATCCCAGCACTTTGGGAGGCTGAAGTGGAAGGATCGCTTGAGCCCAGGAGTTTGAGAGCAGCCTGGGCAACATAGTGAGACCCTGTCTCTATCTTTGAAAAAAATAACGAAAGGTTAAAAAAAAACAAACAGTAAATCCAGGAGGAGAGAGGGATGGAGATATAATACAGGCAGAGGAAGGAACAGGATAGCAAAATAAAAGCTGTCTGTTCATTCTGTTTACAAATGCTGGCAATGACCTAACCCAGTGTTTCAAATTCTGTATTAGAAGGAGGAAAAATAGCATTTTTGTGATACTGTTATCCTTAAGGAAAGGATTCAGAAAAAGTGGGAGTCATTGGCGTGGCAGGCTGAGGAAAAAGCAAACTACTTTTGTAGCTACTTGAACTTTTTTTTTTTTTTTGAGACAGAGTCTTGCCCTGTTGCCCAGGCTGGAGTGCAGTGGTGTGATCTTGGCTCACTGCAACCTCCACCTCCTGGGTTCAAGCAATTCTAGTGCCTCAGCCTCCCGAGTAGCTGGGATTACAGGCATGAGCCACCACTTCCAGCTAATTTTTGTTTTTATGGGTGTTTTTTTTTTTTTTTTTTTTTTGAGACAGAGTCTTGTTGTGTCGCCCAGGCTGGAGTACAGTGGCGTGATCTTGGCTCTCACTACAACCTCTGCCTCCCTCCTGGGTTCAAACGAATCTCATGCCTAAGCCTCCCAAGTAGCTGGGACTACAGGCGTGCGCCACCATGCCTGGCCTAATTTTTATATTTTTAGTAGAGAGAGTGTTTCGCTGTGTTGACCAGGCCGGTCTCAAACTCCTGGCCTCAAGAGATCTGCCTGCCTCGGGCTCCTAAAGTGCTGAGATTACAGGCGTGAGCCACCGCACCTGGCCTGTAGCTACTTTAACTTCTAAAAAGAACTTTAAGAAAGAGAAAATTAAAAGGAACTTCTCAGGAAGTTTTGTGACACTTAGCTGAGTAGTGTTGTTATTTGTGTTGTTATTTTGACATGAATTCAAAATACAGTATTGTTGTTTTCATTTCATTTCTGCTGTAAAGCTAAATGTTTGACTTCAGGATATGGTTTGAATCATTTTTGTGTTTTTCAGACCTCAGACTCTCAACTTAACTGCTGTTAATGAAGCTGTTCTGATAGAAAATCTGGAAATATTTAGAAAGAATGGCTTTGATTTTGTTATCGATGAAAATGGTAAGTTATTAATTAGAACTATAGCGGCTGGGTGTGGTGGCTCACGTCTGTAATCCCAGCACTCTGGGAGGCCAAGGCGGGCAGATCGCCTGAGGTCAGGAGTTTGAGACCAGCCTGGCTAACATGGTGAAACCCCATCTCTACTGAAAATACAAAAAGTAGCCGGGCGTGGTGGCGGGTGCCTGTAATCCCAGCTACTCAGGAGGCTGAGGTGGGAGAATCGCTTGAACCCGGGAGGTGGAGGTTGCAGTGAGCCGAGATCACGTCACTGCACTCCAGCCTGGGCAACAAGAGTGAAACTCTGTCTCAAAAAAAAAAAAAAATCAGAACTATAGATTCTTGTCTTTTTAGAGCTGGGAATAATCTTTCAGGTCATATAGACCAGTTTTTTTTAATTTTATAAAAGATTAAAAAGTTCCTCCAAAAAGCATTTTGTGAGTTTCCTCTCTTTCAGGTGTTCACTTTTTTTTTTTCTGAGATGGAGTCTTGCTCTGTCGCCCAGGCTGGAGCGCAGTGGTGCCGATCTCGGCTCACTGCAAGCTCCGCCTCCCAGGTTCACACCATTCTCCTGCCTCAGCCTCCCGAGTAGCTGGGACTACAGGTGCCTGCCACCACACCCAGCTAATTTTTTCTATTTTTTAGTAGAGACGGGGTTTCACCATGTTAGCCAGGATGGTCTGTATCTCCTGACCTCATGATCCGCTGGCCTCAGCCTCCCAAAGTGCAGGGATTACAGGCGTGAGCCACCACGCCCGGCCTCAGATGTTCATCCTAAGTAGCTTTCAAGTGAAACGTGTTTGTCAAGTCATGGATTTTTCTCAAAATTGTATTCTTTTAGCTCCAGTCACTGAAAGGGCTAAACTGATTTCCTTGCCAACTAGTAAAAACTGGACCTTCGGACCCCAGGACGTCGATGAACTGATCTTCATGCTGAGCGACAGCCCTGGGGTCATGTGCCGGCCTTCCCGAGTCAAGCAGATGTTTGCCTCCAGAGCCTGCCGGAAGTCGGTAAGTAAAGAAAGCCTGGCTGTCAGCTCAGCTGCTCAAGCTTGCAGTCGAGGAAGGTCTCAGCCCAGCTCCTGATTTGGTCAAGGTTGTAAACGCCTTTGTGATTGCCAGGGGTCATTTTACACAGAGAGCTACGTGCAGCGTCGTAGCTGAGCATCTGTGTCGTCTGCGTTCTCTGTGACCTTGAACTCATAATTATTGCTCTTTTGTTACCTCTGTTAAGCAGTATTCTTGGCCGGGCATGGTGGCTCAAGCCTCTAATCCCAGCACTTTGGGAAGCTGAGGCGGGCGGATCACGAGTTCAGGAGATCGAGACCATCCTGGCTAACATGGTGAAAGCCCGTCTCTACTAAAAATACAAAAAAATTAGCCGGGCGTGGTGTCGGGCGCCTATAGTCCCAGCTACTCGGGAGGCTGAGGCAGGAGAATGGCGTGAACCCAGAAGGCGGAACTTGCAGTGAGCCAAGTTCATACCACTGCACTCCAACCTGGGCGACAGAGCGAGACTCCGTCTCAAAAAAACAAAAAAAACCCAGAATTCTTCTTTTTTTTTTTTTTAGACAGATTCTCCCTCTGTCCCCCAGGCTGGAGTGCAGTGGCACAATCACAGCTCACTGCAGCCTTGACGTACCAGGCTGAAGCGATCCTCCTCTCTCTGTCTCCCAAGTAGTTGTGACCACAGGCATGCACCACCATGCCCAGCTAATTTTTAAATTTTTTGTAGAAACATGGTCTCCTTTTGCCCCTTGTCTCAGCCTCCCAAAGTGCTGGAATTACAGGCATGAGCCACTGTGCCTGGCCCGGCCAGTATTCTATCTCCGAGCTTTGGTTGACTCCAACGCAGTTAGCGTTTGAGGTACCTTGTTCGTCTATGGACCTTATGGGTCATAACAACATTGGGAGATAAAGATTTGCTGCTGCCAGGACTCGGCGACATTGGACACGATTCTGCAGAGTCATCGAGGCAGCAGGTGCTTCACGGGGTGCCGTGGTTGTCATTGCACGTGGCGTCACTGCCGCTGCTTCGGTTGGTGTGGGAAGGTGGCAGCAGTGGTTCTGCCTGCAGTGGGGATTAGCCTGATGTCCAAGAAAAGTGACTGTGTATCAGCTGGCCACTGGGAAGGGCCAGGACGCCATTCCTTTATTTATTCAGCAGGTGCTCCTTGAGCCCCTGATGTGGGGCCCGCCCTGCTCCAGGTGCTCGGGACACAGAGGTAACAAGGCGGCTGCAGCCCCTGCCCCTGTGGAGCAGACAGTGGGGAGAAATAGGCATCACCACAAATAAATGACACGCATTAGATGCCAGTAAGCACAGTCAAGAGATTCAAACAGCATTTTTCTTTGTCTGTTTTTGAGACGGAGTCTCGCTCTGTTACTAGGCTGGAGTGCAGTGATGTGATCTCAGCTCACTGCAACCTCCGCCTCCCAGGTTCAAGCGATTCTCCTGCCTCAGCCTCCCAAGTAGCTGGGACTACAGGCACCCACCACACCTGGCTAATTTTTATATTTTTAATAGAGATGGGGTTTCACCATGTTGGTCAGGCTGGTGTTGATCTCCTGACCTCATGATCTGCCCGCCTTGGTCTCCCAAAGTGCTGGGATTACAGGCGTGAGCCACCGCACCTGGCCTAAAACAGCGTTTTGGGGCAGGAAATGACAAGAGAAAAACATGGTGACCAGGTGAGATGGTGGTCAGGGAATGGCATCTGGGCAGGTGGCATCTCAGCTGCCATCTAAAAGGTGGGATGGAAGCCAGGCATGGTGGCTCACACGTGTAATCCCAGCATTTTGGGAGGCCAAGGCAGGAGGATTGCTTGAGGCCAGGAGTTAAGAGACCAGCCTGGGCAACACAGGCAGACCCCATGTGTACAAAAAATTAAAAGATTAGCCAGGTGTGGTGGCATGTGCCTGTAGTCACAGCTACTCAGGAGGCTGAGGTGGGAGGATCACTTGAGCCAGGGAGGTCGAGGTTACAATGAGCCAACATCACGCAACTGCACTCCAGCCTGGGTGACAGAGTAAGACCTTGTCTCAAAAAAAAAAAAAAAAAAGGTAGAATGGAGCCCTCTTGGGTAAGAACTTTCCAAGCGAAGGAAGTAGCAAGACTGAAGCCAGAGGCTGATTGTGTCCCTGGAGAGGGGAAGGGAGTGAGCAGAGCGGCGTCCAGAGGACAGCCACGTAGAGTGTTGCCGGTCATACCTAGACCCTGGGGGTCTGTGCTGTGTGTGGCACGAGCCACTGGAGAGAACAGACGGGAAGGAGTCCCGTGATTGCAGCTGCTGGAGAGAGAACAGACTGGAAGGGGTGCGGTGGCTGCGGCCGCTGAGGAGAGCAGCAGCTGGGGGCCACGTGGGGAGTGGGTGGGATGGAGCCTGCTGTGTGAGCTTCAGGTGTAATTTACAGCCATGAGATTAGATGAAATGACTCAAGGGCAGAGTTTAATTAGAAGAGGGCCCAGAGTCTGACTTCTAGCCACAGTGTTTCTTGGATAAAGACCTAATAGGGGCTGGGCGTGGTGGCTCACACCTGTAATCCCAGCACTTTGGAAGGCGGAGGTGGGTTGATCACCTGAGGTCAGGAATTTGAGACCAGCTTGGCCAACATGGTGAAACCCCATCCCTACTAAAAGTACGAAAATTAGCTGGGCATGGTGGTGGGCGCCTGTAATCCCAGCTACTCGGGAGGCTGAAGCGGGAGAATTGCTTGAATCTGGGAGGCGGAGTTGCAGTGAGCTGAGATCGCACCATTGCATTCCAGCCTGGGAGACAGAGTCTCTCCACCACCCCTGACCTCACCAAAATAAAAGACATAATATGGATCTTCCAGTCTTGGAGTCTGTGAGTGAGAGCGTGGAGCTGAGCTCATAGCCGGGCAGTTTTGATGTCCTGAGTTTAGTGTGACTCAGTGGCCCGGGGAACCACAGGCTGCTCCTTCCCTCTCGCCCTGGCCTACCCGTCCATCTCCGGTGTTGTCACTGCCTGCCCAGGAGGCTCCTGCTTTGAGCCCTGCCCACCCTTCCAGCCCCATCTCCCCACCATGTAGCTTCCAGCCATGTAGCTGCCTTCCAGTTCCACGCTCGCCTCAGTCTCCTCCCTGCCTTACACCCTTTCTCCCTACTCTCCTCTCTACCTGGGTTTGCCACCGTCACCCTTCACCCCATCCCCACACCTGAGCAGGCCGCCTCGCCTGGTGCCACCTGTCTTGGTTCTCTGTTGACTTGTTGATTGTCTGTCCTTCTCCAACCTGCTGTCACCCCAGCCTTCTGACTGTGCTTGGCACATGGCGAGCCCTCAGGGTGCTGCAGGAAGAAAGAAGGTGACATTGGGCTTCAGGCTTGTGTCCTCTCCTTCCTGTCAGAGGACCCATGGCAGGGAGGCAGCAGGGCCAGGGCTGGAGTGCTATGGGCAGCAGGTCGGAGCTCGACAGAGGGGGAGTGACGCCTGCACCCATTGGGGGAGAGGGTCCCGGGAGTGCCACAGTCCCAAGGCAGGTGTTTGCGTGATGGGCCTGTGCAAGAGGAAGGGAGTAGCAGTGCAGCTGGGGTGAGGAAGGGAGGCATTCGTGCTTGGAGGTGGGGGTGCAGGCACAGCCCAGCGAGGGCCAAGTCAGGGGACAGACGGGGGCTTTTATTCAGGTGAGGGGGAGAGCTGTGAAGTGGAATGAATAACCTGACAGCCCTTTAAAAGTAATCACTGGCTGCTGAGTGGAGAGCGGCTCGGAGGGGTCGCAGTGGGGCAGGGAGGCCTGCTGGGAGGCTGCTGCACCTGCCAGGGTGAGAGGGCAGGGTGGCTGCTGAGACAGGTGTGGTCGGCGTCTGGAGTGGAGGCGGTGCCACCTTGAAGGAGCCACAAGGAGCCTGATTTCACAGAAGGGTGGAGGGCTGAGATCTAGAACCTAGGCTTCTCTGGGGGAAGGTTTTTCAGGGAAGGTAGTTTTTGAGCTGTAATCTTGTCCAGCCTTATTTTAGAGAAGAATGCTTCTGAAGAGCTGCCATTCTGACGTCAAAAAACTACTAAAACGTTGAACCATTGTGTCTCACACTCAGGTGATGATTGGGACTGCTCTTAACACAAGCGAGATGAAGAAACTGATCACCCACATGGGGGAGATGGACCACCCCTGGAACTGTCCCCATGGAAGGCCAACCATGAGACACATCGCCAACCTGGGTGTCATTTCTCAGAACTGACCGTAGTCACTGTATGGAATAATTGGTTTTATCGCAGATTTTTATGTTTTGAAAGACAGAGTCTTCACTAACCTTTTTTGTTTTAAAATGAACCTGCTACTTAAAAAAAATACACATCACACCCATTTAAAAGTGATCTTGAGAACCTTTTCAAACCAGATGGAGCATTGCTTGCAAATTTTTTTTCTCTATGTTTGCATGCGCTCGTGTGTGTGTGTCCAGGCAAGAACACATTTTATAAAAATAAGAACACTTGGGCTGGGCATGGTGGCTCATGCCTGTGATCGCAGCACTTTGGGAGGCCGAGGCCGGCGGATCACCTGAGATCAGAAGTTCGAGACCAGCCTGACCAACATGGAGAAACCCTGCCTCTACTAAAAATACAAAATTAGCCAGGTGTGCTGGCGCATGCCTGTAATCCCCGCTACCCAGGAGGCTGAGGCAGGAGAATCGCTTGAACCCGGGAGACGGAGGTTGCAGTGAACCGAGATTGCGCCACTGCGCTCCAGCCTGGGTGAGATAGAACAAGACTGTGTCTCAAAAAACAAAACAAAACAAAACAAAAAAAAAAAAACCAAACCACTTTGGAAGTTACTCAGGCCTCTGCTCTGGCTGGACATAGTTTAGTCTATAACTTTCAACCCTTAATGATAATTAAATTCATCTTTGTTTAATTTCATAAATTTAAAAGTAGGGTCCTTTTCAGTTAGTGATTCTCAGCCCTGATTCACATTAAATTTTTAAACACGGGGGATTCTCTGCCCGGCTGGAAGAAAATGACTGGATGGGACAGGGGTCACTATTTGAAACATTCCTCTGTGCGGCCAAGGTCGCAAAATGCTGTCCTCGCAGGGGAACAAAAAGAGTTTGATTTCCCATAATTTGATGCTGTGATTTGGTTTCCTCAGGATGTGAACTGTAGAACATTCCAGTTACTGGCCTTGAATGGTTCTGGGAATATAAGAATCCCTGTCTGTCTTTTCAAATAGTTTTCATGGAACCTTGTCCTGTTTGAACTTGGCTGAAAATGGAAGTAAAGATGCCCTCTTGGGGGCCCAGAGATGACAGATGTGGCTCCCCCTGCTGCCCCCACCCCTTCTCCAGACTGTGGGCGGCTCCCCTTCCTGCTTTAGAATCCCTCAGATGGAGGAGGCAGTACAGTAGTCACTGTGCCATCGTGTCTGGCACTGTGCTGGCGTGGTCTGCAGGATCCCACTTATGAACTCTCCAGATTGGGAGCTGTGGCAGGATAACAGCCCCCAAGACAGCTGTGTCCTAATCCCCAGAACCTGTGACCACGCTGCCTCACGTGGCAGAAGGGACTCGGCAGGTGTGATTGAGTGAAGGATCTTTTTTTTTTTTTTCTTTGAGATGAAGTTTCGCTCTTGTTGCCCAGGCTGGAGTTCAATAGCATGATCTCAGCTCACTGCAGCCTCTGCCTCCCAGGTTCAAGTGATTCTCCCACCTCAGCCTCCCGAGTAGCTGGGATTACAGGTGTCCAGAACCATACTGGCTAATTTTTGTATTTTTAGTAGAGACAGGGTTTCACCATGTTGACCAGGCTGGTCTCGAACTCCTGACCTCAGGTGATCCGACCGCCTCGGCCTCCCAAAGTGCTGGGATTACAGGTGTGAGCCATCATGCCTGGCTGAGTTAAGGATCTTGCAACAGAGAGATTATCCTGGATTGTCTGGGTGGGCCCAGTCCATTGGGTGAGTCCTTCAAAGGTGGAGACCTTTCCCTGCTGGCCAGAGAGAGGCTGTCTTGCTGGTTTTGGAGATGGAAGGAGGTACCACTAGTCAAGGATTGCAAGCAGTCTCTAGAACAGGGATTCCAACACTCCGGACACAGACCAGTAGTGGTCCATGGCCTATTAGGAAGTGGGGTGCACAGCAGGTTAGGGGCCGGCAAGCCAGCGAAGCTTCATCTGTATTTATAGCCACTCCCCGTCGCTGGCGTTACCACCCGAGCTCCGCCTCCTGTCACATCAGCGGTGGGCATTAGATTCTCATAGCAGCACGAGCCCTATTGTGAACTGCACACACGAGGGATGTAGGTTGCACGCTCCTTATGAGAATCTGATGCCTGATGATCTGTCACTGTCTCCCGTCACCCCCAGATGGGGCTGTCTAGTTGCAGGAAAACAAGCTCAGGGCTCCCACTGAGTCTCTGTGATGGTGAGTTGTAGAATTATTTAATTATATGTTACAATGTAATAATAGTAGAAATAAAGTGCACAATAAATGCAATGCACTTGAATCGTCCTGAAACCATCCCTCCCCGACCCCAATCCATGGAAAAATTGTGTTCCGCGAAACCGGTCTCTGGTGCCAAAAAGGTTGGGGACCGCTTCTGGAAAAGCTGGAAAAGGCAAGAAAACGCATTCTCTCCCTCAGCCTCTGGAAGGAACCAGCACTGTGGGACTAATTTACATACTGTAGGGTAATAAATTTGTGTTGCTTCGAACCACTAAATTTATGGTAATTTGTTTGCGGCAGCAATGGAAAACTAATGCCTGCGTTATTCCTATTTTATGATGAAGCAGTTAGCAGAGCTGGGAAAACCCTGGCCTGCTGCCTCCAGCGTCCAGCCTTTCCCCCGGCCTTCAGGACCAGCAAGGGCGGGACACCTGCTTGGCGCTGGCGCGCGGCCCCTTTAAGAGCACAGGGTGGGCCTGGCGGCGTCCGCGGTTGCCTGGAGACCGGAGCCGGGTCTGGGACGCCGAGAGCCCGGCAACACCTCAGCCCGAGCCCGGCGAGGTCTCTGGGCTCCTGGAGCGAGGTGAGCGCCCCAGGCCGCGGTCCTGCGTACGCCGGGACAGCCATGGCGACTGGGTCCTGCTCCTTCCCGGCCGGACTGACGCGGCCTCCCAGGACCCGAGCACGTGCGTGATGGGCGAGGAGGGCCTAGGCCGGGCAGACCAGTGCAGGGAGCCGATTCTTCCCGGCTCACCGTAGACACAGGAGAGAGATGGCCTCTCCTTAAGCCCAGGAGAACAGAGGAAACATTAGGAAACGCACTGAGAAACGAAATTGGCTTGATTTGTAGTTCACTTATTTGTAGATCACTGACAGAAGACCGAAAAGCTCGTAGTAAAGGCCCCTCTAAATTTAGAGGTGAGAGCACCTTGGGCTAGGGGACCCAGGGGCGGCTTCGCTGAGACAGTAGTCGGGGGCGGGAAGGAGCAAGGGTGTTGGAAGGAAGCGAGAAGGCTTGGCCGGGCGCGGTGGCTCACGCCTGTAACCCCAGCACTTTTGGGAGGCCGAGGCGGGCGGATCACCTGAGGTTAGGAGTTTGAGACCAGCCTGGGCAACATGGTGAAACCCTGGCTCTACTAAAAATACAAAAATTAGCCGGGAGTGGTTGCAGGCACCTGTAATCCCAACTACTTGGGAGGCTAGGGCAGAAGAATCACTTGAACCCGGAAGGTTGCAGTGAGCCAAGACTGTGCCACTGCACTCCAGCCTGGGTGACAGAGCGAGACCCTGTCTCAATAAATAAATAATGGAGGAAGAGAGAAGGCTGGAGATGGGTTCAGCTGGAGGGTGGGGTGTCCAGAGGATGGCATCCAGGAAGAAGAGGGCAAGAAGTGCCCACTGCACCCGTCGGGGCCTACGAAAAGGGACCAGACCTGGCCTTCACCACAGGGCTCACCTATGCATCCTGCCTGATGGACCAGGGTGCTTTCAGCGGGGCCAGATTAGGAAAGCCATGAAAACTATGGCTTTGAAACCCTGCACCGCAGCTCATATGCCAGACAAGCAAAGATATGCGCTGGAAACGGAGCTCGAGCAACGATGCGCTGGAAATACAGCTCAAGCAACCATGCGCTGGAAACGCAACTCCAGCACACCGGTCCTTGCTTGTCCGGCATATGAGAGGCACTCAATCGATGGCAGTGCTAGAGGGAGTGGGAAACCAATGATTTCAAGTTTGAAAACAGGAAAGGGACGAGATAATCACTCAATTTATTGACTTTGCTCTGTATCCTGTACTTAGGGATTTTTCTGTGTGTCATCGGTTTAATTCTTATGAGACAAGGTTCTGTTATTTCTATTTGTGAGGCAGAGGAGATTAAGCAGCTTGCTTCAGAACACAGCACTTGGCCGAGCTCAGTGGCTCATGCCCGCAATCCTAGCACTTTGGGAGGAGAAGGTGGGAAGATTGCTTGAGGCCAGGAGTTTGAAACCAGCCTGGGCAAAATGTACAACACCCCGTCTCAAAAAAAAAAAAAAAAAAAAAAAAAAAAAAGGAAACCAGCCAGGCACGGTGGCTCACACTTGTTATCCCAGCACTTTGGGAGGCCAAGGCGGGCAGATCACGAGGTCAGGAGTTCGACACCAGCCTGGCCAACACAGTGAAACCCCATCTCTACTAAAAATACAAAAATTAGCTGAGTATGGAGGCAGGTGCCTGTAATCCCAGCTACTCGAGAGGCTGAGGCAGGAGAATCACTTGAACCTGCAGTGAGGTTGCAGTGAGCCAGTGAGCCAAGATCCTGCCACTGCATTCCAACCTGCAGGACAGGGCTAGAGAGTCTGTCTAAAAAAAAAAAAAAAAACAAACCCAAAAAACACAGAACTGGGCCGGGCACCCACACCCGGTGACTCACGCCTGTAATCCCAGCACTTTGGAGGCCAAGGCGGGCAGATCACGAGGTCAGGAGATTGAGACCATCCTGGCTAACCCGGTGAAACCCCGTCTCTACTAAAAATACAAAAAGAATTAGCCAGGTGTGGTGGTGGGCGCCTGTAGTCCTAGCTACTCAGGAGGCTGAGGCAGGAGAATGGCATGAACCCGGGAGGTGGAGCTTGCAGTGAGCCAAGATCGCACCACCGCACTCCAGCCTGGGCAAGAGAGTGAGACTCCGTCTCAAAAATAAATAAATAAATAAATAAACAAACCCATAGAACTGGTAATGGGCAATGCAGGACTCCGAATCCAGCTCTTGCACACTTTACAATGCTGACCTATAAGGAGAGGGGCTTTTGTTTTGTTTTGTTTTTTTTGAGACAGAATCTTGCTCTGTTGCCGAGGCTAGAGTGCAGTGGTGTGATCTCGGCTCACTGCAACCTCCACCTCCTGGGTTCAAGTGATTCTCCTGCCTCAGCCTCCTGAGTAGCTGGGATTACAGGCATGTGCCACCATGCCTGGCTAATTTTTTGTATTTTTAGTAGAGACGGGGTTTCACAGTGTTAGCCAGGGTGGTCTCAATCTCCTGACCTCGTGATCCACCTGCCTTGGCCTCCCAAAGTGCTGGGACTACAGGTGTGAGCCACTGCATCCGGCCAGAGAGGGGCTTTTAAAGTGTGAATTGGCTGCATGCAAGACCTGAGAGGTGAAGTAGCCTATTTCATGTGTAGGGTTACCTTTCAAGAAACAATGCTAGACAATGGTTCCAACTTAAATAATTTTTGGGGCAAGGTACAGTGGCTCACACCTATAATCCCAGCACTTTGGGAGGCTGAGACAGGCGGATTGCTTGAGCTCAGGAGTTCCAGACCAGCCGGGGCAAGATAGCAAGACCCTGTCTCTACAAAAAATTAGCCAGGTGTGGTAATGCATGCCTGTGGTCCCAGCTACTTGGGAGGCTGAGATGGAAGGATCGTCAGAGCCTAGGAGGTTGAGGCTAGAGTGAGCTGTGATTGTGCCACTGCCCTCCAGCCTGGGTGACAGAGTGAGACTCTGTCTCAAAAATTAAAAATAAAAAAATTTTAGGAACAAGCAATGCGATGTTGAGGTTGTATTTTTATAAACTGATGGTACTTGAAACTTGTAATTATAGTCATTTTTGAGACAGAGTCTTGCTCTGATACCCAGACTGGAGTGCAGTGGTGTGACACTACTCACTGCAGCCTCGACCTCCCAGGCTCAAGCAGTCCTCCCACCTGAGCCTCCCTAGTAGCTGGGACTACAGGCATGTGCCACCACGCCTGGCTAATTTATTTTTATTTTTTGTAGAGAGGTGGCATCTCACTACGTGGCCTAGGCTGATCTCCCTCTCCTGGACTCACATGATCCTCCCACCTTGGCCCTTCAACGTGCTGAGATCGCAGGTGTGAGCCACCACACCCGGCCCTGGTAACTAATTTTTCAGACTTTGTCAGGAGAATGATAATGACATTGTGTTGTAAAACTGAAATTTTAACTACAAATGAAAACCCCAAGTGTTTGGAGACGTAATTTTTATTTTTCAGATAAAACTCATCAGTGCTTTGAAACAAGCAGCTCTGAACCAAAGAAATCATTTGATTCAAGTAACCATTGGATCTTCCCAAGGCAATGGTGAAAGAAAAGAAAAAAGCAGACAAAAAAGGGGAGAAGTCTGCCCGCTCTCCCTCATCTCTCTCTGATAATCTAGACTTTTCCAAACAAGATGGCAACACCACTAGGCAAGAGATGTCCCCAGCTGGTGTCCCATTGCTGGGAATGCAGCTCAACGAAGTGAAACCCAAAAAAGACCGCCAAAACGTTCAGCAGAACGAAGATGCCACCCAATACGAAGAGTCCATTCTGACCAAACTCATAGTGGAAAGGTGATTTTAATGGGGGTGCCATCGGGTATAACACTGCCAGTCAGGCGGTTTATCTTATTTTACTTTGAGACAGAGTTTCACTCTGTCGTTCAGGCTGGAGTGCAGTGGTGTGATCTTGGCTCACTGCAACCTCCACCTCCCACATTCAAGCAATTCTCCTGCCTCAGCCTCCTGAGTAGCTGGGATTACAGGTGCCCGCCACCATGCCTGGCTAATTTTTGTACTTTTAGTAGAGACAAGGTTTCACCCTGTTGGCCAGGCTGGTCTCGAACTCCTGACCTCAGGTGAGCCACCTGCCTCAGCCTCCCAAAGTGCTGGGATTACAGGCGTAAGCCACTGTGCCTGGCCTGAAGGTAATTTTATGTATTTAAAAAAATTATTTTATTTTAGATTTAGAGGGTTACATGTGCAGGTTTGTTACATGGGCATGTTGTGTGATGCTGAGGTTTGGGCTTCTAAGTAAGCCCATCACCCAAATAGCAAACATACAGCCCCATGGCGTGTGTATATATAGAGTTTATTGTGGTGAAACATATAACAAAATGTACTATCTTAATTATTTTAAGTGTACAATTCAATGGCATTAAGTACGTTCATAGTGTTGTACGACCGTCTATTAAATAGTAACTCCTGGCCAGATGCGGTGGTTCAAGCCTGTAATCCCAGCACTTTGGGAGGCTGAGGCGGGCAGATCACTTGAGGCCAGGAGTTTGAGACCAGTCTGGCCAATATGGTGAAACTCCATCTCTACTAAAAACACAATAATTAGCTGGGCGTGGTGACATGTGCCTGTAATCCCAGCTACTCAGGAGGCTGAGGCGGGAGAATCACTTGAACCCGGGAGGCAGAGGTTGCAGTGAGCCAAGATCACGTCATTGCACTCCATCCAGCCCGGGCGACAGAGTGAGACTCCATCTCAAAAAAAATCCCCAAAAAACAAACAAAAAAACCCCGAAACGCCTTCATTCCTCACCCTACTTTCAAACCCCTGGTAACCTCTTCTACTTTCTAGCTCTGTGTATATATATATATATATATTTTTTTTTTTCTGACTTCATTCTTCCCATTACATAGTTATATAGTTTAACCCACTGTCACTTGGGTTTATTCACATTGTTCATTACCTTGAATTACCTTTATTTCTTTGTAGCTATGAAGGGGAAAAGGTTCGTGGGCTGTATGAGGGAGAAGGCTTCGCAGCCTTTCAAGGCGGTTGTACCTATCGTGTAAGTTGCCCATTTGAGAACCTGCAGGAAGGGGAGGAAGGTGTGGGGTGATGGTCGTAGATTTGTAAATCTTCAGTAAAATCCACTGATGCTTCAAAAGAAATCGGAAGCTCTTCATGCCGATTTTATTCTGAAACCTGATTACCTATTTAAGGTAAAAATAATGCTCAATATAACAAAAGTTATTTTAGATTTGTTTCTTTTCCTGATTATTTTATATTTTTTGAGACAGGGTCTCACTGTGTCACCCAAGCTGGAGTGCAGTGGCACAATCATAACTCATTGTGGCCTCGACCTCCTGGAGTCAAATGATCCTCCCTCCTCAGCCTCTTGAATAGCTGGGACTACAGGTGTGAGCTAGCACGCCTGGCTAATTTAATTTTTTTTTTTTTTTTTTTGGTAGAGACAAGGAGTTGCTACGTTGCCAGGGCTGGTCTTGAACTGCCGGGCACAAGTTATCCTCCTGCCTCAGACTCCTAAAGTGCTGGGATTGCAGGTGTGAGCCCCCGCACCCGGTTGAGAACACATTTTTGTAGCTGAGGTCATCCTTAGGTCATGAAGATGAGGACCTCTTAGATCCTTTTTAGAGAAGGATGGAGCCCAGCATGGAGGCAGCTCAGAGTAGGACTCACTAGGACTCAGCTGGTGCTGAGTGTGCAGACAAGCATCTTCACGCATGTGAAATCGGGATAAGGCAGTTGTGGGAGAGAATCATCAGCTGCAGGCCAGGCGCGGTGGCTCATGCCTATAATCCCAGCACTTTGGGAGGCCAAGGCGGGCGCATTGCTAGAGCTCAGGATTTCAAGACCAGCCTGGCCAACATGGTGAAATCCCGTCTCCACAAAAAATACAAAAATTAGCTGGGCATGGTGGTGGATGCCTGTAGTCCCAGCTACTCGGGAGGCTGAAGTGGGAGGATTGCTTGAGCCTGGGAGTTCGAGGCTGCAGTGAGCTATGATCACACCACTGCACTCCAGCCTGGGTGACAGAACCAGACCCTATCTCAAATATGTATATGTGTCAGCTGTATTCTAAGTGTTTGTCGTTGCTTTGTTTTGTTTTGAAGGGTATGTTTTCAGAAGGACTCATGCATGGACAGGGGACTTATATTTGGGCCGATGGATTAAAATATGAGGTGAGGCATATAACCAGTTATAGTTCTAAGCTGTGATTATTGGATGGAACAATCAGTTTCCCACAATTGAACAGACTGTTTTCGTAGATGTCATTCAGCATATGGGTTAAGAAAAATTTGCAGAACCAGAGGATCTAGTAACTCATGACTGCATGGGACCCGCCAGTAATTGTTATTGGTTTCATCTGTGTGTTCTAGAGGTATTCTATGTGTTCTAAGCACAGAGAGCACACGTACATGTATGTAGCTTGTCCTACTTTTTTCTTTGAGACAGGGTCTTGCTCTGTTGCCCAGGCTGGAGTATAGTGGTACGATCATAACACTGCAGCCTGGAACTTCTGTAGCCTGTCTTGCTTTTTACAAACACACATAGTTTATTATACACTCTCTTTGGCATATTTACTTAGTTAGTTAGTGAGTCTGAGATGGGGTCTTGCTCTGTCACCCAGGCTGTAGTGCAGTGGTGAGATCATGACTCACTGCAGCCTTGAACTCCTAGGCTCAAGCGATCCTGTTGGCTCAGCCTGCTGAGTAGCTGTGACTAGAGGTGTGCTCCGCAGCACGCGGCTAATTTATTTTTACTTTTTTTTTTTTTTTTTGTAGAGACAGGGTTTGCCATGTTGCCCAGGCTGGTCTCGAACTCCTAAGCTTAAGCGATCCTCCCACCTTGGCCTCCCAAAGTGCTGGGGATTACAGGCGTGAGCCACCACACCTGGCCTGTACCTTTAATTTTGAGATCAAACCATATCCATTCATGTAGATCTGTTTTTAGTGGCTGCATGTATTCCATTATGTGGCTTTTATTTAACCTGTCTTGTGGGGTTGAGGGGAATGTGTATTTTTAAGCTGATTGCAAGGACCAAATTGTTCGCCAAGAGATTGTACCAGGCTCAATTCCCACCCACAAAGTGAGTGAGCACCTGAAATGCTATTCTAAAAATCCCAAATGCAGAGTTGCTAACAGATGGTGTTTATAAATGGTAATGATGACATTTAAAACACATGCGCATAACGCACTTATTCAAATAACACACAGGCAATGATGGAAACGGAGTCAAGTTTGGGCCGGGAAGCCACCTGCAGCTGGGCGGTGAGAGGCATGCTGCAGAGGAGCGGGGAGAGGGAGGGAGGGGCTGACCGTCACTGGCGGGGCGAGGAGGATCTCCAAGTTCCAGGGGAGCCTGAGGATTGGGCCCCCACCTTGGGTTCATGCCAGCTCCCTTCCCACGCGACATCCCGCCTTCTAGCCGGTGGCTGACATGTAAGGTTTCTGGTCTTTATTTTATTTATTTTTGTGGGACAGAGTCTTGCTCTGTCACCCAGGCTGGAGTGCAGCGGGGGGATCTCGGCTCACTGCAACCTCCACCTCCTGGGTTCAAGCAATTCTCCTGCCTCAGCCTCCAGAGTAGCTGGGATTACAGGCGCCCGCCACCACGCCGGGCTACTTTTTGTATTTTTAGTAGAGACGGGCTTTCGCCATGTTGGCCAGGCTGGTCTCAAACCCCTGGCTTCAGGTGATCTGCCCACCTCAGCCTCCCGAAGTGCAGGGATTACAGGTGTGAGCCACCGCACTGGGCCAGTTTCTGGTCCTTAAGTGACAACTTACCAAGAACCGCCCTGTGCCTCGTTGTCTCGGGAAACTCCCGGCAGGGGGGGAGGTCATTTTTGCAGGCACAGACCCCCACTCCAGCCCAGTCAGGGGGGCTTCTGGGCAGGACTCGGGGGGCTCCTAGAAGCATTCTCAGAGGCCGACTGGCCTCATGGGTCCTGGCTGGTGATCAGGCCACGGCGTGCTGTCCTCTTTTCTCTGCTGCTGTGGCTGCCTCCAGGGAGTTCAGGTTCCTGGAAGAGAATCCGATGCTGCTGGGTGCTGTGCACTGTGCTGCCTGCTGCCCACTCAGGCGTCCTGGGCAGAGCGCGTTCCCTGGCAGGTGCCCCTGGGGCAGGCTGTTGGCTGATTTGTTTACAGACTATTTTGATGACCGTGGCAGAAAGAGGGATTTCCTGACCGGGCATGGTGGCTCACGCCTGTAATCCCAATACTTTGGGAGGCCAAGGTGGGCAGATCATCTGAGGTCAGGAGTTCAAGACCAGCCTGGCCAATATGGTGAAATCCTGTCTCTACTAAAACTACAAAAATTTGCGGGGCATGGTGGTGCACACCTGTGATCCCAGCTACTCGGAAAGCTGAGGCAGGAGAATTGCTTAAACCTGGGAGGCGGAGGTTGCAGTGAGCCGAGACTACACCATTACACTCCAGCCTGGGGAACAAGAGCAAAACTCCATCTTGAAAAAAAAAGGAAAAAGAAAGAGGGATGTCCCCAGTCATCACTAAGCCTTGGAGGGAACAGTGAATTCACCTCCTTCGAGCGGGTTATTTTTTTTTTCATTAGAGACAGGATCTTGCTCTGTCGCCCAGGCTGGAATGCAGTGGTCATAGTTCACTGCAGCCTCAACCTCCTGGGCTCAACAGATCCTCTCACGTCAGCACCCCCAAAGTGCTGGGATTATAGGCGTGCACCACTGCACCTTGGTGGCCAGCACCTGTAGTCCCAGCTACTTGGGAGGCCAAGGTGGGAAGATCACTTGAGGCTGGGAGTTTGAGACCAGACCAGCCTGGGCAACATAGAGAAACTCCATCTCCACAAAAAATTTAAAAAGTAGTGAGGCTTGGTGGCACACACACTTGTAGTCTCAGCTACTTGGGGGGCTGTGGTGGGAGGATCTCTTGAGCCTGGGAGGTCGAGGCTGCAGTGAGCTATGATTGTGCCGCTGCACTCCAACCTAGGTGACAGGGTGAGACCCTGTCTCAAAAAAACAAAAAAACAACAACAAAAAATCCACAAAAACTAGGCATGATGGCTCATGCCTGTTAAATGCCTGTTAATCTCAGCACTTTGGGAAGCCGAGGCAGGTGGATCACCTCAGGTCAGGAGTTCGAGACCAGCCTGGCCAACATGGCAAAACCCCGTCTCTCCTAAAAATACAAAAAAAATTAGCAGGGTGTGATGATGGGTGCCTGTAATCCCAGCTACTTGGGAGGCTGAGGCAGGAGAACTGCTTGAACCTGGGAGGCAGAGGTTGCAGTGAGCCGAGATGGCGCCATTGCACTACAGCCTGGGCGACAGAGTGAGACTCTGTCTCAAAAATAAAAACAAAAACAAATAAAATCTTTTTCTAGAGACAGGGTCTTCCTAGGTTGCCCAGACTGGCCTCAAATTCCCGGCCTCAAGCAGTCCTCCCGCCTCAGTCTCCCAAAGTGCTGTGATTACAAGTGTGAGCCACTGCACCTTGCCAAGGTGGGTTCTAAGAATCTGAAGTTCCCCAGGTCAGGATTGGAAGCCAGCACTTTCCAACGTCACCTGCTTGTTTCTTCGAACTTAGTCAACCTGCAACCTCCCAGATATTTCCTCCTGCCTGAGCTTCCGCCCACTGGTCGGGTCAGATGAGAGAGGATGCGATGAGAGCAGACAAGGAAGGAAGAGAGAGAGTGTGAGGGGGATGTTCAGTGTGTCCACAGGAGAGGCAAGAACAGAATCAGAGGTCAAGCAGCTCCTGGAACCGCCCGCAGGACTAGGGATTCCCGCCCCCACCCCCCAACACTTCCTTCTGTCACCCCATGGCCGTTCTGCTTCAGGGCGACTTTGTGAAGAATGTCCCGATGAACCACGGCGTGTACACGTGGCCGGACGGCAGCATGTATGAAGGCGAAGTGGTCAACGGCATGAGGAACGGATTCGGGATGTTCAAGTGCAGCACCCAGCCTGTGTCCTACATCGGCCACTGGTGCAATGGCAAGCGGCACGGGAAGGTGGGCGAGGTGGCCACGTGGAGGGCAGGTGGGGCAGGAGTGAAGGGGGTGGGCGGACATGGGGGGGGCAGCCATGAGGGGGCAAGGTCGGGGAGGTCGGGGGGGCAGAAAGGGGGTGGGGTGGCCATGTGGAGGGCAGGGGAGGGGCTGGGTGGCCACATGGAGGGAGAGAAGGGGGTAGGGGCTAGCGGCGCTGTCCAGGGCATATTCACTTTTTGTTTATTGAGGCGAAATTCACATCACATAAATTAACCATTTTATTAATTTTTTTTTTTTTTGAGATGGAGTCTTGCTCTGTCGCCCAGGCGGGAGTGCAATGGTGCCATCTCAGCTCACTGCAACCTCTGCCTCCCGGGTTCAAGCAAATCTCCTGCCTCAGCCTCCCAGGTTGCTGGGACTACAGGTGTGCACCACCACGCCCAGCTAATTTTTGTATTTTTAGTAGAGATGGGGTTTCGCCATGTTGGCCAGGGTGGTCTTGAACTCCTGATCCCAAGTGATCCACCCACCTCAGCCTCCCAAAGTGCTGGGATTACAGGCGTGAGCCACACTGTGCCTGGCCGTATGCATGCTTTAATAGGCTATTTATTGAGTTGTGTTGTTGTTGTTGTTGTGTGTGTGTGTGTGTGTGTGTGTGTGTGTGTGTTTTACAGCAGATTGCTTGAGACATATTGGAGGGATTGGGGGTGGTGACTTCTAGACAGCAGCATCTGCATGGCTGCAAGAAGGAATGAGTTTGCCTGATCATGAGAAAGAAGATAGAAAAATTCTCTCTCACACACACAGATAAACCTGTGAAAAAGCCTTTTGAGGCTTTTCTATGTAGATCAAACAAAGGGTACTCTATGCTCACTTATACTCGGAGGCGGTAAAATGAGTAGCATGTCCAAATGGGTAAAACAACAGTGGATCTGGTGCCTAAGAGAGAGTGACCTTCCGTTACATGGAAGGCGCAACTGTTCACTCCAGGTGGCAACAGACAGGATTTCTCTAGGTACTTAATTGACTAATAGTTACTGGATAGAATGAATATACTCGAATATGATGAATACAGTCATTCTGTGCCTTAATGTGATACTTTTTATTTTATTTTATTTTGAGATGGAGTCTTGCTCTGTTGCCCAGGCTGGAGTGCAGTGGCACGATCTGGGCTCACTGCAACCTCTGCCTCCCAGGTTCAAGCGATTATCCTGCCTCAGCCTCCCAAGTAGCTGGGATTACAGGCACGCTCCACCACTCCTAGCTAATTTTTGTGTTTTTAGTAGAGACGGGGTTTCACCGTGTTGGCCAGGCTGGTCTTGAACTCATGACCTTGTGATCCGCCCACCTCGGCCTCCCAAAGTGCTGGGATTACAGACGTGAGCCACCGTGCCTGGCCAATATGGCACTTTATTAAGGAGCAATTGATTTGTGACATTATCTCATTTCCCTTTGTGCAGCAGTTTTACCATTTTCTTGATAGCAAAACAGAAAAATAGCAGTTTACATGTCTTGCCTATGTATGACATTGACCTCTGTGTAGGTTCTACTTTTCAAGTTAATATCCTTACATTTGACAAAGCATTTGTGTCATGAGGCTTGATAGTTTTAAAGATGACATTATTTGTTTCAGGGCTCCATTTATTACAATCAAGAGGGTACGTGTTGGTACGAGGGAGACTGGGTACAAAACATCAAAAAGGGCTGGGGAATAAGATGGTAGGTATGACCACCGCCGCGCTTGGGGTGTAGATGAAGAAGGGTTTGTGGGCCCAATAGCGTTCACCTCGGATATTTAAAAGTAAGATGCAAAAGTTGCACGGAACATTTTCTCTCTAAGCAGAGTGGATTTTTTCTCTTTTCTTTGAGACGGAGTCTTGTTCTGTCACCCAGGCTGGAGTGCAGTGGTGCCATCTCAGCTCACTTCAACCTCTGCCTTCTGGGTTCAAGCAATTCTCCTGCCATGATCACACCACTGCTCTCCAGCCTTGGTGACACAGTGAGATCTCATCTCAAAAACTGGCCAAATATTCACTAATCATGATACAATAGGGAATTATTAAAAAATTTTAAAAACCCGGCTCTTACCCACTTTGTCCCCTTATTAAATAGTCAGAAGATTTAATAAAGTGACTCATTCTGCTCCCTTAGGACCATGAGCCTATCCATTGATTTTTTAAAAATTTTATTTATTTATTTTTTAGACAGTCTCGCTCTGTTGCCCAGGCTAGAGTGCAGTGGCATGATCTCGGCTCATTGCAACCTGCACCTTCTGAGTTCAAGTGATTCTCCTGCCTCAGCCTCCTGAATAGCTGGGATTACAGGTGCCTGCCACCATGTCCGGCTAATTTTTGCATTTTTTTTTTTCTTTTGAGATGGAGTTTTGCCTCCCAAGTAGCTGGGCTAATTTTGTATTTTTAGTAGAGATGGAGTTTCTCCATGTTGGTCAGGCTGGTCTCAAACTCCCAACCTCAGGTGATCCTCCAGCCTCGGCCTCCCAAAGTGCTGGGATTACAGGCGTGAGCCACCACGCCTGGCCTGAATTTAAATACAGAGAAGATTGTATAAGTACAAGGGGTGGATTTCTTCAAAGGAGCTCAAGGGGAGTGTTTAAAAGAATGTCTTAAAGGTAAATGTTGTGTAGGAGGTAACTGATTGTTTTTCTTTGGTTTCTTTCATCCTAGTTATAAATCTGGAAATATATACGAAGGCCAGTGGGAAGACAACATGCGCCACGGGGAGGGGAGGATGAGGTGGCTGACCACCAACGAAGAGTACACCGGGCGGTGGGAGAGGGGCATCCAGGTACGCCCGGGCGGGGTAGCAGCTTATACCCAGAGGCGGATGCTCCGCCGATTCTCAACACATGTATATTTCTTTTTGGGTTTTGTTTTTGTTTTTGTTTTTGTTTTGAGACAGAGTCTCTCTCTGTCTGTCTCCCAGGCTGGAGTGCACTGGCGCAATCTTGGCTCACTGCAGCCTCCACCTCCCGGGTTCAAGCAATTCTCCTGCCTCAGCCTCTGGAGTAGCTGAGATTACAGGTACCCACCACCACCACGGCCGGGCTAATTGTTTTTTTTGTATTTTTAGTAGAGACGGGGTTTCACCATGTTGGCCAGGTTGGTTTCGAACTCCGGACCTCAAGTGATCCGCGCGCCTCAGCCTCCTAAAGTGCTGCGATTACAGGCGTGAGCCACCACACCCAGCCTGTTTGTTTGTTTTTAGAGACAGAGTCTTGCTCTGTTGCCCAGGCTGGAGTGCGGTGGCAGGATCTCAGCTCACTGCAGCCTCCACCTCCTGGGTTCAAGCAATTCTCCTGCCTCAGCCTCTGGAGTAGCTGAGATTACAGGCACCCACCACCATGGCCCGGCTAATTTTTTTTTTTTTTTGTATTTTCAGTAGAGACGGGGTTTCACCATGTTGGCCAGACTGGTTTCGAACTCCTGACCTCAAGTGATCCACCTGCCTCGGCTTCCCAGAGTGCTAGGATTACAGGCGTAAGCCACAGCGCCCAGCGTGTTCGTTTGTTTTTAGAGACAGAGTCTTGCTCTGTTGCCCAGGCTGGACTGCAGTTGTGCAATCAGGGCTCTCTACCTCCTTGGCTCAAGCGATCCTCCCACCTCAGCCTCCCCTGTAGCTGAGACTACAGAGGTGCCCACTGCCACCATGCCTGGCTAACTAAAAAAATAATTTTTTTTTTTTTAGAAACGAGGTCTCACTTTATCACACAGGCTGGTCTTGAACTCTGAGGCTCAAGTGATCCTTCCATCTCTGCCTCTCAAAGCGTTGGGATTACAGGCATGAGGCACAGCACCCAGCCCAACTGGTATCTTTAAAAAATAAAAATTTAGGCTGGGCTCAGTGGCTCACACGTGTAATCCCAGCACTTTGGGAGACCACCTGAGGATTGAGGCCAGGAGTTTGAGACCAGCCTGGGTGATATGGTGAAACCCCATCTCTACTAAAAATATAAAAATTAGCCGGGAGTGGTTGCTGGTGCCTGTAGTCCTGGCTACTTGGGAGGCTGAGGTGGGAGGATCACTTGAGTCTTGGAGGTTGAGGCTGCAGTGAGCCAAGATTGTGCCATACTCTAGCCTGGGTAACAGAGTGAGACCCTTTCTCAAAAAATAAAAATATATAAAAGCAAATAAACCCCAACATTTAAAATAACAATGAAAATCTTCACGATCAAGCCAGGCACTTTATGTACACTTATCTTCACTTTTTAGTAGAGATGGAGTTTCTCCATGTTGGCCAGGCTGGTTTCAAACTGCTTTATATCTAACCTGAGGGGTAGGTGTCATTTCTGTTTTACAGACGAGGAACTTAGAGGGCTTAAGTGATCTGCCTTATTTCAAAAGACTCCTTAGTAAGTAGCTGAGCTGAAATTGAACCCAAGTCTGTGTGACTCCAGAGTCCAAGTTCTTTGCCCTTTCCAGTTTTCATTGTATTTATCCTAATTTTAAGGGGATCCGGGTAAAGAGAGAAACTGCTTTGTGCATTTCTGATGGCAGTGTGCTTTCTTTTCAGAATGGCTTTGGAACACACACATGGTTTCTAAAGAGAATCCGCAGTTCCCAGTATCCTTTGAGAAATGAATACATAGGGGAGTTTGTAAATGGATATCGTCACGGACGTGGCAAGTTTTATTATGCCAGTGGAGCCATGTATGATGGAGAATGGGTTTCCAATAAGAAACATGGCATGGTGAGTATAGACCTGGGAGGATCACATTTCAAACAATTATGTAAAGCCATTGAAATTATGTAAAGCAATTGAAATGTCCAAGGATAATTGCAGATTTGTCTATTCTGCTTTCAGATCTATCAGTTTTGATTCAAATATTTGAAGCTTTGTTAGGTGCATATACATTGAGGATTATTCTGTATTGGTGCATTGGCTCTTTTGATCATCACGTAATGTTCCTCATTAACCCTGCTACTTTTCTTTTTTTTTTTTTTTTGAGATGCAGTCTTGCTCTGTTGTCCAGGTTGGAGTACAGTGGCATGATCTCAGCTCACTACAACCTCTGCTTCCCGGGTTCAAGTGATTCTCCTGTCTCAGCCTCATGAGTAGCTGGGATTACAGGCGTCGGCTACCATGCCTGGCTAATTTTTGTATTTTTAGTAGAGACAGGGTTTCGTCATGTTGGCCAGGCTGGTCTCGAACTCCTGACCTCAGGTGATCCACCCTCCTTGGCCTCCCAGAGTGCTGGGATTACAGGCGTGAGCCACCACGCCTGGCCAACCCTGGTAATTTTCATTTCTCTGAAGTCTATTTTGTCTGATGTAAATATAGGCGCTCTAGATTTCTTTTTAATTTTAATTGTGGTAGAGTACACATGAGATTTCCCATCTTAACCATTTCTGAGTGCACAGTCCAGTGGCATTAAGCACATGCGCATTGTTGCGCAACCATCACCATCCATCTACAGAACTCTTTTTGACAAAAGGCATGTCATTCTCGATTAAATTACATTATCTGTTTTGTATAGGATGACTTACTGTTTTGCTAAGGTGATTACATGACTTTTTTTTTCTTTTTTTTGAGACAGAGTTTCGCTCTGTTGCCCAGGCTGGAGTGCAGTGGCATGATCTCGGCTCGCTGCAACCTCTGCCTCCCGGGCGCAAGTGATTCTTGTGCCTCAGCCACTAGAGTAGCTGGGATTACAGGTGTGCGCCACCACGCCCGGCTCTTTTTTTTTTTTTTTTTTTTTTTTTTTTAGTAGTTACAGGGGTTTTGCCGTGTTTGCCAAGCTGGCCTCCTGGTCTCAAGTGATCCTCCCACCCAAAGTGCTGGGATTACAGGCATGAGCCACTATGCTTGCCAAAATAGTTTCAATGGTCATTGATTTCCTATATATTTAGTGGTTATTTAATCAGTGTTTGGTGTGTGTGTACGTGTGTGTGTGTGTATGAGGATGGTTTTGGTTTGCAAGTAACAGAGAATCTAGTGTCGTCTGCCATGTGAAATACAGAATAATGGTTTGATTCAGCAACTCAGAGCTGTCAGGATTTCTCCTCCATCTATCCACGATATCTCCCACCATGTCACTTTCACCCTTGTGTTTTTTCCTCCCTCATGATTGCAAGACAGCTGCTGTGGTTCCAGCCTTCACATCCACATACCATGCTAACTAGAAGAAAAGGAGGAACTTTTTACAGAAGCTCTCTAAAAAGGTCTTTCATTTCACAGAGCCAAATTGGGTCATTTGCCCACTTCTGAATCAGTAACTGACTATTGGCCTGGGTTTGACAAATCTCAGGGAGTCTTGGCCAGGCTTAGTGGCTCAGGCCTGTAATCCCAGCACTTTGGAAGGCCGAGGTGGGCAGAACACTTGAGGTCAGGAATTCGAGACCAGCTTGGCCAACATGATGAAACCCCGTCTCTACTAAAAATACAAAAATTAGCTGGGTGTGGTGGTGCACGCATGTAATCCCAGCCACTCGGGAGGCTGAGGAAGGAGAATTGCTTGAACCCAGGAGGCGGAGGTTGCAGTGAGTTAAGACTGTGCTACTGCACTCCAGCCTGAGTGACAGCGAGGCTCCACCTCAAAAAAAAAAAAAAATTGTGGGGCACGATGGCTCACGCCTGTAATCCCAACACTTTTGGAGGCTGAGGCGGATGGATCACGAGGTCAGGAGATCGAGACCATCCTGGCTAACATGGTGAAACCCTGTCTCTACTAAAAATACAAAAAATTAGCTGTGTGTGGTGGCGGGCGCCTGTAGTCCCAGCTACTCAGGAGGCTGAGGCAGGAGAATGGTGTGAACCCAGGAGGCAGAACTTGCGGTGAGCCGAGATCGTGCCACTGCACTCCAGCCTGGGCACAGAGCGAGACTCCGTCTCAAAAAAAAAATCAGGGAGTCTGTATTGTGTGATGGGCGTTCTGCTGGTCACTAGCGTAGTTTAATAAGACACATTCTGTGGCCATAGGTGCTTAAAGTTGGAGAAAGATTGTCGGGGAGAGAGAGAGGGGAGGGGGAGGAATAGGAAAAGGAGGACGAGAGAGAGGACTTATACAGTGCATGAGACCCAGGAGCCTGATTATGTGTAGAGTAAGTGCATATTTTCAAAACGAAAAGCTCCACACCCTTGAAAAAACTATTGATGTACATTTACCCATGTTTTTCTTTCCTTTTTTTTTTTTTTTGAGATGGAGTCTCGCTCTGTCACCTAGGCTGGAGTGCAGTGGCACGATCTTGGCTCACTGCAACCTCTGCCTCCCAGGTTCAAGCGATTCTCCTGCCTCAGCCTCCCGAGTAACTGGGATTACATGTGCCTGCCACCAGGCCCGGCTAATTTTTGTATTTTTAGTAGCGATGGGGTTTCACCATGTTGGCCAGTCTGATCTCGAACTCCTGACCTTGTGATCTGCCCGCCTCAGCCTTCCAGAGTGCTGGGATTACAGGCATGAGTCACCGCCCCCAGCCTTACCAGTGTTTTTCTAAGAAATCTTTTCCTAAACTGTAAAAAGTTTTTCTGTCTGCAGGGCCGATTAACTTTCAAGAACGGGCGTGTGTACGAAGGCGCATTCTCCAATGACCACATAGCTGGGTTTCCGGATCTTGAAGTTGAATTCATCAGCTGCCTGGACCTGTCTTCAGGAGTTGCCCCAAGACTGTCCAGGAGCGCCGGTAGGAAGCATTCACCTGTTGAAATAAAATTCATTGGCCGGGCGTGGTGGCTCATGCCTGTAATCCCAGCGCTTTGGGAGGCCGAGGCCGGCGGATCACGAGGTCAGCAGTGCGAGACCAGCCTGGCCAACATGGTGAAACCCCGTCTCAATTAAAAATAAAAAAAAATTAGCCAGGCGTGGTGGCAGGCGCCTGTAATCGCAGCTACTCAGGAGGCTGAGGCAGGAGAATCGCTTGAACCCGGGAGGCAGAGATTGCAGTGAGCCCAGACTGCACCATTGCACTCCAGCCTGGGCAACAGAGAAAGACTCCGTCTGGTAAATAAATAAAATGGAAAAAAAAAAAGAAATAAAATTCATCTGTTTTTATCCATGGTGTTCACTCATGAAAATACACCGAACACTTCAGGAAACAGAAGTCCTCTGTGAGCAACTCCTTTTTTAAAAAAAAATTTTAGACAAAATCTCGCTCTATCACCCAGGATGGAGCAGGATACGATCACTGTTCACTGTGGCCTCAAACTCCTGGGCTCCAGTGATCCTCCCACCTCAGCCTTCCCCATAGCTGGGAATACAGGCACACACCACCAAGCCTAGCTAATTTTTTTTTTCTTTTTGAGACGGAGTCTCACTCTGTCGCCCAGCCTGGAGTGCAGCAGTGTAATCTTGGCTCACTGCAATCTCCGCCTCCCGGGTTCAAGAGATTCTGCTGCCTCAGCCTCCTGAGTAGCTGGGATTATAGGCGTGTGCCACCATGCTTAGCTAATTTTTGTATTTTTTGTAGAGACGGGGTTTTACCATGTTGCTCAGGTTGGTCTCTAACTCCTGACCTCGTGATCCACCCACCTTGGCCTCCCAAAGTGCTGGGATTACAGGTGTGAGCCAGCACACCTGGCCAGGCTTAGCTAATTTTTAAACTTTTTGTAGAGGCAGGGTCTCACTATGTTGCCCAGGCTGATTCAAACTCCTGTCCTCACACAATCCTCCTGCCTCGGCCTCCCAAAGTGCTGAGATTACAGCTGCAAGCCATTGTGCCTAGCTGGCAACTGCTTTTAAAAAATGTTTTTTTTAGAGACAGGATCTCACTCTGTTGCCCAGGTTGGAGTGCAGTGGCGTGATCATAGCTCACTGCAGCCTTAACCTCTCATTTTGGCTTCCCAAAGTGCTGGGATTAAAGGCATGAGCCACTGTGCCCAGCCTGTGTTCTTAGTAGGTTTTTGGAATATTCTTGTATCCCATTTTGGTGGAAAATCTTTGTGACATAATACTGAGAAATTTGAACATTGCTTTTCATAATTATCTCCAAGGATGGGTGTGGTGGCCCATGCCTGTGATCCCAGCACTTTGGGAGGCCAAGGCAGGCGGATCAGTTGAGCTCAGGAGTTCGAGACCAGCCTGGGCAACATGGTGAAACCCTGTGTCTACAAAAAAATACAAAAATTAGCTGGCCGTTGTGGTGTACTTCTGTAGTCCCAGCTACTCGGGAGGGTGAGGTGGGAGGATGGCTTGAGCCTGGGAGGCAGAGGTTGCAGTGAACTGAGATCATGCCACTGCACTCCAGCTTGGGCGACAGAGTGAGGCCCTGTCTCAAAAAAAAAAAAAAAACAAACCCCACCAAACAAACCGTACTTATCCCCTGTGTTTGCCTTCATTCATTAGAACTGATCAGAAAGCTTGATGGCAGTGAAAGTCATTCTGTGTTGGGATCGAGCATTGAGCTGGATCTAAATTTGCTCCTGGACATGTACCCTGAGACAGTCCAACCTGAAGAAAAGAAGCAGGTAAAATCTTTTTGATTGGTATGAGTTGCATCCTGGGAAAATATAGCTGGTGACTGCTGTCACGTGTTGAATGTCTTCTTTTTTGTTTTGTTTTTTGAGACCGAGTTTTGCTCTGTCGCCCAGGCTGGAGTGCTGTGGCGCAGTCTTGGCTCACTGCAACCTCTGCCTCCCGGGTTCAAGCCTCCCCCACCTCAGCCTCCCCAGTAGCTGGGATTACAGGTGTGGGCCACTACGCCCGGCTATTTTTTTGTATTTTAGTTGAGACGGGGTTTCACCATATTGGCCTGGCTGGTCTGGAACTCCTGACCTCAGGTGATTGGCCCACCTCGGCCTCCCAAAATACTGGGATTATGGGTGTGAGCCACCACACCCGGCCTAGAACAATGCTTTAGATTGTATGTGTTTATTCAGTTGAATTGCGTTTTCAAAAGCAGGAATGAATGCTCAGCGTAACAAATGCCTGAAGCCGCCCAGGTAGGGCTCTGTCTCCCTTAGGACCCTGCATCCTGTTCTTCGCATTCTCTGAATGTCTCATTATGAGGGTAGGGCATGGGGTGAGTGGTTCTGGAGAACAGGACGCTGTGTAGAGGGCAGGGCTGCATGTGTGGGGAATCTGGGGCAGCTTAAGGGCGTCAAGGTCTGGGGAAAAATCCTAAAAGGTGAAGTGTGACAGAGGGAGGTGAGTAAAGCAACCACCGTGAATATTGCTCCTTTTTTTTTTTTTTGAGACGGAGTCCCTTTTGTCGCCCGGGCTGGAGTGCAATGGCACGATCTCAGCTCACTGCAACCTCCGCCTCCCGCGTTCAAGGGATTCTCCTGCCTCAGCCTCCTGAGTAGCTGGGATTACAGGCATGCACCACCACCCCCAGCTATATTTTGTATTTTTAGTAGAGATGGAGTTTCACTGTGTTGCCCAGGCTGGTCTCGAACTCCTGACCTCAGGTGATCCTTCCACCTCAGCCTCCCAAAGTGCTGGGATTACAGGCGTGAGCCACTGCACCTGGCGGAATATTGCTTCTTTCAGACTTTCAGCCCTATGTGTGGTGTGAGTTGCATGTGTTTTGTACATGCTGTTTATCAGGTTGAGGGATTCCTTTCTATTCCTAATTTGCTGAGGGTGCTTTTCATGAATGGATGTGAAATTCTGTGAAACGCTTCAGTTGTTAGAATCATTTGGTTCTTCCTCAGTCTGTGAATTACATTGATTGATTTTTCAAATGTTAACCCAGCTTTGCAATTCTAGGAGAAACCCTACTTGGTGCTGCTATATTATCTTTTTTTTTGTTTTTTTTTTTTTCTTGTTGAGATAGGGTCTTAGGGTCTTGCTCCGTCACCTTGGCTGGAGTGAAGTGGTGCGATCTCAGCTCACTGAAGTCTTGACCTTCTGGGCTTAAGCAATCCTCCCGCCTCAGCTTCCTGAGTAGCTGGGACTATACGGGCACTTGCTACTGTGTCTGGTTCTTTTTTTCTTTTTTTGAGAGGGAGTCTTGCTCTGTCGCCCAGGCTGGAGTGCAGTAGCACGATCTCTGCTCACTGCAAGCTCCACCTCCCGGGTTCACGCCATTCTCCTGCCTCAGCCTCCCGAGTAGCTGGGTCTACACCACGCCCGGCTAATTTTTTGTATTTTTAGTAGAGACAGGGTTTCACCGTGTTAGCCAGGATGGTCTCGATCTCCTGATCTTGTGATCCGCCTGCCTTGATCTCCTGAAGTGCTGGGATTACAGGCTTGAGCCACCACGCCCGGCCAGTTAATTTCTTTAATTTTTAATTTTCAGTTGAGACACAGTCTTACTATGTTGCACAGGCTGGTCTCGAGTTCCCAGGCTCAAGCGATCCTCCCGCCTCGGCCTCACAAAGTGCTGGGATGACAGGCATGAGCCACCATGCATGGCTACTATTCTTTTTATATATTGCTGGATTCAACTTATTTTGTTGAGGATTTTTGCACATTTGTTGATGAAGGATAAGGATCTGCAGACAATAGAATTTTGTTGCCGCCACTGAGAGGGGAAGCCAGCCCATTGCCATGTGAAAGGAAGTCTACTTTCCAGATAACTTGTTTTGTTTTGTTTTTACTGTTGGTCGGAGATGGCATTTTATTGACCAAGGGGGGTGGGTGGAAAGAATAAAATGCTTCTTGGCCAGGTGCCGTGGCTGACGCCTGTCATCGTAACACTATGGGAGGCCGAGGCAGGCGGATCACCTGAGGTCAGGAGTTCAAGACCAGACTGGCCAATATGGTGAAACCCCATCTCTACCAAAAATACAAAAATTAGCCGGGCATGGTGGTGGGCACCTGTTATCACAGCTACTCTGGAGGCTGAGGCATGAGAATCACCTGAACCCAGGAGGCAGAGGTTGCATTGAGCCAAGATCGTGCCACTGCACTGCAGCCTGGGTGACAGAGCAAGACTCCATCTCAAAACAAAACAAACAAACACTTCTTAAGTTCTTACAGTGGAAAGAGCTAAATGCCATTACTTTACTTGTATTATCGCATTTAATGTAGGACACAGGTGTTGTGTCTTTTGTTCTTTTTAAAATATTTAAATTTTCTTTCTTTATTTTGAGGCAAGGTCTCACTCTTGACGCCCAGGCTGGAATGCAGTGACATGATCTCGGCTCACTGCAACCTCCTCCCAGGTTCAAGCAATTCTGCCTCAGCCTCCTGAGTAGCTGGGGTTACAGGCATGTGCCACCACGGCCGGCTAATTTTGTATTTTTAGTAGAGATGGGGTTTCACCATGTTGGCCAGGCTGGTCTGGAACTCCTGACCTCAGGTGATCTGCCTGCCTCGGCCTCCCAAAGTGCTGGGATTACAGGCGTGAGCCACCACGCCCGGCTGTCTTTTGTTCTTAATCCACGTATGACTTTCTTCCTTTCAGGTGGAATATGCCGTCTTAAGAAATATTACAGAATTAAGAAGAATTTACAGCTTTTACAGCAGCCTGGGATGCGGCCACTCTCTGGATAATACCTTTCTGATGACAAAGCTTCACTTCTGGAGATTTCTAAAAGATTGCAAATTTCATCACCACAAACTAACTCTTGCTGATATGGACAGGATATTAAGTGGTGAGTGTTCCAGATCCTTCACATCTTTTGGTTTAAAGCAGAGGACCAGGCCGGGCACAGTGGCTCATGCCTGTACTTCCAGCACTTTGGGAGGCCGAGGCAGGCGGATCACGAGGTCAGGAGTTCAAGACCAGCCTGACCAACATGGTGAAACCCCGTCTCTACTAAAAGATACAAAAAATTAGCCAGGCGTGGTGGTGCATGCCTATAATCCCAGCCACTTGGGAGGCTGAGGCAGGAGAATCGCTTGGACCCAGGAGGCGGAGGTTGCAGTGAGCCAAGATTGTGCCATTGCACTCCAGCCTGGGTGACAGGGCGAGACTCCATCACACACACACACACACACACACACACACACAAAAGGCAGGGGTCCCCAACCCCCAGGCCAGGGAGCAGTACTGGTCCATGGCCCGTTAGGAAACAGGCTACACAGTGGAAGGTGAGCAGTGGACAAGCAAGTGAACTTTCATCTGTTTTTTTGTTTTGTTTTGTTTTGTTTTTTTTGAGACAGAGTTTCACTCTTGTTGCCCAGGCTGGAGTGCAGTGGCACGATCTCGGCTCACCGCAACCTCTGTCTCCTGGGTTCAAGTGACTCTCCTGCCTCAGCCTCCTGAGTAGCCAGGATTACAGGCATGTGCCACCATGCCCAGCTAATTTTTGTATTTTTTAGTAGAGATGGGGTTTTTCCATGTTGGTTAGGCGTGTCTCGAACTCCCGACCTCAGATGATCTGCCCGCCTTGGCCTCCCAAAGTGCTGGGATTACAGGCATGAGCCACCGCACCCAGCCTACCTTCATCTGTTTTTACAGCCATTCCCCATCGCTGGCATTCCCGCCTGAGCTCCGCCTCCTGCAGATCAGCAGGGCATTAGATTCTCATAGGAGCGCAAATCCTACTGTGAGCTGAGCATGGGAGGGATGTAGGTTGCACGCTCCTTAGGAGAATGGAATGCCTGATGATCTGTCACTGTCTCCCATCACCCCCAGATGGGACTGTCTAGTTGTAGGAAAACAAGCTTAGGGCTCCCACTGATTCTACCTGATGGCGAGTTGTAGAATTGTTTCATTATGTATTACAGTGTCATAATAATAGAAATAAGGCGTGCAGTAATTCGAATGTGCTTGAATCATCCTGAAACCAACAGCCCCCCACCGCTTTCCACCATTCATGGAAAAACTGTCTTCTACAAAATCGGTCCCTGGTGCCAAAAAGGTTGGGGACCTCTGGTTTCAAGGACAGTATCACAGTGTCACCTGGAAAGCAGTTAGGAAATGTGGAGGGAGCTGGGAAGGCCCAGGTTGGGAGACGAGTGTTCCAGAAATCAGCGCGTGGTCATTTCCCCCGTGATTACGAGGTACTTGATAAAGAGACAGTCTCGTGACATAACAGCAACAGCACGAGGTCACCTACAAAAGCAGGGCCAGCAATGCACGGTCTCAGGGTGAAATCCAGTCCACCCCCGTTCCCCTAAATCATGCTTTACTGGAACACAGACATGCCCGTTTGCTTACGTGTTCGTGACTGCTTTACCCCGAAGCACCACAGCTGAGGGATTGTGATGTAGACGGTCTGGTCCACCAAGCCTAAAATATTTACTCTCTGGCCCTTTACAGAAAGTTTGCCTCCCTCTCTCCCCCTGACCAGCGATCTATAGTAAAAGAGCACTAAATTGTCAGGTCAGAAATGGGGAGATGGCCAGGCCTCGTGGTTTACGCCTGTAATCCCAGCACTTTGGAAGGCCGAGGCGGGTGGATCACTTGAGTCCAGGAGTTTGAGACCCGCCTGGCCAATATGGTGAAACTCCGTCTCTACTAAAAATACAAAAATTAGCCAGGTATGGTGGTACATGCCTGTATTCCCAGCTACTTATTGGGAGGCTGAGACAGGAGTAGAATCGTTTGAGCCTAGGAGGTGGAGGTTGCAGTGAGCCGAGATTTCCAGCCTGGGTGACAGAGTGAGACTCTGTCTCTAAAAAAAATGCGGTGGCTCACACCTGTAATCAGCACTTTGGGAGGCCGAAGTGGGCAGATCATGAGGTCAGGAGTTCAAGACCATCCTGGCTAACATGGTGAAACCCCGTCTCTACTAAAAATACAAAAAATTAGCTGGGTGTGGTGGTACGTGCCTGTAGTCCCAGCTACTCGGGAGGCTGAGGCAGAAGAATCGCTTGAACTCGCGAGGCGGAGGTTGCAGTGAGCCGAGATTGTGCCACTGCACTCCAGCCTGGGCAACAGAGTGAGACTCTGTCTCAAAAGAAAAAAAAAAAAACAAAACAGGGAGAATCAGCAATGGCTTGGAAGAGTCTAGAAAAGGCCCTAAGTAGTCTTAGGATTGGTCTTGATTTCAAATTAGGAAGTTGATGTCATCAATTTAACAACTTTGGAAGTTTAACTTCTTTCAGCCAAATCCTGGCAGGCAGAGCTGCAAGCTTCTAATTATCCGCTTGAAAAATGAAGTATTAGAGCAAATGCCTATTTACGTCAAAGTTTAGTGTTTGAAACATACTTAAAATCCATTTAGAATTAGCAGCATTCATCAGATTGTGTCTCAGACTATTCTGGAAAACAGTGGGACAAGATTGACATCTTTTTTTTTTTTTTTGAGATGAAGTCTCGCTCTGTTGCCCAGGCTGGAGTGCAGTGGCTCAATCTCGGCTCACTGCAGCCTCCACCTCCCGGGTTCCAGCGATTCTCCTGCCTCAGTCTCCCAAGCAGCTGAGATTACAGGTGCCCGCCACCACACCTGGCTAATTTTTTGTATTTTTGGTAGAGACAGGGTTTCGCCATGTTGCCCAGGCTGGTCTCAAACTCCTGACCTCAGGCAATTTGCTGCTGCAGCCTCCCAAAGTGCTGGGATTACAGGCGTGAGCCACCGTGCCTGGCTTTCACGGAGTTTTAAATTTTTGGTTGGACGCTTATACACATGTTCAGAGCATTTTGAAATAAGCGCATATATTCAGTTCTTCGAATTGTATACCAGGCGCAAATAAAATGGAAGGTTCTAGCAAATGTCAGGCATCCTCTCCAATTTTCTTATTTTAGCCAATAATGACATACCAGTTGAAGAAATCCATTCTCCATTTACAACAATACTTTTGAGAACATTTTTGAATTACCTCCTGCATTTGGCGTACCACATTTATCATGAAGAATTCCAGTAAGTACTATTTCTGGACCCTTGTTGGGGGATGGGGCACAGCTAAGCTGTATTATTGTCATAATGCCCTCTTTTCTTCAGCAGTCATTTTTATTTTTTTGGAGATGGAGTCTTGCTCTGTCGCCCAGGCTGGAGTGCAGTGGCACAATCTTGGCTCACTGCAACCTCTGCCTCCCCGGTTCAAGCAATTCTTCTGCCTCAGGCTCCTGGGTAGCTGAGATGACAGGCATGTGCCACCATGCCTGGCTAATTTTTTTTTGTATTTTTAGTAGAGACGGGGTTTCACCATGTTGGCCAGGCTGGTTTCAAACTCCTGACCTCAGGTGATCCACCTGCCTCAGCCTCTCAAAGTTCTGGGATTACAGGCGTGAGCCACCATGCCCAGCCTCAGCAGTCTTTTTTTAACATACTCTTGAAATGAAGGACTCAGAACACAACCTTTCCACAAATATTAACCACAAAGCCATGACATACTGGATCAAAACTTTGAAAGCCCTTCATATCTGGTCAGTTCAATACTGCAAATATCTCTCGGGGTTTCTAATGCAGAAACAAATAGTCACAACCAAGTCTTCTTTCTTATGTCAGAATTTCTTGTCTTTCTTACAGCAAAAGTGGTTTTATATCTTTTTTTAAAAAAACTTTTATTTATATATTTATTTTTTTGAGATGGAATCTCGCTCTGTCACCCAGGCTGGAGTGCAGTGGCGCGATCTCGGCTCACTGCAACCTCCACCTCCCAGGTTCCAGTGATTCTCCTGCCTCAGCCTCCCAAGTAGCTGGGATTACCGGTGTCTGCCACCAAGCCCAGCTAATTTTTTGTATTTTTAGTGGAGATGGGGTTCCACCATGTTGGCCAGGCTGGTCTTAAACTCCTGACCTCGAGTGATCCGCCCACCTTGGCCTCCCAAAATGCTGGGATTATAGGTTTGAGCCACTGACTTTGCCTTCCCTTTCTATACTCTATACATTAGAAGCAAATTATTAAGTCTAGCCCGTGCTCAAGGAGAAGGGAATTAAGTTCCCTCTTTTGGAGGAGAAGTAACTATGGTATCTTTTGATGATTATCACAGAAAGAGAAGCCCATCCCTCTTCTTGTGTTTTACAAAACTGATGACCGAGAACATTCGTCCAAATGCCTTCCAGATAAAAGGTAAATACAAAACCAGTAGGATTCTATTTACCGCCCCATTTTTTTTTCTCAAAATATAAATCTGGGCTGGGCGCAGTGGCTCACTCCTGCAATCCCAGCACTTTGGGAGGCCGAGGCAGGAGGATCACCTGAGGTCAAGGAGTTCAAGACCAGCCTGGCCAACATGGCAAAACCCCATCTCTACTAGAAATACAAAAAAATTAGCCAGGTATGGTGGTGCATGCCTGTAATCCTAGCTACTCGGGAGGCTGAGGCAGGAGAATCGCTTGAGCCTGGGGGGCGGAGGTTGCAGCGAGCCAAGATGGTGCCACTGCACTCTAGCCTGGGTGACATCAAGACTCTGTCTGGGAAAAAAACAAAAGCAATAGGATTATATTTACTGCTATTTTTTTCTCAAAACATAAATCTGTAATCATTTTTCGAACGTTGTATTTTTAGGCAATTTATTCCGTGAGCAACAGCGGACGCTCTACTCTATGAGTTACATGAATAAGTGCTGGGAGATTTATCTCGCTTACTGCAGACCCAGTGCAGCGCCTCCCCACGAGCCTACGATGAAGATGAGACACTTCCTCTGGATGCTGAAAGTAACCACCTAAGTTCGATATTGGCTTTCTATTTACAGGCACTTTGATTTTAATTAAAGAAAGGCAGGATATTCCAGCTGTGATATGCAAATAATCAGGTGAAGATCTGGGCTGGATTTTCAGGACCATTAAATGTTTACTGAGTCTCTTGGCAGAACAGTGGTCTGTGGTCGTGGAAGGAACAGAAACAGCCGTCACCTGCCCAATATGCTAACAGATTAGGGCAAGACAATGGTCCATGGCCTATAACAATGGCCCATGGCATGCATATATATATATATTGCAATCCCAGCACTTTGAGAGGCCGAGGTGGGCGGATCACCTGAGGTCAAGGAGTTCAAGACCAGCATGGACATATATATTTATATATGCCATGGGCCATTGTCTTAAAAAAAAATATATATATATATAAATAAATATATATATAATAAATATATATATATTTTTAATTTTATTTTTTTGAGACGGAGTTTTGCTCTTGTCACTCAGGCTGGAGTGCAATGAAGTGATCTTGGCTCACTGCAACCTCCACCTCCTGGGTTCAAGCAATTCTCCTGCCTCAGCCTCCAGAGTAGCTGGGATTACAGGTGCCCGCCACCACACCTGGCTAATTTTTGTATTTTTAGTAGAGACGGGTGTTCACCATGTTGCCCAGGCTGGTCTTGACCTCCCAACCCCAGGTGATCCACCCGCCTCAGCCTCCCTAAGTGCCGGAATTACAGGTGTGAGACACTGTGCCTGACTGGCCTACAATATCTTTATTTATGCAGATCCAGCCATTTAAAGGAAGATAGGGCCGAGTACAGCGGGGCACCCCTGTAATTCCAGCACTTTGGGAGGCCGAGGCAGGAGGATCACTTGAGCTTAGGAATTCAAGACCAGCCTGGGCAACATAGTGAGATCCCCCTCTCTACAAAAAATAAAAAAATCATAGCCGGGCGTGGTAGTGCACGCCTGTAGTCCCAGCTACTCGGGAAGCTGTAGTAAGCTGTGATCGTGCCACTGCATTCCAGGCTGGTTGACAGAGTGAGGCCCTGTCCCAAAAAAATCCCCCAAAAAACAAAAAAGGAAAATGGAGGAACACCTTAGTCTTTTTGATGGACTGAAGTGTTGCCTGATCCTAGAATAGCAATAAAGTCAACTGAAATCTTTTTAAAAAGGAAGGACTTTGGAAGGCGGAGGGGGTGGATCACCCGAGGTCAGGAGTTTGAGACCAGCCTGGCCAATGCTGTGAAACCCCCTTTCGACTAAAAATACAAAAAAATTAGCCAGGCATGGTGGCCGGAGCCTGTAATCCCAGCCACTTCGGAGGCTGAGGCAGGAGAATTGCTTGAACCTGGGAGGCCGAGGTTGCAATGAGCTGGAATTGTGCCACTGCACTCCAGTCTAGGCAACAAGAGCAGAACTCTGTCTCAAAAAAAAA
Source organism: Homo sapiens (assembly GCF_000001405.40). Taxonomy (NCBI): domain Eukaryota; kingdom Metazoa; phylum Chordata; class Mammalia; order Primates; family Hominidae; genus Homo; species Homo sapiens. The sequence continues at coordinate 5,941,900 of NC_000007.14, read as the reverse complement.
ACTAAGGAAGTGGGGAGGATGGATATCATTTAAAACAATTACAGTTTATCGAAAAAGGAATTTTTAAAAGTTATTACTTGGGAAAATAGTGACAACATTTATACAATGTTCTCATACTAACTATTGGTTGTTTTTGTTCCATGATACTTTTTTTTTTTTAGACAAAGTCTCGCTCTTTTGCCAGGGTGGAGTGCAGTGGTGAGGTCTCGGCTCACTGCAACCTCCGCCTCCCGGGTTCAAGCAATTCTCCTGCCTCAGCCTCCCGAGTAGCTGGGACTAAAGGCGTGCATGACCATGCCAAGTTAATTTTTGTATTTTTTAGTAGAGACAGGGTTTCACTATGTTAGCAAGGATGATCTCAATCTCTTGACCTCGTGATCCGCCCGTGTCGGACTCCCAAAGTGCTGGGATTACAGGCGTGAGCCACTGTGCCTGGCCTGTTCCATGGTACTTTTAATTTGTACTTGTGGGAATACAAATGATTAAACAGAATCAAATACTAATGATACAGTGTTTTTACAAATTTCATAATGTTGTATACATATGAAAAATGGATAATAACCTAGTGTCTAACTATAGGAAAATAGTTTTGTTTTTTTGAGCAAGGTTCTCACTCTGTCACCCAGGCTGGAGTACAGTGGTGCAATCTTGGCTTCCTGCAACCTCAACCTCCCGGGTTCAAGCAATCCTCCCACCTCAGCCTCCTGAATAGCTGGGACTACATGTGTGTGCCAACATACCCAGCTAATTTTTCTATTTTTTGTAGAGACGGGTTATTGCCATGTTGCCCAGGCTGATCTTGAACTCCTGGGCTCAAGCAGTCCTTGTGCCTCGGCCTCCTGAAGTGCTGGGATTACAGGCGTGAGCCACTGCACCTGGCCCTTTTCATGGTTTCATTTGTTTCAAGCATGTTTGCAATTGCCCATTGAATAATAATAATAATAATAATAATAATAATTATTATTATTATTATTATTTTGACAGTCTTGCTCTGTCGCCCAGGCTGGAGTGCAGCGACCTGATCTTGGCTCACTGCAACCTCCGCCTCCCGGGTTCAAGTGATTCTTCTGCCTCAGCCTCCCGAGTAGCTGGGATTACAGGTGCATGTCACCACGCTCGGCTAGTAGAGACGGTTTCACCCTGTTGCCCAGGCTGGTCTCAAACTCCTGAGCTCAGGTGATCCAACCATCTCGGCCTCCCACAGTGCTAGGATCAGAGGCATGAGCCACCACACCCAGCCTCATGGAAGCATTTTTGTGATGACTGTCTCACAGTCTCTGTCAGTCAATTGTAACATCTTTGTCATCTTGGAGATGGCATCTGTGGATTCTCTTTTTTTCATTCAGTTTGAGATCTTCCTGGTTCTTGGTATGAGTTTTTTTTTTGTTGTTGTGTTTTTGAGATGGAGTCTTGCTCTGTCTCCCAGACTGGACTGCAGTGGCGTGATCTCAGCTCACTGCAACCTCTGCCTCCTGGTTCAAGTGATTCTCCTGCCTCAGCCTCCCAAGTAGCTGGGATTATAGGTGCGTGCCACCATGCCAGGCTAATTTTTGTATTTTTAGTAGAGACGGGGTTTCTCCATGTTGGCCAGGGTTTCACCATGTTGCCCAGGCTGGTCGGTATGAGTGATTTAAAAAAAAAAACATTGAAACCTGAACATTTGAGTACAGTAAGTCCTCACTTAACATTATTATTATTATTATTTTGAGACAGTCTTGCTCTGTCACCCAGGCTGGAGTGCGGTGGCACGATCTCACCTCACTGCAACCTCTGCCTCCTGGGCTCAAGTGATTCCCTTGCCTCAGCCTCCCGAGTAGCTGGGACTACAGGCACACGCCACCATGCGCAGCTAATTTTTTTGTATTTTTAGTAGAGATGCGGTTTGTCCATGTTGGCCAGGATGGTCTGGATCTCTTGACCTCGTGAGCCGCCTGCCTCGGCCTCCCAAAGTGCTGGGATTACAGGTGTGAGCCACCGCGCCCGGCCCCACATAACGTTATTGATAGGTTCTTGGAAACTGTGACTTCAACCAGTGCCGTGTGGTCAGGAGCTTAACTCTTCTTCATGTCAATTATTCTGCGGTCACATCGGTTTTGTTGTGCAGCACGTTGTTTCCCGACGTGCTTTTCGGCCTACAGCATCGTGTTAATATTTCACACCTGGACCGTGTTCTGGTCTCCCATGTTCTATGTCCTGTTCTGATGCCAACAAATACTCTGCTGTTATTTTGGAGGCACTAGAGAAGGGATAGAGAGGTAAATACGTGTGTGTGTGTGTGTGTGTGTGTGTGTGTGTGTGTGTGTGTGTGTGTGTGTTTGAGACAGGTTCTTGCTTTGTTACCCAGGCTGGAGTGCAGTGTTATGATCACAGCTCACAGTAGCCTCAAACTCCTGGACTTAAGTGATCCTCCCACCTCAGCCTCCTGAGTAGCTGGGACTGCAGGCATGCACCACCATGCTCGGCCTACATTTTTAATTTTGTGTAAAGACAGGGTCTTGCTATGTTGCCCAGGCTGATCCCCAACACCTGGGCTCAAGTGATCCTCCCACGTCGGCCTCACAAGGTTCTGGGATTACAGGTGTGAGCCACCATGTCTGGCCGCAAATGCCCATGTTAATCCAGAATGCTTTTCAAAATTATCAGTCTTTAAGATATTAATTTATGGCTGGGCGCAATGTCTCACGCCTGTAATCCCAGCACTTTGGGAGGCCGAGGCAGGCGGCTCACTTGAGGTCAGGAGTTTGAGACCAGCCTGGCCAACATATAGTGAAACCCCATCTCTACTAAAAATACAAAAATTAGCTGGACGTGGTGGTGTGTTCCTGTAGTCCCAGCTACTTGGGAGGCTGAGGCAGGAGAATCACTTGAACCCAGGAGGTGGACGTTGCAGTGAGCTGAGATTGCGCCACTGCCTAGCAGCCTGGGCGACAGAGCGAGACTCCGTCTCTCAAAAAAAAGAAAAAAGATATTAATTTCTGGTACACTTTCTTAGTTATTGTATTGATATAAATTGACATTAAAACATATAGCTGTTTACAATTATAGGCAGTTATGGTTTTTCTTTTTTACAGGACTTTAAAATGATAAATAAAGAATTAACAGCAGCTACATTTATGGAGGTCATAGCAGAGGATAATCGTTTCATATATGATGGAATTGACAGCAACTTTGAACCTGAGGTTTGTAAAGAGCCATCACAAATGGTACAGATCCAATTCAGGCTGTTGGTTTTGCCATGGATACCAAGGACAAAGAACCAAGATTTTTTTTTTCTTTTTTTCATTAGCCTTTTCACTGATGCTTTTTTTTTTTTTTTTTTTGGAGACGGAGTCTCAGTCTGTTGCCCAGGCTGGAGTGTGCAGTGGCACAATCTCTGCTCACTGCAAGCTCCGCCTCCCGGGTTCACGCCATTCTCCTGCCTCAGCCTCCCGAGTAGCTGAGACTACAGGCGCCCGCCACCACGCCCGGCTAATTTTTTTTTTTTTTGTATTTTTTTTAGTAGAGACGGAGTTTCACCGTGTTAGCCAGGATGGTCTTGATCTCCTGACCTCGTGATCCACCTGCCTCGGCCTCCCAAAGTGCTGGGATTACAGGCATGAGCCACCGCGCCCAGCCTTCAGCTGATTTTTTAAAAACAATTTTTTGTACAGAATGGGTCTCACTGTGTTGCCCAGGCTGATCTCAAACTCCTGGGCTCAAATGATCCTCCTGCCTCAGCCTCCTAAAGTGCTGAGATTGCAGATGTGAGCCACTGTGACCAGCCTAAGAACCAAGATTTGATTGAAAGCACTCTGAACACAAGTACCTAATATATGTGTGTGCGTGTCTGTGCGTGTGTGTGCATGTGTGTGTGTCTTTGTGCACGTGTCTGCATGTCTGTGTGTGTGTGGGCAAACGTGCATATTCAGATGTCAGGAAATAATGAACACCAGTCAATCAATGCTCTGTCTCCAGGTGTGTCAGAATGATGGAAACTCTCTGTGTTTTATTTTATTTCAGCTGGTTTTCCTGGAATTCTTTGAAGCTCTCTTAAGCTTTGCATTCATCTGTGTTACTGACCAAATGACTAAATCCTATACAAATGTTCCAGCTGATGATGTGTCTGGAAATAAACATGAAACTATTTATACAATACTAAATCAGGTAACACATAATATCTTAGAATTAGGTAATCTTAGAATTACAGAGCAAGGAGGGCTGGGCACGGTGGCTCACGCCTGTAATCCCAGCACTTTGGGAAGCCGAGGCGGGCGGATCACGAGGTCAGAAGATCGAGACCATCCTGGCTAACGTGGTGAAACCCTGTCTCTATTAAAACTACAAAAAAATTAGCCGGGCGTGGTGGCAGGCACCTGTAGTCCCAGCTACCGGGGAGGCTGAGGCAGGAGAATGGCGTGAACCCAGGAGGTGGAGGTTGCAGTGAGCTGAGATTGTGCCACTGCACTCCATCCTGGGCGTCAGAGCAAGACTTCTCAAAACAAAACAAAAAAACCAAACAAACAAAAAGAATTACAAAGCAAGGAATGGCTTTATTCTGGAATGGTTAAACCATCATCAAAACTATCTTGGCTTTACTAACCCTTCCAGAAAGTAATTTAAGAAGTCTTTCCATTTTCCTTTTAAAATTTTATTTTATGTGTTTTGAGACAGGGATTCACTCTATTGTCCAGGCTTGAGTGCAGTGGTGGAATCATGCCTCACTGTAGCCTTGACCTCCTGAGCTCACACGTTCCTCCCATCTTAGCCTCCTGAGTAGCTAGGACTACAGGCATGTGTCACCACACCCAGCTAATTCTTTTTTTTTTTTTTTTTTTGAGACAGAGCTTCATTCTGTTGCCCAGGCTGGAGTGCGGTGGCACGATCTCGGCTCACTGCAATCTCCGCCTCCTGGATTCAAGTGATTCATGCCTCAGCCTCCTGAGTAGCTGGGATTACAGGCGTGTGCCACCATACCTGGCTAATTTTTTATATTTTTAGTAGAGACGGGGTTTCGCCATGTTGACCAGGCTGGTCTCGAACTCCTGACCTCAGTTGATCCGCCTGCCTTGGCCTCCCAAAGTGCTGGGATTAGGCCTGAGCCACTGTGCCTGGCCTTTTTGTATTTTTTTGTAGGGATGGGGTTTTGCCATGTTGTCCAGGCTGGTCTCAAACTCCTGAGCTCAAGTGATCCTCCTGCCTCGGCCTCCCAAAGTGCTGGGATTACAGGTGTGAGCCACCATGCCCGGCCAAGATGTCTTTTTCACATTTTGGAAGTGTATATAGATTTTTTTAAGTTAGGGGAAATGTGTTTCCTGGCCATGATCCAGGAAGTGGACTCCTAGCCACAGCAGAGAGTTGCCGATGAAGGTGACAGTGCATACCGACATGCTGGGTGGGCCGCTAGACCACACTTTAGAAAATCAGAGGTGTTTTACTAGGAGATGTTTCGTTATATGGATCCAGTGTTTCTAAGAGTGGAAAGCCTGCTCAAGAGCAGATGTGTCGAATAGTTCCTGAGTGTGCGTGGGATGCTAACCAGGTCCGCAGGGCTTGCTCACAAGCATGGACACCCAGGCCAGGCGCGGTGGCTCACGCCTGTAATCCCAGCACTTTGGGAGGCCAAGGTGGGCGGATCACTTGAGGTCAGGAATTCGAGACCAGCCTGGCCCACCGTGGTGAAACCCCGTCTCTACTAAAAAGACACTGGAAACTGAACGTTCATGTCGTGCTCCCTTTTGACCAACAATTTGGGAGTGTGATTTAGAGATCAGAGAGAGGCTCAGCTTCAAACTTATCAAAGCTGATCCTTCTTGCTCAGCTCACAGTGGTTTCACACGCTCTAGTAATTTGGGGAGGCAAAGGTAGAATTCTGTTCCACAGAGGTAAGTGTGCTATGAAGAGGGACAGCAAGCTCCAGACATGTGCAGAAGGCTCCCCTTGAGCCGTCAGCTGAGTGTGCATGCATGTGAGGGAACAGCTGGAACCTAAGGGAAGAGCCGCCAGCAAGCAGGGGAGGGACCTCAAGGACTCACGCGGGGCTGGGAGTAGTTTGCATTTCCAGTCGCCAGCGTAGAGAAGCCTTCGCATCCATGAGGGGCATCAGGCTGGGTACTTAAAAGTTCACTCTGTGTGTGTGTGTGTGTTTCTTGTTTGTTTTTTTTTGACAAAGTCTTGCTCTGTTGCCCAGGCTCGAGTGCAGTGGCACAATCTTGGCTCACTGCAGCCTCTGCCTCCCAGGTTCAGGGTGATTCTTCTGCCTTGGCCTCCCAAGCAGCTGGGATTACAGGTGCACACCGCCACACCTGGCCAATTTTTGTATTTTTAGTAAAGACAGGGTTTCACCGTGTTGGCCAGCCTGGTCTTGCACTCCCGGCCTCAAGTGATCCGCCCGCCTCATTCTCTGAAACTTCTGGGATTACAGGCATGAGCGAAGCGCCTGCCCTGTTATTTATTTTTTTTAGAGACAGGGTCTTGCTCTCTTGCCCAGGCTGGTCTCAAACCCCTGGGCTCAGGTGATCCGCCCACCTTGGCCTCCCAAAGTGCTGAGATTACAAGCGGGAGCCACTGTGCCTGATTCGGTTCACTCTCTTGACTGAGGCGATGGTTTCACAGGTATAGATGTGTGAAAACACATCAAAGGGTACAGTTTATGTGTAGTTCATTGTAAATCAGTTACAGCCCATTAAAATATTGCGTGTGTGCATGTATGTATGCCTGTATGGATCTCTATGGAAACCAGAAGCCCTCTGACGCGTGTGTTTGTTCTTGCTTAGGACGCCCAGAACAAGAGTCCCAGCGCGGTCATGAGCCACGAATCGGATGCTGCTCACTCTGACAGTGCCAGGTCATCTTCCAGCAAGTTAGAACTCTCGCCTGATGTTAACAAAATAAGGAAATCAGAGGTTTGTCTTGGCAACTAACCGTGTAGAGACACCCGCTACCGAGTGCCTGCTCTGCGAAGAGCTCTTTTCCATGCTCTGGGGACCTAGCAGTGAACAGAAACCCACGCCCTCATGGGCTTTACTTTCCAGTGAGGAGGGGACACGGCAGCAAGTGAACAGCAGTAATAGCGTTTATGGGTGTTTACCAGGCGCCGAGCTGTCCCCAGGGACCAGCTCAGCATCCCCATGACCTTCAGGTACTGTGATTCTCTCTAGGAGGGAACCCAGGCCCAGAAAGGTTAAATAGCTTGGCCACAGCTGCATAACCAGTAAGGCATGGAGCTGGGGGTTTGTGCCCAGGCACTTTAACTCCAGAATTAGCACCGGTTACCGCAAGCTATGCTTCTTCCCACTTACGAGGTCTAAGTGACAGGAAGGGCATGTGGCCGGGGCGGGGGGTCCTGGCGTTTATTCTGGGTGAGTGGGATGGGATGGGACACCATCTGAGCAGAGGTGTCAGGAGGCTCTGTGGCTTCACCGTTGACAAACCAGTGAGGAAGCTCTTGGAACCATCCCGCTGGGAGGTGATGGTGACTGGGACTAAGGTGGGCTGAGGTCTGAGGTGTTTTGAAGGGTGCAGGGGTTGAAAGGCAAAGAGAAGGCAAAGATGAGTCCAAGATTTTTTGGCTGAGCATTGGCAGAATGGAGTTGCCATTTATGATGATGTGGAAGACGGAGGCAGGGGGCTGAGTTTTGGGAGCAAAATTAAGTGGTTGATTTTGGACAAGTTAAGCTTAAGGTGCCTGAACTGATGCCCAAGTAGCATGGCTGGAGGCAAGACTGGAGTTCAAGGGCAAACTCCGGCTGGAGGTAGAAATATGGGGGTTAGGGCATACATGTGGTGATTAAAGCCGTTAGGTCGGGCGAGGTGGCTCACGCCTGTCATCCCAGCACCTTGGGAGACCGAGGTGGGTGGGTCACTTGAGGTCAGGAGTTCGAGACCAGCCTGGCCAACATGGTGAAACCCCATCTCTGCTAAAATATATAAAAATTAGCCAGGCCTGGTGGCAGGTGCTTGTAATCCCAGCTATTCAGGAGGCTGAGGCAGGAGAATTGCTTGAACCTGGGAGGCAGAGGTGGCAGTGAGCCGGGATCCAAGATCACACCACTGCACTCCAGCCTGGGCAACAGAGTGAGATTCCGTCCCAAAAAATGTAATAATAATTAAAGCCATTAGTATATGAATCTAAGTATGGTTAAATTTTTTTTTTTTTGAGACAGAGTCTCGCTCTGTCGCCCAGGCTGGAGTGCAGTGGTGCGATCTTGGATCTCGGCTCATTGCAAGCTCTGCCTCCCGGGTTCACGCCATTCTCCTGCCTCAGCCTCCTGAGTAGCTAGGACTACAGGCACCCACCCCCACGCCCGGCTAATTTTTTGTGTTGTTAGTAGAGATGGGGTTTCACCCATGTTAGCCAGGATGGTCTCGATCTCCTGACCTTGTGATCCACCTGTCTCGGCCTCCCAAAGTGCTGGGATTACAGGCATGAGCCACCACGCCTAGCCGGTATCGTTAATTTTATACAATAAATACTGTACCAACAGACCCAGGTGACATTTTCAAGTTTTGGGGTTTTTTTTTGAGAGGCTTTCAGTAAATGCCATAATTCTGTTGTTCATTTCATTAATAATATAAATATTTTATTCAGGTTAAAATAGTCAAATTGGCTGGGTGTGGTGGCTCACACCTGTAATCCCAGCACTTTGGGAGGCCAAGGCAGGCAGGTCACCTGAGGTCAGGAGTTCGAGACCAGCCTGGCCAATATGGTGAAACCCCATCTCTACTAAAAATACAAAAATTAGCCTGGTGTAGTGGCGCATGCCTGTAGTCCAGCTACCCAGGGAAGCTGAGGCAGGAGAATTGCTGGAACCCGAGAGGCGGAGGCTGCAGTGAGCCGAGATCGCGCCACTGCACTCCAGCCTGGGCAACAGAGCAAGACTCTGTCTCAAAAAAAAAAAAAAAAAAAAGTCAAATTAAAGTCAAATTAGCTCAAGGAGAACAGCCTCATTAATAATTTTCTAATTAATTAAAGTATAAAAAAGCAGTTTTAACCCCATAATGATGTAAACGTAATATTTTGCTTTATGATTTTTTTAAAATGCAAAAGCCCAAGATCAAGAAGTCTGTAAGTCATGAAAGAGTCTCCAAAATGAATTTTAAATTGACTGGAAAAGGGATCACCTTTTTCTCATCTGAGAGCAGTGAGTATTTTAATTGTAGAACCTTAATATTTACAAACTGTTGCTTATGAATTATATAATGTCTATACTGTTTTACAACCATCTTTTTTTAATTTTTAGTTTCTTAGAGGCAGAGTCTCGCTATGTTGTCCAGGCTGGTCTTGAACTCCTGGGCTCAAGCGATCCTCCCACCTCGGCCTCCCGAGTAACTGGGATTACAAGCAGGCATCACCACACCCAGCACAACCATCTTTTTAAATAATGAGGCTGGTACAGCTGCTTCTGTTTCTCCTCCCTGGTTTGGAGTTCAAGTTCAAGGCGTGACCTTGCTGTGCTGACTCAGTCTGTTAGGGCAGATGCCAGTATGGGACAGCTGGGCCTCCCCTGGGCCCTGCACGCCCATCTCAGAGTCTGATGCCGTTGACTACATTGTTTTCTTACAGGCAACTTTTCTCTCTCAAGGGTCTCATTCTCTCGGATTTTTAAAGGTGCTCAAATTAAAAACAACACACAACCCTTATTCACTTCCTCATCCTCCTGTTTTATTATGTTTTCCTTTATCCTGGGAAGATCGCTCTTGAGGCCTCTCTGTCTGCTGACTGCGCTTCCTCCCTCTGGTCTGATTCCTCAGCCGTGTCCGTGTGAACTTCCAACCTCATGCCTCTGCTTTCCTCAGGGTCATCCAGTGATGATCAATGTCATGGGAATTTCCCGCTGTTACTCTGCTGGCCTTGCCAGTTGCACGTGGCCTTGTTTTCATGATTAAACAAGCCCTGGTGTTTCCCCTTTTCTTTTCTTTTCTTTTTCTTTTTTTGAGACAGGGTTTTACTTTCTTGCCCAGGCTGGAGTGCAGTGGTGCCATCATAGCTCACTGCAACCTCTGCCTCCTGGGTTCAAGTGATTCTCCTGCCTCAGCCTCCCTAGTAGCTGGGATTACAGGCACCCATCACTGCACCTTGTATTTTTAGTAGATGGGGTTTCATGATGTTGGCCAGGGTGGTCTCAAACTCCTGACCTCAGGTGATCTGCCTGCCTCAGCCTCCTAAAGTACTGAGATTACAGGTGTGAGCCCACCCGCCCCTGGGCATTTTTTTTTTTTTTTTTAAGAGGTGGGTTCTTGCTCTGTTGCCCAGGCTGGTCTTGAACTCCTGGATCCAAGAACTCCTGGATCTGAACGCCTTGACTCCCAAAGTGCTGAGGTTACAGGTATGAGCCCAACCGCGCCTGGTCTTTGTTTGTTAAAGAGATGGGGTCTTGCTATGTTGCCCAGGCTGGTCTTGAACTCCCGGGCCCAAGTGATCTTCCCGCCTTGGTGTCCCAAAGCACTGGGATTACAGGTGTGAGCCACCGCGCCTGGCCCTCCCCCTTTTCTGACGGTGTCTCTCTATGGCCGGCCGCCCACTCAATGGTGGACTTTTAAAGGTTCCATCCCGGGCCCTTGTCCTCTCAAAGGCCTCCCCTGTGTATCCCCCTCTACAGTGCCTGTCGTTTCCCGTTACTCCTCCTCCAGTGGATCATTCCCATCGGCACACATGTGCTGCATATGCCCAGTTAGGAAAATCTCTTCTCTTGGCCGGGCATGGTGGCTCACACTTGTAATCCCAGAACTTTGGGAGGCCGAGGCAGGCAGATCACAAGGTCAGGAGTTCGAGACCAGCGCGACCAATATAGTGAAACCCCATCTCTACTAAAAATACAAAAATTAGCCAGGTGTGGTGGCACACGCCTGTAGTCCCAGCTACTTGGGAGGCTGAGGTGAGAGAACTGCTTGAACCCAGGAGGCAGAGGTTGCAGTGAGCTGAGACCATGCCATTGCATTCCAGCCTGGGTGACAGTGAGACTCCATATCAAAAAAAAAAAAAAGGAAAAAAGGAAAATCTCTTCTCCCACTTTCCCCTCTAGATCCCACTTTCTTTCCCTGCTCCTTTGCTGCTAGGCATCTTGGGGGGCTGTGTACATGCTCACCTTTGCTGCTAGGCATCTTGGGGGGCTGTGTACATGCTCACCTTTGCTGCTAGGTATCTTGGGGGGCTGTGTACGTGCTCACCTTCTCCAGGACCTCTCCTGTGTGTCCCTTAGCTTTTGCTCCATGTGGCACTGTCCTCCCCAGGCCACTGAAGGCCCCTTTTCATCAGCAGTGACTCCGTGTTGCCACCGCCAGGAATCCTGCTGTCACTTGAACCGATCTCTCCATAGTCAGGAAAAGCGTCAGCTTCTTGAAATACTCTTCACAGAGATTCGGCCTCTGTGACCCCTCGTCATCCTAGGTTTCTTCTCCCTCTGGTGCAAATCTGTGGGTTGTGTCATTTTCTCCCGCAGAGCTCAGCATCCCAGCAGAGACAGGGCATTCCTGCGGTGCCGTAATCAAGACGCACAGTTCCTGTAACAGAAATAGAACTGAAAATGGAACCCCAGCTAATGTGTTTTCCTGCTGATCTGATTAGCAGGGAAGTGATCTCTAGTCCCAGCTCCAACTGGATTTTGTCCTGGATTTCTCTGGTTGTTCCTTTAAGTCCCGTGTGCCAGTCACCAGTCCTGTGGCTCCTGCCCTGTGTCTTGTCAAGGATCCCCTTGACCCACGTGGCATCTCTTCCAGTACCATTTCGTCTGATTACTGCATGTGGCAGCCGTGACTTACTGTCCTCCAGCTTGTGGGTGTCTAGTTGAGAGTTCATGAATGAACATAAGACAATCTTGCAGCCAGGTGCAGTGGCTCACAGCCGTAACCCCAGAACTGTGGGAGGCCAAGGCAGGAGGATCACTTGTGCCCAGGAGTCTGAGACCAGCCTCGGCAACATAGCGAGCCCGTCTCTACAAAAAAAATATCAAAATTCACCGGGTATGGTGGCACACTCCTGTAGTCCCAGCAACTTGGGAGGCTGAGGCAGGATGACTGCTTAAGCCCAGGAGCTCGAGGCTGCAGTGAGCTGTGATTGCACCACTGCACTCCAGCCTGGGTGCCAGAGCAAGACCCTGTCTCCAACCAACAAAAAGGAATCTTCCTTCACATTCAGTCTTGTTCTGACCTTAGAGTCCTGGATTGCGTATAATTTGATTCTCTGAATTTTAAAATCTTCCAAGTGAATAGATAACCAGAATTGCTTAAAAAGATGGAAAAAATTACGGTAGTTTAAGATTTAGAGATTCTTTAGCCTAGACAAGAAAGATAGAGAGGGATAACTATAACTACTAGGAAATTACTTTTGTGAGAGTAACCCGTTGTCTAGTTCTCTAGGAGAGAGGATTCACTTGGGATACACAGCTATCCTTGTCTCTAAAGGGGTTTCAAACTCTGAATAAATAAAAGCTTTCGAATATTTTGTCCCCAAGACCTAGGCCGGGTGCAGAGGCTCATGCCTGTAATCCCAGCACTTTGGGAGGCCGAGATGGGAGGATTACTAGAGCTCAGGAGTTTGAGACCATGGGCAACATAGCGAAACCTTGTCTCTATAATAATTAGCTGGGTGTGGTGGCACCCGCCTGTGGTCCCAGCTACTTGGGAGGCTGAGGTGGGAGGATCATTTGAGCCCAGGAGTTGGAGGCTGCAGTGAGCCATGATGGTACCACTGCACTCCAGCCTGGATGACAGAGCAAGATCTTGCCTCACAGTAATACTTAAAACAATTAGCCTCGTGTGGTGGTACATGCCTGTATTCTCAGCTATTAGGGAGGCTGAGATAGGAGGATCACTTGAGCCCAGGAGTTCCTCCAGGCTTCAGTGAGCCATGGTCATGCCACTGCACTCCAGCCTGGGCCATAGAGAGCTTGTCTTTAAAAAAAAAAGAAAAAAGCAAGAGAAACGAGTTTTTTTATTCTTGAAACATGGAAAATTAAAGTATCAGAAAACCCAAATTCTTAAGATAGAAAAAAAAGAGGTGGCTGGGCACAGTGGCTCATGCCTGTAATCCCAGCACTTTGGGAGGCCGAGGTGGGTGGATCACGTGAGGTTAAGAGTTCGAGACCAGCCTGGCCAACATGGTGAAACCTCATCTCTACTAAAAATACAAAAATTAGCCGAGTGTGATGGCGCACGCCTGTAGCTACTCGGGAGGCTGAGGCATGAGAATCGCTTGAACCCAGGAGGTGGAGGTTGCAGTGAGCAGAGATCACGCCACTGCACTCCAGCCTGGGTGACAGAGTGAGATTCTGTCTCCAAAAAAAAAAAAAACAAAAAAGAAAAAACGAGGTAGCAGGAAACTCAAAGGGAAGGCTGACAATCCCAGCCAGGGTCTGCTGAGCCCCTGCCTTGTTCCAGGTGGTCATGGAAGCAGCGTCCTTACTCCTCTCCCCTCTCCTGGCCGAGGAGAAGGGGGCCCACCCCAGGGAGGCTAGAACGAGAAAAAGCACGCAGACCCCCAATTGACAGCAGGATTGTATTCATGTTCAGCTTCATGAAACTCTATTCCAGAGAAATATGAGAGACCCAAGGATGATCGAGAGGAAGAGTTCAACACGTGGGTCAATAATATGTACGTCTTCTTTGTGAACACGCTCTTTCATGCGTATAAACGTGAAGAAGCTATCAAGGAGAAAATAAGGGCAGACAGGTTACGTAGCACAGCACAGGCCCAGCAGCGGAAGATGGAAGATGACGAACTGGAAGCAAGGTAACTTACGAGGTCCCTCCTCTCCTTCCCCAGCTGCTCTCTCTCTTCCTGTCTTCCGTAGCTGCCAGAACGCATCAGGACCAAGTGCTTTCCGGACAAGCCGTAATTTCCTATGGGCGTCGTTGACATAAAAAGGAATGAATATTTGGTCTCTGTTCCTGGCAGAACACCTGAAGCCTTTGTAACTTCCTGAGTAATGGGATAATGGGAGCATCTTTTGTTCTAATATTTGGTCTTAGTTTCTAGTTTTATTTTTTGTTTTTAGACAGGGTCTCACTGTCACCCAGGCTAGAGTGGGGTGGTATGATCTCAGCTCACTGCAACCTCCGCCTCCCGGGTTCAAGCGATTCTCTTGCCTCAGCCTCCCGAGCAGCTGGGATTAGAAGCATGCACCACCACGCCTGGCTAATTTTTGTATTTTTAGTAGAGACGAGGTTTCACCAGGTTGTCCAGGCTGGTCTCGAACTCCTGACCTCAAGTGATCTGCCAGCTTTGGCCTCCCAAAGTGCTGGGGTCACAGGGGTGAGTCACTGCATGCAGCTATTTTCTATTTCTTGACCCAAGAGTTCAAAACCTGTGGACTCTTTGGGGTAATGACTATATTGAGATGACTGGTAGCCAGGGGAGGGGCCCTCGATAGCTTCTCGCTGGAGCTGGTTGCCAGGAAACCAACCACAAGATTAGAAGGTTGGGACTTTCAGCTCCAGCCCAACCTCCCAGGAAGGGAGAGGGGCTGGAGATTGAGTTCAATAACTAATAGCCAGTGACTTAATCAGGTCTACATATTGGACCCTCCATAAAGTCCCCAAATGGGCTGGGCATCATGGCACATGCCGGTAACCCCAGCACTTTGGGGTGCCAAGGCAGGAGAATCACTTGAGTTTGAGACCAGCCTAGGTTAATACAGCAAGACCTCATCTCTACAAAAAATACAAAAATTTAGCCAGATGTGGTGGCAGGCGCCTGTAGTCCCAGCTACTTTGGAGACTGAGGCAGGAGGATTGCTTGAGCCTGGGAGGTTGAGGCTGCAGTGATTTGTTTGTGCCACTGCACTCCAGCCTGGGCAACACAGTAAGACCCTATCTCAAAAAAAAAAATACACACACACACACACACACACACACATATACACACACACACACACATAATACACACACACACACACACACACACGTAACTTTGGGAGGCCGAGGTGGGTGGATCACCTGAGGTCAGGAGTTTGAGACCAGCCTGGCCAACCTGGTGAAACCCATCTCTACTAAAAATACAAAATATTAGCCGGGCGTGGTAGCGGAAGCCTATAATCCCAGCTATTCAGGAGGCTGAGGCAGGAGAATCGCTTGAACTCGGGAGGCGGAAGTTACAGTGAGCCGAGATTGCACCATTGCACTCCAGCCTGGGCAACAAGAGCGAAACTCTGTCTGTCTCGAGAAAAAATTTTCTTTTCATAGATAGATGAGAAGTTTATTTTGGACTGTGTCGACATGGCATCAGTTATTTCAGGCAGAGTGTAGCAACTTACAGTTTTGTTTACACATGCTGTTGAAATGCAGGTATGAAGGGCTGTATACTATAAATAGCCTAAAACTGGTTTTGCAGTTTGGAGGGGGATAAAAAAAGCTACCACCTTCTCATGTTTGCTTTTAGGCTGAACATCTTCATCTTGAGAGAGGAAGAGGCCAAGAGACATGACTATGAGGTGGACATCACAGTGCTCAAGGAGCCGGCAGACGTGTCATCCTCTCACCTCATACTGGACCCTCCCAAGGAGGATGTGACCGTGTCCCCATCCAGCAAGACCATCACCAGCAAGAAGAAGAAAAAGTAGAGAGACACGAGGACACACACACAGGCTTAGGATGGCACGTGCTGTAAGATTTCCTGAGCATTACAGTTCTTAGCACTGAACTCGTCACAGTGTTTTAACATACCCCTTGGCCCACTGCATCTCAGGTTTCCTACATGGCTGGATTACGGGAGTTCGAGACCAGCCTGGGCAACATAGTGAGACCCCCCCATCTCTGCAAAATTAAAACATCAGCCGACCGTGGTGGTGTGTACATGTGGTTCTAGCTTCTTGGGAGGCTGAGGTGGGAGGATTGCTTGAGCTCAGGAGGTTGAGGCTGCAGTGAGCCATTGCATTCCAGCCTGGGTCACGGAGCTGGTGGCCAGTGTAATCTATAAATAGGCAGCAGGAGAGAGACTCAACACCAAACCAGAATTTTAAAAACTTTTAACAATTTATTAGTCTTATTTTCCAGTAAAATATTCACATAATGTCAAAAGAATGAAATGATAGCGATATAGCCAACTACCTTTAATTAATTCCACATAAATATTTAAAATCTAAAAACCTCAGATCAGCAGACCGAGTCGAAATGTGATTCTTCAAAGCAAGTATTGCTTTACCCTTGTCCTGAATGCAGTCCGTCATATGACCACTAACTTGCATGTGACCAAATGTTTGCAGAGTGTTTTTTAGATATGCTCTCGGTGAGCCGTCATCCGTCAATCCAAGAAGAAGATGTTGTTGAACTGCGTTGCACAAAGTTTCTTGACCTCTTCTGCAACAAGGACACAACAGTGAGGAAGGAAGAGGCAGTCACTTAAAAGGTTACATGATATATAATTAAATTCTTCTTGGGTAAAATTAGGAAGAGAGATTTGCATTGATTTTGACCTTAAATCCCAGAAGACTAGGCAAGAATTTTTTTTTTTTTTTTTTGTTTGAGACAGAGTCTTGCTCTGTCACCCAGGCTGGAGTGTAGTGGTGTGATCTTGGCTCACTGCAGCCTCTGCCTCCCAAGTAGCTGGGACTACAGGTGCACACCACCACGCCCTGCTAATGTTTGTATTTTTTGGTAGAGACAGGGTTTCGCCATGTTGGCCAGGCTGGTCTCGAACTCCTAACCTCAAGTGATCCGCCCACCTTGGTCTCCCAAAGTGCTGGGATTACAGGCATGAACCACTGTGCCCAGCCAAGAAATGTTAACAAGTAGAAGAGGGGAAAAAATCCACCTACAAAACCTACCAGGCCTCAGGAGTTTTGAGCCTATCAACACTGCTGCCCGGGGCCTGAGAAACTGCAAAGTGCCCGGGACACCCAGGGGAGGGGGTTAGAAGCACAAGGCTGGTGACACACACCAAGCACAAGGTTGTCATCCTGGGACAACTAATGGAACAACAAAGAAACGGACAGCAACCTTGAGCTGCAGACCAAGTGCTCCGCAGAGGGGTCAGGATTTTGATCTTACCACATTCACAGTTTAGATCAGGCTTGCATTAACTGATGTTTCTAGTGCGCACAATGACTAACACAGGTATTACTAATAAAGAGAAAAATGTAGTATGCCCAAGATACAAGGGGAAAAAAACGCTTACACTGAATTTCCACACAGTGTACACGTGGGGCATCTCCCAAGGGGGCAGCTCTGCCGAGGTGAGGTCCCCTCTCTCCAGGGCAGCCGAGCTATCAGCACCGCAGCTGCCGGGTCACCCCGTGCAGTGGGCAAGGCTGGCCGCTTTGGCGGGAAGGCAGGAGAAAATGTCTGCCTCCTTCTGCCTGTGTACAGAGGGATACTTGTAAACGGCTACGTGAACCCGGCAGCTTCTCCCTACAAAAGATATGTTTTTATCACAGGATATTAAAAAAGGACATTTTGGGCTGGGCAAGGTGGCTCACGCCTGTAATCCCAGCTCTTTGGGAGGCCAGAGGATCACTTGAGGCCTGGAGTTTGAGCCCAGCCTGTGCGACAGAGCAAGACTCTGTTTCAAAAAAAAAAAAAGAAATTAGCTGGGTCTGGTGACACATGCCTTGGTGATACATGCCTGTGGTCTCAGCTACTCTAGAGGCTGAGGTGGGAGGACTGCTTGATCCTAGGAGTTGGGGGCTGTGGTGAGCTATGATTGCACCACTGCACTCCAGCCTGTGTGACAAAGTGAGAACCTGTCTCCAAAAAAAGGGGGACATTTCTTAATATAAAGTCATTTTTTTTTTTTTTTTAGAATTGTAGAAAATAATTTTCTTTCTGCCATTGCCAAGTTTCCTGTGCTACAGGAAGGTCTTGTCATAGTTTTCCAAGGAACAGAAAATGGATCAAATGTGGAGCAGAGGCACCTGCTTAGAATCTCAACAGTCATGATTTGTTCTATTTACCTATTTTTTAACCATGTTTCTTAATGCAATGAAAAGACAACTTCTCAAATTCTCCTGAAATACCAAATCCTACTTACCATTTACTTCAATCAGGTTTGCATTTTTTTGATTCAAAATAACATAGAGCTCCCGCCGATCAGACTTCTTTCCAACAACCCAGTAATCACTCATGGCCTTCACAATGATCTCCTCATCTTCATCCACTCTGCAAGACGAGGGTCAAAATGCAATCGTTCGTTACTCATACGGCCAGACTGTGAGAATAAGCGTTCCAAACCAAGAACAGGAAATGGAACGGGCGCACGTGGCATTTAAAAGGCTCAGGGAGTGCCGCGCGAGGGAACCGGTGACTTCAGGGCTCCCGGGTCTGTTTGGAAGCGGCGCCCATGAAGGTGGTTCACGCTTGAACCCCATGGAAAGGGCTTGAAGGGATTTTCTGTGTCTTTTCTCGTCTTAGAAAGGGGACGCCTGATTGGAGAAGTGGCTGGAATCACCTGGTAAAGTCACTGTTGATGTCACCGAGAATCTTCATTAAATCCGGGTGCACGGAAGTGAGCGACACGCTGGGCGTTTTCCTCATGTGAACTGTGCTCTTCTCGGCGAGATTCATGTGGTTGAAGTAGATAAACTTAAACTGGGGTTCTTTCTCAGACCTGTGAAAACATGTCACGAAGACAGTAGCACTCGGGCCGGATACAACTAGATTCTTCTTTTAAAATTTTTTTGAGATGGAGTCTTACTGTCGCCCAGGCTGGAGTGCAGTGACACGATCTCGGCTCACTGCAACCTCCGCCTCCCTGGTTCAAGCGATTCTCCTGCCTCAGCCTCCTGAGTAGCTGGGATTACAGGCGCCCGCCACCACGCCCAGCTAATTTTTGTATTTTTAGTAGAGACGGGGTTTCACCATGTTGGCCAGGATGGTCTCGATCTCCTGACCTTGTGATCCACCCGCCTTGGCCTCCCAAAGTGCAGGGATTACAGGCGTGAGCCCCCGCGCCCGGCCCTGGCCCTCTTTTTCTAAACAAAGTTTCACGGGAACCTCGCCATTGCCACATGTTCATGTGTTGTCTGTCTGCTTTCCCACCAAAATGACAGTTGAGTAGTTTTAACACGTATCTACATACAGCCCGTGACATCTGAGATACTTATTATTGGGTCCTTTACCGTAAAAGTCTGCTGACCCCTGCTTGAGGAGAGTAACACCTCGTTCCTCCCACAGTGCGGGGAATGAGTGTCCCGTGGAAATTAACCTGCCTCATGAGGGAAGCCTACGACACTATGTAACGAAGCTTTCCCTCATATCATCCCCAGTGGACATCACTGTAAAACGCAGTCGCCTTTTCCACTGCAGTCTGATGAACATTTTAAATGGGATGTACCTTTTTATTTCTTAAACTGACTAGGCAGTGCTACGACGCTGCCTCCCAGGTCAGAGTCTGTGACCTCCTCGGGGACCTAGTGGGAAAAGCTGGGCCTCACTGCTCCTGGGGCCCCTCCCCTCCCCTCCCTGCACCCTCAGTGTCCACCCTGGGGCCTGGATGGGGCCTGAGCACAGCCCCGCCCCTGGGCTCAGAGGCCTCCTCTGCTTGCTTCAGGGTTAGCAGCCACGTTCTGGAGGGCTGGGGGTACCAGAAATCCGACCTCCGGACCAATGGGGTACTCATGAAATACTCTACGTCCAGGCAAAGAAAGAACGTGGAGGATTGAGTTTCCAGGAACATGTAAAGAAACTTCTTATAAAACCAGAATTTGTTTTCATAGTTCCCTAAGGTTAAGGAAAGTATAATGACAAGAAAAACTGTTTGGAAAGAGTTGTAAATTTAGTTGTCTGGGTAGACAAGGAACTTAAATCGGGTGTAAGCTTCTATCCTCAAAACACTCTGTGAGGCCAGGAGCAGTGGCTCACGCCTATAATCCCAGCACTTTGGGAGGCTGAGGCAGGCAAATCACTTGAGGTCAGGAGTTCGAGATCAGCCTAGGCCACATGGCGAAACCCCGCCTCTACCAAAAATACAAAAATTAGCCAGGCGTGGTGGCACACACCTGTAGTCCTAGCTCCCGGGGAGGCTGAGGTAGGAGGATCACTTACAGCCTGGGAGGTCAAGGCTGCAGTGAGCCATGATTGCACCACTGCACTCCAGCCTGGGCGACAGCAGGAGACCCTGTCTCCAAAAACAAACCCACAAAAAAACAAAACAGGTGACACGTTCTCTATGGTCACTACACTTTGTCACTTTCCATCTGTTAGTTGATAACCTGCATGATCCAAACCGATTTAACTCACTTTTGCCTCCTTCACAAAGGAAAACCTGGTATTTTCACGGCCAAAGGATTCAATGATTCAGCAGCACTGTCAAGATATAAGCTGTTGGCTGGGCATGGTGGCTCATGCCTGTAATGCTAGCACTTTGGAAGGCCGAGGTGGGTGGATCACCTGAGGTCAGGAGTTCAAGACCAGCCTGGCCAACATGGCAAAACCCTGTCTCTACTAAAAATACAAAAATTATTAGCTGAGTGTGGTGGCACACGCCTGGAGTCCCAGCTACTCGGGAGGCTGAGGCAGGAGAATTGCTTGAATGAACTCAGGGGCTGGAGGTTGCAGTGAGCTGAGATCATGCCACTGCACTCCAGCCTGGGTGAAAGAGTGAAACTCTGTCTCAAAAAATAAAAACAAAAAGCAACAAAGATGTAAGCTGTTGACAGCAGTAATCCACACACTGTTGTACAAAACCTAGAGGTGCTTTCACCTTTGCTCGCTTCTGCGCTCTTAGAGGCCCACGGTTATACAAGACCATGCAGAAATAACATATGGGCCGGGCGCGGTGGCTCACGCCTGTCATCCCAGCACTTTGGGAGGCCGAAGTGGGTGGATCACGAGGTCAGGAGTTCGAGACCAGTCTGACCAACATGGTAAAACCCAGTCTCTACAAAAATTAGCCAGGCATGATGGCACCCAGCTACTCAGGAGGCTGAGGCAGGAGAATCGCTTGAACCTGGGAGGCGGAGGTTGCAGTGAGCTGAGAACAGACCATTGCACACTCCAGCCTGGGCAACTGAGACTCTGTCTTAAAAAAAAAAAAAAAAAAAACCCAAAAAACAACGTATGAACATTAAGACCATGAGCGTATGCAGAAATTCACAGCCTTTTAGTAACTTCTCAAATGTGTAGAGAGCCCATTTAAAAGCAGGACTTCAACTTCGCAAAGTGCTTTCCATCGCCTCACTTTCACTTTATAATAACTATTTTATATTGAGAAAAGATAAGCATGGCCGGGTGCGGTAGCTCACACCTGTAATCCCAGCACTTTGGGAGGCTGAGGCAGGTGGATCACTTGAGGTCAGGAGTTCAAGACCAATCTGGCCAACATGGTGAAACCCCGTCTCTACTAAAAATACAAAAAGGAGCCGGGCATGGTGGTGCACGCCTGTAATCCCAGCTACTCAAGAGGATGAGGCATGAGAATCGCTTGAGCCTGGGAGGCGGAGGCTGCAGTGAGCCAAGATCAAGCCACTGCACACTCCAGCCTGGGCGACAGAGTGGGAATTTGTCTCAAAAAAAAAAAAAAAAAGCCAGGGAGAAAGAATTCAAGGACATTTCAGTGTCTAGAGAGCCGGAGGAGTGAATCCCGCCTCTCCCACTCAGTGTAGACACTTCAGGCTGCCAGACTGAGTACCCAGGCCCAGTGCCCCACATCCCAGCCAGTTTCCCCTACACATTTTCACACAACGAGAGGCAAAATGCTTTCAGTCTGTGCACACCAAGACCACGCCGATGACTACTGTCCAAGTGAACGTAACAATCTGGGCTGGTGAAATGGGACGTTCCATTCGGGGGGAGCTGAGGGAAGGTATTTACCAGAAGGCCCAGCCCCAGCTGCCAGCGTGGGGCAGAAACACTCAGGGTGACTGTCCCCGGGACCCTTTCAGACAGAGGCCTGAATGGCACGTAGCACCATCCTCTACAGTCCACGAGAACACAGGACTGTTAATACCACCCGTATTTGTAAGTGAAAACTACGTGTATTTCAAAAGCCGTTCAATGCCTGAAAGTGAACCGAAAGCAAAGTACAAACCCGGACATCCTCTTGTTGATGTTAAACTGTTCACAGATGTCAGAGGCCAGCACTGTGAGCTGGGGCCCAACGATGCTGTCCAGTCTTCGGCAAAAATCCAACGTTGGGTGGACAGAGGCTGGCAAGTCATGACAAAAAATACCAGTAAGATTCATTTTACTGTGCGACGCTGAACAACAGTATTCAAACGAAAACTTCACTGGTCTGGGAAAACAAACAATGAATGCTCAGGCCCCCTTCTGCTCCTCAAATAGAAGAGAAACAGAAGATAGAAAACCGGTTACATTTCAGATGAAAAAAGGGCGAAGACCTATCTCACCGTGAAAAGCTGACCGAGGCACACCCTGTAGGGTGGTAAACGGTTGCCTACCCCAGAAAGACCTCAGAAGGTCGTATGTTTATTTAACAAACATTACGTAGCACTCATGGGCCAGGTGCTTCACAGACATGACCTCATTCGATCCTCAGAACCCCCCCGAGAGAGGTACCACTGCTGTCTCCAGCTCGCAGTCGGTGGGACACAGAAAGATGCCCACACTCTACTGCTGACTAGCGGGAAAACTAGGACTTAAAAAATATGAGCACTGGCTAGTTAAGGAGACAGGGGGGTCCCAGATGGGGAACAGGGCTCCTCTCTATGCCTCTATATTGCTTATGACAACACATTTATCATTTAATGGGCTGGGTGTGGGGGCTCACGCCCGAAATCCCAGCACTTTGGGAGGCTAAGATGGGTGGATCGCTTGAGCCCAGGAGTTTGACACTAGCCCGGGCAACATAGTGAGACCCTGTCTAAACAAACAACCACAAAAACATTAGCTGGGTCCGGCGGTGTGTACTGGCAGTCCCAGCGACTTAGGAGGCCAAGGTGGGAAGATCACTTGAACCCAGGAGGTCGAGGCTACAGTGAGCTATGATCATGCCACTGCACTCCAAGAGTGAAACCCCGTCTCCAACAAAAAAAGCCCAAACAACCGAAACCCCCAAAACATATTTATCACTTAAGAATAGGATGCAGCAAAGTACAAAAAGCTTAGGCTGAAATCAGACAAAGGCGCGTACCCACCGTCGATCATAAAGCACACAGCCGCACTCATGGCCTGGGAAGACAGAACAAACCAGAGGTTATGAAATGGTGGAAAAAAGGAGACTTTCGTATAATAACAATCTGTTCAAAGTCAATGGGGAGAAGTCAACTGTAAGAAGCTGCTTTTTGGTCAACTAGAGCCATCTGGACACAGACTGCCCATTCCATGATGCGAGGGGAGTGCTGTTGACCTTGTCAGGTGTGACAGCGCCAGTGGGGAGGTTACCACGGATGTCCTCATCAGAGAGGCACAGGGAAGTGTTCGTGACTGACGTGATGACTTAAAATGCTCTTGCAAACCCGACAACACAACATGGAGAAGCAACGAAGACCAGAATCTTATTCACTTGTGTGATGGGGACTTAGGGGTTCACTGTTCTAGTCTCTCTGTGTATAGTCCAGAGAGAATAGAGAATTGGCAGAAACTGTCCATTATTCTGTGACGATTTCCATTGACACACGTTTACAAAGACAGCAAATGGATATCATCCTGTCTCACTTTATTATAGCAAGTAATTACAGTTATGACATTAGACCTAGCAACCGACAACAACCAGGACCACAGATAACCAAAAATGTTTAAAAGTTATCAAAGCAATGTATGGTTAAGAGAGGCTGAGCAGAACACCAGGCCTGATGATGAAAGCCACAGATTTCGTTCTCTGACCCTCCTCCCCGGCAACCACTTTACACTGTCATTAGACAACAGCGTTATCCTAACTCTTCAACGTATCCTCTTTGGGCATCGTACTGACTTCCTGCTCATGTCATGACAGGTGTGACCCCTCGTCTGCCTTCCCCCTCCTCCTCTATGGTTTATAGCATTCTATTTCCTCCGCTGGCCGCCTTCCACCAGCCACAGCCTCCGCTCCTGAACTCACATTCCCACCTGCCCCAGTACCTCTTCCCACTTCCGAGAGCGAAATCCTGTCTCAAGAGAAGAAAGATCTCAAATCAGTGACCTGACCTTTCGTCTTAAGATCCTGGACAACAGGAGTCAACTAAACCTAAAGCAAGTGGGGCCGGGTGTGGTGGCTCATACCTGTAAGCCCAGCACTTTGGGAGGCCGAGGTGGGCGGATCACCTGAGGTCAGGAGTTTGAGACCAGCCTGGCTAACATGGCAAAACCCCATCTCTACTAAAAGTACAAAAAAATTAGCCGGGCGTGGTGGTGCGCCTATAATCCCAGCTACTCAGGAGGCTGCGGCAAGAGAATCATGTGAACCTGGGAGGCAGAGGTTGCAGTGAGCTGAGACTGTGCCACTGCACTCCAGCCTGGGTGACAGAGCAGGACTCCGTCTCAAAAAAAACAAAAACAAAAACAAAAAAACCCAAACAAACCTAAAGCAAATGGAAGGAAATAATAAAGCATGAGAGCAGAAACAAACTCAACAGAGAAAAATCACAGAGATAATAAATGAAACCAAAAGTTGTTCTCTGAAAAGACCCAACATTGAAAAACTTTTCCTTTTTCTTGTGAAGATTCCAGAAGTATGAAGAACCTTTAGCTAGACTATACAACAAGGAACAAAGAGAGAAGACTCAAATTACTAAAACCAGGAATGAAAGAGGAGACATCACTACTGACTTTACAGGAAAAACGAAGGAGTATCCGGCTTTACCTACAATACCATGAAAAACCACGTGCCGACAAATCAAATAAATTAATTGAAGCTGACAAATTCCTAGAAAGACACAAACTACCAAAGCTGACTCAAGAAGAAACAAAATCAAAATAAACCTGTAACAAGTACAGAGATTAACCCATTTATGCTGGAGGTTGTAAATCTTTTTTGTGAAAAATGAGACCTTGGCAATGACCTTCAGCAGGATATAAATAACTCTCACAAGCTTAGTGTTCCAATAATGGAACACTGGGCATAAATGGTTAACTTTAAAATTTGCCACAAAGAAAAGCCCAGGTGCAGAGAGCTTGACTGTGAATTCTATGAAACATGTAAAGAGGAATTAACACCAATTTTTCACTGTCTTCCAAAAAAATAGGAGGGAACATTTCCCAACACATTTTATCAAGCCAGCATTGCCCAAAGATATCACAAGAAAACAAAACTACAGGCCAATATCCCTTACACCCAAGCCCGCACAGCACCCGCTCCACCTCTGGAGGGCTGGAGACTAAGGCTGGCCATGTGGGGCCAGCTGTGTCTCTGTGGCCAACCCCCAATCAAATCTCTGGATCTCGAGGCTCAGGTGAGCTTCCCTGGATGTCAACACTCCATAGAGACAGCCACACATCCTCGATGGGGAAACACTCACTGGGCTGTCCACATGACCCCAACGGGAGAGGACAGCCGGAAGCTCACACCAGAGTGGGACTCCATCTCAAAAACCAAAAAACCAAAAAAAAAAAAAACAAAAAACAAAACAAAAACCCAAAAAACCAAACCAACCCAAACCAACCTAAAGCAAATAGAAGGACTCCTGGTCCTTCCATTGGTGGCTCCTGCGCCCTGCCCCACACGCCTCTTCCCCGGGCTGATTTTAACCTGTATTCTTCCACTGTAATAAACCGCAGCTGTGAGTGCCGCCATTCTTCCTTCCCCCTGGTTTTGTTTCCCATGGTTTCTGTTATGTGAGGGACAGTATAATAAAATATTGAGGGAAGGGGGAAGCAAACCGCATTCACATGACTTTTATTGCAGTAGAGTGTCATCGTCCAATTATGATTACTATTACTTGTTTTGAGATGGGGTCTCACTCTTGTCCAGGCTGGAGTGCAGTGGCACGATCTTGGCTCACTGCAACCTCCGCCTCCCAAGTTCAAGAGATTCTCCTGACTCAGCCTCCTGAGTAACTTGGATTACATGTGCATGCCACCATGCCTGGCTAATTTTTCTATCTATAGTAGAGGCAGGGTTTCACCACACTGGCCAGGCTGGTCTCAAGTTCCTGGCCTCAAGTGATCTGCCTGCCTCGGCCTCCCAAAGTGCTGGGATTACAGGTGTGAGCCACTGCGCCCAGCCTTATTAATCGCTTACTGTACTGAATTTATAAACATTATCA
Organism: Homo sapiens; assembly: GCF_000001405.40. NCBI lineage: Eukaryota > Metazoa > Chordata > Mammalia > Primates > Hominidae > Homo > Homo sapiens. The sequence goes on along the minus strand of NC_000007.14, from coordinate 5,915,855 downwards.
CAGGCATGTATGTACAGGAAAAAACACAGCAAGTGAAGGGTTTGGTACTGTCCCCGGTTTCAGGCACCTCCCGGGGGTTTTGGAACACATGGCCTTTGGCTCGGGGGTACTGCTGTAGAAAGCCTTTTCTGAGTCCTGTAGTACTTCTAGAGAACTCTTACCCTAAAGGTGGTCACGGGGACTCCCAAACTCGCAGTGGGTGTCAGAAGTGAGGATGGTCTTGGAGACTCATGAACTTTGCAACTAGAAATCACTGAACTGTACATTTTAAGTGTACGAGGGTGAGTTGTATGGTACGTGCATTGTATCTCAAAGTCATTAAGAAAAAGGTAAGGACCCTTTAACATAGCCACAATCCCATCATCACACCCCACAATATGTCTGTAGATTGACTCTAAAAATAGAAATGCAGCCGACAGCATATTACACACCAGGGTTATGGAGATTTCAGCCATTACCTGGGTCATTCAAAGGAGGATGATTTTTTTCTTGAGATGGGGTCTCAAACTTTCACTCGATACACAAACGGACATTCTTCCTACTCCAATTCCTGCTCTGAATTACACCTCCAACATTTTGGTTTGCTTTTTCAGACCACATCTTTCTGTATGCTCTTCCTGCAATCTCCCCTTCCCTGCCAGTCTGTCACAGCCCAACTTTAAGTGACTCTCAAGCACACCATGTGATGAATGAAACATCTTTTTATCTTGGCGGCTTGAACCCTAGAGCCCTCCCTCCTCCTGCTGTCACGGAGCTGCTGGAGGTGGGGTGCCGCCAGCAGACCTGAAGAGCCTTATCACCCCAAGATTTCCTTGTACCGTCTCACACATGAGAACTACTGTTCTGGATTCCCAAGTGTTCCTTCTTGGTGTGCTCACTTATTCTGCTGACGGATGACCCTGTGTAACACCCTCAGGAAAGGTGCATGACGGTAAACTTTTTGAGGCTTTTCATGTTGAACGTGTTTTTTTTTTCTTTCTGAGACAGAGTCTTGCTCTGTTGCCCAGACTGGAGCACAGTGGCGTAAGCTCAGCTCACTGCAACCTCCGCCTCGCGGGTACAAGTGATTCTCCTGCCTCAGCCTCCGGAGTAGCTGGGATTAGAGGCGTGTGCCACCTCGCCTGGCTGATTTTTTGTATTTTTAGTAGAGACAGGGTTTCCCCATGTTGGCCAGGCTGGTCTCGAACTCCAGACCTCAGGTGATCCGCCCACCTTGGCCTCCCAAAGTGTTGGGATATAGGCATGAGCCACCATGCCCTGGCTAATGTCTTTCTTTTGTCTTATCTGTGGTTGACAGCTTGGCATGGCAAAGAACTCTACGCTCAAATTCATTTTCTCTCAGAACTTTGAAAGTCTCTCTTCCACTGTCACATAATGTCTGGTGCTGGATATGAAACTGTTGATACCAGTTTCATTATTTTTGAGAGGGTTTCACTCTGTCACCCAGGCTAGAATGCAGTGGTGTGATCATAGCTCATTGCAGCCTCCAACTCTTGGGCTCAAGCGGTTCTCCTGCCTCAGCCTCCTGAGTAGCTGGGACTACACATGAGCACTGCCATGCCTGGCTAATTTTTAAACATTTTCCTGTCGACACAGGGTCTTACTATGTTGCCCAGGCTGGCCTCCAACTCCTGGCCTCAAGTGATCCTCCCACCTTGGCCTCCCAAAGTGCTGGGACTGCACCTGGCCCATTTCAATTTTATATTAATAGATACAACTCTTCTAATTAGTGGATACTAATTTTTAAAGTTCTTGTCTGTCCTCGGAATCATGTTTCTTTCGAGACCTCTAGTTTTGTTTTTGCAGCCATATTTAACAATGAGGGAACCAGAAGGCTGACCAGAGATGGAGGCTTCACTCTGAGTGTAGGATGAAGGTCTCAGTTCTGTCTGGGAGAAAGAAATGCCAGAATGAGCAGGGCCTCATTCTCAGGGGCAGACATCCACGTTAGCCACTCTGGGTCTCTTCAGACTGTTTCCTTTCTTTAAACAGACCCTCGATTGTCACCCAGGGATGGATGCTCAGCTGTGGGCCTGTCTGTGCAAGGATGGGGGAAGGGGAGGCTGACTGGCCTCTCTGCCACACTTCACTTCCCTTCCCCACCTTTCCAGGCCCAGGCCCCACTCTGACTCCTCAGGTGACCTCCTCCAAGTCAGGAGCCTCTCTGGGCTTCCACAGGGCTGTGGGTCCTTGCCTTAGCACAGGGTTGCCACTCATATTCCAGGCCTGCTCCGGCACCGCCCTCTATCAGGCATGGTTTACAAGTCCCGTCTACCTTCCAGAGAGGGACAGGACTCCCTCATCCTGACACATCCCGCTCCTTCCTGTTCCCCCACGGCATCATTTCTGAGCCTTTATAAATGAAAACTTCTCCACAGCCTCAGGCAGGAAAGAGGAGAAACACGTGCACATGCTCCGTCTTCTTTCTTGAATCAAAAACTGCCTTTAATTAGAAACACAACCTGAGTACATATCCTTACAAGACCATGTCCTGACAGAAACAAAATACAATCCTTATGGAATTAGCAAGCCTACAGCTTTAAAATCAGAGCAAAAGCAGCATATGCACAGACACGTGGCTACGGCCCCCATCCAGAGCCATTTCGAGAACAGGCAGCACCAACCTCTGACAGCCTTTGGTTTGAGAGCACGTGAGACTTCACACGTTTATAAATCACAATCTTAAACAGTTCCTCTTTCACTAATAACAAAACTGTTTAAAAGGAGCTGAAAATAAACTTATTACGCTGGAAGAACACCCATTTTGAGTTTTACCATAATCAGAACTTCCAATATCTTTTCCAAGAAACATTTAAGAGGTTTGCACATGCACTCGTGTACACATGCAAGAAAGATCCACTTCAGCACAATCATTAACGCTGGAAGGAAAACAGTTGTTACCTTATAAACGATTAAATGGAGCTCTTCATAAGTGTCATCTGTATTTACAAAAATTTTGGGGAATCTGCATTTTGCATCTGGATCATTGAGGTTCAAGGGTCCGGTAAGAAATCTTAAAAGCAAGAACAGACATGACTTGATTCAACGAGGTGAAGGAGAATCAGGAATCTAGAAACAGAACACACTCCCACTTCATACACACCAGTTGCTTTTGATGCCAGGTGCTATTTGGCAAACACCATATCAGAATATGCTGGCTGGGCGTGGTGGCTCATGCCTGTAATCCCAGCACTTTGGGAGGCTGAGCTGGGTGGATCACCTGAAGTCAGGAGTTCAAGGGCAGCCTGGCCAACATGGCAAAACCTCGTCTCTACTAAAACTACAAAAATTAGCTGGTCGTGGTGGTGGGCACCTGCAATCCCAGCTACTCAAGAGGCTGAGGCAGGGGAATTGCTTGAACCTAGGAGATGGAGGCTGCAGTGAGCTGAGATCGTGCCACTGTACTCCACACTCCAGCCTGAGCGACAGAGAGACACTCCATCTCAAAAAAAAAAAAAAAAAAAAAAAAAAAAAAAAAGGGTATGCTGAAGTAAGTTTTAACTCATTGGAAACAACAAACTTTCCTTTGTTGATTACTGTCAATCAGATGGCACAAAGATATTTCAATGTCCATATTATCTTTACCAAAAAGATAATAGGCCACGCATGGTGGATCACACCTGTAATCCCAGCACTTTGGGAGGCCAAGGCAGGTGGATCACTTGAAGTCAGGAGTTCAAGACCAGCCTGGCCAACATGATGAAACCCTGTTTCTACTAAAAATACAAAATGAATTACCCAGGCATAGTGGCTCATGCCTGTAGTTCCAGCTACTTGGGAGGCTGAGGCATGACAGTCACTTGAGCCCGGGGAGGCGGAGGTTGCAGTGAGCGGAGATCTTGCCACTGCTCTCCAGCCTGGGTAACAGAGCCAGACTCTGAGTCAAAAAAGAAAGAAAACCCAGTATCATAAATCAAAGAACAGAAGTCCTACCTTCCATAGTGTTGAAGATTTCCTGGCATTTCTGCTCTTATTGGAGAATCCCTTCCTGCTAACTGCAAATACATTTAATGTTGAGAATGACTTATCAGACTTTTTATTTATTTTCCAAGCTTTGAAAAACAGCATTATCTACTAATTGGTTCCATGCCATTTGTCTTTTTCTTTTAGAGACAGGATCTTGTTCTGTTGCCCAGGCTGGAATGCGTGCAGCATGATCATGGCTCACTGCAGCCTTGAACTCCTAGGCTCAAGCAATCCTCCCACCTCAGCCTCCTGATAGAGGCATGTGTGACCAAACCTGGCTAGTTTTTAAATTTTTGGCCAGGTGAGGTGGCTCATGCCTATAATCCCAGCACTTTGGGAGGCCAAGGCAGGCAGATTACTTGAGCCCAGGAGTTTGAGAATAGCCTGGGCAACATGACGAGATCCCATCTCTACAAAAAATTAGCCAGGTGTGGTGGCACACACCTGTAGTCTCAGCTACTTGGGAGGCTGAGGTGACACGACCGCTTGAGCCCAGGAGTTTGAGACCATGCGAGTCAACAAAGTGAGACCTCGTCTCTTAAAAAAAAACTTGGAAAGCAGGAGGACAAGAGGGAGGGAACGAACAAGCGAAGAGAGTGAGTTCAACTGAGCCAAAATGATTTTTGTATGTTAAGCTCTGAAAATACTTTGGGGAGAACACAGTGATATCATTTAAAAGTTCTCTGCAGGAAACCGGGAAATTAAGTACTAGAGTGGAAAGCCGGGTAGGCACTAAAACATCTACTGAAAATTAGGTCTCCTGTTGATAGAGGAAAAGACTACACAAGTCGATTGTTTTAAAGATCACTGGCATTTTAAAGGTTCCTAGAACCCGATCTAAAATCCAATTTTTTGGCCAGGAGCAGTAGCTCACGCCTGTAATCCCAGCACTTTGGAAGGCTGTGGCGGGTCAATCACCTGAGGTCAGGAGTTCGAGACCAGCCTGGCCAACATGGTGAAACTCCGTCTCTACTAAAAATATAAAAATTAGCCGGGCATGGTGGCAGGTGCCTATAATCTCAGCTACTCGGGAGCCTGAGGCCGGAGAATTGTTTGAATCCAGGAAGCGGAAGTTGCAGTGAGCTGAGATTGCACTACTGCACTCCAGCCTGGGCGAAAAGAACAAAACTCTGTCCCAATAAATAAATAAATAAATAAATAAATAAATAAATAAATAAATAAAATAAAATACATAAATTAAAAGTAAAGTAAAATCCAATTTTCCTCTACTCAATGACTCACTCCTCTTAAAAACATGCTTGTGGACTGGGGGCGGTGGCTCACGCCTGTAATCCCAGCACTTTGGGAGGCCAAGGTGGGCAGATCACAAGGTCAGGAGTTCGAGACCAGCCTGGCCAACATAGTGAAACCTGTCTCTACTAAAAATACAAAAAAATTAGCTGGGCGTGGTGGCAGGCACCTGTAATCCCAGGTACTTGGGAGGCCGAGGCAAGGAGAATTGCTTGAACCTCTCCATCCCAGGCGAAAGTTCGAGACTCCGTCTCAAAAACCAAACAAACAAAAACACACACAAAAAAACCAACACACAGACACACAAAACGATGCTTTCTGTATCACATCTGAATGTCACATACTGGAGGAGAGCTGCATGTGGTTTTCTGTGCTAATTGATATACAGTGACACAAATATCACAGTAAGACAAAACATACATCAGAAACGATCAGAAACGCCCCCATGCACCACCATCTCACTCCACCTGCCCTCTCTGTGCCCCTGCATGTAATTGTGCGCAGCTATGGTACCCATCATACCTCAGGTTCGATGTGCCTTGGAAAAAGGGAGGTGGTAAGGTATTTGTATAAAATTCTCATGTCATCTTGTTCTAATCCACTCCTGCAACAACAGAAAAGCACTGGGTTAAACGTTTGGAACTGTCTTCTGTCTTTCCACTGCTGTGATAAAGCTCATTAAACAAAAATTTTTTTTTCAAGTCATTTTTAGTAACACAGAATAAATTCTAACTTTTTAAAGTCTAAAGCTACTTAAAACTCAAAGCAATCTATTTTTGTACCTGAGATCAAAATGAGTTTCCTTTTTCCTAAACATAATTCTTAGCATTGAGGTAAATCTGAATTTACGTGGTATACTTTGTCAAACTTTTCCAAAGAATTTGAAGCCCTGGATAAAACTCATTTTTTATTAAAAAAAATTTTTTTTTCTTTTTTTTTTTGAGACAAGGTCTTGCTCTGTCACCCAGGCTGGAAGCAGTGGTGCGATCATGGCTCACTGCAGCCTTGGCCTCCAGGGCTCAAGCGGTCCTCCCATCTCAGCCTCCAGACTAGCTGGGACTACAGGCATGCGCCACCATCAGCTAATTTTTGTATTTTATGTAGAGATGGGGGTCTTGCTACGTTGCCAGGCTGGTTTCGAACTGCTGGACTCAAGCAGTGCTCCCGCCTCAGCCTCCTAAAGTGCTGGGATTACATATGTGAGCCACTGTGCCTGGCCTCATCTTTTTTCATTTTTCAAGAGATGAGTCTCGTCTGTCGCCCAGGCTGGATTACAGTGGTGTGACCACAGCTTGCTGCAGCCACCGATTCCCAGGCTCAAGCGAACCTCCCACCTCAGCCTCCTGAGTAGCTGGGACTACTGGTGCTTTTCTCTTTAACATTATATCAAGAGGCTCACCACCTGACTGCGAAGTTAAGGAAGGTAAAGGGTTAAACTTGAGTCCAGGCACTGGAACTTTATCCTGACCTGCAAAAGGCTACTCCTACAGTCCTGTATTTTACATGCCATTTGAGATAAAAAAAAAAAAAAAGTCACAAGGGATTGGACTCGCTGGTTGAATTCCGTGTAGGATTATGCAGGAAACCTCCAAAGCCACACTGTTTCATTTTAGGAGCAGATGTCTCTTAGCTTCCTGGGTTATATGGTAATGCCACATTCTCTCCCCTAGTCCCCTGGGAAAATATGGGTATGCTGTAGACAGGGAACGTGATCCTAGGTCTCAGAAATGTACATGGATTTTAATTCTCCGGATCTTCGGTGAAGAAAGAGGAGGAGGAGAAAAACAAGCTTTCAGGCAAACCACCTGATCTGAAATGAGGCAGGAAGGAGCAGCACATGGAAAAAGCACAGAGAAACTAGCAGGTATCAGACTCTGGAACCGGTTTTTTAAAAGGAGACAGACAATGAGGCTGGATCTGGGCGTTTTCTATTCAAGATCACTGAAATACCGTGAAGGTGGTCGGGCGCGGAAGCTCACACCTGTAATCCCAGCACTTGGGGAAGCCAAGGTGAGCAGATCACCTAAGGTCAGGGGTTCAACACCAGCCTGGCCAACATGGCGAAACACCGTCTCTACTAAAAAATATAAAAATTTGCTAGGCCTGATAGCACACACCTCTAATCCCAGCTACTTGGGAGACTGAGGCATGAGAATCGCTTGAACCTGGGAGGCGCAGGTTGAAGTGAGCTGAGATCACATCACTGCACTCTAGCCTGGGCAACCAAGCCAATGAGACTCAGTCTCAAAAAAAAAAAATCAAAGCAATATACTAAGTAAATACATAAGGGTAATATATACTCTGCTTGTGACAAGTTTTTTTTTCCACTTTTTGGTAGAGACAGAGCCTCATTATATTGTCCAGGCTGGTCTCCAAGTAACTCCTGGCTCAAGCGATCCTTCTGCCTCCTCCTCCCCAGTAGCTGGGACTATAGGTATGTGCACCACGCCTGGCTTAAAAGTCTTTTTGGTATTTAATATAACAGCTTTGGAATAAGCAATTCCGTCAAAACGTGCTGTTTTTCTTTTTCTTAGACAGGGTCTTGCTCTGTCACCCAGGCTGGAGTACAGTGGTGCTATCATAGCTCACTGCAACCTCAAACTTCCAGGCTCAAGTGATTCTCCAGCCTCAACCTCTGTAGTCTCTGTAGTTGGGACTCTAAGTGCACACCACAATGCCCAGCTATTTTTTTTTTTTTCCATTTTTTGTAGATACAGTCTCACTATGCTGCCCAGGCTGGTCTTGAACTCCTGGTCTCAAGTGATCCTCCTGCCTCAGCCTCCCAAAGTGCTGGGATGACAGGTGTAAGCATTGGCGCCTGTTTTGCTTGAAGGTTATTTTTGTTGCTACTTCCTGGGACTGACCTTTCCCCACGAGCACACTGGAGGTGACAACAGAACAGTTCTGTGCAGCCACCAGAGCTGTGCCCTGCTCAACCCCTCAGATGCTATTCCAAGATGACGATGCCAACAGGATCCCCAGAGCTGGGCGCCAGATTGTCCTGTGACTCCAGGCTTCAAAGGGCCAACCCTGCTGGTCACTCTGGCTCCAGGGTCTCCCAGAATGAGCTCCTGGAAGACCCTCTGCTCTAAGCCTTCCCTCTTCCTCACTCTCAGGAGTTTGCACCCATGGCGGGGCTTGTGTTCTGTCCCAGAGATCAGAATCTCAGCTACCCTTCTCTTTTTGGTGGAAGCAAGGCCATGGGCCACTACTGCTGGATTCTGGCTTGTCACATGACATCTCCCTATCGCTGTGGCTGCGTGTGACTTGCAAGCACGTCCTGTCATTTCCATCTGTGGAGGAGCCATCCCTCTGCAGACCTGATGCTACAGAAGCACAACTAGCCTCCCATCTCCTACATTTCACAGCAGAATTTCACTTTAGTAACATTGTGTACATATCACAGAAAGCAACTATAGCTGAGTCAGTACAGTGTAAGGTTGCCTGATAAACTATTTGTCAAATTAGAAAGTAGGTGGAGGCGGGGCACAGTGGCTCACACCTGTAATCCCAGCACTGGGAGGCCAAGGTGGGCGGATCCTTTGAGGTCAGGAGTTCGAGACCAGCCTGGCCAACATGGTAAAACCCCATCTCTACAAAAAAATTAGCTGGGTGTTGTGGTATGCACCTGTAATCCCAGCTACTCGGGAGGCTGAGGCAGGAGAATTGCTTGAACCCAGGAGGCAGGGGTTGCAGCAAGCCAAGATCATGCCACTGCACTCCAGCCTGGGCAACAGAAAGCGACTCCATCTCAAAAACAAAAAAAAAAGTAGATGGGTTTCACCCGAAATTTCTGTTGTCTTCCTAGGAGATAAAGTTCATGTGGAAACCCACCAAGTTGTTTATTAACTGGATTCAAATTTCTTTACAGTAACTTGTTTCTCTTCTTAAAATGGAGCTACAAGATTTTGGCAGGGAAGGTAAATTTTAGGGGAACTAGTTTTGCCTTTTCTATTAGCTGAATTTACCTTATAGTAGTACCATATGGCCACACCCCTAATTAAGAAACTGGGCTAGGCCAGGTGCAGTGGCTCACACCTGTAATCGAGGCACCTTGGGAGGCCTATGCAGGGGAATCACCTGAGGTCAGGGGTTTAGGACCAGCCTGGCCAACATGGTAAAACCTTGTCTGTACTGAAAATACAAAAATTAGCCGGGCATGGTGGCATATGCCTGTAATCCCAGCTACTTGGGAGGCTGAGGCAGGAGAATCGCTTGAACCCAGGAAGGGGAAGTTGCAGTGAGCCAAGATCGCGCCACTGTACTCCAGCCTGGCAACAGAGTGAGACTCCGTCTCAAAAAAAAAAAAAAAAAAGAAAGAAAGAAAGTGGGCTCTAGTCAACGGGAACATAAAACTTGAGGGTCCCAGAACAGCTGCAAGCCTTGATGACTTCTGTCCACCTACTCTAGGCCAAATGTGCACAACCTCGGTTGCCACCCAGCTCTCAGGGGTCACATATGCTGGGCAGTCTTGTGCCCACGTTGTTCCTACTGCAGGACACAAACCTAGTTTCACGATAGCAGGTAATTTCCTGGTTTATATAACACTTTGGATTTCTTGGATTAAAAAAAAAGAAATCTAGTTTCTTTAAAAGAAAGTAGGTGCAGTGGCTCGTGCCTGTAATCCCAGCACTTTGGGAGGCTGAGGCGGGTGGATCGCTTGAGGCCAGGAGTTTGAGACCAGCCTGGGCAACACAGTAAACCCCGTCTCTATAAGAAAGAAAAAAAAAAAAAAAGGTATAAAAATTCTGCTTTTATCATTTCAGAAAAAAAAAAAAACTCCAAAATAAAAACAGGATTCCTAAACCTTACTTGATAGGAACATTTTCTCTTTTTTTTTTTTTTTTTTTTTTTTTTGGAGACAGAGTCTCTCTCTGTTGCCAGGCTGGGGTACAGTGGTGCCATCTCGGCTCACTGCAACCTCCGCCTCCCGGGTTCAAGTGATTCTCCTGCCTCAGCCTCCTGAGTAGCTGGGATTACAGGCATGCACCACCACGCCCAGCTACTTTTTGTATTTTTAGTAGAGACAGGGTTTCACTATGTTGACCAGGCTGGTCTCCAACTCCTGACCTCGTGATTCACCCGCCTCAGCCTCCCAAAGTGCTAAGATTACAGGTGTGAGCCACCGTGCCCAGCCTTTCATCTTTCATGCAACCAGTTTTAAACTCCTCTGCTTGGAAATTTGAACCCAAATCACCCTAGTTCTGCTTTAAATAATCACTGCTTTATTTTGACAATATCTATGAAGATGCTTCCTACCCATCCTCCCCGCTGCAAGTTCCTGTTTGACAACCTGTCATCAATCCAGTCACTGCTGTTTTTATTATCTTAATTTCTTCTTTTAATACCATGCCTCGGGGTGTACCTACCAGATGAGCTGATCGTTATAGAGAAAAGCAGTGTATTTGACTATATTCAGGCTTTCCTCCATTCTATTAATAAAGGACTGGATTTTCAAATAAGTCATTTTATCCAACGGGAAGAAGCTGATTCCACCAAAAATGTCAAGTAGGTCACATGACTGCAAATGTAGCGTTTGCAAATACTGTGGGAAAAAAAATAAGGCATAAAATTTACTAATAGTACACTGAATATAATGCTCCTTGATAACTGAAAATAATCTTATGTCAGACTCACATTTATGGTACAATTACATACTAGCAAACAGCGCAACAATGAGGCCGTGGTGAAGACATGGGTAACTGAGTGCCAACTCAGTCTCAGTACCAATTCCAAGATACAAAGTTCAAACATATCTACTTAATGTTTATTCAGTATTGTGTTTTACTGCTTTAAATTTATTTTTTTGTGACAGAGTCTTGCTCTGTCATCCAGGCTGGAGTGCAGTGGTGCGATCTCAGCTCACTGCAAGCTCCGCCTTCCAGGTTCACACCATTCTCCTGCCTCAGCCTCCTGAGCAGCTGGGACTACAGGCGCCTGCCACCATGCCCAGCTATTTTTTTCCATTTTTAGTAGAGATGGGGTTTCACCATGTTAGCCAGGATGGTCTCAATCTCCTGACTCGTGATCTGCCTGCCTCGGCCTCCCAAAGTGCTGGGATTAGAGGTGTGAGCCACCACGCCTGGCCAAAAATTTTTTTTTTTTTTTTTGGTATAGACAGAGTCTTGCTATGTTGCCTAGGCTGGTCTTGAACTTCTGGCCTCCGTGATTCTCGTGTCTAGGCGTCCCAAAGCGCTGGGAATACAGGCATGAGCCACTGTGCCCAGCTAGCACTTTCAAGTTTTTAATTCCTGGCCAGGCACAGCGGCTCGCGCCTGTAATCCCAGCCCTTTGGGAGGCCAAGGCGGGCACATCACTTGAGGTCAGGAGTTTGAGACCAGCCTCGCCAACATGACAAAACCCCGTCTCTAATAAAATTACAACATTAGCCGGGCGTGGTAGCCTGTAATCCCAACTATTCAGGAGGCTGAGACAGGAGAATCACTTGAACTTGGGAGACTAAGGTTGCAGTGAGCCAAGATCACACCATTGCACTCTAGCCTGGGTGACAAGAGTAAGATTCTGTCTCAAAAAAAAAAAAAAAAAAAAATTAACTCCCTGCCTTAATGCTCTTCAAATTAGACTAACCTAATGAGGGATCTATCCATTAATACTACAGAGAGTGCCATCTTTATTTCCCCCCCCGAGATGGAGTCTTGGTCTGTCACCCAGGCTGGAGTGCAGCGGTGTGATCTCGGCTCACTGCAACCTCGCCTCCGGGGTTCAAGCGATTCTCCTGCCTCAGCCTCCAGAATAGCTGGGATTACAGGCGTGCGCCACCACGCCCAGCTAGTTTTTTGGTATTTTTTAGTAGAGATGAGGTTTCACCATGTTGGCCAGGCTGGTCTCGAACTCATGACCTCAAGATCTGCCCGCATCGGCCTCCCAAAGTGGTGGGATCACAGGCGTAAGCCACCACACCCAGCCAAGAGTGCCATCTTATACTAAAATCATGTCTAAATGATATGTACTCAGGACAACAGTTCTATCCATATGTTGATGGGTAAGAGAGAAATGAGGACAAGAACAGAAACCAGGAGATAATATGCGAGTGGATAACTGTGGTCATTAAAATGACAAAACAAAGAAAAGTAATTCAGAGAAACAAAAAAATTCAAAAATAGCTATGAAAGCTGTTTTAGAAAGTCGAATTCAAAAATAGATACAGAAGGTATTTTCAGAAGAAAATAAATTGAGAATTGTTGCTTCGAGATAAACTAGGCTGGGCGAGTTGGCTCATGCCTTTAACCCCAGCACTTTGGGAGGCCAAGGAGGGAAGATCGCTTGAAACCAGCCTGGGCAAAACAACCAAGACAAGACCCTGTCTCTTTGTTTCCTTTTAAAAAAAAGATAAACTGAGCTTGACAAGGTAGGGTGAAACATGCAAAATTCAATTACAACGAAAGAGGACAGCACTTGGAACAAATCTCCCCAATCGCTAATCTGACAAAGTCTGTCAAGGCCAGTAACTCTTACCTACATCAAGACGGTTCACGCCCGTTTAGTGAACAGAACCAATCCCTGAGATTGTGCAACTCCAATAATTAAGTTTTCCTTATCAACTAATCTATCACACAAAAGATGGCTGCTGAGTAAGCCCAGAAGGACAGATGCAGGTAAAACACAGGGAGGCCAAACGATGTCTCCAGGACCCTTTAAGAGCCCCGGGCAAACGCAGGAAGCTCTGCCTTACACCACAGCTGGAGGGAAGGTTCCAGAGCACAAGCCTCATGCGTTTCCTCGCTGCTCCAGTTTTGCGACGGTCTGTCTCAGGCTCTTTGCCACTTTCAAGTTCTGGGTTTTTTGTATATAAGAAACAAACTTGTCTGTCTATATTTCTCTAAAAACCTGCTGAATGCTTACTAAAGTTATAAATGAAATTCAAAATACTTACCCGATGGAAGAATTTCTCTAATCTTTCTTTCAGAAGCTTGACGCCTCCGTCTTCCATGGCTTTCAGAAATGTACCATTAAAAAGCTAGTGAGGTAAAAGATTGCAGGAAAAAAAATCAGTTTCCTATGCTCACTTTTTCAGTATAACAAGTTCTTTTTTTCCTTTAGATTATTAATTCAGCTCATTAAATCTCCCAGTTCTTTCCAACAGAGAATATTTACATGAGAAAACTTGAGTTAAAAATGTAAGTTACAAAAAATACTGTTAAGTGATGCTGTCTTATTTATGAAACCACCTAATTGCTCTAGGCATCTTTCAAAAATTTCAACTTACCCTGAAGTTTCAATTTACATACATAATATCACCCACATTTCTGTTTTTTTATTTTTCAGTGTTCTGTTAATAAATGGAATCACCAAACTTTTTATCCTTTTTTTTTTTTTTTTTGAGATGGAATCTCGCTCTGTTGCCCAGGGTAGAGTGCAGTGGTGCAATCACAGTTCACTGCAGCCTCGACCTCCAAGGCGCGAGCGATCCTCCCACCTCAGCCTCCCAGGTAGCTGGGACTACAGGCATGCACCATGATACCTGGCTAACTTTTATAAAAATTTTTTGTAGAGATGGGTTCTTGCTATATTGCCCAGACTGGTCCTGAACTCCTGGGCTCAAGCAATCCTCCCACCTTAGCCTCCCAGAATGCTGAAATTACAGGTGTGATCCACTGTGCCCTGCCTCACTGAAACTTTTAAATCATAAAATTATCTGCATTCTGTACATTCCTTGAGCACATAGACACACTTTTTCATCAATGGGGACACATTCCTACTATAAGGCTGAGAAAAGAGAAGGGAGTTCAATACTTACTGAATAAATGTAGGCATAAACCTCACTACCTGTTTCAAAGGCCTCATTATTTTCTTCTCTAAGACAAATACAGAGTCACTTTGCAGTCATTTACAGATTTCTCTTTAAACAACCCTGGAGCCTAGAGATAGGGGTAAGTGGCTGGACTCTGAGTTGAGAAAGAACGCCACGCTTACCTTGTACATGCTGTAGCACTGCCGCAGCACCGAGCTATAAACCTTGTCCTGCAGACGCGAAAACACAGCACACAGCTCAGTTCAAGGGAAAAACAATGTCTACTGGATAGATGGCAAAGGTACACTAACTCTTGGCCAAACAGTATAATGTTTATAAACTTTGTCCCACAATAGTTGCGTGCTGAAAAAAAAGTGTTTGCGTTCTTTTTTTTTTTTTTTTGAGATGGAGTCTCGCTCTGTTGTCCAGGCTGGAGCGCAGTGGTACAATCTTGGCTCACTGCAACATTTGCGTCCCCGGTTCAAGCGATTCTCCTGCCTCAGCCTCCTGAGAAGCCGGGATGACAGGTGTGCGCCACCATCCCTGGCCAGTTTTTGTAGTTTTAGTAGAGACAGGGTTCCGCCATATTGGCCAGGCTGGTCTCGGACCCCTGACCTCAAGTAATCTGCCTGCCTTGACCTCCCAAAGTACTAGGATTACAGGTGTGAGCCACTGTTCCCAGCCAGAAGTGTTTAAACTCTAATTTGTGAATCAGTAAGCCTTACTTTAGGAGGGCTTTCAATATAAATGAAGAGTAGAAGGTATTAGTGAGATTGGGTGCATATACATTTTAAAAAGATTGTGCTCATGTAAATGATAAACATAAACCTTTGCTATATACCCCGAGAAACTTCTGCAAAAGCCTCCTAGTTTAAATCCGACCAAGTAAGGCATTCAACATACTCAGCAATACATTTAAAAAAATAAATAAATAAACAAACAATGACACATTACCAACAACTCCTCCTCTTGATATTCAATAACTGGTTTTCCATCTTTACTCTGTTTTTCAATTATAGGATTCCGAACAACCTACAAAGTTTGATAAACTGAAATTATACAATGAATTCATTAGACCATGTTTATTTTGCCTTAATTTAAAAACTTTGAACATGCTACAGCATCAGAAACATAGCTTCTTAAAACAGCCCCAAGAATGAATAAAGCAAATAGGAAGAACTTGATTTTAAAATTGCAACCAATTTTATTTTAATTTTACTTGGATGCAACAGCCAGAGAACTTTCCTAAATTCTGAACAGTAAAGATCACCCATAACTTCACCATACAATTTCAGAAAGATACACTGTGTATGTAAATACCATGACCATCCAGAAATTTTCTTCTGGTTCATTGAAGAACTGTCTGTTCTTCTGTGTATGTAAAGATTTTGCAGGTTTTGATGGGCTAAATGTCCTACAAAGGTTAAAAAAATATGTTTGGGACAATTCTCCAGCAGCAGTTTTAAGAATTCACTGAACGCTAAAAGCACACTTAGAGGTATTACCTTGTAAACTGTACAATAGCTTCACACAATCCGACATTTCTAATCTTCTCATTCTTTTCTACCTCATTTGGATGATAAAATAAAATCTTATTTTCCTCCTGAAACATGAGGAAACAGAAGCACAACATGAATAGAAACATTTCATCTTAGCTATTGAAAACGCTAAGTTCAATGTCGACCTCTTGTGTCACACATGCTAATGACAAAACAAAACAAAAACCGGTTTTAGAAAAACAGGAATTGTAATCCTAGTATTTTCAGAGGCTGAGGCGGGAGGATCACTTGAGCTCAGGAGTTCAAGACCAGCATGGCAACACAGTGAGACGTCTCTATTATTTAAAATAAGAAGAAGAACAGGAATGATCTCATCATTGTGCAAATACTGCCCACCAGTCAGAAAGGCAATTTCGATAGTCAGTAAGTCACATCTGAAGTAGCACCAGGTAATTTTTATGAAAACTCAAGTCTCTAGGTTTCTTTCCTAGTGCTAATTTGTAATACACCAATGCTTGTAAGAAATAAAGGTGTGCCCATCTGCAGACACATAGCTCCCTGAAAATTAAATCCAGTCAGTTCCCAGCCATTTGAACTGACAAGTTGCTTTTTTTTCTTTTTCTGGAGATGGGGTCTGTGCTGCCCAGGCTGTAGTGCAGTGGCGCTATTACAGCTCACCTGCAGCCTCAATCACTTGGGCTCAAGCGATCCTCTGGCCTCAGCCTCCTGAGTAACTGGAAATACAGGTGCGTGCCACCACGCCCGGCTCACTTTTCAATTTTTTTTTTTTTTGTAGAGTTGGGGGTCTTGCTATGTTGCCCAGGCTGGTCTGGAACCCCTGGCCTCAAGCAATCCTCCCATCTCGGCCTCCTAAAGTGCTGGGATTACAGGCGTGAGTCACAGCGCCCAGCCTGGACAGTCTTTAACAGAAGTCTGACTTGCTGGAAACAAAACACAGCTCCGGACATCCTTTGAGAAAGTCGCCGTCCCCACCTCAGAAAAACCACACACACACACACACACACACACACACACACACACACACACACACACCCCCCTCCCGAAATTAATTTATTTCCTCATTTGGGCGAAAACTATTACAGGGACCTCCAGGCTTGCATCATTTGAAGGCTAGCGTCTGCCACCCTGGTTCCACGCTTCTAGTTGGGGACTACCCACTTAACAAAGCCAAGTTCAATTTTAATTTCCCAGAACTGACGCAAAGCAAAGCGCAAAGAGCCTCAACCTGGGGTGTGGAGTGATATAGACCCGACGGGGCTTTATTCCATCGACCTAGGACCTGAAGCGGTCCCTGCCTGCTGTCAGGTCCCCGCCGCAGCCCCCTGCCCGGACTCGCACCTGGCACAATGCAGGCTAGGTCAGTGCCCCTCGAGGTGGGCAGAACCACAGGGCCACCTTCCCGGGGAACACCGGCGCCGCCCGCCCGCGCGCCGCCCCCTCCGCATACCTGTCCTTCGCGCGGCCCGAAGCGCGGGTTGTAGATGAAGAAACTCAGCAGCGCCGGCGGGAACTGCTTCTCCTGGGCCGCCCAGGGCCCGCTCCCGGCCCCGGCCGCCGCTGCAGCCATCCCGCCCCGGCCCCCACCTCGGGAGCCTCCCACGGCCCGCCCAGAGACAGCAGCCACCGGCTAAAACACCGCACTTCCGCCTCCGTCGCCACCGCCCCGGAAGCGCTCGCCGCAGGCCCGGAAAAAGAATCCGCCTCGCAGCGTCCTCTTCAGGCACCCCCGGGTGGCTGTTTCCTGGCCGAGTTTGTGTTTTCCTGGCTCGCGGAGTTTTCTCCTGGCTACAGGCGAGGGCTGCGCGTTTCAGGAAAAACCGAGCGGGCACTGTTTTTTTTTTGTTGTTGTTTTTTCTGATAGGGTCTCAGTTTGTCATCCAGGCTGGAGTGTAGTGGCGCGATCTCAGCTCACTGCAGCCTCAACGTCCGAGACTCAAGCAATCCCCCTGCCTCAGCCTCCCAAGTAGCTAGGATTACAGGCGCGCGCCACCAAGGCCAGTTTTATTTTTTTGTAGAGGTGGGGTCTGTGTTGCCCAGGCTGCTCTCGAACTCCTGGCCTCAAATGGTCTCCCACTTCGGCCTCCCAAAGTGCTCCGATTACAGGCGTGAGACACCACCGCCCAGCCTGTTGTTGTTTTGGTGGTATTGTTTTAAATTTAATTTAGAGACAAGATCTCGCTTTGTCACCCAGGTTGCAGTGCAGTGGTGCCATCATAGCTCACTGCAGCCTCAACTCCTGGGCTCAAGGGATCTTCCCACCTCAGCCTGAGGAGTAGCTGAGACCACAGGCATGCACTACCATGCCCAGATAATTAAAAAATAGATAGATAGATAGTAGAGACAGGGTCTCACTTTGTTGCCCCGGCTGCTCTCTAACTCTTGGCATCAGGGGATCCTCCTGCCTCTGCTACTGGATGGAAGGTCTTGACCGTGGATTGCCCAGGTTCTTGGCTTGTTGAACACAGAACTGAACAAAATGCAATGCACAAAGTAACAAAAGAACAAAGCAACGAAAAGAAACAAAAGAAAAAACTGAAGTAAGGAAGAAACAGATTTATTGAAGCGAAAGTACAACTCACAGAGCAGGAGCAAGCTAGAGCAAACAGCTCAAGAGCCCCCATTAGGATTTTTATTAAGCTGGAAGAATTAGGTAACGCCCCTAGGTGCCCGTTAGAGGTCTCCGATTGGTTACACCCTCTGAAGGATTGGCCTGTGACCAATCAGAGGCTGAAGTGGAGACGCGCACCCGCCCCCCCCCCCCCCCCCGTCAATCAGAGGCTGTCACCCTCCCCCCCGCCCCCCCCCCCGTCGTCCATCAATCAGCCTCTGATTGAGGGAATGAACACGTGGCCTCTATGCTGCCTAATCTTGCCTAGAACTGGCTGCACCTGCTGTTCTTTTGTTTATGCCTTAACCCTTGGTTACCCTCATTCCCTATTCTGCCTCACCTGCCCTCCCAAAGTGCTGGGATTACAGATGTGAGCCACCCACACCAGGTCCATTGTTTTGTTTTTAGTTTATTTAAAAAGTATTTTATTCTAAAACAGCACTTTGCTCTGTTGCCCAGGCTGGATTGCAGTGGCCAGATCAGACGTCACTGCAGCCTGGAACTCCTGGGCTCAAGTGATCCTCCCACCTCAGCCTCCCGAATAGCTGGGACCACAGGTGCATGCCACCATGGCTGGCTAATTTTTAAATTTTTCGTAGAGCTGGGGTCTCACTATGTTAACCCAGGCTGGTCTCGAACTCCTGGACTCAAGTGATCCACTGGCCTTGGGCTCTCCAAGTGCTGGGATTGTAGGCATAAGCCCCTGTGCCATGGCAGTTTTTTTTGTAGAAGGAAATGTAGAGACACAAAGGAAGCCTCATTTAGAAATAAACAAGGCTAGCCACGGTGGCTCATAGCTGTAATCCCAGCACTTTGGGAGGCCAAGGTGGGTGGATCACTTGAGGCCCGGAGTTCCAGACCAGCCCCGTCTCTACTAAAATACAAAAAACTAGCCAGGCGTGGTGGCACATGCCTGTGGTTCCAGCTACTTGGGAGGCTTGAGGCAGAAGAATTACTTGAACCCAGTAGGTGGAGGTTGCAGTGAGCCAAGATTGCACCACTACACTCCAGCCTGGGCAACAGATCCAGACCCTGTCTCAACAAAAAAAAAAAAAAAAGAAAGAAAGAAAGAAGAAAAGAAAGAAAAGAAACACACTTAAGGGCAGATGTGCATTCCGTTTGGCCCATTAACATCATCTACAGAGTCCTTGTTTGAGAGACCTCAAGTGACCACTGGATCACCCACACCTACAAAGTTTGCCCCTTTCCCCCATTCCTTCAGCGCAGGTCTGGAGGCAGATGGGGCACCGTGTGTGCCACGGGAGCAATATCAGAGGTGGCAGACTCCCCAGAGTGGCTGTTCCTGGACCTTGCTGCCTGGGATTCCCTTGCCTTTGAGGTGTGTGGGTTGTGGCATAGTTGGGATGGCTTGTTACAGTTATGTGGATTCAAGCCTTGGCAGCATATGGTTTGACCAAGCTCAAGAAGACTTTGGTTTAGATTGCCTTATCTGTCACATATTAAGTTTGGAAGCAGAACCACTTCCCTTATCCAGCCTGGCAGAATAGACCACTTTTAGGGAAGTGATGAGTTGGAATTTGGACTGGAGACAGATCTGGGTACATATCCACTTTTGCCACTCACCGACTGCACCAATCTCCTTGCACCAAAGAAGAGATGGAGACTCTCTTGTCTGTATCTCTTATTTGGAAAATGGCTAATAGTAAATTCCTGCCAAGTGAGAGTTTCACTTGAAGAGTTAAATGGGACTATGAATGTGCATCAGGTGCCAGCACCTCATCATTATTTCATAAACGATTGCTACTGCTCCTTGCTATTGACTTTCCCAATTAGCTTGCTCTAGTGCATGAAATTATTCCATGAGAAATACATGTTTTGGCTGGGTGTGGTGGCTCATGCCTGTAATCCCAGCACTTTGGGAGGCCGAGGCTGGCAGATCACTTGAGGTCAGGAGTTTGAGGCCCAACATGGTGAAACATCGTCTCTACTAAAAAATAAAAATAAATAGCCATGCGTGGTGGCAGGTGCCTGTAGTCCCAGCTACTCGGGAGACCGAGGCAGGAGAATTGCTTGAACCTGGGAGGCGGAGGTTGCAGTGAGCTGAGATTGCGCCACTGCACTCCAGCAGCGGGATGGAGTGAGACTCTGCCTCAAAAAATAAATAAATAAATAAATAAATAAATAAATAAATAAAAATAAAGCACAAGGTGCTATACAAGTGAGTGAGATTAATATTTTATAGTATGAGTCACAGTTTCTCCCAGGATACCTCTGTGTCCTTGTACATGTTTGCCTCTCCCTTCCTCCCACATAGAATTCATTGCAGGAGGCATCGAAAGAGGGAGATGACAAAAAACAAAATTAAACATGCAGAGATCAAAGAAAAGAACATGCTTTTATGGTTTCAAAGTTAAGGATGCAAGAACGCTTAGAGCTCAATGCATCTGCCTCTCCAAACACAGTCCTTGGGTGTGGACGGGTACGAGGCAGGAGTGGTAGTGATGACAGATACCCGCATAGGTTTGGAGGTCTCAGAGGAGAGGGTGTGTGTGTCTTTCTCCCTGGGGAAGCTGGGGGAGGTGGTGAGCTTTGCAGAGTTCCCCTCTGGGTCCAGCATGGCTCAGTAACAGTAGAGTAACCAGGGAACAGGGGTATCTGGACGAGATATCCTTATTGTTCAGGAAGAAGCTGAATGATTTACTTGTGCATAAAAGGAATTCAGAGAAAGCCAGTGCTGAGAAGCCTCAAGGTCAGGACCAGGAGGAGGTAGCAGTGGCCCCTCAAGACCACGAGAGTAGAGAGGATTGAGGATGACTCTGTGTTCACTATTCGGACTGAGAATACTCCAGTCCCATCTGGGGCCTCGACTCTCTCCCCCAGCCTATGGTAAGAAGGGAGAAGAGGTTGCTTAATTACCTGACATAATTAAGATTCTGACTCCCAGCACAATGGGAATTCGAATCAAGTTCAGTTACAGAAATAGAAGTTAGACGTTTTGCACAAAGAATTTGCGAACTCAAAATTCCAAGGGAATGAGCTGTGGGAAAGACACATTTTGGTGTTGGAAAGGGAGCTCAGTTCCAAGTAGAAAGTCACAGTTCCGGCCAGGAACAGTGGCTCACATCTGTAATCCCAGCACTTTAGGAGGCCAAGGCGGGCAGATCACTTGAGGTCAGGAGATTGAGATCAGCCTGGCCAACATGGTGAAACCCCGTCTCTACTAAAAATACAAAACTTAGCTGAGCGGGGTGGCATGCACCTGTAGTCCAAGCTACTCAGGAGGCTGAGGTGGGAGGATCACCTGAGCCTGGGGAGGTGGAGGCTGCAGTGAGCCATGATTGCTCCCCTGTATGCCAGCCTGGGCAACACACCGAGACCCTGTCTCAAAAACATAACAATTTAAGGTGAATAGATTTACAGTCATTGTAGAGCCCCTAGGAAAACAATGTCAAAATCTATACACCCCGCCAAAAACAAGTTGACTTTTTGAAACCTGTGAAAACATATGCAAATGAAGAGTCTTTCCAGTGAATAAATTAACAGGCCAGGTGGAAACCATCCTGGTGATTCCAATTTCATCTGTCTTCTTAAGTGTTTGCAAAGTAACCTCATACCTTAACATGAGCAGAAGAGATAGAAGATAGGTTTTTGCTTGCAGTTGGATTCCTGAGTACCCATTCCATAAACTTAAACTGCAGTCATGACAGAGAATTAACTACGTAGCTTGTAAACCTGTACAAATAGGCAAGTATTTCCTATCATCACTGTTTTGCTATCCGTTGCTTATGAGCTAGAAAGAACTACTTTGTAAATACTGCTACTACGTCTCTACTAAGTACTACTACTTAGTAAATAACTACTTACAAAATCCTAAAGCATTTATGAGTATCAGTACTTAGCAAATGACTACCTACAGAATACTAAAACATTTACTGAATAGCCGTACTTAGCAAATGACTGCTTACAAAATATGAAAGTATTTACTGTGTAGCAGTACTTAGCAAATGACTACTTACAAAATACTAACATATTTACTGAGTAGCAGTACTTAGCAAATAACTATTACAAAATACTAATTAATTAGATTTTGTGCAATTATATAGTAGTGCTAAATATTAAAATACTTAGTATTTACAAATTGCTAAAGTATTTACTAATTAGTGGTACTTATAGTATTTACAAAATCTTATAAATACTTCATCATGTACAGATGCTGAAGCAAAATACTAGATAATGTTTGAAGTATTTTAATAATTCTTATTAGTCAACAACTAAACATTCACAAAGCTGGTTTTTAAATTTTTATTTTTTTATGCTAATCTCTGTATTGTTCCAATTTTAGTATACAGGCTGCCAAAGCAAACACACAAAGCTGGTTTTAAGATCATGTCCTGGCCGGGCGTGGTGACTCATGCCTGTAATCCCAGCACTTTGGGAGGCCGAGGTGGGTGGATCACCTGAGGTCAGGGGTTCAAGACCAGTCTGGCCAACATGGTGAAACCCCGTCTCTACTAAAAATACAAAAATTACCCTAGTGCGGTGGCAGGCGCCTGTAGTCCCAGCTATTTGGAAGGCTGAGGCAGGAGAATTGCCAACCCGGGAGGCGGAGGTTGCAGTGAGCCGAGATCGTGCCACCGCGCTCCAGCCTGGTGACAGAGTGAGACTCCATCTCAATAAATAAATAAATAAATAAATAAATAAATAAATAAATCATGTCCTACCAAAATATGAACTACTCTCCCAAACTATAAGCCAAAATTACAATTAAGTAAAAATGGTCAAAATGAAAGCCCACACTTCCAGTCCTGTTTTATCAGCAATTAGGGAAAATAATAGGATGCCTAGTTTTTCAACTCTGTGACCTACGTTGCAATCTAGACCTTCATTTCTTTCTTTCTTTCTTTCTTTCTTTCTTTTTTTTTTTTGAGCTAGGTTGTTGGTCTATCATCCAGACTGGAGTGCAGTGGTGCGATCACAGCTCACTGTAGCCTCCAACTCCGTGGGTCAAGGCATCCTCCTGAATAGTTGGGACAATAGCCGCACCACCACGCCCAGCTAACTTTTAAATTTTGAGATGGGATCTTGCTATGTTGCCCCAGCTAGTCTCAAACTCCTGGGCTCAAGTGATCCTTGAACCTTGGCCTTCCGAAGTGTTGGGATTACAGGTGTGAGGCACCACGCCTGGCCATGGACTTTCATTTCAAAGTCAATATATGGCCAGGCGTGGTGGCTCATACCTATAATTCCAGTACTTTGGGAGGCCAAGGTGGGCAGATCATCTGAGATCGGGAGTTCGAGACCAGCCTGACCAACATGGTGAAACCCTGTCTCTACTAAAAATACAAAATTAGCCAGGCGTGGTGGTGCATGCCTGTAATCCCAGCTACTCGGGAGGCTGAGGCAGGAGAATTGCTTGAACTGGGGAGGCGGCAGTTGCGTTGAGCTGAGACTGCACCATTGCACTCTGGCCTGGGCAACAAGAGCGAAACTCTGTCTCAACAACAACAAAGTCGACGTACATCATTTTGGTGCTGAGAACAAGCTCTCTTGAGGTAGACCTGTGGTCATCTACAAATTAGGTAAAAATTGAGAAGGCAAGCGCAAAGATAAAGTTGGTTATATGTCTGTCAATCCCTTTTCTGGATTGTTCTAATTTTCTCTAGAGTTTTGATTTCGTTTTGGGTATGTTATATTTAACAGTCTCCTTCAGTACATGAAAATACATGCAAATGAGTCAAACAATGAATAGAAATTTTGGGAACAGAATAGCATGCCAAGCTTTCATTAATTTGAGTGTGGGACACACTCTAGGCATGAAAGATTTTTTTGAAATCAGAATTTATTACTACTTTGGGCCACGTGCGGTGGCTCATGCCTGTAATCCCAGCACTTTGGGAGGCTGAGGCGGGTGGATCACCTGAGGTTGGGAGTTTGAGACCAGCCTGGCCAACATGGTGAAACCCCATCTCAAGTAACAATACAAAAATTAGCTGGGCATGGTGGCAGGCACTTATAATCCCAGCTACTTGGGAAACTGAGGTGGGAAGATCACTTGAACTCAGGAGGTAGATGTTGCAGTAGGCCAAGATCACGCCACTGCACTCCAGCCTGGGGGCAACAGAGCGAGACTCTGTCTCAAAAATAAAAATAAAAAATAAAGAATAAAGAATTTATTACTACTTTGGTTTAATGATAATTATTGGGCAAACTCTGCATCTCTTTTCATTTTATTTATTTTATTAATTTATTTTTGAGACAGGGTCTCACTCTATCACCCAGATTGGAGTGTAGTGGCATGATCATGGCTCACTGTGGCCTCAACTTCCAGGCTCAAGGGATCCTCCCACCTCAGCCTCCCGAGTAGCTGGGACCACAGGTGCATGCTACCACACCCAGCTAATTTTTAAGTTTTTTTGTAGCGACACGGTCTCCCTATGTTGTCCAGACTGGTCTTTTTTAAAATTTTAATTTTAATTTTTTTCCTTCATTTTCTGTAGTTACCATGCTGCACTTTATTTTATTTCTTTTTATTTATTTATTTATTATTTTTTTGAGATGGAATCTCTCTCTGTCACCCAGGCTGGAGCACAGTGGTGTGATCTCAGCTGGCTGCAACCACCACCTCCTGGGTTCAAGTGATTCTCCTGCCTCAGCCTCACAAGTAGCTGGAATTACAGGCGTCTGCCACCACGCCTGGCAAATTTTTGTACTTTCAGTAGAGATGGGGTTTCACCATGTTGGCCAGGGTGGTCTCGAACTCCTGACCTCAGGTGATCCACCCGCCTCGGCCTCCCAAAGTGCTGGGATTGCAGGCATGAGCCCCTACACCTGGCCCAGCTGCACGTTCATAAAGGCTCCAGTCTTCTCTCCCTGTTCTGTAATCCTTCCAGCTGGAGATAACTAGGATTAAAATTTTACTGCATCTCCTTTCATTCTTTTTATTGTGAGATACATGTTGAATAGGAAATTTGTATGAAATTCATGTAATGACTAAACTCAGGTAACTTGAAAAAATTATTTTCAAATTATACTTCCCATCAAAGACTTGGAAATGCTCCTTTTTTTTTTTTTTTTTTTTTACAAAATGCAAACTTAGAAAAATAACAACGAAATCAAAAAGTGCTAATTAATGAATATGCTCAAATGTGCAAAGAGGCCAGCCATGGTGGTTCATGCCTGTGATCCCTGCACTTTGGGAGGCTCAGGTGGGAGGATCACTTGAGGCTAGGAGTTCAGACCACCCCTGGCAACATAGCAAGAACCTGTCTCTACAAAAAATACAAAAATACAGGTGACCACCTGTAGTCCCAGCTACTTGAGAGGCTAAGGCAGGAGAATCACTTGAGCTCAGGAGTTGGAGGCTGCAGTGAGCTGTGATTGCATCACCACACTCCAGCCTGGGCAACATAGCAAGACCCCATCTCTAAAAAAATTTTTTTCTAATCCCCAGAGAGTTTTACTTGTATGCACAGGTGAAATAAATCCCACTCAACCCCACCGGAGCACACCCAGAATCCAAATAACATAATTACACTTCAGTATGGGTAAAGACGAGATTATTAGGTTTCATGTAAGTGTACCACCTGGCACTTCTTGGGTGTTAAATAGAGATAGTGCTTCATTATTGCTGCTTATTGTCTGTTGACAGAGACTCTGAAATGAAGTCCCTAAGATCGGGTTGGAAGAATGAAAAAGTAGTGTACTGTTATTTGAAATGGACAAAAATAATTGTCCCTTTGAATTGTAGTTTTGAAACAGTAAAATGAATATAATTTGTGAATAACCAACTAAAATTCTACCTATAGAAAATCCAGCCAGGTGCAGTGGTTCACGCCTGTCATCCCAGCACTTTGGGAGGCCAAGGCGGGTGGATCACTTGAGGCCAGGAGTTTGAGACCAGCCTGGCCAAGATGGCAAAACCCTGTGTCTACAAAAAATACAAAAATTAGCTGGGCATGGTGGTGCACACCTGTAATCTCAGCTTTCAGGAAGCTGAGGCGAGAGATTGCTTGAACCTGGGAGGTGGAGGTTGCATGAGCTGAGATTGCGCCACTGCACTGCAGTCTGGGCAACAGAGCGAGACTCTGACTCAAAAAAAGAAAAAAAATTTTTTTCTGGCTATTTATCCCTTTGTATACATCTAAGCATTTTCCCTAAGACAGTCAGGCCTAATAGTCTTGACCTAATCCAATGCTAATAGTCTCGTCTTTACTCACACCAGTTTTTAACTGTGGTGTTTGGATTTGGGGAATGCTCTTGGGGTATTTAATTCCTCCTATGAATACGAGTAAACCTCTCTGGGCACGAATTTATTTTTGTAGAGATGGGGTCTTGCTATGTAAGACTTAATGACACAGTGTCCCCTGGCAGCTCCATATAACCCCTTTAGTCATTTTTCCTATTCAGGTGCCCTCCTGATTGACAGAAAAGAAATAAGAGAAATTAGGCTGGACATACGGCTCATGCCTGTAATCCCAGCACTTTCAGAGGCTGAGGAGGGAGGACCGTTTGAGACAAGGAGTTCAAAACCACCCTGGCCAACATAGTGAGACACTCCATCTCTATTAAAAAAAAGAGAGAGAGAGAGAAATCCATGCTCTTAACCTAGATTAGGGTGAGGTTGTCTTGGCAGCTCCAGTGGGTAATGGAGTTCTTGGTCCGTGGAAAACTCACAACTGTGATTTAAAAAGCGCTATCATCCACGTTGTTTCTTTGAGGTGTCTATGGTGGCCAGAAGCCCCATGGAACGACAGAATCACCCATTTAGAACTGTTGATGAGATAAAGAATCCTTAGCTGGGGACTGTCGGTGGAGTGAAAAGAAAATAGCAGAGCAGAATACCAGTGTACGCTGTGGCGGTGAAGGCAAAATGTGGATTGTTTTAAGAATCAAGGCTCAGCCAGGTGTGGTGGCTCACACCTGTAATCCCAGCACATTGGGAGGCCTAGGTAGGTGGATCACCAGAGGTCAGGAGTTCGAGACCAGCCTGGCCAACATGGTGAAACCCCGTCTCTACTAAAAATACAAAACTTAGCTGGGTGTGGTGGTGCATGCCTGTAATCCCAGCTACTCAGGAGGCTGAGGCAGTAGAATCACTTGAACCTGGGAGGCAGAGGTTGCAACGAGCTGCTGCACTCCAGCCTGGGCGACAGAGTGAGACTGTCTCAAAAAACAAACAAAAACAAAAAAAGTCACTATGCTGAGAGTGATACTGTTAAAAAAAAAGTTTGTGCCTGTCACCCTAAGTCATCTTGAGGCCCCCTGCTAGTATGTGCCCCATACTTTGAGGAACCACATTTAACATGACCCTCTGGAAAACAAAGGCTCAAAAGCCACTAAGCTGGTTAGTGTGCCCGAAGCAATCTGGAAGAGCCCCAAGGCCTCTTGTGAGCTGGAGGGTTTAGTAAAAAGTGTGAGCTTTTACACAAGCTCTCCAGAAAATGCCTCAATTGTTCCCAGGAGTCCTCAACTCACAGGGTTAGCCCAAGAGAAGAGCTTTAATGTGCCACCTGGAAACCAGCCTGGTGAGAATTTCCTGGCTTAAGACTGCCCAGCCCTAATGACAGCCCTGTAACAGAACCCCGGAGGCTCACCTCAAACCGAAGGCAAGGCTAGGTGTATTGGGCTTAGGTGAATCGCCTTAGAGCCAGGAAGCCAGTGGCTGAGAAAGAGAAGCGGGAGGTGTCAGAGGACTGGGTGACAGCAGGTGAGCCTCTCTGAGGGCTCGTTTCTCTCTCTCTCTTTTTTTTTTTTTTTTTTTTGATAGCTTGTTTCTCAGAGAAGAAGAAGATGGCCAGGTATGGTGTCTTATGCCTAATTGTGGCTTGGAATCCTTTGGGAGGCCTAGGCGGGCGGATCACCTGAGATCAGGAGTTCGAGACCAGCCTGGCCAACAAGGTGAAACCCTGTCTTTAGAAATACAAAATTAGCTGCACGTGGTGGTGGGCACCTGTAATCCCAGCTACTCAGGAGGCTGAGACAGGAGAATTGCTTGAACCTGGGAGGCGGGGGTTGCAGTGAGCCGAGATCATGCCACCTCACTCCAGCCTGGGTGACAGAGTGAGACTGTCTCAAAATGAAAAGGAGAAAAAGGACTTGAAAATGGATCTGTGCTGGCTCACACCTGCAATCCCAGCACTTTGGGAGGCTGAAGTGGGATAATGGCTTGAGACCAGCAGTTCCAAACCAGCCTGGGCAATAGAGCGAGACCCTCCCCCACCATCTCTAATAAATAAACAATAAAAAGTAAGGCCGGGCGCAGTGGCTCATGCCTGTTATCCCAACACTTTGGGAGGCTGAGGTGGGAGGATGGCTTGAGCCCAAGAGTTCGAGATCAGCCTGAGCAACATAGTGAGACCCTCCCCCACCATCTCTAATAAATAAACAATAAAAAGTAAGGCCGGGTGCGGTGGCTCACGCCTGTTATCGCAACACTTTGGGAGGCTGAGTGGGAGGATCGCTTGCGCCCAGGAGTTCGAGATCAGCCTAAATAACACAGTGAGACCTCACCTCTACCAAAAACACAAACGTTAGCCGGGTGTGGTGGTGCATGCCTGTAGTCCCAGCTACTCAGGAAGCTGAGGTGGGAGGATGGTTTGAGTCCAGGAGGCAGAGGTTGCAGTGAGCTGAGATCGTGCCACTGCACTCCAGCCTGGGCGACAGAGCTGGACCTTGTCTCAAAATAAATAAATAATAAAGAGGAAATGGGTCCGTTTGTACTAACCTGGAATCGCAAGTCTCTCCTGAGCTTTACAGACCACTACAGACACGTATTCTGTTTTGTCTTGTACCTTTTGCTTTTAATTAAATCAAAGTGGCTTTCTAACACATGGCAGAAAACATACCGGTAAGAGTGACTGGCTGGGCACAGTGGCTCACGCCTGTAATCCCAGAACTTTGGGAGGCCAAGGTGGGCGCATCACTTGAGGTCAGGAGTTTGAGACCAGCCTGGCCAACATGGTGAAACTCCAACTCTGCTAAAAATACAAAAATTAGCCGGGTGTGGTGGTGTGCACCTGTAATCCCAGCTACTTGGGAGGCTGAGGTGGGACAATAGCTTGAACTTGGAAGGCAGAGGTTGCAGTGAGCCAAGATTGAGCCACTGCACTCCAGCCTGGGTGACAGAGTGAGACTCTGTCTCAAAAAAAAAAAAAAAAAAAAAAGAGTGATTTTATGCTGGCTAAAATCCCTTCCTATTAATTTCAGTGTCACAAGATTTGCTGAGAAAAATAATAGCTTGACAATGGCATTTATTTGTGACTCTAAAGAAACAACCAAAAACACCCTCCAAAACCTGATTTCCTTGTTTGCTGGACCATAACACCAGTGTGGCCCGCTCCAAGCTTGATGGGACCAGAAATCCTACAAAAAAGCCCTTGGTCCCAGTTTGCTTGAGTGTCGTGCTGAGGAAAAAACACGCCCACACATCAGCAGATGATGAGAAGCCTGTCTTTATTGGGTGATTTTTAGAGGCATTGCCTGTTGGGGGAAGGGGGGCTTACAGAAGTTGTCAGGGCATATACCCACCACCAAGAAAGTCAGGAGTGACTCCCTCGTGACCTCACTAAAACAATGAGCAAACTGCAGAAGGTTTTCAGGGAAAATTAACAAATTAGGTAGGGATGGGATGTGGGGTTCCCCATTCCCAGGGCTTTGGAATCCTTCCAGGTGATTATCCCTTTCTCTCTTTTCTCCAGAGACTGGGGCTTTTAAGAATGCACCATTTCCTGGAATTCTAGAACAGAAGAGGTGAGAACAGGGTCAGTGGAGGTGGCTTGGTTCTTTACAGACGTGCCGTGGCCAATGAGAATTCCAAAGAGGGAAGGAAGCAAAGAAAATTGTCAGATGATGGGCATGGCCCCCTTGGAGGGCACAAAAGAAAGAAAAACTGGCCGGGCACAGTGGCTCATGCCTGTAATCCCAGCACTTTGGGAGGCCGAGGCGGGTGGATCATGACATCATGAGATCGAAACCATCCTGGCCAAAATGGTGAAACCCTGTCTCTACTAAAAATACAAAACTTAGCTCAGCGTTGTGGCACGTGCCTGTAGTCCCAGCTACTTGGGAGGCTGAGGCAGGAGAATCACTTGAACCTGGGAGGCGGAGGTTGCAGTGAGCCGAAATCACGCCATTGCACTCTAGCCTGGGCGAGAGAGCCAGACTCCAACTCAAAAAAAAAAAAAAAGGAAAGAAAGAAAGAAAAAAAAACCCTGGGTATCAATGACTATATCTCGAGGAAGTTCACAGGGTTCCATTTCTCTGAATAATCTTATTTAACAAACATCTTCAGCTTTGCAATAGAGGTCTTTGAATTAGAACTTGTCAAGCCTATCATTTCTCCCTGATAATGCATGAATTCAGTGGAATTACCTGTGACCATCTGTGAACATTTAACTTTTTGTCTGGTCAATTTCAGACAGGAAGGGGAGATTTTCTTTCTCTATTCCGTAGCTGGGTATTGCATTTTTAGGATATATTTGATAGGGTGGGACTTTGAACTGACTTTCCTCCATTGAACCAAACTCCAAACGTTTCTGTTACTAAAAGAAGGATAATAGTAATAATAACAAGGTATGGATGTTACAGATTGATATAAAAAACTGGGGACTTGCTTTATATTTATTGGTAAGCTTTGTTTATTTGGAAATCCTTCATGGTTATGTTTTTTTTTTTCTTTTGAGATAGAGTTTCACTCTTGTTGCCCAGGCTGGAGTGCAATGGTGCCATCTTGGCTCCCTGCAACCTCTGCCTCCCAGGTTCAAGCGATTCTCCTGCCTCAGCTTCCCGAGTAGTTGGGATTACAGGTGCCCACCACCATGACCGGCTAATTTTTTATATTTTCAATAGAGATGGGGTTCACCATGTTGGTCAGTCTAGTCTTGAACTCCCGACTTCAGGGGATCTGCCCACCTTGGCCTCCAAAATTGCTGGGATTATAGGCCTGAGCCACCACGCCCAGCCCCTGGTTATGTTTAAATAAGGCAATCCCCCCTTACCTAATCTGTTTTTATGAGCTATCTATCTGCATTAACTCCCATGTAGTAAGCGATAGTGGTATAATTTT
Source organism: Homo sapiens (assembly GCF_000001405.40). Lineage (NCBI taxonomy): Eukaryota > Metazoa > Chordata > Mammalia > Primates > Hominidae > Homo > Homo sapiens. The sequence continues at coordinate 5,884,734 of NC_000007.14, read as the reverse complement.
GAACAGGTTTTTTTTTTTTTAATAAGCATCTAACGTAGCAGTTTTAAATTTCAAATTAGCACCACCAGAAGGACCATCATATGTTCTGCTGAGTTGGCAGGCACAAAGCAGTTAAAAAGCACGCTAGCAACATGACAAAATCAAGTGAAAATAGTCCTACAGCTGTGCTAGTGTATTCTAAAGCTCAAACCTAGGATTCGGCCTATGGAAGACTCAATAAATGAGGTTGGCTTATTTGTTCTCTGTTTAATATTATCCCCTTGGCGGGCTAATGTCCAATAAAATATATTTGTCTAAACCCTTGAAGACGAAGAGGGCTTCCTACGCATGCCAATGGACCCTGGTCTGAGGATGTAAATCTTTCCCTTATTCTGAGGGGTTCAAACCCCACTGGTAGAAATACCTCGCGCTTTATGCAGGTGCATTATGGTTGGCAGGTGCAAATAATTGGCCAGGTGGCTAGCTAGTCCCCTAGTCAGGTGAAGGATATTTTGCAGCTCATAGACAATGACCAGTGTGACCAGCTTCTATAGTACCTACCGAGCATTATGCCAGGGTTTTTACACACATCATTTGCATCCTTACTTTAGTCCCATTTTACAGATGAGAAGACTGAGGCTCGGTAAGTTTAAGAAAGGGAGATTTTAAGCCACATTGGTTTGATCTCACAGCCCAAGCCCTCACGGATGCTTCCTGAGCTAGAGTGTTTTATGCTACGTACACGTGTGGACATACCCTCTGCTCCAATTTTCCCATCTCCATCATTATCCGCCGCAGCCATCAAGGACTTGGTTTCTGACTCGGTCAGTTCTCTGGCACCACTCTCAAACTTCTGGAGGAAAAACCTACAGGATAATAAAGATCCATGGGGATTTTCAAAAAGATCATGCATCTCTGTGTTTACACTTTTGTTTTTCCTCTAAGCATATCACCTGTTTCCAGCACCGGCAATAATTAACCAAGGTCTTAGCAAGCAAAGGTTTCCTTAAGCTGTAGAAACCAATGGTGGGCACTTCATTTTTAAGGTTTTGTTTGTTTGTTTGTTTTTGAGACAGGGTCTTGCTCTGTCACCCAGGCTGGAATGCAGTGATACCATCATGGCTCACTGCAGCCTCGACTTCCTGGGCTCAATCAATCCTCCTGCCTCAACCTCCTGAGTAGCTGGGACTACAGGTGCACCCCACCATGCCCCACTAACATTTGTATTTTTTTTTGTAGAGACAAGGTTTTGTCATGTTCCCCAGACTGGTCTGGAACCCCTGGGCTCACTCAAGCAATCCACCCACCTCAGCCTCCCAAAGGGCTGGGATTGTAGGTGTGAGCCACAGTGCCTGGCCCATTTTTAAGTTTTTAGTGTTTTTAATTTTTATTTATTTATTTATTTGAGACAGAGTCTCTCTCTGTCACCCAGGCTGGAGTGCAGCTGCACGATCTGGGCTCACTGCAACCTCTGCCTCCTGACTTCAAGCAATTCTTGTGCTTCAGTCTTCTGAGTAGCTGGAATTACAGGCGTGAGCCACTGCGCTTAGCCAAGTTTTTAGTTTTTTAAAGTCCATTTGCCAAAGGAAATCCCTTACATGAAAGAATCTTTGTGGCTGGGCACAGTGACTCACACCTGTAATCCCAGCACTTTGGGAGGCCAAGGCAGGAGGATCACTTGAAGTCAGGAGTTTGAGACCAGCCTGGCAACATAGTGAAGCCCCATCTCTACTCTAAATATGAAAATGAGCTGGATGTGGTGGCAGGCACCTGTAATCCCAGCCACTTGGGAGACTGAGGCATGAGAATCACTTGAATTTGGAAGGCGGAGGCTGCAGGGAGCTGAGATCACCCCACTGCACTCCAGCCTGGGCAACAGAGTGAGGCCCTGTCTCAAAAAAAAAAAAAAAAAAAAGAATCTTTGCACCTGCAGTCTTCTCTGCCCATATTGAGGGCTTTGCATGGGTAGATGTGCGGTCAACTGACTCATGTCCTTTGCTTTAATGATGCTTGGCCGAATGACCAACACCAAGGCTGGCCATTGAAGAAATACTGAGCAACCTGGCCCCCACTGCACCCCAGGCCCACTCAGCAGTGCCGGGTACCAGACAGACTCAGGACAAAGCTTACTTAAGCTCTTCTTCATCCAGGTACCCGCTCTGGTCGTTGTCTATGAACCGGAAAACATCCTTCACCTGATTGGCTGACATCTTGGAGAGGCCTGATGTCTGGAAGAATTTTTGGGGTTCAAAAGTGTCTGGGTCTGAAGAACAGAGAATTGGTTATTCTGACGCTTGTTGGATCACATTCTATGTTGGGGCCAAGGTACTAAAAACACAGATAATTAAAAACACTTCAACAATATCCCTGAGCTACGGGGATGCTCAACTGGTCCAAGATTTTGGGACAGCCAAGACTTGATGGCTCTGTGATGGCATCCCATGTCCCCTCCGCCCCAGTCTTCCCTCCTCCACTTGGTTTTGTCCATTTTCCTTTTCCCTCCTCATCTCTTCTGTGCCTCCCCCTCCCCCTGGCCCACTTTACAGGCTGTGTGGCTGAGCCCCCAGCATCCCTGGTCTAATTGGTAGGGGGAAATGCAATCACTGGATTTCAACAGGCTAAATGGCCTTTGGCGCTTTTTTTTTTTTTTTTTTTTTTTTTTTTTTTTTTGAGACAGAGTCTCACTCTGTCACCAGGCTGGAGTGCAGTGGCGTGATCTCGGCTCACTGCAACCTCTGCCTCCCGGGTTCAACTGATTCTCCTGCTTCAGCCTCCCAAGTAGCTGAGATTACAGGTGTGCACCCCCATGCCCAGCTCATTTTTGTATTTTTAATAGAGACAGGGTTTTGCCATGCTGGCCAGGTTGGTCTTGAACTCCTGACCTCAAGTGATGCACCGGCCTCGGCCTCCCAAAGTGTTGGGATTACAGGTGTGAGCACGACACCTGGCCTTTCAGTGATGTCTTGCTTTCATGTTTAGTAGGTTTCTTTTGTCTTACAGATGTGTAATCGTGTGCTCAGATCCCAGATCTCTATAATTTTAGTTATCTAATAAATAGCAGTTTTCTTCTCTGATTCCATGAATTTTCCAGCCAACCTCTTATTTATTTATTTATTTATTTATTTAGAGCCAGAGTCTCACTCTGTCGTCCAAGCTGGAGTGCAGTGTAGCGATCATAGCTCACCACAGCCTCAACCTCCTGGGCTTCAGTGATCCTCCTACCTTAGTTTCCAGAGTAGCTGGGACCACAGGCACATGCCACCATGCCCCGCTAGTTTTTATTTTTATTGTTATGTTGTAGAGATGGAGTCTTCCTATGTTGCCCAGGCTGGTCTCAAACTCCTGGGCTCAAACAGTCCTCTCACCTTGGCCTCCAAAAAGTGTTGGGATTACAGATGTGAGCCACCATGCCTGGTCTACTTTTTTTTTTTTTTTTTGTAGACAGAGTCTTGCTCTGTTGCCCAGGCTGGAGTGCAGTGGCATGATCTCAGCTCACTGCAACTTCTGCCTCCCGGGTTCAAGCAATTCTCTGCCTCAGCCTCCCGAGTAGCTGGGATTACAGGCACCCACCACCACGCCCGGTTAATTTTTTTGTATTTTTAGTAGAGATGGGGTTTCACCATCTTGGCCAGGCTGGTCTCGAACTCCTGACCTCGTGATCCACCCGCCTCGGCCTCCCAAAGTGCTGGGATTACAGGTGTGAGCCACTGCGTCTGGCCGCCTGGCCTACATTTTGATTTTGTGTTGACTCGCTGGAGGTGCAAAGCTGTGAGGAAATCCCACCCCCGCCTCACGTCCCCTCTACCTCGGCATTCCTGGAGCGCTGCTGCAATGTCGTCAGCACTGAGCACGTCCGTGATGCTCATTTTCTACCTACTCACACAGAATAAATGAGAGGCGATAAGCCACAAACAGGAATGTGCACATCCAGGGGAAACACATCTTCCCAGGCCCACTGAAACTGTATGTGTGTCTAGATTATTTTTTTTTTTAAATTAAGACGGAGTCTCACTCTGTCACCCAGGCTGGAGTGCAAGAGCGTGATCTCGGCTCACCGCAACCTCCGCCTCCTGGGCTCAAGTGATTCTCCTGCCTAAGCCTTCCCAGTAGCTGGGATTACAGGTGCGCACTACCATGCCTGGCTAATTTTTGTGTTTTTAGTAGAGACGGGGTTTTGCCATGTTGGCCAGGCTGGTCTTGAGCTCCTGACCTCAGGTGATCTGCCTGCCTTGGCCTCACAAAGTGCTGGGATGACAGATGCAAGCCACCGAGCCAGGCCTGTCTAGAATTTTTAAAATGTGATAAGCATGGTTTTGTATTAAGTGACGGGACAGAATATCCAAATTAAAACCAGATACGGAAAACACCCCAGCCTTTTTTGTCTCAGAGCCTTCTTTTGAATACATGCCAAAAATGGAAAAAAAAAATGACCCAAAGAAGGATTCAATTGTTTTCTTATAAAAATTATACTGACATAATCAGTCATTTGCATAGGCAGCCGTAAACCATGTTACACATGCACTGGCATTTTCCTACAGCAGCCCGAGAGATGCAATGTTGCAAATTCCACGTGGGAAAGGATACAGTTTGGGCTGCTTGCAGACATTCTGTGGAAGAAGGCATGCACCTGTCCTGAAAGGTGGGAAGCAGATGGATGAAAAGCCCATCTCCCAGAGATTAAAATCCTTCCAGGTGTCAGAGCCACCGGAAAACAGGAGTCTAAGCACCTGAGCCTAATATGAATGCATGCAGTGAAGAAAAGAGTCTGGGGTCTGATGTGTCCACCAGTTACTCACCGTTTTCGGTTTCCCCCCAGGAAGAATCAGGAAAAAGAGTTGAAGGAGCAAAACAACAGATGTGTTTTTGCTACCTTACTGACCTACCTTATATAGGCTAGAAAAAGTGATAGTTACAACCTCTTAGATTTCCTTTTCAAGGATCAAGTGGATGCAGCTCAAATGTCTTGTCTTACTCATGAAACCTCTTTTTTTTTTTTTTTCTATTTATGTCTCAAGGGAATGTGGGTGGGAACAGCCAATTGTAAAAAAAAAAAAAAAACAACAACAAACTTCAACAAACCTTAACTAAGATTTCAATTCTGCAAACGAACCCTGTTGGCAAAGTGTGGAGAAGGTTCTAGATGCCTGGTAAGGTGGAGATGGTGGCCTGAACTAAGACAAACACATACAGGGTGCTCTGTAAGCTGAAAAGGCTCCCCTGATATTAGCAGGTACCGTTGGAGGCAGGCCTGTTTTCAGCTTTGGGAACTATGGGTGTGTAAGGCTGACCTCAGTCTGGAGTTGACAGACTCAAAGCCATTGTCACCAAGTGCACACACAGGTCTCACCCGGCACAGGAGACAGGGCTAAGTGACGTGACTTTCCTACAAAACTCTTGACTTTGACGTTTCCCAGCTATACCATAAATTGCACACACTCAAAAGGCAAAAAGGAGGAAATCAAACCAGCATCCCCAACCCCCAAAACTAACATGTTCAGAAACAAATATTCTGAGGCTGAGGCCAGGACTAGACACCTCAAGATTTTGTTTCTGTTGTGACAGGGTCTTGCTCTGTTGCCCCGGCTGGAGTGCAGTGGCACGATCTCAGCTCATTGCAGCCTTGACCTCCCAGGCTCAAGCGATCCTCCCACTTCAGTCTCCCGAGTAGCTGGTACTACAGGCACACACCACCATGCCTGGCTAATTTTTTAAATATGCATATTTTTTGGAGAGACAGGGTTTTGACAGGGTTTTGCCATGTTGCCTAGGCTGGTCTCGAACTCCTGGGCTCAAGTAATTCTCCCACCTCATCCTCCTAAAGTGCTGGGATTACAGGAATGAACCACTGCGCCTGGCTTTTTTTTTTTTTTTTTTTTTTTTAACTTTCAGCAAACATTTATTGAGCCTTTATATGGCCAGCACTGTGCTAGACTGTTCTTTTTAATTATTGTGGTAAAACCACATTCCATAAAGTATATAATCTTAACCATTTTTTTTTTTTGTTTTTTGAGATGGAGTCTCAATTCTGTCGCCCAGGCTGGAGTGCAGTGACATGATCTTGGCTCACTGCAAGCTCCGCCTCCTGGGTTCACGCCATTCTCTTGCCTCAGCCTCCTGAGCAGCTGGGACTGCAGGCGCCCGCCACAACACCCGGCTAATTTTTTGTATTTTTTAGTACAGACAGGGTTTCACCGTGTTAGCCAGGATGGTCTTGATCTCCTGACCTCGTGATCCGCCCACCTCGGCCTCCCAAAGTGCTGGGATTACAGGCGTGAGCCACCGCGCCCGGCCAATCTTAACCATTTTTAAGTGTATGTATAGTACAATAGTGTTAACTCTTGGCGCATTATTGAACGAGAGATCTCTATAATTTATTCAGCTGGAAAAACGGAAACTCTGTATCCACTGAGCTGCCACAACTGCCCTGTTCCCCCACCTAGTCCAGCTCCTGGTAAGCATCATTGTACTTTCTGCTTCTACTAGTTTGACTACTGGCCGGGCGCAGTGGCTCATGCCTGTAATCCCAGCACTTTGGGAGGCCGAGGTGGGCAAATCAAGAGGTCAGGAGTTCGAGACCAGCCTGACCAACGTGGTGAAAACCCATCTCTACTAAAAATACAAAAATTAGCTGGGCGTGGTAGCCTGTAATCCCAGCTACTTGGGAGGCTGAGGCAGGAGAATCACTTGAATCTGGGAGTTGGAGGTTGCAGTGAGCCGAGATCACGTCACTGCACTACAGCCTGGGTGACAGAGCGAGATTCCGCCTCAAAAAAAAAAAAGAGTTTGACTGCTTTATCTAGGGACATCATATAAGTGTAATCATATAGTATTTGTCTTTTTCAGACTGGCTTATTTCACTGAGTATAATGTCCTCAAGTTTCATCCATGTTGTGGCATGTGTCAGGATCTCCTTTTTTTTTTTTTTTTTTTTTTTTTGAGATGGAGTCTTGCTCTGTCACCCAGGCTGGAGTGCAGAGGCATGATCTTGGCTCACTACAACCTCCACCTCCCAGGTTCAAGCAATTCTCCTGCCTCAGCCTCCCAAGTAGCTGGGATTACAGGCACATGCTACCACACCTGGGTAATTTTTGCATTTTTAGTAGAGATGAGGGTTTCACCATGTTGGCCAGGCTGGTCTCGAACTCCTGATCTCAAGTGATCCACCTGCCTCGGCCTCCCAAAGTGCTGGGATTACAGATGTGAGCAGCCGGGCCTGGCCTAGGGTCTCCTTTTTAAAAGCTGGATTCATGTTTTTTATTTGTTTGTTTTTCATTTTTATTTTTATTTGTTTTTGAGACAGAGTTTCGCTCTTCGGGCTGGAATGTGGTAGTGTGATCTCGGCTCACTGCAGCCTTGACCTCCTGGGCTCAGGCAATCCTCCCAGCTCAGCCTCCCAGGAGGCTGGGACTATAGGCACACACCACCACACCTGGCTAATTTTTTGTATTTTTTTGGTAGAAACGGGGGCCTCACGATGTTGCCCAGGCTGGTCTCAAACTCCTGGACTCAAGTGATCCACCCTGCTTGGCTTCCCAAAGTGCTGGGATTAAGGCATGAGCCACTGTGCCCAGCCTCAAGTTTTTAAAAAGTGCAAAAATAGATCCCACCTTGCAATCAGAAACATACAGTGGCTTAGAAGTAGACAGTTCAGGCCGGGTGTGGTGGCTCACGCCTGTAATCCCAGCACTTTGGGAGGCCGAGGCAGGCAGATCACCTGAGGTTGGGAGTTCAAGACCAGCCTGACCCACGTGGAGAAACCCCCGTCTCTACTAAAAACATAAAATTAGCCGAGCATGGTGGCGCATGCCTGTAATCTCGGCTACTTGAGAGGCTGAGGCAGGAGAATCGCTTGAACTGGGGAGGTGGAGGTTGCGGTGAGCCGAGATCGCACCATTGCACTCTGGCCTGGGCCACAAGAGCAAAACTCCATCTCAAAAAAAAAAAAAAAAAGAAGTAGACAATTCAGGATACCTAGAGCAGGACCTCAGACTCTTTCCTGGGTAAAACAGTGGGCATCTTCACTTTGCCCCAAATATATTCTCCTACCAGGATGGTATACGCCCTAGTGTCGTCAGTGAACAGTTTCTCTCAGGGATACCTGCAGCCTCTCTTAAATGACCAAACCTCCAGCCGACACCCTACCTCTCATCCACATTTTATTCCCCAGTGCCTAGCCTAGGACTGACCTAGATTTAGGCGCTCAGCAGTGATTTGATGAATGAATAAATAAAAATAGCAAAAAGAAGTTGAAAATACGATTCCCAACCAGCATCACCTCGCCCAGCCCCTTAAAGAAGTTTCTGAAGATTGAGTGTGGTGGCTCATGCCTGTAATCTCAGCACTTTGGGAGGCCAAGGTGGGAGGATTGCTTGAGCCCAGGAGTTTAAGACTAGCCTGGACAACATGACAAGGCCCTGTCTCTACAAAAAAATAATAATCATAAATCAGCCCCTGCCGGGTCCAGTGGCGCACGCCTGTAATCCCAGCACTTTGGGAGGCCGAGGCACGTGGATTACCTGAGGTCAGGAGTTCGAGGCCAGCCTGGCCAACATGGTGAAACTCCGTCTCTACTAAAATACAAAATTAACCCGGCGTGGTGGTGCATGCCTGTAATCCCAGCTACTCTGGAGGCTGAGTCAGGAGGATCACTTAGAACCTGGGAGGTGGAGGTTGCAGTGAGCTGAGATCATGCCACTGCCCTCCAGCCTGGGTGACAGAGCAAGACTCTGTCTCGGAAAAAAAAATAATAATAATCAGCTAGGCATGGTGGCGCATGCCTGTGGTGCCGGCTGCTCAGTAGGCTGAGGTGGGAAGATTGATTGAGGCTGGGAAGTAACGGCTGCTGCAAGTTACAATTGCACCACTGCACTCCAGCCTGGGCGACACAGTGAGACCTTGTCTCAGGAAAAAAAAAAAAAAGGTTTCTGAAAATAAGTCTTAAGAGTTTTGAATTAGGTTTCTGACATTAAGTTGCCATAGAAACTAGCTGAGCCCTTTCTTTTTCTTTGGGAGTGTTTACAATTGTCCATAGAGATAAAACATTTTTTAAAAATCTGCTCATTTAAATCCAAGTAGCATATGGGTTAAACCAAGATACTTTTTATGTTCATGCTATTTTTCTGATAGAAAATAAAGATACCAGAGACCAGGCCAGGAGTGGTGGCTCATGCCTATAATCCCAGCACTTTGGGAGGCCGAGATGGGAAGATTGCTTGGGCCCAGGAATTCGAGACCAGCCAGGGTGATGTAGTGACACTCCCATTCTCTGTAGAAAAATATTATATTTATTTAAATTTTAAAAAGAACATATTCAGTGAACATGTTTTCTGAATCAATGAGGCGCTTAAGATGATAACTTGAATTCCATTATGTGCAATCTGAGCATCAAATATTGATTCAGGCCGGGCGCCGTGGCTTACACCTGTAATCCCAGCACTTTGGCAGGCTGAGGTGGGCAGATCACCTGAGGTCCGGAGTTCGAGACCAGTCTGGCCAACGTGGCGAAACGCTGTCTCTACTAAAAATACAAAAAAATTATCTGGGCATGGTGGTGGGTGTCTGTAATCCCAGCTACTTGGGAGGCTGGGGCAGGAGAATTGCTTGAACCCGGGAGGTGGAGGTTGCAGTGAGCCAAGTTTGTGCCACTACATTCCAGCCTGGATGACAGAGCAAGACTCCGTCTCAAAAAAAAAAAAAATACATATATATATATATAGATATAGATATAGATTCACACAGAGATATTGTATAATTCCAGTAATATGAGGTACCTAGAATATTCAAATTGACAGAGACAGACAGAATGGTGGTTAGCAGGGCTGGGTGGAGTGAGTGTTTAATGGGGACAGAGTTTCAGATTGGGAAGATGAGAAAGTTCTGGAGATGGATGGTGGTGACAGTTGCACAATGTGAATATATTTAATGCCACTGAACTTTAAAGGGTTAAGATGGGTTGGGTGCGGCGGTGCACGTCTGCAATCCCAGCGCTTTGGAAGGCTGAGGCGTGAAAATTGCTTGAAGCCAGGAGTTTGAGACCAGCCTGGGTTACAAAGCACTACCCCGTCTCTACAAAAAATAAAAAAAATTAGCCAGACATGGTTGCGTGCACCTATGGTCCCAGCTACTCGGGAGGCTGAGGTGGGAGGATCACTTAAGCCCAGGAGTTTGAGGCTGCAGTGAGCTGTGATCACACCACTGCACTCCAGCCTGGTTAACAGAGTGAGACCCTGTCTCTCCAAAGAAAAAAAAAGAAAATTATTAAGATGGTAAATTTCATATTATGTATTTTATGTTGCATATCATGCTATGCATCTGACATATGTTGCATATGCATAATGATATGTTGTTTATATTTGCATATTTATGTAATGTAATGTATATGTATATCATGTATATGTATATATTAACCATTTTTAAACAGTGATTCAGTAGTCTTCATTATTTTGGCCACCAATTCCTAATTGCTCCCAGGAAAGAATAGGAGGAAGATGTGGAAATAGATCTTTTTTTTTTTTTTTTTTTTTTTTTTTTTTGAGACAGAGTCTCGCTCTGTCACCCAGGCTGGAATGTAGTGGTGCGATCTCGGCTCACTGCAACCTCCACCTCCGAGGTTCACGAGATTCTTCTGCCTCAGCCTCCCGAGTAGCTGGGATTACAGGTGCCCACCACCATGACTGGCTAATTTTTTTTTTTTTTTATTTTTAGTAGAGATGGGGTTTCACCATGTTGGCCAGGCTGGTCTCCAACTCCTGACCTCAAGTAGTCCGCCCCCCTCAGCCTCCCAAAGTGCTGTGATTACAGGTGTGAGCCACCGCGCCCAGCCTGGCTGCCCTTGTGGAGACAAAACTCTTGAATGTATGGGAGATCCTCCTTCCATCATGCATGATGGGCTAGTTGAGAGCACCGTGGACCCACTTTCATGTTCTCTCAACAGACATCACTTCCTAAACATCTCTCAACTTCATCTTCTCTTCATGGGCCACCGTCACTACCCTAGCCCAAGCCACCAGCATCTCTTTTGGGAATGGAAACAACTGTGGTGGCCTCCTAACCTTTCTCCACTCGGGGTCACCTCCAACCTAGCCAGGTGGGTTTTGAAAAAACCCAAGGATGGCTGGACTCGGTGGCTCATGCCTGTAATCCCAACATTCTGGGAGGCTGAGGCAGGAGCATTGCTTGAGCCCAGAAGTTTGAGACCAGCCTGGGTCACATGGCAAGAACCCATCTCTACAAAAAATGAAAATAACTAAATAATTATCCAGGCTCCTGGGCTTGAGCAGTCCTCCTGCCTCAATCTCCTGAGTAGGTGGGACTACAGGCATGTACCACCACCCCAGGCTAATTTTTAAATTAAATTAAATTAAAAAAAAATTTTTTTTGAGATGGAGTTTTGCTCTTGTTGCCCAGTCTGGAGTGCAATGGCAAGATCTAGGCTCACTGCGACCTCTACCTCCCAGATTCAAGCGATTCTCCTGCCTCATCCTCCCAAGTAGCTTGGATTTACAGGTGTGCGCCACCATACCCTGCGAATTTTTTGTAGTTTTAGTAGAGACAGGGTTTTACCATGTTGGTCAAGCTGGTCTTGAACTCCTGACCTCAAGTAATCCACCTGCCTCGGCCTCCCAAAATGCTGGGATTACAGGTATGAGCCACTGTGCCTGGCCTTAATTTTTTAATTTAGTTTTTGTAGATTCAGGGTCTGGCTCTGTCATGCAAGCTGGAGTGCAATGATGCGATTGTGGTTCACTGCAGCCTTGACCTCCTGGGCTCAAGCCATCCTCCCTTCTTGGCCTCCCAAAGTGCTGGCATTACAGGTGTGAGCCACCGTGCCCAGCCCCATCATCCATTTTTTTTCACATTTTAATTATTATTATTTTCAGTATTTATTGATCATTCTTGGGTGTTTCTCGGAGAGGGGGATGTGGCAGGGTCATAGGATAATAGTGGAGAGAAGGTCAGCAGATAAACACGTGAACAAAGGTCTCTGGTTTTCCTAGGCAGAGGACCCTGCGGCCTTCGGCAGTGTTTGTGTCCCTGGGTACTTGAGATTAGGGAGTGGTGATGACTCTTAACGCGCATGCTGCCTTCTAGCATCTGTGTAACAAAGCACATCTTGCCCCATCATCCATTTTTATCTTCGGTCTTTCATTGGCACATTCCTTGTCACCGGGTAACTATTCAATGAACACATTTGTGCATTGAATGAACTGGCTCTCTGAATCTGAGTTTCTGCATCCAGCTGTCTCTGTGTGGTGACGTGGGGGATGGGGTGGGATCCAGAGTTACAAGAATGTTTATTTATAAATGAGATACTTCTCTACAAGTGGATTTCCTTTCCCACTCACAGACTGAGCAATAATTGGTTAAATAAGTTTACACACAGGGGTTTGGGACAAGCTCCTTCGTGAGACGAAGTGACTGCTGTTTACAAATGAAGACCGTGAAGTGTCTTAGGGCTGCGTGAAAAGGACAGCTTGTGTGTTTCCCGATGAAATGAATGAATAACAAGGATGGGGGATCCCCAGGAACACACAGACCCCGTCTATAAGAGCTGACCTCTCCTGGGTTTACAGCTTTGATTACCCACGGGCCAGGGCAAAATGCATCCCTTGTGACCTACGATAGGTGTGGAAATGGCACAAGTCCCCTAATTACCGCTGGCGCCGTAATCTGTGGGCTCCGGTACGCAGTGAAAATGCAAGTCCTGCCGGGCGCAGTGGCTGGTGTCTGTAGTTCCAGCTACTCGGGAGGCCGAGGCAGGAGGATTGCTTGAACCCGGGAGCTCTGGGCAGCAGGGCGCTCTGCCGATTGGGTGTCTCCACTAAGTTTGGCATCAATATGGTGACCTCCTGGGTGCAGGGAACCATCAGGTTGCCTAAGGAGGGTGAACCAGCCCAGGCTGGCAACGGAGCAAGTCAAAACTCCTGTGCTGATCAGTAGTGGGATTATGCTTGTGAATAGCCACTGCACTCCAGCCTGGGCAACATAGTAAGACCCCACCCCTAAAAAAAAAAAGAAAGAAAAAAGGAAATCCAAGTCCTCTTGTTCAAAGAATTTCACTATGGGGGCCTCAGTGGATGCAATCAAGTGTGCAGGCTTTCTAAGTGCAGGACCCTGAAGACTACAGGTCTCACACCCATGAAGCCTGCCCTGCTCACAACAGGTGTGTGCAACATTGCCCAGTTCACGAATATGATGTCGTGTCATTTAACCATGGCAACAACTCTGAAATATTATTATCCCCGTGATGAAAAAGGGAGAGATATCCCAGGTCAGGCAGGGTGAGATGGCTCAAGCCTATAATCTCAGCACTTTGGGAGGTTTGCCTTGAAGCCAGGAGTTTAAGACCAGCCTAGGCAACAGAGTGAGACCCCTACCTCTTTAATTTTTTTTTTTTTTTTTGAGACAAGGACTCACTCTGTCACCCAGGCTTGAGTGCTGTGGTTCAATCATGGCTCACTGCAGCCTCTGCCTCCTGGGCTCAAGTGATCCTCCCACCTCAGCCTCCCAAGTAGCTGTGACTATGGGCACACGCCGCCATACCCAGCTAATTTATTTTATTTTTTGTAGAGACGGGGGGGGGGCTCTCACTATGTTGCCCAGGCTGGTCTCAAATGCCTGGGCTCAAGCCATCCTCCCGCTTTGGCCTCCCAAACTGCTGGGATTACAGGTGTGAGCCACTGCGCCTGGCTTTCTGGGCATTTTAATTTGTGGATCACCATGACTGTTATCCCAGCTACTGGCGAGGAGGCTGAGGCGGGAGAATCACTTGAACCCGGAAGGTGGAGGTTGCGGTGAGCTGAGATCATGCCATTGCACTCCAGCCTGGGCAACAAGAGCGAAACTCAGTCTAAAAAAAAAAAGATACTCATCAATTAGCGTGATATTTACAAGAATTTCATGTGGTAGTTGTGACAGTTAATTTTGTATGTCAATTTGAGTGGGCCATGGGGTGCCCAGATTAAACATTGGCCAAGACTGCATACTTATGCTAACATGTGTTAAACCTCTGTGCTGACATGTCAAGCACTTCTGTACTCAGCAAAGCAGCAAACATTTTCCACAAGATACCTCACTGCTCAGAACATTAAGGCAGCTATTGATGCTCCTATTTTACAGATGAAGATAAACTACATTTCAGAGATTAGATGGCCAGAATGTACCAGCCTTCAGATGTGTGCTGAAATCTCTGGTTCCCTGCTTTTCCTACACGGCCTGGAGTAATGGCTTATTTTGTAAGACACAGAGCACAGAACCCCAGTGAGAAGAAATTATGAATAAGGACTTGTTCTGGCCCCAGCCAATGGACAGGATGCTATGAGAATGCATAAAGAATTCTGCAAAGGCTGAGGGCAGTGGCTCACGCCTGTAATCCTGGCACTTTGGGAGGCTGAGGCAGGGAGGATGGCTTGAGCCCAGGGGTTTGAGACCAGATTGGGCAACATAGTGGGACTCTATCGCTACAAAAAAATTTAAAAATTAGCCAGGCGGGGTGGTACGAGCCTGTGGTCCCAGCTATTCAGGAGCCTGAGGTGGGAGGATGGATGGCTTCAGCCTGGGAGATCAAGGCTGCAGTGAGCCATGATCATACCACTGCACTCCAGCCTGGGTGACAGAGCTTTTATTATTTATTATAAAATAATAAAATAAAATAAAATAAAAAATGATTCTGCAAATGTCAGCCTACTCCTCTGCCCAAAATATATAATAACGAAGAAAACAAAGCAAAGATGTCACAGCTATGGTTTTGTTGCTATGAGAATACTCTTGTCAAGGCTGGAGGATGGCGCAAACATACTGTATTTAACCGCTTGTCAGTTTCACTTGCAATTCACACACGTGGCGCGTGGGCCTCTGTGCTCTTGTCCTGGGTCAGCCAATGTCAGGGGCGGGAGCAAGGGTATGAATGCTTCAAGAAGGAAGGATGGACCCGGCAAGTTGAGTGCTTCCGAGAGGTTAGGATGAGGCTGCCAGGGCAAGCACGTGCGGATTATGGGCAGGGCGGTGAGTTGTTGCTGGGTAGTGCAGAAGAAGCTGTTCTGGGGTAACGCAGGTGGGAGCAGGTAGGAGGGGACTGGAGAAGGGTGCAGGTGGGAATGAGATCATAGGGGAGGATACAGTGCTGCAGGAAATATATTTTTTAAATTTTTAAATTTTCTTTTTTAGATGGAATCTCTGTTGCCATGGCTGGAGTGCAGTGGTGCCATCTCGGCTCACTGCAACCTCCACCTCCTGGGTTCAAGTGATTCTTCTGTCTCACCCTCCTGAGTAGCGGGGACTACAGGCACACACCACCATGCCTGGATAATTTTTGTATTTTCAGTAGAGACAGGGTTTCACCATGTTGGTCAGGCTGGTCTCGACCTCCTGACCTCAAGTGATCCACCTGCCTCGGCCTCCCAAAGTGCTGGGATTACAGCCATGAGCCACCGTGCCCAGCCAGAGCTGCAGGAAATATTTTAAGACTCCAGCTGCCAATGGCCTTGGGGAAGGGGTATGTTCACAGGTGTGTCTAGGAGGGCCTGGCACCCCCTCGTGGGGAACACTCATGCTTCCTGAGTTCCTCTCTTCTCTCTTTTATTCCTGAAGCTTTCTGTCAGTACTGTATTCAGAATACCAATGGTATGAAGTCAGCCTAGCTATGTGGAACTTTGGACTCAGTCCTTTTTGTTTTGTTTTGTTTTGTTTGTTTTTGAGACAGAGTCTCACTCTGTTGCCCAGGCTGGAGTACAATGGCGCGATCTCAGCTCACTGCAACCTCTGCCTCCCGGGTACAAGCAATTCTCCCATCTCAGCCTCCCAAGTAGCTGGGATTACAGGCGGACACCACTATGCCTGGCTAAGTTTTGTATTTTTAGTAGACACAGGGTTTCACCATGTTAGCCAGGCTGGTTTCGAACTCCTGACCTCAGGTGATCCACCTGACTTGGCCTCCCAAAGTGCTGGGATTATAGGCATCAGCCACCGTGCTCGGCCTGGACTCAGTAGCATGAGTACTGGTCTGACTTTCTGGGTAGCCCAGAGCTGTTATGGGTGTCAGACTTCACGTTCCCAGTGCCTTCTAACTGACCCTCAAAGGAAGACAGAAGCTACATCATTTCTTATTGAAATGCTGCAGGAGAGGACAATTCCTTAAAATTATCTGAGAGACTACTGGCTATGTCTTTTTTCCCCCTCACTCTTAGACACTTGCTCTAAATTACTCAGTGAAACTGATGGCAAAATCCCTTTAGACCTTTGGCTGGCTGTGTCTTCGTGAGCTCACTAGAGCATTGTTGGGGGAAGAAAAGGCTGAAATAAAGATGGGAGTGGCCGGGCGCGGTGGCTCACACCTGTAATCCCAGCACTTTGGGAGGCCAATGTGGGAGACCATTTGAGGCCAGGAGTTCAAGACCAGCCTGAGCAACATAGTGAGACCCCCATCTCTACAAAAATTAAAAAGTTCTCCTGGGTGTGGTGGTGCATGCCTGTGACTCCAGCTACTCAGGAGGTTGAGGCAGGAGAATCGCTTGAGCCCAGGTGGTTGAGGTTGTAGTGAGCTGTGATCTTGCCACTGCATTCCAGCCTTGGTAGGCCCTGTCTCCAAAAAAACAAAACAAAACAATAGCGACAACAAAACACAGTGAAGCTAGAGAAGAAAAATACACTGGATGGGATTAGCAAATTAGACACCGAAGAAAAAAAGAGTAATGAGTTTGAAAACATAGCAATGGAAAAGATGCCGGGTGCGGTGGCTCACTCCTGTAATCCCAGAACTTGGGGAGGCTGAGGTGGGTGGATCACTAGAGCTCAGGAGTTTGAGACCAGCCTGGACAACATGGTGGAACCCCATCTCTACAAAAAAATTTTAAAAAGTAGCCAGGTGTGGTGGTCCCAGCTACCGGGGAGGATCACCTGGGCCCAGGAGGTCAAGGCTGCAGTGAACCAAGATTGTGCCACTGCACTCCAGCCTGGGCAACATAGCAAGACCCCATCTTAGAAAAAACAACCCCCCAAAACAGAACCAGTCCCCTCCCAAACACCCCCACATCACAATAGAAAAGATACAAGCTGAAACACAGAGAGAAACAATTCTGGAAGAAATAAAACCAGACATCAGTGAGCTACTGGACAACTTCAAGTGGCCTAATATACATGTAATTGGAGTCTCAGAGAAAAGGAGAAAGAGGAGGGACCAGAAAAATATTTGAAGAAATAATGGCAGAAAATTTTCCACATTGGATGAAAGCAGGCTCAAGAAGCTCAATGAACCTCCAGAAAAAATAAGAGGAGGAAAAAGGAGGAGGAGGAAGAGCCAACACGTATAAAGGGCGCATTATTATAAAATTGTTTAAAACCAGTGATAAAGAGAAGATGAAGGTCATAAAGGCAGCCAGAAAAAAGAGACACAATATGTTCAGAGGAACAAAGAAAAGATTGACATCAGACTTCTCTTCTTTTTTTTTGAGATGGGGTCTTGCTATGTTGCCCAGGCTTGTCTTGAACTCCTGGGCCCAAGCGATCCTCCTGAGTAGGTGGGATTACAGGTGCACGCCACTGCACCGAGTGACATCAGACTTCTGATCAGAAACAATGCAGGCCAGAAGGCAAGGAGGAATTTTTTTTAAAGAACTGCAAGGAAAATGAACAAACAAACTATTGTGGATGGACACAAAGATTTTGCTTCTCTTAGCAATTGGAAATCACCTCAACGTCCAATGTGCAGGGATTTGTTAATTGATGGGCCATAAAAAATAAAAGGATAGTCTACAAGTCTACTTAATGATATGGAAAAATATCCACCACATATTGTAAAGTGAAACAGGCACTACGTTAAATGTATTTTGTAAATTGGAAAATATATATTTATAGACACAGGACGGCGGTTATAGGGACTGGACCTTACACAATTGTGGGAGCGGGTTACATGGTAACCAGTGCCAACCTCCACCCTCCACAGATATGTCTTCTTGCTCACAATAAACTGGAACTAGACAGGGAGGGGAAATTTAGGAAATGCAGTCCCAGTTTTGCTAAATTGACACAATATGTATCCACCACATATCAGTAAAAGACTACAGAGAAATTCACCCAAATGGTTTTAGCAGTTATTACTGGGAGTTGAGTGAGTTTAAATTCTCAGTACACAGGTCAGATGTCAGAAAATCAAACAACACATTTGGTTTTTTAATATAATAAGTCAACGAAATTTTCACTCCAATCCCTCCCATCCTATCAAGGAGGCAGGAAATTCAACATCCTTCCTTCCCTCCCTCCCTCCTTTCCTAACTTCCTTTTCTTTCTTCTTCCCTCCCTCCCTCCCTTCCTTCTTCCCTCCTTGTCTTCCCCCTCCCTCCTTCTCTCCCCCCCTTCCTTCTTTCCTTCCTCTCTTCCTCCTTTCCTCCCTCCCTTCCTCCTTTCCTCCCTCCCTCTCCCCCCCACTCCTTCCTTCTGTCCTTCATCTCACTCTGTTGCCCAGGCTGGAGTGCAGTGGCACACTCATAGCTCAGTGTCACCTTGAACTCCTGGGCTCAATGGCTCCTTCTCACCTCAACCTCTAAAGTACCTGGGACTACAGGCACACACCACCAGAACCAGCTAATTAAATTTTTTTTTTTTGTAGAGACTGGGGTTTTGCTATGTTGCCCAGGCTGGTGTTCAGCTCCTAGCCTCAAGTAATCCTCCTCCTTCAGCCTCCCCAGACACTAGGATTGCAGGCACGAGCCAGTGCACCCAGCAGAAAAATACTGGACTTTTGTACAAATACCTATGCTATTCATGAATAGCCCTTAAACTGCCCTGAAATTATGGGACTGAAGTGATTAAAATCTTTATCCAAATGAAGACAACTCTGTTATTATCAAGAGTGCGGCATATTTGACCTACATCTAGATGTGTATATGCATTTTCTTTTCCGAAAATGAATAAAAGAACAAAAGATTTCAGTATTGTTGTTACCTATGTATTAAATGCACAGTTAAACTCACTGTCTCTAAATGCACAGGGTATGTGTTGCCCAAGCCCAGGACAGTTCTCTGGGACTTCCAGGTCGCAGCTGAGCATGTTTCATTTCCTGAATTTAGTGTTCTCCCATCGCTAGAGGTGATTCATGTTCATTAATTAGGTTGGTGCAAAAGTTATTGTGGTTTTTGCATTATTGCAACTGTAATATAATTTTGCAATTATAACTTTTGCACCAGCCTAATAAAAAAACACCTTGGCTGACAAGCTATGGGAATGGGATGGCCACCATAAATGACCTTCACGGTGTTCTAAAAAGCAGTGGCTTCCAGTTCAGAAGCGGTTTGCTGCCCTCTGTCTAATGAGTTGGGGTTCTCTTTCTCCTCCACTTTCTAGGGTTTTGATGCCTCTTAGCGTCACCATCTCTCATTTGGGGAGCAATTATGAATCGTTAGTAAAAGCTCAACTTTTTTAAGAAGCAAAACCAGGAAGAAAATTCAGCATGTCCTGGTTTTCTAGACGGCATCCTCAAAGACCACACCCAGGCGCTTAATAATTTAGCCTTTTGGGCAAAGTTCTCATTAGAATAGATCAAAAACATGAATAATGCAGGCATTTGCAAATCACACTACTCGTCGGCCCCGACGCTGGCCAGGAAACACCTGAAGCAGTTGCAGTGGGGCTCAGGGTGACTGGATCGGGTGACTGGGTCATGATGACAACAAATTTGGTTAATGGGAATCCCAGGTCATATCCGATGGTATCAAACTACAGCTGCTGCCCGCTGTCTTCCACAGGTCTTTCAAGTCAAATGTCTCATGCCAGTCAAAATTCCTGCCAGGAAATCACACTCTATTTCCCTAGTTCTTTTTTTTTTTGAGAGGGAGTTTCACTCTTGTTGCCCAGGCTGGAGTGTAATGGTGCGATGTCGGCTCACTGCAACCTCCGCCTCCCGGGTTCAAGCAATTCTCCTGCCTCAGTTTCTCAAGTAGCTGGGATTGCAGGCACGCACCACCACGCCCGGCTAATTTTGTATTTTTAGTAGAGATGGGGTTGCTGGTCTCAAACTCCCAACCTCAGGTGATCCGCCTGGCTTGGCCTCCCAAAGTGCTGGGATTACAGGTGTGAGCCACGGTGCCCGGCCTATTTGATTTATTCTAATGAGAACTTTGCCCAAAAGGCTTAATTATTAAGTGCCTGGGTGTGGTCTTTGAGGATGCCGTCTAGAAAACCAGGACATGCTGAATTTTCTTGCTGGTTTTGCATCTTAAAAAAGTTGAGCTTTTACTAACGATTCATAATTGCTCCCCAAATGAGAGATGGTGACGCTAAGAGGCATCAAAACCCTAGAACGTGGAGGAGAAAAGAGAACCCCAACTCATTAGACAGAGGGCAGCAAACCCCTTCTGAACTGGAAGCCACTGCTTTTTAGAACACCGTGAAGGTCATTCTTCCTTTTTTTTTTTTTTTGAGACAAGGTCTCCCCCTGTCACCCAGGCTGGAGTGCAGTGGTGCGATCACAGCTCACCGCAGCCTCAACCTCCTGGGCTCAAGTGATTTCCCCTACCATAGCATCCCCCCCAACCAGGAGCTGGGACCACAGGCATGCACCACCATGCCTGGCTAATGCTTTATTTTTTGTAGAGACGGGATCTCATCATGTTGCCCAGGCTGGTCTTGCACTCATGGGCTCAAGCGACCCTCCTGCCTCAGCCTCCTAAAGTGCCGGGATTTCAGGTGTGAGCCACAGCACCTGGCCCCCTCTTTGCCCCCCTTGTTCCCCAGATCATTCTTGCATTCCTGATCTCCTTCTCAAACCCCAACATGTCTTCATCCTCAGCAGATGACCTTGCCTTCTCCTTAACTGAGAAAATACTAACGACCAGAGGAGAGTGTCCCCAGGTTCCCTAGACAACATCGGCCCTCTCCCAGCCTCTGCATCCACTCACTCTGCCTTCCTGCCTTAGCTATAACATGAACCATCAGGCCGGGTACAGTGGCTCACGCCTGTAATTCCAGCACTTTGCGACGCCGAGTCAGGCAGATCATGAGGTCAGGAGTTTGAGACCAGCATGGCCAACATGGTGAAACCCCATCTCTACTAAAAATACAAAAAATTAGCTGGGCGTGGTGGTGCGCACCTGTAATCCCAGCTACCTGGAAGGCTGATGCAGGAGAATCGCTTGAACCCAGGAGGTGGAGGTTGCAGTGAGCTGAGATCATGTCATTGCACTCCAGCCTGGGTGACAGAGCAAGACTCCATCTTGAGAAAAAAAAAAAAAAAATGAACCATCCACATCCTATCTAAAGCCAGCCCCTCAGCCATCTAAACTGGATTCCATTCCTGCCACCCTCTCAAGCACGTCACTCCACGTACTCCCTCTTCCCTCTCCTGTGCCATCAATTTCTCTCTCCCTAATAGATCTTTCCCATTAACATAATATTAACCGAAAAAGGGAATGAGTCATGAGTCCCCATTGACTGAGGTTGATGCAGCAGTTTGAGGACACGCCCGGGAGGAACATCAGCCACAGGAGCATCTGTGACCTGTGAGTTTCCAAAGAGGGTTTGGGAACTTCACTATTTAAAGGGGAAAGAGCAAGCAGGAGGGATAAAGGAAGGGAGGGTAGGCAGAGAGGCAAATGGTCCCATTCTCCCAAGGCTCTGATTAGCGATCAATAAATCTACATTTTACATGTCAATGAGGCATTCCTCTCCAGCTCAGGAAATCTACATTTTACATAAGGTAAAGTAAATATGTGAAAAAAGGAGTAAAGAGTCCATGATGCATTCATCTTGAGCTCAGTAAATCTACATTTTACATAAGATAAACGTATGAAAAGAGGGAGTAGAGGAGTCCATGTTGCATTCATCTCAAGCCCAGTAAATCTACATTTTACATAAGATAAACATGAAAAGAGGGAGTAAAGAGTCCATGATGCATTCATCTTGAGCTCAGTAAATCCACATTTTACATAGGATAAACATGTGAAAAGAGTAGAGGAGTCCATGATGCATTCATCTTGAGCTCAGTAGATCTACATTTTACGCAAGATAAAGTAAACTTGAAAAGGAGTAGAGTCTGTGATGCATTCATCCTAAGCCCAGTGAATCCACATTTTACATAAGATAAACGTGAAAAGAGGGAGTAAAGAGTTTATGCTGCATTCATCTTGAGCTCAGTAAATCTGCATTTTACATAACATAAAGTAAACATGAAAAGAGGGAGTAGGGGAATAGGGCCATGCTGCATTTATCTCAGGGTAGGTGGAAGGATGATTTACGATCTTGTCCTTGTCCTATCCATGTGAAAATAAGCTGGTAATCGACATTGTCAGTGTGAGATTTAACAGAACTTGCTTTTAGGGCTAGTTTATAGGGGGAGATGTATCCTGAAAGAATTAGGGGCTCACTTTGTGAGCAACTTGTGAGGGAGCCATCTGGGAAGATACGTAACGTTCTGTCTTGGTGGGCACCTGGCTTATGCATGAGGCTAGAACATGGGGTTATGAAAATACAGCTCTCCATTTGGGAACAAAAGGGAAGGCAGTATTGCATGACTCAGTTTCCAAGCTTGACTTTCTCTTTGGCATAGTGAGTTTGGGGTCCTGAGAATTTACCTTCTTTCACAATACAAACATGCTGGTGTATGGATCCTGTCTTTAAAACGAACTTTCAGTATGGATGGCAAACGAGCACATGAAAAGATGCTTAACGTTATTCATCATTAGAGAATGCAGATTAAAGCCACTGTGAGGGCCCAGGGGCACACGCCTGCAGTTCCACCCACTCAGGAGGCTGACGCAGGAGGATCACTTGAGCTCAGGAGTTTGAGGCTGTAGTGTGCAATGTTCGTGCCTGTGAACAGCCACTGTACTCTAGCCTGGGTAACATAGCAAGACCCTGTCTCTAAAAAAATTTTTTTAAATTAAAAAGTAGGCCGAGTGTGGTGGCTGATGCTTGCAATTTCAATGCTTTGGGAGGCCGAGGCGGTAGGATCACTTGAGCCCAGGGGTTTGAGACCAGCCTGGGCAACATAGTGAGACCCTGTCTCTAACAACAACAACAAATTATAAATAAATAAATAAATAAAACCACAATGAGATGCCAATACACATTAATGAAAATGTCCAAAATGAGGAGGGCTGACCCATGCCAAGCACTGGTGAGAGAGGAACTGGAACCCTCCTTCCCTGCTAAACTCACTTTCCTCTGAATAAGAAATGCATTACCCAAGTACTGAGCAACTCTCTTGGCTCTCCTTCCGCTCTTCAACATGTTTTCCTTCCTGAATGTAAATTTCCTTTGGAAAACACAGTGGAAGTGTCTATCACATGACCCAACTGGTTCTATTCCAACTTCCTCCCCAAGAACTGGGATTCTTTTTTTTTTTTTAAGACAGAATTTCGTTCTTGTTGCCCAGGCTGGAGTGCAATGGTGCGATCTCAGCTCACTTCAACCTCCGCCTCCTGGGTTCAAGCCATTTTCTTGCCTCAGCCTCCCAAGTAGCTGGGATTACAGGCACGCAGCACCAAGCCCGGCTAATTTTGTATTTTTAGTAGAGATGGGGTTTCACCGTGTTGGCCAGGCTGGTCTCGAACTCCTGACCTCAGGTGATCTGCCTACTTCAGCCTCTCAAAGTGCTGGGATTACAGGCGTGAGCCACCGCACTGCACTCGGCCAGAACTGGGATTCTTAAAGCACATCTCCCTCCCATCCTGCTAAAAACCAGCAACAACTATAACCACCACCACCTGTGGCACACACATTTGGTGTCAGCATTAGCGAGCCACCTCCAGGCTACCCCATTTGAGGACTTCTTGCCAAGAAGTTCTCCAGCAGTTTTCACCCAAAACCTGTTCTTGCTGTTTTTGCTCTCTGGCCAACTCTGTGGTCACTAAATCAATGTTTCACTTTTTCAGCAGGAACAACAATAAATAAATAAATATATATATGTATAT
Source organism: Homo sapiens (assembly GCF_000001405.40). Classification (NCBI taxonomy): domain Eukaryota; kingdom Metazoa; phylum Chordata; class Mammalia; order Primates; family Hominidae; genus Homo; species Homo sapiens. Next base: position 5,860,855 of record NC_000007.14, on the reverse strand, counting down.
GTATATGTATGTGTATATATGTGTGTGTGTATATATATGTATGTGTGTATGTGTGTATATATATGTATATATACACGTATATATACGAATATATATATACGTATATATGTGTATATATACGTGAATATATACACGTATATATACACGTATATATACGTAATAATATATACACACGTATATATACACGTATATATACGTAATATATATACACACGTATATATACACGTATATATACGTAATATATATACACACGTATATATACACGTATATATACGTAATATATATACACACGTATATATACACGTATATATACGTAATATATATACACACGTATATATACACGTATATATACGTAATATATATATACACGTATATATACACGTATATATACGTAATAATATACATACACGTATATATACACGCATATATACGTAATATATATATACGTATATATACACGTATATATACCTAATGATATATATATATATATGCATATATATATACACACACACACATACGGAGAGCCCCAAACTGCTTAGGCATGTGTGAAATGCTATAGCAGAAAAGAAACAAAATGGTATAGGACGCTGATTTTTTCATGAACAAGAAATGTGAGCGGCTCCGTCTCAACTTACGGATGAGCTGGAGGCAACATTTAATGAAGACTTAAGTGAGTTAATTAAGGAGAAATTGCAACTAAACCCCACATAATGAGAGAGCTGGCATCTCTCGCTCCAGGGTCCCATATTTTTATCTGTCTTCACTTGTCCATGATGTGGGTTCTCTTTGTGGGGGGGGTCTCCTTGTATTGGGCAGACATCCCCATGAGATTCAGAACCCAGGAAAAACCATCCAATAAAAAAACACTGGCTGGGCGCGGTGGCTCACACCTCTAATCCCAGCACTTTGAGAGGCCAAGGCAGGTGGATCACCTAAGATCAGGAGTTCAAGACCAGCCTGGCCAACATGGTAAAACCCTGTCTCTAGTAAAAATACAAAAATTATAGGCGGGCGCCTGTAATCCCAGCTACTCACGAGGCTGAGGCAGGAGAATCGCTTGAACCCGGGAGGCGGAGGTTGCAGTGAGCTGAGATCACGCCATTGCACTCCAGCCTGGACAACAAGAACGAAACTGTCTCAAAGACACAAAACAAAACAAAAAAAACAAAACAAATAAAAAACAACAAAAAGAAAACCATCAAGGAAGAGATGTTGTCGCCCAAAAGCTTCAATGACCCGGGACAGATGTCAGAGTTGAATTCAGAGAATTGTTCCAAAGCCCCAAGAACTCTCATGTTGGCCAGGTGCAGTGGCTCACAATTGGAATCCCAGCACTTTGGGAGGCCGAGGCAGGAGGATTGCTGCCGGCCAGGAGTTTGAGACCAGCCTGAGCAGCAGAGCGAGACCCCATGTCTACAAAAATGTAAAAAGTTAGCGAGGCATGGTAGCGCGTGCCTGCAGTTGCAGCTACTTGGGAGGCCGAGGTGGGAGGATTGCTTGAGCCCAGGAATTCATGACTGCAGTGAGATAGTTGTACCGCTGCACTCCAGCCTGGGTGACAGAGCGAGAACCTGTCTCTAAAAAATAATAATTAAAAAAAAACCCTCATGTTCTTATCTAGATATGACCTTGAATGGATAGAAAGAAGCTCAGGAGACAGGAGATCCCATCCTATCTTGGGCTTTTCTAGCTGTCTGCCCTTGGGAAATTCACTTAATCTCTCAGAACATCAGTTTTCTTCTTTTTATTTGATTTATTTTTTGAGGGACAGAGAGTCTTGCTCTGTGCCCCAGGCTGGAGTGCGGTGGTGCCATCTTGGCTCACTGCAACCTCCACCTCCTGGGTGCAAGCAATTCTCGTGCCTCAGCCACCCGAGTAGGTGGGATCACAGGCCCATACCACCATGCCCAGCTAATTTTTGTATTTTTAGCAGTGATGGGGTTACACCATCGCTACATTTCTCCTGGCCATCGTTGGCCAGGCTGGTCTTGAACTGCTGACCTCAAGTGATCCACCCACCTTGGCCTCTCCAAGTGCTGGGATTACAGATGTGAGCCGCCATGCCCAGCCTGATGTCAGCAAATTCTTTTTACCAACCCTCCAATCAACCACTTCCTGGTGCTGGGGCTCTGACACCTTGCTCACCTCAAGTGATCCACCTGCCTCAGACTCCGGAAGTGCTGAGATTACAAGTGTGAGCCACCACGCCCAGCGAGTTTTCTTTTCTCTTTCTTTTTTTCTTTTGAGATGGAGTTTCCCTCTTGTTGCCCAGGCTGGAGTGCAATGGCGCAATATTGGCTCACTGCAACCTCCGCCCTCCGGGTTCAAGAGATTCTCCTGCCTCAGCCTCCTGAGTAGCTGGGATTACAGGCGTGCAACACCACGCCCAGCTAATTTTAGTATTTTTAGTAGAAACGGGGTTTCACCTTGTTGGTCAGGCTGGTCTCAAACTCCTGACCTCATGATTCGCCCGCCTCAGCCTCCCAAAGTGCTGGGATTACAGGTGTGAGCCATCATACTTACCCATAACATGCTCATATTTTCATTTACCTTCTTGAACATACCAAATAGTTGTAGTAAGTGTTTTAATCTCTTTATTAGTTCTATCTTTGTCATTTCATTTCATTGATTTTTCTCCTCTTCCTGGGATATAATCCTTGCTTCTTGGCATACCTGATGATTATTTTTTTTCAGAGACAGGATCTTGCTGTGTCACCCAGGCTGGAGGGCAGCGGCACCACCATACCTCACTGCAGCCTCAACCTCCTGGGCTTCAGCAATCCTCCCACCTCAGCCTCTCAACTGACTGGGCTTACAGGTGTGCACCACCACACCTGGCTAATTTTTTAGTTTTACTTTTGTAGAGATGAGATCTCGCTATGTTGCCCAGTCTGGATCTTGAACTCCTGGCCTCAAGCAATCCTCCTGCCTCACCCTCCCAAAGTGCTGGGATTATAAGTGTGAGCCAACACTTCCTGCCATGCCTGGTGATTTTTTACTGGGCACCAGATATTGTGAATTTTACCTGGTTGGGTGCTGAATATTCTTGTTTAAAAAATATATTCTTGAGCTTATTCTGGGACATGGTTAAGTGACTTGGAAATAGCGTAATCTTTTTTTTTTTTTTTTTTTTTGAGAGTGAGACTCGGTTTGTCACCCAGGTTGGAGTGCAGTGACACAATCTCAACTCACTGCAACCTCTGCCCCTTGGGTTCAAGCGATCCACCCACCTCAGCCTCCCTAGTAGCTGGGACTACAGGTGCGCACAACCGCGCCCAGCTAATTTTTGTATTTTTAGTAGAGACGGGGATTTCACCATGTTGGCCAGGCTGGTCTTGAACTCCTGACCTCAGGTGATCCACCCGCCTCGGCCTCCCAAAGTACTGGGATCACAGGCGTGAACCTCCGCACCCAGATGCGTGGTCCTTTTGAGACTTGCAGAACTAGACCAACCCTTAGTCTAGGGCCAATTCTGCCGCACCACGAAGGCAACGCCCCTCTGAACACTTGATTCAATGCCCCAGGTATTATGAGGTTTTTCACTTTGCCTGCTGGAAACACGAACGGTTCCCAGCTTTTTGTGGACTTTGGAATTATTCTGCCTGTTTCTATTGTGTGATTCCTTCCCCTAGTCTTGCTCGGGTAATTTCCTCCATGTGTGAGGTGATCCCACTCAGCTTCAGAGTCAAGAGGTTTCCTTTGCAAAGCTGCAGAATTTGGGTTTTTTTGCATATCTCTCCCGCAGGATTCCATCCTGCAAATTCCAGCTGCTTTGGCCTGCTCAAACTTTTTTTTTTTTTTTTTTTAGAGACAGAGTCTCGCTTTCTGGCCCAGGCTGGAGGGCAGTGGCGCGATCTCGGCTCACTGCAACCTCCACCTCCCAGGTTCAAGTGATTCTCATGCTTCAGCCGCCTGACTAGCTGGGATTACAAGCATGCACCACCACGCCCAGCTAAATTTTTTGTATTTTTAGTAGAGACAGGGTTTCACCATGTTGGCCAGGCTGGTCTCGAACTCCTGACCTCAAGTGACCCACCCACCTCGGCCTCCCAAAGTGCTAGGATTATAGGCGTGAACCACCGCACCTGGCCAGGCCTGCTCACACTTTCAGCTCTGTCTCCTGCACTCAGGGAGAACACTGGGCTCTGCCCGGCTGCCCTCCTCCCGCGGCAGCTGGAAACACTTTGCCTCATTGGTTTCTCCCCTAACGGAGATCATGGTCTTTAGTGCCACCTATTGACCGGTGTCTAAAAACTGCCTTTGCGTATGTGTTGTACGGTTTTCTAGGTATTTAAGGCAAGAGGGTTAATCCATCTTGGCCATAAGTTGGGGAAGTCTCCACAATTTTTACAACATTTTGGGAGTCTGAAGGGGGAAGACTGCTTGAGACCAGGAGTTCGAACCCAGCTCGGGCAACACAGCAAGACCCCAATCTCTCCAAGAAAATAAAAATACTAAAAGTAGCCGAGCATGACAATGTGCGCCTATAGTCTCAGCTACTCGGGAGGCTGAGGTGGGAGGACTGCCTGAGCCCAGGAGATCCAGGCTGCAGTGAGCCATGTTGGCACCACTGCACTCCAGTCTGGGTGACACAGTGAGACCTTGTCTCAAGAAAAAAATAAAACATTTTAAGTTCCTGGAAGGGTGAGTTAGAGGCTATATAAAGAATTAAAGCTTTTTTAAAATCACATTCCCAAATTATTGGTCAAAAGGGAGCAGTGGGCCGGGTGTGGTGGCTCATACCTGTTATCCCAGCACTTTGGGAGGCCGAGGTGGGCGGATCACCTGAGGTCAGGACTTTGAGACCAGCCTGGCCAACACGGCAAAACCCCATCTGTACTAAAAATACAAAAATGAGCCAGGCGTGGTGGTGAGCACCTGTAATCCCAGCTACTTGGGAGGCTGAAGCAGGAGAATCACTTGAACTGGGGAGGCAGAAGTTGCAGTGAGCCGAGACAGTGCCTCTGTACTCCAGCCTGGGTGACAGAGCAAGACTCCATCTCAAAAAAAAAAAAGAATTAAAGCTTTTGGTGGCTCACACCTGTAATCCCGGTACTTTGGGAGGCTGAGGTGAGCAGATGGCTTGAGCTCAGGAGTTCAAGACCAGCCTGGGCAATGCGGTGAAACCCCATCTCTACAAAAATTATAAAAATTAGCCAGCCATGCTGGCTCACACCTGTAGTTCCAGCTACTCAGGAGGCAGAGGTGGGAGGATCGCTTGAGCCTGGGAAGTTGAGGCTGCAATGAGCCCTGATTTTGCCACTGTACTCCAGCCTATACAACAGAGCAAGACCCTTCTCAAAAACGAAAAGAAACTGCTGTTTCCTATGTTTTGTACAGTTGTAGGTATTTAAGGCAAGAAGGGTTATCCATCTTGGCCATAAGAAGGGGAGATCTCCACAATTTCTGTAAACATTTTAAGTTCATGGAAGGGGAATTGTGGGTTAGAGGCTATATAAAGTATTAGGATTTTTGATAATAAGAAAATATGGGCTAAGCATCGTGGCTGTAATCCCAGCACTTTGGGAGGCCGAGGTGGGTGCATCACTTGAGGTCAGGAGTTCGAGACCAGCCTGGCCAACATGGTGAAACCCCCATCTCTATTAAAAATGCAAAAAAAATTAGCCAGGCATGGTGGCGGGTGCCTGTAATCCCAGCTACTCAGGAGACTGACACAGGAGAATTGCTTGAACCCAGGAGGAGGAGATAACAGTGAGCCAAGATCATGCCATTGCACTCCAGCCTGGACAACAAGAGCAAAACTCCATCTCAAAAAAAGAAAAGGGCACATATGTGTGCGTGCAACAGAATACAGAATATTTATTTCCAGAGGAACCCTGACTTCTCCAGGCTCCTCGGTTTGTCCTTCTTTGTGGGCATGATTTATGCAGCTGCCTATAGATGTCACCACAGGAAGGCACGTCAGAGGTAATAAAAATCCCAGAGTGAGAACTGCGGCACCACGGCAGAGGGCCAGAGCACGAGTGCAAAGGCCCCGTGTCAAACACAGAAGAGGTTTTTGTTTTAAATCACGACATCTAATGGCTCACACCTGCAACCCTAGCATTTTGGGAGTCTGAGGTGGGAAGATGGCTTGAGCCTAGGAGTTAGAGACCAGCCGAGGCAACATAGCAAGACCCTGTCTTTACCAAAAATAAAAAAAAAAAAAAATAGTTGGGCGTGGTGGCATGCATCTGTGGTTCCAGCTCCTCGGGAGGCTGAGGCAGGAGGACCACTTGATCCCAGGAGTTTGAGGCTGCAGTGAGCTGTGATCACACCACTGCACTCCAGCCTGGGTAACAGAGTGAGATCCTGTCTCAAGTAAAACATAAAATAAAATAACATAAATAAAATTAAAATTAAAATAAATAAAATGAAATAACAAAATAAAATAACATCAGTCCACAGAACCCAAATCTTCGCCCAAGATAGAGTGACAGCCTTTACTAAAACAAATATGATCACCAGCAACCAAATTAAACACGGTCCACGTGAAGAGTGAATGAGGAAAGATTTTGGTTATGCTCAGGCATTTGGACCAGTTTAACTGAGGTCAAATTTTTTCAGATTTTTCTTTTCAAAAGCTGGTTGTGGAGTGGAGTTCAGGAGCATGTTCTTCATAAAGTGGCTCTTTGTGGGTCGGCCCTGGTGGGCGGGATTTCATCAATCTCACCAACCTCATTATCTAACATGCTGAATATGTAGCATCGATCAACGAACGAGATCCTCGGTCTCATGAAGTCAGCTTTCTGGGGAGGAGAAAAGAAACACAAATAAACAAGGAAATAAACGCCCAAGGTGGAAATAAGACAGCGTGAGGGTCAGGTTCCTTGAACTCACGTTTTTTTTTTTTTTTCTGAGATGGAGTTTCACTCTGTCGCCCAGGCTGGAGTGCAATGGCGCTATGTCGGCTCACTGCAACCTCCGCCCCCCAGGTTCAAGTGATTCTCCTGCCTCAGCTTCCTGAGTAGCTGGGATTACAGGCACCTGCCATCGTGCCTGGCTTTGTATTTTTAGTAGAGATGGGGTTTTACCATGTTAGCCAGACTGGCCTCGAACTCCTGACCTCCAGTGACCCACCCACCTTGGCCTCCCAAAGTGCTGAGATTAGAGGCATGAGCCACCACACCTGGCCGAGCTCATGTTCTTGAGTCACCCTCTGTCCTTTATAGAGAAGCAGTTTGGAGATTTCGTCCTACGTGTCTGAGGCCGGGTGCTATGGCTCATGCCTGTAATCCCAGTAATCCCAGCACTTTGGGAGGCTGAGACGGGAGCATTGCTTGAGCCCAAGAATTCGAGACCAGACTGGACAACATAGTGAGGCTCTATCTCTTCAAAAAATAAAAAATTAGCCAGGTGCGGTGGTGCATGCCTGTGGTCCCAGCTACTCAGGAGGCTGAGGCAGGAGGATCACTTGAGCCCAGGAGGTCGAGGCTGCAGTGAGCCATGATTGCATCACTGCACTCAGCCTGGGCAACAGAACAAGACAGTGTCTCAAAAAAAATTGTGTGAATCTCTTTTTGGCAAAGCAATCTGACATGTTTCTTGTTTCAGAGACTCAGCTTATTTTCAACCTAAAAGCCAACTAACTCTCACAGGGGAATACTGTACACAGTGATTACTGCAGTGTGTTTGTGTGTTAAAGACTGCTTTGTCATGCAGACTACAGCTCCAGCCTCACCTCGCTGTAATTTACTGTGGATATTTTGCATTATGTAGGCAGCACCTTATACCCGACAGAAGAGTTGAGGGCGGGGGGTCGGTGGGGGGGTGGGGGGGTGGGGTCCAGTCCCAACTCAGGTGTGCTATAAACTGGCTGACCTCAGATGAACCTTATTATATTGCTGAGCCCAGGTTTTCTCAACTACAACCATAATAATAAGACTTTGCCTCTAAGTTTAACATGGGGAATAATGACCGTATGAAAATATAGACTCAGCCTGGGCAACATCGTGCGACACCCATCTCTGCTACAAATTTAAAAATTAGCCAGGTGCAGTGGCTCACGCCTGTAATCCCACTGCTTGGGGAGGTAGAGGCAAGAGGAATGCTTGAGGCAAGGAGTTTGAGACCAGCCTGGGTAACAGAGCGAGACCCCATCTCTATGAAAAAGTTAAAAAGTTAGTGAGGCGTGATAGCATGTGCCCGTAGTCCCAGCTACTTGGGAGGATAAGGCAGGAGGATCGCTGGAGCCCCAGAAGTTCAAGGCTGCAGTGAGCTATAATCGCACCACTGCACTCCAGCCTGGGTGACAGAGCAAGACTATGTTGCCTCTGCTGGTCTCGAGAGACCCTTGTAGTCTGCTGCCTACTCCATGTAGGATGTAGTTACATTGATAATCTTGTTTTACAGATGAGGAAACTGAGGCTTGAATGATTTACCCAAAGTTAGCAAATGGTAGAGCTGAGACTTGAAGCAAGCTGACTCTAGCATGTTCATCTTAACTCCCTGGAGACAAGGAGCTCAGAACCCAGTGGCCTGGGTGTCTCCAGGAGTGAGGAACGGGAAAAAAAACTGCAACCTGGCTAACTCTTCTGTCTCCAGTGGCAAGAAAGAGACAGAAACGGTTATTTCAAGATGTTGTGATTATTGTTATTGAGGCAGCATCTCACTCTGTCTCCCAGGCTGGAGTGCCGTGGCGCAATCTTGGCTCACCACAACCTCCACTTCCCAGGCTCAAGCGATCCTCCCATCTCAGCCTCCTGAGTAGCTGGGACTGCAGGCACATGCTACCACGTCCGGCTAATTTTTTTTGTAGAGACAGGGTTTCACCATGTTGCGCAGGCTGGTCTCAAACTCCTGAGCTCAAGTGATCTGCCTGTCTCGGCCTCCCAAAGTGCTGGGATTACAGGCGTGAACCACCGTGCCCAGCCAAGACATTATTCTTTTGTAAAGTAAACATAGTTGCTCTTAGCATATGGTTCTCAATTGATGGGCGTGTGTGTGTGTGTGTGTTCTCTCTGGAAAAGTTTTCTCTGGGAGAAAATTCTAGATTTCACTGTTTTACATTTCAAAGTTGCCAGTTTGTTAAAAAAATCAGGCTGAGAAGAAACATGTTAGGACAAAAATGTGAAAGACTGTCATTAAAGCAAGCAAGACCAAGGACGGAGTTTTACAGACTTTGCACAGAATTCTTGGATCAACCCATGGACGCGGTGGTTGATTTTAACAGGAGCTGCAGAGTCTAATCCCTTTCATCACAAATGCATCTGGGACCAGAGCCCGATTTCCTGCTGCCCTTGGGGGACTTTTTAACCATTTTTTTTCCCCAAGCTTAGAGTATACATCAAATCCCAGGTCCACACTGACCCCCACTCTGGGCTGGAAGGGCCTGACCTCTCCCAAGAGAGTGGGGGTGGAAGAGAAGCTGTGAAATACAAAGTCATTTGATGGATGTGACACTGGGCACAGGTTGACCATCAAGCCAGGGAGGAGGCCTTTATGCCCGAAAACCCCTGAGCCTGTTCCAGGGATGCAGTGAACCACTCCTGTACCCACCCAGGCTTGCCTAGGTGTGTTGTGTGCCAAGGAAGCTTCAGGGAAGAGAGAGGACAGAGAGAGGTTGGATGTCTAAGTGTTGTTCAGTAAAGTGAACAGAAAGCAAATGTTCCAGTCTGGGAAAGTAAAATCACATATAAGAGGAAAGCGGATTGTCATAGAAGGTCCGAGGCCCGGGCTAGGGAAGGGAAAAACCACACGCTCAAAGTCCTGGTCAAGGCGTGTCCACGTTAATGGGAGAGAAGCACCTTCCTCCACTGTGGGGCCAGGGCAGGGCCAGAGCACCAGCTGGGAGTGGATCCTACACTTTTTTTTTTTTAATTGTGGTAAAATATGCGTAACATAAAATTTGCCATTTTCGCTATTTTTGAGGGTACAATTCAGTGGCATTTATTACATCAAAAATATTGTGCAACCAGGCTGGGCATGGTGGCTCACGCCTATAACACCAGCACTTTGGGAGGCCAAGGCGGGCAGGAGGTCAGGAGTTCAAGACCAGCCTGGCCAACGTGGCAAAACCCCATCTCTACTAAAAATACAAAAATTAGCTGGACATGGTGGTGTGCACCTATAATCCCAGCTACTCAGGAGGCTGAGGCAGGAGAATTTCTTGAACCCGGGAAGTGGAGGTTGCGGTGAGCCGAGATTGCACCACTGCACTCCAGTTGGGGCGACAGAGCGAGACTCCATCTCAAAAAAAAAAAAAAGAGAAAAACAAAATATTGTACAACCATCACCATCATCCATCTCCAGCACTTTTCCATCTTCCCAAACTGAAACTGTCCCCATTAACCCTCACTCTCCATCCCCCTTACCCCCAAGCTCTGATAACCAACGTTTTACTTTTTTTCTGTCTCTTATCAGTTTGACTATTCTAGGTACCTTATATAAGTGGACTCATGCTGTGTCTACCTTTTTTTCTTAACAAGAGTTTTGCTTGTTGCCCAAACCGGAGTGCAGTGGTGCGATCTCGGCTCACTGCAACCTCTGCCTCCCAGGTTCGAGCGAAGTCTCCTGCCTCAGCCTCCCGAGTAGCTGGGACTACAGGCGTCTGCCATCACGCCCAGCTTTTTGTATTTGTAGTAGAGATGGGGTTTCACCATGTTGGGCAGGCTGGTCTCAAACTCTTGACCTCGGGTGATTCACCCTCCTCAGCCTCCCAGAATGCTGGGATTACAGCCACTGCACCCGGCCTGATTGTTCAGTTTCTCAATTGGAACATGAGTAGGGCAAGTTCAAATTCTAACTTAGATGACATGCAGGCCAGTGCACATGGACTCATCCAGGTAAAATCTTGCCCTACCCAGAGCCCAAGGACAGACAGGCAAGCTTTCTGTCTCCAGTCTGCCGTCTCCCTTGATGTACAGCCTGTGGAAAGTTCTGCGCATCTGAGTTATTTCAAGGCCAGTTCTGTCTTGTGTAGCCCCCAAGTTCTTGTTTCTTACCCTTCTATACCATTTAACATTCAAGTTCCAAGTAAACAAAAACCCATAGAACAGCTACAGCATCAACTCACAGACTTTGTTTTTCAGTACCTTCTACATAGCTGGCACCTGGATACTTATTTTCCTGAGAGCTGAATTATGTATCTAAAAGGATGTCAGCGGTTGTTGTCCGTCATGTCCAGTTGTTTTCAGTGGGTTTTCACTTCATTTCTATTGAGAGAGGGTCTCACTGTCACCCAGGCTGGTGCGCAGTGGCACGACCATGGCTCACTGTAGCCTCAAACTCCTGGGCTCAAGGGATTCTCCCACCTCAGCCTCCCAAGTACCTGGTCCTACAGGCACGTGCCACCACGCCCAGCTAATATATATATGTATTTGGTACAGACAGGGTCTCACCGTGTTGCCCAGGCTGGTCTTGAACTCCTGGGGTCAAGTGACCTGTCCACCTTGACTTTCCCAAGTGCTGAGATCACAGGCACGAGCCACTGCCCCGGTGATTTTCACTTTAGACGGTCCACCGTATTGCCAGAAAATGGAGTCCTAATATAGAAATATAACTTGTTTTGAGACAGAGTCTTGCTCTGTCGCCCAGGCTGGAATGAAGTGGCACAATCTCAGCTCACTGCAACCTCTGCCTGCTGGGCTCAAGCAATTCTCGTGCCTGAGCCTCCCAAGTAGCTGGGATTACTGGGATTACAGAAAATCACCAGCATGCTCAGCTAATTTTTATATTTTTCAGTGACGGGGTTTCACCGTGTTGGCCAGGCTGGTCTCAAACTCCTGACCTCATGTGATCTGCCTGCCTCAGCCTCCCAAAGTGTTGGGTTTACAGGTGTGAGCGACCGAGCCCAGCCAAAAATATAACTTATAAACTAGTTGACTGTGAGTTATCAGATGTCATGAAATTGTTAGCTTCCAAGTTCAGGGGCTCTGTAATACGTGATGACAAACAGAAGAAATGGTATGTGCTGCTGCAGTGGGCCTCTCTGCTTTAATAATATATTCATCTTATTCCAGTTCTATATCACAAACACAGAAGGGTATAATTTAGCATAGAAAGTATCCATAGATCTTCTATATATTATGGTATGTATGTCTACAGATTCACAATTATGTTCTGTTCACCAGTGCAACACAAAAATAAAAATTATCTGTCTGTAGCACACTTGGAACACACCCCTGCGTCCCTCTGGGATGTTCTCACGCTTTTTAGATCTGTTAGTCGTAATGATTTCATTTCTTCCCATAGCCTGGGCAACAAGAGTAAAACTTCATCTCAAAAGAAAAAAAAACTTCATATCCACAGTTGTCTTTATAATTAAGTATATCCTGGCTAAAGTGGCTCACGCCTGTAATCCCAGCACTTTGGGAAGCTGAGGTGGGCAGATCATGAGGTCAGGAGTTCGAGAACAGCCTGACCAACATGGTGAAACTCCATCTCTACTAAAAACACAAAAAATTGGCCCGGCACGCTGGCAGGCACCTGTAATACCAGCTACTCGGGAGGCTGAAACAAGAGAATCACATGAACCCGGGAGGCAGAGGCTGCAGTGAGCCGAGATGGCACCACTGCCCTCCAGACTGGGCGATAGAACGAGGACTCCGTCTCAAAAAAAAAAAGTACACCTACGAAAATAGATCACTCTAGCATACCATTACCCTTCCGTCGTTAGTTTTAACAGACCATGCTTTTTTGTTGTTTGTTTTTGAGACTGAGTCTCACTCTGTCACCCAAGCTGGAGTGCAGTGGTGCGACCTCGACTCACTGCAATCTCCGCCTCCCAGGTTCAACCGATTCTCCTGCCTCAGCCTCCCGAGTAGCTGGAATTACAGGCGCCTGCCACAATTCCCGGCTAATTTTTTGTACTTTTAGTAGAGCCGAGCTTTCACCATGTTGGCCAGACTGGTCTTGAACTCCTGACCTCAGGTGATCCACTCGCCTCGGCGTCCCAAAGCGCTGGGATTACAGGCGTGAGCCACAGCGCCCAGCTGACCATGCCTTCCTTAAGCCACCAAAGTGGCCGAATTTCACCCCGATATGGGACCTCTGCCTAGGGTGGCGTCGTAGTTTTGGTTGAGGGCTGTTTCCCTGGCGATGTCCCTCCTAGAGGTTCGGCGACCTCGTGATGTGACTTTGTGACGATCCCACGGTCTCTTCACCCATGCAGCTTCTCCCTCGTGTGGATCCCGTGGTGGCGGATGAGGTTCGCCTTCCGGGAGGTCTTCCCGCAGTCGGAGCACTCGTACGGTTTCTTCCCCGCGAGTCCGCCTGTGGGTCAGGAGGCAGGAGTCCTGGGAGCAGCTTTCCCGCACTCCGCGCAGTCGCAGGGCTTCTCCCCCGTGTGAGTCCTCTGACGCAGGATGAGGTGTGACTTCTGGAAAAAGGCCTTTCCGCATTCCCTGCAGCCGCAGGGCTTCTCCCCCGTGTGGGAGCGAAGGTGCTCGATGAGGCGCGACTTGTGGGAGGTTTTCTCACACTCCCAACACTTGTAAGGCTTCGCTCCGGCGTGAACTGTGCCCGGGACACACAGGCGTGTCTTCCGGAAGATCGTTTTACCACTTCTGCTGTCTCTAGCGGGTTTCTCCTTTGTGTGAGTTCCCTGTTTGTCAGGGCAAAGCTTCTCCCTGAAACCACTCCCCCGTTCACTGCACGCAGAGGACTTCTCCCCCGCGTGGACCCCGTGATGTACCCTGAGGTCCGATCTGCAGCACAAGGCTTTCCCACACTTCGTGCATTCGTGGGGTTTCTCACTACTGGCTCCCTGAGCTGCAGGAACTCCCTCGTCACAGCTTAAAGCACTTCCACACTGGTGACCTCCGCGTGGATTCGCTCCTGAAGGTGGAGTTTCAAGTTTCGAACAGAGAAGAAGTTTCCGTGGCCGTCGCACTGAAATCTCCTCCTCGCCAGGTAGGCGTTAGGAGTGAAGTCCAGGTTACACATCAAACTCTTTCTGCACAAGTCACGTGTGCGGACCTGCTGTTTTGATGGAAGGAGGTTTGGGTTCTGATGGAGTTTTTTTCCAAGTTCGTTACATTCATGAAGCTCATTTCCGGTCCAGTCTTTCTTGTCTAGAAACGTATGGCTCAAATGTTGGTCTTCGTGTTGCTGTTGGCTATCTGGCTGGGTAGCAACTTGCCAAACTTCTTCTAGAAAAAATAACACAAACTTGTGGGGATTTTTTTTTTTTTTTTTTTTTTTTTGAGACGGAGTCTCACTCCGTTGCCCAAGCTGGAGTGTACTGGAGTGATCTTGGCTCACTCCAACTTCTGCCTCTCAGGTTCAAGTTATTCTCCTGCCTCAGCTTCCTGAGTAGCTGGGATTACAGGTGCCAGCCACCGTACCCAGCTAATTTTTGTATTTTTAGTAGAGACGGGGTTTCACCATGTTGGCCAGGCTGGTCTTGAACTCCTGACCTCAGGTGATCTGCTGGCCTTGGCCTCCCGAAGTGCAGGGATTACAGGCGTGAGCCACTGCGCCTGGCCGTAAGTTTGTTAATCTTGGAGTACTGTATCACAAAACTATTGCAGAAAAGCTTGAAGGGAGCATTCATTTTGTGGTTTTAAGCCTAATTGCCTGTAATCCCAGCTACTCAGGAGGCTGAGGTGGGAAGGTCGCTTGAGCCTGGGAGGTTGAAGCTGTACTGAGCCATGATCACACCACGGCACTCCAGCCTGGGTGATGGAGGGAAACTCTGTCCCAAAAAGTAGTAAAACCAAGTGCCCGGTCCCTTTCTTGAGGCCTAGGTTACACAGAGGCCTTCACTATCCACCCTTCCCATGTTCTCCCGACCTATGCTCCCTTTCATTCTGTGTACCAACTGGATTTTCTCAAAGCATGAGGTCCTTTTTGTTGTTGTTGAGATGGAGTCTCACTCTTTCACCAGGCTGGAGTGCAGTGGCACAATCTCGGCTCACTGCAACCTCAGCCTCCTGGGTTCAAGCAATTCTCCTGCCTCAGCCTCTCGAGCAGCTGGGATTACAGGCACCCACCACCACGCCCAGCTAATTTTTTGTATTTTTAGTAGAGACAGGGTTCCACCATGTTCGTCAGGCTGGTCTTGAACTCCTGGTCTCAGGTGATCCGCCTGCCTCGACACTCCAAAGTGCTGGGATTACAGGCGTGAGCCACTGCACCCAGCCATGAGCTCTTTATTGTTAAAGGAATTATCTTAGAGCTAGCGGCATTTTCTGCAGTGACTTATTCTCACATGGACCTATGGATCTTTATGATGTCCAACAGAAGAATACTAGAGTACACACAAGCCACCCTGGCCTCAGAGTCAGATTCCCTGCTGTCTCGTGATGCCTGTATTACCACTTTGTTGTTTTTGTTTTGGTGACAGGGTCTCCGTCACTCAGGTTGGAGCACGGTAGTGCAATCATGGCTCACTGCAGCCTCAAATTTCCGGGCTCCGGCAATCCTCCCACCTCAGCCTCTCAAGTAGCTGGGACTACAGGTGCATGCCACCATGTCCAGCTAGTTTTTAAAATTGTTTTTGTAGATATGGGGGTCTCACTATGTTGCCCAGGCTTGTCTTGAGCTTCTGGCCTCAGGCGATCCTCCTGCCTTGGCCTCCCAATCAGCTGGGATTATAAAAATTAGCCAGACACAGTGGCTCATGCCTAGTTTCTTTTTTTGTAGAGATGGAGTTTTGCTATGTTGCCCAGGCTAGTCCCGAACTCCTGGCCTCAAGCAATTCTTTTGCCTCAGCCTCTCCAAATGCTAAGATTACAGGCATGAGCCACCACACCTGGTGTATCTTTATTGACATTTTAAACTAAAGACGCTACCTGCTGCCTCACCTCTGAGGCTTATGTCTGACTCAAGGATGTCAGTCCTCTGTTTAGAAGTTCCTGGCTGGGTACAGTGGCTCACGCCTGTAATCCCAGCACTTTTGGGAGGCCGAGGCAGGCGGATCACCTGAGGTCGGGAGTTTGAGACCAGCCTGACCAACATGGTGAAACCCCCGTCTCTACTGAAAGTACAAAATTAGCTAAGCGTGGTGGCACATGCCTATAATCCCAGCTACTTGGGAGGCTGAGACAAGAGAATCACTTGAACCGAAGAGGCAGAGGTTGCAGTGAGCCGAGATCATGCCATTGTGTACTCCAGCCTGGGCAACAAGAGCGAAACACTGTCTCAAAAAAATAAAAGGAGAAAAGAAAAAAAAAAAAGTTCCTGGCTGGGTGCAGTGGCTCACACCTGTAATCCCAGCACCTTGGGAGGCCAAGGTGGGCAGATCACCTGGGGTCAGGAGTCTGAGACCAGCCTGGTCAACATGGTGAAACCCTGTCTCTACTAAAAATAGAAAAATTAGCCAGGCACAGTGGCGCGTGCCTGTAATCCCAGCTACTTGGGAGACTAAGGCAGGAGGACTGCTTGATCCTAGGAGGCGGAGGTTGCAGTGACTGTGCCACTGCACTCCAGCCTGGGTGACAGAGAAAGGCTCTCTCTCAAAAAAAAAAAAAAAGTTCCTGGCCAGGTGCGGTGGCTCACACCTGTAATCCCAGCACTTTGGGAGTCCGAGGCAGGCGGATCACCTGAGGTCAGGAGTTTGAGACCAGCCTGACCAACATGCAGAAACCCCCCTCTCTACTAAAAATACAAGAAATTAGCGAGGTGCGGTGGCACATGCCTATAATCCCAGCTACTCGGGAGGCTGAGGCAGGAGAATCGCTTGAACCTGCGAGGCACAGGTTGTGGTGAGCTGAGATCGTGCCATTGCATCCAGCCTGGGCTACAAGAGTGAAACTCCGTCTCAAAAAAAAAAAAAAGAAAAAAGAAAGAAGTTCCTGAGCTGAACTGCTGAATTTCTGAGAGGTAAAGACCACCTGTTCATCTCCCCCGTCAGATTTCTAGGGTGAGATTCAGCCAGGGATATTTTTGAAGTTCCCCACGTGATTTTGGTGTGGATCATCAATTAATTAGCAGCGTCCCGAACAAACGCGTGACAAAGAATTCTTGTCCTGATCCAAAGAGGGATTTAAAGGAGTGTCCCCCAGAGCTTCTTGCAGAAACACAGACAAATGAAATAATAGCTCTTCTCCCCATGGGGTTATACTGAGTACAGCCCATTAGGCAGAATGGAGCCATATTACATGGTTTTGAAAGAAGAATTTAAAAGTCATATAAAAGGTAATGTACTGGGCTGGACAGTAGAGTAACCAGATGCGTGAAGTAGACAAAGTTGACATTAACCTCTAAGATCGGCCAGGCACAGTGACTCACACTTGTAATCCCAGCACTTTAAGAGGCCGGGGTGGGAGGATCGCTTGAGCCCAGGAGTTCAACACAATCCTGGGCAACATCGTGAGACCCCATCTCTACAAAAAAACCTTCAAGATGAGCCAAGTTTTTCTTTTCTTTTCTTTTTTTTTTTTTTTTTTTTAAGAAACAGGGTCTCGCGTGATCATAGCTCACTGCAACCTCGACCTCCTGGACTCAAGCGATCCTCCAGCCTCAGCCTCCCAAAGTGCTGGGACTACAGGTGACAGCTGCCATGCCTGGAGGGTTTAATTACTTCTGATTCCATTACTGGTGCCAGCTGATGTTCGATTTTTGTTTTTTTGAGATGCGGTCAAGCTCTGTTGCCCAGGCTGGAGGAACCACAGCTTATTGCAGCCTCAACCTCCTGGGCTCAAGTGATCCTCTCCCCTCAGTCCCCTGATTAGATGACACTATAGGCACATGCCACCATACCCAGCTAATTTTTCTATTTTTAGTAGAAATGGCTTTTCACCACGTTGGCTAGACTGCTCTCAAACTCCTAAACCCATGTGATCTGCCTGCCTCAGCCTCTCAAACTGTTGGGATTACAGGCGTGAGCCACCATGCCTGGCCCCTAAATGAGCATTTAATAGAAAAGATGGTGCCAGCTCCAAATAACCCAGCCCCTTCGTTTTCTGCAGCAGAAACTTGGTGATCAGCATCAATCAATGCCACACGAAGGTGAGCTGGGAGGGAGACAGCAGTGATTTAACCTCATCAAGTTGGCCGGGCGCAGTGGCTCACGCCTGTAATCCCAGCACTTTAGGAGGCTGAGGCGGGCGGATCACGAGGTCAGGAGATCGAGACCATCCTGGCCAACATGGTGAAACGGTATCTCTACTAAAAATACAAAAATTAGCCAGGCATGGTGGTGCGCACCTGTAGGCCCAGCTACTCGGGAGGCAGAGGTTGCAGTGAGCCGAGATCATGCCACTACACTCCAGTGTGGGCAACACTGGATTATTTATTCAAAAACAAATAAATAAAGTCATTAAGTACACTAAAGGACAGCAATGGCTTTCACCAGTTTGTGGGTGTGAAGAAGAGAGAGGCGACTAAATTATACGTGTAGAAAATATGTTTTTGAGGCATTTCACAGTAAAAGAAAACGATGAAAAGAAGAACAAATAGCACAAAATAACAGCTATTTTAACATAGGGCAGATCAATGAATCTCTGAACACAGGAGAAAACCTGTTTTATAACCACAGGGAAAATACTGAAGATTCTACAGGAAGACTTGGCAATCGAGGTCTTAGTGGGGGACAGCAGAGCAGAATCAAAGGACAAATGAAAATAGATGGTCAGGCATATGGCTCATGCCTGTAGTCCCAGCTACTTGGGAGGCTAAGGCAGGAGGATCGCTTGAGCCTAGGAGTTTGAGACCATCCTGGACGACATAGGGAGACCCCATCTCTACAAAAATGAAAAAAAAAATGAGCTCAGTGGCTCAGTGTGATGGCATGTGCCTGAAGTAGCAGCTACTAAGGAGGCTGAAGTAAGAGGATCACTTGAGCCCAGGAGTTGGAGGCTGCAGTGAGCTACCATCACTCCACTGCACTCCAGTCTGGGTGAAAAAGCAAGACAGTCTCTCAAAACAAGAAAAAAGAGGGCCAGGCGTGGTGGCTCACGCCTGTAATCCCAGCACCTTGGGAGGCAGAGGTGGGAGGGTCATCTGAGGTCAGAAGTTCAAGACCAGCCTGGCCAGCCAACATAGCAAAACCCCATCTCTACTGAAAAAAAAAAAAAAAAAAAAAAAATTTAGCCGAGCATGGTGGTGGCACGTGCTTGTAATCCCAGCTACTCAGGAGGCTGAAGCAGGAGAATCACTTCAACCTGGGAGGCGGAGGTTGCAGTGAGCCAAGATCGTACCACTGTACTCGAGCCTGGGCAACAGCCAGACTGTCTCAAAAAAAAAAAAAACAAAAAAAAGAAAAAAAAAAGAAAAAAATAGACTATGCCTTTCTCTAAAATCCAGAGACAGGAAAGGAATCGTGTAGTGATGTGTGCAGGTGGCAGGATCACTAAGGCATCTCAAGGTTTAAGGCCAAATGTCCACAGCTGCTTGCAAAGATCCAGGGTTTTTTTTTTTTTTTTTTTTTGAGATGAGTCTCGCTCTGTCACCCAGGCTGGAGCACAGTGGCACAATCTCGGCTCACTGCAACCTCTGCTTCCCAGGTTCAAGCGATTCTCCTGCCTCAGCCTCCTGAGTAGCTGCAACTACAGGTGCGTGCCACCACACCCAGCTAATTTTTAGTAGAGACGGGGTTTCACCGTGTTAGCCAGATGGTCTTGATCTCCTGACCTCATGATCCACCCACCTTGGCCTCCCAAAGTGCTGGGATTACAGGTGTGAGCGACCATGCCCAGCCAAGATCCCAAGCTTTTAAGAACAGTTGCCTGAAACAAGAGGACATCCGGCTAGGCGCCATGGGTCACGCCTGTAATCCCAGCACTTTGGGAGGCCAAGGCAGGTGGATCACCTGAGTTCAGGAGTTTGAAACCAGCCTGACCAACATGGTGAAACCCAGTCTCTACCAAAAATACAAAATAAGTCACACATGGTGGCGGGCACCTGTAATCCCTGCTACTCAGGAGGCTGAGGCAGGAGAATGGCTTGAACCTGGGAGGTGGAGGTTGCAATGAGCTGACATCGCACCACTGCACTCCAGCCTGGGCAACTGAGCGAGACTCCATCTCAAAAAACAAAACAAGACAACATCCATGGGTTCTGCTTTGCAGACTTCCAGGAGCCTCATCCCCCGGCCCCCTGCAGGCCACCTGCTCACCTGGGAAGCTCCACGTCCTTATCTCTTCCTCCTCCATCCATGGCTCCTTCCCCTGCTCCAAACTGGAGATCACAGCTGGTTTGCTGACTTGACACCCTCTTGGGGAGAAACGGTTAAAGGATTTGTGCTGAGCCAGCTGGGCCTTCCAAGCAAGCAGACAGTTCAGCCTGCAAAACAAAAGGTGGACATCTCAGCCACAGAGAGCTGTTTCGCTTGGCAGGTAACTTCACGAGGACTCCAAGTGGGATCGAGACTCTGACCACTGAAACCCAAGGCCAAGCACTTTTATTTTTCACACAG
This sequence comes from Homo sapiens, assembly GCF_000001405.40. Lineage (NCBI taxonomy): Eukaryota > Metazoa > Chordata > Mammalia > Primates > Hominidae > Homo > Homo sapiens. The sequence goes on along the minus strand of NC_000007.14, from coordinate 5,840,556 downwards.
GGTCTTGCTCTGTTGCCCAGGCTGGAGTGAAGTGGCACAATCACAGCTCACTGCAGCCTCAACCTCCTGCACTCAAGTGATCCTCCCATCTCAGCCTCCCGAGTAGCTGGGACTACAGGCAGGCATCACCACCCTCAACTAATTTTTTAATGTTTTGGTAGAGATGGGGTTTTGCCATGTTGCCCAGGCAAGTCTTGAACTTGGGCCTCAAGGGATCCTTCCATTTGAGACTCGCAAGTAGCTGGGACTGCAGGCACATGCCACCATGCCTGGCTAATTTTTTATTTTTCGTTTGTATAGATCGGGTCTTGCACCTGTGGCTCAAGCAATCCTCCCACCTCGGCCTCCTGAAGTGCTGGGATCACAGGCATGAGCCACCATGCCCAGCTTAGCACTTTCAGTGCGTGAGCAGTTTCCCAGTTTTATACAACTAAGAAAAAGAGTTCATGTAACCCGAGGACCACGGGGAAGTCTTCCTCACCCACAGAGAGCAGGTGGCTGTAGTTCTCCAGCATCACATCCTGGTACAGGGTCCTCTGCTCCAGGTCCAGCTGCTGCCACTCTTTCCGGGTGAAGCCCACAGCCACGTCCCCGAATGACAGTGACCCCTGGAACAGCACATGGCTGATTAATGTGGAGTGGTTGGCACTGGGTACCATGGCAAAGGCGTAGAGGAGATTGATCTTACCCCCTTCCGAGGTCAGCTTTCCCCATATTAGGTTACATAGAAAGCTGAGCACACCCCTAACTTTGTACTACACTTTGTGGAAGAGAAAAAAAAAATTGTTAGAAAAAATATCAACCGGGTGCAGTGGCTCACGCCTGTAATCCCAGCACTTTGAGGGGCTGAGACAGGTGGATTGCTTGAGGTTAGGAGTTTGAGACCAGCGTGGCCAACATGGTGAAACCCCATCTCTACAAAAAATATATTAGATGGACGTGCTGGTGGGTGCCTGTAATCCCAGCTACCAGGGAGGCTCAGGCAGGAGAATTGCTTCAACCCAGGAGGCGTAGCTTGCAGTGAGCTGAGATCCCGCCCTTGCACCCCAGGCTGTACAACAGAGTGAGACTCCATCTCAAAAATAAATAAATAAATCTCACTACTGGATCTCCATTCATTCCTTCAATGATCAAGTGTCTTTCAGGGACCTCGCACACTGCTGGTGTTCTACCAGGCGCTTGGGGTCGAGGGCTGAACACAAAATTGTTCCTGTTCTGAAGGTAGTTAGGAGTGTTGCTGCCAGATGAACACAGGAAGACAGCTGTACCGTAAGATTACACTATAGGCGGTGGTAGACATGTAGTTACATACAGAATGGGCACGAGGAAGACAGCAGCCAGATCCAACGTACTGTCAAGTGAAGCTTCCTAGGAGATCACAGGGGAGTAGAATCACGAAAGATAAACAGAATGATCTGATGTCTGAAGGATATTCCTAGCAAGAGGCCTGGCATGGGCAAAGGAGGCACAGAAAAGTCTCGTAGAAACTACAAAGAGAATGAAAATGCCGGGTGTAAGGCGTGTGTGGGAGAGGGAGAGAGCGTACCAGCCACGGGTAGAAGTGATTTTTTTTTTCCCTGTAGGAAATGCAGACTCCCACCTCACGGTATTTACGGAGGGGAACTACAGATGATCTGATGTGGAAAAAAGGTGGGAGCCACCGGAAGGGAGGATAGCAGGAGCTAAATTATCACATGATTCTAATCCTCAATGTAAGCTAGTGCTCAAAATTAAAACAGCAAGAGAAATGCAGAGAAGGGGTTCCACAGATGCAGAACAGGGCTTGGCCTCCTTCACCCATCCCATCCCCTCTCTCAATGAATTAAAGACCCCCATTTAAACATCTTCAATTTATACCTATTAGAAAATATGAGGATGTATATAAAATATATATATAACATATAGATATTATCTATTTATATATTATATAGAGATATATATAGAGAGAAAGAGAGATTTTCTATTTTGGAGAGGGTGTTCCACTCTTGTCACGCAGGCTGGAGTGCAATGGTGCCACCTTGGCTCACCGCAACCTCTGCCTGCTGGGTTCAAGCAATTCTCTTGCCTCAGCCTCCTGAGTAGCTGGGATTACAGGCTTGTGCCACCACACCTGGCTAATTTTGTATTTTTAGTAGAGACAGGGTTTCTCCACGTTGGTCAGGCTGGTCTCGAACTCCTGACCTCAGGTGATCCACCTGTCTCAGCCTCCCAAAGTGCTGGGATTACAGGTGTGAGCCACTGCCCCTGGCCTTAGATCTTCTCTTTTTGGGACAGGGTCTCTCTCTGTCCAGGCTGGAGTGCAGTGGTGTGATCATGGCTCGCTGCAGCCTCTACCTCCTGGGTTTAAGTGATCCTCTCGCCTCAGCCTCCCGAGTAGCTGGGATTACAGGCATAGGCCAGCTGGTTTTATTTAAATTTTTTGTAGAGTTGGGGTCTCACTATGTTGTTTAATCAAAGTTTAAATAATTTGAAGGAGATCAGACAGGGTGGCTCACGTCTGTAATCCCAGCACTTTGGGAAGCCGAGGCAGGTGGATCACTTGAGGGCAAGAGTTCAAGACCAGCCTGGCCAACATGGTAAAACCCCATCTCTACTAAACATACAAAAAAAAAAAAAATTAGCTGGGCATGGTGCCAGGCACCTGTAATCCCAGCTACTCGGGAGGCAGGAGAAACACTTGAACCCAGGAGGCGGAGCTTACAGTGAGCCGAGATCGTGCCACTGCACTCCAGCCTGGGTGACAGAGCAAGAGTCTGTCTCAAAAAAAAAAAAAAAAAAAAAAAAAAAAGTATGTGAGAGTCGGGGGGCTTTCATCACTGTGGCAGAGGTCAAGGGGGGATGCTGGGTATAAAGAGCTGTGGTGGGCCCCCTGGACACATGCTGCTGGGGTGATGACGGATGTTCATAGGCAAATGGGCGACCCAAATTGTCCCCAGTGGTGAGACAAGCGCGTGCAGAGGAGGGGCAACAAGCAGGGCACAGCCCGGGGGCAGCAGCAGGGACCGGGAGCTATGTGGGAGTGGGGAGAGGCAATCCACAAAGAAGCCCAGAGCCCCAATCACCCTACAGAGCCTGGGTTCTCTTCCAGACCACACTCTGATCTCTAGAAAAACTTATGACCAAGGGCTAAAGGCTGCTGAAGCCAGTGACTTTTTTTTTGAGATAGGGTCTCACTGTGTTGCCCAGGCTGGAGTGCAATGTACAATATCGGCTCACTGCAACCTCCGCCTCCTGGGTTCAAGTGATTCTCCTGCCTCAGCCACCTGAGTACCTCAGATTACAGGCACACACCCAGCTAATTTATGTATTTTTAGTAGAAACGGGTTTCACCATGTGGCCAGGCTGGTCTCGAACTCCTGACCTCAGGTGGTCCGCCTACCTCAGCCTCCCAAAGTTCTGGAATTACAAGCGTGAGCTATCACGAGTCTATGTAGTGTATGTATATGTATATACATTATATATATATATATATATATATATATATATATAGTCTATGTAGTTTACATACATGTCTAGTATATATATAGACAGTCTATGTAGTTTTTATACATACACATACAATGTCTACATAATGTCTTAATTTCTATGTAATTTATTCATATCTAATTTCTATATAAACATAAAATTTCCATGTAAATATATAATTTCTATAGATATGCCTCTCATGGGTTTATTCATGATATAACATATGAAAAGCAGAGAGACCACGGAGTGCTGGACAGACAGCATTTAACCCAGTCATTGTCATCTTTAGTACAGATTCCCCTAACAGGGAGTCATTCCCAGTGGGACTCGGCTTTCTACAAAACAGTGGCTTCTGGCCGGGCGCGGTGGCTCACGCCTGTACTCCCAGCACTTTGGGAGGCCGAGGCGGGTGGATCACGAGGTCAGAAGATCCAGACCATCCTGGCTAACACGGTGAAACCCCATCTCTACTAAAAATACAAAAAAGTTAGCTGGGCGTGGTGGCGGGCGCCTGTACTCCCAGCTTTTCAGGAGGCTGAGGCAGGAGCATGACGTGAACCCGGGAGGCAGAGGTTGCAGGGAGCTGAGATCGCGCCACTGCACTCCAGCCTGAGTGACACAGCGAGACTCACTCTCCAAAAAACAAAAAACAAAAAACAGTGGCTTCCGACAAAGACAACAAGGGAAACCTCCAGCTTCACAGACAGGGTGGGTGTGGCTCGCCACCTTGTTGTAGCCTCTCCTACTGCTCTGAGACATTTCTGGTGTGAAACACCTAGACATCCCTGGCTTCACAAAGCACAAAGAAACCCAGGCTCTGTGAACGTTTTCCTTCCTGGAGTGGACAGTGGTAATGTTCACGAGGCCTCATCTTCCTCTGGGACCAGCCCCTTCCTGCCCCTGTGCACAGCTGCCTGGTCAGAGGGCCTAATACACCTGAGCTAGGCTGGACCAACAGAATCCTCCCCGAAAAGCTTTCAAAATTGGATCACTGAAGGGAGATTCAGTCCCTCACCGTGGCAGAACTTGCAGCTGTGAGGAGAGGAGCTGGGGCTACACTATTTCTGGGCACACTGACAAAGTCAGCATGAGAAGAAAGTCACAGAAGCGCCGGGTGCAGTGGCTCATGCCTGTAATCCCAGCACTTTGGGAGGCTGAGGTGAGCGGATCACAAGGTCAGGAGATTGAGACCATCCTGGCTAACATGATGAAACCCCATCTCTACTAAAAATAGAAAAAATTAGCCAGGCGTGGTGGCGGGTGCCTATAGTCCCAGCTACTGGGGAGGCTGAGGCAGGAGAATGGTGTGAACCCGGGAGGGGGAGCTTGCAGTGAGCTGAGATTGCGCCGCTGCACTCCAGCCTGGGCAACAGAGCGCGACTCCGTCTCAAAAAAAAAAAAAAAAAAAAAGTCACAGAAGCACAGACCAGGGAAGAAAGATTCCTGGCGATACCTGGTTTGCCGGATGCCTCTGGAGCCTGACTGCACACCTGCTCTTCCCAGGACTCGCATGCTGCCTTATAGATTTTTTTTTTTTTTTTTTTTGAGACAGGCTCTCCCTCTGTTGCCCAGGCTAGAGTCCAAAGGCACGATCACAGCTCATTGCAGCCTGGACCTCCTAGGCTCAAGTGATCCTCCCACCTTAGCCTCCCCTGCAGCTGGGAGTACAGGCATGTGCCACTACACCTGGATAATTTTTCTATTTTTTGTAGAGATGGGCTCTTGCCACATTACCCAGGCTGGTCTTGAACTCCTGGCCTCAAGCAATCCTCCTGCCTCACCTTCCCAAAGTTCTAGAATTACTTTTTTTTTTTTTAATCCTAACCTACTTCTAGTTGGATTTCTGGCTCTTCCAACTTCAAGGATTAGAACTTCTAACCAGTGCACTCCACACTCACACATTCCTAGAACCCGGGGTTCAGAGCAGGAGGAGGAGAATGCTTCCAGGCTGATGGAAAACACTGATGTCACTCACATGCAAAGAGAGCTAACAGCCAAGTGGGCGGATCACCTGAGGTCAGGAGTTCGAGACCAGCTTGGCTAATATGATGAAACTCCATCTCTAAAAATACAAAAATTAGTCGGGCATGGTGGCACATGCCTATATTCCCAGCTACTCCGGAGGCTGAGGCAGGAGAATCACTTGAACCCGGGAGGCAGAGATTGCAGTGAACCAAGATAGTGCCACTGCACTCCAGCCTGGGCGACAGAGCAAGACTCCATCTCAAAAAAATTTTTTAATTAAAAAAATAAAACCCATTATGGCAAGCAATTTCAGACAAGATCAGGCACGTTCAGGGTGGTGTGGCGGTACACATGGCAGGCTGTTTCAAGAACACGCAGTTCATTCATTCGTTCCTCTAGATAATGCAGTGTTACATCCAGGTCACTTGGCACCACACAAGGCTGTCTCTGTAGACCTGAGTGTTCGGCATCCCCAAACAACCAGAATCACAGACGGCTGCTTTGGCATAATATCTGCTGTTTATACAGAGAGGAAGAAAAGTCACAAGAGATTTCCTGTTGTGTTTCTTTCAAGGTGGTTGTTATTGAGGAACGGGTCTGCCACATCTTACATACAAAGATCAAATACATCTTTAAATCTTGAAAGAGCTGTATTCCCCCCGAGAATTAGACACGGTTGTCCAAAACAGACAACACAAGTCATATATTAGATGGAATCTGCCTGCCTTTTTTAAGTGACAGGAATGTCAGATATAAATTTACAAGGCATCGGGCTGGGCACAGTGGCTCACGCCTGTAATCCCAGTACTTTGGGAGGCCGAGGTGGGCAGATCACTTGAAGCCAGGAGTTTGAGACCAGCCTGGCCAACGTGGTGAAACCTCATCTTTACTAAAAATACAAAAATTAGCTGTGTGTGGTAGCAGGTGCCTGTAAGCAGGTGCCTGTAAGGAGGCTGAGGCAGGAGAATTGCTTGAACCCAGGAGGCAGAGGTTGCAGTGGGCCGAGATTATGCCACTGCACTCCAGCCTAGATGATAGAGCCAGACTCTGTCTCAAAAAAGAATTTACAAGGCATCTCACAACTGCAGCAGCCTCTACAGTCTCTCCACCCTGTCCTTCCCACAGCCGTGACCTTCCATTCTCTTCCTGTTTTCACTGATCCTGACTTCTGTTTGCATTTTATCAGATTTTTTTTTTTTTTTTGAGACAGAGTCTCACTCTGTCACCCAGGCTGAAGTGCAGTGGTATGATCTCAGCTCACTGCAATCTCCACCTCCCAGGTTCAAGTGGTTCTCCTGCCTCAGCCTCCCAAGTAGCTGGGATTACAGGCACCCACCACCACACCCATCTAATTTTGTATTTTTAGTAGAGACAAGGTTTCACCACATTGGCCAGGTTGGTCTCAAACTCCTGACCTCAAGTGATCCACCCGCTTTGGCTTCCCACAGTGCTGGGATTACCAGTGTGAGCCACCACACCCAGCCTTTATTAGTCATGTTCTTATGAGCATCCAAAATCCCTGCTGAAAAAGTGCAGTAGAAAGAAATGCCACACTCACCTGGGCCATGGTTCTTCCTTGCTGTTGTGGGAAAGCAGGTATCTGTGAAGGCAGACATCAGAGTGGGGAGAGAGGATATGAGAGGCCACGCTTGCCCGTGGGCTCCCGATCAACTGCTGAGACCACCCCCACCCCCCGCCTCGCGGGCACAGGTGGGAGAAAGCCTTCTCTGAAGGATCCCCATTATCAGAGCAAAGCCCTCACCTTGGAAATGTCATAGGGACTCAATCTCATGAGGCCTGACTTGGATTTTTGTTTTGTTTTTTGAGACAGGGTTTCACTCTGTCACCCAGGCTGGAATGCAGCGATGCAATCAGAACTCAATGCAGCCCTGGACTCCCAGGCTCCAGCGATCCTCCCACCTCAGCCTCCCGAGAAGCTGGGACTATAGGTGTGTCACACGCCCAGCTAATTTTTAAATTTTTTGGTAGAGAAGGCGGTCTCACTGTATTGCACAGGCTGGTCTCAAACTCCTGGGTTCAAGCAATCTGCCCATCTCAGCCTCCCAAAACCTTGGGATTACAGGGGTGAACCACCACGACTGACTGGAGTTTTTCTTAATGAATATGTGTATCTATGTCTCAGTAACCAATGTGCAATTTACTACAATCCCCACCCATTACCCAAAAATGTAATTATTAGAAATCTATTCTGAAGAAACAGGCCAGATGCAGAGGCTCACGCCTGTAATCACCACACTTTGGGAGGCCGAGGCAGGTGCATCACCTAAGGTCAGGAGTTCAAGACCCGCTTGGCCAATATGGTGAAACCCCATCTCTACTAAAATACAAAAATCAGCCAGGTGTGGTGGCACATGCCTGTAATCCCAGCTACTCAAGAGGCTGAGGCAGGAGAATCTCTTGAACTTGGGAGGCAGAGATCACAGGGAGCCGAGATTGTGCTGTACCACTGCACTCCAGCCTGGGCAACAAAGCGAGCTTGCATCCCCCCAAAAAATGATAAGAAAACTTTTTGGGGGATGGGGTCTGGCTCTGTTGCCCAGGCTAGAGTGCAGTGGTACGGCACAATCTTGGCTTCCTGTGACTTGTCCCTGTAATCCTAGCTACTTGGGAGGCTGAGGCAGGAGAATCGCTTGAGCCTCGGAGGTGGAGGTGGCAGTGAGCTGTGATTGCGCCACTATACTCCAGCCTGGGCAACAGAGTGAGACTCCGTCTAAAAACTCAAAACATATATATATATATATGCTTTTTGTAGAGTCAGGGTCCCGCTATGTTGCTCAGGCTGGTCTCGAACTCCTGGCCTCAAGAGATCCTCCCGCCTTGGCCTCCCAAAGTGCTGGGATTACAAGCATGCATCACTGTGCCTGGCCTGTTTCTTGTCTGTATACATCGACTACAAACTACAGCACATGTAATAAGTTTGTAAACATACATCTATAAAGAAAAAATTCTGGGCCAGGCACAGTGGCTCAAGCCTGTAATCCCAGCACTTTGGGAGGCCAAGGTGAGTGGATCACTTGAGGTCAGGAGTTCGAGACCAGCCTGGCTAACATGGCAAAACCCTGTCTCTACTAAAAATACCAAAATTAGCTGGGTGTGGTGGTGCATGCCTGTAATCCCAGCTACTCAGGAGACTGAGGCAGGAGAATTGCTTGAACCCAGGGGGTGGAGGCTGCAGTGAGCCGAGATCACACCACTGCACTCCAGCCTGGGTAAGAGCGAGATTCCATATCAAAAAAAACAAACATAAAAATAAACTGATTAATACAAATGCTCTCTGGGTGCTCACGAGAAAGATCGGGGCTGGGCAGAAGACCAGAGAGACTTCCTTGGGAGTGAAGGTCTGGAGGAGGGATGCGGCTGCCGTGGAGGGAAACATGCGAAGCCCCCTCCCGAACTTTCTCTTCTGAGGAACAAAAGCCTCAAGCTGCCAGGGGAATGGCAGTCAACCCTGTTGCCACCAGAACACAGGCAAGACCTTGTGCCTTCCTCCTTGAACCAGGGACAGGAATATATCCTGGGCTCAGGCTTAAAGGTCTCCTGACACGAGGGGAGGGACAGGATCACTGTGACTCAGAGACCCAGGGCCCACCCTGGACTGAGAAGACAAAGAGAACCCCTCCACCCACAGGCCTGGAGATGCAAGCAGCAGCCGTCAACACAAGGAGGGGATCAAGAGCGGAAGGTCCCATTCGCAGCACAAAGCGATGCTACGGAATTGTGAAGCTAGTGGCCCACTGCGGTAACCATGGTGACCAGCCCACCGCCCACTCAACTCCTGGCTGGACACGGTTCAACCACCCTCCAGCGCTCCCTGCTCCTTACACAGTAACAGCTCAGCAGAACTGGCTCATGTCCTCGTGTCTGCTCTCCTACGCAAGTCTAGCCTTCAAGACTAGCCAGAGATGGAAACGGAAAAAACAACCCACTGAAAAGAAGCAAAGCAACAAACAGATATTAATTCCATCTCAGCAACAAACAGATATTAATTCCATCTCAGGTCAGCATCAGCAAGTGTATGTCACGGAGATGCGCTGCAAACGAACACAAAATCCAAAACCAAAAAGACAAAAGGAAGAGAAACCAATACATCTTCCATCACAGTAAAAGATTTTTTTCTTTTTTTGAGACAGTGTCACCCAGGCTGCAGTGCAGTGGCGTGATCTCAGCTCACTGCAACCTCCACCTCCTGGGTTCAAGTGATTCTCCTGCCTCAGCCTCCCAAGTAGCTGGAATTACAGGCACGTGCCACTACGCCCAGCTAATTTTTGTATTTTTAGTAGAGATGGGGTTTCACTATGTTGGCCACGCTGGTCTTGAACTCCTGACCTCAGGTGATCTTGCTGCCTCGGCCTCCCGAAGTGCTGGGATTGCAGGCGTGAGCCCCCGCGCCTGGCCATCTTCCTCCCTTCTTTTTAAATTTCTGCTCATTCTCTTTTACCTTTGGGGTTTTGCTCTTTTTTTCTCTTTTTTAAATATCTTTTTCTGGAAGACACAGACTGGACAATGGGGGTAGATGCTCCCTATTCTTTTTTCTGTGGAAGCCACCTGAGCTAAATGTCATTAAGTTTCACTCCTTGTATTTAACATATGTATTAGGACTAGCCGGGTGCAGTGGCTCACTCCTGTAATCCCAGCACTTTGGGAGTCCGAGGTGGGCGGATCATGAGGTCAGGAGATCGAGACCATCCTGGCTAACATGGTGAAACCTAGTCTCTACTAAAAACACACACACACACACACACACAAAAATTAGCCAGGCTTGGTGGCAGGCACTGGCAATCCCAGCTATGCGGGAGGCTGAGGCAGGAGAATGGCATGAACCCGGAAGGCGGAGCTTGCAGTGAGCCGAGATCATGCCACTGCACTCCAGCCTGCGCGACAGAGCGAGACTCCATCTCAAAAAAAAAAAAAAAAAAAAAAAAAAAAAGGTATTAGGACTTTAATAATACATTAAAAAGAAAAAACTAAAATCAATTCTTGGAAAGGTTTGATTAAACCTAATAAAGTAATTGGTTTGTATTTAAGATTAATAAAATTGACCGGAAGCCAGGCACAATTGAGTAAGAGAAGGCAAAGATAAACCATTTGTGCACATGAAAAAGACAATTTCAGATACGGTCGAGGTTTATAATTGTAAGATCAGTATAAACAATTGCCATAAATTCAAAATTAAATGGGATACTTTTCTAGAAAATATAAATTACTAAAATTGACTGACAAACAGAAAACCAGAATAAACCACTCAACATTAAATGAAATGGATTCATCTTAAAAAATATAGCCATTGGGGAAACACCAGGAATTTTACCACATTCTACTCAAGATTTTTGCAGTGTTCATAAGACAAAGTGAATTTATATATAAAATATATGCTAAAAATAAATGAGAAAGACAACCCCTAAAGAAATATAGGCAAAGGTGATAAACATACAAAGCAATCTTATACACTGTTCATGGCTACACTCCTGTCTAGTAAATAAACAAAAACATAGATATATAGCAATTTTGGCCAGACACAGTGGCTCACGCCTATAATCCCTGCACTTTGGGAGGCCAGGGTGGGTGGATCACTTGAGGCCAGGAATTCAAGACCAGCATGGCCAACATGGGGAAAACCCTGTCTCTACTAAAAATACAAAAATTAGCCAGGTGTGGTGGTGGGTGCCTGTAATACCAGCTACTTGGGAGGCTGAGGCGTGAGAATCACTTGAACTCAGGAGGCAGAGGTTGCAGTGAGCCGGGATTGTACTGCTGCACTCCAGCCTGGGTGACAGAGTGAAACTCCATCTCAAAAAAAAAAAAAAAAAAAAAAAAAGGCAAGCATCAAAAGCAATCCTGAATACTAAAAGAAAAATACATACATTCCATAGATCCCACTGACTCAAAAAATAAAATTAGAAAATAAAAAGAATGCAAAAAAATATTTAAACCACTAAATACACTAAATATGAAATGAATCCATACTCAAAAGTATTCCCAAAGAAATACCAAGCCTGTATGTTTTTTAGGAATTTTATCAAACTCTCTTCAAGACTTTTGCGACATGTGTAAGTGGTTTATTTGGGTTTTGTATATGTCAGTCAATTTTAGCAATTTACAATTTTCTACAAATGTGTCTTAATTTCAGATTTATGCCATTAAATGATTTATAGTAACATCTCACTTTTTATAAACATCTACTGACCAGGTGCGGTGGCTCACACCTGTCATACCAGCACTTTGGGAGGCCAAGGTGGGTGGATCACCTCAGGTCAAGAGTTTGAGACCAGCCTCGTCAACATGGTAAAACCTTGTCTCTACTAAAACTACAAAAAAAAAAATTAGCTGGACATGGTGGCGCATGCCTGTAGCCCCAGCTACTCGGGGAGGCTGAGGCAGGAGAATCGCTTCAACCCAGGAGGTGGAGATTGCAGTGAGCCAAGATCATGCCACTGCACTCCAGCCTGGGCGACAGAGGGAGACTCCATCTCAAAAAACAAACAAACAAACAAAAGGCCAGGCATGGTGGCTCATGCTGTAATCCCAGCACTTTGGGAGGCTGAGGCAGGCGGATTGCCTGAAGTCATGAGGCTGAGGTGGGTGGATTGCCTGAGGTCAGGAGTTTGAGACCAGGCTGGCCAACATAGTGAAACCCCATCTCTACTAAAAATACAAAAAAATTAGCCGGGCATGGTGGCGTGCGCCTGCAATCCCAGCTACTCCAGAGGGTGAGGTAGGGGAATTGCTTGAACCAGGGAGATGGAGGTTGCGGTGGAGCCAAGATCACGCCACTGCACTCCGGCCTGGGCGACAGAGCAAGACTCCGTCTCAAAAAAAAAAAAAAAAAATCTATCTACTGTATCTGAAATCATCTCTTCCATTCTAAAATAGCCGATTTCTATTCTCCCTCGACCAGTGCAGACTGAAGTTTGTCTAAATTTATTCATTTTAAATACAACCAAATTTTTGTTTGTTTTTAACAAATCCTTTCCAATAAGTAATTTTAGCTTTTTCTTTTTAACTTTTTACTTGAGTGACTTGAGACTCAAAAGAAAGTCTCAAGAATAGTATGAAGAATTTCCAAATACCCTTCTCATCTACATCTCCCAAATATTAACATTTTACCACATTTATGCAGGCGGCTGATGAAAAAGGTCCCACCACAAGGTGGCAGAGTACACACCTGGGCGAGGCTTTGTGCAGGCAGGAAGGCCCTCAGGTTAGAGGCCATCCCAGGGCTGTGGCATGGGGGCCATTACCCAGAAGGAGAGGGGGCAGGGACAGCTCCTGGGTATCTCTGAGAGCCTTAGGGTCTTTTTTTTTTTTTTTTTTTTTGATATGGAATCTTGCTCTGTCACCCAGTCTGGAGTGCAGTGACACGATCTCCAACCTCCGCCTCCCGGGTTCAAGCAATTCACCTGCCTCAGCCTCCCGAGTAGCTGGGATTACAGGCCCCTGCCATCATGTCTAGCTAATTTTTGAATTTTTGTAGAGACGGGGTTTCCCCATGTTGGCCAAGCTGGTCGTGAACTCCTCACCTCAGGGGATCCGCCTGCCTCAGCCTCCCAATGTGCTGGGGTTAAAGGCATGAGCCACCGTGCCCAGCTAGCCTTGGGGTCTTGAAAGCCACATGGTTTGTCTTATACATGGCCAGCAGATGTTGGGTGCAGTTTCCCAGGTATGTACAGCAAGAGATCTCTAAATCACTACAAATCTGCATGTACTTCGGCTATGATTCAAACAACTGGGGCCAGGCATAATGGCTCACACCTGTAATCCCAGCACTCAGGGAGGCCAAGGTGAGAGGATCCCTTGAGCCCAGGAGTTCAAGGCCAGCCTGGGCAACATAGCGAGACTCCTGTCTCTATTAGAAAATAAAACAGGCCAGGCGTGGTGGCTCACGCCTGTAATCCCAGCACTTTGGGAGGCCAAGGCGGGTGGATCACCTGAGATTAGGAGTTCAAGACCACCCTGGCCAACATGGTGAAACCCTGTCCCTACTGAAACTACAAAAATTAGCCAGGTGTGGTGGTGGGTGACTGTAATACCAGCTACTGGGGAGGCTTAGGCAGGAGAATCACTTGAACCCGGGGGGCAGAGGTTGCAGTGAGCCGAGATCACACCACTGCACTCCAGCCTGGGCAACAGAGCAACTGTCTCAAAAAGAAAAAAAAAATAAATTATTCAATTTAGGTTTAATGTCTCATGATTAGATTCAGGTGATACGTTGTGGCAGAAATTTTTTTTGTTTTAACTTGCTCTATTTTTTTAAGTGGGAAAACACTTAATTCCATAAAACAGAGTATATGTTCGTCTCTTCCTTTTAATTTCTCCTCATATGCTTTTACTTTCGGGGGTTTGAGCTTGTTTTTTCTTTTTTTTTTTTGAGAGGGAGTCTCGCTCTGTCGCGCCGGCTAGAGTGCAGTGGCACAATCTCGGCTCACTGCCAGCTCTGCCTCCCGGGTTCACGCCATTCTCCTGCCTCAGCCTCCCGAGTAGCTGGGACTACAGGTGCCTGCCACCACACGCGGCTAATTTTTTGTACTTTTAGTAGAGATGCGGTTTCACCGTGTTAGCCACGACGGTCTCGATCTCCTGACCTCGTGATCCGCCTGCCTCAGCCTCCCAAATTGCTGGGATTACAGGCATGAGCCACCATGCCCAGCCCCTATTCTCTTTTCTATGCTAACCACCTGAGCTGAATGTCATTAAGTTTCATTCTTTTTATTTAACACATATATTAGGACTACAGTAATAAGTTAAAAAGAAAAAAAATCAATTTTTGGAAAGGTCTTATTAAAACTAATAAAATAACTGGTTTGTATTTAAAATTAATAAAATCGACCAGATTCCAGGCACAATTGAGCAAGAGAAGGCATGAAAAAGACAATTTCAGATATGGTCAAGGTTTGATTTTTTTTTTTTTTTTTTTGAGATAGGGTCTCACTCTGTCGCGCAGACAAGAGTGCAGTGGCGTGATCTCGGCTCACTGCAACCTCCGCCTCCCAGGCTCACGCGATTCTCTTGCCTCTGCCTCTTGAGTAGCTGGGATTACAGGCGTGTGCCACTACTGCCCAGCTAATTTTTTTTTTGGTATTTTTAGTAGACACGGGGTTTCACCATGTTGGCCCGGCTGGTATCCAACTCCTGACCTCATGTGATACACCCGCCTTGACCTCCCAAAGTGCTGCAATTACAGGTGTGAGCCACAGCGCCCAGCCATGGTCGAGGTTTATAAGATTACTCTAAATAATTGCCATAAATTCAAAATTAAATGGGACACTTTCCTAGAAAATATAAATTACTAAAATTGACTGGCAAACAGAAAACCAGAATAAGCCACTCAACATTAAGTGGATCCATCCTAAAAAATACAGCCATCGGGGAAACACCAGGAATTCATTACATTCTACTCAAGATTTTTGCAATGTCTGTAACTCAAAGTGAATTTATATCTAAAAAATATGAAAAAAATGCTAAAAATAAGAAAAAGACAACCCTGAAGGAAATACAGGCAAAGGTGATGAACATACAAAGCAATCTTATACTGTTTATGGCTACACTCCTGTCTAGTAAATAAACAAAAACACGTATCAATTTTGGCCAGGTGCAGTGGCTCACGCCTGTGATCCCAGCACTCTGGGAAGCCAAGGTGGGTGGATCACTTGAGGTCAGGAGTTTAACACCAGCCTGCCCGACATGGGGAAACCCGTCTCTACCAAAAATACAAAAATTAGCCAGGTGTGGTCGTGGGCGCCTGTGATCCCACCTACTCGGGAGACAGAGGTTGCCGTGAGCCCAGATCCAGCCACTGCACTCCAGCCTGGGCGACAAGAGACTCAACCCCCCAAAATAAAAGATATATAGCAATTTTAAGTTTAATCTCAGTGAGGGAGAGTACAAAGGGTCGTCAACAGTATTTAGGAGGTTTTAGTTCTGTAAGAAAATCTGAACCCAGCATACTTTTTTTTTCACATCCATTCGGCTCAGAATGAAGTAAACTTTTGACATCTGCTCAATTTGGATCATGAGTACAAAGGCTCCATTTTCTTTTACTTTGCTATGTATTTAGATCTCTTCCAATATTACTAATCAAAAATAGCAAAAAAGAATTATGGACATGTCATAGGAAAAGCTCCTTCAGGCCGGGCAAGGTGGCTCATGCCTGTAATCCGAGCACTTTGGGAGGCCGAGGCGGGCGGATCACGAGGTCAGGAGTTCGAGACCAGCCTGACCAACATGGTGAAACCGTCTCTACTAAAAATACAAAAATCAGCCAGGCGTGGTGGCGCCCGCCTGTAATCCCAGCTATTTAGGAGGCTGAGGCAGGAGAATTCGCTTGAACCGGGGAGTTGGAGGTTGCAGTGAGCTGAGATTGTGCCACTGCACTCCAGCCTGGGCGACAGAGTGAGACTCAGTCTCAAAAAAAAAAAAAAAAAAGAAAAGAAAAACCTCTTTCAGTAAGACCCAAGTGCAAGTCGTGATAGAAAAACCACCACCACGAAAACATTTGCTCCTATCACGATTTAAAACCATAGTACCAGTTTCATTCTCTCCCCAACTCAAGTGAGTTTCATCTTAAAAAAAAAAAAAAAAACATCAAAGACAGACATCCTCTGCTAACTCCATCACATCACACCACCCCAAGTGTTGCTCACCTTTCTTCACCAAGGGCTGGAAAAGAACAGTCTACACAGAACTGCGGCAGCCGCCTCCTTCTCCTCACCCGTCTACAACAGAGGTGCTCACACTGTACGCCTTCATCTGGTGTCTCCCTACTCAATTGTCTCACACCCTCAGTCCAACCCTCATAACTCTACTTCCTGCAGGGATACTTTGACCAACACCCAAATATGATCATGCCTCTGCCTTGAAGTACTGCATTTGCAGCTGGAGCAAGAGGGAGACCCCAGCCTCGGACCTTGCTGGTCAGCCCCCCACCCCGCCCCCAGCCTCACGGCCCTGGGCGCCTCCCCTGTGCTGAGTCCTCAGTACCACCCATCATTACCCCTCAGGGATGCTCCTCCCTGGTCCTCAAAGACCCTATTGCCATTTCATCTGCAACATCTTATTTAAGTCTGACCTGAAGTCACTCCTTCCCCAGTTGAAACTGATCCTCCCTCCCCTGGGTGTCCATGCATCCTGATAGTTGAGGTAACTAACAGGGCGGCTACCCCTGGATCGCCCCCACATGTTAACGTGACCAACACCTCTGTAGGACTGCATCCAACAAGGGACCCCAGCTCCGTGCTCCCCCAGATCGGACCCAGGCACTCAGAAGATGTTTTGAATGAGCCCAGACGCCTGAAATAACCCCCCTCCACACCCTGCCTTCGTTTCCCTCCTAGCTCAGTGCCCACCACTGGCTGCGATCGGGGGTCTGCATGAGCCAAGTAGGAGAGAAAAAAGGGGGTTACCCTCTGCAAGAGACGGGGACATTCCCCAACAGCCCCCTTCTTCCCCCTAGAGACCCAGGCACCGCAGGGTAGTGGACTTCAGGGGCCTGGATGGGCAGAGAAGCTCCAGGGGAAGGGACGGCAACAAACCCACTCTTGGGGAAGAGCGGGATCCCCTGTGCAGAGAACAAGCCCCTAGCTCACCTGCGTCCAGGTGGTCACAGTGGCAGGTGCCCTGCACAAGCTTCCAGAGGACGGTGGGGTCCGAGGAAGGGCAGTGAGATGAGGGGCCAGCCGCTGCTCCGGACCCACTACCTGTAGCGTCCCCCAACCCAACTCGGCAGCACCCGACAACCCGCAGAGACGTCTGGAGGAGCCGCCCCCAAGAACCCCAGTGCAGTGCCGGCTCTGCAGCAAGTGGGTGCCGGCCACGCTCGCGCTGGGCACAGCCCCGGAGCCAGAGCGCCGCCCCCCACAACGCGTGTCTGAGGTGTCAGTCGCCGTAGGAAGAGTCTGGGGTCCGGAAGTGCGGGCATTGCAGTCCTGCACCTCAAAACACTGCGTAAAAGCAGCTCCCCCAGGGACTACAACTCCCAGAACCCCCCACGACGCCATGCTTCCGGTTAGGCTACCCTGCACTTCCAGCCACAGCCACGGCTGCAGTCACGTGGGAGGTGGCCATGGGCTGGCAGGGTGTGGCGCCGGGCTTCTGGTTGACACAGAGCTGGGGGTGAATGACACCATGCCCAGCCGGCTTTTCCTTTTGTTTCTACAAAAAGATTTTGTCTCTTTGTAAAAGGTTTTTTGTCTGGTTTCCTGGATCAGGTTTGCACATCAGGAATTGGAGTCCTTTGCACATTCAACTACGTAGATTTCCACCCTGTGGTAGATTCTACCTGTGGTTTCTACCGCGTGGTTCTAGAGTGAATTATAAACAGTAGGCCAGGCGCGGTGGCTCTTGCCTGTAATCCCAGCACTTCGGGAGGCTAAGGCGGGCAGATCACGAGGTCAGGAGTTCGAGACCATCCTGGCTAACACGGTGAAACCCTGGCTCTACTAAAAATACAAAAAATTAGCTCGGTGTCATGGTGTACACCTTTAATCCCAGCTACTCAGGAGGCTGAGGCAGGAGAATGGTGTGAACCCAGCAGGCGAAGGTTGCAGTGAGCCGAGATCGCACCATTGCACTCCAGCCCTGAGCGACAGTGTGTGACTCCGTCAAAAAAAAAAAAAAAAAAAAAAAACAAAACAAAACCAAAATAAACAGTAGAAATCATCTCCATAAAAATGATTCATTTACAAATCTTGTGGGTGTAGACTCTTTTTAGAATAATCCTTTTGGGGTTGGGCGCGGTGGCTCATGCCTGTAAACCCAGCACTTTGGAAGGTCAAGCTAGGTGGATCACCTGAGGTCAGGAGTTTGAGACCAGCCTGACCAACACGGTGAAACCCCCTCTCTACTAAAAATACAAAAATTGGCCAGGTGCAGTGGCTCACGCCTGTAATCCTAGCACTTTGGGAGGCCAAGATGGGCAATCACCTGAGGTCGGGAGTTCGAGATCAGCCTGACCAACATGGCGAAACCCCGTCTCTACTAAAAATACAAAAAAAAAAATTAGCCAGGTGTGGTGGCGCATGCCTGTAATCTGAGCTACTTGGGAGGCTGAGGCAGGAGAATCGCTTGAACCCAAGAGGCGGAGGTTGCAGTGAGCCAAGATTGCACCATTGCACTCCAGCCTGGGCAAAAAGAACTAAACTTCATCTCAAAAATAAAAATAAAAATAAATAAATAAAAACATTAGCTGGGCATGGTGGTGGACACCTGTAATCCCAGCTACTCAGGAGGCTGAGGCACAATTGTTTGAATCACTTGAACCCGGGAGGCAGAGGTTGCAGTAAGCCGAGATCACACCATGGCACTCCAGCCTGGGCGACAGAGCAAGACTGTCTCAAAATATATATATATATATATATATATATATATATATATATATATATATATATATATATATGTGTGTGTGTGTGTGTGTGTGTGTGTGTGTGTGTGTGTGTACACACACACACACACACACACACATATATATAAAAAAGGAATAATCCTTTTGGGGTTTTATGTCATTTGTTCCTTTCTTCCTATTTAGGTCATTTTTGTTATACATTTTTTTTCCAAATTGTCCTTTAATCAGGACATATTTTTAACTCAGATATTTGTTATGCCTATTACTTTTTCAAGATTTCTCTATAAATTTGCATTTTAGATCAGTGAGGGAAAAATACACCACGTAGACCCTCAAACACCATGGGTTTGAACTTCGAAGGTCCACTTATATGCAGGTTTTTTCCAACCGAACTCAGAAAATACAGTATTTGAGGGATGTGAAACTCAAACATATAGAAGCCCAACTTTTCATGTACACAGTTCCACAAGGCCAACTGTGGGACTTGAGTATGGCAGATTTGGGTATGAGGGTGATTATGGTTTGGGTCATGTTAAATTATAATACCCAGCTGGCCACGGTGGCTCACGCCTGTAATCCCAGCACTTTGGGAGGCCAAGGCAGGTGGATCACCTGAGGTCAGGAGTTCGAGACCACCCTGGCCAACATGATGAAACCCCGTCTCTACTAAAAATACAAAAATTAGCTGGGCATGGTGGTACATGCCTGTAATCCGAGCTACCTGGGAGGATGAGGCAGGAGAACTGCTTGAAGCCAGGAGGCAGAGGCTGCAGTGAGCTGAGATTGCACCACTGCACTACAGCCTGGGCGACAAAGCAAGACGCCATCTCAGGAAAAAAAAAAAAAAAAATTATAATCCCCAGTGTTGGAGGTGCATCTGGTGGGAGGCGATTGGATCATGGGGGTAGGTTTCCCCTTTCGTGCTGTACTCGTGAGAGTGAGTGACTTATCATGAGAGCTGGTTGTTTAAAAGTGTGCAGCACCTCCCGTCTTTCTCTCTCTTCCTCCTGCTCTGGCCATGTAAGACATTCCTGCTTCCCCTTTGCCTTCCGCCATGACTGTCAGTTTCCTGAGGCCTCCCCAGCCACGCTTCCTGTACAGGCTGCAGAACTGTGAGTCAATTAGACCTCTTTTCTTTATAAACTACCCAGTCTCAGATAGTTCTTTATAGCAGTATGAGAATGAACTAATACAAACGGGTTGTGTCCTGGAACCAATCCCCTCCAAATATGAAGGGCTGACTTTATTTTATTATGGTACAAAGGCTAGTACAGTGGCTCCCACCTGTAATCCAGCACTTTGGGAGGCCAAGGTACGAGGATCGCTTGAACCTGGGAGCTTGAGGCTGCAGTGAGCTATGATCACGCCACTGCACTCCAACCTGACCAACAGAGCAAAACCCTGTCTCAAAAAAAAAAAAGTAACAATAGGCTGGGGAAGGGGGCTCATGCCTGTAATCCCAGGACTTTGAGAGGCCAAGGCGGGCAGATCACAAGGTCAGGAGTTCAAGACCAGCCTGGCCAACATGGTGAAACCCTGTCTCTACTAAAATACAAAAATTAGCTGGGTGTGGTGGCAGGCATCTGTAATCCCAGCTACTAGGAAAGCTGAGGCAGGAGAATTGCTTGAACCCAGCAGGCAGAGGTTGCAGTGAGCGGAGATGGCGCCACTGCCCTCCAGCTTGAGCAACAAATCGAGACCCCCTCTCAAAAAAAAAAAAAAAGAAAAAAAAAAATGGTTGAAAATGTTTTTCTTCCCAATAAATTCATGGTTGCTATGAAACTATGAAACAGTAACACAAAAAAAATTAAATTCCTAGATCTATTTCTACAGAGTTTTCCAACAATGTTTCTCTTTTATATTGATTAGTGTCACCAGAGATTTGTCTATCACTTGTTCATTTTTCCAAAGATAAAATTTGTTTATTATTTTTTCCTCTCTTCCCTAGTAAGAGAGAAAATAAAACTCTTACAGCTATCATCTTCTAATATCAAGATAACATGAAAACTCCTATAAAATGAAAGGGAAGGTGAACATTGTAATTCTAATTACAAAATGAGAGCTAAAAATATATGCAACTATGTAATTTAGGACATGGATAAAACTGCTGTAATAGAGTTCCCAAAATAAAAGTGCCCTAAAAATTACTGATAAAGCCGAACGTGGTGGCTCATATCTGTAATCCCAGCATTTTGGAAGGTTGACGTGGGCGGATCACTTGAGGCCAGGAGTTCGAGACCAGCCTGGGCAACATGGCAAAACCCTGTCTCTACTAAAAAATACAAAAATGGCCTGTAGTGGTGGCTCATGCTTGTAATCCCAGCACTTTGGGAGGCCAAGGCAGGTGGATCCTGAGGTCAAGAGATCAAGACCATCATGGCCGACATGGTGAAATCCCGTCTCTACTAAAAATGCAAAAATTAGCTGGGCAGGGTGGTGCGCACCTGTAGTCCCAGCTACTCGGGAGGCTGAGGCAGGAGAATCGCTTGAACCCAGGAGGCAGAGGTTGCAGTGAGCCAAGAATGCACTACTGCACTCCAGCCTGGCAACAGAGCAAGATTCTGTCTCAAAAAAAAAAAAAAAATTTGCCAGGTGTGGTGGTACACACCTGTAGTCCTAGCTACTTGGAAGGCTAAGGCAGGAGGACTGCTTGAACCCAGAAGGTAGAAGTTGCAGTAAGCCAAGATCATGCCACTAATCCCCAGCCTGGGCAACAGAGTGAGACTATCTCAAAAAAATAAAAAAGAAATCACCAGTGATTATTTCTCATAAAAAAAAATCCATGTGGCTCCAAAGAAGTCAGAAAACTAGACTCCCAAATGAGTGCTCTAGCTGGGCCTGGTGGTTCATACCTGTAATCCCAGCACTTTGGGAGGCTACAGTGGGAGGATTGATTGAGCCCAGTTCAAGATCAGCCTGGGCAACATGGCAAGACATCATCTCTAAAAAACGTTTTTCTCATGCCTGTAATCCCAGCACTTTGGGAGGCTGAGACGGGCAGCTCACGAGGTCAGGAGATCGAGACCATCCTGGCTAACATGGTCAAACCCCGTCTCTAATAAAAATACAAAAAATTAGTCAGGCGTGGTGGCAGGCGCCTATAGCCCCAGCTACTCGGGAGGCTGAGGCAGAAAAATGGCGTAAACCTGGAAGGCGGAGCTTGCAGTGAGCCGAGTTCGTGCCCCTGCACTCCAGCCTGGGCGACAGAGCAAGATTCCGTATCAAAATTTTTTTAAAATTAGCCGGGCATGCTGGCATGCACCTGTACTCCCAGCTACTGCAGAGGCTGAGATGGGAGGACTGCTTGAGACTAGGACGTCAAAGCACTACAACGAGCCATGATCATGTCACTGCGCTCCAGTCTGGGTAACAGAGCAAGACACTGTCTCAAAACAAAACAAAACAAAACAAAAAAACTGCTCTACCATCCCTAGAGCAGGTATGGTTCAAGATGGCCAGGTCTGTATTTCAGCCAGCAGTAAGAGGGGAAAAGGAAGGGACAGAATGCCCCCCACCCCAATTTTTTTTTTTTTTTTTTTGAGATGGAGTCTCGCTCTGTCGCCCAGTCTAGAATGCAGTGGTGGGATCTCCACTCACTGCAACCTCCACCTCCTGGGGTCAAGCAATTCTCCTGCTTCAGCCTCCTGAGTAGCTGGGATTACAAGCACCTGCCACCATGTCTGGCTGATTTTTGTATTTTTAAGCAGAAACAGGGTTTCACCATGTTGGCCAGGCTGGACTCGAACTCCTGACCTCAAGTGATCTGCCCCCCTTAGCTTCACAAAGTGCTGGGATTACAGACATGAGCCACCATACCCGGCCCAAATGCCCTTTCTTTTAAGAGCTTGATTCAGAAAAGGCACAAGTCACTTCTGCTCATATCCCATTGAACAGATCTCAGTTACGTGGCCACCTCCATCTACAAAGAAGGCTGGAAAATGGAGTCTCCATTCTGGGAGGGCAACTCCTAGCTAAAAATTGAAGGCTCTATTGCATTAGAAGGAGAGAACAGATATTGGGAAATAACCAGCGGTCTCCACCACAGGGAAAAGATAGGACGCAGGGAACGCCGGGGGGACAGGTGAAACAGACAAGTGATATTAACCAGGAGTTCCCTCCCACCTGAGTTAAACTACGCATAGTGTTGAAGTTAATGTTTTCATTTTCTCCCATTTCACCAAAGGATAAACCTTTGCTGTTCTAGGGATAGGAAAAGAAATAATAAGCAGTAATAGCTGCCTGGATATGCCGCATAGGGCTGGAGACAAAGGACTCTAATTGCCCTGCTTATTGGCTGGGCACGGTGGCTCACGCCTGTAATCCCAACACATTGGGAGGCTGACGCAGACCTCACTTGAGGTCAAGAGTTCAAAAACCAGCCTGGCCAACATGGTGAAACCTTGTCTCTACCAAAAACAAAGAAAAATAAGCCAAGTGTGGTGGCAGACACCTGTAACCCCACCTACTTGGGAGGCCAAGACAGGAGAATTGCTTGAACCTGGGAGGTACAGGTTGCACAGTGAGCCAAGATTGTGCCACTGCACTGCAGCCTGGGTGACAGAGCAAGACTTCATCTCAAAAAAAATAAATAATAAATAAATAATAAAAATACAAAAGTTAGTGGGGCGTGGTGGTGCATGCCTGTTGTCCCAGCTACTCAGGAGGCTGAGGCAGGAGAATTGCTTGAACCCAGGAGGCGGAGGTTACAGTGAGTCAAGATCGCACCACTGCAGTCCACAGAGTGAGACTCTGCCTCAAAAAAAAAAAAAAAAAAAAAAAAAAAAAAATATATATATATATATATATATATATCCCTGCTTATAGATGTTCATTTTTTCCATTTATTTGAAAAGCAGAATAAACGTATGTTGTAACAAATCAATGTAAACATAAAGTATCATCCTGCTACTATCAATCATATAAAGTCATACTAAGACATTCACATGCAATATGATTATTAATATCGTTGGTCCCACCTACTGGGGAGGCTGAGGCAGGAGAATCACTTGAACTTGGGAGGCGGAGGATGCAGTGAGCTGAGATTGTGCCACTGCACTCCAGCTGGAGTGACAGAGCGAGACTCCATCTCAAAAACAAACAAAAACACCCTTAGGTAATGATCACCAATGACTGCTGACATCTTTTTGAAAAAAATAAGAAAACCAGACACCCTGTCCATCTACATGGCTGTATACAACATCACCTATAAGTAATCCTGGAAAAAAAAAAGAACTTGAGTCTAAGCCTCTTGATCTAATTAACAAATTACAGGACATACAAGGCAGTAGAAAAATGTCAAATGACACCACAATGAGACAATCTGCAAAATCCAGGGTGTAACAAATTCTACACTTTTTTCTACAAATAAAATGCCAACAGAGAGAGGGAGGGAGGAAAGGAAGAGAGGGAGAAGGAATCTATGGATCACAAGAGAATGAAGGAAAATATCACTAGTGATATATGGATCCTATTATCTAAACAAGAGCTCACTGAACTTTCCAATTCATGTGCTTCCTCTTGTTAACCGCACTGGCTCATTCCGCGTCTTCTGTGCCATCCTGTTTCCACGTCTCCACTGGGAAAAAAATAACAGGAAAAATGGCATTTTATCAGGGGCATGTACTAGGAAGATGCTTAACATTGTCTCCATGGTTTGATATTTTATATTATATATAACGAATATATATATATTTATAATATAAAATATATTTGTATGTAAAATATAAAAATATAGATATATAAAATATAAATATAAAATAGGTCAGGCACGGTGGCTCACACCTGTAATCTCAGCACTTTGAGAGGCCAAGGTGGGTGGATCACCTGAGATCAGGAGTTCGAGACCAGCCTGGCCAACATGGTGAAACCCCCGTCTCTACTAAAAATACAAAATTTACCTGGGTGTGGTGGCAGGTGCCTATAATCCCAGCTACTCTGGAGGCTGAGGCAGGAGAATCGCTTGACTCAGGAGGTGGAGGCTGCAGCAAGCTGAGATAGCGCCATTGCACTCTAGCCTGGGTGACAGAGTTAAGACTCTGCCTCAGAAAAAAAAAATTATATATGTAATGTAAAATGTTATTTATATGTAATATATTGCATAATATATTTTATATGTAATATAAATGTTTATATATATTACATATATTGGCTCACTGCAACCTCTGCCTCCCAGGTTGTAGTGATTCTCCTGCCTCAGCCTCCCAAGTAGCTGGGACTACAGGCACACACCACCACACCCAGCAGATTTTCATATTTATATAAAAACATATAAATACAAAGCTATTTATATATAAATTACAAAATATATTTTATATGATATCGTTTGTATTATATATTTTATATAATATGGTTTGTATTATATACTATAATACTGTATATTATATAAAATGTTTTATATTATAAAGATCTTTACATCATAGTTCATATTATAAATATATAGTTTATGTCATATGTAATATGTAACGGATAATATCTTTTTTTTTTTTTGAGACAGTCTTGCTGTCACCCAGGCTAGAGTACAGTGGCGCAGTCTCCGCTCACTGCAAGCTCCGCCTCCCGGGTTCACACCATTCTCCTGCCTCAGCCTCCTGAGTAGCTGGGACTACAGGCACCCACCACCACCCCTGGCTAATTTTTTGTATTTTTAGTAGCGACGGGGCTGCACCGTTTAGCCAGGATGGTCTTGATCTGACCTCGTGATCTGCCTGCCTCGGCCTCCTAAAGTGCTGGGATTACAGGTAGAAGCCACTGTGCCCAGCCACATTTTTTTTTTTTTTTGAGAGTCTTGCTCTGTCACCCAGGCTGGAGTAAAGTGGGGCAATCTGGGCTCCCTGCAGCCTCTGCCTCCCAGGTTCAAGTGATCTCCCCACCTCAGCCTCCCAAATAGCTAGCATTACAGACATGTATCACCATGCCTGGCTAATTTTTTTTGTTTGAGACAGAGTCTCGCTCTGTCACCCAGGCTGGAGTGCAGTGGGGCGATCTTGGCTCATTGCAACCTCTGCCTCCCAGGTTCTAGTGATTCTCCTGCCTCAGCCTCCCGAGTATCTGGGACTATAGGTGCACATCACCACATCCAGCTAATTTTTGTATTTTTAGTAGAGATGAGGTTTCACCATGTTGGCCAGGATGGTCTCCATCTCTTGACCTGGCAATCTGCCCGCCTCGGCCTCCCGAAGTACTGGGATTACAAGCGTGAGCCACTGTGCCTGGCCATTTTTTTTGTATTTTTAGTAGGGAAGGGGTTTCACCATGTTGTCCAGGCTGGTCTTGAACTCCTGACCTCGAGTGATCTGTGTACCTCAGCCTCGCAAAATGCTAGGATTACAGGTGTGAGCCATCGCACTGGGCCTAAAATACATATTATATATTACATATAAATAATACATTTTTATATTCCAGTGTTTTCCTTTTCACTTTTTAGAAGCAGGGTCTCACTCTGTTGCTGAGGCTGGAGTGCAGTGGCGCGATCATAGCTCACTGCACCCTCGACTTTCTGGACTCAAGAGATCCTCCCACCTCAGCCTACCAAGTATATCTGGGACTACAGGCGCACACCACCATGCCTGGCTAATTTTTGTATCTTTTGTAGAGGCAAGGTTTCACTCTGTTGCCCAGGCTGGTCTTACACTCCAGGCTTCAAGCGATCCTCCTGCCTCAGACTCCCGAAGTGCTAGGACTGCGGGTGTGAGCCACCAAGATGAATTTCTTGATTCCTCCAAAAATATAAGCCATGGAGGCTCCTGACTGCCTGGTGGCTGCCAATGTTTTTTCAACAACCCCCTGCCCTTTTTTTTTTTTTTTTTTTAATCATAAGGCAGCCTCCTGTCTCCTCTGCAGAGCACCTGTTTCACCTCTGTATACAGGACACCTCCAGTGAGCTTTGTCCCCTCATGGTAGCCCTGAGAGAGCAACTAACCCTGTTCTGCACCTGGGGAAACTGTAGCCCAGATTGTTTAGCCAATGTTCAGTAAGTTAGTGGCCAGGTAGTATATTAGTCCGTTCTCGCACTGCTATAAAGAAATACCCTTCGGCCAGGCACAGTGGCTTACGCCTGTAATCCCAGCACTTCGGGAGGCCGAGGCAGGTGGATCACGAGGTCAGGAGAGAGAGACCATCCTGGTTAACGCAGTGAAACCCCGTCTCCACTAAAAATACAAAAAAATTAGCCGGGCGTGGTGGTGGGCACCTGTAGTCCCCAGCTACTCAGGAGGCTGAGGCAGGTGAATGGCATGAACCTGGGAGTCGGAGCTTGCAGTGAGCTGAGATCGCGCCACTGCACTCCAGCCTGGGCAACAGAGCAAGACTCAGTCTCAAAAAAGAAAGAAATACTCAGTGGCTGACGGCTATAATCCCAGCACTTTGGGAGGCCAAGTCAGGCAGATCACTTGAGGTCAGGGGTTCGAGACCAGCCTGGCTAACATGGTGAAACCCCATCTCTACTACAAATACAAAAATTAGCCAGACATGGTGGCAAGTACCTGTGGTCCCAGCTACTCTGGAGGCTGAGGCAAGAGACTCGCTTGAACCCAGGAGGCGGAGGTTGCAGTGAGCTGAGATCACACCACTGCACTCCAGCCTAGGCAACAGAGTGAGACTCGGACTCAAAAACAAAAACAAAAAAGAATAAATAAACAAACCCAAGACTGGGTAATTTATGAAGGAAAGAGGTTTAATTGACTCACAGTTCCACATTGCTGGGAAGGCCTCAGGAAAATTACTGTCATGGTGAAAGGCAAAGGAGAAGCAGGCACCTTCTCAGGAAGCAGGATGGAGTGAGTGCAAGCAGGGGAAATACCAGTGCATATAAAACCATCGGACACCTCAAGACTCACTATCACGAGAGCAGAATGGGGGAAACTGCCCCCACGATCCGTTTACCTCCACCTGTCCCACTCTTGACACGTGGGGATTATGGGATTACAATTCAAGATGAGATTCTAGGTGGGGACCCAAACCCTAACCATACCAGGTAGGGACTAGAAATCTGCTTCCCAAACTCCTACTCCAATGCTATGCTCTCTGGACACTGTGTCCCAGTCCTGGAAGGAAAGAGAACAAGAAACTCAGATGGCCTGGACTGAGGGCAAAGGAGGGTGAGGCTGGCACTGACATCCTCAGAGGCTCCTGCAGGGTCGTGTGTATGAAACCCAAGCCCAAGCTTCATGCCCTGCCCCCCAAAAGCAGGGAATGCACACTGTAGCAAATGCTAAGCCAGCTCTCTAGCACGTGAAACAGTCTTGTTCAGAGACAGGAGAGGCTGCTCTCCAGTGGTTCTTCAAGGCTGCTTTCTCCCTGCCTAGTCTGAAGGATTGCTTTCTCTTTTCTGCATTTAGTATTTTTGGACTGCGGTTGACCTCGGCTAACTGACTGTTAGTAAGAGGGGAAACCACTGTAGTTCAAAACTCCAGTCTTGGTGGGGCGCTGTGGCTCAGGCCTGCAATCCCAGCACTTTGGGAGGCTGAGGTGGGAGGAGCACTTGAAGCCAGGAGTTCCAGACCAGCCTGTGCAACACAGCGACATCCCATCTCTACAAAAAATGTAAAGATTAGCCAGGCATGGTGATGTATGCCTGTTGTCCCAGCTGATTGGGAGGCTGAGGTGGGAGGATTGCTTGAGCAAACCTCCTCTAAACCATGAGTTCAAGACTGCGGTCAGCTATGATTGCACCACTGCACTCCAGCCTGTGCAACAGAGTGAGACTCTGTCTTAAAAGTAAATAGGCTGGGCATGGTGGCTCACGCCTGTAATCCTAGCAGTTTGGGAGGCTGAGGCAGGAAGATCATCACATTCCCACTTCTGTCCTCATCGCCCATCCCTCACCTCCCTTCTCATCCTAGAAGAGCTAAAGGATTGCTTTTATTGATGAACTGTACATTGTATGCGAACACACAGGACCTCAGCGTGCAGTTTGATGGGTTTAGACACCCATGTAAATGAAACACAATCAGGATACAGCAGTGTCCATGCTCCCAGAAAGCTCCTTCATGTCTCTTTTCACTCAATCCCCTTCCCCTTGGACTGCAAATAGGAAAGGTTCTGATACGTCCCAGAGCACTCAAACTTTCTGGGTCTCTCTGCCAGCCAGCGGTTCTGGGCAAGCCATCTACCCATCAGACCATCAGGCCCCTGCGAAACAGCAGTCACCGGCCACTTCCCTGAAGACACAAGTAATCATGCTGTCCACTCTGCTAGCTGTCACCATGAGGTCGCCCAGGTCAAGCAGCAAGTATACTTTTTTTTAAAAAAACTTCCTCTGGCCGGGTGCGATGGTTCACGCCCGTAATCCCGGCACTTTGGGAGGCTGAGGCAGGTGGATCACCTGAGGTCAGGAGTTCCAGCACTGGCCAACATGGTGAAAATAAAAAAAATTAGCTGGGCTTGGTGGCACACGCCTGTAATCCCAGCTACTTGGGAGACTGAGGCAGGAGAATCGCTTCAACCTGGGAGCCAGAGGCTGCAGGGAGCTGAGATCACGCCATTGTACTCCAGTCTGGACAACAGAGTGAGACTCCATCTGAAAAAAAAAAAGAGAAAGAAAGAAAGAAAGAAAAGGCAAACTTCCTCTGAAACTTTTCACACAAAGCTTATTCTTCCTTCTCTGTCTGCACCCAAGACCTCACGCTCAGTTTATCCATGGCTAAAATCTATGGCAAAGCCAGCCCTGATCAAGAGGGTGAGGATGCCTGTAATTACCTTAGCAACAGAACATGCTGTGCATTTGAATCACATCATCTCATCCCCATAGCAACACAGAATCGTAGAATCATGGTGCTCTGGAGCCAAGTGGCAACAGCGCTGAGTCCAACCTCTTAGATTAAAACAAAACCCAACAGAAACAAAGTCGTTGACAACTCAGATAGATTTCATAGCCTTGTACCTATTTTTTTTGTCATTTGGACATACAATGGAACTTTGATACCAATAAGATAGCAAGGAACATCCACTTGGGCTGCTGGGTTTTTGGCTGATTTAATCAGAGGCTCTGTCCTATGTTATTAGAAACAAAAAAGAATTTTTTGATTGATGGAGGTAGAGCGAGTCGGCCAGGGATGAACGTAGAGATGTTGATATCAGACACCACAGAGCTGTGGCAAGAATTCCTCATTCATTTATTAAACACGTCTTCATGAGATTGCATCCTTCTCTGCTTCTGAGGTCGGCGTGCAAAGAACGACCTTCTCTTTTATCAGCTGGGGACTGTAAAAGGGAAATATTTGCCGGGCGTGGTGGCTCACGCCTGTAATCCCAACACTTTGAGAGGCCGAGATGAGTGGATCACGAGGTCAGGAGATCGACACAATCCTGACTAATGCAGTGAAACCCCGTCTCCACTAAAAATACAAAAAAATAGCCGAGCGCCTGTAGTCCCAGCTACTCGGGAGGCTGAAACAGGAGAATGGCGTGACCCGGGGTGGCGGAGCTTGCAGTGAGCCGGTATCATGCCACCGCACTCCAGCCTGGGCAACAGAGCAAGACTCCATCTCAAAAAAAAAAAAAAAAAAAAAAAGGGAAATAAATATTTTCTCTGCAGTCTCCTGACACTAACTCCTGGCCTCAAGGAAGTTCTCCAGGGCAGAGGGTAACAATATGAAATGTAAACATGGGATGTGGGGGGGGGGGGGGGGTTGGATACCTCATCCTGATATCAGCTCTACCTTTTGGCTATGTCTTGGTCTAATTCAAAACCATGAACTCTGGAGCAGGGGATATCTCAGTAGCCTCCTTAGGAACATGCTACAAGCTGAGATCAACAGAGCAGGGGGCATTGGAGGTTGCACTTCAAAGATGAATGGGGGCCAGGAGCGGAGGCTGATGCGTGTAATCCCAGCACTCTGGGAGGCCCAGGTAGGTGGATCACTTGAGGCCAGGAGTTCAAGGCCAACATGGTGAAACCCTGTCTCTACTAAAAATACAAAAAAATTAGGAGAGCATGGGATGGCACACACCTGTGGTCTCAGCTACTTAGGAGGCTGAGGCACAAGAATCACTTGAACCTGGGAGGCGGAGGTTGCAGTGAGCCGAGATAGTGCCACTGAACTCCAGCCTGGGCAACAAAGCAAAACTCCATCTCAAAAAAATAAAAAAGATGAATGAATCCTCTCCAAGCAAGAAATGTCCTGGGGGCAGAAAAGCATCCATTTCTGCATCCTCAGCATCTAGCAGTTTCCAGCATATATCAGGTGCTGAAAAAAACTCTTTAAAAGTCCAGGCACAGTGGCTCACGCCTGTAATCCCAGCACTTTGGGAGGCCGAGGCAGGAGGATCGCTTGAGCCCAGAAGTTTGAGACCCATCTGGCACAACATGGTGAAACCCTGTCTCTACAAAAAATTAGCCAGGCATGGTGGCACATGCCTGTACTCCCAGATACCCAGGAGGCTGAGATGGGAGGATAACCTGAGCCTGGGAGGTCCAGGCTATAGTGAGTCGTAATTGAGCCACTGCACTCCAGCCTGGACGAGTGAGACCTTGTCTCAAAAACAGAACAAAACAAAACAAAAATCTTGAAAAAATAGACTGGGGGCCATGCGTGGTAGCTCATGCCTGTAAACTCAGCACTTTGGGTGGTCAGGGCCAGCGGATCACCTGAGGTCAGGAGTTCAAGACCAGCCTAGCCAACACGGCGAAACCTTGTCTCTACTAAAAATACCAAAAAATTAGCTGGGCGTGGTGGCACGCGCCTGAAGTCCCGGCTCCTCAGGAGGCTGAGGCACAAGAATCGCTTGAATCTGGGTGGTGGAGGTTGCAGTGAGCTGAGATCTGGCCACTGCACTCCAGCTTGGGTGACAGAGCAAAAGTCTATCTCAATTAAAAAAAAAAATATATATATATATATATATATATACAAACACACACACACAAATTAGCTGGGCATGGTGGCGGGCGCCTGTAATCCCAGCTACTTCGGAGCCTGAGACGGGAGAATAGCTTGAACTCGGGAGGCGGAGGTTGCAGTGAGCCGAAATAGCGCCAGTGCACTCCAGCCTGGGCAACAGAGCAAGATTCTATCTCAAAAAACAAAAAGACTGGGTTTGCCATATTGCCCACACTGGTCTCAAGCTCCTGGCCTCAAGTGATCCTCCTTGCTCGGCCTTCCAAAGTGCTGGATTACAGGCTGGAGCCACCATATCTGGGCCTGAAAAAACTATGTCCTCCTGTTACAGGAGCATATTTGACAGGCTCATTTAAATATCCCCACTTCCATCAAGAACTGACCAAAGCTACCAAGGGTCATGGGGGAGAAATCCACCAGCCTTATCAAACCCCTACAACCCTACGGTTTCACATATGGGTGGACCAAGTGCCTACAAACAGCCAGATAGGACTTGCAGTTTGGCACAGAAGGATCTTGGAAGTCACCACACTGAGCTCACAAGTAAAAAGCTGTACAAACTGAAAAGTCAACAACTCCTCTGAAATCCATCCGTGGAGGGAGGTCACAGGGCAAACTCCCCGCCGCAAAACTGGAGAGACAGGCGGATACAGAGAATTAAAACTTACCTGCTTAGAAACCCACGGGCAGAAGCCCCACACCGGACCCAGTGAAGAGGGGTGGGAAGAGCAGAAGGCTGAGGAGCTGAATTGCTGTGCCCGGCTGAAGAAGTCTGAGACAGAAACTCCCAGCAGGGCCGGGCGCGGTGGCTCACGCCTGTAATCCCAGCACTTGGGGAGGCCAAGGCGGGGGATCACGAGGTCAGGAGTTCTAGACCATCCCGGCTAACACGGTGAAACCCCGTCTCTACTAAAAATACACAAAATTAGCCAGGCGTAGTGGCAGGCGCCTGTAGTCCCAGCTACTGGGGAGGCCGAGGCAGGAGAATCGCTTGAACCCGGGAGGCGGAGCTTGCAGTGAGCAGAGATCACGCCATTGCACTCCAGCCTGGGCGACGGAGCGAAACTCCGTCACAAAACAAAACAAACCTCCGAGCGGACCCAGACAGGGCGCCCTGTGCTCTTCTGAGTTTTACCTACAGAGGCTCAACCAGGTTCTCAGAGTGAATATTAGAGAAAAATCCCCTCGTGCCTCCAGCAGGGGGAGGGGAAAAGAGACAAGCCCGGGCTTTCTGTTCTTAACAAGGCCAACCCTCAGGAGAAACTACTTAACCACAGCTGAACCTGCTGGGGCTTCATCAGTGCCTACCTGACCTGGGGGAAGAAAAATACCCAACTCCAGCTGGCCCTAGCCTTCCACCTGGAGAAAAGGAAAAACCCAACCCCAGTCCCCAGGAGCCGTCCTGTCCCGCCTCAGCGGGTGACTTGGGGTGTTAATAAGCACTTATGAAGTCCAGTCCAGAGGCACAGGCTCACTAAAGGATTAAGATCTGGCCGGGCACAGCCGGGCGCGGTGGCTCACCCCTGTAACTCCAGCACTTTGGGAGGCCGAGGCAGGCGCATCACGAGGTCAGGAGATCAAGACCATCCTGGCTCACACGGTGAAACCCTGTCTCTACTAAAAATACAAAAAATTAGCCTGGCGTGGTGGCGGGCGCCTGTGGTCCCAGCTACTCAGGAGGCTGAGGCAGGAGAATGGCGTGAACCTGGGAGAAGGAGCTTGCAGTGAGCTGAGATAGCCACACTGCACTCCAGCCTGGGCGACAAAGTGAGACTCCGTCTCAAGAAAAAAAGATCTGGCTGTGCACAATGGCTCATGCTCAGAATCCCAGTATTTTGGGAGGTTGAGGTGGAAGGATTGCTTGAGCTCAAGAGTTTAAGACCAGCCTGAGCAATATAGTGAGACCTCATCTTTTTTAAAAAATAGTAATTTAAAACAAAGATTAAAACCTGCTCAGAGGAGCATTATAGAAGGCTTCTCCTCCCACCACACCTTACCACCACTCTCCCCCAGGTCTATCTATAGCAGCTCCTTTTACCCAATAAATTATGTCCAGTTATCGGGAAAAAAATTACAAGGCATAATAAAATGGAAAAAACATCCAGAAGCTTTGTAGATGATGTTTTTCTAAAAAGTCAGCCGGGCACGGTGGCTCACGCCTCTCATCTCAGCACTTTGGGAGGCCAAGGCAGGCGGATCACCTGAGGTCGGGAGTTCGAAACCAGCCTGGCCAACATGGTGAAACCCGTCTCTACTAAAAAAATACAAAAATTAGTCAGGCATGGCGGTGTGCACCTGTGGTCCCAGCTACTCGGGAGGCTGAGGCAGGAGAATCATTTGAACCCAGGAGGCGGAGGTTGCAGTGAGCAAAGATGGCACCACTGCACTCCAGCCTGGGTGACAGAGCGAGATGCCGTCTCTGAATAAATAAATAAATAAAGAGGTGGAGAAAGCCATACTGTGATAATACTAAACAAAGCAGACTTCAAAGCAAAGAAAGTTGTCAGAGCTTAAGAGGCATTACAGCCAGGTGTTCCATTCACATCGATAATCCCAGCACTTTAGGAAACCAAGGTGGTTGGGGGGATTGCTTGAGCCCAGGAGTTTGTGATCAACCTGGGCAACATAGCAAGACCCTGTCTCTACAATAAATAATAATAAAAAAAATCAGCTGGTCATGGTGGTGCATACCTGTAGTCCCAGCTACTTAGGAGACCAAAACTGGAGGATCACTTGATCCTGAGAGCTCCAGACTTCAGTGAGTCATGGTCACACCACTGTACTCCAGCCTGGGTGACAGAATGAGACCCTGTGTCCAAAAAAAAAGGGGGGGGCATTACAGAATGATAAAGGAGTCAATTCTCCAAAAACACATAATTAATCCCTAATGTGTATGCACCTAACAGAAGCATCAAAATACATGAGGTTAGAAGTGCTGGAACTAGGCCGGGCACAGTGGCTCACGCCTGGAATCCCAGCACTTTGGGAGGCCGAGAAGGGTGGATCACCTGAGGGCAGGAGTTCAAGACCAGCCTGGCCAACATGGTGAAACCCCATCTCTACTAAAAATACAAAAAATTAGCCGGGAGTGGTGGCAGGCACCTGTAATCCCAGCTACTTGGAAGGCTGAGGCAGGAGAATCGCTTCAACCAGGGAGGTGGAAGTTGCAGTGAGCTGAGATTGCACCATCGTACTCCAGCCAGGGCAACGAATGAAATTCTGTCTCAAAAAAAAAAAAAAAAGGGTGGAATGGCACAGAGAAATTGATAAAGTATGATGGTACTTCAAGACTTACTGTAAAGCTACGGTAATCAGGACAGTGTGATATTAGTGAAAAAATAGATAAATAGATCAATGAGCCAGGTGCAGTGTCTCACGCCTGTAATCCCAGCACTTTGGGAGGCCAAGGCAGGTGGTTCACTTAAGGTCAGGAGAATGAGACCACCCTGGACAACATGGCGAAACACTGTCTCTTAAAAAACAAAATAGATCAATTGAATAGAACAGAGATCTCAGAAACAGACCCACATAAATAGAGTCAAATGACCTTTGACAGAAGAGCAAAGGCAATACAATGAGCAAAGACAAAGACGGTCTTTTTAACAAATGTTGCTGAACAACTGGATGGACATCCACATGCAAACAACTGAGTCCAGACTCTGACCTTACACACTTCACAGAATTAATTCAGATGGATCAGAGACCTAAATGTAAAGTTCAAAACCATAAAACTTTTAGAAGGTAACACAGGAGAAAATCTAGATAACTTCAGGTTTGGCAATGACTTTTTAGATACAACGCCAAAGGTGGGATTCATGAAAGAAAGAATTGGGCTGCACGCAGTGGCTCACGCCTGTCATCCGAGCACTTTGGGAGGCTGAGGTGGACAGATAACCAGGGGTCGGGGGTTCGAGACCAGCCTGACCAACAAGGAGAAACCCCATCTCTACTAAAAATACAAAATTAGCCAGGTGTGCCGGAACATGCCTGTAATCCCAGCTACTCGGGAGGCTGAGGCAGAAGAATCGCTTAAACCTGGGAACGGAGGTTGCAGTGAGCGGAGATAGTGCCATTGCACTCCAGCCTGGGAAATGAGTGAAATTCCATCTCAAAAAAAAAAAAAAAAAAAAAAAAAAAAGAATTGCTAAGTTGGACTTCATTGAATTAAAAAATTTCTTCTTTCTGAAAGATGTTGTCAAGAGAATGAAAAGACAAGCCACAGACTGGGAGAAAATATTTGCTAAAGACATAGCTGATAAAGAAGGACTGTTAACCAAAATATACAAAGAACTCTTAAAACTCAACAACAGGAAAACAACCTGATTTTTAAATGGGCCAAAAAACCTTAAGAGACATCTTTCCAAAGATACACAGGTGGCAAACATGCATATGAGAAGATGCTTCATTTCGTATGTCATTGGGAAAATGCAAATTAAAACAATGATATCACTACAAACCTATTAGGATGACAAAAATCCAGAACATGGCAGGGCATGGTGGCTCATGCCTGTAATCCCAGCACTTTGGGAGGCCGAGGCGGACGGATCACCTGAGGTCAGGAGTTTGAGACCAGCCTGGCCAACATGGTGAAACCCCATCTCTACTAAACATACAAAAATTAGCTGGGCATGGTGGCAGGCGCCTGTAATCCCACTACTTGGGAGGCTGAGGCAGGAGAATTGCTTGAATCCGGAAGGCAGAGGTTGCAGTGAGCCGAGATCGCGCCATTGCACTCCAGCCTGGGGGATAAGAGTGAGACTTCGTCTCAAAAAAAAAAAAAATCCAGGACACTTGGCTGGGCGTGGTGACGCATACCCATAGTCCCAGCTCCTCAGAAGGCTGAGGCGGGAGGATCAATTGAGCCCAGGACGTTAGGGCTGCAGTGAGCTATGATGGCACCACTGCTCTCCAGCCTGGGTGACAGAGCGAGACTGTCTCAGTGGAAAAAAAAAATTAATGCTGTATGATTCCAACTATATTACATTCAGAAAAGGCCCAACTATGGAGACAGTAAAAGGATCCGTTGCTAGGGTCTGGAAACAAAAGGTTGCCAGGGACAACCTTTTGTCCCTGGGACGGATGCATGAAGGGAGGGATGCATGAAGAGGCAGAGCACGGAGGATTTTTCGGGCAGGGAAACGCCTCTGAGAGAGCTCTAAGAGTGGATGCATGTTCTGACACATTTATCCAAGCCCATGACATGCACCACACCAAGAGGGACCCTAATGCAAACTGTGGACTTTGGGTGAAAATGATGTCAATATAGGTTCCCTGATTGTAACAAATGTACCACTTTGGTGGAAGATGATAATGGGAGAGGCTATTAGCACGGGCAGGGAA
Organism: Homo sapiens; assembly: GCF_000001405.40. Lineage (NCBI taxonomy): Eukaryota > Metazoa > Chordata > Mammalia > Primates > Hominidae > Homo > Homo sapiens. The sequence goes on along the minus strand of NC_000007.14, from coordinate 5,803,599 downwards.
CATGTGAGAACTCTCTGTACCTTTCGCTCAATGTTGCTACGAATCTAAAACTGGCCTAAAAAAGTCAAGTCTATTAAAAAAAAAAAGACGCAGTGAGCATTGGGAAGAAAGGGACAGAGCACATGCCTTCCTCATGGAAATCATGCAAACATATATTAAAAAAAAAAGACACAGTGAGCATTGGGAAGAAAGGGACAGAGCACATGCCTTCCTCATGGAAATCATGCAAACATATATTAAAAAAAAAAAGACACAGTGAGCATTGGGAAGAAAGGGACAGAGCACATGCCTTCCTCATGGAAATCATGCAAACATATATTAAAAAAAAAAAGACGCAGTGAGCATTGGGAAGAAAGGGACAGAGCACATGCCTTCCTCATGGAAATCATGCAAACATATCTTCTGAAGAAGACCCCCCCTTTTTTTTTTTTTTTTTTGAGATGGAGTTTTGCTCTTTCACCCAGACTGGAGTGCAGTGGCATCATCTTGACTCACTGCAACCTTCAACCCCCAGGTTCAAGCTATTCTCCAGCCTCAGCCTCCCGAGTAGATGGGGTTATAGGCGCCCACCACTACGCCTGGCTAATTTTGATATTTTTTAGTAGAGACAGGGTTTCGCCACATTGGTCAGGCTGTTCTTGAACTCCTGACCTCAGGTGATCCCACCTGCCTCAGCCTCCCAAAGTGCTGGGATTACAAGCGTGAGCCACCGCAGCTGGCCAGACCCTACTTTTGAGTGGGGTCTTCTGCAGATGAGCCTGAGAAGGCCAGCAGGATTAGGTGACAAGGAAGAAGAGAGATCTTTGCATCTTCAGATGTAGGGGAGCACCGCCCATGGCAAATCTGAACATCAGCAGCTCCGGGCACCATAAAGTGGGCACAGGAAGATCAAAAGAGACTGAAGAATCTTTTTTTTTTTTTTTTTGAGATGGAGTCTAGTTCTGTCGCCCGGGCTGGAATAGAGTGACATGCTCTCAGCTCACTGCAACCTCCACCTCCCGAGTTCAAGCAATTCTCCTGTCTCAGCCTCCTGAACAGCTGGGATTACAGGCATGCATCACCACACCGGCTAATTTCTGTATTTTTAGTAGAGATGGGGTTTCACAATGTTGGCCAGGTTGGTCTCAAACTCCTGGCCTCAAGTGATCAGCCTGCCACAGCCTCCCAGAGTGCTGGGATTACAAGCTTGAGCGACCATGCCCAGCCCAAAAGAGGCTGAAGAATCTTAACTTCTAAATTTTATTGATTTAATTACTGTTTGAGTCAGGGTCTCACTCTGTCTCCCAGGCTAGAGTGCAGTGGTGCAATCATAGCTCACTGTAGCCTCCAACTCCTGACCTCAATCAATCCTCCTGCCTTAGCCTCCCAAAGTGCTGCACTTACAAGTGTGAACCACTGTGCCCAGCCCTTAATTTTTTAAAAAAGCTTATAAATCTCAGAAAATATTTCTTTCCGGCCAGGCGTGGTGGCTCACACTTGTAAGCCCAGTACTTTGGGAGGTGGAGGCGGGCGGATCACCAGAGGTCAGGAGTTCAAGACCGGCCTGGCCAACATGGCAAAACCCCGTCTCTACTAAAAACATACAAAAAAATTAGCCGGGCATGGTGGTGGGCACCTGTAATCCCAGCTACCTGGGAGGCTGAGGCACGAGAATCGCTTGAACCCGGGAGGCAGAGGTTGCAGTGAGCCAAGATCGCATCATTGCACTCCAGCCTGGGCAACAAGAGCGAAACTCCATCTCCAAAAAAAAAAAAAAAAAGGAAATTATTTATTTCCAACAGGAGAGAGCCTAGCACTTATAGCAAAGTGTTGAGCATGGATTCGATTACATAGCATTGGATCATGGCGGGTAACTACAAGAGAAGCAACTACAGGGTTGTGAGGGGATGAAAGAGCCAGAAGGAACCGATCTCAAGATGCGTATGAGAGCCTTAATCCACCGGGCACGGTGACTCATGGCTGTAATCCCAGTACTTTGGGTGGCTGCGGCAGACAGCTCACCTGAGGTCAGGAGTTCAAGATCAGCATGGCCAACATGGTAAAACCCCATCTCTACTAAAAACTACGTTGGGAGGCCAAAGCAGGCGGATCACAAGGTCACGAAATCAAGACCATCCTGGCCAACATGGTGAAACCCCATCTCTACTAAAAATACAAAAATTAGCTGGGCGTGGTAGCACACACTGTAGTCCCAGCTACTTGGGAGGCTAAGGAGGGAGAATCACTTGAACCCGGGAGGTGGAGGTTGCACTGAGCCGAGACGGCGCCACTGCACTCCAGCCTGGCAAAAAAACTACTCTATCTCAAAAACAAAACAAAACAAAACTACAAAAATTAGCTGGGCGTGGTGGCATGCACCTGTAATCCCAGCTACTCAGGAGGCTGAGGCAGGAGAATCGCTTGACCCCAGGAGCCGGAGGTTGCCGTGAGCTGAGATCACGCCACTACACTCCAGCCTGAGCAACAAGAGCGAAACTCTGTCTCCAAAAAAAAAAAAAAAAAAAAAAAAAAAGGAGCTTAAAACCAATAGCCAAGGGAGTTACAGTCACCAGATATTTAGTTCTCTATAGAAATTAAAGATAACATCTTGGGCCTGGTACGGTGGCACACACCTGTATCTCCATCACTTTAGGAGGCCGAGGCGAGCGGACCGCTTGAGCTCAGGGGTTTGAGACCAGCCTGGAAAACATAGCAAGACCCCTGCCTGCACTAAAAATACAAAAAATTAGCCAGGCGTGGTGGCACATGCATGTGGTCTCAGCTACTCGGGAGGCTGAAGTGGGACAATCACCTGAGTCCAGGAAGTGGAGGCTGCAGTGGGCAGATTGTGCCACTGCACTCCAGCAGCTGGGAGAAGAGAGTGAGACCCCATCCCCCAAAAAAAAAAAAAAAAAATCAATGAGAGGAAACAAGGACCGACTTTCATGGGGTCCAGATGCCTGGCACAGTGAGGCCAACCACCCACACCAAGGTTTGCAGTGAGAAAAAAGAGGGCATTTATTTGCAGGGCGCCACGCAAGGAGAGTCGAGCAGCTCATGTTTACATCCAGAACTCCCTGCTGGCTTGCAGGTAGGCGTCTTTAAAGGTAAGGAGGCAGAGGCAGGGCGCAGTGGCTCACGCCTGTAATCCCAGCACTCGAGGCGGGTGGATCACAAGGTCAGGAGATCAAGACCACAGTGAAACCCCGTATCTACTTAAAAAAAAAAAAAATACAAAAAATTAGCCAGGCATGGTGGCGTGCGCCTGTAGTACCAGCTACTCGGGAGGCTGAGGCAGGAGAATAGCGTGAATCCAGGAGGCGGAGCTTGCAGTGAGCCGAGATCACGCCACCGCACTCCAGTCTGGGTGATAGAGTAAAACTCTGTCTCAAAAAAAAAAAAAAAAAAAAAACAGAAGATAAGGAGGCAGAGGTTACGGCAAAGTCATAAATCAGTATGGAGGCTATACGTTGGTTTGGCCCTAAAAGGTGGGGTATCTTAAAGTGGGGGCTTACAGGTCATAGGTAGATTCAAAGATTTTTTTTTTTTCTAATTGGTTAAGGAAGAGAAGCTTTGTTTAAAAATGTGGAGTTGGCGGGCGCAATGGCTCACACCTGTAATCCCAGCACTTTACGAAGCCAAGGGGGGGCGCAGACCACCTGAGGTCAGGAGTTCAGGACCAGCCTGGCAACATGATAAAACCCCATCTCTACTAAAAGTACAAGAATTAGGTAGGATGCGGTGGCGGGTACCTGTAATCTCAGCTACTTGGGAGGCTGAGGCAGGAGAAAAGCTAGAACCTGGGAGGCAGAAGTTGCAGTGGGTCAAGATCACAGCACAGCACTCCAGCCTGGGCGACACAGCAAGACTCTGTCTCAAAAAAACAAAACAAAACAAAAGGACAGCACTCGGAGAGCTTCAATGCTGAACATGTGGAGATGCCGGGAGGGTGGTGTACCCAGAGAGGGCATGGAAGCTCCACCCCTTCCCACAAAACTTGCCCCTTCGGCCTCGGCATCTGGCCATTCCTCTGCATTTTTCGTAATGCCCCTTATAGTAAACTGGTAAACAGGCCGGCCATGGTGGCTCACGCCTATAATCCCAGCACGTTGGGAGGCTGAGGCGGGCGGATTACTTGAGGCCAGGAGTTCAAGACAAACCTGGCCAACATAGCAAAACCCCGTCTCTACTAAAAATACAAAAATTAGCCAGGCGTGGTAGCAGGTGCCTGTAATCCCAGCTACTTGGGAGGCTGAGGCAGGAGAATCGCTGGAGCCCAGGAGGTTGGTTGCAGTGAACCGAGATCACACCTCTGCACTCCAGCCTGGGCGACAGAGCAAGACTCCGTCTCAAAAAAAAACCACAAAAATTGCTTTGTGTTAAGTATAGAGTGGTGTGAGAGTAGAAAACACACTTTGGTCTTATTTTATTTTTATTTCAGAGACAGGGTCTGGTTCTGCCACCTGGTATGATCATAGCTCACTATAGCCCTGAACTCCTGGGTGCAAAGCATCTTCTCACCTCAGCCTCCCTAGTAGCTGGGACAAGTGCACACCATCATGCCTGGCTTTTTTTTTTTTTTTTTTTTTTTTTTTTTTGTAGAGAATGAGGATCTCACTGTGTTGCCCAGGCTGGTCTCAAACTCCTGGCCTAAAGTGATCCTCTTGCCTCAGCCTCCCAAAGTACTGGGATTACAGCCATGAGCTACCACACGCTTCCTATTTATTATAAAAAAATTTTTTTGGCCAGGCATGGTGGCTCACACCTGTAATCCCAGCACTTTGGAAGGCTGAGGTGGGTGGATCACTCGAGGCCAGGAGTTCAAGACCAGCCTGGCCGACATGGCAAAACCCCGTCTCTACTAAAAATACAAACATTAGCTGGGTGTGGCAGCACATGCCTGTAATCCCAGCTACTCGGGAGGCTGAGGCACGAGAATCACTTGAGACTGGTTGGCAGAGACTGCAGTGAGCCGAAATCATGCTGCTGCACTCCAGCCTGGGCAACACAGAGAGACTCTGTCTCCAAAACAAAAGTATTTTTTATAGAGAACGAGGTGTCACTTTGTGCCCAGGCTGGTCTCAAACTCCTGGTCTCAAGTGATCCTCTCACCTCAGCCTCCCACTGGGATTACATTCATGTCACTGTACGGGGCCTATTTTTTTTTTAATTTTAATTTTTTTTTGTAGAGACAGGTTCTTGCGATGTTGTCCAGGCTGGTCTCAAACTGCTAGTCTCAAGCAATCCTCCCATCTCAGCCCCTCAAAGCACTGGGATTATAGGTGTAGGCCACTGTGCCTGGCCTTGTTTTATCTTTTTTTTTTTTTTCTTTTGGAGACAGTCTTGCTCTGTTGCCAGGCTGGAGTGCAATGGCGCGATCTCAGCTCACTGCAACCTCCGCCTCCAGGGTTCAAGTTATTCTCCTGCCTCAGCCTCCCCGGTAGCTGGGATTACAGGCACGCACCACCACGCCCAGCTAATTTTTGTATTTTTAATAAAGACGGAATTTCACCACGTTGGCCAGAATGGTCTTGAACTCCTGACCTCAAGTGATCCACCCACCTTGGCCTCCCAAAGTGTGGGATTCCAGCCATGAGCCACCACGCCCAGCCAAATCTTATATAGTGCTGAAGGCTTTTAAGTATCATTTTCCATCTTCCCCTGTGACTGACATCTGGGGAAGTTGATAAAAACCCTCAGTGCTCCCTCCTTTGCCACCAATGGGAGCTTTAAACCACACAAGCCCGAGTGCACAAACCCTCACCCAGCCACACCCACCAACCACCATAAAAACCCCAAGCCAGCCTCCTTTGCCTGTTCTCCAAAGACATTTTATTATTTTTTTTGAGATGGAGCCTCACTATCACCAGGCTGGAGTGCAGTCGTGTGATCTTGGCTCACTGCAACCTCCGCCTCCCGGATTCAAGCAATTCTCTTGGCTCCACTTCCAGAGTAGCTGGAATTTACAGGTGCCCACCACCACGCCCGGGTAATTTTTGTATTTTTAGTAGAGATGGGGTTTCGCCATGTTGGCCAGGCTGGTCTCGACCTCAAATGATCTGCCCACATTGGCCTCCCAAAGTGCTGGGATTACAAGCAGAAGCCACCACGATACATCAGTTTTATTTATTATTATTATTTTTCTTTAAACTTCTAGTTCAGCAGAAAGTTTTAAAAAAATAGAGATAGGGTCTCGCTATATTGGCCAGGCTGGCCTTGAATTCCTGGCCTCACGCAATCCATCAGCCTTGACCTTCCAAAGTACAGGGATGAGAGGTGTAAACCACCATGCCCGGCCCCAGATGGCATTTGTTTTTTTTTTGTGACAGAGTCTTGCACTGTCACCCAGACTGGAGTACAGTGGCTTGATCTTGGCTCACTGCAACCTCTGCCTCCCAGGTTCAAGCGATTCTCCTGCCTCAAGACTCCCAAGTAGCTGGGATTACAGGAGCATACCACCACACCAGGCTAATTTTTTGTATTTTTAGTAGAGACAGGGGTTTCACCACATTGGCCAGGCTGGTCTTGAACTCCTGACTTCAGGTGATCCCCCCGCCTCGGCTTCCCAAAGTGCTGGGATTAGAGGAGTTAGCCACCATGCCCAGCCTAGGATGTCATTTTTTGTTGTTCCCTTGATTGAGAGAGAGTTCTGCAGCAGGTTCTGGTGTGCTCCAGCTGGCCCTGCTGCGTAAAGCCACGTTATATGGTATATCCCAGGGTACCACATATACCAACGGAAGATGTCATGGTGCTAAAGGTAACAATGGTAGGTGGAGTCTCTGGCGAGCACTAATAGAAAAGCTGCAGCTCTGCGCACGGTGGCTCACGCCTGTTATCCAGCACTTTGGGAGGCTGAGATGAGAGAACAGCTTGAGCCTAGGAGTTCAAGATCTGCCTGGGCAACACAGGAAAATCCCTTCTCTACAAAAAATACAAAAAATTAGCTGGGTGTGGTGGCATGTGCCTGCAGTCCCAGCTACTTGGGAGGCTGAGGTGAGAGGATCACCTAAACCCAGGAAGTGGAGGCTGCAGTGAACCATGATTTTACCACTGCACTCCAGCCTGGGGGTTGGACTGAGGCCCTGTCTCGAAAGAAAGACAGAAAGAGAAAAAAGCGGAAGGAGGGACGGAAGGAAGGGAGGAATTAGGGAAGGCAGGAAGGCAGGGAGGGAGGGAAGGAAGGACAGAAGGAAGGGAGGGAGGGAGGATGGAAGGAAGGGAGGGAGGGAGGATGGAAGGAAGGAAGCAAGGGAGGAGGGTAGGAGAGGGGAGGAAAGGGAAGGGAAAGAAAAGAAAGGCTGTTGCCACAGTGGAGATACCGAGGATTATAGAACAAAGCCCCATTCTTTAGCACATTTATGATTCAAATTGCAGCTCTTTGGCCGGGCGCGGTGGCTCACGCCTGTAATCCCAACACTTTGGCAGGCTGAGGTGGGCAGATCACGAGGTCAGAAGATCGAGACCATCCTGTCTAACAAGGTGAAACCCCATCTCTACCTAAAAATACAAAAAATTAGCCGGGCAGGGAAGATATAGACCCCACCCCCTTTGGGAGGCATACCAAAGTCACATTGGAAATTGCATAGATACAGGGAAGGCATGATGGGGGAGTCCTTATTTCAACAACTTACTGCTGTTGTCTCTGTTTGCACAGCTGAGTCCACTCTAAGAACCGGCAGAAGACTCTTACCATCCTCATGGTCTAGGCCACTGTGCAGTTCTGAACTTCTGCTCCAACTAGTGCTGATACGTGTCAGCTAGACCCAGAAAATTTTTTTCCTTACAGGCAGGGTCTCGCTCTGTGGCTGGAGTTCACTGGTGCCATCTCGGCTCACTGCAACCTCCGCCTCCCGGGTTGAAGTGATTCTCCTGGCTCAGCCTCCAGAGTAGCTGAGACTACAGTCGTGTGCCACCATGCCCAGCTAATTTTTGCAACTTTTTTTTTTTTTAAACTAGAGACAGGATTTTGCCATGTTTACTAGGCTGGTCTCAAACTCCTGGCCTCAAGGGGTCTACCCGCTTTGGCCTCTCAAACTCTTGGGATTACAGATGTGAGCCACTGCACCCCAGCTTAGGTAATTTTTTTCTGATTTTTATGTATTTATTTTTTGAAATGGAGTCTCACTCTGTCACCCAGGCTGGAGAGGAGTAGCGCAGTCTCGGTTCATTGCAACCTCTGCCTCCCGGGTTCAAGTGAGTCTCCTGCCCCAGCCTCCCAAATAGCTGGGATCACAGGGACCCGCCACCATGCTCCGTTATATTTAATTTTTCCAGAGGGAGTCTCACTGTCGCCCAGGCTGAAGTGCAGTGGCGCAACCTTGGCTCACTGCAACTTCTGCCTCGGGGGGTTCAAGCAATTCTCCTGCCTCAGTTTCCTAAGTGGATAGTACTACAGGCATGCAGCACCACACCCAACTAATCTGTATTTTTAGCAGAGATGAGATTTCCCCATGTTAGCCAGGAGAGTCTCAATCTCCTGACCTCGGGATCCACCCACGTTGGCCTCTCAAAGTGCTGGTATTACAGACGTGAGCCACCGCGCCCGGCCTATTTTTAAATAGAGACGAAGTTTCACCAGTTGACCAGGTTGGTCTCCAACTCCTGACCTCAGGTCATCCACCCACCTCACCATCCCAAAGTGCTAGGTTTACAGTAGTGAGCCACTGTGCCTAGCCTATTTCATGTTTTATTTTAAATTTTATTGATATTAATAGAGATTGGGGTGGTTCTTACTGTGTCCGGAATTCGTGGGCTCTTCGTCTGACTTGAAGAATGAAGCCACGGACCCTCACGGTGAATATCACAGTTCTTAAAGGCGGCGTGGCCGGAGTTTGCTCCTTTTGATGTTGTGTTCGGAGTTTCATCCTTCTGGTGGGTTCGTGATCTCGCTAGCTCAAGGAGGGAACCTGGAGATCCTCGCGAGGAGTGTTACAAGTCTTAAGGAAGCGCGTCTGGAGGCGTTCATTCTTTCTGGAGTGTTCGCAGTCTCGGTGGCTTACAGGAGTGAAGCTGCAGACCTTTGCTGTGAAAGCAACCTAAACCCAAAAAGCAACACCACCACCACAAAAACAAAAACAAAACAGAACAAACACACCCACCCCCACCCCCACAAAAAAACTCCAACACAACGGAATAAAACCCCAGCACGTTGCTACTACTACCTCAGCAGCCTGCTTTTATTCTCTTTTCTTGCCCCACCCACATCCTGCTGATTGGTCCATTTTACAGAGAGCCGATTGGTCTTTTTTACAGAGAGCTGATTGGTCCGTTTTGACAGGGTGCTGATTGGTGCATTTACAATCCCTGAGTGAGACAAAAGTTCTTTACATCCCCACTGGATTAGCTAGATACAGAGTGCTGATTGGTCTATTTACAAACCCTGAGCTAGGTGCAGAGTGCTGATTGATGCATTTACAAACCTTGAGCTGGATACAGAGTGCTGATTGGTGTATTCACAATCCCTTAGCTAGACATAAAGATTCTCCAAGTCCCCACCAGATTAGCTAGATACAGACTGCCCATTGGTGCATCCACAAACCCTGAGCTAGACACAGGGTGCTGATTGGTGTGTTTACAAACCTTGAGCTAGATACAGAGTGCTGATTGGTGTATTTACAATCCTTTAGCTAGACATAAAGTTTCTCCAGGTCCCCACTAGACTCAGGAACCCAGCTGGCTTCACCCAGTGGATCCCGCACTGGGGCCGCAGGTGGAGCCGCCTGCCAGTCCCGTGCTGTGCGCCTGCACTCCTCAGCCCTTGGGCGGTCAATGGGATCCGGCGCCGAGGAGCAGGGGACGGCACTCGTCGGGGAGGCTCAGGCTGCGCAGGAGCCCACAGTGCCGGTGGGCCGGCACTGCTGGGGTTCCCGGCACACCCTCCTTAGCTGCTAGCCCGGGTGCTAAGCCCCTCACTGTCTGGGGCCCGCGGGGTCGGCAGACCGCTCGGAGTGCAGAGCCGCCAAGCCCACGCCCACCCGGAACTCTAGCTAGCCCGCAAGCGCTGCACGCAGCCGGGGTTCCCACCCGTGCCACTCCCTCCACACCTCCCCGCAGGCTGAGTGAGGGAGCCAGCTCTGGCCTCGGCCATCCCAGGAAGGGGCTCCCACAGTGCAGCGGAGGGCTGAAGGGCTCCTCAAGCGCAGCCAGAGTGGGCGCCGAGGGCCAGGAGGTGCCAAGAGCCAGCCAGGGCTGCCAGCACGCTGTCACCTCTCATCACTATGTTGGCCGGGTTGTACTTGAATTCCGGGCTTCAAGCAATCCTCCCGCTTTGGCCTCCCAAAGTGCTGAGATTACATGCATTCTTTTATTTATTTGTTTATTTATTTTTGCAGTTGCAAGATTGAATAGAGTGAAAACAGAGCTGCTGCCGCCTTTTATTTTTTGTAGAGAGAGGGTCTCGCTCTGTCACCCAGCCTGGAGTGCGGTGGCACCATCATAGCTCACAGCAATATCTGGGTAAACCACCACCCCCCGCCTCAGCACCTTGGCATATTCACCAGCTCAGAAGCTCTCTGAATTCCGTGCCCCTCAATTTTTTTTTTTTTCTTATGGTGGCTTCATTTCCTGGGCAAGATTGGTTAAATCACTGGGGCATTTGTGATTAGCCCAACCTCAAGCCCTCTAATGACGTGACTGGGTCCCCTGGCAATCAGCATAACCTCAAATATGGTTGGAAGGGGCTTGTTATAAATAACAAAAGACACTAATTTCACCTTCATCTCCCTGGAGCTATTTCTTTTCTTTTCTTTTTTTCTTTTTTCTTTTTCTTTTTTTTTTTTTTTTGTGAGACAGAGTCTTGCTCTGTGGCCCAATCTGGAACACAGTCTCAGCTCACTGCAGCCTCTGCCTCTTGGGTTAAAACGATTCTCCTGCCTCAGCCTCCCGAGTAGCTGGGATTACAGGTGCATGCCACCATGCCCGGCTAATTTTTGTATTTTTAGTAAAGGCAGGGTTTCACCGTGTTGGCCAGGATAGTCTTGAACTCCTGACCTCAAGTGATATGCTAGCTTCAGCCTTCCAAAGTGCTGAGATTACAGGCATGAGCCACTGCACCTGGCCCTCCCTGGAGCTATTGCAAGATCCTGGGACAAAAACCAAATTTACGATGAAAGATGATCCTATCGCTCTTATCACTTAGCAAATTACCCGTGTTTTAGGAGCTCTGGCCTGGAGTAAAGACCAAAATACATATTTCTTATTATATCACAAGATCACAGCAGCTTTTTCAAATGTTGATGGATTTCATAAAATCAGAAAATCATGTTCATTACTATCACCACCCGTCACACCAGAAAAGTTTTCCAGTAATGGGAAACTGTGAAGCTCCCAGTGGCAGATATAAACCGTCTAAAATTCTAATCTTCTCTTGAAAGCTCAAATGTTATCATCGGCAGCAAATACACAGTTATTTTCCTTGAAGTGATAGTTTCAGTTTCTTCAGTTTTGAGAAAGTGTCTGCAAAGTCCCCAAATCTGAATTATCCCAGTTTGTCAGTCAGTCATTCTCTCAAGATGATGTCCTAGAAAGAAAGTGGACAGTCCAGCCCCAAACATGAATAATCGCACCAGGCCCATCTCATCATTCAGACTATTTAAGACAGGTACTCACAGATATAGATTGAATAAAATTAAGAAATTTTACTGCTGATTGGGGTACATTCATTGTTTTTTTGTTTTTTGTTGTTGGTTTTTTTTTTTTTTTTTTGAGACGGAGTCTCGCTCTGTCGCCCAGGCTGGGGTGCAGTGGCGCCATCTCGGCTCACTGCAAGCTCCGCCTCCCGGGTTCACGCCTTTCTGCCTCAGCCTCCCGAGTAACTGGGGTTACAGGCGCGCGTCACCATGCCCTGATAAGTTTTGTATTTTTAGTAGAGACGGGGTTTCACCATGTTGGCCAGGCTGGTCTTGAACCCCCGACCTCAGGTGATCCACCCGCCTCAGCTTCCCAAAGTGCTGGCATTACAGGCGTGAGCCACCGTGCCCGGCCCATTTCAGTAATTATCTATTTTCACAGGAATGCAACTAATACAAGTATCACATAAAGTGCGTTATTTTAAAAACACTATCGCTCAGGAGAAGCTACGACCACTTTGGAAAACAGTTTGGTCCTCACTATATGATCCAGCAATTCTACTTATTTAACCACTATTGCTTAAGTAACAGTGTTGGGCCTTCCTCTTCCTATATTGGTGGAGTAATAAGAACCAGAATTTGGCTGGGTGCAGTGGCTCACGCCTGTAATCCCAGCACTTTGGGAGGCCAAGGAGGGCGGATCACTGGAGGTCAGGAGTTCTAGACCAGCCTGGCCAACGTGGTGAAACCCCATCTCTACTAAAAATAAAAAAATTAGCTGGGCGTGGTGGCACACGCCTGTAATCCCAGCTACTCAGGAGGCTGAGACAGGAGAATTGCTTGAACGTGGGAAGTGGACGTTACAGTGAGCCAAGATTGTGCCATTGCACTCCAGCCTGGGCGACAGAGCAAGACTCTGTCTAAACAAAAATAAAAAAAAAAAATGGGCAAAATATTTGAATACACATTTCTTAAAAGAAGACATACAAATGAGCAACAGGTTTAAGAAAAGGTATGCAGCATCATCGATCATCAGAGAAATGCAAATCAAAACTACAATGAGAGATCATCTGACCACAGTTAAAATGGCTTCTATCCAAAGACAGGTAATAACAAACGCTGGCGAGGTTGTGGAGAAAACGGAGCCTTCAGACACTGTTAGTAGAAATGTAACTTAGTACAACCAGCATGGAGAACAGTTTGAAGGTTCCTCAAAAAACTAAACGTAGAGCTACCATAAGATCCAGTAATCGCAATGCTGGGTATATAACCAAAAGAAAGGAAATCAGTATATCAAAGAGATATCTTCATTTCCATATTTATTGCAGTGCTATTTACAATAGTCAAGATTTGGAAGCAACCTAAGTGTTCATCAATGATCAGTGGATAAAGAAAACGTGCTGCATATACACAATGGAGTACTATTCAGTCATGAAAAAGATTGAGATCCTGTCATTTGCAACAACATGGATGGAACTGGAGATTATTATGTTAAGTGAAATAAGCCAGGCACATCCCAGCTACTCGGGACGCTGAGGCAGGAGAATGGCGTCAACCTGGGAGGCAGAGCTTGCAGTGAGCCGAGATCACCCCACTGCACTCCAGCCTGGGCGACAGAGCGAGACTAACACTGAATGTTCTCACTTATTGGTGGGACCTAAAAATCAAAACAATTGACCTTATGGGCATAGAGAGTAGAAGGACAGTTATCACAGGCTGGGAAGCGTAGTGCGAGGATGGGTGGGGGAGGTGGGGATGGTTAAAGGGTACAAAAAAATAGAAAGAATGAATAAGACCTAGTATTTGAAAGCACAACTGGGTGACTATAGTCAATAATAACTTTTTTTTGAGGCGTAGTCTTGCTCTGTCACCCAGGCTGGAGTGCAGTGGTGCAATCTCGGCTCCCTGCAACCTCCGCCTCCCTGGTTCAAGTAATTCTCCTGCCTCAGCCTCCCAAGTAGCTGGGATTACAGACACATGCCACCACGTGGCTAATTTTTGTATTTTTAGTAGAGACAGGATTTCACCATGTTCGCCAGGCTGGTCTCGAACTCCTGACCTCAGGTGATCTACCCATCTCAGCCTCCCAAAATGCTGGGATTACAGACATGAGCCACCACGCCTAGCCTCTTTTATTTATTTATTTATTGGGAGACGGAGTCTCACCCTGTGGCCTAGGCTGGAGTGCAATGGTGTGATCTCGGCTCACTGCAACCTCTGCCTCACGGGTTCAAGAGATTCTCCTGCCCCAGCCTCCCGAGTAGCTGGGATTACAGGCACCCTCCACCCGCCACCCCGCCTTGCTAGTTTTTTGTATCTTTAGTAGAGACGAGAGTTCACCATGTTGGCCAGGCTGGTCTCAAACTCCTGACCTTGTGATCTGCCCACCTCGGCTTCCCAAAGTGCTGGGATTACAGGCATGAGCCACCGTGCCCAGCCTCTTTTAGTTATTTTTAAAGGTACAATTCGGCCGGGCGCGGTGGCTCACGCCTGTAACCCCAGTACTCACTATGTTGCTCTCATCAAGATCAAGAGACTCCATCTCTACCAAAAATACAAAAATTAACTGGGTGTGGTGGTGCGTGCCTCTGGTTCCAGCTACTTGAGAGGCCTAGGTGGGAGGATTACTTGAGCCCGGGAGGGTGAGGATGTGGTGAGTCGAGATTGCACACTGCACTCCAGCCTGGGCAACAGAATGAGACCATGTCTCAAAAAAAAAAAAAAAAGAAAGAAAAGAAAACGGTGGCATAAGACAGCCTCGGAAAATAAAAAATAAAAAACAAAATTAAAAAAGGAAATGAAAAGCCAGAGACAAAGAGGAAATGTATGCAATACTAAAATCTTATATCCATACTATAGAAAGATCTCTTACAAGTCAACTGAGAAGGCAAAAAAAAAAAAAAATCCCATTTTTAAAATGGGATTTAAAAAATTTGAACAGAAATTTCACAAAAGAAAATATACAAAAGGCCAGGGCTGGGCACAGCGGCTCACACTTGTAATCCTAGTGTTTTAGGAGGTCAAGGTGGGAGGATCACTTGAGGCCAGAAGTTCAAGACCAGCCTGGGCAACATAGCGAGACCCCATCTCTAAAAAAAAAAAAAATCATATAAATTAGCCAGGAGTGGTGGCATGTGCCTGTAGGCCCAGCTACTAAGGAGGCTGAGGTGGGAGGATCGCTTGAGCCCACGAATTCAAGGCTGCAGTGAGCTATGATCATGCCGCTGCCGTCCAGCCTAGACAATGCTGTGTCTAAAAAAAAAAAAAAAAGAAAGATATTCAAAAGGCCAATTAGCACAAGAAAAGATGCTCAACATATTAGCCACCCGGGAAATGCAAATCAAAACCACAGTGATAGACCATTACCTGTCCATTACAACAGCTGAAATTAAAGACTAGTGATACCAAGAATGGCAACTGGACCTCTCCGTCAGTGCCAGTGGGAAAGTAAAATGATGTACCAGTTTGGGAAACAGTTTGGTTCTTACTATATGATTTAGCAATTCCACACTTAGAGAATGAACATGTATTCACCCAACAACTTTTACACCAATGTGCATAGCAGTTTTATTCATAATTGCCCCAAAATAAAAGAAACTCAATGTGCACCGGCTGGTGAATGGATGAGTGAATTGTGTCATATCTTTGTGGTCGAATACTACTCAGCAGTAAAAAGGAATGAACTACTGATACATGTAACATAGAAGAATCTCAGAAACATGCGGAGGCCAGGCACGGGGGCTCACGCCTGTAATCCCAGCACTTTGGGAGGCTGAGGTGGGAGAATCACTTGAGCTCAGGAGGTCGAGACCAGACTGGGCAAACATAGCAAGACCTCGTCCCTATTAAAAATCAAAACAATGCCGGGCGCGGTGGCTCACGCCTGTAATCCCAGCACTTTGGGAGGCCGAGGTGGGTGGATCACAAGGTCAGGAGATCAAGACCATCCTGGCTAACACGGTGAAACCCCATCTCTACTAAAAATACAAAAAATTAGCTGGGTGAGGTGGCGGGCGCCTGTGGTCCCAGCTACTCAGGAGGCTGAGGCAGGAGAACGGCGTGAACCCAGGGGGCGGAGCCTGCAGTGAGCCAGGATCGCGCCACTGCACTCCAGCCTGGGCGACAGAGCGAGACTCCGTCTCAGAAAAAAAAAAAAAAATCGAAAAAATTATCCAGGCATGGTGATGTGTGCCTGTAGTCTCAGCTCCTCAGTAGGCTGAGGCAGGAAGATGGCTTCAGTCTGGGAGACCAAGGCTGCAGTGAGCTAAGATCATACCACTGCACTCCAGCCTGGGCAACAGAGTGAGACCCTGTCTCAAAAAACAAAAAACATGCTGAGCAAAAGAAACCAGACACAAGAGTACATGCCATATGATCCCATGTATGTGAAACTACAGAAAGATAAATTCTAGTCTAAAATGAGATAAAGGGCTGGGTGCGGTAGCTCAAGCCTGTAATCCCAGCACTTTGGGAGGCCAAGGCAGGCGGATCACCTGAGGTCAGGAGTTCGAGACCACCCTGGCCAACTTTAGTTGGCCATGTTTTTAGTAGAGATGGCAAAAGCTCATCTCTACTGAAAATACAAAAATTAGCTGGACGTGGTGGTGGATGTCTGTAATCCCAGCTACTCGAGAGGATGAGGCAAGAGAATCGCTTGGACCTGGGAGGCGGAGGTTGCAGTGAGCCAAAATCACGCCACTGCACTCCAGCCTGGGCGACAGAGTGAGACTCCATAACAAAAATAAAATAAAATAAAAATACAAAGAATTAGGTGGGTGTGGTGGTGGGGGGTGGGGCCTGTAATCCCAGCTACTCAGGAGGCTGAGGCAGAAGAATCCCTTGAACCCGGGAGGCAGAGGTTGCGGTGAGCCGAGATTGCACCAGTGCACTCCAGCCTGGGTGACAGAGCAAGACTCCATCTCAAAATAAATAAATAAGTGACAAACAGCAAGTGCCCAAAAGCAGGTGGTTGCCTAGCGCCAGGGATGAGGGTTATGGATAGACTGGAAGGAACAGAAGGGAATAGTTTGGGGTGATGGAAATGATCTCTATCTTGATTGTGGGGGGGTTACGAGAGTGTATAAATTTGTCAAAACTGATAGAAAGGTACACTTAAACGGGGTGCCTTGTACCACGTATAAATTACACCTCAGTACCATTGATTTTTTTTTTTTTACAAGTAATGGGCCAAAATGGCAGGAAATTACTGCTTCTGAAAGCAGACTGAGTTTGGGAATAATGTCCTCTATGACAACACCAGCACACCTTCATGTAGATACGGCTGATGACAGTTCTTGGGAACAAAATGACGATGGACAAATTGTGAATAATGGCGGTCCTCCACTGCTGTCAATGATTTCACAGGTCAGATGCACATTAAACTAACTGTAATCAGAAAATGCAATGAAGCCGTGCCGTGATGACTCATGGGGTGGGGGAGTTACAGCCTCGGCTCTCTGGCAGGCTCATGGGGTGAGTGCAGGTTGCACGCCTTTGGCCGTAACTGCATGGAATTACAGCCAGCACAGATGATACGGATTTTCATAGACAGAACTTCCATGCTTCTTCCCAGGAAAACAGCAAAACATCACTTGTTGACAATAGTTTAGTCTGCAGGTAGCTATCTTGCCCTTTCTGATTCTTGGTGCTGGTTAACATTAAGACAAAGAAAACAGGCCAGGTGTGGTGGCTCACACCTGTAATCCCAGCACTTTGGGAGGCCAAGGCGGGCGGATCACCTGAGGTCGGGAGTTCGAGATCAGCCTGAACAACATTGAGAAACCCTGTCTCTACTAAAAATAGAAAATTAGCCGGGAGTGGTGGCATATGCCTGTAATCCCAGCTACTCGGGAGGCCGAGGCAGGAGAATTGCTTGAAACTGGGAGGCAGAGGTTGCAGTGAGCCAAGATCACACCATTGCACTCCAGCCTGGGAAACAAGAGCAAAACTCCTTTCAAACAAACAAACAAACAGACAAAAATAGGACAGGTGCGGTGTGGCTCAAGCCTATAATCTCAGCACTTTGGGAGGCCGAGGCAGGAGGATCACTTGAGGCCAGGAGTTTGAGACCAGCCTGAGAAACACAGCGAGACCCCATCTATACAAAAAAATTAAAAAATTAGTCGGGCGTGGTGGCACACACCTGTAGTCCCAGCTACTCAGGAGGCAGGGGTGGGAGGGTCACTTGAGCCTGGGAGGTCAAGGCTGCAGTGAACTATGATTGACTGAGTCACTGCACTCTAGCCTCGGTGACAGAGTGAGACCCCCAACCCCACCCCACCCCCCTCCAAAAAAAAACAGGGCCGGGCACAGTGGCTCACGCCTGTGATGCCAACACTTTGGAAGGCCGAAGCAGGCAGATCACCTGAGGTCAGGAGTTCAAGACTAGCTTGGCCAACGTGGTGAAACCCTGCCTCTACTGAAAATACAAAAATTAGGCGGATGTGGTGGCGGGCACCTGTAATCTCAGCTACTTGGGCTGAGACTCGAGAATCACTTGAATCCGGGAGGCAGAGTTTGCAGTGAGCCAAGATCATGCCATTGCACTCCAGCATGAGCGACAAGAGTGAAACTCCGTCTCCAAAAAAAAAAAAAAAAAAAAAAGGCCAGAGGCTTCAAAAGTAACCAGAATGATTCCAGTTCAAAAGTAACCAGAATGATTCCAGTTCAAAAGTAACCAGAATGATTCCAGACAACCTAGAAGGAGGGAGTAGCTTCCTCTCGCCCTCACTGGGAAAAATGCAGAGATATGATAGTTGTCTTTATGACTCCGAAAATGCTTAAGACAAGAAGAGCATGTAAACAAATAACTCCTATGAGAGCTTCTCAATTCACACATGATCCCATTTCATCCTTGCAAGAACACCGGGCAATAGATAATATCTTAAAATTCCCATTTTACAAATAAAAAATTCCCCGCCAGACATGGCAGTTCACATCTGCCATCCCACCACTTTAGGAGGGCAAGATGGAAGGATCACTTAGAGCCAGGAGTTCGAGACCACCCTGGGCAACAAAGCGAGACTCTGTTTCTATAATTTTTTTTTTTTTTTGAGGCGAAGTCTTGCTGTGTTACCTAGGCTGGGGTGCAGTGGCGCAACCTCGGCTCACTGCAACCTCTGCCTCCTGGGTTAAAGTGATTCTCCTGCCTCAGCCTCCTGTGTAGCTGGGACTAGAGGCATGTGTCACCACACCTGGCTATCTATTAATGTTTTTTTAAATTAAACTTCAAAATAAAGGCCTGGCATGGTGGCTTACACCTGTAATCCCAGCACTTTGGGCTGAGACAGGCAGATCACCTGAGGTGAGGAGTTTGAGACCAGCATGGCCAACATGGTGAAACCCCGTCTCTACAAAAAATATTTTAAAAATTAGCCGGGTGTGATGGTGGGTGCCTGTAGTCCCAGCTACTTGGGAGACTGAGCCAGGAGAATCGCTTGAACCTGGGAGGCAGAGGTTCCAGTGAGGCAAGATCGTGCCACTGCACTCCAGCCTGGGCGATGGAAGGAGACACCGTCTCAAAAATAAATAAATAAAGACAAAAATAAAGTCTCTCTTCTCATTGCCATCACGTCTGAGTCAGAGTCTCCAAAAAGCCTGAACAAATAAAAAATTCCAGACTCAGGCCAGGTGCGGTGGCTCATGCCTGTAATTCCAGCACTTTGGGAGGCCAAGGCGGGTGGATCACGAGGTCAGGAGATCGAGACCATCCTGGCTAACACGGCGAAACCCCATCTCTACTAAAAATACAAAAAAAAATTAGCCCTTGGTGGCGGGCGCCTGTAGTCCCAGCTACTCGGGAGGCTGAGGCAGGAGAACGGCGTGAGCCCAGGAGGCGGAGCTTGCAGTGAACCAAGATCGCGCCACCGCACTCCAGACTGGGTGGCACAGCAAGACTTCATCTCAAAAAAAAAAAAAAAAAAAGCTAGACTCAGAGAGGTTACTCGATCGCACCTGCCTTGGGTGTGACACCAACCACAGAGGGGTTCAGTGGTCCGGAAAGAACCTTGCACTCCTGCTAAGATCACCAAGCTCTCCTTCCAATACTGCTTTCTTCCAACATCTCAAAGGGCTTATGAGGACCATCCTAAGAAGAAGGCTGTAACTGACAGCGATTATCCACCTCCCCCAAGAGGACCAGCATGGAGGATAAGCTCATCAAGGCCAATGCCTTTGTTTTACCTTCCAGGTGATTCCAGGATCTCATCTCAGGTAAGTATCTATCTTAAACTCTCTCTCCTGTTCACCCTCTAATGTCTCCCATGCACTGCACCCTCTAACTCAGGGCCTGACATCTGTAAGATCCCTAGATCCTCGTCCTGTTCTGTAAGCAGCCCTTCAATTTCTACTTCACTGAAACATGACTATTCCCTCAGGACACTGTTCCCCAAAGCACTATGAGTAGTGGTCTTTTTCTGTCCCATGCAAGCCCCCATAAGCCACACTCTACTGTCTTAGAGAAGGAACACTCATTGCCGCATCAAGACTATTGTTCCTCTCATTTCCCTGTTTTGTTTTTGTTTGCTTCTTTTGAGACAGGCTGTTGTTCTGTCATCCAGGCTGGAGTGCAGCAGTGCAATCATAGCTCACAGCAGCCTCGGACTCCTGGGCTCAAACAATCCTCTGGCCGGGTTTAGTGGCTCGCTCCTGTAATTCCAGCACTTTGGTAGGCCGAGGTGGGTAGATTACCTGAGGTCAGGAGTTCAAGACCAGCCTGGCCAACATGGTGAAACCCTGTCTCTACTGAAAATACGAAAATTAGCCGGGCGTGGTGGCACATGCTTGTAATCCCAGCTACTCAGGAGGCTGAGGCAGGAGAATCGCTTGAGCCCAGAAGGTGGAGGTTGCAGTGAGCCAAGATCGTGCCACCGCACTCCAGCCTGGCTGACAGAGTGAGATTCTGTCCAAAAAAACAAAACAAACAAAACAAAACAAAACAAAAAAATCCTCCCACCTCAGTCTCCTGAGTAGCTGGGACTATAGGTGCGCACCACCATGCCCGGCTAATTTTTATTTTTGTAAAGATGGGGTCTTACTCTATTGCCCAGGATCGTCTCAAACTCCTGGCTTCAAGCCATCCTCCCACCTCCATTTCCCAAAATGTTCGGATTCCAGGTATAAGCCACTATGCCCAGCCCAGACTCATTTATCTAATTACTGACTTGATATCTCTACTTGAAGGTGTACTTGGCAATTTTTTTTTTTTTGAGACACAGTCTCACTCTGTTACCCAGGCTGAAGTGCAGTGGCATAATCACTGCACTACAACCTCCCCCTCCTCGGTTCAAGCAATTCTTGTGCCTCGGCCTCCCGAGTAGCTCGGATTACAGGCACGCACCACCATGCCCAGCTAATTTTTGTATTTTTAGTAGAGACGGGGTTTCACCATGGTGGCCAGGCTGGTCTCGAACTCCTGACCTCAAGTGATCTGCCTGCCTCGGCCTCCCAATGTGCTGGGATTACAGGCGTGAACCACCACGCCTGGCCAGCAATTATTTTAAGAGTTGGGGTCTTGCTATTTTGCTAAGGCTGGTCTTGAACTCCTGGCCTCAAGCGATCCTCCTGCCTTGGCCTTCCAAAGCGCGGGGATTATGGACATGAGCCACTGTGCCCAGCAGGAGCAGTATTTTAGTCAGTTATTCACTTGCTCACTAAAACCTAAACTTCCTGAGGCCAGGAACACATTTTACTTTTTTTTTTTTTCGAGATGGAGGGTTGCTCTGTTGCCCAGGCTGGAGTGCAGGGGCGCCATGTTGGCTCACTACAACCTCCGCCTCCCAGGTTCAAGTGATTTTCCCGCCTCAGCCTCCTGAGTAGCTGGGATTACAGGCATCCGCCACCATGCCTGGCTAATTTTTTTATTTTTGGTAGAGACGGGTTTCACCATGTTGGCCAGGCTGGTCTCCAACGTCTGACCTCAAGTGATCCACCCGCCTTGGCCTCCCAAAGTGCTGGGATTACAGGCGTGAGCCACTGTGCCCAGCCATGGGACCCACTTTACTCTTAATTTCCCCAATTCCTAGAACAGTGTGTGGCCCACAGGAAATCCGCAGAATATATTTGCAGAATGAATGAATGACTTGCCAAACGAATTAGGGCAAATCAGTAGATATCGAGTAAACATCCACAACCACCTGCCCCATACCCTTTTCAGCTCTGGGGAGATGGTGGCTCCTTGTGGGGTCGGATATGGGGGTCTCCTTTCCTTTCACCCTCCTGCCTCGTGGGGGAGTCAAGTCTCCGCAGGCGGAGAGCCCGGATGCAGGCGCGACTAGGCGGCCCTCTCTATGGTGAGCCCCCCGGTCCCTCCTCCGCAGTACCCGGAGTGCCTCTATGGTTCTTCCTGTCCTTAGTCGGGAGGGGGCGCTGTGCGCAGGCGCGAGGTGACGCCGCGGCAGGGCCGGAAGGAGTGCAGCGGCTGCCACGGAGCTCGCAGCTGCGGCTTCTGAGGAGTAAGCGGCGCGGTAGCGAAGGCCGCCGAACCTGCCTGGCTAGCCGGCGACTTGAGTGACGAGTGAGTGTCGGCTGCGGGGCGCGCTCGAGCTCCTGGGCGGGTCTGTGAGGCGACGCGGCCTCTCTGAGGGGCGCCTCTGTGGAGCTCCGGGGGTGGGGGCGGGGGCGCGGGCCGTGAGGGCCGCCGAGCTGAGGGGCGCGGGCCGAGGCCCGGGCGGGATCGGGCCAAGGGGCTGGGCTGGGCGTCTCGAGCCCGGTGCGGTGGCGAGGCTGGAGCGACAAAGGCGCTGAGCGGCCGGGTGGCCCCCTCTCGCCACTTCGCGAAGTTTCGCGGGCCGGCCCCTCGGGTCTGCTGCGCGAGGGCAACAGCCCGGGAGACCGCGCTTCCCTCCCCCGGGCCCGAGGCCGCCGCGGAGGCGGTGTCCGTGCACCCGAGCGCGGCCTGGAGGAGCGGCGGGAGGCGGGCCGTGCCTGTGAACCCCAGCCCAGGCGGGCGGCGTTTTTCCTCCTCTTCCCTCACATCTGGAGCGCGTGTTCCGCGAAAGTTGGCGACTGTCACCCGGCACTCGCGAGGGCGCCGCAAGTGCGTCAAACCCTTCTGCGGGGCGCTGGGGGCTGGCCCGGCTCGGGTGTCCGGGCGCTGGGCAGCGAGCGAGGCCGCTGTCCCCGCGTCGAGGTGGTTCTGCTCCCGGTGGAACAGGACCAGGGATCCAAGACTCTGGGCCACTTGCAACCAACCCTGGAGCGTGCGCGGCGTGCGGGTTACAGAAATTTCTGACAAATCCGACAGGGCTCTGTAAATCCCTAAGGGCCTGGGTAGCAGCTGTCCTAGGTACTTAGATCGTGCAAAGAGAACGTTCTTTTTTCTTTTACTTTTTTTTTTTTCTCCTTTTCTTTGAGACGGAGTCTTGCTCTGTTGCCCAGGCTGGAGTGCAGTGGCGCGATCCCGGCTCACTGCAAGCTCTGCCTCCCGGATTCAAGCGATTTTCCTGCCTCAGCCTCACAGGGATTGCCTCAGCTGGGATTACAGGCATTTGCCACCACGTCCAGCTAATTTTTGTATTTTTAGTAGAGACGGGATTTCTCCGTGTTGGCCAGGCTGGTCTCTAACGTCTGACCTCAGGTGATCCCTCCGCCTCGGCCTCCCAAAGTGCTACAGTCTTTTCAAAAGACGTTTCAGATATGTTCTCCGGGACCCTCGGGCCCTTCAGTAAGAAGCGCCCTGGCTGAAAACCCACACGTTCACCTACAGAAGAAGCACTGTGACGTAGAGGGTGAGCAGAGCAGAGGGCCTCACAGTGGCCCTCACATGCACCTGGCTCCAGCCTGGCCAGGTCATTTTGCCCTGGTGGGCCTGTGCCTCAAAAATGGGGTTTCTTCCCTTGTGAGGAAGACCCATGAATTAGTAACGGAATTGCCAGGAATGCTAAAAACTATCTAAATGCCATGTATTGTTTTCAAGCTGTTACTCCTGGAAGGGGCTGGGTTGGCATTGTTTTAGAGGTTAGGAGCCAAACATCAGCTCATCTATTCTCCAGCTGTTGTTTGTCCTCCATCTTCCTGCAATAGTCAGGCACAGGGTCTTATAAAAATGGGTTTGTGCTGCTGTATGTTTCGGTGGGTACCTTTGTTTACTGAATGGGATGTAGGTGGGGGACCAGAGCATATCCGCGTCCCTCGGAAACAGTGGCGTTTTAGATGTAGTATGTCCCGTCAGCTCCTCTCTGCCCCACCCACCCCAGCCCATTCATTGAGCATTTTTTTTTTTTTTTTGAGGCGGAGTCTGGCTGTATTTCCCAGGCTAAAGTGCAGTGGTGCCATCTCTGCCCACTGCACCCTCCGCCTGCCAGCTTCAAGTAATTCTCCTGCCTCAGCCTCCCGAGTAGCTGGAATTACAGGCGCGCACCACCACGCTCGGCTAACTTTTTTTTTTTTTTTTTTTTTTAAGAGACGGAGTCTAGCTGTGCTGCCCAACTCCTGGGTTTAAGTGACCCTCAGCCTCCCAAAGCACAAGAATTACAGGCTTTAGCCACCGTGCTCTGCCAGAACATTCTTTACGCGCTGAGAAGGGAGAGAAGCGGGAAGATTCTATGAAACATCTCAATTTAGTCGGCTTGCTTTAAGGAAGAAGGCTAATACATGGCCTGGCTTTGCCTTGGTTTTGTATTTCATAATTTATTGCGCCTGGGGTGTGGGGAGTAGTGGTGGATTTGAGGAAATGCCTGGAGAGTCTGGGCCAGATTTTGGACCCCCTGGCAAACCTCATTCGAGGCTTTAGATTTTTACCCTGATTAGAGCAGCAGCAGCTAATAAAAGAGAACTCCTGAAGCCCCTGTGGAGAAATCTGATAAAGAAGGGTTAGGTGTGAGTGAGGCAGATCGAAAGTTGATGAATAGGATAGTTGAGAGAGCTGGTATTTGCTGATTCTACTACCAGCTACTATTTAATGTGTTTACAAAATTCTAGGCATTGCTATATTCTAGCTCTTTAGAGACATAATTCATTCTCATACCTGATATCATTATATTTGCATTATTGTTAAAGATAATAGAACATAGTTGGGAATGGTGTGGCTCACGCCCGTAATCCCAGCACTTTGGGAGGCCGAGGCGGGCAGATCACCTAAGGTCAGGAGTTCGAGACCAGCCTGGCCAACATGGTGAAACCCCGTCTCTACTAAAAATACAAAAATTAGCCAGGTGTGATGGCGTGCGCCTGTAATCCCAGCTACTGGGGAGGCTGAGGCAGGAGAATCACATGAACTCGGGAGGCGGAGGTTGCAGTGATCCGAGATTGTGCCACTGCACTCCAGCCTGGGTGACAGAGCGAGACTCCGTCTCAAAAATAATAATAATTTTAAAAAAAGAAACTGAGGTGCTGAAAAATATCTAGTCCCAAAACTTGTAAGGGTCAGCGTGGAACTTGAACTCAGTTTGGACCCAGAGTTCATGCCACTAATTATCCTTCTATAATTAGTGAGTGCTATTTATTCTGAAAGTACATCTACTATTGAAGATCATCTACTGTGCCATCCGATATGCTATGTCCTGGGGCTTTGGGATCAAGTGACACTTTGGTTCTGCCTTCTTGGAACTTAAGTTTTAGCAGAGGAGACCAAAATTACACATAGTTTCCTAAATAAGTATATTAAAGTATTGTTGGAAGTACTTTGAAGAAATGAGGTACGTTGTGTGATTGAACCAGGGAGGAACATCTAGGGGATAATCAGGAACAATTTTTCTCTGAGGAGAAAGCAAAGAACCGAACAATGAATAGAGTTAATTTGGTCCAAGAGGCAGTGAAGAAGAGTAGTTTAGCTGGGGAAGAGCCTGCAGTGGAAGGAAGGAGCAAGTCATGGAACTGAACCATTGTTACTACTGAATGGTGAATGCGGGGGGAAAAGGTATGAGGTAAGGCCCGCTATGTCAGCAAGGTCAGGTGATGGTAGCGTTTTGTAGGCCATGGTAAGGATTTCGGTTTCACCATGGTGAGATTTGTGGTTTAAAAGAAATAACTCAAATGCCGTATGAAAACATGTCAAGGGATGGAGCCTGCAAGGCAGTACTTGGGCTAGAAGCAGAAGCATGTCCTTTGGTCACAGAAGATTCAGTTCTAAAAAGATCGTTGAAAACGTTGATTTTACCCTCCACACATGAGGATGTACTTACTTATCTGTCCTAGTTTCTAAACTAATTTTCATTGGACAGTTGAAGAAAATCTTGATGTTTTATGTTAAATTGTTTAGCCCGCCCACTGAAGATTTTGAGTTTAATTTTTGATTTAAAACCTTTCCTATTGTAAAAATACACAGATAATAGGATTCTTAGAGCTGTTAAACTCTAGACTAATTGTTTGCATATTTATATCCATAATGATGGATGTTATTTTACCATATTTTGTCCACATATTAAAGTTAACACAATTTTCGTTTTCTTTCTCTGAACTCATCATCTGCTTTGTTCTTCCTTAATAGCATCACCATCCTGTGGTCACCTGATCTCAGCGTCTAGGTCAACTTTGATTCCTTTCTTCTTGCCCTGATGGCCAGTGACATACACAGATCCCATCGACTCTAACTCTGCAGTCAGTGTCTTGTATTCTTCTCCTCCCCCTAGGTACTGTTGGCTCTTGTTTCCTGGCACCGGTTGTCTCCTACATGCCATCTTACACATTGCAGCCAGGTTGATTTTTCTAAAGCACAGCTGTCATTGCATTGCTTCCCATTGGCTAGAAAATAAAATCTGAGCTCTGTTTCAGTTATCTGTTGATGTATAACAAACCACCCTAATACTTACTGCTTCATAGAATAATTTTGTTTGTTGACAGTTTTATGAATCAGGAGAATTGAGAAGTGCTCACCTGGGCCATTTTTCTCTGGTCGACATGTTGTCAGCAGAGGTGGCCAGTGCTGGAGCATCCGCTTCCACAATGTCTTCTTCGTTCACATGCCTTGTCAAAGACTGCTGGAAGGCCGGGCTCCACTGGCTCTTTCCCTCCACGTGTAGTGTCAGGTCTTTCTGTGTGATCTCTCAGCAGGGTATTCAGACTTTTTACCTGATGACTCTGGGCCCAGGAGCCCTAAGTGAAAGCTGTTGTGCTCACTCGCTCTTTCTCTTCCTTTCTTTCACTTTCTTTTTCTTTCTTTCTTTCTTTTTTTCTCTCTCTCTCTCTTTTTCTCTCTCTCTTTTTTTTTTTTTTTTTTGGACAGAGTCTCCCTCTGTCGCACAGGCTGGAGTGCAGTGGCACAATATCAGCTCACTGCAACCTCCTCCTCCCAGGTTCAAGCCATTCTTGTGCCTCAGCCTCCAGAGTAACAGGGATTACAGGCATGAGCCACCACACCCAGCTAATTTTTGTATTTTTTTAGTAGAGTCAGGGGCTGCTGTGCTTTTAAAGGATAAACCCAGATCTGACACGTCTCTCACTTTAGCTTGATATGGCTATTCCTGTGAAACCTTCACTGACTACCTGCCCTTCCCCTATAGTCTTTTTTTTTTTTTTTTTTTTGAGACGGAGTCTTGCTCTGTCGCCCAGGCTAGAGTGCAGTGGCCCGATCTTAGCTCACTGCAAGCTCCGCCTCCCGGGTTCTCGCCATTCTCCTGCCTCAGCCTCCTGAGTAGCTAGGACTACAGGCGCCCGCCACCACGCCTGGCTAATTTTTTTGTGCTTTTTTTTTTTTTTAAGTAGAGACGGGGTTTCACCGTGTTAGCCAGGATGGTCTCCGTCTCCTGACCTCGTGATCCGCCCGCCTTGGCCTCCCAAAGTGCTGGGATTACAGGCTTGAGCCACCGTGCCCGGCTATAGTCTCTTTATTACACTAGTGACTTTATTCTCTGATTGATGGGACTCTGAGTTCTTTGAGACAAAATCCATTTGAGAGTTTGTTTTGATGTATTCCCGATGATGCATAACCAATTCTTGTTACATAAAATGCTGTAGCAGTACAGTCAGCTCTCCATATCCACAGCTTTCACATATGGATATGGAGAGCTAACAGTAAACTTTTTCTGTATTGATTTAATATTAATTGTATTAGTACAGACTTACAAAAGGATGGATATCCAAAGAATGGTTAGGATGAGCAACTGGTATTTGAATGAAAAACAATCGTTTATAGACATTTTTAAAAACATGCTGGGAAGAGGTATTGTGGAGGCCTGGTGTGACACGGGCATGTCATCTTCTTCCAGCCTGTGCCTAGCTCTGCTTTGCCCACTTTTTCTTTTTTTTTTTGAGATGGAATCTCGCTCTGTCACCCAGGCAGGAGTGCAGTGGCGCATTCTAGGCTCACTGCAAGCTTTGCATCCCGGGTTCAAGCATTTCTCCTGCCTCAGCCTCCCGAGTAGCTGGGACTACAGGTGCCTGCAACCACGCCTGGCTAGTTTTTGTATTTTTAGTAGAGACAGGTTTTACCGTGTTGGCCAGGCTGGTCTTGAACTCCTGACCTCAAATAATCCACTCACCTCGGCCTCTCAAAGTTTTGGGATTACAGGTGTGAGCCACTGCACCTGGCCTGCTTTGCCCACTTTTTGCTGGGAAGTCAAAGGGATTAACTCATTAAATTTGAAAGTCTTTAGTGACCCCCAAATCTGTTGCAGAAGTGGCAGGCATATTTACAGGAAGTATTCTGGAGAGC
Source organism: Homo sapiens (assembly GCF_000001405.40). NCBI lineage: Eukaryota > Metazoa > Chordata > Mammalia > Primates > Hominidae > Homo > Homo sapiens. The sequence goes on along the minus strand of NC_000007.14, from coordinate 5,775,465 downwards.
CAGGGGCACTACAGAGCCCTAGGATCATACAGTAGTAGTTTAGGAGCATATACATAAGGAAAAATGGAGAAGCAGCATGAATAGAACAAGGAGAAAAAAATGATTTGTAGAAGACAGCCTCAAGCATTCTGGTCACGAGGAAGTGAAGGTGAGATTTTGAAAACCAGAAAATTGGGTGAGAGAACCGTGAGCGATTCTCTTTTCTTCCTGACTTCCTTTGTTTCCCATATTTTCTGTAATGGGCAATACTTGATAACTGAAGAAAATCCTAATTGTTGTTGCCTAGGCCATGTTTCCTGACTCTGGTTCTATGGCCATGGTGAATAACAGCTCCAGTCTTTGACAGAGGAAGAAGTTTTTGGAGCCACTCGTTCAACAACTGTGCTAGGCATTGGAAATACAACTATAAGTAAGAAAAGAGGCCAGGCACAGTGACTTACGACTGTAATCTCACCACTTTGGTGAGTGTCGGGGGGGTGGATCACCTGAGGTCGGCATTTCAAGACCAACCTAAGATGGCGAAACCTCATCTCTACTAAAAATATAAAATTAGCTGGGCATGGTGGCAACATGCCTGTAACTTGGGAGGCTGAGACAGGAGAATCACTTGAACTCTGGAGGGGATGTTGCAGTGAACTGAGATTGCACCATTGCACTCCAGCCTGGGCAACAAGAGCAAAACTTCGTCTCAATAAAAAAAAAAAAAGTAACTTGGAATGGGAAAATAAAGATTTTTTCCCCCCTTGAACTGTATTTTATTAATAAGCACTGCATTTCCTGTGTACTTGTGATTACAATGCAGCTATTTTGATGGTATTTACCATATACAAAGTGGCTTCTCATTTTTCAACATAGCCTTGTAATGTAAGAATAGCTATTTTGATTTTTCTGTTTCGCAGGTAACAGTTAATAAAAATAGCACAATGTCACACTTAGTATATATCAGGCACTGTGCTAAAACTTCATGTAATTCAACTGATTTAGTTTTTAAAAAGTTTTTATTTTTTAAAATTAATGAATTTTTTTGGAGGTAGGTTCTCCCTCTGCCGCCTATGCTGGAGTGCAATGGTGCTATCATAGCTTACTTGCAGCATTGAACTCCTGGGCTCAAAGGATTCTCTTGCTTCAGCAACCACAGTAAAGCTGGGACTTGGGCACATGCCACTCTACCTACCCGCAACTAATTTTAAAACAACTGTATTCTCATTTTACAAATGAGGAAATTGGCCTAGGAGATTGAACAATTTATCTGGAGCCACCGATTGACTAAATGGGAAACCAAGATTTAAACATAGGCAGTATTATCCGAAGCCCAGATTAAAAGACTTGAGTGTCAGAGAGTTAAATGACCTGATACAGAGACTTACATTTAGTTAAGAGTAGAAATTCCATCATCAGAATTCTTTTCTTCTCACAGGTTGGGGCCACTGGTGTGCCACTCATGAGGAATTTTTTGAACCGTTACTAGCAGTCTGCTTAACTACAAGCCTGACATTTCAACTAAATTAGCTGTAAAAATGACTCACATCTCCCTTTGATTTTCAGTGTAAAATTGAAGGAAGCCAGTTGTGGTCAAAGAAAAAATAAGAAATTTGGCTTGGGGCCAGGCACGGTGACTCGCCTGTTATCCCAGGACTTTGGGAGGCTGAGGCAGGCAGATCACTGAAGTCAGGAGTTCAAGATCAGCCTGGCCAACATGACAAAACCACTTCTCTACTAAAAATACAAAAATTAACCAGCATGGTGGCACGCATGTGTCGTCCCAGCTACTCAGGGAGGCTGAGGCAGGAGAATCGCTTGAACCTGGGAGACGGAGGTTGCAGTGAGCTGAGATCGTGCCACTGCACTCCAGCCTGGGTGACAAAGCAAGATTCCGTCTCAAAATTTGGCTTGAAAATAGTGTTCAAAATACTTTTTAAAAATCTGGCTGGGTGTGGTGGCTCACTCCTGTAATCTCAGCACTTTGGGAGACCAAGGCGGGGAAATCACGAGGTCAGGAGTTTGAAACCAGCCTGGCCAACATGGTGAAACATTGTCTCTACTAAAAATACAAAAAACTAGCTTGTTTGGTGGCGGGCACCCTTAATCCCAGCTATTCTGGAGGTTGAGGCAGAAGAATCGCTTGAACCCAGGAGGTGGAGGTTGCAGTGAGCTGAGATTGCACCACTGCACTCCAGCCCAGGTGACAGTGGGAGACTCTGTCTCAAAAAAAAAAAAAATCTTATTTGGGGAAAAAAAAGGACTTGATTAGATGCAGTTCAAATTTGATACCAGAGCTGTTCTTTTAAATACCATGCTACTTATTAATAACATCAATATCATTATTTCAAATGAGAGACCCAAACTTACGCTGATATATGTCAGTTTTAAAAGTGGGAATACCTGGGGCCAGGCATGGTGGCTCATGCCTGTAATCCCACCACTGTGGGAGGCTGAGGCGTGTGGATCACCAGAGGTCAGTAGTTCGAGACTAGCCTGGCCAACATGGTGAAACCCTGTGTCTACTAAAAAATACAAAAATTAGCCAGACATGGTGGCGCATGCCTGTAATCCCAGCTACTCGGGAGGGTGAGGCAGGAGAATTGCTTGAACCCGGGATGCAGAGGGTTGCAGTGAGCCGAGATCGTGCCATTGCACTCTAGCCTGGATGACAAGAGCGAAACTCTGTCTCAAAAAAAAAAAAAAAAAAAGGAATATCTTTTTTCAGTTATCAATGCTAGAAATTTCTGTTGTAAAACTTTGCTAACCTGGTTTTGATATCTGTATATTTTGATAGTATCTATAACTTCACATTCTATAAGTTGAGAAAATGCTGATATTATTTGACTATTAACTCTTTGTAGACATTTAATGAGAAGCCCCGATCTGGGGCTTACTGCCTCTGAGGCACAGTGGTTTCTCCCAGGAAGGCAAAGAAAATTGAGATTTTCTCAGAGAGGAAGGAAAGGATTGAATCGCTTAAACCTGGGAGATGGAAGTTGCAGTAAGCCGAGATCGCACCACTGCACTCCAGCCTGGGTGACACAGCAAGAAGCACATTTAAATCTTGTGTTTATAGTAATTTGGTGTTTGTGGAGATTCTTTCTTGTCTAGTTTTTTTGTAACTGTTGTCCATGGAATTTTTTCTGTTACTATGTAAGAATTTGAGGAGATTCAAAGACTATTCTGCTGTTACTACTACTGTCTTCCCAGAATTTCCTTGTGGTTTTATTTTATTTTACTTTATTTTATTGGGACGGAGTTTCACTCTTGTTGCCCAGGCTGGAGTGCAATGGCTTGATCTCGGCTCACCGCAACCTCCACCTCCCGGGTTCAAACGATTCTCCTGCCTCAGCGTCCTGAGTAGCTGGGATTACAGGCATGGGCCACCATGCCCAGCTAATTTTGTATTTTTAGTAGAGACAGGGTTTCTCCATGTTGGTCAGGCTGGTCTCGAACTCCTGAGCTCAGGTGATCCACCCGCCTCGGCCTTCCAAAGTGCTGGGATTACAGGCGTGAGCCACCACGCCCGGCCCCTTGTGGTTTTAGTTTACATTTCTCTGATGTCTCATAATGTTGGACACTTTTTCATTTATTTATTGGCCTTTTGCGTTTCCTCGGGGTACTCAGCCGTTGTTAATTCAAATTGTTTGCCCCATTTTTCCTTTGGGCAGATGTTTTTTGGTGGGGGGACAGGGTTTCACTCCCATTGCCCAGGCTGGAATGCAGTGGCGGGATCACAGCCTACTGCAACCTCCACCTCTCGAGCTCAAGAGATCTTCCCACCTCAGCCTCCTGAGTAGCTGGGACTAGGTGCCCGCTACTGCGCCTGGCTAAATTTTTTTGCTTTTTTTGTAGAAATGGGTTTTGCCATGTTGTCCAGGCTGGTCTCAGACTCCTGAGCTCAAGTGATCTGCCTGCCTTGGCCTTCCAAAGTGCAGGGATTACAGGCATGAGCCACTGCACCCCGCCGGGATTCTTTTTCTTTTCAGTTAACATGCAAGAGTTTTTATATTTTCTCCTGGTGGCTTGCCTTTTCATTCTGAATTTCTTTGGTGAGTAGACATGCTTAATTTTAATGTATAGTGTTTCAGTTTTTTCTTTTATGGATAGTACTGTTTATGTCCTGTTTAGGGTATCTTTTGCACCTCTAAGATTGTGGAGATTTTGTGTTATCTTCTAGAAACTTATTTTACCTTTCTGTTTAAATGTGTAGTTATCTAAAATTGTTTTTGTGTAAGGCATGAGGAAGGGGTTGTTACCCCCTACTCCCACCCCATATATGGCTTTTGAGTACAGCATCATATAGTAGAAAGGTCATGTTTTCCACTGCTCTGCAATGCTACTTTTGTCATAAACATTCATATAAGACTGAATCTGGGGCCAGGTGTGGTGGCTCACGCCTGTAATCCCAGCACTTTGGGAGGCCAAGGTGGGCGAATCACAAGGTCAAGAGTTCGAGACCAGCCTGGCCAACATGGTGAAACCCTGTCTCTACTAACAATACAAAAATTAGCCGGGCGTGGTGGTGCATGCCTGTAATTCCAGCAACTCTGGAGGCTGAAGCAGGAGAATCGCTTGAACCCAGGAGGCGGAGGTTGCAGTGAGCCGAGATCACACCACTGCACTCCGGCCTGGGCGACAGAGCAAGACACTGTTTCGGGGGGAAAGAAAAAAAAAAAAAGAATCTGTTCTGCACTCTGTTCCATTGGTCTGTTTTTCTTTTGTCAATACAATATTGTCTTAATTAGTGTAACTTAATAGTAATACAATATCTCCTACTGTAAATCCTCCTTTTGTTTTTCTCCATGAATGCTTTGGTTATTCTTGGCTGTTTTCCTGTAAATTCTAAAGTCATCTAGTATATATCTATTCTTAAAACCTGATAAAGGTTGTATTAAATCTACACATCAATTTAGAGTGAAAGGACATCTTTGCAAAATTGAACTTTCCCACCCGTGAATATGGTATGTCTCTACATTTATTTGATATTTAATTTCTCCCAGTAATCTTTTTTTTTTTTTTGAGACGGAGTTTTGCTCTCGTTGCCCAGGCTGGAGTGCATTGGCATGATCTCGGCTCACCACAACCTCCGCCTCCCAGGTTCAAGTGATTCTCCTGCCTCAGCCTCCTGAGTAGCTGGGATTACAGGCATGTGCCACCACGCCTGGTGAATTTTGTATTTTTAGTAGGGATGGGGTTTCTCCATGTTGGTCAGGCTGGTCTCAAACTCCCCACCTCAGGCGATCCGCCCACCTTGGCCTCCGAAAGTGCTGGGGTTACAGATGTGAGCCACGGCGCCCAGCCCAAGTAATCTTGTTTGATGGGGTTTCGCTGGCCTTAAACTTCTGTGCTCAAGCAATCTGCTTGCCTCAGCCTCCCAAAGTGGTGGGACTACAGGCGTGAGCCACCACGCCCAGCCGATTTTCAGTCTTTTTTTTTTTTTTTTTTTTTTTTTTTTTGAGATGGGTCTCACTCTGTCAGCCAGGTTGGAGTACAGTGGCACAATCTCAGCTCACTGCAACTTGGCCTCCTGGGTTCAAGTGATTCCTCTGTCTCAGCCTCCTGGCTACAAGCACTCGCCACCAAGCCTGGCTAATTTTTGTATTTTTAATAGAGACAGGTTTTCACCATGTTGGCCAGGCTGGTCTCAAACTCCTGACCTCAAGTGATCCGTCTATCTTGGCCTCCCAAAGTGCTGGGATTATAGGCGTGAGTCACCACGCCTGGCCGATTTTCAGTCTTTTTTCTTTTTTTCTTTTTTTTGAGACAGCTCTCACTGTCTCCCAGGTTGGAGTACAGTGGTGTGATCTTAGCTTACTGCAACTTCTGCCTCTTAGGCTCAAGCAGTCCTCCCTCCCCGGCCTCCCATGTAGCTGGTACCACAGGTGCATGCCACCATGCCCATCTAATTTGTTTGTTTGTTGGTAGAGACAGCGTTTCACCATGTTGCCCAGGCTGGTCTTGAACTCCTGAGCTCAAGCAGTCCGCCCACCTCAGACTCCCAAAGTGCTGGGATTACAGGCATGAGCCACCACGCCCAGCCTCTTTGTTTAAAATAAGGCATTTGCGGCCAGGCGCGGTGGCTCACGCCTGTAATCCCAACACTTCGGGAGGCCAAGGCCAGCAGATCACAGGGTCAAGAGATTGAGACCATCCTGGCCAACATGGTGAAACCCCTTCTCTACTAAAAATACAAAAATTAGCTGGGCGTGGTGGCGCACGCCTGTAGTCCCAGCTACTCGGGAGGCTGAGGCAGGAGAATCACTTGAACACAGGAGGCAGAGGCTGCAGTGAGCTGAGATTGTGCCACTGCACTCCAGTCTGGCAACAGAGGGGAACTCCGTCAAAAAAAAAAAAAAAAAGGCATTTGGAACTGTAAATTGTGTCTAATAAACTATTTTACCTCCTTCACATAAATTTTGATATATTTTGTTTTCATTATCTTTCAGTTTATTTAGTCAAAATAGTTAACTAATTTTCATTGTAATTTCTTCGTTAATGTGTGGATTTTAAAAGTTGCTTTGGCCGGGCACAGTGGCTCATGCCTGTAATCCCAGCACTTTGGGAGGTCGAGGCGGGTGGATCACGAGGTCAGGAGATCAAGACCATCCTGGCTAACATGGTGAAACCCTGTCTCTACTAAAAATACAAAAAAATAGCCGGGCGTGGTGGTGGGCGCCTGTAGTCTTAGTTACTCGGGAGGGTGAGGCAGGAGAATGGCGTAAACCCGGGAGGCGGAGCTTGCAGTGAGCCAAGATCGAGCCACTGCACTCCAGCCTGGGCGACAGAGCAAGACTCTGTCCCAAAAAAAAAAAAAACAAAGTTGCTTCATTTCTCACATTTCAGAATTACCTAATTATCTTTTATTGACTGTTGTCAGAGAACATGCTGTGTGATTTCAAGCCTTCAAAATTTGTTACGGCATGGCATACAGTCTGTTTTGTGAATGTTCTCATACACTTGAAAAGAATGTGTATTCTGCAGTTACTGGATAAAGTGTCAGTTAGGTCAAGCTCTTTGATAGTACTGTTCAAGTCTATCCAGCTATAAGTGGGTTCATCTTGCTTCCTTAAGGTCTGTCAATTTAAGCTGTGTGTGTGTGTGTGTGTGTGTGTGTGTGTGTGTGTGTGTGTGTGTATTTGCCTGCCTCGGCCTCCCACTACTGGACCCAGCCTTTTTTTTTTTTTTTCCCCCTAATAGCGACAAGATCTCACTATGTTTCCCAGGCTGGTCTTAAACTCCTGGGCTCAAGTGATCCTCCTGCTTCAGCCTCCCAAAGTGCTAGGATTACAGGCATGAGCTACCGCACCTGGTAATTTTTTTTTTAATCAAAGTCTGGACATTATGAATGAAAAAACTGGAAGTTCCAAATGATACTCCTCCATTGTGGTTTAAGTTTTTTAGGTGTGCAAATTAGAGTACCGGCAAATCATCTTGATCCTGTCATGGTTTGCTCTTTATTAAGTCTGTTTTCATTTTGCTCTTAACCCTTAAGATTTGGCTCTCCTAGGATCTTAGATGAAAGCTCAGTGTTTACCAGCATTCCTCTACTTTGGTTGGGCTTGACCTTTAATCTCTCTCAACAGGCTGGGAGTTGTGGCTCATGCCTGTAATCCCAGTACTTTGGGAGGCCAAAGCAAATGCATCACCTGAGGTCAGGAATTCGAGACCACCCTGGCCAACATAACAAAGTCTCCTCTTTACTAAAAATACAAAAATTAGCTGGGCATGGTGGCGTGTGCCTGTAGTCCCCACTACTCAGGAGGCTGAGGCAGGAAAATGGCTTGAACCCAGGAGGCAGAGGTTGCAGTGAGCCAAGATCGCACCATTACTTCAGCCTGGGTGGCAGAGCAAAACTCCATCTCAAAAAAAAAAAAAAAATCCCTCTCAACAATACATGTTTGCTGAGATTTCTGCTCAGCTCTTTAGCTTCTCTGCTGTTGGATTTTGGGGAGTCTAGTCCTGCATGTATGTGGCATAGGTTAACAACTTGGTGGGGGGTGAGGAGGTTATTCTGGTTTTTGGAGAGTTCTTTCTCAGTGGATTCTTCCTTGCTGGAATTTTGTCCCTTAAGTCTCAGCTACTTTGGCAGCCCCAAACTCTGACCTTCAACTCCTCAGCCCATTGAAATTGCTGCTTCTGCCTCAGGTCCATTTTTTCACACTTAAGATTTGGCATATGCCTTCAGGAGACAAAAAATATAGGATGAATGTGTCATCTCCTGATGTGCTTCTCATTTTTCATGGATCAGAGCCCCTGAAATCCTGCCAGCTGGTTTTTCACCATTGCCTTCAAAGATGTGTTTTATATATTCGTCCTTTCTGTAGTGGATTTATAAGAAGAGGCAAAGGGTTGGTCTACTATAGGCTATTAATACTTTGTCATGGCCAGAGCCAAAGTCTCTGTAAAATAAGGTTAATAAACATGCCAGGATTATAGGGTTCTTGTTAGGATTAGCTGTGTTATGCATGTAAAGTGATAAGAAAAATGGTTCATACATAGTAGCATCCTCATTTTGGCTTGTAATTTTATTCTCTCTTTTAGCCTCTGGAACAGGACCCAAGGACATTATCATTATACAGCTATCTGGTGAATATCAGTCTCTAAACATACACACGCACCCTTTATAGTTGTATAGAATTTTAGTTTCACCTTTTAAACATTTTTAAAAAGTTGTGCCACAGACATTTGTTACTTGAAATTAAGACCCTGTTTCATTATTTTCTGTGCTATATGTGTTGTTTCTGTAATTCCACCTGTATTAGTCAGCTCAAGCTGACTGATACCATAGACTAACAAAATAGCATCAGCTGGGTGACATTTAAAACAAATTTATTTTCTCACAGTTCTGGAATTTGGAAGTCTGAGAATAGAGTTTCAGCATTGTTGGATTCTGGTTAGTTCTCTCTTCCTGGATCTCAGACAACTGCCTTCTCCCTGTGTTCTCACATGATGGAGAGAAAAAGCAAGCTCTCTAGATCTCTTCTTCTCAGAGTGCCCAGCCATCATGAGGGCCCAACCTCCATGACTTCATCTAATTCTAATCACCTCCCACAGACTCCATCTCCAAATACCATTATATTGGAGGTCAGAGCTTCAATATAGGAATTTGGAGGCCAGGCGTGACACACTTTAGAGCATCACTCATCCTCTAGACTCAAGGATTTTTTTGTTTGTTTTTGTTTTAGTTTTTTGAGGCAGTGTCTCACTCTGTCACCCAGGCTGGAGTGCAGTGGCACACTCATGGCTCACTGCAACATCAAACTCCTGGGTTCAGGAGATCCTCCTGCTTCAGACTCCTGGGTAGCTAAAACTATAGGTACATGCCACCCCGCGCAGCTAGTTTTTTAATTTTTATTTTTCGTAGAGACAGGGTCTAGCTATATTGCCCAGGCTGGTCTTGAACCCCTAGCGTCAAGTGATTCTCCCACCTTGGTCTCCCAAGGATTGGTTTCCTGGATTACAAGTGTGAGCCATTGTGCCCAGCCTGGATTCATGTTTCTATTTCTTTCTTTCTTTTTTTTTTTTTTTGAGACAGAGTCTCACTCTGTCGCTCAGGCTGGACTGCAGTGGTGCAATCTGGGCTCACTGCAACCTCTGCCTCCCGGGTTCAAGCAATTCTGCCTCAGCCTCCTGAGTAGCTGGGATTACAGGCACATACTGCCACGCCTGGCTAATTTTTTTTTTTTTTTTTTTGTATTTTAGTAGAGACGGGGTTTCACTGTGTTGCCCAGGCTGGTGGCAAACTCCTGAGCTCAGGCAGTCTGCCCGCCTCAGCCGCCCGAAGTACTGGGATTACAGGTGTGAGCCACCATGCCAGCCCCATGTTTCTTTTTCATGCTTTTTGTTTGTTTCAGAGGCAGGGTCTCGCTCTCACCCTGGCTGGAGTGCAGTGGCATGATGGTGGCACACTGCAGTGTCGAACTCCTGGGCTCAAGCAGTCCTCCTGCTTCAGCTTCCTGAGTAGCTGGGACTACGGGCATGCACCACCATGCCTTATTTTTTATTTTTTTATTTTTTGAGATGGAGTCTCACCCTGTTGCCTAGGCTGGAGTGCAGTGGCACAATCTCAGCTCACTGCAACCTCCACCTTCCAAGCTGAAGCAATTCTCTTACCTCAGCCTCCCAAGTAGCTGGGATTACAGATTCCCACCTGCTACCACACCCAGCTAATTTTTGTATTTTCAGTATAGATAGTCCTCACTGTGTTGCCCAGGCTGGTCTCAACTCCTGACCTTAAGCAATCCACTGGCCTCGACCTCCCGAAGTCCTGGGATTAAAGGCGTGAGCCACCATGCCCGGTCTTGAAGTTCATTTTTTTAATAGCTCTTTGAGTATCTGTGGGAGGTAAACTCTCTTAGTCTTTGAATGTGTAAAAATTGTTTTATCCCATCCTTACTTTTTTTTTTTTTTTTAAGAGAGTCTTGCTTTGTTTCCTAGGCTGGAGTGCAGTGGGTTGGTCATAGCTTACTGTAAACTTGGAACTCATGGGCTCAAGCAATCCTCTAGCCTCAGCCTCAGGAGTAGCTGGGATCACAGATGTGTGCCACCATGCCCAACTAATTTTTTTCAGTTTTTTGTAGAGATGGGGTCTCACCAAGTTTGCTCAGGCTGGTCTCGAATTTCTGACCTCCAGTGATTGTCCCGCTTTGGCTTCCCAAAGTGGTGGGATTATAGGCATGAGCCACTGCACCCAGCCGCTACCCTTACTCTTGAAAAAGAATTTAAGGGATCATAGAATTTGAAGTTTACAATTATTTTTTCTCTACTACCTAAAGATCATATTTTATTACTTTAGTGTTAATTGCTTCTTATGAAGAGTCTTTTTTTTTTTTTGAGACGGTGTCTTGCTCTGTTGCCCAGGCTGGAGTGTAGTGGCACAATCTTGGCCTACTGCAACCTCCGCCTCCCGGGTTCAAGCGATTCTCTCGCCTCAACCTCCTGAATAGCTGGGATTACAGGTGCATGCCACCACACCAAGCTGATTTTTGTATTTTTAGTAGAGACGGCGTTTTGCCATGTTGACCAGGCTGGTCTCGAACTCCTGACTTCAAGTGATCCGCTCTCCTCAGCCTCCCAGAGTGCTGGGATTACAGGTGTGAGCCACCAAGCCCAGCCTGAAGAGTCTATTTTTATCTTTGTTTTACCTCTGGTAGTTCTACCTTATGACATTTTTATGTGTGGTTTTATTTTTACTACTGTCCAATAGCCTGTATAGTTTCACCACACCATTGCTGGTTTGAATGGATACTTATCTGTTTTTTTTTTTTTTTAATTAGTTTATTCTTTTGAGATAGAGTTTTGCTCTTGTCTCCCAACCTGGAGTGCAATGGCGTGATCTCAGCTTACTCTACAACCTCTGCCTCCCTGGTTGAAGCAATTCTCCTGCCTCAGCCTCCCAAGTAGCTGGGATTACAGGCACCTGCCACCACATCTGGATAATTTCTTGTATTTTTAGTAGAAGCAGGGTTTCGCCCATGTTGGCCAGGCTGGTCTCAAACTCCTGACCTCGAGTGATCCGCCTGCCTCGGCCTCCCAAGGTGCTTAGATTACAGCCATGAGCTGTCGTGCCCTGCCGTCTGTTTTATTTTTTAAAATCTTTATTGATACAGGCTGGGCTTGGTGGTTCACACCTGTAATCGCAGCACTTTGGGAAGCCAAGGCAGAAGGAATGCTTGAGACCGGGATATCCAAACCAGCCTGGGCAGCATAGTGAGACCCTGTCTCTACAAAAAAATTTTAAAAATTCAGCTAGGCATGGTGGTGCATGCCTGTGGTCCCAGCTACTCTGAGGCTGAGGCAGGAGGATTGCTTGAGCCCAGGGGTTCAAGGCTGTAGTGAGCCGTGATCGTGTAGCTGCTCTCCAGCCAGGATGACAGAGAGAGACTGGCTCAAAAAGAAATAAAAAAGACTACAACCTCCTCCTACTGGGTTCAAGTTATTCTCCTGCCTCAGCCTTCCAAGTACCTGGGATTACAGGTGCCTGCCACCACGCCTGGCTAATTTTTATATTTTTAGTAGAAATGGGTTTCACCACGTTGGCCCGGCTAGTATCAAACTCCTGACCTCAAATGATCTGCCCTCCTCAGCCTCTCAAAGTGCTGGGATTACAGGTGTGAGCCATCGCTCCTAGCCCTCAAAGAAATCTTTATTGATATATAATTAAAATAAAATCCATCCATTTTAGTATATAGTTCAGTGAGTTTTGACAAATGCATATACCCAGGTGACTACCACCACAATCAATATGTGGAGTGTGACTTAACCCGGAAAGGTTCCCTCATGTCACTTAACAGTTAATCTACCCACTCCCTCATTGGTACCCACCTTTTCTCCTTCCATAATAGACATGGGTTGTTGTTTTTTTTGTCCCCATTACTCTCATATGAGTCCATTTCCCAAATATTTCTCTGTTTCCTATCCCCAGAGTTCAGTAGTTCTGCTGCTTTGGCCCCATCAATAACTTCTGTGTTTCTGTTCCATTGCTGGTCCATGGAGATGTAATGTCTTGGCTTTAACACCATGATACTTCTTTTTAAAGGAAGAGAGGGATGGATTACAAAAATACAAGTCTACTACCCCACTCTGCTACCCAGATTTAACATATGTTCATGTTTTGTCTTGTTTGCTTTAAATATCTTTAAAAGAAAGAAAAAAGATGTTATATGTAACTCAAGTTCAAGTTCCTTTTCATTCTCCCTTACCCAGAAATAGTCACTGTCCTGAAGTTGCTGAGGTCATTCTTACGCATACTGTATTTTTAATTTTTTTTTTGTTTGTTTGTTTGTTTTCGAGACAGAGTCTCGCTCTGTCATGCAAGCTGGAGTGCAGTGGTGTGATCTCGGCTCACTGCAACCTCTGCCTCCCGGGTTCATGCCATTCTCCTGCCTTAGCTTCCTGACTAGCTGGGATATCAGGTGCCCGTCACCACACCCTGCTAATTTTTGTATTTTTATTATTTATTTATTTATTATTATTTTTTAAATTTTTAGTAGAGATGGGGTTTCACCGTGTTGGCCAGGATGGTCTCAATCTCCTGACCTCATGATCCGCCTATCTCAGCCTCCCAAAGTGCTGGGATTACAGGCTTGAGCCACCGCACCCAGCCTGTGTGTGTGTTTTTAATAGAGATGGGGTTTCACCATGTTGGCCAGGCTGGTCTCAAACTCCTCACCTTAGGTGATCCATCCACCTCAGCCTCCCTAAGAGCTGGGATTACAGGTGTGAGCCACCACGCCTGGCTGTATTTTTTAATTTAATATTTAAATTTAATGTATTTTAAATTTTTGTATTAACTTACATAAATGGTATCACACTTATTTTCATTTAACATTAGTTAATTTAACTGTGTTGTATCATATGAATTTTATTTATTCCTTTACTGATGTCCAATAAGGTCATTTCCAATTGCTTTTATTACATATTTGCTATAATGACCATCCCTGTCCGTATATTCTATTATGCGTATTTCTTGGAGAACACACAGAGGTTTCTTTAGCTGATATACCTGGAAGTGGAATTGCTAAGTCACAGGGAATGTACATTTGTAATTTAGGGCGTATTGCTAATTGCTATTCAGAATATCTTTTCCAAGTTACTCTTCAAACCAGCAATGTATAAGATGATTTCCCATGTCTTACATACTTGCCTTTTTTGCCACCCCAGTGGTTTGAAACATAATTCCTTTTTTTTTTTTTTGTGACGGAGTCTCACTCTGTTGCCCAGGCTGGAGTGCAGTGCCACGATCTTGGCTCACTGCAACTTCAGCCTCCCGGGTTCAAGCGATTCTCCTGCCTCAGTGTCCAGAGTAGCTGGGATTACAGGCACGTGCCACCACGCCCAGCTAATTTTTGTATTTTTAGTAGAGTTGGCATTTCACCATGTTGGTCAGACTGGTCTCAAACTCCTAACCTCATGACCTGCCCGCCTCGGCCTCCCAAAGTGCTGGGATTGTAGGCGTGAGCCACTGCGTCTGGCTGAAACATAATTCATTTTCTGATTTGCCTTTCCCTGATTATTAGTGAGGTTGAGCATCTTCTGTGTTTTCTTTTTTGTGAATTGAATTGCCTGTTAATACCCTTAGCCCATTTCTTTGTTAGCATATTTGTATCAAGATGTCATTTCTCTGTCAGTACTTTGTCTCTTTAATATGTGTATTTTAAAAATATGTTTTAATGTCATAGGTTTTGAGTTTGTGTGGTTTTTTTTTTTTTTGACCCACCTCCTTGGATATGTTTTCTTAAGGAATGTTTTCAGCATAAGCTTCAGATGTTCCCCTGACCAGATACATGGCAAGAGTTTTGATACTCCCTCATTCTTACTGTTACTCTTTGCTTCCTTTTCAGTTCTTTTGAAACAGATGGTCACCATGTTTAGATATTAGCAGTCCCATATATGCATGTCTGCATTTGAAAATGGAAGAGGGAAACAACAATGAAGAGGTAATTCACTTGAACAACTTTCACTGCCATCGGGGACAAGGTAAGTTGTTTGTTCTCACTTCATCCCTTTCCCTGTGGCTTTTTCTTTTAGTATCACAGCTGTATCTTTTGAAATGAACCTATTTTGTACCATTTAGAATCCAGGGACATTTCGTTTTTGACAAAAAGACTAGTTAGACTAGAATTATATCAGATAATGATATTGCTGGCATGAATGAAGTGTAAGACTCATTCATTACAAATGGATTAATAAGCTATTAATTTGCTGGCAAGACGCTGTTAATATGCAGTCATTGAGTCTTAAGAGACAGTGTCAGCATCAGTTTTTGAAGGCGTGGTGATTATAAAGGAGTGCTCCACTAGGCCTTTATGTTCTGAAATACTGCAGGTGTTGCTGAACCAGTCTTGTCTTCCCATGATGCTTAATTTCTTTTTTGCCAGAAGATTCTGGCTTAGCCTTGAGGGGAATTTTGGAACATGTATTTTTTTGTTCTACAGTTTTGTTTTGTTTTTTTTTTTTCTTTTTTTGAGATGGAATTTTACTCATTGCCCAGGCCAGAGTGCAATGGCGTAATCTCGACTCACCACGAGCTCCGCCTCCTGGGTTCAAATGATTCTCCGGTCTGAGCCTCCTGAGTAGCTGGGATTACAGGCATGTGCCACTACGCCCTGCTAATTTTGTATTTTTAGTAGAGATGGGGTTTCTCCACGTTGTTCAGGCTAGTCTTGATCTCTCCACCTCAGGTGATCCGCCCGCCTCAGCCTGCCAAAGTGCTGGGATTACAGGCGTGAGCCACTGCACCCAGACTGTTCTACAGTTTTTAAAGTTTTGGGGAATTTTATTGATTTGTAAAGGGAATAGTGCTTGCATTTCTGTAACATTCTTACATGTTTGTGAAATTTCCTGTTAAATTCGAATTCACATTTACACTTGGGCTAAAAGGAAAAAAATCATGCTGAGGTGTAGAATCCTTACGTTCATTTTTTGCAATTATAAATTCCATGGAAGAGGTTATACTGGTTTTCTCCCATTGATAATATTTTGTGTTTACAAAGATGATTTTTCTAGTAGAGAGTAAATTACATTTGACCTTACAAAAATGACTCCCCCAGGCCAGGCGTGGTGGCTCACTCCTGTAATCCCAGCACTTTGGGAGACCGAGGCGGGTGGATCACGAGGTCAGGAGTTCGAGACCAGCCTGACCAACATGGTGAAATCCCATCTCTACTAAAAAATACAAAAATTAGCTGGGCGTGGTGGTGCATGCCTGTAGTCCCAGCTACTTGGGAGGCTGAGGCAGGAGAATCACTTGAACCTGGGAGGCAGAGGTTGTAGTGAGCTGAGATTGTGCCACTGCACTCCAGCCTGGGCGACAGGGCAAGACTCCGTCTCAAAAAAAAAAAAAAAAGAAGAAAAATGACTCCACCAAAACTTAAGTACGAATAGCCTACTGTTGACTGGAAGCCTTACTGATAACATAAACAGTCAACACATGCGTTATATATTGTATGTTTTGTATACTGTATTCTTACAATAAAGTGAGCTACAGAAAAGAAGTGTGATTAAGAAAATCATAAGGAAGAGAAAGAAAATATATTTACTGTTCCTTAAGTGGAAGTGGACCATTCTAAAGGTCTTCATCTTCATCATCCTCACATTGAGTAGGCTGAAGAGGAGGAGGAAGAAGAGGGGTTGGTCATTGTATTAGTTCGTTCTCCACTGGCTGTAAAGAAATGCCCAAGACTGGGTAATTTGTAAAGAAAGAAAAGAGGTTTAATTGGTTCACAATTCTGTAGGCTGTATAGGAAACATAGCGGCCTCTGCTTCTGGGGGAGGCCTTAGGAAACTTACAATCATGACAGAAGGAAAAGGGGAAGCACGCTTGTCTCACATGGCTGGAGCAGGAACAAGAGGGGTTGGGGAAGAGGTGCCACACACTTTTAAACAACCAGATCTCACAAGAACTCACTGTTGCAACCAGAACGGATTGTGCTAAATCATTTATGAAATACCACCCCCATGATCCAATTACCTCCCACCAGGCCGCATCTCCAACATTGGGGTTTACAGTTGAATATGAAATTTGGGCAGGGACACAGATCCAAACCATACTATTCCACCCCAGCCCCTCCCAAGTCTCTTGTCCTTCTCACATTGCTAAATACAATTGCGTCTTCCCAACAGTCCCCAAAGTCTTAACTCATTCTAGCATTAACTCAAAAGTCCAGTCTTATCTGTGACAAGTCTAGTCCCTTCCACCTATGAGCCTGTAAAGTCAAAAACAAGTTAATTATTCCCAAGATACTATGGGGGTACATGCATTGCGTATATACTCCTGTTCCAAAAGGGAGAAATTGGCCAAAAGAAAGACGCAAGAGGTCCCACACAAGTCCAAAACCCAGCAGGGCGGTCATTAAATCTTAAAGGTCCAAAATAACCTCCTTTGACTCCACATCTCACATTCATGGCACACTGGTGCAAGGGATAGGCTCCTGAAAGTCTCGTGCAGTCCTGCTGTCTCAGGAGTGACACAAGTGGAAGAAAATCTGCAAATAAGGGGACCCACACTGTTGAAATCAGTGTTGCTCAAGAGTCAACTGTGTATTTGGCTTTCAGAGCATTTAAAATTGAGCAAATTTTATTAGGTCAAATCAAGAGTAATAAAATTGCTCAAGCTATGCACATTATGAGTGCAAAAGGAGGACTCATTTTTAGGATTTTATTAATAATGTATTCTAACTTGGTAGTGATTGTAGCCATAATTTATTGGATTCAGGCAATTTTAAATCTTAGTTATAACTTGTATTTACGATCATTTCAAAATTTTCTGTACATGTATATCCAATTAATTTTATAGTTGTTTTTTAATTGGATCTTAAATATACTTGAACAGTTTCTTTAAGAACAACTAATTCATTTTGGAAAATTACTGACTTTGGAGATATATTTTGTTAGACGAGTATGTATACTCTGCACCCATCATGAGAACTTTTTTCAGGTATATAGAGTTTTGTTTTTATTAGCTGCATTAATTTTTTTTTCTTTAATCAAGAGAGGGTCTCACTATGTTGCCTGGCAAGGCTGGTCTTGAACTGCTGGGCTCAAGTGATCCAATTGCCTCTGCCTCACGAAGTGCTAGGATTACAGGTGTGAGCCACTGCTCCTGGCCAACATTAATAATTTTTTATTATGCATCAACCTCTGTAGTTTTGTTAAAAGTGTATAAAATGAATATACCACCTGAATTATGATATGGAACATTTTCTATCACTCCAAAAAGATTCCCTTGTGCCTCTTTGCAGTTAGTCCTTACCTCACTCCAGGCCTAAGGAAACCACTAATCTGCTTTTTTTGACTCTGTCATTTCATATAAATGGAATTATACATACTGTATATATTCTTTGTACTGGAATTCTTTTGTGAAAGGTAATGTTTTTGAGATTCATCCCTGTTGTTGCATATATCAGTAACTCATTCCTTTTTAATTGCTAAATAGTGTTTTTACCTACTCATCTACGATTCTGTACCTAGTGAAAATAGGCTTAAAAATGAAGGTAAAATAAAGATTTAAAAAAATTTTGTTAGGAAGGAAAAAAGGTACATCATGCAGATAGCCACACACACACACAAAAAGAGCTGA
Organism: Homo sapiens; assembly: GCF_000001405.40. Taxonomy (NCBI): domain Eukaryota; kingdom Metazoa; phylum Chordata; class Mammalia; order Primates; family Hominidae; genus Homo; species Homo sapiens. The sequence goes on along the minus strand of NC_000007.14, from coordinate 5,757,401 downwards.
TATATCTGTGTAATATCAAATACAACTGATAGAAACTCCAGCCAGAAGCATTGATAGAGTTCATAATGATAAAAGATTCAGTGCACTGAGAAGATAAGCTAATCCCTGTATACTTAGTAACATGATAGGAAAATATACAAAGCAAAAATTGGCAGATCTAAAAACAGAATTGGACAAATCCACCATTATAGTGGGGATTTTTAAGACTTGTTTCAGTAACTGAAAGAACAAGCACATACACACACTTGTATGAATATAGAAGATTGGAAGAACATGGTCAACAAATGTAATAAACATAGGTGGGATTCTGCACCCAGTGTGAGAAGAAATCACAATGAAAATTAGAAGATATTTTGAATTACATGATAATGAAAATGTAGCCTATTACATTTATGAGATACATGTAATGCCATGTTTTGAGGAAAACTTATGGCCTAAAATACATTAGACAAGAAGTAAAAAGCTCAGCCAGGCGCAGTGGCTCATGCTTGTAATGCCAGCACTTTGGAAGGCCAAAGTGGGAGGATAACTTGAGCCTAGGATTTCGAGGCCAGCCTGGGCGACATGGTGAGATTCTCATGTCTGCAAAAAATTAAATATAAAAAATTTAGCTGGGTATGGTGGTCTTGGGTTTACCAGGTCCCAGGTACTTGGGATACCAAGATGGGAGGGTCACTTGAACCCAGTAGTAGGTCAAGGCTGCAGAGAACTTGTGTTCATGCTATTGTACTCTAGCCTGGGCAACAGAGAGCGACCCTGTCGCAAAAACAAAAAACAAAACAAAAACAAACCCAGCCTAGCCAACATGGGGAAACCCCATCTCTACTAAAAATACAAAAATTAGCCGGGCATGGTGTTGGAAGCCTGTAATCCCAGCTACTCAGGAGGCTGAGGCCTGAGAATCGCTTGAACCCAGGAGGTGGAGGTTGCAGGGAACCAAGATAACTAGGGCTCAGCAAATTTGAAGAGCTAAGTAGTTAATATTTTAGCCTCGCGGGCCATATGGTTTCTGTTGCAACTATTCAGCTATACCATTGTAGCATGAAAGCAACTGTATTAGTCTGCTTTCACACTGCTAGGAAGAAATGCCTGAGACTGGGTAATTTATGACGGAAAGAGGTTTAATTGACTCACAGTTCCATATTGCTGGGAAGGCCTCAGGAAAATTACTGTCATGGCGAAAGGCAAAGGAGAAGCAGGCACCTTCTCAGGAGGCAGGATGGAGTGAGTGCAAGCAGGGGAAATGCCAGTGCATATAAAACCATCGGACACCTCAAGACTCACTCACTATCACGAGAGCAGAATGGGGGAAACTGCCCCCATGATCCGATTACCTCCACCTGTCCCGCTCGTGACTTGTGGGGATTATGGGATTACAATTCAAGATGAGATTTTTGGTGGGGACACAGCCAAACCATATCAATCTATAGACAGTATATAAATGAATGAGCATGATTGTGTTCCCATAAGGACGTGAAGCAACGTACTATCCTACACTGCAGATGGGAGTGTAAATTGGTACAATTTGGAAAATTTGTTTAGTGTTATCTGCCAAAATGGAGCATATGCTTACCCCATGACTCAGCATTTCCACTCCTAGAATGTATCCAGCTAAAATGAGTACACCAAAGACTTGCACAAGAATGTTCACAATAGCACTATCCACAGTAGCCTAAACTGCCACATACTCAAATGTCTATCAACAGAAGAAGGAATAATTTTATGTTATATTCATATAGTGGATTATATACAAGAAAGAATTATAACAGCATGCAGTATGGATGTATCTCAAACATTATTTGCAAGAAAGAGAAGAATATATACTCAAAAACATGCAAAACTTATCTGCGCAATTAGAAATCCTCCCTTTGAGGACGAAGGAGAGCAGAAATTGGGAGAAAGCACAAGGGGGCTACTAATGTGCTAGAAATATTTCCTGACCTTGTGGTGGTGATTATACACAGATGGCCCTTTGTATTAATTCATAGAGCTTGTACACTTGATTTATAGACCATGCTGTGTTATTCTTTCAATTTTTTTTTAAGTATACTTTGAAAAGCTAATTGGAACCTTACATGTGGTGTGTTGTGTGGTATCTTGTCAAACACTGGACTTTATTATAAGGTGATAGGTTCCTTCCTTCCTTCCTTCCTTCCTTCCTTTCATCCTTCCCTCCCTTCCTTCCTTTCTTCCTTCCCTCCCTTCCTTCCTTCCTTCTTCCTTTCCTCTCTTTCCTTCCTTTCTCCTTCCTTCTTTCCTTCCTCCCTCCCTCTTTCCTTTCCTTCCTTTCCTTCCTTTCCTCCTCTCTTCTCCTTTCCTTCCTTTCCTTCAGTTCCCTCCCTCCCTCCCTTGTTTCCTTTTTTTTTTTTAGCCTGAGATAGGGTCTTGCTCTAGCACCCAGGCTGGAGTGCAGTGGCATGATCTTGGCTTACTGCAGCCTCCATCTCCCAGGTTAAAGCGATTCTCCTGCCTCAGTCTCCCAGGTAGCTGGGATTACAGTTGCATGCCACCACACCCGGCTAATTTTTGTATTTGTAGTAGAGATGGGGTTTTACCATGTTGGCCAGGCTCGTCTCGAACTCCTGGCCTCAAGTGATCTGCCTGTCTAGGCCTCCCAAAGTTCTGGGATTACAGGCGTGAGCCACCGTGCCCAGCCTAAACCAACTTTTTCATTGGGTACACCAAGATTGTGTGTCTTTTTCTTGGGTCAGTTCTTCAAGAGAGGAATCTACAATTTCCTGCGGGTGCAGGGGTCTTATTCACTATGGCCATTTTCAGTGGTGTACATTTTCTCTCTTGACTCCTGTGCCTCATGTACCAATGGCTAGAGCTTTTCTTTGCTCAGTATCTCTTCAGAATGATCCCCCATAGCGTGTGTCTTCTGAAATGGCTAAGTGAGGAGCTTGGCAACTCCTCATCCTTAAAAATCCACAATTAAGTCAGGCATGGTGGCTCATGCCTGTCATCCCAGTGACTTCTTGGGAGGCCGAGGTGGGAGGAGCACTTGAGGCCAGGAGTTCAAGGCCAGCATAGGAACATAGTGAGACTCCATCTCTACAAAAAAAAATTTTTTTTTTAAGTAACTGTTCAAAGTAGTGTGCACCTGTTGTCCTAGCTACTTGGGAAGCTGACATGGGAGGATTGCTTGAGCCTAGGAGGTTGAAGCTGCAGTGAGCTATGATCGCACCATTGTACTGCAGTCTGGGCAATAGAGCAAGACCCTGTCCCAGACAAATGCGCACACACACACACACACACACACACACACACACACACACACACCACACAAAAGAAAAACATTACAGCTTTAATGGAAGAATTTCAAAAATTGCAGTGATGAGGTGCGTCATTTCGTTTCTTTCTTCTTCTCTTCTTTTAGGTCACTTAATGCATTTTTTTTAAAATTTGAGATGGGGTCTCACTCTGTCACCCAGGCTAGAGTGCAGTGTTGCGATCTCAGCTCACTGCAACCTCTGCCTCCCGAGTTCAAACGATTCTCCTGCCTCAGCCTCCTGAATAGCTGGGATTACAGGCATGCGCCACCACGCATGGCTAATTTTTGTATTTTTAGTAGAGACGGTGTTTCACCGTGTTCGTCTGGCTGGTCTCAAACTCCTGACCTCATGATCCACCCACCTCGGCCTCCCAAAGTGCTGGGATTACAGGCGTGAGCCACTGCTCCCGGCCAATGCTTTTTTTTAAAATTGTCCCTCTTAACCTTTGATATTCCCATGGAACTAGACAGGAAAAAATACCAGTTTGTGTTACCCAGTAATTCATATCAAACATGGCCTGTTTTCAAATTGATAAAAGGAAGTAAAAACCTTGAATAGAATTACTACATTTAGATGGTTAGATTATATATATTTTAAAGGAAACTTGGAAAGTTAAATTGCTGACTGTCATAGATGCTAAATGGGTGCTTGACTAAAGCATTGACATAGGTTTGCTTAAATGATTCTTAAAGTTTGTGTTTAAGATGAGCAAATTTCAATATTTTAAACAATTAAAATTTTACTATTTTTTGAATGATAATTTTTTCAGACCAAACAATTTAAATAAAATAGACATTTATTCCCAGGAGGAATAGAGATGGATTGGGAGACCATTATTTCACTTTAAAGAAATTGGCAGTCAAGAAAATTTTGTAAACAGATTTCTCCAACCTAGTATGAGAAAAAGTTGATAATCTTGAGCATAGTAATTGTTAGATGTTCTCTAGCAGTTCCCAAAATGTGTTATTGGCAAAAGTCAGCATAGAAACATGGCTCTTAATGCTTAAGTGCACGGGCTGCTTGAGGAGGTACGTTACACTAGTAGCCATGAAGTTGGCTTTAGGCTGTACCCCTGTCAGGAAAAACTTAAAGAGTTGGATGTGATAGTGCCAACCTCCCAGTAACAGTGTTCTCTGCTTTCCTGTAGAGTGGATCAATCTCCGAGATGGGCCCATCACCATATCTGACTCCTCAGATGAGGAAAGGATTCCAATGCTGGTCACCCCAGCTCCTCAGCAGCATGAAGAAGAGGACCTGGATGATGATGTCATCCTGACAGAAGTGAGTTTTCTTTAAACTTACAATGAGACATTATTGCAAGTTGGTGATCTGATTTTTCAGCCACTCTTGTGGGCCTTGTTGTAGAACAGCACCTCTTGTACTCGTTCTGAGAACAGCCCCTTTTCCATTCTACCTCGTGTACTCTTAGATTTAGAAGCTGTATGTTTCAGTCTGTTTCTGGATTGAATATCTGCACCATTGTTCCATCTGACTATTAACGCACCAAATTCCACTGTTGTCATTGCTACAACATTATAGTGTATCTTACTGTTGGATTGGCCTTATATTTTCCATATTATCCCACATTTTTTCAGAATCATCCTGGATATTCTTGCACTTAAATTTTTATATGGATTTTACAATCAACTTCTTTAGTTCCAAAATATAAAGATATATATATAATCAGTTTGCGTAATCCAAAACAAATCTTCCTGTTATATTTATAGAGCAATTTTTATGATACTACTCTTTCTAACCAAGAACAAATTTTGTCTTTTCATATAGTCAAGGCTACTTTAATATTCCTCAGCCAGAAAGCATTTTGAATTTTTCTTAATATAGATCTTAAGCATTTTTTGTTTTTCTTGGTTATTTTATATTTTCTGTTGCTTTTGTGACTGACATCTTTTCTTTCATTGTACTTTCATTTTTTTTATTTTTTTGAGACGGAGTTTTGCTCTTTTCCCAGACTGGAGTGCAGTGGCGCGATCTTGGCTCACTGCAACCTCCGCCTTCTGGTTTCAAGCAATTCTCCTGCCTCAGCCTCCTGAGTAGCTGGGATTACAGGCGCCCGCCACCAGGCCTGGCTAATTTTTGTATTTTTAGCAGAGATAGGTTTAACTATCTTGGCCAGGCTGGTCTTGAACTCCTGACCTCGTGATCCGCCCCCCTCAGCCTCCCAAAGTGCTGAGATTATAGGCGTGAGCCACTATGCCTGGCCCTTTCATTGTACTTTTTAAACTGTTTTTTTTAAACTACAAATCTGTTGCTTTTTTTTTTTTTTTTTTTTTTTTTTTTTAGTTTAAAGATCCCAGTTGGCTTTATTGTGGTTCTAGGACCAAGGAACACTTCCTTCCATAAAATTCAGTAGGTGTTCCACTGAGCTGAGGAGAAGTGGTTGGCTTTATAGACAAAGAAGGGCTGAAGAGAGCAGAAGCAAAGTCCTTTCAAAGTTACTTTTCTTGTCAGGCTGGGACAGGGAGACAGAAAAGAGAAAAATAACTGATGAGTTAACATCAGGCTGCTTCAGGCCACCTTTCCTGTGTAAGAATTAAAGCAGAGGGAAATTCATTATGATTCCCAATGAAGATTTAAACTGCCCTGTTTAAGAAACTGGTTGTTCACTCTTTCTTTCAATTTCTAGGAAGATCAAATGAACTTCCCAGGTTTAGGTTTGGTAGTATGAAACTTACATGGATGCTTCCGTTTTGAGTTTTAGTCTGGTCTTTTGGGGTCTAGTGCACACACTTAGTCCAAAACAGTGGCCTCCTATAATTTTTATTTAACAATTCCTCCCTTTTTGTTAGGCTTTCACCCAGGACCTGACCAAACCTTCGGGCATCAGTGCCACTCTCAGTTACCATCATTTTGGGTTTCTGGTCCCAGCATATACTTTATAGGTTCTGGTGTCCTCATTATCACACTTTTTTTTGTTGTTGTTGTTCCAGCTGGAGAAAGACCATTTGGCATTTGACAGGTAGCTGTATGGAAACATTTAAAACTTTCTGAGGGTGCACAGCACACCAAGGAGACTGCCGTTAGGACTCTAAGGAGGGTAATACCCAGAGTTTGGGTGGAGGCTGCTCCTCGGCTAGGGCCCCAACTAAAACCAAATAGCTAGACAAGGAGTCTACCTTGTTTTAACCAAGTAGTCTGCTCTGCAATACTTGCTGTGTTTTATCTGTGTGCAAGCAAGAAGCGCCATCAACTGCACAGAATCTTCTCTGTTGAGTTAGTAGGTAATCTCGCATCCCATGACTGGGTTAAATTAAAGCGGGGAGTGCAGGTTATCTGCAGAGGCTACTACTGATGGTGAAATTTTCACTGCAACGTTGTCCTGCCACGTGAGAGGCATAAGTAAGGAAAGATTAAGGAGAGTAAGAGTCTCACATTTATGAGGGGGAGTCTTGCTCCAATGTGGTTTGCTGTTGTGAATGTCTCTGGTTGTGGCATTGGCCATCCTAGTGAACTCTGTGTGGCCCATGCATTAGGCATGAGACTTATTCCTTGCGATTTGCGTAGATTTGTCCAGCTTCAGCTTATAGGGCTTCAGGAACTAAGCAGGTTCCTGCTATCTAACAGGTAGATAATAAAAACTCAGTGAACAGTGCTGCAATCTAAATAACAGGCATACTGGAGTTTTCTTTTGAAATGTAATTTTCCTCTCTAAGTCACTCCCATTTCTACCAAAGATAATCACAGTAAGACCAGTTTGCCTGACTAACCACATATTTGAAAGCACATATTTAAATTTGCTTTGCTGGAAATTTTGATGAGGAATCTCAAATTGGTCTTTAAAAAATGTCTCTGCTAGGAAACCAAACCAGGGCAGACATTAGTCTTTGTGTGCTGTATCCAGCATCTGGAGGTTCCTGAGCCTGCCAGGAAGAGACAGATTTACTCACTGTAAGACAGGGAATGCTTAAAGCCAGGCATTGTTTGCACATTTTGAAATATGGCATTCCAGTCAAAGCCTTGGTAACATAACCAGTTTCCAGTTGTGTCCTTTTATTAAAAGGACAGATATGCAAATAATGATATTGCCATAAAAATAAGAATACTCATGAATAGTTTGCAAATTCTGGAGGGATCCTGTTGGGAGGAAAAGCAAATATTTTTATTTTTATTATAAAAGTATACCAAATTGCTATAAGCTATAATAACCTTAAAAGAAAAAAGTTTCCTTAAATCTGGAAAACAAAACATTAAAAGAACCAGCAGTGTTTCAAATAAAGAAGCCATAAAAACCCATGATTCTTCTTTTATCAATTCAGTCTCATGTAATTAATTTTTGCTGTTTGATCTTGGTTAGCAGTTACACAAATCCATTAGTTTCTTCATTAGAATTTTGGATATTTAGTCCGATAGTACGAACTCAAACTTGTATTTGTCAGAGTTCGTTTCATTTTTCGCATATACATCTTTGAACACACAGCACTTTAGGATTATAATTGCTTGCAAAGAGCTTTCAGAAAGTGTCAGAACAAAATAACTGTGGACAGCAAGACTTAAAATGGCTGTGGTTAAAAACCTGATGAGAGTTCATTATAATGACACAGTTGACAAGGAAATTTAGTTATTTCTGAACCAAAATTATGACTGATAGCATTTATACCAAGACATATCAGATTTCTAGGAACTTTATCTAATCTTGGAATATAAAAAACATCCATATAGGCCCGACGTGGTGGCTCACGCCTGTAATCCCAGCACTTTGGGAGGCCGAGGCGAGTGGATTACTTGAGGTCAGGAGTTCGAGACCAGCCTGGCCAACATGGTGAAACCTCGTCTCTACTAAAAATACAAAAATTAACCAGGCATGGTGGCACGTGCCTGTAATTCCAGCTACTCAGGAGGCTGAGGCAGTAGAATCGCTTAAACCCAGGAGATGGAGGTTGCAGTGAGCCAAGATCACGCCACTGCACTCTAGCCTGTATGACAGAGGGAGACCCTGTCTCAAAAAAAAAAAAAAAAAAATACATGGGCATTTTTGCTGATCAGAACACAGCTGTTTTCCAAATGGTCTTACTTACCAAAAATACCTAAGTCACGTGAACTAAAAGGCATTGGAGTTAGGTCCTGTTTTTCTGATAAAAGATTGAAGTGCTTCCTTTTTCCTTAAACCGATTATCAGAGTTCTCTCATATATTTTGGTAGAGAAATACCACACACACATAACGCATATATAGACACGGAGACACAGAGAAGCAGATCTTATAGCCTTCGTTAAAATTCTTTATTTGCCAGTTTTCAAATACAGTTTACACTTGAACAACATGGTGGTTAGGGGTGCCAACCCCTGTGCAGTTTAAAATCTGCATATAACTTTTGACTCCCCAAAAACTTAAGTACTAATAGCATACTGTTGACCAAAGCCTTAACTACTTAGTACTACTTAATAACTACTTAACTACTAATAGCATACTGTTGACCAATAACATGGTTAACATGCTTTAGTTAGTATATTATGTGTGTGTGTGTGTGTGTGTGTGTGTGTGTGTGTGTGTGTGTGTGTATGTATATAAAAAATATACTGCATTCTTATAATAAAGTAAGCTGAGGAAAGGTTAAGAAAATCATAAAGAAACTGGACACGGTGGCTCACGCCTATAATCCCAGCACTTTGGGAGGCCAAGGCCAAGAGTTCAAGACCAGTCTGGCCAAGATGGTGAAACCCCGTCTCTACTAAAAATACAAAAATTAGCTGGGCATGGTGGTGAGCACCTATAATCCCAGCTACTTGGAATTTAGCTTGTTTCTTAATGAGTTACTGACTTCAGGACTGCCAAAGACTAACCAGAGCTTCCCTGGGGTAGAGTTTCAGCATTAAAATGAGGTGGAATTTGGCTTTTTCCTTCAAAAGGTGAACTGTAGGGCACAAAGACAGTTTGTGTGCAGCCTCTATAAGCTGGCAGAAACTGGTTTAAGATCTATATGTAGTAGTTCATCAGAAAACGATGTTTGTAAGGCCAGTCCTCTGTCTGTGTTAAGAGTTGTAGTGGGTTTCTGGGTTGTAAATCAGAGTTAGGGAGGGGTCTGATATTTGCCTGATACCGCCTATTGGTATGGAGCTTAGCAACAGTTTGATTTTTCTTGGAGCATAGGAATTTAGGGAGTTGCTATACCAGTCACCCTGAACCCTGACCTCATAGGTGATTTTTGTTTCCTTAACCTTAAGGGTCAGGGCAGACACAGTGGCTCAAAACCTGTAATCTCAGTCCTTTGAGAGGCCTAGCAGGAGGATCACTTGAGCTCAGGAATTCAAGGCTGTAGTGAGCTATGATTGTGCCACTATACTTCAGCCTGGGACCTTGTATCTAGTTATTATTTATTTTTTCTTTTTTTTTCCCCTTTTTTTTTTTTTTTTTTTTTTTTTTTTTGAGATGGAGTCTCCTGTTGCCCAGGCCAGGATGCAGTGGTGCAATCTTGACTCACTGCAACATGCACGTCCCAGGTTTAGTGATTCTTGTGCCTCAGCCTCCAGAGTAGCTAGGATTACAGGTGTGTGCCACCGTGCATGACCTTTGTCTCTAATTTTTAAAAAACAGACAAAACCTTAGGATCTGTCTTAGTTTATAAAGGGGCATCTATTTTGCTTTCAGATAACACCGTAGAGCTGAAACATTTTGGAAATGGCTTTCTAAGGGTCACGTCTGATATTTCAGGCTTTGCCTGGCCCATAAGTAGACTGGATAGTACTTGTCAGGTCCTGAATATCATCCTCAGGAAAATAATATTCTGCTTCTGCTGCTTTTATCCGTTTTTACTCCCTCTCCTTCCCCTGGTCCCACCATGTGTTAGCTGGTAATAAGTCAGGTATCCTAGGATCATAAGTTATAATTAAGACTCTGAATTCTTTAAAAAATGTCTGAAAGTCTTCCCCAGGTTTAGGACATTTTTAAACTATGACCTGTTTTTATCCGTAGCATGTAAGTCAGGAATTTCATGCTACATTTTCAGGTTGTTCTGTTTTATAAGGAAACAGTTGAACTGTTCTTTTCAGAGAAGAAAGGCAACTCAGAGTTAGTAGACTGTGAATATTCAGGAGTAGATGCAGTATTCAGGTAAAATGGGAGCAGTAGGAGTTACATTAGTTTATCTGTCTTTGGTGTGGGAGGTAATCTTGCGTTTCTAGTTTTTCATTAGCTTTTTGCAGTTAATCTTTCAAAAAAGCTATTTTAGAATTCTGTTGTCTCTTTGAGGCTTCTGAATGCCAGTAAGAATCTCGTTCTCTCCGTGTAATTTGGAGTCTTAGGATTCAAGTGAATTTCTTGGATGAACACTCTTTTTCATCTGGAACATTCCACATCATGGTCATCATAATTCTGAATTATTTTTGGTAAAGTTTTGCCACTTGTGTAACTATTTGTAGCTTCTGGAGCCAGAAGTTTTATACATGAAAAGGCAAGACTACCAGAAGGCAGAGTACTCCAATTTTTAGAAATTAGGGATGCTGTTTTTATGTTGGACCTTGTATATCTCAGGACCGGGATGACGTTGGCTCCAAGATGTCCTACCTAGCCAATCACTTTGCAGTTTCCATCTGACTCAGTCAAGACACCTGAGGCCTCCCTCACCTAAGCCTGCAAGAAAAGGAATCCACATACCCACAGATTCCAAAAGCCTGAGTTTATACCCTCCCTGCACTCAACACAGCTGGTATCAGTTAGCTTTAAAACTGCACCCCTGTATGCTAGCAGCAAATGGAGTTGCACCCACATTTCTGTCTGGCCATAATCTTGGGGGCTTGACTCAAGCCGTAAAGACCTCTGCAAAGAGGGAGCAAAAAATACAGTTATTGCCAGTGATTTGTGAGCCCCCACATTCCCAAAAGTCCTGTGCCCTGCCATAGCCCAGATTAACCCTAGGTACTGCAAAGTCAAATGCTCTCTCACAGTGCAGCCTAACCTTGGTACCCTCAAAGTCAAAGAGACCAGGTGCTAAAAAGACAGCAGAGCTCAGACCTGAGAAGGACTTCCGACACTTGCAGCTCCATGAGGAAAACGTTACTTCCCAAAAAAGGGAGTTAGCCGTTTTTCCTGTGTTCCTTGAGTTACCTCAAGATATCAACAGTCTCTGTCCCTTTGGGTTGCCAGACCTGTCAAAGGACAAAATTACAACAAATTTAGTGTAAGGATCTCAACTGTCTTTATTGTGAGTCTAGCATCAGGCAATGCTTCATTCCAAAATGGAGAGTAAGTGTTCTCGTTGCTCTTTTTTTTTTTTTTTTTTTAAGACAGTCTCAATCTATCACCCAGGCTGGAGTGCAGTGGCCTGATCTCGGCTCACTGCAACATCCCGAGTTTAAGCAATTATCCTGCCTCAGCCTCCCGAGAGTAGCTGGGATTACAGGTGTGTGCCACCACACCCGGCTGATTTTTGTGTTTTTAGTAGAGATGGGGTTTCACCATGTTGGTCAGGCTGGTCTCTAACTCTTGACCTCAAGTTATCCACCCACCTCAGCCTCCCAAAGTGCTGAGATTACAGGCGTGAGCCACCGTGCCCTGCCCTTGTTGCTTTTTACATTAATTTTATACTCAATCACCTTACCATTATTATCTGTAGTGATTTTTCAGTTGACTCTTAATTTCTTGAAAACGTGCATCTGATCTGTCTTTCCAATTTTTATGCTTCTTTCACGTGTCTAATTATATTACGGTACTTCCTCAAAAATTTTAATAGTGTTGATAGAGAAGAGCACGAATGGCCACAGACATAAATGGGAATACTTAATGTTTCTTCATTAAATGTGATGGTGCCTTTTTGCTTTAGATACCATTTCTTTAGTTATGTTAAGGAACTAGTCATTTACTTTGACTTAAAAAAATTTTTTTAGAAGTGAATGTAGGATTCTGTTACATTCAATTTCAGCATCTTACAGAGATTGTCATGTGGTTTTTCTTCCTTGACCTCTTAGTTGGTAAGTTATTGTCTTTGAAAAGACTCCCCTTGGTTGTGGCATTGTAATGTAGTAGTAATGTGCTGCTGGGGATTCCATTTGCTAATATTAGTGTTTTCTCCGTAGATCTTACAGGTGGAGATTGGCCCGTAGGTTTGTGTGTACGTATGATATCCTTGACATGTTTATTTTTTTATAAGCATGATTCTGACTTCATAAAAAGTTTAGAAGTTTTCTTTTTTTTTTTTCTTTTTGGAGATGGGAGTTTTGCTCTGTCACCCAGGCTGGAGTGCAATGGCGCGATCTTGGCTCACTGCAACCTCTGCCTCCCAGGTTCAAGTGATTCTGCTGCCTCAGCCTCCCAAATAACTGGGATTACAGGCATGCGCTACCACTCCCAGCTAATTTTGTAGTTTTAGTAGAGATGGGGTTTCACCATGTTGGTCAGGCTGGTCTCAAACTTCTGACCTCAGGTGATCCATCTGCCTCAGGCTCCCAAAGTGCTGGGATTATAGGCATAAGCCAACCGTGCCTAGCCAGAAGTTTTCTTTATTTCTTCGAGGGTTGTTTTTTGTTTGTTTGTTTGTTTTGTAGAGTCTTCAGAACCAATGTATTCTTTGAGGTTTTGAATATATTCTATAGAATTAAACAAAACAGACTGTTGTTCTACTTTGTCTTAATCTGTGACTCCTTATGTTTTTTCCCTTATTTAGTTCGAATGGTTATTTGAACTAACCATTATGTGTCCCCCTCCTTCCCTTCCCTCCCTTGTTTTCCTTCCTCCTCCTCTACCAAAGAAACAGCTTCTTCTCTTCTACAACTCCAGTTATGTGTTTTGAAGACCTTTTTGTTCTTGACGTGTTCTCTTATCTAATGTTGCATTTTGTCTATGCCTTACTATGGCTATTCTGACCTGGCTTTCAATGCACTAATTTCTCTCTTCAACTGTATTTACTTAAAATGCTATATATCCATATGTAGCATTAGTTATTGTATTTTTAGTTTTTGTATTAGTTATTGTATTTTTCCATTCTGGAATTTGCGTTCGATTCTTCTTCTTCTTGGCTGCAGTTCTCAATCTAGTCTTTGATTTCCCTAAACATGCTGTTACTTTAGAATTCATGTTGTTAATTTCACTGTGTGAAACCCTTGTATATTTGTTTCTGTTGTCTGTTACTTCTCTTGTTTTGATTTTCTGTTGCTGCATTAAGTTCTTGTATGCCTAGTTATTTTTGATTGAGTGTAAGTCATTGTATATGAAAATTTTGGGATTCTGTATGATGTTGTTTCTCTATAGAGGATCTTAATTGGTTTCTTGAAGAAGAGTAAGAGCACCAGCACCTCACATTCAGGGAGTTAAACTCTCCACGCTGCGATTCAGTTCCTGGGAGGTCCAGGGTATTTCCAGCTTGGCCCTTACTTCAGTGGCATAGTCCTCAGGGACCCACCCTAAAGCCTGAGATTCACCATCTCCTTTCTTCTAGGGACTTCCCAGAGGAACTGTTGTTACCAGTTTAGCATGTATCCTTCCAGGTCTTTTCTTTGAATTTGTATGTATCCATGTGTATATACATGTGGGTACATATACATACTTTTAGAAATGATTTTGTTTGTGTCTTATTGACATATTTTAAGTAAATGGAATCATTCTGTGTATGATTTTGCAGCTTGCTTTTCTTCACTTAATGGCATTTCTTAGTGAAGCTTCCCATTTCAGTACAGACTGAGCTACCTCTTTTTTTGGTAGGGGTCAGTTGTAGAGTATTTTGTAGAACAAATAAGTAATAGTTTATTTAACCATTCACTCAGGGACAAACTTCACAATGTCTCTAGGCTTTTTTCTGTTTATGCTGAATATTCTTGTATATGCCCTTTTTCGATAGAGTTTATAGAACAGTATGAAAAAATGATGACAGACATACATTTTTTATTTATATTTATGTATTTGTGTATTTATTTATTTATTTGAGACAGAGTCTTGCTCTGTCTCCAGGCTGGAGTGCTGTGGTACCATCTTGGCTCACTGCAACCTCTTGACTCCCTGGTTCAAGCAATTCTGCTCCGTCAGCCTCCCGAGTAGCTGGGATTGCAGGCACACGCCACCATGTCCAGCTGATGTTTGTATTTTTAGTAGAGACGGATTTTCACCATGTTGGCCAGGATGGTCTCGATCTCCTGACCTCGTGATCCGCCTGCCTTGGCCTCCCTGAATGCTGGGATTACAGGCATGAGCCACCACGCCTGGCCTACGTTTTTTATTTTAATAAATAGTGCCAAATTTCTCTCCTAAATTCACCAGCAGTAAATGATAGTATAAGAATTTTCACACATCGGCCAAGCGCGGTGCCCCACACCTGTAATCCCAGCACTTTGGGAGGCTGAGGTGGGCCAGTCATCTGAGGTCAGGAGTTCAAGACCAGCCTGGCCAACATGGCAAAACCCTGTCTCTAACAAAAATAGAAAAATTAGCTGGATGTAGAGGTGTGCGCCTATAATCCCAGCTACTCGGGAGGCTGTGGCAGGATAATTGCTTGAACCTGGGAGGCAGAAGTTGGAGTGAGCTGAGATCATGCCATTGCACTCCAGCCTGGGCAATAGAGCGAGACTCTGTCTCAAAAAAAAAAAAAAAAAAAAAAAAAAAGATTTTTCACCATCCTCACCAATGCTTGGTATTATCTAATTTAAAAGTTTGCCGGTCTTACAGGGAAAAAAATACTGTCTTGTTTTAATTTTTCATTTTGCTAGTTACTAATGAGATTTAGATTTTTTTATATGTTTTTTGAACATTTCTTATTCTTCTGATGTGTTAGCATTCTTTCATTGTTGTATCTGCTGTGGAGTTATTTTTGTTTTAGTAGTCTCAGGTTAAATTATAATTCAGGGCTGGGTTCAGTGGCTCATGCCTGTAATCCCAGCACTTTGGGAGGCTGAGGGAGGCGGATCACTTGAGGCCAGGAGTTTGAGACGAGCGTGGCCAACATGGCAAAACCCCATCTCTCTTAGAAACACAAAAATTAGCTGGACATGTTGGCACATTTTTGTAATCCCAGCTACTTGGGAGGCTGAGGCACAAGAGTTGCTTGAGCCCGGGAGGCAGAGGTTGCAGTGAGCCGAGATCGCACCATTGCACTCCAGCCTGGGTAGCAGAGGAAAACTGTGTCTCAAAAATAAAAATAAATTATAATTCAAACTATATCTCAAGCTTTAATCTATGAATGACTACTTTGATTCTTACAGATAGTATATAGTGTAATCAAATTTCAGTGTTAAGATAAATGTAAAGAATAGGTATTGTTAAGGGAGATGGTGTTTTTGTTTCTTTCCTGTCCTATCTCGGAAGCTCAATATAAGTACATAAGGAGGGATAGGCATAGGAAAGAAATTGAATTATTAAAATTTCATTTTTTCTTAGACAAATAAACCTCAGAGATCACGACCCAATCTCATCAAACCAGCTGCCCAGTGGCAAGATCTGAAAAGGTTGGGAGAAGAAAGGCCTAAAAAGTCTAGAGCAGCATTTGAATCAGATAAGAGCAGCTATTTTTCAGTGTGTAACAACCCATTGTTTGATTCTGGGGCACAGGATGATTCTGAGGATGACTACGGTGAATTTCTGGATCTTGGGCCTCCTGGAATCTCTGAATTCACTAAGCCAAGTGGCCAAACAGAAAGAGAACCCAAGCCTGGACCGAGTCATAACCAAGCAGCAAATGACATTGTCAACCCCAGATCAGAGCAGAAAGTCATCATCTTGGAAGAAGGTAGCCTTCTTTACACAGAAAGCGATCCTTTGGAAACTCAGAACCAGTCATCCGAAGACTCAGAGACAGAGCTGTTATCAAATCTAGGAGAGTCAGCTGCTCTAGCAGATGATCAGGCCATCGAAGAAGACTGCTGGTTAGATCATCCTTACTTCCAGTCTCTGAACCAACAGCCCCGTGAAATAACAAACCAGGTCGTTCCTCAGGAACGGCAGCCTGAAGCAGAACTGGGCCGCTTGTTGTTTCAGCATGAATTCCCAGGGCCCGCTTTTCCAAGGCCGGAACCCCAGCAAGGTGGGATTTCAGGCCCCTCTTCTCCTCAGCCTGCCCATCCTCTAGGAGAGTTTGAAGACCAGCAGTTAGCAAGTGATGATGAAGAGCCAGGTCCAGCCTTTCCAATGCAAGAATCTCAAGAGCCCAATTTGGAAAACATTTGGGGGCAAGAAGCTGCAGAGGTAGATCAAGAGCTCGTTGAACTACTAGTGAAAGAAACGGTAAGTTTTATTTTATCAAGTAAATGTAGACACTACATATACTGAGTTTTTTTCTTTTTTTTTTTTCATTGCAAAAAAAAAAGTTGTTGGTATGCGTGGACTTCATTTTCCTAAGAAGTATATATCTAGATGTACAGAATAGAAGAGACACTCTGAAGACATGAAAATGGAATCAGGGTTCCTTTACTATACTTAACCTTCAGGAAGCTCTCTGGGATTCTAACTGCATATCATGGTGGCCTGGTGCTGTCATACCTGCAGTCCCTTGTTTTTTTCAAATTCCTTGAGTTCACTCCAAATGGAAACCCTTAAAGCAGTTTTATTGAATTACCTAGACCTATGCTGTCCAATATGGCACTTACTAGCTCCTTGTGGCTGTTTACATTTAAATGTCTTACAGTTAAATAAAATTTTCCAGTGGCATCAGTCACATCTTAACCTTAGTAGCCACATGAGGCTAACAGCTTACCTCATCATCAAGCATGGAGGACAGTGTTTCTGTCATCCAACAAAGTTCTATTAGTGGTGATATTAAGAGTAACACAAGGGCTGGGCGTGCTGGCTCACACCTGTAATCCCAGCACTTTGGGAGGCCAAGGTGGGTGGATCACAAGATCAGGATATCAAGACCATCCTGGCTAACACGGTGAAACCCTGTCTCTACTAAAAAAATTAAAAATTAGCCGGGCGTGGTGGCGGGCGCCTGTAGTCCCAACTTCTTGGGAGGCTGAGGCAGGAGAATGGTGTGAACCCAGGAGGCAGAGCTTGCAGTGAGTCAGGATCGTGCCACTGCACTCCAGCCTGGGCGACAGAGTGAGACTCTATCTCACAAAAAAAAAAAAAAAAAAAAAAAAAAAAAAAAAAAAAAGGTGTTACATCTGGTAGCCACTATTTGCCTTCAAACAAGTCCGTTAACCCTACTTTACCCAGGCGGGTTTTTTTTGTTTTGTTTTTGGTTTGTTTTTTTTTTGAGACCGAGTCTCACTCTGTCACCCAGGCTGGGGTACAGTGGTGCGATCTCAGCTCACTGCAACCTCCGCCTCCTGGGTTCAAGCGATTCTTCTGTCTCTGCCTCCCGAGTAGCTGGGATCACAGGCACATACCACCACGTCTGGCTAATTTTTGTATTTTTTTAGTAGAGACGGGGTTTCACCATGTTGGCCAGGCTGGTTTTGAACTCCTGACCTCAGGTGATCCGCCTGCCTCGACCTCCCAAAGTGCTTCGATTATAGGCATGAGCCACTGCACCCGGCCACCCAGGTGTTTTTATCTAGGCACTAGGTTGTGTGCTGCTTGAGGGCTGGCATGAGATTGTAACTTATTTGTGTTTGGATTCCCTTTGTCTAGACAGAGATGCTCAATATTTGTTGAAGCAATGAAGAATGGATCTGTAAAATGGGGACAGAGAACCAGATCTCTCAAGACCTTTCTAGACCTCATCTTCTATGTAGACAGATGAATCTGGGAACTAGTGTTGAATTTGAAGACACACACAGACCTGCTTCACAGCCCTTTTCTAGTCTTTAGTCATTTTATTATACTTTTTGCCATCTGTCTTGTATTGCCATTTGAAACCATTCTAGTGAATGAAATATAAATTATGTTCTTATTTGTTTCTAGGAAGCAAGATTTCCAGATGTAGCAAATGGGTTTATTGAGGAAATAATTCATTTTAAGAATTATTATGATCTGAATGTGTAAGTATACTACCATGCTTTTTTTGTGGTGGTGGTGGTGGTGGTAAAATATATGTAATAAAAAATTTACCATTTTAATCATTTTTAAATATACAATTTGGTGTTGTTAAGTAAATTCACATTATTATGCAACTATCACCACCATCCATCTTCAGAACTCTTTCATCTTCTCAAACTGAAACTCTGTCCGCATTAAACACTCACTCCCCATCCCCTTCCCAAGCCAGTGGCACCCACCATCCTACTTTCTTTCTATATGGATTTGGCTACTATCAGGGACCTCATGTGTTTGTTCTTTTCTGACTGGCTTATTTCACTTGGCATTATGTCTTTTTTAATGACCTTGTTCGTTCTGACATTAGTGATACACAGACTGTTTTCTGGATTTTATGGAATACTGCATGGTTATAGAATTATGATAACTGAGTTGTTTCTAAGCGTTGATACTACCTGTGTTTTAGTCAAGATGTTAAGACATTTTCTTCCCTACGATTGTAACAAAATGTTCTGCAACCACTCTGTTTGGAGAAATACATGGAAGCATTTTTTTTTTTTTTTTTTTTTTTTTGAGACGGAGTCTCACTCTGTCTCCCAGACTGGAGTCCAGTGGTGCGATCTCGGCTCACTGCAAGCTCCGCCTCCCAGGTTCAGGCCATTCTCCTGCCTCAGCCTCCCGAGTAGCTGGGACTACAGGCGCCTGCCAGCACGCCTGGCTAATTTTGTGTATTTTTAGTAGAGATGGGGTTTCACCATGTTAGCCAGGATGGTCTCGATCTCCTGACCTCGTGATCCACCC
The DNA here is from genome assembly GCF_000001405.40 of Homo sapiens. Taxonomy (NCBI): domain Eukaryota; kingdom Metazoa; phylum Chordata; class Mammalia; order Primates; family Hominidae; genus Homo; species Homo sapiens. The sequence goes on along the minus strand of NC_000007.14, from coordinate 5,738,479 downwards.
GCCTCGGCCTCCCAAAGTGCTGGGATTACAGGTGTGAGCCACCGCTCCCAGCCATATTTCTTAATTTTCATTATAAAAGGGATAAATACGGGCCAGACATATGGTTCACACCTTTAATTCTGGCACTTTGGGAGGCTGAGGCAAGAGGATTGCCTGAGTCCAGGAATTCAAGGCTGCAGTGAGCTGTGTTACGCTACTGCACTCCAGCCTGGGAGCCAGAGTGGGACCTTGTCTCTTATTTTAAAAAAATTTTTTATAAGTGGTAAATATGCTTTTTTAAAAAATAAGTTTTCCTGAAGAATATAAAATGAAAAATATACTCTTTCCCCTCCTTCTAATCTGCAGAGGTGAAATAATTGTAATTTTTTTTTTTTTTTTTTTTTTTTTTTTTTGGAGACAGTCTTATTCTGTTGCCCAGGCTAGAGTGCAGTGGTGCGATCTTGGCTTAAACAGCAGTCTCCACCTCCCAGGTTCAAGCAGTTCTCCTGCTCAGTCTCCTGAGTAGCTGGCATTACAGGCGTACTCCACCCTGTCCGGCTAATTTTTGTATTTTTAGTAGAGACAGGGTTTCATCATGTTGGTCAGGCTGGTCTTGAAACCCTGACCTCATGATCTGCTCACCTCCACCTCTCAAAGTGCTGGGATTACAGCCATAAGCCACCGTGCTCAGCCTGGTGGTAAATTTAAACAAAATAGTTCACTAAACACCTTTCCCCAAAGTTCCTATCTTATACTGTAGTTCTCAGTCAAGGTTGCAGGTGAGTTTCTTCCCTGCCAAGGCTGAGAAGGAAGGGCCCCTTTCCAGGTGCTTAGCCCAATGTAGGTACTTTTTTCTAATTTGTACAATGACACTGTTGGAGCCATTAGTGGCCTTGTCTGATCCCACCTCTGTACAGAGGCAACCACTGTCATCAGATTTATATTTATTTATTTATTATTATTATTATTATTATTATTTTTAATTGATCATTCTTGGTTGTTTCTCGCAGAGGGGGATTAGGCAGGGTCACAGGACAATAGTGGAGGGAAGGTCAGCAGATAAACAAGTGAACAAAGGTCTCTGGTTTTCCTAGGCAGAGGACCCTGGGGTCTTCCGCAGTGTTTGTGTCCCTGGGTACTTGAGATTAGGGAGTGGTGATGACTCTTAACAAGCATGCTGCCTTCAAGCATGTGTTTAACACAGCACATCTTGCACCGCCCTTATTCCATTTAACCCTGAGTGGACACAGCACATGTTTCAGAGAGCACTGGGTTGGGGGTAAGGTAATAGATCAACAGCATCCCAAGGCGGAAGAATTTTTCTTAGTACAGAACAAAATGGAGTCTCCTATGTCTACTTCTTTCTACACAGACACAGCAACAATCTGATTTCTCTATCTTTTCCCCACATTTCCCCCTTTTCTATTCGACACAGCTGTCATCGTCATCATGGCCCGTTCTCAATAAGCTGTTGGGAACACCTCCCAGACGGGGTGGCGGCCGGGCAGAGGGGCTCCTCACTTCCCAGAAGGGGCAGCCGGGCAGAGGTGCTCCCCACCTCCCGGACGGGGCGGCTGCCGGGCGGAGGGGCTCCTCACTTCCCGGACGGGGCGGCTGCCGGGCGGAGGGGCTCCTCACTTCTCAGATGGGGTGGCTGCGGGGCGGAGGGGCTCCTCACTTCTCAGACGGGGCGGCCGGGCAGAGACGCTGCTCACCTCCCAGATGGGGTCGCAGCCTGGCAGAGGCGCTCCTCACATCCCAGATGGGGCGGCGGGGCAGAGGCGCTCCCCACGTCTCAGATGATGGGTGGCCCGGCAGAGACGCTCCTCACTTCCTAGAAGGGATGGTGGCCGGGAAGAGGCGCTCCTCACTTCCCAGACTGGGCAGCCGGGCAGAGGGGCTCCTCATATCCCAGACGATGGGCGGCCAGGCAGAGACGCTCCTCACTTCCCAGACGGGGTGGCGGCCGGGCAGAGGCTGAAATCTCGGCACTTTGGGAGGCCAAGGCAGGCGGCTGGGAGGTGGAGGTTGTAGCGAGCCGAGATCGCGCCACTGCACTGCAGCCTGGGCAACACTGAGCACTGAGTGAACGAGACTCCATCTGCAATCCCGGCACCTCGGGAGGCCGAGGCTGGCAGATCAGTCCCGGTTAGGAGCTGGAGACCAGCCCGGCCAACACAGCGAAACCCCATCTCCACCAAAAAAAAATACGAAAACCAGTCAGGCGTGGCGGCGCGCACCTGCAATCACAGGCACTCGGCAGGCTGAGGCAGGAGAATCAGGCAGGGAGGTTGCAGTGAGCAGAGATGGCAGCAGTACAGTCCAGCTTCGGCTGGGCATCAGAGGGAGACTGTGGGGAGAGGGACAGGGACAGGGACAGGGAGAGGGAGAGCTATTTATTTATTTTTGAGACGGAGTCTCACTCTGTCACCTAGGCTAGAGTGCAGTGGTGTGATCTCAGCTCACTGCAGCCTCCATCTCCCAGGTTCAAGTGATTCTCCTGCCTCAGCCTCCCAAGTAGCTGGGATTACAGGCATGCGCCATCATGTCTGGCTAATTTTTGTGTTTTTAGTAGAGACAGTTTCCCTATGTTGGCCAGGCTGGTCTTGAACTCCTGACCTCAGGTGATCCATCTGCCTCGGCCTCCCAAAGTGCTGGGATTACAGGTGTGACCCACTGCACCTGGCCTTCCCTTAATCTTTATCAATTTTACTTAACATGCTTGTCAGTAAGGCAAAACCGTTAAGAGTGTACACTACCAGGCCATAGATTGGTGGTGTTGGTCAGTTCTGGAAATTTTGTAGCTGTTTCCTGTCTTCTGTAACTCTTCTCCCACAATCTCCATGTCTCTAAGTCCACCTCTTTGTCTCTGAGATGCGTTCTGGATGATTTCTTCAGGGGTGTTCTTTTAGCCCACAAATTTCTCTTCAGTAGAGTGTAATCTCCTTTTAACTCATCTACCGTGTTACTGGTTTTCAGTTATGAAATTTTAGCTTTTAATTGTCTTGGTTATTTTCCTAGAGTTTTGCTCTTTGCCTATATTTTTAATCTTTTTTTAATTTCTTTAACCAATAAACATAGCTTCTCTGTGAGTTTGATTGTTCTGATATGTTAAGTTCTTGGGAATCATATTCTGTTCTTCCTGCTGGCTCCCATGGTGCCTAGTTTTCTTGTGTATTTTCTAAATTTGACTCTAAGCTCATATCTTGAGTTCTTGATAGAGTTGGTTTCTTTAGAGATTATTGCTTTTGCTTCTTTCAAGTCCCCAAGGGCAGTGTCAGTTTGAAACGACTTTAGACTCCTGTCTTGAAGTTTTTGGATTACACAAACTCTTTTTTATTTATTTATTTTTTTTGAGACGAAGTCTCACTCTCTTGCCCAGGCTGGAGTGCAGTGGCGTGATCCTGGCTCACTGCAACCTCCGTCTTCTGGGTTCGAGCGATTCTTCTGCCTCAGCCTCCTGAGTAGCTTGGATTACAGGTGCCCACCGCCCAGCTAGTTTTTGTATTTTTAGTAGAGATAGGGTTTCACCATGTTGGCCAGGCTGGTCTCGAACTCCTGACCTCAAGTTATCCCACTGTCTCAGCCTCCCAAAGTGCTGGGAGACGTGAGCCACCATGCCCTGCAAACCTTTTATTTATTTATTTATTTATTTATTTATTTATTTATTTATTTTGAGAGAGAGTTTTGCCCTTGTCGCCCAAGCTGGAGTGCAGTGGCATGATTTCAGCTCACTGCAACCTTCGCCTCCCAGGTTCAGGTGATTCTCCTGCCTCAGTCTCCCGAATAGCTGGGATTACAGGCATGTGTTACCTCACCTGGCTTGGATTACCCAAACTCTTAAAGCATTTTTTATTTTTCAACGACAGACTCTACCTGGGTATTTAACCTTGAAAGCCATTTGGTTATTTACATGCCAGTTACTCACTCTTCTGAAGCCTTTCCACATATTCTTTATTGTGTATAGTTTTTAAACTTGGTTATTATAGAATATAATATACATAAAGAAAAATGAACAAAGTAAAGATGCACAGCTCAATAATTTATCACAAACCAAACATTTGTGTAACCACAACCCAGAAATCTTCAAGAAATAGAACGTTGCTATCCTTTTTGAACACTACATAAAGATTTTGTATAGTCTATAGTCTTTTGAGTCTGATTTCTTTTCACTCAGCATTATGTTAAGTTTATTCATGTAGGGTAGAACCACAGTTTATATATTTTCCATTGCTAAATGGTATTCCATTTATACCACTTAGCAATGAAATTTTCCATCTACTTTTGATAGGCATTTGAGTTCTGACTGTCACAAATAATGTAGCTGTGAACATTCTCCTGCTTGTCTCCTGAACTCTACTTGCCCCACACCCTGGCATCCACCTTCCTATTGGCTATGTTTGTGTCTTCCAGCAGAATTGTTTGTTGGAGATTTTTTTCCCCTCCTAAGCTTTTAAAATACTTTCTTTTTGGGTTTCTAAGTGGCATGATAATAACTACATTTTTTTAAATTACTAAGCTTTATTTTTTTAGAGCAGTTTTAGGTTTATAGGAAAATTGAGCAGCAATGACTACATTTTTACAATGAAAACTTTCTTGTAGGCTTCTACTCATCTAAAAAGCAACTTATATGTGTGAATTGCTTTAACAACTCTTCGACAATACTGAGTTATGATGTTATTTTTTGTAGTTAACTAGAGTAGGCATGAAGTAGCATAAGTGACATTTCTTTGCTAATTGGCTGTGTTTTTCAAATATTTGTTTACTAATTGTATTTCCCTTGCGTGTGAATTGTTTACTTCTCTCTTCTCTTTGAATTCCTTTTTTTTTTTTTTTTGGTTAATGTTTTCCTGGTTATGAAATGTAATACAGGTTTGTTCATTACAGAAAATGTAAATGATAGAGAAAAGTATAAACTTAGCTCATTTATAGAACAATGATTTGAATACCAGATACCATGTTTTAGTATTTTTTAACAGTTTAACCTCATAGAAATTGAGTATATTCAATGTTTTTCTCTCCTTCTGCAAATGAACATCATGTTTAAATATATCTTCAAGATTGTCTAGAAAAATCACTAAAACGTAATCAAATTGATACCTTCTCTTACAGTTCTGTTCTCCTACTTCCTGAGTCTCACACGTGTACTTATTTTTAGGGACTTGCTGACCCTCTGTGCTTTTTGTGTCACTCAGAAACAAACACTGATCCTTAAACACATTAAAATTCTCGTGAAATCCAAAAAGCAAGGGAATGTACAGTCATTGTATTGCATCTTTTCAAGCCAGTCTTGTTTTCCTGACACTGCTTTCCTTTCCATTATTCTCTGGACTCCTAGGACAGTGTTAACTCCACAACTAAACTAAAATGTTAATGGAAACTGGAAATAAGGCCCAAAGCTGAGTTGAGCAGGCTGGGATTTTGTTGTAGCTCAGTCTCAGTTGCTTTATGTGCATCTTTAAATGGCCTTCAGATGGAACCGTCTGGCCATTTTAAGCAGGAAGCCTATTCATTAGAGAACCACATGGCAGGTAATCTACTTTGGCTGGTTAACTTAGACCTTTCACTCACACGTGGTCAGCTTCAGTTGGATGAAGGCAGCAACAACTATCTAAGGGTTGAAAGGTTGGAGTACTAGCCTGGCTTACTTTGCAGGAGTGACTTCTCTAGAACTGCTAGCATGTCAGATCAGCTCAAACATGAGGTCATATGAAGAGGTGGGCAGATTGAAGTCCGACAGGCTTCCCCACTGCTTTTGCCCCAGGGTGCAGATATTAGAACAGAGGCTACCACTTGTTTCTGTAGAAGAAAAACTTTGTCCTTCATTTTCTGTGCCTCCAAATGTCACTTAACCTCCAGAAGAGTTGTGTTGGTAAACATAATGAAGGGATTAAACTAGAAATGAATTTTGACAGTTTATAGTGAGAGCTTCTGATTTCTGTCATGTGGAACTTCATGTCTGTAGCATTTCAGTATTTGAAGTTCTTAATATTGTTGCAAATATAAAATGAATTGGGGAGAGATGAACCTCTCAAACATGTTTTGTTTTTTCAAGAAATCATATCTACTGTTCCATCTGTATTTCATGTAGAGGTGTATTTATGTATCATTTACTTGAGAAAACACGTAAAAACAGACCATTTTAAAGCTAGTCCGTGTCTGGTTTGTCGCCACATCAAATATGCACATGTAATGAGTTGTCTGGAACTCAGGCCTTTCCCTACAGACGCGATTTTTGCTGGTGGCTAATTCTCAGGTCAGCCTTCAAAGGTTTGCATAACCTCAGTGCACACCAGTGAATTCTAGGATGGAGAATTACCACTGATGACAATGGTTTTATAGGAAAATGTACTCTGAATTCTTGTCGCCCTCTGTAATAGGAGGAGTTTGCTGCTTTTTTTCCTCTCTTTGGGCCTCAGGCGTTGTGTTCCGTGGACTGGGCAGGCTGTGGTGGTAGGGAAGCGGGGAGCTTAGAGATGAAGAGTATATGGGACTCCTGAAGTAACGGCAAAGGGAAATGCATTGAGATGTCAGGATGAGGGAGAAGGCTTTGACGTGGGTCCCCGGCGGGGGCTGCAGAATCAATGAACCTCTCCAAACCGGTCCCCAAACACTGGCACCTGGATGAGAAAAGGAGCAGAGCTGAGCACTTTTTCTCTACCCTCTTTCTGCCAGACCTCCTGTTCTACTATTACAGGCCTTACTATTGACATCTGGCAAAAGAGAACCAGTAGAAAGGGAAGTGTGTGAGAACTGCAGGTATAGCACCTAGGAGGTCATCTTAGAAATCTACTGGAGCAAGAGAAAGAACAGAGAAAAGGGGAAGTCCCCATTACCCTCCGAGCAAAGAAGCTTCCTTGCTACTGAATGTGGCTAGAGCTGTACCCCACCCACTCTGTCTGCACTACTGTGCAGTTGTTCCAAGGTGGTTGTCTGATTTGACTGTGAAGAGCCTGGATAGTTAACATGTGTTGGGTCTGGGTGGTGATACATCAGTGTGTGTTATCTCACTCTATATAGCCTTACTTTGGAAGTATTTCATGGTGATAATAGACAAAGCTAGTGGGTTTTGTGTGAAGAGAGTCTGTTCATAGGAAAACATGATCTGTTCATCAGTCTAGCTTGGCAGCTAGCTAAATAAACCACGTGTAACTCAATGGCTCATAGAGCTTTATTATTACCATAGAGATTTATGTTACCACAGGGGTATAAAAAGTATTAATGAATTAACAGAAGGTCTTTTATATTTCATTTATTACATCTCTTAGCAGACTGTTTTTTACTGTAAATGTGAACACACAGTTTTCCACTTCTTACTTGTTCATAGTTTTCTCGACAAAGAGTAGCTGCTTTTCTTAAAATTTTCCAGTTTTGTAGTTTAACCAATAATAGTTTCAGTGACTTCATTACATTAACACCCAATTGATACATAAACTTCAGAGGAGTTTGCCTTAATCAGTATGTTCATTGCTTTTTAAATTTTTTTGTCTTTCACAAAGATAGAAATTCAGTGCAGTTGTTTGTTTATTGGTTTAGTTTTTCTGGGCTACAAACATCTTAATTTCTTGATAGGCCAGTTGTAATGTGTGACTAAGGACTATATTCTTCAACCATTGCATTTGAAGCAATGGGCAGGTGTGGGATTTGGAAGCAGTATGAAAGTAACATCATTTGTTTCTGCAGACTTTGTAATTTTCTTCTGGAAAACCCAGATTATCCAAAGAGAGAAGACAGAATCATTATAAATCCCAGTAGCAGTCTGCTGGCCAGCCAAGATGAGACAAAGGCAAGTGTCATGTTCATGTTTTGCAGTCACTGCCTGGAAATGCTGTGCTTTGTTGTTGTTGTTGTTGTTGTTATCTCTGTGGGAAGAAAGTGCTTTGTTGGGACAAGTTTTTAAAGACTAGCCGAGGGACATAGGATTTCAGAATATATCTATACTTCAGTGCGATCTCCCAGTCTGAGCCACTTTGAATTCTGTCTGTCTTTAACTTCTATCTTTCCTTGTAATTCTTATCTTCCTTTTCCCACAAAGAATTGAACGAATTCTCCATATCTTTAATCCTACAAAGCAAATTCCTAAAGCAAAACAAGAATTGGCCAAAACTCTTAACATTTTATTATGAAAATTTTCAAACCTACAGAAAAATTGAAATATTTTACGTTGATCATTTATATACCTACCACTGGTACTAGTTAACAGTTTACTGTATCCTCTTTATCATACATATGTCCTCTGTCTGTCCATCAGCACAACTTTGTTATGTTTCATTTCATGATAATGCATTTCAAAGTAAATTGCAAAAACATGAGTACACTTCCCTCTAAGTACTTCAGCATGCAGGTCATTACCCAGAGTGGAATATCTTTTTTCTTTTGATGTGAGATTTGTATACAGCGTATACTATACATCTGTTTAACCAGATCTCATATCAAGATGTAAACAGTTTGGTTTTTAAAAACTTCAATCATTGTCATTATTTGTGATCTAAACTGGCATTTAGTGTGTTATATGGTCAAGTATGGTTGAGAACTAACTTTATTAAGATCTGTTGCTTGATCTTCCAACTCCCCATAGATTCTTTGACTGTCTCTCTTACGTATTCTGTAATAGAAAAAAAATAGTTGTTCGTAAATATGGTATGGAAAGAAGATGGCTGTAAGATTGGTTTAAATCCCCAACTATACTTCTTTAGTAGTAAAACTAGTCTGTCGGCTCCAGACAGGTTTGTTTAACCTCTCTGAGCCACCGTTTTCTCATCTGTCTTATAGGGCTGGTAACTTCCTTATAGAGTAATTAGAACAAATGTTATTCTTTTCTACACATGTAATTCTTAAAATGATTTCCCCTGTATGGGAAATGTACTGCCTGGCCTCTGATTTTATGCTTCTCTCTCATTTCAGTTGCCTAAAATAGACTTTTTTGACTATTCTAAATTGACCCCTCTTGACCAGCGCTGCTTCATCCAAGCTGCTGACCTCCTCATGGCCGACTTCAAAGTGCTCAGTAGTCAGGACATCAAGTGGGCCCTGCACGAGCTCAAAGGACACTATGCAATCACCCGAAAGGTACTCTACTTGGTCTTCCTGTTGGGGTCACACCTCTTGACTACATCTTCCCATGGTAACAGAATGAACAGTTCAGCTTGTGGAAATTGGGATGGTTTATGATTGCTAAGGAATTTATTAGGGTGAAGATAAATAGATGGGTATTTGCTCATCGTGACGGACTAAATGAAAAGAAATAATAGATAGATGAGAAGCAGAGAAGTTCTGCTTTGACCGTAAAAACATGGAGTGTAATACCTTCTACTGTGGAATGCAGGAGTGTGAAAGATGCATTCTAATGCTGCTCCTTCCTGATTTGCTTTCCAACTTGGGACAGGTCACACGACCATCCATCCCCCAGGTGGCTCAGTTACCAGTGATAGGACGTAAGGTCTGTAGAGAGTCCGGGAACACAGCAGTGCCCCCTCAGAAGAGAGTGGGCAGCTACTGACAGCTCCCAGCGTTCTCCCCGCAGGATCCTAAAATAGATGGCACTTAAAGGCCTTGGTTGAGGGTGAGGAGGGTGCTGGTTTGTGGTGGGTAACACAGGCGTCTTCCATGAAGGACAGCACACAGTGCCTGCTTTGTAGCTGTGGCCAGAACAGGAGCGCACGCACCAGCAGAGACCTTGGCTTACTCCTCTTGGTCGCTCTTACTGCCGTTAAATTGTATTCTACTGAAATTCTTGTGATTCTCAGCAAACACAGTGATGTTTCTTTTGTCCAAAGGACAAACGTGGAGTTATCGTAGTGGTTAAAATACTCATTGGGTCTTACCTGTAGGAAGGGAAGAACCAAGCCAAGGACTGTGGCTCATGCTAAGGTCTAGGCCAAGCCCCTTCCACCTTTTCTTTTTCTTTTTCTTTTTCTTTTTTTTTTTGAGACGGAGTCTCACTCTGTTGCCCAGGCTGGAGTGCAGTGGCCTAATCTCGGCTCACTGCAGCCTCTGCCTCCCCAGTTCAAGCAATTCTTCTGTCTCAGCCTCCTGAGTAGCTGGGACTGTAGGTGCTCACCACCGCGCCTGGTTGGTATTTTTAGTAAAGATGGGGTTTCACCATTTCGGCCAAGCTGGTCAGCAACTCCTGACCTCAGATGATCTGCCCACCTCAGCCTCCCACAGTGCTGGGATTACCTACATGAGCCACCGTGCCTGGCCAAAAAAAAAGACTGAAAGAAAAATAGAGGGGCTTTGAAAGGGTAAAACGGGAGGCAACCTAAGGTAGACCAAGGGTCTCCAGAAGGGCCACCCTGAGGAAGGGACATTTAATCACAGACCCACATAGGAGTTTGGTGAAAGGGGTCGTGGAAGATGTTAGTATCATTTATTGGGGTGAGAACTAGTATAAACATCTGCTTTGGAGAGAAATAATCACGAATTCAGTCTGGGAAACGTTGGTTGCCAATGTGCTGAGAAGGGCCTGTGAGACATCTGAGTAAAAATAATTCATTGGGAGGTTGAATGGACTAGAAAGTTTGGAAAATACAGACTGTAGATAGGATTTTTTTTTTTAATCTCCTTGGGTTTTATGGTGATAGGACTTTGAGAGTCATCAGCATATGGAAAATCTCACCAGCCAGGATGAGGTACCCAGAGATACCAGGTGAGAAGAGAGGACTCCTGACATGCAAAGACCAAGCGGAGGAGGCAGGCAGACAGGAAGGAGGAAGTTGAGAGACTGGAGCAGTCTGTATTATTATCATCATCATCATGGTTATTCTTGTTTAGAAACAGGGTCTCTCTCTCTCACCCAGGCTGGAGTACAGTGGCCCAATCGTGGCTTATTGCAACCTTGACCTGGGCTCAAGCCATCCTCCTGCCTCAGCCTCCCATGTAGCTAGGACTACAGGTGCACGCCACCACACCTGGATGATCTTTTTATTTCATTTTTTGTAGAAATGGGGTCTTGCTAGATTGTGCAGGCTGGTCTTGAACTCCTGGCCTCAGGCTATCCTCCCACCTCCACCTCCTAAAGCACTGGGTTGCCACCATGCCCAGCCTATGTTATTAAATGCTGCTAAGAGTTTGTGCAAGATGAGGACTAAAATGTAGATGGTAGACTTATAGACTTGGCCACTCAATAATAAGCATAGATTAGTAAGTGCAAAGGCAGGATAGATGCCAAATTAGAGACAGCTGGAAAGCTTGTGGTCATAAGGGTGAGGTGGTGAAACAGCAGATAAACAGCTCCTTTGATAAGTTTCTCTACAAAGAGGGGAAGAAGAAAGAGGGGCTGGCATTGAAAGAGAGATGAGATCACCTTCTCAACACCGCCACACTGGGGATTAAGTTTCAGCAGGAGTTTCAGGCAAACACTGCATCATAGCCACCCCGCTTCTCATTGCTGCCCAGACTGGGACCCCAGCCTGCCCTGCACCCTAACAGCGTAGCCACAGGACATGAGCCCCAAGGCCTCCTATCCCCTGCCACAGTCAGGAGTCCCACCCAGTCTTCCTGAAAGGCTCCCACTCTTCCTTCTTCTCTTGCAGGCGGAATGGCCTTACCTCACACACCCTTCCTTCCGTTTCAAATCAGGTACCCCTTCTCCCTCCTGTTTTTAGGATGGCAAAGACTTGAGCACTTTTTTTTTTTTTTTTTAAGACAGAGTCACGCTCTGTCGCCTAGGCTGGAGTGCAGTGGCGCGATCTCAGCTCACTGCAACCTCCGCTTTCCAGGTTCACTGATTCTCATGCCTTAGCCCCCCAAGTAGCTGGGATTACAGGCGCTTGCTACCACGTCCAGCTAATTTTTTGTATTTTTACTAGAGACGGGGTTTTGCCATGTTGTCCAGGCTGGTCTTGAACACCTGACCTCAGGTGATCCACCTGCCTCGGCCTCCCAAAGTGCTGGGATTACAGGCGTGAGCCACCGCGCCCACCCTGATTTGAACACATTTAAATCCTGATAAGGGAAATCTAACAGAGAGAAGCTGAAGGTAGGAAAGAAAAGGGATCCTCACCAGTGGAAGGATTTTGAACTCCAGCATCCTGTTACAGGGTGGGGTGGATATAGGTGCACACAGAGAAGAGTGTGGGGGAAGCAGGTTAGGGGAGAGTAAAGAGGAGCATTGACCAGAGAAACAACATGGAAGATTTGCCTACAGAATGGGACTCACCAGCCCATTGTCATGTGATTTTACCTGTACTTATTCAAGGACAGCTTGGACAGTTTTGTTTTGTTTGAGACAGGGTCTCCTGTGTTACCCAGGATGGAGTGCAGTGGCGCAATCATGGCTCACTGCAACCCTGCCTCTCAGGCTCAAGTGATTGTCCTATCTTAGCCTCCGAGTACCTGGGACCACAGCTGTGGACCACCACGCCCAGCTATTTTTTTGTATTTTTAGTAGAGACGGGGTGTCCCCATGTTGCCCGGGCAAGCCTTGAACACCTAAGCTCAAGTGATCCACCCCCGTCATCCTCCCACAGTGCTAGGATTACAGGTGTGAGCCACTGCACCCAGCCAACAGTTTTTCTTTTCCCTAGTTACTCTTTAATCTGTCAGTAAGTGTTTTGCTTCCACCACCGTACCAGTTTATGAAAGTCAGAGAAAATGAAAATAAAGAAATGCTGCCTATTTATTTTACCACTGCCTATTCCTTTTTTTTTTTTTTTTTTGCCCAGGCTGGAGTGCAGTGGTGCAGTGCAGTGGTGCAGTCTCGGCTCACTGCGACCTCCGCCTCCTGGGTTCAAGCGATTCTCCTGCCGCAGCCTCCTGAGTAGCTGGGATTACAGGCGTGCGCCACCATGCCCGGCTAATTTTTGTATTTTTAGTACAGACAGGGTTTCACCATGTTGGCCAGACTGGTGTCGAACTCCTGACCTCAAGGGATCTGCCCACTTGGCCTCCCAAAGTGTTGGGATTACAGGCGTCAGCCACCGCACCCAGCTGCCACTACCAATTGTTAGCCATGCTGGGTAGACAGCTGAAACTGTGTTAAAATGGCATTCAGGGATTGCCTGTCTCGTGTATTCTTATTTTCTATTTACAGAAGGAACCTTTCCTTTTCTCAATTTTTAGGCCTTGTCTGATGCCATTAAAAAATGGCAGGAGCTGTCACCAGAAACCAGTGGAAAAAGGAAGAAGAGAAAACAAATGAACCAGTATTCTTACATTGATTTCAAGTTTGAACAAGGTAATGCAAACTGTGTTGGTGGCAGTGTGTAGCTGCAACACTGTACCTTTTCTTCTTCACAGTCAGTGAAGGAAGCCGTGCTACAGGTGTCTGCTGAGCATCTGGACAGGCCAGTCCAAGGAGTGACTGACAGGAACTATTTTCTCAGCACATCAAAATTTTTAGGAAGTGGCTGCACTTGTTGGCTTCCTTCTTCCTACTTAAGATAAACTGTGAGAGGAAAATTTTGTGTGGTGTTAGAAAATTCATGTGTGAGAAGGTATTTGAGTGTGCTGTTAAGCTTGGGGGGAAAAACTGGTCTCAAAGGTTTGATGCGAATTGGCTGTGTTATTAGGTAAAAACTACCCAGACTTATGAATGAGGGCTTACTGCAGAGGGTCACTTATGCAACTGAGAGAATGGCTAATAGCCACGTTTCTCCAAAATTCTGTCATTCTTATTGATGAAATAACTGCTGAAAACCCTTTTGAAGAGGTTATTTAGGTCTGATCCCCAAAAATGTAAACTTGAGTGTTATAACAACTCAGATTTTATCTGAGTTGCTTCCACCCAGTAAAGGCGTTTACTACAACTTTTCTAGAGATCATCCCTTTCTGTTACATGTGTACTTAATTACCACACTTGATTTCAGGTATGACTAAGTGGAAACTCAGGTAACTATAAAGCTGGAAAGTATTTGTATTTACTATGAACTTTTCAGGCTCTAAAAGAAAATCCCTTAGGCTGTGACTCCTGAGGTTCCTAAGCCAGTCTGTGGAGCAGTGGCTCTGCTGACATGACATTCGCCCTGGCCTGTGGCAGAATGTAGAACTAGGGACAGTGTGCAGGTGGTTTTTCATTCAGCCAAATTTAGCCAGAGTTCAGAACAGGCATCCTTGTACATAGCCATACAGTATTTGTTTCTGACTTCAGTGGTGGAGAAAGTGCTATTTTGCAAGATAGTTGACTTCCTTGTTGGTCAGCTCTGTCTTTTAGACAGTTCTTCCTTTATATTTGTCAGCATGTACTTCCTGAAATGTCCTGCCATGGTTGTAGTTCTTGGCTGTGGAGAGAGATTCTGACTGTTGTCCCTTCATCAGCCTGACTGCCCTTCTCCTCTTCCCTGTGTGCCCTTCTCTAGCTTGTCAGGGTCTCTTTGAAAGTTGGGGTATAGAAGACTGCACATCATACTCCACATGAGGTCTGCTCACATTCAGCCTTGCTCTTTTCACCCACATTGCTGTCAGGTCATAAACCTGTCTCAGTTTTGCTGCATCTCACATTTTCCCATTAACTTCATTTCATTTGATTCAGTTTCTTGTTTTAGGTATAGCACTTTAATTTAGGTGCTGATTCTTTAATTTTACTTATCAGATAATCTTGAAGGACCCTGGAAGTATAAGATAGAAATTACACTTGATTTACATTAGTAGTTTAATGTTTATGACTCACACTTAGCCTTTTTTGACAGCTTTTTATAAGGACACAGGCTAAGAATCCCTCATCTGTTCCAGGGATCCCATTTTTCTCCTTTTCAGTTTGTTTTCCGTCTAAACACTGCTCTTTGGGCTATAATTGCTTGACTCAAAGAGTGAGACACGGTTCTCCCTCCTCTGTCCTTTTTATGGTCATGCAGGAAAATACATTAGAGGGAAGTTTGTAGACTTAATTGCATTTATTTATTTATTTTTTTTTTTTGAGACGGAGTCTTGCTCTGTCGCCCAGGCTGGAGTGCAGTGGCGCAATCTCGGCTCACTGCAAACTCCGCCTCCTGGGTTCACGCCATTCTCCTACCTCAGCCTCCCGAGTAGCTGGGACTACAGGTGCCCGCCACCGAGTCCGGCTAATTTTTTGTGTTTTTAGTAGAGACGGGGTTTCACCATGTTAGCCAGGATGGTCTCGATCTCCTGACCTCGTGATCCGCCCGCCTCGGCCTCCCAAAGTGCGAGATTACAGGCTTGAGCCACCGCACCCGGCCAATTGCATTTATTTTTTAAAATAAAGGACTGAAAATAAATCTTATTACTTTAACATGATAAACTACAAAAAGAACTGAGTAAAGACGAAAGAAATAATAGGTGAAAATTTTTTTAATTTGTAGCATTGATAATTACAGTAATTAACATTGAGCACTTAATATGTACCAGTCACTTTTCTAAGTGCTTTAATGGATTAATTCATTTATGTTTCAAATAGCCTTATGAGATGTATGTGCCATTATTATCATTTTATAGAAAAAAAGTGAAGCACAGAGAGGTTAAGTAACTTGGCAGATGTTACACAGCTAGCGAGTAGCCCAGCTGGGAATCTGGCTTCAAAGCTTACTGTCTAACCACGTGCTTTTCTATTCTCATAATACCAAAAACTGATTTTTTTTGTTGCTGTTGTTTTTTTTAATTTTAAGACGGAGTCCACTTCCCAAGCTCAAGCGATTCTCCTGCCTCAGCCTCGCAAGTAGCTGGAATTAATTACAGGTGTGCGCCATCATGCCTGGGGGGTTTCACCATGTTGGACAGGTTGGTCTCGAACTCCTAACCTTAGATGATGTGCCCTCCTTGGCCTCCCAAAGTGCTGGGATTACAGGCGTGAGTCACTGCGCCTGGCCCCAAAAACTGGTTTTCTGAAGAAAAGGTTTGAATTTAAAAAAACATGAGAGGCTGGGCGCGGTGGCTCATGCCTGTAATCCTGGCACTTTGGGAGGCCGAGGCAGGCGGATCACGAGGTCGGGAGATCAAGACCATCCTGGCTAACACAGTGAAACCCCGTCTTTACTAAAAATACAAAAAATTAGCCGGGCATGGTGGCGGGCGCCTGTAGTCCCAGCTACTCGGGAGGCTGAGGCAGGAGAATGGCGTGAACCCCGGGGGGCGGAGCTGACAGTGAGCCGAGATCGCACCACTGCACCCTTGCCTGGGCAACAGAGTGAGACTCTGTCTCAAAAAAAAACAAAACAAACAAACAAACAAAAAAAAAAACATGAGAATGAGCAAGAGAAAAGGAGAATCAAAATAAAATGTATTAGGAACCAGATAGTAAATATTAAAATCAAGAGATTACCAAGAACAGACAAGAGTAAATTGAAAATCTGAATGAGATAAAGTTTTCTAGAAAAACATAAATTGGCCAGGCGTTGTGGCTCACACCTGTAATCCCAGCACTTTGGGAGGCCAAGGCTGGTGGATCATTTAGCCCAGGACTTCAAGACCAGCCTGGACAACATGGCAAAATCCCATCTCTAAAAAAATACAAAAAAATTAGCTGGGTGTGGTGGCATCTGCCTGTATAGTCCCAGCTCCTCAGGAGGCTGAGGCGGGAGGATTGCCTGAGCCCAGGAGTTGAGGCTGCAGTGATCTGTGAATGTGCCACTGCACTCCAGCGTGAGCAGCAGAGCAAGGCTCTGTCTCCAAAAAGAAAATCATAAATTGCCAAATCAGTGAAACAAGTACAAAACCTAAACAGATCATTTACGTGTCTAATATTTGTTATTCTGCTCTCTTTTATTCTCATGTTATAATATATTGTGGTGAATCTAGGTACTGTTCCTTCAGCCCCTTGTATATTTGAATGCTTTGAAAATAAAAATGGTTGAAAATCATACAGCACATTTGCACCCACCAGAATGGCTAAAATTAAAAACCGATGATAGGTGTTGGTAAGGACATGGAGAGACTGGAACTCACATGCATTGCTGATGGAGGAAGGGTGTAAACTGGTACAACCACTTTGGAAAACTGGCATTATTTTCTGAAGCTGGAAGTAAGCCTATCCCATGATCTAGCAATTCGCAGGTAAATTGCGGACATACATTCACCAACAAATGGCTATAAGCAGCGCTATTCAGATTAACCCAAAACAGCAAACCCAAATGTCCTCAGTAGTGAAATAGATAATAAATTGTGGTATATTCACATAGTACACTAGTGACAGGATAGGAGATGCCTTCCAATTGGAGCATAAACAGAGGGAAAGAATCAGAAAGGTCAAAAAATGGATGGTAGGTTGGCTAATGGTAAGAAGCCCAGTCTTCCCAAATGGTAGAATGTGATAGAAAAGTCATGAAACGTACCATCAGAGAGAAGGTGGAGGATGAGGCCGGGAAGAATGGACATGGCTGGCCCAGGTTCCTAACACATAGTTGTCTGCATGCTTTTGCATTGTCGTATATCTTCTAGGTGACATAAAAATAGAAAAGAGGATGTTCTTTCTTGAAAATAAGCGACGACATTGTAGGTCCTATGACCGACGTGCTCTCCTTCCAGCTGTGCAACAAGAGCAGGAGTTCTATGAGCAGAAAATCAAAGAGATGGCAGAGGTAGGAAGATGTGCTCTGGTCTTGGGGTGTGTTTCTGGGATTCTGGTTTGCTCTTAGGGTTTAGTTAGTACAAAACTGTCTTTTAAGATTTCCCTTTTCTTCAGACTGTTAAATTTGGATATATGCAAAGTTTTTAAAAGAAAAAACCTGGATTTTGTCATAATACTTATGTTTGTGGTTTCATAAATCAGATTCATGTTAGAAAATTTTAATTGGAGCTTAGTGTATCTATTTTACCTCCTCCCTCAGCCTCGGTTCCATTTCGCTCTTTAATTTTTCTAAATATAGTATCAAATGTGCAAGTCAGCTGGAATGTATATATTGGTTGTTTAATAAGTATCTTCTAAACCAGTGGCTCTCAAAGTGTGACCCAGAGATCCCTGGGTTTCCCAAGACTCTCTTGGGGGTCTGCGAGGTCAAACCTCTTATAACTATGCTAAGACATTACAGTGACCCTTGAACAACATGAAAGTTAGGAGTGCTTCCCCCTGTGCAGCTGAAAGTCAGCATATAATGTTTGACTGCCCCAAAACTTCACTGTGAACAGCCTACCGTTGACAGGAAGCCTTACCCATAATAGTCGATGAGCACGTTTGGTATGTTTTGTGTATTACATGCTGTATTCTTAGAATAAGGTAAGCTAGAGAAAACGTTATTAAGAAAATGAGAAGGAAAATATATTTCATATTCATTAAATGGAAGTGTGGATCAGCATGAGAAGGTCTTTATCTTCATGGTCTTCACGTTGAGTAGGCTGAGGAGGAGGGGTGTGTTGGTTTTGCTGTCTCAGGGTGGCAGAAGCAGAAGAAAATCAGCACATAAGTGGGTCCCCACAGTTCACATCTCTGTTGATCAAGCTCAGCTATATTTGCTTTTTCACCATATTGAGTTTGTACCAGCAGAACAAAAGCAGTGGTGCCTTGGCATGAATCAGGCCAGTGTCGTAGAGCCATCGTCACAATCATTGTTTTCTTCACCACCATGCACTTACATTTTTAAGACACACCAGTTTCACCTGAAAATGTCTTTGATAAAGCAGTAAAAATTACTTTACCAAGTTTTGACCGTTGGAAACATCTTTTCAATATTCTGTGTAATAAAATGAAGTCTTCATAAAGTGCTTCTGCCACATCCCAGGATATGAAGCTTGTCTTATATCCAGGTATGAGGAAAGCACTTATGCAACTGAGCCACAAAGCAGCTGCATTGGCCACTTTTTACTTGGAAAAAAGTGACAGAAAAACTATGATTATTCAAAATAGGTATTTGGCAGGCATTTTCTCAAAAATGAATGAAGTGATTATTTTTGACCAAAATTCTAGATTTTAAGCAGAAATTAGAATTTATTGTTTTGATCCATCTGTTATAGAATGACATTCATTGATATCACCAATCTTATCAGATAAGTATTTAAAGTATTGGCAAATTGATGAATGTAGTTCATTGTAGTCTTTTATTCTTGGTGATATTCACATTGTCCCATCTCTGACTATTGGCTGCCCCTTCAAGTTAGTCTCTCTTAACCCGACCCCTGTAGTCTCTGACAACATCTTTGCTTTTGGGCACAGCCAAATGACCCCGTTTCAGCTTCTGCTTTCTCAGACCTGGACTCAACAATTTTCCAAAGTACCTTCTTTGCTTTTTTCTTTTCTTTTTTGACAGAGGAGCTCCATGTGTTACTTAGGCTGGAGTGCAGTGATGCAATCATGGCTTACTGCTTCAACCTACCTCCTGGGCTCAAGCAGTCCTTCCATCTCAACCTCCTGAGTAATTGGGACTGCAGGTGTGCACCACCACACCTGGCTAACTTTTTTTGTAGAGCCTGGGTTTCCCCATGCTGTCCAGGCTGGTCTCGAACTTCTGGCCTCAAGCCGTCCTCCCAACTCAGCCGCCCAAATTGTTGGGGTTACAGGCATGCACCACCATGCCCTGCCAACTTTCTTTTCTCTGATGCTAAAAGTCTTGGTTCTTAATAATATTAATAACATTATTCAATATTTAAAATATTTTAAAGTCACTTGAAATAAATCTCGGTGCTTATACCATTAACTTGATAAACAAGTTTATTCGTTTCTGGCCAGGCACAGTGGCTTATGCATGTAATCCCAGCACTTTGGGAGGCCAAGGCAGGCAATCACTTGAGGCCAGGAGTTCAAGACTAAAAAAACTTAAGTTTGGCCGGGTGGGATGGCTCATGCCTGTAATCCCAGCATGATTACATGCTTTGGAAGGCCGAGGTGGGCAGATCACCTGAGATCAGGAGTTACAGACCAGCCTGACCAACATGGCAAAACTCTGTCTCTACTAA
Organism: Homo sapiens; assembly: GCF_000001405.40. Classification (NCBI taxonomy): domain Eukaryota; kingdom Metazoa; phylum Chordata; class Mammalia; order Primates; family Hominidae; genus Homo; species Homo sapiens. The sequence continues at coordinate 5,718,724 of NC_000007.14, read as the reverse complement.
AAATAAATTAGCTGGGCATGGTGGCACACACCTGTAATCCCAGCTACTTGGGAGGATGAGGCACGAGAATTGCTTGAACATGGGAGGTCGAGGTTGGTTGCAGTGAGCCAAAATCATGCCACTGCACTCCAGCCTGGGCAACAAAGCAAGACTCAGTTTCAAAAAAAAAAAAAAGGGTGGGTTATTTCTTTCTGTTTGTTTTGAACTTTTAGAGAATTGGTTTTGTTTTTTTGTCTAAGGTTGTAAAAATTTTAGTTCTGAAATAAAAACTATAAAACAAGGAATATTCAGAAATATCTAGCTTTTGTGCTGTCCCTTTCTCGCATTTTGTTTGTTTGTTTTTTGAGACGGAGTCTCGCTTTGTCACCCAGGCTGGAGTGCAGTGGCAGGATCTCGGCTCACTGCAACGTCTGACTCCTGGGTTCAAGGGCTTCTCCTGCCTCAGCCACCTTAGTAGCTGGGATTACAGGTGCGCCCCACCATGCCTGGCTAATTTTTGTATTTTTAGTAGAGACAGGGTTTCGCCATGTTGACCAGGCTGGTGTCAAACTCCTGACCTTAAGCAATCCCCCCACCTTGGCCTCCCAAAGTGCTGGGATTATAGGCGTGAGCCACTGCACCTGGCCCCCTGCTTTGTTTATATATAACCATTATTGTTAGTCTTTGGTTTACCTTTCCTTATTTTATGGAAAAGCAAATAAGTATACGTATTTTTATTTACCCGTCTTTCTTATCCAGATAGTAGCAGACCAAGTAGCTGGGATTACAGGTGTGTGCCACCATGTGTACTAGCTCACACCTGTAGTCCCAGCTACTCGGGAAGCTGAGGTGGGAGGATCTCTTGAGCCTGGGAGGTCGAGGCTGCAGTGAGCTGAGATTGCACCACTGCACTCCAGCCTGGGCGACAAAGTGAGACTCTGTCTCATAAATAATTTAATGTAATCCCAAATGTTGGCAGACTCTTCTGCGACTGCATTTTTCATTTAACCATGCATCCTGGCAGTCACTCTGCAGCAATTCATAGGGATTTTTCTCTTTCCTTTTTGAAACTGGCTGGTATACCATTTTATGTAATACCACAGTTTATTCAGTCATTCCCCTATTGATGGATGTTTAGGGTTGTTTCCAGGTTTTTGCTATTATAAATAGTGCCATGATAAGTTTGTGCATACATCATTCCCTGTTTCTGCCCAGTTGCATCTTTGGGCTAGACTCTTGGAAGTGGCATTGATGACTCTGTGCCAGTGCCCCACCAGTGTGGTTGTCTTGTTTTGCATTCTCACCAGTAATGTGTGGGGGTGCCCACTACCACACAGCCTCGCCAGCGAAGTCTGTTGTTAAACTTAGTTTTTGTATGTTTGTTTGTTTTTTGAGATGGAGTTTCACTCTTGTTGCCCGGGCTAGAGTGCAATGGTGCGATTTCGGCTCACTGCAACCTCTGCCTCCCAGGTTCAAGTAATCTTCCTGCTTCAGCCTCCCAAGTAGCTGGGATTACAGGTGCACGCCACCATGCCCAGCTAATTTTGTATTTTTAGTAGAGATGGGGTTTTTCCATGTTGGTCAGGCTGGTCTCGAACTCCTGATCTCAGGTGATCTGCCCACCTCGGCCTTCCAAAGTGCTGGGATTACAGGCATGAGCCATCCCACCCGGCCAAACTTAGTTTTTATTTGTTCAGTTTGTTTTTGTTGATGCTATTCTTTGCTGTTCAAAGTGTTTTATGTGTCAGCCTTTTCCCTTATTTATTCTACATTTTGAGTCATACTTAAGAAATATTGTCCTGTATTTTCTAGCTCTCTGATCCACTTAAAATTTATTCACAGGTAACCTTTTTGAACTGCTAAACTGTGTAATTGAAGAGATCGCAATACTGGAGTTATGTTTATGGAAATAAATACTAAATGGTTAGTGTCATTTTTACTAAATTTGTGTCTGAATGTGTGCCTTTTTTGTTCTTCAGCATGAAGACTTTTTGCTTGCCCTACAGATGAATGAAGAACAGTATCAAAAGGTAGTTTGAAATCTCACCTTGTTTATTCTGGGCATTTTCATGGGCTGTTTTCTCTTACCATGTTTTGTCAGCATTTTTGATGGCAAATTTGTTTTTGGATAACCTCCTGTTTGGTGAGTTTGCAGTTCAGCCAAGTTATAGTCAGATACGTGATCTAGTATAGTCACTCTTATACCACACTGAATCAGAATTGAAGGGAAGATAATAGATGTTCCTGTTAAAAATCATTACCTGACATTCATCAGATACACTCATAAAGGAAAGTTTACAACTTAGATATCACTTTAGAGTTAACGAGGTATGTCTAACCTCAGGGCAAGATGGGTTTCTGTATGTAAAAAAAATGCCCAGCTAATTTTTGTATTTTTAGTAGAGACGGGGTTTCACCATGTTGGCCAGGCTGGTCTTGAACTCCTGACCTCAGGTGATCCACCCATCTCAACCTCCCAAAGTGCTGGGAACAGGTGTGAGCCACTACACCTGGCTACTGACCCTTTCTAATGTGGTATTAAGAATGGGTTGGTGGCCGGGCACCGTGGCTCGTGCCTGTAATTCCAGCACTTTGAGAGGCCAAAATGGGAGGATTGCTTGAGCCCAGGAGTTTGAGACTAACCTGGTCAACATAGCAGCACCCCATTTCTAATAAAAATTAAAAATAAATAAATAAAAGAATGGGGCTGGATGCAGTGGCTCACTCCTGTAATCCCAGCACTTCGGAAGGCCAAGGCAGGCACATCACGAGGTCAGGGGTTTGAGACCAGCCTGGTCAACGTGGTGAAACCCCGTCTCTACTAAAAATACAAAAAATTAGCTGGGCATAGTGGCGGGTGCCTGTAATCCCCACTACTCGGGAGGCTGAAGCAGGAGAATCGCTTGAACCTGGGAGGTGGAGGTTGCAGTGAGCCAAGATCGTGCCACTGCACTCCAGTTCGGGCAACAGAGTGAGACTCCATCTCAAAAAAAAAAAAAAAAAAAAAAAGAATGAGTTGGTGATTGGATCCGTTGCTATAGTTAATAAAAGGAGTCAATAGCCTGGTACATTACTTGAGGTTGCTGCTTTAGTTATAGCTTCAATAGTCCCTTAAAATAAAGCGCAGACCTCGATAGACCCATTCACACTCCTTATGACAAGAACAAAATTCAACTTTTGAAAGTTTTTTGGGTAACATCTCTCATACTCCTTATCCTTGCTGTTTATAATCACATTAGCATCTGAGTACAGATGTTCTAGTTCCCTTTGCACCATGGGATTGAATATGATAACTTTATATAAAGAATTACTCTAAAGAATACCAGAAAAAAAACACGAAAACCTCGCTGTTTTAGGTATGGATTAATACTGTGTTAGTATCTTGAGCTAGATTTATATAGCACGAAACAGCATATCATTGTTTTATGGCCCCTAAAATGGGTTGCTTTACCTCAGAATTTGTGTGGGGGGTGGCAGAGAGATGAGGATGGGAGACAAGGCTCCCCCTCTCCTTAAGTGCAGGACATTTCATGTGTGTTTCTTGACTGCCTGCAGGATGGCCAGCTGATTGAGTGTCGCTGCTGCTATGGGGAATTTCCATTCGAGGAGCTGACGCAGTGCGCAGATGCTCACTTGTTCTGCAAAGAGTGTCTCATCAGATATGCCCAAGAGGCAGTCTTTGGATCTGGAAAGGTAAGAACTGTGTAATATGTCCCATGTATATAGGACACATTCCTGGAGTCTAAGGAGACCATGTTGATAGATAAGTGTAAGTGCCTCTTTGAGGGTGAGGTGGAGTTCTGCTGGTATGCTTATGTGTACATTACCTGATGTATGTGATTATGTGGGTTCTCTGAGCACAGCAGATTTCTTTTCAGGGCACAGTAGAATTCTTCCACACTCCCACGCCTAGCCGCAGAGGAGCACCTCCTTCGTTCATCATCTTATTTGTATTCAGAGGGAAGGTTACCTCAGAAAGAGAGAACCTTGCAGCCTATTGGATTAAATATATATTAAAATAACATAACTTACTTTACACAAGATCATATTTCTCTCTCCAAAGTGAGTTTCTCTGGACACCAGCATAACAAACACAGTATGGGAATTTTACATTGTTTTACACCACCGAGTTTGTGGTATTTTGTTCCAGCAGCAATAGAAAACTAACACAGTGATTAAGAAGATGACTTTTTGCCCGGGTGGCTCACGCCTGTAATCCCAGCACTTTGGGAGGCCGAGGTAGGCGGATCACCTGAGGTCAGGAGTTCAAGACCAGCCTGACCAACATGGAGAAACCCCATCTCTACTAAAAATACAAGATTAGCCAGACCTGGTGGCGCATGCCTATAATCTCAGCTACTGGGGAGGCTGAGGCAGGAGAATTGGTTGAATCTGGGAGGCAGAGGTTGTGGTGAGTTGAGATCGTGCCATTGCACTCCAGCCTGGGCAACAAGAGTGAAACTCCATCTCTAAAAAAGAAAAATAGGCCAGGCGCTGTGGCTTATGCCTGTAATCCCAGCACTTTGGGAGGCTAAGTTGGGTGGATCACAAGATTAGGAGTTCGAGACTAGCCTGGCCAACATGGTGAAACCCCATCTCTGCTAAAAATACAAAAATTAGCCAGGTGTGGTGGTGGGTGCCTGTAATCCAGCTACTCGGGAGGCTTAGTGAGCTGAGATCGCACCACTGCACTCCAGCCTTGGTGACAGGGCGAGACTCTGTCTCAGAAAAATAAATAAATAAAGTTTATGTTTTTTCAAAGAGCGTGACCTTTGGAGTCAAGCAGAATGCATTGGGCCATGCCCCCATCAGCCATACTAGCCCTGTGATCTTGAGCAATTTAAATTCCTTAAGCCACTGTTTCTTCCTCTGTAAAATGGAAATAATCATAGCATTGTTTTGAAAGCTAAATGAGGTGATGAGTTTAATGAACTTATTGTTTGACACATGGTAAATGCCTCATAAATTTTAGCTAGTTATTTTTAAAATGTCGTCTTTTTCCATTTGTTTTCTTTGGTGTTTGTCTTTCATGTGGGAAGCATTCCTCATGTCTGACACTTTTTGTTCATGTTAAAGAGCTGTTTGAAAGCTGTGTGAGTAGTGGGGCTTATAGACCAGTGAGTTTGACTCTAGGTGCATAGGAGCCAGTTAGCTTTTATATTATGAACCTGAATGGCTCTGAAGTCTCTTACCTGGGGTGATTCAGTCTGCCTCCTGCCTGGTGGGTGTGAGCCCATTTTCCAACATTCTGAAACTGAGGGGGAGGAAAGGTCTGGAGAGTTCTCTGTTCATTATGCAGACTCCATTTCAGACTCTGACTTCAGGCCACCCCTCAGCTCTGCTCTCCTCTATGAGTGGTTTCCAGTCCAGAGCCGTGTGGTCCAGCTGTTCAGGAGATCTTCCTCATTTCTCTCAGAGTCAGCCAATTCCTTCTGAAGCGGGTAGGAACTAGAGGCTCCACCCATGTCCCTGTTTTCAGTTTATTACTTTGAGTCCCTGCCCCTCCCCACCACTCAGCTCTGCTTTCCAGAGGTTCTCCAGCTTTCTAATATCTGTAGAGGGGAACAACTTCTCCCCAGCATCTCCTTTTCAGACCCTAAGCTATGGGCTTCTGTGTGTGGTCTGCTAAGCCATTTGCCCTTCCGCCACTTTCAGTCTTTGTGGATTGTGATTTGGGCTAATAGAGGTCCTTTAGTGATATCAAAGATGTACTGGATTTTTGTTTCATGGTTTCCATGATTTAAGTGTGATTTCTCAGAGATGAACAGGCAGAGAGATCCTTGCTATGTTGTCTCAGGATCTATGTTTTTAACCACTGACGCTTTTTATTTTTCTATAAATGGTATTGATTTTTTTTTCTTTGCCTTTTCGCCTTTTTCTAGTTGGAGCTCAGCTGCATGGAAGGCAGCTGCACGTGTTCGTTCCCAACCAGTGAGCTGGAGAAGGTGCTCCCCCAGACCATCCTGTATAAGTACTATGAGCGAAAAGCCGAGGAGGAGGTTGCGGCAGCCTACGCCGACGAGCTTGTCAGGTTCGTTCTCAGGCAGAGCGTGCCATCTGCCAACTCTTCCCCATTGTGAAAACTACCTGGGCACTTGCATCAGATGATGAAAATTGTGTTTATCTTCCAGGTTTTTTGACATTTCTTGCTGAGAAATAAGATTATCAATAATTTTACTTATTTATTTTTATTTTTTACGCCTCAGAACCATTGAGTAACCAGTAATTCTATTAATGGAAAAATCTGCCCCTCAAACTTCTTTTTTTTTTTTTGAGGTGGATTCTCGCTCTGTCGCCCAGGCTGGAGTACAGTGGTGCAATCTTGGCTCACTACAACCTCCGCCTCCTGAGTTCAAGCAATTCTCATGCCTCAGCCTCCTGAGTAGCCTGGATTACAGGCGTGCACCACCACATTCCAGCTTATTTTTAGTAGAGACGAGGTTTTGCCATGTTGGCCAGGCTGGTCTCCAACTCCTGACCTCAAATGATCCACCCACCTCAGCCTCCCAAAGTGCTGGGACTACAGGCGTGAGCCACCGCGCCCAGACTGTAGCTCAAACTTCTGTCTACATATCTTGGCACCCCCAAATCTTCTGGCCCGTAGATACAATCATGGTGCCCTGGGCTGGAGGGAAATCGGTATATGCAAGGAGTTCTCATTAAGGTTGGGACGTGTTTATTGAGTGGTTTATATTCAGTCAGGACCTCATGTGGTGCTTATGTTTCCTGATAAGAGCCAGCACAAAGAAGAGGTTCAATCTGTGTTTTTAAGGAAAACTAAGGAGTATAAAGGGGATGTGAATGTCCAGCTCAAAACTCCATCTTCATATGAACAGCCACATGGAGCTGGAACCAGATCAGGCTTTAATGTTTGAAGTAATGTCAGTTCTGCTGTTCTGACTCTAGGTGCCCGTCCTGTAGCTTTCCGGCTCTGTTGGACAGTGATGTGAAGAGGTTCAGCTGTCCTAATCCTCACTGCCGAAAGGTAGGGAGGCACATTTTTTTCTAGATGTATATTGAATTATGGTATTATGGGCTGCCCTCATGGCCCAAATATCTGCTGTTTACCTGACTGCTGATGTATAAGAAGGATTTGAGTGCTTTCCTTTTCATAAGCAAATGAGGACGAGTACTTTGTGAGTAACGGTTGACATGGTTACTGAGATGGCAGCCACTCTTGCCACTCCAGTTACAAAGCTCTGGATTCCTATTTTATATCATCTTCTTTAGGACAGATACTATAATGTAAAGTGGGAAGTGTTTAGTTTTTCTTCCACTGTGTCAACATTTTTCTTGCTTGCTCTCTTCACCACCTGTGCTCAAATAGCCCCTGCTACCCCTCCCTCCCCACACACACACCTTTTGCCATTTTCAAAGTCCAAACGACGCTTCTTTGATTGAGGAACTGGGCATCTTAGTGGCATCTCCATCACATCTGGTAGGTTATTTATTTGACTGTTTCTCCTCATGAGAACTGACTATATTACGTGGGAGCAGAGCTGTCTAGGTGCATTACTGTTGCAGATCTTTGTTCCCTTTAACTTGGCGCCCTGTGAACTAAGAATGTCTTAAAATCTTTCAGCTATTTAGAAGCCACTTAGAGTTTTTAGTGAATATTAGCATCCACCTAGACAAATACGCTCTAAGCCATTTTTCTAAAATTGCATGATTAGAGTTGAACACTGCAATATCTTTGCCTTGGGGAGAGTAAAGAAATTAAGGTAGAGATTAGAAAAGGAAGAATAAACTAAACTAATGGATCAAAACTTTATTTCTTTTGTTTTCAGCATTAATATTTCTGGCCATTTTATATGTTCGCACCCCAGGCTGTTGCTATAACAATTGTCACAACAGTCGCTGGCATCTTGCAGCTCTTAAGAAAGCAGAGTGCTAGCGTGTCCCTTGTGTGCTTCCAGTGGGTCAGGTGTTGGACTGCCTGGGGAGGTGATGCCTACGCTAAGATGCAGCAGATAAGGAGGAAGTAGCCAAAGGATGGAAAGGGTGGGAGTGGAGTGGAGATGGAGAAATGTTCTAGGCCCCGGGAGTGGCAGCAATGTGGACGCTTACTGGTGCTAGGAGTGTGAAGGAGGCTCATAAGCTGAGTAGGGGCAGGCCCATGCAGCACACTGTCCTGAGGTGGGGAGAGATAAAATATAAGGAAAGTCTACTTGCCTATTGAGTAGTCCAGGTGAGAAATGTACAGCACTGCACAGCCTCTTGGGTCTTCATGAGTTGCTTAGAAGGAGCTGGGAACTACATTTCCTGGTAAGGTTTCAAAGAAGGTCTGCCAGTGAAAGTGCTTATGTACAATTGGGAAGGCCAAAGAAGAGGAGAGACCATTATTCTCTGAGGACGTTTTTTGTTTTTGTTTTTGTTTTTAAGTTTTGAGGCAGGGTCTCACTCTGTTGCCCAGGCTGGAGTGCAGTGGCACGATCTCAGCTCACTGCAACCTCCGCCTCCTGGCTTCAAGCAGTTCTCCTGCCTCAGCCTCCCAAGTAGCTGGGATCACAGGTATGCGCCACCACGCCTGACTGATTTTTATATTTTTAGTAGAGATGAGGTTTCACCATGTTGGCCAGGCTGGTCCTGAACTCCTGGCCTCCAGTGATCCGCCCACCTCAGCCTTCCAAAGTGCTGGTATTACAGGTGTAAGCCACCACCCCCAGCCTGAAGACATTTAAAAGCAGCTGCATTGGTTGCCCAGTGGCTCATGCCTGTAATCCCAGCACTTTGAGAGGCTGAGGCAGGAGGATCTCTTGAGACTAGGAGTCCGAGACCAGCCTGAGCAACATAGACCCTATCTCTACAAAAAAAATTTTAAAACTCAGCTAGGCATGGTGGTGTGTGCCCATAGTCCTAGCTACTTAAGAGACTGAGGCAGGACAATCAGTTGAGCCCAGGAGATTGAGGCTGCACTGAGCCATGATTGCGCCACTGCACTCTAGCCTGGACAACAGACTAAGACTCTGTCTTTAAAAGAAAAAAATTTAAAAAATAAAAGCCTGAGGGCACACATGAGTCTGGAACAGCATCTAGTGAGTATCAACTTGGCATGTTGGTGGGAGCTTCCCAGGGGCTCTTAAGATCCCAAATAGGAACACCACATATGTTTTTGTTTGTCTATGGGAGGAATATACATGGCCTGCTGAACTTGAAGGTAGCCATGTAGCTTCTTGTGGTCAGTGAAACATGTGAGTAGTTAGATCACTTGCAGAAAAAGCCGTAAAGGCATGTGGTGTGGGGTAGTGTCAAGATGACAGAAGAGAAAGCTCCAGACCCTCTTTTTCCCATAGAGAGAACAGTTCAACAACAACGGAAGGACCATTTCTCTCTGTGAGAAATCCAGAAACCAGTTGCATCAAAGGCTGGGGAATTTGTGACGCTGGCTCTCCAGAGTTCCTCCCCCTGGCACAGCACCATGTGATTGGGAGGAAGCTCCCAACTCCTGGCATCTTTCTGGGGAGGAAAAAGAAGACTGGAACATATATCTAATATTCAGACCTTTCAGGAGGCTGCTCAAGGGACTGGTTTCTGTCTTGTCTCACAGGAAAGGGCACCAGGTTGGGGACCTCTGAGGACAAATGGGATGGTGAAACTAGCACGTACTGACTCCTCATTGCCCTCTCCCTGCTCTTCTCGGGAGGGAAGGAGTTGGAGCATGAGTCCAGCATTCTAGGTTTTCTGGAGTCTGCCCAAGACTCTCGTTCCTGTCTCACTCGATGAAGCACTGATGGGACCTGGCATGGTCTAGGTCCCTGGGGGCTGCTGAGAACAAGAGAAAGCTGGGTGGTTTGTACTGCGCCAGAGGACCCACGGTACAGTAGGCAGAGTCCAGTGCACCTCGAAGGCTGCTTTTTGGGTCCAGGGGAAGAGTAGAGCATGTGTTCAGCATTTGGGCTTCTCAAGGGGCTGCCTGAGGGACTGGCTTCTGTCTCACCCAACTCACTGCTGGCAGAACCCAACCTACTCTAGATGCCTTGGAGCTGCTGAGGCCAAAAAAGAGCTGGGCAGCTTACAGCAGCTCCAGAGGGCCTGTGATACCTCAGACAGGCACCAGAAGAAGCAAGAGCTTGCAAGCTCCTGAAAAAAGGAAAACAAAAGCCTGAGCACTTATATTAGCCTACGATTTAGCAAAATCTTCTTGCAGGAAGCCTATTTTAGAATAAAGTATGAGTATCTCATGTAATTTATTGAGTACTGTACTGAAAGTGAAAAAGAGAATGATTGTATGGGTACTTGAATTACAGTTTCTACTGAATGTGTATCACTTTCACACCACAGTAAAGTCAAAAAGTGTAAAACCATTGTAAGTTGGAGACCATCTGTATATGCACCCGACATCAGTGCACCCAAATATGTGAAGCAAATATTGACAGCCGAAGGGAAAAATAACACAAAAATAGTAGGAGATTGCAATACCTCACTTTCAATCATTGTTAGCACCACCAGGCAGAAGATTAGTAAGGAAACAGCTGACTTGAACAACACTATAGACCTAACAGACACATACAAAATATTCTAGCCAACAGGCACAGAAAACACTTTTTCTCCTCTGTTGCGCATGGAACATTTTCCAGGATGGAGAATATTAGATCATAATACAGGTCTTAACAAATTTAAGATCAAAATCATACCAAGTATCTTTTCCAGCCACAAGGCGATACACTTAGAAATCACAAACAGCAAGAAAATTCACAAAGTATGAGAACTAAACACACTGTCCGGGCATGGTGGCTCCCACCTGTCATCCTGGCACTGTGGGAGGCCGAGGCAAGTGGATCACCTGAATTCTGGAGTTCGAGACCAGCCTGGCCAACATGGCAAAACTCTGTCTCTACTAAAAATACAAAAATTTAGCTGGGTGTGGTTGCGTGCGCCTGTAATCGCAGCTACTTGGGAGGCTGAGGCAGGAGAGAATCGCTTGAACCAGGGAGGTGGAGGTTGCGGTGAGCAGAGATTGTGCCGCTGTACTCCAGCCTGGGCGACAGAGTGAGACTCTGTCACAAAAAAAAAAAAAAAAAAAAAAACCACACACACACACTGAAAAGCTTTTTTTTACTAAGATCAGGAACAAGGCAAGGATATCACTGTCACCACTTCCATGCTATATAACACTGGAAGCCCTAGCTAGAGCTATTTGGCAGGAAAAAGCAAAAGCATCTATATCCGTGCAAGTTCACAGATAACATGATCTTATACATAGAAAAATCTGCAATTTCCACAAAAAAACTTGTTAGAATTAATATATTCAGTAAAGGTGCAGGATACAAAATTAGCACATAAAAATCAGTTGCGTTCCTGTACACTAACAAACACTCCAAAAAGAGAAATTAAGAAAATCTAATTTATAATACATCAAAAAAGTTGGAATACTTAGGAACAACTTAACCAAGGAGTGGGTAAAGACTTATACACTGAAAACTATAAAAAACTGCTGAAATAATTAAAGAAGACATAAATAAATGGAAAGACATCCCTAAAATGCATATGGAACCACAAAGGATCCCAAATATCCTAGACAGTCTTAAGAAAGAAGAACAAAGCTGGAAGCCTCACACTTCCTGACTTCAAAACTTATTACAAAGCTACAGTAATTTAAACAGGCAGACATGTAGACCAATGGAACATAATACAGTGCTCAGAAATAAATCCACACATTTATGATCAGCTGATCTTCAACAAGGGTGCAAAGAACACCCACCGGGGGAAAAGGTAGTCTCTGATTAATGGTGCTCTGTAAACTGAATATCCACATGCAAAAGAATGAACTTAGACGCTGATACCATATCTCATATCATAACACAAAAATCAACTCTTTAAATGGATTAAAGACTTAAGTGTAAGACCTGAAACTATAAAAACTAGAAGAAAACGTAGGTGGAAAGCTTCATGACATCAGTCTTGGCAATGATTTCCTGGGTATAATACCAAAAACAAGGTGACAAAAGCAAAAAACAGGCAAGTGACTACTAAGATGCTTTCAGCAAAGGAAACCATCAACAGAGTGAAAAGGCAGCCGGTGGAAAGGAATTGAAATCCTTTGGGAAAGGATCTCAGCATGTTCCTGTGTTCATTGCAGCATTATTCACAGTAGCCACAAGATGGAAACCACTTACTGACATGTTCGTCAACAGATGAATGGTTAAAATTTGGTATATTATGCAGCCTTTGAAAAGAAGGAACTCCTGGCACATACTAACAACACAGATAAACCACCTTGAGGGACATTGTGTTCAGTGCAATTAGCCAGTCATAGAAGGACAGATACTGCACGATTCCACTTAAATGCAGGATCTAAAGTAGTCAGACTCATAGAAACACAAAGTAGAACCCTGGGTGCCAGAGGCTGGGAGAAGGCAAAGTGGGGAGTCACTGTGCAGTGGGAAGTTTCAGTCATGCCAGATTAAGTTGTTTAGAGATCAGCTGTACAACATTTTGCTAACAGACCCTGTACACTTAAAAATGTGTTAATTGGGTAGTTTTTGTATTGTGTGTTTTCACCACAATTTTTTTTTTTTTTTTTTTTGAGATGGAGTGTCGCTGTGTTGCTCAGGCTGGAGTGCAGTGGTGCAATCTCAGCTCACTGCAACCTCCACCTTCCGGGTGCAAGCGATTCTCCTGCCTCAGCCTCCTGAATAGCTGGGACTACAGGCACATGCCACCATGCCCGGCTAATTTTTTGCATTTTTAGTAGAGACGGGGTTTCACCATGTTAGCCAGGATGATCTTGATCTCCTGACCTCGTAATCCTCCACCTGCTTCGGCCTCCCAGAGTGGTGTTTTGTTTTGTTTTGTTTTGTTTTGTTTTGTTTTGTTTTGTTTTGTTTTAGTTTTTGTTGAGATGGAGTTTCGCTCTTCTTGCCCAGGCTGGAGTGCAATGGTATGATCTTGGCTCACCATAACCTCCGCCTCCCAGGTTCAAGCAATTCTCCTGCCCCAGCCTCCCGAGTAGCTGTGATTACCTGCATGTGCCACCACGCCCGGCTAATGTTGTATTTTTGTAGAGGCGGGGTTTCTCCATGTTGGTCCGTCTGGTCTCGAACTCCTGACCTCAGGTGATCTGCCTGCCTTGGCCTCCCAAAGTGCTGGGATTACAGGGTGAGCCACCGTGCCCAGCCTACCGCAGTTTTTTTTAAAGGGCATATGGTTCATTTTTTCCCTCTGCCAAGAGGGATGTGCAGCATGAGTGAGAACAAAGTCTGTTTTGAACTACTGAGGTTTGAGTTTGTTCCAGCAGCATAACCTAGCACATCCTGACTGATAAGGATCATAAGGACCATAACTGCCCTTGGAGTTGGAGAACAGGAGCAGATTTGAGAGGTAGAGGATTAGAAGGTGATATGTTGCATGTGAAGGTGGGGAGAAAGCCAGAGGTCTCACAGGCGTGTCTGGTTTGGACCACTATGTAGTTGATGATGCTGTTTACAAAACTGGAAATGGAATCCAAAAGATTCAGGAGAGATTACTTTTGTTTTGGACATGTTGAGTTTTTAGGGGAGACATCCAGTGTGTACGTGTTTTTACAATGCCTGGCACATAGTAGGTGCTCCATAAATCAGTGACCCTAGATCAGTGATCCGGGTCAGTAACACAGGGAGAGATCTAGGCTGGAAAAAGATTTTGGAGTCTGAAATGAGCAGCAAAAGGAGGAAAGAGGAGGAGAGGGGTAAGGTGCCCATCAGGGAGATTATTATTAGCTTAGAAATGCTGGGCCATGCTAAGTTTAAAGTATGTTTTTTCATTTATTCACATCTTTTTATGCCCCTCAGCAACGTTTTGCAGTGGAGAGAATGTGTGTTATGATTACATGATGGATTACAGTATGTTTCAGAACTTGACTTTCACCTATGGATAACAGCATTCACATTTTAGTTTCTAATGTTAGGGTAAGGATTGTAGGTGTTTGGCCCATCATGGAAAATAAAGTGAAAAATGTTATATGGGGACCTGAGGCAGTGACGGCCTGGTGGAGCTGGCTCAGTGACCACCAGAGGAATGAGAGAAGTCCCCACCTTGTCCTTTGGATGAGAAAGGAGAGTTTATGCCTAATCTTCTGTCCTTATTTGTGGGCTGTGGAACGAGTTGCCACTAGGTGGCACAGATGCTCCATGAGGAAAGGGTTTTCTTCCTCTTGGGTGTTTGAAAAGTATGTGTCAGCAAAACACTGTTTTGTAAGCAGAATTGACACAGTTCTTTTGGGCTCAGTACCAAAGCAAATCGCTACGTGCATTTAGACTTTATCTAAGAAGTCCATGTTATTAGCGCATACGCTTTTACCTTTCTCAGTTGTGCAAATTCTCCTTATGCCATTCTTTGTAGCAAGATGGCTAAAGCAGTCGCTAATCCTTGAGGATTCCTGATATTTAAGACATGAGCCACAAGCTAATTTTGACCCGTGTGAGACTAAGGGCACCTGCTTTCTCATTGCAGTGTCTTTGCCAGTAATATAAATTCCAGTTGGCTTTTCAGGAACTTGTCGCTCTGAAATGAGGCGTTTATATTAATACGGCATTAATATAAACGTATTAATATAAGACGGCCTCTGGAGGAGGACTTGAATGGCTGGAATCAGTCCTCTGGAATCCCTGAAGAATAAGACACTGTATCTTTGATGAAATGGAGAGAGTCTTTGTTTCATTGATATGATGGAATGCTTTTGTCAAGGCTCTCAGCTCCCTTGTGTGTTCTCAGATAAAGAATTCATTAGTTTGTTTTCAGTGTGCTGCTTTTAGGAATGAATTGGGTGTGTTTGGTGTGAGACTGAAGAGTGTTACATAAAAGGAGATTTGAAGGTGATGCTTCTGGAATATGTATTCTTAGGGTCAGAAGTTTCACTGTTGAGTCTTTTCTGCCTTGCCACAGCCATAACTTTGCTTTATAAACTCAGAGCTGTGTAAGTCAAGTTTTCCAGAAACTTAGGGCCACAAGGTGGAGGTTTAGGCACACTCATGAAGCAAGCGCTAACGACGAGAGACCATCAGGTGGTGAGAGTTTAATCAGAGTAACTGAAGAACATCTGGTGTAGTCTTTTCGTGGAAACTGCAAATGTGTGTGTGGTTGTGTAACCACCCATCTTTTCCCAATGTCACTTGTATTTATTTATCTTTTCTCACCTGCCAGCTTTCTTCCCTGCTTGTTTTTCTGCCCTTTCTAGGTTCCCATCCTATTCTTTGTAGCATTTGCTGTTTTTAACTTTACAGCCGTGAAGTACAACCAAAATTCACATCTGCAGTGAACCAGTTTGTTGGTTAAAAAACAGGCATCTGCAGCCTCCTACAGTAGCTGCATGGCTGCGTGAAGAGAATGTAAATGAGTGTGGACCAGCTATCAATGCCAGGGCAGCTCCAGCTGTGATGGCGGGTGGTTGGCACTTATTAACAGCACTCTAATTTGGGGCCCAGCCAGTCAGCTGACTCCTGTGCTGAGCACGGCCTTCACATTTATCTAGAGATGAATGAAGCTTGGGCCACTTGTTCCTACTATCAGGGAAGACCTTTATTCAGGAAGTAGCGTTGACAAGAACCAAATAGCTGGGTAACAAAAAGATTTTTAAGCCCACAAATGAGGACTCATTTACTGGAGTGGAAGTCCATGCTGCATGATGTGAGTCAAATATGAAGGAGGGTGGTGTGAGAATTTCTCATCATGGAATGTGACCTGCCCTTGCTCCTCCAAGGTGAGTCACTTTCTTCAGAGCCCAGCATGGGTCCCTCTGAAGAGCTTCAGGTTCAGGCCGCAGAAGGACGCTCCCTTACAGGTATATCATGTAGGGTGCCTGGCAGAGCTCTCAGCTCATATTGGTCCCCACAGCAGCCCTACAAAATAGACACTGGCTTAAAGTCAGGTGATGGTAAATGGCAGAGCTGAGTGGGTCGCAGACACCATCCCTGTGAGCCTCCCTTCCGTCACGTACTGAGCAGGGCTGGCGTCATAGCAAGGAGGCTTCAGGATTTTTAACTCTACTTGTGTCTGAGTACTTCTGTCAGTTTTCACTTTTTAAAATTTCACTTTTTAAAATTTAAAAGCATAGTGAATCTATTCATCACAGACTTCTTGATCCTGGGAAGGTTTTGGTTAATTACACACGCAAGCACATCCTCTTCCCTTACCTGCTATTGAAGCACAGTAAATACAGCATAGAGTAGATGTGTTTGTTAGATTCTTTTAAAGAAGAAGAAAAATAATAAAAGGCAAATGTTGCTTGCCTCCCTTCCCACCCTGCCTTCCCATTAAGAGTCAAATACCATGCTTGCTGTTTCAGTGATTATTCAGAAGGGAGAGAGCTGACAACCCGAAATAGGGAAAGGTAAAAATACATACGCATTATAACAAAACGCCAATATGAATAAAAATTTTATTTTTGTTTCTGCTTGGCCCTGTGGAAATAGTTTTTTACCCCTGTATTTCAGCTACTTTATCCCTCATGTCAGATGCTAATGGTAGAAGCACCTGCCTCTCCCCTTGGCCCGCCTTGGAGGAGGCTGGGAGCTGTGAGTGAACATGGACTATGCTGCCACTCCCACTCCCTCTGCAGGGCTGCTGCAGCCCCTCAGGTTTCTCCCCTCGAAACTCGCAGAGGCAACTGCTGACCCCCCGGCAGGTGGCAGAGCCCACACCCACCTGCATTTCAGAGCCAAGGAAGTCTAGAGTCAGCGTGGGCTCCGAGAACCCGGCAGCGACCTGGGGCCTCAGATGTCGCCGACCTCCCTGATCCCTAGGAAATGGGCCTGGCTCTTCCTTGTCCCAGACAACATCCTGGTGCTCCCTTCTGGTCCTGAGCTGCCTTCCTGGGTTAGTGTTTCCACCTTCTCAGGAGACCAGTCACGAACCTCCTGTTCCATTCACATGAAGAGGCATTGTTTGGGACACGTCTTTTGCTGGGCTTTCATAGTAAGTTGTCTGTTTCAACAGTTCTTTTGAAGCCCTTACGTGAGAAGTGTTGATTGATGTGCAGCTCTGCACAGCACTGGGTGCTGTGAGGCCATGAATGGCAGTGAAATGCGTGGCTGTTGCTGCATCACAGTGAGGGAAACGGTATAGCTCAGTGGTTAAGACAAGGGATTTTGATATTAAACCCACTTATGCTTTAATTCTAGCTCCTCCACTCACTAGCTTTGTGACATAGGGTGAATACTTGATCTCCCTAAGCCACATTTCCTTTCCGTGTACAATAAGAACGGTTGCACCTACCTCGTAGAGCTTTTGTGCAAAACCAATGGAAACAGCGTGGGTAAAGTGTCAAGTGCAGTGCCTGGCACTTTGTGTCACGAAGTAATAGCTGCCCAGTGAGGATGGTGTGTGCAGATGTGCGGCCTCAGGAGATGAACGGAGATCCTAGAAAGGGGGAACTGCCTCCAGTTTTGTGAACCTGCTGCCACAAGAGCATGGAGTTCCCCTAAAGTGGGCAGGTGGAAAATCCCATCAGGGAACAGAAGATGACTCATCACTCACCACTCAACTCATTTCTACCAGCTCCCCAGTGTTCTGCCATGTAAAGGGGTAGATTTTTCAACCTGATTTTTTTGCTAACTGATACATTCTATAAGAAATGACAGCTCTCCTTTAGTCCACGTTATTCAAGTTCAGAGAAGGGCCCTGTGCAACCTGGGGAGAGCCACGTGCTGGGGGAGGCTGTCGTGTGTGTGCTCCCACTCTCAGGGTCTGCACTCTCTGTCCACAGCACTGCTGTGCTCCTTCTCTCAGGTTTCATGTTGATTTCTTACTCCTACTCAGAAGGTTTAGAATCTCAGGGATGACATTCAGAAGAAATGAGTACAGGAGGGGCCTAGAAACAAAGACGGCGATACGCTATACTAGAGAACTCCAAATTAGTTGCAGTGGAGAGATGGAAATCCAGGGTTTGTCTTCTTGGTGCATTGGGCATGAGTTTTTGTCCTACTGGGAGGGCACTGGTCATCCTGCCCACCCATGGCAGCGGGCAGGCTTGGATGCCAGGGCTGCTCACCTTGGACTGTCCTTGTGGAAGGACACACCTACTTGTCTCTTTGTTGTTGTTATTTTTGGTCTCTACTAAAACACACTGTCTGTAGTACTCACAGAAAAAGATTCTCTGTGGATTTTTAACGAGTTTCTATGGGTACTTAATTAAAATTTAGTGGCTCTTTTTGTGGTTTTGTGTACTAGTTAGCTATTGCTTCTCAGGCTTGTCACAGCCTGTGGGGATCAGAAGCTTGGAGTGGCCCTCTTTCTAGAAACCACACACCACCTATTAAGTTCCTTTGTATATTTTACTAAAATAATTTAATGACATTTTTCTGTGTCTGTGGCCTCATCAAGGGAGAGATGCATGTTAGAAATTTCACAATAAAAATCCCTCAAGAATTGATACCTACAAAATACCTTTTTATAAGAAATGTTTTACCTCCTTTTTGTCATTGCACTGATTTTGTGTTGTTAGGTGTCAGCATCCTGATTTGTTGTCATGATCTCATTGTGATGTCCTTGAGAAGGGGCTGTGTGTGAGTGCACGTGTGCGGCTTGTGGTGTGTGCTGAGGTGGAAAGTGATAGTGTTCCCTCTTTGCATTCTCAGCACAGAGCACTGCAGGGTTTCCAGCCTTCCAGGTAGAAGAGAAATTGTTGCTATGGTAATACCGCAAGCATGAAAACACCCCCTGTCCCCGTGGGTGTCTGTGTCAGGGCGGGGAATGTGGAGAAGGGGAACAGTAGCAAAGAGGAGTGTTTAGGGCATCGAGCAAGATGAGAGCAAAGCCTAAGCTGAAGCTGCTGTTGGGTGGAATTTCTTGTGTTTATCCTTGAATTCAAGGTCAGATTCCAGTTGCAATGTGGTAGCTGAGAACGTAAAAGGCCTTTTATTCCTCAGTGTCTTCCCTGACTTTGAGACAAAGATAAAGAATACAGAGGGTCTCTGTCACATCTCCAGTTCCCAGAGGCCACATGGCCTTCCCACAGACCACAGTTAGAAAATGTGCGTCTGTATCTGTGGCCAGTACATCACTGCAAGTGGAATCAACCACCCAGCCCCAGAAAGCCTGCTGCCCTTCATGTCCAGTGTAACAGGCTAAGGCAGCAGTCCCTGCCATCTCTTCTGAAACTAAATAACAGTTCGTGCTCTGTTTCTGTACAATTCCCCTGGGAAGATGGACTGTGAATATCCTTGGTAATGCAGAGCCGTGATGAGAAACGAAATCCAATCTGCTGAGGTAGTGGGTGAAGAACACAACAAAAAGCTAGTGTTCAATTCTGTCAGATCATCAGGGCCAGTATGGGAAGAATAGCTTGAGCAGGGAGTTTGGCATCATAGTTAAAACAGGCTGAGGTCTAGGTATTTGCTAATAAAACTCTTCCTGGGTTTTAGGGGCTTTTTACTCCTTATCTGCTCAAAGTCACACAGCTAGTAAGTGACAGCATCAGGAGTCAAATCCAGGGTTTCTCATTGTTATTTGTGTTTTTAGGTGTAATTTTGATATGCTGCATTAGTTTCAAGAGTCTTTATCTTTTGCAGATACAAACTGAAATATTTATAAATGAAAAGATTTGTAATCTGGGATTTGCTTCAAAATTATACTGAAGGAGGAGGGATGAGTGAACAGGTAGGGTATAGATAAGCTCAGATTGGTTATGAGTCGATCATTATTAAACACGATAATGGGTGCATAGGGTTCATTACATCCTCTGCTTTTGTATATGTTTAAAATTTTCTACAATAAAAAGTTAGTTTTAAAAAAAACAAGTCAAAAACTCTAGCTGTCTTCAGTGTTAGCTTTATCTGTGCTCTCATTGTTTTGGTTTGCTTTGCTGCTTTCCAGTTCACTCTTGGGGACTGGAAAGACCCTTATTCGAATGTCCTGTTTTGTGGCTTGTTCAGTTTTTTAAGAGATGAGAAAATGTGCAACATAACAGGAAAATGTTAACAGCTTTTTGTGAGAAGGTTAAAGAGCTCTTCATCCTAGAGGAGGGAAGGTTTCCTGTGTAGTTTCTCTGCACAAGATTCTTCTATATAAGTGGTAGGGACCTGGTGTTTTCCAGCTTCTCTGGGAAAACAGACTTAAACTACCTATGAAGAATCCAAGAGGCCGGAGCGGTGGCTCATGCCTATAATTCCAGCACTTTGGGAGAATGAGGCAGGAGGATTGCTTGAGGTTATGAGTTCAAGACCAGCCTGGGCAACAAAGCACAACCTCGTCTCTACACAAAATAGAAAAAAATTTAATAAGGCATGGGTGCTGTGCATCTGTAGTCCCAGCTACTCGGGAGGCTGAGGCGGGAAGATCACCTGAGCCCAGAAGATCGAGGCCGCTGTGAACCATGATCATGCCACTGTACTCCAGCATGCATGCGTGTGTGTGTATGTGTGTGTGTGTGTGTGTGTGTGTGTGTGTATAAAAGAATCTAAGACAGCTCACTGGACTTCATTGTAACCGATGAATTGGGTTCCCAGGAAGCCTGGGGTTCTGTGTTGAGAGCATTGTATAGCCTGTAACAGACCCTCCTTGCTCCAGTACAACTGCTTACATGCAGTCCAGCTGCAACCAGAAGAAAGCCCACATGACCTTTTGAGTGTCCCTCTAGCCCAAACACTGATTTCTAGAAAACCGAGGATTTTAAAACTAGGATTGGCATTTGCTTTTCAAAAATAAACAGGCTAAGAGAGTTTCTCAGATGAAATCCCCATAGCCTCATAAAAGTACTTTTTTTTCAGTTTTATTTCCCGTCAGAAGCTTGTATGAAAAGCATTTGAAGTTTCAAAAGCTGCCTATGTCTGAGAAGCTGATCCAGATTCTAGCCCAAAGAGGGTGAAATAGATCACAATTTCTTCCGCTCTTATCTTTGACTACAGCTTGTCCTTTTGCCCTTCTCTCCCCTGCTCTGTTAGACTTCGCTGCTAAAAACATCTCGTGTTCCCACAGCCCTCTTAGCTTCAAGGCCTTCTTGCCTCCCATAAAAACCTACTTTTCACCCTCAAGGCCAGCACCTACTACTCTGACCTAACCTGTTGTGCTCCTAGCTTCTGTCTTCTCCAGGCGAGCACCCTTGCATCCTAAGCACCTCAAATTGCTTGTAAAGATTCTTCCCTTCCCCACCTTCTGTCTCTGGACTCCATCAAAACCTTTCCCCAGGCTGGGAGTGGTGGTGCGCACTTGTAGTCCCAGCTGCACAGGAGGCTGAGGCCAGCCTGGACAACATAGCAAGACCTCATCTCTTTAAACAAACAAAAGAATAAAAAAGCCTTAGCCCAGCCATGGTACAGAAGAGGCCAATGAGGGTTTGGCCCCTCACCTTGCCTGACACTTCATCTTCTCCTCTAAACACGATCATTACCAGCTGCCTGTCATCTGCCTATATGGAGACATGTGGGCTGATTTCTGCTTTGGTTGAAGTCTGGTCGTTCGTTCAGCAGATATGTATTGAGCATTTCTGTGCCAAAGGGAGTAAGAAAGAGAAAGGGCAACCACGGCCCTAACTGACCATCAGTGGGATGAGAGAGTGATGGTGACTGCTGTGAGGAACATGCGGCTCTGCATGAGCGACATGGGTCTGGGCCTGACCAGGCCGTGGTGGGGTCTTATTGGCGGAGATGGGGAGAACTTTACTCCAGGCCCAGAGAATGACACGAGCAAAGCTGGGTGAAGGGTCAGCAAGTAGACAGGTGTGTCCAGAGCAGAAGGAAGCAGGACTTTGAAGATAAATAGACCCTGTTGAGGGCTTTGCAATGCAGAACAAAACAAGGAGGGTGGATTTTATTTTGGAGACTTCCCCTACCCCCGTCCCTGGAGCTGTTGCTGGCGTAATGGAGGGACACAGTGGGATCACATGCTGCTTGTGGGAGGGTGAATTTTGTAGATCCTTGAAAGGGAGTGGGAGGGAGGGAGAGATCAGATATAGAATATCAAGGGAATTGGAACACCTTGCCAATGTAGTCACTATGGCAAGTCATTTCTAGTAACCTGGGGACATGCCGTCCTCCTACAGCCCTCCCAGAGCCCGTTCGTACAATGTTGCAGGTATTTGCTGTGATTACTTTTCCCATTTTCCAGAAGACCTAGGTGGGATTTGGCCTGAAGGAACCTGGTTCTAAGGGCAGGTTGGGGGCAAGAGGGGAGACGTGGGGCAGTAGTCAAAAGCGAGGATGGCAGCAGCCAAGGAAGAGGCTTTGGTGAAGAGCGGCCGAAGCGAGACCATAGGACACGATCTTGGGCACGCGTGTCTAGGAGGCTGCCCCGGCCTGCTCCTCCTTCCTGTGGTGTGTGTGGGTGCCCTGGAGTAGATCATTGGGCAGTTGCTGCTTTGCTGCATTCCCACCGGCCAGTGAATTTGTTTTAGTCCTCAGGTGCTTTACATAAGGAGGAAACCATGTAACCTTCACAAGTTTTTTCCCAGTCATTTAAAAAGGCTTGTTTTCCAGCCGAAGGCATGTCGAATAAGCTTAATTTCTCTCACTCAGATCAGCTTAATTTCTCTGTGATGTGCATACAGAGAATTGCTTAATTCTCCTTTTGCAACATGTTTTCCCAGCTGCTGAGAGCCCTGCTTTTTTTCCATGGGCCTCCTGACAGAAATACAAACAATTTAAAGCCATGCGGTACCAACTGCTCTTCGTCACCACATGGACTGTGGATGTCAGTGTGTTTCCCCTTGGGCTGGATTTGTCTGGAGCTGGTGGCTGCTTTCTTGTCCTTCCGTGCCTCCTGGGAGTCAGGGATCAAGGCCGTGCTGGGTTGTGCTGAGAGCCACAGCCCCTCCTTCAAGTGGGGTACCCTCCCTTCCCAGCCTAGTCCTACATCCTTGTTGTGTGAGGAAATGAAGTCTGTTCCTTGGATGCGTTCTGACGGGAAACATGTTTTCTGTGGCACCTCTGCTTAGTCTTTCAGTGCAACACAAACAGCCTTTTGATACCTTGTTTTGTAAAAAGTACATTTCCACAATGGGGCTTGACACTGTTCATAAATAAACACATCCGTTTACAGGCAAAGCAAGGGAAGAACACATAAGGGAACAGTTTGACCAGGGGTTTTGCTTTTCCCTCTGTGAATGCCTGGTGTGCACCATCCATCCGAGGATGACTAGGGGAGAACACTATTCTGTGGCTGCCAAAACCACAACAAATGACAACTTTCCATTCTGTCATCTCTCTCGGCACCACTGCTAGCAAGCAATTCATTTTTCTACCATAAAAGGGCAATAGAACTTGTCTATAGCTGCGGTGTCTTCTGCTCTGCAGAGAGAGAGCAGGAGACCGGCAGGGAGAGGCACTCTCAGCAGTAGGCGCAACCGTGCTCACCCCGTGCCTAACAGCCTTGCTTAGTCCGGGCTCCGAGGCAGCAGCAGCCATAAGAAAAAACAGGAGAGGAAGGCGATGTGGCGCTTCTGCCGGGCCCTCAGACTGGGGAGTGTGAGGTCAGGACAGGCTGGCGTGTCGTTTTCGTCTCTGTGGCTGCTGGACGTGTGAATGTGTGGTTCAAACCTTGGTACAAGTTGCTGCACTGGGTCTGCGCAGGTGGTTTTGTATATTGGTATTTGGTACTCTTGACTTGCAGTTGTAGATGTTAGATTTATAAGCCGGACCCAGGAGGTCATATAACCCAGACATGCTTGTTGTACAGATGAAGAACCGTGGATAGGTTAAGTGCTAACTTCGTGTAGCTTGAAGTCATTGAACTTCTTGGCTATATATGAACTTTGGGTTCAGGGGTAGTTCCCTAACCCATCTGTGTCCCCATTGGCCCATTAGTGTATTTTTTGGCTCAGTTAAAGTTGAGCCACAGAAGCCTTAACTAATAGAAATACAGTTCTTAGTTGGTGGATTTGTATGTCAGTTAACCAGGGTCTTTGGAAAGTATATTGTCTTTTCTATAAAATGCTTGGGTCCTTTAGATGATTATAAATAAATGTTCAAAATCAAAACAGGAGTAGTTAGTAGACAAATGCTTAGCTATTTTGACAACACCTAGAACACTTTGAGAGAGTGGCTGTAAAATTTCTGCCCAGTGCACCCTGGCAGACCAGGAGACCAGCCCAACACAAGCTACGCAGCTACAGAGAATGTACTTTCCATAGGCTGAAGGGCATGGCCACCATACACATCTCTGCTCCAGGGCAGGCAGGTCCTCAAATTGCGCCACAAGTGGGCCTCATCCTTTGGCTTGGAGCCCTTGAAGGTTTTCCTATAAACAAGAACTGAGATTTGTTTTGTCGTTTAAACTTACCTTAATTCTGACTGTCTGATCTCATAGCAGATGTTGGAACTGAACTAAGCACATTGCCAAGGGAATAAAAATTGTGTCCAAGAATCTTGCTGATCTGGAAGTTTTGGAGGAAAGCAGGGATTTCAAGGTCAAATGTTATTACCCAGATAGTGCTCGTGGTCAGAATAGATTCTGAGCTCATTGGATCTGAATCAAAAGTTAACTCAGAAGTCATTCCTTAAAGAGAATATCATTGAGTAGCAGTGGCGGAAGCAAGCTCAGTGTGAATGATTCAAGTACTGCATACCTAGACCTTGTTTTGAAGCTGAAAGACTTGTTTGAAAACTGTTCCAGCAAATAAAGAAATTGAGTAGGCCGTCCTAAAATGGAAAGTTTACAAAATGCCCTTTTTAGTAAGACCTTTCTGGATTCTTCTTTTCTCAATAGTGTAAAACTGACTATCTTGATCTATCAAAGAGCTAAGTGGTATAATTTCCTTGGCACTTTCCAAGACCTTTACTGCCTTTGGAATAAACCCATGATGCCTGGGAGCATTCGTCTCACTGTGCTTCTCTCATGTTCTTTGCTTGTGGAAATGTTGGAAGCCTTTGTTTTTTTGGTCAACAACAGCAAGTGAATTCCATCTTATAGAACAGTTATTAATTTTCGTTGTGTCATTTTTAAGGCTGATTTCTTAAGCAAATAGCATCTCCTTGTTGGCCAGAGAGTCTCTACCCGCGTCCATCTCTGTCTTTGCATGCCTGGGCTGCCTGGCCATGGGTGACCAGCTTTAGAGACATCAGCCTTCTTGCTTCCTAATTTGGTCACAGTATGCTTCAGGCAGTCTTGCCTAACTTTAGAACAACACAAGCACAGGGAGCAGCTTTGATATAGCAAAGGGGAATTTCCTCTTATCAAAAGACCTACAGTTCCCTTCTTACTTCCTCTAAAAAGAGGAATTGACACTTGGGGAGGTTGTAGCTTGCTCTGAAGTTCCCTCTTTAAGCTTGGCTTCTTCATGCCGGCTTCTTCCTAGCTAGTTCCTGCTCTTTCCTTCCTCAAATGTCTTGGAGCTTCTTAGCATTAAAGGAGTTTAATTTTATTCTTAAGGAAATCCAATGCAATACCCATCAGCAGGGAACAATTTCAGTACATTTTGGTACCTCAGTACAGTGGAGGTCCATACCGGGGGGTCAGCATCCATACTGAGGTTCAGCAGACTTTTTCTGTAAACATCCATACCAGGGGTCAGCAGACTTTTTCTGTAAAAGGCAAGGTAGTAAATATTTCAGGCTTTGCGGACCATATGGTATCTATCCCAGCTACCTAACTCTGCCTTTATAGCGTGAAAGTAACCACAGACAATATGTAAACAAATGAATGTGGCTGTGTCCCAGTATAATTATATTTACAAAAATTGGCAGAGGGCCAGATTGGCCAGTGAGCTGTAGTTTGCCAACCCGTAGCATATACCATAGCGTTTAAAAGAATGACGTGGAATCCCGTTGTGCAAATATGGAGCTGTCTCCAAGATATTAAGTGAAAAAAGCAAGACGTAGAACAATGGGTGCAATATGCCCACAATTGTGTCTTAAATGGGAGGAGGAAGAGATGCTTGCTGACACAGACATAAAATCTATTTGGAAGGATAGATAAGAAATGGGTAGCAGTGAATCGCTTTTGAGGATGCTCACCAAGGGTTAAGGGAGGAGTGTGCATGTGTCACATTGTATACCCATTGTCATTAACTTAGTCATGTCTGAACATGAGCAAAAGAATTTTTGTTTTGTTTGTATTAAGAGAACTTGAAAAATAGAAATGTGATTATTAAAATATGCTTGTGTATTTTCAAACTCCAAGCTATTTCTTCTGGTGTGTTGGAAGGCTTATTTTACCACCTAAAAAGGAGTGCCTTGCCTCGGGCTGGAGGCGAGGGATGGCGTTTTGTGGTGTGTGGAAGGAGCTGGAACTGAGCAGCTCTGCCTTTCTCCTCGCTCGCCTTCTGCACGGGCTCTGCTTGCAGCACAAGCTCTGGCACTGTCGGACAGGATACAGCCAGTGAGAAACCTTGGACCAGAAGTCAGGGCCCCGCGGGAATTAGTATGGCTTTTAGTAGTTAGAATTCAAGACTGTTTCCAACTGCTGCCTTTTCCCACAGAGTATGTCTGACTAACAAGGATGGGTTCTGATTCACCCGGCGTTGCTATGACCGCTTTTTAAAAATGTCTGCTTTGGGTTGTGAAATCAGCAAATAAAGTTGTTACTTTCCTAGTATGTGTAACAGTTAGCTTTTGGTATGTGAGGAACAAGTAAAAGGCTTAGTGGCAAATCCTTGTCTGCTTAGAAGGCAGTGTACATATAAACAACTAAAAAATTCCCATTTGGCTGCCAGCCTCGATTCATAGTTCCCTCTTCCAGCTCCCAAGCAAATATTTTTCAAATAGCCGTGCTAAGCCTTTTCCAGGCATGATTTGCGGGCTTACTTGCTGTCATTCTATTTTTCAGCAAAACTCTGGGTAGGAATGTCGGAAATTATACCTTTTGAAATCCCTCCTTGAAAACATGGAGATTTGTAGGTATGCAGAGGCAATTGTAACAATATAAAGTATTGTATCTCTTCCACTAGAGTAGGAGGGCCTGACTGTCGGCCCCTGGGGTCTGTCTTTCATTACTTGTCTTGACTTCCGCTGTAAAAGCATTAAGTGGGAAGGTAGCAGTTCTGCTGAACAAGCAGACATTGCCTTCTGTAAGAGAAGTTATTTAAAACATCGAAAATATGTTTGAAAGATATTGGTGTAGTTTCCTCTGACCTCAATTTCATACACTAGTAACTCTCCGGTGTCTAGAGTTAGTACTGATGGACTCCCTGCCGGGTGGCCAGAACCATGTGTCCATGCCAGATAGAAGATTCTACTTCACTTGATTGAGGACGCTAAGAAGTTGTGCTTTGCCATACATGTTGCCCCTAAGGAGAAGCTGGGCATTTTAAAGAATAGACTTAAAACTAACACACATACTCTGTTTTTCTCACACACACATTCCCCCTCTCCCCTTCTCTTCTACACACACCAGCACTGCCTTCCCCACCCCCACCATAGCTCTCTCCATTACTGCCTTTAACCTTGAAACCTCTCTTGTACACTTACGCATTCATCTGTTCCTGCTCTTGTATCATTAATGGGCCTGGAGCAATCCAGCCAGGAGCAATCCAGCCAGAACAGGAACACTGACATTACTAATTACTGCTTATAACTGAGAAGTAAGGAGCAGTGAGTAAAGTGGGTCACAAGACAGTGTCCTAGCAGTCAAATGCTGCCGTCGGCCCGAGTGGCGAGGTGTCAGGTGGCTTGTCTCCCCTTCACCATGGGTAGACCTGGCAGAGCACCCTGTTGGCATGAGCAGAAGTGCTGTCACGTTGATCACCCAGGCTCACCGTCTACACACACGGTTAGAGAAATGGGTGTGCTTCTGTCGGAACTTAAAAACATGGCAGATCAACCCGTGAGAACAGAGTTCTTTGCACGGCTGTGTGAGCTGGGAAGAGACGACAGGCAGAAAAGGTGCTGCAGGGGGTGTGTGGAGGTGGAGCTTCAGCCTCTCCTGGCTGTGTGCTGGATAAGCCCTGAACCACAGGGTCCAAGTTGACTCATCTGTAGGTTGTCTTCAGCCCCCAAATCGCAATTCCATGATGAATGTGTACATTTTACACATGTGCGTATGTGTTATTAAGTGTCAGGCTGGTGTGGCAGAGCTGTCCTGGCAGAACATGCGTGTGTACATCCCTGCAGGCTGTCGGGGCATGAGCTCTAGTGTGGGCTGTATTGCAGGAGCATCAGCAGAGAAGGGCGAGATCTTCACTCTACCTCTCACTAGCCCTGGGCACTTCCCACTGCCTTTGTGGACTTCTGTTTGCTCTTCTGTAGAATGGGATAACAGTGCCAGTCCTGCTTACTATTTAGGGTTATGTGATGCTTGCAGATGTACAGGGAAAGCACTGCTGATGGGAGCTGCTGAAGTTTCTAGGGGAGGTGAAGGTGGCGCCTCCTCCCCTGGTCTAAGTGGTAGATGGTGCAGGGAGAGGAGAATTTCATTCTGTGGCAGCAGCTGATAGATTCCAGGTCTTTAATACTACCTGGGAAACCTTAACAAAGCAGTCAGTCACCAAAACTGACCTAGCTTCTGAGCATTGCTAACCATGCTTTTAGAGAAACAGGAAGTAAAAAGGATCTTTAAAATCTTTTTTTTTTTTTTTTGAGATGGAATTTCACTCTTGTTGCCCAGGCTAGAGTGCAATGGCGCGATCTTGGCTCACTGCAACCTCCGCTTCCTGTGTGCAAGAGATTCTCCTGCCTCAGCCTCCCAAGTAGCTGGGATTACAGGTGTGCACCACCATGCCTGGCTAATTTTTTGTATTTTTAGTAGAGACAGGGTTTCACCATGGCCAGGCTGGTCTTAAACTCCTGACCTCAGGTGATCCGCCCGCCTAAGCCTCCCAGAGTGCTGGGATTACAGGCATGAGCCACCCACCGCGCCTGGCCATAAAACCTTTAAAGATGTAAGTAAAATATAATACAGGTGAACTCGGCAAATAAGGGGGGTTACCTGCCCTCCTCTTCTCTTCTCTTTTCTGTTCTTTTTTTTTTTTTGTTTGAGACAGAGTCACCCAGGCTGGAATGCAGTGGCGCAATCTTGGCTCACTGCAACCCCCCGCCTCCTGGATTCAAGTGATTCTCCTGCCTCAGCCTCCCAAGTGGCTGGAATAACACCCAGCTAATTTTTTTGCATTTTTAGTAGAGACGGAATTTTGCCACGCAGGCCAGGCTTGTCTTGAACTCCTAACCTTAGGTGATCCACCTGCCTCGGCCTCCCCAAAGTGCTAGGATTACAGGCGTGAGCCACCATGCCTGGCCTTTGTACTATTTATTAAACTCTGCATATCTAAATGATTTTACTCAAGTCTATCATGTAATTACAGCCCTAAAACTACATTTCTTATGCTTTAAAAACTTGTAGGAAGTCCAAGAGAAAAGGAAAACTACTTGACTACAAGCCTAGGGTTTTTTGTTTTTTGTTTTTTTTTAGAAAATGGCCTCCAGAAAGTGGGAAATTATTGATCACTTGACAACAGAAGGGATGTGGGTTTCTAGGCGCCCTGCCTCCTCGGCTTTGGATGTTTTGCCTTTCACTTTTCTTCTTCTTTCTTTTTTTTTTTTTTTTTAATACTACAAATATGGTTATTGTTGAGAAAGTCTTGGAGTGAGTCATGGTTACAAAAACTGAGCGTAACTTCTGTCACTTTTCCTATACCTCACAAACTAGCCAAAATGCTGCCATATCAGCTTCTGGAGCCAGGCCTGCCCTTTGCCCCCGTCAAGCATCCACCTCCCCAGACCCTTAGCGCTGCACTCCAGGACCCCCTTCCACCTCCCTCCTGTGCTTTTGGTTCTGCATATTGGCTCACAAGGCACTGATGGTGGTGCCATATAATAGGATATCATTTTGTTTCACAGAATCGGCAGCCTGTTCTTTTATGAGAGAGGAAGCCACAGCAGAACCAAGTAAGATGCCAGGCTTCTCAGATCCACTTGAAGAAAAAGGAGTATTTCCTTTACCTAGTTTTGTGAATATTTTTCCCGCTTCTCTCATTCAGTCAACATTTGAGTTCAGACTTAAACTTTATATTGAAGAACACAGTGCTTTGCACAGTAATGTTAGTAGCTGTTATCATCATTTGGGAATTCGTATCATATTATTAAGAGCAACTCTTTCACTAATAAGAAAGCTAAATAAACTGAGAATTGCCCAATCCTAAGTCACCCACAGTTTTACAGATATCCCAGTCCAAAAAAAAATAAGACAAGCCTGATAATAAGTATGGATAAGGAAGTCTCCAGAAGATACACTGTCAGATGTGTAAAGCAAGGTAAGGTGCGCAGAGTGAGCCTTCTGCTCACTTTGTATAAATGTAAAGGATAAAGCTGGTAAATACATGCGCCTTTAACTTTTTTCTTCAAAACCTAAGCATGAAACACAAACTGCTACAGGAAGGCTTGACAAGAGGGGAGTTTTTGCTTTTTGTTTATAATAACTTCTGTATTTCTTAGCACATTCAGTATGTGTTCTTCTTTTCACTAGTGTCAACAGAGATACGAACATTTAAATTTTTTTAAAAAGCTTTAGGATAGAAAAGAGGTGTAGCTGGGCAATTTCCTTTGACATGCGGTTTGTCTGAAATAGAGCAGCCCCTTGTTTATGATTTCCAGATATGTGAGTCTGTTTTTTTATGTACAGGTTTTACCTTGGCTCAATTTACTGTCTAGTTACATTTTAACAGCTTTCTACTCTGCTTTTTCTCTCAATATAAAAGTAATCGAAAGAAGACTAATCATTTTTGAAATGCTTTCAGTTTTACACAGTTCTGTGCGTGAAAGCCTGGTGTCCCCACCAGCCAACTGTGGGAATCCAGGACATAGAGCAGGAATAGCTGCTGCTTATTTACTGCTCTAATTACCTCTTCGGTTCCATTTGCGGTCGCTAGTTCCTTCCATCAAGCAAAGTG
Organism: Homo sapiens; assembly: GCF_000001405.40. Taxonomy (NCBI): domain Eukaryota; kingdom Metazoa; phylum Chordata; class Mammalia; order Primates; family Hominidae; genus Homo; species Homo sapiens. Next base: position 5,688,021 of record NC_000007.14, on the reverse strand, counting down.
AAAATTGTCAAAACGGCTGTTTTTCCCTCCTGGAAAACAGAAAAAAGAATATGGCAAGATGTTAACTGTGGCATGACAGTCCGGGATTCTGGACACGACCTACATAATCTTCCTTGTATCTCTTTGTGACTTGGTTTCCTCATCTGTAAAATGGTGAGATCATGATCTCTGCCTCACCCACTGGGTTGTCTGAAGATTAAAGGAGGGGATGTTTGCAAAACTCTTAGCACCTTTAAACTTAGGTCCTTGGAAATGCTAGTGGATTCACTTATCTTCTCCTTCCTTAGATGCTTGGAAAGTAAGACACTGGCATTTCTGTCATTCTTGATTTCCTGGTCATTTGGGGGCACTTAATTTCTCTGTGTTGGTTTCCTCCTCTGTAATGAGATCTGTTAATCTCAGGATTTCACAAGGGGCAGGCAGAGAGGCTTGTCACAGCCTTTTAGAACTAGAAGAAACTTAAGATGTCATTTAGGTCCACAAGTGCCAATATGAGAGTCTTTCTACAGTATCTTTGTCCAAAAGTAGATGTGAGTGGACTCTTTGGTTTCTGAAAATCCCACATCATGTCCCCTTAATTTCTTTTCTTTCTTTTCTTTTCTTTTTCTTTTTTTTTTTTTTTTTTTTGAGGTGGAGTTTCACTCTTGTTGCCCAGGATGGAGCAGTGACGCAGTCTCAGCTCACTGCAACCTCCGCCTCCCAGGTTCAAGTGATTCTCCCTCCTCAGCCTCCCAAGTAGCTGAGATTACAGGCGCCCGCCACCATGCCCAGTTTATTTTTGTATTTTTAGTAGAGATGGGGTTTCACCATGTTGGCCAGGCTGGCCTCAAACTCCTGACCTCAGGTGATCTGCCCACCTCAACCTCCCAGAGTGCTGGGATTACAGGCATGAGCCACCGTACCTGGTCTTCCTTTAATTTCTAGATTTTGATTTTGAACCTGGTGTTTCTATAACATTCACTTGACTGTGGTGATGAATCCAATTAGAATAATCAGGGCTCTGCTTTTATCTTTTAAGATAGGGATCCCCAGTCCCCATCCCCAGGCCACACAGGAGGTGAGCACTGGGCCAGTGAGTGAGCATTACGACCTGAGCTCTGCCTCCTGTCAGATCAGCAGCAGCATTAGAGTCTCAGGAGCGTGAACCCTGTTGTGAACTGCTCATGCAAGGGATCTGAGTTGCACACTCCTTATGAGAGTCTAATGCCTGAAGCCATCTCTCCACGCCCTGTCCGTGGAAAAATAGTCTTCCACGAAACTGGTTCCTAGGACCAAAAATGTTGGGGACCGCTGTTTTAAGATCTTCTGTAGGTAATATGTCATTGCCGCAAATAGCGCTACCTTTGAAAGCTTGTTTGACAAATCTTCCAAACCCAGCTCACATGTATTTAAAGAAATAGTTGACAAGTGCAGTTCTAAGTGAGCCTCACAATTTAGAACATCAGTTTAGGAACACTGGCGTGCATTGTACAGATTTGGCTTCCCTGCCTCAGCTTTCCTAAAGGCACTGATGGTTAAGCAGCACTTAACCAGAGAACAGATAACATTCAGACTCTTAAGCCACCACTGTGTGACTGTCCGCACATCATTTACTCTGACTTTCCTCATCAGAGAAATGGGGATCCTGTTTTCTGTCCCAGCCCCCTTCAGGGTGGTTGTGAGAAGCAAATGAGGCCGCAACAGGTAAGGGCTCTTTGACAGAGGTGTCAGAAGCCCCCACAGAAACCACGTGGCAGCAGTGGTGTTCTTGAGAGTTTGGAGAAGCACGCTCCATTTTTTTTTTTTTTTTTTTTTTTTAATAACAGAGTCATACTCTGTCAACCCAGGCTGGAGTGCAGCAGCATGATCTCGGCTCACTGCAACCTCTGCCTTCTGGATTCAAGCGATTCTCCTGCCTCAGCCTCCCGAATAGCTGGGATTACAGACGTGCATCACCACGCCTGGCTAATTTTTGCATTTTTAGTAGAGACAGGGTTTCACCATGTTGGCCATGCTAGTCTCGAACTCCTCACCTCAGATGATCCGTCCGCCTCAGCCTCCCAAACTGCTGGGATTACAGGTGTGAGCCACCGCGCCCGGCCGGAATTTTTTACATCGTTTTCTACAAGGTCAGTACATAGAAATGCATTATAGTGCTCCAAATATAAAGAATTCACATACTGAAAATGTTTTGCTTTTGTCCAGCCTTCTTAACATACATATTTAATTACAAGGCATGAGGATTAATGGGGCTTTGAATATTTAAAGCTCTTTTCCCAAGATGAATTTGATTTAGCTACTGAGATGGGCATCTGCAGTGCTGGTGACTTGCCATGTGGCTGGGAGTTTGAGAGCAGAGGAGGTGAGACCAGGACTGATGTCAGGTTGGCTTCTGGTGTTTTACTTCCTTTTCCACTATGCCCCCTCCCCTCTCACTTTTAGCTCACCGCTTTGTCTTTTCAGTTTGCTGAGGAAAGAGGAAAAAGTAATAGAATTTGCCTTGATGTAGTTCACCGTGTAGCTTGCTGTTTTCAAAGTTGTAATGTTTAGTGTGCATCCCTTAGTGTCTTGGAAAGTAACAGAACAATTTCTATAGCCCTGCCCTCCCAACAATCCTCCCTTACACCCTGGCTTCCATCCCAGGGCTTCTGTGGGGAGGAGGAGAGAACACAGGCCAACAGAGCATGGACCCAGAAAGGGGCCTCCTGACATTAATCACGTTTTATTCATGGAATTCTGAAGATGGAGGAGATCAAGAGGCTCTGGAGCAAAAAGGAGGAGATGGTTTTGTTCGTGCTCACTGTCTCCAGCTACCACAGCCAGGGGAGCTACCTCCATGCCCACCCATCCGTGGTGGACATTGTACATGGGCAGCCCAATCACTGGAGGCCATGAGCCTCCAGTGAGGTAGAGAGGCAGAATAAAGAGTGAGCCACCAGGACCCAAGATGGCGGCTTGAGGGCAGGCAAGACGCTGCCTTCATCCAGAGCGTGGCTCACCATCAGCAAGAATCCTGGGCACTCTCTTCACCCCTCCACCTATGCTGTGTAAAGACTGCTCAAATCTGATACCCCCTGCACATCCTGAAGCCTGTGGGGTGACAAAGCTACAGACTAACACCCCACCCCACCCCCAGCCCCCCATGCAGGACTCCCAAGCACCCTTTCCTTCTTGGGGAAAATTTTACTGACCTCTCTTTTCATCACCTTAAAAATGTGAGGCATGTCATTTGGTTTACTAGAGGAAAGAACTCTGTAAAGGTAAAGTTTTGTTTTTCCTAACTATATGTGAGGTGCCTTGAAGAAGACATTGCTTGAACACCCACTGGAATTGCTGCTAGGGTGTTGTTCAGGTATCAGTCAAGTTCCTTTTTCTCACTAGCAAGGGACAGCCACCACAGCCTGAGTGGAACTGGGAAAGCTACGTGGCTACATGGGATGGGCTTTACTGCCCCTGACATCAGCCAGACTTGATTTCCAGCAACCCCAGGGAACATCGAACTGCATGGGGCCAGGCCCAGGAGAAGCCAGCAGCTGGTGCTTCCTGGAATAGGCCAGGGCTGACAAACTCCAAGAGGAGCCTAAAGATCAGCATTTGTTTTAATGCAGAGGCTCGGCTTAGAAGGCCCAGCTTGTGGGCCAGGCGCAGTGGCTCGCACCTGTAATCCCAGGACTTTGGGAGGCCAAGGCAGGTGGGTCACGAGGTCAGGAGATCGAGACCATCCTGGCTAACACAGTGAAACCCCGTCTCTACTAAAAATACAAAAACAAAAATTAGCTGGGCGTGGTGGCGGGTGCCTGTAGTCCTAACTACTCCGGAGGCTGAGGTGGGAGAATGGCGTGAACCTGGAAGGTGGAGCTTGCAGTGAGCCAAGATCACGCCACTGCACTCCAGCCTGGGTGACAGAGCGAGACTCCATCTCAAAAAAAAAAAAAAAAAAAAAAAAAAGAAGGCCCAGCTTGTGGAAACACTGGTCCCACCATCACAGACCAGTACCTGATACTGCCAGACCAAATCAACTTGCTGCTGCCTTGGTCTTCACACATCCCGCCACAAGACCCCTACTGGATCTTGCCCTTAACTTAGCAGTAGCCAGCCTTCTCACCAGACACAAGTGATGCCCGTCCCTATTCTCTGTGCAGGCTGGAGAATTCATGTGGTGTTTATCTTTTTTCTGTAATGATGGCCATAGCAACTAGGCTGTAAATTCTGCTGGGCTTATCTTGCACTTTTAACAGGTTTTATCCATAGACACTGATGATAATTGTATGGCTCATTGATTATCTACTGCTGTGCTGAGCACTTTAAAAACAGTTGTAATTCCTAATCCTCACAGTAACCCTGAGAGGAAGGTGCTGACATTGTCCTCATTCTCCTTGATGAGGACACTGAGGCTCCAGGTTAAGTGTGCACTCAAAGGGGTAGAGCCAGGATTGCAACTGGCACCTCTCTCCCATCACAAAACTTGGAGAACATCTTACCTGTTCAGAGAGTTCTGATGAGGTGGTTAAGTCATGATGCTATGTGCCTGTGGCCTTGGTCTCTCCACATGGAGGATGGGGGTGATACGGGACCCACCTCAGGATGTGGTGAGCAGTCTGGCAGCACCACTTAGATATAGACACCTCTGGGCACTGTTGCAGGAAAATAGAGTTGGAAGCTGCAGTGAGCCTCCAACTTGTGGATTGTACCACTGCACTCCAGCCTGGGTGACAAGAGACCCTGTCTCTTTAAAAATAAAACAAAATCCAGCAAGGTCTTTTGTTTCCCCTTTTTTTTTAATGAATAAACAAAGAGGCCAGGAGCTGCTAAGGGCTACATAGATTCCACTGGCCCTGTCTTCATTCCTTCTACCATGTGATGCTGCATTTCTAGCTTGTGGTCTGGTGTCTGTTTTTTGTTTGTTTGTTTGTTTTTACCATATAATTATAATCATTGCATACATACAGTGTTGTGCCCTGCGGTTTTGTTTTTTGTTTTTTAACTTAGCATGACATAGCACTTTCTGCATTCTTAAGGAGTTTGTGACCCCGTCATGGGAGGTTGTCATTCCATCACACAGATTTATGTTGGTTTACCTATGCTTGCTCCTGAGTTGGAAATGTAGAATTTTTTTCTGGTTTTGATGCTACATTAACGCAATGCAAAGCTTTATATGTAAAGCTTTTTCTTTTTTAGAATTATTCCTTAGAATAGATCCCTAGAGTAGGACTCTTGATTCCAAGAGAATCCATTTGCTTAAGACTCTTGGAGCACAGTTTCAAATTTCTTTCCAAAAGTGTTGCACATGATTATTCTAACTCTATTACATGCTACTTATTTAAAAGTAAAAATGTCAGCCGAGCGCAGAGGCTCACGCCGATATCCCAGCCCTTTGGGAGGCTGAGGTGGGTGGATCATTTGAGGTCAGGAGTTCAAGATCAGCCTGGCCAAAATGTTGAAACCCTGTCTCTACTAAAAATACAAAAATAGCCCGGCATGGTGGTGGGCACCTGTAGTCCCAGCTACTCGGGTGGCTGAGGCAGGAGAATCGCTTGAACCCAGGAAGCAGGGGTTGCAGTAAGACAAGACCGCGCCACTGCACTGCAGCCTGGGCAACAGAGTGAGACTGTCTCAAAAAAAAAAAAAAAGAAAAAAAATGAAAGTAAAACTGTCATCTCTCCTTTAGGCCAGAGATTGGCTGCTCCAAGCTAAGTAGTAACATGTGCTCCATGGCTGCCCTTTTAGAGGGACGGGTGTGAGGGTAACCTGGTCAAGTAGCCTCTGAGGTGATTCCAAAGGATTTCAGAACAAGATAGGGATTTTTGGAGTCTAGATTTGAGAAAAAGTCAGTGTGGGCTGGCACGTAGGTACAGAATCTGCCAACTTTGCAATTTAGAAAAGGGGAAAGAAAGCCAACGGTTTTTCCTAGCAGCGTGGGCCCGCATGGCCTCAGGTGCCTGTGTCTGCTGAGTGGACAGGTCTGCAAGCATTTCTCCATCATCCCCACCCTGAGAAGAGGCAGCAGCCGGCCACAGAAGTGGCACACACAGAGCCAGAGTGCCAGTGGGCTGTGACCCATTGTCTAAGGTTGCTGTGGCACAGGGAGATGGTCATCTTTGTAGCATTCTTTAGAAAACCACTGGGGGTTACCACCCTTAGGGGCTACACAGATCCCGTCTTCATGTTGAACTTGCTTTTGAATTTGGCCTTTTCACCTCCTATCCTCCTTTTCTGGGTGTTTCCCGTTTATGTAGTCAGGATTGAGGGATGGCTGTTGATGAGATGCCATGGCCAGTCAGTAAGCCGGAGTGTTGAAGCTGAGCAGTGTGGTTTCGCAGTGTGGTCTGGTAAGTTGCAACCAGTGAGGCTTGGGCCAACATACCAGACAGAAAACTATCCCCAGTTGAGGAATGGGACTCGTCCTTGACACTTCCTAAGCAAGAACAACATTGAAAGGTTGTCAGTGTGGTCAGTGGGTAGGGTTAATCAAGGAGGAGGAAGACACTGTCCTTGGTGCTACAGGTCCTGCCTAGCCCTAGAGGCTTGAGAACACCCCTTGGAATAAACTAGAGAGGGAGGCACACTGGGTCAGGGCTACAGATTTCCTCCCAGAAGCTTAGAAGCTGCTGGGGACTTGGTAATCCACAGTTGTTTCTGTGTAGCTATAAAATGTGACGTGTTTGGGGCCAAGGATGACTTTTCTCTTTCAGAATAAAGTTTGTATTTTTTCCTAAAACAGGTAAATGATGGGAGATGAAACCAGATGATAATTCAGATTCTGGCCCTAGGTAATTGCTTGGATTTCCTGAGGTAGGGAGGTTCCTACATTAGGCATAGTATGAGAAACATTTAGGGTGCTGCTAAAGGCCCAGGTGGCTCTTCAGTGTCTCTGAAGAACCACAAACGATTCAGGACTTGTCCAAATTATAAGCAAGAGGCTAGGCGTTCAAAGAGCCAGGGACAAGCTGTTGAGGTAAGAACACAGGAGCTGAGACCCCAGTGTGGGAAGGGTCTGGGGTATCTGCGGGGTATGGCTGGAGGCAGCAGCATGAGAGGGAGTGAGGGGTGGGATGGCCTGAAGTCCAGGCTCTCCGCCATGGCCCAGCCAGAGGGGATCTAGGCTGGGTTTTGGACCCAGATAGGAGTGGGTTAGATGTGAGGTGCATTTTGGAGGCGGAACAGAAAGGACAAGCTGGAATGAGTGGGGGTAAAGAGAAAGGAGGAATTGGGTTTTGTTGCATGAGCAGCCAGTGGGTGGCTGTGTCCTTCAGGGATACAGGGGAGCCCAGGGGCCAGAAGTGGTGCTTCAGACATCTTTTGTCTGGGGTGCCTTTTAGATATCCAAGTAGAAGTGTTGAGTGCTGGGCGCGGTGGCTCACACCTGTAATCCCAGCACTTTGGGAGGCCGAGTCGGGCAGATCACAAGGTCAGGAGATCGAGACCATCCTGGCCAACATGGTGAAACCCCGTCTCTAGTAAAATACAAAAAAAATTAGCTGAGCATGGTGGTGCGCGCCTGTAGTCCCAGCTACTCAGGAGGCTGAAGCAGGGGAATCGCTTGAACCCGGGAGGTAGAGATTGCAGTGAGCCGAGATCGCACCACTGCTCTCCAGGCTGGCGACAGGGCAAGACTCCGTCTCAACAACAACAAAAAAAGAAGTGTTGAGTAACCAGTGAGCTGACAAGCCCACCACGTGGAGGACTCGGGTAGGAGACTTGGGCTTGGGGGAGTGGATCGCATTCTATGATGACAGAGCTAGCTGGGGGCAGGGCGGGGGACAAAGGAACCACTTCCCTGTTGGACCTTGAAGGCTGCATTAGAGCATGAAGAGACTTCCGGAAGAGGACACAGAGTGTTAAAGTAGAGGGGAGCGTGTGTTTCCAGGGCGAGCTCTGAGGAGGCTGGAAGCTTCAGGGCCAGCTCGTGGGGGAGATGTCCCTTGTGTGAAGAACGTGGACTTCTTCCTGATTGCAGCAGGAAGTCTATCCATGGTCATTAAACAGGGTAGTGAAATGATCAGATTTAGCTTGTCACATGATTATTCTGGTAGCAGAGGACTGAGGATGTAATGATCCCAGCAAGAGACTCCCAGGACCCTAAGGGACTCGCTGTGCATACAGGGTCCCTATTGTGTTTCTTAAAGCCGACTGTGGAGCCGCCTGGCTCACCTGCCCAGGGACTCTGGCCGCTTAGCAGAAAGGCGGGTGAGGGACCTGGAGGAGCATGATAGTCTCTCCTGCTGAGGGTCTAAAGATGCTCATTCCCACAGGGCCAGTTGTTAGAAATGCAGGCACTCACACAGATACGCTCTTCTCTCAGTGGTGCCTGCCTTTCTTTTTTTGTTTAATTGTTCCTTGCAGTAGCACATTCCATGGGAGATTCCATGACAGGGCTATTCTCTCGATTTCAGTGGTTTTGATTTTGTGTCTGTTGTCATAGCGCCTGGAGCTAAGCCTTATCAAATAATTGCACATCTGGTGATCACTTAGGCTTCCAGAAATGTGAGGCAGGGAGGACCCTCAAGGGACTCTGGTCAGCACTCCTACTGCTGAGAGGCTTCACCGCATTCCCCCAGACTCACCAACAGCCTCGTTACACTTGTTACGGTGTGTGTGCACCAGTGCGCTCAGCGCCTGCATCCTCACAACCCAGCCCCTTGTGAGGCTGGCCGGACCACAGCTTGCCCTGTTCTGCACCATTCTAGGGCTGAAGGATTTGCCCAAAATATGTCACTAGATGGTGACAAACAGGCCCTTAGTCCAGTGCCTTTAGCAGGGGCTGGCTGGAGCAGCATGGCCATGTTCAGATGCCTGTCCCACCACTTGTTAGCTGTGTGCACCGCCCCCCCGCCACCGCACCACCACCACCCCTACCCGAGGGTGACAGGATCCTCCTGAAAAGTCTGTTAGGAGGATTAAATGACTTGATAACTAAGATGTTTCATCCATAAGCACTCAATAAATGGTAGCTGCTGCTGTTATTCATTCCACTGTATCTAATCTCTGTACTCTTAAATTTTACAACTTTACTCAATAACTTTTAAAATATTCTACACTTGTGGCTCCCATAAATTTCCTCTTTGCTCTATTGAGGCCATTTCTAGTCCCTGTGTGATCAGGGTTATTGGAGAGCAACTGATAAACCAGCCATGCTCCCCACTTCCTCTCTAGGAGCTCGGCCTCCTCAGCTTGTCTGCAGACCTTTGCCTCTTAATTTATCCAGTCCAGCTCTCATGTCTTCCCTGATGAAGTGGAGTCGAGAAATCTGCTCCGTCACCTTCTGTGTGAGGAGCAGCCTCTGCAGCTTGTCCCACTGCTGTAGCTCTCACAGTGCAGGGTTTCCTGGAAGCGTGCTTGGAGGGTAGCAGGCCCAGGAGGCACAGTTGTGACTGGAGCCATGGCAGAGCAGCAGTTGATATTTGTCACTACGAGTGCCGGCCTCCTTATAAGCACTCCTTTTATAGATAGGGAAGCTGAAGCTGGGAGAGGTGAGGTCACTCACCTGAGGTCACTTTAGTAAGTAGCCATGGTGGACTACTCAGGCGGGCCCAGAGCCATTTTCCTGACCACCAGGTCATGTGGGGACGCCAGGTGGCATGAATCTCTGAATCTCATTTTTCTCTGCGCTTGGGGAGGTGGTAACGTAGGTCAGTCCTTGGCGATGGTTAGTTCCCTGCCCAGGGCCTGTCAGCCTTAACATTCTTCTGATCCTGTTTATGAAACGCAGGTAATATATTGACATTGCAGAAGCTCAGAGAACATAATTGAAAGTCTTGTAGATGGCAGTAAAATGGGAAGATTTTTCAGACTGGTTTTCTTATTGGTCTGGTGAGGAGCTAAAAGTTACAGCAGGCGGTCAGCAGAGGGCCCCAGAGCCTCAGAAGTAAACCTAGATTTGGGCACATGCCTGAGTATTGGCAAATTTATGTAGCCGGGGCCCTTTGGCTCCACAGTGGGGCGTCAGGCATTGGAGTGCACATCTCTGAACTGGGAGGAAACCTCAGTACCACCAAGACGAAGACAGGTGTGTAGGAGAAGGTAGAATACCAAGAACAGTCGCAAAATCTGGTTACCCCCTGGAAAGATCACTGTGGTCTTACTGCTCCAGTTAAGAGTGTGGGTGTGTAATAACAGGGCTGGGGCTGTGTATGTAAACCAGGAACCTGGAAGAGAGCAAAGAGCTGTTTTTCTAGCTCCCTTACATTCCAGTATCCTCCTTCCCCTGATTCTACTGGATTCTGATTTAGTTACTCTAATGGTCTCTGCATAGACAACCCTTCCCCTTGGGCAGACTCTGATTCCTAGGATTTCCTGAGCAACACTCCCAGGACTCTGCACAGGAAGTGGAGAATGAGGTCAGGCCAGGACTGGAAGGGGATTCACCTACTCTCATAGCGATTGAATGGTAATTCCAGACCTGTTCTTAGTCAGTTCTTTCCAATCTGAGGATGCTAACACAAATATAAAAGACAGACAAATGGTTAAGCCCAAAGTGCTTAGGATGGTCCCTTTGTAAGGGTTTGCCATTATTATAATTTACCAGAAGCCATATAAGTGGCCTTTCGATATGGCTTGGATCTTTTATTTCATTTTTTCTTCTAGTTTTCCTTTTTGTTTTCCTTTTATAGAGGAAAGCCTGAGAAAATGGCAAGAAAACCAAAAGAATATGGTTCTGTGATTAGTAGTCCAGTCTTACAATGGAGATAATTTACCTAGTGCCCACCTTTAGTGAACGCAGATGGCATTGCCCAGACCACCCATACAGTAGAGCATGTAACATCCAGAAGCAAAAGACAACAGCAGATAGCGACTCCTTGGCTGATGTTGCAGAAGCACGTGCTGAGCAGTCTCTAAATCACATGTGTTTGCTCTAAAATTAACACCTGGACAAATTAGAATTAATGCCATTAGAAAATGAAATCACTTCTGTTTTCCACACTATGTAAACCATACGTCAGAGTGCCCTAAAAACAAGGGAGATGTATGTGGTCTGTAGTGGTATTTCTCTTAGGTCAGGCCACTAGTTAGTTCTCTTACGAGGTTCGTTTCATGTGGTTGGTGGGTTTTGGTTTGGTTTGGCTTTTAAGGAACAATAACCCTTCCCTATGGGAAATAATGGGCCTTGGATGAGGTTATGTCCAGTGTTCACTGGTCCCATTTTGAAGTGCCCCAGCTGGATGCACACCTGGTCATAGACCCAGGGCCAGCCTTGAATCTAGCCTGGGACAATGACCAGAGAGGAAGTGCTTGGAACCTGAGTCCAGTGGCTTTTCTGTGTCGTGGCTCAGGTTGCACTGTATGTTTAGGAGTTTTCTTTCTCTCCCAGTTGTTAGGCCGGAAATGCCATTATTCCTTAAGAATAGGGGCATAGGGGGCCCAGACTTTTCAGCCGGAAGCTGCTCCTCCCAATTGTGTGTGTATTCCCCTGTGGTGCCCCTCTAATGTCCAGGTATCTTTTGTGTGCCAGGAGCCCCATGAGAGCTGTGTTGGTCACACAGCCAGGCAGACAGGACGGACGGGAGACTGTGAGGAAGCAGAGGCCACTGGCTTGGCCTGAGTACTCAATGCAGGTGCAGCTCGGTGGGGTTCCCCAGCGACAGTTCTCACAGATGGGGCTTGACTTGGTTCAGAATCATACTTTTTGCAACTGCCGTCAGCACTTTTAAGGGCAGCTTTGTTTTGTGTTAAAAGTTTGCATAAAATTATAAGGTATATAGCTGGAGAGAAAGAAATTTCTTTGGCATGGAAAGAACTTGAGGCTGGCCGCGGTGGTCAATGCCTCCCACTTTGGGAGGCCAAGGCGGGCCGATCACTTGAGACCAGGAGTTCAAGATCAGCCTGACCAACATGGCAAAACCCTATCTCTCCTAAAAATACAAAAAAATTAGCCGGGCCTGGTGGCATATGCCTGTAGTCCCAGCTACTTGGAAGGCTGAGACGAGAATCACTTGAACCTGGGAGACGAAGGTTACAGTGAGCCGAGATCGCGTTGCACTCTAGCCTGGGCAACAGAGCAAGACTCTGTCTCAAAAAAAAAAAGAAAAAAGAAGAGGGCCAGGCGCAGTAGCTCACGCCTGTAATCCCAGCACTTTGGAAGGCTGAGGTGGGCGGATCATCTGAGGTCAGGAGTTCAAGACCAGCCTGACCAACATAGAGAAACCCCGTCTCTACTAAAAATACAAAATTAGCCAGGCATGGTGGTGCATGCCTGTAATCCCAGCTACTCAGGAGGCTGAGGCAGGAGAATCTCTTGAACCCAGGAGGCGGAGGTTTCAGTGAGCTGAGATCGCACCATTGCGTTACAGCCTGGGCAACAAGAGCGAAACTCCACCTCAAAAAAAAAAAAGAATTTGAATAGAGTTAGCGCTATAGGCTTCATGACCTTGCTCCTTTGTTCGTTTGTTTGTTTGTTTGTTTGTTTTGAGAGGGTCTTGCTCTGTCACCCAGGCTGGAGCGCAGTGATGTGATCCTAGCTCACTGCAGCCCGACCTCCTGGGCTCAAGCAATCCCCCTGCCTCAGCCTCCTGAGTAGCTGGGACTGTAAGTGGGCACCACTACACTCAGCTAATTTTTTTAAATTTATTTTTCGTAGAGGGTGTCTTGCTTTGTTGTCCAGGCTTGTCTCAAACTCCTGGCCTCAAGTGATCTTCCTGCCTCAGTGTTCCAAAGTGCTGGGATTTACAGGCATGAGCCACTACACCATGCCAAAGTCACACCTCCCCTGTCCCCTGGGATATGGCCCAGGAAAGCCTGTCCCCTCTGGGGCTTCTAATTCTTGTCTGTGCAGAACCTAGCGTGTGTGCAGAGGGATAAGAATTGAATGAGGTGATGTCTGTGAAGTGCCCAGCATAGTAACTAGCATACAACAGACTGTTAGTAGTTGGTACCTTATTTGAGCGTTCCAGAATCACTACATTGTTCCCTGCCATTATTTAAAATAAAAAATTCACCTTTTAAATTGTGGGAGCTCTGCTTTAGTTACATATGAAGCTGGCTTTTCAGCAGTTGCCATTCTGTACCGACATTTGCTTTATATATATATATTGTTTGTTTGTTTGTTTTTTGAGACAGAGTCTCTCTCTGTCGCCCAGGCTGGAGTGCAGTGGCGCGATCTCAGCTCACTGCAACCTCCACCTCCCTGGTTCAAGCAATTCTCTTGCCTCAGCCTCCCGAGTAGCTGGGATTACAGGTGCGTGCCACTATGCCCAGCTAATTTTTGTATTTTTTAGTAGAGATGGGGTTTTGCCATGTTGGTCAGGCTGGTCTTGAACTCCTGATCTCAGGTGATCTGCCAACCTCGGCCTCCTAGAGCCACATTTGCTTTAAAGACCCCCCGCTTTGCACAACTATAAATGAGTGAGTGTCACCTCTTTTTGGACTAGTCTCCCCAGGAATTCCCAGCTGACTTTTTTCATTTGTTTTGTTTTGTTTAGTTTTGAAACAGAGTCTCTGTTGCCCAGGCTGGAGTGCAGTGGTGCGATCATAGGTCACTGCAGCCTCGACCTCCTGGGCTTAAGTGATCCTCCCACCTTGGCCTCCCGATTAGCTGGGACTACAGGTGTGTGCCACCACACCTGGCCTTTTTTTTTTTTTAAGAGATGTAGGGCTGGGTGCAGTGGCTCACTCCTGTAATCCTAGCACTTTGGGAGGCTGAGGCAGGCGGATCATGAGGTCAGGAGTTTGAGACTAGCATGGCCAATGTGGTGAAATCCCATCTGTACTAAAAATTTGAAAATTAGGCACAGTGGCTTACGCTTGTAATCCCAACACTTTGGGAGGCAGAGGTGGGTGGATCATGAGGTCAGGAGTGTGAGACCAGCCTGACCAACATGGTGAAACCCCGTCTCTACTAAAAATACAAAAATTAGCTGGGCGTGGTGGTGGGTGCCTATAATCCCAGCTATTCAGGAGGCTGAGGCAGGAGAATCGTTTGAACCCAGGAGGCGGAGGTTGCAGTGAGCCGAGATAACGCCATTGCACTCCAGCCTGGGCGACAAGGCAAGACTCCGTCGTAAAAAAAAAAAAAATTGAAAATTATCCAGGCATGGTGGTGCACACCTGTAATCTCAGCCACTCAGAGGCTGAGGCAGGAGAATTACTTGAGCCCAAGAGGCAGATGTTGCAGTGAGCAGAGATCATGCCAGTGCACACCAGCCTGGGCGATAGAGCAAGACTCTGTCTCAAAAAAAAAAAAAAAAAAATGAGAGAAAGAGAGAGATGGAGGTCTCTCTATCTTTCCTAGGCTGGTCTCAAACTCCTGGGTTCAGGTGATCCTCCTGCCTCAGCCTCCCAAAATGCTGGAATTACAGGTGCGCACCACTGCACCCAGCTAATTTTTTAATTTTTTTGTAGAGACAAGGTCATGCTGTGTTGCTCAGGCTTAATATTTTTATTTGCTGTGATGATATGGGGTGTTTTATTCTCCAGATCTAGCCAAATGGAGAAATTCCTTGCAGACCCTCATTCTGGGCTGTGGTCTTGGCCTCCTGCACTTGATCCTGCAACTTGCTCTCTTCCCTGCATACTGCCCCACGTGACAGGTCAGCTTTGCTGTTCTTCACATCACCCCCAGTTGGAACCTGCAGTGGCTTCTAGAGCCTTTGTCACTCTTGTTAGTCTGGCCCCTTCTTCTCTTCTCGCAAACCAGGCCAGTCCCCCACCTGCCTGCCTGTTCTTGTAGATGCTTTCTCCCACAGAGCTATCTCCAGCCCACTCCATTCTGTCGAGCCTGTTCTTGAACAGCAGCTCCACTGACAGGGCCACGCTAATTACCGTAAGCAGGCAGGGTAGATAGGTGGGCGGGGAGAGGCCATGCTGTACACCTTGTGGCTTCATAGAAGAATCTCAATAACCACTGACTTCCCCCGCTTGGGGTGGTGCTGGTGACCAGTGCGGTACTGCCCGCAGGTGGGGCATTTGGTGTTGTAGAGGACACATTGGTCTCCGGAGGTCCAGAGAGTGGTGGGAATGCCCACACCGTGCACATAGGCCCCCACCACCCTGAGTCGATGGAGAGATGGATACACCCTGCCCCTGCCCCGTGTCTCTTGTTAAGACACAATACATCTATAAACCGCAGATCCTGAGCTGTAGCCAGGACATCTCAGTACTTTTTTTGTACATTTTCCAATTTCAAGACATCCCCCTTGGTCAAACGATAGAATCCAGTAGGGCTCCTCAGCATTATCCTGGGAGTGTGCTGCCTGTGTCCCTGTGTCCTAGAAAGCCCCAGCTCCTCGCCTCCCAGTGCTCTACAGCATCCTATCTTGAGTCCTCCCTCATATCCATCCTCTACCTTGCGCTGCTCACCAGGAAGACCACAGCAGCCTCCTCACTGGCCTTCTCTGTTCCAGACTCATGCTCCATACCAGCACCAGTGTGCTTATGTGATCACATAAGTATTTATGCGATGAGTCTTTATCGTCGGGTACCAGCAAGAGAATGTATGTAAGTGGATAAAAATGTAATTCAACATGTGTTTTATGAATTCTGGAAACCTCTTTTTATTCTCAGAACATCAATTCAAAGTCCATCTCCTGTTGAAATTCATCAGTGGGTTAAACTCCGAATTGTCTTGATGCTACAAGCACTACATCATGTGTGTGTAGTTTCATTCTAAAGTCTGGTTGCTTCACTTCTTGTTATTAAATTTAACAAACATAACTCTCCAACTTGGCGTTTTTGCAGAGTGGGATCCTTTTATATAAACATTAGTAAAGACCAAAGTAACTGATATAACTACAAGATTATCATTCCCCCAAAGTAAACATGTATTTAGGGGCAGCTGCTTCCAGGAAGCCATGTGCTCTTCTGGATGGAAAATAAATCGGTGGCATTCTTGGTTTTCTGGGACTTAGTCCCAGTCTCTACAGCCTGCTTTCCATCTGTCTCCCAGAATCAGGACTTAACGTCTCCAACATGTATGAAGAAGATCAGAGGGCACAGCGTGTGCACAAAGGGGCGGGAACTTCTCTGATCCACTGCCATCTACTCCTTGATAGTCATCAATGGCCACTGTCTTGGTCAGCTCGGCTGCCTTAGCAAAATACCAGACTAGGGGCTTATATATGCTGTCAGTTTTCCTACAGTTTTGGAGCTAGAAATCTGAAATGAAGTTGTCAGCAGATTTCGTTTCTTGTGAGGCCCCTCTCCTTGGCTTGCAGAGGACTGTCTTCGTGCTGTGTCCTCACATGGTCTTTTCTGTGCACTCCTCTGGTGTCTCTCTCTGTCCTTTTTTTTTTTTTTTTTTTTTTTTGAGACGGAGTTTTGGTCTCTTTGCTCAGGCTAGAGTGCAGTGGCACAATCTCGGCTCACTGCAACCTCCGCCTTCCAGTTTGAAGAGATTCTCCTGCCTCAGCCTTCCAAATAGCTGGGATTACAGGTGCCCGCCACCGCGCCCAGCTGATTTTTTTGTATTTTTAGTAGAGACGGTGTTTCACCATGTTGGTCAGGCTGGTCTCGAACTGCTGACCTCTTGATCCGCCCGCCTTGGCCTCCCAAAGTACTGGGATTACAGGCGTGAGCCACCGTGCCCGGCTCTCTCTGTCCTTCTTATAAGGCTATCAGATTGGAATAGCGCTCACCCCATCAGCCTCATTTAATATAATCACCTCTTTAAAGTCCCTGTCTCCAAATACAGTCATTGTCCAAGGTGTCAGAGTTGAGGGCTTCACATATGCATTTGAGGGAGACACAGTTCAGTTCATAACAGCCACAGATAAATGATGTGTCTTTTTAGCACGTGTGATTCAGTTGGGAAAACAATAGAAAGCAGGAACAGTTACCACTGGGCTTAGAGATGAGCCAAAGGCAAGTCTATTCAGGCATGAGCAGCTGGGTCCCCTCTGTGTTCATCAGGATTTCCAGCCTTCACATGGGCACATGGAGCAGTTGCTGAGCCTAACTAGAGCACAGCTTAGGGAGCCTGGCAAAAGGCATATTGCCTCTGGTGAGGTTTTATCCTGTTGTCCATCTGTGTTATTTAGAGCAGTTTCTGTAAAGAAAAAAGTATCGTTTGTTGCTATAACAAATGATATTAGCAACATCAGAGCAGGCTGCCACTCCGGCAGCTCCCCCGGAACCAAGCAGTTCACAGAAAACACTCTAGGCCTCCTAGGGAAGGGAGAGGCATGGTGGTTCGTCTTGGGAAGACCTTGAGTCCTGCCTTCCCAGGGTGGACCCTCACCCCTGAAAAAGGCTACAGACGGCCTCCTTATATGGCCACCACTACAAGTTCCTCCCGGGTAGGCCACATAACTGGAACTGAGAATTTGGGCTATGGATTAAGGCTGAAAACACAACTCAACAAAGATGAGAGGGAAGTCACATTTCAACATACTGTGTTACGAGACCCAGTTACACCACCTTAGCTGTACTTTTGCTTCCAAAGGTCACCTTAGGTTGTCGGACATGAAGAAACTAATGAAGCAGTAGGGGTGGAGATTAAGCATGCTTTGGGGTCAGAATGGTGAGGGGCATACCATTAATTTCTTGCTCATAAACATTTCTGTGAAATGATGGAATCTCCTAAGGTTTGTTTCATACATGATTAACTGTACCAAAAATTTAAATCCAAGAATAAGCAAAAAGAGGAAGTAAAAGACTTTTTTTACCCAACCACCAGTTCAGCACTCTCCTCTAGTTCTGGGTGTCTCCTTTTGGCAGCCCCTCTATGCACATCAGAGGAGCCCACTATCACATGGCTGGGTCCTCTGCAGTCGGGCAGCAGCACTGTGGTCAGGCATGTGTCATCTCAGGGGAGCAGTGCATGTGCAGGAAATGGATCCTGAAAGTCTCACATCCAGGTTGTTTATGAAAGTGATTTCCAGGGCAGGCACGGTAGCTCACGCCTGTAATTCCAGCACTTTGGGAGGCCGAGGCGGGTGCCTCACTTGAGGTCAGGAGTTTGAGACCAGCCTGGCCAACATGGTGAAGCCCCGTCTCTACTAAAAATAAATAAATAAATAAATAGCTGGGCATGGTGGTGCGTGCCTGTAATCCCAGCTAATCGGGAGGCTGAGACAGGAGAATTGCTCGAACTTGGGAGGCAGAGGTTGCAGTGAGCCAAGATCGCGCCACTGCACTCCAGCATGGGTGGCAGAGCGAGACTCCATCTCAAAAAAAAAAAAAGGATTTCCAAACGCACCATCCACAATCTCACTTACTTTCTTTTTTTTTGAGATGGAGTCTTGCCCAGGCTGGAGTGCAGTGGTGCGATCTCAGCTCGATGTTATCTCCACCTCCCAGATTCTAGCAATTCTCCTACCTCGGCCTCCCGAGTAGCTTGGATCACAAGTGCACAACACCATGTCGGACTAATTTTTGTATTTTTAGTAGATGGGGTTTTGCCATGTTGGCCAGGCTGGTCTCAAAACTCCTGACCTCAAGTGATCCGCCCACCTTGGCCTCCCAAAGTGCTGGGATTACAGGCGTGAACCACTGCACCTGGCCAACACAGTCTCAGTTTCAACAGTGATATCTGGCAGATTTGATACAAAGTTTAGGTCTTGATTTAGAAGCATGAACAGACCCCTCACCTCACTCTCTAGCATCTTTTGGTCTCTTACTGCTAAATCTGTCAATATAATCTTTCACTTGAGGCAAGATGGAGTGATGATTTCATAAGCATTGAGTAAACTCTGCCAGTCTTTTCAGCCACACTGAAAAGAATGGATAATGAGTGTGTCAGCCTCCCTGTGATTGCCAGTGGCAAAGATTGGTCTTCTAAAGATCTCATCATTTCTTTTCTAAATAGAGGTATCAGAGGATCAGCAAAACCAAGACCTGGATCAAAAGAGGTCAGAGCTTCTCAACTTTACTATGTGTCGGAATCAGAGATCTTGTCAGATGCAACTCTGCTTAGTAGGTATAGCTGGAGCCCGACCGCCCATATTCCTCTCAGGCTGGCAGGTGCAGACAGTCCTGCCCATCCTGCATAGCACGGGACTGGGTGGGATAGTTTCCACCAAGGGGGGCCATCTGTAGCCACCTGCCTGCGTTGAAATACTCTCTAATGCTCTTTATAATATTAGGTCCACAGAACTAAAAATCACTTATGCTCCTGCTCATATTCCTGGGGGAGATGACTAGATTTCGGCTGGATAAGAGCCCTGTGGGGATGAGTGAAGGTGTGAAAGTAGTCACATCTAGAGGCATCAGGTGGATAGTATGCTAACTAGATAGTGTTTTACTATTTCCCGTAGTAAAGATATGGGGAAGATACACCGTGACTAGAACGCCCAAATCTTGTGAACCAGGAGAATGAAGGGCATGAAGCCCTGGAAGGGCAGGCAACAGCAGACCCCGGCTACTTCCTAACAGCGTTCTTCCTCGGGACTGGGATCTCTGGCCCTGCTTCTGAGCCCTCCACTCTGGGTGTCTCCCACCTATACTTTTTATCATTCTTCTGTGTCGAGTTGACCCTTTTTTCCTCCCTCCTTTGACCCTCATCCTCAGTTCATATCTCCTGTCCCCATGAGAGGCTTCCCTTTTTGTCACATTTCACTAGCAAGGAGGGAAAGATTAAAAGTCCGCTTTGTGGCCTGGCACGGTGGCTCACATCTGTAATCCCAGCACTTTGGGAGGCCGAGGCGGGCAGATCACGAGGTCAGGAAATCAAGACCATCCTGGCTAACACGGTGAAACCCCGTCTCTACTAAAAATACAAAACATTAGCCGGGCGTGGTGGTGGGTGCCTATAGTCCCAACTACTCGGGAGGCTGAGGCAGGAGAATGGTGTGAACCTGGGAGGCGGAGCTTGCAGTGAGCCAAGATTGCGCCACTGCACTCCAGCCGGGGCCAACGGAGCGAGACTCCATCTCAAAAAAAAAAAAAAAAGTCCGCTTTGCTATTTACTCTGAGAAGGGATTTGATTTTTATGAGAATGTGAAAAACTACCAGGGGCAGCCGCTTTTCTATGCCTGCTATATAAACAGTACCTTGCAAGATGTCCTGTCTGATATCCACAAAGGGGTATTGTCAACCCCAAGTTCAGACAGCTTTGTATTCTTCTGTCCCTGGATACATGAATTACTGCCATCTTTACACAGCGCCCTAAAATACCAACGCGAAGTTACCTGCTCAGCTTGAAGCTGCGCTGTACCCTGGAACCAGCACTTCTGCTGAATGACTCAGGATGAAGCCTCGACTTCCTCCTTCCCATCCCATGCCCAGACCCCAGTGGCTCCTTTCCCCAATCTGATCCAGTGACTTTAAGTCCAGCTGTTGTCAGCCTGGGCATGAGGAGGAGTGTCAAGATGGTCTTTGTCCTACCTGGAAGGAGGCTTCCTGGAATCTGCAGCCTCTCTTCCAGGGCATGCTGACAGTGGAGTTCCAGCAGGCAGGAGCTGGTTTTGCTGGCTGTTCCTGCCAGGCCAAGATTCCCAGCAAAACCCTGGGAAGCCCAGAGGTAGCCCAAGCAGTGAGCAAAGACAAGGTCAGCCTGGCTTGTTTCTGCCCAAGTGATAACAGTGTTTCTATTTGACAGTTTGAAATGATTAGATCTGCTTCCTATGCATGGCCCTGCTCCTGCAGGATGGAGAAGGCTGGGGGGTTCCCCTGGTTCCCGGGCATTGTTCCTTATCAGCAGAGTCACCTCCAGGGTAACTAGAGATGGGGCTGGTTTTCAGTTCCTGGCAGTGATCCTTGGGACTTCCTATTGTGAGAATGAGCCTTTTGGTGCCTTTTTAAAGAAACTTTAATTCTGAATGAATTCTAAATTAATGGCTTTTAAACTTTTTTGTTTGTGACCTATAGTAAGAAATATAAATTACCATAAGCTTCATCCAAACATAAATAAATATAGGTGGAACAGAAACAGTTTTATAAAACAAATACTTGACACATGGAATGTGCCCTAGTATTTTTGTTCTAACTTTAAATCCACTAGTCATAATCTACTGAAGTGACTTTACAACCCACCATAGGGCCACAGTTTATAGTTTAAAAGTCATGGCTGGCCAGGCACAGTGCCTCACAACTGTAATCCCAGCATATGGGAGGCCGAGGCGGGTGCATCCTTTGAGCCCAGGAGTTTGAGACCAGTCTGAGCAACATAGCAAGACCTGGTCTGTACAAAAAATTAGCCAGGTATGGTGGCATGTGCCTGTGGTCACAGCTACTCTGGGCACTGAGGGGGCAGGATCACTTGAGCCCAGGCTTGAGCCCAGTGAGCTATGATGGCACCACTGACTGCACCCCAGCCTGGGTGACAGAATGAGACCCTGTCTCAAAAAAAAAAAAAAAAAAGTCATTGCTGTAGTAACTTCGGTTCCACAACCTGTATTGTATGGAGCATCTATGGGGAGCAAATCCTTTGGAAGGGGCTTAGTCACAGCCTCCCCTCCTGCCCTTTCCAGGCTGTGAGAAGCTCGGCAGGAAGGCGGGAGAGGCCCCACCTTCAGAGGCGCAGCTCAGAAGGCTTGAGAGCTCCCCGTGAAAGGGATCCCTGCAGGTGGGGTTCTTTGGGAATCAACCTCATGCACAGCCATTGCAGAGGCTCTTCTTCAGCATCTGTTTACTCTGGGCTCAGGCCCCAGGCAGCCTGCAAACCCAACCCTCCTCTCCACCTTACAGCTCTGCCCACCCTGCTCCTCCCTGTTCCTGGTGCCTGGAATTCTTTCCCCCAGATAGCACCAGACTCTCTCCCTCGCCTTTCTTAAGTCTTCACTTACATGCACCTTCGCAGAGAGGCCTTCCCTGACCACCAGTTTATAATCGTGAACTATTTCCCCCTCTCCACCCCAGTGCATTCTTCCTTTATTTTTTTCTCCTCAGCACTTACAATCATGTCTTAACTGTATATTACACTTAATGTGTGTCCCCACTGCAGAGCAGGACCCATAGTCCTTAGTAGGAGCTCACATACTGGTTTCGGATTTTTTTTTTTTTTTTTTTTGAGACGGAGTCTCACTCTGTCGCCCAGGCTGGAGTGCAGTGGCGTGATCTCCACTCACTGCAAGCTCTGCCTCCCAGGTTCACGCCATTCTCCTGCCTCAGCCTCCCGAGTAGCTGGGACTACAGGCGCCCGCCACCACGCCCGGCTAATTTTTTTGTATTTTTAGTAGAAACGGGGTTTCACCGTGTTAGCCAGGATCGTCTCGATCTCCTGACCTCGGGATCCGCCTGTCTCGGCCTCCCAAAGTGCTGGGATTACAGATGTGAGCTACCGCGCCCGGCCTTGGTCTTGGAATTTTTATATAAATGTCCACATGATGCCATTGCCTAGGCGTTGCTGATATAGTCTCGGTGATTCTGTTAAACAGCCATTCGAGAGAAACAGTCGTCTGTATTTGAGTAACTAAGGGAATTGGTAGTTTTGTTTGTAGTTACTATGATAAAGATAAAATTGAACTTTGATTTATTCCAGAAAGACTTTACCCTCCCACTCTGTCCTCGAAGCCCTGGTCCCCATAGTATAGTAAAAAGCCGGCAGCTATGTGTGGTCTCTCCCAGAGCAGTCAAGCTGGTGTCTCGGTGCCTTGTAACTTTCCATCCCTAGGGGGCAGCATTAGCACAGAAACCACATATAAAGCTTCTATTCCAATTTGTCACCTAATCCTGGTGGCTCAGGGAAAGAACTTTTCTAATCCACAGAAATAACACTTCAAGATTTCTTTTTTCAAAGCCTGGTTCTGTACATAGAAATGGTAGGTGAGGTGTGTATGAAAACAAAAAATATTTAAGAACAACATGAAATCTTCCCCAAAGAAGCCCTTTCCTCAGGACTAGGGAGTGAGGTGGGGGAGGCTTTGTAATGGTTCCCAGAGCTCTCACTTGGCCACTCCCAGATTTGAATTTCTGCATTTGGAAATGTAAAGGTTCTCCTTCCTTTGAGAGATGATTTACTGTACTTTGAGGATAGAGAGGAATCCCCTGCATGGTGAGCTTGGCTTCTTAGATGTGACATAATCAGATCATTACAAGACACTGTTAGAAGAATTCATGTTAGAATTTTGTGTGTCCTGGCTGGGTGCGGTGGTTCGTGCCTGTAATCGCAGCACTTTGGGAGGCCGAGGCGGGCAGATCACCTGAGGTCAGGAGTTCAAGACCAGCCTGGCCAACGTGGTGAAACCCAGTCTCTCCTAAAAAATACAAAAATTAGCCAGGCCTGGTGGCGGGCGCCTGTAATCCCAGCTACTTGGGAGGCTGTGGCAGGAAGAATTGCTTGAACCTGGGAGGTGGAGGTTGCGGTGAGCCAAGATTGTGCCATTGCACTCCAGCCTGGGCAACAAGAGCAAAACTTCATCTCAAGAAAAAAGAAAAAAAAGAATTTTGTGTGTCCTTTAAGAACTGGACCCAGGCAGTTTGGATTATCTTGTTTCTGGGAGTGCAGAGGAGAATGCTGGCCAGTGGGGGAAGCGTGCAGCCTACCCTTGGGCGGCAACTGGCCTTCCACAGCCCCTGGGGGTGTTGGGGAGAGCCAGGCTGGGACACAGGCAGAATGCGCATTTCCAGTCCTGACCCCTCTAAACCAGAAGTTCTCTTGGGCACACATTTTCAGGGTCTACTGTTTGTGAGCTCCTTTTATCCTGATTGAAGAGAGATCAACTTCCATGTCTTGAAACTACAGGAGAAAATCAACAAAGAACATCCTAATTGAAACATATGCAGTACTTTCTCACACCATCTGCAAGCATTTGGTCATTAGCTGCTTGGTAATAACTGCTGTTTGTAGTTTAACTCATTAAATTGGGGAAAGACATTAGGGAGCAAAGAAAGGAAGGACAGTAACTCATCCTTAAGGCTGAAGCTGTAATGAATTAACCTGAAAGGGTCGTATATATTAATAATTTCATTTTCTCATAAAATACTTGGCATAATTATAAATAAGACCCAATAGGGAGGAAATAATGTTCTTTCAGAGAGGAGATAGATACGCTTTTTTTGCCCATGGAAAGTACAAAAAAACAACTCTCTGCATGGAGAAGATGTGCTTTGTCTTGCCAGCCTCCAGCTCAGACATTCAGCACCTTGTGCCGCTCAAATCTAGTGCTAGGCCCTAGAAATCCAAAGATACCTGAGATGTACGGTGGTTGATTACGAGCCCCTCCAGGTCAGGAATTCTCCAGGCTTCATCTC
Source organism: Homo sapiens (assembly GCF_000001405.40). Taxonomy (NCBI): domain Eukaryota; kingdom Metazoa; phylum Chordata; class Mammalia; order Primates; family Hominidae; genus Homo; species Homo sapiens. The sequence continues at coordinate 5,663,982 of NC_000007.14, read as the reverse complement.
CATCGCATCTCCATGTGGCACAGAATAGGCACTCAAGTGAACTTTTTTTTTGTTTTGGGGTTTTTTTGTTTTGTTTTGTTTTTTTGAGACGGACTCCCTCTCTGTCGCCCAGGCTGGAGTACAGTGGCAGGATCTCGGCTCATTGCACCCTCTGCCTTCTGGGTTCAAGTGATTCTTCTGTCTCAGCCTCCTGAGTAGCTGGGACTACAGGCGTGCGCCACCACACCCGGCTAATTTTTGTATTTTTAGTAGAGACAGGGTTCACTATGTTGGCCAGGCTGGTCTCGAACTCCTGACCTCGTGACCTGCCCGCCTCAGCCTCCCAAAGTGCTGCGATTACAGGCACGAACCACTGTGCCCGGCCTCAAGTGAACTTTTTTTTTTTTTTTTTTTTTTCCTGAGGTGGAGTCTCGCTGTGTCGCCCAGACTGGAGTGCAGTGGCGCAATCTCAGCTCACTGCAAGCTCCGCCTCCCGGGTTCAGGCCATTCTCCTGCCTCAGCCTCCCGAGTAGCTGGGACTACAGGCGAACGCCACCACACCTGGCTAATTTGTTTTTGTGTTTTTAGTAGAGACGGGGGTTTCACCGTGTTAGCCAGGATGGTCTCGATCTCCTGACGTCATGATCCACCTGCCTCGGCCTCCCAAAGTGCTGGGATTACAGGCGTAAGCCACCATGCCTGGCCAAGTGAACTTTTTTTTATTGGATGAATTGAGCCCTCCATGCCAAGCCTGTCCATAGTGACCAGCAGGACGTCATCTTTGCCGCAAGGAGCGCCTGGCATTTGGAAAAGATGTGACATAATCAGATAATTACAAGACGCCACTAAAAGTGCAGTAACAACGCATAAGCTAAGTGCTGTGGGAGCCCAGTGAGCAAGTGCCAGCTCTTCCCGGGTCATTTGGGTTTCCCAAGCCACTGGTATTTGAAAGGAGAACTGGTGAGTAGGTGTTGCCAGAGGAGAAGAGATATTCTTAGGCAAAATGTTGTGCCATTGAGGGCATAGGGGGTGTGGGTGCTGGATTCTCTGAGCGCTCTGTCCTGTCCCAGCTCCGTCTACTGTCCTGCTTGCATTCCCTGTACCTGGAACGCTTCTCTACCAGATAGCCTTCAGGCTCAAGCAGAAGTGCCAGCTCTACACAAGCCTTCCCTGACAAACCAGTGTCAGATGGCACCCTCCCTGTTCACACTGCCTGCCCCCTACCTGGCTTTAGTTTCCTCTGAGGTACTCACCATCTTCCTCAGAGTATACAGTTATCTGTTTGTGAGTAGACTCTAAGAGGACAAGGGCTTCGTTTTATACCGATCCCTCTCTCTGGCACTGATGGAAGGCTCTCAGCGGCACTGATGGAAGGCTCTCAGTGGCACTGGTGGAAGGGGCAAGGGTGGGAACATGAGAGTGTCTTCATTCCTTTCAGTGCAGAAACTGTCTCTGTTACCTGCATTGCTCTGAACAAAACCGACCCAGAGCAGTTTCAGTGATGGTGATAATCTCAAGCAATGCCATTACCAAATCTTAATGCCCTGATCCTGGCCACCTTTGAGGAGGTAAGTGGCAAGTATTTACAAGTAAGCGTCCAGGGGCTGGTTGAGGGAGTGACTATGGAACACTTTCATGGAGCCTATCTCTGTTTATGCGGTAATGGAAATCTAAAAATGGACTTCCTTTTGCTATACCGCCAGACATGCAACTGCCCAAAGGTGGCAGGAACAGCTACTTCCTCACACGTGTCCAGTCTGAGATCACCCTGTGATTAGCAGGTTCCTATCGTTACCAGTAAGAAAGGGTATCCTCAGGTCTGATTCCATCCCATCCTGCCTCTTACTGAGCCATTCGCAGCTCTCCAGGAAGCAGACATCCTGCACAGCTGCAGCTGCACGGCCATGCCTTTGATGCCCTGATGCTCACACCCAGATTTGCTGATTGTTCCTCTGTGGTCTTCTCACACAAGATGCCATTGTAACCTCAGCTTGTCTCATAGCCACGTGCCCTTGGGTTCTCCAGTAAACAGTGACCTGCTTTCGCTAGCAAACGCCATGTGGGCACACAGTGGGACTAGAGTAAGAGCAAGTGGATTTGGGATCAGACAGACTCATGTCTAAAGCTCTGTGACCTCGACCAAATTAATTGGACCCTCTGAGCCTTCTTTTTCTCTTACCTTTTTTGTTTTTGTTTTTGTTTGAGCAGAGTCTCATTGTCTCGCCCAGGCTGGAGTGTAGTGGCACAATCTCAGCTCACTGCAACCTCTGCCTCCCAGGTTCGAACGATTCTCATGCCTCAGCCTCCCAAGTAGCTGGGATTATAGACTTGCACCACCACGCCTGGCTAATTTTTGTATTTTTTGTAGAGACGAGATGTCACCATGTTGGCCAGGCTGGTCTCAAACTCCTGACCTTAAGTGATCCACCCTACTCGGCCTCCCAAAATGCTTGGATTACAAGAGTGAACCACCATGCCCAGCCGTATTTACTTTTTTAAAAATGGGAATAATTCTCCAGTACTTCCCTGTAGAGTTGCTGTGAAGATTGAGATGTGTATGCAAAGCACCCTTTGTGAAGATGTGTAAGTTTTCAGTCCTAGCAGGTCTCATTTATTTCTTTAACAAAAAACCTAAGCCTACAAGCTGGGCATGGTGGCGCACACCTGTAAGTTCAGGCTACTGAGGAGACCGCCATGAGCTATGCTGGCGCCACTGACTGGGCAATAGAGTGAGACCCAATCCCTTCGAAAAACAGCCTGCAGGGGCTGGGCGCAGTGGCTCATGCCTGTAATCCCAGCACTTTGGGAGGCCGAGGTGGGCAGATCACTTGAGGCCAGGAATTCAAGACCAGCCTGGTCAATGTGGCGAAACCCTGTCTTTACTAAAAATACAAAAATTAGCCGGGCATGGTGGTGCATACCTGTAATTCCAGCTACTTGGGAGACTGAGGCATGAGAATCTTGAACCCTGGAGGCGGAGGTTGCAGTGAGTCGGAATTTACTCCAGCCTGGGTGACAAAGCGAGATGCTGTTTCAAAAAAAAAAAAAAAAAAAAAAAAACCTAAGGCTTCAGGAGCATGGAGCTAGTACTGTGAAAAGCAGGAGTTTTAGACCTCTGTTAAAGATGTTCCCCAGGCCAGGCATGGTGGCTCACATCAGTAATCCCAGCACTTTGGGAGGCTGAAGCTTGCGGATTGCTTGACTCCAGGAGTTTGAGACCAGCCTGGGCAACATGGCAAGACCCCATCTCTACAAAAAATTAGCCAGGCATGGTGGTGCACACCTGTGGTCCCAGCTACTTGGGAGGCTGAGGTGGGAGGATCGCTTGAGCCAGGGAGGTCGCGACTGCAGTGAGCCAAGATTGTGCCACTACACTCCAACCTGGGTGACACAGTGAGACCCTGTCTCAGTCAATCATTAAAACAGGGCTCCATGCCTGTAATCCCACCACTTTGGGAGGCCGAGATGGGTGGATCACCAGGTCAAGAGATGGAGACCATCCTGGCCGACATGGTGAAACCCTGTCTCTACTAAAAATAGAAAAATTAGCCAGGTGTGGTCGCGGGCGCCTGTATTCCCATCTACTCGAGAGGCTGAGGTGGGAGAATCACTTGAACCCAAGAGGCAGAGCTTGCAGTGAGCCGAGATTGCGCCACTGCACTCTAGCCTGGTGACAAAGCGAGACTCCATCTCAAAAAAAAAAAAAAAAAAAAAAAAAAAAAAAAAAAAAAAAAAAAAGAATTTAAAACAGGGCCGGGCTCTGTGGCTCATATTTATAATCCCAACAGTTTGGGAGGCCATGGTGGGCAGATCGCTTGAGCCCAGAAATTTGAGAGCACCCTGGGAAACATAGCAATACCTGTCTGTACAAATAAAATAACAAAATTTAGCTGTGGTGGCACGTGTTCATAGTCCGAGCTACTCGGAAGATAGAGGCGGGAGAATTGCTTGCACCCAGGAGGTCAAGGTTATAGTGAGCTATAATGGCACCACTGCACTCCAGCCTGGGCAACAGAGCAAGACCTTGTCTCTAAAAAAAAAAAAAAAAAAATTAATGAATGTAATTAAAATATTAAGAAGAATAGTAATAAAGTCCCTTTCTGAAGCCATATCAGAAAATGTGGTTCTCTTCTTCTTAACAAAAAAAGTACAGGTGTGCTGCTATTGCCCCATCGCAGGTTAGCCTTTCCTGCCCCTGCCAGGCTTGGTGTTGGCACACCTTGTTTCAGGAAGTAAGCTGTGCCCTTATTTATGGAGGACTGTTGAGGAAATCTAAGCAAGAATCAAATCCACACTCCGAGCCTGTTCCCCTAGAAGTTATTTACTTGGCCTTAGTTTAGAAAGGGGGTGCTGCAAGGTCCTACAACCCCAGCAAACCATCCCTTTAACAGTAGCAGCCAGAAGAATCTTTTGAAATGTCAACCAGATGCTTGCATTTCCCACCTGGTCAGCCTAGCTTTCCAAACTCCTTCCTATAGCCTCAGTCCTACTGGGTGACCATGGTCCATTCTCCACTCTCCCCCACTGGGCTCCAGCCATACTGACTTTCTCAGCATGAGACGGACCCTCTCCTGCCCTGAAGCCTTCACCCTTGCTCTTCCCTCTGTACCCATACCTGGCCGACTCCTCCTTTAGGACTCAGCTTAAATGTCGCATCCTCTGACTAGGCCCCTAGTGTCAGTTAATATCTGTGTTTTTCAGTAAAACGTAAATGTCATGAAGATAGAAACTGAGCCTAACTTGTTTATTGCTGTATCTCCGGTGTCTCATACAAATGACAGAAATTCAGCAGATACTGGAAGAGCACATAAATGAGTGAATAAGTAAGCTGGTCTGGAACTAAACTCGCCTCTGCCTCCCACCGTCACTCAGATCTTATTCTGCACCACTTGATCTAAGTTCATGTTTCCACCAATCTCGCTAGTGTCCTACATCAGAAGCCTAGAAGTCTTTCTAGGCTTCTCTCTCACCCTCATCTCTTTCATAGACTCTTCCAGTTGCTTCTCAACCATCTTTCTGTCTTTGGTCTCAAGCTCACTAATTAATGGAAGTATTCTGAAACATAACTCCGACACATTGCTGCACTCTCCAGGCCTCCTCCATGGCGCTTCAGTATTGAGAGCGGCAGATGTACAATTTTATTGCTTGCCGTATCAGAAAAATTGTGCAGAGGACACCCCCAGCGTATGTGTTTATTTGTACGTTACATGTGTGCTACTGTTGTAACATAACATGGCAAAACATACACAGATACAGAAAATTTAAAAGGGTGTAATGAAATAAATCATACTTTAAAATATACTGCTTTATTCAAGTCAGTTAAAAAAATTTTTTTTTTTTTTTTTTTTTGAGACAGTCTCTCTCTGTCACCCAGACTGGAGTGCAGTAGCTTGATCATAGCTCACTGCAACCTCCACCTCCCAGGCTCAAGAAATCCTCCCCCTCAGCCTCCCAAGTAGCTGAGACTACAGGCACATACCACCACAGCCAGCTATATTTTTGTATTTTTTGTAGAGATGGGGTCTCACTATGTTTGCCAGGCTGGTCTCAAACTCCTGGGCTTACGTGATCTGCCCACATCGGCTTCCCAGAGTGCTGAGACTACAGGCATGAGCCACTGTGCCCGGCCCAAAATAATTTTATTTAATGAGATGAAAACTTTGTGCTTATTAAAATAGGAATCTTTTGAACTATGTTTCATTGTTGGAATGTTTGGTTTGAGCATCTGGTTCTGAGGTTCAGATACTTGGCTTTAATGGCTGTCATTGCTGGAAAAGCGTTTCACTAAGACGTAGATCCCAGTAGGAGAAGCACTTTATTGGTTGCATGGAGGTTCTGATTACTCATGGCACTTACTGTAGTCAATCCCATGAAGATGTCAGCTCCGCAAAGAATCCTTGTCTGACTCACCTCTTTCTCCTCTGCATGCACATGCATGCTCCCCTGCCGTGTGTGCGTGCACATTACACTGAACCCCCATTATGCTGTGCTTGATTTGCCCCGATATGTAACTCTCTCAGTAGAGTGCACTCCTTGAGGGCAAGGACCAAGCCTTCTTCGGCTGTTATGTGCATTCTTGACCTAGGAAAAATAGAGGTTCTTGGATTCCCTTAGTAAAAGGAAAGAAAGTTCACTGAATCTACCTGAGCTTTGACTTTGCTGAACTTTATTGATTCTCAGGGGTTGCAGCATAAACTCCTGAGATTTAAGGGGTTCCATCTTAAAATCAGTGTCTTTCTGGCCTTCTGTATGTCATTTGGGCGTATGGGTGGGGAGGACCAGCATCTTTGACAACTAGAAGACACAGATGGCCTGGAAGCCCACGGTCCTGTGGTCCCTGGCTGAGCATTTGCGAATAGTCAAGTGTGTGGGCCTTTTACCTCAAGAGTGCTGGAGATTTATAGTCTCACCATTTTATTTTATTATTTTTTTTTTTTAGACAGAATTTCACTCTTGTTGCCCAGGCTGGAGTGCAATGGCAAGATTTCGGCTCACCGCAACCACTACCTCCTGGGTTCAAGCTATTCTCCTGCCTCAGCCTCCTGAGTAGCTGGGATTATAGGCATGCGCCACCACGCCCAGCTAATTTTGTATTTTTAGTAGAGATGGGGTTTCTCCCTGTTGGTCAGGCTGGTCTCGAACTCCCAACCTCAGGTGATCCACCTGCCTCCACCTCCCAAAGTGCTGGGATTACAGGTGTGAGCCACTGCACCCGGCCCAGTCTCACCATTTTTTGAGGTGACAGAACAGAGAGCTGAAATTTCTGAAGCTACTTCTGGATTGGCAACAGCGTAATGCCCTGTGGCATGTCAGTGACTTCTCTCCCCCTAGAGAGTGAGTTGACAGGTTTCACTGTAGGAACCATTTAAAAGTAAGGGAGCAGTTTGTACTTTGTTCTGCTTCTGAGACAAGGCTGGATGGAAGTCAGCAACTGAAATCTAGCACGCATGGGGACGGACACCTTCCAGGTGGCTTTGCAAGGAAGGCAAGGAAACAAACACAGAACCCGGTGACTTTGGCCTGTGGGCTCAGATTTTCTTTTGGATTCTTTGCCAACAGACCCAAAGGTCTCAAGATTATTATCACACTTGCTGGGCTTGGAGGAGGTGGTGGCCGGATACATTTGTCTACTGGTTCTTGAGAAAGCTGTTTATGTGAAGAAATTTCAGCTCCCATCATGATAGGGTCATCTGGAATTGAATTTAATCTTCTGCTTTATTCATTAATCATTATTCAGGCAGCAGAAAATGAATAAAGGAAGACGGAAGTGCTTTCTTTATATTGCAAAGTGAAGACCTCATGAACAGCCAAAACACCTTAATGTATTTTGAGGACAAAAGGGCATCATAAACTTAACCAGCAACCTCCATGATGACGTGAAGAACGTGGCCTGGCGGGCTACTTGTTAACAAACTACCCAGCATGCATGCTCCTTCCCCCCTGAGAGGGCGGGAGCTGCTTGCCTGCTTACTGTATTTGGGATGACGGTGAACTCCGTGGTTTCCCCCAGTCGGAAAGGCACAAGGGGATAGAAAGTGTGGTCCCGCGCGATGGCCACGATACCCTGTTCTTCATGTTTTGAGGTTACTCGTCAAAGTGTACTTTGCCTTCCAAAATGGCCCTTTGGGGCTTTCTTGTAAACCACAGATTGAAGAATGTGGTTATCATGTTAAACATGCAAGAGTCTGGGCGCAGTGGCTCACACCTGTAATCCCAGCACTTTGTTTGTTTGTTTGTGACTGAATCTTGCTCTGCCGCCCAGGCTGGAGTGCAGTGGCACCATCTCAGCTCAATGCAACCTCCACCTCCTGGGTTCAAGCAATTCTCCTGTCTCAGCTTCCAGAGTAGCTGGGATTACAGAAGCCCGCCACCATGCCCGGCTAATTTTTGTATTTTTAGTAGAGATGGGGTTTGACCATGTTGCCCAGGCTGGTCTCAAACTCCTGACCTCAGGTAATCCGCTCCCCTCAGCCTTCCAAAGTGCTGGGATTACAGGCATGATCACTGGTAGTCTCAGCTACCCAGGAGGCTGAGGTGGGAGATCGCTTGAGCCCAGGAGGTGGAGGTTGCAGTAAGCCGAGATCACACTACAGCACTCCAGCCAGGGTGACAGAGTGAGACCCTGGCTCAAAAAAAAACCATTCAAGAGCGTTTCTTCGTAATATGCGTAAGCATTTGCTGAGTTTAGGAGCAAAGCCTAGCTGTGCCTGAGAGGAGAAAATTACAATTTAGTAAAATTTACACTGTTTAGAAGAGAGAGTACATTTTAAAGACACTACACAGAGAGAGCTCCAAATGTTAAACTCCCCAGCCTGGTGTTTGCTTGCCTTATTTTAATTGTGGGTTTCATATCTAGCTACATGGTCTGGTCTTGTCTTTTTTTGTCCCCCCTTTTTTTGAGATGGAGTCTTGCTCTGTTGCCCAGGCTGGAGTGCAGTGGTGCGATCTCTGCTCACTGCAACCTCCGCCCCCCAGGTTCAAGCAATTCTCCTGCCTCAGCCTCACAGGGATTGCCTCAGCTGGGATTACAGGCATTTGCCACCACGTCCAGCTAATTTTTGTATTTTTAGTAGAGATGGGGTTTCTCCGTGTTGGCCAGGCTGGTCTCTAATGTCTGACCTCAGGTGATCCCTCCGCCTCGGCCTCCCAAAGTGCTACAGTCTTTTCAAAAGACGTTTCAGATATGTTCTCCGGGACCCTCGGGCCCTTCAGTAAGAAGCGCCCTGGCTGAAAACCCACACGTTCACCTACAGAAGAAGCACTGTGACGTAGAGGGTGAGCAGAGCAGAGGGCCTCACAGTGGCCCTCACATGCACCTGGCTCCAGCCTGGCCAGGTCATTTTGCCCTGGTGGGCCTGTGCCTCATCTCAAAAATGGGGTTTCTTCCCTTATGAGGAAGACCCATGAATTAATAACGGAATTGCCAGGAATGCTAAAAAGTATCTAAATGCCATGTATTGTTTTCAAGCTGTTACTCCTGGAAGGGGCTGGGTTGGCATTGTTTTAGAGGTTAGGAGCCAAACATCAGCTCATCTATTCTCCAGCTGTTGTTTGTCCTCCAGCTTCCTGCAATAGTCAGGCACAGGGTTTGTTTCTTATAAAAATGGGTTTGTGCTGCTGTATGTTTCGGTGGGTAATAGTTAGGCACCCTAATATATATCACCTTTGTTTACTGAATGGGATGTAGGTGAGGGAACAGAGCATATCCGCATCCCTCGGAAGCAGTGCGTTTAAATGTATGTCCTGTCAGCTCCTCTCTGCCCCACCCACCCTAGCCCATTGATTGAGCCTTTTTTTTTTTTTTTTTTTTTTTTTTTGAGGCGGAGTCTGGCTGTATTTCCCAGGCTAAAGTGCAGTGGTGCCATCTCTGCCCACTGCAGCCTCCACCTGCCAGGTTCAAGTGATTCTCCTGCCTCAGCCTCCCAAGTAGCTGGGATTACAGTCACCAGCTACCACGCCCAACTAATTTTTGTATTTTTATTAGAGGTGGGGTTTCGCCATGTTAGCCAGGCTGGTCTCGAACTTCTGACCTCAAATGATTTGCCTGCCTTGGCCTCCCAAAGTGCTGGAATGAGGCACCTGTAGGTGTGAGCCACCATGCCCACCCTGATTGAGGCTTTTTACGACATCCCACCAGAAGGGTCAGGTTCTCAGCTCCCTCAGCATTCTGTTCCATTTTTCTCCCTTTTTAAATTCTTTTTATTAGATAGTACACATATAGTATAAAATTCAGAATGTACAAAAGGGCCAGGCACGGCGACTCATCTCTACACCCACCAGTCTTACTTCCTCCCTTGCTCTCAAGTCAGTCCCCTTTTCTACCTGTCCTTGCCCACCACCCTTGTCTGGGCCTTCATGGCCTCTCTCCTGAGTGGCTTTACTAGCTTCTGTCTTTTGCACGTTCACTCTTTCCTCCCTCCAGTGTTTTCCACCCAGAATGATTTTTTTTAAAAGACATACCTGATCGTGTTACTTCCGTACTTGGCACCTTTTGGGGGCTTCCTAGTGCTCATAGGATAAAGAAAAAACTGCTCATCATGCCCTTCAAGGCCTTGCCTGGTCTGGTGCGTGCAGGCCTCCAGGGCCATGCTTACTGTCTGCAGTCCAGCCATAGGAACTGAACATGCCCGGCTTTGCCTGCCAGAGTCTTCTCTTGCTGCCCATTGTCTGGAGTGTTGATCTGTTTTCGCCGCCCTATTCATCGTTGACTCGTCCTTTGGATCTCAGGCCTCACTTCCTCAAGCCTTCACTGTCTCCCCAGACTAGATCAGGGCCCCACTTAAAACTGACAACACTATGTTTTCCTTCACTGTAACCTATTAGGGTTATAATTTCCATTTAATGCCTGTGATCATTGGATTAACATTTTTTTTTAATTCTTTTTTTTTTTTTTTTTTTTTTTTGAGACAGAGTCTTGCTCTGTCGCCCAGGCTGGAGTGCAGTGGCGCGATCTCGGCTCACTGCAAGCTCCGCCTCCCGGGTTCACGCCTTTCTCCTGCTTCAGCCTCCTGAGTGGCTGGGACTACAGGCGCCTGCCACCACGCCCAGCTAATTTTTTTTTGTATTTTTAGTAGAGACAGGGTTTCACCGTGTTAGCCAGGATGGTTTCAATCTCCTGACCTCATGACCTCGTGATCCGCCCACCTCGGCCTCCCAAATTCCTGGGATTACAGGTGTGAGCCACCGCGCCTGGCTCTTTAAATTATTCTTACTGATGTGGGATAGTTTCTGGCACATATGAAAGCATTTTATAAACTATGAAGGATCCTAGAATAAAGGTGGTGATTATTTAAGATGCATGTTTATATATGAAGTGAAACTTTTAAGGGTGACATCCATGCCGATGAGTGATGAGCAACGGAGGAAAGTCTCCCTTAGGAGCCCCTGGTGAACTGAAGTAGGCCATTCTTCAATCCAGTAGAAGCGAGTTTTGGACGCCAGCTTGTGGGCACAGGGATTTTGCAGAGATTAACGAGATCCAAACAGGCCCTGCCAAGCAGCTCGTGCTACTGTGTTTTAAAAACCCAAGATTACCCAAGATCCGTCTCCTTTGGTTTTTTCAGATGGCCCAGAGCATTTTAGAAAGGCTTATGCAAATTAAGTGATGGGAGCAACACTTCCTTTTGATCTAGGGAGAGAAATTTTTCCTTGTGCGTCCTTCTAATGATTCTTACCACTCCCCTCTCCTCCCCCAACTCTTTGTCTTTTTTTTAAGGGACAGGGTCTCACTCTGTTGCCCAGGCTGGTCTCAAACTCCTGGCCTGCCACAGCCTTCCAAAGTGCTGGTACTACAGGCGTCAGCCACCTAGCCCTACCACCTCTTAACCTCTTCTATTAAAAGATGTCTTTAGAAATATCCCCCCTGAAAAGGAGAGGCATCCTCTGAAAGAATTCAAGCCAAGTAAAGCTCATTTCATATCCCTTTTGTTGAACAGGAACTTCTGTGGTGTCCACTCACCAGGAGTTGTCTTTGTGTCTGTCCTTTATCCCCAGGAAACCTGTAGGAAGTGTCAGGGACTCTGGAAAGAACATAATGGCCTCACCTGTGAAGAGCTGGCTGAAAAAGACGACATCAAGTACCGTACCTCTATGTGAGTAACAGAATTCAGAGGGGCTATGGGCTGATTCTCAACTTCCCCATTAACCTGCTTTTTGGTAGAGAGGGCATACTGTTGTCGGAAGAACACGCTTGAGCCACCCCAGTCTGGAGTGATCTTGGGGAAGTAATCTAACCCTTGAGCCTCTGTTTCCTCATCTCTGCAGCCTCATGGAGTTATTTCAGAAGACAAACTAACATATAAATGCCTGGCACCTGTGAATTCAATAAATGATGGTCCCCCTTTTCCTTATTTTCTAAATAAGCAAGTAACGCGTTTTAATTAACTTAGACTGCACTAGTGTTGCTTATGTCTGTGTTATAGGAAACTGTTGGCCTGAGACCTAAGTAGAATTGCCCACCTCCAGAATACAAAATGATACGCCTGTGATAATAATAACCATTACTTGTATAGTACTGTGTGGCTGAGCACATTACAAATACTCACTTATTAAAATGCAGGCCAGGCGCAGTGGCTCACGCCTGTAATCCCAGCACTTTGGGAGGCCGAGGCTGGCGGATCACGAGGTCAGGAGATTGAGACCATCCTGGCCAACATGGTGAAACCCCATCTCTACTAAAAGTACAAAAATTAGCTGGGTATGGTGGCGCTTGCCTGTAATCCCAGCTACTCGGGAGGCTGAGGCAGGATAATTAGTTGAACCCGGGAGGCGGAGGTTGCAGTGAGCCAAGATTGCGCCAGTGCACTCCAGCCTGCCAACAGAGCGAGACTCCGTCTCAAAAAAAAAAAGAAAAAAAGAATGCAATGACCGAAGTAATACTGAAATCTCTTTCTCTTCTCTCATAACAATCTAGCCTTACCATGCAGCTGAGGGTGCATATCTATCTCCTGACGTTATTCAGAGATTGTCTCACAGCCGGGCAGGGTAGCTCAGGCCTGTAATCCTGGCATTTTGGGAGGCTAAGGCAGGTAGATCGCTTGAGCTCACGAATTTGAGACCAGCCTGGGCAATATGGTAAAACCTCATCTCTACAAAAAATAAAAAATAAAATTATCCAGGAGTGGTGGGCACGCACCTGTAGTCCCAGCTACTTGGGAGGCTAAGGCAAGAGAATTGCTTGAACCAGGGAGGCAGAGGTTGCAGTGAGCCAAAATCGCACCACTACAACACTACAGCCTGGGCGACAGAGCGAGACTCCAACTCAAAAAAAAAAAAGAGAAGATTGTCTAACTGCTTCACCCTTCCCTGAAGGTGATATTCTCTTCTGCATGATTGTAACTAGATTGTGGCCACATTTACACTCAAACCCAAAGAAAGTGGGAAATAGACAACTTGCCAAGCAGGCAGCTTTTCTTTATGTTATAAGTGATACAGGAATTATATACATATATCTCACTTCCGCTCGTATCGCATTGGTCTAGATTGTCACGTGGGCAAGGCAAGCACCGTATGTAGCCTGTAGTTGGGTGACTTTATGTCCAGTTTAAATATGAAGGATATGGAAGGAGTTTGGTACTCAGAAAATGAAGTGGGCAATGGCAATTTGGGCAGTTTCCCAAGTATGCAGCACAGGTGGGTACCATTATTCTCTTACAGATGAGGCGGCTGAGGCCCATGTGATTTGCCCTTGGTTGTATGGTTAAGGACCTTGAGATGGGGAGGTTATCTGGATTATCCGAGTAGACCCAGTCTAATTACAAATCCTTAAAAGCAGAAAGTCCTTAGTGTGGGACGAAGAGTCAAACAAACGTGAGAAGGACTTGACCCCCCTGTTGCTGGCTTTGAAGATGGATGAAGGTGGCCATGAGCCAAGGATTGAGGTAGCCTGTAGAAGTTGGGAAAACCCTCAGCTGACAGCCACCAAGAAAATAGAGACCCCGGTCCTACAACCTCAACTGAATTCTGCAGACAACCCAAATGAGCAGCAAACATACTCTCTCCTCAGGCCTCCAGGAGGGAATGCAGCCCTGTGATAAGGCATCTGGACTACTACAGGACTCAGTAGCAGGCTGTGAGATGTTTCTTGGAAGGAGAATTACTTACAAAGCACAGCCTTCATTCTGATTGTCCTATCGGTTCCTGGCACTGGTTCCGCTCAGCGTCTTGGTCTGCCACACATAGCCCACCACTGGGTCCTATTTAAACCTGGCAGCCTTTTAGATCAGCAGTAAGTGGATAAGAGCAGAACATCCAAATGTGATATATGTTGATTCCAAAAATCAAAAACAGCCTCCCAAATGTTGGGCTTCTTCCTTAGTGATAGAGGATGCTTCTGTCATGAGCCTAGCTTTGGAAGGGATATCATGATATACATGCCTGACCTCCAGACCACCAGAACTTCATAGAGATGACACATTCCTACATTCAAGGGATTTCTCTCTCTAACCTTCTGGCATTCATGTAGCATATTAATACATACTACCATAACTGCTACTTCCTGTTCACCAGGTTCTATCTGCATGTCGTTCAAGTAGAACGGTGTGTTATCCTATTGAACGACATAATCAAGGTCCTCACTGGCTGCTGGTGTTCTCTGATTATCGAACAGACAGGAAAAGCATTTTCCAAATCATTCGCAGCATACCAGTTGCCAGGGGCTGTTTGTTCTGGTGAGAGATGACATCTAAAACAGCAGCCACATTTAGTCAGCATCTGTTGAGGCTTAAAGTAATACACTGTCCTCCAAGAGCCATTCTTCTGTACAAGCCAAATGAGAAGTAAAAAGAGATGTGAAAGAATCATCGCCTCTGCATCTTAGAAGTCTTTGATGGTGGTGCCAGTCTAGAAGATGCCCAAAGGAATCTGGTGATGTGTTTTTTTTTTTAGAGAGAGGGTGCTCCACGGGCTTCAACTTGCCTTTCCTTATCATATAGCCCCTCTGGGACCAAAGAGCAACAGAATCCTGCCAGATGTCAAAACGTTTTTTTTCTCGCCTTGAGACAGTGTCTTATTCTGTCATCCAGGCTGGAATACAATGGCACAATCACAGCTAACCTTAGCCTTGACCTCCTGAGCTTGAGTGATCCTCCCTCCCTTTCTTTCTGTCTTTTTTTTTTTTCCTTTGGAGACGGAGTCTCCGTCTGTCACCTAGGTTAGAGTGCCTCGGGTCATTGCGACCTCCGCCTCCCAGGTTCAAGCGACTCTACTGCCTCAGCCTCCCGAGTAGCTGGGATTACAGGCGCCTGCTACCACGCCCAGCTAATTTTTGGATTTTTAGTAGAGATGGGGTTTTACTTTGTCGGCCGTGGTTGGCCAAGCTGGTCTCGAACTCCTGACCTCAAGTGATCCCCCCACCTCAGCCTCCCAAAGTACTGGGATTACAGGCGTGAGCCACCGCGCCCGCCCGGCCGTCACTTTCTTGTTTTTAAACTGCTATAGTGTTTTCAAGCAAATCCAAATCCCTGACAGCATGTCATTTCACCCATAAAACCTTTTTTTCTTATATAGCACTTACCTTTATGACCACTAACAAAACTAAAATTGAAATTTTAAGTCTTTGATATCTCATACCAACTTCACAGTTCCACTAATTATCTCAAATTAGCTTTACATGTGTACTGCAGTTAGTTTGTTCAGGTTAGGATCCAAATGAGATTCATTGCATTTGATAATTGGCCTGTAGAATGTCTTCTAGAGTTGGCTGGTTTCTCGTGGTATCATTTAACTTGTTCTTCTGTCCCCTGCGTTTTCTTTTTTTCTTTTCTTTTTTTTTTTTTTGAGACAGAGTCTCACTCTGTCACCCAGGCTGGAATGCAGTGGCGCTATCTCGGCTCACTGCAAGCTCTGCCTCCCAGGTTCACACCGTTCTCCTGCCTCAGCCTCCCGAGTAGCTGGGACTATGAGTGCCCGCCACCATGCCTGGCTAATTTTTTTTTGTATTTTTAGTAGAGACGGGGTTTCACCGTGTTAACCAGGATGGTCTCGATCTCCTGACCTCATGATCCGCCTGCCTTGGCCTCCCACAGTGCTGGGATTACAGGTGTGAGCCACCGTGCCTGGCCTGTCCCTTCAATTTTCTATAAATTAAAATTTAGATCTAATCAGGCACAGTGGCTCACGCCTGTAACCCCAGCACTTTGGGAGGCTGAGGCAGGCGGATCACCTGAGGTCGGGAGTTCGAGACTAGCCTGACCAACATGGAGAAACCTCTGTCTCTACTAAAAATACAAAATTACCCAGGCATGGTGGTGCATGCCTGTAATGCCAGCTACTCAGGAGGCTGAGGCAAGAGAATCACTTGAACCTATGGGGCAGAGGTTATGGTGAGCCGAGATCACGCCATTGCACTCCAGCCTGAGCAAGAAGAGCAAAACTCCATCTCAAGAAAAAAAAAAAATAGAGCTAAAGGCTTGATTAGGTTCTCACTCAAAGGTTTTTGGTGAGAACATTTCACAGGTGGCTCTGTGCATCTCAAATTACAAAACACCCAGAGCTATGCAGTGTCTGGGTGGCCCACCATGAAATACTTCTAAGCAAATGAATGTCATGGCCTAAGTTACATGATTTTGGTGGCTACAGGGCAAGTAGCTTTAAAGAAAGCAAGACTTGAATAAAGGAGAAAATTTAGAAGGCCATTACAGTAGTCTAAGCCACTCTATCATAGGGCTCCAATATAGGTTTGTAGTATTATAAATGGAGAAGAGGGGATAAATTTAAGAAATATTTAAGATGTAAAATCAACAGGTCTTGGTAGCTGATAGATACGGGAAGTAAGAGCGGAAGGAGTCTAGAATGATTCTCAGGCTTCTAGCTTGGGTGATAAAACTATACGAGCTAACCCAAAGAACCAGGAGTGGGAGAGATTAAGTATAGGAAAATGAATGGCTGCCACACCGGTAATCCCAGCACTTTGGGAGGCCAAGGCGGAAGGATTGCTTGAACCCAGGAGTTGAAGACCAGCCTGGGCAACAAAGTGAGACCCTCTCTGTACAGAAAATCTAAAAATTAGCCAGGCATGGTGGCACGTGCCTGTAGTCCCAGCTACTTGGGAGGCTGAGGCAGGAGGATCCCTTGAACCCAGGAGTTCGAGGCCGCAGTAAGCCATGATTGTACAAGTGTACTCCAGCCTGAACAACAGAGCAAGACCCTATCTCAAAAAAAAAAAAAAAAAAAAAAAGAAAGAAAGAAAATGAAGGTTTCAGATGTGGACATGGCAAGTCAGCTGCATTGTTCACCAAACTTTAGTTCTTCTCAAAAAATACACTCAAGGGAGTGACATTACAAAAACATGACAGTGTAGGGAATTCCAAAAACTCCTATCTCCCACCAGAGCAAGAATTAACCTGGCAAAAACTGCCAGAGGCAACTTTTTCCCTTTTTTTTTTTCACCTTTCACAACTTCCTCAGGGCTGAAACAGCCTCCCAGTGGATTGTGTTGAAAGCATTTGGAGGCATGTACCAGCTGCAGCTGCCTGAGGCAATGAGTAACACATGGGCAAGCCAAGACAGATCTAGAAGACTACGTACATGTCTAGGGCTCAACACATGCTCAGAAAAACCCAAGACCCTAGGCTTTCACCTCACACTGAGCTTTAGGTTCTGTATTAACAGGAACTCAAAAACTAAGAAAGTTACAGATGACCTGGCTGAGTCAACTCAGAGTACTCCAACTGCAAAGATCAGGATGGGAGGATTGGTTCTTTCATTTTTTTTTTTTCCTGGCATTGACCACTAAGCTAATACAACAGAGACTTCAGTGACCACACATAACAAGGAATAGTCTTTACAAAAATAACTTTCTTTTTTTTTTTTTTAAGATGGAGTCTCGCTCTGTCGCCAGGCTGGAGTGCAGTGGTGCAATCTTGGCTCACTGCAACCTCCGCCTCCCAGGTTCAAGCGATTCTCCTGCCTCAGCCTCCTGAGTGGCTGGGACTACAGTTGTGTGCCACCACACCCAGCTAATTTTTTGTATTTTTAGCATAGATGGGGTTTCACCGTGTTAGCCAGGATAGTCTCGATCTCCGGACCTCATTATCTGCCCGCCTCTGCCTCCCAAGGTGCTGGGATTACAGGTGTGAGCCACGGCACCTGGCCCCCTTTTTTTTTCCTTTTGTTTTGTTTTGTTTTGTTTTGGGATGGAGTCTCGCCTTGTCACCCCGTCTGGAGTGCAGTGGCAATGATGCGATCTCAGCTCACTGCAACCTCCACCTCTGGGCCCAAGCGATTCTCATGCCTCAGCCTCACGAGTTGCTGGGACTACAAGCATGCACCACCATGCCCGGCTAATTTACAAAAATAATTTTTAAAAGTCACTAAACAATCTCAAACCATACAAAAAGCAACCTGATTTCTAGACTCTTCTCAGTATAATATTCAAAACACCCAGTTTTCAACAATAATTTATAAAGCAAACAGGAAAGTATGGCCCATTCACAGGGAAAAAAGTAGTTGATAGAAACCATCTCTGAGGACACATTGGGCATACTAAACAAATGCTTTGAATCAGCTGTCTTAAATATGCTCAGAAAGCCAGGTGAAACCATGGGCAAAGAACTAAAGGAAACCAGGAGCACAGTGTATGAACAAGTAGAGAGTATAGATAGAAATTAAGAAACCAGCCAGGCGCAGTGGCTCACGCCTGTAATCCCAGCACTTTGGGAGGCTGACGTGGGCGGATCACTTGAGGTCAGGAGTTCAAGACCAGCCTGGCCAACATGGTGAAACCTTTCTCTACTAAAAACACAAAAATTAGCTGGATGTGGTGGCGGGCGCCTGTAGTCCCAGCTACTTGGAAGGCTGAAGCAGGAGAATCATTTGAACCCGGCAGATGGAGGTTGCAGTGAGCTGAGACTGCACCACTGCACACCAGCGTGGGGACAGAGCAAGACTCTGTTGCAAAAAAAAAAAAGAAAAATTAAGAAACCAACAGAAATTCTGTACCCCAAAATTACAATAGCTGAGATGAAAAATACACTAGAAGAATTCAATAGCAGATTTGAGCAGGCAGAAGAATCAGAGATCTTGAAGATACGGCTGTTGAAATTATGCAGTTGGAGGAGGAGCAGAAAGAAAAATGAATGAAGAAAAGTGAATAGAGCCTAAGGGACCTGTAGAACATCATCTGATGTACCAATATTCACATTAAGGGGAAGCCCAAAGAAGAGCAGAGAGCAAAATGAACAGAAAGAATATTGAAGAAATAATGGCTGAAAACTTCCCAAATCTGATGAAGAACAAGAGTCTATACATCCAAGAAGCTGAATGAATTCCAAGTAGGATGAACTCAAAGAAGTCCACACCACGACACATCAGAGTCAAACTGTTCAAGACCAAAGACATAGAAAATCTTGAAAGCAGTAAGAGAACAGCCTAATCAGAAAATAGGCAAACAGGCGGGGCACGGTGGCTCATGCCTGTAATCCCAGTACTTTGGGAGGCTGAGGCAGGTGGATCACGAGATCAGGAGTTCGAGATGACCCTGGCCAATATGATGAAACGCCTAAAAATGCAAAAATTAGCCAGGCGTGGTGGCACGTGCCTGTAGTCCCAGCTGCTCAGGAGGCTAAGGCTGGAGAATCTCTTGAACCCAGGAGGTGGAGGTTGCAGTGAGCCAAGATCACACCACTGCACTCCAGCCTGGGCAACAGAGCAAGACTCCGTTTCAAAAAAAAAAAAAAAGAAAAAAAGAAAATAGGCAAACAGCCAGGCACAGTGGCTCATGCATGTAATCCCAACACTTTGAGAGGCCAAGGTCGGGCAGATAGCTTAAGCCCAGGAGTTTAAGACCAGCCTGGACAACATGGTGAAACCCAGTCTCTACAAAAAATTTAAAAATTAACTGGGCATGGTGGTGTAAGCCTGTATTTCCAGCTACTCAGGAGGCTGAGGTGGGAAATCACTTGAGCCCAGGAGGCGGAAGTTGCAGTGAGCTGATATTACACTACTGCACTCCAGCCTGGATGACAGAGTGAGACTCTGTCTCAAAAAAAAAAAATGGGCAAACAATATCAATTGATATTTCTCCAGAAAGATGTACAAATGACCAACAAGCACATGAAAGCATGCTGAACGTCATTAGTCATTACAGAAATACAAATCAGAACTATAATAAGATACCGCTTCACACCTATTAGGATGACTATAATGAAAGCGATGGAAAATAACAAGTCTTGACAGAGATATAGAAAAAATGACACCAGTATACATTGAGGTGGGAATAGAAATAGTGTAGCCGCCATAGTTAACAGTTGGCTTTCCCCAATAAGTTAAACATAGAATTACCATATGACCCAGCAGTTCCGCTCTCAGGTACTCACCCAACATAAGTGAAAACAAGTGTCCATATAAAACTTGTGCAAGAATGTTCATTTAACCACAATTCACACCAGCCAAAAAGCAAAAAAAACTCAATCCATCAACTCATGAATAAACTAATATGATATATTCATACAATGGAATATTATCCAACCATAAAAAGGAATGAAGTATCGATACATGCTACAACATAGGTGAACCTAGAAAACAACACACTAAGTGAAAAAAGGCACAAAAACACACGTGTGATTTCCATTCCTATGAAATATCAGAGGCATATGGGCATTTGCCTAGCCTCAGAATGGCAATCTGTAGAGCCCAAAAGCACGCTGTGGGTTGCAGGGCAAGGAGGAATGGGGAATGCCTGCTTAGTGGGTACAGGGTTTCCTTTTGGGGTTATAAAAGTCTCTTGGAACTAGATAGTGATGTTGATTGTATAACATCGTGAATACTCAAAATATCCCTGAATTGTATACGTTAGAGTGGTTTAAAAAGTCAATTTTATGTGCATTTTACCACAGCAAAAGAATGCATACACACATGCATCTTCACGCTCACAAAGGGGACGGGCTGAGATCTGAAGGGCATGGCTTATGCCACCATCAGAATATGGCTCCCAGAGAGGAGTTACCCACACACTGGCTGGTGGTGAGCACAGATAACTACAGGAGTCTGGGCTGTCGCTGGCTGCATAGAAGAGGCCCTGAGCCTTCCTGTGTGAGCGCAAGGTCAGCAACCACAGTCACAGCTCCGGCTTCTCTTCCTGTCCTGCCCCGGGAGCACATCCTGCGGGGCTGTGTTTCCTGCCTGGTTGAGAATCTAGTTGCCAAACCACCTTTCCTCTGAAGGAATCAACCATGATTTTTCCCCATTTTTCACTTTTATATTACTGGCTAGGTAGTCACCACATCCCATAATAAAACTCCATTCTGGCCCTATCCAGTACTACTCTTACAAATGCAGAAGCAAAGGACTTGAGTGGACATTTGTGCAATATTGAATAGCTGTTTAACATTTCAGCAATATTGAATAGCTGTTTAACATTTCAGCAATGTTGAGTTGCAGGCATGCTTTATGTATTCCTCTGTCCATTTTAGGAGAGCCTTTTTTTCTCCCTCCATACCCATTATTATTTCATGTCAGTGCCAGACAGATCGGATGAGCAAGCAAATAGACCCTCTTTCCAAGCCTTCATGAAAAGACTGTAACCTTAATTCTTTACAGCCTCTTCTCTCCTTGAGCAGCTTCCCAGGGAAAGTCAGCCAGCCCCAGGCAACTGGAGTGCCACACCTTAAAGCCGCACCTCAGCCTCAGGGTGCTCTTACAGAGAAGGTTTGTGCTGTAGAAAATTGCAGTTGTGTTTGGGCACATAGCTTTTCAAATTGAAAAGTTTTTCATTAGAACCTTGAGTCTAGCTGGGCGCAGTGGCTCACGCTTGTAATCTCAGCACTTTGGGAGGCTGAGGCAGGCGGATCACTTGAGGTTAGGAGTTTGAGACCAGCCTGGCCAACATGGTGAAACCTCATCTCTACTAAAAATACAAAAAATGGCCGGGCATGAAAGCCAGGTGTGGTGATGTGGTGGCACACACCTGTGATGCCAGCTACTTGGGAAGCTGAGACATGTGAACCGTTTGAACCCAGGAAATGGAGGTTGCAGTGAGTCTCAAAAAAAATAGGCCAGGCACAGTGGCTCACACTTGTAATCCCAGCACTTTTGGGAGGCCGAGGCAGGTGGATCACCTGAGGTCGGGAGTTCCAGACCAGCCTGGCCAACATGGTGAAACCCCATTTCTACTAAAAATACAAAACTTAGCTGGGCATGGTGGTGGGCGCCTGTAATCCCAGCTACTTGGGAGACTGAAGTGGGAGAATCTCTTGAACCCGGGGAGGCGGAGGTTGCAGTGAGCTGAGATGGAGCCACTGTGCCCCAGGCTAGGTGACAGAGCAAGACTCTGTCTCAAAAAAAAAAAAACAAAACAGAACCTTGAGTTGTAGAACGTTGAGTAGTGTCTTCACAGTTGCTGAGTAACTAAAATCATAAACGGATGTACTACAGAGGTGACTCATTAAGGTAATAGTACTAAATGCACTTTATCTAAACCTCATCTCCTTGACAATGTTTTCTTTCTTTCTTTTTTTTTTTCTTTTTTTTTTTTTAAGATAGAGTCTCACTCTGTTACATAGGCTGGGGTGCAGTGACACGGTCTCAGCTCACTGCAGCCTTCACCTCCCGGGTTTAAGCGATTCTCCTGCCTCAACCTCCCAAGTAGCTGGGATTACAGGTGTGCACTACCACGCCTGGCAAATTTTTGTATTTTTAGTAGAGACAGTTTCACCATGTTGGTCAGGCTGGTCTCAAACTCCTGAGCTCAAATGATCTTCCTGCTTTGGCCTCTCAAAGTTCTGGGATTACAGGCGTGCACCACCATGCTCAGCCTGTTCTCTCCATTTTAAGCCTACAGGGATTCCTATAACAAATAGAGCAGTCCTTTTCTAAATGCTGAGTACTGGGCACTATGCCAGGGTACTTTATATTTTGTCTGTAATTCTCAAAACACCATGAGAAAGTTGTGTTTTCACAGTTTAAAAATGAGGAAACTGAGTCTCCAGGCAGGTGAGTAATTTACTGAAGGTCATACAATTAAAACTTTGAAGCAGTTCTCAGACTCCAAAACCTAGGCTCTTTTCACTGTTTAATGTCACAAAAAAGCCATAAGTGATCATTTTATGTGAAAATAAATAAATGCTTAATGGCCATATTTTTTTCCTCCTCATCTTCCCTCCCAGCTCCAAATTATGTTTTCTTATTTCAGTGAAGAAAAAATGACTGCTGCCCGCATTAGAAAATGCCACAAGTGTGGGACTGGCCTCATCAAATCTGAAGGCTGCAACCGCATGTCTTGCCGCTGTGGTGCCCAGATGTGCTACCTCTGTCGAGTTTCTATTAATGGATATGACCATTTCTGCCAACATCCCCGCTCACCAGGAGCCCCTTGCCAGGAGTGTTCAAGATGCTCTCTCTGGACCGATCCCACTGTAAGTAGACACATGGCTGCCTATTGCTTTATAGGGAGAAAATAGAAATATATTTTTATGACAAATATTTTGAATATACGTAACAAAATTTGACTTAGGAGAAGAATATAGGAAATTACATAGACTGATAACCAAAGAAAAAATTTGAGAAACTAATTATCAGCTACTCCTCATGCTGCTCAAAGCAGCATGCCCTAACAGTTTTATAGGCAAATTCTTTTAATTCTTCAGGAAATAAAACTCTGTGCCCTCTGAAATATTCCAGAGCAAAGTAAGGAAACTTACACATGTATCTGTTCAAAGCCAGCATAACGCTGATTCCAAAGCCTGACGGAGATAGCCCTAACAAAGAAAACTACAGATTTTCTTATGAGACTCACTTATAATCTAGATTTTAAATTATGTAAATAAAATATTAGCAAATAGAAAGCATGACCAAGTGAGTTTGTTCTAGAAATGCAATGATGGTTTAATATTAACAATTCTATTAACGTAAATCATTATATGGTATCTGTAGATGGTGAGAAGACATTTAAGAAATCAAATCAAATATTTCTTCTTGATTTAAGCTTTAAAAATACAGTATTTTAGAGGAGGAGCAAGGCTGGCAAGGAAATTAAACACATAGGGTCTGTTTGGGGATCGGAAAGAAAGCAGGTGAGGTTTGCAGGTGGAGAGAGCCACAGGGAGGTGACAGCGATTGGCCCAGGGGCCGGCCTCAGATCTGGAGTGTGATGAGAGCCATTTCAGGGCATTGTAGGGGCTATGTTTCCCAGGTCACACTAGCTACTACGCTGGGGAGAGAGAGGACAGCATGAAGGGAATGACTTTTATAATCTTGGAGAAGATAAGGTTTTTCTTGCATTACATCAAGGCCAGACTAAAAAATAATAAATTCTCACTGGCAAATGACATCATAAACAAAGATTAGGGATACATGAAAAACTGGGGGAGAGGGTCAGGCACAGTAGCTCACGCCTGTGATGCCAGCACTTTTGAAGGCCAAGGTGGGCGGATCGCTGGAGCCGAGGAGTTCAAGACAAGCCTGGTTAACATAGTGAGACCCCCATCTCATTAAAAAAAAAAAAAAAAATTGGCCGGGCGCGGTGGCTCACGCCTGTAATCCCAGCACTTTGGGAGGCTGAGGCGGGTGGATCACAAGGTCAGGAGATCGAGACCATCCTGGCTAACATGGCGAAACCCCGTCTCTACTAAAAATACAAAAAATTAGCCGGGCGTGGTGGCAGGCGCCTGTAGTCCCAGCTACTCAGGAGGTTGAGGCAGGAGAATGGCGTGAACCCAGGAGGCAGAGCTTGCAGTGAGCTGAGATCATGCCACTGCACTCCAGCCTGGGCGACAGAGCGAGACTCCGTCTCAAAAAAAAAAAAAATTAAGGCTAGGCACGGTGTCACATGCCTATAATCCTAGCACTTTGGGAAACCAAGGCGGGTGGATCACCTGAGGTCAGGAGTTCAAGACCAGCCTGACCAATATGGTGAAACCTGTCTCTAATAAAAATATAAATATTAGCCGGGCATGGTGTTGGATGCCTGTAATACCAGCTACTCAGGAGACTGAGAAAGAATTGCTTGAACCCAGGAGGCGGAGGTTGCAGTGAGCTGAGATCGTGCCACTATACTCCAGCCTGGGTGACAATGTGAGACTCTGTCTCAAAAAAAAAAATGTGGAGCCATGTGTGGTGGCTCATGGGTGTAATCCCGGCACTTTGGGTTCTCAAAAAAAAAGGAAAACAGAAGTGTGTTTCTCCTCTATGTGTAAGTACAGAGATGAACAGCCCAGGGGTGGGCTAGCAGCTCTTATCTGGGATCCAGTTGCTTCCAGCATTCTACTCTGCCACCCCTAGATCATAGCCAAGGATCACATGAGGTCATTGTCTGAAAAGGAGCTCTGGCTGATAAATCCACATTCCAAGCAGCAAAGGGGCTGCAGTGAGGCTAAAGAGCCTGCTTCCCTATCTCTTAAGGAATGTTAGGCTTCCAGAAGCTGCAACAGGTCACTTCTGCTTCAGTCCCATCAGCCAGAACTTAATGACATTCTTCCTCAACTGCAAGTGAGACGGGAAGAAGTAGCCATCACAGACCCAGCCAGAATGTCTGTGGAGGAAGATGTTATACTGAGGAGTCTCCCTATGGTCTATTCACCTCAACTCAAAAATGGACAGAGGAAGTTTAAAAAAATTATAAGTAGGGAAAAAAGCTGCTTGCTGGCCAGGTGCAGTGGCTCATGTCTGTAAGCTTTGGGAGGTCAAGGCAGGAGCATCACTTGCATCCTGGAGTTTAAGAACAGCCTGGGCAACATAGTGAGACCCCCATCTTTACAAAATATCAAAAATTAGCCAGATGTGGTGCTCACCTGTAGTCATAGCTACTTGGGAGGCTGAGGCAGGAGGATCATTTGAGCCTGGGAGGTCAAGGCTGCAGTGAGCCATGTTCTTGCCACTGCACTGTAGCCTGGGTGACAGAGCAAGACCCTGTCTCCCCCCCAAAAAAAAAAAAAAAATGCTTGCTTTTCTACCTGGCCACAATCTGTTGGAGTTGGCTAACAGCCACCCCTAATAATCAAATAAATGGAAATGAAAATAGTACCTGGCTGCTGGTAGGTAGTTTTCAGATTTGTTGGCATCTGCTACACTGTAATTGGGCATAGTGGGCAGTTACTGTGTACAGATCCGAAGATGTAGTGCGTGTACTTGATCTGGGAGTTCCTCTTAATTAGAAAAGGTTATCCGCAGGAGACAGTTGGACAAGTTCACAAAGTTCTGTCTGCAACACTGTTCACTGAGTTGTTTAAAGTTGTACAAATTTAGAAACACCATTTAAATATCCCAAAAAACAGGAGATATGTCAAATTTTATATATGCTTACATTAGAATTGTACAAAAAGTAATTCTATATATATCTACACTTTAAAACATGGAAGAAAAGAAACAGGAAGATTTTCACATCGAAAACAAACAGTATGGATTGCTGGGGTCACAGACCCAAGTTACCACAGGGGCAGGTGGTAGCAGAAATGATGTCTGGATGGAGCATCCAGACGTCTGGGTCTAGGAGGCAGGAAGGCATAGTGGGGACTGCGGCAAAGGAGAGGGTGTGGGGCCCATCCAAGGGGGCTGCTGCGCAGCCACTACAGGTTGTTGCGGGGAGGGCCTCCCAGCTGCTCGGGAGCCTGAGGCACAAGAATCACTTGAACCTGGGAAGCAGAGATTGCAGTGAGCCAAGATCGCGCCACCGCACTCCACCCAGGACAACAGAACAAGACTTGATCTTAAAGAAAAAGAAATGCGTAATTTGGCCTGGTGCAGTGGCTCATGCCTGTAATCCCAGCACTTCGAGAGCCCAAGGCGGGCAGATCTCTTGAGTCTCAGGAGTTCAAGACCAGCTTTGGAAACATGGCAAAACTCCATCTCTACAAAAAATCCCAAAGTTATCCAGGGGTGGTGGTGCGTGCACACCTGTGTTCCCAGCTCCTTCCAGGGCGATTGCTTTAGCCCGGGACGTTAGGGATGCAGTGAGCCCTGACTGCGCCACTACACTTCTGCCTGGGTGACAGAGTGAGACCATGTCTCAAAAAAAGGGAAAGAAATGTATAATCCTGAGAGCTACTCATGGTTTTGAAAAGATGTGAGTCCTCTGTGGTAACCAGGTGTTCTCTATTTCAGGAATGTTCTATCACGGAACAAGCTCCTAACTGGGTGGGAAGCTGGGATAAGAGACCCCTAAAAATCACTCAGATTACAAAGCTTATGACCCAGTGAAACCCTTAGCTAGCCTGCCCTCCTGTCACTAAGGAGATGTGTGGAAGAAAAGGAGGCTTTTTGTACATAGAAAGCCAAGCCCGAGTCATCCTTCTTTTGCTGGGTGATCGGGAGGTGCAGCCCACAGTGGGAAGTGCTCACAAGGCAGGCCGTGCCCCTGTGTGACAGACATTCCCAGGCACAGCCCTTCTGCTGACTCACCTCCTCAGCCCCCTGGCAGCTAGCACAGTGGGAGGCAACCATCTCTAGGAACTTCATGAATCTTGAAAAAATAGATTTTTTTTTTCAGCTGGAGCTATGAAGAGCTCCACAGGCAGTATTTCATCTCTAGAGACAAAGGGCAGAGTGGGAGTTAGCGTGAGGGTGGGTGTTAACAGTCTGGCCTATTCTCAGCACTTTTTTCTTTCTTCTCCTCCTCGTTCTGTGTCTTCTGCTGCCTCCTCCCGTTGCTTCCCATGCCTGGGATTGATGGTGTGGGTTTCTCATGTGCTTTTTCCTTGTTTGGGTGCCATAGCATGCACTGCCTTGTTGTTTTCTTGTTGGATCGTCATCTTCTAACCTGAGAAAGTTTCTAGATTTGCTCAAAATAAAGTTTGAAAGGAAGGTCAGGCAAATACAAATCCCTCCAATTTCCTCTGATAGCCACAGCCGGAGATTCTGTTCCGTTTGTCCCGTTCCCATCAAAACAGCGATCAGCCCCGTTTCCTTGATTCTCACCAGGAGACCGATCGAATTCCAACCCAGCATCTGTTGGGGCTTCTGAGAACACAAAGCCATTCAGAAGTTCAGTGAAACAAAGCATGCACTGTCACACAAGCCTGTTCTCTGGCTTAATTAACCAGCAGGGCCAGGAAGAATCTCTTATTTGTCAGCGAGGGAGTTGTCCCATCATGGTTTTGGAGGGAAGTTGAGTTTTCATCCTTAATGACTAGGGATTGCTTGGGAACCTGAACTACCACTCCACAGTAAGAGCTCAAGTGGTGAACAGTAACTTTCTTTCTCTGTTAGTTATCAAAATGAAGCCAAAAGCATTCAACTAAGAGTCTTATAAAGAAGGTGTCTTCTTTAGGAAGCAAAAAACCAGAAGCGAACAGTCACAGCATACCACAGTTTTCTGGATTAGGGAGCAGAGTGGAAAGCCAGCTCTTGACACATAAGTGAACAGACGTTATTTTGCAGTAGGGGAAGAGTGATCCTGGAACTTTACTGAACGTGAATATACTGACTGGTCCTTGCATGGCCACAGGAGTGGTAGCTGAGGTGGGGAGCAAATTGTGAGAGGAACAGGCACCTGGCAGTCTGGATTTGAGAGTATGGCAAAACTTAAAACAGCATGTTCTCTTTCAATACAAAACAAAGTCCGTGTTTGTCTTGGGTTTTGGCTACGAGAAACTACAGAGAATTGTTTTCTACAGTGTCTTTGTCTTTTGAATGTAAGAGTTTGAAACCTGTCCAGTTCAAATAAAACCCTAGGGCTTTTACAGCCAGTTTAATTTGGTACAATTATCGCCTAGCCATTTGGTTAAGAGACACTCATTTTTCCAAACCAGCAGTGGACTGAGCCTAACATTTATAGATGTTAATACATTCAGTTCTGTAGCAGTGCTCGAAGGCAGATGTATCATCCTGGTTTTACTTGCTTAAGACTGTGGCCAGTAAATGGTAGCCTGGGTTTCCACCCGGGTCATTTGTCCTCGGAGTATTCCCAGGCCTGCCTTCTCCCCTCAGGCCAGCGCAGCATCTCCCTGGTGGATCAGGCATGCAGAAAGTCCTGGGGACCTTTGGGACCCTGGCTTAAGCGGCAGGGGAAAGGACATGATGTTGTTGGAATTAGGGAGGAAGGCTGTGAAAGGGAGGATTGATGAGGAAACGCAGAAACCTGGTAAGGAAAGGTATTTTAGACTTTTAGGTTGGAAACTGATTTTTGGCTTCAGAATTTTTTCCTTAACCTTAAAAATTTATTCTACAAAAGAGTAAAGTGAGCCCCCAGATTGTCCCATCACCCAGCTTCCACAGCTGGCTTTGGCGTGTTATTTCTCATCACTGTCATAAATATCATTGTGTGTTAAAAAAAAAAAAAAAAAAGTGAAGTTAGTGGGGTGGGTGTGATCATTGATCTGTCATCAAAACTGACCTCGGTTTCTTCATCTTCCTCTTAATAGCCACACAGCCAACACCATGTGAGCGTGCTATGCAGTGTGATTTTTACTGCATGGGACTGGGAGGCAGTGCTTTCCTATTTTGCAGATGAGGGAGATGATGTGTAGGTCACTAGCCCAGGATCCCTAGCTTGGTGAGACCAGGATGTGAGCCCAGGTCTTCCAACCAGTGTCTGGCTCCTGCCACAAATACATGGTCGTTAGGTGCCCATAGGGTCCCTGAGCCCCATGAACCAGGTAGCCCTTGCAGAGGGGTGGGGACCTCGCCAGACTCTTTCCCCATGGATGAATGAAGCTGCAAATAGTAGAAAGGGGCCCTGGCAGTTTTGCTACCCCAGCAGTGTCCCAGACAGGGTTTCGATGTCACTGAGGGCTTTCCCAAGCAGGGCAGCACAGTCCAGTACACACGGCCTGTTGGTGCTTGTTGCTACATGTCTTCAGCAGATCCCACCAGGCCCCTGGGTGAGCACTTGACCCTGACGGGACGCAAAACATGGCCACATTCTGCCCCCATCTCCAGGTCCTTGTGGGGGAAGTGCTCCAGATAGTGGTATTTGGGTGCTGGGCTTGTCTGACCTGAGGAGGTGGCTGCAGAAGCCAGGGCCAGCCCTGAGCCCGTGAAGTCTCTGCTCCTCCCCAGCACACTGTCCTGCCTCCCTGCCCTTCCCAGCCACAGCTGCGCAGCATGTGCCACTCCAAGCTCTGCTGCTCCCTCCCCCAACTTCCTGTTGCTGGGGACAGCAAGGGGTGGGGGCTAAGGGTCTGCCGTTGCTCAGGCGATCTGTGGCTAATCTGGGAATAATTTGAAACTAAATCTTAAGCTCTTTGGAAGCCTCTCATGAAATCATTGCAAGTTTATTAACAACAGCTGTGGCCACACATGACCTGGATCCCAGCCCCAACCCACCCCCAGAATCTCAGAGGGGAAGCACCAGTCGACTTGCAATTCCCAGTCAGCTTTCTAAGGGGAGGAAAAGTGCAATGAAGAAGAAAAGCCACCCGTTCTTCCCCCATGGTCACAGGAGGCTGGCCAGCAGGCACGTGGACAGCCAGCCCTGGGGACCAGAAGTGTTGGAAAAAAAGTCTCAAAAGGACCGTAAAGGCTTTGGCAAAAATAGTTTTGTGCCAAGCGCTCAAATGGTTATTTTGGGAACAGTCAGCCTGTGGCTGCTGATTACTGTTCATATCTGATTTGTGAAAATAAATTGAATCTTTTCCCCTTTTTAATCACTCATAGTTTCTCTTTCTTCGTTTTCTCCTGTCTATACCCTGCTGCGTGGACAGAACTGTGGGGCATATTTGTGGAGGGACAAGCTAAGGGAGGATGTTTGTGTATGTTTTGTTTCTCTCTTCTTAATTAAAACCTCTCTGGTAAATTCTACCTCACTTGCCGTCTTCAAGTGCAGCACGTTTCTGGAAAGGCCGGGTGCTTGCCATCCCCACAAGCTCTTGCTGCGTCTTCCTCCCACCCACCCTACCTGCATGCAGCAGGCAGCAAGCCAGAGTCTTCTGTGTCAGGCTGAGTTCTTTCTGCGCCCTGCTGAGCTCAAAGGAATTCAAGGAAAGGAAACAAATCTCCCTCCCTGTTAAAATGCAATCCGCTTATTTCCTTGTTTTTGTTTTGTTTTGTTTTGTTTTGTTTGAGAGGGAGTCTCCCTCTGTCGCCCAGGCTGGAGTGCAGTGATGTGATCTCGGCTCACTGCAGCCTGAACCTACTGGGTTCAAGTGATTCTCCTGCCTCACCCTCCTGAGTAGCTGGGATTACAGGTGCACGCCACCAGGCCCAGCTAATTTTCGTATTTTAGTAGAGACGGGGTTTCACCGTGTTGATCAGACTGGTCTCAAACTCCTGACCTCAAATGATCCACCTGCCTAGGCCTCCCAAATTGCTGGGATTACAGGCATGAGCCACCGCACCCGGCCTTACTTCCAGCTCTTCCAGCTGGGCGCAGTGGCTCACACCTGTAAGCCCAGCACTTCGGGAGGCCAAGGCGGGTGGATCACAAGGTCAGGAGTTCGAGACCAGCCTGGCCAATATGGTGAAACCCCGTCTCTACTAAAACTACAAAAATTAGCTGGGCATGGGGCGGACGCCTGTACTCCCAGCTGCTTGGGAGGCTGAGGCAGGAGAATCACTTGAACCCGGGAGGCGGAGGTTGCAGTGAGCAGAGATCGCACCACTGCACTCCAGCCTGGGCGATAGAGCACGACTCTGTCTCAAAAAAAACAGAAAGTGCTCTTCCAGTTCCGCTGGGTGGGTGAGACTCCCGTTTCACTCTCTGCTTTGACCCTTTGTCCTTGACACTGCATTTGGGGTGCACTGCCCACTGTGGTGCCATTCGTGTGCTTCGTCATGGTACTCATTGGATCCCACTGTGATCCATAGGTACACCTTCTGGAGTAGCGATGGGGCACTGGAGGGCTTCGTTTTGTTTTTTGGAGATGGAGTTTTGCTCTTGTCGCCCAGGCTGGAATGCAGTCGCGTGATCTTGGCTCACTGCAACCTGTGCCTCCCGGGTTCAAGCGATTCTGCTGCCTCAGCCTCCCAAGTAGCTGGAATTACAGGCACCCACCACCACGCCTGGCTAATTTTTGTATTTTTAGTAGAGATGGGGTTTCGCCATGTTGGCCAGGCTGGTCTCGAACCCCTGACATCAGGTGATTGGAGGGCTAACTTCTACCCTGGCCTGACACATCATTACGCTTGTTCTTTTGAGCCCTTGCTGATCCAGGGACACCTTGGTCGCTGATCAGCATCCACTCCCTCTCACCTCAGCCTGGCCTTGCTCATCAGAAAGGAGCTGTGCTGAGAATTCATTTGAAAGTTTTCACTGGGATTAGGAGGGGCCAGAAGGAGAGCAGAGACAGAACTCATTCAGGCCAGCTGGGTCCTTCTTAAGGCCTGTGCCAGAAACCAAGGATGAGGCACAGAGACTGCAGCCCTCGAGGGGATGCACCATGGTCTGTCATGGATCTGTGGCAGCGAGTAAAGATGCAGCCAGCAGCCCCTCCTGCCCCCACTGGCCAGGGCAAATGGCATGAACAGGAACTCAGATCTCAAATAGGTTCAGGTGAACCTCTATAGACCGCTGTCCAGGGTGAGCCCAGCAACCCAGCCTGAGCCATGCAGAGTTGAGAACTGCCGGCCATCCTTGGAACCTACAAGTCCAGACCTCCTGCCCTGGCCTCAGCACACTGCCCACCTTGGTGGTCCAGCCACTCTCTGCATCTTCTGAGCCTCAGGGTCCTCTTATGAAATCCTTGCCAGCCTCCCGTGGCGTGGAGAAGGGGGTGTGAGCTAAGCAATCCGTACAAGGCAGCAGGACCTCGTGGGGGCAGAGCGTGACCTTCTACAATGGAATCTGAGTGGGCTTGACAGTGAAGTGTGGATATAAAAGCAGCCAATGGAAAAGATATCAGAATGTTCCCAGGATTGATCTCTGGTGAGGAATTACGGCTGATTTTAGCTGTGTTGTTTTGTTCAATGTTTCCCAAGATTGTTTTAATCAATATGTATAAGGAAAAGAAATAATGGCATTTTTTTTTTTATGTTGATGAGAACCAAATCCCTGAGTTTTTTGTGACGAGAAGAGGCCAGAAAGAGAAAATGTCATGGGACCCCCATGGGATTCAAGTAACTTGGTAGTGTCAGGAGAAAACATGTCAGGCAAGGAAATCTTGAAGCATTCGCTTCTGCCTTTGAGATGGACCAAAACCAGTGAGCTGAGAACAGCACCTGGTCAGAGGCCACTGGAGACCAGTGACCCAGGGAGGCACTACAGCCTCTCACCTCAGTGCTGGGCCCCCATGTGCAGCTTAGATTTCTGGCTCAAGAGATGAGGGTTATGAGCTTTCCCAAGCTCCCCACTCCCACTCTGGGCAAGAGGAATCTACTGGCTTTCATCCCAAAGGACAAGTGCCAGGGACCAGAGGCCGACAAGTGGGCTGTTTCAGGGGATGGCACATGCACTTCTGGGTAAGCTGAGCCTGAGAAAAGGAGGATTGTTCCCTAAAAATTTCCAAAACACAGCCCCTTGCTCTGCGTTTTGGCTGTTTGTTTCCTTGAGTAGAAGTGTTTTGTTTTGTTTTGTCCTGTTACGTCTTGTAAGGGGAGAAAGGAGGTTTCAGAATTCTGCTCTTCTCAGAAGGAACCCTCTTGTGTTTCTGCACTCTTTATAGAATAAAGCACACCTTAGAACAGTTGCCTCTGACACACGCTCCCAGCCCGACAGCAGTGTTCTCAGGCCCCCAGTCAGGTTTGCCAGAAGTTCCGATTCAGAAACCTGAGGGGTTATGTGGTTAACAGCTCAGGCTTTGAGACGAGATTGCCTGGGTCACAACCTCGCTGTGCCAGGGTTTCCTCATCTGCAGCGTGGCAATCAGTTCATAGTGCCTGACTCAGGGAGCTGTGGTGAAACTGAGGTCCATGTGAGGTGTGTAGACAGGGGCTGGTGCATAGTAATCTCTCAGTGCATGTTAACTACTGTTGTTGTCACTGTGCTTGGCGCTTTATAAGAGTGATCAGACCAGGTGCAGTGGCTCACACCTGTAATCCCTGCACTTTGGGAGGCGGAGGTGGGAGGATGGCTTGAGGCCAGGAGTTTGAGACCTGCCTGGACAACACAGTGAGAACTCCCCCTCCACCACCATCTCTATAAGAAAAATTAAAAATTAGCTGGGCATGGTGATACACACCTGTAGTCCCACCTACTCGGGGAGCCTAAGGTGAGAAGATCACTTGAGCCCAGGAGTTCAAGGCTGCAGTGAGCTATAATCACGCCATTTTACTCCACCCTGGGCTGAGCAAGACCCTGTCTAGAGGGAAAAAAAAAGGTACGAGATGATTGGCTTCTCACCCTAACCTGTTTTGGAAAGGAGTGGGTTCCAGGTTAGGTAGTGGGGGTAGAGCTGCATATGCACTCAAGCCAGGTCTGGAGCCCCAGAGTTGTAGTTCTTCCCGTGACGCCAGCAGCCTCTCTTGAAGAAGCCAGCACTGCTTTAAAATGAGTTCACCCTGCCATCCAGGCAGCTCTACCACCAGGGTTTCCTGTTTGTGACTCAGCCCCGAGACAGCAGGACAGTTGTGCTGTGATCCAGCTCAGCCCCTGGCTCCTCCTCATCCTCTTTCCTTCTATTTTTCCCCTCTCCCAGCAGCCTAGGTGTGTCCTAGATTTGTAGCGTGGCCTTTTTCCAAGTGTCCTCTTCACAGGATGGTGATGCTCATATGCCTGGAATGTTTCCTGAGGGACTTGACTCCAGAATGGACTCAATACCCCATCTGTCACTTATCCCAAGTCCAAGAAGTATCTTATGAGGGACTAGGCCTCATGTTTAACCTCAAAATCAATCCTAAACCCTCCCTCCCTCTTTTTTTTTTTTTTTTTTTTTTTGAGACAGAGTCTTGCTCTGTTGCCCAGGCTGGAGTGCAGTGGCACCATCTCGGCTAACTGCAGCCTCTGCCTCCCAGATTCAAGTGATTCTCCTGCCTCAGCCTCCCGAGTAGTTGAGATTACAGACGCCTGCCACTGCACCTAGCTAATTTTTGTATTTTTAGTAGAGATGAGGTTTCACCATATTGGCCAGGCCTGTCTCAAACTCCTGACGTCGTGATCCGCCCGCCTCGGCCTCCCAAAGTGCTGGGATTACAGGCGCAAGACGCCGCTTCTGGCCCCTCCCTCTTTTTAATTGTGGTGAAGCATAAGATAAAATTTGCCATTTTTAAGTTTACAATTCAGTTATCTTCACTTTTTTTTTTCTGAGACAGGATCTTCCCCTGTTGTGCCAGTACAATGGCACAATCATAGCTCACTGCAGCCTCAACCTCCTTGGGCTCTAGTGATCCTCCCACCTCAGCCCCACAAATAGCCCCCCAGTAGCCACACCTGGCTAATTTTTAAAATTTTGTAGAGCTGGGTTCTCACTGTGTTGCCCTTGCTGGTCTGAAAATCCTGGCCTCAAGCGATCCTGCTGCCTCAGCCTCCCAAAGCACTGGAATTGTCTTCACTTTTTTTTTTTTTTTTTTGAGACAGAGTCTTGCTCTGTCACCCAAGCTGGAGTGCAGTGGCGCCATCTCTGCTCATTGCAATCTCCACCTGCAGCTTCAAGCAATTCTGCCTCAGCTTCCAGAGTAGCTGGGATTACAGGCACACGCCACCACACCTGGCTAATTTTTTGTATTTTTAGTAGAGATGGGGTTTCACCGTGTTAGCCACACTGGTCTCTTAACTCCTGGCCTCAAGTCATCCACCCACCTCGAACTCCCAAAGTGCTGGGATTACAGGCATGAGCCAACTGCACCTGGCCTGTCTTCACTCTTGACTTGAGGAATTTCAAATGCTTCAGAGAAACTGATTGTGGAAGGAACTTCCTCCCCAAATTAAGAAAGAAATCTTCCAGCTGGGTGTGATGGCTCATGCCTGTAATCCCAACATTTTGGGGAGACCAAGGTTGGGTGCATCGCTTGAGCCCAGGAGTTCAAGACTAGCCTGAGCAACATGGTGAAACCCCATTTCTACAAAAAAAAAAAAAAAAGTCAGATATGGTGGTGGGCGCCTGTAGTCTGAGCTACCAAGAGGCTAGGGCAGGAAGATCTCTTGAGCCCAGGAGGTGGAGGCTGCAGTGATCTATGATGGTGCCACTGCACCCCAGCCTGGACAGCAGAGCAAGACACTGTCTCAAAGAAAAGGAAAGAAATCTTCCCTTTAGAGTCTAACATATTAGCTAAAAGCGTAATTTTTTTATTTTAAAAAAGAAAAAAAACTTTTAAGTTGTATTAAAGTTATTAAGCACAGTGTCCTGTGACTCTAGCCAGTTGGAGACAGTTGAAATCTGAAACACCTAACCCTATATCTAGGTATAACTGACAGTTGGCTCATGATTTATGATAAAATTGTAGGTCATTGTAGCTGAGTGCCGTCATTTTGGGTGAAATACAAACCAGACTGTCTTTAGACTCCTAAGGGCGTGACTCCCAAGACAGGACTCAAGGGCAAATGGTCTTGATTCCACTTGCCAATCAGGAGAGTGATCAGAGCAGAGGGAGGGATTGGAAGAAAGGCTCTGGGGTGGCTGTCTTCGGAGGGTGAGGATGCGACACTTTTATTCCCTTGGGACTCTGAGGCTCCCTCTTCCTCTCCAGGAAGAACTCTGAATGGCAGGCTGGGAAGGTTCTATCTGCAGTGTCCTCCAGACCCCGCCGATCTGTATCAGAAACCTGGGCTCGCGCTCCTATGCAGGTGCCTCAGACCCTTCTGAGGGAGTTCTGAAATAGGATTTATTCAGGAGCACTGGGATTTATCACGGAAGCTTAGTGATAAAAATCAGGCAGTGGCCTGCATGCTCTCAGCCTCAGCAGTGCCACAGGGGGCCAGAGCTCTTCTCCCCAAAAGAGAGCCTCTCTTGTCCCTCGTGTTTTATCAGGGGAGAGTCTGAGGGAAAAAAGGGGGTTAGTGGCTAGTCTTTTTTTTTTTTTTAGACAGAGTCTCCCTCTGTCGCCAGGCTGGAGTGCAGTGGCGCGATCTCGGCTCACTGCAACCTCCACCTCCCAGGTTCAAGCCATTCTCCTGCCTCAGCCTCCCGAGTAGCTGGGATTATAGGCGTGTACCACCACGCTCAGCTAATTTTTTGTATTGTTAGTAGAGACAGGGTTTCACCGTGTTAGCCAGGATGATCTCTATCTCCTGACCTCGTGGTCCGCCTGCCTCAGCCTCCCAAAGTGCTGGGGTTACAGGCGTGAACCACCGAGTGTCTAGTCTTTAATGCTATGAAATTGCCCCTTCTATCCATGTGGAATTTCAGAGAGAGGTGCCCGTTGGAACGTTGCTCATAGCAGAGACGTGAGGCCCTCACAAGGAGGGCCAAGGCTGCCACACTCCTCACTGTGTCTGCAGCGTCCAGCACGGTCCTGACTGGTGTGGCTGCTGTGTATGGGGCAGGGACACCTTCAGGATATCTTTTCTGTGGATTTCCTCCAGGAGGACCATTGAGTGGCCCGGTGTGTGTGTTTGTCCCAGTTTACCGCCAACTAGCCGTAACATTGAACAAGGTACTTTCTCAGGGACCTCAGTTTCTGTGCTACAGAGGTTGGAATGAATGATTCCTGAGGTACCCCCTTGTGCCATCGAAGGCCATAAGTGTCCCTTGGGGACTGATGGTGTAACTGCATCGAGGAGATGCGGCAGAGGTTGAGGTGAGGCAGAGTGGTGGTTGTGCAGTCCTGTTGGTTGTGATTAGTAACGGACCAGAGTGAGGACCCCTGAAAGAAATACTGTGGGTGTCTCCCAGTGTGCACCACTTCTTCATGAAACTTCTCTACCTGTCATTTTTCAGTGTTCCTGTGTCCTAATCATGAGCATTTACTTTGGGCTACATCCTTTACATACTTGAGCTCATTCAGTCCTTAACAAAGCAGCCCATTTACAGATGAGCTTCCTGGACGCAGGGATACTCAGGAACCTGCCGAGCTCACTTAGCTAAGAGGTGTAGGCCCACGGCCCTCCTGCTGCACAACTTTCTTTCTTTTTTCTTTCTTCCTTTTTTTTTTTTTTAACACAAGTTTCACTCTGTCGCCCAGGGTGGAGGGTGGAGTGCAGTAGCACGATCACTGCCAAGTAGCTGGGACTACAGGCTCACACCACCATGCCTGGCTAAATTTTGTATTTTTTGTAGAGATAGGATCTCACTTTGTTGCCCAGGCTGGTCTCAAACTCCTGGGCCCAAGTGATCCTCCCACCAGTTTTCTGGATCAGTTCGCTTAATTTGTTGGGGTTTTTTGGTTCATTTCTTTTTTTCTTTTTTTTTTTTTTAGTCTTTTTTCTTAGGCCTGCCACTGGCTCCAAAATGAAGAGGCTTGCCAGCTCCCAGTCTAGAGAGTTGATAGCATCTACCTTGATATTCACATGGAGGCCTTCAAACTGCCCACCCAACCCTCTTGAGTTACTGCAGTCCTTCATGTTGACTCACTTAGTGATTATGTTGAAGGTAGTAAGTTCCCCCTTGTGGAGTGTTCACAAAGAGGCTAGATGACCTCATCTGGGGGTTTTGATAGAGAATTCTTATGTGTTAACCCTGGAGAGAGACAGCTCCCTCAGGATTCCTTCCAGACATAGGATTCTGTGGTGTGCTTGGGCACTTTGCAACTCTTGAAATGCATGATGGGAACTTGACCTTTGTCACCTCTCCTCTCTTCATGCCTTGCTCAGAACACGTGGCCAGGCAGCAGCAAGGAGGCTCCTTTTGCTGAAAACAGACTTGAGTATCTTAAGAATGTCCAAGTGTCAGAGTTGGAAAGAAGCTTATGAGACCTTTTAGTCCAAACCCATCACTTGGCATCTGAGGCCTAGAGAATGTAGGAGAATTTAATAGTGTCATCCACTGTTGCAGATAGAACCAATCTCCAGGGAGTTTATTCTAAGAATCTTTCATCTACCAAACCAAGGGAATGTGTTATCTAATTACTTACTCAGTCCATCTGCCTTTCTGTTTCATTGTTGATCTGAAGTTTAATCAGCAAACTTAGAACAGTGTCTAGCACAGAGTAGGCATGCAGTGCACGTTTAGTGAAGGAAATTCCTAACTCCAGAATCCTTGCGGTTCACAAACAATTGTGTGGGGAAATCACTCATTTCTGTCTTGGCTGTGACATTAATAACCTAGTAAGTAAACCTGCAAACTGTCCGTTGGTTAGCCCTCGATGGGGCTGCCCATCTTCTACTGGGCCAAGGATTGTCTTCCTTCCAGTTGCTGCTCTGGGTGTCATCAGATCGGCATGAAAAAATCCAAACTGATCATTATTAATATTCCAACCCACAGCAAAGAAATTGGCCAGATATTTAGGCTCTGACGCCGTGTCTAGGAAAATAAATGTGCTTTCATTAGACTGCTTGCATTGTT
The DNA here is from genome assembly GCF_000001405.40 of Homo sapiens. Taxonomy (NCBI): domain Eukaryota; kingdom Metazoa; phylum Chordata; class Mammalia; order Primates; family Hominidae; genus Homo; species Homo sapiens. The sequence goes on along the minus strand of NC_000007.14, from coordinate 5,625,325 downwards.
GGGACTTGCTAATCCTCTCACGATATCAGGGACCACCATCCCTCCCCATCCTTCTCCCCAGCTCGGCTGCTCTCAACTCCTGGAGGACCTCAGGGAACAGAGCCCTCCTATAGTCAGCTATCTCTTTCCTGCTTGCTGAGCCGGCAGTTGGCGTGTTTGGGTTTGCCACGGTGTTGCCACTCTGCTGCTTGTGAGCCTCAGCCCCCTCGGGCCCACACCTTAGCCCCTTGGCCCTGCAGCCAGCCAGGAAAGATGGGCACCCACTTGGCGGGTTTTTTCAATCCAGTTAATCGTCTTTCAGTCCCACAAACTGCACAGCTGTTTTGTGGGTCACTGAGGAGGGGGGTTAAGGTAAGCGCCACTCATGAAGCAGGCATCACGGGTGGTCTGTCCTGAGGCAGCAGCCCGGTCCTCCCACCATGGTGTCTGCTGGCAGGTGGGGGTGTGGGAGCTGCATGTGGCAAAAACCCAACCTCTGGGGCTTGCCCAGTGTGGCCCCTGAGTTTCCCAGCACAGCTCCCACATCTGCCTGCACTCACAGTGCCTCTTCGGTTCGTGTCTGAGGCTTGGATAACCCAAGTGTGAATTGTGTTTGTTATTTCAGGCCTACCAAGCATGGGGTTTGGGAGAAGAGACGGCAAGGTCCGAGGGGGACCATCCTCACTGTCGCACCTTCCTCCTCTCCCCGAGGCCTGGCCCAGGAGCCAAGGCCAGCCTTGGGGGCTAAGCAGGGCCCGACTGGACATTTGTCCATCTCAGTTGAGGACATCTGCAAGACTTTTCCAGGCTCTGCAGACAGGCTGCCATGCCGAGCGCTTGTGGACTTGGGATCTGAAACTTTTCAGGCTGTGCCCACTCAGACCCAGCCCTCTCCAAACCCTTCTCATATCCACCACTTGCACGCAGCTCAGTGCATGGAGGCCCTCCATCCCCCCACCTCACCAGGCAGCTGCCTGCCATGCTCAGACCCCTCTGCCCAGCCTTGTGGATGGCCTCCTTGTGGAACGCCATCAGGCTGATGAAGGAAGGAGGCCTTCGGGGAAATAGGAAGGAACGGTGTGCAGCCCAGGCCCCACTGGCCAGCAGCAGGCTTCGGGCTTGTTCCATGGCCATAAGCAACAAGCGGCCTCCTCACTGTCCCACGGGGCCTCAGCACTGCATGAAGCTACAGGTTCATCCTTCTCATTGCTTGCGTTTTAGGAAGATGATGAGAAGCTTATTGAGGAAATCCAGAAGGAGGCTGAAGAGGAACAGAAAAGAAAGAATGGAGGCAAGTGCCCCTCCCCAGGCCCCCAGGACAGAGCAGCAGCCAGGCCATGCAGGCTTCTGCTGGCCTCCCTGAGTGTCCTGGCACTCAACCCAGCACAGGAGAGGAGGGGGTGCTGTCCCTCAGGTGGCTATAGACCTGACTTCACCCACGCGGCCACATCTCAGGCTTATGGAAAGGCCTTCAACGCCTTGAATATAGTTTTGGCATCTCCTTGATGGTGAGGAAGTCCCAAGGGGTGGGTTTGAGCTCAGGAATCAATCAAGCCACACCTGGCTAAAGAAAAGTAGACCCAGCTGATCCTTCTGAGGCTGAAAAGCAGTGAAGCCAGGTGTGTTGGCACACATCTGCGATCCCAGCTCCTCAGGAGGCAGAGGTGGGAGCATCACTGGATCCCAGGAGGTTGGGGCTAGCCTGGGCAAAATAGCAAGACCCCATCTGTTTTTCTTTAAAAAAAAGAGGCTAAGTGCAGTGGCTCACATCTGCAATCCCAGCACTCGGGAGGGTGAGGCAGGTGGATCAGTTGAGCCCAGGAGTTTGAGACCAGCCCGGGCAACATGGCAAAACCCCATCTATTAAAAAAAAAAAAAAAAGTAACTGAGTCACTGAGGTGGCCCATCAAGGCCCTGGCTCTGAAGGATGTCTGGCTGGGTGGGTGGACGTGCCACCTTCCAAGGTGCCACTGTGGAGCAAGACACTGGTGGAAGTACAGATTTGTTCTTGGTTTCTTGCAGTGGCATTTGGGAGGTGTCCACGTTTTGTGCTTTGATCAGCATGTGGAGCCACTCCCGTGTCCAGAGGTCGCTGCCCTGGTCCCAGGCTAGATTCCATTGAGGTTGGTTTAATGTTTTTCTCCACTAATCCCCACATCCCTTTCAGAGAACACCTTCAAACGCATTGGACCCCCGCTGGAGAAGCCTGTGGAGAAGGTGCAGAGGGTGGAGGCCCTCCCGAGGCCCGTTCCGCAGAACCTGCCACAGCCACAGATGCCACCCTATGCCTTCGCGCACCCACCCTTCCCCCTGCCTCCCGTGCGGCCTGTGTTCAACAACTTCCCACTCAACATGGGGCCTATCCCAGCCCCGTACGTGCCCCCTCTGCCCAACGTGCGGGTCAACTATGACTTCGGTCCCATCCACATGCCCCTGGAGCACAACCTGCCCATGCACTTTGGCCCCCAGCCGCGGCATCGCTTCTGATGGCCCCGAATCCCCATTGAGCAGCACAAAGCCCGTTTGGGGTAGGAGTGTGGATGGAGAACCCTCCCCCAAGGCTGGTGTCTGTACCATTGCATCCTAAGTCAGCTTGAAGGGTAGGCTGGTTTTCTTCCCACCCCTTTCCTAGAAGGGCTACTGCTCCTGGAAGAGTGGACGGATCCATAATAAAGACGTCCCAAATGGTGGAGTTCGGAGAGAGCTGCGATGTGAACTGCCCCTCCCCTCGCATCCCCCAGGCCACCAACGGCAGTCCTTCTGCCTTGTCCATGGCATAGGCCATAGACCAGGTCCCTGCTGCTCACACCTGGGCCTCTCCTCGGAGCCGACCCCTGGGTAGCAAGGCAGCCGAGAGCATCTCCCTGGAGGGGCCCACGGTTGGGCCAAGGGCAGAGGGGGCTGCACCTGCGGGCCTGGGAAGCATTGCTCAGGGTGGGGGGCTGGGACCATGGCCCGCAGAGGCACTGCCACAGCTGTGAGGGCCAAGATGCTGTCCCCCCATCCAAAACCCGTGCGCCACTGCAGTGAGTGTTGAGGGCACCTCTCCTCCCCTCTTACACCTACTCAGATGAGGCAGCAGCAGACCCATCTCGCGGCGGGGGTTTTGTTCTGTTGCCGCCTAACTTTCTCATCCTCGGTCTCTGGAAAGTCAGGCTGAGAAATCCTTTCCCAGGCCAGGCCGCTGCGGTACACTGGATGGTTCTGAAGCTGGCCCATTGAAAGAGCCTCTTAAGGCAGCTGGGACAGAGGCCTGGTGGCCCTGCTGGGCAGCCCAACTGCTGGGGGAGACGTTTCTGCCACCCTGGGTGATGAGCAGCTTTTCCCCCCTGGCTTTCTGGGGGAGGAGTGGGCCTCCTTAGGGAGACAGGTGACCCTGGGTGCCACCCCTGCCCCGTGTGTGCCCCGGGTGTTCTCAGTGGTTGCTGAAGGCAGGTAGAGGGTGCTGTCCAGTATCCCCCATGTGAAGGTCACTTCCCTTCTCATGGAGTCAGCTGAGCATCAGCTCAGCCCTGCCATGTCCCCACTCACCCTCCTCGCCTCCTGTCCGGCCCTGGGTTTCTAGCGGTGCCTGAGGCATCACTCTGGCCCATTGACAGATGAGAGGTCTGAAGCCTTCCTGGCCACAGGCATCACTTTCTCCTCCTCCTCATGCCCTGCCTTGTCCTTGTCGTGTTGCCATGGGGTTCTGAGAGGCTGGGAGTTCACAGACCTCAGACACAGCTGAGTCCGACAACCATTGGGGTGGGGCTGCATCAGTCTCCGGAGTGGCCCGCCACCTCCTGAAGCAGGGCCTGGCCCACCCAAGGTGCCTGGGGCAGGCGGGCACCGTCATTCGCTGCCATTGGCTTCTCAGATGTATTTCAAGGACTAAAGTGGGCTCTAAGATCTAAGATGGCCCGGCGCGGTGGCTCCCGCCTGTAATCCCAGCACTTTGGGAGGCCGAGGCGGGCGGATGAGTTGAGGTCGGGAGTTTGAGTCCCCGTCTCTACTAAAAATACAAAATTAGCCGGACAAGGTGGCGCATGCCTATAATCCCAGGTACTCAGGAGGCTGAGGCAGGAGAATCACTTGAACCTGGGAGGCAGAGGTTGCAGTGAGCCAAGATTGTGCCACTGCACTCCAGCCTGAGCAACAAAAGCAAAACTCTATCTTTAAAAAAAAAAAAAAAAAAACTAAGATACCCATTCTTTCTGCCTTTGCCCAGGATGGAGGCTTTGAAGACAGGTGGTCACCTGGACCTGGGGTAAGGGTGCGCAGGGAGGCCGGGCTTGGGGGCAGCCTGCTGCTATGTCCTTGCTGGCGCCCATACCTGTTGGACTGCCTGAACTTTGCTACTAGCCTGAACGACAGTGCCTTGGAAAGGCAGGCTCCATGCGGCAGCAACAGGATTGTCTTCGGTACCTTAAATATGCTCCCTGTGCTTCCCCAGGGAGGATCTCTGGGAGCAGAGGGCGGCTGTAGACATCACAGCTGAAGAGGTGACCTCAGGCCCTGGGAGCCTCAGCTCCCTCTGCCCTGTACCCTAGGCACGTGGCTCCAGCAAGAGCCCCAGGCAGGACAAAGGGAGCAGGCAGCAGCTGCAGAAACAGCCCTAGACAGGTGCTGGCCTCAACCCTGGCAGGGGAGGGGGAGCCCAGAGTGATGTTTCTCCTAAGGCCAAACCCCAGGGGTGGGTCATTTGAGAGGAGTTCCAGCTGTTCTGGCCACACTGGGCTGGTGGGGAAGGAGCGGCGGCCTCTTTCCTTGGAGGGTCCCTGATTCCTGAGGATCCTCCCCGAGCCAGGCACGGGGGACCACAGGGCTGCCGTGAGCACCCACCCTGGTTCTCCAGGCCCCTCTGTCCAGAGGCAGGGCCTGAACCTCGGGCTCCTGCCTGGACCAGTGACAGCATTGGGGAGAGAAGCACTGGGGGTCTTCAGACCAGCCAGCAAGGGGCCGTGCCAGTGCCCAGAGAGCAGGTCAGACAACAGGCAACCCTGAGGCAGCTGGCTCCCTCTCTCTGCCCTGCAGGGCTTGCCGCAGGGCGTGAGGCTCCCCAGCCACAGCCCCCTCTTACTTGCCTTAAAACTGGAGAGAGGAATCTAGTATTTGCACTTAGCAAAATATTTAAAAACTGAAAAAAATGTGCATGATCTGTCACTTTGTATAAAAACAAGAAACGATTAGTTCATTAAACTTTTTCTTTACCTTCTGGTAGTAAAAATAGATAAAATAATTCCGTTTCAACTACTGTGTGTAAAAAGCCTGTATCATATGTAACTGGGACTTTTGTAAATAAATGTTTGTGCGCTCTGCTCCCTCCAGCTTCGTCTCTCCACCCCGCCATCCGGCAAGTTACAGGGGCCGCCGACAGATTCGTCCAAGTGATTGGGTCTAAACCAGCATCCTCACCTCCCCGACTGGGTCCTGGCAGGAGCAGGCCCGGAAGGCCCAGTAGTAAGATCCCCACCACTCCCCTGCCAGGGAGGAAGATCAGGTGATCTGCTAGGCAAATCCCGCTAGGGCGGCTACCAAGGCCCACATTGGGCACAAAGGGTCTATCTGTTTTTGGCACAGAATCCCCTGCAAGAAAGGTGCAGTCGGTTTCTTTTGCAGGCCCCTTCCCCAGTCTGCCCACCTAAAGGTCAAGTAAACCAGGAGAAGCCTCGCCCAGCTGAGGAGGGGACAAGGTTCCAAGGACAGGAAGTGCCTGGGCTGAGAGGCCATGGCATTTGAGTCCCTTCCCTGACTGGTGAGACACTGCAGTGCCAGGGCCCTGCTACCCTCGCTGTTGGCACAGCCTCTTCTCCTCCGGAGTCCTTCCTGCCATGTACCAGGCCAGGCAGGAATCTGGACCCTAGATCTGAAGGGGGCCCTGGGCACAGGGGAAGCTGTGAACTCCAAATGCAGATGGACTACAGCTCGCTTTAATAAAACAGGGTCTCCTGCCGTATGCAACTTTCTATGGAACAATTACCTGTCTTTCTCATGTCTGAGAAAAAGTATACTAAAAGCTTCAAGAGAAAAGTTACATCCCCCAAAAGGTTACCCACATTCCCAGCTTCTAAATGTGGTTTTGGTTTTTTCTGAAAGGGAGTCTCGCTCTATCACCCAGGCTGGAGTAGAGTGGCACGATCTCGGCTCACTGCAACCTCTGCCTCCCAGGTGATTCTCCTGCCTCAGCCTCCTGAGTAGCTGGGATTACAGGCATCTGCCACCACACCCCGCTAATTTTTTTTGTAGCTTTAGTAGAGATGGGGTTTCACCATGTTGGCAAGGCTGGTCTCGAACTCCTGACATCAGGTAACCTGAACACCTTGGCCTCCCAAAGTGCTGGGATTACAGGCGTGAGCCACCGCACCCGGCCCAATCTGTGTTTATTTTTAATTTGTTCATGGCATGCAGTCCTTGTTCCTGTTCCTCCTCTATATTTGCAACAATATCATAAAATTTTCTGCAATTTCAGTAAATAAGTAAAAGCTATGTATCCGTTCTGCTGCTATCCTTTTTCCATCCAAAGTGACCAGGGTGGTGGTATTCATCCCACCTTCCCCAGGCGCTGGCCAGCACATTGCAACACACCTGATCAGGACTTGGGGGCCTTTGGTTTTAAAGAAGTTAGTACCTTGCTTTTCTCCCTTAACAGTCACGTACTGGCCTCCAGGTCTATAGCTCTGTCTGCATCCAACTTGTTCTTTTTATGTCTTCCATCATACATTTTTTTTTTTTTTTGAGACAGAGTCTTGCTCTGTTGCCCAGGCTGGAGTGCAGTGGCACAATCTCGGCTCACTGCAACCTCTGCCTCCCAAGTTCAAGCGATCCTCCTGCCTCAGCCTCCCGAGTAGCTGGGATTACAGGCGTGTACCACCACGCCTGGCTAATTTTTTGTACCTTTAGTAGAGACAGGGTTTCACCATGTTGGCGAGGCTGGTCTCAAACTCCTGACCTTGTGATCTGCCCGTCTCGGCCTCCCAAAGTGCTGGGATTACAGGCGTGAGGCACCGTGCCCAGCCAGTTGTATTTTTAGTAGAGACAGGATTTCACCCTGTTGGCCAGGCTGGTCTTGAACTCCTGACTTGAAGTGATCCACTCCTGCCTCGACCTCTCAAAATGCTGGGATTATAGGTGTAAGCCACTGCACCTGGCCTTTTTTCCATCTTTCTGAGATGAGATCTCACTCTGTCTTAGAAAAAGATCTAAGACTGCACTCCCAGGCTATAGTGCAGAGTGCAGTCACGGCTCACTACAACCTCAACCTCCCAGCTCAAGCGATCACACCTCAGCCTCCCAAGTAGCCGGGACTACAGGCGTGGGCCACCATGCCCAGCTAATTTTTGTGTTTTTTGTAAAGAAGGGGACTCAACAGCTGGGCGAGGTGTCTCACTCCTGTAATCCTAGCACTTTGGGAGGTCGAGGCAGGCGCATCACCTGAGGTCAGTATTTCAAGACCAGCCTGGCCAACATGGTGAAACCTTGTCTCTACTAAAGTACAAAAATTAGCTGGGCATGATGGCGGGTGCCTGTAATCCCAGCTACTCGGGAGGCTGAGACAGGAGAATCACTTGAACCCGGGAGACAGTGGTTGCAGTGAGGTGAGATCGCACCACTGCACTCCAGCCTGGGCAGCTAAGCGAGACTCCGTCTCAAAAAAAAAAGGAGGTTCTCACCATGTTACCCAGGCTGGTCTTGAACTCTTGGGCTCAAGCAGTCGGCCCACCCCAACCTCCCAAAGTGCTTGGATTACAGGTGTGAGCCACCTCCTTTATTTTTCCATCCTTAAAAAGTGTCTTTTTTGGCTGGGCGTGGTGGCTCACGTCTATAATTCCAGTATTTTGGAGGTCAAGGCGGGTGGATCACGAGCCCAGGAGTTCAAGACCAGCCTGGCCAAGATGGTGAAACCCCATCTCTACTAAAAATACAAAATGGAGCTGGGCATGGTGGTGGGTGCCTATAATCCCAGCTACTCGGGAGACTGAGGCAGAGAATTGTTTGAACCCGGGAGGTAGAGGTTGCAGTGAGCCGAGATTGCACCACTGCACTCCAGCCTGGGCAACAGAGTGAGACTCCATCTCCAAAAAAAAAGTAATAATAAAAAGTGTCTTTTTTATGGAGGTTGCAGCGAACCAAGATCACGCCATTGCACTCCAACCTGTGTGACAGAGTGAGACTCTGTCTCGAAAAAAAAAAGTATCTTAAAAAATACATTTGCCAGCCAGTCGCGGTGGCTCATGCCTATAATCCCAGCACTTTGGGAGGCCGAGGTGGGCGGATCTCCTGAAGTCAGGAGTTCGAGACCAGCCTGGCCAACATGGTGAAACCCTGTCTCTACAAAAATATAAAAATTACCTGGGTGTGATAGCGGGTGCCTATAGTCCCAGCTACTCGGGAGGCTGAGGCGGGAGAATCAGTTGAACCTGGGAGGCAGAGGTTGCAGTGAGCTGAGATCATGCCACTGCACACTCCAGCCTGGGCAACAGAGTGAGACTCCCTCTAAACACAAAATACATTTACCAATCAAAAGTGTACAAAAAATAGAAAATGTATATGCAAAGTAGGAAAATCTTGAAAACAAAAATATAAAGCAAAAATAGACATGCTTTGTAACCCAAAGATAACTGCTGATCACATCTCAATGTACTTCTGCAAGGTGTGATCTTTTACTGTGATATATACAGTACTCATGAAACTAGTGAACCAGACATGAAGGTTTTCTTTTTTTTTTTTTTTTTGAAACAGAGTCTCACTGTCGCCCAGGCTGGAGTGCAGTGGCACGATCTTGGCTCACTGCAAACTCCGTCTCCCGGGTTCATGCCATCCTCCTGCCTCAGCCTCCCGAGTAGCTGGGACTACAGGCGCCCGCCACCACGCCCAGCTAATTTTTTATATTTTTAGTAGAGATGGGGTTTCACTGTGTTAGCCAGGATGGTCTCGATCTCCTAACCTCATGATCCTCCCACCTCGGCCTCCCAAAGTGCTGGGATTACAGGCGTGAGCCACCGCACCCAGCTGACATGAAGGTTTGCATTCTGCTTTTCCTTTCTGGAGCATTTACAAGACAGGAGCAAGTGCTTCTGAAACAGACTTTTTAATTAGCTCTTTGCCTTTGAGAACCTCTCACAGCACGTTCCATCTGCCTTCTCTTTGAATTTCTTGCAGTCATCTAGGCTGGTGTGAAGCTAACGCAGGCCAGGCCACGAGCTCTGTTCTCAGGACCCCTGCGGGGGGACGTGGTCACTTCTGCAGTCACTGGCTGTGTGTGCCTCTTGGTCAGGATGAAGTCCAATCATCAGTTCCACTCATCGTCGCTTCCTGTCCCTTCGTCTGCACACATGTCTGGAGGAGACGGCCCAGGACCTCTGGCTTTGCTTCTCCCCAGGAGAAGGTGCCAGTTAAACCCGCAGGAGAGGGACTCAGGTGAGCACCAGCTTCTGAGTCAGGTCCCACGCTCCCCATCTTGCTGGGTGTGAGTCACCCAAGGTGGGGTGGTGAGAGCCCTGACAGCAGTATGGCATACCTGGGCCTGGCATTAGCCGTAAAGTGGGAATCGCCGCAGCATCTTCCTCGGGCTGTGAGAACTGGGGAGGGGAGACAGGAAAAGTGCTTGGCCGAGGACGGCAGGGAGGGCAGAGCGGCTGTGATGGTGGTGGTTGCGCCGTCCCACAGAGCTGTGCTGTCCCTTCCCACGTTTCCAGTGATTTCTTGCGGATAAAAGCCTAATCCTTTGACCAGACCAACCTCTCAGGGTCATCTGAGACTGTCAGCCCCACCTGGGACCCCCGGGAGCACCTAGTCCACACCCACACCTGGCAGGTGCCTGCGTGCCCGGCTGCTCACCTGTGCACGTGCCCTGAGTGTAGCTGGGTGCAGACCTGGACGGCGCTGCTCAGCTGGGCAGTCCCGGGGCACTCGGCCCCTAGTAGGTGCCACAGAGAAACCGGCACCAGGTGGCAGGGAACAGGCTGAGTCTGTGGAGGGGACCCACTGGAGTGGCCCAGGAGGCTGGGAAGGCTTCCAGGAGAAGCCCCGCCTGCTGCTCATCCTCATTGCCTGACCCTTGTCCAAGTGCAGACCGCAGGGCCGGGGATGCTGACTGGCCAGTTCCAGGTGTTCCTGAGAACCAGATCTTAAATCAGCTCCTCGGGATGCAGTCACGCGTTGGCCTTGGTGGAGACTTCCCCCACGGCAGGAGTCCTGGAGGACGCTGCCAAATGGCCTCTGGGTGAAAGGGTACAGTTGGGGGTACATCTGAGAGAGGCTCAGAAGACAGTCCAAGGAGACTGGGCACCAATGGGGGTCCACGAACAGGGAGAATCCACAGGGATGGCCAGGCCCTGTCCTGGGAGCTGAAGGAACTGGTCCCAGGGGCAGTTCGGGGCAGGGGTGGGGAGGCCATGGCACCACAGGGTGGGGCTGAGCACGGCCACCCCAGGCAGTGAGGCCCGAAGGCCTGGGAATAGCAGCAGGGAGCGGGTGGGACATAGGGCTGAGCAGGCCAGGCCCCAAGGAGCACGTGCTTTTCTGGACAGGCAGAGGGACAGTGCCCTGTGTTCCAGGACACACAGATGCATGAGGAGGAGGAGGCCAGCCAGCAGCAAGGAGGAGAGCCAGGGCACCGAGCACCGGGAGGCAGCCCTCCCTCCCGCAAGCTCTCAGACCGCCGATGCCCTCAGACCTAGGAGCAGCGCCCGTACCCCGCCAGGCCCCATCTCCTCCCCTCCCTCAAAGCCTCACTTCTCCAGGGTCCAGCCCTGATATCTCTTTCCCAGGCCTTCCAGGAGCTGTCTGCCCTCCTGTCCCCCTGTCGGATCCCCCTGCCCTGTATATTCCCCTAGGTCCCGCTTCTCACCCATCTCAGTCATCTATGGCCACATAAAACCACACCCCAAGGCCAGCACAGTGGCTCACGCCTGTAATCCCAGCACTTTGGGAGGCCAAAGCAGGAGGATCACTTGAGCCCAGGAGTTACAGACCAGCCTGGGCAACCTAGCAAGACCCCCATCTCTATCAAAACAAAAAACAAGCGAGGCATGGTGGTATGCACCTATAGTCCTAGCTACTCAGGAGGCCAAGACACAAGGATCACTTGAGCCTGGGGGGTCAAGGCTGCAGTGAGCTATGATTACACCACTGGACTCTAGCCTGGGTGACAGAGCAAGACCCTGTCTCTAAAAAATAAACCACAGCTCAGCCCACTACTCACAACATCCCTGAGTTGCTATTTTCCACAAGGCTTCCCTTTGCCGAGGCTCAGCCAGGCAGCTGTGCCATATCTGAGGACCCCGGGGTGGCTGCCATCAGCTGCCAGCTGGGGTTTGGCCGAGACCACAACCCCTGCCCATGGGCTCTCAGCCCTCATCGGTCTGGCCCCGGCTTCTCTCCATCACAGTGGTGGCCTTCCTCTCTCCATCACAGTGGTGGCCTTCCAAGAGGCCAGGCATGGACACAAGCACCTCTCCCTCCACATGGTAGCAGCCAAAGCAAACCACAGGCCAGCACAGCTCCAGGCAAGAGATGAGGACAAGCCACCAACCCGGCCTGCTCCAAACGCCAAGCCCTGCTGTGACCCATGTGTGCAGTGTGCAGTCACAGCCCCGCAGGGGTGAGGGGACACTTCAGCCCAGGACGTCTCAGCAGGGAGACAGCTGAGTTGAGACATTCTCAACTCTGAGCTGAGTTCTCTTCTTGCTGAGAACTCTCCTGTCTCTATCTGAATGTGGTGCTCTCTCTCTCTCTCAATCTCTCTCTCTCTCTTTCCATCCTAACTTTATTTCTGGAAAGCTGTGGTAAGAAAATGAGCAGGGCCACGCACAGTGGCTCACGCCTGTAATCCCAGCAGTTTGGGAGGCCAAGGCGGGCAGAGCACAAGGTCAGGAGTTTGAGACCAGCCTGGCCAACATGGTGAAACCCCGTCTCTACTAAAACTACAAAAATAGCCGGGCGTGGTGGCGGGCACCTGTAATGCCAGCTACTCAGGAGGCTGAGGCAAGAGAATTGCTTAAACCCAGGAGGAGGAGGAGGTCGCAGTGAGCCGAGATCATGCCACTGCACTCCAGCCTAGGTGACAGAGCAAGACTCTGTCTCGGAAAAAAAAAAAAAAAAAAAAAAGGAAAAAAAAGAAAAAAAAGTGAGCAGCGCCTAGGATGAGGCCTCTGAGGTGTGCTGCCGGTGGGGTGCCCTGGCCACCATAGGCACAGTCCTTAGTGTGACTTTCACCTTCACAGAGCCCCAGTGAGGATGCACAGGGGTGTAAGGTCAGAAAGGGCCAGTGCTGTGGAAACCTGCCCACAGCCCAAAGGACGGGCACTAGGGGGCCTGAGCTGAAGACCCCCAGCCCAGGTACCCTAGGACTGGTGCCCAAGGGACATCTCAGTCTACCCTCAGTCACTGCCCTGGGATGGCCTTAGGCCCAAGCAGGGCTTTGAAGCCACACCCTCAGAGGATCGGGCAGAGCCTGGAACTAAGTCCAGGAGGCTCCACAGTGGGCAGCAAGCCATGTCTGGGGCTCCCCAGCCTGCCCAACCTCAGAACCGGGGACACTGGCACATCCCACAGACAATTCACTCTTCCCTTCTGATGGGGAGGACAAGGACGAGGACTGTCGGAGCTGGTGGGGGGCAGCAGGAGGCACCAGGCGCTCAGTGCCCCCTCAACCCACCAGTTCTGCTGCATCTGGCTCTGAGGCATGCACAGTCCCTCGGCTCCTTTTTCTCATTGGAGGGACTGACTGTCTTGGGTTAATACCCTGCTTGTGGCATGTTTCCCAGAGTGCCTGCAAAGACCTCCATGCTGCAGTCCCCAGCCACAGTTCAGAGTCTGGGATGCGCTGGCAATGTTTGTTCTAGAAGAAATGTGAGAAATAAACATTAAGGTATCCCTCAGGGTCGGGCATGGTGGCTCACACCTGTAATCCCAGCATTTTGGGAGGCTGAAGCAGGAGGATCACTGAGCCCAGAAGGTGATGGAGACCAGCCTGGGCAACATATCAAGACCCTGTCTACACACAAAAAAGTTAAAAACTAGCCAGGTGTTCTGACATGCACCTGTAGTGCCAGTTACTCCAGGGGCTGAGGCAGGAAGATCACCTGAGCCCAGGAGTTTGAGGTTGCAGTGAGCCTAGATCACCCCATTGTACTCCAGCCTGGGTGACAGAGCAAGACCCCATCTCCAAAAACAAAAATTTTTTTTTGAGACACAGTTTCAGTCTGTCACCCACGCTGGAGTGCAGTGGCTCGATCTTGGTTCACTGAAACCTCTGCCTCCCCAGTTCAAGGGATTCTCCTGCCTCAGCCTCCCAAGTAGCTGGCATTGCAGGAGCATGCCACTGTGCCCGGCTAATTTTTTGTATTTTTAGTAGAGTCAGGGTTTCACCATGTGAGCCAGGCTGGTCTCAAACTCCTGGCCTCAAGTGATCCACCCGCCTCAGCCTCCCAAAGTGTTGGGATTACAGGCGTGAGCCACCACGCCTGGCTGAATAATTTCTTAAAAATATATTTTCTTAGTGTTGCTTTCCTTAGAAGTCTATAAAAAAAAAAAAAAAAAAAAACAAGAGGCCGGGCGCGGTGGCTCACGCCTGTAATCCCAGCACTTCGGGAGGCCGAGGCAGGAGGATCACAAGGTCAGGAGATCGAGACCATCCTGGCTAACATGGTGAAACCCCTGTCTCTACTAAAAATACAAAAAAATAGCCGGGTGTGGTGGTGGGCGCCTGTAGTCCCAGCTACTCGGGAGGCTGAGGCGGGAGAATGGCGTGAACCCGGGAGGTGGAGTTTGCAGTGAGTCACGATCATGCCACTGCACTCCAGCCTGGGCGACAGAGCGAGACTCCGTCTAAAAAAAAAAAAAAAAAAAGGGAGATCGAGACCATCCTGGCGAACACAGTGAAACCCCATCTCTATTAAAAAATAAATACAAAAAATTAGCCGGGCGTGGTGGCTGGAGCCTGTAGTCCCACCCACTCAGGAGGCTGAGGCAGGAGAATGGCGTGAACCCGGGAGGCAGAGCTTGCAAGTGAGCCGAGATTGCGCCACTGCACTCCCGCCTGGGCGACAGAGCAAGACTCCAGCTCAAAAAAAAAAAAAAAAAAAAAAAAAATTAGCCGGGCATGGTGGTGCGCCCCTGTAGTCCCAGCTACTCAGGCGGTTGAGGCAGGAGAATCGTTTTAACCCGGGATGTGGAAGTTGCAGTGAGCCGAGATCACGCTACTGCGCTGCATGGGCGACAGAGCCAGACTCCTTCCCAAAAAAAAAAAAAAAAAAAAAAAAAAAAAAAAAATTCCAGAGGGGTGTAAAAAACCATTAACACAGTTACCTCCAAAGGAAAGAGGGCTGGGGCCGGGTTAGCTGTGGATTTTTGTTTATATCTGTGGGTACCCTTTGATTTTATACCGTATTTATTTATTAGCTTAGTTTCTTCAAATAATATTAGTAAAGCCTTTTAGAGCACTTGCCTGGTGCCTGGCACTATCTGGGGGTTCCCTGGAAGGTGGGTTCCCCCCTTGCTCACCTCCTCCCCTCCTGAGGGTCAGACCTGGGTCCTGGGATGAGGAGGGGAGCACAGTGAAGGCTTCTGTGTTAATTATTTGCACATCACAGAGGCCCCTCCTCCCGGTTTAAGCTAGGGCCCCGTTAAGGGGCTTGGGTTTCACGCCAAATGCCCTGCCCCGCCCCACCCCTCCAGGCCTCTCTGCCTGGGAGACCCCATCTGTTCCCTTCTCCCTCTGCTGCCCCCAAGGGTCTCAGAGCCCCTCCCCCATCCAGACAACCTTGTTGCCCACAGCCCGTTCAGGGAGACCAGGCACCCAGCCAACCATTGCTCAGGGGTCTTCAGGGAAGCCGGGGTCCCAAGGGAGCCGAAATGGGCACTGCCGGGCCCCCTTTCCATCTTCACGCACCTTATGAGCCCCAAAAGCCGTCGTTTGAAAGAAAAGTTTTAGACTTTTTATTTTATTTTATTTATTTTTGAGAGAGAGTCTTGCTCTGCGGCCCAGGCTGGACTGCAGTGGTGGAATCACAGCTCACTGCAGTCTCAACCTTCCAGGATCAAACCATCCTCCCACCTCAGCCTCCTGAGCAGCTGGGACGACAGACACGCACCACCATGCCTGACTAATTTTCGTAGTTTTTACAGAGACAGGAGTCTCACCATGTTGCCCAGGCTGGTCTCAAACTCCTGAGCTCAAGCAGTTCTCCTGCCTCAGCCTCCCAAAGTGCTGGGATTTCAAGCACCAAGTATTTGACTTTTTTAAAAGAGTGAAGTCAAGGCCGGGCATGGTGGCTCATGCCTGTAATCCCAGCACTTTGGGAGGCTAATATGGTGAAGCCCCATCTCTACTAAAAAATACAAAAATTAGTTAGGTGTGGTGGCACGTACCTGTAGTCCCAGCTACTCAGGAGGCTGAGGCAGGAGAATCGCTTGAACGTGGGAGGTGGAGATTGCAGTGAGCCGAGATCACGCCACTGCGCTCCAGCCTGGGCGAGAGTGAGACTCCGTCTCAAAAAAAAAAAAAAAAAAAAAAAGCGACAGAGTGAGAGTCCGTCTCAAAAAAAAAAAAGAGTGAGATCAGCCCCCATCCTCGTGACTGTGGGAGAGGCCACTGTGGCCCTGGAGGAAATGGGGCCCAGCTGGGTCTGGGGCTTCCTGTCCCCTCCCCCACCCCCTGATAATGAATTGGAAGAGGCTGAGCTGGGGCAGAAGGTCTGGAGGGGGGGTGTCCCGTGGAGACACACTGGGAAGCTCAGAGGCCTCGACCACCAGAGGGACTTGCCTGAGTCCTCCTGGGGCTGGTGACAGCTCCACAGCCCCCCGCAGGACTCAGGGTCCCTCCCAATGAGGCCTCCTGAGGAGGTCACAGCAGACAGCAGTGGGGGCACCCAGGGCTGGGACCCTGAGACACCGAGTATGCCCCACTGTCCCCCAGACTGCCCACATGCCTGGACTGGGCAATATAGCTCAGTCTCTCCTTTCTTTCTTTCTTTTTTCTTTTTATTTTATTATTATTATTATTATTATTTGGAGACAGAGTCTCACTCTGTCGCCCAGGCTGGAGTGCAGTGGTGTAATCTCGGCTCACACAACCTCCGCCTCCTGGGTTCAAGCGATTCTCCTGCCCCAGCCTCCCAAGTAGCTGAGATTACAGGCACCCACCACCATGTCTGGCTAATTTTCTTATTTTTAGTAGATTACAGGTGTGAGCCACTGTGCCCGGCCTCTTTTTCCTTTTTTTTTTTTTTTTTTTTTTTTTTTGAGACAGGGTCTTGCTTTGTCACCCAGGCTGGAGTGCAGTGGGTGGTGCCATCATAGCTCACTGCAGCCTCAGCCTCCTGGACTCAAGCAATCCTCACACCTGGGCCTCCTGAGTAGCTGAACTATATAGGCGTTAGCCACTGCTCCCAGCCCAGTCTCTCCTTTCTTTGCTCTAACAAGTTTAATTGAATGTTTTCCCTTAAGTCGTGATCTTTGGGGATCACAGTGAATCCCAACAAGGATCTTGGAGCCCTGGCTGCACTTGCCTTGACTCACTGGGGACTCTCAAGTGGGAGGTGGGACTCTCACTCCCAACCCCATGGCAGGCTTAATGGAGGAGCCACCCTCGGGGTATGGGGTCCCTAGTGGCCCCCGACCCACCTGGGAGAACTGCCGGGAATGGGGGTGCACGGGACAGAGGCTGGTACCCTGAGTGCTGAATCCCTGTAGGCTGGAGACAGATTCCTGGGAGTTGGTCTGCCTGCATCTGTGCGTGTCTGTGTGCACGCCTACATGCACGTGTACCTGCCTGTGCATGGGGCTCTTTGCACAGGTCCATATGTGTGTGTGCGTGCAAGTTCACAAGTGTGTGAGTGCGTGTGATGGGCCACGCCCTTGTGAATGAAGAATCGCTGAGAAAGCGAAGGTGACTCAGGCAGGAGCGGAAACTGCACCCTCTGCCCTGGCTCCCTGCCCCGGCGAGCCCCAGAACCTGTCCTGACAGGAGGGAACTGAAGGTAGGAAAAGGTCAGGAGATGGGGAGCCTGAGCGCCCCAGAGTCTGCCGGTCCGCGCAGTGCCCGCTCCTCCAGAAGACGCTCGTGGCCTCCACGCGAGTCTGGAGAACCGTGGCCTGGCTCCCTCGACCCGCATCTCACCTGGGACCCCAGAGATGCCCCCGGCCCCTGGCCTGGCTTCCCCCCAGAGGGCAGGGCCTGGGCAGGTCCCTCGCCCCGGGTTATTCCCCCGTCCCTTTCAGTTGGGCAGCTCCTACCGATTCCTCCCGAGAGATCTCGTGAACGGCCCTTCCAGCCTCCCCCATCGGACTATGCTGCTCATTGGCTGCAGCCTCGGGAATCTCGGCCACGTGGTAGGCGCCAAATTTTGCAGAATGAATGGAATTCGGAATCAGCTGGTGGCTCCGGGGACCTTAGGGTCATTCTAGGTCAGCTCCATGGGTGGAAATGAGCCAGGCTCCCCCCAATCCCCCTTCCCAGTGCCTCCCACCCTCCTCCCCAGGTCTCAAAGAGTTTGGTTCCGGAGGATTAATCTGTCCCTTCCAGTCACTGGGATTTTTCTGGCTTCCAGCCTGGCTTTCATGGGGGAGGGGAGAGGGGTGGCCGCCGGAACCTCGCTGAGGTGACCCCGACTTCCCTCTGCAGCAGCCACCTGCCCCTGCCAATCTCAAGACTTGCGCCCCACGCCCCCGAGGGACCACCTATCACAGCGCAGCCCTCCCAGTTGCGTCATCAGCAGCCAATCAGCGCTTGCTCTGCTGCCGACGGCGGGGAGGATGCGGGGGAACAGGGGGCTCCGGCCTGCAGTGCCCTGGCTGCCCCCGGGACGCCCCGCGTGTCCCAAATTCCGTCGCCATCACCGCCTTCCCAGCGCACAATGACTGGACGCCAGGTCCCTCCGCTCCAGGCTGCGCCTTACTGCTCCTCCCCTCAGTCTTCTCGCAGCTGCTATCCTTAGGGGCACCTGGGAGTGAATGAAGCTGCACGAGGTCCGCGAGCCTCTGCCCAGCCCCTGTCCCTGCAGCCTAGGATGCAAAGGGAGGCTCAGAACCCAGGTCGCCCTGACTGTGGCCTTGGTAAAGTCTGGAAACAGTCCTCAGCCTCTGATATGCCAGATATCCCCAGGGCTGCTGGTTCCGATGTAGGGACCTGCCCAGGGTCTGCACGCTCGGCCCGGTCCATCCTACCACGGCCGCCCCCTGAGGGGCCCAGGGCAGCATCTCCCAGCCCCAGGGGCACCCCAACCTGCTGTGTCTGGGGAAGTGGAAGGCCCGGATCCTCGCAGTATGGGGGCGGAGCTGCCCCTACCACCAAGTCCCCTAGTCGAAGGGCACATGTCAACTAGAGGATAATGTGGGGTCTCCTGGTTTGAGTGTTCCCTGGGCTGCGCCTTCTCAACATCCAGCGTGCCACCGCCAGACACCCCCGAGGTCCCCCGCATGGTGGACGTAGCCTACGAGGAGCCACAGCCACTTCTCACCACAGAACTCCTCCTAATGGCTCTGGGGGTCGCATGGGCCACAGTCCACCCCCTCCCAGCGCTCCATCCCCCGCTTAAGGAGGTGTGCTGGGCCCACGAGCTCCGGAGCACCCACTGGAGCCACGGCCTCCCTCCCACTGCACACTCCCAGCACTGAGCTGGGGAGCCAGGGCGCCTACCTGTCCCGCCAGCCCTCCCACCCACCTCAGCCCCCCCACCCACCTCAGCCCCAAGACACACACAGGCCGGCCTGGGGCTGCAGACTGAGTTATTTTATTTCGCTATTTCCAGTTTGAAGCTACTATCATGGGCGTTTAGAGTTATACAAATGACACTTACAAAAAATAAAAGACCAAGACACCCAGAGTGAGATGCATGTTGGGGACGGGGGAGGCTGGCAGCAGGGGGGCCCCGGCGGCTCACCCCAGGGCTCCCGGAGGGGGCGACGCCTGGCTTCATCCACCCGGGAGGCCCAGGGAGCACCAATCACAGCAGGGGCTCTGGCCCAGGTGTCGGCAGCCCAGGCCCAGGGCTGGGGCTGGACGGGAAGGACGGAAAGAGGGGGCTGAGATGCACCCCCTGGGGAGGGTGCTGAGACGCCCCCCGCCAGATCACTCGCTACTACAGCCAGGCTTGCCTGGGACGCCTCCAGCAATAATATTTCATTAAAAAAAATACTGATTTGGTCATTTTCTGCTTCCAGTCAGGCTAGGGTGAAAGGAAAGAGACAGGAGGAAGACGGCCCCCACACCCCTACCCGCCCGCCACCACCACCTTGGCAGAACGTGCAGCGGGCAGACCCTGTGGCCGTCACGCCCTGCCGCTCCAGGGAAGGGAGCCAGGCTGAGCCTCTGCCACGTGGGAGAGGGGCTGTTTCCAGCCACCACCCAAAAAAACACCACAAGGGTCAGTCCTAGCCCACCCGACAGCTTCCCTTCCCAAGCAGGGGTTTCGGGGACAGTGCACCAGGGAGGGCCACTGACAGGCTTGGGACATGTGCCCAGCTCTCCTGGGGGGCTGGGAGGAGGTGGCTGGGAGAGGCAAAAGATTCCAGTTACACTACACGCCCAGGGCTCCCAGCCCCCAACCGTCCCTTAGCCGCTTCCAGAGAAATAAGGCTCAGAGCCGTCTGAGGTCAGAAGAAAGAGGTGCCAGACTCGCCCCGTGGCAGACAAGAGGGCAGGGGCATCTGAAATCCCTCCCAGGGCCAGGCCGCAGCCGCTGACCCGAGGGGAGTAGGGAACCCGGGCGGAGGGGAGAGTGGGGAGTCCATAGGGGCGACAGGTGGGGGCACCGTTTTCTCTGGGGTTTCCAGTTTGAAAGGCAAGGGGGCTTGCCTCCCGCCCTGGAGCCCACCTGGCGGAGAAGGGGTTAGCAGGGAGGGTTGGCAGGAGCCGCCATGTGGGCAGGGGCGGGGAAGGACGGGCCGGCCCTAGTACTCCCAGAGCGAGGCGGGGTCCACGGTTTCCGCCGAGGCCTTCAGGACGCCTGCGTGGTCGCCCTTCAGGTAGCGCCCGCCCACCTTGATGGCCACCTTGTTATAGTCGCAGAACTCGAAGAAGAAGTCCACAGGAGTGTCGCCGCTGCTGGTGACCGCGGAGTCACTGCCCACCGTCCAGTATTTGCCTGTGGAGTCTGGGGAGGGGACTTTATCAAGTGGGGCCCAAAGCCTGGCTCCCCACCCCTACCCTGGGCAGCGGAGGGTGGGCACGGGTGTTCCCAAGGGTGACGCCCCACCCTCCAGTCCCGGCTCCGGAATGAGCCAGGGTCCCTATGGCCCGCACGTCCTCCTGTCCATGATGGACACATGAACAAGGGTCCTAGAACGTGTTCTGCTCGGCCGCAGTGGCTCACGCCTGTAATCCCAGCACTTTGGGAGGCTGAGGTGGGCGGATCACTTGAGGTCAGGAGTTCGAGCCAGCCTTGCCAACATAGTGAAGCTCCGTCTCTACTAAAAATACAAAACAATTAGCCGGGTGTGGTGGCTCACACCTATAAACCCAGCACTGTGGGAGGCTGAGGTGGGCGGATCACTTGAGGCCACGAATTCAAGACCAGCCTGGACAACATGGTGAAACCCGTCTCTATGAAAAATACAAAAAAATTAGCCAGGCATGGTGGCTCCCACACATAGTCCCAGCTACTCGGGAGGCTGAGGCAGGAGAATCGCTTGAACCCAGGAGGCAGAGGTTGCAGAGAGCCGAGATAACGCCACTGCACTCCAGACTGGGTCTCAAAATAAATAAATAATAAATTTTAAAAATATAAAAATTAGCCAGGCGTGGTGGTGCACACCTGTAATCCCAGCTACTTGGGAGGCTGAGGCAGGAGAATCACTTGAACCCAGGAGGCAGAGGTTGCAGTGAGCCGAGATAACGCCACTGCAGTCCAGCCAGGGTGAGGGAGTGAGTCTCAAAAAAACAAACAAAAAAACCATGTTCTGAATCCTAACAGGCACCTCTGGATTGTTGGGGGTCCTCCTGGGAAGGGGCTCCAGTCCCATAACCGAGGCGCGTCCTCCCCTGCACACCCTTTCCAGAACCTCCCCACCCCTGCTCTCCTCTCCTTCCCGGCTCTCCCCTCCCCTGCTCTCCTCCCTCCCCTTCCCTGCTCTCCTTCCCCTCCCTGCTCTCCCCTCCACACACCTCTCTGTCAGGTGGGCAAGGTAAGTCCCCCCAACCACACAGACAAGAGGGAAAGGGGCTGCTTGCATCCCAGAGCCCCTGGTGGCCATCAGACACCTGTCCCTTTAGGGCCTGGAATGGCCCTGAGCCAAGCCAGGGTCCAGTGTGGATGCAGAGGGCGCTCCCCGCAGCACTGACCCCAGCCCCGACCGAGGGGTTCCCTGCCCAGCAGCTGCCCACAGGAGAACCTGCCTTTGAT
The DNA here is from genome assembly GCF_000001405.40 of Homo sapiens. Classification (NCBI taxonomy): domain Eukaryota; kingdom Metazoa; phylum Chordata; class Mammalia; order Primates; family Hominidae; genus Homo; species Homo sapiens. The sequence goes on along the minus strand of NC_000007.14, from coordinate 5,604,023 downwards.
GTTGTAGGCGCCATCGTTGAACTCCAGCTGGAAGACGTCATAGCTGGAGCGGTTGGCGTCCAGGGTGCCCGTGACCTTGCGGCAGCCGATGAAGCCATGCTCCCCGCGGAACACGATGATGGGGCGGTTGATGAGCTTCATGAGGAAGAGCTCTGAGTCCCCTGTCCCAGAAAGAGGGGAGTCAGTGAGCCTCCTGGCAGGGAGTGGGGTGGAGGCTGGGGTGACCAGAGAGGGAGGGCCAGGAGCTGGGGTCACACAGCAGTCCCCAGGGTAGGACAGTGCGGGGCCAGTCCGGGGGGATGCCCAGCACAGAGCAGGCCTTGGCTGGGGCTACCAAGTGACCACGGCATGGCCAGACCCTCCAGGACTCCAGGACGGCTCCAGGGAACTGGGGCTTTAGTGTTACCTGCTGTCTCCACCGAGGCGGCCAGCTGCCCATTCTTCTTGGAGGTCACAAACTTGCCATTGGACGCCCTCAGTGTGATGCGCCGGTCACGCCACTCGATGTCAAAGTAGCAGCTGGCATTCCTGGGGGATGGCGGGACAGGGTCAGGCGGGGTAGCCCAGGCAAGGTGGTGGGGGCGGTGACAGGTGGGAGCGAGGCACTCACTTGCTGGAGGCGGTGGACTGCACGCCCCCGGTGGCCGTCAGCGTCCAGTACTTGCCCGTGTGGGTACGGAAGGCACACTTTTTGGTGTCGCGGTCGATCTCCAGCTGGAAGGTCTCCTGGTCGGTCTCCTCGTCCTGATTGGCAGACAGGTCCATACCTGCAGAGAGGAGGCCTTGGGCTGGTACTGGGGCCCCACGCCCCCTAGTTCTGGCAGACCATAGCCCTGAGCTCACAGAACTACACACGCAAGGTAACACCACGGGGTGGGGTGGGCGGCCGAGTCCCCACAGTGGCACACATGAGAAGCAGCAGAGAGCACCCAGGAACGCAGGCAGGGCCGGTCAGAGGCCAAGGCAAGCTACATCTGTTCCCACATGACTTTCCCCAGTTAGAGAAATAATAGGGGCCAGGGACAGGGGCTCATGCCTGTGATCGCAACACTTTGGGAGGCCAAGGCAGGAGGATTGTTTGAGTCTAGGAGTTTGAGACCAGCCTGGGCAACATAGCAAGACCCCCACCCCACCCCCGTCTCTACAAATTACTTTTTTTAATTAGCTGGGAGTGGTGGTGCAAACCTGTGGTCCCAGCTACTTGGGAGGCTGAGGCAGGAGGATCGCTGAGGCAGGAGGCTGAGGCTGCAGTGAGCCGTGATTGCACCACTGCACTCCAGCCTGGGTGACACAGTGAGACCCTGTCTCAAAAAAAACAAAAAGAATCAAGAAACCAACTGCACAAAAGACATTCTTGAGCCAATCAGGAGGGTCTTAACGTGGCCCAGAATTAGATGTTAAGCATTGATTACTGTTGATCACGTTGTGGTTACATAAGAAAATGGCCTCGTTTTTTTAGAAACACAGATGGAAGTATTTTGGGATGAAATGCCCTGATGTCAGGGATTTGCTTCAAATACAACCAAAAATGGTATAGAAAAGGACAAATGGGGCTGCAGCACAGCGGAACAGCGCATCTTGGGGGGCCGTGTCTGGGGGTTCATGCTATTGTTCCTGCTTCTATGTAAAAATTAAAATAAAACACGATGGTACATGTTCCTTTCCTTTAGAAAACTTATAAAAGGGCCGGGTGCGGTGGCTCATATCTCCTGCAATCCCAGCCTTTTGGGAGGCCAAGTCAGGAGGATCATTTGAGACCAGGAGTTCAAGACCAGCCTGGACAACTTAGCAAGACCCTACTTAAAAAAAAAAAAAAGGGGCCAGGCACAGTGGCTCACACCTGTAATCCCAGCAGTTTGGGAGGCCAAGGCAGGCAGATCACCCGAGGTCGGGAGTTTGAGACCAGCCTGACCAACATGGAGTCACCCCGTCTCTACTAAAAATACAAAATTGCCTGAGGCTGAGGCAGGAGAATCACTTCAACCTGGGAGGCGGAGATGGCAGTGAGCCGAGATCACTCCAGCCTGGGCAACAAGAATGAAATTCCGCCTCAAAAAAAAAAAAAAAATTTTTTTTTAAGCCCTGTCTCTAAAACAAAAAAAAGGAAACTATGAAGTCCTACACGTCCCCTTCCCACCCCACTGCAGAACACCCCTGTGTTGGCAAATACATCTCTTTCTTTTTGATTCAGGGTCTTGCTCTGTTGCCCAGGTTGGAGTGCAGTGGCACAATCATAGCTCACTGTAGCCTCGACTTCCTGGGCTCAAGTGATCCTCCCACCTCAGCCTCCCAAATAGCTGAGACTACAGGCACACACCACCACATCAAGTTAATTTTTTTTTCTATTTGGTACAGACAGGGTCTGGCTATGTTGCCTAGGATGGTCTTGAACTCCCGGCCTCACATGATCCTCCTAACTCAGCCTCCCAAAGTGCTGAGGTTACAGACACAAGCCACCATGTGCCCAGCCAGTGAACCCACAACTTTCTAGCTGTTTTTTTCTTATACATAAGAAGCATGCGGGTTGCCACGGCGGCTCACGCCTGTAATCCCAGCACTTTGGGAAGCTGAGGCGGGTGGATCACCTGAGGTCATGAGTTCAAGACCAGCCTTGCCAACATGGTGAAACCCCGCCTCTACTAAAAATACAAAAATTAGCTGGGCATGGTGGGGCATGCCTGTAATCCCAGCTACTTGGAAGTCTGAGGCAGGAGAATCACTTGAACCTGGGAGGCAGAGGTTGCAGTGAGCTGAGATTGCACCACTGCACTCCAGCCTGGGCGACAGAGCAAGAATCCATCTCAAAAAAAAAAAAAAAAAAAAAAAGGAAGAAAGAAAGAAACATGCACAGATGTCCTCTGTCTCTGGATTTGCATACTGTTTTCTGTATGGCATCTTTACATGATTCCATGTCCCTAAAAAGTAGAATGGGACTGGCCGGGCACAGTGGCCCACACCTGTAATCCCAGCACTTTGGGAGGCCGAGGCGGGCGGATCATGAGGTCAGGAGTTTGAGACCAGCCTGGCCAACATGGTGAAACCTCATCTCTACTAAAAATACAAAAAAAAGGACCAGGCAAGGTGGCTCATGCCTGTAATCCCAGCACTTTGGGAGGCCGAGGCAGGCGGATCACGAGGTCAGGAGATCGAGATCATCCTAACACGGTGAAACCCGTCTCTATTAATAATACAAAAAAAAAAAATTAGCCGGGCACGGTGGCGGGCGCCTGTAGTCCCTGCTACTCGGGAGGCTGAGGCAGGAGAATGGCGTGAACCCGGGAGGTGGAGCTTGCAGTGAGCCAAGATCGCGCCACTGCACTCCAGCCTGGGCGACAATGCGAGACTCTGTCTCAAAAAAAAAAAAATTAGCTGGGGGTGGTGCCGGGCGCCTGTAATCCCAGCTGCTCGGGAGGCTGACGCAGGAGAATTGCTTGAACCCAGGAGGCGGAGGCTGCAGTGAGCTGAGATCCGCCACTGCACTCCAGCCTGGGCGACAGAGCAAGACTCTGTCTCAGAATAGGACCCCAGGGATCTCTATCTTCGGGAAACTTAAGGTGGCTTTCGGGTTTTGCTCCCCTAAGCTATAGCAAAGCTGCTATTCTTTTTTTGAGAAAGAGAGTCTCGCTGTGTCTCCCGGGCTGGAGTGCAATGGCACGATCTCGCCTCACTGAAACCTCTGCCTCCTGGGTTCAAGTGATTCTCCTGCCTCAGCCTCCTGAGTAGCTGGGATTACAGGCACCCGCCACTATGCCCGGCTAATTTTTTTGTATTTTTAGTAGAGACGGAGTTTCATTATGTTGGCCAGGCCGGTCTCAAACTCCTGACCTCAGGTGATCCACCCACCTCAGCCTCCCAAAGTGCTGGGATTACAGGTATGAGCCACTGCGCCCAGCCCACAATTGCTATTCATTATAACTACATTGCTTTGCATATCCACATGGATTCCTCCAGCTAAAACCTGGAGGTGGGATGTTTGGCTCCAGCAGCACAAATTCACATTCCCCACGCGCTCTGGATTCTAAGAACTGCAGCAGCAGAGGCGTCTGCCGGGCTCTGTATGGGTGCCTGGCTCAGAGCTGGAGAGTGTCTTCGTTTGGGCACCTTGATGCTGCAGGGACCTCAGCGGTGGGTGGCAGGCAGCACCCACAGGAGAGGGAGGCTGGTGGGTGGTAGAGCCCACACCCAGAGGACACATCCTCAATTCCATTTTTTTTTTAGAGATAGGGTCTTGCTCTGTTGCCCAGGCTGGAGTGCAAGTGGCCCAAGCATGGCTCTCTACAGCCTCCACCTCCTGGGCTCAAAGGATCCTCTTGCCTCAGTCTCCCCAGTAGGTGGGACCACAGGCACTCACCACTACACCTGGCTAACTTTAACATTATTTTGTAGAGATGGGGGTGGTCTCGCTATGTTGCCCAAACTCCAGGACTCAAGCAGTCCTCCCACCTTTGCCTCCCAAAGTGCTGGGATTACAGGGGTAAGCCACCACGCCCGGCCTCCCCATCCTGTTCCATCCTGACCCAACCATGCAGCCCCACATCTGCTCCACAGGTGGGGATCTTCATCCTACTTCACAAAGAGGGAGACTAAGGCCGGTGGTGGCATGTCCTTGCCTAAGGTCACACAGCAAGAGAAAGTAAGGGTCTGGCTGGCTCTCTGGACCGGAGGTGGGTGGCCCTCTTGCCACGCCCTTTCCCTGCCCCACCCTCTTGTCTATGGGTTCCTGGCCCCGCCCCTTCTTGGAACCCCTTGGGCTCCACCCCCCAGGTTCCCTGGGGCCCCTTAAGCCGGTAGCCCACCCTCTGCCCTCCGACGAGCATCCACCGCACTGGGTGGGCTGGCTCAGCCACCACACCCCAGCCAAGCACGGGAGGAGGATAAGGTGAGCAGGGGCTGGGTCCCAGGGTGCCGGGACCATCCTAAGGCCACACCCCAGGGAACACGAGGGCTGGGGCCTCTGCTCACTCAGCCCTCCACCAGCCAAGAGGCCCTGCAAAGGTCTGGCCCGCCCCACCCCCACTGCACAGAAGCCGCAGGGCTGCAGGGAGCCGTCAGGCCAGCCACACCCGCACAGCTGCCCTCACCGCCCCCTCATTCTGCTCAGAAGGGCCTGCATGTCTACCTACAGGCAGGGGCCGCACCCTGGGCCCTGGCCTGTGCCGGCCACAGAGCACCACCTGTCCAATGCGCTGGGGCTCCGCTGAAGCCCCGCTGATCGGAGGGAAGTTAGGGACCAGGTAAGAGGACAGCCTCCTGCAGGCCCACCCCAGCAGCAGAAAGGATGGAGGGAGAGGTTCTAGGTCCACCCCAGCAGCAGGAAAAAACAGAGGGCATCAGGGGCTCCAGGTTCCCCAGAAAGAGGGGCAAAAGGAGAAGGGGAGACAGTGGAACAGAAACCACATTAGCACAGCCTCGTCCTAGGGTTTACAGGGCTCGTCCTCACACAGCCTTGCAAATAAGCAGGGCGCTTACCAGCCCGCCTGGAACAAATGCAGGAAGCCGGGAGGCTCCTTCTCAATGAGACTTCCAATGGCTGCGCAGGGCTTAACTGGCGGCAGCCACGGGGCCACGTGTGAATGCACGTCGGCCTTAATCCTCCTGGCAACTCCATGAAATTTACACTAACCTCATCCCCCAAGCCAGAGAAGAAAGGGAGCTTCCCAGCCATTCCTGGGCCCAGGGCCACACAACTGCCGCCATCTGTACCACGACTCAGTCCCCATCAGCCTGTTGCGTTCAATCCTGGAACTGGTTTGATGCAAAGGTTTAGGCCAGCCAGTGAGGCACCCACCGCGGGGGGCCAGGCACCCTTGGATGAGTGCCTTCCCTGCAACCTTCCTCAGTTTCCCCACCTGTCAAAAGGGCCCAGCCTCTCCGCTCCGCCAGGATGTTGAAAGGATTTAGGGGCCTGGTGCCACGTAGACATCAGGCCACACCCCAGCAGGGAGGGATAGGGGAAAGGGGTGTCGTCCCCCCAGTAGAGCAGGGCCCCTCCTGGCTCCAAGGCCCTCGCTTGGCCTTGGAGTCTCTAATTAGAGCTGTGTTACTATGGGAACAGTGTTTTCTTCAGGATTTTTCTTTTCATCAACAGAGGCACAGAAATCCTGAGTCACAGGCCCACAGAAGCCCCCGGGAGCCAGGAGATTAAGAGTCTCCTGTGCCGGGCCCACGGGTACCTCTCCCTCCTCCTTCCAGAGAGGTCTAGCCCTGCCTGTCCTCCCCTCACAGTGGCCTTCCCTGTTTCCAGCCTTTGAGCCATCCTCTCTTTTTTTTTTTTTTAACTTTTTTCTTTTAATTATTTTAATTACAGTTTTTTGTTTGTTTGTTTTGGTTGTTTTTTTTGTTTTGTTTTGTTTTTTGAGATGGAGTTTCACTCTTGTTGCCCAGGCTGGAGTGCAATGGTGCGATCTCGGCTCACTGCAACTTCCGCCTCCCGGGTTCAAGGGATTCTCCTGCCTCAGCCTCCAGAGTAGCTGGGATTACAGGCATGCGCCACCACGCCCGGCTAATTTTTGTGTTTTTAGTAGAGATGGGGTTTCTCCATGTTGGTCAGACTGGTCTCAAACTCCCGACCTCCAGGTGATCCACCCACCTTGGACTCCCAAAGTGCTGGCATTACAGGCGTGAGCCACCGCACCAGGCCAAAAAAAATTTTTTTAAGACAGGGTCTCGTTCTGTTGCCCAGGCTGGAGTGCAGTGGCACGATCTCGGCTCACTGCAGCCTCAAACTCCCCGGCTCAAGTGATCCTCCCATCTAAGCCTCCTGAGTAGCTGGGACGACAGGCGTGCATCACCATGCCTGGCTAATTTTTTGTATTTTTTGTAGACAGAGGTTTTGCCATGTTTTCCAGGCTGGCCTTGAACTCCTGGGCTGAAGCCATCTTCCCTCCTTGGCCGAAGCCATCTTCCCTCCTTGGCCTCCCAAAGTGCTTGGATTACAGGCGAGAGCCAGTGTGCCTGGCCTTCTGAACCATTCTGTCTGTGGTGGCTCAGAGGGGCACCCCCTGGTTGCCTCACACCCTCCAGTCCCCATCACCACCCCCAGGCCTTAACGGTCCCCAGATGCCCCTGGCTTGTTCAAAACAGGCACTCCTTCCATCTCATTTAGGGGAGGGGGCCTGGAATGTTCTATGGCTTCACCTTACCACCCCGGTTTCCAGTCGATTCCTGCAACTACTTGGCCATTTCAAATGCCTCTGCATCCTTATACAAGCCATTCCCTGGGCTCAGAATGCCCTGCGCCTCGTGGGGAGAACTCTTACACATCCTGCAAAGCCCAGCTTGACGAGCCCTTCCTCAGTCAGCCCTCCTCAGAGTGGCTGGGAGAGGGCATGTCCCAAGCCAGCAGGGAGGACAGGTCCTATCCCTGGCATGGATCCCCAGATGCAAGCACAGGCTGGCGGGAGAGGACTCCCAGATGTGAGAGATGTGAGAGAAGACAGGAAGTGTGGTGAGGCATGGCCCAGGGTCGGGGCCAGGGTAGGTGTGGATCCTGGGGAGCAGGGAGGAGCCTGGGGCATGGCGGGAGGACAAAGGAGCACTCACTCAGCTGACCCAGCCTCTGGTGTGAAGGGCTGAAAGCCCCTGCCCAGGGCAGCTCTGGGCCAGCCCAAGGAGGCCTGGAATGCACACTTTACAGATGGGGAAACTGAGGCTGAAGAGCAGGGCGCAGCGTTTTTCAAAGGGGAGCACCCTGCCCCCACCGGGCCCGCCCGTGCAGGCCTGCAGAGATGATTCACATCCCCCCTGCCAGCTAAGTCCGGATCCTCCCCTTCCTGGCTGGCGTTCCCCAGCATGTGTGTCGGAAGCAGACGCCTCCCCCTTGCCACGCAGGCCCGTCCAAAATGGCCTCTGCAGACACGCCCCCCACGCCCACCCCTGCAGACTCCAGTTCCCAAAAGCCCCCCGGGAGTTGGCTGACATAGAAACGAGATAAGGACCCCAAGATCTGAGGCCAGAGGAGCCCCAACCTCGGCCCCCAAGTACCCCCACCCCCGCGCCGTCCCACATCCCTTTCAACTCCAAGCTGAGCCATCACCACCACCTCTCCTGGCTGCAATTTCTGGTTCCTCCCACCCTATCAGCCTGAATCACACACCAGACGCCCCCAGCAAGCTTCTCAGGAGAGGGGAGTTATCTGCCCAGGCTCGCCAAAAACACCCTCAGGCTCTCTGCAACTTCCTGGCCCCCAGGGCCAAGGCCACCTACTTCTGCGACTTCTTCCCCACGGGAGGCTGTGGCTGCAACCCCAAGGCAAGGACCATAGCCCTGCACTAAGCTCTCACCCAAGGTCCCGTGGCCCAGACCTCACAAGCTTCCTCCCAGCCACACTGGGCTTTCTCTGTACCTTCCTGCCATAAGACCTTTGCACAGGAGACACCCACAGCCTACAACGCTGGTCCACACAGCACCCCCCCCATACCTGCCACCTTCTATTCATCCTTCAGGCCAGCTCAAATGTCCTGCTCAGAAAGGACTCAGCCATCTAATAACCTGTACCCGCTGCCTTTTCCTTGACACTTCGTAATGTCCCCAAGAGAACGTGAACCCCACTGGTTCACTCATGGCTCAGCAGGTCCCCTTAGTAGGGCTCAATGCCTGCTGATCAGGTGAGGAGCTCTGCCCGCCATGCGCTGTGGGAAACAGGAAACGGGGTTTCTGGAGCCAAATGCACCCACTTCTGCATGCTGCTTCCTTGTGGTCACTTGCTGTGTGACCCATGACAAGCAGCTTCACCTCTCTGGGACTTAAGGTAGCAAACTTCAGGCACAAAATGGCCATTACCCCACCCAGGCCTCCACCCTCACCCCCACTGCCATGGGGGGTCTTTCCCCCTCCTGCAGAGCCCACAGCCAAGAGGGGGGCCGTCAGGAGGGCTCCTTCCAAGAGGAGGGATGAGGACACAAACTGGGCTCCCGTCCAGCCATCTCCAAGGCCTGGGGTCCGACTTCCTATCCAGGGAAAAAGATCCCCCCACGCCCCTCCCTCCAGCGGGGCCTCTGTCTGCAAGCAAGGAACAGCTTCTCCGCCAGGAGTGGAAGAGGACGCCAAAAGGAAGAGAAAGCCCCTCGGGGAGAATCTGAGAAAGAAGGGAAAGAGTGGCGCACAGGCCGGTCGCAAATAGCCGTGCCTGCAGGAGGCCCCGGAGGGGACGGATCGAGTTGCAGTCAATTGTTCCCGGCGAGCGCCCTAGGGGATGGGTTCACCAGAGGGTAGGGGCTTCCCGAGGGAGCTGGCCTGGGGTCTCCCGGCTCGCGCTGAAGCCGCCCTCGGTCGCCCGCGGAGCGGAGCTCAGCGCACCGGCCTGGAGACGCGCGCGGCGGGCGAAGGGCGGGGTGCCTGGAGGGCCGCCATCCGCGCCACGCCGTTCCCGGGCCGCGGCGCGAGGAGGGAGACCGCCTCCTGGGGAACCTCGGGACCCGAGCCCTGGGCCCGGGGGCGGCGCGGGGGGCTCCTCTGCAGGGGTGAACCGCAAAAGCCGATCCCCTCCCCCGCCCCGCCGCATCTGGTTTTCCCATCTGCAGAGATGGAGCAGGACAAAGGGGGCGAGGGAGGACCCAGTCGAGGCGACCCGCCCCCCTGCTCACAAAGGCCGCGGCCTCGAGCGCGGGGCAGACGCGGGAGGAGGGGCTGGGGGGAAGGGCTGACACCCCGCGCCCCCCCCCACCAGCGGAGGCCGACCCCGCCCGGCAGCGGGAGGAGGTGGAGGAAGGCCGGGCAGACGGGGAGGTGGAGGCGCGCCCCGCCGGGATCAAAGGCCTGGCTAACCTCCCCCATCTCGCCCGCGAAAGGCTGCCGGTGGGGGTGGAGGCGCGCCCTTGCGGGTGGCGACCCTTGCCTCGGACCCCCGAGCTCCAGGACAGCCGGCGGGGGGAGGGGCACGAGGAAATGGGTGAGGGGCTCCCACTCCGCAAGAGCTGGGACAGCTGATCCGAGGGATCAGCGCGCGTGGGGAGAGCCAAGATTGGGCGGGGGGGGGGGTTAGGAGGGTGCACGTACGGTTGCGACTCCGCGGGGCCTAGGGGAGCCCATGATCCCAGCCCGGGGTGGGAGGTGGGCAGCGGCACCCGAGGATGGGCAAAGCCCCACTCCTCGCCCCCTCCAGGCGGGGTAGCCCGCGTGCCTAGCGGGGGCGCAATGGGCAGTGCTCCGGACCGCAGCGGCGCCGCGAGCGAGAAAGGGCGGGAGGCTGGAGGGGCGCGGGTGGGGTGCGCTTTGTGCACGGACCAGGAGAGGCGGGGGCAGCGTCCCCACTCACCCTGGCGCGTGGACACGTTCCTCTCGTTGGCCGCCTGCAGCACGACCTGGGCGCAGCTCTGCTCCAGAGCAAAGAGCTCGTCCTTGCCCACCTTGGTGGCCTTGCCCGCCTTGAGCGTGCCGCTGGGCCCCGACGGCGCCAGGTAACGGCCCTCGCAGTCGCGGAAGGCCACCTTGCCGGAGCGGAACTCCAGCGTGTAGCCAGTGGCCGGCTCGGGGCGCGCCACCAGGCGCCCGTCGTGGCGCAGGAAGCGGTGGTCGGCGGTCTGCACGCTGTAGCGCTGGTCCTGGAAGGCGAGGGTGATGAGCGAGTCGACGCCCCAGGGCACGTCGCGGTCCACGGCGATCTCGTCGGCCGGCCGCGCGCTCAGGTGCGCGTAGCGCTTACGGGTGACGCTGTAGATGTTGACCTGAGGGTGCATGGCGATGTGCACGCTCCACTTCTCGGCGGGGGACACCGTCTGCGCGAAGCAGGACAGGCGGTCCTCGGTGCCGCCGAAGTAGCGCCGGTGCGCCTCGGACTGCAGCGACCAGCGACCGTCGTCGTGCGCCACGATGAGGAAACGGCAGTCGGGACCGGGCACCTCGCGCTCGCAGGTCACGTTGCCGTCCTTGTCCGCCGCCAGGTAGCGGCCCAGGTGGCTGCGCAGGCACACGGCCGCGCTGCCCGCCTCGTCAGGGGGCTGCTCCAGCGTCCAGATCTGCTTCTTCTTCAGGCTGCTGGCGGACGCGTTCACCTTGAACCCGAACGCCTCGGCCGTCAGGTACTTGTTGCCGCAGTTGATGAGGCCGAACTGGATCTGCACCGCCTCGGCTGTGCCGTTGGCGGTCATGGTGGCAGTAGACGAGAGGCCGCTGCGCGGCCCCGGGAGGTGGGTGGCGGGTCCCTGCGGCGGCGCCCCTGCTCCTTTGTTCGGCTGCCGCGGCCCGCACGCACCCTCCGCAGCGCTCCACAAAGCCCAGCTAGCGGCGCCCCGGACATTTTATAGGCGAGGTGACGTCAGCGCCACCAGGCCACGCCCCCCTGTCCCGCCCCTGGCTCCGCGCGGGAGGGGCCCCGGGCCGAGGGACCCGGCGCTGCGGCCCCCGCTGCTGCCCCGCCGGTGCTCTCACCCCACCGGTGTCCTCGCCGCACCCCGCAGCGCCGCCGCCTGAGGACATCACCCCTCACAACCCCGGCTCCCCGCGCCAGCCACCTAACCCCCCCGGATGTCCCCCACCTCGGACACCCCGACCCCAAGCCTCGCTAGGAGCAAGGACGAGCGAGGTTTGAGGTCACGATGGAGACTTCAGAGACCACGGTGCAGATCGGTACTGGGCGAAGGTGGGGGTCTGAGGGCTGCCTGGAGGAGGTGGCCTTGGAGCACATAGCCTTACAGAAGCCCAGAGGCAGACGAGGGAAAGAGGCTGGGAGCTGACAGCGCGGTGGGGACCCGGTGAGGCCAGGACCTGGGACCCACAGACCCCAACACGCCCAACTAGGTTGTCTCCGAGGCCCTGCAGCCTGGCCCTCCTATGCAGAGATGTGGTTCCTTGAGGCTTCAGCCCCACAGCCGCTGCCCTGAAGACCACCAGGACCCCTCCGTGTGGCCCAGGCACCCGCCTCGGGTGGCCCAAATAGGTCTCCGGGAGAGTGGTTGAGTCAGTGGCCGACATTCCCAATGCTGGCGATGCCAGGGTTCAGGTCCCACCTGGTGGTGAGTGGGCAGGACAGGAATTGGTGTTCTCGTTTTTTGACACGGATCACAGAGGTCCAGCAACTGTGAGCCAGACCAGCCCAGGTCTCTGGTTCCCAGGCCAGTGTCCCTTCCCCTCCCAAGCCCCAATTTCATGGGACTCTGAGCTGGTCACACAGGAGGGACATGGTGCTGGCTACAGCCCCCCCCCCCATCCTCAGAATCCCAACCCTCCATCCTCCTCCCCCAAAGGGGACATTCCCTGCAGACACCACCTCCCACGCCCTCACCCACCCCCTCTAGGGACACTTCCCTTTTCTGCGCCTCACCGAAGGCTGAGGCTTTTCCTGGACATTCCCCACATGCCAAAAGGCCCCTGGAATGCCAGCATGACCACAGGCTGCCCACAAGGTCTCAGGCCGGGCACTGAGATAACTCCGGGCCCTCAGCCGGCTCGCTGATAAACTGGGATTGCTGGGGCTGGTCCGAGCCTGTGTCTGCCCCAGGCAATCCCAGCCAGGGGCTTTCAGTGCGCGGGGGAAGATGGTGTCACCTTCTTGCCATCCTGCTTCAAATGGGTTTACCGGCAGGGCCTTGAGCCCCAGAACCCGCACGCCCCTGGCAACCCCTCCCACAGACACTGACGTTGTGGCTGTTAATTTTGGGCTTTGGCCAGAACCCCCTCCCATCAGCCCTCAACCGCAAGCCAACATGTTTTTGTGCTTCTTTGCTCTGCCCTGAGCCATATACTATGGAAAAAATCAAGGTTTAGCTGGGTGTGATGGTGCATGCCTGTGGTCCCAGCTACTCAGGAGGCTGAGGAAAGAGGATTCCTTGAGCCCAGGAGGTGGAGGCTGCAGTGAGCTATGACAGTGCCACTGCACTCCAGCCAGGTACAGTGGTTCACACCTGAAATCCCAACACTTTGGGAGGCTGAAGCAGGAGGATCGCTTGAGGCCAGGAGTTCAACCTGGGCAACATAGCAAGATCTCATCTAGATAGATAGATAGATAGATAGATAGATAGATAGATAGATAGATAAATAGACGATAGAAAATGCCTTGGCTTGAATGCCTCTGGTGATGGGGCTGCCACTGTCCTCTGTCCATTGCCAGTGCAGGTGATAGGTGTTTGTCCTGCTCTAGATTGGGTACAGATGTGAGTGAGTGAGCCCTGGTCCACAGCTGCTGCCAGGAAATGTGTCCTTGTGGACAGAACGAGCTCCAGATGGCCATAGAGCTCCGGACGGGGGAAAAGAGAATCTCGGGGTTTTGTTTGTTTGTTTTTCAGACGGAGTCTTTCTCTGTCGCCCAGGTCGGAGTGCAGTGGTGCAATCTCGGCTCATTGCAACCTTCACCTCCAGGGTTCAAGCGATTCTCCTGCCTCAGCCTCCTGAGTAGCTGGGATTACAGGCATCCACCACCACGCCCGGGTAGTTTTTTGTATTTTCAGTAGAGAAGGGGTTTCACCATGTTGGCCAGGCTGGTCTTGAACTCCTGACCTCATGATCTGCCCGCCTGGGCCTCCCAAAGTACTGGGATTACAGGAGTGAGCCACCGTGCCCGACCACAGAGTAGCATTTTCGAAAATCATTCCTGCTCGGCACCATGCCCTGTCCTCACCTTGCCTGCATCTCGCTTACGATGGGCACCTCTGTGTCCGGGGCAGGACAAGCTGCCCTTGAACAAGTCACATGATCCTTCCTGCAGGCCCCACCCCAAGTCCCTCCGGGGAAGGATGGGGACATGGACGCTGTGTTCCTGGGCCCTTCGGGAACCCAGGTGCCATCTGAGCCACCTTGGTACGAGGGCGTGGCACGAGGTGAGGCCAGTCCTGAGCTCCTCCCAGGCTGGCCACTGGACACCATGCAGCAGGCTCTGCAGGGGAAAGTGAGGCCACCAGGAAGGGCTGCTCAGCTCACCCTGGACTCAGTTCCCTGAGTGAGGACTCGGACCCTGTCCTACCCAACCAGACTGCCACTTACAAAGCAGGAGTCAACAACCAAAGGCTGCGGGCTGCTCCTTCTGGCTGCACAACCTCCCTCTCCCAGGCACTTCCCTGGGGCTTCCTGCTGCGCCCTCCCTGGGGACCCCCTTCTCACCGCAACGTTGCAGCCTCACACCCTCCTCAACAGCTTTTTTTTAGGCCTGAGCCCTGTGCTAGGTCTTGACTGTAGTCCAAAGACCAGGATTTGGGGCCTGGGGGCAAAATATACCCCTTCTAGAAGCTTCGGTTCTTCATCTGTGCAAGGACAGGGGTGGGAAAGCCCTGAGTTGTTTTTTTTTTTTTGCGGGGGATAGGGAGAGACGGGGTCTCACTCTGTCACCCAGGCTGGAGTGCAGTGGTGCCATCACAGCTCACTCCCGCCTCAAACTCCTGGGCTTAAGCAATCCTCCCACCTCAGCTTCCCAAATTGCTGGGGGTACAGACATGCACCACCATGCCCGGCTAAATTTTTTTTTTTTTTTTTGAGATAGAGTCTCGCTCTGTTGCCCAGGCTTTAGTGCAGTGGCGCGATCTCGGCTCACTGCAAGCTCCGCCTCCCGGGTTCACGCCATTCTCCTACCTCAGCCTCCCGAGTAGCTGGGACTACAGGCGCCCGCCACCACGCCCGGCTAATTTTTTTTTTTTTTTTTGAGACGGAGTCTCACTCTGTCTCCCAGACTGGAGTGCAGTAGTGCGATCTCGGCTCACCGCAACCTCCACCTCGATGGTTCAAGCGATTCTCCTGCCTCAGCCTCCTGAGTAGCTGGGACTACAGGCGCGTGTCACCACGCCCGGCTAATTTTTGTATTTTTAGTAGAGACAGGGTTTCGTCATGTTTGTCAGGCTGATCTCGAACTCCTGACCTCGTGATCCGCCGGCCTCAGCCTCCCAAAGTGCTGGGATTACAGGCATGAGCCACCACGCCCGGCCTATTTTTTGTATTTTTAGTAGAGACGGGGTTTCACCGTGTTAGCCAGGATGGTCTCAATCTCCTGACCTCGTGATCCACCCGCCTCAGCCTCCCAAAGTGCTGGGATTACAGGCGTGAGTCACCGCGACCGGCCTATTTTTTTTTTTTTTAGAGATGGGTTCTCACTATATTCCCCAGGCTGGCCTTGAGCTCCTGGGCTCGAGTGATCCTTGCACCTCTGCCTCCCAAAGGGCTGGGATGACAAGTGTGAGCCACCATGCCCAGCCTGCCCTGAGTCTCTGTTGCCATCCTGGGAGCTTCCTGCCCAGGGTCATCATTAAAGTTGTGTGACCCCAAGCCAATCCCTCATTCCCTCCCGAGCCTCGTTTCCCTTCTCTCAAGGGGAGATAAATGTGGCTGGCCCAGGCGTCTGTATGGGACCAGAAATGCTGTCCATGTTACAAACGCACAGATGTCAGCGGCTCAGCCCTCTGTAAATGAGCGGCCTCGTGGCCGAGAGCCTGTGAATGGCGTCTCTGTTGCTGTGCAGCCGCTGGCTCTGTGGCACCCGCGAGGAGGCCTGGTACGGCCAGCGCCCTGCATGGGACCCTGGGGAGTGGGAGGAGCTGATTCTAGGGCAGGAGTCCTGCCAGGCCTGGCTTCCCGGCTGACCACAGGGCCACAGGACAGCTGTGCCCTCCAGGGCCCTGAGCCACACTACAGCATGGTCAGCCAGAGCCCGGGAGGACAGGACCAGGCTGTCACTCCCACTGTCCTGCCTCTACCAACATCTCTACCAATTATTATTATTATTATTATTATTATTATTATTATTATTATTTGAGATGGAGTTTCACTCTTTTTGCCCAGGCTGGAGTGGAATGGTGCAATCTCGGCTCACCACAAGCTCTGCTTCCCAGGTCCAAGTGATTCTCCTGCCTCAGCCTCCCAAGTAGCTGGGATTACAGGTGTGCGCCACCACGCCCTGCTAATTTTGTATTTTTAGTAGAGACGGGGTTTCTGCATGTTGGTCAGGCTGGTCTCGAACTCCCGATCTCAGGTGATCTGCCCTCCTCGGCCTCCCAAAGTGCTGGGATTACAGGCGTGAGCCACCGCACTGGACCTGATTAATTTTTTTAAAACAGGGTCTCGGCCAGGCCCGGTGGCTCATGCCTATAATCCCAGCAATTTAGGAGGCCAAGGGGGCATGGATCACCTAAGGTCAGGAGTTCAAGTCCAGCCTGGCAAACATGGTGAAACCCTGTCTCTACTAAAAACACAAAAAATTAGCCAGGCGTGGT
Source organism: Homo sapiens (assembly GCF_000001405.40). Classification (NCBI taxonomy): domain Eukaryota; kingdom Metazoa; phylum Chordata; class Mammalia; order Primates; family Hominidae; genus Homo; species Homo sapiens. The sequence continues at coordinate 5,587,896 of NC_000007.14, read as the reverse complement.
GGCACACGCCTGTAATCCCAGCTACTTGGGAGGCTGAGGCGGGAGAATCTCTTGAAGCCGGGAAGCAGAGGTTGCAGTGAACCGACATTGCACCACTGCACTCCAGCCTGGGTGACAGAGTGAGACTCCATCTCAAAATAAATAAAAATAAAATAAAATAAAACAAGGTCTCATTCTCTTACCCAGGCTGGAGTGCAGTGGTACAATCAGAGCTCACCCCAGCCACAAACTCCTGGACTCAAGTGATCCTCCCACCTCAGCCTCCCTTGAATAGCTAGGACTACAAGTGTATGCCTCCAGGCCTGGCTAATTGTTTTTAATTTTTTGGTAGAGGCAGGGATCTCATTGTATTGCCCAGGCTGGGGTCCCAAACTCCTGATCACAAGTGAACCTCCTGCCTCAGCCTCTGAAAGTGCTGGGATTACAGGCATGAGCCACCGTGCCCAGCTCCCTGACAATTTCTGGCTGCATGGACTTCTGGTTACAAGCAGGGAAACTGAGGCCTGGATACAGCAAACAGGATCTGGCCCAGCTTTAAGTGGGGAACATGCAGTTTGGGGGACCCAGGCTCATAGTTCCCATGGGATTTGCAAAGAGGGATGTGGGTGGAGGTGTGACCTCCCCACCACTGCTCCAGGACCTAAACTGTAACCCTTCAAAGACAGGAACTCACCTGTGGATCCATACATGAGCTGCCCTGTGCAGGGGAGGCTCCAGAGTTAACTGTGCAGTCCAGGAGGGCCTTCAGGAGGAGGTGATGCCTACACTGGGTGAATAAGAGTTCAAGGGGGCAGAGCCAGGCAAGGCAGGAGCAAAGGAAAATAGGTGGGGGACCTGGAATCTGGCCCTGAAAACGTGTTCCTTGATATCTTTTCTGTTTCTGTCACTCTTCTGTTGATGATGACCAGAGGTCGGGGCCTGGATTGGCTTCAGTGGGGACTCAGAGGCCGCACCTTCTGGCCATGGTACTCACCTGGCCATCCCCCCTACTCACCCGGTGGCCGATGCTGGTCCTGCTCCAAACCCAAGTGCGTTCTGCAAAGTGAGGCCGCAGCGGCAAGTGCTTGGCAAGTGCCTGGCTAATTAAGAGGACATTAGCGCCCTGGGCAGAGCCCGGCTCCTGCCAAGATGTCCCTGCCAGGAGAGGGGCTGCCGGCTGCTGCCAGGCCTTGGCCTCCCTGCTTGGCCGCCACCTCATCCTGCTTTCACTGAGGGCCGGGGCCCGGCATGCCAGGGCTCTCCCCGGCCCCGGCACCAGTGCCCAAGACACCTCAGTCTTGAACGGTCCTCCTGCCTCTGGCCTCAGGCCCCACCTGCCACTCACTCCTCCCTGAGCCTGCACCATCTGCCACTCACTCCTCCCTGAACCACCTCTGCTGTAAACACCCACCGGGCCAGGCGTGGTGGCTCATAGTGACGTCACCGTCAGCCGGGAGGACCCAGGCACCTGTTCTTCTCCAATTCAGCAAGGTGAATTGGAGCACTGGTTTTGGTTTGTTCTTTTTTGTTTGTTTTGAGACAGAGTCTCACTCTGTTACCCAGGCTGGAGGGGCGGTGGTACAATCTTGGCTCACTGCACTCCGCCTCCCAGGGAGGCCTCAGCCTCTGGAGTAGCTGGATTACAGGCATGCACCACTACACCCAGCTAATTTTTGTGTTTTTAGTAGAGACGGGGTTTTGCCATGTTGGCCAGGCTGGTCTCAAACTCCTGACCTCAGGTGATCCGCCCGCCTCGGCCTCCCAAAGTGCTGGGATTCCAGGCGTGAGCCACCACGCCCAGCCCGAGCACTGTTCTGACCGATTTCTGAGGCTCACGGGGGCAAAAATCAGAATAAGCATCGCTCTCAGTGACAATGCTACGACCTCCACCTTCATCACCTCCATCCCACCCACCCGGGCAGCCAAGGTAGGTTCCTGAAGGTGGTCAAATCCAGGGCGCCCCTCTCCACCCCACACTTCTCCCGTGGCTCCCCAGTGCCCCAAGAGGGCCCAAAGCCCTGAAGGCTCTGGGCTCCTGGGGGGCCTCTGCCCATCTCTCCTGCCACCCTCCCTTCTCTTCTCCCCGCCAGTCCACCTCTCCAACCTCGATGCCATTGCACCTGCTGTGCCTGTTGCCTGCCCAACAAAGCTGCCTGCCAAAGCCCTGCTCATCCCAAAGACTCTGGCTCAGACATCACCCACCTCCTCTGGGGTGGCGCCTGCCTCCACGCTTGTAATCCCAGCTCCCGGCCCCTTCCGTGAGCACCCCCAGATGGGAGCTTGGCACTTTCACCAGGTTTGGGTGTCCCAGGGCTTGGGGCAGGCATCTGGCCCAGCGCCGTCCAATAGAACATTCTGCAATAATGGAAATGTTCTTTTTTCTTTATTTGATTTTTTTTGAGACAGAGTCTCCCTCTGTTGCCCAGGCTGAAATGCAGTGGTGCGATCACAGCTCACTGCAACCTCCGCCTCCCAGGCTCAAGCGATTCTCCCACCTCAGCCTCCCGAGTAGCTGGGACCACAAGTGTGCACCACCGAGCCCAGCTAATTTAAAAAAAAAATGTTTTTGTAGAAACTGGGTTCTTGCCATGTGGCCTATGCTGGTCTCAAACTCCTGGCCTCAAGTGATCCTCCCACCTCAATCTCCCAAAGTGCTGGGACTTACAGGTGTGAGCCACTGTGCCTGGCCTGGAAATGTTCTTTTTTTTTTTTTTCTTTTTGAGATGGAGTTTCGCTCTTGTCCCCCAGACATGAACAACCGCGCCAGCCCTGGAAAGGTTCTATAAGCTTCTCTGCCCGTTAACAAGAGCTGTCCTTGACACATGTGGCTTTTGAGCAATAGTGAGAAACAAACAAAAAAACCCTTTGCCCTTTGATGTGAGAAATGCCAGCCCCCTTAAATTATCAGGCCCAGAAAGGCATTTAAAATGTAACAGCAGTCAATGAAACAAGTCATACCAAAAAGCCACATTGCTCTCTCCTAAGCCCCAACCCCACTCCATTCCTGTGGCCAGTGGTCCAAACAGAAAATAACTGGAGAAGACAAGGAGGTCAAAGGATCAGGGAACTAAGCATTATGTGAGTTCACCAGCAAGATGTATAGAATGCTGGTGTTTACATTGCTTTTATGGAACTAGCAGAATAAAAATGATTAAAAAAAAAAAAGTAACAGCAGTTAAAAGGCCGGGCGTGGTGGCTCATGCCTGTAATCCTAGCACCTTGAGAGGCCGAGGCCGGTGGATGACAAGGTCAGGAGTTCGAGACCATCCTGGCTAACATAGTGAAACCCTGTCTCTACTAAAAATACAAAAATTAGCCGGGCTTGGTGGCACACGCCTGTAATCCCAGCTACTCGGGAGGCTGAGGCAGGAGAATCACTTGAACCTGGGAGACAGAGGTTGCAGTGAGCCGAGATCGCGCCATTGCACTCCAGCTTGGGCAACAAGAGTGAAACTCCGTCTCAAAAAAAAAAAAAAGTAACAGCAGTCACATCTCACTTTCTATTGAGCTAAATAATTACGTCCTGAAGCTACTTGCTACATGGACTCTGGGCTCTGGACCAGCTAATGCCCAAGTGGCCACAGACGCCATCCACCCTGTGGGTCTGTCTACAACATATAACCAATCACTAGCCAAAGTTATTTCTGTAAGCCAATGAGAATTCCGAATGAACAGAGCTTGTAATTGTCTCCTGTCCTGATTCGTCCTTTTCTTCTTTAAAAAGTTGAGCCTCCACTCCTGTTATCGCAGCACTTTGGGAGGCCAAGGTGGGCGGATCACCTGAGGACAGGAGTTTGAGATCAGCCTGGCCAACATGGTGAAACCCCGTCTCTACTAAAAGTACAAAAATTAGCTGGGCGTGAGCCACTGCGCCTGGCCTCTTTTCTTTTTTTGGTGGGGTCTTGCTCTGTCACCCAGGCTGGAGTGCAGTGGCGTGAATTTGGCTTACTGCAACCTCTGCCTCCTAGACTCTGTAGCAGGATGAGCCGCAGACAAAACTCAGACACCGAGTTAAAGAAGGAAGGGGTTTATTTGGCCAGGGGCATCAGCAAGACTCCTGTCTCAAGAGCCAAGCTCCCCGAGTGAGCAATTCCTGTCCCTTTTAAGGGCTCACAACTCTAAGGGGGTGCACGTGAGAGGGTCGTGATTGAGCAAGCAGGGGGTACGTGACTGGGGGCTGCATGCACCGGTAATTAGATCAGAACAAAACCAGATAGGGATTTTCACAGTGCATTTCTATACAATGTCTGTAGTCTATAGATAACATCACCGATTAGATCAGGGGTCGATCTTTAACTACGAGGCCCAGGGTGTGGCGCTGGGCTGTCTGCCTGTGGTTTTCATTTCTGCCTTTTAGTTTTTACTTTTTCTTTCTTTGGAGGCAGAAATTGGGCATAAGACAATATGAGGGGTGGTCTCCTCCCTTAACTCAAGTGATCCTTCCACCTCAACCTCCTAAGTAGCTGGGACTAAAGGAATGCAACACCATGCCCAGATAGGTTTTTGTATTTTTTTGTAAAGACAAGGTCTCACCATGTTGTCCAACCTGGTCTCAAACTCCTGGCTGTAAGCAATCCTCCCACCTCAGCCTCCCAAAGTGCTGGGATTACAGGTATGAGCCACCACACCTGGCCCACTTTTTTTCTTTTTCTTTCTTTCTTTTCTTTTTTTTTTTTTTTTTTTTTTTGAGACAAAGTCTCACTCTGTCACCCAGGCTGGAGTGCAGTGGCATGACCTCGGCTCACTGCAACCTCCACCTCCCAGGTTCAAGCGATTCTTCTGCCTCAGCCTCCTGAGTAGCTGGGACTACAGATGTGTGCCACCAAGCCCAGCTAATTTTTGTATTTTTAGTAGAGATGGGGTTTCACCATGTTGGCCAGGCTGGTTTCGAACTCCTGACCTCATGATCTGCCCACTCAGCCTCCCAAAATGCTGGGATTACAGGTGTGAGCCACCACGCCTGGCCCACTTTTTCTAATTCATACATGGGCACTGTCGGGGCAGTGGAGTCTCACCTCACCCCTATTTCCCTGGGCCATTCCCAGACCCCTTCGGGAACTCCCTCTTGCAGTCATGGTAGCTTCAAATGCAAGAAAGAGAAAACTCTAACTCAACTGGCTAACCAGCAAGATGTTTCATTATAGCAAGAAACAAGAAGCCCCAAAGAGGGGAGTTTCCAGGGTTGGTTCACTGTAACAGAGCTGGAAAGGACCCTGGAACTTCCCCCACTTCTCACTCTGCCTTCCCTGTCAGGTGAACTCTGCCTTCAGGCTCAGGTCCTCAGAATCTCAAGGCAGCTGCCAGGGCTCCAGACATCACATCTCCCCAGCACTATCTAAAACAGACTTTTGAGAAATTATGAACCTTCTCACAGTATCAAGTTTTTAAATGCACAAGATAAAATGCATATGAATATAAAGAAAGCCAGTTATGACCAGGTGTGGTCGTGGTCGATCTCAGCACTTTGGGAGGCCAAAATGGACAGATTGAATGAGTCTAGGAGTTCAAGACAAGGCTGGGCAACATAGCAAGACCCTGTCTCTGCAAAAAGTAATTGCCTCAGCCAGGCATGGTGGCTCATGCCTGTAATCCCAGCACTTTGGGAGACCAAGGCCAGCGGATTATCTGAGATCAGGAGTTCGAGACCAACATGGTGAAACCCCATCTCTACTTAAAAAAATACAAAAATTAGCTGGGCGTGGTGGTGGGCGCCTGTAATCCCAGCTACTTGGGCAGCTGAGGCAGAAGAATCACTTGAACCCAGGAGGCGGAGGTTTCAGTGAGCCAAGATTTTGCAACTGCATTCCAGCCTGGGTGACAGAGCAAGACTCCATCTCAAAAGAAAAAAAAAGAGTATTATGATTTTTTTTTTTTTTTTGAGACAGAGTTTCGCTCTTGTCGCCCCAGGCTGGAGTGCAATGGTGCGATCTCGGCTCACTACAACCTCCACTTCCCAGGCTCAAGTGATTCTCCTACCTCAGCCTCCCAAGTAGCTGGGATTACAGGCACATGCCACCATGCTCGGCTAATTTTTGTATTATTAGTAGAGACCAGGTTTCACCATGTTGCCCAGGCTGGTCTCGAACTCCTGACCTCAGGCGATCCGCCCGCCTCGGCCTCTCCCAAAGTGCTGGGATTACAGGCGTGAGCCACCATGCCTGGCCTAGAGTATTAATTTTTTAAAAAATCGCCTCAACTTCCCAGGTTCAAGTGATTCTCCCACCTCATCCTCCCGACTAGGTGGGACTACAGGCATGCACCACCACACCGGGCTAAATTTTGTATTTTTGGTAGAGACGGGGTCTCACCATGTTGCCCAGGCTGGTCTCGAACCCCTGAGCTCACCTGATCCTCCCACCTCAGCCTCCCAAAGTGCTGGGGTTAAAGGAATGAGCTACCATGCCGGGTCATGCTATGCATATTTTACAACAATTAATTTTTTATTTTAAAGCCATGCCTTGTCCTAAAACCATGCCCCTCCCTGCAAGAAGCCGGGGACCTGGTGCCTGCATTAGACCAATTAATGTCTACACTGGCGGCCATGGCGAGACGTCTCCACTAAAACCCCAAACCAGGTTTCTGTTGGAAGGAGGAGGAGGAAGTTAGGGGCGTCTGCTGCTTTTCCCTCACTCCCTCTCCAGGCCACTCCTTGCATCCCTGGCGCCTCCAGGAAATCTCTGGCTTCCTCTCCAGGGCGCTTCCTCTGTGCTTCCCTGGCTGCACTCCGAAGACCTGGGTAGCCCATTAAATTGAAAATCCAGAGCACTGGGTCCCTTCCTCCCTGCAAGGAGGGCTTAATTTCCAAACTTTCCTGGCAGGTGAAGAGAAACATCTGCCTCCGTCCCGGCCCCGCTGGAGTAGCCAGGAAAACAAGACTTTTGTTTCCATAGTGAAACAGCTGGGCCACCCCCATCCTGCCCTGCTGGGATTTTCCAAGGCTTCATATCCATTTCCAGTTTCCAGACTGAAAACCACGTGGGCCCAGGTGCGGGAGACCTGGGTGCTGACCTTGCTGGTGCCCTCGACTTGCTGTGTGCCCTTGGGTAAGTCTCTTGCCCTCTCTGAGCTGTGAGTCAGTGAAGGGGTTGAATGGGATGACCTCTGAGGTGCCTCCCAGCACCAGTGCCTCACTGATGTGGTCACTACAGGCTATAAATCCACCAGCTCCCTAACGATTGACACGATTGACTCCTTTTTTTTTGGAGATGGAGTCTCACTCTGTTCTGTTGCCCAGGTTGCAGTGCAGTGGCACGATCTCGGCTCACTGCAACCTCTGCCTCCCGGGTTCAAGCAATTCTCCTGCCTCAGCCTCCCAAGTAGCTCGAGTACAGGTGCACACCGTGACACTCAGCTTATTTTTTGTATTTTAGCAGAGACAGGGTTTCACCGTGTTGCCCAGGCTGGTCTCGAACTCCTGAGCTCAGGCAATTCACCTGCCTCAGCCTCCCAAAGTGCTGGGATTACAGGCGTGAGCCACCGTGCCCGACTGACTTCTTTTTTTTTTTTTGAGACAGACTCTTGTTCTGTTACCCAGGCTGGAGTGCAGAGGTACAATCTCAGCTCACTGCAACCTCCACCTCCTGGATTCAAGAGATTCTCCTGCCTCAGCCTCCCCAGTAGGTGGGATTACAGACATGCACCACCATGCCCAGCTAATATTTGTGGGTTTTTTTTGTTTGTTTTTTTTTTGAGACAGAGTCTTGCTTCTGTCGCCCAGGCTGGAGCGCAGTGGTGCGATCTCGGCTCACTGCAAGTTCCGCCTCCCGGGTTCACGCCATTTTCCTGCCTCAGCCTCCTGAGTAGCTGGGACTATAGGCACCCGCCACCATGCCCGGCTAATTTTTGTATTTTTAGTAGAGACAGGGTTTCACCATGTTAGCCAGGATGGTCTCGATCTCCTGACCTTGTGATCCGCCCGCCTCGGCCTCCCAAAGTGCTGGGATTACAAGCGTGAGCCACCGCGCCCGGCCATATTTGTGTTTTTAGTAGAGATGGGGTTTCAACATGTTGCCCAGATTGGTCTTGAACTCCTGACCTCAGGTGATCTGCCTTCTTCGGCCTCCCAAAGTGCTGGGACTACAGGCGTGAGCCACTGCACCAGCCTGAAGCTTGACTTATTTTAATCCAGGATCAACCCGTCATGGCCTGGACTAGCCGTCAAGGAACCTCCTGTCCCCCTGCCAGGGCAGAAAGTGTATCGTGGGTGACAAGAGGGAGGCTTTGAATGCAGTTAACACCATCTTCATCCCCCAGAGGCCGGGCCTGAGGTGCCATTCCACACAAAAGGTTCAGGTAGAGGACAGGGACATAGGACAGGGAAGGGACAGATCCCAGAGGGTGCATTATCAAGCCAGTTACCATGAGGAATCCCACTGAACGTTCATTCCGCCAGGGACATGTGGGAGACTCCAGGTGCCGTGCCTCCCAGTCAGCCCATGCTAGGGCCAAAGGATCTGGAGGACTCCTGCCTCAACCCAAGAGCCATTTGTTGACAGCTGCTCCTGGCCACGTGTGTGGGCACGGGGACACTGGAGGTCAGCTGGATCTCCCCAAGAGCTGGAGGATGTTACCTGGGTACAGATAACAGCGGCTGCACGTGTAGACGCTCCCGGTGGGAACTTGGGCTTCCTCGGCTGGAATATGGGCACAGAAAATTTCATTTTTGGCTGGGCATGGTGGCTCACGCCTGTAATCCCGGCACTATGGGCGGCCAAGGCAGATCACTTGAGGCCAGGAGTTCGAGACCAGCCTGGCCAACATGGCGAAGCCCCATCTCTACTAAGAATACAAAAAAATTAGCCGGGTGTGGTGGCGGGCACCTGAAGTCCCAACTACTCCTGAGGCTGAGGCAGGAGAATCGCTTGAACCCAGGAGGTGGAGGTTGTGGCGAGCTGCGATCGCGCCACCGCACTCCAGCCTGGTGACAGAGTGAGACTCCATCTCAAAAAAACAAAAAAAGAAAAGAAAAGAAACAAAGAAACAAAGGCGTTCCTCACTTCCACTGGAGATCAAATGAAACATGGATCCTGCGTACAGAATTTACTGGAGGCCGTCCAGTGACCAGGCCTTGACTTTTATCAAAATTCTCAGACATTCAAGGTTAGACGCTATGGAAGCTAGAGGGAACAACCCTGCTGATAATACTGCTACGAAGGCTGCCGTTAATCAACTCCGTGTAATCAAATCTCTCTTGCGGCCCCACTCAAAGAAACTTCAAAAGATGAACCACAAATAATTACCAAAGATGGGGCACCAGAGGCCAAAAAAGAAAACTGGAAAGATCATGGCTGCTGATGTGACGATAAAAGAGAGCTGTGGTTTGGATCTGATAACAAACCAGTTCTTTGAAATTCAGTGAAATACTCAGTTAACCGCGGAACACAGTTTGACTCATCGGGTAACCAACAAATTGATTTCTTTTATAAGACAATATTGGTGGGCAGCATTTAAAAGCTGCAAAAAAAAATGAAACAAAAAAAGAAGAAAAAAGAAAAAAGCTGCAAAAAATGCTTATTTGACCAGTGGCCCCTGCCCTAAGTTTATTTCAGGAAAACCTGTAAGTACTGATTCTGGCTTGTGTGTGTTGGTGTGTGTGTTTGTGTGTGACTGGGTCTCACTCTGTCACCCGGGCTGGAGTGCAGTGGCACGATCTTGGCTCACTGCAACCTATTTTGGCCAGTTTCACATAATTTCCATTTTAGTTACCATTCTCAATCTTCTGACCTAATAGAGCAAACAGATGGAACTGTAAAAACCCACTTGGCTTTTGGAGGCCGAGGCGGGCAAATAACGAGATCAGGAGTTCGAGACCAGCCTGGTCAAAATGGTGAAACCCCATCTTTACTAAAAATACAAAAATTAACCGGCTGGGTGCGGTGGCTCACGCCTGTAATCCCAGCACTTTGGGATACTGAGGCGGGTGGATCACGAGGTCAGGAGATCAAGACCATCCTGGCTAACACGGTGAAACCCTGTCTCTATTAAAAATACGAAAAATTAGCCGGGCGTGGTGGCGGGTGCCTGTAGTCCCAGCTACTTGGGAGGCTGAGGCAGGAGAATGGCGTGAACCTGGGAGGCGGAGCTTGCAGTGAGCCGAGATCGCGCCACTGCACTCCAGCCTGGGCAACAGAGGAAGACTCCGTCTCAAAATAAAATAAAATAAAATAAAATAAAATAAATAAAAATACAAAAATTAGCCAGGCATGATGGCACGCGCCTGTAGTCCCAGCTACCCGGGAGGCTGAGGCAGGAGAATCACTTTGAATCTGAGAGGCAGAGGTTGCAGTGAGCCAAAATCAAGCCACTGCACTTCAGCCTGGCGACAAAGAGACTCCATCTCAAAAAACAAAACAAAACAAAACAAAAAAAACAACCTAATTGGGGCCGGGCACAGTGGCTTATGTGGGCCTCCCACTTGGGAGGCCAAGGTGAGTGGATCACTTGAGGTCAGGAGTTTGAGACCAGCCTGGCCAACATGGCAAAACGACATCTCTACTAAAAATACGAAAATTAGCTGGGCATGGTGGCACATGCCTGTAATCCCAGCTACTCGAGAGGCTGAGGCACAAGAATTGCTGGAACTCAGGAGGTGGAGGCTTCAGTGAGCCGAGATCGTGCCACTGCACTCTAGCCTGGGTGACAGAGCAAAACTTCATCTTAAAAAAAAGAACAAGAGCTCGCCATGGTGGCTCACACCTGTAGTCCCAACACTTTGGGAGACCGAGGAGGGAGAATCATCTGAGAGGAGTTCGAGACCAGCCTGCCCAACATGGTGAAACCCCATCCAGTTAATTTTTGTGTTTTTAATAGAGACAGGGTTTCACCATGTTAGCCAGGCTGGTCTCGAACTCCTGCCCACAAGTGATGCACCTGCCTCGGCCTCCCAAAGTGCTGTTATTACAGGTGTGAGCCACCAAGCCCAGCCTAAAAGTTAAAAAAATTTTTAAGTAAAGATAAACAAGTGACATCAAATTTCTTTCTTTTTTTTTTGAGATGGAGTCTCGCTCCGTCGCCCAGGCTGGAGTGCAGTGGCGCGATCTCGACTCACTGCAAGCTCCGCCTCCTGGGTTCACTTCATTCTCCTGCCTCAGCCTCCCGAGTAGCTGGGACTAGGGCGTCCGCCACCACACCCAGCTAATTTTTTTTGTATTTTTAGTAGAGACGGGGTTTCACCGTGTTAGCCAGGATGGTCTCGATCTCCTGACCTCGTGATCCGCCCACCTCGGCCTCCCAAAGTGCTGGGATTACAGGTATGAGCTACCGCGCCCGGCCCAAATTTCTTAATGTATGTTATTTAACTCCTATATCCCAAATACTATCATTTCAATATGTAATTAACATGAAACTTATGAGAAATTTTAGGTCCTTTTCTTCCCCCGATACTACGACATCAGGTTCATCCCCACTTGGCAGGGCTACACTTTCTAACCACTGGGGCCGGAGCTGTCCCCCTGGGCTTCCACAGGCTGCGATTCGGACCTAGACACCCATAACCATGCCAGGAGATGTACTGCAGGTTTATGTACTTTGAGTGTGGTAAGTTTTTGTTTTTTTTTTTTGAGACAGGGTCTTGCTCTGTCACCCAGGCGCTGGAGCGCAGTGGTGCAATCTCGGCTCACTATAACCTCCGCCTCCCAGGTACAAGCGATTCTCCTGCCTCAACCTCTCAAGTAGCTGGGACTACAAGCGTGCCCCGCTAATTTTTATTTTTGTTGTTGTTGTTTTGAGATGGAATCTCGCTCTGTCACCCAGGCTGGAGTGCAATGGCACGATCTCAGCTCACTGCAACCTCTGCCTCCCGGGTTCAAGTGATTCTCCTGCCTCAGACTCCTGAGTAGCTGGGATTACAGACGGGTGCCACCACACCTGGCTAATTTTTTGTGTTTTTAGTAGAGACAGGGTTTCACCATGTTAGCCAGGATGGTCTCGATCTCCTGACCTCGTGATTCGCCTGCCTTGGCCTCCCAAAGTGCTGGGATTACAGGCGTGAGCCATCGCGCCCAGCCAAATTTTTCTATTTTTAGTACAGATGGGATTTCGCCATGTTGGCCGGGCTGGAAAGTAACATAAGTTACTTCACATAAATTTAATCTTAAACTGAACACAGTGGGTCACACCTGTAATCCCAGCGCTTTCAGAGGCCCAGGAGGGAGGAATTTTTTTTTTTTTTTTTTTTTTTTTTTTGAGACGGAGTCTCTCTCTGTCGCCCAGGCTGGAGTGCAGTGGCGCAATCTCGGCTCACTGCAAGCTCCGCCTCCCGGGTTCACGCCATTCTCCGGCCTCAGCCTCTCGAGTAGCTGGGACTACAGGTGCCCGCTACTATGCCCGGCTAATTTTTTTGTGTTTTTAGTAGAGACGGGGTTTCACCGTGTTAGCCAGGATGGGGGAGGATTACTTCAGTCCAGGAGTTCCAGACCAGCCTGGGCAACATAGTGAGACTCCATCTCTCAAAAGAAATAAAAAAATCAGCCGAGCCTGGTGGTGCACATCCATAGTCCCAGCTACTCAGGCTGAGGCACAAGGATCACTTGAGCTGGGGAAGTCAAGGCTGCAGCGAGACATGATCACACCACTGCGCTCCAGCCAGGGTGATGAAATGAGACCCTATCTCAAAAGAAAAAATAATAAAAAAGAATAAAGAAACAAAAAGACAACAATTATCTTTGTGCGACTGTGTCCTGGAGCCAGGGGAGGTGTCTCGGCCTGGGAAAGGGCCTCCCCAGACGCCAAGCTCACAGCCAGCCTCCTGGTGACCCTGGGGCATGGCTCTGAGGACCTCGCTCTCAGGAAGGTACAATGAAAGGAGATCTCACTTGAGGCGGCGGGGCTTGGTGGGGGTGGTTTGGCCAGGTCTGCGAGGAAGGGACCTTCCCCAGCAGGCAGTCGGCCGGCGGCTGTGATCCCAGCCCTGACAAGACTCCTTATCTCTGCGGCAGCCGCCAGCCCATTGTCCAGGGAAGGAAGACGACAGGAGGCCGGCCAGCCCCGTCCACCTTCCCCCACCCGTCTTCCCCCTCCCCCACCCCTCCCTGTCCTTCCCAGCCTGCCAGGCCCCCTCTCTGACCAGACACAGCCCCCGGATAACCAGGCAGCAATTTTACCAGAAGTTGTATAGTGAAAACGCTGTATCACGTTAAAACAAAAGGAAGTGTGTTCTAGACTGAAGTGCACACGGGGCATGAATTTTTAAGCTAAAACAAGAACCGGAGAAAGCCTCCTTCCTTCTCTTCCCTTAGTTCCTTCCCCTTTCCGTTTCCTTCCAGAATAATCAGTCCCGGAGCCATTTGCTGGAGCAGAGCCAGGTGGGCGTCCCAGTGGGGTGGGGGAGGGTGGTGGCTCTGAGCAGCGTCAATGGGGTGGAGAGGGCTCGGGGGTGGTGGGGTAGGAGAGAGCTGGCTGCTTGGTGGACAGTCAAAATGGGGGAGGATGAGATCTCATTGAGGGTAGGGAGCTCAATTAGGCGGGGCCGGTGACCTGGGAGGGGTGACTAAGCTGTCCTGGGGCTAGGAGATATCCCTGCCAAAGGACAGCAAGGCTGGAGGACAGGTCTACAAGGTGAAAGGTGACAGTGCCCAGGAGACACGTGCTACACCCGGAGGGGTTGACAAAAGAAGCAGATGTGGCCAGGCATGGTGGCTCCCGCTTGTAATCCCAGCACTTTGGGAGGCCAAGGCGGGCGGATCACCTGAGGTCAGGAGTTCGAGATCAGCCTGGCCAACATGGTGGATCCTCATCTCTACTAAAAATACAAACAATTAGCTGCGTGTGGTGGCCCGTGCCTGTGATCCCAGCTCCTCAGAAGGCTGGTGCACGAGAACCGCTTCAATCCGGGAGGCTGAGATTGCAGTGAGCCGAGATCACACCACTGCACTGCAGCCTGGGCGACAGAGTGAGACTCCAACTCAAAAAAAAGAAGCAGATACGGTCAGGCATGGTGGCTCCCGCCTGTAATCCCAGCACTTTGGGAGGCCGAGGTGGGCAGATCACCCGAGGTCAGGAGTTCGAGACCAACCTGGAAGACATGGCAAAACCCCATTGCTACTAAAAACACAAAATTAGGCCGGGCATGGGGGCTGACGCCTGTAATCACAGCACTTTGGAAGGCTGAGATGGGCAGATCACGAGGTCAGGAGATCGAGACCATCCTGGCTAACACAGTGAAACCCCATCTCTACTAAAAATACAAAAAATTAGCCGCGTATGGTGGCGGGCACTTGTAGTCCCAGCTACTCGGGAGGCTGAGGCAGGAGAATGGCATGAACCTGGGAGGCGGAGCTTGCAGTGAGCCGAGATCGTGCCACTGCACTCCAGCCTGGGCGACAGAGGGAGACTCCATCTCAAAAAGAAAAAAAAAAATACAAAAGTTAGCCAGGCATGGTGGCGGGCACCTGTAATCGCAGCTACTTGGGAGGCAGGAGAATCGCTTGAACCCAGGAGGTGGAGGTTGCAGCCGGCCAAGATCGCACCACTGCACTCAAGCCTGGGCGACAGAGTGAAACTCTGTCTCAAAAAAAAAAAAAAAAAGAAGCAGATGTATCACAATAATCGTAGCCAGGTTCTCAAAGGCAGAGAAGGGAGTTGTAAACTGGAGTGCACCCCAGGATCTATCAATGTAAACTCTTGGCTTTCAATATACATAAGAGGTATAGGAATTCATACAGATGCACCTAAATACATTTTCCTAGCCGGGCATGGTGGTGGATGCCTGTAATCCCAGCTACTCGGAAGGCTGAGGCAGGAGAATCGCTTGAATCCAGGAGGTAGAAGTTGCAGTAAGCCGAGATCTTGCCATTGCACTCCAGCCTGGGCAACAAAAGTGAAACTCCGTCTCAACAATAAATAAATGAAATAAAATAAAATAGTCCAGGTGCAGTGACTCATTTCTGTAATCCCAGCACCTTGAGAGGCTGAGGCAGGCAGATCACCTGAGGTCGGGAGTTTGAGACCATCCTGGCCAACATAGTGAAATCCCAGCTCTACTAAAAATACAAAACAATGCCTGGGTGCAGTTGCTCACGCCTGTAATCCCAGCACTTTGGGAGGCTGTGGCGGGTGGATCATGAGGTCAGGAGTTCGAGATCAGCCTGACCAACATGGTGAAACCCCATCTCTATTGAAAATACAAAAATTAGTCAGTTGTGGTGGTGGGCGCTTGTAATCCCAGCTACTCCAAAGGCTGTGGCGGGAGGATTGCTTGAACCCGGGCGGCAGAGGTTGCAGTGAGCGAGCCAAGATCGCACCACTGCATCATTCCTGCCTGGGCGACAGAGTGATTCAGTCTCAAAAAAAAAAAAAAAAGAGTCAACGTTATGAAAGCCAAACACAGACTGAGAAGTGTTCCATCCCGAAGGAAATTAAAGGTATGCAAGAACGAAATAACACATGGGCTGGATTTTTCTGCTGCAAGGACATTCTGGGGACATCTTCAGGAACTCAAATGGGTCTGAGGTTTAGATGGCAGTGATGTATCATATGTTGGCCGACACAGTGGCTCACACCTGTAATCCCAGCACTTTGGGAGGCTGAGGCCGACTGATCGCTTGAGGTTAGGAGTTCGAGACCAGCCTGGGCAACATGGCGAAACCCCGTCTCTACCAAAAATATGAAAAATTAGCTGGGCTTGGTTGTGAGCACCTGTGGTCGCAGCTACTCAGAAGGCTGAGGCAGGTGGATCGATTGCACCCGGGAGGCAGAGTTTGCAGTGAACGGAGATTGCACCACTGCACTCCAGGCTGGGTGACAGTGAGACTTCATCTCAAAAAACTAACAGGCTGGGCGCGGTGGCTCACGCCTGTAATCCCAACACTTTGGAAGGCCGAGGCGGGCGGATCACGAGGTCAGGAGATCGAGACCATCCTGGCTAGCAGGTGAAACCCCGTCTCCACTAAAAAAATACAAAAAATTAGCCGGGCGTGGTGGTGGGCACGTGTAGTCCCAGCTACTCAGGAGGCTGAGGCAGGAGAATGGCACATGAACCCGGGAGGCGGAGCTTGCAGTGAGCGGAGATCGTGTGACTGCATTCCAGCCTGGATGACAGAGTGAGATTCCGTCTCAAAAAAAAAAAAACAAAAAAAACCCCAAAAGTAATGTATTAACTTCCTGGCCATTTATATAGCAGAATAACCCTGTTTGAAGGAAATACAAGGGGTGATTGTGGCATCAGGCTAGTAACTTATTTTCAGTTTTTTTCTAGGAAAAAAATTAGTTTGTTTTTTATTTTGTTTTTATTTCAGAGATAGGGTGTGACTCTGTCACCCAGGTTGGAGTGCAGTAGATTGATCATAGCTCACCCACCTTGACCTCCTGGGCTCAAGCAATCCTCCCATCTCAGCCTCTCCAATAGCTGGGACTGCAGGCACAGGCCACCACACCTGGCTGAAAAAAATTTCGCACTGTATTTGTAGCTTTAAGTGTGTGATTGTTTCAAAATTTTTCAAAATTTTGAAAGAAATTGGCCGGGCACAGTGACTCACGCCTATAATCCTAGTATTTTGGGAGGCCAAGGTGGGCAGATCATCTGAGGTCAGGAGTTTGAGACCAGCCTGGCCAACATGGTGAAACCCCATCTCTACTAAAAATACAAAAATTAGCCGGGCGTGCTGGCGGGCACCTGTAATCCCAGCTACTCGAGAGGCTGAGGCAGGAGAATCCCTTGAACCCAAGAGGTGGAGGTTGCAGTGAACCGAGATAGCGCCACTGTACTCCAGCCTGGGCGACAGCGTGAGACTCCTTAAAAAAAAAAAAAAAAAAAAAAAAAAAGGCCGGGCACGGTGGCTCACGCCTGTAATCCCAGCACTTTGGGAGACCGAGGAGGCGGGCAGATCACAAGGTCAGGAGTTCGAGACCAGCCTGGCCAATATGGTGAAACCCCGTCTCTATTAAATATAAAAATTAGCCAGGTGTGGTGGTGGGCGCTTGTAGTCCCAGCTACTCGGGAGGCTGAGGCAGGAGAATCGCTTGAACCCAGGAGGCGGAGATTGCAGTGAGCCGAGATCGCGCCACTGCACTCCAGCCTGTGCGACAGAAGGGATTCCGTCTCAAAAAAAAAAAAAAAAAAAAATCCGTCAGCCTGCAGGCTTGATGTGTGCTCAGGGAGCCCTCCCTGGCTTAGCTCATAACTGTGTATCAGGGGTGGGGAGGAGTGGGATGTAGAGGATTACACCAGCCACAGCTTCTCCCTTTCCTTCCCATCCCTCAGTATTATTTCTGGGCTCCCCCCGACTGCTGTATGACTCGGGGTAGTTTACCCTCTCTGAGCTACAGTTTTCTTAACTGTAACAGTTCCGTTACCTAATAAGTCCACCATCCCCCTCCCCTGGGCAGGGAGAGAAAATAGGGAAGGTCTGGGAACAAGGGGGCGGGGGTCAGTCCCTGGGAGGGATTAGAGCCCCGGGGCTGGGGGCTGGGTAGACAGGCTCCGAATTTTCCCCTCTCAGGTGGGATCCGAGGCTATGGCAGCGCGACAGGCCCTAAGCCAGCGCCTTCCTCAAGTGCTCGAGTTCGGTGCTCACAGCCACCATGGTCGCAGTCACTACTACGACCCCCCCGTGGCGGCCGCGGCTCATCCGCGCCTCCAGGGGCTAGGAGCACGCGGAGTTGGGGCGGGCTGTGCTGGTCCGGCTCTTTGTGCCGACCAGGAGGCGTGGCCTCGCGGAAATGGACCAATCATAGGAGGTCTTTGCTCTGGGAAGCCAATGGTGGGGTGGCGGGCGGGGAGTAGGCGGTGCTGGCAAGAGATGGGCAGCTGGGCTCAAGCGGGCTGCGGTGGCTGAGGGTCGTGCGCGGCCTCAGTGGTGCGGTGGGACACCCGAGAGAGGCGTCCCGGGGGAGCAAGGCCTGGGGTCCTGCAGTGGAGGTCAGCCCCCAATTGTGGGCGCAGCTGGAGAGGGGGCGCCCTGGGGTTCACGAGGCCTTGAAGAGCGCACACCCTTGGCCACGCCCTGCCTGCCGACCCCTCCCGGTTGTTTCCCTCTCCGGTGAATCTGGATCACAGCCCTCACCGCCCCTCCACTGGTTTCCTGCTGGCAAAGGCAGAGGGGCGCTCAGCAGGAGCTCTGGGGTGGGGGATGGGGGATGGGGGATGCAGAGGTTTCTGGCCTAGATCCCGATGGCTTCCTGGAGAGTCTGCGAAATCCCTGGGTGCAGGCTCCCTTCCCTAAGGTCTCCTGCCACACCCACATCCCATGCTCCTGCCACCCTCCCTGTGTCTTCCGCTGCGCCCGACAGCGCCCGCCCCTCCAACCCCCGCCCCGAGCCACATCCTCTACCAAGCCCTCTCTGACTGCCTAGGGATTTCCTTGTAAATCTCTCTTTCCCCCCCACGCTGTGCACTGCCACACATTTCAGGACAGCTGAGATCTTCATTCTGGTGCCTAGGGGGCCACCCTCTTCCCACGCAGTCATCGCTCTAGGGATGGGCATGTGAACCTGAATTGCCCCATCAGCAGCGATCTCAGGGCTGTTGCTTGGAACTGCTGCCGCAGAACCCTGCTCTGTAGGAAACACCTGGAGTCACCAGGACCTCAAGCAGGCATGTGGCCACCTATGAATACAGACAAAGCTGACCCATGGGAAAGACACTGCTAAGGAAGTCACAGGGATATGCAGCTGGAGCCTTCATCATACATACCTGAAGTCCTGTCACCTCTACACAGTTACAGAAGCCCTTACGACAGTTCTAGCCAGGATGCACTGGTATTTTCCACTTCTTATCCTTTTTTTTTTTTTTTTTTTTTTGAGACAGGGTCTTCCTCTCTCACCCAGGCTAGGGTAGTGCAGTGGTGCAATTATGGCTCACTGCAGCCTCCACTGCCTGGGCTCAACCGATCCTCCCACCTCAGCCTCCTGTGCCACTGCTCTCAGGTAATTTTTTTTTTTTGAGAAGGAGTCTCGCTCTCTTGCCCAAGCTGGAGTGCAGTGGCGAGATCTGGGCTCACTGCAACCTCCACCTCCTGGGTTCAAGTGATTCTCCTGACTCAGCCTCCTGAGTAGCTGGGACTACAGGTGTGGGCCACCATGCCCAGCGAATTTTTGTATTTTTAGTAGAGACAGGGTTTCACCATGTTGGCCAGGATGGTCTCAATCTCCTGACCTTGTGATCCGCCTGCCTCGGCCTCCCAAAGTGCTGGGATTACAGGCGTGAGCCACCGCGCCCGGCCGCTCTCAGCTAATTTTTAACTTTTTGTTTGGGGTTTTTTTTTTTTAGAGTCTCATTCTGTCACCCAGGCTGGAGTTTAGTAGCTTGAGCGTGGCTCACTGCAACTTCCGCCTCCTGGGTTCAGGCGATTCTTGTGCCTCAGCCTCCCGAGTAGCTGGGATTTCAGGCACGCACCACCACGCCCGGCTAACTTTTTATATTTTTAGTAGAGACAGGGTTTCACCATGTTGGCCAGGTGGGTCTCGAACTTCTGACCTCAGGTGATCTGCCTGCCTCAGCCTCCCAAAGTGCTGGGATTACAGGTGTGAGCCACTACACCTGGCTTGCTAATTTTTAATTTTTTAATTTTTGGTGGAGACGAGGTCTCAGTATGTTGCCCAGCCTGGTCTCAAACTCCTGGGCTCAAGTGATCCTCCTGCCTTGACCTATCAAAGTCCTTGGATTACAGGCATGAGCCACAGCACCCATCGTATTTTCTATTTCTTGCAACACGAAGATCCTAACTGACAATATGTTCACTGCATCTTCAAATCAACCCTGGGAAGATTATGTCTTACTTTAGAGTTTAGGAAACCAAGGCTCTAAGGAGCTAATTTATTCAGGATACCTCAGAAAGGCAGTGGTAAATTGGGACCAGAGTCTGGGCTTTCCTGACTCTCTACTAGGTGCTGTATTTACTAGACCAAGGTGGTAACAACATACACAGCTGAATCTCAATTTTGCACCATGGCAGACATTACCAATCAACTACCGAATGATTTCCCCTGTAACCCACAAAAGGAGTCTGACTTCCTGTCCTCTTAGGAGATCAGATCTGTTTCCAAGCCATTAAGAGTTCATCCTGGCTCCCCTTCCCACAACCTCATTCCATCTGGACTGAATGCAATCCAGTAGAATCAAGGGAAAAGAGGATTCCCAAACTCCCAAATCCAAGGGCCTCTGCTCAGCTGCAAGCTGTATGGGGGCAGCCACAATCTCCCCTCCTCCCCAGAGTCTCCAACTGGAGACAAGACATAGAGACCCAGAGAGGGGCCAAGATTTCCTGGAATCACACAAAACCCGGGGGGCAGAGCTCAAAAGTGTGGCTGCTCCAATTCCTTCTTTAAAAAAAATTAGAGGGGTCAGGCATGGTGGCTCATGCCTGTAATCCCAGCACTTTGGGAGGCCGAGGTGGGCAGATTGCTTGAACTCAGGAGTTGAAGACTAGCCTGGGCAACATGTCAAAACCCCATCTCTACTAAAACTACAAAAACTAACTGGGCAAGGTGGCACGCGCCTGTAGTCCCAGCTACTGGGGAGGCTGAGGTAGGAGGATCACTTGAGGCCGGGCACAGTGGCTCATGCCTGTAATCCCAGCACTTCGGGAGGCCGAGGCGGGCGGATCACGAGGTTAGGAGATCGAGACCACAGTGAAACCCCGTCTCTACTGAAAATACAAAAAATTAGCTGGGCGTGGTGGTGGGTGCCTGTAGTCCCAGCTGCTCGGGAGGCTGAGGCAGGAGAACGGCGTGAACCCAGGAGGCGGAGCTTGCAGTGAGCTGAGATCACACCACTGCACTCCAGCCTAGGCGACAGAGCGAGACTCTATCTCAAAAAAAAAAAAAGAGGATCACTTGAACCTAGGAGGTTGAGGCTGCAGCGAGCTGTGATCATGCTACTGCATGCCAGCCTGGGTGACAGAATGAGACCCTGTCTCAAAAAATAAAACTATTAAAATAAGTTAGCTGCAGCCAGACACAGTGGCTCACATCCGTAATCCCAGCAATTTGGGAGGCCAAGGCCGGGGTGGGTATCACTTGAGGTCAGAAGTGTTTGAGACCAGCCTGGCCAACATGGTGAAACCTTGTCTTTAGTAAAAATACAAAAATTAGGCCAGGTGCAGTGGCTCAGGCCTGTAATCCCAGCACTTTGGGAGGCCGAGGAGGGTGGATCATTTGAGGTCAGGAGTTCAACACCAGTCTGGTCAACATGGTGAAACCCCATCTCTACTAAAAATACAAAGATTAGGCCGGGCGGAGTGGCTCATGCCTGTAATCTCAGCACTTTGGGAGGCCGAGGTGGGCGGATCACAAGGTCAGGAGTTCAAGTCCAGCCTGACCAACATGGTGAAACCCCGTCGCTACTAAAAAAATACAAAAATTGCCGGGCGTGGTGGCTCACGCCTGTAATCCCAGCACTTTGGGAGGCTGAGGTGGGCAGATCACAAGGTCAAGAAATTGAGACCATCCTGGCCAACATGTTGAAACCCCCTCTCTACTAAAAATACAAAAATTAGCTGGGCATGATGGTGCACACCTGTAATCCCAGCACTCGGGAAGGTGAGGCAGGAGAATCGGTTTAACCCAGGAGGCCAAGAGCGCGCCACTGCACTCCAGCCTGGCAACAGAGCAAGACTCCATCAAAAAAAAAAAAAAAAAAAAATTAGCCGGGCATAGTGGCGCACGCCTGTAATCCCAACTACTCAGGAGGCTGAGGCAGGAGAATCACTTGAACCCGGGAGGCAGAGGTTGCAGTGAGCCCAGATCATGCCACTGCACTCCACCCTGGGTGACAGAGCAAGACTCCGTCTCAAAAAAACAACAACAACAACAAAAACAAAGATTAGCCAGGTGGTAGTGGCACACGCCTATAATCCCAGCTGCTCAGGAGGCCGAGGCAGGAGACTCGCTTGAGCCTGAGAGGTTAAGGCTGTGGTGAGGCCAGATCATGTCATCATGTCACTGCACTCCAGCCCGGGCAACAAGAGTGAGACTCCGTCTCAAAAAAAAAAAAGGCCGGGCACAGTGGTTCACGCCTATAATCCCAGCACTTTAGGAGGCCGAGGTGGGTGGATCACGAGGTCAGGATTTTGAAACCAGTCTGACCAACATGGTGAAACGCCATCTCTACTAAAAAAAAAATACAAAAATTAGCCAGGCTTGGTGGTGCGCATCTGTAATCTCAGCTACTCGGGAGGCTGAGGCAGGATAATTGCTTGAACCCGGGAGGCGGAGGTTGCAGTGAGTGGAGATCTTGCCACTGCACTCCAGCCTAGGTGACAGAGTGAGACTCCATGTCAAAAAAAAAAAAAAAATTAGCCGGGCGTGCTGGTGTGTGCCTATAGTCCCAGCTACACAGGAGGCTGAGGTGGGAGGATGGCTTGAGCCTGGGAGGTGGAGGTTGCAGTGAGCCAAGATCATGCCACTGCACTCTAGCCTGGGCACAGAGCGAGACCTGTCATATATAAATAAATAAAGTAAATAAATAAATAAAAGAAAACAACATTCGAATATTGGACAGGAGGCCAAGGGGAGGGCTGCTTTGCATAAGGAGCCCGCCTAAGGATTATTTAATTCTTTCCAGGAAACTTTGATTTGACTTTACTATCTGCTTTTGATTAAGGGCTGAGGCTCAGTGAAGTTAACAGGTTAACTTGTGGATTTGTATCTGAGACAAAAGATAACACAAAAAGTTACTCTTGATTGCAGAAAGGACATTAGTCAGGTTGTTGGGTTTTGTGTTTCTGAATTGAATTTAGGAATCTTCCTTCCTTCATTCCCTTCCTTCCTTCCTCCCTCCTTTCCTTTCTTTTTTTCTTTCTACCTTCCTTCCTTCCTTTCTCTCTTTCTTTCTTTCTAAGATGGGGGTCTCACTATATTGCCCAGGCTGGAGTGCAGTAATGCAATCATAGCTCACTGCAGCCTCGAATTCCTGGGCTTAAGTGATCCCTCTGGCCTCAGCCTCTCCAGTGGCTGGGACTACAGTCATGTGCCTCCACGCTCAGCTAATTGTTTGTTTGTTTGTTTTTGAGACAGAGTTTCACTCTTGTTGTCAAGGCTACAGTGCAATGGCACGATCTCGGCTCACTGCAAGCTCCAGCTCCCGGGTTCACGCCATTCTCCTGCCTCAGCCTCCTGAGTAGCTGGGACTATAGGCGCCCGCCACCACGCCCGGCTAATTTTTTGTATTTTTAGTAGAGACGGGGTTTCACCGTGTTAGCCAGGATGGTCTCGATCTCCTGACCTCGTGATCCACCCGTCTCGGCCTCCCAAAGTGCTGGGATTACAGGCGTGAGCCACTGCACTCCGTCGACTGGACTCTTATTTTGCATTTTTGAACCCAGTACCTTTTCTCCACTTCAAAGGGCTTTCTTTTTTTTTTTTTTTTTTTTTTTTTTTTTGAGAAGGAGTCTCACTCTGTCGCCCAGGCTGCAGTGCAGTGGCGTGATCTTGGCTCACTGCAAGCTCTGCCTCCCGGGTTCAAGTGATTCTCCTGCCTCAGCCTCCTGAGTAGCTGGGGCTACAGGCACCCGCCACCATGCACGGATAACATTTTTTTTTTTTTTTTTTTTTTGAGACGGAGTCTTGCTCTGTCGCCCAGGCTGGAGTGCAGTGGCGCGATCTCGGCTCACTGCAAGCTCCGCCTCCTGGGTTCACTCCATTCTCCTGCCTCAGCCTCCTGAGTAGCTGGGACTACAGGCGCCCGCCACCACGCCCTGCTAATTTTTTGTATTTTTAGCAGAGACAGGGTTTCACCGTGTTAGCCAGGATGGTCTCGATCTCCTGACATCGTGATCCGCCCCCCTCGGCCTCCCAAAGTGCTGGGATTACAGACGTGAGCCACCGCGCCCGGCCCAAAGGACTTTTAAATGTGTCTGGCTGCCGGGCGCGGTGGCTTCACGCCTGTAATCTCAGCACTTTGGGAGGCCGAGGCAGGCGGATCACCTGAGGTCGGGAGTTCGAGACCAGCCTGGCCAACATGGAGAAACCCCGTCTCTACTAAAAATACAAAATTAGCTGGGCGTGGTGGCACATGCCTGTAATCCCAGCTACTCGAAAGGCTGAGTCAGGGGAATCACTTGCACCCGGGAGGCGGAGGCTGCAGTCAGCCGAGATCGCGCCATTGCACTCCAGCCTGGGCAACAAGAGTGAAACTCTGAAAAAAAAATGTGTCTGGCTGCCCAAAGGGCCCCATCACCGGACGAGTCCAGCCCCACCCAGCTTGGCGCGGCAGGCGCGTCGGTTGCGCCACCTGGCGGTCGCCTGGAACCCCACAACCCAACCAACCAGGTAGGGGAGATGGTGCGAGGGAGGGCGCGCGGGTTGCTGGGGTCTAGGATGGGGCTGTACCTGCTCCAGCTCTTAGGAAGGAACAGATCCAGGGCCGCCCCGCTGCATCGTTTGTTCCGGCTTCCCTAAGGAAGGCGATTTGGGGATGGGCCCTCAGGACGCTGTTACTTCGCCCTCGGTCCAGCACCCCACCTCTCCCAGGTGCAGGGGCCAGAGAGCGGTTCTTGCCCTGAATTAGGTGAATTAGGCGGACAGCGCGCAGCTTGCCAGTAACTCCAGCAAGCCTCATTCTTGGGACAGTTATGCCCATTGTATGCATGGGAAAACGGGCTGAGCTTTTAGATTGGGGCTGAGGCTGCTGCTCGGGTCCAGCGCTTGGACCTTCACTCCAGCCTGCCCCAGCCTGAGGTGGAGGGCTGCCCTCTCCCTCTCTCCCAACACACACATGCCCCATCAGCCACCAGGGAAGGGATCACTCTGGAGGGCCTGTTTTATCTCCGCGGACCCACTCCAGGCTGCTGGGTGAAAGATTCCCTTTATTTAGAGGAAGAGAGTTAGTCCCGGAGAGGGCCAGGACTGGGCTGAGTCACTCCGGGGGCCCGGACAGGGCCAACCCTGCCTGCTCCAAGCCAAGAGCCTTGAGCCCCGTTTTGAGGGCAGACTCAGCCCCCACCCCATCCCCACCCTAAAATCGGTTGCAGGGACGGAGGTTCCGAGAGGATGGGGCCGTCCCACCCTAAGTCTTCCAGCATCATCCCCGCCTCGTCGCCGCTGGTGCCTGTAGATGTCTGGGCGGAGGGGAGAACGCGAGAGTGGGCGAGCTCCGCGGTCCGCAGGAGCTGGGAGGAGGGGCTAGCGCGCGGGCAACGCCCCCTCCCCCAGCCCGTCTGGAGTAAGCCTCGCCCCCACCCCAACTCCCAGGAATTCTGCTGAGTCACTTCGGAGGCCACAGCTGCAACCTTGGGAACAATACGAGTCATTCAATTCACTAGGCAGCGTCCCAGCGCTCACCTGGGGGACTTGGCCACGGTCTCTTGTTAGAAGCCTCTTCATGGACAACGTGGCCAACCCCACCTCACCCCTATCGTCTCCCCCGGCCACACCCTGGGCCAATCGGGCTCCCACGTCAGGGTCTTTGCAGTAACTTGTGTTGCATGCCTGATACCTCCTTCCCGCCGGGGCACCTGTAGCCTGTACATCCTCCCACCCTCACTGCGAAGGCCCCTGCTCCCGCTGAGGCTGCGTCAGGGAAGAGCGAGCGAGCGTCTGCGAGCCTGATCCGCAGGCGGCTCGGATTGGCACTTAGATTGGCAACGGTGTCCAGGTACAAACTGCAGACCTGGAGCGCCCACAGGCTGGATGGTACTAGGGGACAGGTGTGCGCCCAGGTCTGTGTGGCCGTGCGCGAGACTGCTCGTGGGCAGCGTGGGAATAGGGGCACCGAGTGTGCCTTTCACAATTTCCCTGCTGAGCTGGATGTCGGCCACAGAACTATTGTGTGCCAGCTCCGAGCCCACCCATCACAGCGGGCGCGTGACTCCGGCATGGGGGCTGCACACTACATTTCCCAGAATTCATGGCTGCCAGCTTCCTGCTAGGCTGGACCAATAGGAAGTACCAGGGCTGTAAGCTTTCAGGGGCGTGGACGCGATTAGCATTTGATGACGCTTAGGGACCCCTTCTCAGAATCAAGGTTAAAAAAAATTGTAGTAAAAGATACATAACATAAAGTTTACCATTGTAACATTTTTTTTTTTTTTTTAGATGGAGTCTCCCTCTGTCGCCCAGGCTGGAGTGCAGTGGTGTGATCTCGGTTCACTGCAACCTCTGCCTCCCGGGTTCCAGTGATTCTCCTGCCTCAGCCTCCCGAGTAGCTGGGATTACAGGTGCAGGCCACCACACCCGGCTAGTTTTTCGTATTTTTAGTAGAGGAGGTTTTCGTTATGTTGGCCATTCTGGTCTCAAACTGCTGACCTCAAGTGATCCACCTGCCCCCTCTTTTCTTTCTTTAATGAGGATCATGTCAGTGTGGCAGAGGGGGCTCAGGTACAGGCTGATCCACCCACAAACTCTGTATTTTGGTGGCACATCTTGGGGGCTTGGTTTACACACATGAGTAAAACAACCAGAGTTTCTACTTAAACCTTTACATCAGCATACTCTTGGCATTTTGTTTATTTGTTTATTTTTTTGGAGATGGAGTCTTGCTCTGTTGCCCAGGCTGGAGTGCAGTGGTGCTGTCTCGGCTCCCTGCAGCCTCTGCCTCCCGTGTTCAAGCGATTCTCCTGCCTCAGCCTCCCAAGTAGCTGGGATTACAGGTGCCCACCACGCTCAGCTAATTTTTGTATTTTTAGTAGAGACAGGGTTTCACCATGTTGGCCAGGCTGGTCTTGAACTCCTAACCCCAGGCGATGCGCCCGCCTCGGCCTCCCAAAGTGCTGGGATTACAGGCATGAGCCACTAGTTCTGGCCTGTCTTTTTAAAAAAATTTTTTTTTCATGTTTTAAAAAAGTGACATTGTTGTATTACCATCCGCAGGTGGGACCTGCATGAGGTGGTTGGTGTGCTGGGCTCAGGGGATGTGTGGGCTGTGGAGATGATGACAGAAAGGTTGGAAGAAAAGGGGGTGGGTTTGAAGGCTAGGCCCAAGGGGTCCTCAGGTCCGCTTCTGGGAAGGGACAGCCTTGAGGAAGGAGTCATGGCAAGCCATAGCTAGGCCGCCAATCAGATTAAGAAATTCTGAGAAATCTAGCTGCCCGTCATTGTTGGTGCCCAGTTTCTTCATCATGCGGTGAAGGACCCCGGGGTCCTTCTGGTTCTTTGTGAAGGCAGCCAGTTCTGCATTCATGAAGCTTAGGAACTCCGTCTTGGAGAGAGTGCAGTTATAACCACCCTTTCCCACATACTTCTGGAAAAGAGAAATCAGGGACTCGATGCTCAGTCTCTGCAGGGCTGGAGATTTTTGCAGGGCTGGAGCTGAGCAAGGCGTGGGAGCCTTAATCAAAGTTTCCTGGCTGGGTGCAGTGCCTCACACCTGTAACCTCAGCACTTCGGGAGGCCGAGGTAAAAGGATTGCTTGAGCTGGGGAGTCTGAGACCAGTCTGGACAACATGACAAGACTCTGTCTCATGGCTGGGCGTGGTGGCTCACACCTGTAATCCCAGCACTTTGGGAGGCCGAGGCGGGTGGATTGCCTGAGCTTGAGAGTTCGAGACCAGCCTGGCCAACATGGCGAAACCCCATCTCTACTAAAAATCCAAAAAATTAGCCAGGCGTGGTGGCGGGCGCCTGTAGTCCCAGCTACTTGGGAGACTGAGGTAGGAGAATCGCTTAAACTCGGGAAGTGGTGGTTGCGGTGAGCCGATATCGTGCCACTGCACTCCAGCCTGGGTGACAGAGTGAGGCTCTGTCTCAAAAAAAAAACCAAAAAAAAAACCCCGTCTCTTATTTAGTTTAATTTTATTAATTTATGTGTTTTTGGGGGACACAGTCTCACTCTGTTTCCCAGGCTAGAGTGCAGTGGTACAATCATAGCTCACTGCAGCCTCAGCCTCCTGGCTTCAAGCAGTCCTGCATCAACCTCCCAAGCTACTGGTATTACAAGCGTGAGCCACCACACCCAGCCCACAGACTCCTGTTGATGGAGATTGCTTCCTTTGCCATGCTTCAGCTGTACAGTATAAGCTATTTCCTTCCAGGCTAACCTCGGAAATCTGAAATCTGCATTTAGGTAAGGGGTGGAGGTCACAGCAGAGGCGGAACCTGCAGGACAGGGCGTTACCAT
The DNA here is from genome assembly GCF_000001405.40 of Homo sapiens. Lineage (NCBI taxonomy): Eukaryota > Metazoa > Chordata > Mammalia > Primates > Hominidae > Homo > Homo sapiens. The sequence goes on along the minus strand of NC_000007.14, from coordinate 5,559,929 downwards.
GACCGGGTCTTCCAGCCAGGGAAAGCTGGATTCCTCAGACGCAGGATGGGGTGCCGGCTCTCTGCTTCGTCTGTGTACCCCAGAGCCACCCCGATGTGGAGACTCAGGGTGCCTAGTTGCACAGGAATGACGATGCGGCAGGCTCAGGGGTGGCGGGGCAGGGTGTGCGATTGTGTGCCTGCATGCTGTCTGTGTCCCCTGGGCTGCTTGGGGATAGGCTTGGATCCCATGGAAACTCCCCAGCTTGGCGACTTGTCGGCCACGACCCTGGACAAGTGCTGCCGCCCCTCTAGACCTCAGTTTCCTCATCTGTGTTTTATTGTTGTTGTTGTTTGAGACAGAGTCTCGCTCTGTCGTCCAGGCTGGAGTGCAATGGTGCCATCTTGGCTCACTGCAACCTCCATCATCTCCTGGGTTCAAGCAGTTCTTCTGCCTCAGCTTCCTGAGTAGCTGGGGTTAGAGGCTCCTGCCACCACGCCGGGCTCCTTTTTGTAATTTTAATAGAGATGGAGTTTCACTGTGTTAGCCAGTCTGGTCTCGAACTCCTGACCTCAGGTGATCCACCCGCTTCAGCCTCCCAAAGTGCTGGGATTACAGGCATGAGCCACCGTGCCCAACCAGTTTCCTCATCTGTGTAAAGGGGAAAGCAATACCTCCCAGGGTCCCTGGACCATTTAGTGGATGGGTGATGGCAGAACCCTGGGGCAGCTGAGGATGCTTTCCATGGCCACTTGTCCATCAAAGCCTGGGGGGACGCGACCCGAGCCTGGGGGTGGTGAGGGATGATTGGGATGGGGATGCCCATGGTGGGCGGGGCATCCGGTGGGGACGTCACAGGTCCATCTCTCCAGGGATGACAGTAAAGAAGGTTCCCACTAGGTGGCACCCAAGAGCAGTCTCCGTCTAGTCTGTCCTGGCAGCAGTCCCAACTCTCCAGCTGTCATTGGCTTCTCTGCACCCTGGCCCTTCCCTGGGCCTTCCCCAGAAATGAGGCCCTTCCCTGGGCCTTCCCCAGAAATGAGGCCCTTCCCTCCACCCCTCATTCCTGCTTCTTTGGGCACCCATTCCCGGCAGCTGCTTCCTACCCCCTCCCGAGGGCTTGCAAGTCCCCCCAGCCATGTGTCTGTCAATCTCTCTTTTTCTCTCCCTGGGTCCCAGCTTCCCCTGACTGCCCTTCTCAGCTGGTCACCTTGGTCAAGCTGCTTGACCTTGCTGTATTTGGGAGTCTTTTCTTTTTTTGGAGACGGGGTCTCACTGTGTTGCCCAGGTTGGAAGTGCGGTGGCACAATCACCGCTCACTGTAGCCTTGACCTCCTGGACTCAAGTGATCCTCCTGTTGTAGCCTCCCTAGTAGCTGGGACTACAGATGTGCACCACCATGCTTGGCTAATTTTTAAATTTTTTTGTAGAGATGGGGTCTTGCTACATTACCAAGGCTGGTCTCAAACTCCCAGCTTCAAGCAATCCTCCTGCCTTGACCTCCCAAAGTGCTGAGATTACAGGCACACGCCACTGTGCCTTGCCTTGGGGTCTTAATTCCCCTATCAGGGTCATGGGGGACTTTTCTCAGAGAGCCTGGGTGCAGGGCTCAATACCCACAGGTGTTCAAAAATAACATCAGGAAAAGTAGCTGTTCTCCTTTTACTTTCTCTTTTCTCGTCCTTCCCCTAACCCCACCCTCTCCTGCCCTCCTCCCAGGCCGGCTCTGGCCGCCCACAGCCTTCTGGGGCTCTCTGGGCTAAGATCCCGCAACAGTGCTCCGGCCAGGGCTCTAGGCCTGACCGGCTGGCACCTGCCACCCCAGTGTCCTCACTGCCCAGACAGGCTGCCTGAAGATCCGGCCGCCTGGAATCGGAGGTCTGGTGACCTGCCTGCCTGTGTCCCGTTGGGTACACTGGCTCTGAGTCTCACCCGGAGTGACCCTGGCCCCGGGGACAAGACAGGACAGGATGGAACAGCACAGGCAGGGCCTGGGATTGGCTGGCCCCATTTGTCAGAAACACAAGCCTTCCCAACCAGGCCAGGTCGGGCCAGGCAGGAGCTGGGTGCAGAGAGCTGTGGGCAGAGAACCTTCCCATCCAGGACCCTCACCCCAGCAAGTCCTCCCCTTCCCCCGGGGAGAAAGGGCAGCCCCTCACCAGACGCCTTTGCTGAGCACCTACTCTATGCCCAAGCCTCGTACTTAGCACTTTGCCTGCATTATCGCATATCATTTTAATTACCCCCAAAGAGATTATTGCCCCATGAGTATAGAAGAAGAAACTGAGGGTCACAGTGGTTGACCACCATGTCCAACTCTGAGCCTTTGTCCTTTCGCTTTCTTCCCTTTTTTGGAAAGTGTGAAATCTTTTTTTTTTTTTTTTGAGACGGAGTTTTGCTCTTGTTGTCCAGGCTGGAGTGCAATGGCCTGTTCTCGGCTCACCACAACCTCTGCCTCCCAGGTTCAAGCGATTCTCCTGCCTCAGCCTCCGAGTAGGTGGGATTACAGGCATGCGCCGCCACGCCCGGCTAATTGGTTTCTCCATGTCAGTCAGGGTGGTCTCGAACTTTCGACCTCAGGTGATCCGCTCACCTTGGCCTCCCAAAGTGCTGGGATTACAGGCAGGAGCCACCGCGCCCAGCCGAAATATTTCAAAGATACAGAAAAGTACAGAAGGTACTATAATACACCCCGAATGAAGCAATTATTATTTTGCTATGTTTTATTCAGTTGTTTTCTCAAAGAAATATAGGATCTCAGAATCAGTGGATGCCCCCCTCCACCCCCAGCTCATGCTCTTCTCTGTGCCCCCTCCCATAAATACCTGCCCCTACATCTATAAATAATGCCACCTGTTTGCTGTCACCAGAAAATGTGGGGCTTGTTCTAGAACTTCACATAAGTGGGGCCAGACAGTAGGAACCCGTCTGTGTCTGGGGAACACTGAGGTAGACCCCCGTTGTCCACCATGGCCCTAGTCCCTGCCTTGGCGCAGTGACTGATCCCCTGTTGGTCCCACCCACCCTCCTCCCTGCAGGAACGGGTTCTGGGTGGTTTCGGCCTGGGCGTTTTTCACATTTTACAGACTGGACGTCACCGCCTTGCACTTTTCTCCCAAGGAGGCCTCGCTGAGATTTCTCGGAGCAGGCACTTGGGCCTCCCTCGCCGGCGTCTTCCGGGAGGCCACTCCCTGCTGGACCCAGGGACGCCCCGACCCCGGCCGGAGCCCAGCCCCTTCCCCCGCTCCCGGCAGCTCAGGGGTTAAGGAGCCGCGGGATCATTCCGGAGGGCGGGGCAGGGCGGGGGAGATCCCCTCCCCCACCCGGCCGATACCCCCTTCCCCCCATGGCTCCGAGGGCGCCCCCTCCGCCGCCCCTTCGGAGAAGCAGCCGGGCATTTCGAAAGTCGCGGCCACACCTCGGACCCCCTCCGGGCCCCGCTCCGAAAACGGGAAGCCCGCGGAGGAAGTCGCTGCGGCTGCCGGCGGGCCGGATGACTAAGTTTGGCAGAGCGACCCGCGCCGTTTGCCTTTTATGGCGGACTCGTGGGCCGCGGACGTGGCCGGCTCAGGGCCCACCCTGCCTCTGAGCCACAGGGGCCGCGGGCCGGGGGCGGGAGGGGGCGCGCTCCCCCGAGGGACCCCCGGGCTCCCCGCTGCCCGGCTCCTCGCCGCCCTCCTCCCCCTAGGGGGTCAGGCCCGGCCCTGGCCTGCAGCAGGCAGAGGGGAAACTGAGGCCCAGAGAGAGGCGAGACCTGCCCCGGCCCCAGAGCCAGGCGGGTGGAGCCACATGAGAGCCAAGGCTCGGCTTCCCAGCCTCGCCTGGACCGAGCTGACTCACGCTCCCCAGTGGGGTGGGGCGGGAGGGCGCAGCTGCATTTATGGAGCACCCGGTGTTTGCTTGATGGTGTGCCTTATGTCTAAGTCTCACTGCAGTCTCGCCGGGGCGGGCTTAGGTCCGATCCGTCTCACCCTAAATGCAGGTTCTTCTGAGAGGGGTGTGCGGCAGGGCGGGGGCTGGGGGTGCGCCGGGCCCCGCCCTTGCCCCATTCCTCCTGTTCCCCTGCACTGACCCTTGGCTGGGTGTTGTACTTTGCACAACCCGTTGTGCAAACCCGGCAGATGCAAACCTCCCCCCATTTAACAGACAGGGAAACTGAGGCTGTGAGTAAAAGTATCGTGTGCCCAGGGTCACGTAAGAGCTAAGTGGCAGCGCTGCGGGGAGGGGGGATTCTAGTCTAAGTGCGGGGGAGGGCCCCCCATCCCTGAGGCCCCCAATCCCTATAGGTGTAAATATACACATGCACCCCACTTGCAGAAGGGTTCGTGTGCGTCTATGAGGAGCTGGCTTGCCACCTGGAGGCACGTGTGGCGTTTCCGGCCGTTCAGTCCCCAACCCCGTGGCCCCAGCCGGGCTACGCACGCTGCGGGCCTCAATTTCTTCAATCGCAAAATGGGGACAGAGCGCGGGACTCGCGGGGACCGGCGGGGGGTGCTGTGGGCCCGATCCGGAGTGGGGACTGGGGTCAGGGTCGTGGTCTACGGGCCCGGCGTGGGGGTCGCGGCAGGGGGGCTGGGCTGCACCCCCGGGCCGGCGAGGGCTCGCAGTGAGGGAGGGGAACACGGTGGGCGGGGGCGGCCCGTGGACCCAACGCCCCCTCCCCGGGCGCTCCCAAACCTCGCCTTTTATGGAGAGGAACTCGGGCCAAGTGGGCCGGGCCGGCCGAGGGGCGGGGTGGGGGCCGGTGAGGGGCGGGCTGGGGGCCGGCCGGGTCCGCGCTGGACTCGCACGGGGCCTGGCTTATCTCCCGGAGCGCCTCGCGGCCCTGGGACGCGGGAGGCGCCGCGAGCTGCGGCCCACGTGAGCCGCGCGGGCCTGGGAGCTCCCGATAACAACTATCCACCCAGCCCGGGCAGAGTCGGCCCCCGCACCCCAAGCTGAGACTCTAGCCCTGGCCCCGGGTTCGAACCCCAACCATGCCAGAAGGCCCGTCTGGGGAAGGGGGCGAAACAGTCTCTTCTCGGGCAGCAGAGAGATCTGAGGGATCACCGACTTGGGGGCAGATGGGGCCAACACCTCTAATTAGCTCTGAACGAGCACCCCCCCCAGTGCACTTGTGTGTACACACACACACACACACACACACACACACACACACACAGCTCTGGGACTCCAGAAGGACTCTTGTCTGGGGCCAGGGACTCCCAGTAGGGAAATCTTGCTCCAAATGCCACCCGCTCCGCCCCACCCAGGTTGTCCAGCGTCCACCTAGGGCCCTAGGAGGCCGTTGGCTCCATTATACAGATGGGCACTTTGAGGCCAGACACGGCAGGGCTAACCCTGGATGAGGCAAAAGTTCTGATCTCCTGCTGCTGGGCCGTAAGGACTGACTAGACAGCTCCAGACACCAGGAATGTTGTTCTAGATATTCCCAAGGAGGGTCCCCATGAGCCGCCTGACAGGCTGTGATTTATTGGTTTTCTTTTCTTGCTTTTTTCTTCTTTTGAGACAGGGTCTCACTCTCTCACCCAGGCTGGAGTGCAGTGGTCTGATCACGGCTCATGTAGCCTTCACCTCCCAGGCTCAAATGATCCTCCCACCTCAGCCTCCCTAGTAGCTGGGACCACAGGCGAGTGCCACCACACCCAGCTAATTTTTAGATTTTTAGATTTTCTATAGAGAGAGGGTCTCGCTTTGTGGCCCAGGCTGGTTTCAAACTCTTGGGCTCAAGTGATCCTCCTACCTTGACCTCCCAAAGTGCTGGGATTACAGGTGTGAGCCACCACGTGCATGTAATTTTTAATTTTTTTTGGTAGAGATGGGGTCTCGCTATATTGCCTAGGCTGGTCTTAAACTACTGGGTTCAAGTGATCTTCCCACCTTAGCCTCCTGAGTAGCTGGGACTACAGGCGTCTGACACCACATCAGGCTAATTTTTGTTTGTTTGTTTTTGTTTGGTTTTTTTAGAGACAGGATCTTGCTCTGTCACCCAGGCTAGAGTGCAGTGGTGTGATCATGGCTCACTGCAGCCTCAACTTCACGGGCTCAGGTGTTTCTCCCACCTCAGCCTCCCGAGTAGCTGGGACTACAGGCACGTGCCACCACACCCAGCTAATTTTTGTATTTTTTTTGTAGAGATGGGGTCTCACCATGTTGCCCAGGCTGGTCTCAAACTCCTGGGTTCAAGTGATCCTCCTGCCTCAGCTTCCCAAATTGCTGGGATTACAGGCTCAAGTGACCCTCCTGCCTCACCTTCCCGAAGTGCTGGGATTACAGGCCTGAGCCACCGTGCCCGGCCTCAGGCTGTGACTTCTTATGACCCACCCAGAAATGTCCAGTGTCAGGGTGTCAGGGCTGTGGCTGGGCGTGGCCTCTGGTTCAGCTCCCCAAGGAAGGAATGCACTGTGGCATTTTGACACCTCCCTCTTCTGGGAGCCTCCGGGCCTCCATTTCTGGACAGTAACATATCTGCTCCCTGCCCCCAGGCTGAGGGTGATGGTTCAGTGGGCAGGTGGGGGCAGAGGGGGCCTGCTTGCAAAAGCTCAGAGATAGAGGGCCCGCACCCCACCCGGTGCACCCTTAGGGAAGGATGGCTGTCATGATTAAGCCTAGATAGGCGAGGCACAGTGGCTGTAATCCCACCACTTTGGGAGGCCGAGACAGGCGGATCACAAGGTCAGGAGATCAAGACCATCCTGGCTAACACGGTGAAACCCCGTCTCTACTAAAAATACAAAAAAGTAGCCGGGCATGGTGGCGGGCGCCTGTAGTCCCAGCCACTCCGGAGGCTGAGGCAGGAGAATGGCATGAACCTGGGAGGGAGAGCTTGCAGTGAGCCGAGATCGCGCCACTGTACTCCAGCCTGGGCGCCAGAGCGAGACTCCGTCTCAAAAAAAACCTAGATAATGCCCGGAGTGGCCCCTGGATGACAGGGAGAGGCCAGACTCCAGACCCTGCCTTTTGCCTTTTGCCCTTTGTCCTCTGCGCTGGACTCAGGTCGCTGGGTGTGAGCTAAGGCATGGCCAGGAAGCTCAGCCTCCATCCGATCCTTGAACACTCTGCTCCTTCTCTCTGTACCTCCCCTGCCCTCCTTCCCTGGAACCCACAGAGAGGCCAGTGGCTCCTGATTCCTCCCTCCCCGGGCACGTAAGCAGTAATGACAGCTAACGTTTTACTAACACGGGAGCTGCGGGCAGCGCTGGTCTGATTCCTGGACACGCTGGCGTTGTCCTCCCAGGAACTCCATACAGCAGGTTTCCACCCCATTTTATTTTATTTTATTTTATTTTATTTTATTTTTTGAGACAGAGTCTCATTCTGTCGCCCAGGCTGCAGTCCAGTGGCGTGATCTCGGCTCACTGCAACCTCCGCCTCCTGGGTTCAAGCGATTCTCCTGTCTCAGCCTCCCAAGTAGCTGGGATTACAGGCGCGTGCCACCGTGCCTGGCTAATTTTTTTGTATTTTTAGTAGAGACAGGATTTCACCATGTTGACCAGGTGGTCTTGAACTCCTGAACTCTAGTGATCCACCCACCTCAGCCTCCCAAAGAGCTGGGATTACAGGCATGAGCCACTGCGCTCGGCCCACCCCATTTTACAGATGAGAAAACAGGGGCCTGTGCCTCTGTTGGGAATTGACAGGGACAGAGCAGGACAGGGCCTGGCTCCTGATGACCTTTGAAGGATGTCTGGGCCAGAGGGGACAGGGGGTCTTAGGCAGGGGCTCACCACCTCCCCTCATCCAGGTGGGCAACGCCCTGATGGAAGGCGTGGGAGCTGCACACACCGACTGCAACTACTGGCCCAGGGACCCGCAGCTATAAAATGACGTGATGACTTTGGGAGGCTGAGGTGGGAGGATTGCTTGGGGCCAGGAGTTCAAGACCAGCGTGGCCAACATAGTGAGACTCCCCCTAGCCATCTCTATAAAAATAGAATAAAATAAAATATAAAATAAACTGGTGTGATGACAGCTGCCCTGCCTACATCTCGGAGTTGCCATGGGGGCAAAATCAAATTATAAAGCATCAAAAAACGGAAAAAGCAACACAGACACACAGGTTGTTAGTATTATTATTATTATTTTTTTTTTTTTTTTTTGAGATGGAGTTTCACTGTGTTGCCCAGGCTGGAGTGCAATGGCACCATCTTGGCTCACCACAACCTCTGCCTCCCGGGTTCAAGCGATTCTCCTGCCTCAGCCTCCGGAGTAGCTAGGATTATAGGCATGTGCCATCACCCCTGGCTAATTTTGTATTTTTAGTAGAGATGGGGTTTTGCCATGTTGGCCAGGCTGGTCTTGAACTCTTGACCTCAAGTGATCTGTCCTCCTCGGCCTCCCAAAATGCCGGGATTACAGGCGTGAGCCACTGCACCCAACCTATTATTACAACTTCTTTTTTTTTTTTTTTTTTTTATTTGAGACGGAGTCTTGCTCTATTGGCAGGCTGGAGTGCAGTGGCGCAATCTCAGCTCATTGCAACCTCTACCTCCCGGATTCAAACAATTCTCCTGCCTCAGCCTCCTGAGTAACTGGGACTAGAGGTATGCGCCACCATGCCTGGCTAATTTTTGTATTTTTAGTAGAGACGGGGTTTCACCAAGTTGGCCAGGATGGTCTCTATCTCTTGACCTCGTGATCCACATGCCTTGGCCTCCCAAAGTACTGGGATTACAGGTGTGAGCCACCACGCCCGGCCCATGATTACAACTTCTAACACAAACTTTTACTTGGCCAGAGGCGGACAGAAATCTGAAATCCAAGGTCACAGGGTCTGTGTTGGACTCCTCTTGGGTCCTTTATAATGTAGAGCCACCTCCTGAAACATCTTTTGCTTCTCTCCTGCTCTCATACCCTCCATGGCTCCCCATTGCCCTTAGGGAACAAAGCCGAAGCTCCTGAGCCCATGCCCAGCCCTGCGGTCCTCCTCTGAGGACACTCCTGCCCCACGCATTCCAGACACCGGCTAATCTCTAGATTCCAAGGCCCTCTCCCACCTCTTAGCTGAGTTCCAGTGCCACATTCTTGCTGTGTGACCTTGCAAGCTCTGTTTTCTTCTCTGGGCCAGGGCTGAGGGGGAGGAAAAGCTCACCTTCCCCCAGCTTTGGGGGAAGGAAGCCCAGAGGTCCCGCGGCTGTTAGCTGGGAGGCCTGATCCAGAGTTCTAGTACCTACTTTCTGCTAAGTTTTTTGGCAGGTCTTCCAGTGCCCCAGCGCTGGGCCCAGAAGCTGGCCCAGTCAACTTGCCTCTATGTGGAGCCTAACTCCAGGGGAGCCTGTCTCTTGCCTTCATGGGCTCCAGAACCCAAGCTGAGCTTAGGTGTGTAAGCGTGGGCTCTGTCCCTGCCCACCTCAGTCTTCCCATCTGTACAATGGGTCCGGTCCATTGCTTCGAGCACCCAGGGTCCCCTCTGACTTCTTGTCCCACGCTGTGTCTTGGGATGGATCAGGGCAGAGAGAAAGGGGTAGGCAGTGCTAAGAGGGCTCACCCAGCGCCCATGCCCCCACAAGCCTCCTCATCCAACTAGACTTTCTCAATGGAGTTTGTCCAACTAGACTTTCTCACTCCAGATCTCCCCAACACCTTTTTTTTTTTTTTTTTGAGTCGGAGTCTCGCTCTGTCACCCAGGCTGGAGTGCAGAGGCGCGATCTCGGCTCACTGCAAGCTCCGCCTCCTGGGTTCACGCCATTCTCCTGCCTCAGCCTGCCGAGTAGCTGGGACTACAGGCGCCCGCCACCATGCCCGGCTAATTTTTTGTATTTTTAGTAGAGACGGGGTTTCACTGTGTTAGCCAGGATGGTCTCGATCCCCTGACCCCGTGATCCGCCCGCCTCGGCCTCCCAAAGTGGTGGGATTACAGGTGTGAGCCACGGCACCCAGCCTTTTTTTTTTTTTTTTTTTTTTTTTTTTTTTGAGACAGAGTCTTGCTCTGCTGCCCAGGCTGGAGTGCTGGAGTGCAGTAGTGCGAACTTGGCTCACTGCAACCTCGGCCTCCCGGGTTGGAGCAATTCTCCTGCCTCAGCCTCCCAAATAGCTGGGATTACAGGCGTGAGCCACCGCGCCCGGCCTCTTCACTTACTTTGCTGGGTACTGGCCAGGATAGAAATGGTGTCCAGTCCAGACCTCCCCACCAAAGTCTCTCCAGACGCTTCCCAAAGAGCCCAGGCACATCAGATACTTGCAGTTTCCCCAACATCCCCCCGTGTCAACCCCTCCCTAAATTGTCTCTTTGGTGGACTCCTATTCAGACTTCAAGGCCCAGCCCAAAAGACCCTTCCTCAGGAAAGCCTTGCCAGTTCCTCAAGCTGGGTTAGCTGCCTCCTCCAGGTCAGCCTCTAACACACATTCAGGATATCAGACAGTCATTGATTCATTCCCCTGGGGGCCTCTGGAGAACAGGCTGCAGTCTGGCGTCTGAGTATTAATATTATCAGAGTCCCGGTGAGTCAGTTACAGCCCAGAGACCCAGGCACTTCCTGTGACACACCCTCCTCTCTGACATCCTTGGAAGGTGTGAGCCCGAAGCCGGCCCAGCCCTTTCCTCCCTAGCGCTATTCCTCAACAGCTCTGGCAGTCCCGGGACACCATTCCTGCCAAGGGTGTGCCCACACCCTCCTGGGACACACTCCTGGGACAGGATGCTCACTCACTTGACAGATAACACATCCCTTCCGGATGTTACTTCTGTCCCTTCTGACATAGAACGGGGTCTGCCCTCTCTCCCTCTCTCCTCTCCTTTCCTTTCCTCTCCTTCCCTCTCCTTCTTCCCTCTCTCCCTCCCTTCCTCCTTCCTTCTTCCCTTCCTTCCCTCCCTCCTTCCTTCCCTCCCTCCCTTCCTTCCCTCCCTCCCTTCCTTCCCTCCCTCCCTTCCTTCCCTCCCTCCTTCCTTCCCTCCCTCCCTTCCTTCCCTCCCTCCCTTCCTTCCCTCCCTCCTTCCTTCCCTCCCTCCTTCCTTCCCTCCCTCCCTTCCTTCCCTCCCTCCTTCCTTCCCTCCCTCCTTCCTTCCCTCCCTCCTTCCTTCCCTCCCTCCTTCCTTCCCTCCCTCCCTTCCTTCCCTCCCTCCCTTCCTTCCCTCTCTCCTTCCTTCCTTTATTCCTTCCTTCCTCCCTCCCTCCTTCTTTCCTTCCTTTATTCCTTCCCTCCTCCCTCCTCCCTCCTTCCCTTCCTTCCTTCCCTTCCTCCTTCCTTCCTTCCTTTCTTCCTATTTGCAAGTAGGAGCTGAGTTTACTGAGTCCTAACTACATGCCATGATCCCAAAGTGATCAAAACAGGTATCAAGGCCAGATGTGGTGGCTTGTACCTGTAATCCCAGACTTTGGGAGGCTGAGGCAGGGGGATTGCTTGAGCCCAGGAGTTTGAGACCAGCCTGGACAACAAGGGAAGGCCCCATCTCTACAAAAAGTACAAGAAATTTGGCCGGGCGTGGTGGCTAACACCTGTAATCCCAGCACTTTGGGAGGCTGAGGCGGGTGGATCACAAGGTCAGGAGTTCGAGACCAGCCTGGCCAACATTGTGAAACCCTGTCTCATAGTTGAGACAAAAATTAGCCAGGCCTAGTGATGCACGCCTGTAGTCCCAGCTATTCAGGAGGCTGAGGCAGGAGAATTGCCCTGAACCTTGGAGGTGGAGGTTGCAGTGAGCCAAAGATTACACCACTGCACTCCAGCCTGGGCGACAGGGCAAGACTCCATCTCAAAAAAAAAAAAAAAAAAAAAAAAAAGAAATTAGCCAGGTGTGGTGTTGTATACTTGTAGTCCTAGCTACTCCGGAGGCTGAGGTGGGAGGATCACCTGAGCCCCGGAGTTTGAGGCTGCAGTGAGCTATGATTGAACCACTGCACTCCAGCCTGGGCCAAGAGTGAGACCCTGTCTCAAAAAAGAAACAAACAAATGTCATTCCTGCCTGTGGAGCAGCGAGGCAGAGCATAAACCCATCATCACACAGATACACTTAGTTATCCACTGTGACCAGTATGACAAAAAATACTACAAGAGTCCCGACCCAGTCTAGGGATCAGGGAAGACTTGCTGTAGGAGGTGATGCTGACACTGAGCCCTGAAGGATAAGTAAGAAAGAGCTAAAAAAGCTCTGTGTGGTAGAACTGGCAAGGCTTTCCAGAGAGGGAGGGGTCTTTTGGGCTGGGCCTTGAAGTCTGAATAGGAGTCCACCAAGGAGACAATTTAGGGAGAGCCTGACAGGAGGGTATGTCGGGGGCACAGCAAGTGCAAAGGCCCTGTGGCAGGCAGGAGTTTGGTGCTCCAAGGACTAGAGACGACCAGGCACAGTGGCTCACGCCTGTAATCCCAGCACTTTGGGAGGCCCAGGCTGGAGTATCACCTGAGACCAGCCTGGACAACACAGCAAGATCCCATCTTTACAAAAAATAAAACAGTCAGACATAGTGGTGTGTACCTGTAGTCTCAGCGACTTGGGATGCTGAGGCAGGGAGATTGCTTGAACCCAGGAGGTCAAGGCTGAGGTCAAACCCAGGAGGTCAGTGAGCTGAGATCATACCACTGCGCTCCAGCCTGGGCAACACAGCCAGAGAGCCAGACTTTGTCTAAATGGATGGATGGATGGATGGATGAATGGATCGATGGATGGATGGATGTAGGCTGGGTGTGGTGATTCATGCCTGTAATCTCAGCACTTTGAGAGGCCAAGGCAGGTGGACTGCTTGAGCCCAGGAGTGCCACACTAGCCTGGGCAACAGACCCCCGATCCGTCTCTACTAAAAATACAAAAAATTAGCCGGGCATGGTGTCATGAGCCTGTAATCCCAGCTACTCGGGAGGCTGCGGCAGGAGAATTGCCTGAACCCAGGAGGCAGAGGTTGCAGTGAGCCAAGATCATACCACTGCACTCCAGCCTGGGTGACAGAGTGAGATTCTGTTTCAAAAAAAAAAAAAAAAAGAGTAGGACATCTATTAAGAAGTGCCCTTGGGGTCAACAGAAGTTGAGCTTCAATGCAGGCCCAGGGACACCATGATGGCCAGGGACACCCCGGCCCATCCCGCAGGAGCTCTGTAGCCGGAAGGCCCTTCAGAGGTGCCTGGCATTGGGCAGAGATGGCCAGGGCTCGCAATCCTGTGGCCAGCAGCTGATGGATGTGGGCACCCTGCCACCACAGTGACCTTGGTCCAGGTGGCTCTGCAGCTCAGGGCCTGGCAACAGGTCTTGCATGTATTAGGCATGCCAGTGGCTCACCACAGCAGCCATCGCACACCCTCAAAACCCCTCTGACCCTGCCCGACCACCGGCGCTCCCTTGCTGGGCTCCACAGTTTGAATATCCAGAGCGCCGGGCGCTATCATGAGGTTCTGTCACCGCATGGGATGGGTCCTGTCCCGGTGCACATTCAGGAGTTTTTCTTCCCCTTTGGGGCGCCCAGGAATGGGCACAGCAGCCTTGGGAGGTGCAGACCTCAGTGATCAGCCCTAAATGCTGATGCCCCAGGGCAGATGCCATCAGTGGACTTCCTGGGTTGTGACACCTGTTTCTTCGAATCAGAGAAACCCTGGCTCCGGAGAGAAATTGGGAACGGGGGGTCTTGTCCCTTAATGCTTCCCTCCTTCACCTCCCCAAAGTGGCCCAGGATGGAGGGCACGAACCACCCAAAAGGTGTCTCCAGGACCCATGAGCACCACCTCTCTGTCCCTTCTTGGAGCCCTCAACAGAGGCTCCTCCTCTCCTCTAGCCCCCAACCCCAGCAACCCTGTGACAGCGACGAGGTGTCGCTGCCTTCATGTCACAGAAATGCGGTGTGCCCAGCCCAAGATTGCTTCCTGGGGCTGCGCCAGACTTGATTTTTTTTTTTTTTTTTTTTTTTGAGATGGAGTCTTGCTTTGTTACCCAGGCAGGAGTGCAGTGGCTCGCTCTCGGCTCACTGCAACCTCCACCTCCCGGGTTCAAGCGATTCTCCTGCCTCAGCTGGGATTACAGGCGCCTGCCACCATGCCTGGCCAATTTTTGTATTTTTAGTAGAGACGGGGTTTCACCATGATGGCCAGGCTCGTCTCGAACTCCTGACCTCGCGATCTGCCTGGCTCGGCCTCCCAAAGTGCTGGGATTACAGGCGTGAACCACCGCACCTGGCCTTGGACCTGATCTCTTTATCCCTCCCTACAGATCTTCAAGGTGGGCAAGGAACTGGGCCAAGAGGCTCAGTCACTGGCCCCAGGCCGCCAAGACACGCTGACCGGGCTGTGTCCTCAGCAGGGGAGATGACAGGTCTGCTCCTCCTGACTTCCCATGCACGCCTACTACAGCCACGGTGCCTGCTGTGTGCTGGAACCACAATATCCAAGTCAGAGCCCAGCCTCACGGAGTCCCAGTCTGCAGGGTGGGGGCAGCAGGGGCCTTGGGATCTGGGAGGGGATCAGGGAGGCCCCCAGCCTCTGAAAGCTCTGTGAGGAAGGAGCTGGGTGGGGCCCGTTCTCCCCTGAGTCCCCTGCACACAGCCCAGGGCTCTGGAGAGCCCAGCACCTACAGGGAGGATTTGCAGGTTGAATACCTGACATCAGGGGCTGAGATGACGGAGGGCTTCTCCAAGGAGACGGTGGCAGTTATCCAGCATCCATGGTGACCCGTGAGCAGTGTGGCAGGGAATGGAACGGAAGGTGCAAATTTGCAGAAACAAGATGGAGCCTGGCCCTGTGTGGGACCTGCAGGGCCCTCAGACTCAGGGAGGGCTGAGGGATGGGGCTGGGCAGGTTGGCAGGCCAAGGAATGCAGCTCAGGTTGCCTTCATTCATTCATTCATTCATTCATTTAGTTAGTTAAGGGGTCTCCCTTTGTTGCCCAGGCTGGAGTGCAGTGTCACAATCATAGCTCACAGCAGCCTTGACCTCCTGGGCTTGAGCAATCCTCCCACCTCAGTTTCCCAAGTGGCTGGGACCACAGGCATGCACCACCACACCCGGCTTCGGGGTCCTGCATCCCCCCTGGACAGACCAGCCTGGCCCAGCAGAAGATTCAAATTGCGGCCGGGCTTGGTGGCTCACACCTGTAATCCCAGCCCTTTGGGAGGCCGAGGTGGGCAGATCACCTGAGGTCAGGAGTTCAAGAGCAGCCTGGCCAACATGGTGAAACCCCATCTCTACTAAAAATACAAAAATTAGCTGGGCATGGTGGCAGGCGTCTGTAGTCCCAGCTACTCGGGAGGCTGAGGCAGGAGAATCAGTTGAACCCGGGAGGTAGAGGTTGCAGTGAGCTGAGATGGTGCCACTGCACTCCAGCCTGGGCGACAGAGCGACTCTGTTATCAATAAATAAATAAATAAAAATAAAAAAAGAAGATTCAAATTGTCCTCAATATCCCAGCGGCATGCAAGGTGCATCCCCCTACCCGGCCCTCCAGGCCTGGGCTCTGGCTCGCCACGTGTGCTGTGTGATTCTGGCTGAGACTTCGATCATCTCTGAGCCTGGTTTCCCCCACCTTTTTTTTTTTTTTTTTGAGACGGAGTTTCACTCTGTCGCCCAGCCTGGAGTGTAGTGGCGCAATCTCGGCTCACTGCAAGCTCCACCTCCCAGGTTCACGCCATTCTCCTGCCTCAGCCTCCCGAGTAGCTGGGACTATAGGCGCCCGCCACCATGCCCGGCTAATTTTTTATATTTTAGTAGAGACGGGGTTTCACCGTGTTAGCCAGGAGGGTCTCGATCTTCTGACCTCGTGATCCGCCCGCCTCGGCCTCCCAAAGTGCTGGGATTACAGGCGTGAGCCACCGCGCCCGGCCCTCCCCTTTTTTTAATTTGAGACAGTCTCGCTCTGTCGCCCAGGCTGGAGTGCAGTGGCGTGATCTTGGCTCACTGCAACCTCCGCCTCCTGGGTTCAAGCGATTCTCCTGCCTCAGCCTCCCTAATAGCTGGGATTACAGGCATGCGCCACTGTGCCCAGCTACTTTTTGCATTTTCAGTAGAGATGGAGTTTCACCATGTTGGCCAGGATGGTCTTGAACTCCTGACCTTAAGTGATCCACCTGCCTTGGCCCCCCAAAGTGTTGGGGTTACAGGCAAGAGCCACCAAGCCTGGCCTGGTTTCCTCATTTTGTGTCCAGCTTCTAGAGGGTCTGTGACAAGTCCCTGAAAGGCCTGGAAGCCCCGCCTCCCCAGTCAGTGTCATACACATGGGGTCATGTTTTTTTGTCTTTTTTTGTTTTTGTAGAGACAGGGGTCTTGCCATGTTTACCACGCTAGTCTCTAACTCCTGGCCTCAAGCGATCCTCCTGCCTCAGCCTCCTGAGTAGCTGGGGCCATAGGCACATGTTATCACACACAGCTAACTTTTAAAATTTTTTCTGTAGAAATGGGGTCTCACTATGTTGCCCAGGCTAGTCTCAAATTCCTGGCCTCAAGCGAACCTCCCAACTCAGCCTCCCAAAGGACTGGGATTAGAGGCATGAGCCGCTGCACCTGACCCACACAGGGCCTTGCTGAGGCTTGTGGGCTTGAAGAGGCTGAGTCACTTTCCAAGGACATCCAGTGTGTGAGTGGCATGGCTGAACCCTACTTAATATAAAGCCTGAAAGTGGCTCCGAGTAGGAAAGATCAGGTTCCTCAAAAGACTATTCTGGGGGTCTCGCAGCGTGGGAAGGATGCTATGCCTATTTCTGTAGAGCCCCACCGGATCTGGGGCGCTCTTCACTGTGGCTTTTTTTTTTTTTTTTTTTGAGACAGAGTTTCGCTCTTGTTGCCCAGGCTGGAGTGCAATGGTGCAATCTTGGCTCACCGAAACCTCCGCCTCCCAGGTTCAAGCAATTCTTCTGCCTCAGCCTCTGGAATAGCTGGGATTACAGGCATGTGCCACCAAGCCCGGCTAATTTTTTTGTATTTTTAGTAGAGACGAGGTTTCTCCATGTTGGTCAGGCTGGTCTTGAACTCCCAATCTCGGGTGATCTGCCTGCCTCGGCCTCCCAAAGTGCTGGGATTACAGATGTGAGCCACCGCGCCCGGCTTCATTCCGGCTTTGCTGAGCTAAGAGGGCCCAACGCTTAGCACCCTGGCCTGTGCACAGCTGGCTCACTGCTAAGTCCCACCTGAGCCTGGACCAGCCCTCCAGCCTTACATGTCCCGGGTCACAGCCTCAGGGACATCTGTGTGCCTTTCTCCACTGTCACCCCCAATGCTACATGTCTGTGCAGCCCAGGTGGCCCCAGGGACAAAGGTATGGAGGTCCCAACATTGGGCCTTGGTCATCTCTGGCCTTGATGGCCCTTGGCTATCGGAGAGCCCACGTGACATTATTATTATTATTATTTGAGACGGTGTCTCTACTGTTGCCCAGGCTGGAGTGCAGTGGTGTGATCTCAGCTCACTGCAACCTCCACCTCCCCATTTCAAGCAATTCTCATGCCTCAGCCTCCTGAGTAGTTGGGATTATAGACATGTGCCACCACACCCTGCTAATTTTTATATTTTTAGTAGAGATGGGATTTCGCCATGTTGGCCAGGCTGGTCTTGAACTTCTGGCCTTATGTGAACTGCCCGCCTAGGCCTTCCAAAGTGCTAGGATTACAGGCATGAGCCACCGTGCCAGACAAGGTGACTTAAGTAGCAAAAATTACCGCCTAGAGGCCGGGCGCAGTGGCTCAAGCCTGTAATCCCAGCACTTTGGGAGGCCGAGGCGGGCAGATCACGAGGTCAGGAGATCGAGACCATCCTGGTTAACATGGTGAAACCCCATCTCTACTAAAAATACAAAAAAAAGTTAGCCGGGCGTGGTGGCGGGCACCTATAGGCTACTCGGAAGGCTGAGGCAGGAGAATGGCGTGAACCCGGGAGGCGGAGCTTACAGTGAGCCTAGATCGCGCCACTGCACTCCAGCCTGGGTGACAGAGCGAGACTCCGTCTAAAAAAAAAAATTACCCCCTAGAGACCTGGGAAACGGAGCGGCGGGGCTTCCTCAGGGAGGTCAGGGAGCCCTGCCTGTGCCTTGTCCCCAGCAGAAGCCGAAGTCCCAAGAGAAACCCCAAACCCCTTCTTGCCTGAGCCGGCAAAATCGAAGACCAGGAGGCCTCTGGGACTCTCCCTGCACTGAGGCTGGGTCTGGGGCTTTCCCTGGGTTTGCACAGGACCAGTCTCATGGGATCAGGGCTGGCCAGCTCTGTGCCCCTGTCCCCAGTGGACAGTGCATGCCAGGGAGGTCCCCTCCTGTCCCCAGCACCTGGCACGGGGCAGCGTATGGGAGACACCTCAGGAAGCCCAGACAGCTGGGCCTGTCCCCCACGGGCCGGCTCAGGTTCCTGGCAAGCCCAGCAGTGGCAGAGATTTCTGGCTGAGGAGGGCCTGGTGATGCTGCGCGGTGGCTGTGATCGGATTTCCCCTTGGGCAGGCAGGCCCCGGGACTGCAGGAGCCCACGCCAGCTCAGGAGCACCAAGTGAACCCTGAATGCGCCCCACGGCAGGGCAGCGAGGCCAACTGCAGCCACCGAGCCTGGCTCTGCCTCTTCCCACTGGCCACTCCAAACCTCAGTTTACCCATCTGAAACATGGGGCTGAGAACAACAACCACATAGAGGCTGAAGGACTTGGTGGGCCCTTGGAAGCTCGCCATGAATGGTGGCCCTGGGCCAGGACCTGGATAATCATGTTCCAGAACATCCTGGTAATAGCCAAACCGTGTTAACTATAGGGCCAAGTCTCTCACTTTCCCTGGCCTCGGTTTACTCATCTGAGAAATGGGAGAGTCCCACTTGGCCGACAGGGGTGTGGGGTGCTTTTGATGAGGTGACGTGGGCACCACCCTGACACGCGCCCAGCACACAGTAGGCCCTTGGGGCCTCTGTCTTCCCTTCTCCTCTCTGGACTGGGGGTGGCCAGGAGGACAGGCTGAGCCCCAAGGCAGGTGAGCCAGTGGCCTCCTCAGTCAGCAGCTGCCCCGTCCGCCTGCACCTCCCAACACCTCCCTTTTCTCTCCTTCTCCACCCCTCCAAGGGGGCCTCACCCATACCGCCACTGCCCCACCTCCAAGGGACATTTTTTTAAATTTTTAAATAAAAAAGTGTGTGTGTGTGTGTGTGGTGGAGTCTTGCTCTGTTGCCTAGGCTGGAGTGCAGTGGTGTGATCTCAGCTCACTGCAACCTCCACCTCCTGGGTTCAAGCGATTCTCCTGCCTCAGCCTCCCGAGTAGCTGGGATTACAGGCACCTGCCACCATACCTGGGTAATTTTTGTATTTTTTTAGTAGAGATGGAGTTTCAACATGTTGTCCAGGCTGGTCTTGAACTCGTGACCACAAGTGATCCACCCACCATGGCCTCCCAAAGTGCTGGGATTACAGGTAGGAGCCAGTGCCCCAGACTATTTTATTTATTTTAAAACTTATTTTTTAGAGAAAGGGTCTCGCTTTGTCTCCCAGGCTGATGTGCAGAGGTACGATCATGGCTCACTGCAGCCTCAAACTGCTGGGCTCAGGCAATCATCCCTTTTTTTCTTTTCTTTTCTTTTTTTTTTTGAGATGGAGTTTTGCTCTTGTTGCCCAGGCTGGAGTGCAATGGCGCTATGTCGGCTCACTGCAACCTCTGCCTCCTGGGTCCAAGCAATTCTCCCACCTTAGCCTCCCGAGTAGCTGGGATTACTGGCATGTGCCGCCACGCCCAGCTAATTTTTGTATTTAGCCACCTACCTGCTTGCTGGGATTACAGGCGTGAGCCACTGTGCTTCGGCCTCCGTTCTTAGTTCTTCAGGCACCCCGAGGGGCTGAAGGATGTGAGCTCCATCCCAGCCCAATCACGTGTCCCCCATATCAGAACCACGGGTGGGAATCTTCACCCCACCTCAGAACAAGGGAGACTGAGGCTGAGAGGTGCCTGGCCTCCCAAGGGGCCTGCTTGCCTGCCTGCCTTCCTTCCTTCCTTCTCTCTCTCTCTTTTTTTTTTTGAGATGGAATTTCGCTCTTTGTCGCCCAGGCTGGAGTGCAATGGCGCGATCTCGGCTCACTGCAACCTCCACCTCCCGGGTTCAAGGGATTCTCCTGCCTCAGCTTCCCGAGTAGCTGGGATTACAGGTGCCCGCCACCACACGCAGCTAATTTTTGTATTTTTAGTAGAGATGGGGTATCACCCTGTTGGCCAGGCTGGTCTCGAACTCCTGACCTCAGGCGATCCTGCCCGCCTCAGCCTCCCAAAGTGCTGGGATTACAGGTGTGAGCCACCGTGCCCAGCCTCTCTTTCTCTCTTTGTCTCTTTCTTTCTTTTTCTTTAAGACTGAGTTTTGCTCTTCTCGCCCAGGCTGGAGTGCAATGGCGTGATCTCGATCTCAGCTGGCTGCAACCTCCACCTCCTGGGTTCAACTGATTCTCCTGCCTCCGCCTCCCGAGTAGCTGGGAATACAGGTGCCCGCCACCACACCCAGCTAATTTTTTGTATTTTTGGTAGAGATGGGGTTTCACCATGTTGCCCAGACTGGTCTTGAACTCCTGACCTCAGGTGATCTGCCCGCCTCAGCCTTCCAAAGTGCTGGGATTATAGGCATGAGCCACTATGCCCAGCTCCAAGGGGCATTTCTGAGGTCCCAGGCCAGGCAGGAGAGCGTCAGGGATAAGCCCAGCCAGCCAGGAAGGGGCGAGTCCCTCGCACTGACCCTGGGCCTGGACTGCAGACCCCGCCTCACTGGCCCCTCTCAGGGGCCACCTGGGAGCTAGGTAACCCCCTGCCCCTTTTCACAGCTGAGGGCAAGAGGCCCAGGGCAGGGAAGCCACTGCCTGGGACAGTCCTTAGCATGGGAAGGACCCACCCTTGGCCTGTGCAGCACCCCAAGAGGGTGTCAGAGCCAGGGCCTCGGGAACCCCACTTGACCTGAACTTGAACTTGCTACTGACCCCCATCTCTCCTGGCCCAACTTGTCACCCAGCTTCTGAGGCCCCACTCGGGACAACCAGAAGGGTCCTGAGTCCCAAGGGCTACCTTGGCCTCTAGGAGAGTGGTTGTGAGTCCCGGGGAGGATGAGGGTGCCCGCAGCCTCCCCCTCCAAGCGCCCACAGCCTAGGCCTGCAGGCCCCAAAGGATCCAGTTCCTCTCTGCACATGTGGTCTCTTTCTCATCTGGAGAAGGGGGAGAGCTGGCCCTACAGCAGATGGGTCCAGAGAAAGCAAAAAGCGTTCAGTGTGTGTGTGTGGTGTGTGTGTGGTGTGTGGGTGTGGGGTGTGTGTGTGGTGTGTGTGTGTGTGGTGTGTGTGTGGGATGTGTGTGTGTGGGGTGTGTGTGGTGTGTGTGTGTGGTGTGTGTGGGGTGTGTGTGTGTGGGGTGTGTGTGTGGTGTGGTGTGTGTGTGTGTGTGTGTGTGTGTAAGGGGGAAGCCCAGGAAACCGCATTTTCTTTTTCTGAATAATTCAATCAAATAAGCAAGTCCAGGAACTCCCTAGGAAGGCTGGAAGGGTTTCTCCGGGTACCCTGCGGGCTGGAGACAGAGGGTAGTTTTTAAGGATTTTTTAAAACTCTCCCAAGAAGTGTTAGAAGTTCCCACTTCCTCTGGGGCAGGGATTCCCCTTAGCCTGGTGCCTCTGCCAAGGAGCTGCAGAGGCCCAGGGCAGAGCTACTGAAGGCAGCCAAGTGACCACCCCAGGCTATGTCTGGAGGCCAGGTGTATGTGGGGACCAAGGCTCTGCTGGTCACCTCCTCTGAGGAGCCCTCCCTGACTGCTTTTCTTTTTTTTTTTTAGATGGAGTCTTGCTCTGTCGCCCAGGCTGGAGTGCAGTGGCACGATCTCGTCTCACCGCAAACTCCACCTCCCAAGTTCATGCCATTCTCCTGCCTCAGCCTCCCAAGTAGCTGGGACTACAGGTGCCCGCTACCATGCCTGGCTAATTTTTTATATTTTTAGTAGAGACGGGGTTTCACCGTGTTAGCCAGGATGGTCTGGATCTCCTGACCTCGTGATCCACCCTCCTCAGCCTCCCAAAGTGCTGAGATTACAGGCGTGAGCCACCACGCCTGGCCCCCTGACTGCTTTCTAAGCAGCACTCTCTGCTGCGTGCAGTGGCTCATGCCTGTAATCCCAGCACTTTGGGAGGCTGAGGCAGGTGGATTGCTTTAACCCAGGAGTTGGAGGCCAGCCTGGGCAAATGGCAAAACTTTGTCTCTACAAAACATTAGCTGGGCATGGTGGTACACACCTGTAGTACCAGTAAGTCAGGAGGCTGAGGTAGGAGGATCAATGGAGGCCAAAAGGTTGAGCCTGGAGTGAGCTGAGATTCCACCACTGCACTCCAGCCTGGTGACAAAGTGAGACCCTGACTCGAAAAATAAAAAAAAGCACCTTCCTTTTTTTTTTTTTTTTTTTTAAATATAGAGACAAGGTCTTGCTATGTTGCCCAGGCTGGTCTTGAACTCCTGGACTCAAGTGATCCTCCTACCTTGTCTTCCCAAAGTGTTGGGATTATGGGCGTGAGCCACCACACTCGGCCCAACACCCTCCTTTTTTTTTTTTTTTTTTTTTTTTTTTTTGAGACAGAGTCTCGCTCTATAGCCCAGGCTGGAGTGCGGTGGCACGATCTTGGCTCACTGAAACCTCCGCCTCCCAGGTTCAAGCGATTCTCCTGCCCCAGCCTCCCGAGTAGCTGGGACTATAGGTGTGCACCACCATACTCGGTTAATTTTTGTACTTTTAGTAGAGGTGGGGTTTCATTATGTTGGCCAGGCTGGTCTTAAACTCTTGACCTCGTGATCTGCCTGCCTCAGCCTCCCAAAGTGCTGGGATTACAGGCATGAGCCACTACACCCAGCACCCCCTAATACCTCATTCTGAAGGAAACCTGTTGCTTTTCCTCCTGATGCCATTAAACTTGTTGTTCTCTTGCTCTCTCTCTCATTTAAGATCTGTCTTAGGAATTGTGCTTGCTTTCTTCAGGGTGCTTTTCTCATTTCTCAAAACAGTGCCAGTTAACTCTGGAAGCATGTCCGGCTGGTCAGTGACGGTGTGCTGCATGCAGGAGCAGTGTGATCCAGGAGCTGCTCCAGGCAAAAGGCCCTTCAGCTCCTGGCTGTGCCCTTACTGGGTGATCCTGGCTGGGTCACTGCCCCTTTCTGAGCAGGAAACCTTCTGCTGTTAGAGTAGAAGAGGGAGGAAGTCATGGCAGGCTTCCTGGAGAAGGCAGCCTGAAGCTGGCCCTTAAGGCTGAGAAGGTGGCCAGGAGGCAGAGAGACCCCACTCTGTTTTATTTTAAAAAATAAAATAGGCTGGGCACGGTGGCTCATGCCTGTAATCCCAGCACTTTGGGAGGCTGAGGCGGGCGGATCACAAGGTCAGGAGATGGAGACGGAGACCATCCTGGCCAACATGGTGAAACCCCGTCTCTACTAAAATACAAACAAAATTAGCTGGGCGTGGTGGCACGCGCCTGTAGTCCCAGCTACTCAGTAGGCTGAGGCAGGGGAATCGCTTGAACTCGGGAGGTGGAGGTTGCAGTGAGCTGAGATGGCACCATTGCACTCCAGCCTGGTGACAGAGGGCGAGACGCCATCTCAAAATAAATAAATAAATAAATAAATAAATAAATAAATAAATAAATAAAGGCCGGGTGTGGTGGCTTACACCTGTAATCCCACCACTTTGGGAGGCCAAGGCAGACGGATCACCTGAGGTCGGGAGTTTGAGACCAGCCTGGCCAACATGGTGAAACCCCATCTCTACTAAAAATACAAAATTACCTGGGTGGGGTGGTGGGTGCCTGTAATCCCAGCTACTCAGGAGGCTGAGGCAGGAGAATCGCTTGAACCCGGGAGGCAGAGGTTGCAGTGAGCCAAGATGGCGCCATTGCACTCCAGCCTGGGCGACAGAGCAAGACTCTGTCTCAAAAAAGGAAAAAATAGGCCACGCACGGTGGCTCACGCCTGTAATCCCAGCACTTTGGGAGGCCGAGGCGGTCGGATCACAAGGTCAGGAGATCGAGACCATCCTGGCTAACACAGTGAAACCCCGTCTCTACTGAAAATACAAAAAATTAGCCGGGCGTGGTGGCGGGCGCCTGTAGTCCCAGCTACTGGGGAGGCTGAGGCAGGAGAATGGCGCGAACCCAGGGGGGTGGAGCTTGCAGTGAGCGGAGATCGTGCCACTGCACTCCAGCCTGGGTGACAGAGCAAGACTCCAGCTCAAAAAAAAAAAAAAAAGGAAAATAAATAAATAAATAAATAAACTATCCAGGCATGGTGGCTCACACCTGTAATCTCAGCACTTTGGGAGGCTAAGGTGGGCAGATCAGCTGAAGTTAGGAGTTTGAGACCAGCCTGGCCAACATGGTGAAACTCCATCTCTACTAAAAATACAAAAAAAAAAAAAACTAGCTGGGCGTGGTGGTGCGAGCCAGTAGTCCCAGCTACTCAGGAGGCTGAGGCAGGAGAATCGCTTGAACCCTGAACCCGGGAGGCAGAGGTTGCAGTGAGCTGAGATTGTGCCACTGCAGTCCAGCCTGGGCGACAGAGCAAGACTCCATCTCAAAACAACAACAACTAAAAACGAACAACAACAACAACAAAAAACTGAGGCCAGGTGCAGTGGCTCACACCTCTAATCCCAGCAATTTGGGAGGCTGAGGTGAGAGGATCACTTCAGCTCAGCAGTTCGAGACCAGCCCAGGCAACACAGGGAGACAGACCCTGTTATATTGCAGAGAGACCCCATCTCCACAAAATATAAAAATATTAGTCAGATGTGGTGGCATCCCTGCCGTCCCAGCTACTCAGGAGGCTGAGACAGGAGGATCGCTTGAGCCCAGGAGGTCAAGGCTGCAGTGAGCTGTGATCATGCCACTGCACTCCAGCCTGGGCCACAGAGCTAGACCCTGTCTCTAAAATTTTTAGAGACCTTATCTCTAAAAATAAATTAAATAAATAAACCGGGAGCACCTACTTTTTCTTTTTCTTTTACTTTTTTTTTTTTTTTTTGGAGACAGGGTCTCTATCACCCAGGCTGGAGTGCGGTGGCATGATCTTGGTTCACTGCAGCCTCGACCCCTCAGGCTCAGGCAGTTCTCCCACCTTAGCCTCCCCAGTAGCTGGGACTACAGGCACATGCCACCATGCCCGGCTAATTTTGTCTTTTTTTTTTTTTTTGGTAGAGACAGGGTCTCACCATGCTCCTCAAAACTCCTGGACTCGAGAGATCCTCCTGCCTCGGCCTCCCAAAATGCTGGGATTACGGTGTGAGCCGCTGTGCCCGGCTATTTTATTTTTAAATGAATAAAAGCTGGAGCACCCAACTTTTTTGTTGTTGTTTTTCTGAGACAGAGTTTTGCTCGTCACCCAGGCTGGAGTGCAGCGGCGCAATCTCGGCCCACTGCAACCTCTGCCTCCCGGGTTCAAGCGATTCTCCTGCCTCAGCCTCCTGAGTAGCTGGGATTACAGGCACGCGCCACTATGCCCAGCTAATATTTTGTATTTTTAGTAGAGACAAGGTTTCATCATGTTTGCCAGGCTGATCTTGAATTTTTGACCTCAGGTGATCCACCCGCCTTGACCTCCCAAAGTGCAGGGATTACAGGCGTGAGCCACCACGCCCAGCCTGGAGCACCTAATTTTTAAATTTAATTTTTCTTTTCTTTTTTTTTTTTTTTTGAGACAGGGTCTTCCTCTGTCATCCAAGCTGGAATGCAGTGACTTGATCATAGCTCACTATAACCTTGACCTTCCACGCTGAAGCAATGCTCCTGCCCCAGCCTCCCAATTAGCTGGGAGTACAGGCACGTGCCACAACACCCAGCTGATTTTGTAGAGATAGGATCTCCCGTGTTGCCCAAGCTTGTCTCCAACTCCTGGGCTCGAGCGATCTTCCCTCCTCGGCCTCCCAAAATGCTGGGATTACAGGTACAAGCCATCACACCCCAGTGGGAGAGACCCCACTTGCTGCCACGTGACCATGGGCTGATGGTGTCCTCTCTGGGCCTCAGGTGATAAATTCTGAGGAGGGAGGTAGGGCCCAGGAATTCCGACTTTCAAACAGCCTTTGGACTCAGGCCTTGGGGACATTCCAGGGGACCCTTTACCAGGGAGGGGCAGTGTGAGGCAGGAGGCAGGGCTGCCGCCTCAGGGACCCTGAGGCTAGAGTCCTTCCCACCGCATTTGGGGACTTGAGCACTTCACCAGTCCTGACTCAGTTTCCTAGTCTGTGAATGGGGGTGTGTCTCCTGGAATGTTGCCCCCCCTCATTCATTCATTCTCCTCTCACTGAGCACCTACCGTGTTCAGGGTCCCTGTCCTCCTAGAGCTAACTCAAGTCTTGGAGGGAAGCTCTGTCTCAGTTCCTTCCTCTACAAAATGGAGCTTGAGGACGGGCACGGTGGCTCATGCCTGTAATCCCAGGACTTTGGGAGGCTGAGGTGGGAGGATCGCTTGAGCCCCCCGGAGCTGGAGACCAGCCTGGGCAACATGGTGAGAAGCCATACCTCTACAGATAATTTAAAAATTAGCCAGGCTTGGAAGTGTGTGCCTATAGTCCCAGCTACTCGTGAAGGCTTTGAGCCCAGGAGGTCGAGGCTGCAGTGAGCTGTGATCGCACTCCAGCCTGGGCATCACAGCAAGACCTTGTATCAAAAATAGTAATAATAATAAAAAGGAGGTTGGATTCCCTCCTGGCAGGATAGGGAGGGCGCTGCAGTGCCCAGGGCAAGGTGGCTGGGTGGTTGTTTTGCGGGAGGGCCAAGGAGTGGTCCCTGGGTCTGCGCTGTAAGAGTTGGTTGCCTGGAGGCCTTGCAGGGTGGGGGTGTCACCAAAGCAAAGGCTTGGAGGGGAAAAAACAAAAGTCCCAGCCAGGCAGGTGGAGTCCCCTTGGCTGAGTTCAACCGAGGGTTCTCCGGGGGCTGCGTGCGTGCCCCAGTGACAGCTCCGAAAGCTCCCTTACAGGGCAAAGTTCCCAAGCACAGAAGAGAACCTGTTCACTTCTCCCCTGCTCGGCCCGCCCCCTGGCCAGGCACCTCTACTTCCTCTTTTCCTGCTCCGCTGCTTGCTTTCTCTCTTCAGCTCCTCCCTGCCCCTCACCCCAGGCTGCTCGGCCACCTCCAACCTGCCACCTGAGGACACCCAGGCAGTCACTCATTCAACAGCGAGGAGCCCTGGGGTGGGTGTAGTGGGAAGGAGTGGGGGTGACGGAGACCCTGGGAGGGCTCGCAGCCTGGTGGCTGAGGCCCAGTTCTAAATGCCAGCTGCAAGCCTTGGTCTGAGGTAGGGAGGAAGGCGTGGCTGCAGAGGCTAAAACGCTTCCCCAAAGAGGGGCTTTCTGGGATGGGACTTGAAGGGTGCATAGGAGAGCACTAGGAAGTGGCCGCTGCAGACAGAGGGAACCACAAGCCAGGAGGACAGGCCAGGAATGCTGCAGCCCGGGGCGGGGTGGGGCTGGAGCTCCTGTCTCTTGGCCAGCTGAATGGAGGCCCAGTGGCAACACAGGTCCTGCCTGGGGATCAGGTCTGCTCTGCACCCCACCTTGCTGCCTGGAGCCGCCCACCTGACAACCTCTCATCCCTGCTCTGCAGATCCGGTCCCATCCCCACTGCCCACCCCACCCCCCCAGCACTCCACCCAGTTCAACGTTCCACGAACCCCCAGAACCAGCCCTCATCAACAGGCAGCAAGAAGGGCCCCCCGCCCATCGCCCCACAACGCCAGCCGGGTGAACGTTGGCAGGTCCTGAGGCAGCTGGCAAGACGCCTGCAGCTGAAAGATACAAGGCCAGGGACAGGACAGTCCCATCCCCAGGAGGCAGGGAGTATACAGGCTGGGGAAGTTTGCCCTTGCGTGGGGTGGTGATGGAGGAGGCTCAGCAAGTCTTCTGGACTGTGAACCTGTGTCTGCCACTGTGTGCTGGGTGGTGGTCATCTTTCCCACCAGGCTGTGGCCTCTGCAACCTTCAAGGGAGGAGCAGGTCCCATTGGCTGAGCACAGCCTTGTACCGTGAACTGGAACAAGCAGCCTCCTTCCTGGCCACAGGTTCCATGTCCTTATATGGACTCATCTTTGCCTATTGCGACACACACTCAGTGAACACCTACTACGCGCTGCAAAGAGCCCCGCAGGCCTGAGGTGCCCCCACCTCACCACTCTTCCTATTTTTGTGTAAAAATCCAGCTTCTTGTCACCACCTCCAAGGAGGGGGAGGAGGAGGAAGGCAGGTTCCTCTAGGCTGAGCCGAATGCCCCTCTGTGGTCCCACGCCACTGATCGCTGCATGCCCACCACCTGGGTACACACAGTCTGTGATTCCCGGAGCAGAACGGACCCTGCCCACCCGGTCTTGTGTGCTACTCAGTGGACAGACCCAAGGCAAGAAAGGGTGACAAGGACAGGGTCTTCCCAGGCTGGCTTTGAGTTCCTAGCACCGCCCCGCCCCCAATCCTCTGTGGCACATGGAGTCTTGGTCCCCAGAGTCCCCCAGCGGCCTCCAGATGGTCTGGGAGGGCAGTTCAGCTGTGGCTGCGCATAGCAGACATACAACGGACGGTGGGCCCAGACCCAGGCTGTGTAGACCCAGCCCCCCCG
This sequence comes from Homo sapiens, assembly GCF_000001405.40. Taxonomy (NCBI): domain Eukaryota; kingdom Metazoa; phylum Chordata; class Mammalia; order Primates; family Hominidae; genus Homo; species Homo sapiens. The sequence goes on along the minus strand of NC_000007.14, from coordinate 5,531,496 downwards.
CCCCGCAGTGCCTAGGTCACCCACTAACGCCCCAGGCCTTGTCTTGGCTGGGCGTGACTGTTACCCTCAAAAGCAGGCAGCTCCAGGGTAAAAGGTGCCCTGCCCTGTAGAGCCCACCTTCCTTCCCAGGGCTGCGGCTGGGTAGGTTTGTAGCCTTCATCACGGGCCACCTCCAGCCACTGGACCGCTGGCCCCTGCCCTGTCCTGGGGAGTGTGGTCCTGCGACTTCTAAGTGGCCGCAAGCCACCTGACTCCCCCAACACCACACTCTACCTCTCAAGCCCAGGTCTCTCCCTAGTGACCCACCCAGCACATTTAGCTAGCTGAGCCCCACAGCCAGAGGTCCTCAGGCCCTGCTTTCAGGGCAGTTGCTCTGAAGTCGGCAAGGGGGAGTGACTGCCTGGCCACTCCATGCCCTCCAAGAGCTCCTTCTGCAGGAGCGTACAGAACCCAGGGCCCTGGCACCCGTGCAGACCCTGGCCCACCCCACCTGGGCGCTCAGTGCCCAAGAGATGTCCACACCTAGGATGTCCCGCGGTGGGTGGGGGGCCCGAGAGACGGGCAGGCCGGGGGCAGGCCTGGCCATGCGGGGCCGAACCGGGCACTGCCCAGCGTGGGGCGCGGGGGCCACGGCGCGCGCCCCCAGCCCCCGGGCCCAGCACCCCAAGGCGGCCAACGCCAAAACTCTCCCTCCTCCTCTTCCTCAATCTCGCTCTCGCTCTTTTTTTTTTTCGCAAAAGGAGGGGAGAGGGGGTAAAAAAATGCTGCACTGTGCGGCGAAGCCGGTGAGTGAGCGGCGCGGGGCCAATCAGCGTGCGCCGTTCCGAAAGTTGCCTTTTATGGCTCGAGCGGCCGCGGCGGCGCCCTATAAAACCCAGCGGCGCGACGCGCCACCACCGCCGAGACCGCGTCCGCCCCGCGAGCACAGAGCCTCGCCTTTGCCGATCCGCCGCCCGTCCACACCCGCCGCCAGGTAAGCCCGGCCAGCCGACCGGGGCAGGCGGCTCACGGCCCGGCCGCAGGCGGCCGCGGCCCCTTCGCCCGTGCAGAGCCGCCGTCTGGGCCGCAGCGGGGGGCGCATGGGGGGGGAACCGGACCGCCGTGGGGGGCGCGGGAGAAGCCCCTGGGCCTCCGGAGATGGGGGACACCCCACGCCAGTTCGGAGGCGCGAGGCCGCGCTCGGGAGGCGCGCTCCGGGGGTGCCGCTCTCGGGGCGGGGGCAACCGGCGGGGTCTTTGTCTGAGCCGGGCTCTTGCCAATGGGGATCGCAGGGTGGGCGCGGCGGAGCCCCCGCCAGGCCCGGTGGGGGCTGGGGCGCCATTGCGCGTGCGCGCTGGTCCTTTGGGCGCTAACTGCGTGCGCGCTGGGAATTGGCGCTAATTGCGCGTGCGCGCTGGGACTCAAGGCGCTAACTGCGCGTGCGTTCTGGGGCCCGGGGTGCCGCGGCCTGGGCTGGGGCGAAGGCGGGCTCGGCCGGAAGGGGTGGGGTCGCCGCGGCTCCCGGGCGCTTGCGCGCACTTCCTGCCCGAGCCGCTGGCCGCCCGAGGGTGTGGCCGCTGCGTGCGCGCGCGCCGACCCGGCGCTGTTTGAACCGGGCGGAGGCGGGGCTGGCGCCCGGTTGGGAGGGGGTTGGGGCCTGGCTTCCTGCCGCGCGCCGCGGGGACGCCTCCGACCAGTGTTTGCCTTTTATGGTAATAACGCGGCCGGCCCGGCTTCCTTTGTCCCCAATCTGGGCGCGCGCCGGCGCCCCCTGGCGGCCTAAGGACTCGGCGCGCCGGAAGTGGCCAGGGCGGGGGCGACCTCGGCTCACAGCGCGCCCGGCTATTCTCGCAGCTCACCATGGATGATGATATCGCCGCGCTCGTCGTCGACAACGGCTCCGGCATGTGCAAGGCCGGCTTCGCGGGCGACGATGCCCCCCGGGCCGTCTTCCCCTCCATCGTGGGGCGCCCCAGGCACCAGGTAGGGGAGCTGGCTGGGTGGGGCAGCCCCGGGAGCGGGCGGGAGGCAAGGGCGCTTTCTCTGCACAGGAGCCTCCCGGTTTCCGGGGTGGGGGCTGCGCCCGTGCTCAGGGCTTCTTGTCCTTTCCTTCCCAGGGCGTGATGGTGGGCATGGGTCAGAAGGATTCCTATGTGGGCGACGAGGCCCAGAGCAAGAGAGGCATCCTCACCCTGAAGTACCCCATCGAGCACGGCATCGTCACCAACTGGGACGACATGGAGAAAATCTGGCACCACACCTTCTACAATGAGCTGCGTGTGGCTCCCGAGGAGCACCCCGTGCTGCTGACCGAGGCCCCCCTGAACCCCAAGGCCAACCGCGAGAAGATGACCCAGGTGAGTGGCCCGCTACCTCTTCTGGTGGCCGCCTCCCTCCTTCCTGGCCTCCCGGAGCTGCGCCCTTTCTCACTGGTTCTCTCTTCTGCCGTTTTCCGTAGGACTCTCTTCTCTGACCTGAGTCTCCTTTGGAACTCTGCAGGTTCTATTTGCTTTTTCCCAGATGAGCTCTTTTTCTGGTGTTTGTCTCTCTGACTAGGTGTCTAAGACAGTGTTGTGGGTGTAGGTACTAACACTGGCTCGTGTGACAAGGCCATGAGGCTGGTGTAAAGCGGCCTTGGAGTGTGTATTAAGTAGGTGCACAGTAGGTCTGAACAGACTCCCCATCCCAAGACCCCAGCACACTTAGCCGTGTTCTTTGCACTTTCTGCATGTCCCCCGTCTGGCCTGGCTGTCCCCAGTGGCTTCCCCAGTGTGACATGGTGTATCTCTGCCTTACAGATCATGTTTGAGACCTTCAACACCCCAGCCATGTACGTTGCTATCCAGGCTGTGCTATCCCTGTACGCCTCTGGCCGTACCACTGGCATCGTGATGGACTCCGGTGACGGGGTCACCCACACTGTGCCCATCTACGAGGGGTATGCCCTCCCCCATGCCATCCTGCGTCTGGACCTGGCTGGCCGGGACCTGACTGACTACCTCATGAAGATCCTCACCGAGCGCGGCTACAGCTTCACCACCACGGCCGAGCGGGAAATCGTGCGTGACATTAAGGAGAAGCTGTGCTACGTCGCCCTGGACTTCGAGCAAGAGATGGCCACGGCTGCTTCCAGCTCCTCCCTGGAGAAGAGCTACGAGCTGCCTGACGGCCAGGTCATCACCATTGGCAATGAGCGGTTCCGCTGCCCTGAGGCACTCTTCCAGCCTTCCTTCCTGGGTGAGTGGAGACTGTCTCCCGGCTCTGCCTGACATGAGGGTTACCCCTCGGGGCTGTGCTGTGGAAGCTAAGTCCTGCCCTCATTTCCCTCTCAGGCATGGAGTCCTGTGGCATCCACGAAACTACCTTCAACTCCATCATGAAGTGTGACGTGGACATCCGCAAAGACCTGTACGCCAACACAGTGCTGTCTGGCGGCACCACCATGTACCCTGGCATTGCCGACAGGATGCAGAAGGAGATCACTGCCCTGGCACCCAGCACAATGAAGATCAAGGTGGGTGTCTTTCCTGCCTGAGCTGACCTGGGCAGGTCGGCTGTGGGGTCCTGTGGTGTGTGGGGAGCTGTCACATCCAGGGTCCTCACTGCCTGTCCCCTTCCCTCCTCAGATCATTGCTCCTCCTGAGCGCAAGTACTCCGTGTGGATCGGCGGCTCCATCCTGGCCTCGCTGTCCACCTTCCAGCAGATGTGGATCAGCAAGCAGGAGTATGACGAGTCCGGCCCCTCCATCGTCCACCGCAAATGCTTCTAGGCGGACTATGACTTAGTTGCGTTACACCCTTTCTTGACAAAACCTAACTTGCGCAGAAAACAAGATGAGATTGGCATGGCTTTATTTGTTTTTTTTGTTTTGTTTTGGTTTTTTTTTTTTTTTTGGCTTGACTCAGGATTTAAAAACTGGAACGGTGAAGGTGACAGCAGTCGGTTGGAGCGAGCATCCCCCAAAGTTCACAATGTGGCCGAGGACTTTGATTGCACATTGTTGTTTTTTTAATAGTCATTCCAAATATGAGATGCGTTGTTACAGGAAGTCCCTTGCCATCCTAAAAGCCACCCCACTTCTCTCTAAGGAGAATGGCCCAGTCCTCTCCCAAGTCCACACAGGGGAGGTGATAGCATTGCTTTCGTGTAAATTATGTAATGCAAAATTTTTTTAATCTTCGCCTTAATACTTTTTTATTTTGTTTTATTTTGAATGATGAGCCTTCGTGCCCCCCCTTCCCCCTTTTTTGTCCCCCAACTTGAGATGTATGAAGGCTTTTGGTCTCCCTGGGAGTGGGTGGAGGCAGCCAGGGCTTACCTGTACACTGACTTGAGACCAGTTGAATAAAAGTGCACACCTTAAAAATGAGGCCAAGTGTGACTTTGTGGTGTGGCTGGGTTGGGGGCAGCAGAGGGTGAACCCTGCAGGAGGGTGAACCCTGCAAAAGGGTGGGGCAGTGGGGGCCAACTTGTCCTTACCCAGAGTGCAGGTGTGTGGAGATCCCTCCTGCCTTGACATTGAGCAGCCTTAGAGGGTGGGGGAGGCTCAGGGGTCAGGTCTCTGTTCCTGCTTATTGGGGAGTTCCTGGCCTGGCCCTTCTATGTCTCCCCAGGTACCCCAGTTTTTCTGGGTTCACCCAGAGTGCAGATGCTTGAGGAGGTGGGAAGGGACTATTTGGGGGTGTCTGGCTCAGGTGCCATGCCTCACTGGGGCTGGTTGGCACCTGCATTTCCTGGGAGTGGGGCTGTCTCAGGGTAGCTGGGCACGGTGTTCCCTTGAGTGGGGGTGTAGTGGGTGTTCCTAGCTGCCACGCCTTTGCCTTCACCTATGGGATCGTGGCTGTCAGCCTTGAGGGTCAGCCTGGCCCAGGCTCCCATAGGCTTAGGAGAGGCCGCAATTCCTACCTGTTCATCCAGACAGAGGGGGACCTGGAATCAAAGTCAAGTTGGGGTAGGGGGTCCATGGGGCCATATCTGGCCTGCAGACAGCTCTGGTTAGCTATGGGCTGAGGTCTGGATTCTGCCTTGTGACTGGAGACTGGGCGCCATCCCGTGGCCTCTGAGGGCCCAGTTTGTTCGTGACCCATGCTGCAGAGGGAGATACCCAGGCTCCTGGACCTCAGGGCCTGCCTGGCACTGCAGGCCAGGTTCTCTTTTTATTTCTGAGACGGGGTCTTGTGTTGCCCAGGCTGGAGTGTAATGGCACAACCATGGCTCACTGCAGCCTCAACTTTGGGCTCAAGCAATTCTCCTGCCTCAGCCTCCCAAGTAGCTGAAACTACACAGGCATGCCCCAGCACGCCCAGCTAGTTGCAGGTCAGATTCTCATTGTTCTACAGGGCCCTGAGTTAAATACTCTCGCAAGAAGAAACCAAGCCTGGCCTGCCTTCCCTCTGCTAGAAGCTGTGATTGACACCAGCAGAGAATGAAGGAAGAAAAGGGGGTGAGGATCCCTTGCAGGGATGCCGTTTACCCCAAACACCACCTGGTGCATAGCAGTTGTTCTGGAAATGATCCGGTCCCCCCAGGAGGCCTGGACTCTCAACTGTGCACAGTGGCCTACTGGCAGAGAGGAAGGTGGTACCCTTCCTCCTGTGTTATCTTGGAGGTCCCCTGAAGGGCTCTCTGGGGTGGTTCTAGCTCTTTTGGTCTGATTTCTGCAGTGGTGAGCCCTGGGCCACCTTGGGCCACTTAATCATTCAACCCCCATTCATTGAGTGACCACTCTACGGTGGGGGAGGCTACTGAGATGACCTGGACAAGGACCCTGCCCTGGAGGAGCTGTCAGTCTGGAAGTGAGGATTTAATTCATTTGCCCATTCATTCATTCATTCATTCATTCATTGAGGACTTAATTCATTTGCTCATTCATTCATTCATTTGCTCATTCATCCATTCATTCATCCATCCATCCATCCATCCAATCACTATTTGTGCCAGATAGTGCGGGTATAGAGGAGAACCAACCAGATGTGTTCCGTGTCCTCACCAGGCACCCAGTTTAATGGGGAAGACATCACAAGCACGAAGGCAAACAAATGAGTGTACAGTGACATGCTGTGATCATAGGAAGAGAGAGCAGAGACTTTGATGAACACGAGCATCGGGTGATGTTCATTATGTCGATTGTGGTGGTGGTCTTGCAGGTGTAGACATACTTCAAACCTTATCTAATTGGGCCTGCTGTGGTGACGCATGCTTGTAATCCCAGCATTTTGGGAAGCTGAGGTGGGAGGATCACTTGAGCCCAGGAGCTCAAGGCTGCAGTGAGCTATGATTGCACCACTGCACTCCAGCCTGGGTGACAGAACAAGACCGTGACTCTTAAAAATTAAAATAGGCCAGGCAGGCGTGGTGGCTCGCGCCTGTAATCGCAGCACTTTGGGAGGCTGAGGCAGGTGGGTCATTTGAGCCCAAATGCAGCCTAGGCAGCATAGTGAGATCCTGTCTCAATTTTTTTCTTTTTTTTGAGATGGAGTCTTGTTCTGTCACCCAGGCTGGAGTGCAGTGGTGTGGTGTGATCTTGGCTCACTGCAACTTTTGCCTCCTGGGTTCAAGCGATTCTCCTGTCTCAGTCTCCTGAGTTGCTGGGATTACAGGCATGTGTCACCACGCCTGGTTAGTTTTTGTATTTTTCACAGATACAGGGTTTTGCCATGTTGGCCAGGCTGGTCTTAAACTCCTGACCTCAGGTGATCCACCCGCCTTGGCCTCCCAAAATGCTGGGATTACAGGCGTGAGCCACCACGCCCGGCGGTTGTGCACTCCTTATGAGCATCTAATGCCTGATGATCTGTCACTGTCTCCCATCAGCCCCAGATGCGACTATCTAGTTGCAGGGAAAGAAGCTCAGGGCTCTCATTGATCCTATATCATGATGAGTTGTAGAATTATTTTATCATATATTAGAATGTAATAATAGAGATGGTGTACGCAATAAGCGTAATGTGCTTGAATCATCCCAAAACCATCCCCCTGCCCCCATTCATGGGAAAATTATCTTCCACGAAACTGGTCCCTGGTGTCAAAAAGACGGGACTGCTGACATTGGTGATGCACAGCTGGGACAGCTTCACCCATAGGTTGACCAGCAACTTCAGCAGCTCCTGCTTCTTGCCAAGGAAGTCCCAGCCTTAATCTTGCGTATAGCTGCACAAGCGTCTGCTGCCACCACCTACTCCAAGAGAAAGAGGAAGAGGGCCAGAAACACAGATTTTAAAAAGCAAAGGGAGACCAGCCTGACCAACATGGTGAGACCTCATCTCTACTAAAAACACAAAAGTTAGCCGGGCAGGGTGGCGTGCACCTGTAATCCTAGCTACTCGGGAGGCTGAGGCAGAAGAATCACTTGAATCTAGGAGGCAGAGGTTGCATTGAGCCAAGATTGTGTCACTGCACTCCAGCCTGGGAGACAGAGTGAGACTCTGTCCCCTCCCCCCAAAAAACAAAGGAGCCAGGTGCAGTGTCTCATGCCCGTCATCCTAGCACTTTGGGAGACTGAGGCAGTCGGATCACGTGAGGTCAAGAGTTCATCCCAGCACTTTGGGAGACCGAGGCAGTCGGATCACATGAGGTCAGGAGTTCGAGACCAGCCTGGCCATCGTGGTGAAACCCCATCTCTACTGAAAATACAAAAAATTATCTGGGCATAGTGGTGCACACCTGTAATCCCAGCTACTCAGGAGGCTGAGGCGGGAGAATCGCTTGAACTTGGGAGGTGGAGGTTGCAGTGAGCTGAGATCGCACCACTGCACTCTAGCCTGGGCAACACAGTGAGACTCCATTTCAAAAAAAAAAAAAGCAAAGGATCACTGAACATGGGCAGACATGGGGGTAGGGAGAGAGGAGCTGTCACTCTTTTTCTGTTGTTTTATTTTTTGTAGAGATGGGGTCTTGCTATATTGCCCAGGCTGGTCTTGAACTCCTGGCCTCAAGCCATCCACTCGTCTTGGCTCCCCAAAGTGCTGGGTTTGCAGGCGTGAGCCATCACGTCCAGCCTATTTCATTTTTTACAATCAGAGTCTCACTCTGTCACCCAGGCTGGAGTGCAGCACTGTGATCATAGTTTACTGTAACCTCCAACTCCTGGACTCACACAATCCTCCCGCCTCGACCTCCCACGTAGCTGGGACTACAGGTGTGGACCACCATGCCTGGCTAATTGGGCCGTCACTCTTGAGTAGGCTTCCCCAGAGGGCTTCCTGGAGGAAGAATGCTTGAGCTGGCTCCGGAGGCCAGAGGAGTCCCCTGGGGAGGTGGTGTGTCTCAGAGGCATGGATTGACTGGGGACACAGGCCCAAAGAGGAGATACAACCTCCAAGACAGAATGGAGCATTGGTTGATTGTCAGACACGTTGTCTATGTGGCTTTGGGAAGTCACATCACTGCCCATATCCCCATTTGAGAATTGGGCATATCAGTAACAACTGGAAGGTGACTGTAGCGGGTGCACTCCATCAGTACTTTCATTTTATTTTATTCTTGTTATTTTTTTGAGACAGAGTCTCACTCTGTCACCCAGGCTGGAGTGCAGTGGTGCGATCTCGGCTCACTGCAACCTCTACCTCTTGGGTTTAAGCAATTCTCTTGTCTCATCCTCCCTTGTAGCTGGGACTACAGGCGCGTGCCACCATGCCTGGCTAATTTTTGTGTTTTTAGTAGACACAGGGTTTCGTTATATTGTACAGGCTGGTCTCAAACTCCTGACCTCAGGTGATCCGCCCACCTTGGCCTCCCGAAGTGCTGGGATTACAGGCATGAGGCCCTTTTATTTTATTTATTTATTTTTTTAGATGGAGTTTCACTCTTGTCACCCAGGCTAGAGTGCAATGGCGTGTTCTCGGCTCACTGCAACCTCTGCCTCTTGGGTTCAAGCGATTCTCCTGTCTCAGCCTCTTGAGTAGCTGGGATTTCAGGCACACGCCATCACACCAGGCTAATTTCTTTTGTATTTTTAGTAGAGATGGGGTTTCACTATGCTGGCCAGGCTGGTCTCGAACTACTAACCTCAGGTGATCCACCTCCCTCGGCCTCCTGAAGTTCTGGGATTACAGGTGTGAGCCACTACGCCTGGCTATTTTATTTTTATTTTTAGAGATGTGATCTTGTTCTGTTGCCCAGGCTTAGTGCAGTGGTGTAATCGTCGCTCACTGCAGCCTCGAACTCCTGGCCTCAAGTGATCCTTCTATCTGTTGGTCTCCTAGAGGGCTGGGATTACCAGCATGAGCCACTGCGCCTGGCCAAGACTTTCCTTTTTTTTTTTTTTTTGAGACAGAGTCTTGCTCTGTCGCCCAGGCTGGAGTGCAGTGGGGCAATCTCGGCTCACTGCAGCCTCCGCCTCCCGGGTTCACACCATTCTCCTGCCTCAGCCTCCCAAGTAGCTGGGAGTACAGGCACCTGCCACCACGCTCGGCTAATTTTTTGTATTTTTAGTAGAGACGGGGTTTCACCGTGTTAGCCAGGATGGTCTCGATCTCCTGTCCTCGTGATCCGCCCGCCTCGGCCTCCCAAAGTGTTGGGATTACAGGCGTGAGCCACCAGGCCCAGCCTAGAGATGGAGTTTCACCATGTTGGCCAGGCTGGTCTCGAACTCCTGACCTCAAATGATCCGCCCACCTCAGCCTCCCAAAGTGCTGGGATTACAGGCGTGAGCCGCCGCACCCGGCCTCACCTGGCTAATTTTTAAAAATCTTTTGTAGAGATGGAGGTCTTGCTATATTGCTTGGGCTGATCTGAAACTCCTGGCCTCAAGCAGTCCTCTTGCCTCCACCTTCCAAAGTACTGGGATTACACGTATGAGCCACCTGTAATTAAATGCAGATATTTAATTAATCAAATATGACTAATTACTTAAATATTTAATTAATTAAAAATGCATATTTAATTACCCACGATGATGGAACACTTGATCTTAGCCAAAACGCTGAGTAGTGGTAACTATCCACAGTGATAAATGCCATCTAGGAATATTCCGAGGGACAATGGCAGAGGATGCGACGGAATCGTGACATGGTCTAGGGAAGGGTAGGGGTTCTGCAGAAGGGATGTGAGGAAGATGAAGAGAAATTAGCCATAGTTGGGGTGAGGGCCACTCACCAAGGTGAGTAGCTCATGCAACGGCCCTGAGGCCATTAGGTATGAGTGGGAGGATCCCCAGGAGTGAGAAGGCCAGATATGCAGTTCAAGCCTGGCCCAGTGGCTCACACCTGTAATCCCAGCACTTTGGGAGGCTGAGACGGGTGGATCACTTGAGGTCAGGAGTTCAAGAGCAGCTTGGCCAAATGGCGAAACCCTGTCCCTACTACAAATACAAAAATTAGCTGGGCATGGTGACACGTGCCTACAATCCCAGCTAGTCAGGAGGCTGAGGCAGGAGAATCACTTGAACCCGGGAGGTGAAGGTTTCAGTGAGCTAAAATCACGCCATTGCACTCCGGCCTGGGTGACAGAGTTAGACTCCGTCTTGGGGAAAAAAAAAAATTAGCTGGGTGTGGTAGCACATGCCTGTAATCCCAGCTACTCAGGAGGCAATGCTGGAGAATTGCTTGAACCTGGGAGGCAGAGGTTGCAGTGAGCTGAGATTGCACCATTGCACTCCAGCCTGGGCGACATGAGCAAAACTCCGTCTCAAAAAAAAAACAAAAACGCAGTTCCAAAAAAATTAATAGACTTTATTTTTTAGAGCAGTTTTAGGTTCCCAACAAAACTGAATGGTGAGTGCAGAGTTCCCAGGTACCCGCTGTCCCCAGACACCCACAGACTCCCCCTCTATCCACACGCCCACCAGAGGGTTACATGTTACAGTTGATGAAACTGCGTTGACACGGTATCACCCAGAGTCCACGGTTTACACTAGAATTCATACTTTTTTTTTTTTTTTTTGAGACAGAGTCTCGCCCTGTCACCCAGGCCGGAGTGCAATGTCACCATCTCGGCTCACTGCAACCTCCGCCCCCTGAGTTCAAGCAATTCTCCTGCCTCAGCTTGCCGAGTAGCTGGGATTATAGGGGTGTGCCACCACACCAGGCTAATTTTTGTATTTTTAGTACAGACAGGGTTTCACCATGTTGACCAGGCTGGTCTCGAACTCCTGACCTCATGATCCACCTGCCTCGGCCTCCCAGAGTGCTGGGATTACAGGCGTGAGCCACAGCGCCCAGCCTAGAATTCATTCTTGAGTTTAGAGACTAGCCTGGGCAACACAGTGGGACTCTTTCTCTATTTAAGAAAGAGAGAAAGAAAAAGAAAAGGAAAGAAAGATAGATGATGGCGACCAGGCGCAGTGGCTCACACCTGTAATCCCAGCACTTTGGGAGGCCAAGGCGGTTGGATCACCTGAGGTCAGGAGTTGGGGACCAGCCTGGCCAATGTGGCGAAACCCCGTCTCTACTAAAAATACAAAAAAATGAGCTGGGTATGGTGGCAGGTGCCTGTAATCCCAGCTACTTGGGAGGCTGAGGCAGGAGAATCACTTGAAACCAGGGGGCAAAAGTTGCAGTGAGCTAAGATCATGCCATTGCACTCCAGCTTGGGAAACAAGAATGAAACTCCATCTCAAAAAAAAAAAAAAGAAAGAAAAGAAAGATAGATGGTAGCATTGCAACCATCCTGGCTAATTTTTGTCGTAATGGGGTTTCGCCAGTTGGCCCAGGCTGGTCTCGAACTCCTGCACTCAAGGAATCTTCCCACCTCTGCCTCCCAAAGTGCTGGGATTACAGCCACTGCGCCTGGCTTCGGACCCCACTGTGGATGAATTGAAAAGGAGTGGAGAGTGGGGCGGTCACAGACCACTACCATAGCCTGCCTCATTTCTGGGTCCTGTGCCAGGGTCTCAGTGAACTCACAGGGCCTAGTGCTCTGTCCTGGCCTCAGGGTCCCACTGCCCACCACAGTCAGCCAGGCGCTCCAGGGGGCTCTCACACCATGAGCTGTGGGGACACTGTGAGGAACTGTCACCCAGATCCGGCCTCTCCAATCCCAGAAAGGCCTGTGTGAGAATAAGAGCAGCCAGGTGCTGGCACCGACTCTGCCCCTGGGGTCTTTGCACCCAACACTCACTGGTTTCCATCTTTCTTTTTTTTCAAGATGGAGTCTCTCTCTGTCACCCAGGCTGGAGTGCAGTGGCGCAATCTCGGCTCACTGCAACCTCCGCCTCCTGGGTTCAAGTGTTTCTTACGTCTCACCCTCTCCAGTAGCTGGGATTACAGGTGCTCGCCATTACACCGGGCGAATTTTTGTATTTTTAGTAGAGACTAAAGTGCTGAGATTACAGGTGTGAGCCACTGCACCCAGCCTCATTGGTTTTCATGTTGAATGTTCCTGAAACTTGGGGACACCCATGCAATGTGGGAGTCCTTCCTTACTAGAATTCATAACAGTATTAGTGGTTATAGTTTCTGTTGATTGAATCACTCCTCTGCACTGGACACGAGATGCATCATCTCATTCAATTCACCATTTATTTGGCAAACATTGATCAAGGGCCTGCTACTGCCAAGCACTGTTCTAGTGGAGGACAGAAAATAAACAGGTCAGGCTGGGCAGAGTGGCTCATGCCTGTAATCCCAGCACTTTGGGAGGTGGGAGGATCGCTTCAGCCCAGGAGTTTGAGATCAGCCTGGGCAACAAAGTGAGACCCTGTCAGTACAAAAAATAAACAAAATTAGCTGGACATTGTGGTGCATGCCTGTGGTCCCAGCTCTCCCTTGGGAGGCTGAGGTGGGAGGACTGCTTCAGTCCAGGAGTTGAGGCTGCAGAGAGCTGTGATTGTGCCATTGCGCTCCAGCCTGGATAACAGAGCAAGATCCTATCTAGGAAAGGAAAAAAAGGGAGTGGGGGGAGGAGAAGGGGAAGGGGAGGGAAAGGGGAAGGGAAGGACTGCTGCAATGAAAAACGTATCTTGTGGCCAGGAGCGGTGGCTCATGCCTGTAATCCCAGCACTTTGGGAGGCCGAGGTGGGCAGATCACCTGAGGTCAGGAACTCGAGACCAGCCTCAACATGGAGAAACCCCGTCTCTACTAAAAATACAAAATTCGCCGGGCGCGGTGGCTCACGCCTGTAATGCCAGCACTTTGGGAGGCAGAGGCGGGCGGATCACGAGGTCAGGAGATCGAGACCACAGTGAAACCCCGTCTCTACTAAAAATACAAAAAATTAGCTGGGCGCAGTGGCGGGCACCTGTAGTCCCGGCTACTCGGGAGGCTGAGGCAGGAGAATGGCGTGAACCCGGAAGGCGGAGCTTGCAGTGAGCCGAGATCCTGCCACTGCACTCCAGCCTGGGCGACAGAGCGAGACTCTGTCTCAAAAAAAAAAAAAAAAAAACAAAATTAGCCAGGCATGCCTGTAATCCCAGCTACTCGGGAGGCTGAGGCAGGAGAATTGCTTGAACCTGAGAGGCAGAGGTTGTGGTGAGCCAAGATCGTGCCGTTGCACTCCAGCCTGGGCAACGAGAGCGAAACTCCATCTCAAAAAAGAAAAGACAAAACAAAAAAAAAAGAAAAGCACATCTTGTAACAGATTATAGGGAAAAAAGGAGGAATGGGTCAGAGAGGCTGGGAAAGAGAATTCCAGGGAAGACGTGCTAGGAAGATGCAACATTTGAGTTATGGCCAGAACCAGCAAGACCAGGGGGAAAGTATTTTCCCCAGAGAAGGGACCCTTGCAGTGCGTAGATGAGACCTTGAGTGTTTCACACATCATGGACCAGAGTGGCTGAGCAGAGGAGAAAGGAGGAGGACAGGCAGGTGGCAGGAGGCCTGGAGGAGAGAAACTTCAGGGTTCTGTGAAACTCTCCCAGATGCTTGCCTGGGCCAGAATTAGGCCCCAATAGCAAACAATGGGAACTATCATTAACACTATTTTTTTTTTTTTGAGGCAGAGTTTCGCTCTTATCCCCCAGGCTGGAGTGCGGTGGCGTGATCTTGGCTCACTGCAACCTCTGCCTCCCAGGTTCAAGAGATTCTCCTGTCTCAGCCTCCCGAGTAGCTGGGATTACAGGCGCCCGCCACCATGCCTGGCTAATTTTTGTATGTTTAGTAGTGACGAGGTTTTGAATGTTGGCCAGACTGGTCTTGAACTCCTGACCTCAGGTGATCTGTCCTCCTCGGCCTCCCAAAGTTCTGGGATTACAGGTGTGAGCCACTGCACCCGCCCCAACACTCATTTTTGTGATACCTAAAGTTGTACTTTACTGTGGACGAAACCATGAGCTCTTTGGGGGCAAGGACTGTCCCTCTGTTCCCCAGCCACCCCCGTGATCCACAATTGGAGCTCACCAGAGACCTCTTCATACTAATAAGTGGATCAAGCCTATGAAGTTGGAGGGGGAAAGAGGCCTGGGGGTTATGAGATGAAACTCAATGTGCTAGGGTAAACAGTGTCCCCCAGATATTCATGTCCACCTGGAACCTCAGAATATGGCCTTATTTATTTATTTATTTATTTATTTATTTATTTTTTGAGACGGAGTCTTGCTCGTCGCCCAGGCTGGAGTGCAGTGGCGCGATCTCCGCTGATTGCAAGCTCCGCCTCGCAGGTTCATGCCATTCTCCTGCCTCAGCCTCGTGAGTAGCTGGGACTACAGGCGCCCGCCACCATGCCCAGCTAATTTTTTGTATTTTTAGTAGAGATGGGTTTCACCGTGTTAGCCAGGATGGTCTCCATCTCCTGACCTCGTGATCTGCCTGCCTCGGCGTCCCAAAGTGCTGGGATTACAGGCATGAGCCACGGCCCCCGGCCTAGAATATGGCCTTATTTGTAATGGGGTCTTTGCAGATGTAATTAGTTAAGGTGAAATCATGTTGGATTGCAATTAGTTAAGGTGAAATCATGCTGGATTAAGATGAGCCCTGGCCGGGTGCGGTGGCTCACGCCTGTAATCCTAGCACTTTGGGAGGCCGAGGCGGGCGGATCACAAGGTCAAGAGACCGAAACCATCCTGGCCAAAGTGGTGAGACCCCGTATCTACTAAAAATACAAAAATGAGCTGGGTGTGGTGGCACGTGCCTGTAATCCCAGCTACTCGGGAGGCTGAGGCAGGAGAATCGCTTGAACCCGGGAGGCGGAGGTTGCAGTGAGCCAAGATCGTGCCATTGCACTCCAGCCTGGGCGACAGAGCCAGACTCCGTCTCAAAAAAAAAAAAAAAAAAAAAAGACGAGCCCTTAAATCCAACATGACTGGTGTCAGAAGACGAGGAGAGGACACATAGAGAGACAGTGGAGAGACGGCCACCTGAAGACCGAGGAAGAAATTGTAGTAATGAGCTGCAGGCCGAGGGACTCCAAGGATTTCAGGGAACCACCCAAGCTACGAAAAATGTTGGCATGGTGGTTCACACCTGTAATCCCAGCACTTTGGGAGGCTGAGGCAGGAGGATCACTTGAACCCAGGAGTTCAAGACCAGACTGGGTAACACAACAAGACCCTGTCTCTATTAAAAAATATATGAAATTGGCCGGGCGTGGTGGCTCACGCCTGTAGTCCCAGCACTTTAGGAGGCCGAGGTGGGCAGATCACGAGGTCAGGAGATCGAGACCATCCTGGCTAACACAGTGAAACCCCGTCTCTACTAAAAATACAAAAAATTAGCTGGGCGTGGTGGCAGGCGCCTGTAGTCCCAGCTACTCGGGAGGCTGAGGCAGGAGAATGGCGTGAATCCGGGAGGTGGAGCTTGCAGTGAGCTGAGATCACGCCACTGTACTCCAGCCTGGGCGACAGAGCGAGACTCCATCTCAACAAAAAAATATGTATATATGTATATTTATATATGTGTATATATATATAAAATTAAAAGGAAAAAGCAAGGGAGGATCCTCTAGAGCCTTTGAAGGGAGCATGATCCACTATCATCTTTATTTACGATTTCTGGCCTCTGGAACTGTGAGAGAAGACATTTCTGCTGTTTACGCTACCCCGTTTGTGAAACTTTGTTAGGCCAGCCCTAGAAAATGAATACACTTGCTTAGGGTCACCCAGAATTAGTTCCAGTATTCAAACCCAGTTCTTTTTTCTTTCTTTCTTCTTCTTTTTTTTTTTCATGATTTTAAGATTTTATTTTTTTGAAATGGAGTCTCGCTCTGTTGCCCAGGTTGGAGGTACCATCTTGGCTCACTGCAACCTCCATCTCCTGGGTTCAAGCAATTCTGCTGCCTGAGCCTCCCAAGTAGCTGGGATTACAGGTGCACACCACCACGCCTGGCTAATTTTTGTATTTATTTTTTTAGTAGAGACGGGGTCAGGCTAGTCTCGAACTCCTGACCTCAGGTGATTCACCTGCCTCGGCCTCCCAAAGTGCTGGGATTACAGGCATGAGCCACTGCGCCTGGCCTTTTTTTTTTTTCTTTCTTCGTCTTATTTTTTTGTAGAAAGAAGTCTTGCTGTGTTGCCCAGGCTGGTCTCAAACTCCTGGGCTCAAGCGATCCTCCTGCCTCAGCCTCCCAAAGTGCTGGGATTACAGGCGTGAGCCACTGTGCTTGGCCTCAAACCCAGTTCTTTTGATTCCAGAGAATGAACTTTCCCCAGGGATTTTTATTAGTAAAATATTTTTATGTATTTATTTGTTGAGGAGACAAGAGTCTTGCTCTGTCATCCAGGCTGGAGTGGAGTGGCGCAATCTCAGCTCACTGCAGCCTGGAACTCCTGGGCTCAAGCGATCCTCCCCCTCAGTCTCCAGGAAATGTTTATTTTTTGTAGAGGGCCTGGGGGTTCTTGCTGTGTTGCCCAGGCTGGTCTGGAACGACTGGCCTCAAGGGATCCTCCCGCTTGGGCCTCCTGAAATGCTGGAATTACAGGCGTGAGCCATCCTGTCGGCTCTAAGTATGTATGTATGTATGTATGTATGTATGTATGTATGTATGTATTTATTTTGAGACGGAGTCTCACTCTGTTGCTCCATCTGGAGTGCAGTGGCCAGATCTCAGCTACTGCAACCTCCGTCTCCCGGGTTCAAGCACTTCTCCTGCCTCAGCCTCCCGAATAGCTGGGACTACAGGCGTGCGCCACCACGCCCAGCAATTTTTGTATTTTTAGTAGAGACGGGGTTTTACCATGTTGGCCGGGCTAGTCTCAAACTCCTGACCTCAGGCGATCCGCCCGCCTCGGCCTCCCAAAGTGCTGGGGTTACTGGCATGAGCCACCAAGCCCGGCCGGGTCTAATTATTTTAAAACGCAAACGCTTAAGTATGAGGGTGCATACATTCATGTTTACTTAGCAAATATGTATTCAGTCAGTGTCTATCACATTCCAGGGATAGTTTCAGGTATTGGGAAATCCTGTCCCTGCTTACAGTTTATTAGAGGAGGATAAAAAAAAAAAGATACCGTCGGTCAGATGGTGCAAAAATCTATAGAGACACAGGATGAGAGGCAAGTTTCGGGGCGTGTGTGAAGGTAGAGAGGAGGCGACGCTATTCCATGAGGGGTGCGGTGCGCAGGACCTGTGGCGTTTGCACACGAAAGACAGTGGGAAGGGCAGATGCAAAAGCCTGGCGCGAGGAACGTGCTAGGCCGGCATCGGGAGGCCGGGTGGCTGGAAAGGAGCGTGCAGACGGCAGAGGGGCCTAAGAACGAGCTCAGAGAAGAGGCAGAGGTCCTTGGAGCCCTTCTTGGCTCCCTCGTACTCCAGCAGCTCCCCGGGCGGAGCCACATTCAACATGGCGGCCGCCTAGGGCCCGCCTGCGGACGAACGGAAGTGCGTGTAGGCGGGCGCCGGAAGTGACGAGAGCCCGCTCCTTGCCGGGGTCTCGGTTGAGCGGTGGACGCGCCGGCTTCGAGCATCCCTAGCCGGGCAGGTGGGAGGCACGGGGTTGCGGATCCCGCGGCCGCGGTTCGGACCCGCCGGCGACATGGCCAGCTCCGGAGAGGTACTGTCCGCGACTGTCTCCGCTCTGCTTCTGCCTCGGCGGCCTCGGTCTCCCTGGGTTCTTCCATCCCGACCCGGGTTCCCTTGCATCCTTTCTATCCCGACCCCTACCCCGCCCCGTCCTTCCCATCCTGACCCTGGCCTTGCCCCTGCTCCCGTCCTTCCCGCATCCTGTCCCCAAGACTCCTACCCTGTCTCGGAAGGCACAAGCTGTCTCCCCCTTCGCTCGTGCATTCCTGATCGCCAGAGTTGTCCCCGTCTCTCCGTCCCCTGAGGGTCCAGGCTCCTCCGAGACCCCTTTCTCAGTGCCCCGGTTCCTTGGCTGGGCCCCTGCAGCCCTGGGACATTCCCCCTCCGTGCCCACGTCCCACTCCATCTTCTATCTCTGGATGCTCAGTTTCAGCCCCAGCCCACTTCTCCCTGGAGCCTGCTTGCTGAATGACGTGGGGGGTGGGTGATGGAGGAAAAGCCATTTCACCTGAGGGACTTACGACGTACCCTGGAATTCTTTCCCAACACTCCCCAAATCTGGGTCCGATGGAGAAGCCCGCCGCGTCCCTGTAATGTGGTGCAAAGTATTGTCTCTGCAGAAAGGGGTGCAGCGGGGACTCTAGACTCTGACTAGTGGCTTCCCGTTGATGCTTCCTGCCTATCTGTATGGGCACCTGGGTTGGTATCTGTCACCTTTCAGGTCTCAGATCGTTGGGTGCACTTCGCAGATTTAGGAGCTTGCCTGGGTTCTAGGGAGCAAGAGTGAGAGGCTCAAGTGTCTTCCTCAGAGTGATGGGGCAGGGTCTCTGGAGATGGCTGGGGGTCGCTGTGCTCACCGCCCTTCTACATTTGAAGTGAATGCGGCCTAGAAATGACCCCAGTGGCTTCTTGATTGACAAGGAACGGTGTGTGGCTCAACTGCAGATTGATAAGATTGAAATGAAGATTCCAGTTAGCTGTGTGTGCTTGGGGTCAGGGAAGAAGGGGGGTCCTGGTACCTTGGTCTTACAGAATTACAGCTTAAAGCCCCCTCTGTTCCTTGTTTGTTTGTTCTTTGTTTTTGAGACAGAGTCTCGCTCTGTCGCCCAGGCTGTAGTGCAGCGGTGTGATCTGCAACCTCCGCCTCCCCTGCTCAAGCGATTCCCCTTCTCAGCCTTCCAAGTAGCTGGGGTTACACGTGTGCATCACCACACCTGGCTAATTTTTGTATTTTCAGTAGAGACAGGGTTTCGCCATGTTGGCCAGGCTGTTCTCGAACTCCTGACCTCAGGTGATCCACCCGCCTTGGCTTCCCAAAGTGTTGGGATTACAGGCGTGAGCCACAGCACCCAGCTGGACTCTGCTTTTTTTTTTTTTTTTTTTTTTTTTTAAATAACACTTCACATGGTTCAGTGCCTCTTTTTCTTTTTCTTTTTTTTTTTTGAGACGGAGTCTCGCTCTGTTGCCCAGGGTGGAGTGCAGTGGCGTGATCTCGGCTCATTGCAAGCTCCGCCTCCCGGGTTCATGCCATTCTTCTGCCTCAGCCTCCCGAGTAGCTGGGACTACGGGCGCCCGCCACCACGCCCAGCTAATTTTTTGGTTTTTTTTTTTTTTTTACTAGAGACGGGGTTTCACCGTGTTAGCCAGGATGGTCTCAATCTCCTGACCTCGTGATCCACCCTCTTCGGCCTCCCAAAGTGCTGAGATTACAGGCGTGAGCCACTGTGCCCGGCCCATTCTTTATTTTTATTTCTCTTTTTAAAATTTTTTTAGAGATGAGGTGTGACTGTGTTGCTCAGGCTGGCCTCCCAAATTGCTGGGATTACAGGTGTGAGCCCCTGCGCCCAGCCCAGGTTAGGGTTCTAGGTAGGAGATGTTTTTTGGCAGGTAATAAGATTTCAGATCCTTTTTTTTTTTTTTGAGATGGAGTCTCGCTCTGTCGCCCAGGTTGGAGTGCAGTGGCGCGATCTCGGCTCACTGCAAGCTCCACCTCTCAGGTTCACACCATTCTTCTGCCTCGGCCTCTCAAGTAGCTGGGACTACAGGCGCCCACCACCACACCTGGCTGATTTTTTTTTTTTTGAGACGGAGTTTCACCTTTTTGCCCAGGCTGGAGTGCCATGGCACGATCTCGGCTCACTGCAACCTCTGCTTCCCAGGTTCAAGCGATTCTCCTGCCTCAGCCTCCCAAGTAGCTGGGATTACAGGCGCGTGCCACTACGTCCGCATTTGTATTTTTGTAAAAAAAATACATTTTTTTTTTGTATTTTTAGTAGAGACGGGGTTTCTCCATGTTGGTCAGGCCAGTCTTGAACTACTGACCTCAGGTGATCCGCCCACCTTGGCCTCCCATAGTGCTGAGATTACAGGCGTGAGCCACTGCGCCCGGCCCCTGGCTAATTTTTTTGTATTTTTAGTAGAGACGGGGTTTCACCGTGTTAGCCAGGATGGTCTCGATCTCCTGACTTCATAATCCACCTGCCTTGGCTTCCCAGAGTGCTGGGATTACAGGCGTGAGCCACCATGCCCAGCCAAGATTTCAGATCTTACTTTTGCTTCACTTTTGAAAAAAACTAGGCCAGGCACAGATCACTTGAGCTCAGGAGTTTGAGACCAGCCTGGGCAACATGGCAAAACTCCATCTCTACAAAGGAAGGGTTTTGAAAAAACTGTGAAATGTTACATATTCTGAAAAGTACATAAAACACAGAGTTTAGCGAATAACTAAACTCTTTAAACCACTTTCAAGTTGTCATTATAGCCGGTGGTTCCTAGTGTGCCTGGTAAGCACATTCCAGGGCCTGCCACTCACACCAGAATTGGAATTTCAGGAGACCCCAGGAATGAGGTGCCTGGTTGGGACCTGTCTGGAAGCCTCAGCTGCCCTTTCCTGGTGGTGGAGGGAAGGGAGGTTCTGGGCTTAGGAGTCCAGGCCCTGTGGGAGGCATTACTTGGCCTTTGACCTCCAGCCAGTTACCTAGATTTTTTTTTTTTTTTTTTTGGAGACAGGATCTCACTCTGTTGCCCAGGCTGGAGTGCAGTGGCGCGATCATGGCTCACTGAAGCCACCACTTCCCGGGTTCAGGTGATCCTCCCACTTCTGCCTCTTGAATAGCTGGGACTGACTATAGGCACGTGCCACCATGCCTGGCTAATTTTTGTATTTTTAGTGGAAACGGGGTTTCACCGTGTTGGTCAGGCTGGTCTCGAACTCCTGACCTCGTGATCTGCCTGCTTTGGCCTCCCAAAGTGCTGGGATTACAGGCGTGAGCCACCGTGCCTGGCTCAACTAATTTTTTAATTTTTTTGTAGAGACGAGGTTTTGCCACATTGCCCAGGCTGCAACTTGGGTTTTTTTTTCTTTTCTTTTTTTTTTTTTTTTTTTGAGACAGAGTCTTACTCTTTCGCCCAGGCTGGAGTGCAGTGGTGCGATCTTGGCTCACTGCAACCTCCACCTCCTCGGTTCAAGCAATTCTCCTTGCCTCAGCCTCCTGAGTAGATGGCATTACAGGCGCCTGCCACCACGCCCAGCTAATTTTTGTATTTTTAGTCGAGATGGGGTTTCACCATGTTGGCCAGGCTAGTCTCGAACTCCTGACGTCAAGTGATCTGCCTGCCTCAGCCTCCCAAAGTGCTGGAATTACACGCATGAGCTACCGCGCCCTTCCTGCACCCTGGTTTTTGTTTCCTCTCCAGAGCTTGCCACCTTTTTTGGTGCAAGGTGCCTTAACTTAACAAAGTTGTCTCCGGAAGCTAAGTTCCAGGGAAATGACTCAACTCGCCCGCCCAGCAGCTGCCTCCTAGGGTCCTCTGGCCGGAGATGGAGAGTGGGGGTGGGGGCCCATTCGAGCTGCTTCCTGGGCCAGTTTCTCGTCTTGTCTGGGCATCACCCCTCAGATACCTGCCCCACCAGGTTGGGTGCTGGCCCCACAATTGCATCAGGGGTCTGGCCTGAGATGAAACTTCTCTTTTTTTTTTTTTTTTTTGAGATGGAATCTCACTCTGTCACCCAGGCTGGAGTGCAGTGGCACAATCTGAGCTCACTGCAAACTCCACCTCCCAGGTTCAAGCGATTCTTCTGCCTCAGCCCCCCGAGTTGCTGGATAGTTGCTGTGGACAGTAGCCCACCACCACGCCTGGCTAATTTTTGTGTTTTTAGTAGACATGGGGTTTCACCATATTGGCCAGGCTGGTCTCGAACTCCTGACCTCGTGATCCACCCGCTTTGGCCTCCCAAAGTGCTGGGGATTACGGGCGTGAGCCACCGCGCCTGTCCAAAATTTCTGTTTTATTTGGAGCACAGCATGTGGAAAAAATGATGTTGTGGAATTTGCTGTGGCTGGATGGAGAGAGCTGGAACTTAATTCCTGGCCTGCTGTCTCTCCCTCTCTTTTTAAAAAAAATTATTGTAATTTCTATGAGGTTTTAAGAAAAATTCAGTGTGGTCGTGTAACTGTGGAATCTATATGATGCTGGATTTTTTTTTTTTTTTTTTGAGACAGAGTCTCACTCTGTCACCCAGGCTGGAGTGCAGTGGTGCGATCTCGGCTCACTGCAACCTTCACCTCCCGGGTTCAAGCGATTCTTCTGCCTCAGCCTCCTGAGTAGCTGGGACTATAGGCGTGTGCCACCACACCCGGCTAAGTTTTGTATTTTTAGTGGAGATGGGGTTTCATCATGTTGCCGAGGCCTGTCTCAAACTCCTGACCTCAGGTGATCCACCCATCTCAGCCTCTGAATGTGCTGGTTTTACAGGCGTGAGCACAGCATTACAGCGTCTGGCCCAGTGCTGGAGTTTTTAATAGTGTTTTGCCCTAAGTTCTCATTCTTACCACGTGAGCTCTGTGATGGCATTCTTTCATAAATCTGCAAACTGGGAATTGGGAGGGGTACAGTTCATTCCTTGATAAGGACTGTCCCTGGTTCTGATAAAGATTGTCTCTGATTCTGATCAAGTTTGTCTCTGGTTCTGATAAAGGTTGTCCCTGATTTGGGAGTCTGTCTTTTGGGATTGGGCCCCACAAGTCTGGGGTGGGTTCCAGGAATCTGATTTTTATTTATTTATCTTTTTTTTTTTTTGAGACAAGGTCTCTCTCTGTCATCCAGGCTGGAGTGCAGTGGCAAGATCCTAGCTCACTGCAGCCTCAACCTCCTGAGCTGAAGCGATCCTCCCACCTCAGCCTCTTGAGTAGCTGGGACAACAGGCACATGCCACTGTGTCCCACTAATTTTTTTTTTTTTTTTTTTAGACAAAGTCTCGCTCTGTTGCCCAGGCTGGATGCAATGGTGCGATCTCGGCTTACCGCAACCTCTGCCTCCTGGGTTCAAGTAATTCTGCTCAGCCTCCTGAGTAGCTGGGATTACAGGTGCCCGCCACCAGGCCCAGATAATTTTTGTATTTTTTTCTTTCTTTTTTTTTTTTTGAGATGGAGTCTTGCTCTGTCACCAGGCTGGAGTGCAGTGGCGCGATCTCAGCTCACTGCAACCTCCACATCCCGGTTTCAAGTGATTCTTCTGCCTTGGCCTCCCGAGTAGCTGGGACTATAGGCATATGCCACCACGCCTGGCTAGTTTTTGTATTTTTAGTAGAGATGGGGTTTCACTATGTTGGCCAGGCTAGTCTCGAGAACTGACTTCGTGATCCGCCTGCCTTGGCCTCCCAAAGTGCTGGGATTACAGGCGTGAGCCACCACGTCTGGCCTAATTTTTGTATTTTTAGTAGAGACAGGGTTTCACCATGTTGGCCAGGCTGGTCTCGAGAACTGACCTCGTGATCTGCCCTCCTCAGCCTCCCAAAATGCTGGGATTACAGGTGTGAGCCACTGTGCCCAGCCTGTCTTGCTAATTTTCTTTTGAGACAGTGTCTTGCTCTGTTGCCCAGGCTGGAGTGCAGTGGTGTGATCTTGGCTCCCTGCAATCTCTGCCTCCGGGGTTCAAGCGATTCTCCTGCCTCAGCCTCCTGAGTAGCTGGGACTACAAGCGCCTGCCACCATGCCCCGGTAATTTTTGTATTTTTAGTAGAGACGGGGTTTCACCATGTTGGCCAGGCTGGTCTCGATCTCTTGACCTTGTGATTTCCCCGCCTCGGCCTCCCAAACTGCTGGGATTACAGGTGTGGGTCACCATGCCCGGCCTTGTTCTGCTAATTATTAAAATATTAGGAGGGAAGGTAGAAGTAAGTGTCTAACCTCTGACCCTCATGAGCCTCATGGGTCCTTACGGGCCATGTCCTTTGGTTTCCGTGTGGCTTTCTCTTTTGGAGGATGGAGGGTACTTCTTTGTTCCCAGGGAAGAAAGGTGGGACACATTCCAGCACACCTGTCTAGGGCCTGGCGAGGGCTTAGCAGGATGGGAATCCTGTCTGGAGAGGGTGAAAGGACTGTCGCAGTCAGAGTTCCCAGGAAACCTCCGATACCCGTGTGGGGTGTGCAGATAGGCTCTTCCTCCATGGCCTTCACGGTTGCCATGGTAGCAGCCTGGCTTTGCAAAACTCAGAGCTTCCATCCAGGCAAATATGTACAGGAAGCAGGAGCAGGCTGGAGCCAGAGGGTCGTGTAGACACAGTCCCCAGAAAGATGATGTAGTGGAGATGATTCCGGGCACTCTCTCCTCGGCGTGGTCTTTACAGAGATCAGCTGCTCTGAGAGGCTCCCCTTGGTAAAGCCTTCTGCCTTCCTTTGTCCCCGATCTGGGGACTTCATGTCTCATTAGGTCCAGCTCTTCTCCCTCTTCATCGTATAAACCAAAAAGGCATCAGGCATTTTGACTCAGGCCCACATTAGGGAAGAACACCTTGTAATTTGCCAGATATGAACTACAGCAATGGAAAAGGAAGTGTGCATGGCCAGGTGCAGGGCTCTTGCCTGAAAGGCTAGCGTTGTGGAGGGCAGATCACTCGAAGCCAGGAGTTCAAGACCAGCCTGACCAACAGGGCAAAACCCCGTCTTTACTAAAAACACAAAAATTAGCTGGGCACGGTGGCACATGCCTTTAATCCCAGGTACTCAGGAGGCTGAGGCACGAAAATCTCCTGAACCTGCGAGGTGGAGGTTGCAGTGAACCAAGATCGCACCATTGCACTCCAGCCTGGGCCACAGAGTGAGACTCTTTCTCCAAAAGAAAAAAAAAAAAAAAGCCGGGCATGGTGGCTCACACCTGCAATCCCAACACTTTGGGAGACTGAGGCGGATGAATCACTTGAGGTCAGGAATTTGCAACCTGATTGGCCAACATGGTGAAACCCCGTCTCTACTAAAAATACAAAAATTAGCCGGGCGTGGGCGTGGTGGCAGTCGCCTGTAATCCCACGTACTTGGGAGGCTGAGCCAGGAGAACTGCTTCAACCCGGGAGGCGGAGGTTGCAGTGAACCGAGATTGCGCCACTGCACTCCACCCTGGGTGACAAAGCAAGACCTTGTCTAAAAAAAAAAAGAAAAAAAAAAGAGGCCGGGCATGGTGGCTCACACCTGCCATCCCAGCCCTTTGGGAGGCTGGAGCCCAGGAGTTCAAGACCAGCCTGGGCAGCATAGCAAGACCCTGTCTCTATTATAACAAAACACCCTTTGGGAGGCCAAGGCAGGAGGATCACTTGCCCAGGAGTTTGAAATCAGCCTGAGCAACATAGGGAAACCCCGTCTCTACAAAAAACCAAAAAAATTAGCTGGACAAAGTGGCATGCGTCTGTAGTCCCAGCTGCTTGGGAGGCTGAGGCAGGAGAATCTCTTGAGCCTGGGAGGCGGAGGTTGCAGTGAGCCGAGATCACGCCATTGACTCCAGCCTGGACAACAATAGTGAAACTTCTGTCTCACAACAAAAGAAATAAACACATGATGATCTTTTTTTGTAATCTTTCATTTTTGAAGGGAGACCCTGGCTTACAGCTCTATAATGGAGTTTTGAAGGATTTCGTGAATTCTTTGTCATTCAGTTGAGAGTTTTAGTAAAAACACCTTCTTTCCCATGGATAAGGGCTTCTCTTTGCTTCTCTGCCTAGCTGCAGGCTAGGCTGACAGCCATCCTTGGGGATCCTGTGGGAATGGTGTCCCCCTTATTTTCAGGACATATCCAATGATGATGATGACATGCACCCTGCAGCAGCCGGGATGGCAGACGGGGTCCACCTCCTAGGGTTCTCTGATGAGATCCTCCTTCACATCCTGAGTCACGTCCCCAGCACAGATCTGATTCTGAACGTCCGGCGTACCTGTCGGAAGCTTGCAGCCCTGTGCCTTGACAAGAGCCTCATCCACACCGTGTTGCTGCAAAAGGACTATCAGGTGAGCAGGCGTGGGGGCAGGAGATGAGAAACAAGCTAGATCTCAGTCTTTGAGGACTGGGCACAGCCCTGCAGTGGAACCCTGTGTGCTGATATAAAGGTGGCAGGAACTCCAAGTCCTGACTGGCGCCGTCTGCAGGATGCATTGAGGGACAGAAGCAAGGGGCAGAAAAGCATGGGTGGTGTGCTGCCTGGGGAGGAGGGTGCAGATGTATGTGGACATGGTTCTGGGAGGGAACCTAGGGCCTTGGGAGTGGGGGAGAGGGGTTGGAGATGTGCTTTCTTGTGGATCGCTAGGAGTGGAATTGCTGGGTCTTGTTTGTTGTAAAGTTAAATATGTGGCTCTCCAGTGGTGCAGTGGGAGGGCACCATTTTGCACCCCCCAGCAGGGTGCAGGAGTTCCAATTGCTCTGCAGCCTTGTCAACACTTGGTACTGTCAGTTTTTTAAGTTTTAGCCATTCTTTTTTTTTTTTTTTTTTTTTTTTTTTTTTTTTTTGAGATGGAGTCTCGTTCTTTTGCCCAGGCTAGAGTGCAGTGGCATGATCTCGGCTCACTGCAAGCTCTGCCTCCCGGGTTCACACCATTCTCCTGCCTCAGCCTCCCGAGTACCTGGGACTACAGGCGCCCGCCACCACGCCGGGCTAATTTTTTTGTATTTTTAGTAGAGACGGGGTTTCACTGTGTTAGCCAGGATGGTCTCGATCTCCTGACCTCGTGATCTGCCCGCCTCGACATCCCAAAGTGCTGGGATTACAGGCGTGAACCACCACACCCGGCCTGGTAATGAATCTTAAAGATAAAAATAAGGCCAGGTGCGGTGGTTCACGCCTGTAATCCCAGCACTTTGGGAGGCTGAGGTGGGTGGATCACCTGAGGTCAGTAGTTCGAGACCAGCCTGGCCAACATGGTGAAACCCTGTCTCTACAAAAAATACAAAAAATTAGCTGGGCATGGTGGTGGGAGCCTGTAATCCCAGCTACTTAGGAGGCTGAGGCACGAGAATCCCCAGGCTGGAGTGCAGTGGCACGATCCCGGCTCACTGCAACTTCTGTCTCCCAGATTTAAATGATTCTCCTGGGTCAGCCTCCTAAGTAGCTGGGATTACAGGTGCCCACCACCATGCCCAGCTAATTTTTGTATTTTTAGCAGAGGCAGGGTTTCATCATGTTGGCCAGGCTGGTCTTGAACTCCTGACCTCAAGTGATCCACCCAACTCGGCCTCACAAAGTGCTGGGATTACAGGTGTGACCCATTGTGCCTGGCAAGCTTTAGCTCTTTCTGCTGGAGGGTCTTCAGTGGATGAGGGAGCTGAGTGTGCTCCCTGCAACGCTGGTATCAGGCCTCCAGGCCTCCTCTCCATGAAGCTTTGTTCTCTGCAGAGGAAGGGCTCGGCGCCTCTAGCCAGTGCCTCTCGGTGTACATCCAGAGCATTTTTTTTTTTTTTTGAAACGAGGTCTCACTCTGTTGCCCAGGCTAGAGTGCAGTGGTACTATCTCAGCTCACTGCAACCTCCACCTCCTGGGTTCAAGCGTTTTTCCTGCCCCAGCCTTCTGAGTAGCTGGGATTACAGGCGCCTGCCACCACATCTGGCTAATTTTTGTATTTCTAGTAGAGACGAGGTTTCACCATGTTGATCAGGCTGGTCTCAAACTCCTGACCTCGTGATCCGCCCATTTCAGCCTCCCAAAGTGCTGGGATTACAGGCATGAGCCACTGTGCCTGGCCTGGAGCATTTTTTTAATTTAATTTTTTGGCCGGGTCTGGTGGCTCATGCCTATAATGCCAGCATTTTGGGAGGCTGAGGCAGGTGGATCACATGAACTCAGGATTTCAAGACCCGCCTGGACAACTTGGTGAAACTCCATCTGTACAAAAAAAAAAAAGAGAAAAATGAGCATGGCATGGTGGCACATGTCTGTAGTTCCAGCTACTCAGGAGGCTGAGGTGGGAGGATCTCTTGAACCCCGGGACATCAAGGCTGCAGTAAGCTATTGTTGTACCACTGTGCTCCAGCCTGGACAACAGAATGAGACCTTGTCTCAAAAAACAGAAACAGGCTGGGCGTGGTGGCTCGATGATAGCTCACTGCAACGTCCACCTCCCAGGCTCAAGCCATCCTCCTGCCTCAGCCTCCCAAGTAGATGGGACCACAGGTGTGCGCCACTACGCCTGGCTAATATATTTTTTCTTTTTGGTAGATATGGGGTCTCGCTATGTTTCCCAAGCTGGTCTCCATCCCTTGAGATTAACTGATCTGTCTGCCTTGGCCTTCCAAAGTGCGGGATTACAGGCATGCGCTGAAGCGCCCGGCCTCCCTTCCCCTTTGTGGCTGGATCACATTTCCCCGTGTGGACAGTTGGCATCTGATTCATCCATCCACCTGTTGATGGACACTGGGGCTGTTTGTACCTGTGGCTTCTTGTGAATCTGTTGCAGTGAACAGGCACAGAGTAGGGAGGCTGAGTCTCAGTTTTCAGTTCCTTTGGGTCTGTCCCTAGGAGTGAAGTTGCTGGCTCATGTGGTAGCCCTATGTTTAGCTTTTTGAGGAACCACCACCAAACCGTTTTTTTTTTTTTTTCTTTTTTGAGATGGAGTCTTGCTCTGTCACCAGGTTGGAGTGCAATGGTGCCATCTTGGCTCACTGCAACCTCTGCCTCCCAGGTTCAAGCGATTCTCCTGCCTCCTCCCCAGTAGCTTGGCTTACAGGTGCCTGCCACCACACCCAGCTAATTTTTGTATTTTTAGTAGAGATGAGGTTTCACCATGTTGGCCAGGATGGTCTCGACCTCCTGACCTCAGGTGATCTGCCTTCGTTGGCCTCCCAAAGTGCTGGGATTCCAGGCGTGAGCCACCGGGCCCGGCCTTTTTTTTCTTTTTGAGACAGAGTCTCTTTCTGTTGCCCAGGCTGGAGTGTAGTGGCAAGATCTTGGCTAATTGCAACCTCCACCTCCCAGGTTCAAGCGATTCTTCTGCCTTCGCCTCTGGAGTAGCTGGGATAAAAGGCGCACACCACCATGCCTGACTAGTTTTTGTATTTTCAGTTGAGATCGGGCTTCACCATGTTGGCCAGGCTGGTCTCGAACTCCTGACCTCAGGTGATCCATCTGCCTTGGCTTCCCCAAGTGCTGGGATGACAGGCATGAGCCACCGTGCCCACCTGCCAAACCGTTTTCTACCGTGGCTGCACCCCTCTACCAGTCCCACTTAGCTGGGGACTCTTGGCTCCAGGTCAGAGTGCGGGCAGGTAGGCAGCGAGAGGTGGGGAGCTTCCCTCCCGGTGGAGCAGCTGCTGCAAGGGGGAGTGTGCGCACTGAGGGTTGGAGACCCGTAGGTGCCTTCAGCCCTTTCCTTCCTCTCCCCACCCTGCCTCTGTCCCGCAGGCGAGCGAGGACAAAGTGAGGCAGCTGGTGAAGGAGATCGGCCGGGAGATCCAGCAGCTGAGCATGGCTGGCTGCTACTGGCTGCCTGGCTCCACCGTGGAACACGTGGCCCGCTGCCGCAGCCTGGTGAAGGTGAACCTCTCGGGCTGCCACCTCACTTCCCTGCGCCTCTCCAAGATGCTCTCGGCCCTGCAGCACCTGCGCTCGCTGGCCATCGACGTGAGCCCCGGCTTCGACGCCAGCCAGCTGAGCAGCGAGTGCAAGGCCACCCTGAGCCGCGTGCGGGAGCTCAAGCAGACGCTGTTCACTCCCTCCTACGGCGTGGTGCCCTGCTGCACCAGCCTAGAGAAGCTGCTGCTCTACTTCGAGATTCTGGACCGCACGCGCGAGGGCGCCATCCTCTCGGGCCAGCTTATGGTGGGCCAGAGCAACGTGCCGCACTACCAGAACCTGCGGGTCTTCTATGCGCGCCTGGCCCCCGGCTACATCAACCAGGAGGTGGTGCGGCTCTACCTGGCTGTGCTTAGCGACCGCACTCCTCAGAACCTCCACGCCTTCCTCATCTCCGTCCCTGGCAGCTTCGCGGAGAGCGGCGCCACCAAGAACCTCCTGGACTCCATGGCGCGCAATGTCGTGCTGGATGCCCTGCAGCTGCCCAAGTCCTGGCTGAACGGCTCTTCCCTCCTGCAGCACATGAAATTCAACAACCCGTTCTACTTCAGTTTCAGCCGCTGTACCCTGTCAGGCGGCCATCTGATCCAGCAGGTCATCAACGGCGGGAAGGACCTGCGGAGCCTGGCCAGCTTGAACCTCAGCGGCTGCGTCCACTGCCTGTCCCCAGACTCGCTGCTCCGCAAGGCGGAGGACGACATCGACAGCAGCATCCTGGAGACTCTGGTGGCGTCCTGCTGCAACCTGCGCCACCTGAACCTCTCGGCCGCCCACCACCACAGCTCGGAGGGCCTGGGCCGCCACCTCTGCCAGCTCCTGGCCCGGCTGCGTCACCTGCGCTCCCTCTCCCTGCCTGTCTGCTCTGTCGCTGACTCCGCGCCGCGCGCCGACCGCGCGCCCGCCCAGCCGGCCATGCACGCAGTGCCGCGCGGCTTTGGCAAGAAAGTGCGTGTGGGCGTGCAGTCCTGTCCCAGCCCCTTCTCGGGCCAGGCGTGCCCCCAGCCCTCCTCCGTGTTCTGGTCTCTGCTGAAGAACCTGCCCTTCCTGGAACACCTCGAGCTGATTGGGTCCAACTTCTCCTCCGCCATGCCCCGCAACGAGCCCGCCATCCGCAACTCGCTCCCACCCTGCAGCCGCGCACAGAGTGTCGGGGACTCGGAGGTGGCCGCCATCGGCCAGCTGGCCTTCCTGCGGCACCTGACGCTCGCACAGCTGCCCAGCGTCCTTACGGGCTCCGGGCTGGTCAATATCGGCCTGCAGTGCCAGCAGTTGCGGTCCCTGTCGCTGGCCAACCTGGGCATGATGGGGAAGGTGGTGTACATGCCCGCGCTCTCAGACATGTTGAAGCACTGCAAGCGGCTGAGGGACCTCAGGTGAGGGGGCCGCGGGGACCTCTCGGGCCTCTGCTGGAAGCTGGCGGAGGGAACTGGGGCGTTCGCGTGGAGTTCGGTGGCTGGCCTGCCCTCCAGGAGTGCAGAGGCTGGGGCGGGGCCTCGCAGCGTGCCACGTCGGTCTCGGGGCTCTGGGGAGAGCGGCATCTAGAGGAGCTGGGGGTGCAGGAGGCGGATGTCTGAGCTTAGTGTCTTTATTCCTGATAGTGTTTGAGTGACTGCCTGGCCCTACTATGAGTCATCCTGTGAAATCGTCTCAGGACCCTGCCAGGTGCATCATTGTTGCCACTCAGCAGAGCCAGTAGGTGGGGGAGGCAGGATTCGAACCCAGGCCTTTCTGACCTGACTTTGCAATGCAATTCCTTTTTTTTTTTTAATTTAAATTTTATTTATTTATTTATTTTTGAGACAGGGTCTCGCTCTGTCATCCAAGCTGGAGTGCAGTGGTGCCATCATAGCTCACTTCATCCTCAATCTCCTGGGCTCAATTAATCCTCCTACCTCAGCCTATCAAGTAGCTGGGACTACAGGCATATGCCATCATGCCTGGCTATATATATATTTTTAAAATTGTGTACAGACAAGGTCTCACTATGTTGCCCAGACTGGTCTTGAACTCCTGGGCTTAAGTGATCCTCCATCTCGGCCTCCCAAAGTGCTGGTGCTGGGATTACAGGTGTGAGCCACCACCCTTGGCCTCCATCTTTGCTTTTTTTTTTTTTTTCTTTTTTTTTTTTTGAGACAGAGTCTCATTCTACACACCCAGGCTGGAGTGCAGTGGCGCGATCTTGGTTCATTGCAACCCCTGCCTCCTGGGTTCAAGCGATTCTCCCACCTCAGCCTCCCGAGCAGCTGGGACTACAGGTGTGCACCACCACACCTGGCTAATTTTTTTGTATTTTTAGTAGAGACGGGGTTTTGCAGTATTGGCCAGGCTGGTCTTGAACTCCTGACCTCAGGTGATTCACCTGCCTCAGCCTCCCGAAGTTCTGGGATTACAAGGCATAAGTCACCACGCCTGGCAAGGCAGATGCTTTCTGGGTCAGTAAGTACCATGTGAAGAAACCCCAGAGACTTGGAAGTATGTCAGAGAGCAGTCGGTTCAGAGAGCAGTCGTTTCAGAGAGCAGTCGGTTCAGAGGGTCCAGGGCACAATGGGAGGTGGGAGGGAGTAGGGAAGATGGGGCAGACAAGGAAGGTGGGCAACAGTGCCGAGGGGTTTCACCCGGGAGAGGGAGCAGCCTCCCTGGGCATCCCAGATGGACTTCAGGGCACAGGATGGAGGAGACAGGAGAGGTCGGCTCAGGAGGGGGACCACAGACTCCTGGGAGGTGATGGTCCTTGGGACTAGGAGCAGGACCCATCCCAGAGCGGGGAGGAGGTGGAACAACAGGCCTGGGAGAGCTCCACACCAGACAGTGTCCAGGGCCCATGGCATTTCCAGAGCCAAGCACAACATGAATTTATGCTGAATTGTGCTGTGGAGTGAACGGTGTTCTTGTCCGTTCCTAGTATTTAAGGAATAAGAATTCGTTAACTTGAGATGAATTTGAAAATCTTGGCCAATAAATCTGATCTTGAAAAATTACCCAAAATGGGTTTGGGCATGGTGGCTCACTCCTGTAATCCCAGCAGTTTGGGAGGCCAAGGTGTGCGGATCATCTAAGGTCAGGAGTTGGAAACCAGTCTGGCCAACATGGTAAAACTCTGTTTCTACCAAAAACATACAGAAATTAGCGGGGCGTGGGAGCAGGCACCTGTAGTCCCAGCTACTCAGGAGGCTGAGGCAGGAGAATTGCTCTTTACCCGGGAGGCAGAGGTTGCAGTGAGCCAGATCACACCACTGCACTCCAGCCTGGGTGACAGAGTGAGACTCTCAAAAAGAAAAGCAAAGAAAAGAAAAATTACCCCAAATGGGCCGGGCGTGGCGGCTCACGCCTGTAATCCCAGCACTTTGCCAGGGAGGCCAGAACACGCGAAGAGCCCTGAATAGGTGGGGTCTGTACCTGGAGTTGACTGAGCGTGTGAAGCCCCCTGGCCTTTGTCCATGTGGCGAGCCTTTAAAGTAAAAATCAAAATGGCCTCGGCCGGGCGCCGTGGCTCACGCCTGTAATCCCAGCACTTTGGGAGGCCGAGGCGGGTGGATCATAAGGTCAGGAGATCGAGACCATCCTGGCTAACACGGTGAAACCCGTCTCTACTAAAAATACAAAAAATTAGCTGGGCGTGGTGGTGGGCGCCTGTAGTCCCAGCTGCTTAGGAGGCTGAGGCAGGAGAATGGCATGAACCCGGGAGGCGGATCTTGCAGTGAGCCGAGATCGCGCCACTGGCCGCTGCACTCCAGCATGGGTGACAGAGTGAGACTCGGTCTCAAAAAAAAAAAAAAAAAAGTAAAAAGAAAAAAGAAAAAAAATTACCCAAAAGGTAGTGAAGGCCTTGAGCCTCAGTACTACCAGGGACTGGGTGGGGGAGAAAGTGGAGGCAGGGCTTAGATGAGTGAGCTGGTGTCTCTGTGAGTCCTTAGCTGGTGGGGTGGGTTGCGGGTACATGAAGTCATGCTCCAGCCTAAGGGGCACGTGGGCACGTGTCATTGTCCCCAGAATAGTTAGCATTCACCTTGTGCCTTTGCTGAGAGCCATGCACTGAGCCCATCCTCCCTGCCATAATCTGCTGCGATTGCAGCCTTGATCATTCCCATTTCCCAGATGAGGCTGTGGGAGCTCAGGGGGAGCTGAGTCTCTCGCAAACACCGGTGCTTGACCTTGGCCCTGGAGCCATGCAGAGTAGAGATAAGGGCGCCCCTTGTAAATCTCCCCTCTCCCGCAGAAGGCATGGCAGGAAGTGGCCGGGTCTGCTCGGGAGCAGCCGAGCTGGAGGCTCACACCCTGGAGTCCCCCGGCCATGCAGCCAGCTTGGCGCCACCCTCCCTCTCGACCTCCTCCCACTGCAGACCTGTTAGTGTTGGGTTGAGAAGCGCAGGATCAAACCCAGGACTTTCAAATGGCAGAGCAGATTGCTAGAAGCCTCTGTATTTCCTGTCTGGTGGAGTCACCAGGCCCTGGATCGGCCGCTTTGATTCTCAGCTCGAGCCACTGCGAGGCTCCGTGCGTGGGGAGCGGGGTGGTTATTCATGCTCTGACCCAGGCATCCTGGAGAACCAGGACGGGCGACTGCTTTGAGAACCAGACGGGCGACTTTTCAGAATCTCCCTGCTTTAGAAATTTGACGCAAAATGCATGTAAAATTTGGGCTTTCCCACTTTTTTTTTTTAAAAATGGTCTCATTCTGTCTCCCAGACCGGAGTGCAGTGGCATGATCACAGCTCACTGCAGCCTCGACCTTCTCTGGCTCAGGTGATCCTCCCACCTCAGCCTCCCGAGTAGCTGGGACTATAGGCACATGCGACCATGCCCGGCTAGTTTTTTTTTTTTTTTTTTTTTGAGACAGAGTCTCACTCTGTCACCCAGGCTTGAGTACAATGGCATGATCTCAGCTCACTGCAACCTCTGCCTCCTGGATTCAAGCGATTCTCCTGTCTCAGCCTCCAGAGTAGCTGGGATTACAGGTGCCCACCACCATACTCGGCTAATTTTTTTTTTGTATTTTTAGTAGAGACGGGGTTTCACCATGTTGGCCAGGCTGGTCTCGAACTCCTGACCTCAGGTGATCCGCCCACCTCGGCCTCCCAAAGTGGTGGGATTACAGGCGTAAGCCACTGTGCCCGGCCGCCTGGCTAGTTTTTTGTATTTTTTGTAGAGACGGGGTCTTGCTGTGTTGCCCGGGCTGGTCTTGAACTCCTGGGCTCAAGTGATCCTCTTGCCTGGGCCGCCCAAAGGGCTGGGATCACAGGTGTGAGCCACTGTGCCCGGTCCGGAGAGTCTGTTAAGTGTGGCCTCCTAGTTGATGGGCCTAAGCCAAGCCCTGAGTCCAGGCTGAGGTCTGGCCTGGGAGAGTTGCTTTGGCGTCCTCAGCTCATAGGTGGCCTTTAGCCACCTATGGATCCAGGTGAGCCCACGGATTGGGCTGGGGCACACGTGACAAGGATTGGCCAGGAAGAGGAAGAAGAATGTGGAAGGGAGACCGAGCAGAGGCTGTCAGCAAGGGAGGCACTGGCCGGAGGGAGGGGGTGTTCCGGAAGCAAGAGGCAGAGGTGACGGCAGCCACCGCGGGTGGAGGGGACCTTTGGGCTCATGTGACCTCTGCCAGGTGCTTTTCATGGGTGTACAGGTCTTGACCCCTTTGATATTCTCAACAACCTCTGAGTGTCGACACAGTTGTACCCACTTAATGGATGAAGAAAGTAAGGCCCAGAGAGTGCATGAACTTGCCTAGGTCACATGGCTGCTTGTCTCCGGCCTCCCGAGGTCAGCGTGATTTCATGGTCCCCGATGGCCTCCGGAGTCTGGGACGGAATCCCCGTGGCCAAGGGCCTTCCTCAGGAGCAGGGCCATGGAGAAGGCGCGGAGAGGCCTGCGGGTTCTGTGGGTTTTGTGGGTTTTGTGGGCCAGCCTGAGAGACCGACCCTGCTCATAATGCCATCTCTGTGGACAAACTCCAGCCTGTGCCCAGCAGCCCCTGAGAACCACGTCTGCTCTGAGCTGGGTACTGCCTGTTCAGAACAAATGCCGGTTCCCAGACGCTGCCAGCTGGCCCCGTTCCTCTGGATTCCTGCCTTCTGCGGCAAGGGAGCCCGGACGCTGCAGTGGAAGGAGCAGGTGGCACTCGCTTGCCCGTGGGCAGGAGCTGTGCAGAGGAAACGGCGCTGGGATCCCTGGAGGCTGGCACGATGCTCCGAGGCCGCATCCTGGGGCGGCCGGAGTCTCTTTGGTGGCAGAGCTTGGAATCCCACGCCAGCCACCTGCTGCCACTGGCAGCCCCCACACCGTGACCCCCAGCTTTGTGCTTGCTGGGGCTCCTGGCAGGGAGGGGGTGGTGCAGGAAGGAGTCGCTCTGGCTGGGACTTGGACACACCTCAGTAGTAAGGGGATTACAAATTGGGCAGAAAAGACACCTTCTTTCCCTAGACCAGCTAAGCCCTGCTTGCGGTGGAGGGCGGGGGAGCGTGTCACCCTGAGTCACCCGGGCTGCTGTGAGCGTGACCAGGGCAGCGTCTGGGCAGAAGCGGGCCATCCTTTTCAGAGCCAGGCCCCGGAGCCACCCTAGGGACACCTCGGAGGCCTGGGTGCTGCTCTCACGGCCCGTGCAGTGGGTGGCCAGATGGGAGCCCCCGCACTGTGAGCTCAGCACCTTTCATGCCCACAGAGTCACCAGGAGACCCAGGTGCCCCCTCAGGGAGCAGAATGGGGAGGCTGGATCCTCACTCAAAGGTGAGGCCCGGCGCAGTGGGAGCCTTTTCCTCGTCCCCATCCTCCCTGCAGACGCTGCCGGTCACTCGAGTCAGGTCAGCTCTGCCACCGTCCTGGGTGCCGTGCCCCAGGCGGCGTGCTGTGGGAGCCTAGGAAGCTTTAGACGTGCCAGGCCCGCTGCCTGACCAGTCACTCCCGTGGGCCTGCCACATCCTGAACACCTGTGACAGGTGACTTCCTCCGGGGCGGAAGAATGTGGATGTGGTTATCTCGTGGAAAAAAGGTTTTTTTTCCACGCTCTGCAGACTTGGTTTTTAACCCCAGAGGCTCGGGGCGATCTGGGGCGGGTAGCACGGAGCCGCATCGCCACCTAGTGACCACACGACGGCACCGTCCTTGCCCAACGCCCCGTTTCCATCTCCTGCTGTCTGGAGCCTCCTGCTTTTGCTTTGGAGAGAAATCCAGAGGTGACTTTGCAGCTCAGCAGGTGCGGCGCCTGCACCGTCTTTTTTACCCCTTCCCGTTTCCCACCTTCCGGTCTGCAAAGGGTTGTTTACTTTAGGATTTTTTTAGGGAGAGGTGGTATTTAAAATATACGTAATGAAAACATTTTATTACTATCTTTAAATAAAAACAATCTGAATAGCTTAACAAAACAAATATAGAAAAATAAAGACAATTTGGATGTTTTATTTTATTATTTATTTAATTTTATTTATTTATTTTTTTGTGTGAGACAGAGTCTCGCTCTGTCACCTAGGCTGGAGTGCAGTGGTGTGATCTCAGCTCACTGCATCCTCTGCCTCCAAGCAATTCTCCTGCCTTCGCCTCCCCAGTAGCTGGGATAATGGGCATGCCCCGCCACGCCCAGCTAATTTTTTTTTTTTTTTTTGAGATGGAGTTTCACTCTTGTTGCCCAGGCTGGAGTGCAATGGTGCCATCTTGGCTCACCGCAACCTCTGCCTCCCAGGTAGAAACGATTTTCCTGCCTCAGCCTCCCGAGTAGCTGGGATTACAGGTGTGTGCCACCACGACCAGCTAATTTTGTATTTTTAGTAGAGATGGGGTTTTTCCATGTTGGTCAGGCTGGTCTCAAACTCCCGATTTCAGGTGATCTGCCCTCTTCGGCCTCCCAAAGTGCTGGGATTACAGGCATGAGCCACCGTGCCCGGCCTGCCTGGCTAATTTTTGTATTTTTAGTAGTGACAGGGTTTTGCCATGTTGGCCAGTGTCGAACTCCTGACCTCAGGTGATCCGCCTGCCTCAGCCTCCCAAGGTGCTGGGATTATAGACGTGAGCCACCGCACCTGGCTGAGAATTTCTGCTTAAATCAATTAAAAGAAAATTAACTACCAGGCATGGTGGCTCACGCCTATAATCCTAGCACTTTGGGAGGCTGAGGCAGGAGGATTGCTTGAGCTCAGGAGTTGGAGACCAGCCTGGGCAACATAGTGAGACCCCTGTCTCCACACACACACACGCACGCACGCACGCACGCACACACACACAAAAGTAAATAACCAGTCTCTCATGAGCCACACTTCCTTTATTCTTTTAAAAAAAAAATTTTGGCCAGGTGCAGTGGCCCACGCCTGTAATCCCAGCACTTTGGGAGGCTGAGGCGGGTGGAGCAAGTGGTCAGGAGATTGAGACCATCCTGGCTAACACGGTGAAACCCCATCTCTACTAAAAATACAAAAAATTAGCTGGGTGCGGTGGCAGGCGCCTGTAGTCCCAGCTACTCGGGAGGCTGAGGCAGGAGAATGGCGTGAACCCGGGAGCTTGCAATGAGCTGAGATCACGCCACTGCACTCCAGCCTGGGCAACAGATCGAGACTGTCTTGCTCTGTCATCCAGCTTGGAGTGCAGTGGCACGATCCTAGCTCACTGCAGCCTCGAAGTCCTGGGCTCAAGCGATCCTCCCACCTCAGCTTCCCGAGTAGCTGGGAGTACAGGTGCGTGCCACCATGGCTGGATAATTTTTGTACTTTTTGTAGAGCTGGGCTCTCACTATGTCGCCCAGGCTCTTCTCAAACTCCTGGGCTCAAGTGATCCTCCTGCCTTGGCCTCCTGAAGGGCTGGGATTATAAGTGTGAGCCACCATGCCCGCCGTGACTTGGTCTTTTTGTGTCACCTACCAGGGAAGAATCTCCATGCCTGTGGCGCCTTCTGCTGTGGCTGCCCTCAGCATCTGTGCTAGGATCCTGGGGCTGCCAGGACAATTGATCACAAACTGAGTGGCTTCATGCAACAGGCATTTATTGTCTCACGATTCTGGAGCCCAGAGGCCCCAAATCAGGCTATGGGCAGGGATGGTTCATTCCTTCTGAGGATGGTGAGGAGGAACTCGGGCGCCTGCCAGCCACGCCTGGCACTGCTTGGCTGGTGGACACGTGGCCCCAGTCTCTGCCTCTGTTGTGACCTGGCCGCCTTCTGTCTGTGTCTGGGTATCTCTGTGCCTTCACCTGGCCTTATAAGGAACCAGTCATTAGATTTAGAGTCCCCATCATGCAGGATGCATCCTCCTCTTAACTCCCTTGCATCCGCAACAAACCTGCCTCCAAATAAGGCCACACCCTCAGGTCCCAAGGTGAGGACTCCTGCATAGTGTGTGTGTGGGGGGGCGTCGCAGCTCAGTCCACACTAGCCCCTCCCCATTCGCCTCAGCCCGTCCCTCCAGCGGCTCCTCCCCCCACCCCGGGAGTTCCTGGCAGCCCCTGAAGTCACGTGAGTTCCCCTCCAGCCTCTCTGCTCCCTCTTGATTCTTATCTCAGGGGCTCGCTGCACCCCACAACCTGCCACAGTCCAGGTCTTGCCCAGTCCCACAGCCTGGTTCTCCAAGGGCCCCCCGGGCCTGTCCTCAGCAGCGCCACATCCCCACATCTGCCACTGTACTTCGAGACATGGCCTGTCCTTCTGCTTTCTGTCTGCATGGACAGACTCCCCAGGAAGGATCTAGAATGTCGTCCCCTACTTCCCTTTCCCAAGTCCTCCCCTTTCCCCTGGGTTCTCCCGTCTTGGTCTCTGTCACTGTAGCCTTGGTGCGGACTTGGGCCTCCCCCCTGCCCTGGCTGCCAACCTCTTAGCTTGGCCCCACTCCCCTCGGCCTCCTCCTTTGGCCCTGCAGCCATCCAGCGCTGTCCTCCCATCTGTCGTGGCTGAAGTGGCCCCCATCTGGCTGAAGTTCCTGCCCACCTTACCCCCTGCCTCCCAGATTCTCGCCCTCTCCCTCCCCCACACCAGCCTCCCGGATTACCGCCCTCTCTCATGGTGTTCAGTCCTTATCTGCCTCCCTGTCCAGCTGAGCTTCCCAAGGGCAGGGGCCATGTGTGGGGTCCTCTTTGCATCCGCTGCCCAGCACACCAGCGTTTGAGGAAGATAGGGTGCCTGGGGGTCATTGGGGTGCACCAGGCAGGCTGCGGACACAGATGCTGATGGCCTCGGCTGGTGACTTGAAGCCGGGCTCTGTAGACACTGGCTGGCTGCTTGCATCAGGCCCACCGGGTCGCCTCCAAATCAGATCTCCAAGGGGGACCCTGGGGGCCTGAGTCGGCACCCAGTACTCCAAGGGATAGTGGTATTGGTGGGAGGTGGCGGGAACAGCTGGGCTGGGCCCCAGGCCAGGAAGCTTCCACTGGCAGCACCTCCAGACGCCCAGCTGGCCTGGCCTGCGAGCCCCTCCCTCGGACCTCACAGCTGCCCTCTCTCCCCGCAGGCTGGAGCAGCCCTACTTCAGCGCCAACGCCCAGTTCTTCCAGGCGCTGAGCCAGTGCCCCTCGCTGCAGCGCCTGTGCCTGGTCTCTCGCAGCGGCACCCTCCAGCCCGATGCCGTGCTGGCCTTCATGGCTCGCTGCCTGCAGGTTGTCATGTGCCACCTGTTCACCGGGGAGTCCCTCGCCACCTGCAAGAGCCTGCAGCAGTCGCTTCTCCGCAGGTGAGTGATGTGGGTTGCGTACAGCTTCAGGGGCCGCAGAAATCACCAGCATCCCGTGACCTGGTCCCCAGCCTTCACCGAGTGCCTACCAGTGGTTTCTTGGAATTGACGAGCACCAGGCAGTGACAGGGTGAAAGCAAGGGGTTTGGTCTCCCACGGCCCAGCCTCTGCTCCTTGAGCATTCCCTAGCCACATGGTAAATTTTCTAGATAGTTCAAGCTCTCCTCTCCCACAAGTACAAAAGTCTTCTTCTTATTATTATTATTACTTTTGAGACGGAGTCTCACTGTGTTGCCCAGGCTGGAGTGTAGTGGCGAAATCTCGGCTCACTGCGACCTTCGCCTTCCGGGTTCAAGCGATTCTCCTGCCTTGGCTTCCTGAGTAGCTGGGATTACAGGCCTGCGCCACCAGCATGTATTTTGTATTTTAGTAAAGATAGGGTTTCACCATGTTGGTCAGGCTGGTCTCGAACTCCCGACCTCAGGTGATCCGCCTGCCTCGGCCTCCCAAAGTGCTGGGATTACAGGCATGAGCCACCGCACCCAGCCTGCAACCATCTTTAACTCTGGATTTTTCACATCTCTGCCCGTTGTTTGGATCTAGAAGCAGTGCTTACTTGGGCAGTTGTGGGTAAAGGCGGTAGATTGAACAGAGAACCTTTCCTTCTCCCTCTCCCTCGCCACCTGCTGTCAGGCCCTTTCTGGAAGGCCCACATAGTCTGGCCCCTCTTCCCTTAGCTAGCTAGCATCTCCGCTTCCCCTCGTGACAGGGCATCCTGGAGTTTGATGCTCTGCTGCTGCGCAGGAAGTCAGGTGAGCACCTAGAATTGAACACAAATTAGGAGGAGGCGATTCCTGGAGAGAGCTGGAGCTTGGTAGGCGATGTGGGGAGTGACGCATTTCAAGACCTCTCAGGAGGACGGGCTGACTGCTGGAGTGATCAGGGCTCCTGAGAGAGGCGTGCGCCCGGCCAAGGGGGCAGCAGGACATGAACGCCCTGAGTGTTCGTGTCCCTGCAGGTGGGGAGAGGTGACAGGAAGGAGGCCCCAGCTGTTCACAGAGTTGCGAGAAGAGCCATCAGCCAGGACGTCTCGAGCCACTGGGCGCCGACAACCCTGCTTGCCAGACTCTGGGGTAGTCTGTTGTCCTTGCGGTCGGCCGCTGGCTGTCTCAGGAATAATCCTGGTTGGGGTTTCCCCCTCTCTGGTTGTAAAAACAACTTGTGTTTATAGAGTACTTTTTAAAAATTTAGACTATGCATCAATCTTTTTTCTTGTTTGTTTGTTTGAGACAGAGTCTCACTCTGTCGTCCAGGCTGGAGTGCAGTGGCGGGATCTCAGCTCACTGCAACCTCTGCTTTCTGGGTTGCAACCTCAGCCTCCTGAGCAGCTGGGATTACAAGTGTGCACCACTATACCTGGCTAATTTTTGTATTTTTCTTTTTTTCTTTTTTGAGACAGAGTCTCGCTCTGTCGCCCAGGCTGGAGTGCAGTGGCGTGATCTCGGCTCGCTGCAAGCTCTGCCTCCCGGGTTCACGACATTCTCCTGCCTCAACCTCCCAAGTAGCTGGGACTACAGGCGCCCGCCACCACACCTGGCTAATTTTTTGTATTTTTTTTTTTTTTAGTAGAGACGGGGTTTCACTGTGTTGGCCAGGATGGTCTCGATCTCCTGACCTCATGATCTGCCCACCTCGGCCTCCCAAAGTGCTGGGATTACAGGCGTGAGCCACCGCGCCCGGCCTAATTTTTGTATTTTTAGTAGAGACGGGGTTTCATCATGTTGCCCAGGCTGGTCTCTAACTCCTGACCTCAGGTGATCCGCTTACCTCAGCCTCCCAAAGTGCTGGGATTACAGGCGTGAGCCACAACGCCTGGCCAACATCAACCTATTTTTAAGTGAAGGTTTCCCAACAGTGAATGCTGCCAACTTTCCCTGGAGAATGAACTGGAGATAGGGTTCTCATATTGTTTTGTAATCTGATTTTTAAAAATGTAACACTACACCGTGGAGTCCTCTTGTGTCAGTAAATAAAGCCCTAAGTGATTATTCTCAGTGCTGTCCTCACGGCTCTCATCTGGGTGTCGTGGTCCGCCCTGGTTCATGGCGGTTTTAAAAACACGGTCACTGTGTCCTCGACTTTGCTTTGGATCTTGACTTCGCCTGCGGTGGAACCAGGGGGGCAGCCTGGGTGGCAGCTGGAATGTTCCAGCTCAGCCCCTTGGCTCTGCTTCCCCACATCTTAGCATCCTTGTGCTGTGAGCTGGATGTGACACCTGCTGATGTACCCCATTTTAGGAGGGCTGAGTGGGTCACAGGCTCCAAAGGGCTTAGTCGAGTGGGCTTGGGAACAGGCGGTAGCTGTTGGGGGAAGGGGTGCACTGTGCTCTGTGAGGCTGTGGTACCGAGAGGCTAAAGCTGGGTTTTCTCAGGTGTGGCGGATGCAGGCAGCTCCGCCCTAGCTC
This sequence comes from Homo sapiens, assembly GCF_000001405.40. NCBI lineage: Eukaryota > Metazoa > Chordata > Mammalia > Primates > Hominidae > Homo > Homo sapiens. The sequence goes on along the minus strand of NC_000007.14, from coordinate 5,488,766 downwards.
TGTCCTGTCAGATGTGGGAAGAGCCTCGGGCCTTCGCCCCCCATACGCTTGCGCTTGCGGCTGGGCTCCACTCACAGGCCCTCCAGCCAGTGGGAGGCTGCGACTGTGCACCTAGAGCTGCCACCTCCTGCGTGGGTGTTTTGTTGAAGGGACTTGGGAGTGGGCGTTGCCTCTCTTCTGTTGCCTGTGAGTCTGGGGCCCTCAGACCCATCCCATGCGGGACGGTCTCAGCTCCGCAGGGCTGGGGCGACTTCCTGTGGCGATGGGGGCCGGCTCTGGGAGTTGTCTGTTTCCTTGCTGCAGCGGAGAACGTCCACGATCCCCAAGCAGTTCAGGACGGCTGTGCTCATGACGGGGCAGCCCCCCGCCCCACCCTCGAAGGCCTCCTGCTCCGATGAGCCTGCTTTTCCTTCTGGTCCTCAGAATCCTCTCTGCATGGCGCTACAGGCGGGTCGGTTGGACGTGGCACCGGATGCCAGCCCCTGCTCTGAGCTGCTCTCCTCCATTCACCTGCTGCCTGTGGCCGGCTCCATGCCGCCCCTTGCAGGCCGGGAGCTTGCCCTCTGGCCTCCTGGGGTGACCTGCACCTTCGTGGTTTTTAGGCAAGTCTGATGATCTAAGGTGGATGCAGTAAGCTCTTTGCGTTCCCCGGTTGGACGGTGCGTTTTTTGAAGGCTGGTGCTCCACAGCTCTTTGGTGTTTTGTGTCCTCAGGCACAAGCTGAGCCCGGCGCTGAGCTCGCAGGTGGCCCCAGAGGGCGCTGGTTACACGCAGGTGCCTGGGAGAGCCCTTGATCACCCATGCTTGCTGCGTGGTGTTGGAGAGCAGCCTCAGGACTTCCTCGGCAGAAGCCGTGCCCATCCCTCTGTGCCAGTCCCTCTGTGACCCCACCCACCCCTCCCCCTCCGATGTCCCGCACCTGGTGCAGCACCCAGGCCTGTGGTGGGACCCACGGCGCACTTGCTGCCAACCGAGTGGGATGCGGGTGTTGAGGCGTCCGTGTTCGCAGTGTGCCTCCCGTGTGTGCCCCTCCAGGGCGCCTGCCTGGGGCCCCCATGGTGCCTCTCTCTGCTCCAGGCACTGCATCTTGCCTCTTGTTCAAGCCTCACAGAAGCCCTGTGAGGTCAGTGCTATCAGCCCCAGCTTACAGATGGAGAAACAGTCTTCGAGAGCTGCCCTGAGCAATGAGGCAGGGAGTGAGTGCTGGAGGGATGGGAGTTCACGCCTGGAAGAGGAGAGGGGCCGTGTCGGGGACTGTGCAGGGCCATCCAGGGCTGAGGGGACCTCTGTGGGGACCTCCAGGCTCTGTGCTGGGCAGGCTGTGTCAGGATCTTCTGCAGATGAGAGGGTCACAGCATTGCAGGGACCTCTGTGCTCACATAAGCTGGATTCCCCCAGGGCTGCTGAAAGCCTTTCTCTTCCCACCCTGCTGGCAGTCAGATACCACCCCAAAGCCAGGTGGGAGAGGCCCCGTCCACGGACACCTGTACCACAGCTTCCTCGTGGCATCAGTGCCTGTGCCTGGCTCCACGCCGGCCCCGGTCACGGCAGTGTGGCCCGAGCCGCAGGTCCCAGCTGACCTGCAGACAGGGTCTGACCGGCCTTCCCTGGGCTTTCCAGCCCAGGGCACCTGTGTGGGCCTAGGGGTCAGTGTCAGCCCTGCAGCTCTGGCCTTTGCAGCTGCGCCCAAGGCCCAGCAGGTGGCGCTGGGGCTCCCGGGAACCGGCCGCAGGCCCCGCCCCCTGCTTTGCGCCCTGGGCGCGGAAGGAGGAGGAGGAGCAGCGGTTTGCTCTCGCTTTTCCTGACGCTTTTCTCTTTCTCGTCTTTTTTCCTGCCTGGAGGATTTATGGAGCCAGAGGGAGGACCTGGCCCCGGGCTGTTGTGCGGCTCACCCGTCCTCTCCCTGGGTGGCCTGGGGTCTCAACCGTCTCTCTGTGTCTCAGCCTGCAGGGCCGGCCGGTGTCGTGGCTGCTGACCTGTCGCCGGTGACCTGTTGCTGGTGACCGCGCTGCCTTTTTTGATGGCCATCACCCTCCTGTCTCTGACAGACTCACCTTCACACACGACTGGGTATCGGCCGCCGTCTCTTCTTTTTCTTTCTTTTTCTTTTTTTAGAGACAGGGTCTCTCTCTGTTGCCCAGGCTGGAGTGCAATGGTGCAATCACAGCTCACTGCAGCCTTGACCTCCCAGACTCAAGTGATCCTCCTGCTTCAGCCTCCTCAGTACCTGGGACTACAGGTGCACGCCACCACTCCCGGCTAATTTTTACATTTTTTTATAGAGATGGAGTCTCCCTATGTTGCCCAGGCTGGCTTTGTTTTCTTTGTTGTTGTTTTTTGTTTTTTTTTGAAACAGAGTTTCGCTCGTTTCCCAGGCTGGAGTGCAGTGGCACGATCTTGGCTCACTGCAGCCTCCACCTCCCAGGTTCAATAGATTCTCCTGCCTCTGCCTCTGGAGTAGCTGGGATTAGAGGCATGTGCCACCACAACCAGCTCATTTTTTTTTTTTTTTTTTGAGATGGAGTTTTGCTCTTTTTGCCCAGGCTGGAGTGCAATGGTACCATCTCGGTTCACTGCAACCTCTGCCTTCCAGGTTCAAGCAATTCTGCCTCAGCCTCCCGAGTAGCTGGGATTACAGGCATGCGCCAGCACGCCCAGCTAAATTTTTATTTATTTATTTATTTATTTATTTATTTATTTATTTTTTTGAGACAGAGTCTTGCTCTGTTGGCCAGGCTGGAGTGCAGTGGCACAATCTCGGCTCACTGCAACCTCCGCTTCCTGGGCTCAAGCAATTCTCCTGCCTCAGCCTCCTGAGTAGCTGGGATTACAGGCGTGTGCCACCACGCCCGGCTAATTTTTTTGTGTTTTTTTTAGTAGAGATGGGGTTTCACCATGTTGACCAGGCTGGTCTCGAACTCCTGACCTCTCAGGTAATCCGCCCACCTCAGCCTCCCAAAGTTCTGGGATTAGAGGCTTGAGCCACCGCGCCCGGCCACACCCGGCTAATTTTGAATTTTTAGTAGAGACAGGGTTTCTCCATGTTGGTCAGGCTGGTCTCGAACTCCCGACCTCAGATGATCTGCCCGCCTCGGCCTCCCAAAGTACTGGGATTATAGGTGTGAGCCACCATGCCTAGCCCCCGGGGTGGTCTTGAACTCCTGGACTCAAGTGATCTTCCCACCTCAGCTTCCCAGAGTGCTGGGATTACAGGCGTGAGCCACTGCGCCTGGCCTCCCTTTTTTATTTATTTATTTTTTTTGCACATCTGATGGGTAATGTGTCTGCAGCATCTGAACAAGGTTTGAGAGAGGCACATCTCGCCAATGAGTGTGAACACCCAGTCATCACATTGAGGAACTATAGGAGGATCTTAACTTTTCCCAAACTCAGTCTTTTTGAGCCTCATTATGTACGTAGCAGACTATGAAGCCGCACAGGAGTGCCCTCTGACTGCCAAGAAGGGCTGGCCTTTCTGTCCCAATCCACAGAGACTCCCCCTCTGCCCCAGGTGTCCCCTCCACACACTACTCTAGAGTGGCACCTTCTCACATCACCCAGGGACATCCAAAGCAGGCTGCTCCTTCCTGGCCGCAGAGACAGATGCAGCCTGTGACCCCCTCAGGGTGTGTGGAAGAGCAGGCCCCCCTGCTTCATTCCTTGCTTGTGGCGAGAAACGAATCCTGGCTGGGTGCCATGGCTCACACCTGTCATCGCAGTGCTTTGGGAGGCCAAGGGGGGAGGATTGTTTGAGCCCAGGAGTTTGAGACCAGGCTGGGCAACATGGTGAGATCCTGTCTCTACAAAAAATAAAAAATAAAAAATAATGGCCGGGTATGGTGGCTCACACCTGTAATCCCAGCACTTTGGGAGGCTGAGGCGGGTGGATCACTTGAGGTCAGGAGTTCGAGACCAGCCTGGTCAACATGGTGACACCCTGTCTCTACTAAAGATACAAAAATTAGCCAGGCATGGTGGCGGGCACCTGTAATCCTGGCTGCTTGGGAGGCTGAGACGGGAAAATCGTTTAAGCTCGGGAGGCGGAGGTTGCATTGAGCCAAGATCACGCGATTGCACTCCAGCCGGGGCGACAGAGTAAGACTGCGTCTCAAAAAAAAAAAAAAAAATTAGCTGGTCAGTGTGGTGATGTGTGCCTGTGGTCCCAGCTACTGGCTTCAGTGAGCTATGATTGTGCCACTGCACTCCAGTCTGGGAGATAGAGCAAGACCCTGTCTCGAAAAAAAAAGAAAAATCACCTTCCATGTCCCGACAGCAGCTCTTTTTTTTTTTTTTTTTTGAGACAGAGTCTCCCTCTGTCGCCCAGGCTGGAGTGCAGTGGCGCAATCTCTGCTCACTGCAAGCTCACCTTCCAGGTTCATGCCATTCTCCTGCCGCAGCCTTCCGAATAGCTGGGACTACAGGCGCCCACCACCACGCCCGGCTAATTTTTTTTTTGTATTTTTAGTAGAGACGGGGTTTCACCGTGTTAGCCAGGATGGTCTTGATCTCCTGACCTCGTGATCCACCCGCCTTGGCCTCCCAAAGTGCTGGGATTACAGGCGTGAGCCACCACGGCCAGCCGACAGCAGCTCCTTAACAGCCTCACGAGCTGGAGCCAGAGGGGGTGGAGTTTGATGCAAATCAAGTACATGGCATGACGGTTTCACAGGCCAGGATGCGTCTGCCACATGACCCGTGGTGTTCACGGTCATGGACATTGCTGCCCACGAGATTACTGTGTGGAAAGAGGTGTGTGATGGCGTCTTTATTGCCGAAACCTCTGCTTTTGTGAGTGCCTTTCTGCTATTGACTCTGTGTGTCGTGAGTCCAGCACCACCTCAGGCAGGGTCACAGCGAGAGGCTGGACCCCGTCGTCCTCTTCCCTTTAAGTGGCCGCTGTGGCCGGGGGGACTTGACTTAGTGTTGGCAAACGGTGAGGTTCTTTGTCGTGGGTAACTCCCTGCCTTGCACCCACTGAGACTCTGGGCAGAAGTTTCTGGATTTTTTTTTTGTCTTTTTTTTGAGACGGAGTTTTGCTCTTGTTGCCCAGGCTGGAGTGCAGTGGCGCAATCTCGGCTCACTGCAACCTCCGCCTCCCAGGTTCAAGTGATTCTCCTGCCTCAGCCTTCCAAGTAGCTGGGATTACAGGCATGCACCACCATGCCCGGCTAATTTTGTATTATTAGTAGAGATGGGGTTTCTCCATGTTGGTCAGGCTGGTCTCGAACTCCCGACCTCAGGTGATCTGCCCACCTCGGCCTCCCAAAGTGCTGGGATTACAGGCATGAGCCACTGCGCTCAGCCTCGATTTTTTTTTTCTTTTTTTGAGATGGAGTCTCGCTCTGTTGCCCAGGCTGGAGTGCAGTGGCACGATCTCGGCTCACTGGAAACTCCACCTCCTGGGTTCAAGGGATTCTCCTGCCTCAGCCTCCTGAGTAGCTGGGACTACAGGCACCCGCCATCCTGCCTTGCTAATTTTTGTATTTTTAGTAGAGACGGGGTTTCACCATGTTGGCCAGGCTGGTCTCAAACCCCTGACCTCAGGTGATCCATCTGCCTCTGCCTCCCAAAGTGCTGGGGTTATAGGTGTGAGTCACTGCGCCCGTCCTGGATGTTTTTGTCTTCCTCTCTGGGGCACTGCTATGTTTTTCCTTCTGCCTGGAGCTCCCGGGCTGGCACTTGGGTCGTCTTTGTATTTTCTTTTCTTCTTCTTTTTCTTTTTTTTTTTTGAGACAGGGTCTTACTGTGTTGCCCAGGCTGGAGTACAGTGGCGTGATCTTAGCTCACTGCCGCCTCTACCTCCTGGGCTCAAGTGGTCCTCCTGCCTCAGCCTCCCAAGTAGCTGAGGTGACAGGCATGCACCACCATGCCTGACTCATTTTTTAAAATTTTTTATAGAGACAAAGTCTCCCTATGTTGCCCAGGCTGTTCTGGGACTCCTGGCCTCAAACAATCCTCCCACCTCAGCCTCCCAGGTGTTGGGATTACAGGGGCAAGCCACAAATGCACTTGCATTGCATTTTGGCCTAGGAGGGCCAGTAGGGCTGTGCTGGTGGCCTGCTCTGACTGTGGAGGGGTCCCTGTTCTGCTTCATGGCCCGCTGGGGGACTGTGGTTGGTTGTAGGGTTGTGGGGAAGGCAAAATGAGGTCATGTCTGTCGAGCTCAATGCAGCGTCTGGCACTCGGTGGGCACCCCGTGGCAATTGTGCATGAGTTTTCGTGCACAGCGTGGCGGGGGCTGGTCGCCTGGGGGTGGGGGCATTGGGGGGGGGTCGCCTACCTGCCATTTGTCATGCGGTCAAACGTGTGCTTTTCCTGAGTGGCCACCTGGGTATCTGCTCCTCCCAGCGACTGCTGCTGCCTCACTGACTTGGCAGTCGCACCCCCTTGAGGTGGCCCACCTGCGGCTGTGGGGTGTGGGCACCTGTCCCTTCTCTCTGTCCTGGCCGTGGGGCTTCCGTGGGCCAGGGGCCTCGGATCTGCCACTCCTGCAGTGGGGTCCCTCTGCTGCCCTGGGGCCCAGCAGCACGTCTGCAGAGCAGGGTTGGCCTCCGGGGCCTCTGATCCTCGTGGCTGGCATGGAGCGGGTGCCCCCTGAGCCTGGAGAGAAGCGTGTGGCCTGTTCCCGGCTGCCGTGCTCCTCCCCAGCTCTGTCTGCCACGTACAGGGCCCTTGAGGCACTTAGAGGGTGACTCTGGCAGGCATGGTCTGTCTGGGAGCCCCAGGTGAGCCCGGGACGGGGAGGCAGGTGTGAGTGCCTCCTGGGCTTCCCCAGCAGGCTCCGCCCCCTCCGTGGCCACCCATGTAATCCGCTGACCGCCTGTCTCTGGTTCAGCTTCCAGGCCGAGCGGCCCGCGTTAAACGTCGTCATCTTCCCTCTGCTCCACGAGGGCCTGACCGACGTCATCCGGGACGTCCCCCTGGTGCACCTGGATGAGATCACCTTATTTAAGAGCAGAGTGGCCGAGGAACCGCCGAACCTGTGGTGGTGAGAGGCGGAGCCGCCGCCCATCGGTCTCAGTCACCTCGAGAAGCTGCAGGAGCCTGGGACGCCAGGGACCCTTGGTTTGTCACAAGAGGAAGGGGGCCTCTCTCCCGGCCAGCCACGCCCCACCTGGCTCCTGGGGCTCCCGGCGTCTCCACGGCTCTCTCATGGGGACTGTTGCTCTGTGAAGTTTAGGTCGAGGGGATGCGTTCTGGGTGACATGAGGGGGCTCGGGGGACGGTCGATGTGGGGGGCTGGCTGAACCAGGCTGACCCTTGGGGCCTGGCTGGGGGGTTTGTATACTGAGCCGCAATCCCTGGGGGCCCTGTCCACGGGCCTGGAGGGCCCGAACCCCCTGCCACTTCCGACCGGGAAGCGTGTCCCTTGGCTGTTGTGTTTGTGGTCACCTGCCACCGGGGCCCCGTGGATGGGCGGCCACATGCTGTCCCCCTGAAGTCCAGTCGGCCGGGCTGGTCACCGTGTATCTGAGTGTCCCCTTGCATGGTCAAGTGTGACATGGGGAAGGGCCTGCCAGTTTAGTGGCTGCAGACTTGGGACTCTCCATCCCATTAGGACACACTTGAGCCCACTCATGTCTCTGGGGCTTTTCTAGCCAGATGATGCCTGTGGCCCCAGAGAGGTCCCCTGAGGTTGGGACTGCTGGTTGGAGCCTCTCCTGTGACTTTTCAGCCCAACCAGCAGGGCCCGTTTCTAACGAGAGAGGCCTCCTCCCCCTCCCACCCACCCCACGGCCTTCAGCTTCCCTGGGAAGGTCCATGCGCGTTCCTGGGGAAATCGATACACATTCGGCTTTGTTAGAATAACGCGAAACATTAAAACCCAGAAAGGATTCTTAAGGCTGGAGTAGCAATCACATGACCCCATTTCAAATGACTTCATTTAAGACTTTAAAAATACTCAGCTGGGCGCGATGGCTCACGCCTGTAATCCCGGCACTTTGGGAGGCTGAGGTGGGTGGATCACGAGGTCAGGAGTTCAAGACCAGCCTGGCCAACATGGTGAAACCCCATCTCTACTAAAAATACAAAAATTAGCTGGGCGTGGTGGCGGGCGCCTGTAATCCTAGCTACTCAGGAGGCTGAGGCAGGAGAATCGTTTGAACCTGGGAGGCGGAGGTTGCAGTGAGCCGAGATCACACCATTGCACTCCAGCCTGGACAACAGGGTGAGACTCCGCCTCAAAAAAAAAAAAAAAAAAAAAAAAAAAAAAAAATATATATATATATATATATATTCAACACACTTTGGGAGGATCACTTGAGCCCAGGAGTTTGAGATCAGCCTGGGCAACACAGGGATACCCCATCTCTGAAAAAGAAAGAGAAAAAAACAAAGTTATTCCAAAAATGAGGACATCCTCCTGGCATCTGAGTCCTCACCCCATGTGCCACGGTGGCCGCTTCTGCCGTCCTCCACCTCCAGGCGCTCCTAGAGCTGTCCCTGGGCCAGTGGCTTCCAAAGGGGGCTGTAGTTGGGCCCTGCTAGCCTGGACCGCCGCCCTGGCCGCTCTTGGTGAAGGGCCCCTTGTCCAGCCCGCCTTCCTCCTCCTGGGTTTCCGTGTGACAGATGCCCCGTCCTGTGGGGTGGTGTCTCACATTTGCTTTGCTGTTAAAAAATGGGGTACACCATCCCCAGGCCTCCAATCACCGGCCCTGCCCCTGAGTGGGGATGGTTTTCAGCAGCTCCTTGCTCTGGGGGCCAAGCTCCTTGTCCAGGAGGCCTTTGGAGAACTGGGGTCAGAGCTGTGGGGAGGTACAGCCCTCCTGTGCAGGCTGCCTCCCAGCTCTCCACCTGGCAGTCTTGACCCCACCCTGGCGCCTCTGCTCACTGGCACAGGTGGATCTGGGGTTTGAGGTCTCCTCCCACTTCACCCTGACTTTCTTGTATGTATGGGGTCATCGCCTCCTCTCTGAAGCCCACGGGTCCTCTCCCAGCCCCAGGCTGCACCCAGTGCAGAACCTTTGCCTCCTGGCCAGAGGGACCCTTCTGCAGGCTGATTCCAGCAGTGCCCGATGGTGGGACCCACACCAGACCAAGCCTTCGCCTCCCAGAGGCCTCCTGGCCCTCCTGTCATGGCCTGTGAGAGCCACACCCCTAGGCCCCGTCTCCTAGTCTGCAGGCCGCAGGACCAGCTGCCCACGGCCCCAGGGGGCAGGGGCTGTAGATGAGGGTCTCAGAGGTGGTGGGAGCACCCCCCCCACCCACAGTTCCTGGGCATTTCTTTAGAGCTTTAAAATGGCACCTGGAGACCACCAGGCGCGGCGATCAGATCGGGTGGTGTGGTGCCTCCTGGGACTGACCACTTCTTGCTCTCCGACCAGGCAGGGGCGAGTGGCCTGGGAGGTTCCCGGACCCTCAGGGGGCCTGTGTCTCTGGGCACCGCAGCTCCGCCCCACTCCTTCCTCCAGAACATTCCCCACTCGGGCTAGAGAATTGCGTCTGCTCCAGGAATGCATCCTAGCGTGTGTACGATCGCGCCTGGGTGTCCTGTTCTCATGAGCAAGCGGTTTTAACCAGCAGCATAATTTATACTCATAGACAGGACTGGGGGAAGGGCTGTTCCTGAGGCTGGGGTGCAGTGCCTTGGAAAGCACCCCTGAAACAGTGGACCTTGTATTTTTAGTGTCCCCTGCAACCATCCTCTGACTTAGAGCAAGAATTTCCGCTGCTGCTACCCCCGAGATGGGCTTCACCAGATGTTAATAACGTGCTTATTTTCTCTAAGTGCTATTTTGGCACCAGCGTTAGTTGCAATTTATATTCTGCAGCATTTGATGCTGGGAAAAGAACCCACCCTAATGGTCCCCAATTGGCAGAGCTCGGCTGTTAAGCAGCAGACCATATGCTGCCTGCTGGAGGAGCGTGGTCAGCACTTGTCCCCGTGCCTGCGTGCGTGTGCCTGCGTGCACGTGTGCCTGCGGGTACCTGTGCCCTGTGTGTGCACATGTGCCTGCATGCGTGTGCCTGCGTGCACGTGTGCCTGTGTGTACATGTGCCTGCGTGTACCTGTGCCCTGTGTGTGCACGTGTGCCTTCGTGTACCTGTGCCCTGTGTGTGCATGTGTGTGTGAGTCACGTCTTCCGTGTGTGTATGTGAGGGAGAGACTGTGGGGTTGGAGGGAGGGAGGAGGGGAAAGGGTATGTATCCCTTTGTTCTTTAAAAGGGAGAGCCCCAACCTCTCTGGCTGCCCCCTCCTGCCTGTGCTCCCAGCTCACCCCACACCTAGCTGCTATTTATTCTCCTGACCCCCTTCCCGGCCCTGCAGCCCCGTGTCCCGCAGCCTCCGCCCCGCCTCCTGCTCCACGTCACCAGGCAACACTCGGCTCCACCAGGCTTCCGAAGGTGGCCCAGAGCAGGCACTTGAGCCTGATGACCCAGAGCAAAGCTGCCTTTCTGGGCCTTGAGTACTCCTTTCTGCTATGGAAGGCTTTTCTTGTTTTCAACGGCCCGTCCAGCCCAGGGGGGCTGGGTGAGGGCCGCTTCCTTCTGCAGCAGAGGGGGCGGGCTCTATCCTTGCCATCTGCTGCCCCCAGAGGCCCTGCCAGGACATGGGCCTGAGCGGTTTCTTCTCCAAGAGGCCCTCCTGGGACCTGTCTGTGCACAGGGCGGGAAGACACTTGCTGCTTCGACCCAGGACGGCAGCCAGGACGGGCTGAGCTCCTCTTGCGCTGCAAACACACAAGGGTTGCCTGCCAGCTCAGCAGCGCCCTCCCTCAACCACACCCTGGGTCCGGACCCAGAGCCACAGGCCGTTGGACCCAGGGGACCGGGGCTGGGCTCAGGCGTGGGCCTGGAGGGCTTGTGGAGGGGCCAGACCTAGAGCCGTAGGGCTCCAACAGCTGAGGGCTGGGCCCCTGCCGGCCAATGAAGCTCCAGACCAGTGCTCCGGCCTTGGCGGTGCCAGCAGTGCTCCTGCAGGGATGGAGGGTGCTGGAGGCCTGGATGCGGGGACCTTGATCCCCCAGCAGGCAGCGCTGTGGCAGCCTCCCACCTCCTCTTCCCCTGTTATCTGCTCCTTTTAGGATCTGAAAATTACAGAGCCTTTTTTTTTTTTTTGAGAGGGAGTCTTGCTTTGTCCCCCAGGCTGGAGTGCAGTGGCACGATCTCAGCTCACTCACTACAACCTCCACCTCACAGGTTCAAGCGATTCTCCCACATCAGCCTCCTGAGTAGCTGGGATTACAGGCACCTGCCATCATGACCGGCTAATTTTTGTATTTTTGCAGAGATGGGGTTGCACCATGTTGGTCAGGCTGGCCTTGAACTCCTGACCTCAAGTGATTCTCCTGCCTCGGCCTCCCAAAGTGCTAGGATAACAGGTGTGAGCCACCGTGCCTGGCGCATTACAGAGCTCTTGTAAGAAAACGTGTGAAATTCATGGACAAAGTGAGGTGATGAAGTGTGGGGCCACTAAACCAAAGGCAGAGGAGACGTCGGCCACTTCCTGTGGACGTGGGCAGAGCGCTGCTGCCAGTTCCTGGTAGCCTTGACCACGACGCTGGGGGGTCTTTGTGATGGTCATGGGTCTCATTTGCACTTGGGGGTGTGGGATTCAAGTTAGAAGTTTCTAGATCTGGCCGGGCGCAGTGGCTCACGCCTGTAATCCCAGCACTTTAGGAGGCTGAGGCAGGCGGATCATGAGGTCAGGAGATCGAGACCGTCCTGGCTAACACAGTGAAACCCCGTCTCTACTAAAAATACAAAAAAGTAGTCGGGTGTGGTGGCGGGCGCCTGTGGTCCCAGCCACTCAGGAGGCTGAGGCAGGAGAATGGCATGAACCTGGGAGGCGGAGCTTGCAGTGAGCTGAGATCGCACCACTGCATTCCAGCCTGGGCGACAGAGTGAGACTCCGTCTCAAAAAAAAAAAAAACAAAAGAAGTTTCTAGATCTACTGGGCATGATGAACACAAACCCCACAGACACTGAGGAACCCAGTGGTGGCAGTGACTCGGGCTCCTCTGCTCTCTAAAGCTCCTTTGAGAAACATGGGAGGGGCCGGGCGTGGTGGTTCACGCCTGTCATCCCAGCACTTTGGGAGGCTGGGGCAGGAGGATCGCTTGAGCCCAGGAGTTCGAGACCAGCCTGGGCAACATAGTGAGACTGTATCGCTACATAAAATAAAAAAAAAAGTTAGCTGGGCATTGTACATGTGCCTGTGGTCCCAGCTACTCAGGAGGCTGAGGCAGGAGGATTGCTTGAGCCCAGGAGTTGGATGTTGCAGTGAGCCAAGATCGCACCATTGCCCTCCACTCTGGGCCACGGAGCAATACCCTGTCTCAGAAAACAAACAACAAAAAGCAGAAACGCTGAAGGGGTCGGTTTACGGGAAAACCGCCTGTCAGAACACTTGGCTACTCCTACCCCAGATCAGTGGACCTGGGAATGAGGGTTGGTCCCGGGAGGCTTTTCTCCAAGCTGTTGCCACCAGACCCGCCATGGGAACCCTGGCCACAGAAGCCTCCCGGGGAGTGAGCCAGAGCCTGGACCGCTGTGCTGATGTGTCTGGGGTGGAGGGAGGGTGGGGAGTGTGCAAGGGTGTGTGTGTGCCCGGGGGGTGTTCATGGGCAAGCATGTGCGTGCCTGTGTGTGTGCGTGCCCCTCCCCTGCAGCCGTCGGTGGTATCTCCCTCCAGCCCCTTCGCCACCTTCTGAGCATTGTCTGTCCACGTGAGACTGCCCAGAGACAGCAGAGCTCCACGTGGTTTTAAGGGGAGACCTTTCCCTGGACCTGGGGGTCTCGCCGTATCTCATGACCAGGTGCTAAATGACACGACATGCATCACCTGCCTTTCGATGACCAACCTCCCTGTCCCCGTCCCGCTGACCTGCCCCCGTGGCGTCTCACGGTGATGCCTGCTCCTGACATTGGTGTTCACTGTAGCAAACTACATTCTGGATGGGAATTTTCATGTACATGTGTGGCATGTGGAAAATTTCAAATAAAATGGACTTGATTTAGAAAGCCAGGCGGCTGTGTGGTCCTTCCAGCACGGATACTTTGACCTCTTGCCTACAACCCCTTCCTTGGGTCCGAGGCTGGTAGCTTTGTTCACTTCCGATGGTTGGGGGCGGGTGCCGTGCTTGGGGAGGCGGGTTGTCTGAAACAGAGGTGTGTGGATGGAGACACAAGACCCAAAGCGGGGGGCAGACACTCCCCAGGGGGCATCAGGAGGTGACAGCTGAGACAGCCTTGGGCTGGGGAGGCCAAAGGTGAAAGAGGAGGCTGCGTAGGTCAGGATGGGCCTGGCAGGGAGCAGTGCAGGTACACTGGCACGGTTGTGCAGGCTACACACTGCAAAAGCCTCCCTGTGGTCTGGTGGCAGCTCAGACAGCAAAAGTGGTGGCTGGCTGAAGGCAGGCAGGGCCGAGTCAGCTTAGGCTTTCCCTCAGGGCTGTGGAAACAGCCTCAGCATTGTTCATTTTATTTTATTATTATTTTTTGAGATAGAATCTTGCTCTGTCGCCCAGGCTGGAGGGCAGTAGTGTGATCTCAGCTCACTGCTACCTCCGCCTCCTGGGTTCAAGCGATTCTCCTGCCTCAGCCTCCGGAGTAGCTGGGATTACAGGCACCCACCACCACGCCCAGCTAATTTTTAAAATATTTTCAGTAGAGACGGGGTTTCGCCATGTTGACCAGGCTGGTCTCGAACTCCTGACCTCAAGTGATCCACCCGCCTCGGCCTCCCAAAGTGCTGGGATGACAGGCGTGAGCCACCAGGCCTGGACCATCTTAACCATTTTAAAGTGCATAATTTGGCCAGGCGCGGTGGCTCACGCCTGTCATCCCAGCACTTTGGGAGGCCGAGGCGGGCGGATCACGAGGTCAGGAGATCAAGACCACCCTGGCGAACACGGTGAAACCCCGTCTCTACTGAAAATACAAAAATATTAGCTGGGCGTGGTGGCGGGCGCCTGTAGTCCCAGCTGCTCGGGAGGCTGAGGCAGGAGAATGGCCTGAACCCGGGAGGCGGAGCTTGCAGTGAGCCGAGATCGCGCCACTGCACTCCAGCCTGGGTGACAGAGCGAGACTCTGTCTCAAATAAATAAATAAATAAATAAATAAATAAATAAATAAAAAATAAAGTGCATAATTTGCCAGCGGAGGATTTTTTTGAAGAAAAAAAAGTAAAATAAAGTGCATAGTTCAAGCTGGGGGCGGTGGCTCATGCTTGTAATCCCAGCACTTTGGGAGATCGAGGCAGAAACAACACTTGTGCCCAGGAGTTTGAGAGCAGCCTGGGCAACGTAGTCAGACCTTGTCTCTACAAAAAGTACAAATATTAGCCGGGCATGGCGGCACACACCTGTCTGTGGTCCCAGCTACTTAGGGGGAGGCTGAGGCAGAAGGATCGCTTGAGCCTGGGAGGTCACTGTTGCAGTGAGCCGTGATTGCACCACTGCACTCCAGCCTGGGTGACAGAGCGAGACCCTGTCTCAGAAAAAAAAAAAAAACGAACTGCACAGTTCGGTGGCATTAAGCACATCACAGTGTTGTGCAGCCATCATCACCATCCGCTTCTAGAACTTTCTCATCTTTCCCAACTGAAACTCTGTCCCCATTAAACATTCACTCCCCAGCCCCCTCCCTCAGCCCCAGGCACCCACCATTCTACTTCCTGTCCCTATGAGTTTGACTCCTCTGGGTGCCCCATAGAAGTGGAATCTGGGCCAGGCACAATGGCTCACGCCTGTAATCCCAGCAGTTGGAGAGGCCAAGGCTGGTGGATCACCTGAGGTCAGGAGTTTGAGACCAGCCTGACCAACATGGTGAAACCCCATCTCTACAAAAAGTACAAAAATTAGCCGGGCATGGTGTGGCGCACGCCTGTAGTCCCAGCTACTTAGGAGGCTGAGGGAGGAGAATCACTTGAACCTGGGAGGTGGGGGCTGCAGTGAGCCAAGGCCGCACTATTACCCTCCAGCAGCCTGGGCAACAGAGTGAGACTCCACCTAAAAAAAGAGTGAAATCTGCAGTGCATGTGCTTTTTTTTTTTTTTTTTTTGAGATGGAGTCCCATTCTGTCGCCCAGGCTGGAGTGCAGTGGCACAATCTCGGCTCACTGCAACCTCTGCCTCCCGAGTTCAAGCAATTCTCCTGCCTCAGCCTCCTGAGTAGCTGGGTAAGAGGCATGTGCCACCATGCCCAGCTGTTTTTTGTATTTTTAGTAGAGACGGGGTTTCACCATGTTGGCCAGGCTGGTCTCGAACTCCTGACCTCAGGTGATCCACCCACCTTGGCCTCCCAAAGTGTTGGGATTACAGGCATGAACCACCGCACCCGGCACTTGTGCTCTTGAGGCTGGTGTATTTGCAGTGTCAGTTTGGGGCAGAGACCTCCTTTACCTGTCCTGGGCTCTGGGAAGAGGCTCGGCCCAAATGTGGCAGGAGGTGGGAGGAGGCACCAGGATCCGGATGGGGACAGGGCTGCCGGCAGAGGGTGGGCTCCAGGGCTGCTGCAGAACGGAGCGGCCAGGGTGGGGCCCCTCACATGAGCCAGGGACTCAGCAATGCCTCCTTCTGGCTTGGTTCTTGAGGTGATGGTGTTTCTCTGGCAGAAATGGCGACATAGGGCCAGGAGCCTCCCATCCTGCCCAACATTGTCTGAGCCGTTGCCTGCAGCTTGACATGTACACACCGTCCCCTGGTGATGTCTTGTGTCTGGCTGGAGGGAAATCAGCGGTCGGTGCTGGGGAATTGGGCAGTGGGTGGGGGCTGATACTCTGTGCTGCCGACGCCAATGGCTGCAGCAGGGGAGAGAGGATGGGAATGTGTGCAGCGAGGAAGCCCAGGAGCCCTTCCTTCAGAGGAACATGTGAGACTGTCATTACAGTGACAGGCAAGCGGGGGAGAGGAGCGCCAAGGCTGAGCAATAGCCAGAAACATTCTGTCTTGTACATAACAAGGCACTCCCAAGTTCAGGGTCCAGAACGGCCACTGTGGGGTGCTCACGGCTTCTCCAGGGCAGGTATTTGCACAGGGGATGGCACTACGAGTTATCTGTTCCATGGTGTCTGGAGCCTCCACCACAGTGACTCAGCAGTTGGGGACTGAAGTCTCCTGGAAGCATCTTCACTCGCAGGTCTGGTGGTCAATGCTGGTGTTGACCTGGACCTCAGTGGGGCCTGTGGCCAGAACACCTCCATGTGGCCTCGTGTGGCCTCTCCATGAGACCTCTCCATGTGGCCTTGTCACGTGGCCTCTCCATGTGGCCCCTCCATGTGGTCTCTCCATGTGGTCTAAGTGGCCTCTCCATGTGGTCTCTCTACATAGGCTAGTTGGGCTTCCTCACAGCGTGGCAGCTGGGTCCCAAGAGCAAGCGTCTCCAGAAAACCAGAAGGACGGGCCCTGGCTTTGGCTGTCACATGGCATCACTTCCACACCCTGTTGACCAAGGCAGTCCCAGAAGCTGCCACAGTCAAGAGACGGGGCACAGACCCCCCACTTGCCAGGATGAGTGATGAGCTGTCATTGCAGAAGACCTCTTGGGGTGGGAGGTCATGTTGTGGCCATTTTTAGAAAGTGCGTCTTAGTGCACTGGGCCTGTTGGTGTTGGCCTTGGCCTTGCTGAGGGGCGTGCTGGGGGTGTAGTGGGGGCAGCGGCTTCAGCCCAGGTCTGGGGGAACTTGTGTTTTCCCACACACCTCCTGAGCTGATGCTCCTGCTTCATTTTTGTTTTGAGATAGGGTCTTGCTCTGTCACCCAGGCTGGAGTGCAGTGGCGTCATCCTGCTTCACTGCAGCCTCGACCTCCTGGGCTTGAGTGATCTTCCTGCCCCAGCCTCCCGAGGAGGTGGGACTGTAGGTGCGCCCCACCACACCACACAGGGTCTTACTGTGTTGCCCAGGCTGGTCTCAAACTCCTGGGCTCAAGAAATCCTCCCGCCTCAGCCTCCCAAAATGCTGGGATTACAGGCGTGAGCCACCGCGCCTGGCCATGATGCCCCTGTTTTGTGGGGGGCACTACGCCAGGGAGGCCAGAACATGCGAAGAGCCCTGAAAAGGTCAGGGGTCTGTACCTGGAGTCGACTGAGTGTGTGAAGCCGCCTGGCCTTTGTCCATGTGGCGAGCCTTTAAAGTAAAAATGAAAAGCACTTTGGGAGGCCGAGGAGGGCAGATCATGAGGTCAGGAGATCGAGACCATCCTGGCTAACACGGTGAAGCCCCGTCTCTACTAAAAATACAAAAAATTAGCCGGGCGTGATGGCGGGCTCCTGTAGTCCCAGCACTTTGGGAGGCCGAGGCAGGCGGATCACGAGGTCAGGAGATTGAGACCATCCTGGCTAACATGGTGAAGCCCCGTCTCTACTAAAAATACAAAAAATTAACTGGGTGTGGTGGCGGGCGCCTGTAGTCCCAGCTACTTGGGAGGCTGAGGCAGGAGAATGGCGTGAACCCGGGAGGCGGAGGTTGTAGTGAGCCGAGATCGCGCCACTGCACTCCAGCCTGGGCGACAGAGCGAAAAAGCCCCGGCCCGTGTGTTCCGAGGGTTTGCACTGGAAGCCTCGGGAGTCGTGGCTGGAGGAGGGCGGAAGAGCCAGCTCGAGAGGCTTTGGCTGCCCCCAGGAGCCCTGCACAGCGGCTGATTTATTGCGGGCGTTGAACTTGCAGGATAGTGGAGATGGCGTGACGGAATCCTAGCTTCGGAGCCATGGTTTGCCGTGACCCTTGCTTTGCAGATGAAGTCGGGGCGCCCGGGGGTCAGCTGCCTGCTTAAGGCCACGCAGCTAGTGGTGGTTAGCGTGTCGCACAGTCACAGAGCCCGGGTGAGATGCTGCACGCTGGGCCTCTGCTCTGCACGGATGAGGGAGGGGAGTCCCTACTCAGATACCATTGGCAAGGACACAGGGACGCCTCTGCGTGGCTGGAGCAGCCTGGGAACCCGGCCAGCCTTTCTCAGCCACCGCCATCTCCAGGCCTTGGGTGAAGGAGGAGAGCTCCCAGCCGGCCGCGCTGGGAGAGCAAAGGATGTCACCTGTGTCCCTTCACAGGTGCCGGGGGCCACTCTGCTGTGTTCCAAGCTCAGGAAGTGGACATCTCCCCCCCGGGAAGGGGACATCTCCCCCCCGGGAAGGGGAGGGGGCAGCCTCTGGGCCGGGGGTCGGAGAAGCCTCTGCGGAAGGGGCCTGGGGGTCTCCCCTTCCTTTTGTGTGTTGTGTCTTGTGTCTGCCTGCCCTGTGGAAGGCTGGCCGTGGTGACACTCAGGAGCCGGGAATGGTGACTTGCTGGCCAGGCCCTTCCTGCGGTTTCTCTGGGCAGCTCAGAACTGCGGGTTTCCCAGAGTTCCTGGCTCTCGGGTTTCGTGGCAGCTCAGGCTCCCGCGGGCACGGGTGTCTTGGGAACTCTGATGTGGAGGGTCCAGGAGCTGGGGCAGCTGCCCGGGCCTGCGCTGGGTACCCGCCTTGGGGGCAGGGTGGAGGGGTGGATGTGTGAGGGGTAGGGAGGGGCACGCCTTGGTCACGGGGCCCCTGAGGGTGGCGCTGTGTCCCCTGCCATGATGCCAGACCCCTGCTGTCCCTCTGGGGATCGGCCTCTGTGTGCCAGGCCCCCTCGGCCAGCATGCAGCTGAGCCTTGCAGAGCCTGGGGAAGATGATGGCTGGCAGGGGAGGTGCCCCAGCGTCACTGCCCGAGGCTGATCTCTAGCCCCTGCTGGGAAGGCACACGCTCCATCAGTCCCTCACCCACGCCCGCAGACTGGCACACGCACACGCATGTGCACTCACTCGTCCAACGGCCCCACGCCCACGCCCGTTCATACCCGTACACTTCAGACACTCTGACAATCACATGCCACATCCCACACTCTGACATTCACACACGGACGTTTACTCGCACACTCCGCATTCACACACACCACACCCACACACATGCCCTCGCACACACACCTGCACACTCACACTCAGGCTCATAAACCCTCTCCCGTGTCACACCCATATCACACACACACAGTTCCAGCAGTGCTCACACTTCCACATGTCCACAAACACCGCCTGAGTCCACACCTCCACCCCAGCCACACAGACACACCTCTGCTCACCCCACACGCACTCTACTTACACGGACACCCCATGCTTTCCACGGCACGCTCCCACGCTCACATCCACACACGGAGCTTCCTATATGCACACCCTTGCACGCTCACACTCACACCCACACCACACACGTTCTCATCTCCACGCAGCACCTGTGTGGATTTGCACGTACACCCCCCCCACACACACCCACACACTGATAGCTCACACATTCACACTCACGTGCACAAGTACAGATGTGCTCATTTACACACACATGCCCGTGTTCACTCATGTAGCACACACATGCTCACATAACTCACATTCTTTTAAAAAAATTTTTTTTGAGACAGTCTTGCCCTGTTACCCAGGCTGGAGTGCAGTGGCACGATCTCAGCTCACTGCAACCTCCACCTCCGGAGTTCAAGCGATTCTTCTGCCTCAGCCTCCCGAGTAGCTGGGATTACAGGTGCACGCCACCATGCCTGGCTGATTTTTGTATTTTTAGTAGAAACGGGGTTTCACCATGTTGGCCAGTCTGGTCTCGAACTCCTGACCTCAGGTGATCCACCCACTTCGGCCTCCCAAAGTGCTGGGATTACAGGCGTGAGCCACAGAGTCCACTCATAACTCATTCTTACACACATTCTTCATACATAGTCACTCAGACATGTCCACACAGATGCAGACACACACACAACCCCCACTGCTCACGCACAGTCTCCTATGTCTCATCACACCCGCACACCACACACTCTCAATTCACACACACATTCACACACCAAAACAAAGGGACTGGATTAATTTTATACACCTAGTAGTGAACACAGCCAGTTTGATTAGAGGTGAACTTAGGCCCTGGCATGTTGGCTCATGCCTGTAATCCCAGTACTTTGGGAGGCTGAGATGGGAGGATCACTTGAGGCCAGGAATTTGAGATCAGCCTGGGCAACATAGTGAGATCCTTGTCTCTACAAAAACTAAAAAGTTAGCCCGTCGTGGTGGTGCGCGTCTGTAGTCTCAGCTACTTGAGAGGCTGAGGTGGGAGGATCGTTTGAGCCCAGGAGTTGTTGTCTGCAGAGAGCCAAGATCACCACTGCACTCCAGCCTGGGCAACAGAGTAAGACGCTGTCTCAATAACTAACTAAATAAATATAAAAAGAGGTAAACTTAGTTCTATTATGTTCCTTTTCTAGAAAATGTGAAAATTTCCGAAAAGTAGAACAGAGGGAAAAGATAGTTCACACCCACGTTCTCACCCGCCTGGCAGTGCATCCGTTAATATTTCAGTTAACGTCTTTCCAGCCTTTGTTCTAGGCTCTTAAAAAATGTCTGAGGTGGCTGGGCGTGGTGGCTCACGCCTGTAATCCCAGCACTTTGGGAGGCCAAGGCGGGCAGATCATGAGGTCAGGAGATCGAGGCCATCCTGGCTGACACAGTGAAATCCCGTTTCTACTAAAAATACAAAAACAGGGCTCGGCGCAGTGGGTCATGCCTGTAATCCCAGCACTTTGGGAGGCCGAGGCGGGCGGATCACGAGGTCAGGAGATCGAGACCATCCTGGCTAACACGGTGAAACCCCGTCTCTACTAAAAATACAGAAAAATTAGCTGGGTGTGGTGGCGGGCGCCTGTAGTCCCAGCTACTCGGGAGACTGAGGCAGGAGAATTGCTTGAACCCGGGAGGCAGAGCTTGCAGTGAGCCGAGATCGTGCCACTGCACTCCAGCCTGGGCGACAGAGCGAGATTCCATCTCCAAAAAAAAAAAAAAAAAGTTCGAGGCTGCAATCATTGGATTTCGGGTCCTGCTTTTCTGCTCACACACGCAGTGCAGCCTCTTGGGTTCCTCCATCATTTTAATGACAGGGCTTTGCTGTCACAAGCTCTTTCTGCTGTCAGACAATTAGGTTGTCTCCAATGAGTCAGTCTCCTAAGGAAAGCAGCTCCCATCTCCTTAGGCTGCTGTTTCTCTATCTTTAGGATTGTTTCTTTAGAAGAGACTCTCCTTAGTGAAACGGCTGGAGCGGAGGATTAATATTTTTTGACGGGGAGGAACTTTGAGGACCCCAGAGGCGGAGCTGTGTATCAGGTGTGGCCTTAGTGTCTTTCCCTGGCGTGATCTGGCCCTCGAAACGGGAAGGACAGCTCTCAGCTGCTGCCCAAAAGGGTATTTTTATTTGCAAAGTTCCCTGATTTCTTTTTTTTTTTTTGGAGACGGAGTCTCACTCTGCCTCCCAGGCTGGGGTGCGGTGGTGTGATCTCGGCTCACTGCAACCTCCGCCTCCCAGGTTCAAGTGATTCTCCTGCCTCAGCCTCCCGAGTCACTGGGATTATAGGTGCCCACCACCACACCCAGCTAATTTTTTATTTTTATTTATTATTTATTATTTATTATTATTATTTTTTAAGACGGAGTCTCGCTCTGTCACCCAGGCTGGAGTGCAGTGGCGCAATCTCGGCTCACTGCAAGCTCCGCCTCCCAGGTTCAGGCCATTCTTCTGCCTCAGCCTCCCGAGCAGCTGGGACTACAGGCGCTCGCCACCGCGCCTGGCTAATTTTTTGTATTTTTAGTAGAGACGGGGTTTCACTGTGTAAGCCAGGATGGTCTCGATCTCCTGAACTCGTGATCCGCCCGCCTTCGCCTCCCAAAGTGCTGGGATTACAGGCGTGAGCCACTGTGCCCGGCCAATTTTTAAATTTTTAATCGAGACAGGGTTTCGCCGTGATGGCCAGGCTGGTCTTGAACTCCTGACGTCAGGTGATCCGCCTGCCTCGGCCTCCCAAAGTGCTGGGATTACAGGAGTGAGCCACTGCCTGTACATTTAAATTGATGTAAATTCTGTTGCGCATTCGTTCCCCACAAGCCCACTGAGTTTGCTTTTGTGTCCCGAGATGGGGCGACCTCCAGCTGGCTGCCTCCGGGATTGAGGATCAGGGTGATAGCTGCAAACTTTGTCACCCCCAGGAGTCCCGGGCTCCTGCCTCCCTCCTGCCTCCTGCCCAGGCCTTGGCTGGGTCGTGGCACGGCGGTGCTGTGACCGGCTGTGGAGGCAGAATAATGAGCCCCAGAGATGTCCATGCCCCAGTCCCCAGATCCCATGATTGCGGGTTCTGTGGCAGAGGGGAACGGAAGTTGCGGATCAGCGGACCTTGAGATGTGGAGAGGCTCTGGGATTATCCTGGTGGCCCAGTCCAATCACCAGGGCCGTGGAGGCAGGAGAGGAAGAGCCGAGGGCTGGTGAGGGAGAAACACGGGCAGTTGCTGGAGGGAGGACCTCTAGCAACTCTGTGTGCTGGAGAGGCCGCACTGTGTGTGAGGTCCTCCCTCCAGCCAAGGAGTGCAGGCAGATTCTAGAAGCTGGCAAAGGCCAGGAAAGGGGATCATCCCCCAGCACCTCCAGGAGGAGCACGGCCTGCACTTGACCTGAGCCCAGGGAGACCTATCTCGGACTTCTGACCCTCCAAGACTGTAAGAGATTTAACCTGCATTTCTTTAAGGCACTGTGTGGTAATTAACACCGTTTCTTCCAGATGGAAGGGTTTCTGGTGACCTCTTTTTTTTTTCTTTTCTTTTCTTTTTTTTTTTTAAATTCTCTGATGTCTTTTACCAGACTTGTTTTTTAAAAATAGATTCAGGAGGGCCAGGTGCGGTAGCTCACGCCTATAATCCCAGCATTTTGGGAGGCCGAGGCAGGCAGATCACCTGAGGTTAGGAGTTCAAGACCAGCCTGCCCAACATGGTGAAACCTTGTCTCTACTAAAAATACAAAAATTAGCTGGGCATAGTGGCTGGCGCCTGTAATCCCAGCTACTCGGGAGGCTGAGGCAGGAGAATCGCTTGAACCTGGGAGGCAGAGGTTGCAGTGAGCTGAGATTGTGCCCCTGCACTCCAGACTGGGCGACAGACTAAGACTCCATTTCCAAAAAAAAAAAAAAATTTAGGAGGTACCTGTGCAGCTTTTGTACATGGGTGTATTGTATAATCTGGGGTTTGGGCTTCCAGTGAACTCATCACCCAAATAGCGAACATAGTACCCAATAGGTAGTTTTTCCACCATTTCTCCCCTCCCTCCCTCTCTCCCCCTTTTTCCAGATTTTATTTTTGTTTATTTTTATTTTTGAGACACAGTCTTGCTCTGTTGCCCGAGCTGGAGTGCAGTGGTGTGAGGTGGGAGGACTGTTTGAGTCCAGGAGTTCAAAGCTGCCGTGAGCTATGATCGCACCACTGCACTCCAGCCTGGGCAACAGAGTGAGACTGTCTCAATCAATCAATCAGTCAATCAATCAGTCCACTTTGAGAGGCTGAGGTGAGTGGATCACTTGAGGTCAGGCGTTCCAGAAGAGCCTGACCAACATGGTGAAACCCCGTCTCGACTAAACATACAAAAATTACCTGTGTGTGGTGGTGTGCGCCTGTAGTCCCAGTTACTTGGGAGGCTGGGGCAGGAGAATCACTCAAACCAGGGAGGCGGAGGTTGCAGTAAGCTGAGATCATGCCACTGCACTGCAGCCTGGGCGACAGAGCACGACCGTCTCAAAAAAAATAATCAATAAAATCGTACCTATCATAGATCTGGTAAACAAAAAATAGTTCACAGTCTATTGATCCCAGAGAGAAGTTGCAGAAACTAGATACGATATGATCTTTTATTTTGATTGTAAGAAAGTTGTTTATTTTATTAGTATTGTTTGTTGAGATGGAGCTTCGTTCTGTCGCCCAGGCTGGAGTGCAATGGCACAGTCTCGGCTCACTGCAACCTCCATCTCCTGGGTTCAAGTGACTCTCCTGCCTCAGCCTCCCGAGTAGCTGAGATTACAGGCGCGCACCACCACAACCGGCTAATTTTTATATTTTTAGTAGGACGGGGTTTCACCGTGTTGTCCAGGCTGGTCTCAAACTCCTAACCTCTGGTGATTTGCCCACCTCGGCCTCCCAAAGTGCTGGGATTACAGGTGTGAGCCACCACGCCCAGCCACTGGTAGTTTTTTTTTTTTTAATATCCAAACAAATGTGAATATATGTTCCATGCTCCCACCCACTTTTTTTTTTTTTTTTAATTAACCATCTTAGTGTTTTTTTTTTTTTTTTTTTTGAGATAAGAGTTTTGCTCATTGGCCCAGGCTAGAGTTCAGTGGTGTCATCTCGGGTCACTGCAACATTCGTCTCCTGGGTTGAAGCAATTCTTCTGCCCCAGCCTCCCAAGTAGCTGGAACCACAGGCACCTGCCACAACGCCCAGCTGATTTTTGTATTCTTATTTTATTTTATTTTATTTTCGAGATGGAGTCTTGCTCTGTCTCCTGGGCTGGAGTCCAGTGGCGTGATCTCGGCTCACTGCAACCTCTGCCTCCTGGGTTCAAGCAATTCTCCCTGCCTCAGCCTCCCGAATAGCTGGGATTACAGATGTGCGCCACCATGCCTGGCTAATTTTTGTATTTTTAGTAGAGACAGGGTTTTGTCATGTTGACCAGGCTGGTCTTGAACTCCTGACCTCAGGTGATCCGCCTGCCTCGGCCTCCCAAAGTGCTGGGATTACAGGCATGAGCCACCATGCCCAGTTAATATTTGTATTTTTAGTAGATACAGGGTTTCACCATGTTGGCCAGGCTGGTCTTGAACTCCTGGCCTCGTGATCCGCCCACCTTGGCCTCCCAAAGTGCTCCGATTACAGGCCTGAGTCACCGCGCCCGGCCAGTTATTTAAAAATGTATAGTTCAGGCCAGGTGCGCGGTGGCTCACACCTTAATCCCAGCACGTTGGGAGGCTGAGGTGGGTGGATCATGAGGTCAGTAGTTCGAGACCAGACTGACCAACATGGCGAAACCCCGTCTCTACTAAAAATATGAAAATTAGCTGGGTGTGGTGGCGCACGCCTGTAATCCCAGCTACTCAGGAAGCTGAGGCAGGAGAATCGCTTGAACCTGGGAGGCAGAGGTTGTAGTGAGCCGAGACTGCACTACTGCACTCAAGCCTGGGCGACAGAGCGAGACTCCGTCTCAAAAAAAAAAAAAAAAAAAAAAAAAAAAAATAAATAAATAAATAAATAAATAAATATATATATAGTTCAGGGGCATGAAGCACATTTATGTTGTGCAATCATCACCACCATCCATTCCAAAACTTTTTTTTTTCTGTTTTGACACAGGGTCTCACCCTGTCACCCAGGAGGGAGTGCCGTGGCACAATCGTGGTTCACTACAGCCTTGACCTCCTGGGCTCAAGCAATCCTCCTGCCTCAGCCTCCCAAGTAGCTGGGACTGCAAGCATGCACCACCACACCCATCTAATTTTAAATATTTTGTGGAGATGAGGTCTTGTTATGTTGCCCAGGCTGATGTGGAGCTCCTGGCCTCAAGTGATCCTCCTGCCTTGACCTCCCAAGGCGCTGGAATTACAGGCCTGAGCCACTGCCCCAGCCCTCATGGCCAAATTCTTAGGTGGACGTGTTTTCAATTCTCTTGGATATATACTAGAAGTAAAATTGCTAAGTCATACGGCAACATTTTCAGGAAATGCCAACCTGTTCTCCTCAGCAGCTGCACCATTTTATATTCCCACCAGCAATATTTGAGGGTTCCAATATCTTCATGTGCTTGCCAACACTTGCTGTTTTCTGTCTGTTTGATTACAGGCATCTTAGTAGATGTGAGGTGGTAGTATCTCATGATACTTTTGATTTGTATTTCCCTGATGGTTAATAAGGTTGGGCTTCTTTGCATGTGCTCACTGGTCATTTATGCATGTGTGTGTGTATATATATTATATATATATATATATATATATATATTTTTTTTTTTTTTTTTTTTGAGACCAAGTCTCACTCTGTCGCCCAGGCTGGAGTGCAGTGGCGCGATCTTGGCTCACTGCAAGCTCCGCCTCCTGGGTTCACACCATTCTCCTGCCTCAGCCTCCCGAGTAGCTGGGACTATAGGCGCCCGCCACCACACCTGGCTAATTTTTTGTATTTTTAGTAGAGATAGGGTTTCACCATGTTAGCCAGGGTGGTCTGAATCTCCTGACCTCGTGATCCATCCGCCTCGGCCTCCCAAAGTGCTGGGATTACAGGCATGAGCCACTGCATCTGGCAAAATTATTTTCATATTGTTATTAAGATGTCATTTGCGGCTGGGTCCCCAGTAAGAGAGTGGAGATTCCTGAGAGCAAGCATTTGAGAGCTGCAGGTGAAAACATCGTCTCTCAACCTCATTTGGCCACAATCCATGGCGAGCTGGGTACTGCCTGCAACGCCTGACCCAGCCCGGGGCCTCCCTCTGCCATGGCTTGTGACATAGTGACTGATTCTGTTTTATGTAATTTTATGTAAAAAGGAAATGCGTGCCAACAGGAGATGAATTCATCTCCCAACGTACCAGTGGGTACCCACAGTGGGGTAGGTAATGCCTGGCTTCCTGTACCGGCCTCGGGCAAGTGAATACTTTCATTTTTTCTCTGTAAAATGAGATAATGATGGATGGGCCCACCTCACGGCGTTCTGTGAGGATTTTGTTTCTTTTCTTTTATCTTTTTTGGAGACAGAGTCTCACTCTGTTGCCCAGGCTGGAGTGCAGTGGTGCGATCTTGGGTCACTGCAGCCTCCACCTCCTGGGTTCAAGCCATTCTCCTGCCTCAGCCTCCTGAGTAGCTAGGATTACAGGTGTGTGCTACCATGCCAGCTAATTTTAGTAGACGGGGCTTCACTGTGTTGGCCAGGCTAGTCTCGAACTCGACCTCAGGTGATTCAGTCCCTCATAGTGCTGGGATTACAGGAGTGAACCACTGTGCCCAGCTGATTTTGTTTCTTTTTTTTCTTTCTTTTGAGACGGAGTCTTGCACTGTCTCCCAGGCTGGAGTGCAGTGGCATGATCTCGGCTCACTGCAACCTCTGCCTCCCAAGCTCAAGTGATTCTCCTGCCTCAGCCTCTCGAGTAGCTGGGACTACAGGCGCCCGCCATCATGCCTGGCCAATTTTTGTATTTTTAGTAGAGACAGGGTTTCACCATATTGGCCAGGCTGGTCTCAAACTCCTGACCTCAGGTGATCTGCCCGCCTTGGCCTCCCAAAGTGCTGGGATTACAGGCATGAGCCACTGCGCCTGGCCAATTTTGTTTCTTTTAGAGACAGAGTTTTGCTCTGTTGCCCAGGCCAGAGTGTAGTGGCACGATCATAACTCACTGCAGCCTTGACCTCCTGGGTGTAAGCAATCCTCCCACTTCAGCCTCCCAAGTAGCTTGGACTACAGGCACTCACCACCACACCTGGTAATTTAAATTTGTAGGGATGGCGTCTTGTAATTAGGTTGGTGCAAAAGTAAAGGTGGTTCTTGCCATTACTTTTAATGGCAAAAATCACAATTACTTTTGTATCAACCGAGTATGTTGCCCAGGCTGGTCTGGAACTCCTGGGCTCAAGCGATCCTCTGGCCTCAGCCTGCCAAAGCGCTGGGATTACAGGTAGAAGCCACCGTGCCTGGCTGGAAGGAAGAAAATGCAGCCGATTAAGGAAGTGCCCAGTGCAGTGCCCAGCACATAGTAGGTGCTCAATAAATGTGAACTCCTGCCCTTGTTATTCCCTGACCTATCCCTGAGCTGCTGAGCTGGGCTCAGGTCCGGCTGTGTTTGCAGCCACCTGCCACCCCGAGAGTGCAGGACTGGAGCCCTTCGGGGAGGGTTGGGCACCAGGACACCAGGAGAAAGGCTGGCGGGGACCTAATGCAGAAGGCAATTTATGGTGCAAACACAGCACTTGTGCGTGGAAGGAAAAGATTTTCTTTGAACAAACGAGACTCTCAGCCCTGTTTCCCAGTAGCACGATTACTTCAGAACTGTGCAGCTTCCACAAAACAAAAAAATATGGTGAGGGATGAAGGGAGGTGAGAACGCCCTTGCAGCTGGTGGAACAAATGTTTCGGGGCTGCAGAGGGGCGGCAATGTGCAGATAGCGAGGCCGGGCTTGGGATGGAGGCCCGGGTGCACGTCCCAAGCCTCTGCCATCAGATTAGGCCTGAGTCTGGGCATGGTGGCTCACGGCTGTAATCCCAGGGCTTTGGGAGGCCGAGGTGGGCAGATCGCTTGGGGTCAGGAGTTCAAGACCAGCCTGGCCAACATGGTGAAACCCCATCTCTACTAAAAATACAAAAATTAGCTGGTGTCGTGGCACATGCCGGTAACCCCAGCTGCTCGGGAGGTTGAGGCATGAGAATCACTTGAACCCAGAAGGCAGAGGTTGCGGTGAGCGGAGATCGCACCATTGCACTCCAGCCTGGGTGACAGAGCGAGAACCTGTCTCAAAAAACAAAATAACAAAGTTATGAATTGAGGCATTATTTGAGGGAGGGGGAGGAAGGGGCGTGGTAATGACAGACTCATGGTATCTCTGTGTCTTCAACTATTGGCCTTTGTATTTGCAGAGTGTTTCATGATTATATTAAATTTCACAATGTCTAACAATTAATAGTAGCCCTATTTCACTATGTGTCAGGCACTGTCTTTTTGTTTGTTTGTTTTTTTGGAGACCGAGTCTCACTCACTCTGTCGCCCAGGCTGAAGTGCGATCTTGGCTCACTGCAACCTCCACCTCCCAGGTTCAAGTGATTCTCCTGCCTCAGCCTCCCAAGTATGTGATATTACAGGCATGCACCACAACACTTGGCTTATTTTTTTTGTAGAGATGGGGTCTCACTATGTTGCCTAGGCTGGTCTTGAACTCCTGGCCTCAAGCAAGCCTTCCGCCTCAGCCTCCCAAAGTGTTGGGATTACAGGCACGAGCCACTGTGCCTGGCCAAAAGGCTGCGTGACTCATCAGGTGACTGCTATGCCCTTGTGCCATTTATTTATTTATTTATTTAGAGACAGAGTCTCACTCTGCTGCCCAGGCTGGAGTACGACAGCGTGATCTCAGCTCACGGCAGCCTCTGCCTCCTGGGCCCAAGTGATTCTCCTGCCTCATCCTCCCGAGTAGCTGGGATTACAGGTGCACACCACCATGCCCAGCTAATTTTTTGTATTTTTTTTTTTTTTTGAGATGGAGTCTCACTCTGTTGCCCAGGCTGGAGTGCAGTGGCACAATCTCTGCTCACTGCAAGCTCTGCCTCCCAGGTTCACGCCATTCTCCTGCCTCAGCCTCCTGAGTAGCTGGGACTACAGGCGCCTGCTACCACGCCTGGCTAATTTTTTGTATTTTTAGTAGAGACGGGGTTTCACCATGTTAGCCAGGATGGTCTTGATCTCCTGACCTCGTGTTCCACCTGCCTCGGCCGCCCAGTGTGCTGGGATTACAGGTGTGAGCCACCGTGCCCAGCCAGCATTTTTTGTGTTTTTAATAGAGATGGAGTTTCACCATGTTGGTCAGGCTGATCTCAAACTCCTGACCTCGGGTGATCCACCCGCCTTGGCCTCCCAAAGTGCTGGGCTTGCAGGCATGAACCACCACGCCCGGCCCCCTTGTGCTATTTATTGATTACTTACTGTACTGGGGCTGAGCCAAGGCCAGGGCCCTGTGGTCCATCTCTGCAGACCTGTGTCTGGTAAAATCCTACCGCCGGCCTGAGTTCTGGAGTAGGTCACACGTTTGTTTTCTTTTCTTCTCTTTCTGTTTTTTTCTTTCTTGAGACAGTGTCTTGCTCTATCATCCAGACTGGAGTGCAATGGCATGATCATGTCTCACTGCAGCCTCGACTTCCTGGCCTCAGGCAGTCCTCTACCCTCAGCTTCCTCAGTAGCTGTGACTATAGGTACATACCACCATGCCCAGTTAATTTTTTGTAGAGATGGGCTGTGGGTGGAGGGGTCTTACTATGTTGCCCAGGCTGGTCTCAAACTCCTGGGCTCAACCAATCCTCCCAACTTGGCTTCCCAAAGTGCTGGGATTACAGCTGTCAGCCACCACATCCAGCCCACACTTGCTTTCAAAATGCCCTGCCAACCCAGCAGCCAGCGTTGACATTTCTGCTCTGTTAAGACATTGTTTGCCTCCGGGTTCAAGTGATTCTCATGCCTCAGCCTCCAAAGTAGCTGGGACTATAGGCATGTGCCACCACGCCCAGCTAATTTTTTTTTTTTTGGGGGACGGAGTCTCGCTGTGTTGCCCAGGCTGGAGTGCAGTG
The DNA here is from genome assembly GCF_000001405.40 of Homo sapiens. Taxonomy (NCBI): domain Eukaryota; kingdom Metazoa; phylum Chordata; class Mammalia; order Primates; family Hominidae; genus Homo; species Homo sapiens. The sequence continues at coordinate 5,458,655 of NC_000007.14, read as the reverse complement.
GCGCAATCTTGGCTCACTGCAACCTCTGCCTCCCGAGTTAAGCGATACTCCTGCCTCAGCCTCTTGAGTAGCTCGGATTACAGGTGGACGCCACAATGCCTGGCTAATTTTTGTATTTTTAGTAGAGACGGAGTTTCATCATGTAGATCAGGCTGGTCTCGAACTCGTGATCTCGTGATCCGCCCGCCGCAGCCTCCCAAAGTGCTGGGATTACAGGCATCAGCCACCACGCCCGGCCAATTTTTGTATTTTTAGTAGAGACGGGGTTTCACCATGTTGGCCAGGTTGGTCTCGAACTCCTGACCTCAAGCGATCCACTCGCCTTGGCCTCCCAAAATGCTGGGATTACAGGCGTGAGCCACTGTGGGTGGCCAGAAACCTCTCTATACAGAGCAAGGCCTTGGGGGGTGGTTTTATTGACGGACAGTGTGGACCCGTCTCCCTGCCCGTTCGCTGCTGTGTTGCCCAGAAACAACTGACTGTCCCTTATCAGCTCTGAGACAAACTTCAGCCAAATCCTGAAACGGTCCCACCTGCTTTTCAGTTTGTGGTTTAAGGTTTTGGGGTTGTTTTTTTTTTTTAAGGAAGTGAAATGAACAATTCTCCTCTGGAAGAGAAAGATAAGGCTTGAATCCGCCGGAGCAATGTCTGCTGGAAAGAAATATTTTTTAACTTGTGGGCAGTTCTCCAGCTGGGCTGTGTGAGTGAGGAAGCTGGCAGCGCTCTCGCTGAGAGAATTGAATAGTTGCTCCGTCGTGGCAGGGGTTCCTTTCCCCGGCGAGGCAGGCTGTGGGCCCAGGCCAGCCAGGCACAGCGATAGGGATGGCCTTCCGCCATAACGTGGCCTGGAGATCTGGTGAACTGGGAGGCCTGGACCCATTCCCCAGGCCAGCCACCTCCTCCCTCCAAAACACCCACTCCTGGCTGATGGGGGCCACTTGGGGCACCACAGACCTTTGCTATCTAAAAGCTGCATTTCCCAAGCCTTCCGTTGCTTTTTAAAATACAGCTTGACCCTCCCTGACACTGCAGAGTCATTCTCTAGCTTGCTGCCCTCTGGAGACTGCTGTGTATGGCTTCCGAGGTGGCCTTAATGCTCCATTGAGTTTCTGCAGGAACTCACTCCCACCACCTGTTGCAGGATGTGTTTGGTAGCAAATAATAAAAAACCTAGCTCGAAACAGCTTCACAATGCAGGGAATTTGGTGTGATGGAAAATGTGCAGTGGTAGGGTAGGCTTCAGGTCGAGCTTGATCCAGCAGCTTACATCTCTAAGGACTCAGTTTAGGATAGCTGCCAGCCAGCTGGGCTGTGGGATTCCTTGTTTATTCCTACTACTGAACCAATTGCTCTGACCAGGGGAATGAGAGCACCTTGATTTGCTTAGAGTAGTCACCCATTCTGTGGCACCCACACCACACAGCTGCCACAGAATGGGACAGATCGAATTTTGTGGTGCTCACAGAGTCCCCCCAATCCCTTTGTAAAATGTAGTATAGTGACTCCTGTGGAACTGACCTGAGCTGAGCTCATCTGAGCTGTCCTCTGACCATCACCCACAAGTCTGTGTGTTCTTAGAGGGGACAGCCCTAGGCCAGGTGCAGTGGCTCACGTCTGTAATCCCAGCACTTTGGGATGCCAAGGCAGGTGGATCACTTGAGGACAGGAGTTTGAGACCAGCCTGGCCAACATGGTGAATTTCAATCTCTACTAAAAACACAAAAATTAGCTAGGCATGGTGGCGTGCACCTGTAATCCCAGCTACTTGGGAGGCTGAGGTGGGAGAATCACTTGAACCAAGGAGATGGAGGTTGCAGTGAGCCGAGATTGCACCACTGCACTCCAACCTGGATGACAGAACAAGACTCTGTCTCAAACAAACAAAAAAAGGGGACTGGCCCATTCTGTTCTGAGTCTCAGCACCCAGGGCCATCCCTTCTCACCTCCCAACCTCCCTTCTCTGTTCTCTGCTCCTAGCCATGCTGGCCTCCTTTCCATGCCTTTTTTTTTTTTTTTCCATACCTTAAGTTCTCTGCCCTTGGCCTGCCCCAGGGCCTTTGCACAAGCTGTTCCCTCTGCCTGGAGCCCCCCCACCTTGCTGAGTTTGCTGCTTCTGCTTATTCTTCAGGATTCAGAGAATCTGCCCTCAGGCTCTGCCTCCCTGCTCTCAGGGCCCCTTGGGCCTCGCCTGTCCCCACTTCCCAGGGTTTGTAATTGACCGCGTGAGATGAGGGGTTTCTGTGCGAGCACATCGTGATGAGTTTGAGATCCCCCTTGGTTTGTCCTCCCACTGATTCGAGCTGCCCCCAAGCTCACTGCCTTGGGAAGGGGTGAAGTGGAAACTGAGGGATGGCTGGCTTTGCCTCCTGAGAGCCCAGGGCAGGCTGACTGGTGCAGGGGGAGCACTGTCCCGAGAGAGCAGATGCCATGGGCCTAAAGGACCAGGGATGGGAGCAGGCAGCGGGTTCCTGGGCAGAGCTGAGCCTCGGGGAGGACAGCAGTGGGGACTGGTCTGCTTTTAGGTCCCATGATGACGTTAGGTGGGAGCAGGAGTTGCCAGTTTCGGTGGGGTGACCGGGCCAGTGCAGAACGGAGGTTGGGTCGTTCAGGAAGCAGATGCTGAGAAGGACTGCGGAGGGCAAACGGGTTCTTGGGGTTTGAAGGAGGAGTGACACTGGGGAAGGAGCACAGAGGGAACGAAATGCGGCAGGGAGCTGTTAGACTGCGATGCTGGAGCCAGCACGGCCCATGAGAGAGTCCCGCATGGGGCAGAGATGGCCAGGTCTCGCCCGCTCATTGGCTGGGGTCATATGGAGAAGAGTGTGATCTTGCTGAAGGACCAAACTCTCTCCTGGCGCCATGGAAGTGGTGTGTGTGTGTGTGTGTGTGTGTTTGTGTGTGTGTAGTGGGGGTGGGGGGGAGGCACCATCTAGGGACATCCAAAAAGTTCTGTTTCCCACTTCCCCGAATTCACAGCCTGGGTTTGAGCCCCCCTGCGGGGAAGTGGATGGTCAGCAATCCCGGAGGATCTTCTCAGGACCGACTTGGCGCCATGGGAATGCAAACCCATAATAGGAGCCCATTCCCACCGAGGGGATGGCACTGTCCTGTGGGGAATCAGGGAGGACAGGAGGGGCTGGGCTTGTGGAATTGCTTCTGACGCCAGTGAAGCCAGTGGCGAGCAAGGAGACTAAGGTAGTGCTCCCACGAGAGTGCTCCTTGATGCTACTCCCCAGATAGGCTCCCCAAGAGTACTCCCTAGAGTACTTCCCTGAGGGTGCTCCCCAAGTATGTGGCCTGAGAATGTTCAAGTATGTGCCCTGAGTGCTCCTTGAGAGTGCTACCCAAGCATATGCCCGAGAATACTCCCTGCAGGTGCTCCCGATACTGCTCCCCAGATATGTTCCCCCCCAAGAGTGCTCCCCAGATATGCTCCCAAAGAGTACTCCTTGGAGTGCTCCTCTGAGAGTGCTCTCAAGATAATCCCCAAGAGTCCTCCCCAGTAGTGCCAGGGTTGCTCCCTGAGCAAGAGGATAGGAAGCCAGCCTCGAGTTTGCTGATGAGGCTAACCTCACAGCAAACTCCTAAAGTGACGGCGTGGAAGGTGGCACTCGGAGTGCCAGTGTGACTGGGATCACTCTTAGAGCACCACCCTCCAGGCTCTGGTTTCCCCAACTGTAGGGGTGAGGGCGGCATTGGTAAGCAAACTCTACCCTTTAGGATTCGAGAGATAGAAAATCCCAAACAACAGCGGCTTAGCCAAGCAGCGCGTCCTCTCTCACTGGCAGCTCGGGTGGCCATCTGCGCTGATGGGCAGTGGGGGAGGCGTCTTATGCCCTGGGGACGCCTTCTCCTCCGTGAGTCCCCACTCTGCAACCTGGGTGCTGATGGGGCCCTGCAGGCTGGAGGGTGTCCCTGTCCTCGGCTCCCAGGCTCTGTTGCTCCCTCGCTGTGTGCCCTGGGGCAGCTTCCTGAACCTCTCTGAGCCTCACTCAGGGCCCCATCTGTAAAATGAGGTTCTTTCTTTTCACTCATTGAGGAACTCATTTCTTTCCTCCTGCTTCTCAGAAATCAGTCTGGATGGGTAACAAGACATCAAACTGATACTAATCCAGTGGCCTCTGGAGTGGATGCACAAGATCATTTACTCACGTGAGAAAAAAAAAATAACACTTTCTTTTTAAGTTATTCTTTTCTATAAAATAAGAATAAAACAGCCGAGGCAGGAGGATCACTTGTGGCCAGGAAGAGTTCAAGACCAGCCAGGGCAACATAGTGAGACCCCATCTCTACAATAATCAGAAATCTTAAAAAATTAGCCGGATGTGGCTCGGCACCGTGGCTCACACCAGTAATCCCAGCACTTTGGGAGGCGGAGGCAGGTGGATCATGAGGTCAGGAGTTCGAGACCAGCCTGGCCAACACGGTGAAACCCCATCTTTAATAGTAATACAAAAATTAGCCAGGTTTGGTGGCAGGCACCTGTAATCCCAGCTACTCAGGAGGCTGAGGCAGGAGAATCGCTTGAACCTGGAAGGCAGAGGTTGCAGTGAGCTGAGATTGTGCCACTGCACTCCAGCCTGGGCAAAAGAGCAAAACTCCGTCTCAAAAAAAATAAATAAATAAATAAATTAGCCGGGTGTAGTGGTGCATGCCTGCAGTCCCAGCTACTTGGGAGGCTGAGGCAGAAGGATCGCTTGAGCCCAGGAAGTGGAGGCTGCAGTGAATCATGATTGTGCCACTGTTCTCCAGCCTGGGTGACAAAGCAAGACTCTCAAACCAAACAAACAAAAACTTTGCAGGCCAGTAGCAGTGGCTCATGCCTGTAATCCCAGCACTTTGGAGGCTGAGGCAGGAGGATCACTTGAGCTCGAGTTCAAGACTAGCCTGGGCAACACAGTGAGACCCTCTCTCTAAAAAACAACCAACCAACCAACCAAACTTTGCTAACATTGAATGTACAGATTTGCCTGACTTGTGCTGGTAGGGATCTGGAGCAATCACATTTATCTGAGGCCCCGGCTGTATGGCTCTGTGCAAGCTGCCCCTTTCCTGAGGCCTCAGTTTCCCCCTCCTCCTTTGGGAGGAGACACAGAACAGTCCATGAGATGCTTGGAACAGTGCCTAGAAGGGAGCCGCCGAAAGTCGTAGCTGTCCCTGTCCCATGGGAGAGGTGGATCCTCCCAGGGGAGGAGGGCCGGCCCGAGGTGCTCTGCTCACCCTTTGACTTCGTGTTTGGGACACTCGGAGGCTGGCGTGCGGCCGAATAAGTGGATCTATAGATTAACAAAACTAATCCTAATGAGATGGGTGTATGGCTTAAGAAGATTCTTGCTAAAAAAAAAAAAAACAAAACCTTCCCCCCACGCAAACCCACAAAATCCATCTCAGATTAGAGAGGAATGGTGCAAGCCTCTTGCTCCTTGGAACCCGAGGAGACAGTGGGGGTGACAGTGACGTCATCACATGCTGGCCTGTTGCTATTGGCTGGATGGCCAAGAAGTACCACCCAGTGACCCCCAGCAGGAAGAGGCCCAAATCCATGACATCATCCAGAAGATCCTTTCAAAAAGGGATTTGTCCCCAGTGCCCTTCACAGTCACTGCTGGGAGGAAGAGAGGGGTTTAGAGATGTTTCTTGGCTGGGCACGGTGGTTCACACCTGTAATCCCAGCACTTAGGGAGCCCAAGGCTGGAGGATCACTGGAGCCCAGGAGTTGAAGACCAGCCTGGGCAACACAGCAAGACTCTGTCTCTATATAAAAGAAAATTTTAAAAATAAAGAGAGAGAGAGATGGAGAGACAGAGACAGACAAATAGGCAGAGACAGAGAGAGAGGCAGATGGAGACAGAGATAGCAAGGCAGAGACAGAGATCGAGACAGACTGAGACAGAGATAGAGAGACAAACAAGACAGAGACAGATGGAACTGACAGATTAACCGGAGCGGGGAGAGGAGGCGGGAGGGCCGGGAAGCTGAGCCTGGCGGGCAGGACCTGGAGGCTGACCAGGCCTGGGGCCTCCCCGGGCTGATGCGTGGCCACTATTTCCAAGGCGTGGCCAGACTGGCCCAAGCTCCCCTGATGTTCCGGCCTCTCTGGGCAGAGCGGGGCGGGGCAGGGCACTCAGTGTGCCCTCTGTGTGGGGACAGGGTGGGTCTGCACCTTGGAGGGGAGGAGAGGGGGGCAGGTTCCAGCCCTCTTTCCCCCATGGGGTCAGCTGAGGTTTGGGGATTTCAGGGACATTCCAGGTGCGGGTGCAGCAGCTGCCACCAGACTGCGGGGTGTGGGGCCAGGGACAGGCATAGACCAGGCCCCCAGGAGCGGCTGGGCTCTGAGCCGTCCCTAGGGTGTGGTGGGCATCAGGGGCAGGGCTGGCCACCCCCTCGGCCCCTGCAGTGTGGCCAGGCATTGCCAAGCCATGGGGTCAAGTGTGCCCACCCGCTCCAGTGCAGATGGGGAGACTGAGGCCCCGAGAGGTGGTGGCCAGCCCAGGACCACAGGCCACCCTGGGGCAGGCAGGAGGACCAAGGCTCTGTCTCTTGAGCTCGGCCTCTCCACACAGCCTCCCTCCAGGTGGTTCAACGTCCATGACCAGCCCCCGTCACTCGAGGAGCCACTTGGGGGTCTCCAGGGAGGTCCCTTAAGCCCTCTCCTGTGCACTGCGTCCCTGGCTGTGCCACGCTGGGTACGTGGGCTCAGGTTGTGCCCCAGGACTGCCTCTGGGCAAAGTGGTGGCCCAGCTGCTCCCTGCAGACCCTGGGAGGAGGGGAGAGTGGGGATGGGGAGGACCCTCCTGGGGTGGGACTGGGGCCTGGAGTGGGAGGGTCAAGAGGATCAGGGCAGCAGACACCTCCTAGGTCGGCCCTGGGCTCAGCCCTGGACACGTGGGGATCCTGAAATCATGGCAGCACCACGGAGGAGGCCTGGCTGGGATGGGACAGTCCCCAGGCCATGACAGTGTGAGGAACACAGAGCAGGGTTTGGGGAGGTCACAGCCGGCGGAATGTTCTGGAAGGCTTGGCTGAATCACTGTTAGCAAGACTGAGGAAGCTGGAAAAAGCATTCTGGGGAGGGAGCCGCAGGTGCAGAGCCCCCGGGTGGGAACCGCAGGGCCGTTTATGGGGCTGGCAGTGCAGCTTGGTGGGACCTGCGCCTCTCCCTGAGGCACAGCGCGGGCAGGACAGGTGTCTGTGTGTCTGCGAAAGCCTGCTGAGTCTGTGGGGGCCACAGAGAAGCTGGGGATGGGGCTGAGCTGTGACAGCGCCAAGGTGACAGGTGACTGTCCGGGTGACGGGAGATAGGCTCCGTTCAGGGCATGGTGAAGGACTTGGGGTGAAGTGGACACAGGCCAGGGGGACTGAGCAGAGGGACCCAGAGGAGCTGGAGGGGGGTGGCGGGAGGTGGGGCCCCTCTGAGCTGAGGCCTGGGGCCCCACACAGTGGGGGTGGAGTCGTTGTGTCTGAGATGGGAACCTTGAAGGCCTGCGGGGAGGTGATGTCTCAGCTGGAGTCACTGACTGGGGGCTGGGTGAGAACTCCAAGCTCTCGGAGCCGTTGGACAGGAGAAGGGGAGAGAGTAGGAGGGGACCTAAGCCGGGCACAGGAGTTTCCTGGGGCTGAGAGTTTCCCATGAGGAAAGAAGATGGTGGGTCAGGCGGGTGTGCTCCGCCCCCAGTGCCTCCACACCCCCCACCCTCCAGCCTGGGTGAACCCACCCATCCCAGCCTTGCTGGGGGCTGAGAGGCCCAGCCTGGGTTGCTATGGTGATGGGATGCGTGGCCAGCAGGTGTCACCAGAGCCTGCAGAATCTGGAAGGAGCAGGCGCGGACTGGTGGGGGGCGCCTGTGGGACCCTCTCCTGGGGCCCCCTCCAGCCAGACCAGGCCCAGAGAGGTGCCCTCAGAGCCACCTAGGCCAGGAGCCGGAGACACAGCCCCGCCATTGGGGACACAGCCCAGGACAGCAAGGAGCTCTGGTTGGGATCACGGGAGGGGGATGTTGGCTCAGGGGGAACCCTGTGAGGAGTTTCCAGTCGGCAGGCCTGTGAGAAGCCGGTTCTACCACCGTGGGATCCTGGGCCTCATTTTCCCCGTCTGTAAAATTGTGCCCAGGCCTTGCCCAGAGCAGGGAACCAGTAAGACTTAGAAGTGGCCAGGTGCAGTGGCTCATGCCTATAAACCCAACCTTTTATTTTGTTTTATTTTTTTGAGACGGAGGCTCGCTCTGTCGCCCAGGCTAGAGTACAGTGGCACGATCTTGGCTCACTGCAACCTCCGCCTCCCAGGTTCAAGCAATTCTCCTACCTCAGCCTCCCGAGTAGCTGGGATTACAGGCGCACACCACCATGCCTGGCTATTTTTTGTATTTTTAGTAGAGACAGGGTTTCACCATGTTGGCCAGGCTGGCCCCAAACTCCTGACCTCAAGTGATCTGCCTGCCTTGGCCTCCCAAAGTGCTGGGATTACAGGCGTGAGCCACCGTGCCTCGCCTAAACCCAGCTTTTTGGGAGGCCAAGGTGGGAAGACTGCTTGAGGCCAGGAGTTCAGGACTAGCCTGTGCAACATAGCCAGACTCTATCTCTAGAAAAAATTTAAAAATTAGCTGGGGATGGTGGTGCACATCTGCAGTCCCAGATACCTGGGAGGCTGAGGCAGAAGGTTGCTTCAGGCCAGGAGTTCAAGACCAGCCTGGGCAACATAGCCAGACTCTGTCTCTAGAAAAAATTTAAAAATTAGCCAGGTGTGGTGACGCACGCTTTCGATCCCAGCTACTTGCGAGGCTGAGGCAGGAGGATTGCCTGAATCTAGGAGTTTGAGGCTGCAGTGAGCTGTGATCGCGCCACTGCACTCCAGCCTGGGTGACAGAGCAAGACCCTCTCTCTAAAAAAAAAAAAAAAAAAAAAAGGAACTTCAAAGTATCTCTGGATCAGAAGCCACTTTGACCCAGGAAGCAAGGCACACGCACATGCACACGCCTTTGCACACACGTGTCCGCGGCGTATACAGAGGCACAAGTCTGAATTTCACTGCATTTCACTTCTTGGTTTGAATCTCCTGACAGGGCCTCTGAGGTCAGAGCCCCAGGCCTAGAACACGAATTCCACTGTCTAGAACCATCTACTGAGGCCCCAGGGAGGAAGCTTGGGCCAGGCAGGTCCTGGCTTTTAAAAAATTTGTATATATATACATATATACACACGTATATATATACACGTATATATATACACGTATATATATACACACGTATATATATACACGTATATATATACACACGTATATATATACACGTATATATATACACACGTATATATATACACGTATATATATACACACGTATATATATACACGTATATATATACACACGTATATATATACACGTATATATATACACACGTATATATATACACGTATATATATACACACGTATATATATATACGTGTGTATATATATGTACTTTTTTTTTTTTTTTGGCAGAGACAGAGGTCTCACCATGTTGGTCTTGAACTCCTGGCTTCAAGCGATCCTCCTGCCTCTGTCTCTCTAAGTGCTGGGATCACAGGTGTGAGCCACCGTGCCCAGTCCTGGCTTTACTGCTCCTGCTACGCACCCCTCTCTGAGCCTCAGAGGGGTCCCTGGCCTTGACATCTCCCCCCGGCTGGGCCATAGGACAAGGCCTGGTGACTGATGAATGAGGAAACTAGGTGGGGCCTCTGGAGAATGATGGAGGGCACGGTGGCTGGCGAGCAATTCCACCCTGGAATTAGGTGAATCTGCGGGCTCCCTCTAGCCCAGTCTCCCTCCCCTCCCCAGCCTTCCCCTCCTCTCCTCCCAGGAATGCTGCCAATGCTAGGGATATGCCGAGGCCTGCTCTTCTCCTAAATGAAGTCTCCGCTGCCGGCATTAGCTTACTTTCTGCAGAAAGCAAATTAAAGGGGCTGCTGAGGAAGGTATTTGGATCCTTGGGGCCGCTCCCAGAGTCCTTGCACCTGTCCAGGGGTGGATCTGGCCTGGGGGGCCACCATGGTTCCAGGGCCCCAGTCCCAGGCCCCTTCCTGGAATTCCCCTTCCCAACCCCTGCTCCTGCACGTCCAGCTTTCTTTTCAAAGTCTCGCCGGCCAAAGTGGGGAGGGGGGACTTGCCTGCTTCGTGCCTGGGGCCCTAGCATCAAAATGGCCAGTCGCCTGTCCCTCTGCGGGCTGTTTTGGCCTCTCAAGGTTACAGACCGTGTCTTTAAGTCTCACTGTATATTTTTTCTGATTATAAAAGCAATCAATTTTACCATAGAAATGTCAGGAAATAAGGCTGGGGGTGGTGGCTCATGCCTGTAATCCCCAAGATTTGGGAGGCTGAGGAGGATCACTGGAGGCCAGGAGTTCAAGATCAGCCTGGGCAACAGAGTGAGACCCCATCTGTACAAAAAATACAAAAATTGGCCAAGCATGGTGATGCATGCCTGTCGTCCCAGCTACTTTGGAGGCTGAGGCAGGATCACTTGAGCCCAGTAGTTGGAGGCTGTGGTGAGCTATGATGGCGCCCTGCACTCCAGCCTGAACAAGAGTGAGACCCTGTCTACAAAAGAAAAAAGGCAGTGCCTGCGTCTACCCCCTGCCTCTCTTCGGTCCATTTTTCTCCCTTTGTCTTAGGAGTCTGAGGCTCTGGCCCACCCCTCCCCACCTTCAGTGTGTTTCCTTCCACGGGGTGAGGTACAAAGAGGGAGGGCTGGGGTCAGGGCTGGGCACAGGGCGGGATGAGGTGGGTGAGGGTACCCGTGAGCTTCTCGCCAGGTCTCCTGCCCCACCCACAACTCCCCCAGCCGCTGAGGAGCCCCCAGCAGAGCTGGGGTTGAAGAGGCAGCTTGTCCCCCGACCTTCAGGAATGGCAGCCTGCAGCAACTGGAACAAGGCCCCACCGTAAAGCTCTGTGTGTCCCAGGTAAGGCTGAGAGAGAGAAAAAAGACCCCGACAGCTTTTGTCTGTTTCCTGGCAGGGATGGGGTTCTAAGCTCTCTTTGTCTAGCTGGGGAAGTGGCTTGTAGACCAGGTCAAGGGACAGAAAGCACGAATTCATCCATCCATTAGCCTATCTGTCTGTCTGTTTATCTATCTATCTATCTATCTATCTATCTATCCATCCATCCATTCACCCATCCACCCACTCTTCCGTTCACCTACCCACCCACCCACCCACCTGTCCATCCATCTACCCACCCATCCACCTATCCATTCACTCATCTATCCACTTCTCCATCCATCCATCCATCCATCCATCCACACACTCATCCATCCATCCATCCATCCACTCACCCATCTACTCATTCACCCACCGATCCACCTACCCACCCACCCACCCATCCACCCATCTACTCATCCATCCAAACACCCAATGTGGTAGCGTGTGCCTGTGGTCCCAGCTACTCAGGAGGCTGAGGTGGGAGAATCGCTTGAGCCCGGGAGTTTGAGGCTGCAGTGAGCTATGATTGTGCCACTGGACTCCAGCCTCAGTGACAGAGCAAGAGCCTGTCCCTTAAAAACTAAAAGAAAGTGGCAGTTTTGGAGAGCAAATGCAGCCAGGCCAGTGGCTGGAGAGGCCCCAAGTGGTACTAGAGCAGGTGGCTGTGGGATTGGGTGTTCTGTGTGGGCCTCCCTTGGCCATTCCTGGTCAGCAGTGGTTCGTGAGTTCTGGGCCACCAACCCTCCCTGTATCCTCTTTAGCAAAGTGGAGGGGCCTACAGGGTCACCAGCCCCCTGGGATATGCTGAGGGGGCAACTCTGGGCCAGGAACCCCTCACTGGGTGGGCACGCAGGGCAGGTGCCCTGGAGACCTGTCCCCCAGAATAGCCCCCTGGTATGCCCCTTCCTGGCCAGGCCCCGTTGGGTAAAGGGGGGCATGGTGGAGAAGGTGGGAGGGAATCAGGAAGGACCCCACCTCGGAGCACCAAGTCCTGTCCACCCGGCCCCACCACACTTTGATCTCAGAGCCCCCAGGGGTGGGAAGGAACCCATTTTCAGAATCCATTTCCTCCCTGTCAGTTACAGGGAAATCAGAAGAGAGAGACAATGCCAGAAAAAAACAAACAAAACAAAACAGAAAACCCTCCACAAACCATTAAAACATCCCCTCTCCCCGGCACTCCACCCTGGCCTCAGCATTGTTTTCCAGAGATTTCTTGGGTGAGAAGAATGAAATTCAGTTCAAAGAAATGTTTATGGAAAACAGTGTCCAGTGTCCAGTGCTGGCGGGGCAGTGGGGTCCTCTCCTGGGAGGAGCCTCGGCCTGTCGGGGGGACGGCTCTGAGAGTCCCCTCCTGTGTCCCCCATGGGGTGGGGCGCTGCAGGGAGCACTGCAGGTCGAGGGAGCAACGCTCAAGGTCAGTGCCCAGCAAGCTGAGGTAGGAGGCTCCGGGTATCCAAGAGCAGCCAGACCTCCTAGGGAGATGGGCGGGTGGCCACAGCCTAGGTTGCTTCTAATGACAGGAGTTTGCTCTTGCACAGTGCTGGAGGCCAGCAGTCCGAACTCAAGGTGTGGGCAGGGCTGGCTGCTTCTGGAGGCCGTCGGGGAGGCTCCGTTCCAGCCCTCCCTGCAGCTTCCCGAGGCTCCAGAAATCCTCGGTGTTCCCAGGCCTGTAGCTGCATCGCTCCCATCTGTCTCCGTCGTCACATGGCCTTCTCTGTGCCTGTGTCCCCTCCTTTTCTTTTCTTTTTTCTTTGTTTTTTTTTTGAGATGGAGTTTCTCTCTGTCACCTAGGCTGGAGTGCAATGGAATGATCTCAGCTCACTGCAACCTCCACCTCCCAGGTTCAAGTGATTCTCCTGCCTCAGCCTCCCGAGTAGCTGGGACTACAGGCACCCGCCACCACGCCTGGCTAATTTTTTGTGTTTTTAGTAGAGACGGGGTTTCACCATGTTAGCCAGGATGGTCTCGATCTCCTGACCTCATGATCCGCCCGCCTTGGCCTCCCAAAGCGGTGGGATTACAGGTGTGAACCAGCCCGCCCGGCGCCCCTCCTTTTCTTGGAAGGACACCGGTCACTGGATTTAGGGCCCATCCTAAGCCCAGGATGATCTCCTCTTGAGATACTTAACCAATGACACCTGCAAAGATCCTGTTTCCAAATAAGGTCACATTCTGAGGTCACAGGTGGACAGGAAGTTTTGGGGGAACATCATCCAACCCCCTGCAATGGGAAAATTGACATGCAACTATTTGTTGTTGTTGTTGTTGTTTTTGTTTTGAGAAGGAGTCTCCCTCTGTTGCTCTGTCGCCCAGGCTGGAGTGCAATGGCACAATCTCGGCTCACTGAAGCCTCCATCTCCCGGGTTCAAGAGATTCTCCTGCCTCAGCCTCCCGAGTAGCTGGGACTAAAGGTGTCTGCCATCACGCCTGGGTAATTTTTGTTTTTGTTTTTTGAGATGGAACCTCGCTCTGTCACCCAGGGTGGAGTGCAATGGTGTGATCTTGGCTCACTGCAGCCGCTGCCTCCCGAGTTCAAGCGATTCTTCTGCCTCAGCCTCCCAAGTAGCTGGGATTACAGGCGTCCACCACCATGCCCAGCTAATTTTTTTACTTTTAGTAGAGATGGGGTTTCACCATGTTGGCCAGGCTGGTCTTGAGCTACTGACCTCAAATGATCTGCCTGCCTCGGCCTTCCATAGTGCTGGGATTACGAGCATGAGCCACCGTGCCTAGCCAAATTTTTGTATTTTTAGCAGAGACAGGGTTTCACCATGTTGGCCAAGCTGTCTCAAACTCCTGACCTCAAGTGATGCACCCGCCTCAGCCTCCCAAAGTGCTGGAATTACAGGCGTGAGCCAATGTGCCCAGCATTTTTTTTTTCTTTTTTGAGACCGAGTCTTGCTCTGTCGCCCAGCCTGGAGTGCAGTGGCGCGATCTCGGCCCACTGCAAGGTCCGCCTCCTGGGTTCACGCCATTCTCCTGCCTCAGCCTCCTGAGTAGCGGGACTATAGGTGCCCGCCACCACGCCCAGCTAATTTTTTTGTATTTTTAGTAGAGACGGGGTTTCACCATGTTAGCCAGGATGGTCTCGATCTCCTGACCTTGTGATCTGCCTGCCTCGGCCTCCCAAAGTGCTGGGATTACAGGCGTGAGCCACCGTGCCCGGCCTTTTTTTTTTTTAAAGACAGGGTCTCACTGTGTCTCCCAGACTGGAGTACAGTGGCACAATCAAGGCTCACTGCAGCCTTGAACTCCAAGGCTCAAGAGATCCTCCTGCCTGAGCCTCCTCAGTAGCTGGGATTGCAGGTGCATGCCACCACACCCAGCTAGTTTTTAAATATTTTGTAAAGAAGGGGTCTTGCTATGTTGCCCAAGCTGGTCTCCAACTCCTGAGCTCCAGTGCTCCTCCCACCTCATCCTCCAGAGTAGCTGGGACTACAGGTGTGCACCACCACACCTGGCTAATTTTTCAATATTATGTAGAAATGGGGTCTCGCCGTGTTGCCTAGGCTGGTCTTGAACTCCTGGCTTCAAGTGATCCTCCTGTCTCGGCCTCCCAAAGTGCTGGGGTTACAGGTGTGAGTCACTGTGCCTGGCCCACCTACTGTGTTCATTCCCTAGTGCCGCGGTTACAAATGCCCACACGCTGGGTGGCTTCAGCAGCAGAAACCTATTGTCTTACAGCTCTGGAGGCCAGAAGTCCCAGATCAAGGTGCAGGCAGGGTTGGCTCCTTCTCTAGTCTCTCACGGAGAATCCTTCCCAGGCCTCTCTCCAGCCTCTGGTGGCTGCGGGCCACGCTTGGCGCTCCTGGGCCCGTTGCTGCTTCTCTGCAGTCTCTGTCCCGGCCGTCAGGCACTCGTTACGTGGGAGTGCGCTCTGTGTCTCTTAAGGACGGGAGTCATTGGATTTAGGGCTCACTCTAATCAGGCACGCTTATCTCGAGAGCCTTACCTTAATTCCATCTGCAGAGTCCGTTATTCCCAGTGAGAGCCTATCTGAGGTTCCAGTGGACATGTCTTTTCGGGGGACACCCTCCAACCCCCTACCGTGCTTATCTGTGGGTGGCTGGGTGACCCACCGTCCCAGGGATGAGAGGGTGCCTGGATGGAAGGTGTTCAGTGAGAAAACTGGGGCATTCCCGGGCACGCCGGGTCGGTCGGTCCTAGGGGCATTGAGTAGGGACTGGCATGTGGGTTTTGTAGCCTCGGTGGTAGGCAACACTTCCGGATGGAAGGGGGGGGCTCTGGGTGGGAGGAGGGGGACCTGCTGCCCACCAAGGGCCCCTCAAGGACACAGGCTCTGAGCTCAGGTCTGCCTTGGGCAACTCCCTTTTACTTCTAGAGCTGAAAGCCCCACCCATAGAAGGGGCAGCTGGTGTGGGTGCTGGGGGCTCCGAGATGAGGGTAGGGAGCTCCTGGTATAGGGTGGGCACACGTCACCCCTGTGGGCCCCGAGGGAGATGCCTGGGGGGTTTTCGGAAGCCTCCCGGTGAGGGCTAAAAATGGTCCCAATTAAAATGGGAAGCTGGCAGAGCCTGGGGCCAGAAGCTCACGTCTTCCTTGGCAAGTTTGATTCTTTTAAATCCCCAGAAGGGATTAGGTCTCCAGGGACAGCCTGGTTCCAGGATGATGGCAACCAAATTAAACCGCACAAGGTGCCCTCTCCAGGTGGACGGATCGCTGCAGGGGTGAAGCCAGTCTGGCCTCCACACCCATGTGGCCCACCCAGGAGTGAAGGTCGAAGGTGCCCTCTCGGGGCATCCTGGGGGGCAGAGGCAGTGGCGCAGCATGACTCGAGGGCGGGTGGTGAGGAGGGGTGTCAGCTCCGGAACGTGTCCCTGGAACAGAGGCAGCTCAGGTACGAGGCTATGGTTGCCAGTGATACTTTGCATGGGACGCAGTTGGACTGCGGGGCCGTGGGGACATCACTGTGGCAGCGGAGCAAAGTACCCACGCAGATCCCCAAAGATCCCCCTCCCTTTTATTTTTCATTTAAAAAATGATGGTAAAATAGGCCGGGTGCAGTGGCTCAGGCCTGTAATCCAGCACTTTGGGAGGCTGAAGCTGGCAGATCTTGAGCCCAGGAGTTTGAGACCAGTTTGGTCAACATGGTGAAAATCCATCTCTACTAAAAATAAAAAAATTAGCCCGGTGTGATAGCAGGTGTCTGTAGTCCCAGCTGCTTGGGAGGCTTGGGCCGGAGGATTGTTTGAGGCCAGGAGTATCGAGACCTTGTCTCTATAAAAAGATCAAAAATTAGTTGGGTGTGGCGGTGCATGCCTGTAGTCCCAGCTACTCAGGAGGATGAGACAGGAGGATGGCTTGAGCCCGGGAGGTTGAGGCTGCAGTGAGCTATGATTGCACCACTATACTCCAGCCTGGGTGACAGAGGGAGACCCTGTCTCTAAAAATAGTAATAATAAAAAGGAAGAAAAGAAAGAAAAAAAAGGAAGCAAGCCTTTAGCATCAGCCGAGTCATGGTGGCTGCTGTTTTCCAAGCCAGACCCTGTGCTGAACATGTTTTCCTGTCTTCCCAAATTTCCCTGGCAGGCTGGGAGGCGCTCTGTCTGTGGGGAGGAAATGGGGTTCAGAGGAGCTGGGGGTCCACTCTGGGTCACACTGCAAGCTGGGGGCTGAGCTGGGATGGGAAACCCTTAGGCAGATGTTGGCCCCAGGCCACTTGCAGGCAGTCGCCTATGACAGCTGCTGCCTGACAGATCACACAGCAGAGCACAGCTGCCCAGAGCCCGCGGGAGAGGGTCTTACCTGCCCAACCCAGGGAGGGCTTCTCTGGGGAGGTGTCCCTCATGCTGGGCCTTTCGGGATGACAAGAGAAGTCAGGGTGGGCGACGGGAAGGGTTTTCCAGGAAGAGGCAATGGCAGGAAGGGAGTTCCAGGAGGCCGGGACGTGGGATGTGCCGGGGACCAGTGCTGCCCAAGCTTTGGCTGTGGGGGCAGGGAGGGGGGTGGCAGAGGAAGGAGAGGCTGGGCTGGGGTAGGGAGACCTGGTGGAGGGTCGGCCAGTGTTGGTAGCAACCCTGGGGGAAAGAGGGGCCGCTATGGAGCTGTGGGGACCACCACCCACTCTGGGAGGGTCTGGAAGATAGGGCAGGTGTGTACGAGGAAGGCCTCTGAGACCCTCTTAGCCCCATTTCCAGCGGCCAGGCCTTGGTTTCCTGTTCCCAACAGTGAGGGCTCACCACTGCTGAGGGCTGCGCCTTTTTTTTTTTCGTAATTGATGTAAAATTCCCATGACATAAAATTCACAGGCTGGTGAGGTGGCTCAGGCCTGTAATCCAAGCACTTTGGGAGGCCAAGGAGGGAAAATCGCTTGAGCCCAGGAGTTTTGAGACCAGCTTGGGTAACATGGCAAAACCCTGTCTCTATAAAAAAATACACAAAATTAGCCAGGCATGGTGGTGCACGCCTGTAGTCCCAGCTACGCGGGAGGCTGAGGTGGGAGGATCTCTTGAGCCCAGGAGTTTGAGGTTGCAGTGAGCCAAGATCACACCACTACCGCACTCCAGCCTGGGTGACAGAGCAAGACCTCAAAAAATAAAATTCCCCATTTCAAAGCGAACAAATCAGTGGCAGGTAGCACATTCACAGTGCTGTGCACGCACCACCTCTATCTAGTTCTAAGACGTTTCCATTGCCCCCAAAGGAACCCCGTATCTGTTAAACACTCACTCCCACAGGCCCCTCGCAACCCCCAGTCAGCTTCTGTTATTTGCCCATTCTGGACATTTCATATAAATGGGATCATTTTATAGGTGACCTTCTGTGTCTGGCTGGAATGTTTTCGAGGTACACCCATGGCATAGCACAGATCAGGACTTTGCTCCTTTTTAAGGCTGAATCATATTCCCAAGTATGAAAATACCACAACTGGGCCGGGCGCGGTGGCTCACACCTGTAATCCCAGCACTTTGAGAGGCCAAGGCAGGTGGATCACCTGAGGTCAGGAGTTTGAGACCAGCTTGGCCAACATGGTGAAATCCCGTCTCTACTAAAAATACAAAAATTAGCTGGGTGTGGTGGTACACACCTGTAATCCCAGCTACTTGGGAGGCTGAGGCAGGAGAATTGCTTGAACCCGGGAGGTGGAGGTTGCAGTGAGCCGAGATCGAGCCACTACACTCCGGCTTGGGTGACAGAGAGACTCCATCTCAAAAAAAAAATAAACCACAACTGATCCATCCCTCTGTTGCTGGACGTTGGGCTGCCCCATGTGCCACTACTGAGCAGTTCTTATTGCCAGGACGTTCTTTTGTCGTAGAGGGCAGCCCAGCCTCCCTCCGACACCTCCCTATCTGTTCCTGTGACTGGGGTGGTGTCTAGGGTTTTGAGAGGTGAATGGGGTTCTCTCCCGATCAGATCTTAGCCTTTAAGCCCAATGCCACTTCTGCCACCATGTTGGGGTGCACCTACTGGGCATAGCACCCACTGTGTGCCAGTCAGGGGTGGAACCCATGCAGGGTGGGGATGGCAGTGCCCGCACAGGTGGGTGAGCGGGGCTTCTCGTGAAGCAAGCATGACGGTGCCACCTTCTCAGGACCATGCACCCACAGCCCACACTCCTTTCTGGTTTGAGGCTAAGTCCAGGGCCATGGGTGGGGCGCGCTGCTGGACGCCTGTCACGTCCTCACTCTGGCCCTTCAGGTGCTGTTGACTCCTTGGGCCCCTCTGTTCCCCACCCCCGAGCCATCATCCCCTGCACCTGTGGGAATTCCAGGGCCCCAGCCCTGCCCTTGAGCCCTAGGGCCCCGATGGCTCTGATGACCGTGGGGTCATAAGTGGGTCAGTGAAGGCCTGCCCGTTCCCAGCTCTGCGCCAGCCCAGCTCACCCAGCACCCAGGTCCTACCCCAAAGGGGTCTCAGTCTGGGGGGAGGAAGACAGCTGAGGAAGTGGACCCCAGGAGCCCCAGGAAGGGCTGAGGGGCTGGAGACAGTGAAGACTTCCCAAGCAGGGGAAGCCATGCTCCCAGCACAGGGGTCAGACAGGCAAACACCTGCTGGATCCATGGCGGGGAGAGGGGCAGGGGGGCCTCAGCTCAGGGAGGGCAGTTCCCGGCAGAACCCGCCTGGCCCAGCTAGACTTCCCGGCAGCCAGGCGGGGGCGGGGCAGGGGGGGTTCTCTGCAACCTGGGGTGTGGGTACAGGGCCCAGGGCACTATCAGAGGGATGAGAGCGGAACCAGCAGTGCCCACCCCAGTCCCTGCTGGCTGTTGCCCCTTGTACCAGACATGCCTTGTCCCCCCAAGACACTAAGGGCTGGGGCTCTGGGGGTCAGAGGTGGCCACATCCCATTCCTGGCCTCTCACCCTCTTACTCTGCCAGATGGAGTTGTTTTTTGTGTGTGTGGGGTTTTTTTTTTTTTTTTCTCCTAGAGACAAGGTCTCAAGAGGCCAGGCATGATGGCTCACGCCTGTAACCCCAGCACTTTGGGAGGCTGAGGTGGGAGGATTGCTTGAAGCCTGGAGTTTGAGACGAACATAGTGAGACCCCCATCTCTACAAAAAAAAAATAAAAAAAAAAATTAGCTGGGCGTGGTCATGGGTGCCTGCAGTCCCAGATACTTGAGAGACTGAGGTGGGAGGATGGCTTGAGCCTGGGAAGTTGAGGCTGCAGTGAGCTGTGATTGCACCACTGCAATCATAGCTGTTATTTTTATTTTTTGGGATAGGGTCTTGCTCTGTCACCCAGGCTGGAGTATAGTAGTGCAAATATAGCTCACTTTGGTAGAGACAGGGTTTTGCCGTGTTGGCCAGGCTGGTCTCGAACTCCTGTCCTCAAGTGATCCGCCCGCCTCGGCCTCCCAAAGTGCTGGGATTCCAGGTGTGAGCCACTGGCCCTGGCCTTTATTTTTAAAAAAGAAGAAAAACAACAGAGGAATGCTAAGGATGACTGGCACCACGAGAAGCCGGGAAGAGACAAGGAGAGAGTCCACCCAGAGACTTGGAAGGCCACGGCCCTGCCAACACCCTGATCTCAGAATTCTGACTTCCAGGAGACAGTAAATTTCTGATTTTTTTTTCTTTTTTTTGAGATAGGGTCTTCCTGTCACCCAGGCTGGAGTACAGTAGCGTGATCACAGCTCACTGCAGCCTTGACCTCCCGGGCTCAAGACATCCTCCTGCCTCAGCCTCCTGAGTAGCTGGGACTGCAGTTGTAAGCCACCGTGTCCAGCCAGTTTCTGTTGTTTGAAGCCCCCAGTGAGTGCAGGTTTGTTACGGCAGCCACAGGACACTAACACAGATCTGGAGGGGGACCTGGGCAGAGGTGGGGGACAGCTCTGGAGCCTGAGGCTACCTCCTCTGGCTTCTCAGGGGAGCAGGTGAGCATGCAAGTGTGTGCATGCATGTATGTATGTGCCCGAGTGTGGGTTTCTGATGTGCTTGGGGAAGGTTCAGGTTCCCAGAAGAGGCTTAAATACCAACATCAAAGCAGGAGCTAGACCGGCAGAGCTGCATTGCAGACAAAACAAAGGACTGGTGCTGCTATTTTAAACCAGGGCCCCTGGCCAGCCCTGTCCTGGCCTCTTCACCCTGTGTCTGAGGCGGTGTGGGGCTGGGCGGGTATTTAGTGTGGCAGGAGTCAGCATGGCACGGAGGTGGGCAACTTGCCCACAAATCCCCCTGGCTCCTGCTAAAGCCCTGTGGGGGCTTTCTGTCCCAGGAGCAGTGGCCACTGAGGCCCATGAGAGACCCTTCCAGAGGGCTGTCAGCCTTGTCACTGGCTTTTTCTCACGATGTTAGCAGGGCTGGAGCACGTCAGACTGGCATGGATTCTCCCAGTCAGGCGTAGGTGAAAGGTGCTCTGGCCTGGTTCGGCCCCTCCACCCTTTTAAGCATCATCCCACACTGGACTCAGTGGCCCCACTAGTGACTAGTGCTGTGCTTCAAATTGCTACAAAATGTAGCAGTCTAGAACCATCCCCTTATTTTGCTCACAATTTTGCAGGTCAGAAAGTCAGGATGGGCTCAGCTGGGTGGTTTTCTCCTGGGGGTTACTCATGCAGTGAAAGCCAGCACCGCCGGATGCTACAGTTATCTGTGGTGGAAATGCTACATAAGTGAGCGACTACACATCTCTTCCCAAGTCTGAGTTCAGTGACATCACGTTGGTAGCTTGAAGCTGGGAGAATTTACACCACAGACATTGGCAGAGGCTACACATCAGGTTCTCTCCTTATCCCCCACCCCACCTCAGGCTGAAGCCACCTGAGAACTTGTTAAACATTGATCAGTGTCTCATTGCTGTGGTCCCCACATGGGCAGGTCTGGAAAATGTGTGAAACCGGGTTCTGCACCTGTTGGAGTTTTTTTTGTTTTTTGACAGTCTCACTCTGTGGCCCAGGCTGCAGTGCAGTGGCATGATCTTGGCTCACTGCACTGCAACCTCCAACTCCTGGGTTCAAGCAATTCTCCTGTCTCAACCTCCCGAGTAGCTGGGACTACAGGCACATGCCACCAGGCCTAGCTAATTTTTGTATTTTTAGTAGAGACAGGGTTTCACCATGTTGGTCAAGCTGGTCTCGAATTCCTGACCTCAGGTGATCCACCTGCCTCAGCCTCCCAAAGTGCTGGGATTACAGGCGTGAGCCACCACGCCTGGCCTGCACCTGTTGGAGTTTTATGAAGCATAGCCTTAGATATCCTTTTCTGCCAAACCCTGTGTTCTAGCTATTTTTTTTATTTTTTAGAGAGTCTCACTCTGTTGCCCAGGCCAGAGTATAGTGGTGCAATCATAGCTTGCTGCAGCCTCCAATGCTTGGGCTCAAGTGGTCCTCCTGCCTTAGCCTCCCGAGTAGCTGGACTACAGGTGTGAGCTGCCACACCCAGCTGATTCTTTTTGTTTGTTTTTGTGGAGACAAGGTCTTGCTATGTTGTCCTGGCTGGTCTCAAACTTCTAGCCTCAAGCTATCCTCCTACCTTGGCCTCAAAGAATGCTGGGTTTACAGGTGTGAACCACTGTGCCCAGCTGACCACACCTTTTTCTTTTTCTTTTTTTTTAAAGATAATGTCTTGCTCTGTCACCTAGGCTGGAGTGCAGTGGCATGATCATGGCTCACTGCAGCCTCGAACTCTGGGCACAAGAGAGCCTCCTGAGTAGCTAGGACTACAGGAGTGCACCACCATACCTGGCTAATTTTTTTTTTGTATAGATGGGATCTTGCTATGTTGCCCAGGCTGATCTCAAATTCCTGGGCTGAAAGGATCCCTCTGCCTTGGCCTGGCAAAGCGCTGGGATTACAGGCATGAACCACTGTGCCCAGATGACCCCATCTTTCAATAGGAGGAACTTTTTAGGGCTGTGTTCTCATGCCACCACAACCCAGGGGGCCAGATTAGCTGAGGACGTGTCCTCTAAGCCCTTCTGTGTCCCTTCTGTTTTCAGTTTCTCTTCTCTATGAGTATCTCTGTCTCCTTTCCTTGGAGGTGACAGAGGGCACCCATGTGCCCAGGCTCACCCAGGCAGTGGGTGACACCAGTGGGTGACAATGTGGATGGCCCGCCATGCCAGACACTCACTCCAATGCCCATTTTACAGATGAGAAGACTGAGTACTGAGTGGCC
This sequence comes from Homo sapiens, assembly GCF_000001405.40. NCBI lineage: Eukaryota > Metazoa > Chordata > Mammalia > Primates > Hominidae > Homo > Homo sapiens. The sequence continues at coordinate 5,436,125 of NC_000007.14, read as the reverse complement.
AGGTAGACTGAGCAGGATCGCAGAGGGAGGATTTGTTCCTGGGCCAATCCCCTTGTTTCCCATCCATGTTCCCTATCCTTGGCAACTTGGGGGACAAAGACCTATTCAGGCCCCACCACCTCCAGCCAGACCCATCTTCCAGAGCAGCTGAGCCTCGGTGGCTTGGGGCTGGGTCACAGCCCCTGACTGATGGTGAACTGGCCTGACAGGTAATTTGTACCTTGCATAGGAAGATGCGGTCATTGCCAGAAGAGAACCGAAACCGGCTATGAATAATTCCTGCACTTTCAACAAAAACACCAATACAATGAAAGTTAAATAAATACGCTCAAGCCACCCAGGCGTGAAGGGTAAAAGACATAGCGAAAATCATCTGAGCCAGCTCCTGTGAGCAGAGGCACTGGGGTCCTGGTCCTTGTGGAGGTTGGCTGGGCTCCAGCTCATGGGGAGCAGGTTGGCTGGCCTCTGCGGACTGAGAGGGGCCACAGCTCTCTTCCCTGCCCCAGGTCTGGCATGTGACCTGTGAGACAGAGAGCCCCGCTGGGAGGCTTCCAGGCCTTGGCCTAGGCTGTTCTTTAAGCCTGGAATGCCCTCTGTGCCTTCTCTGCCTAGCAAACTCCTATTCATCCTTGAAAACCCTACCGAGATGACATCACTTCATTCATTCATTGAATGGACATTCACTGAGGTCTGATGGGCCAGGCATGGGGGAGAGAGTGATAGAATAAAGTGAGGGACACGCCTGTCATCACAGCACTTTTGAAGGCCAAGGCAGGAAGATCGCTTGAGGCCAGGAGTTTGAGACCAGCCTGGGCAACTTAGTAAGACCCTGTCTCTCCAAAAAATAAAAAATTAGCTGGGTGTGGTGGCACACGCCTGTAGTCCCAGCTACCCAGGAGGCTGAGGAGGGAGGATCGCTTGAGCCCAGGAGATTGGGGCTGCAGTGAGCTGTGATTGTACCACTGCACCCCAGCCTGGGTGACAAGTGAGACCCTGTCTCAAAAAGTAAAATAAAACAATAAAATGAAGAGCCTCTGATATAGGCTGAATTATGTCCCTCGCAAATTCATATGTTGAAGTCCTAACCCCTAATTCCTCTGAGTGTGACTGTATTTGGAAATACGGTCTTTAAAAGAGACGATTAAATTAAAATGAAGTTATTAGGTTGGGCCCTAATCCAATATGCCTGATGTCCTTATAAGAAGAGGAGATTAGGACACAGACACGCACAGAGGGACGACCATGTGAGGACGTAGGGAGAAGACGGCATCTACAAGCTAAGGAGAGAGGCCTCAGGAGGAACCAGCCCTTCCCACTCCTTGATCTCGAACTCCAGTCTCCAGAACTGTAAGGCAATTAAGTTTCAGTTGTGTAAACCACCCAGTTTTTATTCTGGGGACCCTGGGAAGCTCACACAGCCTCACAGGCTTGTAGAGGTGACAAGCATGTTGGGAATATCAGAATATTATTCAGCCCCGAAGAGGAAGGAAATTCTGCCAGCCGCTGTGATATGGACAAACCCTGAGGACATTATGCTGAGTGAATAAGCCAGACTAAAGGACAGATATTGTATGATTCCACTCATACGGGGTTCCTAGGGTAATTAAATTCATAGAGACAGAAAGTACAATAGCCAGGGGCTGGGAGAGGGGAATCGGGAGTGTTTAAAGGGGACAGGGTTTCAGTTTGGGAAGACAGAAAACAGCTCTGGAGATGGATGCTGGTGATGGCTGCACAACAAGGCGAATGTGCTTGAACCACTGACCTGTGCACTTAAAAAGGGTTAAGGTGGTGGCCGGGCGCGGTGGCGCACACCTGCAACCCCAGCACTTTGGGAGGCCGAGGTGGGTGGATCACCTGAGGTCAGGAGTTTGAGACCAGCCTGGCCAACATAGCGAAATCCCATCTCTACTGAAAATACAAAAAATTAGCCGGGCATGGTGGCGGGTGCCTGTAATCCCAGCTACTTGGGAGGCTGAGGCAGGAGAATCACTTGAACCTGGGAGGCAGAGGTTGCAGTGAGCCGAGATTTCACCACCAAAGACTCCATCTAAAAAAAAGGGGGCGGGGGCCGAGCGTGGTGGCTCATGTCTGTAATCCCAGCACTTTGGGAGGCCAAGGCAGGCGGATCATGAGGTCAGGAGATCGAGACCATCCTGGCTAACACGGTGAAACCCCGTCTCTACTAAAAATACAAAAAAATTAGCCGGGCATGGTGGCGGGCGCCTGTAGTCCCAGCTACTCGGGAGGCTGAGGCAGGAGAATGGCGGGAACCTGGGAGGCGGAGCTCGCAGTGAGCCGAGATAGTGCCACTGCACTCCAGCCTGGGCGACAAGAGTGAGACTCTGTCTCAAAAAAAAAAAAAAAAAAAAAAGGATCGGGGGGACCATTAAGATGGGTAAATGTGATGTGTATTTTACCACAATTTTAAAAGAAGTGCCAAAGTTAGCAGCTCAGGAGATGTGGCTTTGCAAGTGTGGCCAACATTGTCTAAACTCACCAATACCTGTTTTTTCTCCGCTTCCCGGGCACAGCAAGACTCTCCTCTCCAGCACCCCTCAGCTAAGTGTGATCGTGTGGGGTGTGAGCACCAGGGACATGGGAGTCTGTGCATGCCCCATGGTGACCTCACATGGAGGTGGACAACTCATGAACTCTAACTGGCTCAGGCTGGCCAGACACCACAAGGAGGTCAGCAGCCTGGGAGCAGTGCCCAGGCTGTGTTGACAATGTGAAGAGGAGAATACGTTTTTCTGTGTTCCATCAAGCCATTGAGATGTAGGGGATGTTTGTCACTGCAGCATAACCTGGCCTATTCTGACTGATACGCCAGCTTCCCAGGAACAACAGCAGATCTGGCACCCTGGAGATAGCTGGCTGGAACTGCCAGGAGCTACAAGGGTCAATGGTTCCCACTTGACCCTTGTAGGCTCTTAGATTTGGGATGGTGTCTGAGTCTCTTTAAGCTGCTATAGTGAGGTGTCACTAACTGGTGGTTTAAACAACAGAAATTTATTCTCTTACCATTCTAGAGGCTTGAAGTCCAAGATCAAGCCTCTAGTCCAAGGTGGCAGGTGTTGGCAGGGCTTGAGGGGTCTGTCCCAGGCCTCTCTGGTGTGTCCACCCCCCTCTACATCTTTCTACTTTGTCTTCCCTCCATAGCTGTTTGATTCCAAACACCTCCTTTTATTGGTGATAGGATCTTGCTCTACTGCCCAGGCTGAAGTGCTGTGGCATGATCACAGCTCACTGCAGCCTCGACCTCCTGGGCTCAAGCCATCTTCCCACCTCAGCCTCCTAAGTCGCTGGGACTACAGGCATGTGCCACCATGCCTGGCTAATTGAAAAAAAAAATCTGTAGAGGCAGGGTCTTACCCAGGCTGGTCTCGAACTCCTGGGCTTAAGCAATCCTCCTGCCTCAGCCTCCCAAAATGCCGGGATTACAGGCATGGGCCACTGCACCCAGCCCAAATGTCCTCTTTTTATAAGGACATCATAAGGAATTAGGGCCCACCGGACTCCAGTGTGACCTGATCTTAATTACATCTGCAATGACCGTCACTCCAAATAAGGTCACATTTTAAGGTATTGGGGGTTAGGAATCAAATACATGAATTTGGGGGGGACTTTCTTCAATCTACAACAGAGGAGGATCTGCGGGAATGGGGCCAGGTGAGGAAGGCAGGGGCAGGGGCAGGTGGGGGACAACCGGACCCCTCCAGCAGATGGAACCAAGTGAACAGGTCTTTCTGGCAGGAGCAGCTCTAGAAGATTCTTGTTTTGTTTTTTTGGAATGGAGTCTCGCTCTGTTGCCCAGGCTGTAGTGCAATGGCATGATCTTGCCTCACTGCAGCCTCCGCCTCTCGAGTTCAAGCAATTCTCCTGCCTCAGCCTCCTGAGTAGCTGGGACTACAGGCACCCGCCACCAAGCCCAGCTAATTCTTGTATTTTTAGTAGAGACGTGGGTTTCATCATGTTGGCCAGGCTGGTCTCAAACTCCCGACCTCAGGTGATCCGCCCGCCTCGGCCTCCCAAAATGCTGGGATTACAGGTGTGAGCCACTGCGCCTGGCTTAGAAGGTTCTTTAGAGAGTCTCCATGGCCATAGAAGCTGGTGTGTGAGTGCCTGTGTGTGTGTGAGTGCCTGTGTGTGTGCCTGTGTGTGTGTGCCTGTATGTGTGTGTGCCTGTATGTGTGTGTGCATCTGTGTGTGTGCCTGTATGTGTGTGTGCCTCTGTGTGTGTGTGTGTGTGTGTGTATGATAGGATTCCTACCTCGTGCTCCTCTCTGGGGTGAAGGCAGACCAATACATGAAGAGAGAGTGGAGGGCAGCCGGGAGGGGGCCTGTCAGGCTTGATCTTTGTGGGTTTGTTTTTGACTTGACGCTGGCTCTAGAAATGGATTGACATTGGGGTGGGCGTGGGATGGAGGCTGATAGGAGAGGGAAGCTTTCAAAGCTGTAGCCATGGGAAATGTTTTTATTTTCTGCTTGAAAGAAAATGCCAAAGAAGGATAAAAAGGAAAAAAAGGTGGGGGGAGGTGACTCTGTGTGTGTGTGTGTGTGTGTGTCTGTGTGTGAGAGAGAGAGAGAGAGAGAAAACCGGGATGCCTTTTTGTATGACAGACTTCTAGATTGGGAAACGAAGCTCTGCTGGGCGTGGTGGCTCACACCTGTGAGTGGCTCCCAGCACTTTGAGAGGCCGAGGAGGGAGGACTGCTTGAAGCCAGAAGTTCAAGACCAGCCTGCACATCACGAGACCCGCCCTCCCCCCACCAATCTCTATAAAACATTAAAAAAAAAAAAAAAAAGCTAGCCTGGCGTGGTGGCATGCATCTGCAGTCCCAGCTACTTGGGAGGCTGAGGCAGAAGGATTTTTTGAGCCCGAGAGGCTGAGGCTGCAGCGAGCTGCGGGTGTGCCGCTGTGCTCCAGCCTGGGCGACAGAACGAGTCCCTGTCTCAAAAAGAAAAAAAGAAGAGACCCCAAGGGAGGCCAAGCTTGGTGGTTTGGGCCTGTAATCCCAGCACTTTGGGAGGCTGAGGTGGGAGGATTGCTTGAGGCCAGGAGTTCAAGACCAGCCTGGGTAACATAGTGAGACCCCCGTCTCTCCAAAAAAAAAAAAAAAAAAAGATGATCCCAAGGGAGAGGGGATATGGATTCTCCAGGTTTGTCCTGAACCTGAGTCTGCGCTAGGTTCTGTGGAATCACACAGGAGCTCCTGCTTTCCAGCCACGGCTCTCCTGATCTCCAAAGTGACCCCTGGGTTACCTTGACCTCAGCACCCCACCCTGCCCCAGGCCAAACCAGGCTCTCCTACTAGTCCTCTGACCTTCACTGCCCCCCTCCTTCCTCATGCCAGGTCAGGGAAGGAGACAGCCCTTACCGAGTGGCAGGGAGGACTGATGGTTATAACGCACAGTACAAGGGTGGCAGGTTGTGTCCTGTGTCATGGGAGTGGCCTTTGCCTCTACCTTCTCTAAGCGAGTCTCAGCCAGGCTGGGGGCTCCCAGAGGCAAAGGGCCTCCACAGTGGGGTCCCCAGCAAGCTGCCTGGTTTAGTTCAGGGTGCCTGCTACTTCCTGGCTGCGTGGGCTTGTCACATCTCCTTTCTGCACCTCAACTTTTTCATCTGTTAAATGGGTATGCCGGTACCCAAACCATACGGTCGTCAAAGCCTGCCTGAAGCAGGGCTCAGAGCACACCATAAGGAGTTCAGATGGGAAAAGAGCAAACTGGGAAGGCTCTGCCTGGGAAGGGGGTGGGACAGCCTGGATTTGGGACGCGTGGCGTGTGCTGGGGAGGTGGGGCTGGGAGAGGTGGGGCGTGCTGAGGTGCCTCTGAGGGACAGGCTGGCCGTGGAATTTGCTGCAGAACTCGGCGTGCACAGGCCTGCCCCGGAGGGGTTCAGAGGCCTAAACAAAGCTGGGAGCCGGCAGGGAGGGGGTGGGGGAAGGAACCTCTAAGAGAAGGGACAGTCCTCTCCCGGGGCACCCACTCCCCACCTAGGTGCAGCGCCTCTCCCCAAACACACGTGCTGCCAAGCCCTTCATCAGTCACCCTGGCACTGACATCCATAAATCCCATTAGTCACACCGACACAAACACATCCAGTCCCAGGCAGACAAAGACTCGGGGCCCCAAAGCGGCCGTGTCTGTCCCCAGTGGTGCTTTCCCCATGCCTAGACCTGTGCCGACACCGCCGGCGCTCCAGCAATCGTTGAACCGACAGCAAGCAGCCCTCCTCGCAATCACAAACGCCTCCTGACCGCGCACTACAGGCCCCCGGATAACCACAGTCGCCCCTTTCCCCCATTCCAAGCCTCTCCCATCTCCTCTGGGTACACACGTACTGCTGTAATCACCCACGAATGCCCTTGGCCATTCCCTCTTCCGCGTCTCTCTGGAGGGGTAGGGCTGACACTGCCCCCTCCTCCCCAAAGCCTGTGCTCAGACGGGTCAGGCAGAAAAACCATCCCCCAAGGTCACCAGAGCTCTTCAGCAGGCGCCCCCGGGAGCTGATTTATTGGCGGTTTATTTGGAGAAACGCTATCGCTCTTAGATTCTGGAGGGGGGAAAAAACACGCTCGCGGTGGACTTTAACCTTGGGCTGAAACCACAGCGCTTTGTTTTCGGAGGTGCTTCCTGGGGCGCCGCGGCAGGGCTGGGGCCTAGCGGGGGAAGCTGGGCCGGAATGTGGCCCAGCAGCCTCTCCACTCCCAGGCTGCGCTTCTGCCTGCCCGGGCAAGCGCTCAAATTCCTCTGGGCCCGGCCGGAAGCCCTCGGTCCCTCCAAAAGTGCTTCTAGAAATTCTAGGAAGGAGCCGAAGCTCCTTGGCTGAGGGCGTCCTTGGAGCGAGGTTTCCAAACCCTCCCATCCCAAGCCCCCGGCATGTGCCACCCGCCGTTTGCAGTCGTGTCACTGGCATGGTGAGGTTTTCGGGAGGCATCCATGAAGGGCTGAATGCTCCGGTTTCCGTGCACCTTAAGTCTGGAGCAAAACCCCGCTGGAGGTGGTTGGCTCCAATCGCGCCCATGGTTTGCTTGGCTGATGTAAGACACCAGCGCGAAGGCCTGTTCCCGCCCCTCTGGCAGAGATAAACTAAGCGTTATTATTGCAAATGCGCCCTCTCTGGATCTGCTCCCCACGACTATTCGTGTGTCAAAACCGCCGCTTCCACCAGGCAGCCACAAGGGCGAGACCCATTCCCGCTTTCCCCATTGCTGAGCCAAAGCTCGCACCAAGGAGGGCTCCAAGCCGGGACCCCGGTTGGAGAAAATCCTGGGGCATCCAGCGGCACGGAGGGTGGGAACCAGATGAGCCTCCGCCTCCGCGCACGGTGCCCACAGTCACACCCCCCGTTGGTCCACCTGTGCCAAAAAAAAAAAAAAAAAAAAAAAAAAAGGCCCTTCATGCGCCCGCAGAGGGCTCTGAGGAGGCACGAGATGAAGGCAGGGTCCGCGGAGAGGTGGCAAGCTGAATTCTGAGAAGCCGCTCTGACCCTGACCCTGGGGTCACCCCTCCGTGGTGCAGGTGGCACCGGAGTTGGGCTCGAGCGGAGAGCCGCATGCCCATCCCAGTCTCACCGAGCCTTCCTAGGAGGAAATGCCAGGCCCGGGCGCCCCTACCCCAAGGCGGTGATCCTGTGAAGCTCGGGCCACCTCAGGGTCCAGCGCCCTCAGAGATGGATGGTGTTGACACCGAGGAACGAGGCCGTTCCCTCTCTTTGGTGAACGGAGAAGCTCCTGGCGTGGTTCCCTGCGCAGTCTCCGGGTCCCCAGGCCGTGATGGGGTGAGCAGGGTGCGCGGCGTGGCCCGGGACACGAGACCGGCCCGGAGCACCCCGGCGTGAGCAGCGGGAAGGAGGGCCCGCCCGGAGATTTATGGCCGCAGCCGGCCCCCTGTGCACTGAGCGCGTCTCGGTCCTTTCCCAGCCAAACAGTGGAGTGGAGGACCCGACCCCGGCTGGAGGAAGAGGCCAGGGCCGGAGGCGGGGCCGAGAGGAGCTGGAATCCATCGGGGCTGGGCCTGGCGCATCAGTCCGAATTCTGCCCGCCTTGCGCCCTGGTCTCGGTGGGGTGTGGGGCGCTGGCGCCGCGTCCCTGGTCTTTCAGGCAGGTCCGGGCAGCTCCTGGCTGGGTTGGCCCGACCTAGACTTGGCGCTGTATCGCGGCTGGGCCTGTCGCAGCGAGGGGACGGCGAACGTGGCTTTCCCGGGCACAGCCTCTCCGGGTTTTAGCCGCGCCCGCCAGACACGGGACCTGCGGAAACCGGCGCTTAAGACGCCCAGCCACACGGCCTCTCAGCTGGCAGCAGAAGCTGGCAATCCCTCGGGGGGGTGCCCTTCAATGAGATGCCAGCGGAGAGTGGGGGCTTTGGTCCCCACCTGGAAAGGCGGTTGGCGCGACGGGTGGAGTGGCTCGGGTGGCCGCGCCAAGGAAAGGATCCTGGCTTTTTCTTTCCCCGCTGGGGGAGGGATAAGGGGAGAACGTGTCCAAGCGGCCAGCAATACCAGAATTTGGGAAGAACCGGGTTCAACGCCGAATTGAGAGAGACCGTCTGATCGCGGGAGCTGCACCAGCCCGGTGTAGGGGGCCGAGCCTGCGCCAACAAAAGCGCGACAGGGGTGACGGCCGGGCTCAAGGTTGGCCTGTCCTTTGGTTTTAAAACAAAGACGGAGAATTTTGTCAGTCGGGAGGCGTCCAGGGAGCGGAGGCCGGAGCCAGCGGCCTAGGAACACAGGGAAGGCCTCGGCTCCGGTGGCCCAGGCTGGCCGCGGAGAAGCACGCTGGGCCGGGCCTCGGCTAGCCAGGGCAGCTTCTCCCGCAGCTGCGGCTTAGGGCTACAAGGAAGACCCCCCCAGCCCCCAGCCGATTTTCTACCCAGTCAAACACACACACACACAGACACGCGCGCGCGCGCGCGCACACACACACACACACACACACACACGCACTTTCACTCAATTGCGTCCACAGTTTTTGGCCACCTATCCCGCTGGGTAAACAAAAGTATGAGGGGGTGGGGAGGGGGAGGGGATGGAATGGGGGTGGGGCGCGGAAGATGGCGGCTGGACCTGGTGGCCTATGGCCTGTGCCCTATGGCCACAGCGCCCAGGCCTGGTTTTTACATTTCAATGTGGCCCGCCATACTGGGGAGGGCGTTTCCCTGGACCCTGAAGCCTAGTTAGGGATGTCCTAGAGGCTCCCCTTTACGAATGGGGGCACCCGGGCTGCAGCCACTACTACTTCGCTTGGGATCGGTCCTCCGCCCCAAGATGGCTCCCAGTCGCTGTTTACTCAGCGACTGCAGGGACACCAGGGCGCGGGGCCGGGGAGCGGGCGAAGATCACGGAGCGTACAGATTGGCCCGGGCAGGTGGCCTCTCCGCGTGGCCCGCCCGCGCCCCCAAGCACGCGGCAGCCCTGGAAAACCGCGTGGGCAGGATGCGTCCTGGCCGCCCCGCCTGGTGGCCAGGAACTGGGAGCCACCACCACCACCGCGTCCCCAGGCCCTGCTCCCCGGCCGGACTCCGGTGGCTGCAGGGCCGCGCAAATATGGAGTGGGTGCCGGGGGCAGGTATGGAAGGGCCGGTGCAAGGGGGCTGGGCGCACAAAGCCCAGGCGGGGAGGGGACCTCCTCTGCCCCGAACCGCGGCCCTAATGAAATACCGGCTGGGTTCGTCACACCGCCGAGGCGCACACTTGAAAAATGCAAACGCCATTGGCAAATCCAGGGCAAACAGGCAGAATTTTTATTAGCAACTAAATGATTTATGGCACACGTACCCCGCCGTCACAATTACGGCGTCTCGGAGCATCCAGGGGGTGAAAACATTAAACATTTATAAAAATAAGCCTTTGTTTTTTCTACTCCGCAAGGCTTTTGTTTTCCCCACCCCAAATCTCTCAAGATATACGTATTTTTTCCTTGAGCTATATTAAAATAAAGAAAAACATTCCCCAAATCCAGGGCGGGGTAATGCGGTGGGGAATTAGGATCTGGGCTTGGAATATTGGTGGGTAAAGAGGGTGGAGAGGAAGCGATGGGGCCTCGGGCGTGGGAGGGCTTAACTAGGAACACACAAGACCTCTGCGTAAGGCTCAAGGGCGCTCTGCGCCCCCACACACGGCCCCCTTCCCCCGCCTGGGCTTCCAGCAGCCCCGCGCAGCTCGACTGCGTTTATTCGATTCCTGCAGTCCCCTCCTCCCCTAAGGCACACAGACACAATACCTCCTTTCTCTAACCCCCCTCTCCTCTCCGTCTTTGCTCCTGGCCGTCCCGGGGATGCACCGGGCGCCTCCCGCCGCCCCGAATGCCGAGGCCGCCACTGAGACCCGCACGCCCAGCTCCAAACGCGGACACCGTGGCTTGTTCCCCTCGGCTCCGGCTATTTTTGTTCCTTTCTTTCCTTCTCACTCCTCCCTCCTCCCCAGCGGAGCTACAGCTTCCAAAAGAGGGCAGCCTAGAAACTAACGCAGGAAGCTCCAGGAAGGGCAACTTGAAACTGCCCTCAAGAGGCTGAACTTTTTTCCTCAAATTTATCCTGGAATTAAATTAGACACCCCCCCGTTCGTTCTCGAAGCCTCCCCCCACTTTTTTCTAAAAGTGGAGAAAAGAAAATAGAACGAATGGGCACTAACTCGCTCATTTTTCCCCCCTCCCAAAAAGTTGCCTTAAAAATTGATTTAAAAAAAACAGAACGGGCAATGCGAAAACGCTGAGTCCGCAGCGCGGGGCGAAAGAGCGGGCTTCTCTTGTTTTAATTAAAATCTTATCACTGCAGTTGCTCTTCGAGGCAGCATTGGAAGGATTTCTGCCCCTCCAAGCTTCCTTTCCAGGGTACGTAATGCCTAGCCGGGCTCGGGGGGCTGCAGAGAGAGGGTGCGGGGGCCCCCAGGACAGTCCTGCTGGCGTGGTCCGCACTCCCTGCGCCCCCGGTCAGGTAGGTCGGCCGCGGGCAGCTCACGGCTACTCAACCCAGAAAGGATTTTGCTGAAAGCGCAAAATAAAAGTACAAAGTCTGGGGGATTGGGGCTCCCTTCCCCCTACGGCCGCCGTGGCCAGCCAAGCACTTTTTGGGCTTGGCGGCTACTTCCTCTGAGCTCAACAGATTTTATTTTTTTCCCGGTCTCGCCCTCCCTGGAGGGGGCGCGGCGGATGGAAGGCGAGAGAGGCCCCCAGCCAAGAGGTTTTTAATATTACACTTTAATAGGTTTCAGAAGGCTCCGTGGAGAAATGCTAATAGGCTGAAATGTCAGAATCGAGAGGGATTCAGTTCGCGCTCAGCCGATCTAATCCTTTTTTCTGCTCTGATTTTTTGTTGGCGGGGGGGGAAGGAGAGGGGAGCGCCCACGCAAAGAGGGGCTTTGGGGAGGGGCGCGCTGTGCGAAGCGCCGCAGCCCGGGCCTGGGCCGAGCGGGGGGCGCGCCCCGCTCCGCGTTTCTATAGGAACCCCTTTTAGAAGATTAGAGACTCACCCGCTGCCTGCCGCCGCGGCCTCTCCAAAATATTAATCAGTAACCATCTGACACCGCGTTTCAGGGAGGGACCCGTAGGTCAGTGCTAGGAAAACGGCCTTCTCGCCTGCCCATCCCACCCGACCGCGCTGCTGGGGGAGAGGGAATGAATCGCTGCTTTGTTTTAAAAGGAAGAAAAAAAAAACAAGGGAAAAAGCAGCCCTTGTCTGTTTCGGCGTCTCCACCGCGCGTACTAGAAGCGCACCCCAGGGGAGGCCGGGGGCCGGGGCCCGGAGTGCGGGGTGCAGCCAGCCGGGCCCCAGGCCCTCTCCGGCTCGCTTGGCTTGTCACCTCCTCCTGCGAGCAGGAAGCTGACAGGCGGCCCATTAAACCGCGCCTTGCAAAGCCCTGGATTGCGGCGACAACCATCTTCCTCTATTTTGATCACTCAGCCCAGACGCTGGGGGAGGGGAGAAGGAAAAGGGAGGAGAAGGAGAAAGGAGGGAGGGGGGGGTCCGAGCTGGTGGAGGGGGAGGGCTGCCTAGAAACGGCCCGGAAAAATTCTCACCACCAGTTTTGATCATTCAGCCCCGCCGAGGGGAGCCTGGAAACTGCTGGAGCCCCTAGGTCCGTAATTGGTTTTATAGGAATGGCTGTGGGCCAAGGTGTTTACATGCGCGTGATTGGCGGCGCGCGCGGCCAATGCGCGGCGGCCGGGGGCCGGGCTGGGGGGGGGGGCGGGCACCCGGGAACAATGCGTGTTTCTTTGCCGGAGAGGGCTCCCCCTCCCCCAACCCCCTCCAACCACCCCCCTCCGCTGCCTTTTTTTTTTTTTTTTTAGATCCTGCGAGAGGAACTTGAAAGGGGGGTTGTGTAATGTACCTTTTCCAATCCCGGGCTGTATATGGAGATTTGGGATTCTTTAAACCGGCGCTACCTGGATTTTATTAAAAAGCGGGGAGCTCGGCGGGAGGAAAGCTGGCTTTTCCGGGGGCTGCGGGAGCCGGGCCGCGGGAGGGCGGAGGAGTTGGCGCGCCGAGCGCTCGGCCCGGGGAGCGGTTTTCTACCAAAAAAAGGAAAGGCGGGCAAAAAGTGTGAGGCGGCTGCGGGTGGCGGAGGGGAGCGGCGGCCGCGGGATGGCGGGCAGCAGGGGCGCCTAGCTGCGCCGGGAGCCGGGGCCGCCGCCGGAGTCGTTGTCGCCGGAGCCTGGAGCCGTGAACCCAGCCGCGCCAGGTACGCCGCCGGTCAGCCTGCCGGCCCCCGGCCGGGCGCGATGGTCTCCAAACTTCTCCAGCTCGCCCCCCAACCACGCCTGCCCCTCGGGGTGCGCGGGGGGGGATCCCCGCTACTGTCTGGCTCCGGATTGCAGAATCGGGGACCAGGGCCGGCGGGGAGGGGGCGCCCCGGGAGGGGTGGGGGTGGGCTGCTGGGCCCCGGGCACCCACGCGAGCCCCCAGCCCCGCTCCGGCCCTCCTGGCCCGGCCGAGGGGCGGCGGTTCCTCTCTCGGTTCCCAGCAGGCGGCGGGGGAGCCCGGGACGCCGAGACGTTTTCGATTATAGGCTGTTTTTAATTAAAAGCCGGAATTCAGCCATTTTAACTCCATTTAAGAGGGGGAGAAAAGTAAGGAGAACGCAGCGGAGCCCGCAGATAGCCGAGGCAGCTTCTTTGCCAGTGTGAGGGTGTTCCAGGGGGCTTCACCCCGACTTCCCCAAACTGGGGCGCCTGGGCATACTACGAGGCGCTGGCTTTTAAAGAAAGCTACCCAAAGAATCTCTTACAAAAAAAAATCACGGGAAGCTCATCGCCTCCTTAAGACATGTATCCTCGGATGTGGCGATCTTAGATTTTTCCAAAGTAAACGCGAATCTGGTAACCAGAGCCTGATGGGAGAGAGGGAGGGAGGGGGTGTTTGTAACCAAAACCGGGTTAAAATAGGCACCCTTAGCAAAGTTGGGGAGGGAGGCTGGAGAGGAAGGCCGGCGGGTTTGGCTAGGGGTTTTGCAGCCGAGGGGGTCTCCTGCTCGGGGGGCTGGGCGCGGAGTGCAGGGCGCCGGGCGGGCACCCGGGAGCCGGTGGCTTTGGCGTGATCGGCTTCTCTTAAGAGAGCCCAGGCCTCCCGGAATCAGGAATGTGAGCTGCTGCAGACAGAGATCGAGGGAAGGGTGGGCTCCAAGACCCCCTCCCATCCTCACGAGAATCGGCAAAGGACAAATCTTTTAAACAAACAGCTTTAACCTGGAACTACAGGGGGATTTACCCAAAGGTGGGGGAGGCGCCCCTTGGCAGGCCCGCGTTGCAAAGGCTTTCTTTGTAGGTTATTTTGGGGGGTGGTTGTGGGGGGGGAAGCTAGAGTAGGAGCGAGACCCTTGATCCCTTTCCTTCCCCTCTTGACATCCCCCAAATCCCCCACGCCAGGCCAGGTCCTCGGGCTGCAGGAGCTCAGGCCAGGGCGTTGGAAAATGAAACCAAAGCTTGTTTTGTAGGATTCTTTCCAGTCCTTAGGCGAGAATGCCACGTCTCGGGTCCTCGGACTCGAGCTCTGGGACTCACAGTGCCCCCCGGGGGGAGAAAGGGGGGGGACCACGAGCCTCTTTAAAAATAATAAACCCGCTTTGGACCCTCCCTCCTCCCACCCCCAGAAAAACACCATTCCGTCGGCGGTTCAAGGCGAGCTCAGGAAAAACCAAACTCGGAAAAGGGAGGCGAGGTCTCCAAAAGGTTAAATATTAAACTTTGCGGATCAGATAGTGCCAGAGTGTTTTGGGAGACACTTCGGACCGTTTGTGGCAAGGCTTCACGGTTTTAAACCCCGGAGCATTTGACGCCTAGGAATAAAATAGGAGGTTTGTATTTACGCCGTCTGGGCGCAGCCGAGGAGCCCTCCCCGGTTTCGGGAGGACCCGGCAGCCGCCGAGGCAGAGTCCGGGCTGGGGCGCAGCGCGCCACCGCCGCCGGTCACTTTTCCGAGCCAGGTCCCGGGAGCCTGAAGCCGCCGGCGGAAGGAGTTTGGATTTCATTTTTCAGTGGAAAGGGGCTACTCCCGATTTCATTTCTGGCCACTCAGTCGGCACCCCCCGATCCTGAAGGGCGAGGCGACTTTCTGAAACTTGTTACTTTATTTTTTTTTCCCTTTTTTCTTTCCCCCTTTCTATTTCTTCCGCGGCCTGTCTCCTCCCCGCCAAGACGCCGTGTGCGCCGCCTCGCGCAGCTCCGCCTGGCCGCCCGGAGGGGCCCCACCGCCGGCCGCCTGTGCGCCCCGGGCCGCGGGCCCGCCGCCGAGCGCAAGCCCCGCTGGCCGCCGCCATGCACGCCGCGGAGCCCCCGCCGCCCGAGGACTCTGGGACTACGCCGAGGCCGAACTTTTAGGTCCCACTGAGCTAGGCCTGCGGGCCGGGTGGGGGGCTGATCGCGGCACTCCCGCGGAGGATGGATGGCCGAGACTTCGGGCCCCAGCGGTCCGTGCACGGTCCCCCGCCGCCGCTGCTGTCCGGCCTGGCCATGGACAGCCACCGCGTGGGCGCGGCCACTGCCGGACGCTTGCCCGCCTCGGGCTTGCCCGGCCCGCTGCCGCCCGGGAAGTACATGGCCGGCCTGAATCTCCATCCGCACCCGGGTAAGTGCCCCGCGCCGTGCCCGTCCCCTCCTGTCTTCCCAGGGAGATCCACTCGGCCGGGTCCTCCTGTGCACTCGCGGCCGGGGCTCGGCGACTCTCCTTCGGTCGGCCACGGGGGTGCGGGCAGACTCGGCTCCCAGGGCTGGGAAACTCCTGGTCCCGGAGCCAAGGCGGTGGAGAGTGTCGCGCGGCTCGGCTACCTTTTCCGTAGCGTGCTTGGCCCTCGTGAGCCGAAAGCCGGTGTGGTAGCCCGAGCCACCGGGGGCGATTCCAATCCCCGGGGCCCCGGCGGCACGAGCCTGGGCTGGAGTTTTCAAAATCTGGGCGAGAAAAGAACAAACCGGCCCCCGCACCCCGCGAGACACCCGCTCCCCGAGCTCGAATCTTTTTCTTGGCAAACGCTACTTTTGGCGCTCGTGGGCCCTCCTGGGTTCTGTTCCCAGCTCCACCACTCGCGCCGAGCCGGGTCCCTGGCAGTTACCGAGCGCCGGGGGATGCGGGAGTACGCCGGGGGATGCGGGAGTACGGTGACCCCAGCCTTGGGACCCTGGCCTCGGGGCGGGCGGGATGCCCCTTTCTTCCCCGGGAGAACGGCGGCCCTGGGAACCTGCACCCCGGTAGGAGGGCGGCGACCCCGGCCCTCGGGGACCCCTTGTTTTCCAGCGCGAAAGAGGGTGCGGAGGTGCGGCAGGGACACCGAAACCGGACCATCGCGGTCCCGAACCTAGGGGGAAAGAAGAGAGCGGGTCGGGCAGGGCCCAGGCGGCGGAGGGGAAAACCCTGGGTCTCACATCGAGCTGCTGGAGGAGGTGGCCGAGAAGGTCCCGCGGCCTCCACCATTTCCCGAGACGGGCTGCCCAGGCGCGGTGGGGACGGTACCCGGGCGGGCGCTGCGCCGGGGCGGGAGACTCTCCCTCCAGTCAGTCCGCGGCCGCTGCAGCCAGAGGGGTGGGAAGGAGACTCGGGGACCTCCAGACCTGCCCGGCGGCCGCCCCAGGACACCTGGTCCCTCCTTCCCGGGCTGTCCCTGGCTTTTGTGCTTGGCGTCCCAAGTCTCGACTTAAAAAAAAAAAAAAATCCACCTCCTGTTCGAATTGCAGTTTCGGATTTTTGCAATTTCCAGAGTAGCCCTCGATGCTCCCCTCTTCCTTGGGGTCTCTCAGGAGCTGCCACCTCGGCCTTGCCCCGCCCGCTCGGCGGAGCTCGCCGATTTTGCTCTCTCTTTGATTTTTCTCCTGGAACTTTTCAGGAACTGGAGTCCCGGGGGCTCGGCGGGACAAAGGGCCTTTGTGAGGCGCCGGGCGGGGGAGGGGCGCGCGCCCGGGGGCCGGGAGCTCGGAGATCCCCGCCAGCCGGGGCGCAAGAACCAGGTCTTGGCCCCCGGACCTGCTTGTGTCCCTCCGGAGCTGGGGGCGTATTCCGCCCGGGGTCTGTGACCGGGGCAAGGGTTTGTTCTCTAGTGGCGTGTTGTGGCGAGGGAGGGGCGCGGGGGACCCCCGAGGAAGAACTTGGGGGGCGGCCCTGGGGTACAGAGACCATCTGAGCTGTCCCCTTTTGCGCTCCCCACAAGTCCACCGTGATGTGTGTGTGTGTGCATGCGTGTGTCTTTTGGGTCATTTGGTCCAGCCCGGAGTGGTGGCAGGGGGGCCCCCCCCAAGCCTGGGAATCGGTACCCGGGTCTCTCTGGCTGGCTGGGCCTGCGCTTGGCTTTTTCGAGGCTGGGAAGGGGCGTCGCGCACTCCCCGCCTGCGATCTGGCTCCGGCCTGGCAAGGCAAAGTGCCCTAATGCGAAGCGGTGAAAACAAGCTACTACTCATGCATGCATGCACAGTGCCAGGGCCGCGCCTAATCTGACGCAGCAGTCAGACGGCCTAATGCCCATTTGCTGGATGGTGAGGCTGAGGTGGAGGGAAGGCCAAGCCACCAGCCTCGGAAGCCCAGCGGGAGGTAGCCTCGGAGCCCTGCCTCTGCGCACCTTCTGCGCTCGCTGGGAGCTGCCTGACTTCTGCACGCCGAGGCTGAGGTCGGGGAGGAAACAGCAGGAGGACAGCTGCCGCCCCCTTGAACCCCGTGCTCACCCGGGAGGGAAAGGTGGGGGCCGGTGCTGGTTCTGGCTGTCCCCCTCCCCCACTTCGAGTAGCCGCAAGGAGACCTCGGACCCCAGGCCAACGCCCAGAGCCAAGCCCGTGCTAATCCCATTAGCCACGAGGTGGGAGCAGCTCCCATTCACTCTCTGCTTGGGGCTGGGCCGGATTACACATTCCTCAAGCCAGCACATCCTCCCCCTCCCGCGTTTTCTTTGTGGGGTGCAGGTGCTACATTTTCCCTTCTGACGCACCTCCCTCTCTTCCTTGGCTGTCGGCACCTTAGGTCTTGCCAGCGTTATCAGTCCCATCTTTATTTGTTTATTTTTGTACCGGGAAGTCCTGAGCGGTTGAGCCACTTGCTTGGGGTCACCCAGCTAGGGAGAGGCACATTAAGGTTGGGCTCTGCGGACGTGGATGAGCGCTGTCAGGGCTTATAAAGCCCCTCCTAGGCCGAGGGAGGTTCCCTGGAGAGAGCTCAGAGCTGGAGGGGCCCTCGGAGAAAGATCCCCGGGGAGGAATCCCATCCAAGCTAGTATTGACAGCCATCTGCTGTGGAAGGTCCTCTGGAAGAGCTGGTTTCTGCCTTTTGGGTCAAGATGGAGGGGTTTGGCCTCTTTCTCTGCAGAAGAGGAGGTGAATTTAAGAATGAATGGGGTTTGGGATCAGGGAAGGGTGGTTTTTAAGTTTCCTATTACCTTGAGCCTTGCTACATTGTGAACAAAATATTCACAGCCTGATCTGGGAGATGGGCATGTAACTGACAAACACCTGGGGCTTGGCTCTGTGCTCTGGGCTTGGGAGGCCTGGACTCAGTTGTCCTCACAGGCTGCAATTAAAGAGCTATTAGTAGGATTTTGTACTTGGATGTTTATTCTCCCTGCCCCCACACCCTAGGCTGGCCCTGGAGGGGTACATGAATAGAGGGTGGGACCCAGGGTTCTGGGTGGGGAGACCCTGCACTCTGGCTTGGCTAACACTGGAGGCTTGGCTAACAAGGGAGGGGCTTGGCTTGGCTAGCACTCTGGCTTGGCAACAGGGGGCCACGGGCCTTCTCCAGGGTCTGATCAGATCCATCTCTGGAATCCAGTCTGTCAGCCTACTGGGATTGATTTAGAAAGATTAATCAGTGAAGACCGCTGGCAGAGTGATGGAGAGATAAGGACGATTTGCAAGGGGCTTCTTTCTCTGGTTAGAGGCGACAAGGGAGGCCCTGGGAGGGTTCTGGAATCTGGAAGGGCCACTTGGTGGGGAGGGGGCTCTCTTGGTTCTTCAGCTCCCAACCCCAGCGCTTTCCTTCTTTCCTCACTTGCTCATTTACTCAGCAAATAATTTCCAAGTGCTTCCTGCGTGCCAGGCACCGCTCGGGTCCCAGGAATGCGGCAGTGAACCCAACAGACAGAAGTCTCTGCCCTCATTGGAGCTCATGTTCTTCCGGGGATTCAGGGAGTGAACACACAAATCCGAGAAGGAAATGTTTTTTGTTTGTTTGTTTGTTTTGTTTTTGAGATAGGGTTTTACTCTGTCACCCAGGCTGGAATGCAATAGCGTGATCTCAGCTCATTGCAACCTCCACCTCCCAGGCTGAGTCCATCCTCCTACCTCAGCCTCCCGAGTAGCTAGAGCTACAGGCATGTGTCACCATGCCCTGCTAAGTTTTTGTATTTTTTAGTAGAGGTAGGGTCTTGCTATGTTGCCCCGGCTGGTGTTGAACTCCTGGGCTCAAGTAATCCTCCTGCCTTGGCCTCCCAAAGTGCTGGGATTTCAGGTGTGTACCACTGCGCCCAGCTGATTTTGTTACTTAAAATTTTTTTTTTTTTAGAGACAGGGTTTTACTCTGTCACCCAGGCTGGAGTGCAGTGGTGCAATTATAGCTCATTGCAGCCTCAAACTCCTGGCCTCCTCCTGCCTTGGCCTCCCAAAGTGCTGGGATTTCAGGTGTGCACCACTGCACCCAGCTGATTTTGTTACTTAAAAAAAAATTTTTTTTTTAAGAGACAGGGTTTTACTCTGTCAACCAGGATGAGTGCAGTATTGCGTTTATAGCTCATTGCAGCCTCAAACTCCTGGGCTCCTCCTGCCTTGGCATCTTGAGTAGCTAGGACTACAGGTATGTACCACCATGCCTGGCTAATTTTAAAATTTTCTATAGAGACGGGGTCTTGCTATGTTGTCCAGCTGGTCTCGAACTCCTGGGCTCAGGAGATCCTCCTGCCTCAGCCTCCTGAGTAGCTGGGATTACAGGTGTGTGCCGCGACACCCAGCTAATTTTTTTTATTTTTAGTAGAGACGGAGTTTTACCGTGTTGGCCAGGCTGGTCTTAAACTCCTGCCCTCAAGTGATCCGCCTGCCTTGGCCTCCCAAAGTGCTGGGATTACAGGCATGAGCCACCATGCCTGGCCTAATTTTAAAATTTTCTGTAGAGACAGGGTCTCCCTATGTTGTCCAGCTGGTCTCAAACTCCTGGGCTCAAGAGATCATCCTGCCTCAGCCGCCCGAGTAGCGAGGACTACAGTCCAGCACCACTGTGCTTGGTTAAGCAAATTTTTTTTTCTTTTTTTGAGACGGAGTCTCGCTCTGTCGCCCAGGCTGGAGTGCAGTGGCTCCATCTCGGCTCACTGCAAGCTCTGCCTCCCGGGTTCACACCATTCTCCTGCCTCAGCCTCCCGAGTAGCTGGGACTACAGGTGCCCGCCACCATGTCCGGCTAATTTTTTTGTACTTTTAGTACAGACGGGGTTTCACCGTGTTAGCCGGGATGATCTCGATCTCCTGACCTCTTGATCCACCCGCCTCGGCCTCCCAAAGTGCTGAGATTACAGGCTTGAGCCACCGCGCTTGGCTGATTTTTTTTTTTTTTTTTTTGCGAGAGAGTCTTGCTCTGTCGCCCAGGCTGGAGTGCAGTGGCACGATCTAGGCTCACCACAACCTCCACCTCCTGGGTTCAAGCAATTCTGCTTCAGCCTCCCCGAGTAGCTGGGATTACAGGCGCCTGCCACCACGCCCAGCCAATTTTTTTTTTTTGTATTTTTAATAGAGATGGGGTTTCGCCATGTTGGCCAGGCTGGTCTCGAACTCCTGGCCTCAGGTGATCCACCCACCTAGGCCTCCCAAAGTGCTGGGATTACAGGCGTGAGCCACCACTCCCAGCTTAACTTCGACCTATTTTTAAGTGAAAATTTCCCAACAGTGAAAGTTGCCAACTTTCCCTGGACAACCACCTGGAGATGGGCTTCTCATATTGTTTTGTAATCTGATGTTTAAAAATGTAAAACTACACCGTGGAGTCTTATGCAGGCTGGGCACGGTGGCTCACGCCTGTGATCCTAGCACTTTGGGAGGCCTAGGCAGGCTGATCACCTGAGGTCAGGAGTTCGAGACCAGCCTGGCCAACATGGCGAAACAGCATCTCTACTGAAAATATAAAAAAAATTGGCTGGGTGTGGTGGCGGGTGCCTGTAATCCCAGCTACTCGGGGAGGCTGAAGCAGGAGAATCACTTGAACACGGGAGGCGGAGGTTGCAGTGAGCCAAGATCATGCCACTGCACTCCAGCCTGGGCGACAGAGACAGACTCCATCTCAAAAAAAAAAAAAAAAAAAAAAAAAGAGGGACACAGACCACGCAGTAAACAAAATGGTAAAGGTCTGGTCTGGTCTGAGAGGTGAGGGGCTGTATCAGCACAGCCCACCCCCACCCGACTGATCTGGAGGGGTGACCTTTTTCCTGCATGCAAAGGGCAGAAAAGTGTGGTGAAGGTGGACGGAACACAAAAGTCAGAGCCTGGCGTATCTGAGCTGGCAGAATGGCTGGAGCTGGTGGGAGGGGATGTGGGGGAGGTGGGATCCTTCAGGTCCCTGAAAGCCAGTCATGAGGTCTTGGAATTTTAAACTGAGGAATGAGGAGGCAGTGGAGGGTTTTAAGTGGAAGGAGTAATTGAAATTGAGGGACATTTCACAGAACTGGTCTGGACTCTTAAAAAAATGTCAATGGCATGCAAGGCAGAGGAAGGCGGAGAACTGTTCCTGATTAAAAGAGACTGGAAAAATGCAACTGCTAAAGGCAATGTATGGCTCTCTATTGGATCTTGGGATCAGGGAAGAAATTGCTACAAAGAACATCATTGGGACAATTGACAAAACTGGAATATGGACTGTAGATTAGTTGATAGTATCAGATCACTGTTAGGTTTTATGAAGTGGATAACTGTGTGTGGTTCTGTAAGAGAATGTCCTTGTTCTTAGGAAATAAGAATACTGAAATGTGGGCCGGGCGCAGTGGCTCACGCCTGTAATCCCAGTACTTTGGGAGGCTGAGGCGGGTGGATCACGAGGTCAGGAGATCGAGACCATCCTGGATAACATGGTGAAACCCCGTCTCTACTAAAAATACAAAAAAATAGCCGGGCGTGGTGGCGGGTGCCTGCAGTCCCAGCTACTCTGGAGGCTGAGGCAGGAGAATGGCGTGAACCTGGGAGGCGGAGTTTGCAGTGAGCCGAGATCGCGCCATTGCACTCCAGCCTGGGCGACAGAGTGAGACTCCGTCTCAAAAAAAAAACAAAAGAAAGAATACTGAAATGTTTACGGGCAAGGGACATAGAGTCTACAACTTGTCCTCGGAATGGTTCAGGAAAAGAAAAAATATCTATTTTATATCTATAAATATACATATATAATATATATATTTATGGGAGACGATGGTACATCAAGTATCATATCAAAAAAGACAGTGAGGCTGGGCACGGGGTTCATGCCTGTAATCCCGGCACTTTGGGAGTCTGAGGTGGGCGGATCACCTGAGGTCAGGAGTTCGAGACCAGCCTGGCCAACATGGTGAAATCCCATCTCTACTAAAAATACAGAAATTAGCTGGGTGTGGTGGAGGGCACCTGTAATCCCAGCTACTTGGGAGGCTGAGGCAGGAGAATCACTTGAACCTGGGAGGTTGCAGTGAGCCGAGATCGTGCCACTGCACTCCAGCCTGGGAGACAGAATGAGACTCCATCTCAAAAAAAACAAATAAGACAGTGAGAGCAGTTCACAGTTGTTGGATCTGGTGAAGGTCATAGGACCATTCATTGTACTATTTCAAACTTTTCTCTGAATTGGAAATGATTTCAAAATAAGCATTTAAAGAAAAACTAGGGGCTGGGCATGGTGGCTCATGCCTGTAATCCCACCACTTTGGGAGGCCTAGGCGGGTGGATCGCTTGAGGCCAGGAGTTAGGAGAGAAGTCTGGGCAACATAGCAAGACCTTGTCTTTACAAAATGTTTAAAAAACTAGTTAGGCATGGTGGCGAATGCCTGTAAATCCCAGCTACTTGGGAGTCTGAGATGGGAGGATTGCTTGAGCCCCAGAGATCCAGGCTGCAGTGAGTTGTGGTCGCACCACTGCACTCACAGTGGTCTGGGCAACAGAGTGAGACCCTGTGTCAAAACATAAAAGAAACGAGGCTGGGTTGCTAGCCAGAGACAGTCTGGTAGACGAGGAGAGAAGCAGGAGGTAATTAGGAGGTGTTGGTTACCAGGGAGGGAGGCTGGAGGTGTCCAGGGTTATGGCCCTTTGGAGGTTGGGCAGGTAAGACGGATGGGGAGAGGAGGGAAGGAGGGAGGAGAACTCAATGGCTTGGGTGCGAACCACTTGTGGAGGGATGGGGAGGGGCAGATTTGAGGACAGGCTGGGGACTGGGCATTCTTGTTTTGGATGTGGCTGGCGGGGGCTGCTCTTGGCTCCCCGGCATGAACCAGTCTGTGGTCTGGCCCAGCTCCTCCCACCCTCTCATGTACTGTAGCCTTGTCCTCCAGCCAGACCCTTGCCCCGGCTTTTCAGGCATCCCAGCTCAGCTTTTTACGGGATGGGCTGGAGCTGTTCTCAGCACAGGTCTCGGGCCTCCCCAGGGCCTGCTGGGAGCCCTGGTTAGTGGTCAGTCAGGGCCAGGGTCCTTACCACCTCTGCTGCCCACAGAGGCCTGGCATGTGACTTGGGAGGAAGTCTAGGCCACTAGGTGGGAGCCACTCAAGTGTCACCTCTCCCAGGCCACCAGTGTACTCAGCATTGCATGTGAGGTTTTTTCAGGGGATAAGCAAAATGGTGGACCCTCAGCCTGGGGGGAAACCCTGACTTCCCACATCTTCACCAACCATTTGACACATTTCTGAGCATTTTGGGGGTCCCTGGAAGCTCCTGGTAATCCCCAGATAGAACACTGCTCCATCTAGAGGCAGGATGGCCTCCAAGCTGAGGTGTGGATGTTGTTTCTCCAGTTAAAGGGCATGTGATGACTTTCTAAACCTCAATTTTTTCATCTATAAAATGGGTTCATTAGAGTGAATGAGTTCATTTGGTGGTTGTGAGGTTTGTTTTTATTTTTTTATTTTTATTTTATTTTATTTTATTTTTTTGAGACAGTGTCTCGCTCTGTCTCCCAGGCTGGGGTGCGGTGGCGCGATCTCAGCCCACTGCAACCTCCACCTCCCGGGTTCAAGCGATTCTCCTGCCTCAGCCTCCCAAGTAGCTGAGATTACACACGCCTGCCACCACTCCCGGCTAAATTTTGTATTTTTAGTAGAGATGGGGTTTAACCATGTTGGCCAGACTGGTCTCAAACTCATGACTTCAGGTGATCCACCCACCTCGGCCTCCCAAAGTGCTGGGATTACAGGCGTAAGCCACCATGCCCAGCCGAAAATTCATTTTCTGGAATTAATGTCTTTTTTTTTTTTTTTTTTTTTTCATTTGGAATTTCTTAGAATATCTGGCTTCCAGTTTCTCTCTCTCTTTTTTATTAAGACGCTGGGTCTCGCTCTGTTACGCAGGCTGGAGTGTGGTGGCATTCTCGTGGCTCACTACAGCCTCAACCTCCTGGGCTCAAATGAGCCTCCCACTTCAGTGCCTCCTAAGTAGCTAGGACTACAGGTGCGTTCCACCACACCTGGCTAACTGTTAAATTTTTTTTAGACATGGGGTCTCTCGCTATGTTGCCCAGGCTGGTCTTGAACTCCTGAGCTCAAATAATCCTCTTGCCTGGACTTCCCTAAGTGCTGAGATTATAGGTGTGAGTTACCATGCCCAGCCAGCCTTCTGGTCCCTTGATGCATTTTTTTCACTTGTCATATCTATTGGATGAGCTGCTTTGTTTTTTTTGGAGATTTCCTTCCTGGAATTTTCCATCTTCCTTCTCTAGTCTGGTTGGCCCGGTTCTTGGGTGTGCTGGAGAGCCATTGTTCTTCAGACTCCCTTTGCCTCTCTCCTGTGTGTCTGATTCCCTTGCCTTCCCGTTTCCTGTTTTACTCCCTTCTTTCTGTAGAGCACATCCTGCGGTGGCTTTCTGTGAAAGGGTGAGAGGAAGGCAACGTTTTTGGGTCCTAGTATGCCTGGAAAATGCTTTTGTTCTACCTTCACACTTGAGTGCTATTTGGGAAATACTTTCCCTCTAGGAATTTTTTTTTTTTTTTTTTTTTTGACAGAGTCTTGCTCTGTCACCCAGGCTGGAGTGTGATGGTGTCATCTTGGCTCACTGCAACCTCTGCCTCCCGGGTTCAGGTGATTCTCCTGCCTCAGCCTCCTGAGTAGCTGGGATTACAGGTGTGAGTCACCACACACGGCCTTCCCTCTAGGATTTTGAAAGAATTGCAACATCACCTTCCATATTCGACTGCTACTTTTCAGGAATATGATGCCATTTTTGATTGCTGATCTTTGTGTATGAACCTTTCCCCACCTCCCCCTTCCTTTTCTTTTTTCTTTTTTTTTTTTTTTTTTGAGATGGAGTCTCACTCTGTAGCCCAAGCGGGAGTGCAGTGGCACGATCTCAGCTCATTGCAACCTCCACCTCCTGGGTTCAAGCGATTCTTCTGCCTCAGCCTCCCAAGTAGCAAGTAGCTGGGATTAACAGGCATGTGCCACCATGCCCGGGTAATTCTGTATTTTTTAAAATGGAGACGGAGTTTCACCATGTTGGCCAGGCTGGTCTCAAACTCCTGACCTCAAGTGATCCACCTGCCTCGGCCTCCCAAAGTGCTGGGATTACAGGTGTGAGCCACCACGCCCAGCCTTCTCCTTTCTTTTCTCTCCTCTTCTCTTTTCTCTTCCCTTTTTTTTTTTTTTTTTTTTTTTTGAGATGGAGTCTCACTCTGTTGTCCAGACTGGATTGCAGTGGCGAGATCTCAGTTCACTGCAACCTCCACCACGGGTTCAAGCGCTGAAGCCTCAGCCTTCCAAGTAGCTGGGATTATAGGCTTATGCCACCACACCCGACTAATTTTTGTATTTTTAGTAGAGATGGGGTTTTACCATGTTGGCCAGGCTGGTTTCGAACTTCTGGCCTCAGGTGATTGACCCACCTCGGTCTCCCAGAGTGCTGAGATTACAGGCGTGAGCCACTCCGCCTGGCCACGGTTATTGTTATTCTTCATCACTGTTCTGAAATTTCATGTTGATATGTTTTGTTATGGGGTCTTTTTGCATTTACTGTCTTGGGTGCTGCATAGACTGTAGCAAACTGGAAACTCAAGACTTTCATTCTGAAATTTTTTGTATTATTTTTATTTTTAAATTTCCTTCCCAGTATTTTTGCTATTCTCTCTAGTATTCCTATTAGTTAGATATCCTGGGTCTCCTGGGCTAATCATTGAATTTTTTCTTTTCTTTTTTTTTTTTTTTTTTTTGAGACAGAGTCTTGCTCTGTTGCCCAGGGTGGAGGGCAGTGGCATGATCTTGGCTCATTGCAACCTCTGCCTCTTGGGTTCAAATGATTCTCATTCCTCAGCCTCCCGAGTAGCTGGGATTTCAGGCGTGTGCCACCATGCCTGGCTAATTTTTGTATTTTTAGTAGAGATGGGGTTTCACCAGGTTGGCCAGGCTGGTCTCAAACTCCTAGCCTCAAGTGATCTGCCCGCTTCAGCCTTCCAAAATGCTGGGATTACAGGTGTGAGCCACTGCGTCTGATCTGATCATTGAATTTAAAAAAAAATTTTTTTTTTTTTTTGAGACGTAGTCTTGCTCTTTCACCCAGCCTGGAGTGCAGTGGTGCGATCTCGGCTCACTGCAAGCTCCACCTCCCGGGTTCATGTCATTCTCCTGCCTCAGCCTCCCGAGTAGCTGGGACTACAGGCACCGGCCACCACGCCTGGCTAATTTTTTGTATTTTTTTTTTTTTTTTTTTTAGTAGAGACGGGGTTTCACCATGTTAGCCACGATGGTCTCGATCTCCTGACCTCGTGATCCACCCGCCTCGGCCTCCCAAAGTCTGGGATTACAAGCGTGAGCCACTGCGCCTGGCCTTCTTTTGTATTTTCTATATCTTGCAGTTTCTTCTTTCTAGGAGATTTTCTTAATATTTTCTTAATGGTATCTTCTAACCTTTCGATTTAATTATTATTATTTTTTTGAGACAGGGTCTCCCTGTGTTACTGGGGCTGGAGTTCAGTGGTGCAATCACTGCTCACTGCAACCTTGAGCTCAAACGACTGGGGCTCAAACGATCCTCCTGCCTCAGCCTTCTCGGACTACAGGGGTGCGCCACCACGCCTGGCTAGTTTTTGTCGAATTTAATTTTTAAATTTGAGCTATCATATTTTTATGTCCCAAGAGCTCTTATAACCTGAGTTTGCTTTTTTTTTTAATAGCATCCTGTTCTTGTTTCATGCATACATTAATTCCCATTACTAGGATATTAATTGTATTTTTTTCCCCTGGCGTTTTCTTCTTTCATGCATTGTCTTTGTTTTCTCTGAGTCTTTTTTCTCTTTTCTCTTTCACCTTGGAGACTTCCCGTGGGCACCTGCTGATAATCATTCTCAGGTGCCCCTTCTTTAAGAAAAAGCAGATGGGATTCAGATGTAAGGGTGGGGCTTGTTGGCCATTGAGGAGCTTCTTGAATGCCCTCTGTAAAAAGATCTTTCCTTGTTGACCTTGTATATCTCACAGGCAAGAATTCAGCGGTTTCTTGTCTGTTGACGTTGAAGCCAGGCTGTTCCTGTCCCAAGAGCTGAGTGTGCATGTTAAGGTTGATGATTCGCACTCTGATTCCTGTTTTCCCTTTGGTCCACACCCTAGTCCTGAGAATGCATACCCTCAGTGGTTCCATCTTTCCCTAGTAAACAGAGGGGTCAGTGCTTCTGTGGTGAAACCAACTCTCTTGTCCTCAGCTTTTCCGTGATCCCTGGCTTTACAGGTACTAGGGTCTCTGGATTCAGTCTCCAGAATTGCTGGTTTCCTGGTTGTCTGCTCCAAGCCTAAGTGTTTCTTTTCCCCACTCTCCACTGTGCCAGGCCGCACATCTCTTGTCTCTCTGCTTTCTTGCTTCCAAATGGTTTTTTTTTCTTTCTGTTTTTTGAGACGGAGTCTCATTCTGTCACTCAGGCTGGAGTGCAGTGGCGTGATCTTGGCTCACTGCAACCTACCTCCACCTCCTAGGTTCAAGCGATTCTCCTGCCTCAGCCTCCCGAGTAGCTGCACGCGCTGCCACACCCGGCTAATTTTTATATTTTTAGTAGAGACAGGGTTTCATCATGTTGGCCCGGCTGGTCTCAAACTCCTGACCTCAGGTGATCTACCCGCCGTGGGCTCCCTAAGTGCTGGGATTACAGGCGTGAGCTATGCGCCTGGCCAGGGGGATGTTTCCTCCTTTCCACTTCTCTCCTATTTTGCTTTCGTTCCATTTTTTTTTTTTTTTTTTGAGACGGAAGTCTTGTTCTGTCGCCAGGCTGGAGTGCAGTGGCACGATCTCAGCTCGCTGCAACCTCCGCTTCCCGGGTTCAAGAGATTCCCCTGCCTCAGCCTCCTGAGTAGTGGGGACTAGAGGCGCGCGCCACCACGCCCAGCTAATTTTTGTATTTTAGCAGAGACGGCGTTTCACCATGTTGGCCAGGATGGTCTCGATCTCCTAACCTCGTGATCCACCCCTACTGCGCCCGGCCACTTTTGTTCCTTTTTGTATTACTGTCATTTTTGTGAGGTTCTGGTGTTTGGGAAAGGATTTGTAAAGATCAAATACTGTGCAGTCTCTTGTAGGCTCACACTCCTTCTCTTGCTACTTTGCCTGGGAGATCTGGTTCTTTTGTCTCTGCTAAGAGGCATCTGATGTCTTCTAGCTTTTTCTGGAGCAGTTCCTAGAAGGCCCTCCACCCCTACCTCTTTTTCCACCCTGGGAGGTGGAGTCTCGGTAGGGGGGAAACCAGTCACTGGGGAAATCCTTTGTGATTGCATGAGAATTGACAAAGTCTGGAGCCCTAGGGGCAAGGCTGAGATGGACGTATTTGCATATCATTGGCTGGCCTGAGGCCTTGACCTCTCCTTGGCCGCCTTTGGGATTCCCTTTATTTAAATTCGAACACTTATTTTGTGGGCTGGGTACCTGATTGGAGCAAGACAAAGTCCCTGCCCATATTTGAGGATGGGAGAGGGACTGGAATTAAGCCAGAATTGCCGGCTGGTGCTGTGATCCCAGGTGGGGAGTAACTGGGAGCCCAGCTTGATGGATCTTTGGGAATCTGCTCACCTGGTGGGGAAGTCAGGGATGGCTTTCCGCTGGAGCGGAGGCTGGAGGTGTAGGAGGGGCAGGATGGGGTGAAGAGGTTGGGGTGGGCCTCCCTCCTCCCTGGGGCCAGCCCCCAGGCTCTCCTGCCCCAGGTGGGGCAGGGCTGAAGCGGGTTGATCTGGGCTGGTGGCTACTGCAGTCTTGGTCCTGGTTCTGGTCCCAGCATAGCTTGGAGGAGACTGCAGCCTCGGACTCTCACCTGCCTCTTTTCTGCGCCGATGGGAGTTCCAGAACGGCGGCGGTGGCCACAGGTCTGATAGCCCAGCCGCAGTGCCAAGGACGTGCAGGGTGAGCCCCCTGTCCCACCACCCCAGCCTCGAGCTCTATCACCGGAGTGTGGGGGTGCCCCAGACGTCCCTGCGAGGCCGGGGCACAGAATCTTGCCATTTTAGGCTCAGAGAGTGTGAGACGCCCACCCCCAGGTCCCACAGCGGGAGGTGAGGGGTTCAAGGCCCTAGCTCCCTGCAGGAACGCTGGGGGCTGGCAGGGAGGTGGGGGTGTTGATAGGAATTTGTCTGTTTTCCTTTTTCACTTCTTGGCTCTTCTTTTCTTTTCTTTTTTCTTTTCTTTCTTTCTTTTTTTTTTTTGAGACAGAGTCTCGCTCTGTCGCCCAGGCTGGAGTGCCGTGGTACAATCTCGGCTCACTGCAACCTCTGCCTCCTGGGTTCAAGTGACTCTCCTGCCTCAGTCTCCTGAGTAGCTTCAATTACAGGCATCTGCCACCATGCCCAGCTAATTTTTGTATTTTTAGTAGAGACGGGGTTTCACCCTGTTGGCCAGGCTGGTGTCGAACTCCTGACTTCAGGTGATCCGCCCGCTTCTGCCTTCCAAAGTGCTGGGATTAC
Source organism: Homo sapiens (assembly GCF_000001405.40). Classification (NCBI taxonomy): domain Eukaryota; kingdom Metazoa; phylum Chordata; class Mammalia; order Primates; family Hominidae; genus Homo; species Homo sapiens. Next base: position 5,406,592 of record NC_000007.14, on the reverse strand, counting down.
AGGCTTGAGCCACTGGGCCCGGCCTCTACTTACTGCTTTCTGTCTCTGTGAATGTGAGTACTGTAGGTACCTCAAAAGTGGCATCACACACAGTATTTGTCTTTAAAAACATTAAAAAAAAATTTTTTTTTGAGACAGAGTCTCGCTCTATTACCCAGGCTGCAGTGCAGTGGCGCAATCTCGGCTCACTGCAACCTCCGCCTTTTGGGTTCAAGCAGTCCTCCCACCTCAGCCTCCCGAGTAGCTGAGATTACAGGTGCCGCCACCACAATGGGCTATTTTTTGTATTTTTTGTAGAGATGGGATTTCACCATGTTGGTCAGGCTGGTCTCCAACTCCTGACTTCGAATGATTTGCCCGTCGGCCTCCCAAAGTGCTGGGATTACAGGCGTGAGCCACTGCACCTGGCCCTAGTATTTGTTGTTTATGTCTGGCTTATTTCACTCAGCTTCATGTCCTCAAGGTACATCCACGTTGTTGTGGAATGTATCGGATTGTCCTTCCTTTTCAGGGCTGAATAATATTCCACTGGCTGGATGGACCCCATTTTGTTTATCGATTTGTAGATGGACAGCTGGGTTCTTTCTACCCTTTGACTGTTGTGAATAGTGCTGCTATGAACATGGGTGTGCAAATACGTGTTCGAGTTCTGGATTTCAACGTCTGCATACTTTTCTATTTTTATTTTTTAAAATAGAAACGGGTCTCTTGATGTTGCCGAGACTGGTCTCAAACTCCTGAGCTCAAGTGATCCTCCTGCCTTGGCTTCTCAAAATGTTGGGATTATGGGCATGAGCCACTGTGCCTGGGCTAATTTCTGTATACTTTTTATTTTTATTTTTTGTTTTTGAGACAGAGTCTTGCTCTGTTGCCCAGGCTTGGAGTGCAGTGGTATGATCTCGGCTCATTGCAACCTCCCCCTCCTGGGTTCACGTGATTCTCCTGTCTCAACCTCCCGCGTAGCTGGGACTACAGGCACAAGCTACCATGTCTGGCTTTTTGTTTTGTTTTGTTTTGTTTTTTTGAGACGGAGTCTTGCTCTGTCACCCAGGCTGGAGTGCCGTGGCACAATCTCGGCTCACTGCAACCTCCGCCTCCCGGGTTCAAGGGATTCTCCTGCCTTAGCCTCCTTAATAGCTGGGATTACAGGTGCGCACCACCACACTTGGCTAATTTTTGTATGTTTAGTAGAGACAGGGTTTTACCATGTTGGCCAGGCTTGTCTCAAACTCCTGACCTCAAGTGATCCACTCGCCTCAGCCTCCCAAAGTGTTGGTATTACATGTGTGAGCCGCAGTGCCTAGCCTTGGCTAACTTTTGTATTTTTAGTAGAGACAGGGTTTTGCCTTGTTGGCCAGTCTGGTCTTGAAATCCTGAGCCCAAGTGATCCTCCTGCCTCAGCTTCCCAAAGTTCTGGGATTATGGGTGTGAGCCACTGTGCCCAGCCTAATTTCTGTATACTTCTTTTTTTTTTTTGAGACGAAGTCTCACTCTGTTGCCCAGGCTGGAGTGCAGTGGCAGAATCTCGGCTCAGTGCAACCTCTGTCTCCCAGGTTCAAGCAGTTCTCCTGCCTCAGCCTCCCAATAGCTGGGACTACAGGCGCATGCAGCCACACCCAGCTAATTTTTTTTTTGTATTTTAGTAGAGACTGGGTTTCACCGTGTTGTCCAGGCTGGTCGTGAACTCCTGAGCTCAGGCAATCTGCCCGCCTCGGCCTCCCAAAGTGCTAGGATTACAGGCATGAGCTACCGTGCTCCGCCATTTCTGTATACTTTTTAGAGACACCTTTTCATTTTATACACACACACACACACACACACACACACACTGAAAGTGTGCATGCGCTGCTGGGGTTTTGATGGGGATTGCATATGGAATCTGCAGATCATTTTGGCTGCAGCGAGCATCCCAGTAAGTAGGTCTGCCTGTTTCCTTGGGAGGGATCCCCAGAAGTGGGTCTGGGCGCCTGCAGTCCTCGGTAAGCCTTGCGGATTTGTTTTCCAAAAGCTGGAGATGAATTGGCTCAGTTCTCATCCTTCCCGGGCAGCTAACCACCCAGCGCCCTCCACAACTAGAAGCAAAAATTTGCTGATTTGATGGAATGAAAATGACATCACTGTTTCAATACTTCTTTGTAATGCTAATGGCCTTGAAATTTCGATGGAGTTTAGCCATTTACAGGTTCTCTTTTTCAAATTGCCTGGGATTCTTTTTTTTTCTCAAGACGGAGTCTTGCTCTGTCGCCCAGGCTGGAGTGCAGTGGCGTGATCTCGGCTCACTGCAACCTCCGCCTCCCAGGTTCAAGCAGTTCTCCGGCCTCAGCCTCCTGAGTAGCTGGGATTACAGGCATGTGCCACCACACCCACCTAAGTTTTGTATTCTTAGTAGAGATGGGGTTTCACCACATTGGCCAAGCTGGCCTTGAACTCTTGACCTTGTGATCGAACCGCCTTGGCCTCCCAAAGTGCTGGGATTACAGGCATGGTCCACCGCCCCCGGCCCTGCCTGGGATTCTTATGGCATTCTGAGAATCTTTATATAGCCAGAGTGTTAACCCATTCTTTGGCTTAGATATTACAGAACTCTCTGGATCTTGTGATCTATGGGAGTTTGAAGGTCATTCTATCTAGAGGGTCCTTGCAGGATTTTTAGCTGCTATCTCGGAAACACCTATGTTACCTGTCAGTGTTTAGGGCCAGAATAATGCCTTTCCTGGGTGACAATTCTGGTTTGACTGAGTCTATGAGATGCTCTGATAGTCTGTTGACATTTTAAGGGATGCAGTTTTTTTTTTTTTTTAAACAGACAGGGTCTCACTCTGTTGCCCAGGCTGGTGTGCAGTGGTGCAACCATAGCTCAATGCCTCTAATTCCTGGGCTCAAATGATCCTCGTGCCTTCAACCTCCCACGTAGCTGGGACTACAGGTGTACACCACTAAGCCTGGCTAATTTTTTAATTTTTTTGTATAGATGGGGTCTTGCTAGGTTGCCCAGGCTGGTCTTGAACTCCTGGCCTCAAACGACTCCTGCCTCAGCCTCCCAAAGTCCTAGGATTGACAGGTGTGAGCCACCACACCGCAGTCTGGGATGCAGTTGTTGTGAGAGGTCAAGATGTTTTAAAACGTGAAGATAAACCGGGCATGGTGGCTCACGCCTGTAATCCCAACACTTTGGGAGACCGAGGCGGGCGGATCACCTGAGGTCGAGAGTTCGAGACCAGCCTGACCAACATGGAGAAACCCCGTCTCTACTAAAAATACAAATTTAGCTGGGCGTGGTGGTGCATGCCTGTAATCCCAGCTACTCGGGAGGCTGAGGCAGGAGAATTGCTTGAACCCGGGAGGTAGAGGTTGCGGTGAGCTGAGATCACGCCATTGCACTCCAGCCTGGGCAACAAGTGAAACTCTGTCTCAAAAAAAAAAAAAAGTGAAGATAAAATGTAATGTGTTTGGTTATGAAGGGCTGTCTGGGATTGAAAATGTGCAACCTATGTCTAACAGACGCTTCTGCTTTGTCTGGGTGGTGCGGCTGAGTGGAGAAGTGTAGGTTTGGGAGTGAGAGCCTCAGTCTCTTTATCTGTAAAAGGGACACCAATCCCTCTCCCCGTTGACAGGAGTGGGGAGCACAGGGTAGAGAAGCAGGTCCCAGAGAATGCTGCAGGGAAGGCCTGGGCACCCTTCCTCCAGCTAATCAGGACCTTGCCCCCCCATTCCACACCATAAATATATTTTTTTTTTTGAGACAGAGTCTCACTCTGTCGCCGAGGCTTGAGTGCAGTGGCACTGTGTCGCCTCACTGCAACTTCTGTCTCCTGGGTTCAAGCAGTTCTCCTGCCTCAGCCTCCCGAGTAGCTGGGATTATAGGCGTCCACCACCACGCCCGGCTAGTTTTTATATTTTTAGTAGAGATGCGGTTTCACCACGTTGACCAGGCTGGTCTTGAACTCTTGACCTCAGGTGATCTGCCTGCCTCGGCCTCCCAAAGTGCTGGGATTACAGGCGTGAGCCACTGCGCCCAGCCGCATAAATATTATTTTCTAATTTTTTTTTTTGTCTTTTTGAGACAGGGTCTCGCTCTGTCACAGGCTGGAGTGTGGTGGCGCGATCTCGGCTCACTGCGACCTCCGCCTCCTGGGCTCAAGTCATTCTCCCACCTCAGCCTCCTGAGTAGCTGGGATTACAGGCCCACACCGCCATGCATGGCTAATTGTTTTTAATTTTTGTAGAGATGGAGTTTCACCGTGTTGCCCAGGCTGGTCTCAAACTCCTGACCTCAAGTGATCTGCCTGCCTTGGCCTCCCAAAGTGCTGGGATTACAGGCATGAGTCACTGTGCCTGGCCTAAAAAAAATTTTTTTGGGATGGGGTCTTGCTCTGTTGCCCAGGCTGTTCTTTTTTTTTTTTTTTTTTTTTTTGAGACAGAGTCTCGCTGTGTTGCCCAGGCTGGAGTACAGTGGCATGATCTCAGCTCACGGCATGCTCCGCCTCCCGGGTTCATGCCGTTCTCCTGCCTCAGCCTCCGGAGTAGCTGGGACTACAGGGGCCCGCCACCACGCCCAGCTAATTTTTTCTTTTTGTTTTTAGTAGAGACGGGGTTTCACCGTGTTAGCCAGGATGGTCTTGATCTGCTGACCTTGTGAGCTGCCCGCCTCGGCCTCCCAAAGTGCTGGGATTACAGGTGTGAGCCACCACGCCCGGCCAACCAGGCCGTTCTTAAGCTCCCGGCGGTCCTCCCACTTTGGCCTTCCAAAGTGTTGAGATTACAGGCATGAGCCACTGTGCCCAGTTCCTACCGTAAATACTACTTGAGTACCTCCGATGTGCAGCATAGGACTAGGAATAAAAAATAACTCGTAGCATACCTAGTAATGCTGGGGTGAGCAGTCTAGCCAAATGTGGCCCACGTCTTGTTTTTGTAAATAAAGTTTTATTGGTACAGAGCAACGCCCAATCGTTTACTGTCTGGGTGCTTTCCTGGCAACAGGCAGCAGACACCCTTTCAAAGAAAAGCTTGCTGTCTTCAGTGGGCAGAGACAATAAGGAACTAACACCTGTGATAACAGGTGATAAGCAGTGGAGAAAAACATTTCAGGAAAGGGCGTGGCAGGGTAAGTTGCAATGTGAAAAAGGACAGGGAAGGCTGAGCTGTAAGAGAAGGGAGTGAAGGAGTTAGGGTATAGACAGGCGGGAGTGTGCAGGGTCTTCCCTGTATATCTGGAGGGAGGACCTGATTCAGGGCGAGGGGCAGAGGTGGGCCGGAGCTACTCTGGACTAGCCCATTGGCAGTGACAAAGCCTTCTGGTTCTTTGCTGTTTAAGGAACTTATATCCCTATCATGATCACATGCAGCCCCCCCGCCCCCCCCCGACTCGAACCAGGGAGGACTTCAGGTGCCCACCATACAGTTTCTAGAAGGGTCCCCAGCAACTACTGTTGCAGAGGGAAGATTGCATTGGTGGGCCAGACATGGTGGGTGAGTCACTCGGCCTCCCAAAGCATTGGGATTACAGGCGTGAGCCACCGCACCTGGCCTTAGTTTTAATTTTTAATAAATTTTTTTTGAGACAGGGTCTTGCTCTGTCTCCCAGGCTGCACGAAATCTCAGCTCACTGCAGCCTCAGCCTCCTGTGCTCGAGCAATCCTCCCACCTCAGCTTCCAGGGTAGCTGGGTTACAGGCGTGCACCACCACACCCGGTTAATTTTTTTGTATTTTTTTGTAGAGATAAGAGTCTCTATCAGCCCAGGCTGGTCTTGAACTCCTGGGCTGAAGTGATCTGCTGCCCACCTTGACCTCTGGTAGTGCTGAGATTAAAGGTGTGAGCCACCACGCCAGGCTACAGCTTGCATTTTTTTCATGGAGGTGAAATTCACGTGGCATACAATTAACCATTTGAAATGTGTATACTTTAGTGGTGTTTGGTGTATTCATCCTGTGTAATCACCAGCTATCTATGGTTTCAAAATTGAATATTTATTTATTTGAGAGAGAGTCTCACTCTGTCGCCCAGGCTGGAGTGCAGTGGCGTGATCTCGGCTCACTGCACCTTCCACCTCCTAGGTTCAAGTGATTCTCCTTCCTAAAAACCTCCCGAGTAGCTGGGACTATAGGGACACGACACCATGCCCGGCTAATTTTTGTATTTTAAATAGAGACGGAGTTTCACCATGTTGGTCAGGCTGGTCTAGAACCCCTGACCTCAGGTGATCCGCCCGCCTCTGCCTCCCAAAGTGCTGTGATTACAGGCATGAGCCACCACTCCCAGCTCTGAATTTTTGTTTTAAGCAAGGACAAATGGCATTTGGCTAGAAGCAGACACGGACTCTGACCTTGTAGTAGGTGCTTTTAGCTTCTCTGAGCTCCAGGGTTTGTAACCATAAATAATAACAATAATCATAGACCAGGCTCAATGGCTCAGGTCTGTCATCCCAGCACTTTGGGAGGCCGAGGTGGGAGGATCGCTTGAGCCCAGGAATTCTAGACCCCAGACTTCGCAACATAGTGAGATCCTGACTCTACGAAAAAGAAAAAATAAAAATGAGCTGTACATGGTGGTGCACACCTGCAGTCCCAGCTACTCAGGAGGCAAAGGTGGGGCGATTGCTTGAGCCCGGGAGGTTGAGGCTGCAGTGAGTCATGATCGCACCACCTCAGCTCCCCAGGTAGCTGGGACTATAGGCGCCTGCCACCACGCCCAGCTAATTTTTGTATTTATAGTAGAGACGGGGCGGGGGCGGGGGGTGGTTTTCGCCATGTTGGCCAGGCTGGTCTCGAACTCCTGACCTCAAGTGATCCACGATCCACCCGCCTAGGCCTCCCAAAGTGCTGGTATTATAGGTGTGAGCCATCGTGCCGGCTGTGTGTTTTAGGTTTTTTTGTTTTTGTTTTTGAGACACAGTGTCGCACTGTTGCCCAGGCTGGAGTGCAGTGGCGCGATCTTGGCTCACTGCAGCCTCTGCCTCCTGGGTTCAAGCAATTCCCCTGCCTCAGCCTCCTGAGTAGCTGGGATTACAGTTGTGTGCCACCACGCCCGGCTAATTTTGTATTATTGGTAGAGATGGGGTTTTACCATGTCTGCCAGGCTGAACTCCTGGCCTCAAGTGATCTGCCCGCCTCGTCCTCCCAAAGTGCTGGGATTATAGGTGTGAGCCACTGTGCCCAGGTGTGTGTTTTAGGTTTTGACGGTCATTGGTCTTAGCTTCTAAGGTGTCGGGTGAGATAATAACTGGGGTGAGTAGGCGGCAGCCAGTTACTTGATTTGGGGAGCCAGGTCTTGAGCTCAGCCTAGGGCGAGAGGCAGGGAGACCCCCATACCGCAGGTTGGTATGAGGGATTCCAGTCAAGTCTTTCGAGAGGCCAGTGAGCTCTGGGCCTAACTCAGTGCCCCCTGGCACCCTGAGGCTTGCATCCTTCTTGGTGAAACGGGGGGATGGCAACTGCTCGGTCCTTGGGTGTGGGTGTGAGCAGTGGGTGGGGCAGGGGGGCACTGTGGGGGCTTGGAGTATAGTCTAGAGATGGAAGGAGACCAGGCAGGATGGCCTGGCATGGGCTGTGCTTCTTCGGGGTTTATTTTAGAGCCTCTTTTGTGAGTTGCGGGATGCCTTGATCCTCTCCTCACCCTAATGTGTATCTCTTTGCGTTGGCCCTGGGAACATTGGAAATCACATTTATGGCTGGACAGGGTGGCTCATGCCTGTAATCCCAGCACTTTGGGAGGCCAAGGCAGGAGGATCGCACGAGGCCAGGAGTTTGAGACCAGCCTGGGCAACATAGTAAGACCCCATCTCTACAAAAAAGAGAAAGAAAAAAATTAGTGGGGTGTGATGGTGTGTGCCTGTGGTCCCTGCTACCCAGGAGGCTGAGGCTGGAGGATTGATTGAGCTCAGGAGTTGGAGGCTGTAGTGAGCTATGATTGAGCCACTGCACTACAGCCTGGGTGAACAGAGAGAGACCCTGTCTTTAAAAAAAAGAAAAGAGGCCGGGCACGGTGGCTCATGCCTGTAATCCCAGCACTTTGGGAGGCCAAGGCAGGAGGATTGCTTGAGGCCTGCAGTTTGAGACCAGCCTGGGCAACATCGCAAGACCTCATCTCTGCAAAAAAGAAAAAGAAAAAAATTAGCTGGGTGGCCAGGCACGGTGGCTCACGCCTGTAATCCCAGCACTTTGGGAGGATGAGGCGGGTGGATCACCTGAGGTTGGGAGTTCGAGACCAGCCTGACCAACATTGAGAAACCTCATCTTTACTAAAAATACAAAATTAGCCAGGCGTCGTGGGGTATACCTGTAATCCCAGCTACTTGGGAGGCTGAGGCAGGAGAAACACTTGAACCCGGGTGGCGGAAGGTGCGGTGAGCCGAGATCGCGCCATTGCACTCCACCCTGGGCAACAAGAGCGAAACTCCCATCTCAAAAAAAAAAAAATTTTTTTTTGCTGGGCCTGATGATGTGTGCCTGTGGTCCCAGCTACCCAAGAGGCTGAGGCTGGAGGATTGATTGAGCTCAGGAGTTGGAGGCTGCAGCGAGCTATGATCGAGCCACTGCACTGCAGCCTGGGTGAATTGAACAGAGTGAGACCCTGTCTCTAAAAAAAGAAACAACACTCGTGCAATTGGGTAATCCCAAATAGAAGTATGTCCTGGGTGGCAGGTCACAGGTGGCAGGTTCCAGCCACTGTGATATGGCAGGAAGTAAGGAAGATAGTCCCCGCCCTCAAGGAGGGAACTGTCTCTCGGGGAAGACAGAGGCATGAAATCCACAAGGAGGCTGGCAGATCTGTTTCCGAGGGGTTGTGGGTGGTCACAGGTCACTTGGGGCCTGCTTGGGTCGTGTGGCTGTTGGAGGCTTCTCTGGGGCCCAGGGAGACCCGAGGTGGGAGTGAAGGAGGAGCATTCTAGGAGGCCTGGGAGTTCGTGCCTGACGGGCCAGGCGGGAAAGGGGCAGGCTCCTGACGTGACCAGGGAGAAGTTTGTTTGTTCTGGAGAGTGAGGTGAGGGGGGTGGCACGCTGGCCTCATCGCCATAGCTGAGTGGGGATTGTGTGTCCATTTTACAGAGTGGCAGACTGAGGCACTGAGAACGGCACTGCCTTGCTGGGGATGCTGGGGGTTCCCGGCTGCCCCGCCCAGCCTGGGAGGAGGGGCTTTGGGTGCCATTGAGCCCTGTGGTGGGCAGGAGCCGTTGGCTGGCATCCGGGCCTGGGTGCTGCTGGGCGGGTTTCACAAGCCCGGGCAGGGGCCGGCCTGGGCCATTAGGCTTCCGTGCAGCCTGCGGCAGGAAGAGCTGGCGGCTGATGTAAGCTCTTGCGCAAACCCTGGCTGCTGGCTTCCGGAGCCTTCTACCCACCCGCCTGCCACAGCAAGGCGGAAGCCCGGGGCTCAGCAGGGCTTGGAGGCCCTGCTGCCCCGGCTTGGGCCGCATGGATGAACTGACTGGCCACCGAGGCCCCGGGGCCCGAGGGCTTGGCGCTGGAGTCCGGTGAGGGGGCTGGGCCTGGCTGGACTGGAGTGTTGGGGGCCGGACACGGGGTGGTGGTGATGGCGTGTGGCCCGAGGGCACCCCTTGCTGCTCTGCCCACTCCTGTCTTTGGGGCCCAAGGTGGAGGCCCTGCCCTTCTTTGCCTCAGTTTCCCCACATGTACCCCAAAGAAGATGGGTTGGATATTCTGGGATCCTGTGCCCCTGGGAGGCGGTCAGTGAGCACTTGTATACAGGCCCTTTATTGGGGAGAAGGGAGGCACTGGGGACTCAGAGGCTGGACTGGGATCTGTGAGCTCCCACAGGCTGGACCGGGGCCATCTAGGAGCCCACATCTCCTGCAAAGCCACATAACTTATCCATGCCCCCTGTAAACAGTGCTCACAACACAGGGCCTTAAAGGAGGTAGCTCTAGGGTACACACGGAATCCCTCCGCTGGGGGCTGGCCAGTGGTAGCACCCAGCTGGAGGTGCTTTGCTGCCACCTCCTGAGGGTGTTGCTGGGAGGATTTGAAATCAGCTGCACGGTGCCTGGTGCATTCCAGCTTTTAGCGAATGGGTGCCATGGCTGGTTATTGTTATTATTTATATTTTGAGTCCAGGTCTTGTTCTGTCGCCTGGATTGGAGTGCAGTGTTGTAATTGCAGTCACAGCTCACTGCAGTCTCCCAGCTCCTGGGCTCAACCCATCCTCTCGCCTCAGCCTCCAGAGACTATAGGCGAGAGCCACCTTGCCCGGCCTGTTGTCATTATTTATCATTATATTGTTTTTTTTTGAGACGGAGTCTCACTCTGTTGCCCAGGCGGGAGTGCAGTGGCACGATCTCAGCTCACTGCAACCTCCACCTCCTGGGTTCAAGTGATTCTCCTGCCTCAGCCTCCCGAGTAGCTAAAATTACAGGTGCCTGCCACCACGCCCAGCTAATTTTTTGCATTTTTTTTTTTTTTTTTTTGAGACAGAGTCTCTCTCTGTCGCCCAGGCTGGAGTGCAGTGGAGCGATCTCGGCTCACTGCAACCTCCGCCTCCGGGCTTCAAGTGATTCTCCTGCCTCAGCCTCCCGAGTAGCTAAAATTACAGGTGCCCGCCACCACGCCCAGCTAATTTTTAGCATTTTTTTTTTTTTTTTGAGACGGAGTCTCTCTCTGTCGCCCAGGCTGGAGTGCAGTGGAGCGATCTCAGCTCACTGCAACCTCCGCCTCCCAGCTTCAAGCGATTCTCCTGCCTCAGCCTCCCGTGTAGCTGGGACTACAGGTGCCCGCCACCACATCCAGCTAATTTTTTGTATTTGTCTTTTTAGTAGGGGCGGGGTTTCACCATGTTGGTGAGGCTGGTCTCTAACTCCTGACCTTGTGATTCGCCTGCCTTGGCCTCCCAGAGTGCTGGGATTATAGGCTTGAGCCACCGTGTTCGGCCTCATTATATTGTCATTGTGGTTAAACACATGCTTCCTTCCCTATCATTCCCGAAGGGAGGCATGTTTATCTCCATTTTGTTGATGTGCAAACCGAGACCTGGTAAGGGAAGCCCCGTGCGCCAGGGCCTGCATGCTTCTCTCTGACCTGTGACCCAGAGGCCTGCCAGGGTCTTCCCTTAGAGGGGATGGCGTTTGGGGCTCGTGGGACAGAGCCCCTGGGTGGCAGCTGGGAGGCACCCTGTCCGATGTGGGCCTGGCCACGTGGGGCATGGCGGGGCTGGCTGTGGCTTCCACCCAGGCCCTGCTGATTTCCATCATGTTTCTGAGCAGCAGTCTGCCCCGTGGCCCCTATTGGCAGTGACCCCGGGGTGGGGCCTGCTGTCTGGAGGGGTTGCCCTCCACGGGGCTCCCTTAGCGGCCCCCACGCCTGCCGCTCCATTCATCACGGATTCATTCCCTAAGCCACTGTGGCTCGGTGGTGCCAGCCATGGGCTGGGGGACACCCTGCAGGGCTGCATTCTGAGTCCCTGCTTTCTGGCTGTGTGACCTGGCACTTCCCATCTCTGAGCCTCACCTTCTTTTTCTGTGAAATGGGCACACGGGGCTGGCTAGGGCTGCTGTGGGAGGTGATTCTCTGGCTGGAGGGTGGGTGTCCTCTCTGGGCCTGCAGAGCTCAGCATATGAGCCCCCCGCCTGTAAGTCCCCCACCGCCTTGCCCTGTGGCCTCTGGAAGTCCCAGTGCGCCACCGACTTCAGGATTCCACCTGCAGATGGGGAGAATGGTGCCGGGCCGGATCTGGGCTGGTTGGGCGGCAGGGGTGGAAGGCCCTCCTCCGAGGGTGCGGGGTGCCCAGGGCTGAGGGTCTGCTGTGGGGGGCTTCCTGCCGTATTGTGCTTTCTCAAGCCCTGGGTCTGGTTGGGTTGATCCAGGACCATCTTGCAGCCCAGGGGTGGGGCCGGAGCAGGGGAACCCTCTTTGGTCTCCTGGCCAGCATCAGCTCCACACAGCTGGGGAGAGGCGGCGGTCTCGGGGCGGTGGGTCGGGGCGGTGGGCTGGGGCGGCGGCGCCTCCCTGGTTGTCTGCCTGACGGTCCTCCCAACTTCTCTCTGCAGGCGAGGCCTTCTTGGGCAGCTTTGTGGCCAGCGGGATGGGGCCCTCGGCCTCGTCCCATGGGAGCCCAGTGCCACTGCCCTCTGACCTGTCTTTCCGCTCCCCAACCCCTAGCAACCTGCCCATGGTGCAGCTGTGGGCCGCCCACGCCCATGAAGGTAAGGAACATGCCGGGGTCGGGGCTGAGGGCTGCTGGGCTGACGTCCCAGCCACTCTGGCCACTTCATGTGCCCCTCTGTTGTCATCGCTGAGCTGGGGCTGGTGGGTCCCAGGTCACCTGGCTTCCCTGTTGTTTCTCAAACGCTCAGGGCTTCTTCTTGTCACTGTCACAGGGCATTTGTATGAGCTGTTTCCTCTCCTTTCAGCCTGACACCCCATGCCACAGACCACCTTCCAGTCCTCCTCCGGCTCAGCTCAGAGACCCCCTCTTCCGCACCCACTTCCATCACTTGCTTGTGACGACAGATTATCTCATCATTCATGAACTACCCGCTTTCCCACCGGAGTGAGCCCTGAGTTCAGGGCCTAGTGTGATCTACTCAGCACTGTATCCCTGGTACACAGTAGGCTCATTAATAATTACAGGAGCAGGCCGGGCATGGTGGCTCACAGCTGTAATCCCAACAGTTTGGGAGGTGGAGGTGGGAAGATCACCTGAGGGCAGGAGTTCGAGACCAGCCTGGGCAACATAGCAAGACCCCATCTCCACAAAAAAAATTTCCCAGAGCGGGGGGACCTGGGGCTGTTGGGGCCTTTTCTTCTGCATTTCTGCAGCCATGCCCCTCAATGTAGGGGCTCTGCAGGCCTGGCTTCCCCGGGGTCGTGAGCAGATTCTGGATTTCTCTAGAGCCTCACTTTGATTTTCTGCCTGCAAAGGAATGGGCCTGCAGACCTCCAAGCTCCTCTGTCTTCTCTGGCTTTGACAGGTTCTGGATGTTGGGCGCTAGGTACTTCCTTCTCCCTCCTCCCTCCTTCCTCCTTCCTCCTCCCAGGTGTCCTGTAGGTGCTCGTGGTTCCTGGAAGGTTGCAGCCCTGGAGCTCCTGCTGCAGGCTTAGGGCTCTTCCGGCCCTCCCCAGCCACTCTCCCTCCACTTCCTCCTGCGGGGCCAGGTCTGACCGTCATCCCGAATCCTGCGGCTGCTGTGTTCAGCCCAGGAGGAGACAGGTTCAGCCAGAGGCGTCTCTAGTCACAGGACCCCATCCAGTCCTTACAGTACTTTGCCCATTGTACAGATGAGGTCAGCGAGTCTGCTCTTCCTGGACACTCTGGGGAAGGCATCTGAATCCAGGCACGAGGGTGCCCAGCCTGCACAGAGTGGGCCTTCTAGGCTGGGGTCGCACCTGAGCCTCCCACTTTAACCAGCCAAGGCAGATGCCAGAGGGTCTGGATGAGGAGAGCCTGCCTCTCGGGACTGTCTGCCACCAGCTCACTACCTCTCTGTCCCTGAGACTTTTCTCTTTGGCCAACAAATCCTAGTGATGACCACAAACACACAGGGTGCTTACCACAGCCCAGTGCACACTCAGCTCACTTCAGCCTCAGAGCCAGCCCTGCCCGGGGGAGGGACTGTTAGGCCCTTTTTTTTGAGACAGGGTCTTGCTCTGTCGCCCAGACTGGAGTGCAGTGGTGCAATCTCAGCTCACTGCAACCTCCGCCTCCCAGGCTCAAGCCATTCTCCCACCTCAGCCTCCTGAGTAGCTGCGACTACAGGTGCACACCATCACGCCCGGTTAACTACTGTATTCGTTTTTGGTGGAGTTGGGGTTTCACCATGTGTCCCAGGCTGGTCTTGAACTGCTAGGCTCAAGCGATCGTCCCACCTTGACCTCCCAAAGTGCTGGGATTACAGGCATGAGCCACTGTGCCCGGCCTATTAAGCCCATTAGGTCCATTTTACAGACGGGAGAGCAGAGACCTGATGCCTGTGTGGGAGAGCTGTTTTTTTATTGTTGGTTGTATTTTACTTATTTATTTATTTTTTGAAATGGAGTCTTGCTCTGTCGCCCAGGCTAGAGTATATAGTGGCACAATCTTGGCTCACTGCAACCTCTACCTCCCGGGTTCAAGCAATTCTCCTGCCTCAGCCTCCTGAGTAGCTGGGATTACAGGCGTGCGCCACCACGCCTGGCTAATTTTTGTATTTTTAGTACAGACAGGGCTTTACCATGTTGGTCAGGCTGATCTCGGTTCACTGCAACCTCTGCCTCCTGAGTTCAAGAGATCCTCCTGCCACAGCCTCCTGAGGAGCTGGGACTACAGGCGCCTGCTACCACACCCGTCTAATTTTTTGTATTTTTAGTAGAGATGGGGTTTCCCCATGTTGATCAGGCTGGTCTCGAACTCCTGACCTCGTGATCCACCCAACTCGGCCTCCCAAAATGCTGGGATTACAGGCATGAGCCACTGCTCCGGCTGGGAGTGCTGTTTGAATGATTGGATGAGAGAACAGGTATCGGGTAGCCCTTTTGTTTGTGGGTGTTGTCAATGGCATGATTATTGACAAGGCGGTGCTGGAGAGAAGACATCGGCCCAGTGGACCAGGGACAGGTCCTGCATCCCTGGCCTTAGCAGGGGCAGCTGGGTATGGGGTACCTGAGTCCCTGAGAGATCTCTAATTGGCCTGGGATCCCATAGGACTCTGGGCTTAGGCAGAGAATCAGGACCCTTACCCAGCACCCTAGCACCTGCCTGCCTCTTAGGGCTGTCATTCTGTGTGCCCTTTAAAAAAAAAAAACTATTTAAATTTTTTTTTTTTTTTTTTAAATAGAGATGGGGTCACACTATGTTTCCCAGGCTGGTCTCAAACTCCTGGGCTCAAGCAATCCTCCCCCATCGGCCTCCCAGAGTGCTGGGATTAAAGGTGTGAGCCACCATGCCTGGCCTCTGTGTGCTCTCTTAGGTGACTTCTCCTCTCTCCATGGCTACCCCTTCTTTCTTTGTCCTGCAAGGTCCCAATTCTGTTTATTTTTATTTTTAAAAAATTCTGAGCCGGATGTGGTGGCTCACACCTGTAATCCCAGCACTTTGGGAGGCTGAGGTGGGTGGATCACTTGAAGCCGGGAGTTCGAGACCAGCCTGATCAGCATGGTGAAACCCCATCTCTACTAAAAATACAAAATTAGCCGGGTGTGGTAGCAGGCGCCTGTAATCCCAGCTCCTCAGGAGGCTGTGGCAGGAGGATCTCTTGAACTAAGGAGGTGGAGGTTGCAGTGAACCGAGATCCTGCCACTGCACTCCAGCCTGGGCCACAGAGTAAGACTCTGTCTCAAAAAAAAAAAAATCTGAATAGTTGAAGTCAGCACGTCCTGATGCTGGTGCTGGGCATTGCTGGTGAGGGGGTGGCCTTTGGGGAGGCGGGGAGGATCCTTGGTGGGAGGAATTCCTTCCTGGCAGCTCCTGCCTGGGAGACCCAGCAGCTGAAGATGCTGGGTCCGCTGAGGTTCAGAGAAGGCAGGTGACCAGCTTGGGGTCACACAGCAGAGAAAGGGCCTGTGTTAGGCTGAGGTTAAGAGTCCTGGCTGCAGGGTTCGATGGTCTCGATCCAAAGCCAGGCAGCTCTGCTGTATCGTCTTGGGCAAGTGGCCTGCTCTGAGTTTTCTCGTCTTTAAAGTGAGGACATTAAGTCTCTTCCTTATAGGTTGTTTTTGAGGTTTAAATGAGGATGACAGTGGCAAAGCTCTTGGTCATGTTTGGTAGGCTGTTATCGGGCCCCGCTAGTTGGATCCATTCTGATCCTCTTTCTGGGGGGGACTGGAGACCCCAGTCCCCCGTGAGGGCTGCCTGGGCCTGGAGAGAGACCCAGGGTTGGGGAGCAGGAGAATGCATTGCCCTGAGGAGCTGCTGTTAAACCTCAAGGCGCCCTGTACCAGCGGTCGGCTGCCAAAATAGTTTATTTCCAGGAGCTGGAAGGAAGCTCCTGGTGAGCAGCACGAATTGGCCCAGCCCAGCTTTTCTCTTTTCTGTTACAGGCTTCTCCCACCTGCCCAGTGGGCTGTACCCATCCTACCTCCACCTGAACCACCTGGAGCCCCCCAGCAGTGGGAGCCCCCTCCTCAGCCAGCTGGGTCAGCCCAGCATTTTCGATACCCAGAAAGGTCAGGGGCCAGGAGGAGGTAAGACTGGAGTCCGGGGTTGGGGGTGGCACAGGGGCCTTCTGAGAGGCTTCTGGGGCCTTTGGCAGCATCCAGGTAGCCCCCAGCTCTGTCCAGGATGCTGGCTTTTTTTTTTTTTTTTTTTTTGAGACAGGGTCTCACTATGTTGCCCAGGCTGGAGTGCAGTGGTGCGATCATAGGTCACTGCAGCCTCAAACTCCCAAATGATGCACCTGACTCAGCCCCCCAAGTAGCTGGGACTGCAGACACACCCCACCACAGCCAGCTGACTTTTTAACTTTTCTGTAGAGGTGGAGTCTTGCTGTGTTGCCCAGGATGGTTTCAAACTCCTGGCCTCAAGCAATCCTCCTACCTCGGCTTTCCAAAGTGCTGGGATTACAGATGTGAGCCATTGTGGCCTAAGATGCTTTTTTGAGACCTGAGTCCCTAAGACCCCCCACAGGCTCCTTGGGCCCACCCACAGCCCTGGGTGCCTTCTGGTCACACTGTCCTCTTAGGGGCCCTGCTAGGCCTTCCGGGCAACTTTGAAAACAAACCCTGGTCTCTCCTTTTACAGATGAGGAAACTGAGGCTTGGGAAGGGTAGATTTAAACTTGGTTGTAGGTATTTCCAGAGCCTGCGCTCTCTAGGGCTGGGACGCCCATTTCTTCTTGCCCTGGGGGGTGCCTTGCCTTGGTGTGAAACCTCGGGGCTCCCTGCACCGAAACCGTTTAATTTCCAAGAAAAAACACTGGGTCGAGTGCGGCTCAAGCCTGTAATCCCAGCACTTTGGGTGGCCGAGACGGGTGGATCACCTGAGGTCAAGAGTTCAAGACCAGCCTGACGAACATGGTGAAACCCCACCTGTATTAAAAATACAATAATTAGCCGTGCGTGGTGGGGTGCGCCTGTAATCCCAGCTACCGGAGAGGCTGAGGCAGGAGAATCGCTTGAACCCAGGAGGTGGAGGTTGCAGTGAGCCAAGGTTGCGCCACTGTACTCCAGCCTGGGTGAGGAGAGCGAGACTCTTTCTGAAAAAAAAAACCAAAACCAAAACACTGGGGGAGGCATGGGTTGGTCCATCCCCCTCTCAGGGGTCCGCCTCCGCCCAGGCAGGGGTGGGAGGGGAGGTGGCGCTCGCTCACTGCCTGCTGTTCCCTTCTCCGCAGACGGTTTCTACCTGCCCACCGCGGGGGCTCCGGGCTCCCTGCACTCTCACGCGCCCTCGGCCCGGACCCCTGGCGGCGGCCACTCCTCGGGCGCCCCGGCCAAAGGCTCGTCGTCGCGGGACGGTCCAGCCAAGGAGCGGGCGGGCCGCGGCGGGGAGCCGCCTCCGCTTTTCGGCAAGAAGGACCCGCGCGCCCGGGGCGAGGAGGCCTCGGGGCCACGGGGCGTGGTGGACCTGACCCAGGAGGCGCGCGCCGAGGGCCGCCAGGACCGGGGGCCCCCGCGCCTGGCTGAGCGCCTGTCGCCCTTCCTGGCTGAGTCCAAGACCAAGAATGCGGCGCTGCAGCCGTCGGTACTGACCATGTGCAACGGCGGCGCCGGGGACGTGGGGCTGCCCGCGCTGGTGGCCGAAGCGGGGCGCGGGGGTGCCAAGGAGGCTGCCCGGCAGGACGAGGGCGCGCGGCTGCTGCGGCGCACGGAGACCCTGCTCCCTGGGCCGCGCCCCTGCCCCTCACCGCTGCCCCCGCCGCCCGCGCCCCCCAAGGGGCCTCCTGCACCCCCCGCGGCCACCCCCGCCGGCGTCTACACCGTCTTCCGCGAGCAGGGCCGTGAGCACCGCGTGGTGGCGCCCACCTTCGTGCCTTCCGTGGAGGCCTTCGACGAGCGCCCGGGGCCCATCCAGATCGCATCCCAGGCGCGCGATGCCCGGGCCCGCGAGCGCGAGGCTGGCAGGCCAGGGGTCCTGCAGGCGCCCCCCGGCTCCCCGCGGCCTCTGGACCGGCCCGAGGGCCTGCGCGAGAAGAACTCGGTCATCCGCTCGCTCAAGCGGCCGCCCCCCGCGGATGCCCCCACGGTGCGGGCCACACGCGCCTCCCCGGACCCCCGCGCCTACGTGCCTGCCAAGGAGCTGCTCAAGCCCGAGGCGGACCCGAGGCCCTGCGAGCGTGCGCCCCGCGGCCCAGCCGGTCCTGCAGCCCAACAGGCCGCCAAGCTCTTCGGCCTGGAGCCCGGGCGCCCCCCGCCCACCGGCCCTGAGCATAAATGGAAACCCTTCGAGCTGGGCAACTTCGCCGCCACGCAGATGGCCGTGCTGGCCGCGCAGCACCACCACAGCCGCGCCGAAGAGGAGGCCGCCGTGGTCGCTGCCTCCTCCTCCAAGAAGGCCTACCTGGACCCTGGGGCTGTGCTGCCCCGCTCGGCGGCCACCTGCGGCCGGCCGGTCGCTGACATGCACTCTGCGGCCCACGGGTCTGGAGAGGCCTCGGCCATGCAGAGCCTTATAAAGTACAGTGGCAGCTTTGCCCGGGACGCCGTGGCCGTGCGCCCTGGTGGCTGTGGCAAGAAGAGCCCCTTTGGAGGTTTGGGCACCATGAAACCCGAGCCTGCGCCCACCTCTGCGGGTGCCTCCCGAGCCCAGGCCCGTCTCCCACACTCCGGAGGCCCTGCAGCGGGCGGCGGCCGGCAGCTGAAGCGGGACCCCGAGAGGCCCGAGAGCGCCAAAGCTTTCGGGCGCGAGGGCTCTGGTGCCCAGGGTGAGGCAGAAGTGCGACACCCGCCTGTGGGCATTGCAGTGGCTGTGGCCCGGCAGAAGGACAGTGGCGGCAGTGGCCGGCTGGGGCCTGGGCTGGTAGACCAGGAGCGCTCTCTGTCGCTGAGTAACGTCAAAGGTAGGTCCTGGGCAGAGCCCAGGTGCGGGTAGGATCTTGGGTCTCTCTGCCGTTTCCCGTACATTACAGTGTGGGCCCTTTCCCTTTGCTATTGCTAAGTCTTTATAAGTATCATTTTTTAAAATGGTCTTGAATGTTCTGTTGCGAGCATGTACCATGGTTCAGTTTTCCACTCCCTTGATGGGCATTTTCGTTTGTTCCTTCTCCGATGTTTTGTGTTCGGAACGTTGCTTTCAGTCTTTGTGTGCATCGCACCTTCGTGATACTTTCAGTCATTTCCTGAGAACAGATGGTCTTGGGAATAGACAAATATCAAACCTTCAATTTGAAGTCATCGAGGGACCTAACTGTGCCTTACCGATTCCAGTGTCCCCGGTACCTAGCCAGCCTGGGCTCTGGCACGTAGTAGGTGTTTGATGGATGAGTGAATGAGTGAGGAACAGACAGAAACTGGGGTTCCAACATCCTCACGGTCTTGATACTCAGTACTTGAGTGACTTTTTAGGTAGGTAGAGAGTTTACGTGCCTGTAAGTGGTTTATGAGTATCTGTTATATTTTGGATTCTTTAGAATTGTTTTATTTATTTATTTATTTTTGAAACGGAGTTTCACTCTTGTTGCCCAGGCTGGAGTCCAATGGCACGATCTCAGCTCACCGCAACCTCCGCCTCCCAAGTTCAAGTGATTCTCCTGGCTCAGCCTCCAGAGTAGCTGGGATTACAGACATGTGCCACCATGCTTGGCTAATTTTGTGTTTTTAGTAGAGACAGGGTTTCTCCAAGTTGGTCAGGCTGGTCTCGAACTCCTGACCTCAGGTGATCCGCCCATCTCAGCCTTCCAAAGTGCTGGGCATTACAGGCGTGAGTCACTGCCCCCAGCCTGTTTTATTTATTTTTAGTTTATAAATTATTATTTTGTTTTAGAGATAGAGTCTTGCTCTGTTACCCAGGGTGGAGTGCAGTGGTGTGATCATAGCTTACCGTAGCCTTGACCTCCTGGGCTCAAGCGATCCTCCAACCTTAGCCTCCCAAGTAGCTGGGACCGCAGGTATGCGCCACCACGCCCGACTAATTTTTTCTTTTTCTTTTTTTTTTTTTGGAGACAGAGTCTTGCATTGTTGCCCAGACTGGAGTACAGTGGTGCCATCTTGGCTCACTGCGACCTCTGCCTCCTGGGTTCAAGCGATTGTGCCTCAGTCTCCCCAGTAGCTGGCATTACAGGTATGCATCACCATGCCTGGCTAATTTTTGTATTTTTAGTAGAGATGGGGTTTTGCCATGTTGGCCAGGCTGGTCTCAAACTTCTGACCTCAGATGATCCGCCTGCCTTGGCCTCCGAAAGTACTGAATCTCCTACCTGTGTCACTTTTTTTTTGTTGTTTTTTGAGATGGAGTCTCGCTCTGTCACCCAGGCTGGAGTGCAGTGGCACAGTCTCTGCTCACTGCAACCTCTGCCTCCTGGGTTCAAGCGATTCTCCTGCCTCAGCCTCCCGAGTAGCTGGGACTACAGGTGCGTGCCATCACGCCTGGCTAACTTTTGTATCTTTTAGTAGAGACAGGGTTTCACCATATTGGCCAGGCTCGTCTCAAACTCCTGACCTCAAGTGATCCACCCGCCTCGGCCTCCCAAAGTGCTGGGATTACAGGCATGAGCCACCGCATCTGTTTTTTTTTTTTTTTTTTTTTTTTTGAGACAGACTTTTGCTCTGTTGCCCAGGCTGGAGTGCAATGGCATGATCTTGGCTCACTGCAACCTCCGCCTCCTGGGTTCAAGTGATTCTCATGCCTCAGTCTTCTGAGTAGCTGGGATTATAGGTGCACGCCACCATGCCCAGCTATTTTTTTGTATTTGTTTTTCTTTAGTAGAGACAAGGTTTCACTGTGTTGGCCAGGCTGGTCTCAAACTCCTGGCCGCAGTTGATCCACCTGCCTCAGCCTCCCAAAGCTCTGGGATTATAGGTGTGAGCCACCATGCTTGGCTTTTTTTTTTTGGATGGAGTCTCGCTCTGTCACCACGCTGGAGTGCAGTGGTATGATCTTGGCTCACTGCAACCTCCGCCTCCTGGGTTCAAGTGATTCTCCGGCCTCAGCCTCCTGAGGAGCTGGGGTCACAGGCACCCGCCACCATGCCCGGCTAATTTTGTATTTTTTTTTCTTTTTTTTTTTTTTTTTTTTTTTGAGACGGAGTCTCGCTCTGTCGCCCAGGCCGGACTGCGGACTGCAGTGGCGCAATCTCGGCTCACTGCAAGCTCCGCTTCCCGGGTTCACGCCATTCTCCTGCCTCAGCCTCCCCAGTAGCTGGGACTACAGGCGCCCGCCACCGCGCCCGGCTAATTTTTTGTATTTTTAGTAGAGACGGGGTTTCACCTTGTTAGCCAGGATGGTCTCGATCTCCTGACCTCAAGTGATCTGCCCACCTTGGCCTCCTGAAGTCCTGGGATTACAGGCGTGAGCCACCGCGCCCAGCCAGCTGTGTCACTTTCCCACCACCCTGATGCCTGCCCCAGCCGGTCCTGGGTATCTGGTGCTGGACCTCCCGCCTGCAGTGCCCTTCCCACTTCCTGCACAGCCATGTCTCCCCATCCTCTGTGCCTTCACCTCCCGGTGGAGCCACCTTGGACCGGGCCTGTCTCTGGCCGAGCTCCAGATGCTCCTGCCTTCCGGGGACGGCCCTGAAGTCTTTGGATTTTGAGTTGGGAGGTGGGGCTCTGTCAGGCTTGTCTTGGAATTCTCTTCATCCAGCAGGGCTGGCTCATGGTGAGCGATGCTCAGTGAGTGTTTGTTGACTGACTGAATGAACACACTGCTCTGTGTGGAGCTCCTGGAGCCAGGGAAGCCCCGCTACACTCTGACCCTGGGGCTTTGCATGAGAACCTGCCTTATTCTGGGACAGAAGGAGGGAGGGGCCAACAGCGCTTGGATTGGAGGTGGCCAGCTTGGTGATGGAAAAAGGTCTCCTGCTCAGAGGTTTGGGGCTGTGGGCCCCCCTGGGAGGCAGGAGATCTCTTTGAGCCTTTCTCTGGAAGGATCCTCCCGTCACATGGGGTGGCACCTTTGTTGGGGGCTCACGGTCACTGGAGTCCATCTGAGATCCCAGAGTACCTGTCTGTGCCCAAGAGGCTGTGCGTGTGTTTGTGTGGGGGAGGGGGACATGCGAATGTGAGGGAGGGAGGGAGGGTGTGCCAGAGGTTTGGGATGAGATGTTTGGGGATTTATCTGAAGCTGCTCTTCTCTGTTGGTGCTGATGTTTGAAAAGTAGGTGACTGGTTGGGGGCTGGGTATGGTGGCTCAGGCCTGTAATCCCAGCACTTCGGAAGGCCAACGTAGGAGGATCACTTGAGCTTAGGAGGTTGAGGCCAGCCTGGGCGACCTAGCAAGACCTTGTCTCTACAAAAAATAAAAATAGGTTGGGCGTGGTGGCTCACGCCTGTAATCCCAGCACTTTGGGAGACCGAGGCGGGTGGATCACCCGAGGTCAGGAGTTTGAGATCAGACTGGTTAATGTGGTAAAACCCCGTCTCTACTAACTAAAAATACAATATTAGCCAAGTGTGGTGGCACATACCTGTAATCCCAGCTACTTGAGAGGCTGAGGCAGGAGAATGGCTTGAACCTAGGAGGAGGAGGTTGCAGTGAGCTGAGATCGTGCCATTGCACTCCAGCCTGGGCAACAGAGCGAAACTCTATCTCAAAAAAAAAAAAAAAAAAAAAAAAATCACCCGGGTATGCTGGTGTGCCTGTAGTCCCAGCTACTTAGGAGGCTAAAGTGGGAGGATAGTTTGAGCCCAGGAGGTCAAGGCTGCATTGAACTATGATTGCACCACTGCGCTCCAGTCTGGGCAACAGAGTGAGACCCGGTCTCTAAAAGAACAAAAAAGTAGGGGGCTGGATTCTTTCTCTCCTTAAAAAAAAAAATCCCATAAGAAGTGGTCATTTCTCTCTGGGCAGTCCAGCCTGAGTGCTGAGCCACTTTGAAAGGAGGGAGGAGAGAGACGCCCTGGGACGCCTGTGTCTGGGCAGTTCCCCCAGCTGAGGACAGTCGGGTTGTCACACTGGTCTCCTGGGTTCTCGCCCCAGTCTCTTGCTTTTTGGAGCGAGCCCTCTGCCTTTGTCAATGGGTTTAAGTCCAAGCTCTGCCCTTTGTAGCTACGTAACCTTGAACAAGAGCCTCGAGCCCTCTGGCCTCTGGGGGCGGCTCATCTGCTTGATGCTGGGTGGGCTGACGGGCACATAGTGGGTGCGTTATAAACGCCTCTCTCTCATCTGCTCATATTCAGGCATTAGGGTCTTAGAATGCACCTGCCTGTGCAGGGGAGCCCTGGGTCTTCCTGTTCTCACATAGGATCTAGGTCTGGCCTCAGGGGGCCTTGGACCTTGAGATGGATGAAGGACAGGCATTACCTACATTTGTGAGCCCCACGCAGTCAGAGCCCCCATGCCCAAGAAGCTAAGAACGATAAGGGGCATCCTTGCCAGATGCGGCGGCTCATGCCTGTAATCCCAGCTCTTTGGGAGGCCAAGGTGGGCAGATCGCTTGAGCTCAGGAGTTGGGAGACTAGCCTAGGCAACATAGTGAAACCCCGACTCTACAAAAATAAAAATAAAAATAAATCATCCGAGCATAGTGGTGTGGCATCTATAGTCCCAGCTACTGGGAGGCTGAAGCAGGGAAGGATCACCTGACCCCAGCAGGTCGAGGCTGCAGTGAGATCGCACCACTGAGCCCCAACCTGGGTGGCAGAGTAAGATCCTGCCCCCACCCCAAAAATAGAAAGCAATCGTTGCCGTTGAGCCAGCAGCCCGTATGAACAGACAGCTCCATGAGGTCTCCTGTGAGGGCGTGGACCTGTGCAGAGGAGGGGCTGTTACTCTCCCCATTCAGATGGGGAGACAGGCCTGCAGGGATGAGGCAAGGCTGAGCGGGGAGCCCTGAGCTGAGTTTTGTCTTTCCTACCTCTTCACTGGCCCATCACCTCTAGGGTGGGGCCAGGTCTGGGAGGGAGGGGCTGTGGGGATGTCCCCACCTCCAGCTTCACAGGGGGCGGCTGGGGGTGCAGAGCCGGGTGTACGCCATGGTGTTGGTGACAAGCCTGCTGGGGCCTCTATCCAGTCACTCCCCCCCGATCCGCTTCCCCGGACCCCTGGAGAGCAACCCTATCTGGAACTGCTCAGAGAGAGGCCAGGAAGGGGTTGCCATGGGAACGGGGCCTCTGCGTGAGCCTTGGGTTCCTAATGGCTGCGATGTGGGGCGTGTGACCTGTGAGTGGAGTCGTTAGCGCTGCAGACTCGGGGGCTTTTGCTGCAGGACACCCTCACCCCACCATGGGCCCTGGGCTGGGGCTGGGCCTCTGGGCGGCCTGCAGAGAGGGGGCGGCAGTGACGTGGCTGGAGAGGGCCCTGTGGCACTCCCTGTGTGGGGCCGTGTATGTTGGTGGTCAGCAGGGCCGACTTGGACGCTGATCACAGCCATGACGCCTCCATGTTAGTCTTGTGACTTGGGCATGTTTCTTTATCTCCCTGTGCCTCAGTTTCCTCATCTGGAAGATAGGGATGAGGGCTGGGATCTGCCTCCTGGGTTGATGGTGATTGAATGAGTTCATGTTTGCAAAGTGGCCTGGGGCCCTGCTGGGCACAGGGACAGCCTTTGTTTATTTATCCACTTTATTTTATTTTTTATTTTTATTATTTAATTAATTAATTTATTTATGAGATGGAGTCTCACTCTGTCGCCCAGGCTGGAGTGCAGTGCTGTGATCTTGGCTCACTGCAACCTCCGCCTCCCGGGTTCAAGTGATTCTCCTGCCTCAGCTTCCTGAGTTGCTGGGATTACAGGCACCTGCCACCGTGCCCAGCTAATTTTTGTATTTTTAGTAGAGCCGAGGTTTCACCATGTTAGCCAGGCTGGTCTTGAACTCCTGACCTTGGGTGGTCTGCCCACCTTGGCCTCCCAAAGTGCTGGGATTACAGGCGTGAGTCACTGCACCCGACCTGAGTTTACTTTTCTTTCTTTCAGTCTTTCCTTCTTTCCTTTCTTTTTCTTTTTTTTTGGAAACAGGGTCTCACTCCGTTGCCCAGGTTGGAGTTCAGTGGTGCAGTCATGGCTCACTGCAGCCTCGAGGACACAGACAGTGAATGATCAATAAGCAGAATAGCTGTGTATAGTCAAGAGAACGTGATGGAGCAGAGGTGGTCAGGGAGGGCTTCCTGGAGGAAGTGGCACTTGAAGCTGAG
The DNA here is from genome assembly GCF_000001405.40 of Homo sapiens. NCBI lineage: Eukaryota > Metazoa > Chordata > Mammalia > Primates > Hominidae > Homo > Homo sapiens. Next base: position 5,381,441 of record NC_000007.14, on the reverse strand, counting down.
CTCTGATGGTGGAGGTCCAGGTGGTGGGAATGGTGTGTGTGTGGCCCAGAGGTGGGGAAGGGGACAAGTGTGACATGTGCAGAGAGGGTGGGGCATCCTCGAGAGGCCGGCCAGGTCCCCACTTGGGCCTGTGGGGTGACAGATAGGACCAGGATTAGAGCGGATGGAGGGCCACAGAGTGAGGAGGGTAGAGGAGGGGCCCGGCCAAGCGCAGGGGTGGGGGACAGAGGGCTCACTATCTCTCTTCAGAGGCCAACCACATTTGCAGGGAGCAACCTGGGGCTGTGGCCCTTGAGGCCCTGAGGGTGGCAGGTGCTCTGATATGGGGCTGGCCAGCAGACTGGCTTCTGTGGCAGGTGGCGCTTGGGATGGGAAGCCCCTGAGACCATTCACAGTGACAGCCGGGACAGTCGGGGGGACAGAGGGCTTGGGGCAGCCCAGGCTGCACTCTAAGTGCCTGCCTCTTCTGGGGGCACGGGGAGAGCCCTGTGCTCAAAGCTTGTCCCAGACTCCAGGAGGACCCAGGGGGCGTGAGGGTGGCCCCCTCAGGTGGCTGAGCCTCTGGGATTCTGTAAGCTGGGACGGCTGTCTCCCCTGGGAGAAGGAAGCTTGATCTCATGACTCGATTTCTCAGCACAGCTGTGGGACTCTGGAGTGGCCCTCCGTTGCCCCAGTCCTGCCTGAGACCTGTCACTGCCCTTCTGGGCCTCAGTTTCCCCGTGAGGTCCACAGGCAGGGCCCCTTGCAGTCCTGACTGAGGGGTGCATGGTGGGCTCAGCTTCTGCTTTGATACAGGAGCTACGTTGATGTTGGAGGTCCAGGTAGCCCTGGAGGCCCGTGTCCAGGCGCCCTCGTCAACACGCTTCTCCCCGTGCCGGGCTGCCCGGCTGTCCCTCCGTACACTCGGTCCTGCAGGCGTCTGGGCCGGCATGGCTGTGCCCCTCTCTGGGTTCCTCTCTTCTGCTTCTGGGACTGGTGGGTTCCCACCTTCCTGCAGGGAAAGGGAGATGCTCTGTGGCCTAGGCTGGAGTATGGTGGTGTAATCACAGCTCACTGCAGTCTCCACCTCCTGGGCTCAAGCCATCCTCCTGCCTCAGCCTCCTAAGTAGCTGGGACCACAGGGGCATGACACCATGCCTGGCTAATTTTTTATGTTTTTGTAGAGATGGGGACTCACTGTGTTGCCCAGATTGGTCTCAAACTCCTGGGCTCCAGTGATCCTCCCACCTCGGCCTCCCAGAGTGCTGGGATTACAGGCGTGAGCCATTCTGTCGGGCCTGGGGTGCTGCTTATTAGGAGCTCCTGGTATTTGGGGGTGTGGGAAGGGAGAGATGAGAGGAGAAGCTTGATTCCAAGTTTCCTCACCCATTAGGGTCATGGCTGTGGGGCCGCTGTAGACCCCAGTTAGGACAGCTGGGTGGGGACCTTGTCTCCAGCAGAAGGATAGTTTCTCTGTGCTGGCGGCTGATCCCCTGACATTGCAGCTGGCGGTGCTGGACTGGGCCCTTGGGGGTGGCTGATGGCCGGGGTCTGCCCACAGTAGCGCTGCGTAGGAGGACCTAGCTCCCAGCCCACCCCTCTTCCCGGAAGCCCTGGGAAGGCCGGCCCCAAGGGGAGTATCAGCCGTGCCTCCGCCTGTGCGAATGGCACCTGGGAGCCGACGGGCAGGTTTTCGAGCTGCACACCTGGTAGCCTCTGCCGTGGGGCTCAGCTTCCTCCCATTCCCGGGCCTTCACCTGTCCGGTGTGTCCCATCTCTGGCTCATGGTGTTGAACACTCAAAGAGGGGCCAGGGCAGGGTGGCAGGGACAAGGAGGTACCAGGAGGGCCAGACGGGGCTCCTGCCACTCCGCCGCTCCCTGTCCCCTCTCCTCTGGTGACCATCCATGTGCCAGGCCTGGGACTCAGGGGCTGGCTATAGGGAGGGACAGGGATGGGTGAGCCCGGTAGCATCTCCCACTCAGGGGGCCAAGGCCACCCCCTCCACCCAAGTGGATAATGTTCTTTGGGTTTACTTTTCTATCTTGATTTTTTTTTTTTTTCTTTAGAGTCTGGGTCTCGCTCTGTCACCCAGGCTGGAGTGCAATAGTGCAATCATAATAGGGAGTCACTGCAGCCTCGACCTCCCCGGCGCAAGAGATCCTCCCACCTCAGCCTCACGAGTACCTGGGACTACCGGTGCATGCCACCATGCCCGCCTAATTTTTGTGTGTGTGTGTTTTTTGTTTTTTTGTTTTTTTTTTTGACGGAGTCTTATTCTGTCTGTTGTCCAGGCTGGAGTGCAGTGGTGCAATCTCGGCTCACTGCAACCTCTGCCTCCTGAGTTCAAATGATTCTCCTGCCTCAGCCTCCTGAGTAGCTGGGATCACAGGTGCGCACCACCACGCCTGGCTGATTTTTGTATTTTTTTTAGTAGAGACGGTGTTTTGCCATGTTGGCCAGGCTGGTCTCGAACTCCTGACCTCAGGTGATCCGCCCCGCCCCCCCCACCCGGCCTCCCAAAGTGCTGGGATTACAGGTGTGAGCCACCTCGCCTGGCTAGCCATGTGTATTTAAACTGTCTTGGGACACACAGGCCTGCGTGGTTGGGACCACAGTCTGGCTTCATGTGGCCCAGGTCCGGCTAGTTTTTGGGTTGTGTTTTTTTTCTCCATTTGGACTCTGCCCTGTCCTCACCAAATCCCCAGCTCAGAATCTGCCTTCCCGTCATTAAAATAGCATTAGTGGCGGGGCTCGGTGACTCACGCCTGTAATCCCAGCACTCTGGGAGGCTGAGGTGGGTGGATCACGAGGTCAGGAGATCGAGACCATCCTGGCTAACACGGTGAAGCCCCGTCTCTACTAAAAATACAAAAAACTAGCGGGGCGTGGTGGTGGGCACCTGTAGTCCCAGCTACTTGGGAGGCTGAGGCAGGAGAATGGCGGGAACCTGGGAGGTGGAGCTTGCAGTGAGCCGAGATCGTGCCACTGCACTCCAGCCTGGGCGACAGAGCGAGACTCCATCTCAAAAAAAAAAAATAAATAAATAAAAATAAAATAAAATAAAAATAGCATTAGTAAGTGCACCCGGCCTCACGTTTCATTGTTATGTGACAAGTTTTATGACATTTTCTTACAATATCCCTGGCTGTTGGCCTAATTATCGCCACGGTTGTCTGTCTAGGGGACATAGACAGGCCTTTTGGATGGGGGATGACAGAGCGGATGGATGATTTCTGGCCCTGAGGAACCCCAGTTGGGGTTTGGGGGAGCTTGATGCGTCATAAGGAAAGATGTTGGGGTGAAGGCACTACACGGATGGCTGTGCAGGACCGTCGGGGCTCTGGGGGGCCCAGGGAGGGGTGAGGGCAGTGGGGCCAATGGGTCTGGGATGGGCTCGGTGCTGGCTGGGGGCTCACTTCCACCTGGCCCCCTGCAGGGCACGGCCGAGCAGATGAGGACTGTGTGGACGACCGGGCCAGACACCGGGAGGAACGGCTGCTCGGGGCACGGCTGGACCGGGATCAGGAGAAGCTGCTCAGGTGAGGGTGTCGGGGGATCCTGAGGGTCTAGGGGGTATCTAGGAGCCCCTGGGGGTGAGGGGCAGCTGGATGACCCCAGGTGGGCTTGGCCCCTCGACCATGGATGCTATGGTACTGAGAGCGGGAGTCACTCTGGTCCTCAGCATCGGGCCAGCCCTGCCCAGGCCAGGTGGCCCCACTGCCCCTACAGTGAGTGTGGAAGGCCCCGGGAGGCCCTTCAGTTCCGAGCAGTGGTTGTCCTGACTCATGGCCTGGTGGCAAACAGTTCCTTGGGGCAACCCCGCTTCTCCCTCTCGTCCCCTGGGCTGTCCGAGCTGTCGCTGACACCTATGATCCTCCTTCCAGAGAGAGTAAGGAGCTGGCTGACCTGGCCCGCCTGCACCCTACCAGCTGTGCTCCTAACGGCCTGAACCCCAACCTCATGGTGACGGGGGGCCCGGCGCTGGCGGGCTCAGGTCGCTGGTCTGCCGACCCCGCAGCCCATCTGGCCACGCACCCCTGGTTGCCCCGCTCGGGCAACGCATCCATGTGGCTCGCTGGACACCCCTACGGTGAGTGTGGGGCACAGGGTCTCTCCCCTTCTCTGAGGGAGGGGTGGGAGGGGGCGGGTGCAGGACAAGAGCTCAGGGCTGGCTCCTGCCTGCCGTTTCCTGGGGGGCCTGGGCCTGCCTCCCGCATTCGTCGGAAGAAGGAATGATAATGGCCTCTGCCTCGTGGGGCCCCTCTGCCATGCCTGTTTGGGGCAGATGCCCAATGCGGGTGGCTCTGGGGTGCTCTTTGCAGCCAGCCAGCACCCCTGTCCCTTGGCTTCCCCACTGGAGGCCCCAGGAGGTTCAGGACTTGGGAGGTGGTGCTGGGCTGGGGCTGCCCGAGGACAAACCGCTTGGGGGCTCCCAGCACTGACTCAGGCCTGGGCTTCTCCTCCTAGGCTTGGGTCCCCCATCTCTGCACCAGGGCATGGCCCCTGCGTTCCCACCTGGCCTGGGGGGCTCCCTCCCGTCAGCCTACCAGTTTGTCAGGGACCCCCAATCGGGCCAGCTGGTGGTCATTCCCAGTGATCACCTTCCTCACTTTGGTAAGTGGACCTTCTATGTGGCCACCATGGGCCAGACTGGCCATGCCCAGCGAGATGGTCTCTGATGCCAAGGGCTTCCTGCTGAGGGGTGGCGGCCGGCAGATCTGGGGCTGGGGAGGCGGACCGGGGTTCAGAGAGAACATCTGTTGCCAGTGTTGTAAAGCCTTGGGGTCCTTGTTGCAATGAGCTCCTGCCCAAAAACTCCATAAAGAGAAGCGAGACAGGCAGCCCTGGGTGGGGGCTGGGATTCCCCTTACCTGGCGCCACCGCCTCCCCAGGAATCCACCTTGTAGACCACTGGGAGGGGTGGGAGAAGGCGTTCCCTAGGTCCTCACAGTGGTCCTCGTACGTGTCTGCGTGCTGACCTGCTCTGGTTGCGAGGCTGTGGGAACATCCCACCCCGGGTGTGGACAGGGCTGTGTTCCCCGGGCCTGGGGTGCACACGTGGCCCATGGAGGACAGGACAAACTTCCTGGCCCCTGGGGAGCAGCCGGGGGCCCGCAGAGAGCCCAGCTCCCCACTGTGTGGGTGTGGCCCCTCTCTGGCTTCAGCTTCCCCTCGTAATGGGCATGGTGGTGGAGCATCAGGCCGCAGGTGCAGCGCACTGTCTCTGTCCCTGCAGCGGAGCTGATGGAGCGGGCCACCGTACCGCCCCTCTGGCCCGCCCTGTACCCGCCGGGCCGCAGCCCCCTGCACCACGCCCAGCAGCTGCAGCTCTTCTCACAGCAGCACTTCCTGCGGCAGCAGGAGTTCCTGTACCTGCAGCAGCAGGCGGCCCAGGCCTTGGAACTGCAGAGGAGCGCCCAGCTCGTGGTAAGTCGGGGAGGATGAGGCGCAGCTCCCTCTGGGGGCCCCCATGGGTGACGAGGCAGACGAGTCAGCCAGCAGAATCTCCAGACAGTTACAGGGAGGGAGAAAACAGCAGAGGGGCAGGTGGTCAGGGAGGGCTTCTGGAGGAGGCAGCAGTGGAACCGAGACCTGGAGCCATCTGTAGAAGAGTTCTCCAGGCGGAGGGAGCTGTGAGCAGAGGCAGATGGAGATTGGCAGGGCAGGGTGCAGGAGCGAGGAGGAAACCAAGGCAGAGAGGTGGCCTTGGGGACTGGGGAAGGGTGATTGGACACTGAAGGAGTCCAGTGGGCTCCCGCTGTTGCCTGAGCCCAGCCTGGCCTCTTCTCTCCAGGTGGCCTCTCGGAGAGGCACAAGGAGGCCTGGCCAGCTGCCTCCTGACGGCATGGTCCCATAAGATAGGGGACACAAAGGGTCTGCTCTGGAGGAGTCGGCCCAGGTAGTGCATACAGCAAGAAGCTCTCAGAGCCTGAGCCCTGGGTCTGAATCTTAGCTCTGCCAGGCCTGGCTGTGTGCTCGTGGGCAAGTGCCTTTACTTCTCTGGGCTTCAGGTTTCCTCTCCCAGAAACAGATGCTAGCGTTGCCTAGTCCTTGGGTTGCTAAATGTGACTGTTTAGTAATCGGGAGAGCGGCCTGTCCTTGGAGCGCTTTGTTCTGGTGTTTGTTTGTTTGTTTGTTTTTGTTGTTTTTTTGAGGTGGAGTCTTGCTCTGTCGCCCAGGCTGGAGTGCAGTGGTACTATCTCGGGTCACTGCAACCTCCGCCTCCTGGGTTCAAACGATTCTCCTGCCTCAGCCTCCCGAGTAGCTGGAATTACAGGCACATGCTGTCATGCACGGCTAATTTTTTTCTCTATTTTTAGTAGAGATGGGGTTTCGCCATGTTGGCCAGGCTGGTCTTCCTGGCCTCAGGTGATCCACCCGCCTTGGCCTCCCAAAGTGCTGGGATTCCAGGCGGGAGCACTGTGCCCGGCCCCTAGTGTGTTTTGTGTATTGACTGACCGGCCCAGGTAGGCATTGGTGGTCGCCGAGCTGACTCCCTCCCATTTCCTCATAAAAGACATGCCTGGCTTCCTCCTGCCCTCTTTGGGGCCTTTTGAGACCCTAAAATGATGACGCAGTGAAGCAGGAAGGTTTAGCAGGTAGTGAGTGCGCCCAATGCCATCGAGGTGTGGGGCCTTGTGCCCCCCATCTGGCCCCCCTTGTCCTGACTGTGAGGGTCCGTGCAGGGCCGGGGTCCTGGTGGAGGTCCCCCATCAGCCCTGGTTCGAAGGGGCTCACCAGAGCTCCTCACCCCCAGCGCTGCCTTTTGGGGTTCTGCGTGGAACGCTGTGCTTATGACACATGGGCTGGGATGGAATGTCTGTCTCTGGCCTGGGACGGGGTGGGCAGCCTGGACCCCAGGCCCTGCATGAGGTTCTCCTCGGACTCGGGGACCCTTGGGGGGACAGGGCAGGTGCGGGCGTCGGGGAGGGGGAAACTCGTGCCGTGCTGACCCTGCCTGCCGGCCCCTTCCCAGCAGGAGCGGTTGAAGGCGCAGGAGCACCGGGCGGAGATGGAAGAGAAGGGGAGCAAGCGGGGCCTGGAGGCTGCGGGCAAGGCTGGCCTGGCCACCGCCGGCCCCGGGCTGCTGCCGCGGAAGCCCCCTGGCCTGGCCGCCGGCCCCGCGGGCACCTACGGCAAGGCCGTGAGCCCGCCACCATCACCCCGCGCATCCCCTGTGGCTGCCCTGAAGGCCAAGGTCATCCAGAAGCTGGAGGACGTGTCCAAGCCACCCGCCTACGCCTACCCCGCCACCCCCAGCTCCCACCCCACCAGCCCGCCGCCCGCCTCCCCACCGCCCACCCCGGGTATCACCCGCAAGGAGGAGGCTCCCGAGAATGTGGTCGAGAAGAAAGACTTGGAGTTGGAGAAGGAAGCCCCCAGCCCCTTCCAGGCCCTGTTCTCAGGTAGGATGCAGCTGAGACCCTCAGGGTCTCACTCTGCCCCTGGAGCGGTAAAACTGCTCATCCATCTTTTCATTGACCCGTTCGATCGTTCGTTCATTCCACCTCCACGGAGCACCTCCTGCGTCCCAGGCCTGCCGCCAGACACTGAGACAAACACAGGAGCTCACAGTCAAATCCAGCCTCTCCCCGGCCCCTCCTCAGCGGCAGTGTCAGGGAAATGGGTGTAATATTAGAAACTGCTTCAGGATGAGTTGTTCTGAGTTTTCCACCGAGCCAGACCTGTCACACGCTCAGCATGCAGTCGGCGCTAAGTTCTGCCTTGCTGATGATGGTCCAGGGACACCCATTCTGGGCAGCTTTCCCCCCGTTCTGTGGGTCCCATGCACACACCCGCTCTTGCCGTCTTCTGCATCAGAGGGGACCTGCAGCAGGTGGCTTTGGGGGCTGGGACTGTGTTCTTCCTCCCTGGGGGGTATCAGGTGTGTGAGCGTGTGCTTGGGAGGACTTTGGTTCAACTTCAGATTCTGGCACCAAGGCTGGGTGAGCTTGGGCCAGTGGTGGCAATCACTGAGCTTGGCCCGGCGCCTGTCTCTCCTTTGTCAGTTTCCTTTTGTGTGCCTCCAGCTGCTGGGCTGGGAGTGGTGCAGAGAATCAGGGGCACACAGCCCTGCTCTCAGGGAGATTACACTTGGGGGACAGAACTGGGTTGCTATTCCTTTTCTTTTTTTTGAGATGGGATCCTCACTCTGTTGCCCCAGCTTGTACTGCAGTGGTACAATCACAGCTCACTGCAGCCTTGAACACCTGGACTCGAGCGATCCTCCTGTTTCAGCCTCTCAAGCAGCTGGGACCATAGGCACGCATCACTGGACTTGGCTATTTATTTATTTATTTTTGAGACGGAGTTTTGCTCTTGTTGCCCAGGCTGGAGTGCAGTCGGGCAATCTTGGCTCACTGCAACCTCCGCTTCCCAGGTTCAAACGATTCTCCTGCCTCAGTCTCCCTAGTAGCTGGGATTACAGGCATGTGCCACCATGCCCGGCTAATTTTGAATTTTTAGTAGAGACGGGGTTTCTCCATGTTGGTCAGGCTGGTCTCGAACGCCCAACCTCAGGTGATCTGCCCACCTCAGCCTCCCAGAGTGCTGGGATTACAGGCGTGAGCCACCATGTCTGGCCAATTTATTTTTTATATTTGTACAGATGTGTCTTGCTTTGTTGCCAAGGCTGGTCTTGATCTCCTGGGCTCAAGCAGTCCTCCCACCCTGGCCTCCCGAACTGCTGGGATTGTAGGCTTGAGACCACTGCAGCTAGCCCTGCTGTTACATTTTGTTTTGCTTTGAGATAGAGTCTCACTCTGTCACCCAGGCTGCCGTGCAGTGGTGCCATCATAGCTCACTGCAGCCTTGATCTCCCAGGTTCAAGTGATCTTTCCACCTTTGCCTGTGAAGTAGCTCGGATTACAGGGGTGCGCCACCATGACCAGCTAATTTTTTTTTCTTTTTTTTTTTTTAGTAGAGATGGAGTCTTCCAGGTCAGGCACAGTGGCTCACGCCTGTAATCCCAGCACTTTGGGAGGCTGAGGCGGGTGGATCACCTGAGGTTAGGAGTTTGAGACTGGCCTGACCAACATGGTGAATCCCCGTCTCTACTAAAAATATAAAAAATTAGCCGGGCACGGCCGGGCACAGTGGCTCACGCCTATAGTCCCAGCACTTTGGGAGGCTGAGGCGGGCGGATCACGAGGTCAGGAGATCGAGACCATCCTGGCTAACATGGTGAAACCCCATCTCTACTAAAAATACAAAAAAAAAAAAAAAATTAGCCAGGCATGGTGGCGGGCGCCTGTCGTCCCAGCTACTTGGGAGGGTGAGGTAGGAGAAGGGCGTGAACCCAGGAGGTGGAGCTTGTAGTGAGCCGCGATCGCGCCACTGCACTCCAGTCTGGGTGACAGAGCGAGACTGCGTCTCAAAAAAAAAAAAAAATTAGCCAGGCGCGGTGGGTCATGCTTATGCTTCTTGTCCCAGCTGCTCGCGAGGCTGAGGCAGGAGATTCGTTGGAATCCAAGAGGTGCAGGTTGCAGTGAGCTGAGATGGCGCCGTTGCGTTCCAGCCTGGGCAACAAGAGTGAAGTTCTGTCTCAAAAAAAAAGGAAATGGGGTCTCACTCTGTTGCTCAGGCTGGTCTTGAACTTCTGAATTTAAGCGATCATCCCCCTTTGGCCTCCTAAAGTGCTGGGATTACAGGCGTGGCCCACCACGCCTGGCTCTGCTGTTAGATTTTGAACAACTGCTTTAATGGGGTGGAGCAGTAGGTTCCTGGGGAGTGGAGACCAGACCACACAAGGTGGGTAAAGGCAGCTGTAGGCCTTTGCAGACCTCATGAAGTGTTGGCTTCTGGTCTAGCCTTGTGCTGGGTGCTGAGTGGGAAAGGAACAAGAGAGACCACTGTGGTTCTTTGCCTTCAAGACCACAAGACCTTGGGGACAAGAAGGTGGCTGGTTTTTCACTTTGGGGCCACTGCATGGCCCTGGGGTTTCTGAGATCCCACCTAGAACAGCTCCCACCCTGTAGCTGGGTGAGCAGGGGGCGGCTGCGTCCTGGGTCTCTGTCTGGGGTGGTGGGCGGGTGTCAGTGGGGACATGGGATATCAGATCCTAGGGCTCCCATGCTGACCCCTGTGTCCTTGGCAGATATCCCGCCCAGGTACCCGTTCCAAGCCCTGCCACCGCACTACGGGAGGCCCTACCCTTTCCTGCTGCAGCCCACGGCCGCCGCCGACGCGGACGGCTTGGCCCCTGATGTGCCGCTCCCGGCTGATGGGCCCGAGCGCCTGGCACTCTCACCCGAAGACAAGCCCATCCGCTTGTCCCCCTCCAAGATCACAGAGCCGCTGCGGGAGGGCCCGGAGGAAGAACCGCTGGCTGAGCGGGAGGTGAAGGCAGAGGTGGAGGACATGGACGAGGGCCCCACAGAGCTGCCGCCTCTGGAGTCGCCGCTGCCACTGCCCGCCGCGGAAGCCATGGCTACCCCCAGCCCTGCAGGGGGTTGTGGAGGTGGCCTGTTGGAGGCCCAGGCGCTGAGTGCCACCGGGCAGAGCTGCGCAGAGCCCTCTGAGTGTCCAGACTTTGTGGAGGGGCCTGAACCACGGGTGGATTCCCCGGGCCGGACAGAACCCTGCACCGCCGCCCTGGACCTGGGGGTGCAGCTGACACCCGAGACACTGGTGGAGGCCAAGGAGGAGCCGGTGGAGGTGCCTGTGGCGGTGCCCGTGGTGGAGGCAGTGCCCGAGGAAGGCCTGGCGCAGGTGGCACCGAGCGAGTCCCAGCCCACCCTAGAAATGTCAGACTGTGACGTGCCCGCCGGGGAGGGACAGTGCCCGAGCCTGGAGCCCCAAGAGGCCGTGCCTGTACTCGGCAGCACCTGCTTCCTGGAAGAGGCAAGCTCTGACCAGTTCCTGCCCAGTCTGGAGGACCCACTGGCTGGCATGAACGCCCTGGCGGCAGCTGCGGAGCTGCCCCAGGCCAGGCCTCTGCCCTCCCCGGGTGCTGCTGGAGCCCAGGCCTTGGAGAAGCTGGAAGCAGCCGAGAGCCTTGTCTTGGAGCAGAGCTTCCTGCATGGCATCACCCTGCTAAGTGAGATCGCAGAGCTGGAGCTGGAGAGGAGGAGCCAAGAGATGGGAGGTGAGAGTGCGCGACCTCTGAGTTCTGCAGATTCGTGAGTTTTAGTTTTGTGGTGATGGGGTCTTGCTGTGTTGCCCAGGCTGGAGTGCAGTGGCACAATCTTAGCTCACTGCAGCCTCAAACTCCTGGGCTCAAGTGATCTTCCCTCCCCAGCCTCCCCAGTAGCTTGGGCTACAGGCGTCCACCACCATGCCCAGCTAACTTTTTAAAAAGTTCTTTTTTTTAGAGATGGGGTCTTGCTCTGTTGCCCAGTCTGGTCTCAAACTCCTGGACTCAAGTGATTTTGCCCACCTTGACCTCCCAAAGTGCTGGGATTATAGGTGTGAGTCGCTCGCTGTGCCCGGCCTCTTAAACATTTTTTTATAAGATTTTTAAATTATGAAAAACCCGGAATATGGTTTATTCATATTAATTTTTTAAAAAATTGTGGTTAAGATACACATAACAAAATGTTCCATCTCGAGCATTTTTAAGCGTCCTGTTGAGTGAGTGGCATGTTAAGTGTGTTTGCACTGTGCAGCCAGTCTGTAGGTTTCCTGGTGGTGAAATTTCTCATTCTATTGATGGTGTGTTTTAGCAGGATTTCTTGGGTTGCAAGGAACAGAAACTCTCATTTAAATTGGTTTAGGCAGGAGAGAATTAATTGGCTCTTGGAACTGAAGTCCGGCAGTAATTAGGTAATTTCAGGTATGGCTGGATCTAGGTGTTCAAGCCAAGAAACCAAGTCTTTCTTTTCCTACACAGGCCCTTCCCTAGTCTCTCTCTCTCTGTGTCCCCGTCTCCTTCCCTCCTTCCCTCCTTCCCTCTTGCTGTTCGACTTTTCTCTCTGTTGGCCTCATTCAAGGCCGACTTACTGTCCTCACTGGGGTGGGGGGTGGTCTGTCAGTTCCTCCCAGGTCCCTGGGCCTGCTCAGCAGCCTTCCGAAAGAGGCCACCTCTTTCTTGCTAGCTTTGGCAAAAACACTGAGATTCATTCTCAAGGGCTGACTGCGGTTCATGCTTTGTTGTTGTTGTTTTTCTTTTTTTGAGCCATAGTCTCCCTCTATCACCCAGGCTGGTGTGCAGTGGTGTCATCTCGGCTCACTGCAGCCTCCGCCCTCCCGGGTTCAAGTGATTCTCCTACTTCAGCCTCCCAGGTAGCTGGGATTACAGGCATGTGCCACCATGCCTGGCTAATTGTTGTATTTTTAGTAGAGATGGGGTTTTGCCATGTTGGCCAGGCTGGTCTCGAACTCCCGACCTCAAGTGACCCGCCTGCCTTGGCCTCCCAAAGTGCTGGGATTACAGGTGTGAGCCACCGCTCCCAGCCTCGGTTCATGCTTTTTGCGGGCATCAAACTGAGTTCTGGGACATGGGCTGCGCTGATCATTACCTGTCCTTTGATCTGGGATGTGTTGCCTCTGGGGTGTAGGGAAGGGGGAGGGTAGTTCTCAAAGAGAATGGGATGCCTTCAGCAGAAAGGGCACTGAATGCTGGGCCAGACACAGAATGACTGATGTTCAGCATGGAAAACTGGGCCTAGAACTGGTTTGGAGGAAGGGCCGGGGCAACACCCGTTGAAGAGATGATATCCCTGCCAGTGTTTTAGTATATTTCCTCTAGAACACACATACACATATTTACTTCTCAAATTAAGATCTTTTTGTAAATAGTGTTCTGTAACCTGCCCTGCCCTTTTCACTTAAATTTTTTTTTTTTTTTTTTTTTTTTGAGACAGAGTCTCACTCTGTCACCCAGGCTGGAGTGCAGTGGTGCCATCTCGGCTCACTGCAACTTCCGCCTCCCAGGTTCAAGCGATTTTTCCTGCCTCAGCCTCCTGAGTACCTGGGATTACAGGCACGCACCACCATGCCTGGCTATCTTTTTGTATTTTTAGTGGAGATGGGGTTTCACCATGTTGGCCAGGCTGGTCTCGTACTCCTGACCTCAAGTGATCCACCCGCCTTGGCCACCCAAAGTGCTGGGATTACAGGCGTGAGCCACCGCGCCCGGACACTTTACTTAAAATGTTCTTTATTAAACATTTTTCAAAGCTGTGGGTTTTTTAATTTTTTTTTTTTTTTTACAAAAAGTAGAGATGGGGTTTCGCCATGTTGGCCAGGCTGGTCGCGAACTCTTGAACTCAAGTGATTTTCCCACCTTGGACTCCCAAATTGCTGGGATTACAAGCGTGAGCACCCGGCTTAAAGCTGTGGTTTTTAAAAAATCATTGTTTTAGGGACTGCCCAACTTTCTGCCTGGTGGTGGCCCTGGCCCTTGATGACCCAGTCTTAGATGGTCAGGCATTTTCGTCTGCTTTAAAACAAAGTTGTTTTTTTTTTTTCTCCGTTGCAAATAACATGATGGTTATCCTTGAAGAAAAAAAAACTTTGTCCGTATCTCTGATTTGCCTGGGATTGTATGCCCAGAGGTAGAACTGTTGGGTCCAAACAAGGCCACATTTTTCAAGGCTTTGTGACTGTCATGGTCAGATGGCCCTCAAGGAAGCCTGGAGAAGCCACGCTGCCATTGGCCTGTGTGAGCAACGCCCCCCTCCCCACTGGGAGGCACTTGTCCTAAAGTTCATTGCTGCTTTTCTCTCACGAAAATAGTTCAATAGAAACTTTTTTTTTTTTTTGGGTAGAAGAAAATCAAAATTCCCTTGGTTGGCCAGGCACGGTGGCACACGCCTGTAATCCCAGCATTTTGGGAGGCCGAGGCGGGCAGATCATCTGAGGTCAGGAGTTCGAGACCAGCCTGGCCAACATGGTGAAACCCCATCTCTACTAAAAATACAAAAATTAGCTGGGCGTGGTGGCGGGCACCTGTAATCCCAGCTACTCGGGAGGCTGAGGCAGGAAAATCACTTGAACCTGGGAGGCGGAGGTTGCAGTGAGCCGAGATGGTACCACTGCCCTCCAGCCTGGGCAACAAGAGTGGAACTCCATCTCAAAAAAAAAACAAAAAACAAAAAACATTCCCTTGGTCTTCCCACCTGGTACTGGTTTTGTTTTTGTTTTTAATTATTTCTGGGACAGAATCTCCCTCTGTTGCCCAGGCTGGAGTGCAGTGGTGTGATCTCCGCTCACTGCAAGCTCTGCCTCCTGGGTTCAGGTGATTCTCCTGCCTCAGCTTCCCAAGTAGCTGGGATTACAGGCACATGCTACCACATCCAGCTAATTTTTGTATTTTTAGTAGAGACGGGGTTTCCCCATGTTGGCCATGCTGGTCTTGAACTCCTGGCCTCAAGTGATCCGCCCGCCTCAGCCTCCCAAAGTGCTGGGATTACAAGTGTAAGTCACTGCACCCAGCCCAGAATTCTCCACCCTATTAGGACACCAGCCTTACGGAATGAAGGCCCACTGTCATGACTTGAACTTGACCACCTCTGCAAACGCCCTGTCTCCCACAGAGGTCACCTAATGAGGTTACTAGGGGTTAGGATTCTCGCATATTAAATTAGTGGGGACACGACTGAACCCATCACCACTGGCCTAGAGGTCACTTGGGCGTCCCTTGCCTGATCAGTTAAGAGCTTAGGGATAATAGGTTTGTGGGAGGGTGAAGGAGGTGACAGAGTTGTACCTTGGTCCCCTCTTGGAGAACAGAACAGCCCTCCATCCTTACCTGACATTGTAGACTCTTAAGTCTCGCAGGACCTCGAGGCGGGGGTATGGGGTGGGTGAGATGGTTTCAATCTAACATCAACCTTTGGGAGCTGATCAGGTTTGCGGCTTTGTGGCCTCAGTTTCCCTAAAGATATAAGAAGAGCGGCCAGCCGCGGTGGCTCACGCCTGGAATCCCAGCACTTTGGGAGGCCAAGGCAGGCGGATCACTTGAGGTCAGGAATTTGAGACCAGCCTGGCCAACATGGGGAAACCCCATCTCTACTAAAAATAAAAAAATTAGCTGGGTGTGGTGACACATACCTGTAGTCCCAGCTACTCAGGGGACTGAGGCAGAATTGCTTGAATCCAGGAGGCGAAGGTTGCATGAGCCAAGATTGGTCACTGCACTCCAGCCTGGGCGACAGAGTGAGATTCTGTCTCACAAAAAAAAAAAAAAAAAAAAAAAAAAGATATAAGAAGAGCAAAACAAGCATTCTCAACTAGGGATGATTTTGTCCCCCCAGGGGACATTGGCAACCACATTTTTGGTTGTCACAGCTTGGGGGGAGCACTACTGCCATCTAGTGGGTAAAGGCAGGGACTCAGCAAGACACCCTACAGTGAAGGCAGAGGACAAGCCCCCAGCAGAGATGCGAATGAATAGTGAAATGTGAATAGTGCCAAGGAAGAGAAGCTCCCCCTCAGCAGCATCATTAGTCATGTCTGTCTCTGGAACTTTGCACACTGCCAATAGAGAATATGGTTTTCGGCTCACCGCAGTCTCCGCCTCCCAGGTTCAAGCGACTCTCCTGCCTCAGCCTCCTGAGTAGCTGGCATTATAGGCATGCGCCACCAGGCCCGGCTAGTTTTTTGTATTTTTAGTAGAGATAGGGTTTCTCCATGTTGGTCAGGCTGGTCTCGAACTCCTGACCTCAGGTGATCCGCCCGCCTCGGCCTCCCAAAATGCTGGGATTACAGACGTGAGCCACCACACCCAGCCAAAAATTGGTATTTTAGATCACAAAGAAAATGTCAGCCGGGCATGGTGGCTCACGTCTGCAATCCCAGTACTTTGGGAGGCTGCGGCAGAAGGACTGCTTGTGCCCAGGAGTTTAAGACCCGCCCGGGCAACATGGCGAGACCCCATGTGCATTAAAAAAATGAAATGTCAATTGAAAAATTATAATAGAACTCATTTAAATTTGGTAGAGACTAAAGCAAGATCTCTGTGGTTGGAGCACCCTTCCTGGAGGGTAGGGGGAGTATTTATCAGAGAACTGCACACACCTGGTCATATTCATCACACTGGTGAGGCTCTTCCTGTCACACGTGTCCCAGCTATGTGCCCATGTGCTCCTATTACAAAAAGATAGGAGGCCGGACACGGTGGCTCACGCCTGTAATCTCAGCACTTTGGGAGGCTGAGGCGGGAGGATCACTTGAGCCCAGGAGTTCAAGACCAGCCTGGGAAACATAGCAAGACCCCATCTCTACAAAAAAATACAAAAACTAGCTGGGTGTGACGGCATGTGCCTGTGGTCCCAGCTACTCAGGAGGCTGAGGCAGGGTGATTGCTTGAGCCTGGCAGCTTGAGGCTGTGGTGACGTGTGATGGTGAACTCCAGCCAGGGTGGGGGACAGAGTGAGACCCTATCTTGAAAAGACAGGAAACAATCTAAATGCCATCAATGGGAGATGACTTAGATGAATCAAAACTCATCAATTCAAGAGTGTTCTAGGCTGCCCTTCCGCCCCCGCCCCCCCACATGATTCTGCGTAGGCTCCTTTGCACGTTTGGCCATTTAAAATTGCTGGCATTCTAGTGTTTTTGACCTTTAGAGATGGCAGTTTTTATAAGGTCCAAGCTCATAATGAGGAGGTAGATGTTTGCTTTGTGCTAATATGAGAAAAGACATTAAGCAGAAAAAAAGCAAAATGTGATACAGTATGTACTGATTGAGATCTTTTTTTTTTTTTTTTTTTTCCTGAGACAGCCTCCCTCTGTTGCCCAGGCTGGGGTACAGTGGGGCTATCATGCCTCCCCGCAACCTCTGCCTCCTGGGTTCAAGCGATTCTGGTGCCTCAGCCTCCCAAGTAGCTGGGATTACAGGTGGTCACCACCATGCCCAGCTAATTTCTGTATTTTTAGTAGAGAGGGGGTTTTACCATGTTGGCTAGGCTGGTTTCAGACTCCTGGCCTCAAGCCATCCACCCGCCTCGGCCTCCCAAAGTGCTGGGATTACAGGCATGAGCCACCGTGCCCAGCCTGAGATCGTGTGTGTGTGTGTGTGTGTGTGTGTGTGTGTGTGTGTGTGTGTGTGTGTGTTTTCTTTGAGACAGGCTCGCTCTGTTGCCCAGGCTGGAGTGCAGTGGTGTGATCATGGCTTACTGCAGTCTCAACTTCCTGGGTTCAAGTGATCTTCTTGCCTCAGCCTCCCGAGTAGCTGGGACTACAGGCACCCAGTTTACATTTATATTTTATTTAATTTTGTTTTTGAGCTGGAGTCTCGCTGTGTTGCCCAGGTTGGAGTGGCTCAATCTCAGCTCACTGCAACTTCTGCCTCCTGAGTTTAAGCAGTTCTTATGCCTCAACCCCCGAATAGCTGGGACTACAGGTGCTTGTTACCATGCCCAGCTAATTTTTGAATTTTTAGTAGAGACAGGGTTTCACCATGTTGGCCAGACTGGTCTCAAAACTGCTCACCTCAAATTATCCACCTGCCTTGGCAACCCAAAGTGTTGGGATTACAGGCGTGAGCCACTGCACCCGGCTTATTTTTATATTTTAAAGGATGCCCGTGGATGTCGTGTGCATTTGAATATGCATAATCATTTCTGGAACTGTCTACTGGAAACTGCACCCACAGTAGCCTCCCGAGGGAGGGACCTGTGTGTTGGAGGAGGAAGGAAGCGGGCTGTCTTTTTTTTTTACACCTTTCTGCTTGGTTTGTGTTTTTCATCCTGGGCTTTTTTCTGATTATAAGAGCTATGCATATTCACTATGGAAAAATGCACGTACAAATAAGTGGAAGGAGAGCCGTACTGCTGGAAAGAACCCTTCGGTCTTTGGAGGCCCTCCCTCTGGAGGCTTATGCTGTGCCTAGCCTGTACTCTGTGAATAGAGCACAGGACCCTGTGCCAGGCGTGCTGCCTTCTCTCCTGTTCGATTGATTGATTGATTGATTGAGATGGAGTCTCCCTCTGTCACCCAGGCTGGAGTGCAGTGGCGCCATCTCGGCTTACTGCAAGCTCCGCCTCCCAGGTTCTCGCCATTCTCCTGCTTCAGCCTCCCGAGTAGCTGGGGCTACAGGCGCCCGCCACCACACCCGGCTAATTTTTTTGTATTTTTTAGTAGAGATGGGATTTCACCGTGTTAGCCAGGATGGTCTCCATCTCCTGACCTCATGATCTGCCCGCCTCGGCCTCCCAAAGTGCTGGGATTACAGGCGTGAGCCACCACGCCTGGCCTATTTATTTATTTTTTTTGAGATGGAGTCTTGCTCTGTTGCTCAGGCTGGCATGCGGTGGTGCAAACTCAGCTCACTGCAACCTCTGCCTCCCGGGTTCAAGTGGTTCTCCCGCCTTAGTCTCCCGAGTAGCTGGGATTCCAGGCGTGTGCCACTACACCCGGCTAGTTTTTGTTATTTTTAGTAGAGGTGGGGTTTCACTGTTTCACCATGTTGGCTAGGCTGGTCTTGAACTCCCGACCTAAGGTGATCTGCCCGCCTCAGCCACCCAAAGTGCTGGGATTACAGGCGTGAGCCACCATGCCTGGCCTTCTCCCCGTTCTTGTTTAGAGATGCTCAGGACTTCCGGCATGTCACAAAGGCCTCTGTCTACTCAGCACCTTGGGGGATGGGCACGTGTGGCCTGGGGCCTGCGCTTGCTTTGGGCCTCGGCATCCCCGTTTGGGGTTGGGGAAGGGGTGGCAGCAGCGCCCTGTTACCTACCTCCTGTCCACAGGTGCGGAGCGGGCCCTGGTGGCGCGGCCCTCCCTGGAGAGTCTGCTGGCAGCTGGCAGCCACATGCTGAGGGAGGTGCTGGATGGGCCCGTGGTGGACCCACTCAAGAACCTGCGGCTCCCGCGGGAGCTGAAGCCCAACAAGAAGTACAGCTGGATGCGCAAGAAGGAGGAGCGGGTGAGCGGCTGGCTGCTTCCTCCCTGGGGTCCGCGGGGGAGGCTGGGTGGGAGGCCCCTCTGTGGAGGTGCCCTACTGCCTGGGGCGTGGCTGGCTTTGGCGCCAGAGAGGCCTGAGCTACGTTCAGCTCCTTGTGCTGATGTGCTGTGTGGTCCCAGTCAAGTGGTTGCCCTTCTCGGGGACTCAGTTTACCTGTCTGCTAGCATGTCAGGCTCATCACACAGGTCGCGGTGTGATCCACTGGAAACAGAGTAGCCCAGGGTCACATGTAGCTCTGGCCTTAGGTGCCCACGGGGCCTGGGGCTGCAGCATCCCCTTGCTGAGCCTTCCGTTTATAAATGACACAGTGGCCCTCACTGATGGAGCAGGTGTCACACGCAAGCACTGTGCTTCAGGCATGACATCTAATTGAGCACTGCCACAGCCCCGCAGAGCCAGCACAGGGTCCCTTGCATACGATGAGGCCATGGCCACAGTCAGGAGGTGGCAGCGGTGGGACTCGAGCCCCAGCTCCCAGTGCAGTCTCCCCTTCCTCAGGGGCACCCCTGGGTGGGCGGTGGGCGTCGTTAGGCAGTGGCATCCTCACCCCCTCCTCCTCTCCCGGTTCTTCCCCCAGATGTATGCCATGAAGTCCTCCCTGGAGGACATGGACGCCCTGGAGCTGGACTTCCGGATGCGGCTGGCCGAGGTGCAGCGCCAGTACAAGGAGAAGCAGCGTGAGCTGGTGAAGCTGCAGCGCCGCCGGGACTCCGAGTGAGTGTGTCCCCCGCCCGCCCCGTGGGGCCCCTGCCCCGGCCCACCAGGCCCCCAGGCGCGCAGCAGCCGTCGAGGTGTGCGTGGACCCGGCGCCGTGTGTGCATCGTGTGCCCGTTCTCCGCGCCCCGCCCGCCCCCCAGCGTCACAGCCAAGCGTGTGATTCTTTTTAAGGGACAGGCGCGAGGAACCCCATAGAAGCTTGGCACGCAGAGGCCCTGGCAGGCCGCGGAAACGGACCCACGCCCCGAGCGCCCTGTCGCCCCCCCGCAAGAGAGGGAAGAGCGGCCACAGTAGCGGAAAGTAAGGCTGGCCCCTCGGTGGGTCGGGGACTGGCACACAGCTTGAGGGGAGGAGCCCGGGCCCCACGCAGGGCCTGCCTCGGGGTGCTGGGGGACCTCGCGTCCCTCGGGCTCTGACCTACCCGCAGCAGTGGCCCTCGGGGAGCACGGCCTGTGCTGCCCGGGCCAGGAGGGAGCGAGGCCGGTGCTGAGCCTGGAGGATGGCTCCTGCGACAGATTTTTCCCGTGTCCTAACCCAGCGCTTCACCTGTCTTCCTGCCACGCCTGCCTCCTCACGCCTAGGGCCTAATTCCTCCTCTTTTCCACGCGCCTCCTCCCTGCGGAAGGACCCGCTGGGCTGCCAGCCTTGCTTGTTGGGACGGGCTATGACCCGGCTGTCGCTCGGTCTCCGCCGTGCCGGACCTGCTGGCTTGCCCCGAGACCAGGGCTGGCCCCTTCTGGCACTTGGGGACAAGCTTCTCCTCCTCGGGCGGCGGTCGCAGCCTTGTGGGGCACCTGTGTGGGTCTTTCTGAACGCCAGCTGGAATGAGAGCTTTTCCCGCAGGGCGAGGCGTGCACAGAAAAGATGCTTCGTCCTTCCCTCGGTGTCTGTAGCACGATCGGAAAGGGGCCCGTCAAGGAAAGGGGTTGGAGTGTTGGGAGCCTGGGGCAGGAGGGTGGGGTAGACGCTAGGCGGCTCAAGACCTGCCCTGAGGAAGCAGAAGGAGCGTGGGGGGACCTTCGGAGGGCACAGGAGAGGCAGTGGGAAGGCCACAGTTCTTCTCAGGATAAAACAGCCCCAAGGCCCCCATGTCTTGCATTTAACATTCTTGGATGTTTCTGACCGAAGAGAGGATGGAGAGAGGTAGAAATCTCCCTCACCAGCCGCAGCAGGGGCAGGGAGAGCTTCCCGGAGAAGAGGGCAGGAGGCTGCGGCCACCAGCAGCGTGGTGGTCAGGGGTGTGGCCTGCACTGGTTAAATTTCCTGTTCTTGAGTCCCAGCACCACCCCTTAGTGTGACCGACCTCGGGCCAGGTGTTAGCTTTTCCGAGCCTGTTTTCTCATCTATAAAAAAATAAGTACACAGGTTGGCCACGGTGGCTCACGCCTGTAATCCCAGCACTTTAGGAGGCCGAGGCAGGCGGATCACTTGAGGTCAGGAGTTTGAGACCAGCCTGGGCAACATGGAGAAACCCCTTCTTTACTAAAAATACAAAAATTAGCCAGGTGTGGTGGTGTGTGCCTGTAATCCCAGCTATTTGGGAGGCTGAGGTGGGAGAATTGCTTGAACCTGGGAGGCAGAGGTTGCAGTGAGCTGAAATCGAGCCATTGCACTGCATCCTGGCAACAGAGTGAGACTCCATCTAAAAATAAATTAAATAAATAAATAAATAAATAAATAAATAAATAAAATACAGCAGCAGCAAACGTTTGTGGCCAAAATATAAAGCCACTAACACAGTGCAAGACACACAGTGAGTGAGTGCCAAGTACAGATCGGCTGTTTCGATCACCTGTGAAGTTTCAGCTTAAAGCAAGCAAGTGGGGCTTCTAAGCCATGTCTGTGTCCCCACTGCGCACGGGATTCCAGAGACCAGCAAGTGGCTCCTTCTTCGTTTTTTTTTTCCCTTACTGGAAAAGAGAGACTGGAATCCTTCTTCGTGTAAACTTGTGTTCTGAACTCCCCCTGCCATCCTGGTGGATTTCCTTGGCGTTTCTGATCTTTGTTCTTGGCACGATTTGGTAAATAGGTATCTGACCGCACAGAGATGTGTGTGTGTGTGTGTGAGTGTACGCGTAAAAGCGCACAAGAAAGAAAATGCTTTCTTCCTTCTTTCACCTTAAACTCTCATTCTGCCTCATTCACAAATATCCCAGAATTCCAGCACTGTTGTTTTACAAGATCCATCTCCCCACGCCCGTCACTCTGCCATCACTGTCCACGCTCAGGGTCCAGAGCCCAACCCTTCAGGGCCATGAGGGTGGACCTCAGCCTGCGAGCCTTGTCTGGCCAGGGTGCTGACCGGCAGTGTGTCTGCGTTTCAGGCTGAGCAGCAAGTCTCTGCTGACATCAGATGATTATGAGCTGGGAGCAGGGATAAGAAAGAGACACAAGGGGTCTGAGGAGGAACATGATGCCCTCATCGGAATGGGGAAAGCCAGGGGGAGGAACCAGACTTGGGATGAACATGAGGCCTCGTCGGACTTCATCAGTCAGGTGAGTAACCCAGTCTTCCAGGTGTGTGAGATCTTTCAGGGAGGTGTCTGGAGGGTGTGTTAAGAGTTCACGCTCCCTTCGCAGGCCCTTTGTTCCTGTACAGAAACCTTAGAAGTGGTTGTCTTCAATGCCGGAATGACTCTTCTCCAATCTTCCTTATTGTACAGAGGGGGAGATTAAGGCCCAGAGGAGGTCAGAGACCTACCGACGTAACACAGCCTCAGAGACAGGAGGCCTAAAAGCTATCTCCCTCTGTGTGCTGCATGACCCTTTGCTAAAGCCAAGGAGAGACACAAGTTCTTAACCAAGTAATACAATTGCTCTGTTGTTTAATGGTGTAATAGTTTAATGAGCAGCTCTGCCATTCTGTAGTTCTAAGAAACAAGGGCTTGGTGCCATGGTAATTTCCTCTCTGAACTCTCCAGGGGTAATGGGCTGAGAGCCAACTCCTTGATTCTTCTTATTTCTTCAGAACATTGAAATCATCCACTTAAGGTGCCTTTTTGTAAATACTAATGTACCTTGCCATCCCTCCCCATAAAGTCCAGTGCAAAGGGGTAGTTTTTTTTTGTTTGTTTGTTTTTTTGAGACAGAGTCACTCAGTCACCCAGGCTGGAGTGCCGTGGCACGATCTCGGCTCACTGCAACATCCGCCTCCCAGGTTCAAGCGATTCTCCTGCCTCAGCCTCCCAAGTAGCTGGGATTACAGGTGCCCACCACTATGTCCAGCTGATTTTTGTATTTTTAGTAGAGATGGGGTTTCACCATCTTGGCCAGGCTGGCCTCGAACTCCTGACCTCAGGTGATCTGCCTACCTCAGCCTCCCAAAGTGCTGGAATTCCAGGTGTGAGCCACTGCACCCAGCTGAGGGGTATTTTGGTTGACTTGGCTGAGAGGGGCAGGCTCATGGAGGGAGACGGGGTCTAAGAGAAGAAAGATTGCCAGTGTTAACACCAGATCGTTTTTACTTTCAAATTGTGGTGAGGGATGCTTTTGTTTTAATTGACACCATCCCAGCTTTTTTCTTCCTTAAGAAATGTCACCTGATTAAAGAAAATAGAGATAAAATGTTCAAACCTGGGGCATTAATGGCTTTGAAACTGCGTGTTTCGCTTCAACAAATGACTACAGCTGACGATAGACATGCAGGCAGGAATTTAATCTGTGAAATCTCTAATCGTTCTTTCTGCTTCAGGCATCCAAGGAACACTTGAGGCATTTTTTTTGGCAGCTTCGGCCCCTTTAGTTGGATGAACTGGTTTGGAGTGTGCACTAGTACTTTGTCAGCTGCTGTAGGTGGCTGAGATAGGCATATCAGCTGCGCTTCAATCTGGGTTTTTGATCTTGATTCCTTTCCTCCTCCCTTAATCCGGCTGCCTTCTTCAGGCCATCGGCAGCAGCACTTGGTCGAAGTACTTCCTTAGGAGGCACCAAGCAGTGCCACGGAAAGCCAGGGCCAGCGATCAGTGTAACCACAGCACCAGCTATTTAATAAGTGGTTACCTTGTACCAGACGTTGTGGTCACTGCATACCTTATCTGAGTTCATCTTCAGAAGCACCTTGCGATACCCAGACACAAGTACCCCCATTTTACAGAGTTACACATTGAAGCTGGCCAGTCGTGGTCAGCCTGGAATCCCAACAGTTTGGGAGGCTGAGGTGGGAGAATGGCTTGAGCCTAAAAGTTTGAGACCAGCCTGGGCAACATGATGAAACCCCAGCTCTACAAAAATAAAAATAATAAAAATTAGCCAGGAGTGGTGGCGCACGCCTGTATTCCCAGCTACCAGAAAAGCTGAGGCGGGAGGGTCACAGAGCCCAGAGGTCGAGGCTGCAGTGACTTGCGACTCCCAGCTAGTCGGGAGCCTGAGGCAGGAGAAATGCTTGGACCTGGGAGGTGGAGGTTGCAGTGAGCCGAGATCGCGCCACTGAACCCCAGGCTGGGCGACAGAGCGAGACTCCGTCTCTAAAAAAAAAATAAATATATATGCGTGCTAAGAGGAGTTAAATCACAGAGGCAGGTGAAGGATTGGAGCCCAGGCTGGGCAGAGCATGTGCACTGAAACCCACTATACTGTTTTGTCAGATCTTTTAACCCATGACCCACCTTCCCTCTCCAGCTAAAGATTAAGAAGAAGAAGATGGCCAGCGACCAGGAGCAGTTGGCAAGCAAGCTCGACAAGGCCCTCTCCCTCACCAAGCAGGACAAGTTGAAGTCGCCCTTCAAGTTTTCGGACAGTGCTGGGGGGAAATCGAAAACTAGCGGGGGCTGCGGCAGGTACTTGACTCCTTACGACAGCCTGCTGGGGAAGAACAGGAAGGCGCTGGCCAAGGGCCTCGGCCTGTCTCTGAAATCCTCCAGAGAAGGTAAACACAAAAGGGCAGCCAAAACCAGGAAGATGGAGGTGGGGTTCAAGGCCAGAGGCCAGCCCAAGTCGGCCCATTCCCCGTTTGCCTCGGAAGTGAGCAGCTACTCTTACAGTAAGTAGCGTATGCCGCGCCACCTCTGGTCCGCTGCTTCTCTCCTTTTCTCCCCTCTTCTCTCCACCGTCCTCCTTCCCCCCCCGCCCCTCACTCTCTCTCTCGCTCTCGCTCTCTCTCTGGGGCGCACTACAGTGCCTGAGCTTGGCATGGCCTCCAAGCCGGAAGTGGGGGGGGAGGCCGCCTGAAGCGGATATGCCTGTGACTGGCGGGTGTGATGCCAGGCAGGTGCTTGTGATTGGTGGGCGCCCGTGATTGGCGGTTGGGAGCCGACCTCCGCCGGCCCTGTCTTGCCCGCCCGCCATTTGCCTACCGGATGTCATAGGCGAGGAAGCCTTGTGCGTCATAGAGTTTGCGGCTGTTTGGCCTAGAGAGGCCTGGAGCGCGACTGCTCTTGAGGGTCCTAGAGGTGACCGGACTCCCCTACCCACAGGAAGCATGCCGTCTGTTGCGGACCACGGCTTTGTCGCGAAGTGTTGGCGGAAGCAGTGTTTATGGAGCGCCCACCGTGCTCGGCTATGGATGCAGGGGTTCATTGGCGTTACTGTGTCTGTGGCAGCTCTGACAGTGGTACCCCCATGTTGTTACTGGGGATGATGTGGCCCGAGAGCCAGAGGGGAGTGTGTGCGCTCGGGTGCGGAGAGGCGACTCGGGGTTAAACCTGGTTCGGCCCGACCCACCTACCCACTGGAACCTGCTGCCATCATGGCTGTGTCCCACTATTTTCTTTCTTTTTTTTTTTTTTTTAATTTGAGACGGAGTCTCACTCTGTCGTCCAGGCTGGAGTGCAGTGGTGCGATCTTGGCTCACTGCAACTTCTAGCTCCTGGGTTCAAGCGATTCCCTTGGCTCTGCCTCCCGAGTAACTGGGACTACAGGCTTGTGCCACCACACCCAGCTAATTTTGTATTTTTAGTAGAGACGGGGTTTTGCCATGTTGGCCAGGCTGGTCCTAAACTCCTGACCTCAGGTGATCCACCTGCCTCGGCCTGCAAAGTGCTGGGATTATGGGCGTGAGCTACTGTGCCGTGCGTTTTTTGAGACAGGGTCTCTTCTTATTGCTTAGGCTGGAGTGCAGTGGGGCCATCATAACTCACTGCAGCCTCGAGCTCCTGGGCTCAAGTGATCTTCCTGCCTTAGCCCTCCGAGTAGCTGGGACTAGGTGAGCACCACCACACCCGGCTAATTTTTAAAATTTTTTGTAGAGACAGGGTCTTGCAGTGTTTCCCAGGCTGGTGCCTGGGCTCAAGCAATCCTCCCCTCTGAACCTCCTGAGTATCTGGGACTACAGCTGTGTACCACCACGTGCAGCTAATTTATTTTTATTTTCGTAGAGATGGGGTCTCCCTGTTTTCCAGGCTAGTCTGGAACTCCTGGCCTTAAGCAAGCATCCCACTTTAGCCTCCCGAATAGCTGGGACCATAGGCGCACACTACTACTATTTTTATTTTTATAGAGGCTGAGTGTTGCTGTGTTGCCCATGCTGGTCTTAAACTCCTGGGATCAAGAGATCCTCCTGCCTCAGCCTCCCAAAGTGCTGGGATTACAGGCGTGAGCTGCCTTGCCTAGCTGCTATTGAGCTCTTGAAATGGAGCATTCCTGATGGGACTGAAGAATGGAGTTTTATCTCATTTAACAAGAGACTGTCAGATTGGAGCGTCCTCATGGTTATGGCCTCTTGTGGCCCAGAACCTGCTGCCTGGCAGGTAGTGGGTGCTTGCTCAGTATCTGTGGACAGAGCACCTCATGCCCAGGGCGGACAGGTGCTAAGTTTGTGGCTAGCTGCAGGGAGGCCAGAAGGAGGGAGCTTCCTGGGTTCTGGCCCATGTCAGTGTCAGTGGTGTTTGTTCTGGGAATCCCCAGGCCCTGGGGCGGGTGGAGAGCTTTTGCATTGGCAGCTGCCTGGTTCTGTGTGTCTGGGGCTTTTGATTGGCTCTGGCCGGTTCATGGGCGGAGAAGGGGGAGTTTGACTGTCAAGGGCGAAAAGTCGCCGTGTTTATTGATACCGTAAAGCATGTTTTCTTAAGGAAATAAAAAGTGTTTATGGACTCAGAGTTAAGATATCGTCACCTGCTTTACGGGGTCGTTGGGGGCCTTAAGTGAGCTTACGTGGGCAGAGAGCTGAACGTGGCACCTGGCACGGAATTAAGCTGCTAGTTTTTTCAGGGTGCGTGTGTTTCGTCTGTCCTAGGCTAGCAGGTCACCAGGACTCATGCTCCCTGTGGGTGTGAGTTAAGCAGCTGGCTCATGCCTTCTGTGCTGAGGACATATGAGAGTGTCGTGGTTTCAGTGCTTCTTTGATTGGGATGGGTGTGATCAGAGCAGTGTAGCCTAGGCTCCTGGCCAGTGTGTGGGCACAAGCAGGAAGAGACAGTGCCAGAGACTCATCACTCTGAGGGGGAAGGGAGGGGCTTTCTTTTGCTCTCTCAATCTCTGCTCATTTTGGAAAAGTGAAGGGGGTTCAGGGAAGTCGGGGGAGATTGCTGTTCTTTTGATCTTCTGAGGGATTGGGGTCTGTGGATGCAGTTTGGGTGGTAGCTGAAAGAATTCCCCACTTTCAGGTGGACGTGGATGGGGTGGAGCTGGAGGTCAGAGATGTGCTCTGTCTCTGATGTCTCTGGGGTGCTCCGAGCTGGTGTGTTCACTCTTGGCACGTGTGAGGGAATGTCCGTTTTATTTATTTATTAATTATTACTATTATTATTATTATTTTGAGATGGAGTTTTGCTGTTTTTGCCCAGGCTGGAGTACGGTGGCATGATCTCGGCTCACTGCGACCTCCGCCTCCCGGGTTCAAGTGATTGTCCTGCCTCAGCCTCCTGAGTAGCTGGGGTTACAGGCACGCACCACCACACCCAGCTAATGTTGTTATTTTTAGTAGAGACGGGGTTTCACCACATTGGCCAGGCTGGTCTTGAGCTCCTGACCTCAGGTGATCCGCCTGCCTCGGCCTCCCAAAGTGCTGGGATTAGAGGCATGAGCTGCCGTGCCTGGTCTGGGAATGGTCAAATGGGCAACTTCACTCCATCGTGCCTGTGTCGAAAACTCCACTGTCCTGGATGAGAGAAACGGACTCATGGAGCAGTGAGGAATTCAGTGGGCCTGGCTCCAGCAGGACGGTGGCTGTGGGATTCACCTGGCTCTGCAGAGCGCTCCTCTGTTTATTTTTTATAATCTGCTTTTCTGCAATTCTGGGTCAGAGAGAGTGCAGGGTTCACAAGGAGGTAGGGGTGTGTCCAGCAGGGAGTTGCTGAGCTGGACGGAGGTCGAAGCGAGAACGGTCTCCTCTTGCTTTTTCAGTTTCGATTGTAGGGGTCGCTGGCATGCCCTGTGGGTTTTTTTTTTTTTTTTTTTCTTTAGATGATGTCTTGCTCTGTCGCCCAGGCTGGAGTGCAGTGGTGTGATCTCGGCCGCACTGCAACCTCCACCTCCCGGGTTCAAGTGATCCTCCCACCTCAGCCTCCGGAGTAGCTGGGATAACAGGCCCTGTCCACTACAATACAATACAAATAGAAAATACAACAGTTTGTGTATTTTTTAAAAATACAGACGGGGTTTTGCCATGTTGGCCAGGCTGGTCTCGAACTCCTGGCCTCACGTGAGCTGCCCGCCTCAGCCTCCCAAAGTGGTAGGATTACAGATGCAAGCCATTGCACCCGACCTCCCTGTGGGTTCTTGTAGGAGGCCAAGTTGGTTGTCACCCACTTAGCCTCTCCAGCCTGGGACACAGCCTCGGGAGGGACAGATTGGAGCATACAAGAGAGAGCGCACTTTGACTGGTTCGATGGGCAGGGGCTGGTAGCCTGGCGGGGCTGGACCCTTGTCCCACCCAAGAGTTGCCGGACCATCCTGAGGTTGGGGTCTTGCTGGAGTGAAAGCTTAGGTGTTGGTGGGAGCAGTCAGAGGAATGCCCGCCACGGATGCGTGCATGTGGTTTCTCTTGGACTCGGAGGTGGCAGGTGCTGCCAGAGCTGTAGCTGTGTTGGTTCACGTTCCCCCCGTCTGGAGTGGATTTCAGCAGATCAGGGGATTATTCTCTGTCTCTGGAACCCCTGTCTTCCCATCTTGCCCAGTAAGAAAAGCAGATCAAAATGGCGTGAGCATGGCGGGGGCCGGAGCGTTGCCTGCCTGGCAGGCTCCCCTCCCAAAGCTGGCTGGTTGTCTCCCCGGAAGATTTGAAGACTCTTGTCCTCCGTTGTATAGTTAGGCTGGAGACTCTGGGGAAGCCAGCAGTGGTGGGCCGGCTCACTGGCTCGTAGAAAGAAGGGCAAGGGATCTGCTAGCGGTAACAGCGTTTGCCCATTCCCATGGTGTAAACACCCTTACTGTGGCCTGTTTCGTGCTGCCACTGGGAGGCTGCTGGGAGGGGCACTGGGAAGAGAATGCATGATTGGCTGTCATGAGCCCTTTCCCTCCTGAGTCAGGTCCTCTGCGGTTGTCACCCTTGGGCCATCGTAATCCCATGGGACAGGCAGTGACCACCGTGACCTTCCTGAGCATAGGGCTTCTCTCATCCTCCGGTGCCCGGAAAGCCTGGAGTGACTGGTGGGTGAGGCTGGCAGCATCCAGTCTAGGAAGGGCCTGGGTCCAGCACTCGGAAGATGCCATGCAATGACCGAGGCACCCAGGGCAAGGGAGAAGCCTGGACTGGGAGGGGAGCTGGTGACATGGGGCAAGGCCTTTGTACGGCCGCCTACTAGGTATTCGGACCTGTTTGTTCTGGCACCTTCCAGTACGTTCTCAGAACCATTAAAACCAATAAAATGACACCAGCTCCTGCTGCCCTGTGACTTATCTCTATTAAAAACTACTTTGACTGCAGATACGGACTCAGAGGAAGACGAAGAATTCCTGAAGGACGAGTGGCCCGCCCAAGGCCCCTCCAGCTCCAAACTGACGCCTTCCCTCCTGTGTAGCATGGTGGCAAAGAACAGCAAGGCAGCTGGTGGCCCCAAGCTGACCAAGAGGGGCCTGGCGGCCCCCCGGACTCTGAAACCCAAGCCGGCCACCAGCAGGAAGCAGCCGTTTTGTCTGCTGCTTCGAGAGGCCGAGGCGCGTTCCTCCTTCAGCGACTCTTCGGAGGAATCGTTTGACCAAGGTTACTAGCTCCAAACACAAAATACCTTCCGTGTTTCCTAGCGAGAGAGTGCGTGCGAGTGAGCGAGAGGGAAGCGAGTGGGCGCACGGGAGAGATGGTGGGTGAGGAGGCCCGTGCGGATGGCCGCAAGAAGGCTGCCATCTGGGTTCTTGGCAGCGTAGCCTGCTGTTATCAGCCGAATGATTTTGATTTTTGCTTTGATTTGTACTGTATCATTGTGATAATATCCCCGGCTGGCTCTTTTTGAGCTGTTATATGGACTGCTTTTGAGTCTGCGTTTCTCTCCACTTGCCCTCCTCCCTGCCCTCCTCCCCCTCCCCCGAGTTCCCCCCACCCCCGCACTCACGTTTTCTGCCCACCCAGAGACCCCAGGCTTGGTTCGGGCTCTCTTTGGGCACGGGTTCGGTGGAGGCTTCCCGAGGAACATTTTGTAAATGGAATTCTGTCGTGTGGGCGTGTGACTTGATGTTTGTACCGCGATTTTGGTAATACCAAGCTTTATTAAACATATCGAGTTCATTTTTAACTAAACCTGTGTGCCTTGTCTCTCTTGCTGTGTCCTTACTAGACATTAGGTTGACGCTTCCCTCTCATTTTGTTTCTCCCCCACCTCCTCCCCTCCCTCCTCCCCACCCAGAAGGAGTAGGGACGGGACCGTGCCGCCTGCCGCTTGCCTGTGTTATTCAAATATCCCTGGTAGCGATTGGCATTCATTTCATTTTTCAGGTTTAAAATCAAGCGCCTTCACCTCCAGCATCATCATGTTTTTTTAGTTGCTTGTTTTGTCTTTTATTTTCTTAAAGCTCTATTCTTACTTGCCAGTGGTTAAAAACTATTATTTACAAACACTTGTCTTCTCACGTGTATTTCTGTTTTGAAGGGTGCGTAGGCAGTGCAGGGCCCAGAGCCTTTGACACCCCTGGTCTCTGTCATTCAATACGAAAGCGGCTCCGTTGCCGCATCAAGGGACGGAGCATCGTGCTCTGTTTGGAGAGAGGCTGGCCTGGTCCCAGCCCGGGGTCCTCAGCCACCTCGGTTCTCAAGAGAGAGCTGCCAGGCCCCTGAGAACCCGCTGGCCTTGCCCTTTCCAGTGTCAGAATTGTGCTTCTGGGGTTAGATGTGTGTGAGCCTTTTGGGCCCTTCAACCAGAAATGCCCCAAGAAAGGGAAGCAAGTGAATCTCTGACATTTTTTCCTAGCCCTGGTTTTAGGATTTGCTTCAGGGCGAACTCCCACTAGGGCCAGCTGAGGGGATCCCCCAGGCCCTGGGTAGCCACACCTGGATGTCAGCTACTCCCTGAGGAAGGTCTGGAGGTGTCATCGTGTCCCTGGGTCTGACCTGGCTCGGGCACCCCGGGACCTGAATGCTGCCCCCGCCCCCCGCCCGCCCTGTTTTTCCAGCCCTGCTCTTGAATTCCTGGTCTACCGCCTCCCCTCCCAGACCTCCCCTCCAAATTGGCAGAGATCCTTTTGGGTGACCAGGAGGTGGTATGGCGAGGAGTACGATGCCCCGGGGCCCATGTTCCCCTGGGCTGCTACTACCCCTCTGAGCGAACACCACCCCGGACCGAGAAGAGAGGCCCCCGACCCACTGGCCAGCCTCGTTTTCCGAGGCCTCCCCCTGCCCGGGCTGTCCGTGGATGAGCTGGGTTAGTTTACGATCCCCTTCTCCCTCCCCGGCCTCCTCCCTTTCCCCCATCTCCCCCATGGGCTGGACCCCACGCCCCCTTAAAGCCGCGGTTTCCGCTTCCAAGTTTTTGAGCCCTCCTGCCCCAGCTGAGACCCCACAGAGAAGCAGGCAGCGCCCTAGGCCTCTTAGGAAGGGGCTCCGGGCTGGCGCCGCAGTGCCAAGTGGACGGGACCCAGATAGGGGAGTGCGGGGGGTGAGGGGAGGCGGGGGAGGCCCAGGCTCCTCAGTGCCCCCCTCCACCCCCGCCAGTCCACCACTGAGCAGGTCTTGAAAGGGATATTTGGGTAATAGGGCCTCGCTGACCTGGTACTAAACTCCGTAACTGGCTTGGCTTTTCTAGTATGTCTGCTTCTTCCAGCAGCCCGACCATCCCTCCACCCTTGACCCCTCCCCATGACGCTTTGAATGTCTGTTTTGGTCTCTTGCATTTGCTCTCACGCTGCACTCTGGACGCAAAGCGAAGGCTGGGAGTAGGGCAGACGGCGCAGCGGGTCACTGAGCTTGGGTGCGAGCCTGGCTCGTTGCTCCGTAGGTAGGCAAAACGCTTTTCTTTCTGTCCTCCGTGCACCTCCCTCCTCGGGGTTCGCCCCCACCGGGTCTGGCAGCAGCAGATCGCTCTGACATTTACCACCAACCTGTCACCGCCAACCCCATGTCCTGAGCCAAGATCTTTTTTTGTTGTTGCTTTTTTCTTTAAATAATAATAATAATAAAAAGTTTTTCTGCATTTCCTTGGGTTACTTTGATGGGACTTTTTTCCCCCCTCCCTGTCCCCAGCCCTCGGCAAGCTGCATTGCCTCAGGTGTGGACAACTCCAGAAAGGTTTTCTTGGTCCTCAGAGCCCCTCTGCTCCCCAGCCTGCTGCGGACGCTAGCGGGGTGTGCACCAGACCCCGCAGGAGCAGCGGGTGTGGCCTTGTCAAGCACGCAGGGAGGCGGGAGGGTCTCCCATGCCGAGGTGCGGGCATTGGGCTGCTCTCGGCTTTCTGGGCTCTGGCGTGGACGTTGCGGGCATCCAGAAACCCAGAGCTCGCCCTCCCCCCGCAGCCCCAGCTGCTTGAGAATTCCTCTGGATGGGAAAGATTTCTGGAGTCTGCGCACCTGAGTGGCTAGAAGGGAAGATCCCTGGCCTCACGTCCAACCCCCTGCCCCCACCCCACAACCAGCCCCCTGCCCACCACCCTGCTCAAATTGGCCCACCCCAGGGAGACCTGATGTGGGGGACCCAGGCGCTGTTGAAAAGTCTGCCTACACTTAGCCTGCTTTGCCGCTGTGGCCCACTGGGGCGGAGACAGAGCCATGTGACGCCTGCAATGTGAATGATCGCAAGTGTGCACTGCCTGCCTGCCTGCCCCCGCCTGCCTGGCTGGCCTCTCCAGCCTGCTTCATCCATTGCTCCGGGGGCCAGTCTCCCCTCTCACCCTCTTAACAAACCTCCTCCCTCTCCCTCTGGCTCCTGCCTCCCTCCCTCCCTCCCTCCCTCTACTCCTCTGCGGACTCCTCAGACTCATCACCTTCACCGCCTTCCTCTCTGAGGTGGCCCAGCAGAAATCCGGGCTGTCTCCAATACATGAGTAGACAGAACCTCTGCCCTCATTGGCACCTCTGGGGCCACCACTTTTGGCCACAAGTTGCTTAAGCAAGCAGGCGGCTTGGGGCGTTGGCAGGAGACTGTGGAGTTGGCTGTCCGTCTTCCCCGTCTGTCTATCCGAGCCTAGACTGCTCCCCGCCCTGGAGAGAAAGGGTCTGGTGTCCACCTCTTCTTGCTGGAAGGGGCCACCTTCCAGCCCTGCGGCCCCTAGAGTCACTTTCCCGCTCCCAGCACTCTGGTCCGTGAGGCAGATGGGCACCCCTGTCACCTGCTCATGGGTGGCACTTTGGATGTTGCATCTCAGGGCAGAGTTTGCTCTCTCAGGCCTTCCACCTGCCCGTCCTTGGAAGCAAGTGTCTGCCTCAAGACAGTCTCTCTTTTTGGTGGGGGGTTTTGGTTTGTGTGCAGGGAGCCTCCTGTCTGCCAGCTGCCTTTGTCCTGAGAGCCTGGGCTGGGCTCCGGGGACTGCAGACTCTCAGGCAGGCAGGGAAGGTCACTGGATGAAGCTCATCTTAAGTCACCGACCAGAGAGGCAGGCTGGGGCTTCTTTATGTTTTTAAAGTTTTTATTACTTATTATTATTTTTTGAGACGGAGTCTTGCTCTGTCACCTAGGCTGGAGTGCAGTGGCGATCGCGGCTCACTGTAACCTCCGCCTCCGGGGTTCAAGTGATTCTTCTGCCTCAGCCTCCTGAGTAGCCGGGATTACAGGTGTCCGCCACTGCACCCGGTTAATTTTTGTATTTTTAGTAGAGATGGGGTTTCACCAGGTTGGCCAGGCTGGTCTCGAACTCCTGACATCATGATCCACATGCCTTGGCCTCCCAAAGTGCTGGGATTACAGGCGTGAGCCACTGCGCTGGCCTATTTATTTTTGAGACAGGGTCTCGCTCTGTCACCCAGGCTGGACTGCAGTGGTGCCACCATAACTCACTGCAGCCTTGGATTCCTGAGCTCAGGCGATCCTCCCGCTTCTGCCTCCGGAGTTGCCAGGACTGCAGGTGTAAGCCACCACGCCTGGCTAATTTTAAAATTTTTGCGGGGGGGCTGGGTGTGGCGGCTCATGCCTGTAATCCCAGCACTTTGGGAGGCTGAGGCGGGCAGATCATGAGGTCAGGAGATGGAGACCATCCTGGCTAACACGGTGAAACCCCGTCTCTACTAAAAATACAAAAAAAAAAAAAAAATTAGCCTGGTGTGGTGGTGGGCGCCTGTAGTCCCACTACTCGAGAGGCTGAGGCAGGAGAATGGCGTGAACCCAGGAGGTGGAGCTTGCAGTGCGCCGAAATCGTGCCACTGCACTCCAGCCTGGGTGACAGAGCGAGACTCTATCTCAAAAAAAAAAAAAAAATTTTTTTTTTTGTAGAGACAAGGTTTGCTCTGTCGCCCAGGCTGGTCTTGAACTCCTAGCCTCAAGAGATCTTCCCGCCTCAGCCTCTCAGAGGGCTGGGATTACAGGAGTGAGCCACCTTGCCCGGCCCTGGGGCTTCTTTAGACAGTCTGCCAGCTCTGGGTTCGAGCCTGCTCTTCTACTGCCCGAGTGCTTAACCCCATTGGGCCTCAGTCTACCCCTGCCCTTCCTGGGCATCCCATGAGTGAAGAGTCACAGCTGACTTTAGCTCCCTGGGCATGGGGACAGCACAGTTCCTGCCTGCAAGTCACGGGGGTGGCCCTGTTTCTGTTCGATTGTCTTTAAGCTTGCAAATGGCTTTCTCCTCCATGCAAATGATTCTCTCTGGACCCCGGCCTTGGCTGAGCCAGTGGGCTGGGAGGGTCACCCCTTGCTGCAGGTGAGAAAATAGAGGCTCAGAGAGGGCCGAGGACTTGCCCAGCCTCCCCAGAATGGGGGAGTTGCTAGGAGTCAACTTAATTTTTTCTAATTAATTTTTCTAAAAAATTAGTCACGGGGACTCTGCGTTGCCCAGGCTGGTCTGGAACTCCTGGGCTCAAGTGATCCTCCTGCCTCGGCCTCCCAAAGTGTTGGGATTACAGGCGTGAGCCACTGTGCCCGGCTGGGGTCAACTTTATTTTATTTTATTTTTTTGAGACTGAGTCTCACTCTTGTCACCCAGGCTGGAGTGCAGTGATGCGATCTCAGCTCACTGCAACCTCCGCCTCCCGGGTTCAAGCGATGCCAGGAGTCGACTCTAGACTCCAGATCCCTTCTCGGGGCTGAAACCATGGGGGTCCCCTGGCCCCCAGGAAGAGTCCGAACTCCACTTTCTCCTGCCGCCAGCCCTCAGGACTCAGCTGGCGAAGCTGCCACAGGCACCTGTGCCCAGAACCCCTAGCCTGAGTCCCCAGGGCCCTCTTCCGTGCTCACCTCCCTCCGCTTCCTCTTTCCTTCTCCTCCTGCCTCTGTGTTGTGTGTTGGGGCGTGTGCGCGTGTGACTGTGGAGAACGCTGTCTCCAGTCCTTGTCCGTGTGTCTGGCCCCTGCCACAGCACAGGTGCATGTTGGTGCCCCTCACAGAAGCCCACCCTGACACACAAGGCCGCTGCCCACCTCCGGGCTTTCTGGGATGCCCGCGTTGGGCTCAGCTGGCCGGGGGCATTGGGCCATCGGATGGGGGGAACCCGTGGGCTGGGTCTGCATCCACCCCCAGCGGCCCCCTGCTCAGGACTGAGGGACTAGGCTGGAGCCCAGAGGCCACTCTGGGCCAGGGGGCGGTGGGGGGTGGCCCTCGCCAAGGCCAAGGCTCTGACTCGGTCCCTGTTTTCTGCACGCCAGATGAGAGCTCGGAGGAGGAGGACGAGGAGGAGGAGCTCGAGGAGGAGGACGAGGCCAGCGGTGGTGGCTACAGGCTGGGTGCCCGGGAGCGGGCCCTGTCACCGGGCCTGGAGGAGAGTGGGCTGGGCCTGCTGGCACGCTTCGCCGCCAGCGCCCTCCCCAGCCCCACGGTGGGTCCATCCCTGTCTGTGGTACAGCTGGAGGCCAAGCAGAAGGCCCGGAAGAAAGAGGAGCGGCAGAGCCTGCTGGGTAAGTGGCAGCAGGTGGGCTGCGGTGGGGGTGGGTGGGAGGGGCGGACGCCATTGCCCCATCCCACAGGTGAGGAAACTGAGGCTCAGAGATGCAGGTGCAGAGCTGGGAATGGGCAGAACCCCAGCCTCGTGGGCCAGCCCCGTGCTGATCAGGGATGCTCGCGACAGGGGCCCTGGCCTGCCATCTCCAAGGAGGGGATTCTTCGCCTTGCAAAGGGCGACCTCCTTCAGTCTCACACTGCCAGCAAACACAGCCCTGTTTTGGGCACTTGAGGGGCTGCGGGAGCTCCATGGAGGTCCCTGACCCAGCCTGGGGTTTGTGGGGGCCACTCCAGGTTGGTGACACCCAGTCTGGCCCGTGAGAGAGACGTGGGGTTACCCGAGACACAGGTGCAGGGGAAGGAACAGCCACGTCACGGTAGAAAGAAGAGAGAGCGCATCTCATTCAGACTTTGTGGGATGGTGGGGGTGCGGTCTGTGCCATGGGAGAACGGGTGGGACAGGCCTCATGTGGCCTGGGCTTGAGCCTGGAGGAGTCAGGTGGGGTGGGCAGGCACCAAGCTCTCTTTGACTTGCCCACAATCCAGATAGGTAAACCAAGGCAGCAGGCACTCACACTTGGGCAGGCAGCTGGCGCTTACCCCGGTCCATGTCTTTCCTGTCTCTCCATCTCTGACTGTTTCCCTGCATCAGGGCCCTGCCTTCTTGGGACCCTCTCGTGGGCCCTCCCTGTTCTCACCGGGCTGAGTGCCCTCACACGGACGCAGCTCACCTGCAGCTGGGGTCAGTGCCGGAGATGGAGATGGTCATGCATGTGTTCAGGCTCTGAGTTCCCCTGGCCCCAGCAGGGGAGGGTCCTTCTGACCCCCCCGGCATCCTTTTCTGAGCCACAGTAGGGGTAGGTATGAGGCTCTCCTGGCAGGGGCTAGGACAGGAAAACAGGTATTGCTGCCCCTGAAGGCCCCCCAGCTGCCCCTGGCTTCATGCCCTCTGCAGGTTCGTGGAGCAAAGCCCCACCCCTGACCTCCAGTGTCTTGGAACCCCATTTGTGGCACCCACGCCAGGCTCCAGACCCTGCCTTCCCCCTCCTCGCTCTCATGCCCTGCCATTGTTTGCTGGGCTCCAGGCCTGGCAGTCCTGGAAAGAGGCACCAGGGCCCCCTACAAGGCTACCTATTCTTAGGTATTGTTCATACAGAAGCAGCTGGAGGGTGTCTTCAGAGTGCACACTTGGCCAGGCCACTCTTCTGCCCAGAACCTCCAAATGGCTTCCCGCTGCCCTCTGATCAGTGCTACCTGTCTGACCCACCACCATCAGACTCTGATTGCTTGGACAACATTATCCTGTCCACAGCCCCTAAATGCACCAGCCAGGCTAGTACTCTCAGACATTTACACTTGCTATTCATACACCCCAAACATCCATTTCACCCAGACTGCCCAAGGTATTGGCATATGGTCCAAATTATTCCTTTATTCTGCGTTGACTGTCTGAAGGGTCTGTAGTGATGTCTCCTTTTTCATTGCTGATACAGATTGTTTCTTCTTACTCTGTTTCTTGGCCAGTCTGGCTAGACGTGATTAGTTTCATTGGTTTCTACTCTTTGTTATTTTCTTCCTTCTCATTCCTTTGGGTACACAAGCATGTCTTGGAGATACTGCAGGATTGCTTCCAAACCATAAAGCGAATATCACAGTAAAGCAAGTCACGTGAATGTTTTGGTTTCCCAGTGCATATAAAATTACGTTTAAACTATACTGTTGCCTATTAAGTGTGCAGTAGCATTATGTCTGAGAAAACAGTGTACATACCTTAATTAAAAAATAGATTATTGGCCATGCACGGTGGCTCACACCTACAATCCCGGCACTTTGGGAGGCCAAGGCAGGAGGATTGGTTGAGCTCAGTAGTTCAAGACCGGCCTGGGCAACAGAGCGAGACCCCATCTCTACAAAAAATAAACAGAAAAATTAGCCAGGCACGGTAGCATGCGCCTCTGGTCCCAGCTACTTGGGAGGCTGATGTAATAGGATCACTGGAGCTCGGGAGGTCGAGGCTGCAGTGAGCCGAGAATGCGCCACTGCACTGAAGCCCAGGCAAGAGAATGAGACCCTGTCTCAAAAATAAAAGACCAAACCAAAAGCATATGTTTACACTATCCTGTAGTCTCTTAAGTGTGCAATAGTATTATGTCTTTTTCTTTTTTGAGATACGGTCTCGCTTTGTCACCCAGGCTGAAGTGTAGTGGCGTGATCTCTGCTCACTGCAATCTCCACCTCCTGGATTCAAGTGATTCTCCTGCCTCAGCCTCCCGAGTAGCTGGGATTACAAGCACACACCACCACGCCTGGCTAATTTTTGTATTTTTAATAGAGACAGGGTTTCCCCATCTTGGCCAGGCTGGTCTCGAACTCCTGACCTCAGGTGATCTGTCCGCCTCGGCCTCCCAAAGTGCTGGGATTCCAGGTGTGAGCCACCGCGCCTGGACGTAATAGCATTATGTCTAAGAAAACATTGTACATATCTTAAAAATAGTGTATTGCCAAAAACGCTAACGATCATCTGAACCTTTAGTGAGTTGTAAACTTTTTGCTGATGGTGGGTCTTGCCTCGATGTTGATGGCTGCTGACTGATTAGGGTGGTGGTTGCTGACAGTTGGGGTGGCTGTGGCAATTTCTTAGAATAAGACAACAGTGAAGTTTGCCACATCGATTGACTCTTTCAAGAAAGATTTCTCTGTAACATGCAATACTGTGATAGCGTTTTACCTATAGAACTTCTTTCAACATTGGAAGCAGTCCTCTCAAACCCTGCTGCTGCTTTATCGGCTAAGCTTGTGCAATATTCTAAATCCTTTGTCATTTCAACAGTGTTCACAGCATCTTCACCAGGAGTAGATGCCATCTCAAGAAACCACTTTCTTTGCTCCTCCATAAAAAGCAGCTCCTCATCTTTTCAAATGTCTCATGACATTGCAACAATTCAGTCCCATCTCCAGGCTCCACTCTAACTTGAGTTCTATTGCTGTTTCCACCACGTCTGCAGTAACTTCCTCCAGTGAAGTCTTGAGCCTTTCATAGTTGTCCGCGAGGGTTGGAATCAACTTCTTTTTTTCTTTTTTTTTTTTTTTGAGACTGAGTCTCGCTGTGTCGCCCAGGCTGGAATGCAGCGGTGCGATCTCGGCTCACTGCAACCTCCGCCTCCCCAGTTCAAGCGGTTCTTGTGCCTTAGCCTCCCGAGTAGCTGGAATTACAAGTGCCCGCCACCACACCTGGCAGATTTTTGTATTTTTAGTAGAGACAGGGTTTCGCCATGTCGGCCAGACTGGTCTGGAACTCCTGGCCTCAAATGATCCACTTGCCTCGGCCTCCCAAAGTGCTGGGGTTACAGGCGTGAGCCACTGCACCCGGCCTAGAATAGTGAATTCTTTCCAGAAGGTTTTCCATTTACTTTGCCCAGATCCATCAGAGGAATCATCATCCGTGGCAGCTGTAGCCTTACAAATTATATTCCTTAAATAACGAGACTTGAAATTCAAAATTACTCCTTCATCTATGGGCTGCAGAATGGGCGCCGTGCTAGCAGGCATGGAACCAACATTCATCTCCTTGTACGTCTCCCTCAGAGCTCTTGGGTGACAAGGTACATCGTCAATGAGCAGTAGTATTTTGAAAGGAATTTTTTTTTGTGAACAATAGGTCTCAACAGCAGGCTTAAAATATTCAGTAAATCATGCTGTGAACTGAGATGCTGTTACCAAGGCTTTGTTATTCCCTTTTTTTTTTTTTTTTTTTTTGAGACGGAGTCTCGCTCTTTTGCCAGGCTGGAGTGTGGTGGTGCGATCTTGGCTCACTGCAACCTCCGCCTCCCAGGTTCAAGCGATTTTTCTGCCTCAGCCTCCCGAGTAGCTGGGATTACAGGCGTGCACCACCACATGTGGCTGATTTTTGTATTTTTGGTAGAAACGGGGTTTCCCCATGTTGGCCCAGCTGGTCTTGAACTCCTGACCTCAAATGATCCTCCTGCCTTGGCCTCCCAAAGTGCTGGGATTACAGGTGTGAGCCACCACACCTGGTCTGCTGTTCCATTGATAGAGTAGTGGCAGAGGTGATTCAGCATCTTTTTTTTTTTTTTTTTTTTGAGATGGAGTCTTGCTTTGTCGCCCAGGCTGGAGTGCAGTGGCGTGATCTCTGCTCACTGCAAGCTCTGCCTCCTGGGTTCATGCCATTCTCCTGCCTCAGCCTCCCGAGTAGGTGAGACTACAGGTGCCCGCCACCATGCCTGGCTAATTTTTTTGTGCTTTTTTTTTTTAGTAGAGACAGGGTTTCACTGTGGTAGCCAGGATGGTCTCCATCTCCTGACATCGTGATCCGCCTGCCTCAGCCTCCCAAAGTGCTGGGATTACAGGTGTGAGCCACTGCACCCGGCCTGTTGTTCCACTGGTAGACCCCTGGCAGAGGAGATTTAGCATCATTCTTAAGGACCCTGGGGTTTTCAGAATGGTAATTGAGCATTGGCTTCAACTTAAAAGTCCCCAGCTGCATTAGCCCCCAGCAAAAGTCGGGCTGTCCTTTGAAGCTTTTAAACCAGGCACTGACTTCTCCTCTCTAGCTATGATAGCCTTAGATGGCATCTTCTTAGAAGGCTGTTTTGTCCACATTGCAAATCCATTGGTTGGTGTAGCCACTTTAATCAGTGACCCTAGCTGGATCTTCTGGAGAACTCGCTGCAGCTTCTCCATCAACACCGGCTGCTTATCCTTGCATTTTTATGTTATGGAGACGGCTTCTTTCCTTTTCTTTTTTTTTTTTTCTCTGAGATGGAGTCTCACTCTGTTGCCCAGGCTGGAATGTAGTGGTGCAATCTCAGCTCACTGCAACCTCTGCCTCCCGGGTTCAAGTGATTCTCCTGCCTCAGCCTCCCAAGTAGCTGGGATTACAGGCACCCGCCACTACGCCTGGCTAATTTTTGTGTTTTTTTTTTTAGTAGAGATGGGGTTTCACCATGTTGGCCAGGCTGGTCTCGAACTCCTGACTTCAAATGATCCTCTCGCCTCGGCCTCCCAAAGTGCTGGGATGACAGGCGTGAGCCACCGTGCCCAACTGATAGCTTCTTTCCTTACACCTCATGAGACAATCTCTGCTGGCTTCAAACTTTTCTTTTGCAGCTTCCTCACTTCTCTCAACCTTCACAGAATTGAAGAGAGTTGGGGCCTTGCTGTGGATGAGGATTTGGCTTGGCTTCAAGGAATATTGAGGGTGGTTTGATCTTCTCTCCAGATCACTCAAACTTTCTCTATGTCAGCAATGAACCTGTTTCACTTTCTTATTTGTGTGTTCACCAGAGCACTTTAGATTTCCTTCAAGAACTTTTTCTTTGCATTCACAGCCTGGCAGTTTGGCACAAGAGGCCTTGCTTCTAGGCTATCTTGGCTTTTGACTGGCTTAAGCCTTCCTCACTAAGTTTAATCATTTCTAGCTTTCGATTTAAAGTGAGAGACATGTGACTCTTCAATTCACTTGAACATTTAGAGGCCATTGTAGGATTATTAATTGACCTAATTTCGGTATTGTTGTGCTTTAGGGAATAGGGAGGCCCAAGGAGAGGGAGAGAGATGAGGAAGGCCGGTTGGCGGAGCAGTCAACACACACTTTTTTTTTTTTTCTTCCTCGCTATATAAAGAACATACAGCCGGGTGTGGTGGCTCATGCCTGTCATCCCAGCACTTTGGGAGGCCGAGGTGGGCGGATCACTTGAGGTCAGGAGTTCGAGACCAGCCTGACCAACACGATGAAACCCCATCTCTACTAAAAATACAAAAATTATCCAGATGTGGTGGCGGGCGCCTGTAATCCCAACTACTCTGGAGGCTGAGACAGGAGAATCGCTTGAACCTGGGAGGCAGAGTTTGCAGTGAGCAGAGATCGGGCCATTGCACTGCCCTCCATCCTGGGTGACAAGAGCGACACTCTGTCGAAAAACACACACACACACACACACACACACACACACACACATTGGCTGGGCACGATAGCTCGCGCCTGTAATCCCAGCACTTTGGGAGGCCGAGGCAGATAGAACATCAGAGGTCAGGAGTTTGAGACCAGCCTGGCCAACATGGTGAAAGCCCATCTGTACTAAAAAGATAAAAACTAGCCAGGTGTGGTTGTGGGCACCTGTAATCCCAGCTACTTGGGAGGTTGTGGCATAAGAATCGCTTGAGCCTGGGAGGCGGAGATTGCAGTGAGCTGAGACTGCACCACCGTACTTCAGCCTGGGCAATAGAGTGAGACTCCATCTCAAAAAACAAAAAAACACAAAAAAAAAAAGAAAAAAAAAGAAACAAAAAAAACACATTTGTTGGTGAAGTTTCCCATCTTATATGGGCACTGTTCACGGAGCCCCAAAACAATTGCAATTTTTTGTAGAGAAGAGGTCTCGCTCTGTTGCCCAGGCTGGTCTCGAACTCCTGATCTCAAGTGATCTGCGCTCATTGGCCTCCCAAAGTGCTGGGACTACAGGTGTGAGCCATTGTGCCTGGCCTTGTCTAGTAATTTTGGATTGTGTGTCTTGGACGTTGTGGGGCTGAGGTTGTGGAGAGCCAGAATGCCTTTTTTTTTTTTTTTTTTTTTCCTTTTGAGATGGAGTTTCGCTCTCATTGCCCAGGCTGGAGTGCAACGGCATGATCTCGGCTCACCACAACCTCCACCTCCCGGGTTCAAGTGATTCTCCTGCCTCAGCCTCCCAAGTAGCTGGGATTGCAGGCATGCGCCTCCATGCCTGGCTAATTTTGTATTTTCAGTAGAGACGGGGTTTCTCCATGTTGGTCAAGCTGGTCTCAAACTCCCGACCTCACGTGATCTGCCTGCCTTGGCCTCCCAAAATGCTGGGATTACAGGCGTGAGCTACTGTGCCGAGCTCTTTTTTTTTTTTTTTTTTTTAATGTGCAGCGTTGCCCAGGCTGGAGTGCAGTGACACAATCTAAGCTCACTGCAACCTCTACCTGTTGCCCAGGCTGGTCCTGACCTCAGATGATCTGCCCACTTTGGCCTCCCAAAGTGCTGGGATTACAGGCCTGAGCCACGACGCCTGGCCCCTTTTATCATTTTAGAATGTTCTTCTTTGTTGCTAGTAACAATTTTTGTCTTAAAAAGTCTATTTTGTTTGTTATTAGTATAGCCACGCCAGCTCTCTTGGTTACAATTGGCGTGGTATACCTTTTTCGTGCTTTGCCTTTCAGTTTATTAGTGTCTTAGTCTTTAGTTTTTTGTCTAATTTTTGGTTCTCCTTGCCTTTTAAACAAATTTATTTGAATATGTTTAAGAATTCCATTTTAATTTTCCTGTTAGCTTTCTCAGTATCATTTTGTCATTTTTAAAAATAGAAAATAGAGATAACAATATACATTCCTTTTTACATCCACTTACCATGTTTTTTTCACATAAAATACAGAAATCTTGCAACTTTGTAAGTCCATATCATACCTCATATTTTATATTATATGTAATACTTTTTCACATGGTATCAACCCCTAAAGACAATGTTACAAACTTAGTTTTGTTTTGTTTTGTTTTTTGAGATGGAGTCTCACTCTGTCGCCCAGGCTGGAGTGCAGTGGCGTGATCTTGGCTCACTGCAATCTCCGTCTCCAGGGTTCAAGCGATTCTCCTGCCTCAGTCTCCCAAGTAGCTAGGATTACAGGCACCTCCCACCTCGCCTGGCTAATTTTTGTATTTTTAGTAGAGATGGGGTTTCACCATCTTGGCCAGGCTGGTCTTGAACTCCTGAGCTCATGATCCACCCGCCTCAGCCTCCTAAAGTGCTGGGATTACAGGCATGAGCCCCCGGACCCGACCACAAACTTAGTTTTAATCATTTAAATGGCTTATAAGGAAATTGAGAGGAAAAGTGAACAAAGTCTTTTGTATTTATTCAGATATTTATTATTTCTGTTGCTTTTCATTCTTGTCTGAGGATTCCAGTTTTCCTGCAGTTTCAGCCCAAAGAACTTCATTTAGCAGTTTTGCCTTGTAGAGCTGCTGGTGAGGAATTTTCTTGGTGTTCCTTTTTTTTTTTTGAAACAGTCTCACTCTGTCACCCAGGCTGGAGTGCAATGGCGCGATCTTGACTTACTGCAACCTCCGCCTTCTGGGTTCAAGTGATTCTGCT
Organism: Homo sapiens; assembly: GCF_000001405.40. Lineage (NCBI taxonomy): Eukaryota > Metazoa > Chordata > Mammalia > Primates > Hominidae > Homo > Homo sapiens. Next base: position 5,337,389 of record NC_000007.14, on the reverse strand, counting down.
GCCTCAGCCTCCCGAGTAGTTGGGATTACAGGTGTGAGCCATCATGCCCGGCCTCTTAGTGTTCTCTTACCTGAAAATGTTTCTATTTCACCTTCATTCTTCAGTGTTGTTTTTACTGGATATAGAATTTTGGGTTGACAGTTTTTTTTTTTTCTTTGAGTCCTTAGAAGATATCCTGCTCTCTTCTGGCCTCTGGTTTCTGATGAGAAGTTCGCCATTAATCAGACGATTGTTTTGGAAGTGATAGGTTACATTTTTCTTGTTGTTCCTGGGGGTTCGTGTTTATCTTTGTCAGCCGTTTGACTGTGGCATGCCTCGTGGCGGATTTGTTGATGTTTATTTTGCTTGGTGTTTATCTGACACCCAACATCTGCAAGTTTCTGTTTGTCATCAAATTTGGGAAGATTTCAGCTATTGAGGAAAAGCAAATATTCAAGCATTTTTTCTTGTTCTTTCTTTTCCTGTTTAACATACATTTTACCATTTGTTATCTGACAGGTCTCTGAGGCTGGTTCCCCCACACCCAAACTCATAAACTCACTCGCTTACTTTTCTCTTAATCATATCCATTCAGCTCTTAGATCCCCTCCATGGATTTTTTATTTCTGAAATTGTACTTCTCAGTTTTATAATTTCTTTGTGTTGTTTGAGACAGGGTCTTGCTCTGTCACCCAGGCTGGAATGCAGTAGCACAATCATGGCTCACTGAAGCCTCAACCTCCTGGGCTCAGGTGATCCTCCCACCTCTGCCTCCTGAGTAGCTGGGACCACAGGTGCATGCCACCATGACTGGCTAATTATTGTATTTTTTGTAGAGACAGAGTCTTGCTATGTTGCCCAGGCTGGTCTTGAACTCTTGACCTCAGGGATCCTCCTGCCTCAGCCTCCCAAATTCCGGGATTATAGGTGTGAGCCACTGTGCCTAGCCAGTTCTATACTTACAATTGGTTCATTTGGTTCTTTTCTGTTGTTTCTTTTTGTCCTTCCTATTTCTCTGGTGAAATTTTCATGCATTGAAAACAAGTTTTATTTCACCTCTTTGAGGATTTCAGAATCGTTGGCTGTTCTTTCCAACATGTGGTTCATCTCAGGGTCACGTTTAGTTGGTTTTCTTTTTTCTCTCTGGAATGTGATGCATTTTCTTGGTTCTTCATTTGTCTAGTAATTTTTTTTTTTTTTTTTTAAAACAGAGTCTCGCTCTGTTGCCCAGGCTGGAGTGCAGTGGTGTGATCTCTGCTCATGGCAACCTCCGCCTCCTGGGCTCAAGTAATTCTTGTGCCTCAGCATCCCAAGTAGCTGGAATTACAGATGCATGCCACCACGCCCAGATAATTTTTGTATTTTTTGTAGAGATGGGGTTTTGCCATGTTGGCCAGGCTGGTCTCAAACTCCTCACCTCAAGTGATCTGCCCGCCTTGGCCTCCCAAAGTGCTGGGATTATAGGTGTGAGCCACTGTGAATGGCCTTGTCTAGTAATTGCGGACTGTATCTTGGACATTGTGGGGCTGAGGTTGTGGAGAGTCAGAATGCCTTTTTTTTTTTTTTTTTTTTTTTCCAGTGAATATGATCTCCTTTGTTTTAGCAGATATTTCCTTGGTGGGACTTGAAGTCCAGTTTCTTAGGTGGTATCTCTGGCCTCTGTTCAGATCACTTTTTGCTGAGCCCTGGGCTGCTTGGAGTCTATTCTGTGTATAGGTAGTTTCAGGGCCATTTAGAGACACTGGGGAGAGAGAGAGCATGGGGACCTCTCTCTGGCTCCCTTTCTAATTTTTTTTTTTTTTTTTCTAGACGGAGTCTCACTCTGTCACCCAGACTGGAGTGCAGTGGCGCGATCTCAGCTCACTGCAACCTCTGCCTCCTGGTTCAGGCAATTTCCTGCCTCAGCCTCTTGAGTAGCTGGGACTACAGTGCCCACCACCATGCCTGGCTAATTTTTGTATTTTTATCAGAGATGGTGTTTCACCATGTTGGCCAGGCTGGTCTTGAACTCCTGACCTTGTGATCTGCCCAAATTGGCCTCCCAAAGTGTTGAGATTACAGGTGTGAGCCACTGTGCCTGGCCAAATTTTTTTTTTTTTTTTTTTTTTTGAGACAGATTCTCACTCTGTGGCCCAGGCTGTAGTGCAGTGGTGCAATGTCTGCTCACTGCAGCCTCCACCTCCGGGTCCAAGTGATTCTCCTGCCTAAGCCTCCCGAGTAGCTGGGACTATAGGCACCCGCCACCATGCCCGGCTAATTTTTGTATTTTTAGCAGAGACAGGTTTCTCACCATGTTAGCCAGGATGGTCTTGAACTCCTGACCTCAGGTGATCCGCCCGCCTTGACCTCCCAAAGGGCTGGGATTACAGTTGTGAGCCACTGTGCCTGGCCACTGGCTCGCTTTCTATTCTCTTCTGTGTTGCCAGTTTCTAGACTTCTCTTTCCTGGTGCTGAGGTCAGCGGGACTCTATTTCTTTTCTATGTGGGCCCCACCTTCCCTGCTGTGTGTGCCAAGAAGACCGTGTCTAGTGCCAGGGTAGAGGGTGCAGGGAGATCTGCCTCCTGTGACTTCACTCTCTGCCTTCCACGTGAGCCTCCTCTCTGTCTACTGTCCCTCCCTGCACCATACACAATGGGCCTGTGAAGGATTACGTACGCCAGGTGTTCCAGTGGATCTCTGGGGGGACTGTTACGGGGTGGTACCTCATTCTGTCATACCCAGAGCAGAGCGCTCATGCCTGTGGCCTGCACCCACATCAGCCTCAAAAGCCCCTTGCTGCCTCCTTGCACAGTGGAAAGTTGGAAAGTCTTGTTAGCAAAAGATTAATGATCACACCTGTAATCCCAGCACTTTGGGAGGCCGAGGCAGGCAGATCACAAGGTCAGGAGTTCGAGACCAGCCTGCCTAACACGGTGAAACCCCGTCTCTACTAAAAAAAAAAAAAAAAATGCCAGGCGTGGTGGCGGGCACCTGTAGTCCCAGCTACTCAGGAGGCTGAGGCAGGAGAATGGCATGAACCCGGGAAGCGGAGCTTGCAGTGAGCCGAGATCACGCCACTGCACTCCAGCCTGGGCGACAAAGCGAGACTCCGTCTCAAGAAAAAAAAAAAAAAGTTAATTAATAGGATTATTACACTTTGCTGGTGACTTTTTCCCACTGGGCAGCCCCCGCCAGCCCCTGTTGCTGTGGCTTCATCTACCGGGGCAGTGCAGAGCAAGCCTCTCACGGCTGCCCCCCGGGGTCAGTAGGCCTGGGATTGGGCCTTGGCTTTTCGGCTCCTGTGCTGGAGGATTTAAGGCAGACCACTGGCTCTCCCTGAGGTTGTTAACGCAAGGGACTGTCATAGAGATTGCATCCCTGAGTGAAGGCACCTTGGAGCCCCTGTCCTGGGGAGCAGTGCCATCTACGCCTCACTCACACTCTTTTCCTGGACACCAGCTCTGACCTGGGGCTTGAGCTGGAGATCCCAGAGAACTCGGATCTGCTTCCCAGGGTCAGGGCAGGCTGGGATAAGCTGGGACCTGGGCATGGACAGAAATGCGAAGGTGTGGCATTGCCTGTGACAACAGAGGTGCGGCCATAGAGGACTTCCCGGGTTGTGGGGTGGGTCTCCTTCTGAAGGACTTAGCGCCGTTCCAAGGAGAGGTCGGGGGAGCTGGTGCTTTGTGCATAGGGGATGGCAGAGAGCAAAGCTTGCAGCTGGGAATGAGTGGGGATGGTGGGTGCTGGGCGAGTGCTGGGTGGCTGTGCTCAGAGGCTGTGCATTCAAGCAGCCCGGGAGCTGGGACCCAGGATCCAGGACAGAGGGAAGCAGGGCCTTGGCTGTGCAATGGGTGGGGCCTGGGGTGGGAGGAGGGCTGCTGGGGTGGCCATGTCGTGTAGAGAGGGCAGTGGGAGTGGACGATTCCTGGGACCACCCAGTTCCGACAGGCAGCACCAAGAACGGGGGAGAGAAGGCGAGCGGGGCTTGGGGATTCTCTGCGGGTTTCCCCGCCTGCCTGCCTTAGAGGGCTGCTGCCCTGCAGGTGTGGGGCCCGTCCTGCCCAGCTGCCCTGGCTTCTGGGATTTCCACAAGTCACATGGGGTTTTGGAGGAGCTCAAGGGGCCCAGGATCTTCCCATGGGGCAAGGGGCTGGGAGCAGCGTCCGGGCAGCCGAGGCGGCGTAGGGACAGGCGTAGGGACAGGCGTGGTCCCGATGAGTCTTTCTCCTCTGGGCCTCAGTTTCCTCTCCTGGAAACGGGCAGAAGCGCTGCCATTGGCGGGGAGGTCCCGCCGGGGAGGAATGGTGTCCATGTGGCTGGGTGGGAGGGAAGGGGTCCCCACGAGGCTGTGACCAGCACGCCCTCCTCCCGCGTTCAGGCACAGAGTTCGAGTACACCGACTCAGAGAGCGAGGTCAAGGTGCGCAAGCGGTCGCCTGCGGGGCTGCTGCGGCCCAAGAAGGGGCTGGGGGAGCCGGGACCCTCCCTGGCCGCACCCACGCCTGGCGCCCGCGGTCCCGACCCCAGCAGCCCAGACAAGGCCAAGCTGGCGGTGGAGAAGGGGCGCAAGGCCCGGAAGCTGCGGGGCCCCAAGGAGCCTGGCTTCGAGGCGGGGCCCGAGGCCAGCGACGACGACCTGTGGACGCGGCGCCGCAGCGAGCGCATCTTCCTGCACGACGCCTCGGCTGCTGCACCTGCGCCCGTCAGCACCGCGCCCGCCACCAAGACCAGCCGCTGCGCCAAGGGCGGCCCCCTGAGCCCGCGCAAGGACGCCGGGCGTGCAAAGGACAGGAAGGACCCCAGGAAGGTAGGGGCCGCGCTGGGAGGGGGTGCCGCAGAAGGGTCCCTGGGGTTCCGTGAGGGAGGGGCCCTCTCCCCTCCCAGCCTAGGGAAGCGGCTTCACTGTTAATAACCATGTACTCGGCTCCAGGCCCGCCCGGAGCCCCTGCTAGGACTTAGCCACAGCAGGAGCTGGGCACCTGTTCCTTTGTTTCTTAAGAGTCAACTCTTGCTCTGTCACCAGGCTGGAGCGCAGTGGCCTGATCATGGCTCACTGCAGCCTTTACCTCCTGGCCTCTAGCAGTCCTCCTGCCTCAGCCTCCCAAATAGCTGGATCTTCAGACACATGTCACTGCACCTGGCTAATTTATTGTTTGTAGAGAGGGGATCTCGCTATGTTGCCCAGGCTGATCTTGAACTCCTGACCTTTAGTGATTCTTCTGCCCCAACCTCCCAAAATGCTGAGATTACAGGCATGAGCCACCATGCTTGACCACCCGTATCTTACAGAGGTCCTTACTCTCTTTTCTCCTGTCTCAGAAGACGACTTTAAAAAGTGAATAAGATACCTGGGACCCCAAAGGAAGACAGTGATAGTGACCATAGTTATCAAAATATTGAAAAGACCCTTCTGTGATATGGTACCTATACATTCCTTTAGGGATGTATTTAATTAATAAACACATCTGCCAATGGGTCTAGTAAATACCGTACTTAAAATTTTATTATTTTATATTTTAGAGACAGAGTCTCACTCTGTCACCCAGGCTGGAGTGCAGTGCTGTGATCATGGCTCACTGCAACCTTGAACTCTTGGGCTCAAGCAGCCCTCCCACCTCAGCCTCCTGAGTAGCTGGGACTACAGGTGCATACCACCGTGCCCAGCTAATTTTTAAATTTTAAGTATAGACAAGGTCTTGCTGCATTGCCCAGGCTGGTCTCAAACTCTGTTCTCCTGCCTCAGCCTCTCAAAGTGTTGAGATTCCAGGCGTGAGCCACTGCACCCGGCTAGTGCTGTACTTCTGAAGCAGTGTAAAGGATGTTTTAAGGTCCCTGGAGTAACTATTGTGTGCTGCAAGTCTCTGTGGTTTCCGTTGCTGCAAGACTCTGTGGTTTCACCGGCGCTGCTGGTACTTTTGTGGTTTGTGGCCTCCACTCTCACCTGAAGGAAAACCCCATTTTTTTTTTAGAGGTTAAAATGTGAAAATGCAGGTGGGATTTTCTTTCCTACCCATTTACAGATTTCCTAAATTCTCTCTATGAACACCCCAGATTAAGAAAACTTGCTTTTAGACAACTTTATAATCGGGCCTGTTACCCTTTTTGCACTGGCCACTAGGAAGCTGAGGGCCAGTTGCTTCCTCCTCCTATTTGGATGCGTTCAGACTTAACAGCTAGGTTTTGACGGTATTCTGTCAAAATACCTCTCCACCCTGAGCCCTTGATATAGGAGGAACCCTCAAATAAGGGTGACATTCTAGAGAAGATCACAAAAAAGATGAGAGTCACATTGATTTCCTGACAAAGGGGTAGTAGTGAGGAAGGGGCCAGTGTAAGCACCATCCATAGGCACCTTGGATTTGTGCTCTTGTCTCCTGGTGGCAGAGGCCATCTCAGGTTTTTGAAGGCCTTGCAGGACAGGTGTCACAATTAGTCACAATAATAATAATGATTCAGCCGGGCACGGTGGCACACACCTGTAATCCCAGCACTTTGGGAGGCCAAGGTGGGTGGATCACTTGAGGTCAGGAGTTTGAGACCAGCCTGGCCAACATGACGAAATCCTGTCTCTACTAAAAAATACAAAAATTAGCCAGGCATGGTGGCGGGTGCCTGTAATCCCAGCTACTCAGGAGGCTGAGGCAGGAGAATCTCTTGAGCCCGGAAGGCGGAGGTTGCAGTGAGCTGAGATTGTGCCACTGCACTCCAGCCTGGGCGACAGAGTGAGACTCTGTCTCCAAAAATAAAATAATAATGCTACCAGGTAGCACATAGTAGGCCCAGACATGTTCTAACCCCTTCACTTCACACACTTACCATGCAGGACTGTGTGAAGTGGGTTTCTCCTATGAACCGCTCTCTATAGGTGGCTCACATATGGACAGGCACCAGACTGGCTGCGGTGGCTCACGCCTGCAATCCCAGCACTTTGAGGTGGGAGGATCCCTTGAGGCCAGGAGTTTTGAGACTGGCCTGGGCAACACAGCAAGACCCTGCCTCTACCAAAAAAAAAAAACAACAAAAAAACAATTAGCTGGGAGTGGTGGTGATCAGTGCCTATAGTCCCACCTACTCTGGAAGCTGGGGCAGGGGGATTGCTTGAGCCCAGGAGGTGAAGGCTGCAGTGAGCTATGATCATACTGCCTCACTCCAGCCTAGGCAACAGAACCCACAACTCTGTCTCAAAATAAAGAAAAAGGCTGTTTGCAGTGGCTCATTCCTGTAATCCTAGCACTTTGGGAGGCCGAGGTGGGCAGATCACCTGAGGTCAGGAGTTCAAGACCAGCCTGGTCAACATGGTGAAACTCCGTTTCTACTAAAAATAAAAAAATTAGCTGGGTGTGTTGGGGGGCACCTACCACACATTAACAGTGTCTGTTCTTGGGATGCTGAGATGTGGGGTGATTTTCCTTGGGTGTCTGAGCCTCCATTTGTCAACAATGAATCTGTTCTGTTCCAGGTTCCTGCTACAGTATCAAAAGGCAGACACTGGGTGAGCCTCTGGTATTATAGCTGGATATAATAGCTGGGTATTCAGCTGTTCAGATGCCAGGAATTGGAAACCCTGGGCCTCCAACAGAAGGAACTCTTGGGAAAGGCCCAAAGAGGCAATGTAGTCCAGTGGTTAAGGAGCCAGAACTGAAGCTAAAGCTACGTCCCCAGTGTTCAAAGCCCAACTCTATTGATCATTCCCTGCTGTAACCTTGGACAGATAGCTATCCTTTTTTTTTTTTTTTTTTTTTTTTTGAGACGGAGTCTCACTGTGTCGCCCAGGCTGAAGTGCAGTGGCACAAACTCGGCTCACTGCAACCTCCGCCTCCCAGGTTCAAGCAGTTCTCCTGCCTCAGCCTCCCAAGTAGCTGAGATTACAGGTGCCCACCACCATGCCCAGCTAATTTTTGTATTTTAGTAGAAACATGGTTTCACCATGTTGGTCAGGCTGATCTTGAACTCCTGACCTCAAATGATCTGCCCACCTCAGCCTCCCAAAGTGCTGGGATTACAGTTGTGGGCCACCGCTCCTGGCTGTATTCTGCTTTTCAGACTTAGTTCAGTCTGTGTTATATCATGTGTACTGCCACATGGGATGGGCTTTTACTTTTATTTTCTATCTTTTTTTTTTTTTTAAAGACAGAATCTGTCCTACTGCCCAGACTGGAGTACAGTGGTGAGATCTTGGCTCGCTGAAACCTCTGCCTCCCAGATTAAAGCGATTCTCTTGCCTCAGCCTCCCGAGTAGCTGGGATCACAGGCGCTCACCACCATGCTCGGCTCACTTTTGTATTTTTAGTAGAGACAAGGTTTCGCCATGTTGGCCAGTCTCGTCTCGAACTCCTGACCTCAGGTGATCGGCCCACCTCAGCCTCCCAATGTGTTGCGATTATAGGCATGAGCCACCACGCCTGGCCTTCTATCAATATTTTTATTGTATTTATTTATAAGAGACAGAGTCTTGCTCTGTTTCCCAGTCTGGAGTGCAGTGGTGATTGTAGCTGACTGCAGCCTCAAATTTCCAAGTTCGAGCAGTTTTCCTGCCTCAGTCTCCTCTGAGTAGGTGGGACCACAGTGGCACACCAACACACCTTGCTAATTTTTCTTTTAATAAGAGACGGTGGTCTCAGCCGGGCGCAATGGCTCATACCTGTAATCCCAGCACTTTGGGAGGCCGAGGCGGGTGGATCACGAGGTCAGGAGTTCGAGACCAGCCTAGCCAATATGGTGAAACCCCGCCTCTACTAAAAAAATACAAAAAAGTAGCCGGGTGTGGTGGCGGTCACCTGTAGTCCTAGCTACTCGGGAGGCCGAGGCAGAAGAATCGCTCGAACCCAGGAGGCGGAGGTTGCAGTGAGCCGAGATTGTGCCACTGCACTCCAGCCTGGGTGGCAGAGCGAGACTCTGTCTCAAAAAAAAAAAAAAGGCGGCGGCGGGGAAGGTGGTCTCACTGTGTTGCCCAGGCTGGTTTCAAACTCTTGGGCTCAAGTGATCCTCCTGCCTCGACCTCCCAAAGTGCTGGGATTACAGGTGTATACCACCACGTCTGACTAATTAAAAAAAAATTATTTTCGTGCAGATGGGGTGGGGTCTCCTTATGTTGCCCAGGATGGTCTTGAACTCCTGGGCTCAAGCAGTCCTCCTGCCTTGGCCTCCCGAAGCGTTGGGATTACAGGCGTGAGCCACCACACCTGGACATCAGTATTTTTTTTGTTTTTTGCGACAGAGTCTCACTCTTGTGGCCCAGGCTGGAGTACAGTGGTGCAACCTCAGCTCACTGCAACCTCTGCCTCCCGGGTTCAAGTGATTCTCTTGTCTCAGCCTCCAGAGTAGCTGGGATTACAGGCTCGTGCCCTCACGCCTAATTTTTGTATTTTTAGTAGAGACGGGGTTTCACCATGTTGGCTGGGCTGGTCTCGAACTCCTGGCCTCAAGTGATCCGCCTGCCTTGGCTTCCCGAAGTGCTGGGATTACAGGCGTGAGCCACCGCGCCTGGCTGTCAGTATTTTTAAATGGTTGAATGCCATCCCACTGCCTGCCTGTCTCCTGCCACTGACCCTGCTGGCGGTTGGTGGTTTGGGTGGTGATGGTGTTTTGCTGTCATAGTTACCAAAGCAGGCAGCGTCTCTGTTTTGCATACAGAACTTCTATCACGTCGGAAGTTATTTTCTTATTTACTTTATGTTTTTTTTACAAAAAAGTAGGGGAAGGCACCCAGCCGTGGGTTTTCAGATCAAAGGGAAAGAAACAGTTACTGGCTTTATCTGATTATAACAGTAATTTGGAAGATAAAGAAAAGAAAAATCCATTCAGGCCTTTTTTTTTCTGCTGTCATTTCCTTTTGTTTCCCTGTGGGTACAGCTGCAGGGACATGTACCAGGAGCTGCAGCTATCTGCTTAATGACGGATCCCAGAGATAAGGGGACAGCGCCACTAACATTCTTTCAGCGCCTAAGATGCCTCTGATTCCAGAAGGATGACTTGCATTAAAGAGTTCAGCAGCAACAAGAAAATAAAACACACAGACACACACACACACACACACACACACACACACACACACACGCACAAACACACACATATATATTTTTCCCCCCCAAAATGGGGATTAAACTGTATATTCTTTTTCCCTAGAACATACCATTTTTTGTTTCTTTTAATGCTCTCTGCTTTGACTTTCATTTTGGATATGGACGCTGTGACTTCTGTTGTTGTCTTGGTAGCATTTGACCATTGTTATCTTTATTTATTACTTTTCTACCTCTCCTGGCCTTGGCCATTTGTTTTGGTGGTTGTTGTTGTTTGTTTGTTTTTTGACACAGAGTCTCACTCTGTCGCCCAGGCTGGAGTGCAGTGGCACGATGTCGGCTCACTGTAACGTCCGTCTCCTGGTTCAAGCGATTCTCCTGCCTCAGCCTCCCGAGTAGCTGGGACTACAGGCGTGTGCCACCATGCCCAGCTACTTTTTTATATTTTTAGTAGAGATGGGGTTTCACCGTGTTAGCCAGGATGGTCTCGATCTCCTGACCTCGTGATCCGCCCGCCTCGGCCTCCCAAAGTGCTGGGATTACAGGCAGGAGCCACTGCACCTGGCCTTTTTTTTTTTTTCCTTAATTTTATTTTATTTTTGAGACGGAGTTTTGCTCTTTTTTGCCCAGGCTGGAGTGTGGTGGCGCGATCTCGGCTCACTGCAACCTCCGCCTACCGGGTGCAAGTGATGATTCTGCCTCAGCCACCCGAGTAGCTGAGATTACAGGCACCCGCCACCATGCCCAGCTAATGGCCATTTGTTTTAGACGTGTCCCTTTTAGAAAGTGTAGATTTTTTAGCTGGGCATGGCGGTACATGTCTGTAGTCCAAGCTACTTGGGAGGCTGAGGCAGGAGGATTGCTTGAGCCCAGGAGGTTGAGGCTATCAGTCAGCTGTCATTGTGCCATGGCACTCCAGCCTGGGCAACACAGCCAGACCCTGTCTCAAAAACAACAACAAAACAGAGAGTGAAAAAACGGAGGCAGCCTACAGGCCCTTCTCATCGCGGGGGTGGTTAAAGTAAGTGCATTAGGGTTTCTCCATACCTTGGCTCAATAGGCTGCTGTTAAAATGAAGCTCCTTTCATATGTATCAGTCATGTTGAGGGGAAACGTTGCAAAGCAGGACTGTTGGTAAATTCCCACTTTTTTTTTTTTAAAATACTGTGTGTGCATGGTTGTGTCTGCGTAGCCTTCATATTTACACGGTTGTGTGTGCTTGTGGAAAGTTCTAGAAGGATACACCATGCTGTTACTAGTAGCTGACTCTGTGGAGTTGGTAGGAGGGTCACTGGAGAGGAACTTGCAACATATATACACTTCAGTGGTGTCTTTTTTGGGCAGACGGGGCAACAAGTAATATATACTAGTAATAAGATAATACACGTTAAAAACAGCCTGTAATCCCAGCACTTTGGAAGGCCAAGGCGGGAGGATTGCTTGAGACCAGGAGTTTGAGACCAGCCTGGGCAACATAGCAAGACCCTGTCTCTAAAAAAATAAAAACTTAGCTGGGTGTGGTGGTGTGCACCTGTAGTCCAGCTACTCAGGAGGCTGAGGTAGGAGGATAACGTGAGCCCAGGAGGTCGAGGCTGCATTTAGTGGTGATGGTGCCACAGTCCTCTGGCCTGGGCAACAGAGCGAGACCTTGTCTCTAAAAAAAAAAAAAAAAAAAAAAAAAAAAATTGCAGGGCGCGTTTGCTCATGCCTGTAATCCCAGCACTTTGGGAGGCCGAGGCGGGCAGATCACAAGGTCAGGAGATCGAGACCATCCTCGCAAACACGGTAAAACCCCGTCTCTACTGAAAATACAAAAACATTAGCCAGGTGTGGTGGCGGGTGCCTGTAGTCCCAGCTACTCGGGAGGCTGAGGCAGGAGAATGGCGTGAACCCGGGAGGCAGAGCTTGCAGTGAGCCAAGATCGCGCCACTGCGCTCCAGCCTCGGTGACAGAGCGAGACTCCGTCTCAAAAAAAAAAAAACAAAAAAAAACCCAAAACCAAAAACGCTTGCAGGAAGAGAGAGAAGGGGTGTTTTGTTCCTCCTGGGAGGGCGCACTTGGGGTGGCACAGAACTTGGGGGTGAGTGAGTGAGGGGGACAGGGGTGCTGCCTGTGCTTTCCCTGCCGTTTGATGGCTCCTCTCTGCTGCTTCCTCCTCCAGAAGAAGAAAGGGAAAGAGGCTGGGCCAGGAGCTGGGCTGCCGCCGCCCCGAGCTCCTGCCTTGCCCTCTGAGGCCAGGGCTCCTCACGCCAGCTCCCTGACCGCTGCCAAAAGGAGCAAAGCCAAGGCCAAAGGGAAGGAGGTGAAGAAGGAGGTGAGGCTCACCGTGCCCTGGTTGGGGGCTGTGGGGGGCTCAGCCATGCTCCTGTGGTCAGGGCAGGGGGCTCCACCTGCTCCTCTGTATTCACCCTCCCTATAGCTGTGGCTCAGAGAGGTTGCGGGTGACGAGGGTGATGTGGCCGTCCCCACACTCCAGGGATAAGGAGATACTGGGGACTCTGCTCCTGTCCTCAGGAAATGTCTGCTCTAGCGGGGGCGAGGGACACTGGAACAGAGACCAGGAGACCTGGGTGACAGGCCCCCAGCCCAGCACCAGGTCCTCACAGGGCCCTCAGGCTTGGGTGAATCTGCCCGAGTGGCAGATGATGGCATGTCCACTCCCCACACCTGCTAGCCCCTGCCCGAGTGGTTTTTCCTCAAGCCCATTGGGTGGAAATGCTGGAGATGCTGCTGAAGTTTCTCTAAGAAGGGAACGGAGGCACCTGCCATAGTGATGGACTGAGGTATGGTAGTGAGTACTGAGTGCTGAGTGCTGATACTGAGCACAGAGTACTGAGTATTGAGCACCGAGTACTGAGCATGGGCCAGCTGGGTTTTGGGCCCATTTCACCTTCCCCCTGGCCTCTGGGGTGCCCCTAACTGGGATCCCTGCCATGCACATGACAGATTCCCCCTGCGGCCTGACTGTGGCTCCAGGTTTCCAGAGAGGGTCCCCAACCCGGCAGGACCCCTGTTCAGGTCCTAAGTCATTTGTCGGCCATGTTCTGTCCCCAGAACCGCGGCAAGGGGGGTGCCGTGAGCAAGCTGATGGAGAGCATGGCAGCCGAGGAGGACTTTGAACCCAACCAAGACTCGAGCTTCTCTGAGGACGAGCACCTGCCGCGTGGCGGGGCTGTGGAGCGGCCGCTGACCCCGGGTGAGTGGCCGTGATGCCACATGTGCCGGGCGGGGCTGCTGGAGCCTCCCTTGGGGGAGGCAGATCTGAGCAAGGCTTGAGACTGAAGGGCTGGGCTAGCTGGGGGCAGGGAACCACAGGAGCAGAGATCCTGAGGCTGAGTTATCCGGGTCGATGAGAAGGCTGGACTGGCTGCAGCTTAGTCAACTGCAGATGAGGCAAGAGAGCGGCCCTGGGACCAGGGAGGAGGCAGGTCCTGCGGGGCTTGGGAAGGAGTTCCGTGTTGGCCCTAAGGAAAATGCGAAGCTTTCTGAGGTTAGATGTGGGGATGTGATATGGTCAGATTGGCTTTAAAATGAGCTGTCTGGGCCGAGCGTGGTGGCCCATGCCTGTAATCCCAGCACTTTAGGAGACCGAGTTGGGCAGATCACCTGAGGTCAGGAGTTCCAGACCAGCCTGGCCAACATGGTGAAACCCTGATTCTACTGAAAATACAAAAATTAGCTGGGTGTGGTGGCGGGCGCCTGTAATCCCAGCTACCCGGGAGGCTGGGGCAGGAGAATCACTTGAAACCAGGAGGCGGAGGTTGCGGTGAGCCAAGATCATGCCATTGCATTGCACTCCAGCCTGGGCAAAGAGCAAAACTGTGTCTCAAAAAAAAAAAAACTGTCTGGTGCTGCACAGAGAACGAGTGGGGGCCCCAGGGAAGGCAGGGAGTCCAGTTAGGAGGCTGTGCTGTCCAGGCGAGAGTGGGTTGTAGCCTGGGGCTGCCATGGGGGCAGCAGGGAAGGAGGCGGGGCAGGGTGCACACATTAGGAGGGAGTGTGGATGGGAGGTGGGGTCGGGGGTGCAGGCAGAGGAGAGGGGAAGGGAAGGGTGAGGACAGGTGTGGGGGTGGGGGGAAGCCCTGTCCCTGAGACCCGGGTCAGGGAGAGTCATGTGCTGGGCTTTGATGACTCAATCGGGAAGTCACGCCCAGGCTGGGACCCAGGGGTCTGTAGCCCAGAGGCGAAATCGTGGGTATGGATGGGGGAGCGAGTGAGAAGGAGTCGGCCGCCCCAAGGCTGCATTGGTCACCTGCCGCTATGTGACAACCAGCCGCCGCCTGTGTGCGTCTCAGGGGCATGTAGGGCTGCTGGGTGGCCATGCAGACCCCCAGTGGCCTTGCTCCTGCGGTGATGGGCTGGCCAGGGGTCAGCTGCTCCAGGTCTGTGGTCCTCTCTGCGTGTGTTGTTTATCCTGCCAGACCCGTGGCTTAAGAGGAAAAGTTGGGCTTAAGAGCTCTCTCGAGGCCTAGGCTCAGCATTGGGCCCCGGCCACTTCTGAGAGCCACATGGCCAAGCCCAACGTCAGGGTGTGGGAAGTCGACTCTGCCAGTGACAAGGCCACAGGCAGGCACAGCAGGGATACGGCCGTCCCACCCATCCCTCTCCCAGCGAGCCATCTGGGTAATGAGAATGTCGGGGACAGACCAGGTGAAAGGTCCCACTGAGGAGGAAGGGCAGGCCCAAGTGTCTTGGCAGGGGCAGGGAGAGGGAGGGAGCAGAGGGTTGGGGCAATGAGAGGTGACCGCCGTCGGCAAGTTTGCCCCCGGGCATTCATTTCCGCCAGAAAGAAAAAGTGGATGGAAAGTCTCAGAGGTAGGTGGGGTGTGGTCACATGCACCTGTAATCCCAGTGCTTTGGGGGGCCGAGGTGGGAGGATCACTTGAGACCAGGAGTTCGAGATCAGTTGGGCAACATAGTGGACCCTGTCTCTACAAAAAATAATTAGCCAGGCATGGTGGTGTGCACCTATAGTCCCAGCTACTCAGGAGGCTAAGGTGGGAGGATGGCTTGAACCCAGGAGTTCCAGGCTGCAGTGAGCTATGATCTTGCCACTGCACTGTAGGCTGGATGACAAAGCAAGACCTTGTCTCTGACATCATGATGATGATGATGATGATGATGATTATTGAGACGGAATCTGACTCTCTGTCACCCGGGCTGGAGTGCAGTGGCGTGATCTCGGCTCACTGCAGCCTCTGCCTCCCAGGTTCAAGCAATTCTTTTGCCTCAGCCTCCCAAGTAGCTGGGACTACAGGCGTGCACTGCCACACCTGGGTAATATTTGTGTTTTTAGTAGAGACAGGGTTTCACCATGTTAGCTAGGATGGTCTTGATCTTCTGACCTTGTGATCTGCCCGCCTCAGCCTCCCAAAGTGCTGGGATTACAGGTGTGAGCCATCGCGCCTGGCTTGAAAAAATTATTAAAAAAAAGAAAGAGGCCGGGCACGGTGGCTCACACCGGTAATCCCAGTACTTGGGAGGCTGAGGAGGGTGGATCACCGGAGGTCAGGGGCTCGGGATCAGCCTGGCCAACATGGTGGAACCCCGTCTCTACTAAAAATACAAAAATTAGCCGGGCCTGGTGGCAGGCACCTGTAATTCCAGCTGCTTGGGAGGCTGAGGCAGGAGAATCGCTTGAACCTGGGAGGCAGAGGTTGCAGTGAGCCGAGATCATGCCATTGCACTCCAGCCTGGGCAACAAGATTGAAACTCCATCTCAAAAATAAATAAATAAATAAATAAATAAATAAATAAATAAATAAATAAAGTCCTAGAAGTTTGGCTGTGGGCAGCAGTAAGAGGGGGCGGACATCATGATGGAGGATCGTCGCTGTGAGTGTCCGGTGATGGCTGGCACCCAGAGCTTCATGCCAGGCCCAGAGGCTGCTGGTCTTGAGGTGGGAAGAGGCAGCAGGTGCAGGCTTTCATCTCTGGGTTCACACCCACCTGGGGTCTTTGCAGACATCTGGGGCCAGGCAGGGGAGGGGGCTAGGAGGAGAGGGGCTGGCCACGGCACCCTGTACATGCTCACTGGTACACACAGGTCTGCACGGGTACACACACAGGCAGACGAAGAAGTGCACACGTCTCAGCCCCACAGGCCCACCCGGTACCAGGGCCTCCATTCCAAGGGGATGACTTGGGGGTAACGGGAGGAGGGAGAGGTGTCGCAGACGCCCCCGGCTCCAGCCTCGCCTCACGATCCAACCCCTGCAGCCCCTCGCTCCTGCATCATCGACAAGGATGAGCTGAAGGACGGCCTGCGTGTGCTCATCCCCATGGATGACAAGCTGCTGTACGCCGGGCACGTGCAGACCGTGCACTCGCCAGACATGTGAGTGGGGTGGGAGGTCCGGCACAGAGCCCCGTGTCCCATACCCGCCCCGTGTCCCGGCCGCCTCTGTGCCTGGCTGCTTCTCCTTTCTGGGCTGTGGTTTCCCCCGATGGCACAGGGCAGGGGCATGAGTGGGCTCAGAGCTGACGGGGAGGCCCTGGGCACTTTGAGGGAGTACTGGGTGAACCCTCCCAGGGGCTGGGCGCGGCTGCTCCGCAGCGGGAAGGGGTGAGAGAGCGTGCTGGCCTCTCTCAGGATCTGGACTGTGCCTTGCAACCCCTAGTCCTACAGATGAGGAAAATGAACCCAGAAAAGGGGGAGAATTCCCAAATTCAGCAAGTCAGCAAACCTCTGAGTCCTGGTGTTACCTCCCAGTGGTCTAGGAGGCAGTGCTGTGCTGGTGGGATTGAGGCCCTCTGGGGAGGTCTCGGCCTCTGCCACCTCACGCCTCGTTTGCTCCTACAGATACCGCGTGGTGGTGGAGGGTGAGCGGGGCAACCGGCCCCACATCTACTGTCTGGAGCAGTTGCTGCAGGAGGCGGTGAGGGGGGAGGGGCGGGGCCTCGGGAGGCTCGGGGTGGGCTGGGTGTCCAAGGCCATGGCCATAACTGTGTCCACACCTTGCACTCATCCCATGCCCTTCTAGATCATCGATGTGAGGCCAGCCTCCACTCGCTTCTTGCCACAAGGGACCAGGATTGCAGCCTACTGGAGCCAGCAGTACCGCTGTCTCTACCCAGGCACTGTGGTCCGAGGTGAGATGCCTCCTCCCCAGCTCTCCCCTGCCGCCTAACATCTCAGTATGGACTTGTTTGGCTACTAAAACCCAACTCTAACTGGCTTAAGAATAAAGACTTGTGGGCTCACATAACTGAAAACTGTATGGCCTTCAGGCATGATTGGATCCAGGCACCATTTAAACGATGTCATCAGGACTCCAGCTCTGAGTATCTGTCAGCAGTGCTGTCATCTGTGCTGGCTTCACACTAGCTCCTTGGAGATTGTATTTTACCATCTTAAGAACTCTTATCATTGGAGGATTTCTCAGTCTCGGTTTTCCCACACAAGTTCTAGTGTGAACTGACTTGGGCCACATGGTTTTCATTGATCCTACTGCCGTGAGTCTGATCGACCGGGCCTGGGTCAGATTCTCATCCCTGGGGCTAAGGAGTGAGGTCACCTCCCTTTTATTCGTGGGCTGAGAAAGATGGGAGGGTGGCTTCCCCTGCAAAGTGGACATGTTGTTAGAATAAGAGAGAATGAGGCTGGATGTGGTGGCTCATGCCTGTAATCCCAGCACTTTGGGAGGCCGAGGTGGGTGGAATCACTTGAGGTCAGGAGTTCAAGACCAGCTTGGCCAACGTGGTAAAACCCCGTCTCTACTAAAAATACAAAAATTAGCCGGGCGTGGTGGCAGGTGCCTGTAATCCCAGCTACTTGGGAGGCTGAGGCAGGAGAATCACTCAAACCTGGGAAGTGGAGGTTGCAGTGAGCCAGGATTGCACCACTGCACTCTAGCCTGGGTGACAGAGTGAGACTACGTCTCAAAAAAAGAAAAAAGAATGGAGGCTGGATGGAGAAAAACAACAGGTACCCTAGGAAATGTAGGTGTGGATATCAGACAGGCAAGAAAGACAGTCAAATGGTCCAACCCTTAGCTTTTGCAAAAGCAGTGTATCCTAGAGAGGGGGTATGGATGTGGATTAGACAAACCCCGCCCGTGCAAAAAAAAAGCCCACTCACATGCCAAATACAGTCCACTGCTTGGCCTACCATCCATTCATACCCAGAAGATGGAAGCCAATGCCAGCTCAGCAAAACAACAGATGAGTGGTCCAGCCTGAGTAGAGGATCTCAGGCCAGGAAGACTTAGTTTTTTCCATCATATTAGTCACTCATTTATCATCCAAATTCTGAAAGTGCTGTTAATAAGGCAGAAGTTGGCCTTAGATTCGGATTTCCTAGCACATGCTGTCCCCCTGTACTGGGAGGTGCTGGCTGTGTTCTAGGCCTGCCTCATGGGTATCATTCTGGATTCTTGGGCCTTCCCTGTCCCTCATCCTGGGAACCGCTTTTGTTGCGTTGCATGTTTTTCTCTTTTTTGGTTCAGTTCCTTGTTTTAAGCAGTGGATCTTTCAGTAGCTTTCTGAGGAAGAGTCTGTGGGAGTTAAATTTCTCACATCCTTGTATGTTTGTAATCGCTTCATTCTACCCTGATTTTTTAGAGATAGCTGAGCTGGGTACCCTTATTCTTTAGAGATAGTTGAGCTGGGTATAAATTCACGACTGGAAATAGTTCCCCTCACCATTTCAAAGACATTTTTCTATTTTTATCTTGCTTCCCATGTTGAAGACATTCAACATTGTGATTCCAAAATCATTGTAGGAGACCTGCTTTTTTATCTCTGGAAACTTTTAGGATCTTCTCATTATCCCTAGATCTGGAATTCCGTGTGTGTGTGTGTGTGTTCTCATCATGCTGGGTATCTGCAGAGGGAGGCTTTGATTTTGAAGCAAATTTCCTTCATTCTTGGAAGCTCTACTTGTAGCACAACTTGGATAACTTCTCTTGTGAATTTCATGTTTTCCCTGGAACTTGGGCTAGTTCCATGGCCCCTGGTGTGTGTGTCTTTTTTTCTGTTAATATTTGCTTATTTTGTTCAACTTATGGAGAGATTTTCTCTACTTTTATCTTCTAACCCCTTCTGTTTTCTTGAATTTTAAAATTTTCTGCTGTCATTTAAAAAAATTGTCCACCAGCTGCGGTGGCTCACGTCTGTAGTCCCAGCAATTTGGGAGCCTGATGCGGGTAGATCACTTGAACCCAGGAGTTCAAAACCAGCCTGGGCAACATAGCAAGACCCTGTCTCTACAAAAAGATACAAAAATTAGCCAGGCTTGGGCCAGGCGTGGTGGCTCACACCTGTAATCTCAACACTTTGGGAGGCCAAGGTGGGCAGATCACCTGAGGTCAGGAGTTTGAGACCAGCCTGGGCAGCATGGTGAAACCCCGTCTCTATTAAAAATACAAAAATAAGCTGGGCGTGGTGGCGGGTGCCTGTAATCCCAGCTACTCGGGAGGCTGAGGCAGGAAAGAATCACCTGAACCCGGGAAGTAGAGGTTGCAGTGAGCCGAGATCACACCGCTGCACTCTAGCCTGGGTAACATAGTGAGACTCTGTCTCAAAAAAAAAAAATTATTATCCAGGTTTGGTGGTGTGCACCTGTTGTCCTAGCTACTTGGGAGACCGAAGTGGGAGGATCACCTGAGCCTGGGTGGTCGAGGCTGCAGTGAGCTATGATTGCGCCATTGCATTCCAGCCTGGGTGACAGAATGACACCATCTCAAAAAAAAAAAAAACCTTAAGAGTTCTTTCTTATTCTCTGAATATTCCTTAAATTTTTTTTTGTTTTATCAACACATTTCTTTTTAAACTTTCTCAGAGGATTGTTTTTCATTTTAACTTTCTGTATTTTTTTTTGAGACAGAGTCTTGCTCTGTCACCCAGGCCAGAGTGCGGTGCAGTGATTTCAGCTTACTGCAGCCTCCACCTCCCAGGTTCAAGTGATTCTCCTGCCTCAGCTTCTGGAGTAGCTGGGATTACAGGCATGCACCACCATGCCCGGCTAATTTTTTGTATTTTTAGTAGAGATAGGATTTCACCATGTTGGCCTGACTGGCCTCGAACTCGTGACCTCAGGTGATCTGCTTCTCTCAGCCTCCCAAAGTGCTGGGATTACAGGCGTGAGCCACTGCGCCAGGCCTCATTTTAGCTTTCTGCAGCTCCCTCTCTCTTCCCGGTCCCCCCTCCTTCTGCTTGCTGGTGCTGTGCCCTTCCTCTGGTTAGAACTCCTTAGGCGTCTGGGGACCCTGAATGAAGGGAACCTTATCAAGCCGATGGGAGCTCTGTGCACTCATGAGTGTTTGTCATAGCGGGTGGGCAGGAAGGTTTTGTTAGGGGGCTGCCCAGATTCTGCAAGACTCACATCCTTGGGGATATAGTACCAGCATCTGGCGTTTGGGAAGAGGGCTGGGCTATCACCCTTTGGGGGGCCTGTCCAACCTCCTCCCTGCGCTCAGTGTCTTTCAGTCTGGAGCCTCTCTCTAGGGTGAAGCTCCCAGCTCCTGCCAGCTGGGCCACCCTCAGCCTGTTCAGTGTTGAGGTCTCCCTCAGCCCTGCCTCTGGAGGTGCTTGGGGCCTCTCCAGCACGAGCCTTGGCAGGATTCTCTTAGGAAAACCACCTCCTCCTCGTGGGTATCACCTCCTCCTAGGAGATCAAAGCCCGTTCCTGCACGTTCATCCCGGCATCTCTCCGGAAATGCCACGGTCTCCCACTGCCGCCCTCCCCTTTCCCATTCTTTGTGTCCTTCAGGGTTGACACCTGCGTCCCTCCTTTGCTGTGGTTGCAGGAGGGTCTTGTGCATGAGCGGGCGCAGGTGCATGTGCTCAGCTGTCTTGTGTCACCCAAAGTCAGCTAGAAATGGGAGACCCAGGCCAGAGACAGTGGCTCACGCCTGTAATCCCAGCACTTTGGGAGGCTGAGGTGGGCGGATCACCTGAGGTCGGGAGTTCGAGACCAGCCTGACCAACATGGAGAAACCCCATCTCTACTGAAAATACAGAATTAGCCAGGCATGGTGGCGCATGTCTGTAATCCCAGCTACTTGGGAGGCCGAGGCAGGAGAATCACTTGAACCCGGGAGGCGGAGGTTGCGGCGAGCCAAGATCATGCCATTGCACTCCAGCCTGGGCATCGACAGCGAAACTCTGTCTCAAAAAAAAAAAAAAAAAAAAAAGACCCATTTCTCCTGCCCTGCCCGGGTGGCCTGGCTCTAACACCCACATTCTGAGCCGCTGTATACCCTCCACCCATGTCCCCACTGCTGTACCATAGAGACCAGGGCTGCACAGGGGCCGGTTTCTGCCATCCTGACCCTTGTGCGTCACTAGGGAGCTGGAGGTCCGAGGGCCTCCCCTGAGCCTCCCCTCTTCCCACAGGGTTACTGGACCTGGAGGACGATGGGGACTTGATCACCGTGGAGTTTGACGACGGAGACACGGGCAGGATCCCCCTCTCACATATCCGCCTCCTGCCCCCTGACTATAAGATACAGTGTAAGTGACAAGCTCATGACACCCGGTCTCCTGCCAGGGGCCGCCCACCCAGGCTCTCGCCCTCCAAGCCCGGCTCTGAGCTCTGTCTGAAGTCATTTGGAGCCACAGGTGATGGAAGCAGCAGAAGCCATGGGTGGGCTCCCGTGAGATCTCAGGGCTCCTAGGTCCTGGGTCCATGAGGACAGCACAAGCCCAGTGGCCCAGGCCATGGGAAGCTGATCAAAAATTGTTAATGGCTGGGTGCGGTGGCTCACGCCTGTAATCCTAGCACTTTGGGAGGCCAAGATGGGCGGATCACGAGGTCAAGAGATCGAGACCATCCCAGCCAATATGGTGAAACCCTGTCTCTATTAAAAATACAAAAATTAGCCGGGCGTGGTGACATGCGCCTGTAGTCCCAGCTGCTCAGGAGGCTGAGGCAGGAGAATCCCTTGAACCTGAGAGGCAGAGGTTGCAGTGAGCTGAGATCCTGCCACTGCACTCCATCCTGGCGACAGAGCGAGACTCTGTTTTAAAAAAAAAAAAAAAAAAAAAAAAAACCCAACAAAAGTCAGCATCTTTATCCACCTGTCCCGGTTCCACAAAGTGCTTTGTTTTACTTCATTATTCGGGAGCCTCTGGCTGCTCCCTGCAGACGGGGTTTCCCCTGCTGGACCTCACAGCCTGTCATGGGAGCCCATCCGGGGTCAGCCACCTGGTGTCGGTTGCTTCCGCCCCCATCCCTGATCCCCGGGACAGACCAGGGTCTTGGAAGCTCCAAGCTGGGGACCCCAGGCCTGATGAGCCACTCTGTCCTCTGCCCCACAGGTGCTGAGCCGTCCCCGGCCCTTCTGGTGCCAAGTGCCAAGCGCCGCAGCCGGAAGACCAGCAAAGACACTGGGGAGGGCAAAGATGGTGGCACGGCTGGGTCGGAGGAGCCAGGAGCCAAGGCCCGTGGGCGTGGGCGGAAACCCAGCGCCAAGGCCAAGGGTGGTAGGTTGGCCTGGTCCCCAGGGCAGGGCGGTGGGCGGATCTCCTTCGTGCATCCAAACTCAGGGCTTGGGAACCTGCCGAAGTGCCTGCCTGCTGTCTGTAAGAACTCTGAGCCGGGTGCAGTGCCTCACACCTGTAATCCCAGCGCTTTGGGAGGCCAAGGCGAGCAGATCGGCTGATGTCAGGAGTTCAAGACCAGTCTGGCCAATGTGGTGAAACTCCGTCTCTACTAAAAATACAAAAATTAGCTGGGCATGGTGGTGAGTGCCTGTAATCCCAACTACGTGGGAGGCTGAGGCAGGAGAATCACTTCAACCTGGGAGCTGGAGGTTGCAGTGAGCCAAGATCGCACCATTACACTCCAGCCTGGGCGACAAGAGCGAAATTCCATCTCAAAAAAAAAAAAAAAAAAAAAAAAAAGAAGAGAACTCTGCACCTGCACTGCAGGGCCGTTCTGACCAGGTGACAGATGAGGAAACTGAGGCTGAGGGAGGCAGGTTGGTTTGTCAGAGGCACAGCTGAGCTGCAGCTGGCCTGTGTTTCTTTCCAGAATCCAGAGAAAATACTTCGTGCAGGCTGAAAGCAGAGGAGGACCCGCTTTGGGGCCAACACAACTTAAGGTTGTTATAGGGGAACCGCCGAAGGAGGCCTAAGAAGGCTGCAGCCAGGTTCTGCTCAAGAAGTAGCAGGGCCAGGATTGAAACCAGGCCTTTCTGCTGGGCGCAGTGGTCCACGCCTATTCTCAGCACTCTAGGAGGCCCAGGCACAGGGATCGCTTGAGCCCAGGAGTTTAAGACCAGCCTGGGCAACGGAGCAAAACTGTATCTCTACAAAAAAAAAAATAATAATACAAAAAATTCCCCAGGCATAGTGGCGCATGCTTGTGGCCTCAGGTTACTTGGGAGACTGAGGCTGGAGGCTCACATGAGCCCAGGCAGGTTAGGGCTGCAATGAGCCCTGATGACGCCACTGCATTCCAGCTTGGGTGACTGAGACCCCATCTCAAAAAAAAAACAAAAACAAAAACAAAACTCACAGAAGCAGGCCTTTCTGATAAAAGCCACAGCTCATCTCTGCCAGGAAGCCCCCGCCCCAGCTTCTCATCTGTTTTGTTTTGCAGACAGAGCCGCTACCCTGGAGGAGGGGAACCCAACAGACGAGGTCCCCAGTACCCCCTTAGCCCTGGAGCCGAGCAGCACCCCAGGTTCCAAGAAGAGCCCCCCAGAGCCTGTGGACAAGCGAGCCAAGGCCCCCAAGGCGCGCCCGGCACCGCCGCAGCCCAGTCCCGCACCACCCGCCTTCACCAGCTGCCCAGCACCCGAGCCATTTGCAGAGCTGCCAGCTCCTGCCACCTCCCTGGCCCCAGCACCCCTCATCACCATGCCTGCCACACGCCCCAAGCCCAAGAAGGCGCGGGCAGCCGAGGAGTCGGGTGCCAAGGGCCCTCGGAGGCCGGGGGAGGAGGCCGAGCTGCTTGTCAAACTGGACCACGAGGGTGTCACGTCACCCAAAAGCAAGAAGGCTAAAGAGGCCCTGCTGCTCCGGGAGGATCCGGGGGCGGGGGGCTGGCAGGAGCCCAAGAGCCTCCTGAGCCTGGGCAGCTATCCCCCCGCGGCCGGCAGCAGCGAGCCCAAGGCACCCTGGCCCAAGGCCACCGACGGGGACCTCGCCCAGGAGCCCGGGCCGGGGCTCACGTTCGAGGACTCTGGGAACCCCAAGAGCCCAGACAAGGCCCAGGCTGAGCAGGACGGGGCCGAAGAGTCCGAGAGCAGCAGCAGCAGCAGTAGTGGCAGCAGTAGCAGCAGCAGCAGCAGCAGCAGCAGCGGCTCGGAGACAGAAGGGGAGGAGGAAGGCGACAAGAACGGGGACGGGGGCTGCGGCACCGGGGGCCGTAACTGCAGCGCTGCCAGCTCCAGGGCGGCCTCACCGGCCTCCTCCTCCTCCTCCTCATCCTCCTCCTCCTCCTCCTCCTCCTCCTCATCCTCCTCTTCCTCCTCCTCCTCTTCCTCCTCCTCCTCTTCCTCTTCGTCTTCCTCCTCTTCCTCCTCCTCCTCTTCCTCGTCCTCATCCTCCTCCTCCTCCTCCTCTTCCTCCTCTTCTTCCTCCACCACAGACGAGGACTCTTCCTGCAGCTCGGACGATGAGGCAGCCCCCGCCCCCACGGCTGGCCCTTCCGCGCAGGCGGCGCTCCCCACCAAGGCCACCAAGCAGGCCGGCAAGGCGCGGCCCTCGGCCCACTCCCCAGGCAAGAAGACGCCCGCGCCCCAGCCCCAGGCGCCTCCTCCGCAGCCCACACAGCCTCTGCAGCCCAAGGCTCAGGCCGGGGCCAAGAGCCGACCCAAGAAGAGAGAGGGCGTCCACCTCCCCACCACCAAGGAGCTGGCCAAGCGGCAGCGCCTGCCGTCCGTGGAGAACCGGCCCAAGATCGCCGCCTTCCTGCCAGCCCGGCAGCTCTGGAAGTGGTTCGGCAAGCCCACCCAGGTGAGCAAGCTCGCGCCCGGGCACGGCCGAGGGGCCGGGGGCCTTGTGTCTCTCTGCTGGGCCCACGGCTTCATGCTGTGTCTCCGTGTGTGGTAACCTCCCAGAACCCCAGGGTGGAGGGCTGGCGTCCCACTTTATGGATGGGTACACTGAGTCTCAGAGTGTCCTCAGGCACCTGGGTCTGTCGGACTCCGATGCCCGAGTCCTTCAGAGCAGAGTGGTCCTGCCCTCTGGTCCCGGGACGCAGAGCCACCCTCGTGGAGCCCAGATGAAGGAAACGTGCAAAGATCAGCACAGACCCACAGGCGTCGGCGCCACGTGGAAGGGGCTTTCCAGGCCTCTGGGATTTTTTCCTTTTTCTTTTTTTGAGACTGAGTCTCTCTCTGTTGCCCAGGCTGGAGTGTGGTGGTGTGATCTTGGCTTACTGCACCCTCTGCCTCCCGGGTTCAAGCAATTCTCCTGCGTCAGCCTCCCAAGTAGCTGGGATTACAGGCGCACGCCACCACGCCTGGCTAATTTTTGTATTTTCAGTAGAGATGGGGGTTTCCCCATGTGGGTCAGGATGATCTCAAACTCTCCTGGCCTCAAGTGATCTGCCTGCCTCGGACTCCCAAAGTGCTGGGATTACAGGTGTGAGCCACCACGCCTGGCTTTTTCTTTTCTTTCTTTCTTTTTTTTTTTTTAAGAGACAGGATCTTGCTCCGTCACCCAGGCTGGAGTGCAGCGGTGCCATCGTGGCTCACTGCAGCTTTGAACTTCTGGGCCCAAGCAGTTTTCCCGCCTCAGCCTCCTGAGTAGCTGGGATTACAGACATGTGCCACCATGCTACCCAGCTGATTTTTAAATATTTTTGTAGAGACAGTGTCTCACTGTGTTGCTTGGGCTGGTCTTGAACCCCTGGGCTCAAGTGATCCTCCCGCCTCAGCCTCCCAGAGTGCTGGAATTCCAGGTGCGGGGCCTGACAGCCTGTTGTGTGTGGCATTTGAGTGTTCCCAGCCACGCCCCGGGCTCCTGGCCACTAGTGTGGCAGTCCCAGCAGAAGGTACCTCCTTCCCAGGTTTGCTAGCAAAAGTCCAGATTGAAGCTCCTTGGCCTGGCCAGGATCATGTGCCCACCCCTGAGTGAATCAATATGGCCTGGAAGACAAAGTCCTGGCTGGCCAGGTCGGGGTCCCGTGTGCCCTGCCTGCAGCAGTGGGTTAGCTGTTCAGAAGGAGCCCTTCCAGCCTGCCTGTGGCTGTCTACACACACGCACACACACTTGCACACAGTGCACTCAAAAGCATGGGCACATGCACACACACACGCACATATGTGTGCACATGTACACATGAATGCACATACAGCCACACACAAAAGCAAGTATACACACATGCAGATGTACATGTGAATGCAGGCACGTACATGAACCATGTAAACATGAACATGCACACATATGCAAATACACTACACCCACACAAATGCACACTTGCACACGTACACAAACGTAGGCACATACATGCGTGCACGTGCATCCATGCACGTGCATGCACACGAGTACACGTGCACACACACAAACACGTGCACACACGAACACGTGCACACACATGAACACGTGCACAAATGCACAGATGAACATGTGCACACACAGGCACATATACATGGCAGGACCCAGTGTGAGAAGTGGTGGTTCAGACAGGCTGGCAGGGAGCCCCCAACGTGCTGTAGGTGTGGGGCAGGAGCACCTGCATGTTCCAGAAGGGGTCAGTGGTGTCTCAGGCAGCATTTCCAAAGCTGCTCTAGAATGGAGTTTCAAGTCTCTCTTGCCCAGGTGCAGTGGCTTAAGTCTGTAATCCCAGCACTTTGGGAGGCCCAGGCGGGAGGATCACTTAAGCTTGGGAGGTCAAGGCTGCAGTGAGCTGTGATTGTGCCACTACACTCCAACCTGGGCAATAGTGTGAGACCTTGTCTTGAAAAAAATAATAGTTTTAGCCGGGCGCAGTGGCTCACACCTGTAATCCCAGCACTCTGGGAGGCCCAGGCAGGAGGATCACTTGAGGTCAGGAGTTCGAGACCACCCTGCCAACATGGTGAAACCCCGTCTCTACTAAAAATACACACACAAAAATTAGCCAGGCGTGGTGGTGCACGCCTGTAATCCCATCTACTTGGGAGGCTGAGGCAGGAGAACTGCTTGAACCTGGGAGGCAGAGGCTACAGTGAGCCAAGATCGTGCCACTGCACTCCAGCCTGGGCGATAGAGTGAGACTTCATCTCAAAAAGAATAATAATAATAATAACTATTTTTTAAAAGATAAAAAAGGCCAGGTGTGGTAGCTCACGCCTGTAATCCCAGCTCTTTGGGTGGCTTATGTGGGAGGATCACTTGAGGCCAAAAGTTCAAGACCATCTTGGGCAACATAGTGAGACCCCCATCTCTACAAAAATAAAAATATTAGCCGTGGATTCCTGTAATCCCATCAACTCAGGCGGCCGAGGGAGGAGGATGGCTTGAGCCCAGGAGATCGAGGCTGCAGTGAGCTATGATATTACCACTGCAGTCCTGCCTGGGTGACAGAGCAAGACCCTTTCTCTGAAAAAAGTAATTTTCAAAAGAAAAATAAGGCCAGGTGCAGTGGCTGACACTGCGATCCTAGTGCTTTGGGAGGCAAAGGTGGGAGGGTGGTTTGAGGCCAAAAGTCTGAGACCATCCTGGGCAACATAGTGAGACCTTGTTCTCTACAAAAATAATCAAAATTAGCCGGGCGTGGTGTGCGCCTGTATTCTCAGCTCCTCAGAGGCTGAGGTGGGAGAGGATTTCTTGAGTCTAGGAGTTCGTGGCTGCAGTGAGTCATGATGGCGCCACTGCGCTCCAGCCTGGGCAACAGAGGGAGACCCTGTCTCAAAAATAAGAAGTCTTGTAGCGGCAGAATGCTTAGATCAAGGGAAGCGCCTCTTGGAGACCCAGCATGTCAAAGAGATGGAAGAGGGGCTTCCCCACTTGAAGCGAGACAAGGAGCTTCCTCATCTCCCCACAGTTGGATAGGGGTTGATTTAGAGGCCGAGGGCCCAGAGTCCCAAGCGGCAGAGCCTGCCAGGCGGCGGGCTCCTTGGGGCTGGGCCAGGGCCTGTGCCGTGACACACGTGTCCTTGCAGCGGCGTGGCATGAAGGGCAAGGCCCGCAAGCTCTTCTACAAGGCCATCGTGCGCGGCAAGGAGATGATCCGTATCGGGGACTGTGCCGTGTTCCTCTCTGCCGGCCGCCCCAACCTGCCCTACATCGGCCGCATCCAGAGCATGTGGGAGTCGTGGGGCAACAACATGGTGGTCCGCGTCAAGTGGTTCTACCACCCCGAGGAGACCAGCCCGGGCAAGCAGTTCCACCAGGGCCAGGTGAGCCTGCGGCCCGGCTGCGGCCCCCAGTCCTAGGCGGTGTAGGGCAGACCTGAGGGCGAGGCGTTCTGGGTGCTGGAGCATCAGCAGCCCTGCCCAGTGGGTCAGCCCTGTCCTGGGGCCTGGGGTCGGGTGCAGCAGCCCCCGGGCTCACCCAAGCCCCTCCTCTCTCCCCCACACAGCACTGGGACCAGAAGTCCAGCCGCAGCCTCCCGGCGGCCCTGCGGGTCTCCAGCCAGAGGAAGGACTTCATGGAGGTAGGTGGTGGTGGTGGTGGTGGTGGGCGGGTTGGGGATGGCTGCTTCCTTCCGGGCAGCTCAGACAGGGCCCGGCTCAGCATCTGCTGCTCTGTCCCCCATGGTCTCCCTCAGCCTCTGACCTCCTGTCCCTGCCACTCTCAGTGCCTGGCTCCTGTTCTCTGTCTCTCTGGTCTGTGCGTCTGTCTCTGGGTCTTCTCTGCTCTCCCAGTGTCTGTCTCTGAGTCTCTGGCCATTCTTGCCCTCTGACTCTCTCTGGGTCTCTCCCAACCTCTATCTTTCAGTCTCTGTGTCTCTCTGGGTCTCTCTCGATCTCGGTCTCTGTCTCTCTGCGTCTTTGGATCTCTTGGTCTGTCTATCCTTGTCTCTCATTTGCTCTCCATCTCTCGGTCTCTGTCTCTCTTTTGTTGGTCTGTCTCTTACTCAGCCTCTGTCTCTGACTTGGTCTCTGTCTCAGTCCCTGGGGCTCCCTCTGCTTCTGTCTCTGTCCCTGTGGCTCCCTGGGGCTCCCTCGGCCTCTGTGCCCCCCACCTGCCATCCTGATATCCCCGCGTGCCCGCAGCGCGCGCTATACCAGTCCTCGCATGTGGACGAAAATGACGTGCAGACGGTGTCGCACAAGTGCCTGGTGGTGGGCCTGGAGCAGTATGAGCAGATGCTGAAGACCAAGAAGTACCAGGACAGCGAGGGCCTGTACTACCTCGCGGGCACCTACGAGCCCACCACGGGCATGATCTTCTCCACGGACGGCGTGCCCGTGCTCTGCTGAGCCCGCCGGGCCCTGCGGGCCACCTGTGCCCCGAGGGCGGCCAGGGACCCATCTCCATCACTGCCATGGCGCGGAGACCACGTGCGTTGTGTGCATGCGAGCGCTCCTGCAGGCGTGTGCATGGGGCCAGGTGTGCACGTGGATGCCCGGGTGAGTGTGTGTGCATGCACGTGTGTGCACGCATGTGCACATGCCTCCAGCCCCACCTTCCAACCCCTCAGTGCCCCCAGGACAGGGGCCCCTCTTAGCTATCAGGGTATGGCCGGACCGGCCCTTCCTGCCCAGCACGTTGCAAGCACTTGGCCAGGCCGGCCCTCCAGGCTGCTGCTGCGTGGGGGCCCGGGTGCCCCCAGGTCCATGCAGACTGGGGATTCGGTGGGGAGGGGCGCTTCTAAGGAACCAAACTGACGCTCACTCTGGGCTTCCCAAGCACCCTTAGCATGGAGCCCACCCCAAGGCCTCCCACCGTGCATGGGACAGGGCAGCCCGATGCCAGCTGGCCTACCTGACTGTGCCAGGGGCCCTGCCCCCACCCTCTCAGGATGGCCTAGACTTGGGGAACAGAGCCGGGTGGGGTTGCAGCCCGGAGTGTCTGTCAAAGGCACCAGGTGGAGAGGGCCCGGCACAGGCCCACCCTGGTCCAAACCCTCACACTACAGAAAACCCCAATGGTGCTGAAACTGTCGCCCGGCCACGCCTGGCCCCTCCCCACCCAGGAGGGAGGTGGCACTTCTTAACCTGTACAGTTTTATTGTACCAAGAGACTCGCCCCGCCCCTGTATCATAAGCCTTTAAATGGAGTCAACTTTTTAATTATATATATAAAGATAAATATATATAAATATATATATAAACTTTTTAAAACTGTGAAAAATAGCTATGAAATTATAAAAAAAAACATTCTGACGTGCAGAATATTATTTTTTATTTCCTGTTAGATTATAGTGTCTAGCACCGGCTTCACCGGCCTCCCAGTCCCCAGCACACCCCCCGCCCACCCCACCAAGTGTACTGTACTCACCCCCCAGGATAGAGAAGTGTTTGTTAGGGAGAGAAGAGGGAGAGGCAGGAGCCGGCCCAAGCCCAGGGTCCCTGCTTGGGCCCCAGAAAGCACTTAACCAGGCCCCAAGCCTTCAAGGGAAACCAAGGCCTCAACCAGACAATCTTGAGGGAAGGAAAAGCCAGACTTTGGGTTTGTTTTTTGGGGGAATTATTGGTTTTTTTTTTTATGTTTCTTTTGGAATTTTGTTTGTTGGCAAATTCTGTGTGATCTTTTTTCATAAAAAAAAAGAAAAGATTTAATTGGAAAAATAAAATTGTCTGGAGTGGTTTATTTCAGGGGCTGGAGTAGGGGTGGTGTCTGGGGGCATTCTGCCATATCAGGGCACCAAGAAGCAGGATTCGACTGGAAGAAGTTGGGTGCCACGCGTGCAGGGGCGGTGACCCCATGCAGCCATCTAAATGAGCTCATCGGCTGGGCACAGTGGCTCACGCCTGTAATGCCAGCACTTTGGGAGGCCAAGGCAGGCGGATCACTTGAAGTCAGGAGTTCGAGACCAGCCTGGCCAATATGGTGAAACCCCATCTCTACTAAAAATACAAAAAAAAATTAGCCAGGTGTGGTAGAGCGTGCCTGTAATCCCAGCACTTTAGGAGGCCGAGGCGGGAGGATCACTTCAGGCCAGGAGTTTCAGACCAGCCTGAGCAATGTGGTGAAACCCCGTCTCTACTAAAAATACAAAAATTAGCCGGGTGTGGTGGCCCACACCTGTAATCCCAGCTACTCGGGAGGCTGAGGTGGGAAAATCACAGGGACCCGGCGGGTGGAGGTTGCAGTGAGTTGAGATCGCACCACTGCACTCTGGCCTGGGGGTGACAGAGATTGTCTCAAAAAAAAAAAAAAAAAAAAAAAAAGAAATTGAACAAATTTACATGAGAAAAAATTAAAAGTTAAGTTGGATGGGCACGGTGGCTCACGCCTGTAATCCCAGCACTTTGGGAGGCCAAGGGAGGCGGATCACTTGAGGTCAGGAGTTCAAGACCAGCCTGGCCAATATGGTGAAACCCCATCTCTACTAAAAATACAAAAAAATTAGCCGGGTGTGGTGGAGCGTGCCTGTAATCCCAGCTACTTGGGAGGCTGAGGCAGGAGAATCGCTTGAACCCACGGCAAAGGTTACAGTGAGCTGAGATCGTGCCACTGCCCTCCAGCTGGGGTGACATAACGAGATTCCATCTCAAAAAACCAGTGCCAGGCATGGTGGCTCATGCCTGTAATCCCAGCACTTTGGGAGGCTGAGGCAGGTGGATCACCTGAGGTCGGGAGTTCAAGACCAGCCTGACCAACATGGAGAAACCTCGTCTCTACTAAAAGCACAAAATTAGCCGGGCATGGTGGCACATGCCTGTAATCCCAGCTACTCGGGAGGCTGAGGCAGGAGAATCGCTTGAACCCGGCAGGCAGAGGTTGCAGTGAGCTGAAATCGAGCCATTGCACTCCAGCCTGGGCAACAAAAGCGAAACTCCTCCAAAAAAAAAAAAAAAAAAAGCAAAGCTGCACATTTCCAGCCATGCCTACCACAAAATGATACTAGAAGAAAATGATACTAATGCTAAGAGTGGCCCCAAGCCCTCACCTAGATGGGGGTGGACGGCATCTCTGCACTGGGGCCTAGGGAAGCTATAGGTGGGGGTCTGGCTGCCCAGTGACTGACCTGGTTAGTGTGGGTGGCCTGCAGAGGACATTCGGGGCTTTGCAAAGAGGGTAACCCATGGAGGGCAGCCAGCCGGCCTCGGGCAAGGGAAGGGCCCGGCATGGGCTCTGGGAAACACTCTGGTGTCACCTGGCGCAGTCTTGGCCCAAGTGGCCGCCCACCTGGGCCCCAGGGAGGATGCCTGCCAGAGCATAGGTGGCCCTCGTGCCCTCCTTTACGGGACCCACATCAAAACCTGGACCAGCCCCATTCCTTGGGGAAGCTAAGGACAGAACAGGCCAGGCGCAGTGACTCATACCTGTAATCCTGGCACTTTGGGAGGCCAAGGCAGGGGGAACACTTGAGGCCCAGACTTTGAGACCAGTCTGGGCAACAGCAAGACCCCATCTCTACACAAAATAAAAGAATCTGGCCAGACGTGGTGGCACGCGCCTGTATTCACAGCTATTTGGGAGGCTGAGGTGGGAGGATCACTGGAGCCCAGGAGGTGGAGGCTGCAGTGAGCTATGATGGCACCACTGCACTCCAGCCTCAGTGACAGAGCGAGAGCCTGTCTTGTAAAGAAAGAAAAAACAAAAATGAGGCACAGGACGGGTGCAGTGGCTCACACCTGTAATCCCAACACTTTGGGAGGATGAGACAGATGGATCACTTGAGATCAGGAGTTCGAGACCAGCATGGCCAACATGGTGAAACCCGGTCTCCACAAGACAAATTAGCCAGGTGTGGTGGTGCGTACCTGTAATCCCAGCTACTTGAGAGGCTGAGGCAGGAGAATCGCTTGAACCTGGAAGGCAGAGATTGCAGTGAGCCAAGATCGTGCCACTGCACTCCAGCCTGGGTGACAAGAGCAAGACTCAGTCTCAAAAAAAAAATAAAAAAAGAAAGAAATGAGGCACAGAACAGTGCAGGATTTTGTCCAAATTGCACAAATCAGCAAAAGGGATGAGGCTCGAAGCCAGGAGGCTCTGACTCCTAGGATGCAGTGCAGTCCCTGAGGGGCAGGGGCCAAGCCCCGCCCACTTTGTTTCCCCTTCAAATGGGCTGCATGTGGCCATCCTCCCTGATCCTCACGAAGGGGTGGGGGGGGCGGGCGGTCAAGGTGAGCGACAAACCCTAAGTGCTCCCAGCTCTCACCCCACTACCCAGCGCTGCCCACAAACCAAGCCTACCCAGTGTGAGGACACCCTCCTGCTCCCTGATCCACCCGGCCCACCTCACAGATGGGAAGACTGAGGACCGGCTTATGCGGGGCAGCCCGAGTTCCACCGGTATCCCGAGATGGCAGTCCCAGCCCCCGTCCACGCACAAACTCTGCTTGCAGGCGGCGGTGCAGCGGTCTGCCTTCATCTTTTAATGGCCGGTGCGGTACAGTTAGTGGACAGACGGGGGATGGGACACAGCAGGGGTGAAACAGGGCAGTCACAGCCGGGGCCGGGGATCTGGAAGCGGGGGCGGTCCTCCCCCTGGAAACACCGTCTCTGGAAGGACACCCTTAGGATCCCCTGACCTCAGGGTGCCACCCACACGGGCCTGGTGTTCTGGGAGGCCCGGGCTGGACTGACCCCCAGCCCCTCCCTACGTTCCAGGGACCCTTGGGTCTGTCGAGTCCCTTGCTGGATGAGGGTCAAGACCTAGGTCAAGCTGACTTCAGCCAGGGTGTGGGGGCCCGGCTTCGTAGCCCCCAGACTTACCTCCCCTCTTCTATCCCGGGCCAGGAAGGCAATGGGAGGGCTCCCTAGTCAGGCACAGCCCCCTGACCTGTGGCATCGTGTGGGTGTGTGGGGAGGTCCTGACGTGCCCAGCTGGCATCACTGCTGTGGTTTCCCAGAGGCTGATGCAGACCGCAGGCGGGTCCATTCGGACCCAGGGCTCCGACTCCTTCATGGCTAACGCGTTATGTTTGGGAGAAGCAGTCTCTAAGAATGAGGACAGAAGGGGAAGCCCTGAGGGTGACAAGGTGGGGGGCTGCCCCTCTCCTCTCAGGGCTCCAGAGTTCATGAGGAGGGGTCCCTGGTGGAGGCTGGGCCAGGCGGTGCCCCGATCAGTGCCGGTGGGTGATGAGGGCCGGGGTGCAGTCACTGGGCGCGCACACTCTGGCGGGTGTCTGCTGTCCTGGGTGGGGACACGGTGCGTGTGACCCTGCAGAGTGCTGGCTGGGCTGGAGCCGGGGCCGCTGGACACAGATGGAAGGTAGACGCAGGTATGAGACCAAACGCAGAACACAGTGCTGGCCAGAGCCCCGGGTCGCAGAAACGTGTTCCGGTCCTCGGAGGACTTTGCAGAACTTCAGTCCAGGGTGGGGCATGGCTGGACCCTGAGGGAGTGGGGCTGCTGGCACAGGGGGAGGCTCAGGGCCCCGCAGGCACTGAGGTGGGGACAGGGGAGGGGCCCTCAGGCCTCGGGGCCCCTGGTCAGGCCCTCGGCGTCCCTGGCAGTGGGCGGGGCTGGCTCAGAGGCCTGCGAGGATGGAACCATTGGCGGTGGAGGCGTGCAGGCAGCTGCCGTGAGCGTCGCGGGTGAGGCTGTAGGTGCAGTAGGCCACGGCGGACCCCAGCGTCAGCCCTGACATGTAGGACACGGTCATGGTGTTCCCTGTGGACAACACCAGCCTGAGGGGAGCAGGGCCAGGGCGGCCACCTGGTGGCCACGGCTGCTCGGGTGTGAGGTGCGGTGACACCCGCCTGAACCGTGCCGCCCCTCCAGGACCCGCTGCCCCATCGCTCCTCCTGGGAGCACCCTCTCCGGATCCTGTCCTTCCTCATTCCTTCTTCCCGAGGCCATCTGCTATGCACTCCAGGCCTTGCCTGCCTTCTCTGAGTCCCCCAAGCCCCCATTTTTAAAATTTAAAGACAAGGTCTTGCTCTGTTGCCCAGACCGGAGTGCAGTGGTACAACCATAGCTTCCTGCAGCCTTGACCTCCTGGGCTCACGCGATCCTCCCACTTCAGCCTCCCGAGTACCTGGGACCACAGGCATGCACCACCGTGCCTGGCTAACCTAAAAAAATTTTTTTGTAGAGACTCCGTCTTGCTATACTGCCCAGGCTGGTCCCAAGTGATAGTCCTACCTTGGCCTCCCAAAACACCGTCCTGAGCCAGTGAGCCTGGCCCTAACCCTCCCCATTTTAATCTCCAGTCTCAGCCAGGTATGGTGGCTGACACCTATAATCCCAGCACTTTGGGAGGCTGAGGCAGGCAGATCACCTGAGGTTAGGAGTTCGAGACCAGCCTGGCCAAGATGGTGAAATCTCACCTCTACTAAAAATACAAACATTCGCCAGGTATGGTGGGGGGCATCCATAATCCCAGCTACTCAGGAGGCTGAGGCATGAGAATTGCTTGAACCTGCGAGGCAGAGGTTGCAGTGAGCTGAGATCGTGCCACTGCACTCCAGCCTGGGGAACAGAGCAAGACTCCATCTAAAAAGAAAAAAAAATCTCCACTCTCCGACTTGCAGCTTCCTCCCTATCAGGAACAATTTGGGATGTCCCATGGGCACCTGGAACGTACCAAGTCCCAAACCCAACCCCAACCCCTCCCAACGAGGCCTCTTCCCATCTCAGTCTGTGCCAGTGCCAGCCTTCTTGCCTTGAGCAGTGGACCCCAAACCTGGAGCCCCCTTCCCTCTCCCACACCCTACCTCTCAACCCATCAGCCGGTCCTGTGGGCTGCCGTCCAAACAAGACCTGGAATCCGGCACCTCCCAGTGCCACGTTGACCTCCTCCAGGTCTGAGCCCCATTCTCAAGGGCCTGGACTGGTGAAGTAGCTCCTCACTCACCTCCATGCCCACGGCAGCTGGAGGGATGCTTTATCAACCATCAAACCCCGTTCCTCTTCTGCTCCATCCCCTGGCCTCAGTGCCGCAGGATCTTTGCACATGCTGCTCCCTCTTCCTGGATGCCTTTCCCTTGCATCCTCACATGGCTATCTCCCTTGCTACCTCCTCCAGGTCTTTGCTCACAAGTCACCTCCTCAGTGAGGTCTTCCCAGATTGCTCCATTTACACTGCTGGCTCCCGAGCCTGACTCTCCCATCCCATCACTCCTGTTTCTCTGCTTTATTTTTCCCCATAGGACTTACTGCCATTCAACCAGTCACGCCGATCTGGGATTTTTTTTTTTTTTTTCCCCAGACAGGATCTTGCTCTGTCACCCAGGCTGGAGTGCAGTGGCGTGATCACAGCTGCAACCTCCAACTCCTGGGCTCAAGTGATCCTCCCATCTCAGCCTCCCGAGTAGCTGGGACCATAGGCGCACGCTACCATACCCAGCTAATTTTTTAAACATTTTTGTAGAGAGGAGAGGCTCTCACTGTGTTGCCCAGGCTGGTCTTTAACTCCTGGGCTCAAGTGATCCACCCGCTTTGCCCTTCCAAAGTGCTGGGATTGCAGGTACGAGCCACTGTGCCCGGCCTGGGCTGCCTCCACATCTGGACAGTCAGTCCCACAGCACGGGGAGCGCCGTTTTGTCGCCACTGTGTCCCCGGTGCCTTGAAAAGCACTTGGTCCACAGGAGGGGCTCACCAAGTAGTTGTGGGATGAACGAACGAATAAATGAGTGAATGAAGTGGCTGAGAATGTCCCCACACCTACGGCCTCCCAGACACTGACTGTTCTGAACCCCCGGAACCCAAATGCACCTTCCTGCGGTCTAGCCTGGGTTTCCTCGCGAGGGGGGCATTGCGCTGCTGGGAGGACGCCCCCACCCCCACGTCCCGCGGGCCTCACCTGCCAGCTCCCGCTGCTTGGGGCTCACTTTGCCTGCCGCCAGGATCATGGGCACGCTGCCGAAGTAGCCGTTGCTGATGCCCATGAGCAGTGAGAAGATGCAGGGCCAGGCGGGGTGACGGAGGGCGGGCATGCCGCTGGGGTAGACGCACAGGATGAAGAGGGGGATGAAGACCACACGCAGGCAGGAGCAGGCCAGCAGGTGGGTGCCCCGCCAGTCCACGGGCAGGGCTGCCAGGATCTGCAGAGAGCCAGGCAAGTGGGCGCCCTGTCCCGGCCACAGCCCCACTCGCCTCACACCCCCGACAGCCTCTAGCCACATCCCCATCCCTAAACACTCCTGGGCCTGTCCAGCTCAGCCTGCACCCCTGCCCTTCTCCGGATCACCCCTCTAAAAGCCCCCCAAATTCCACTTACATTTTTTTCCCTTAGAGTCAGTGTATCGGTCTATCCCCCAAGCTGGAGTGCAGTGACACGATGGTGGCTCACTGCAGCCTCAAACTCCCGGGCTCAAGCCATCCTCCCACCTCAGCCTCCCGACTAGCTGGGACCATAGGCACGCACCACCACGGCTGGCTGAGTGATTTTTTTGTTCGTTTGCTTGTTTTTTTGAGACAGAGTCTCGTGCTGTCACCCAGGCTGGAGTGCAGTGGCACGATCTCGGCTCACTACACCCTCCACCTCCTGGGTTCAAGCGATTCTCCTGCCTCAGCTTCCCAAGTAGCTGCGATTATAGGCACGCTCCACCACGTCCATTTAATTTTTGTATTTTCAGTAGACACGGGGTTTCACCATGTTGGCAAGGTTGGTCTAGAACTCCTGGCCTCAAGTGATCTACCCATCTCTGGCCTCCTGAAGTGCTAGGATTACAGGCATAAGCCACTGCACCTGGCCATTTCTTTGAGCCATTTCTGAGTGTCCCTGCCTTCTCTGAGTCCCCTCTGGGGCATCCTCCTGTGCTCATCCCCAGGGGACCTGTGATCGTGAGGCGAGAGGGTGAGGGCCACGCCTGTCCTCCCAGATGCAGCTGACACTCCGGAGCGCCCCAGTGGGATCAGGCCAGGGCCGCCCTCCAGAGGACACTGTCCAGGATGGCGCCACTGCACAGCTCTTGCCCTTTCCACCTGGGAGCCACATGCATCCTTCACTCAGAACCCTTCCCGGATAGGCCAGGGCCTCCCTTGTCACCCCCACCCCATGGCGTCCCCCGACACCGGGCAGGGCAGGCAGCCCACCTTGCCCACGAAGTCTGACAGGTTGAACACAGCCATGATGAGGATGGGCAGCCACTCGCCCAGGATGCAGTGGCGGATCTCAGACTCGAGGCCGGGGAACAGGCACAGCGTGATGAAGTAGGTCACGGCGATGGAGAGCATGTCGGCCCAGATCACCCGCGCCACCACGTAGCGGTGCAGTAACAGGGCTGGAGGGTGGCGGGCGGGGGTCAGAGGCAGCGCCCACGGGGACCCCTGCCTGCCTCCCCCACCCCCTGCCTGGGTGCCAGAGCCAGGGCAGCAGAGGACTCCCCGCACTCACCTCTGAAGGTGGGCCAGCTGCGCTGGACCCTTGGCCGCGGCACATCAAAGCGCATGTAGGCCCCGCCGCTGCCGGTCACCTCGTGGGCTGGGCTGTCCTTTGGGGACTCGTTGGGGGCCAGGGCCGGGGCTGGGTGCTCCTGGAGGGAGGATGGAGTGGGATGGGGTTGGAGTGGAAGGGAGGACAGGAGACACGGGCCAGGAATCCAGGCCCAATCAGAAGAGCCGCACTGGGGCTGGCGCTGACATTCAGGTGGTACCTACTGTGTGCAGACACCCCTCCTCCACTTTATCAAGGTCTCTCACTTCACATTTCTTTCTTGTTTTAGAGAGAGGGTCTTGCTCTGTTGCCGAGGCTGGAGTGCAGTGGTGCAGTCACAGCTCACTGCAGCCTCAACTTCCTGGGCTCAGGCAATCCTCCCACCTCAGCCTCCCAAGTAACAGGGACTACAGCCATGCGCCATCACCCAGGCCAATCTTTTTTGCCGTTTTCTTTTTTGTAGACACAGGGTCTTGCTATGTTGCCCAGGCTGATCTCAAACTCTTGGGCTCAAGCGATCCTCCCACCTTGGCCTCCTGTATAGCTGGGATTGCAGGTGTGAGCCACTGCGCCTGGCTCTCTCTCACACTTCTGATGCAGCAAATTCCATCTCATCATTCCTGTGAACCCTCTACCAGCCTCTGACCAAACCAACCAGAGCATCTGGTCCCCTATGACCTCTCTGCTTTTCCCCTCCTCCAAACACACGGAGCTCCTCCCAGCCTCTGACCCACCGCACACGCTTTTCCCTCTGCCCCAACACGCTTCCTGTGGGTCAGGTCTTAGCCCAAAAGCCCCTCAGGGAACTTCCCTGACCATGAGAGGGACGCACCCCTGCCCTGGCTTGTCCCCTTCCATCCTGGGCCCCTCTCTGGGTCTGGGGGCTCCCCTGGGGATGGTGTTTCTGGCTCACTTCAGCGTCCCCAGCCAAGGGCCCAGGTGACTCACTGGATCAAGGCCTGCATGACCATTCTGGTTCCCGACCCTCAGGAACGAGGACCAATGGCTCCCTCGCCCCGCCTCTGCATGGCCTGGCACTCCTGACCTCACCCTGCAGGTGTCCCCAAGCCTGTACAGCTGCCGGCCCTGAGCCTGGGGGGCTGTGCAGTGCTGCTGCCACCAGAAGGCACCCCAGCCCCCCAAGGACGTCTGCCTGCCCAGGGATGGTGGGATAGGGCACCTCCTGGCAGGGGCTGTCTGTGCTGGGGACCCCGTAGGGGCAGTGCCTCTGTGCTATGACAGGGAAGCCCAGCAGAGCCAGGGGCCACAGAACCAAGCCCCTGGCCCTCCCTCTCCGCCTATCCCCACCTGGGAGACCACTCCCTTTCCTGGCTGGCGACTTCTGTGGGAAATTCTGGGGGCCCCGCCACATTCCCTCAGGGAAACCAGGGTTATCCCTGAGCCCTGACTTCCCTCCTGGCGTCCCGACTCTAGGGAGGAAGGCTGTGAGCTTCCTAGAGAGTTTGCTGCCAGGCTGAGCCTGCAGGAGGACTCTCCAACGTGGGTTGGCGCAGCCAGGAGGGCTGAGACCCTCAGAATGAACGTGGGCTGTCCCAGGGATGGAAACTTTAGTGTACATCATGTGGAGTGTCACTAAGGACAGGGGCCATGCACGCCCCACGCCGTGGGGCACAGCAGCTGGGCAGATCCCCGGACCACAGATGCGGGTGGAGTGGGGCCTTAGGCCACGAGACGTGGGGTGCCAGTAAGAAGCCACATCAGTAAGAGTACACAGAATAAAGGAGGCTGGCAGGAAGGAGTCTCCACCACAGGAGGAGACCACAGTCTGGGATGCAGGTGAGAGGCTGGGCCCCAGGTACTTCCCGACGAAGCGGTGGGGACAGAGAAGGGGACAGAGAAGGGAACAGAGGTGGGCGGTGCGCACTTACGAAGTGGACGTCCCCGGCGACAACGTCGTGGTGCACGCGGTAGCCATAGCCCCTGCCCAGGCCTGGCCTGCCCCGGTGGCTGTCACGCGGCCGTGTGGTATAGAAGAGCACGAAGCGGCTGCGCCGCACTAACAGGTGCAGCAGGAAACACAGCAGCTCCAGCGCCACCGACACCAGGAAGAAGATGAGCGTGCTGGCGCGCTCGTCGGGCAGCAGCAGCTTCGTGAGGATGCGGCTCAGAGAGATCATCACGCCCGCCGTGCCTGGGGGGCGTGCACAGTGGGCCGGGGCCTGATCCGCCCAGCTCCCTGCACCGCCCCGTCCCGCCCCAGCCCCGTCCACACACAGACCCCTCCCCACCGGCCCCGCCCTCCACCACAGGCCCTGCCCCCACCCACAGGCCCCGCCCTCCACCACAGGCCCTGCCCCCACCCACAGGCCCCGCCCATCACCGCCGGCCCCGCCCACTGCCACCACCCCACTCCCGCAACCAGACCTGCTCCACCAGCCCCTTCCAGCAATTCCTACAATGAGTGGCCCAGCTGCCTCCCGCCCCCACTCAGCTCCGCCCCCACTCAGCCACGCCCAGCTGCATCCCACCCCACCCCCCGACTCAGCTTGACCCCACCCAGCCCCGTCCCACCCGCTCCCTCACTCCCCACCCCACCTCCCTTCCCAGCCCCACCCCCTGCCGCTCCCTCTAAGTCCTGAGTCCCGTCTCTCCCGCCCCAACTCCGGGTGCCCCCAGCTCCGCCCCAGCCACAAGAGGAGCTGCCCCTCACAGCAGCCCCACCCCGACGCCGCTCACACACCCCCACCATGGGGCATTTACCCAGTGCCTGCCGTGTCGCTGCACCCTCCTGCTCTGAGGACGCAGTAGGGCCACGATGACACACGGGCGCAGGGTGGGAAGAGGATGGATGCAACAAGATGGTGCGTGATTCAGGCAGGGGGCAGAAAGGAATGGAACAGAGGGCGCGCAGAGGTGGGGGGCAGTTAGAGGGCCCCTGTCCCGATGGGGACCTTTGACGCGGAGGTCTGCAGGACAGGGCCGGGAGTGCAGCCTGGGGACGGGTGTTCCTGGCCAGGGGCTGCTGTGAGCTCAGTGCTCATGTTTGAGGCGCTGGAAGCCGCCATTAGGGTCACGAGGCCGGGAGGGAGGGCCTTGGGGTGGGCAGGCTGTGGGTTTTTTCTTCGCGTGACCATGCGCCACTGCCCAGTGTGAGGCAGGGTGGGTCAGGGCCATGGTGGGCCATGGTGGGCCACCCCGTGAGGGTGGACAGGGCTCTGAGCATGTCTTTTCTGCGCGGCCCTTGACTCCATAAACCACGCGACATCAGTGTGCCGGCACAATTCTGCACCCTCTCTCGCTCGGCCACACCACAAAATCTACCTGCCAGCGACAGGAACCAGGACCTCCCACGTGGGAGTCTGGAAGCTCTGGGGCATCTGGTGGACCTCAGCACCAGGCAGAGGGTTGCAGAACGCCCCCAAGGGGAGAAACGAGCCAGGGCCAAGTGGGTCTTGACCTGGGCTTCCGCTTCCTGCCTGGGCAGCACTGACCCCGGGCCAGTCCAGGCACAGAAGGAAGATTGGGAACCCTGAGAGGGAGGGGCTTCCACGCACACAGTGCCGGTACCCGGGGCCAGTGCTGCCCCTCTGCAGGGGCTGGAGGCCAGGGGACAGACCTAGGACTTGGAGAAGGGCCGGATGTCATGTAAGGTTCAGGCGTGAGCAAAGGGGTGCCATTTGCTGAGAAGGGGTGGGTGTGATTGGCAGGGTGGGTGGAGGAGACGTGAGTTTGAGAAGCCCGTGAGACACCCACATGGGGTGCTGACCAGGGGGTGGCTTGTGTGTCCGTGGCTGCAAGGAGAGCGCGGTGCTGTAGGCATGGTGTGATGTGCATGACATCACGGCCATGGACGGGGCCCACCTCCTAACACACGCGCACACGCAGACTTACCAAACACACACCCAGCCACATGCTCAGAGACATAAGCTTCCCCGATCACAAAGGATCACACACCCCAGAAACACAGCACACACATGTGTGGGCCCACATGTCCCTCCCATGTGGGAGTGCACCCCTTTTCTACCCCCAGCCAGGCCAGGAAAGATGGTGATCACTGTCCCTAGCTCAGTCTGCCCAGGGATTGTGAGCCTCCCTCCCAGACCGGGGAGCATCATGGGGAGTCCCTGGGAAGAAGCTTCCAGAGCCCAGGGCAGCCCAGCACCCCCTCCCCGGGGGGTCTGCAGATACTCACTCTCCCCGGTCATCACCCCCTGCGTGTACCGCTTGGGCAGCATCCCCGTGTACCCGTAGAAGCTGGATTGCTGCACTTAAGAGAGAGAGAGAGGAACAACCCAGAGGCACCATTATCACCTGTCAACTTGGGAGAAATGCACTAGAGAACTGTGTTGGTGGACGAGGGTGCGTAAACAGCCGTTAACACCACTAATGGCAGAGAGATTTGACACGCAGCAGTAGGAACACCAGCCAGTGTACCCTTGGGGTCAGCCAGGGTCATTGACAAGCTCTGACAGATGAAACGTCTGCAG
Organism: Homo sapiens; assembly: GCF_000001405.40. Taxonomy (NCBI): domain Eukaryota; kingdom Metazoa; phylum Chordata; class Mammalia; order Primates; family Hominidae; genus Homo; species Homo sapiens. Next base: position 5,294,639 of record NC_000007.14, on the reverse strand, counting down.
AAATGACACGTCACTACTGGGCAAGGCAGTGAAAAGTCTGCATGGACTTTCAACCTTTCTTCTTCCCATGGGCAGGGACAGGAGAGGCCATGTGTTACGGGGTGGGGAGAGGACTGTCTGCCTGAGGCCCTGAGAGACCGTATGGAGCATAACACCCTTCACCCTCCAGAGAAGACAGGCAGCAAAAGTGAGAAGTCAGGCTTGTTCTATGGAACCACTGAGATTTCTGGGCTATTTGTTATACAGCAATAACCCCTCTCATCCTAACTAATACAGCCAGAAATCCATCAGGATCTAGGGAAAATAGAAGTGCACAGGCCCCTACCTTGGAGTCTAGCAAATCCAGCCCTGGAAGTAGCCTCAGGGGCAGTCTTTGTCTAACTAAAATCTTCTGGTCAAGGCTGGGCATGGTGGCTCACACCTGTAATCCCAGTGCTTTGAGAGGCTAAGAAGGGAGGATTGCTTGAGTCTAGGAGTTCAAGACCATCCTGGACTACAAAGTGAGATCTTGTCTTTACAATTTTTTTTTTTTTCCAGATAGAGCCTCGCACTGTCGTCTGGGCTGGAGTGCAGTGGTGCGATCTCGGCTCACTGCAACCTCTGCCTCCTGGGTTCACATGATTCTCCTGCCTCAGCCTCCCGAGTAACTGGGATTACAGGCACACACCACCACACCCGGCTAATTTTTTGTATTTTTAGTAGAGACGGGGTTTCACTATGTTGGCCAGACTGGTCTCGAACTCCTGACCTCGTGATCTGTCCGCCTCAGCCTCCCAAAATGCTGGGATTACAAGCATGAGCCACCATGCATGGAGACAAAAATTTTTTAAAAATTAGCTGGGTGCAGTGGCCTGTGCCTGTAATCCCAGCTATGTGGGGGGCCTGGCCTCTCCCTCGAGCCCATGAGGTTGAGGCTGCAGTGAACCATGATCCCACCACTGCACTCCAGCCTGGGCGACAGAGTGAGACCCTGCCTCTAAAAAAATAAAATCTAGTCACAGCATTTTTTTTGTTTTTTAACAAAACAGAACAGTAGTATTGGGAGTATTAGTTCACGAAGGCTTGACATCATTTATAAATACACACACGTGTTTACAGGGCCGTAATATAAAATGTATTGCTTTCTTCCTGGAAGTCATGGTCAAAAAGAGTTTGAAAGTCTACCAAGCTGGCTAGGCATAGTGGCTCACGCCTGTAATCCTAGCACTTTGGGAGGCTGAGGCAGGCAGATCACAAGGTCAGGAGTTCGAGAGCAGCCTGGCCAATATGGTGAAACCCCATCTCTACTAAAAATACACAAATTAGCCAGGTGTGGTGGCGGGCGCCTGCAGTCCCAGCTACTCGGGAGGCTGAGGCAGGAGAATCCCTTGAACCTGGGAGACGGAGGTTGCAGTGAGCTGAGATCGTGCCACTGCACTCTGCACTCCAGCCTGGGGGACAGAGAAAGACTCCATCTCAAAAAAAAAAAAAAAAAAAAGAGAAAAAAAAGAAAGTCTACAAAGCCTGGCCTGGACCCTTGCAAAATGTCACTACCATGAAACACAGGGGTGGGTGAAGGACCGTCCCGGATTAAAGGAAAGGTATGAATCTAGAGAGGATGTTGGGTCAGAAAAAAAAAAATGCTATAAAGAACATTATCGGGGCGGGGTGCGGTGGCTCACGCCTGTAATACCAGCACTTTGGGAGGCTGAGGTGGGCGGATCACCTGAGGTCAGGAGTTCGTAATCAGCCTGAGGAACATGGTGAAACCCCGTCTCTACTAAAAATACAAAAATTAGCCTGGCATGGTGGCGGGCACCTGTAATCCCAGTTACTTGGGAGGCTGAGACAGGAGAATCACTTGAACCCGGGAGGCGGAGGTTGCAGTGAGTTGAGATGGTGCCACTGCACTCCAGCCTGGGCGACAGAGTGAGACTGTCTCAAAAAAAAAAAAAAAAAAAAAAAAAAAAGGAAAAAAATGTCTTGGCTGGTAGAAAATACACTCTGAAGTATTAGTAATTAGGCAAGAAAGGTGATGACATCTACAACTAACTCTCAAATGGTGCAAGGGAAAATATGTATTTTATATTTATATATACTTAGGGAGAAATTTAAGTACAGAGAGACGGGGTGGAGGGAGAGGGGGAGAGAGTGCTCGTATGGGACTTCACTGTATCATTCTTGCAAGCTTTCTGTAGGTTTGAAATTTTTGCAAAATAAAAACTAGTTTTCAAAAAAAGTTTGAAAGGCCAGGCACGATGGCTCATGCCTGTAATACCAGCACTTTGGAAGACCGAGGTGGGAGGATTGCTTGGGGCTAAGAGTTCAAGACTAGCCTGGGCAACACAGAGAGATCCCCGTCTCTACAAACAATTTTTAAAAATTAGCCAGGCTTGGTGGCATGTGCCTGAGGTCCTAGCTACTCAGGAGGCTGAGGTGGGAGGATGGCTTGAGTCCAGGAGGTTGAGGCTGCAGTGAGCTATGATCATGCCACTGCACTCTAGCCTGGGTGACAAAGTCAGATCAAAGCCATTGCCCAAGATAAACAGTGACATGGTGACAAAGGCAGAACAGTCTTTGAAGCCCTGTTTATACCAGGGAAACCAGGGGCTGCCTCAGAGTCTCTGTGGCTACACGCTGCGCACACACTGCAGACACACTACACAGGCTCCTGTGGGTGTGAGCCGGTGTGCACGCTGGCATGCAGGTGGACACACACCTGGCACCCAGCCAGCCCGGTTCCCATCATGTCACATGCCACCAGCAGGAGACCAGGGCTGGGGTGGGATGGGGTCGGAAGTGGGCACTCAAGGCCTCCCCCTTGGGCCCCGGTTCCTACCTGTGCAGCCGAAGGCCACGGTGCCCACAGCGGCCAGGTTGATGGCGTAGGCCTGGTCCCGAGAGAAGAGCTGCAGCCACACGTCGCAGATGCTGATAAAAAGGAGAGGGCCCAAGGCTAAGAGGTAGCCTGTTGGGGGAGAGGCTAGTGAGGGGAGTGGTGGAGCCAACTGGGTGGGGTCCCCCTCCTCCTCGCCCCTCCTGCAGAGTCGCTCTGAGGCTTTCTCTGCCCTTCCCCTTTAAGGAGGGCCAGGGATGCTTTACGAGTCTAACAGGGGCACCTGGAGGGCTTCCTGTAGGAGGCACCATTTGAGCCGGGCCTTGAAGCTGGATGTTGCCGTGCAGAGGAATGGGAAAGGAAGAACACACTGGACGTGGGGAAGAGCTTGGGCAAGGCCCAGGGACATGACTTGGGGTACAGAGGCCCCACCACGGTGTCTTACACCAGACCTCAGGGCAGCCCTAGGAAGTGTGCCCATTTTACAGACGAGGGGAGTGAGGCTCAGGGAAACTGGGTGAGTGGGTGACCGGCCAGGCAGGTGGAAGCCATGACAGGCAGGTGTCCCGTGGCGGGGCCCAGCGCACCTGCGGTGATCCTGGTGTGCAGGGTCAGTCTCTCCACCAGGACGTTGTTCAGGAGGACAGCTGCCAGTGCCACCAAGATGTAGGTGAGGCTCATGTCAAACACGATGGAGGTCCCTGCAGAGGGCCAGAGACAGCAGGTGCTCAGGGAGGCCCCACCCCCTGCACTGACTCCTGCCAGGTGAGACCTCCCAGAAGGGGCTCGCTGCCCACAGAGGGTGAGTGGCTGCCCTGAGGTCACTCAGCAGCTCACAGTGGAGCCGAGATCTGAATAAAACAGGTCCCCGTGTAGGACCCTCCCCGCCGGGGGTTTCTGGGAGGCCCCAGGCCATGATGGAGGATGCTGAGTGGCTGGGCGTGACCGTGGAGGGACCCACCTGGGTACTTGTGATGCAGGTAGTCCACGTCCGTGATGAAGCTGTTGTATGGCAGCAGGAAGCCCACGCCAGCCAGCAGCATCGCAAAGTAGATGGCGTGATAACGGTCATCGGGCACTGGCTCGTCCAATGCTAAAGCCAGAGACACCAGGTGAGACGGGGCACGCTCCACGCATGGCTACAGTCACCGCACAGGGCGATGTCCACCACCCCGGCCGCCATCACCATAGCCACTGTCCATCACCGTGACCCCTGCTCCCCTCTGTTCCAGATACCTCTGTCATCTGGCCATTATCAAAAGCCACCAAATACTGTGGCTACAGCCACCACACCCACGCCCTCACAGCCACTGCAGCTGCCAGCTTGATGGACAGGAAACCAGCTCACGTCTGTAATCCCAGCACTCTGGGAGGCCAAGGCGGGCAGATCACCTGAACTCAGGAGTTCGAGACCAGCCTGGCCAACATGGTGAAACCCCATCTCTACTAAAATACAAAAAATGGCCAGGCGCCGTGGCTCACAACTGTAATCCCAGCACTTTGGGAGGCCAAGACGGGCGGATCACGAGGTCAGGAGATCGAGACTATCCTGGCTAACACGGTGAAACCCCATCTCTACTAAAAATACAAAAAAACCCAAAAAATTAGCCAGGCATGGTAGTGGGCGCCTGTAGTCCCAGCTACTCGGGAGGCTGAGGCAGGAGAATGGCGTGAACCCAGGAAGCGGAGCTTGCAGTGAGCCGAGATCGCGCCACTGCACTCCAACCTGGGCGACAGAGTGAGACTCCGTCTCAAAAAAAAAAAAAAAAAAATTAGCTGGGCATGGTGGTGCACGCCTATATTTCCAGCTACTCAGGAGGCTGAGGCAGGAGAATCATTTGACCCCAGGAGGTGGAGGTTGCAGTGAGCCAAGGTTGGGCCACTGCACTCCAGCCTGGGCAAGAGCACGAGACTGTTTTCAAAAAAATAAAAAATAAAATTATAGGATATGGAAGGAGAAGAGTGAACACCCTTTGCCTGTCCTTCTGGGGAAGGGGTCAGCATGTCTGGGGTTGTACCGGGTTCTTGTATCATGCTCGGTGGCGGTATGACCTTGTCACTGCCTTTATCTGGAGAGGAGGCATGGTTTAGGGAGCTGTCTATGGGAGCCACACCGGCAAGGGGGGGACCGTGATGGTCTGTTTATGGTCACCTTGACAAGCTGAAGTACAGTCCCCAGTTCCAACCCTAGCCCTGGTGCTGCTGTGAAGGCGTTTTGCGATTAAAGTCCCTTCTCCATTAACTTTATCAAAAGGGAAATTACCCTGGGTGGGTCTGACCTAATCAGGTGAGACCTTGGGGACTTCCTGGAGCTCAGAGACTCCAAGAAGCTCCTGCCCGTGGGTTCCAGACTGTCCATGACCTTCCTGACTGCCTGCCTGGCTTAACTAGCTCCCACTTTAGTCAGCCAATTGCTTTTTTCTTTCTTTTTTTTCAGAGTCTCGCCGTTGCTCAGGCTGGAGTGCAGTGGCATGACCTTGGCTCACTACGACCACCCCCTCCTGGGCTCAAGTGATTCTCCTGTCTCAGCCTCTGAAGTAGCTGGGATTACAGGCGTGTGCCACCACACCCGGCTAATTTTTGTATTTTTTGTACAGACGAGATTTTGCCAGGTTGTTCAGGCCGGCCTCAAACTCCTGGGCTCAAGTGTTCCTCCGGCCTCAGCCTCCCAAAGTGCTGGGATTATAGGCATGAGCCACCGTGCCGAGCCTTAGCCCAGGTTTCTGAGCCTAAAGTACTAGCATAAACAGCAGCTCTCCAGAAAAGAACTATAGCTTACAGGGTGCCTCCTGAGTGCCAGGGACAGGCCCAAGCAAGATTCTGTGGATTCTGATGCAACCACACTGACACAGTATCATCTCCCTTTTCCAGAAGAAGACACCGAGGGTCACAGAACAACACTGACTTGACCAGGGGCTCCTGGTGGGTAAAGGATGGGAGGTAGGCTTGAACCCGAGCCTGTCAGACTCCAAGCCTGTGGGCTGTCCACTCTGCAAGTCTGATCTCAAAGTCAGTTGGCCCAATTCTTCAATGTGGTGAAACTAAGGCTCAGAGAGGTTTAGGCCCTTGCCTAACGTCACACAGCTGGGCTGAAAACCCAGGTCTTTGAACCTCACATCCAGTCCTATTCAGGCACTTTCCTGGCTCCTTTGCAGTGAGGCATAGCTTGCTTTGGCCAACGAGTGTGACCAAAGTGACATGTGTCACTCCAGATAGAAGCTTTATGGGTCAGCGGACGGGCGCGGTGGCTCAAGCCTGTAATCCTAGCACTTTGGGAGGCCGAGGCGGGCGGATCATGAGGTCAGGAGATCGAGACCACGGTGAAACCCCGTCTCTACTAAAAATACACAAAATTAGCTGGGCACGGTGGCAGGCACCTGCCGTCCCAGCTACTTGGGAGGCTGAGGCAGGAGAATGGCGTGAACCCAGGAGGCGGAGCTTGCAGTGAGCCGAGATTGCACCAGTGCACTCCAGCCGGGTGACAGAGTGAGACTCCGTCTCAAAAAAAAAAAAAAAAAAAAAAAAAGAAGCTGTACGGGTCAGCGCATGAGCCATGGTCCCTTCACCCACCCAGTGAGCACAAAAGCCCATGTTAAGACAGAGCCTCCTCTGCCTGGGGCTGTCGGCAGGGCCCCCAGCAGGGACATGCAGCATCAGGGCGGAGACACTGAGAAGGTGGGCGTGTTTGTTATGCAGCAGATCTAATCCACACTGACAGGCACTGCCTCCAGTCCTCCATGACCACCCATGGCTCCCCGATACCGCAAGGCTTCACTGGGGGTCACACAGCCCAGCCTGCTTTGGGGCAAGACCCGCACCTTGCCCGCACGCCTACTTACTAGTATCCGTGAAAGCTGGGACGCCCCTGGCCCTAAGGCCCTGGCCCTGAGCCGCCTCCGCCGCCTCCTCCAGCTGGTGACTGTCGAAGGTGAAGCTCATCACTACGCCCGGGTCTGGTGTGCCTGCCACGCTGGGCTCCTCAAGGCGCTGGCTCCCCACGGAGCCCATGGCAGCCTCTGCTTTGGAGAAAGCAGAGAGAGCAGGTGAGGGAAGAAGGCTGAGGGATCCATGGCTCATGCACTGACCCATAAAGCTTCTACCTGGAGTGACACATGTCACTTTGGTCACACTCGTTGGCCAAAGCAAGCTATGCCTCACTGCAAAGGAGCCAGGAAAGTGCCTGAACAGGACTGGATGTGAGGTTCAAAGACCCGGGTTTTCAGCCCAGCTGTGTGACCTTAGGCAAGGGCCTAAACCTCTCTGAGCCTCAGTTTCACCACATTGATGCCATGCGGCCGGGACTGTATCCCCTGGGGGGACCGTCCTTTCTATCCATCCAGAGGACATTAATTTAAGCAGATAAGCAATGTCACCTGGTATGTCTTTTTTTTCTTTTTTTTTTTTTTTCAGACAGGGTCTCACTCTGTCACCCAGGTTGGAGTATGGTGGTGCAACCATCACTCATTTCAGCCACGACCTCCTGGGCTCAAGGGATCCTCCTGATTCAGCCTCCCAAGTAGCTGGGACCACAGGTTCGAAACACCATGCCTGGCTAATTTTAAAAAATTTCTTTTGTAGAGTTGGGGGTCTCACTACATTGCCCAGGCTGGTCTCCAACTCCAACTCCTGCCTCGGCCTCCCAAAGTGCGGGGGTTACAGGCGTAAGCCACTGAGCCACTGCGCCCAGCCCTCACCTGGTGTGTCTCAAGGTGCTCATCCTCACTGCTATCTAGGGAGAAGGGGTCAGAGGGGAGGAGAATGGCTCAGAGACTGCTGTCCCGGGGAGCAACCAAGGTGGCCTGCATGGTGGCAGTGGGCACGGTGAGAAATAGATGGAGTGGAGGAATACTTTGGCGGTACGATGCCAGGACTTGGGGAGCAGTTGGAAGTAACAGGTGACATGAGTGAGCCTCACGCGTGCCTGCACCGCGCTGCAGTGTCCTCTGGGAGGAAGCTGCCTTTATCACTCATTTTTCAGCTGAGGAAAGTGAGAAACCCCTTGGTCTCACAGGCAGAAAGTGGGAGAACCCAGATCTCAACCCAGGTCTGTGTGGCACTTTGAGCCACGATGGCCCTTGGTCCTGGGGCCAACCACCCTTATGGCGGGAAGTTCTTCCTGTGGTCTTGCCTCAGTGCTTCTTGCTTCAATTTGGATCTGCCAGCCCTGACCTTCGGGAGGAAAGGAAGGAGCTAAGTCATCTGTGATGGAGACGCTTGCACTGTGTGGGCAGCCCTGTGTGTGCCTGAGGCAGGCTAGCTTTTTCCCCTAAAATGATTTTTTTCTTTTTTCTTTTTTTTTTTTGAGATGGAGTCTTGCTCTGTCGCCCAGGCTGGAGTGCAGTGGAGCAATCTTGGCTCGCTGCAACCTCCGTCTCCTGGGTTCCAGCGATTCTTCTGCCTCAGCCTCCCGAGTAGCTGGGACTACAGGTGCCCGCCGCCACACCCGGCTAATTTTTGTATTTTTAGTAGAGATGGCGTTTCACCATGTTGGCCAGGATGGTCTCGACCTCTTGACCTTGTGATCTGCCCGCCTCGGCCTCCCAAAGTGCTAGGATTACAGGCCTGAGCCACCACATCCAGCCTATGATTTTTTTCTAATAACGTGTATTCATTTATCTGAATGCAGAAAGGATCTGTGCTCGTCGTAGGGAGTTTGAGGCTAACAGAGAGGACAGCACAGCACTGAGTGCTGAATGTAGTGCCTCAGTTTCCCCAGTATGAAGGAGAGCCGTGGTAAAGGCTGGAAGAAGCCCACCCCATGGGGTCCCACAGGCCCAGAGGAACCTTGATTTTTTTGTTTTTTGTTTTTTTTTCTGAGACAGAGTCTCGCTTTGTTGCCAAGGCTGGAGTGCAGTGGCGCGATCACAACTCACTGGAGCCTCTGCCTCTCAGGCTGAAGTGATCCTCCCACCTCAGTCTCTTAAGTAGCTGGAACAGGTGTGTGCCACCAGGCCCGGCTAATTTTTTTCTTTTTTGTAGAGATGGGGGTCTCACTGTGTTGCCCATAGTGGTCTTGAACTCCTGGGCTCAAGTGATCTTCTCGCCTTGGCCTCCCAAAGTGCTGGGATTATAGGCATGAGCCACTGCGCTCAGCCCATCCTGATTTTCTCTGGGGCTGACCCATGTCACCTCTGCCTGCTCTTGTCCCATCTCCTGGGTCTCATTTCCTCCAGCTCCCCTGCCTCAGTTTACTCCCTTCCCAGCCTCTAGGCAGGTTTTCATGATCAGTTACCAAGCACCTCCCTGTGACCCCATGTCCCCCTCTTCTAGCTCACTACAGAATTTTAACTGGGGCCTAAAAGGGGGCCTGGGGCCTCACTGGGGCTTTGAAGCCAGAGCCTTCCCATTTCCAGGTCTTGGGGGCTGGGGAGATTCAGCCCCTGACAGCTGGGGGCCAACGCAGGTAATTGGTACCCACTACCAGGGGAGAGGCGGTCCCGGACTTCTGGGGGCTGAGAAGCCCAGCGTGTCTCCCCTTCTAGGCTCAAGGCTCCCCTGACTGCCCCTCGTCAGCCCTGGCCGTCCTGCCACATCTGGAGCTGGGGGGTTGGGGGTGGGGTGGGGTGGCGGCCGAGCAGGGCTTAGAGCAGAGCTGGGCTGGGCTTGAACGAGGGTGGCTCTGGGCGGGCTCCGCACACCTGTCTCCCCTGTGAAGTGGACACAGGAGCCTGAGCTCAAGAGTCGTTGGGAGGCGCCAGAGAGTCAGCAAAGGCTTAGAGACCCCGGGGCCCTTCTTCAGCCTGCAGAGCCAGGAAAGGGGATGGTGTCAGGGTGACAGTCTACAACAATCAAATGCTCCTCCTGCCACCTGCTCAGGATGCCAGCCCAGCCCAGGAGGACATCTGAACCCAGAAAGGCCTGGTCTGTGTTCAGCAAGAGCCCCCAAGATGCTTCCCTGGACGTGCAGTGCCCTGAACACTCCTGGCCAGAAAGCCGAGGTTTCTGCCTTGCCCGGAGGCCACGCCACCCAGGAAGGCGGACGTGCTTGGCATCCAGCCAGGAGGCGGCTGCTGTCCCCTCTGGCTTAGTCGGCAAAGTGGGCAGCTGCCACCCACACTGCCCGGCTTGGCCAGCCACTGTCCCCATGGTGGAGGGGGTGGGGACCCTGCTGCAGCCGCTCTCCCCCACCTTTCCTGGGCCACAGGCCTCCAACTCTGTCCTTCCCGGCCCCCCACATCCAAGCCTACTGCGCCCCAGGGAAGGCAACCCAGGGCCTCCTGCCCTGTCCCCCCTTAGTTAAAATTTAACGACATGCACACTGGCTTAATAACTCCAGTGTTTACAGGGCTTGGCCCTGCTCCTCCACTCTGCGCTGCCGTGACCCCTTGATGCCTGACCCAGGGGGCCCTTGAGAAGACACAGGTCATTTTTTTGGCCTTGAGGCCACCCCTCAGGCCTCAGTTTCCCCACCTCACAACTCAGTAGAGGAAGAAGAGGGTGAGAGTACGTCACAAACAGGGACTGGGTGGGTGGCTGGTGGGGTAGGCTCAGCTGCACACAGTAGGCATTCAACAGTTGCACAAGCTGCCACTTAACACTGCTATGGGCAAGGCAGGGCTCCCACCGCTCTCCCCCATTTATTAATTTTTTTAATTTCTATTTTTGTAGAGGTGGGGTCTTGCTCTGTTGCCCAAGCTGGCCTTGAACTCCTGGCCTCAGGTGATCCCTCAGCCCCGGCCTCCCAGAACCAAGATTACAGGAGTGAGCCACTGCTTCTGGCCAAGGCCCCTCACCACTTTGCAGGGAGGGCGACTGAGGCACAGAGAGGCCAAGTCGGGGGTGGGGGGGGGGGTCGTGCAGCTCAGACTGGAGCCTGGCCCAGTGACCCCCTCCGGCTCCTCCCATTTCCACTGGGCCTGAAGTGCACAGTGGCCCAGGGCAGCTGGAAGCGCTGGGCGTCGGGACCCCAAAGCCAGTCTGGCCTCACTCGGGGGCCGCGCTCCTCCGGCCAGCCAGGAAGGACCAGGGGAACCGAATTCCACTTGGAAAGCGGGCCTGGGCTCGCACTCCCGGCTCAGTCACCAGCCCTGGTTAGTTGATGCCTGGTACACCCCTGGTCCCCGTTAACCGGGGCTAACGATGCCTCTGCTGCCCTTTCCGCAGCCCAGCGGTCTAAGCTGCTCCAACTCCTGTGGGGGTGGGTTACAAGCCCCTCCGGCCACCCCCTTTCTGCAGCCCCCCGGGGACCGATGCATGCAGGGGCCACAGGCTGGCCCCCCGGGCCCACCGCCCTCCCCGGCCCGGGTCGCCGCGCCTTTCTGCCGCCTGTCCGGCCTCATCAGCCGCAAAGTTGGCTCGCGGACCTGCGCCCCCAGGCAAAGGACAGACCCCCTGGGCCGTCCCGAGGTGACCCCGGAGCCCAGGCCCCGCCTCTCCCGGCCGCTTTTTCCGAGAACGAGGAAGGGGCCGGCGGGGGCAGGGGAGCGATGGGGTGGCGCGGGGGGGTCCGGGGAGGAACTTCGTGCGGGAGGACCCCCGCGCGGTGCTCAGGGAGGCGGTGGCGCCGACCCCCTCCATGGCGAGGGCCCAGGGGTCCGGGTCCGCGCTTGTCGCCGGGCGCGGGGGGCTGGGCCGCTCAGGACGCGGCCGGGGTGGCCTCGGGTTCCCGGGACAGGGGCGGGCTGGGGAGAGGGGGCAGCGCCCGGGCGGGCGGGAGGGGGCGGGGGAAGCCGCGCGCGCCGCAGACAAAGGCTCCGACAGGTCCCCGCCGGCGTCTCCCCGCGTCCCGCGGCCACCGCTTACCTCGGCCCGGCCCGGCCTGGGGTCCTCGGCGCGCCCGCCACGCCGCCCCGCTCCCCCAGCCTCGGGCCGGGCGCGCCCGGCGTCCTCCGCCGGTCCCCGAGTCCGCCCGGCCCCGGTCCACGAGCGCGGCGACGAGCACAGCCCAGGCCACCACGCCCCGCCTCTGCCCGCCCCCCGCGCCCGGCCCCGCCCCTCCCTCCTCCTCCCCCCTCCTCCTCCCTCTTCCCTCTCGCTCCTCTCTCCTCCCTCCCCCTCCCCTCCCCCTTCCTCACCCTCTTCCCTCCTCCCTTCACCCTCCTCTCCTCCCTCCCCCTCCTCCCCATTCCTCCTCTCTTTCCCTCCCTCTCCATTCCTCTCTTCTCCTCCCTCTCCCTCCCCTTCTTCCTCCTCCCCATTCCTCCTCCTCTCTTCCCCCTCTCCCTCCTCCTCCCTCCCCTTCTACCTCCTCTCTCCCTCCTCCCCATTCCTCCTCTTCCCCTCCCTCTTCCTCCACCTCCCACCTCTTCTCTCTCCTCTCCCCTTCCTCTCCATTCTCCCCACTCCTCCTCTCTTCCCCTTCCCTTTCTCTCCTCCTCCCTCCCACTCCTCCCCCTTTCTCTTCCCTCCCCTTCCCTCCTCCCACCCCTCCCCTCCTCCAAAGTCCTCCATTACCCTCCTCCTGCTCTCCTCCCTTCTCCCCTCCCCTCCACCCTCCTCCCTTTCTCCTCCTCACTCTTCCTCCCTTCCTGTCTCTCCCCTCCTCCCTCTCCCTCCCTCCTCCGCTTTCCCCATTCTCCTACTCAGTCCTCCCTCTGTCTTCCCTCCCTCCTCCCTTCTACCATCCCCACTCCTCCTCCATCCTCCTCTTTTCTCCCCCTCCTCCCTCCCTCTCCTTCCCCTTCCTCTTCCCTCCCCTCTCCCCCATCTTCCCCCTCCTCCCCTCTGCTCCCATCTCCTTTCTTCCTTTCTCCCTCCCCCCACCCTTCCATCCAGCTGGGCTGTGCAGGCGCCAGGCCCAGGCTGAGGCTGAAATCAGGATCCCCAACACACCAGGGTGCGGCATGGTGGCCCCGGGAGGGCCGGGTGACCTGCGGCTGACCCAGCCCACCACCCCCGCTGCCCACCCCTCAGCCTTGGTGCCCAGGCTGCTCCCCCTCAACAGATCCACTCGCCTGGGAGGCCAGCAACGCCGCCAGTGGGTGGGTAGGTTCAGTCACGAGGCCACTGGGTGACCAGATTGAAAGTTTCGAAGGACGGGTAGGAGTTCACCTGCTGGAGAAGGGGCGGAGAGCAAGTCCAGCCAGGAGTGGGGGCTGTGGCCGACCCTCAGTCATGCCCTGCCCTCACTTGGTTCCTACCTCGACCCGCTCCCTTTCTCCTCCCAGCTTGGGATCAGAACTGGCTAGGTTGCTTCCCATGACTCCCTTTGCCTGGGAGCCTCCGTTTTTCTCCCAGGTGAATGGAATCATGACCCCGCCCTATTCTCCCTCTACTCACCTGTAGCCTGGCTCTAGGACAGACTGAGCAGAGCCCAGGGGACCCAGGTATAGGACATCAGCCAGCCCTGGGGGACTGGGAGTGTTACTGGCTGGGAGAAGGGTCCAGCCTCGAGGTGAAATCAGGAACCAGGTGGGAATCACACCTGTCCTGGGTCTCTGTGGGGGCCTGTCTATGGGAATCAGGAGAGACCCTCCGGGTCTGAGCCACCAGGTGGGATGGATACAGGCGCCTGCCCAGGCCCCCACCAGGCTCCTACCTGAGGCCCTTCCTTCACTTTCCACCAGATCAGCTCCTTCTCCCCCTTAAGCAACATCTCCGTTGTCAGCGCTCCAGGGAGCCCCCACGGTTTCTTCTGCCCCGCCACCAATGGGGTCAGCACCTTTGCTCCAGGCCTTGCCCATCCCTTCTAAAGGACTGGGAGCCCCCTGAAAGTAGAGACCTGCTTTCGTTCTCTTTGGATCCTCAGTGCGCAGTGAGGCATACAGGGGCTGGCATACAGCAGGAGCCAAATATTTGCTTGAAGGGCAGACTGCATTGGGAGCTGAATAAGGAAGTGTTGAGTGAGGTGACTCCATTCACCTGGGAGCCTCCGTTTTCTCCCAGGTGAATGGAATCACCTGGTGGCGGGGGCTGCTGACGCACTCTTAGGGCGGGACACCCCTCTCCTTCCTCTGCTGCTGTCTGGGCGGAGGTTGGGGGTGCTGCTGCAGGGGGGCCCAGTCCATTGCTCCAACTAGTTAATCTTAAAGTTCATGACGGCTGGGCGCAGTGGCTCACACCTATAATCCCAGCACATTGGGAGGCCAAGGTGGGCGGATCACCTGAGGTCAGGAGCCCGAGACCAGCCTGGCCAACGTGGTGAAACCCCGTCTCTACTAAATATACAAAAATTAGCTGGGCGTGGTGGTGGGCGCCTGTAATCCCAGCTACCCAGGAGGCTGAGGCGGGAGAATTGATTGAACCCAGGAGGCAGAGGTTGCAGTGAGTCGAGATGGCTCCACTGCACTCCAACCTGGGTGACAAGAGCAAAACTCCATCTGGAAAAAATAAAATAAAATAAAATAAAAATAAAGTTCACAAGCTCCAGTGCTTCCCATAAGCCTAGAGCTTTCAACGGGGATCCCTGCCTTGTCCTGGATGTGGGGGTGGGGTTTCCAGATAAGAATTATTTGGTGGGCCAGGTGCAGCGGCTCACGCCTATAATCCCAGCACTTTGAGAGGCCAAGGCGAGAGGATGGCTTGAGCCCAGGAGTTTGAGACCAGCCTGGGCAACATAGAGACTCTATCTCTACCAAGAAAAAAAAAAAAAAAAAAAAAAGCGAAAATAAGCTGGGCATGGTGGTGTGTGCCTGTAATCCCAGCTACTCGGGAGGCTGAGGCGGGAGGATTGTGTTAGCCTGGGAGGTGGAGGCTGCAGTGAGCTATCATTGTGCCACTGCCCCCCAGCCTGGACAATAGAGCAAAGCCCTGTCTCTAAAAATAAATAAGTAAATCAATAATAAAAACATTATTAGGTGCATGTGAGACATTTTCTAGAGGCAGGGGACGCATCAAGGGGTCCCTGCTCCCCTGGAGTTGCACTTAACTGGTGGGTGCTGGCAATAAACAGGTACAGTAATTTCGGAAGCATCAAATGCTTGGAAGACTAGATGGGGGTGGAGCAGGCACCAGCACGTGACTAGGGGACAGGGCTGGGCTTTGGTATCCAGGTGGTCTGAGAAAGCGATATCTGAACTGAGAGATTTGAATGATGGAAATGTTAGTGGGAAGGGTGTTCCCAGCACAGGGAACAGCCAATGCAAAGTGCTGAGTCTGGAAACAGCTCATTTAATTCAAGAACAGGAGGGCCACTGTTGTGGGAACAGGGACAGCGGGGAGAAGGGAGGTGAGGTTGGAGAAGGGAAACAGCCAAGGGGGGTCTTGTTGGCCATGGTGAGGGGTTGGAATCCTTGGAGCAATGCTTTTTTTTTTGAGACAGAGTCTCGCTCTGTCACCCAGGCTGGAGTGCAGTGGTGCGATCTTAGCTCACTGCAATCTCTGCCTCCCCAGTTCAAGCGATTCTCCTGCCTCAGCCTCCCACGTAGCTGGGATTACAGGCACCCACCACCACGCCTAGTTAATTTTTGTATTTTTAGTAGAGACAGGGTTTCACCACTGGTCTCAAACTCCTGACCTCAGGTGATCTGCCTGCCTTGGCCTCCCAAAGTGCTGGGATTACAGGCATGAGCCACCGCGCCCGCCACAAGGCTTTTCTTTTTCTTTTTTTTTTTTTTCCAGATCTCCCCATTGCTGGGTTGCTGGTGGGACTGAAAATGGGACCAACCCTTTTGGAACATAAACTGGCTTAAAAGACATGCTTACCTTTTGGTCCAGAAAAATCTGGCCTGAGGAAATATTTCTAAATGCAGAAAAGTTTTTATATACAAAGACGTTCGTCATAAGAGCCAAACACTGCAAATAGTCCCCTTGGCCAAGACGAGTCCCCGATTTACGTTACCCGCCATGGGGAACAGATGACATGATTGTTATATTTGAAAAACCCAGAGAAATCAGTGAAATAATATGTAACCCTGCAGAGAAATCTGAAGTCACCACCAGGCTATGCGGTTAGGAAGATTTAGAATAATATGGAAAGCTGGCAGCATGACAGCGTTAGGGGATACAGAAACAGCAAAGGGAAACACAAAAGATACCTTCCGCTGTGTGCCAAAAACAAAAAAAAAAAAACAAAAAAGGAAAAAACTGGGTAAAATGATTTTCTGGTAAACTATAAATAAGCAGAAAAGCTGTTATCAGAAAGAAAGAAATCTAAATAGAACAATGGAAAGGGCATGGGGAAATTGGTTAAAGAATTTCTACTTTCCTGCTGGGCGCAGTGGCTCACGCCTGCAATCCCAGCACTTTGGGAGGCCAAGGAGGGCGGATCACTTTGAGCTCAGGAGTTTGAGACCAGCCTGGGCAACACGGTGAAACCCCGTCTCTACTAAAAATACAAAAATTAGCTGGGCGTGGTGGTGCATGCCTGTGATCCCAGCTGCTTGGGAGGCTGAGGCAGGAGAATTGCTTGAACCTGGGAGGCGGAGGTTGCACTGAGCTGAGATCTTACCATTGCACTCCAGCCTGGGAGACAGAGTGAGACTCCGTCTCAAAAAAAAAAGAAAGAAAGAAAGAAAGAAGTTTATAGATTTCACTGTTTATCAGCTGTGCCTAAAAACAAAACTAAACAAAGCCCATACCACATTTTGACCTCTAGCTAACGATATGCATGTTTAAGGGCCAAGTGCCCTAATGTCTGCCACTGACTTTGAAATGCGTGAAAATTTGGAATTGGCAGGTGGATAGGGAGCTACATAGATGGATAGGTAGGGATCAGAAAAGGCAGAGAGCAGAATGCGGGCAGTGAGCACGTGAGTTTTCACTGTGTAATTCTTTCCACTTTTTAAAAAATAGAGATGAGGTCTCACTGTGTTGCCCTGGCTGGTCTCAAACTCCTGGCCTCAAGTGAACCTCACACCTCAGCCTCTGCCTCCCAAAGTGCTGGGATTACAGGAGGGTGAGCTGCCACCTCCTGGCCTTCTTGTTCTTCTTTTTTTTTTTTTAGATGGAGTCTTGCTCTGTCACCCAGGCTGGAGTGCAGTGGTGCGATCTCGGTTTACTGCAACCTCCGCCTCCTGGGTTCAAGAGATTCTCCTTCCTCAGCCTCCTGAATAGCTGTGATTATAGGTGCGTGCCACAACATCTGACTAATTTTTGTATTTTTAGTAGAGACGGGGTTTTGCCATGTTGGCCAAGCTGGTCTCGAACTCCTGTTCTCAGGTGTTCCACCCACCTTGGCCTCCCAAAGCGCTGGGATTACAGGTGCGAGCCACTGCACCGGGCCCTTTTTTTAAAAATAGAGATGGGGTTCTTGCTATGTAGTCTAGACTAGTCTTAAACTCCTGGCCCCAAGCGATCCTCCCGCCTCAGCTTCCCAAAATGCTAGGATTATAGGTGTGAGCCACCATGCTCAGCTTCCACTGTTTTTTATGTTTAAAAATTTCATAGTAAGGTGAGGTAGGAGGATTGCTTGAGGCCAGGAGTTCGAGACCAGCCTGGGCAACATACTGACACCCTTATCTCTAAAAAAATTTTAAAAATTATCTGGGCATGGTGGTCCACTCCTGTAGTCCCAGCTACTCAGGCAGCTGAGGTGAGGGGATTGCTTGAGCCCATGAGGCGGAGGCTGCAGTAAGCTGTGATCCCACCACTGCACACCAGCCTGGGAGACAAAGCGAGACCCCATCTCTTTAAAATAAAACATAATAAAATGTTTGGGGGGAGGAGAGGCCGGGCACAGTGGCTCAGCCTGTAATCCCAGCACTTTGGGAGGCCAAGGCAGGTGGATCACCTGAGGTCGGGAGTTCGAGACCAGTCTAGCCCATATGGTGAAACCCTGCCTCTACTAAAAATACAAAAATCAGCAGGGTGTGGTGGCGGGTGCCTGTAATCCCAGCTACTTGGAAGCATGAGGCAGGAGAGTCACTTGAACCCGGGAGGCAGAGGTTGCTGTGAGCCGAGATCATACCTCTTTACTCCAGCTTGAGTGACAGAGCAAGACTCCGTCTCAAAAAAAAAAAAAAAAAAAAAAGTTGGGGGAAGGAGAGAAAAATAAAGAGAGCCCAGTGGGGCAAACCCCCACCCAGCCCTTGCCGCCTGCCACTGCTCCAGCCGGGCTGTTCCAGGCCGGGCAGCTGTGCCATCTGCTTCTGGCAGAGATCAAACTTAATTCGTTCCCAGCTTATTAACTTAAAGCCCATTAGAATCTTTCCCGTCAATCCGTACACGCAGTGGAGATCAGACAGAGATGGGGTGAAGGGCCCTGCTTGGGACACGGTTCCCTGCGGAGGCAGAGGGAGAGGGGGCTGGCCGGCTGGGCTTTCGGGGGACGAGAGCCTCCCACCTCCTCAGTCTCCCCGGGTGCAGGGAGTGGCTTTCATAGACGTCAGCTCCTCTCATTCGCACAGGGACCTGGGTACCAGCGAACCACCTTTTGCAGACCAGGGAGCCAGCTGGTGAGTGGTGAGGCGGGGGTCCCACTGAGGAATGGTGGGTCTGATCGCATGACACCAGCCATCATCATGGTGACACATTACTGCATTTCTGCTCTCAGCAATTCCAAGACAGGG
Source organism: Homo sapiens (assembly GCF_000001405.40). Taxonomy (NCBI): domain Eukaryota; kingdom Metazoa; phylum Chordata; class Mammalia; order Primates; family Hominidae; genus Homo; species Homo sapiens. Next base: position 5,276,438 of record NC_000007.14, on the reverse strand, counting down.
GCAGGACTGGGCCACCTTATGGTGGGCCTAGGGACCAAGGCTGGCAAGCCTGACCGTGGACAGAAACACCCCTTGCAAACTCGCTGAGCCCCAGGATCAGAGTCCCTGGGCCGTTCCGCGTCAGCCCCATGTCTGCCTTTGCCGGGACGTGACACCGCCTGCTTCCCCTGCATTCAGGCACCATGGAGTCAAACTTGCAAGAGAAAACGAGACCCACGGCCAGGTGTGGTGGCTCACGCCTGTAATCTCAGGACTTTGGGAGGCCGAGGTGGGTGGATCACCTGAGGTCGGGAGTTTGAGACCAGCCTGGCCAATGTGGCGAAACCCCGTCCCTACCAAAAATACAAAAATTAGCCAGGCATGGTGGTGCGCGCCTGTAATCCCAGGTACTCGGGAGGCTGAGGCAGGACAATCGCTTGTACACAGGAGGCAGAGGTTGCAGTGAGCCGAGATCGTGCCACTGCACTTCAGCCCAGGTGATGGAGCAAGACTCCGGCTCCAAAAAAAAAGAAAGAAAAAAAGAAAGAAGAAAGAAAATGAGACCCAACCATCTGGGCCAAACAAGCAAATTCAATCAACAAATTAAGCCCCATGATCCTCTCTGGAGAGGGCAAGGCAGCCTGTGTGCGCTGAACGGCAGGGCTCTGCAGGAACAGGGAGGGGCTGGCGCTCACCCACCAGCTACGCGCCAGGCTCTGGGCCAAGAGTGTCCTCTGCTCAGAACCTCACAGTGACTACAGGAGGGGAGACATCCCAGACAGATGGGAAGCCCAGGCTCAGAGAGGTAGAGGAGCTCACCCAAGTCACACAGTGAGGCCAGGCAGATTCTGGTCCCTCCCCAGGCCGCGGTCCCGTCAGCCCTGCCCGGTTAAGCTGCCCCACTGGACGCCCCCACTCTCATTCCAGGCCCCTCTTCCTGAAGACCAGAGAGGTGCGCCCCAGGCCAGGCTTCTGGGACTGGGGCCCCAAGCCATAGGTGGCCTCCTGGAGCTTCATCCCCCAGGACACCCCAGGCCGGAGAGGTGCGGTAAAGTCTTTCTGGGACTGCGGGCCGCAGCTGGAGGCAGGCCCAGGACAGGAGGAGCCTCCTGGCCCAGCTCCAGGAGCTGTCGGCTGGAAGGAGCACTTCATTACCAGCTGGGCTGCTGTGAACGAGGTTACAGGGGAGGGAGGCCCAAGGGACCCGAGGTCGGCCTGGAGTCCCCTTTCCAGCCAGCTCCAAACCCCTCCATGCAGCTGGGCACCCCAGGCCCTGCTCGAGCCCATGAGGTGCCTCCCCACCCAACCCCCCACTGGAAGCACCAGCCACACCCAATCATGCCCATGCATCTGTAAGGGGTAAGGACTAGTGTTGCCTCCTCCAGGAAGCCTTCCCTGACTGCTGCATGGTAGGAGTGACTCTGAGCACCCTGAGCACACATCGTCTCATCGAATCCTCCCTGTGACCTCTGTGGGAGGCTCAAGGGAATGAGGCCCAGAGAGGTGAAGGCAGCTGCCCAAGGCCACCCAGTGTGGAAGCTTGAATCAGCTCCTCTCTGGGCCTCGTGACAGGGCTGGGTACCGAGGAGGGCCTGATAAGTGTTGTTGAAAGAATTTTGTCAAAAGGGCTGGGTGAAGGGACTACTGTTGGGGACGGAGAGGCAGGGATGCTGCCCAGGGTGCAGCCCCCACCCTGTTGACCCCAGATGAAGGCAGGAAGGATGGCTAGATTCCCACAGATTCATCCAGTCCCTGAGCGCCTACATAATAGCTCCTGTTTTATGCCTTTGGCATTAACGTGCCCATTTCACAGATGAGAAAACTGATGCCAGAGGGCCTGAGGCCAGTGCAAGGTTCCCAGCCGGGCTCCAAGGGAGCACAGAGCCAAGACCTGAACCCAGGTCTGCCTGGGCCCCGAGCCACTGTCCTTCCCAAGACCCCCAGGTCAGCCGAGGATCCTGGCCTTACCTGGTTCTTACCTGGGACTTTCCTGTGCTCCTTCTAAGGCCTCTCCCCGTGGCATCAGCGTCTGCCCGGCATACACACTACTCGGAGAAGCCTTTGTACTCTCTATTTACAAGAGGAGGCTGTGAGCAAATTAGCAGGGTAACCAGGGAAAATGTTTGGCGTCCGTGGGTGAGAGTTGGAGCCATCTGTTCCCAAGTGCTGAGAAAACACTGGAGCACTCCCTGGAGCCGTGGTGCCCGGCAGAGCTCCAGGAAGTGGGACCAGGCACCTGCAGGCTGTGTGTCCTGGGGCAGGGCGCTCACCCTCTCTGGGCCTCAGTGTCTGGATCCGTAAAACCTGCGGGTCTGTCCAGCCTCGTGGCTCCAGGATGCTCCCTGTCTCCTTTCCCCTCCCGCCCCTCTGCTCCTGGGCTCCACACATCCTTTCTGTGCCCGCACCCTGAGACCAAGCCCTTCCCGGGAAGGAAGGCTGGCAGCCTCCACCGTGACGACAGCGCCGGCCTGCCCAGCACCGGCCTTGGGGATTTATTTACCATTGCACTCATTTGTTCCCAAGCTGAAAATAGCTTTATTGTTCCCTCTAAAGACAAAGATAATATTTCACCAATCCAGAAATGTATGCTGTAGAAAAGTAAATCGAGAGAGAGTGCCTCCCCGCCTATGCCAGGCACCTGTCCCTGGGAGCAGCGGCCCAGGACCTGCCAAGCAGCTGGTCACACAGTGGGCCATACACAGGGTGGGATCCTTGACTGGGGTATTTCAGAGACAGAGAGATAAAAAGGGGCGGCGGGGGCTGGGTGCGTTGGCTCGCGCCCGTGATCCCAGCACTTTGGGAGGCTGAGGTAGGCGGATCACCTGAGGTCAGGAGTTCGAGACCAGCCTGACCAATATGGTGAAACCCCATCTCTACTAAAAATACAAAAACTAGTCAGGCGTGGTGGCGCGTGCCTGTAATCCCAGCTACTCAGGAGGCTGAGGCAGGAGAATCGCTTGAACCTGGGAGGCGGAGGTTGGGGTGAGCTGAGATCACGCCATTGTACTCCGGCCTGGGTGACAAAACAAGACTCTGTCTCAAAAAAACAAAAAAAGAGGTAGATGGCGGGGAGGGAGAGAGAGGGAGGGAGAGACAGGAAAAGAGAGAGGGGATGTGAGAGAGAGGGAGAGACAGAGGGAGACAGGAGAGAAAGGGAGAGAGAAGTGGAGGGGGAGAAAGACAGGGAGACAGGGAAAAAGAGAGGATTACTCCTCCCCACCTGGGACTCTTCAGCTCCTTATCAGTGTCCCTGGAGGCTGGGCCTCAGGGGTGGCTCCTTGGGGACAGGTGTCCTTTCCCCCACCTTGCCCTTCTCCCCTAGTCAGGACAGAAGAAGAGTTTCTAGTCTGAGTCTTACCGCCTCCTAACCGTGTGACCTAAGACTTTAAGCCTTTGTCTTACCGAGCCTCAGTGGCCTCAGCTGTAACGTGGGGTAACCATGGCACAGGATAACTCTGAGTTACATGGACCACGTGTGGCAGTCCCTGAGCCGGGGCTGGCACTGAATTGGTGTCCAGCGGCCATTTGCCGTGGTCAATAGGATCAATAAAATGCCCGGGGTATCTGGCCGCTCGGTGGAAATTGACCCACGTGGGGCCTTTGCTGGCCACACCGGGCCCCTTGGTGAGGCTGAGGCACGTCACCTTGTCCATGAGTGGACGTGGACATGGACATGGGCTCCTTTGCTGGAGGGAACAGCTCTGTGCTGTGTCCTGGAACTGCTCCCAGCAGCTCCAGAGAGCTGATTAGCACATTTTCAAGAAATATTGCGAGAAGGTTGTTAAACTCAGCCACTGTTTATTTTATTTTATTTATTTTATTTTATTTTATTTTCTATTTTATGATGGAGTCTCGCTCTGTCGCCAGGCTGGAGTGCAGTGGTGCGATCTCGGCTCACTGCAACCTCTGCCTCCCTGGTTCAAGTGATTCTCCTGCCTCAGCCTCCTGAGTAGCTGGGACTACAGGTGCGCACCACCATGCCTGGCTAATTTTTGTATTTTTAGTAGAGGCGGGGTTTCACCATGTTGGCCAGGATGGTCTCGATCTCTTGACCTCGTGATCTGCCCACCTCAGCCTCCCAAAGTGCTGGGATTACAGGCATAAGCCACCGCGCCTGGCCAGCCATTGTTAAAAATGGAATGAAATAAACATACAAAGGTAATACAAACTCAAAATTCATCACTGTCTAATTATTTGACTAGGGTCTGCATTCTCCGGGTTATTTCCGTCCCTGGTACCCTGTAGGATGGAAATGCCAAATGACAGTGTGCTGTGCGGCTGCGTTCTCTCCCCATATCCAAGTCCAGTGATGTCATCTTGGCACCTTGAAATCAACCACGGACCAGTGCCGTGGTTCACACCTCTAATCCCAGAGCCACAGGAAGCCGAGGCGGGAGGATGGCTTGAACCCAAGAATTTGAATACAGTCTGGGCAACATGGTGAAACCTCAACTCTACAATAAATACGAAAGTTAGCCGGGCGTGGTGGCGTGCACCTGTAGTCCCAGCTACTTGGGAGGCTGAAGAGGGAGGATTGCTTGAGCCTGGGAGGCAGAGGCTGCAGTGGGCTGAAATTGTACCACTGCACTCTGGCCCCAATGACAAAAGCGAGACCCTGTCTCAAATTAAAAAAAAAAAGGAAAAGAAAAAGAAAAAATGAAAGATATGAAACAGGAGCTGGGTGCCTGCCTCTAGTCCCAGCTACTCAGGTGGAGGCCGAGGTGGGAAGATTGCTTGAGCCTAGGAGTTTGAATCCAGCCTGGACAACATAACAAGACCCTGTCTCTAAAATAAAAATTAAAAAAAGAAAAGTATGGACAGAATGTATTTGCCTAGCAGTTTTTCCGCTTGATTTATAACTCTTAAGTATGATGTGTGAGCCTTTCATCGTTTGGCCCTCATCCCAGGCCTTGTATATTTAGGGGTAGGTATGACCTCAAGTTCCAGCCTCCATATCTTCTTTTTTTTAGAGACAAGCTCTTGCTCTGTTTCCCTGGCTGGACTGCAGTGGCACAATCATAGCTCACTGCAGCCTCAAACTCATGGGTTCAAGTGATTCTCCTGCCTCAGCCTCCCTGAGTAGCTGGGACTACAGGAATATGCCACCATGCCTGTAGTCCCAGCTACACAATTTAAAAAATTTTTTGTAGAGACAGGGTCTCACTATGTTGCCCAGCCCTGTCTCAAACTCCTGAGCTCAAGTGATCCTCCTGCCTCAGCCTTCCAAAATGCTGGGATTACAGGCAAGAGCCACTGCACCCAGCCTCTGACTATATGTCTTTGTTCATGCTGTTTTGTCTTCTAAAAACACCAGTCCCCTTGGAAGCCTTCCTGGGCTGTCTGAACATGGCTGTGGTTGTTATAATTATGGGCTGTGAGCCTGATGAGGTGGGGATGGGTCCCAAGGTCGAGGCTCCTTGAGGGGGCTGGTCCCAGCCCGCTAAGAGCACGGGTTGGTGAGAGGTGGCTGGTTTGTCCCTGAAGGAGCTTATCTTGGCTGAATTCTCCTAATCCTCTTGCAGGATTAAGGAAACTCAATGCACGTCTCGTTGATAATGCCCTTTAAGGATTTAATAAGCTTTGGGCTTTCCAAGAGAAAGCCTTGGATGAGGAATTTGAAAAACTTGCCTCAGCTCCAGACTTCGCTTCTCACTCACTGGGTGACCTTGATCTGTGGCTCCATTTCTCTACCTGCAAAGAAAAGGGGTGAGTGGTGGCCTGTGGTCCCTGCGCTGTTGTGTGTCTTAGGGGAGGGCTGCACACAACAGCTGGGACTACAGGTGCGCACCACCACGCCTGGGCTGATTTTTGTATTTTTAGTGGGGGAGGGGGGGGTTTCACCATGTTGGCCAGGATGGTCTCGATCTCTTGACCTCGTGATCTGCCGCCTCAGCCTCCCAAAGTGGCTATAGTGTGTATTGGTTTGGGAAACTTCCACCCCACCCGCCCTGGGGGGAGGTAGGGCTGTGAGTCACCAAAGCATCACTGAGGCCAGTCACGGGACAGTATCCATTGGAACACAGAGGTTGGTCAGGGAAGGGCATATGGCTCGAGCCTGGCCTGTCAGAGCCTTCCTTAGAACTTTTATGAGGTCTTCCTGGATGGGTTTATTTTATGGCACCTCAATTTGGGGAGATAAGATCAAGCTGCCGTAGACACCTGTCCGCCATGTGCCCAGCACCTATGTGCAGAATGAAGTTCATGAAGACAAACGGAACAGCGATCAAGCCAGAGCCCTGGCAGCATTACTTGAGACCCTGGATCTAGCCTTACCTGACACCTACGCTGTGGGCCAGTAAATTCCCTTTTTAGCATAAAGCTGTTTGAGTGGCGTTTCTGCCACTTGGAACTGAAGGAGTGTGGATGTACCTGTTTCCAGGAAGAGGAATTGATGGATTTCATCAAATTCTCCTTGATTCCCACAAAGACTAACAAGCCCTGCTATGGTTTGAATGTCTGTCTTCTCCAACACTCATGTTGAAATTTATCCCCAATGCGGCAGTATTGAGAGGTGGGGCCTTTAAGAGCTGATTGGGTCATGCGGGCTCTGCCCTCTCGAATGGAGTAATCCGTTCATTAATTATGGGTTATTATGGGAGTGGGATTGGTGGCCTTATAAGAAGAAGAGAGATTTGAGATAGGATGCTCAGCCCTCTCACCATGGGATGCCCTGTGCCTCCCTGGGACTCTGCAGAGAGGAGTCCCCACTAGCAAGAAGGTCCTCACCAGACACAGCCCCACAGCCTTGGAGTTCCCAGCCTCTAGAACTGTAAGAAATAAATAGTTTTCGTGTTTTTTTTTTTTTTTTTTTTTGAGACAGAGTTTCGCTCTGTCACCCAGGCTGGAGTGCAGTGGCATGATCTGGGCTCACTGCAAGCTCCACCTCCCAGGTTCACGCCATTCTCCTGCCTCAGCCTCTGGAGTAGCTGGGACTACAGGCACCTGCCACCACGCCTGGCTAATTTTTTGTATTTTTAGTAGAGACGGGGTTTCACCATGTTAGCCAGGATGGTCTCGATCTTCTGATCTTGTGATCCTCCCGCCTCGGCCTCCCAAAGTGCTGGGATTACAGGCGTGAGCCACTGCGCCCAGCCGGTCACAGCTCTTTTTTCTGCTATCCCAGGTCACCGTAGTGCCGGGCGATTCTTGACCCCCTGTCCTCCCTCATGTGAACCATGCCTTTGCAAATAACCCTCCTTGAATTACCCTGATCTCAATCTGCTGTTTTCTGTTGGTGTCTCAAAGAGGCAAGAGCCACCAAAAAACTTTATGATCAAATAAAAGGTGGTGGCCCCAGGATGACCATGTAGACCCTGGGGTGGAGCAGAAAGGGTGCTGAGCTGCCAGGAGATGGGACATACTCAGGGTGTTTTTCGGGTGTGCAGAGTCACTCTTGGATACTCTCCTTCATCATCAGTAACATAAAAGTTCACCTAAAACAGCCCAACATCTCTCTGGTCCTAACTCCTACAGCATCCTTTTTTTTATTTTTTATTTTTTTTATTTTCTTGAGGCAGGGTCTTGCTCTGTTGCCCAGGCTGGAATGCAGTGGCACCATGATAGCTCACTGCAGCCTCGACCTCCTGGACTCAAGCGATCCTCCCACCTCAGCCTCCTGAGTGTCTAGGACCACAGGTCCATGCCACCACACGCGGCTAATTGTTGTGGGGTTTGTAGAGATGGGCTTTCACCATATTGCCTGGGCTAGTCTCGAACTCCTGGGCTCAAGTGATCGTCCTGCTGGGAGGATCCCAAAGTGCTGGGATTACAGGCGTGAGCCACCATGCCCGGCCTGAACATCAATTCTTGAGAGCAGCATATTTCATGTTTACAACATTAACTTTATTTTATTTCATTTTTAAGAGTCAGGGTATGGCTGGGCGTGGTGGCTCACACCTGTAATTCCAGCACTTTGGGAGGCCGAGGTGAGCAGATCACTTGAGGTCAGGAGTTCAAGACCAGCCTGGCCAACGTAGGGAAACTCCATCTTTACTGAAAATACAAAAATTAGCTGGGTGTGGTGGTGGACATCTGTAATCCCAGCTACTTGGGAGGCTGAGGTATGAGAATTGCTTGAACCCGGGAGGTGGAGGTTGCAGTGAGTTGAGGTCTTGCCACTGCATTCCAGGCTGGGCTGCAGAGCTAGACTCTGTCTCCAAAAAAAAAAAAAAAGAGTCAGGGTCTCGCTCCGTTGCACAGGCTGGAGTGCAGTGGTGCGATCATAGCTCGCTGCACTGTAGCCGTGACCTCTTGGACTCAAGCTATCCTCCTGCCTCAGCCTCCTGAGTAGCTAACAGGCATGCACCCCCACGCCTGGTTAATTTTTTGTTTTTGTAGAGATGGGGTCTCACTATGTTGCCCAGGCTAAATAACATAAAGAACGTAAGCAATCCTCTGGCCTTGGCCTCCCAAAGTGCTGGGATTATAGCCATGAGCCACCCACGCCTGGGCAGAGGGAAGTTCTTAAAAAGGAAGCCTGGTGAGATGAAGCAATGCACACAATATAACGTTCCGTGGGAATGCAGAATGCGCGTTGCTTTATGAAATGTGTGTAAAAGTCAGGTTTTGTTGGGTGAAATAAATATGCATGTGGGGGAGGGTGGGAAAGAACTCTGTCCTTAGCTAAAAGTTCACCTGTGAAGTCTTGGAGCACTTGCCTGTGCAGCTGAGGTGAGTGTGAGAGTCACATTTCACAGTACCCTCCCCACTCCCCCAAGATGTCAAAGGGACTACCTGGAAACCACTCTGTGACTCCCAACATCTTGTTCTAAGCGAGGTTTGTCGTTATCCCAGGGATGCCAAAACACTGAGAATTCCTGCCTTGTGCCATACGTGGATTAACTCCCCATGAACTTAATGTTTCCTTTTTTTTTTTTTTTGAGATGGAGTTTTGCTCTTGTCGCCCAGGCTGGAGTGCAGTGGTGCGATCTCAGCTCACTGTAACCTCTGCATCCCGGGTTCAAGCAATTCTCCTGCCTCAGCCTCCCGAGTAGCTGGGATTACAAGCGCCCACCACCACGCCTGGCTAATTTTTGTATTTTTAGTAGAGACTGGGTTTTGCTATATTGGCCAGGCTGGTCTCGAACTCCTGACCTCAAGTGATCCACCCACCTCAGTCTCCCAAAGTGTTGGAAATACAGGTGTGAGCCACCACGCCTGGCCTTAATTTTTCCTTTTTAGCCAAAGGTTGTGAGTGGTCTGATGGCTTCTGATCCAGTCCCATCTCAGTTTTCTTGGGCTTTTAAGGACATTTAATAATTGATGGGGTGGCTCCCTTCTGAGCCATCAGGAGCAGAGGGCGTTTTGGATTCTGGTGCTTTGACCTGCAGGAGGAAGAGAGCGTCTCTGGGACTTTATCACCCGGCACCCTGCACTGTATGGCCTTGGGCAAGTCATGCCTCCTCTTGGGGCCTTGGCCATCAAGTCTATGAGATGGGCCATATTGTCCAGGCTGGTCTCGAACTCCTGACCTCAAGTGATCCTCCCACTTCGCCCTTCCAAAGTGCTGGGATTACAGGCGTCAGCCACCACCCACACAGCCACCCACTTTTATCTCCCGGGAGGGCCCAACCCTTCTCCCTTTGGTTTCAATGTGAAAAATCCCAGGGGAGAATCTGATTGGCCCAGCTTGGGTCACATGGTTGCCCGGGGCCAGGAGGGTGGGGCAGCGGGATGGCAGCCACTTGGCTGGGGTGGGGGAGGAGGGGCTCTTCCTGACAAGGGGTGTCTGTCCAGAACAGAGAGGGTCCCAGCTTTTGAGTGATGGAGGGTTGCACTACGGCCTCTAGAGTCTTCTTCAGAGGGAGGAGAGAGTGCGAAGCTTGGGAGAAAAGGCTTCCAGGAGTTAAGTGGGAAACAGAGCTCCTCATCCATTCTTGTCCCTTTGATCCTCAACGGTATTGTCAATTCCATGACAACGGGAGACGCAGGCTCTTAAGTCACAAGTGATTTTCGCAAGCAACAAATTTTATATTTTTATCACTCCGAATCCTCCCAAATGACTGCTTTCTCAAGGGCTGTGTTTGGGGCCTGCAAGAGTCACCTCTAGGATCCACAGTGCCTCTAGGGGTGGGTGACACCCCACTGGTCCTGGGGCGCTCTTGGAATCTGCCTGGTGACGTCATTTCTGCTGCCGGTCGCTGCCTCTGTCTGGTTCCTGCCTCCCGCCCCCTCCGCTCCTGTCTCCTCTGCCTCTTGAAGGACATTTGCAAGCAAATTGAGCTTTGTAGTGGAGAGCGTCAGCCTCAATTTCAGTTGAAACCATCATCTTCAGCTTGAGAGGACACACAGTCACATGAACACGCACACAGTGACACACACACACACACACACCCCCAAAACGCTGTCACACACACAAATGCATATGTGCTTGGACACACACATAGACACACACAGACATATACATGCATGCAAGACACACACACACTGAAGCACACTCAGCCACAGACACACACAGACACATTCAGACACACAGAGGCGTGCACACAGATTCAGACAGGGATAGACAGATGAGCAAAGCAGGAGACAAAGGCGCCGCACAGATGGACAGACCTAGACACACACACACAAAGACACACACACAAAAAGACGCACCCACACACACTCAATCTCACGCAGATGCACGCACTTGTCAGTCAGTGCTGGACTGGTCAGTGTTTAACACGCCCAGCGTTCTGACTTGTAGCAGTTGCTAATTTCCACGGTGTCAACATTCCCACCGGTTTCCAGCTATCATTATGAGGTCAGAGTTGGGGACAGGGCACACGGTCGTCTTTGGAGCTGGGAGGAGTCGGCTCTGACACCCGTGGCCACTGCCAGGCTCACACAGACACTCACAACAATAGACACACACACACGTGCTCTGCTGTAAACTGCCACTCCCCTGGTGTCCCAGCAGTCCTGGATTCAACCCCTGGCTATGCTGTGTGTCTTTGATCACATTTCTCAACCTCTCTGAGCCTCCCATTTCTTGTAAAATGGCAAAAGCCCACCCAGGGCTGATGGAAGGATGGGTGGTCATTCGGGAGTGCCCCCACATGAAGTCTGGTACCCGGTGGTGGCTTGGCCTTGCACAGAAGAGAGACTGCTCTGTGACCATCTGCTTGGCCCTGGGGTCTGGGCACTGGGCTGGCACAGATACCTATTCAGCTGCCAGAGCCCCAGGGCCACAGCGGGCGTGTGCCCACCAGCCCGTCGGCAGCCCTTCGGCACTCTGCTGCTCTTGGGCAAGATGTGGGGTATGTCCCCTGGCCTAATTTAGGGCCCCCACCCTCTGCGACCTGGTCCCTCACGCTTCCCAGGTTTGTGTCTTGGGCTGGTCTCTCTGCCTGGAGGGTCCTGCCTCTGGCCCCTCACCCTTCTGACCATCGGAGTTCATCCTATAGCTGAGCATGGTGGTGCCCATCTGTAGTCCCAGCTACTTGAGAGGCCAACATGGGAGGATCACTGAAGCCTAGGGGTTCGAGGCTACAGTGAGCTGTGATCATGCCACTGCACTCTAGCCTGGGCGACAGAGCAAAACCTTGTCTCTACAGAAAATTTTAAACATTAGCATTAGCCAGGTGTGGTGGTGGTACACCTGTGGTCCTGGCTACTTGGGAGGCTGAGGTGGGAGGATCGCTTGGACCTGGGAGGTCTAGGCTGCAGCGAGCTATGATGGCACCACTGCACTCCAGCTGGGTGACAGAGCGAGACCCCAACTCTTAAAAAAAAAAAAAGAATCGGCTAGGTGTGGTGGCTCAAGCCTGTAATCCCAGCACTTTGGGAGGCCGAGGTGAGAGTGAGTGGATCACCTGAGGTCAGGAGTTCGAGGCCAAGGCGGGTGGATCACCTGAGGTCAGGAGTTCGAGACCAGCCTGGCCAACATGATGAAACCTCATCTCTACTAAAAATACAAAAATTAGCAGTGCGTGGTGGCACATGCTCGTAATCCCAGCTACTTGGGAGGCTGAGGCAGGAGGATTGCTTGAACCTGGGAGGCAGAGATTGCAGTGAGCCAAGATCTCACCACTGCACTCCAGCCTGGACAACAGAGTAAGACTCCGTCTCAAACAAACAAACAAACAAACAAAAAAACAAAAACAAAAAAAGAGGCTGGGCATGGTGGCTCACGCCTGTAATCCCAGCACTTTGGGAGGCCGAGGTGGGAGGATCACCTGAGATCAGGAGTTCAAGACCAGCCTGGCCAAAGTTGTGAAACTCTGTCTCTACTAAAAAATACAAAAATTAGCCGGTCATGATGGGGTGTGCACCTGTAATCCCAGCTACTAGGGAGGCTAAGGCATGAGAATCGCTTGAAACAGGGAGGCGGAGGTTGCAGTGAGCCAAGATTGTGCCACTGCCTTCCAGCCTGGATGACAGAACGAGACTCTGTCTCAGGAAAAAAAAAAAAAACAAAAACATTTACCAGAGAGATTCCACAAACTGTCTCCAAAGGACAGGAGACAAGAGGTGCGCTTCCAGCCTTCCAGAACCTTCCCTGCATCTCCTCACCAAACCTACTTCCCCTCAGCTTTGGGAAGGGCTCAGGGCCTTGCCTGTACCCCAAGTTTACTCTGCATATGGCTGTGATCTGAACTGGGGTGAGGCTGGGGGATGACCCTGTCCCCTCAGTCTGGGCCGGAGCTCCCATTTCCCAGGTTCATGCTTGGTTGTGTGTGGGCCCTGAGGGACCCTTTGGTGGCTGGGTCACAGATACAAGGTCCTGGTCCGTGAGCAGCCTGTTCACCGGCTCATGCAGTACCGGGGCCCTGTGGAGGGGACTTGTTGTCCCCCAGCCCACCTCTCTCTGGCCTGGGAGGAGTCTGGGCAGGCCCCCGCCCCAGGGCCAATTCCATCCTGTGGCATCTTTGCTGATGGAGCCGTCTCTTCCCTCAAAGGGTTTCCTGCTGCTGGAGTGGAAATAATTTCTTCTGAGATTTCAGAGGCAGAAGACATTTCTCACCTTCCCAAGAGCCCGGAGGATGGAGATTAGAATGAGTGGGGTCGTTTCAGGCCCAGGGAGGCCAAGTGGGAACCCTGTGACTGATCCATTTGTCCTGGTTCCTGGGAGGATGTCACCCAGGCAGGGCTCAGGGGAGGAGGTGGAGATTCGGGGGTCGAGGGGCTCCCACAGCCTGGGACTGAACCCCCTGCTGGGCTCCTCCACCTCCCAGCTCTGCCTCTGGAGGAGGGAGAGGCTAATCTTCCTCCAAACACTTCACGCTTCAGGAAATCACAGGCTCTCAGAGTGCAGGGCCCCTCTCGGCCGAGCGAGCGTGATTTTTCCCTGGAAGTGGCTCTTATAAGACTCTCTAAGGGGTCCCTGACCTGAAGAGAAGGTTCAACAGCCCTGCCTCGGAGGAGGAAAATGAACATTCGCTGTGCGTACAAAAATAGCTTACATGCTCAGAGCCTGCGTTTGAGGGGCGCAGGCCCGGCGCACAGGGGTCTGGGTCCAAGCCCCCGCCTCGCTGGCACTCTCAATGAACTTGGGAGCAGGTGCGCCCGTCTCCAGCAGGTTCATTCCCCATCAAGGAGGGAGAAACAGGCCATCTTCATGGGCATGGGCAAGGCAGGAAGGGCTGAGTGCAGTGAGGGCCGAATGCTCGCTCCTCCTGGATACCATGGCCCTGGCAACTGTGGGGAAGATTCAGGGCATATGTGGCCGGGCGGGAGTTGTTTCAGCTCTGCCCCAAGCAGGGAGCTGTGGTGGTGGGGTGGAGGGGGTCCTGGGGAGTCGGGGTCTAGCTGGTCATGTGATGTCTTCCACTCCCAGACTCTAGGAAGCAGGCCCAGCCTCAGGAGGGCAGACATGTTTGTACCGGGCACAAGTGGCCAGGGAATGACCGATGGCAGGTTGCTGTGACCGAAAGGAGGACAGAACTGGGACAGTGGTCTTGGTTCTAGTGGCTGCTGTGACATTGCCTTCTCCTCTCTCTGCTTGTCTCTCTCCCTGTCCTCATCCTGATCCCCACCCTTCCTCTCTCCCTCTCTTTTCTCCTCTGCCCTGGAGCCTCACTCTGTCGCCCAGGTTGGAGTGCAGTGGCACGATCTCGGCTCACTGCAACCTCCGCCTCCTGGGTTCAAGCGATTCTTCTGCCTCAGCCTCCCAAGTAGCTTGGACTACAGGTGCCTGCCACCATGCCTGGCTAATTTTTGTATTTTTAATAGAGATGGGGTTTCACCATGTTGGCCAGGCTGGTCTCTAACTCCTGACCTCAGGTGATCCACCCATCTTGGCCTCCCAAAGTGTTGGGATTACAGGCGTGAGCCACAGCACCTGGCCTAATTTTTGTATTTTTAATAGAGACAGGGTTTCACCATATCGGCCAAGCTGGTCTCAAACTCCTGACCTCGTGATTTCCCTCTGCCCTTTTCTTTCTTTCTTTTTTTTTTTTTTTTTTGTTTTTGAGACAGAGTCTCACTCCGTCCCACAGGCTGGAGTGCAGTGGCGCAATCTCAGCTCACTGCAGCTTCCAATTCCTGGGCTCTAGTGATCCTCCTGCCTCAGCCTCCCACATAGCTGGGATCACAGGTGCATGCCACTACGTCTGGGTAGTTTTTTGTAGAGATGGAGCCTCACTGTATTGCCAGGCTGGTCTTGAACTCCTAGGCTCAAGTGATCCTCCTGCCTCGGCCTCCCAAAGTGCTGGGACTATAGGTGTGAGCCACTACGCCCAGCCCCCTCGGCCTGTCTTGCCCCAAAAGGTGGGTGCCAGCCAACATGTCCTCCTGCAGGTGCCAGTCACCTTCTTCCTGAGGCCATTCCCGGTGCAGGTGCACAGCTGGGGCTGGCCCTAGGAGCGGCCCTCACCCATGATGGGTGGCAGCTGGTGGATAAATTCGGGGTTCCTGGTGCCTGGGTTGGGACAGCCACAGCAGCCCAGGGGCTCCCAAGAGGGTTGAGTTCCTCTTGCCCACCGAGGCTCCAGCTGCCTAAAGAACAGGCTTGCCCAGACCCACAGCCCTTCTCAGGTTGCCTGCACGCTTGCTTCAGGGTTGCTTTGGGGACACCCCCCTTCTGGTGCTTCCTGCTCCCAGATCACTTCTGCTAAGAGGGGTCTCGGAGGCCGGGCGCAATGGCTCACGCCTCTAATCCCAGCACTTTGGGAGGCCGAGGCGGGCGGATCGTGAGGTCAGGAGATCGTGACCATCCTGGCTAACATGGTGAAACCCTGTCTCTACTAAATATACAAAAAATTAGCCGGGCGTGGTGGCGGGCGCCTGTAGTCCCAGCTACTCAGGAGGCTGAGGCAGGAGAATGGCATGAACCCGGGAGGCGGAGCTTGCAGTGAGCAGAGATCGTGCCACTGCACTCCAGCCTGGGCGACAGAGTGAGACTCTGTCTCAAAAAATAGTAATAATAATAAAGACGCGTGTTTGTGGCTGGGAGTGGCGGCTCACACCTGTAATTCCAGCACCTGAGGTCAGGAGCTCAAGACCAACCTGCCCAACATGGCGAAACCCCGTCTCTACTAAAAATACCAAAATTAGCTGGGCATGGTGGCACACGCCTGCAATCCCAGCTACTTGGAAGGCTGAGGCAGGAGAATCGCTTGAACCCAGCAGATGGAGGTTGTTGTGAGCCGAGATTGCACCATAGCACTCCAGCCTGGGCGACAGGGTGAGACTCCGTCTCAAAACAAAACAAAACAAACAAACAAAAAAAGGCATGTTTGTATTGGAGACATTCTATAGCAGGAGCTAGGGTGGAGGCCCAGAGCACCCTGCAGCCACGACTCCTTTCACTCAGCTTACGTGAGCAGCCACTGTGTGCCTGCATCCGTGCTGGGCCCAGGGACGGTGAGATGAGGCAACCGATGACACCTGTCCTCGGGGGGTTCCCAGGGTACTGCAGAAGGCAGGTGGAGGAGCCGGCAGGCCTGAGATGAGCAGGCTCTGTGGGCCGACTGCCTGCAGCTGCATCCAGGGTCTCCTGCTATTGTGTGAGTTAGTACCTCTCTCCATGCCTCAGTTTCCTCATTTGCAACGGGCACGATAAAAGCCTCCTCCTCAAAGGGCCATCGTGAGGCAGAAATGATTCCTGTGAAGCACCTCCGGTGGGGCCTGGACCGTAGTCGGATCTCAGTCGCTGTGAGATGTCAGTGTTAGGAACAGGACATTGAGCAGGCCTGGAGCTGGGCCAGGGACCCCTGGGGAGGGCTGCAGAGAGTGGCCACCAGGCAAGGCCTGGGTGTGGCGGATTGAAGCAGGGTCTCCCTGTGGTGGGGCCTGCCAGGTTCCTGGAGAAACTGCCCTGAGTTGGTGATGAGATAGGAAAGTCTGTTAAAACGAAATGTTTAATTAATTAATTAATGTATCTTTTATTTTACTTATTTTATTTTTTTGAGACAGAGTCTCCCTCTGTTGCCCAGGCTGGAGTGCAGTGGCGTCATCTCGGCTCACTGCAGTCTCCACCTCCCGGGTTCAAACTATTGTTCTGCCTCAGCCTCCCCAGTAGCTGGGATTATGGGCACGTGTCACCATGCCTGGCTGATTTTTTTATTTTATTGTTTTTTTTTTTTGAGGCGGAGTCTCCCTCTGTCCCCCAGGCTGGAGTGCAGTGGTGCAATCTTGGCTCGCTGCAAGCTCTGCCTCCTGGGTTCATGCCATTCTCCTGCCTCAGCCTCCCGAGTAGCTAGGACTACAGGTGCCTGCCACCATGCCCAGCTAATTTTTTTTTTTTTGTATTTTTAGTAGAGACGGGGTTTCACCGTGTTAGCCAGGATGGTCTCGATCTCCTGATCTCGTGATCTGCCCGCCTCGGCCTCCCAAAGTGCTGCGATTACAGGCGTGAGCCACCGCGCCCGGCCTGGTTTTTGTATTCTTTAGTACAGACGGGGTTTCACTATGTTGGCCAGGCTGGTCTCGAACCCCTGACCTCAAGTGATCTGCCTGCCTCGGCCTTCCAAAGTGCTGGGATTACAGGCGTGAGCCACCGCGCCCGGACTAACTCTTGTTTTAGATACTGAGAGCACACGTGCAGGGTTGTTACATGGGTAAATTATGTGTCATGGCGGTTTGGTGTACAGAATATTTTATCACCCAGGTAATAAGCACAGTACCCGACAGGTAGTTTTTTTGATCCTCACCCTCCTCCCCAACTCCACCCTCAAGTAGGCCCTGGTGTCTATTGTTTCTTCTTTGTGCAAATACATATAACAGAGTCTTGTTCTGTCTCTCAGGCTGGAGTGCAGTGGTGCAATCTTGGCTCACTGCAGCCTCGACCTCCTAGGCTCAGGTGATCCTCCTGCCTCAGCCTCCCTGAGTAGCTGGGACCACAGGCGTGCACCACCATGCCTGGCTAATTAAAAAAAAAAAATAATAAGGCCGGGCACGGTGGCTCACGCCTGTAATCCTAGCACTTTGGGAGGCCGAGACGGGTGGATCACAAGGTCAGGAGATCGAGACCATCCCGGCTAACACGGTGAAACCCCGTCTCTACTAAAACTATAAAAAATTAGCTGGGCGCAGTGGCGGGTGCCTGTAGTCCCAGCTACTCGGGAGGCTGAGGCAGGAGAATGGCATGAACCTGGGAGGCAGAGCTTGCAGTAAGCCTAGATAGTGCCACTGCACTCCAGCCTGGGCGACGAGCGAGACTCCGTTTCAAAAAAAAAAAAAGATGTAGAGATGGGGTCTCACTGTGTTGTCCAGGCTGGTCTCGAACTCTTGGGCTCAAGTAATCCTCCCATCTTGAGCTTCCAAAGTGGTGGGATTACAGGCCCGCCTTGGCCTCCAGAAGTGTTGGGATTACAGGGACGAACCACCTTGCCTGACCTGCAATTTTTTTTTTTTTTATAAAAAGAGTGTCTCCCCATCACTGATGCAAACCTGCTGGAGAGCTCAAGATACGCTGCATAGTTTTCCAAAGGAACGTGCTATATTTATGTGTGTCTATTTCTGGGCTTTCTATTCTGCTCCATTGATCCATCTCTGTTTGCTTGCCAATTCCACAGGGTCTTTATTTATTTTTCTTTTAGACACCAGTTCTCACTCTGTTGCCCAGGCTGGAGTGCAATAGTGCAATCATAGCTCACTGCAGCCTTGACCTCCTGGGCTCAAGGGATCCTCCTGTCTCAGCTTCCTGAGTAGCTGGGACTACAAGTGTGTACCACAGTGCCTGGCTAATTTTTTATTTTTCATTTTTGTAGAGATGGAGTCTTGCTGTGTTTCCCAGGCTGGTCTCAAACTCCTGGCCTCAAGCCATCCTCCCATTTTAGGCTCCCAAAGTGCTGGGATTATGGGGGTGAGCCACGGTACTGGTTCCCCCACCTCCTTTTTTATTTTTATTTTTATTTATTTGTATATTTATTTATTTTTTGAGACTGAGTCTCACTCTGTCGCCCAGGCTGGAGTGCAGTGGAGGGATCTCGGCTCACCACAACCTCTGCCTCCTGGTTCAAGTGATTCTCCTGCCTCAGCCTCCCAAGTAGCCAGGATTACAAGCTCCCGCCACCACGCCCAGCTAATTTTTGTGTGTTTAGTAGAGACAAGTTTTCACCATGTTGGCCAGACTGGCCTCGAACTCCTGACCTCAGGTGATCCACCCACCTTGGCCTCCCAAAGTGCTGGGATTATAGGTGTGAGCCACTGCGCCCAGCCCTGTTTTTATTTTTATTTTTTAAGAGATGGGCTCTCTCTGCATTACCCAGGCTTGAGTGCAGTGGCTATTCACAGGTGCAATTGTAGTGCACTGCAGCCTTGGACTCCTGGGCCCACGCCATCCTCCCATCTCAGCCTCCCATATAGCTGGGACTACAGGTGTCCACTACTGTGCCTGGCTTATGCCTTGATTACTGTAGTTTTATAGTAAATATTAAATCAGTCTTCTAACTTTCTTCTTCAATATTATGTTGGCTATTCTGGCTCTTTTGCCTCTCCATATAAACTTGAAAATCAGTTTGTCATTATCCACAAAATAATTTGCTAGGATTTTGATTGGGATTGTGTTGAATCTATAGATCAAGTAGGGAAGAGCTGACATGTTGACGATATCAAGTTTTCCTATCCACGAACATGGAATATCTCTCCATTTATTTGGTTCTTCTTTGATTTATTTCATCGGACTTTTATAATTTTCCTCATATCAATCTTGTATATATCTTGTTAGTTTCATAGGTATTTCAGTTCTGAGGTGCTAATATAAATGGTACTGTGTTTTAAATTTCCTTTTTTTTTTTTTGAGACAGATTCTTGCTCTGTTACCAGGCTGGAGTGCAGAGGTGCCATCTCAGCTCACCACAACCTCCACCTCCCGGGTTCAAGCGATTCCCCTGCCTCAGCCTCCCAAGTAGGTGGGATTACAGGGCACGCATCACCATGCCAGGCTAATTTTTTTGTATTTTAGTAGAGACGGGGTTTCACCATGTTGGCCAAGATGGTATCGATCTCCTGACCTCGTGATCCAACCGCCTCAGCCTCCCAAAGAGCTGGGATTACAGGTGTGAGCCACCGTGCCCGGCCTGTGTTTTAAATTTAAGGCCAATTGTTCATTGCCGGTACTTAGGAGAGCAATTGACCTTTGTAAATTAACTTTGTATCCTGCAACCTTGCTATAATCGCTTATTAGTTCCAGGAAGTTTCTGTGTTGATTCTTTGTAATTTTCCATATAGGTAATCATGTCATCTTGGAACAATAATGAAGTCATTGGCTTTAGAAATATTCGTGTTATTGAAAAATTCAAATTATACAGAAGCCAAGAGAATAAAACAATGAACCTTATGTCCTCACCACCTAGTTTTGGCAATTGTCGACTCATGGGTGATCTTGTTTCATCCATACCTGTACAGGTACACCTGTGCCTCCTCCCCTCCACATTCCAGACTTTGAAAATCCCAGATATCATATCATACCATCCGATTATATATCAGAATCCACTTCTAAAAAAGGATGCTTTTGAAAACCATCCCATAAGGCTGGGTGTGGTGGCTCACGCCTGAAATCCCAGCACTTTGGGAGGCCGAGGCAGATGGGTCGCCTGAGGTCGAGAGCTCAAGACCAGCCTGGCCAACATGGCAAAACCCCGTTTCTACTAAAAAAAAAATACAAAAATTACCTGGGTGTGGTGGCGGGCACCTGTAGTCCCAGCTACTCGGGAGGCTGAGGCAGGAGAATTGACACTTGAACCCAGGAGGCAGAGGTTGTGGTGAGCTGAGATCGCACCACTGCACTCCAGCCTCTGCGACAGAGGGAGACTCCATCTCAAAAAAAAAAAAAAGAGAGAAAAAAGAAAACCATCTCATTATACCATTATCCCCCATTATCCCCCTAAAACAAATTAACAATGTTTCCTTAACAGCACTGACTATGCAATCAGTGCTCAAATGTTTCCAACTGCTTCACGAACTTTACAACGTTTTGTTGTGAAATTTTTCAGTGTCACAACATGTCTAGAAGAACAGCATGATGAACCCCTGCAGGCGCTTCACCTGTTTTCACTAGTTGTTGAGATTGTTACCTCTCATTATTGATGCAAGAGTTTTACTAGTAGGGACACAGTGTTTTTAGCCATTCCAAATGAGTCATTACCCATTGCTTTGATTTCTTTTTAATAGTCAAGTCTTTTTTTGTTTGTATTTTTTGAGACAGTCTCACTCATTGCCCAGGCTGGAGTGCAGTGGCACAATCATGGCTCACTGCAGCCTGCACCTCCTTGGCTCAAGCGATCCTCCCACCTTAGCCTCCTGAGTAGCTGGGACTACAGGAGTGTGCCACTATAACTGGCTAACTTAAAACAATTTTTTATAGAGATGGGGGTCTCATTATGTTGCCCAGGCTGGTCTCAAACTCCTGGACTCCAGAAGTCCTCGCATCGTGGCCTCCCAAAGTGTTGGGATTATAGGCATGAGCCATCGTGCCTGGCCAATAATCAGTCTTTGTACCAATAGGCTTATTCCAATGTCTTGGATTGTTACTGCTTTTTTTTTCCTATAAAAAAGTGGTAAATATTTTCTTTTTTTCTTGTTTCTTTTATATCCCTATAAAATTTGTAATTATTCATTTGTTTAACAAATATTTCCTGAGCCGCTCCAGATACTGTAGCTGTTTTTCATATAAATTGTATTCATTTCATTTAATTGATTACTCAGTGTTTTATGTCTTTGCTGCTATTGTGAGTGATTTCCTGCCAGTCTTGTGGTGCCTCCCCTCCACCACTGTTTTTTCTAATCTATCATTCCTGGCATGTAGAAAATGATTGATTCTGCCAGGCGCGATGGCTCATGCCTGTAATCCCAGCACTTTGGGAGGCTGAGGCGGGTGGATTGCCTGAGGTCAGGAGTTCAAGACCAGCCTGGCCAACATGGTGAAACCCCTGTCTCTACTACAAAAATACAAAAATTAGCCAGGTGCGGTGGTGGGTGCCTGTAATCCCAGCTACTCAGGAGGCTGAGGCAGGAGAATCACTTGAACCCAGGAGGTGGAGGTTGCAGTGAGCTGAGATCATGCCACTGCACTCCAGCCTGGGTGACAGAGTGATTCCGTCTCAAAAAAAAAATTGATTCATGAATATTACTTTCATAACTGGACACCTAACTGAGCATTCTTTTTTTTTTTTTTTTGAGACCAAGTCTCACTCTGTTGCCCAGGCTGGAGTGCAACGGCGCAATCTCGGCTCACTGCAAACTCCACCTCCCGGGTTCAAGCGATTTCTTGTGCCTCAGCCTCCCGAGGAGCTAGTACTACAGGTGCCTGCCACCACACCCAGCTAATTTTTTTTGTATTTTAGTAGAGACAGGGTTTCACCACATTGGTCAAGCTGGTCTTGAGCTCCTGAACTCAAGCAACCTGCCTGGCTCGGCCTCCTAAAGTGCTGGGATTACAGGCATGAGCCACCGCGCCCGGCCTCTTTTGGTTTTAATTGTGGGGAAATATACACAATATAAAAGTGACTGTTGCAGCTATTTTAAGTGAACAATTCAGCGGCATCGTGTGCATTCACGATGTTGTGCAAACCATCTGATTACATAACTTTTTCACCATTCCTAACAGAAGCTCTCCACCCGTGAAGCAAACCCTCCACATTTCAACCTCCCCCAGGCCCTGGCAAGCACCTGAGCTCCCTGGATACGCCAGACATCCTGAGTCTTCTTCAGGAATCTCTCTTGACTGGGCAGCTCTTCAATGATTTGCTTTTTTTTTTTTTTTTTTGAGATGGAGTTTTACTCTTGTTGCCCAGACTGGAGTGCGATGGCGCAATCTTGGCTCACTGCAACCTCCACCTCCCGGGTTCAAGCGATTCTCCTGCCTCAGCCTCCCGAGTAGCTGGGATTACAAGTCTCGGCTAACTTTTGTATTTTTTAGTAGAGATAGGGTATCACCATGTTGGCCAGTCTGGTCTCGAACTCCTGGCCTCAGGTGATCCACCTGCCTCGGCAGCCCAAAGTGCTGGGATTACAGGCGTGAGTTGCCGTGTCTGGCCAGTGATTTGCATTTTGAGCCATCTCTTTTCTTGCATCTCAAACAAATTCAAGGTCAAGTCTCAACTGGAGTGGATATTATACTGCAGCCCCAAGCTAGAGCCTGGATCTGGGGTCCATGCTCCTGGCCCCACGTGCCATAAGACAGCCTTCCTGCTCTCACATTTGAGAATTCGCCTCTCTTTCTTTTGAGCTCAGCCATGTGTTTATAGCTGGGGGATCTGTATCCACCTGGTTCATTTCTGTTGCTAAAACCCTCCACGTTTTTTCTCACCCTCCCACATAACCTCTGACGGCAGCCTTTCCATTTACAGCGCAGAAATAAGGGTGCCTACCTCCCCCAGACGTGAGCTGGGACCGTAGGCTGGTGCGTCGCTTCTGGAAAGTGAATACCGAATGTATTCCAGGTCCAGCTGAAACGCAAAGTCAGGCCACCACTTAAGAAGATTGGAGGGTCGAGCGTGAATTTAAAATGACTGCTAGGTAATCGCACCTTCTCTTAACTGGCCTGCTTCTTTGCTGGGTTTTATTTTAAGTGCTTCGGAGCATTTGTGTTGCTTTTGTGATCCTTCGTTCGTTCGTGGCTCTTTTGCAGCCAAGCCCTCCCCCGGCTTATGCAAATATGAGTCCCCCAGAAGGCAGCCCCCACACCAACTGCGAGGGACAGAGATAGTAAATTCCACAGTCAGGTTCTCGTTTTCGCCACCATCAGGAGAGATGAGGCCTGGAGTTCGGGGCTGGGGGCAGGGAACGAAGCCCCACCTAAAATATCCCCACTGCCCACAGAGCCCCCCGCCCCTCCGCTCCATCAGCTCTTCTGCAACAGACGGCACATGCCTCTGGACTGTTGTTACCAAACCAGAGTCTGCCCGCCTCGCACAGCAAAGCCTAATTCTGACATCAGGGCTGCAGTGAAGAGAAAATGAGGCGTTTCGCGCAGGACTCCAAACAGGGAGAATCGGGCAGCTCAGCTCGTGCTTAAAACCCAGATTCCCCGACGGCTTCCCAGTGGCTTATGGGCAAGGGTTTTTAAAGCTGGGGAGGGTCCGGGCACGGCAGCTGAGGCCTATAATCTCAGCACTCTGGGAGGCCGACGCGGGTGGATCACTTGAGGCCAGGAGTTCGAGGCGAGCCTGGGCGACATGGTGAAACCCTCTCTTTACTGAAAATACAAAAAGTGAGCTGGGTGTGGTGGTGCACGCGCACCTGTAATCCCAGCTGCTCGGGAGGCTGAGGCAGGAGAACCGCTTGAGCCCGGGAGGTGGAGGTTGCAGTGAGCAAAGATCACACCATTGCACTCCAGCCTGGGAGACAGAGCGAGACCCCATCTCAAAAATAAATAAATAAATAAATAAGTAAATAAATAGAAGTGGGATCTCTCAAAGCAGGGACCCACAGGTCATAGGAAGATTTGAAGTGTTTTTTTTTTGATGGAGTCTCGCTCTGTTGCCAGGCTGGAGTGCAGTGGTGCGATCTCAGCTCACTGCAACCTCCGCCTCCCGGGTTCAAGTGGTTCTCCTCCCTCAGCCTCCCGAGTAGCTGGGATTACAGGCATGCACCACCATGCCCAGCTCATTTTTGTACTTTTAGTAGAGACAGGGTTTCACCATGTTGGCCAGGATGGTCTTGATCTCCTGACCTCATGATCCGCCTACCTTGGCCTCCCAAAGTGCTGGGATTACAGGCGTGAGCCACCGCGTCCGACCTGAACATTTTCTAATTTGCAATTGCTTTAAGCAGGCGAAGCTTTGTCTAAAAATCTGGGATCGGTAGAAAAGAATGTTAGCTCTGGCCTGTGGACAGGACCTCCTCCAGGCCCCTCGGGAAATAATTTAGAACAAAGAACAGGGGTCAGAGTTCTGTCCTCAGCTCCCCCTTATCTGAGGTCTACCTGTCAACAGATCGTTTGGTGGGGGGGTCCAGGTTTCTGAAAAACAACTCAGGGACATATGTTAAGATGTCATCTTTGGGAGGCTGAGGTAGGAGAATGGCGTGAACCCAGGAGAGCTTGCAGTGAACTGAGATCGCGCCGCCGCACTCCAGCCTGGGTGACAGAGTGAGACTCTGTCTCAAAAAAAAAAAAAAAAAAAAAAGATGTCATCTTTAGCTGGGTGCGGTGGCTCTCGCCTGTAATCTCAGCACTTTGGGAGGCCAAGGTGGGCGGATCACCTGAGGTCAAGAGTTCGAGACCAACATGGAGAAACCCCGTCTCTACTAAAAATAAAAAATTAGCCGGGCATGGTGGCGCATGCCTGTAATCCCAGCTATTAGGGAGGTGGAGGCAGGGGAATCGCTTGAATCCGGGAGGCGGAGGTTGCAATGAGCTGAGATTGCACCATTGCATTCCAGCGTGGGTGCTAGAGTGAGACCCTATTTAAAAAAAAAACAAAGGATGGGCTGGGTGCAATGGCTCACACCTGTAATCCCAGAACTTTGGGAGGCTGAGGTGGGCGGATCACCTGAGGTCAGGGGTTCAAGACCAGCCTGGCCAACATGGCAAAACCCCCATCTCTACTAAAAATACAAAATTAGCTGGGCTTGGTGGCGCGTGCCTGTAATCCCAGCCATTCGGGAGGCTGAGGCAGGAGAATCGCTTGAACCTGGAGGTGGAGGTTGCAGTGAGCCGGAATTGCGCCATTGCACTCCAGCCTGGGTGACAGAGCCTGACTCCATCTCACAAAAAAAAAAAAAAAAGAAAGAAAAAGAAAAAGAAACAGGGTGAATGCAGATGTAATTAGTTAAGGGTCTTGAGATGAGGTTGTATTGGATTTAGGGTGGGGCTTAAACCCAATGACAGAGGAGAAGACGGAGACACAGAGAGGAGACAGACAGAGCCTGGAGCAATGCAGCCTCAAAGCGAGGAATCCTGGAGCCACGAGAAGCTGGAAGGGGCAGGAAGGATCCCCACAGAGTCCTTGGAGGGAGCATGGGTGGCCCTGGCAGGCACCTCAGTCTCAGACTTGTGACCTCCGGAACAGTGAGAGAATCAAGTTCTGTGGTTGAAGCCACCCAGTCTGCGATACTTTGCCATGGCAGTCGCAGGACATTAACCCAGCTGGCACGTGGTGGCATTGGGATTTGAACTGTGAAGGTTGATCATCTGAACTGGGTCATTCTTGTCATACTCAACTAAAACAGCGTCAAGAGGCCGGGGGGAAAAACTGACACAGAACCCTGCTCCAAAAATGTCATTCTCCGCAAGCCCCAAGGCTGGCACTGCTGCTGTAATTTGAGGCCAGTTTTCTGTACAGCTGCTGAGATAGCTCACTGCAACCCTAGGACTAATTTTGCCCACCTCCATCACCTGTCAATCAGAGCTTCCCAGGTTCCCTTCCTGGGAACCTCACTAGCACCAAGGATCTTTCTCAAAGAGCAGTATGTGCTGGATGTAGTGGCTCACACCTGGTGGCTCCCAGCACTTTGGGAGCCTTGAAGCAGGAGGATTGCTTGAGGCCAGGAGTTCAAGACCAGTCTGGGCAACATAGCGAGACCTCATCTCTACAAAAACAAATAAAATTGGGCCGGGCGCAGTGGCTCACGCCTGTAATCCCAGCACTTTGGGAGGCCGAGGTGGGCGGATCACCTGAGGTCAGGAGTTCGAGACCAGCCTGGCTAACATGGTGAAACCCCGTTTCTACTAAAAATACAAAAAATTAGCCGGGCGTGGTGGTAGGCGCCTGTAATCCCAGCTACTCGGGAGGCTGAGGCAGGAGAATCGCTTGAACCCGGGAGGCAGAGGATGCAGTGAACTGAGATCACGCCATTGCACTCCAGCTTGGGCAACAAGATCAAAACTCCATCACAAAAAAAACAGAAACAAAACACACCCACACACACATGCACACACACACAAAACAAAGAAAATTAGCTAGCGTGGGCCGGGCATGGTGGTTCACGCCTGTAATGCCAGCACTTTGGGAGGCCGAGACGGGTGGATCACCTGAGGTCAGGAGTTTGAGACCAGCCTGACCAACATGGAGAAACCCCCATCTCTACTAAAAATACAAAAATTAGCTGGGCATGGTAGCACATGCCTGTAATTCCAGCTACTTCGGAGGCTGAGACAGGAGAATCACTTGAACCCGGGAGGCGGAGGTTGTGGTGAGCCAAGATTGGGACATTGCACTCCAGCCTCGGCAACAAGAGTGAAACTCCATCTCAAAAGAAAGAAAGAAAGAAAGAAAATTAGCCAGCATGGTGGTGCGTGCCTGTAGTCCCAGCTACTTGGGACGCTGAGGCGGTAGGAGTACTTGAGCCTGGGAAATCCAGACTGCAGTGAGCTATGATTGAGCCACTGCACTCCAGCCTGGGCAACAGAGTGAGACCCTGTCTCAAAAAAAAAAAAAAATTAATTCAAAGAGCAATACGTAACATTTCCCTTGTCTGTCTGTCTGTCTGTCTGTCTCTCTCTCTTTCTAAAACCTCCGACCTCCCTTTTGTTCTTGGACATACCTAGTCAGTGTGGATGCCCTGAATTACAGTTCTGTCTTCCCAAATAAAACATTGTGTTTTCTTTATTTTTTTTTTGAGATGGGGTCTCGCTTTGTAACCCAGGCTGGAGTGCAGTGGTGCAATCTCGGCTCACTGCAACCTCCGTCTCCCGGGTTCAAGCGATTCTCCTGCCTCAGCCTCCTGAGTAGCTGGGATTAAAGGTGTGCACCACCACACCTGGCTAATTTTTGTATTTTTGGTAGAGACGGGGTTTCACCATGTTGACCAGGCTGGTGTCGAACTCCCGACCTCAAGTGATCTGCCCGCCTCGGCCTCCCAAAGTGCTGGGATTATAGGCGTGAGCCACCACACCCCGCCCAAATAAAACATTTTAATTTCAGAGATTCGTCTCTGCATTTTTCTTTCTTTCTTTTTTTTTGAAATGCAGTCTTCCTCTGTCGCCCAGGCTGGAATGCAGTGGCGCGATCTTGGCTCACTGCAACTTCCGCCTCCTGGGTTCAAGCAATTCTCCTTTCTCAGCCTCCTGAGTAGCTAGGGCTACAAGCATGCTCAAGTGATCCACCTGCCTTGGCCTCCCAAAGTGCCTGGCTCTGCATTTTTATCGTGACTTCAAAGAACCCTGATTTACCAAATCAGAGTGGACACAGGTCTTGAGCTCCTCAATACTGGAAAGAAGCCCTAAGAATCGAGCCTCTTACCTCTGCGATGCTGCATGGGAAATTCTCCCTGCTGTTCAAATAGCCCAGGCCCCTCACTGTGTCCCTGGGCCTGCCCTCGGCCTGCAGGCTAAGGCCCTAAGCCTGTGGCCTGGAAGGGGCTGCTCTGGGCAGGAGATGAGGAAGGAAAGCCCTGGCCGCTCCTTCTGGGCACACTTCCTCGACGGTGACAAGGGAGCCGCGTGGCCAGAGGGGCAGGGGCTTAGGCTGAGTGTGTTTTCTCCTTGCGGTTCAGGGCGAGGTCTGGATTTGCCACGGCTGTGACCTGCAGGGCTTGTGGCCAGCGGGCTCCCAGGAGGCCCTGCTGGGTGGTACTTAAGGGAGCGATAAATGAGATGGACTGTCTGCATCGATCCGGCCTGGGCCCCACAGAACGGGAACTGTCGGATAGATACTGTGGCTGTCCGGGAGACGGGGCCTCCTGGGAGCAGCTGTTATCATGGCTGCAGCTGACTCGGCCCCCACCACTCAGGCGGGCCTTGGCCACGGTCATGGCGGGGAAGCACCCAGGCCCTGTAGCTCAAGGGCTCCAGGCCGCCCACCCGGATCTGCGTGATCAGTTTCGCAGCGGCCCCCGGCTCCTCCTCCCGGGGAAAGGCTGGAACGCAGCAGCATCTGCTGACTTAATGGATTTGGCGGGGGGCCCTGCTCCACCGGGTCTAGGATAATCCTCTCCAAGCAGGACCAAGGCCAGGAAGTGTGTTCGTTTACTTCTCACTCTCTCTTTTCAAAATGGCTTTATTTAGGCCTGGCGCGGTGGCTCACACCTATGATCCCAGCACTTTGGGAAGCCGAGGCTGGTGGATCACGCGAACTCAGGAATTCGAGACCAGCCTGGCCAACATGGCGAAACCCCTCCTCTCCTAAAAATACAAAAATTAGCCGGGTATGGTGGCGCACGCCTGTAGTCCCAGCTACTTGGGAGGCTGAGGCATGAGAATCGCTTAGACCCAGGAGGTGGAGGTTGCAGTGAGCTAGGATCGAGCCATTGTACTCCAGCCTGGGTGACAGAGTGAGAACCTGTCTCAAAAAAAAAAAAAAAAAAGGCTTTATTGGTCAAGCACAGTAGCTCACACCTGTTATCCCAGCACTTTGGGAGGCTGAGGTGGGTGAATTCCTTGAGGTCAGGGGTTCGAGACCAACCTGGCCAACATGGTGAAACTCTGTCTCTACTAAAATTGCAAAAATACAAAAAAATTAGCCGGGCGTGGTGGTACATACCTATAGTCCCAGGTACTCGGAAAAATGAGGCAGGAGAATCACTTGAACCCAGGAGGCAGAGGTTGCAGTGAGCTGAGATCATGTCACTGTATCCCAGCATAGGCGACAGACCCAAACTCTTAGCTCCAAAAAAAAAAGACAGAGTCTCATTATGTCACCCAGGCTGCAGTGCTGTGGTGCAATCACAGCTCACTCCAGCCTCGAAATCTTTGGCTGAAGCAATCCTCCCACCTCTGCCTCCTGAGTAGCTGAGACTACAGGTGTGCACCACCATGCCCGGCTAATTTTTGTATTTTTTGTAGAGATGAGGTATCGCTATGTTGCCCAGGCTGGTCTCAAACTTCTAGCCTCAAGTGATCCTCCCGCCTCAGCCACCAAAGTGCTGAAATTACAGGTGTGAGCCGTCATACCTGGTCTGCACTTGAAGCTTTTGAACTGTTTACTGCTTGATATCCAGAAATGGCCAGATTCTTAGTATTGGTGCTTTTGCTCTTGTCACTTTGCCACCTCCTCTTCCTCTTGGTCGTCTTGGGGACTTGAACACAGGACAGAGGAGCCACGGCTGTCTTCCTGGTTCACACACTTTCCTTGTCAGGGGGCAGTAGGCTGTGTATTTGAGTTGCTAACCGCTAAGAAGGAATACAGCAATGACGGGAGGGGGTCCCTGAAGACTTAGCTAACACAGTGAAGCTGGCCGGGCACTGTGGTTCATGCCTATAATCCCAGCACTTTGGGAGGCCGAGGTGAGCGGATCACTTGAGGTCAGGAATTCGAGACCAGGCTGGCCAATATAGTAAAACCCTGTCTCTAGTAAAAATATGAAAATCAGCTGGGGATGGTGGTGTGCACCTGTAATCCCAGCTACTCGGGAGGCTAAGGCCGAAGAATCACTTGAACCTGGGAGCCGGAGGTTGTGGTGAGCCGAGGTCATGCCACTGCACTCCAGCCTGGGCAACAGAGTGAGAGACTCCATCTCAAAAAAATAAATAAATAAAAAATAAACACAGTGTAGCTGCGGAGCACGGCGGGGAACTCACAGGGAAGCAAGAGCCCCCAAGGCCTATTTCTGCAGTAAGGAAGGTGTTGGCCTAAATGGAAGAGACAGAAAATCGCCAGGTTCCCTGGGAAATGACTGTGTTCAAAATCAAACAAGCAATCTTGGTCAAAAAGACAGGGGAGCGCCTGATAGGGTCAGGCTTTGGGAGGCTGTGAGAATAGTGAGTTCAGAGTTTGCATGAGCAAAATGGTTTTACACAGTTCTGCATGGCAGATGATGGGAATTTTCTGAACAACCCAGGAGAAAATTATATTTAGATGTCATATTCTAAATACATCCTCTGGGATCCTGTGACTGTGTCTGCAAAAATGAACGAAAAATCTTTTATTTCCTTCCATTCACGGGTCCTGTCAAATATCTGTGGATCGTAAAGTGTCCCACGCTCAAGAAAACTGTGGAGTGGACCTTGAAGGGCTTCCCCACCTGTGCAGGAGGGAAGATTCGGGACAAACCGCAGGGTGGCCAGAGAGAGGAAGCACCCCACCAGGCAGGAATAGGGTGTGAAGGAACAATACAGTATGCCCTTTAAAACATACATTGGCAGGGCTTGGTGCAGTGGCTCAAGCCTGTTAATCCCAGCACTTTGGGAGGCCAAGGTAGGAGGATTGCTGGAGGCCAGGAGTGCAAGACCAACCTCAGCAACATAGGGAGATGCCCTGTCTCTAAAAAATTTTTAAAAATTAGCCGGGGGTGGTGGTGCACACCTGTAGTCCCAGCTACTCAGGAGGCAGAGGTGGAGGATTGCTGGCCCAGGAGGTTGAGGCTGCAGTGAACTATGATCATGCCACTGCATTCCAGCCTGGGTGACAACCTGGGAAGTGGAGGTTGCAGTGAGCTGAGATCGCACCATTGCTCTCCGGCCTGGGGGACAAGAGCAAAACTCCATCTCAAAAATAAATAAATAAATAAATAAATAATAATAAACAAATAAAAAATCCAATGTCTCCAATGATCAGGACCTATGATGACTCCACGGACATTAGCTCAATGGCCACATTAATGCAGGATATAGCCTGCTTGGCTTCTGCATCCATCCATCCGCAGCCACACGGCCACTTAGAGCCCAGGCTGGAATCCTGGTCTGGGACAAAGGCCAGTGATCTTTCCAACACTGCGTGCCCAGGAATCACACACGTCTACACACATGTGCACACATGCATGCAAGTGAACATGCCACCCTGGCTCCACGCCGTCCTCCATGCTTGCCAGCAGGGTGGGCATGGTCTTGCATTCAGACACCCTGCTCTGTGGTCTCCAGACTTTATTTTTATTTTTATTTATTTATTTATTTTTGAGATAGTCTTGCTCTGTTGCCAGGCTGGAGTGCAGTGGCGTGATCTTGGCTCACTGCAACCTCTGCCTCCCGGGCTCAGGCGATTCTTCTGCCTCAGCCTCCTGAGTAGCTGGGACTAATGGCACCTGCCACCACACCTAATTTTTTTTTTTTTTTTTTTTTTTTGAGACAGAGTCTTGCTCTGTCGCCCAGGTAGAGTGCAGTGGCGCAATCTCGGCTCACTGTAAGCTCCGCCTCCCAGGTTCATGCCATTCTCCTGTCTCAGCCTCCTGAGTAGCTGGGACTACAGGCGCCTGCCACCACGCCCGGCTGATTTTTTTGTATTTTTTAGTAAAGACGGGGTTTCACCGTGTTAGCCAGGATGGTCTCAATCTCCTGACCTCGTGATCTGCCCGCCTCGGCCTCCCAAAGTGCTGGGATTACAGGTGTGAGCCACTGCGCCCGGCCTGTTTCAAGCCTCTCAAGTACCTCCTGCATTCCTATCACTCAGCATGCACCCTTTCCAGGCAGCCTCTTTTGTCCAACACACAAATGTGTTGTCAGACAATGGATTCCAATTTTGGGATTGGAAAAAAAAGATTCCCATTAGTAACGCAGGGAGAACACACAATCATTGTGGGGCTACATACTAATGTGAATAAATCAGCTCCTAACAGGCTCTCTCTGTTAGAAAAGTCACCAGAAGGAAACACACAGCAGTGTTAACCCCAGGTTAGCTCTGGCACTGGCAGTTACAGGTGATCTTTCTTTTCTTTTCTTTTCTTTTCTTTTTTTTTTTTTTTTTTTTTGAGATAAAGGCTCACTCTGTCGCCCAGGCTGGAGTGCAGTGGCATGATCTCAGCTCATCACAACCTCCGCCTCCCAGGTTCAAGCGATTCTCCTGCCTCAGCCTCCCGAGTAGCTGGGATACAGGTGCCTGCCACCATGCCCGGCTAATTTTTCTATTTTTAGTAGAGATGGGATTTTGCCATCTTGTCCAGGCTGGTCTTGAACTCCTGACCTCAGATGATCCACCCACCTTGGCCTCCCAAAGTGCTGGGATTACACAGGTGTAAGCCCCTGTGCCTGGCTAGAGACTGGTTTTTGTTGTTTTGTTGTTGTTGTTGTTTTTGAGACAGGGTCTCACTCTATCCCCCAGGTTGGAATGTGGTGGTGCGATCATAGCTCACTGCAGCCTTGATCGAGACCCTGGGCTCAAGTGATCCTCCCATCTCAGCCTCCCCAGTAGCTGGGACTACAGGTGCGTGCCACTATGCCCAGCTAGGGGCAGGGACAGTTTGTGAAAAGAGCCACTTGCTGCCATGTAGGACGAGCTCTCTCTCTCCGATGACCCCATCCAAATCCTTCTGGAGGACAGGGCCTGGGGAGGGACCCGTGCTCCGAAGCCCCAAAGCCCTCTCTGATGGAAACTGCCCAGTGATGGGCACAGCTCTACGTGTCTTCATCTTTCTAGGAGCCCAGAGGTTCTTCCAGATTTGGGGTGCCTCCTTAAGAGGGACCCCCAGAACACTGACACAGTCTGACCCCTGGAGTCAGGGGGTGGGGACAGGAGCTGATCCCTTGAACTTCCTCAAAAGGAGCAGAAAGCTGAAAATAACCAGAAAAGATGCTCCCCAGAGCCTTAAGCAAAGGAGCTCGTCTGAACAAATTGCGGGTTTTTCTCCTTTGCCGGCAACACGGCAGCCACAGCCCTCAGCCCTGCCTGCGGTGCCCACCTGAAGCAAACAGAGTGACTTTGCCAACCACAGTGACGTTCTGCATTGGTGTAGGTTTCAGGACAGAATGGAGCAGCCTGGGCGCTCCCACGAAGGTCAAGAAGGACATAAATGACAGAGCTGGCCAGCGGCCAGGACGCGGGGCCCATGGTGGGTTCTGGGGCAGTGGCCAGGGACCCTCCTGGGGGCCATTTGTCAGCACCAAGGAGGCTGCAGGGACCTGACTGCGAGTCTGTCAAGAAGAGGGCCGCAGGCAGCCTGGGGCATGGTGCCATGGTCTGGGCTTGGGGGTGGATGGTGGCCAATCCCAGAACGCATCTCTGCATCTCAGAAGGGGCCCAGGGAAGCCAGGGTGGGGTGGCTGAGGGTGGGGAGCTATGCAGATCCTGGCTCTTCAGACAAGGACAGCAGGGGCCTCCCCCGGCCCTGTTCCCTCAGCCTCTGCCAGGAGCAACTGAACCCTGTCCTGCCCTGTGCCACCAGCTGGGATGAGTTACCTTGCCCAGGAGAGTCTTCTATTTGGGGAGGGGTGTTTTGTGAGCAAAGTGCCCTGAAGCCAATGGGTCACTGTGCACACCATGAGGCGTTTCTTTCATTCTAAGGTGTCACTTAGTTACGGATTTCCAGGGGACAGGTGGCCAAATTAATGACCCTGGGCTGTGAAACACTCCAATTTTCTTTCTTTCTTTCTTTCTTTCTTTCTTTCTTTCTTTCTTTCTTTCTTTCTTGCTTGCTTGCTTGCTTGCTTGCTTTCTCTCTTTCTTTCCCTTCCTTCCTTCCTTTCTTTCTTTCTCTCTCTTTCCCTTCCTTCCTTTCTTTCTTTCTCTCTCTCTTTCTTTCCCTTCCTTCCTTTCTTTCTCTCTCTTTCTTTTCCTTCCTTCCTTCCTTCCTTCCTTTCTTTCTCTCTTTCTTTCCCTTCCTTCCTTCTTTCCTTCCTTCCTTTCTTTCATTCTTTCTTTCTTTCTCTCTCTCTTTCTTTTCCTTCCTTCCTTTCTTTCTATCTTTCTCTCTCTCTCTTTCTTTCCCTCCCTCCCTCCCTCCCTCTCTCTCTCTTTCTTTCTTTCTTTCTGACAGAGTCTCACTCTGTTACCCAGGCTGGAGTGTAGGGGTGCGATCTTAACTCGCTGCAATCTCCGCTTCCTGGGTTGAAGCGATTCTCGTGCCTCAGCCTCCTGAGTAGCTGGGAGTACAGGCACGCACCACCAAGCCTGGTTAATTTTTGTATTTTTTAAAGGAGACGGGGCTTTGCCATGTTGGCCAGGCTGGCCTCGAACTCCTGGCCTCGAATGATCCACCTGCCTTGGCCTTCCAAAGTGCTGGGATTACAGGCGTGAGCCACCGTGCCCCGCCCCTAACACTCCAATTTCATAAACACCACCACAGGGAAGGAATGGTCTTAGAATGAGTAGGTGGCTGCGTGTGGTGCCTCATGACTGTATTCCCAGCACTTTGGGAAACTGAGGTAGGAGGACTGCTTGAGCCCAGGAGTTTAAGACCAGCCTGGGCAATGTACCGAGAACCTGCCTCTACAAAAAGGCATAGTAGTGGGCACCAGGAGTCCCAGCTACTTGGGAGACTGAGGTGGGAGGATCACTTGAGCCCAGGAGGTTGAGGCTGCAGTGAGCTGTGATCCCACCACTGCACTCCAGCCTGGGTGACAGAGTGAGACCCGAACTCTAAAAGAAAAAAGAAAGAATGAGGCTGGGTGCAGCGGCTCATGCCTGTAATCCCAGCACTTTGGGAGGCCGAGGCAGGCGGATCACCTAAGGTCAGGAGTTCGAGACCAGCCTGGCCAACATGGCGAAACCTCATCTCTACTAAAAGTACAAAAATTACCCAGGCGTGGTGGCACGTGCCTGTAATCCCAGATACTCGGGAGGCTGAGGCAGGAGAATCGCTTGAACCTGGGAGGCGGAGGTTGCGGTGAGCTGAGATTGTACCACTGCACTCCAGCATGGGTGACAGAGTGAAACTCCATCTCAAAAAAAAAAAAAAAAAAGGAAGGAAGGAGGGAGGGAGGGAAGGAAGGAAGGGAGGGAAAAAAAAGAGAGAAAGGACCATGTATTGCCCAGGCAGAGCCTTATGGTTTACACTCACTGCTCTCGAACCTCACTCCCTGTACCTGCTGTTATCTCCGTGGGATGCAGGGAAGCCAAGGGCCTCTCTAGCACTTTCTCCATCCTGAGGTGCTGGGCAGCTCTCTCCTCAGGCTCTCTCGGGAGCTGTCTGTGCTTGGCCACCCTCCTTCCCCGGGGACATATCAGACTACACAGTGCCTGCTTCAGAGCAGACAGCGTTTGCTGGTGCGGGGTGTGTGTGTGTGTGTGTGTGTGTGTGTGCGCACGTGTCTATGTGTGTGTGTGTTGGGAGAGCCTCTGTCTGAAGGCTGAGGTCAGGAGCTCAGAGTCAAGCCGTCTGGGGGTGATGCTCCGGTCGCCCTCTCTAGATCTGACTGGCTTTTTCTTTTTCTTTCTTTCTTTTTTTTTTGACATGCACTCTCACTCTGTCGCCCAGGCTGGAGTGCAGTGGCGCGATCTCGGCTCACTGCAACGTCCGCCTCCCAGGTTCAAGTTAGTGTTCTGCCTCGGCCTCCTGAGTAGCTGGGATTACAGGCGCCCGCTACCATGCCCAGCTAATTTTTGTATTTTTAGTAGAGACGGGGTTTCACCATGTTGGCCAGGCTGGCCTCAAACTCCTGACCTCAGGTGATCCGCCTGTCTCAGCCTCCCAAAGTGCTGGGATTACAGACGTGAGCCACCTCGCCCGGCCTGACCGGCTTTATCGATTCACCATTTTAAATGGTGATGAATCGGCTCTCCCGCGGGGGAATGGCATGATTAGGAAACAGGTCGTTGAGAGGGGAGGGGTGGCCAATAAGAAGGCAGGCGGCCAGGAGGCCGTGGGGCTACAGACAGGGGAGGGAGCTGCCGCTGGAATGGAGTCCCACTGTGGCAAGGTCACCCTCTCCCCGGAGGGAGAGGCGCCCTCCGAGACCCACATTCATCCACAGGCGGTAACGAGAACAGAGTGAAATTCCCATTGTCGGAGGAAGCCAGGTTTCTCCACGGCCTCTGTTTGCCATTTTTGCATTGGGAGTTCATTCAAACTAGCACATTGGCGAAGCTCCCGGGTGCGACCGCCCAGCCCCCAAGGACACAGTCTGACCAGGGCACCCTCCCCCACAGCTCGCCAACCCACCAGCCCCGCAGATGTCTGCACAGTTGGGAGACTTCCACCACCTAGTGGCCGTGAAGAAAACCATCCACCCTCCTCAGAGCTCGGGGTTGGGAGGAGACTCAGGCGGCTCCTGAGGTCCTGATGGTCTATCCGTCTGTGTCTCGCAGCGTTAGGGTCCAGAGAAACA